>NC_000012.12:117460128-120451830 GCF_000001405.40 Homo sapiens | reverse complement strand
TTACCTCAAACCAAATGACATGTTATTAGTGTGCAAAGGGGTTTCTATTAGCCAGTCAAGGCGTTTTTTGTTTGTTTGTTTGTTTTTTTGAGATGGAGTCTTGCTCTGTTGCCCAGGCTGGAGTGCAGTGACGTGATCTCGGCTCACTGCAACCTCTGCTCCCCAGGTTCAAGCAATTCTTCTGTCTCAGCCTCCCGAACAGCTAGGACTACAGGAGTGCGCCACCATGCCCGGCTAATTTTTGTATTTTTAGTAGAGAAGGAGTTTCACCATATTGGTCAGGCTGGTCTCGAACTCCTGGCCTCAGGTGATCCACCTGCCTCAGCCTCCCAAAGTGCTGGGATTACAGGCGTGAAACACCACGCCCAGCCTTGTTTTGTATTTTTTAAGACGGAGTCTCACTCTGTCGCCCAGGCTGGAGTGCAGTGGCTCCATCTTGGCTGACTGCAACCTCTGCCGTCCTGGTTCAACCGATTCTCCTGCTTCAGCCTCCCGAGTAGCTGGGATTACAGGCGCCTGCCACCTTGCCTGGCTAATTTTGTATTTTTAGTACAGATGGGGTTTCACCATCTTGGCCAGGCTGGTCTTCAACTCCTGACCCCATGATCCACCCACCTCAGCTTCCCAAAGTGCTGGAATTACAGGTGTGAGCCACCGCGCCCAGTCTACCTTTTTTTTTTTTTTTTTGAGATGGAGTCTTGCTCTGTCGCCCAGGCTGGAGTGCAGTGGCGTGATCTCAGCTCACTGCAACCTCCGCCTCCTGATTTCAAGCAATTCTCCTGCCTCAGCCTTCAGAGTAGCCGGGATTACAGGCATGCACCACCATGCCCGGCAAATTTTTGTATTTTTTAAGTAGAAACAGGGTTTCGCCATGTTGGCCAGGCTGGTCTCGAACTCCTGACCTAAAGTGATCTGCCTGCCTCGGCCTCCCAAAATGCTGGGATTACAGGAGTGAGCCATTATGCCCGGCCAAGTCAGGGCTTTTATAGCTAAGATGCCTACTACCTAAAACATTTAAGCAACTTGGCCTCCTGCAAAGAAGGATGGTGAGAAGAATGGCCATTATGCCATCAACTAGGTGGTGACCCAAGAGTACACCATTAATATTCACAAGTGTATCCATGGAGTGGGCTTCAAGAAGTGTGCCCCTCAGGCTCTTAAAGAGACCGGAAATTTGCAATGAAGGAGATAGAAAACTCCAGATATGTGTATTGATACCAGGCTCAACAAAGCTGTCTGGGCCAAAGTAGTAAGGAATGTCCATACTGTGTCCATGTGCAGTGGATGGTCCAGAAAACATAATGAGGTTAGAAATTCACCAAATAAGCTCTATACTTTGGTTATATACTTGTTACCACTTTCACAAATCTACAGTCAGTGTGGATGGGAACTAACTGCTGATCATCAAATACATCAAATGAAGTTATAAAAACTACAAAAAAATAAAAAATAAAAGGTTTAATACTTGTCTTCACTTTACATTCTGTGTGTTCAAAGCATTAAAGTCCTACAGATGTCACATTAAAATGATTAATGGGAATTATTAACCCAAACTGGTTTCCAAATTTATGAAAAACAGTACAGATCACTGAATACGAGGTTGAGATGCTAGCTACTGGATCCAAATTCCTCATCTTTTTTCACGACCTTTTCCCTTATTAATGATGGTTATATTTCTTTGTATTTACCCTCTAGATAACTTGGGGAAATTCTGATGACTCTGTGCTTCTAGTCCCTCCTTTCCTAGAGATATTAATAAAGAACACTGGGACCGGGCATGGTGGCTCATGCCTGTAATCCCAGCACTTTGGGAGGCCAAGGTGGGCAGATCACCTGAGGTCGGGAGTTTGAGACCAGCCTGACCAACATGGAGAAACCCTGTCTCTACTAAAAATACAAAATTAGCTGGGCGTGGTGGCGTGCACCTGTAATCCCAGCTACTTGGGAGGCTGAGGCAGGAGAATCGCTTGAACCTGGGAGGCAGAGGTTGTGGTGAGCTGAGATCGCGCCATTGCACTCCAGCCTGGGCAACGTGAGCAAAACTCTGTCTCTAAAAAAAAAAAAATTCATTAAACATTTACTGTGGCCGGGCACGGCAGCTCAAGGCTGTATTCCCAGCACTTTGGGAGGCTGAGGCAGGCAGATCACCTGAGGTCAGGAGTTCAAGACGAGCCTTGCCAACATGGTGAAACCCCTCTCTACTAAAAATACAAAAATTAACCAGGCATGGTGGTGCATGCCTGTAATCCCGGGTGCTCGGGAAGCTGAGGCAAGAGAATCTCAAACCCAGGAGGCAGAGGTTGCAGTGAGCCGAGATCACGCCACTGCCTCCAGCGTGGGCAACAGAGTGAGACTCCATCTCAAAAAAACAAAACAAAACAAAACAAAACACATTTACTGAATACTCAGTGCCAACCACTGAGAACATGATAAGGAAAAACAGACATGCTGTGGAAGGTGGGTGAGCAGGAGAGGGGCAGAGACTCAACACATCCCTTAAATAGATGTATAAACGCATGTATAAATCAGCCCTTTTGGATATCACGAGAGCCACAGGTAGAGAACCTAAGTATAGCCAGGCACAGTGGCTCACGCCTGTAATCAGCACCTTTGGGAGGCTGAGGTGGGCAGATCACGAGGTCAGGAGATCGAGACCATCTTGGCTACGGTGAAACCTCATCTCTACTAAAAATACAAAAAATTAGCCAGGCGTGGTAGTGGGCACTTGTAGACCCAGCTACTTGGGAGGCTGAGGCAGGAGAATGGCATGAACCCAGGAGGCGGAACTTGCAGTGAGCCAAGATCACGCCACTGCACTCCAGCCTCAGCGACAGAGCGAGACTCTTGTCTCAATTAAAAAAAAAAAAAAAGAACCTAAGTATAAAAGAATGAAGACTTGTGGCTCACGCCTATAATCCCAGCACTTTGGGAGGCCGAGGCGGGTGGACTGTGAGGTCATGAGTTCGAGACCAGCCTGGCCAACATGGTGAAACCCCGTCTCTATTAAAAATACAAAAATTAGCTGGGCGTGGTGGCGGGCGCCTGTAGTCCCAGCTACTCGGGAGGCTGAGGCAAGAGAATCACTTGAAACCGGAAGGTGGAGGTTGCAGTGAGCTGAGATTGCACCACTGTACTCCAGCCTGGGTGGAAGAGTGAAACTCCGTCTCAAAAAAAAAAAAAAAAAAAAAGGAATGGACTTTTTTGGCCAGTGCAGTGACTCATACCTGTAATCCCAGCACTTTGGGAGGCGAAGATGGGCGGATCACTTGAGGCCAGGGGTTCGAGACCAGCCTGGTCAACATGGTGAAACCCTGTCTCTACTAAAAATGCAAAAACTAGCTGAGTGTGGTGGCGGGTGCCTGTAATCCCAGCTACTCCGGAGGCTGAGGCACAAAAATCACTTGAACCTGGAGGGTGGAGGTTGCAGTGAGCCAAGATCATGCCACTGCACTCCAGCCTGGGTGATGGGGCAGGACTCCACCTCAAAAAAAAAAAAAAACTTTCTTGAGGAAGTGGGAGGCTGAGGCAGGAGGATTGCTTGAGACCAGGAGTTTGAGACCATATGGGGCAACATGGCAAGACCCCGTTTCTACAAAAATTTTAAGTATTAGCCAGGTGTGGTGGTGCACACCTATAGTCCCAGCTATTTGGGAGGCTGAGGCAGGAGGATCTCTTGAGTCTAGAAGTTTGCGACCAGCCTGGGCAACATAGTGAGACCCCGTCCCAAAGGAAAAAGAAAATTGCAAAGTAGAGAAGACATTTGAAAGAATCAAACACGGCCAGGTGCTGTGGCTCATGCCTGTAATCCCAGTACTTTAGGAGGCTGAGATGGGTGGATCACCTTTGCTCAGGAGTCCAGACAAGCCTGGGGAACATGGCAAAATCCCGTCTCTATCAAAAATACAAAAAATTAGCCAGGCCAAGTGGCACGCGCCTGTGGTCCTGTACTTGGGAGGCTGAGATGGGAGGCTCTCTTGAGTCTGGGAGGTGGACATTACAATGAGCTGAGATCATGCCACTGCACTCTAACCTGGGTGATAGAGTGAGACTCCATCTCAAAAACAAATAAAATAAAAATTCAAGGCAGGAATAAAACAGTAACTACATAATGAGCTCACATTTTAATAAAAGAGATATAACAAATGAACAAAAGTCCATTAAAATGTTAGGGAAAAAACCCAATAGGATGAGTTACTAACTAGAAGGGGAGAAGGGATTTGGAGTGGTTAGGAGAGCCCTTTCTGAGAAGATAAGCTGAGACCTGTGCCAAGAGGGAGGCAGCCATGCAAATACTGAGAGGAAGGAAAAAAACGAAGGGCCAGTGCAGAGATCTAGAGAGGAAAAGAACTTGTCTTGCTGGAGAAGCAGTCAAGGTAGCCAAGGAGAGTACTGAGAAGAGTACGTTGGAGTGAGTAGGTAGGGACTCTATGGAGTAGGGCCTTAAAGGCGATGATTAGGCCAGGCGCGGTGGCTCACACCTGTAATCCCAGCACTTTGGGAGGCCGAGGCGGGTGGATCACGGTCAGGAGTTCAAGACCAACCTGGCCAAGATGGTGAAACCACGTCTCTACTAAAAATACAAAAAAAATAAGCCGGGCCTGGTGGCAGTCGCCTGTAATCCCAGCTACTCGGGAGGCTGAGGCAGAGAATTGCTTGAACACGGGAGGCGGAGGTTGCAGTGAGCCGAGATCGAGCCACTGCACTCCAGCCTAGGCAACACAGCGAGACTCCGTCTCAAAAAAAAAAAAACAAAACAAACAAACAAAAAAAAAAACAAAGGCAGTGATTAGCAGTTCGGGTTTTGTTTCCACTTACACTAGCGAGAGCATCAGTAATGAACAAGGGGAAGAGTGAAGCCACTGACTCGCGAGGTGACTGTGGGCAAGTTCCTGAATCTTGCTAACACTCTTTAACCCCCTGGAAAACTGTTCGCTAATCGTCACATTAAACGGCTGCGAACGGGCCACGGTCAAGGCTTCGGGGCTGCAGCCGCGAGTTTACCTGTCCTCCAGGACCGATTCCATGGGCTCCACCCCGTCTGTGTCCACGGCGCGTAGCCGGTCGGCGAAGGCGATAGCTTTCTCCAGTCGCGCCACTGCCTCGCGGCTGCCGAAGTCCACAAGCGCTAGACGCTCCAGGTGCTCGATCACCGCAGCCGTGATCCGGCCACTGCCCTGGAGGAGGGATGAGGCGGGGAGTGTGGGTCACCGGCGCTCCGAAGTGCCTCCCGGCTTGCTCCGCCACCCGCCTAGATGGCCCTGGCCTTTACCTGAGGATCCGCCTTGGAGGTGAAGCCCTGGCGCCCGCCCAGAGGGGCCCGAAGGCCCAGCCACACCAACCGCGACCACATTTCTTCCTTCCTTGGCCCCCGCAGTGCGCCCGCGCGTAACGCCGAGCGACGCGCCTGAGAGTGATGACATCAGAGTGCGCCGTCGTCGCCGCCGCCACCACTGTCGCCATGAACAGTGTGGGGGAGGCATGCACGGACATGAAGCGCGAGTACGACCAGTGCTTCAATCGCTGGTTCGCCGAGAAATTTCTCAAGGGGGACAGCTCCGGGGACCCGTGCACCGACCTCTTCAAGCGCTACCAGCAGTGTGTTCAGGTGAGCCCTCCCGCCTCTGTTCCCAGGCCCTGCATTCTCGGCGCTGTGTCCCACCACACTCATCGTATTTTACGGGGATTGGGACTGGACTGGAAGGGTGGAGAAAAGTCGCAGTGAGGCCAGTGGCAGGAGCTCGCTCCCCTACCATCACCACCGAGGCCACTTGGGTGTCTCTCCGAATGACAAATATTGGGGCAGTGCTTTTCAAGAAGCACAGTCACATCCTTTGGTTCATTTGGTGTTCACCCTAAACTCGCAAGGTGGGCATAGTTACTCATATTTTATACATAAAAAACTAACACCCAGAAATAGGAAGTGATTAATCCGAGTTCACTAGCATCAGGTTTCCTTGGTTCTTTCGCAGGTGGTGCACTTTTCCACTATTACTGCTGGGGTCTGGGCGGGATTATACTTCAGAATTCAGACTGGAGGGTCACATTTTTTTGTTGTTATAAACCCTTCGTTAGCCTGTTTCTCTCTCTTGACCAGTCCCCGCAACTGCAGCCAGGAAATGTTTATTCTGGCCCAATGGATGTGGAACTGCTTTGAATTGTTAAGAACAGCACCGGGCAAAGCACTTCCAATAAGTTAACCCAACACATCCTCACAGCAATTCCCCGAGGTAGTTGCTGTCTTCATCCCATTTACAGTTAGTCACATAGCCAGTAAGTCCTGGAACCCAGATTTGAACCTAAGTCTTTCACTAACACAAAGTGATGATTATTTTTCAAATTTCACTTAATTTTAACGGTTCCCTCACAACTCCTTTTCCAGTCTCCCTCAGGTCTTACACTTGATTTATTCATTATGGTACTTCTGGTTTTTATTTATTTTTGAGGCAGAGTCTCACTCTGTCTCCCAGCCTGGAGTGCAATGGCACAATCTCAGCTCACTGCAACCTCCGCCTCCCAGGTTCAAGCTATTCTCATGCCTCAGCCACCCGAGTAGCTGGGCTTACAGGCATGCGCCACCATGCCCAGCTAATTTTTGTATTTTTAGTATAAACAGGGTCTCGCCATGTTGGCCAGGTTGGTCTCTAACTTCTGGCCTCAAGTGATCCACCTGCCTTGGTCTCCCAAAATGCTGCGATTATAGGCGTGAGCCACCACACCTGACCGGTACTTGTTTTTTAAAAAGTATGTGGTTTGAATCATGGTTATAAGTCTTTATAATCAGCTTGATTTTACTTTTGTACTGTCATATTTTATTTACAAAGCTTGCAACTTAAGCTTCATGTAGGTCTTTATAATGTGTTTTCTCCTCCTACCAGAAAGCAATAAAGGAGAAAGAGATTCCTATTGAAGGACTGGAGTTCATGGGCCATGGCAAAGAAAAGCCTGAAAATTCTTCTTGACCTTGACAGTCACCTTGAAGGATTTCGCAAGTCCAGAAATTGAGGACTCTGGATTTTTGTCAACTAACTCTGTGAACATAGCCATCAGATTTGATGAGGAACTTAGGAGAGAGGAGTTTTATTTCCTCCTTCGATGTTTTCCTCTCAGTTGTAAAAGATGAACTCTTTGAGATGATTTCTCACCTGCTGTGGTATCTTGCAGGAACTGTGTGCTAAAATTGAACAATTTTTTTGAGATTATGGTTGCAATACTTGGCGTGGAATCAGCTTTACATAAATATACCTTGTATGCAAACGATGATAAACTAGTCAGGATGAGCAGAGCTGCCTGACCTCTTGATTTCTGCTGCAAAAGACATATACACTGTACTGGGGTCACTATTTATGAAAGCAATTGGTTAGGACCTCTTTTTTTCCTCTCAGGGAACTAATGCTCTGAAAAGGGATCTGGGCACAACAGTTTCAGTGAGTGCTTTTGAGCACACTTTTATTTTTATATAGTAACTAATGGTTAAGATTGATGGTGGCCTGGATTAGCAAAGAGGAAGACAGCTTTTAACACAGTTCCCTGCCTTCACAAGAGGTGTCAGATTAAGATGTGAAAGCTGCAAGAATGTTGCAGTGAACACCATTTCAGAGCTCTCAGTGTGCAGTTCAGGAATTAAGATACTTGGAATAGCTGTGGAGGAAGAACCTAAATTGCAAAGATCTGCTATTGCCAGCTCTCAACCCAAGTCAGTGAATTGTCAACCTGCATATCCTAAAAATGTCAAAATGCTGCATCTGGTTAAATGTCGGGGTAGGGGGGAAGCTGAAGGTGCTCGCTTCATTTGCCTTGTTTACTCATCCTGCCCTGTAATGTCTGTAATCCTGAAGATGGAATAAATTGTAACATTTAGTTTCTATCATTATTTGCCTCTGGAACTCAGTGCATTTTATGGAACTATTACCCTGTTACCCTACAAACCTCATATATACAGTGGGGAGAGTTTTGTGTTTTGTAACTTAAAGGTGAAGAAAAAGTGACTTGTCTTAAGCTAGGTGGTACAGTATGGCAATCAGAAACCTCACATTTTTTTTTTTTGAGACAGTCTGGTTCTGTCACCCAGGCTGGAGTGCAGTGGCGCAATCTTGTCTTACTGCAAACTCCACCTCCTGGGTTCCAATGATTCTCCTGCCTCAGTCTCCCAAGTAGCTGGGATTACAGGCATGCATCACCATGCCCAGCTAGTTTTTGTATTTTTAGTAGAGATGGGGTTTCACCATGTTGGCTGGTCTTGAACTCTTGACCTCCCGAAGTGCTGGGATTACAGGCATGAGCCACCGCACCCAGCCAAAACCTCACTGATTTCTAAAATTTCCACAATAGGCTATACAAATACACTACGGTACCAAAAAAGGATCAGGAGAGCACTTACTTACCTCAGAATGTCACGTAATCCCCACAATTAATTGAGTAATTTGGTTTTATTAGATACCCAAAGTAGTATGAAACTTGAATTACAGGCCGGGTATGGTGGCTCATGCCTGTAGTCTTAACACTTTGGGAAGCTGGGATGGGCGGATCACTTGAGCTCAGGAATTTGAGACCAGCCTGGGCAACATAGCGAAACCCTGTCTCTACAAAAAAATTAGCTGGGTATGGTGGTGTGTGCCTGTAGTCCCAGCTACTCTAAAGGCTGAGGTGGGAGAATTACCTGAGCCTGAGAGGTGGAGACTGCAGTGAGCTGTGATTGTACCACTGCACTCCAGGCTGGGTGACACAGCAAGACCCTGTCTGAAAAATAAACCAAGAAACTTGATTTATAGAAGGCCCTAATTCTATTGTCTTTTCTCCACTTTACCAATTGCTACATCATATTTAATGTGACTTGTCCTTAATGTCATTTCAAAACATTCTTCATTTATATTTTATGACTGGCTAGGGTCCATTATCCAAGGATTATAAAAGATGTTTGGAACCCAGCCAAGGGAGGCCAGGCAGCAAGCTGAAGTATAATGCATCTGTCCTAAACTCAGACTGGCCACAACCAAAACAGCTCTATAGGGACTCAGAAGTGCAGGCTGTAATATTACAAAATGGCAAAGACAATGAGATTCTCTATTCCGTTAATTATTACAAAATGGCAAAGACAATGAGATTCTCTATTCCGTACTGTATATGCCTTACTTTTGCGTTACCAGTTTAATGTAATATAATATGAAATACCTTGTTGCCTCTTGAACCTTACCACGAAAGTGTTCCTTTGAGCCTTAAGAATAAACCAGCTGGCTGGGCGCGGTGGCTCACGCCAGTAATCCCAGCACTTTGGGAGACTGAGGTGGGCAGATCACCTGAGGTTGGGAGTTTGAGACTAGCCTGACCAACATGGAGAAACCCCATCTCTACTTAAAATACAAAAAATTAGCCAGGTGTGGTGGCACATGCCTGTAATCACAGCTACTCAGGAGGGTGAGGCAGGAGAATTGCTTGAACCTGGGAGGTGGAGGTTGTGGTGAGCCAAGATCATGCCATTGCACTCCAGCCTGGGCAACAAAAGCGAAACTCTGTCTCAAAAAATAAAATAAAATAAAATAAACCAGCTCTGGCCAGGCACAGTGGCTCAGACCTGTAATCCTAGCACTTTGGGAGGCTGAGGTGGGCAGATCACCTGAGGTTAGGAGTTCAAGACCAGCCTGGCCAACATGTGAAACCTTGTCTCTACTAAAAATACAAAAAAGTAGCCGGGCGTAGTGGCGGGCGCCTGTAGTCCCAGCTACTTGGGAGGCTGAGGCAGGAGAATGGCGTGAACCCGGGAGGTGGAGCTTGCAGTGAGCCGAGGTCCCGCCACTGCACTCCAGCCTGGGCGACAGAGCGAGACTCCATCTCAAAAAAAAAAAAAAAAAAAAAAAAATAATAATAATAATAATAATAATAATTGCCCTCTCAGAGTGGTTTTGTAACTACTACTACTACCATTTACTATCCATTAAAGCAGGATAGTTTTAATTCCACAGAAAAGCCAATAAGCAGAAATGTGTCACGCTCCCTTTGTTTCTCTTAAGATTTCTGACCCTACCAGCCCTGAAGGAGATTACCTCAAAGTAAGAACTTGACACATTCGAGGCCAGGCACGGTGGCTCACGCCTGTAATCCCAGCACTTTGGGAGGCTGAGGCGGGTGGATCACGAGGTCAGGAGATCGAGACCATCCTGGCTAACATGGTGAAACCCTGTGTCTACTGAAAATACAAAAAATTAGCTGGGTGTGGTGGCGGGTGCCTATAGTCCCAGCTACTCGGGAGGCTGAGGCAGGAGAATGGCTTGAACCTGGGAGGCAGAGCTTGCAGTGAGTGGAGATCGTGCCACTGCACTCTAGCCTGGGCAACAGAGAGAGACTCCGTCTCAAAAAAAAAGAAAAAAAAGAACTTGACATGTTCAAGAAAATTATGACTACAGGGAAGATTCTGCAGTAAATGCTAGTGGAATGGGACAGGAAAAAGATGAGACCCAGATCAAGCACTTCCTCTTGAGAAATACAGATACCTCTTTCAGGTGTAAATTGCAGGCATTCTGCTAGCCATTCAATGTCTTTGATATCTCAGGCCCGTCAAGGACCAATCTTTTGTTTTTTGAGACAGAGTCTCACTCTGTTGCCCAGGCTGGAGTGCAGTGGCACGATCTTGGCTCACTGCAACCTCCACCTCCCGGGTTCAAGCCTCTACACCCAGCTATAGGAGTGCGCCACCACACCCAACTAATTTTTGTATTTTTAGTAGAGACAGGATTTCATCATGTTGGCCCGGCTGATCTCCAACTCCTGACCTCAGGTGATCTGCCAGCCTCAGCCTCCCAAAGTGCTGGGATTACAGGCATGAGCCACCGCACCTGACCAAGGACTAATCTTGATGCTTAATTAGCACCACTCCACTTGGTCCCTTTATCCACATCAGGCACAATAAACCAAGAGGGGCTGTTATAAACACTTATTCAATGGGCTGAATTGGACCTGTAACACTAAACAGCAGCCTAGACCTTCACTGTGGAAACAGAAATAACTAATGCCAATTTCTTTTCAACTTGGACACTGACTTGAAGCTCAAATGCTAATTTCTGCGAAAAAACACAACCAAAGAAAGTAACTCTCAGCTCATGACCAATCTAAATTTAAGTTATTTATTTAAGCCATCTCCTGCCACAAGCAAAGGGATGGGAGACCAGTATACCAGTCATCATTTGATACAAGTAAAGAAGGTGAGCTTAAGGTCCCATATACTTTTTCTGGTCCATGTGCAGAGTAACGGTCCAAACCAGTGCTGTGGTCCCTGGTGCCCGGGTAGTGGTCCAGATTCTCTTTATTCATCTTCGTAGCCAGTTGGAAGTGGATTCACATGAGGGTTATGGAATAGAGTATGGTTACCATCTCCCCAGGGAAACGGCTGTGGAGTGAAGATGTCAGTTAGATAATTCCAGAAAATAATTTAGAAAGAACACCGTCATGAACTGCTTATAACGGGGTGACAGATCATATATAAAAACAAAATGGAAATTAGTCCTTTATCTACTGGTGTAGTTCAACCTTCCCATTATTTAAGGAGCTCTTATAACTACCAGGGGAGCCCTTAAAGTTATCCTGGCTACAGGACAGTTTTAATTCCAGAAACAAATATGGATGGCAGAAAATGCAAGCTCAAGTTAGTTACTCATCATCCTCTCCCTAGTAACTAGTATATCCAGTGCTGTGTTTATGAAAGTGTAATCCTCAAATCACCTATATCAAAATGGTGGCAGTATTAGGGGAGGGAGATGCTTAATTAAATGCAGATTTCTGGCACCATCCCAGACTTCAAACAATATCTGGGCTGGGAAACTGCAGCCCACCCTGAATTATCTTGCCTATTACCTTTGAAAAGCATTACTTTAGGGCAACGGTCTCCAACCCAGGGTGATTTTGCCCCTTCAGGGCACACTGGGTAGTATCGGGAGACACTGTGATGGGGGCGGGGGAGGGGGAAGCGGGAGTGGGGTTGCGCAGGTACTACTGCCACCTAGTGGGTACAGGCCAAGGATATGGCTAAACATTTCACAATGCACAAGATAGCCCCCCAACAAGAATTACCCAGCCCCAAATGTCAACAGTGCTGAGGCTGAGAAACCTTTACTGTTTGGCTTCTAATTGCATTGTACAAGGATGGGAGTGCCGCTCAAAGACTCAACAAATTCAAGAGTCTAGGTTAAGTTTCTACAAGGCCAGTCCTATATGGGCTAGGTGATGTAATAATAATAATAATAATAATAACTTTTTTCATCACTTCTCGGCCTTTTGGCTAAGATCAAGTATATTATTACTATTTTTTTTTGAGACGGAGTTTCACTCCTGTTGCCCAGGCTGCAGTGCAATGGCTGGATCTTGGCTCACTGCAACCTCCTCCTCCTGGGTTCAACCTCCTAGATTCTCCCACCGCAGCCTCCCGAGTAGCTGGGATTACAGGCGCCCGCCACCACGCCCGGCTACTTTTTGTACTTTTAGTAGAGATAGTGTTTCGCCATGTTGACGAGGCTGGTCTTGAACTCCTGACCTCCGGCGATCCACCCACCTTGGCCTCCCAAAGTGCTGGGATTACAGGCGTGAGCCACCGCGCATGGCCAGTATTGAAGAATCAGAATAAGCCCTTGTTAAAGATACAGCAAACAACAGAGGACACAACATTGTAATATATCTACATCAACAACCAATGATAAAACAGTCGAGAAAAGGTATTGGTGGGGAATAGAGAAAGCTGTCAGTCTCTTCATTATGCAACTAGTAGCTGCCAGATGCCCATGTTTTGTTGTTGCTGTTTTGTTTTGTTTTGAGACCAGAGTCTCGCTCTGTTGCCCAGGCCGGAGTGCAGTGGCACGATCTCAGCTCCCTGCAAACTCCGCCTCCTAGGTTCAAGGGATTCTCCTGCTTCAGCCTCCCATGTAGCTGCTGGGTTCGCTTACGCGAACCACCTTCAGACTTTGCCACTCTAATTGGATTTCCCAAACCTCCAGGCTTTACACAACGGACACCTGTTTCAGAACTGTCTCAGAAGTAAAAAAAAAAAAAAAAAAAAAAAAAAGAACTGTCTCAGAAGGCAGGAGGTAGGATGAATCGGAGAAAAGGGAAACTGAAGAGCACTTATTGTATGACCTTGAAGAAGAGAATTGAGACGTAATCCCAAGTGTCAGCTGTCCATCCACAAAATGGAAGAAAATACATTTTCTGTTTGTGAGGATAAACAAGCTGTACACGCCTGGCACCCATGCCTTCAGAGAATGAAGAACTTGCACTAAGGCACACATAACGAAAAGAGAACGGACGCTTGAAGAGATGTACAAGGGCGTACCTTGGTCCTGATGCGGAGATGGGGGTAGGCGATGAACTCGGGTCTCTCGTGCTCTCCGTGGTGCGACTTCAGGTACACATTCAGCATGCTGACTGCCACCCCGGGGAGCGCGACGAAGAAGGTGAGAGTCTTCCACATGCGAGCTGCGGAGAAGCCACAAACGTTCAGCGCCGGTATGGGGCGGGCCCGGGTCTCACTTTCCCTCCCGCAAGGCCTCGGGCCAAGGTCACAGTCCCTCCCTGTCTCGCCCGAGTGGGGCTGAGGCTCGACCCGTCGACCCCGGCCCCAGTACCTGAGCCCTCTTCGCCATGGGCGCCACTCGACATAGGCCGCCCCAGCTGTGGGCGGGACCGACCCAGCAGCCGAGAAACCGAGGACACACCAACTACCGCCATTTTTGATCTGGACTGCCGCAGCGCCGGAAGCGGAAGTGGAAAATTGGCTCTGGGGGCGGTACTACAACCTCCAAAGGAAGTTACTATTGGGCGCCGCCCTCCCACTGGCATTAACCTGAGCACTATCATCCGGGACGACGGAGTCCTTGTCAAAATCCTCGGCATCTCGGGCAAGAGAGAGCATGCGCTCTGCACCTCCCTTCAGGCTTTACCGTTTCCTTCGTGCGCATGCGTGTGCCCTCCGGTCTCCCTACCGTCCCCACCTGGGCGAGGCGGAAGCTCAAGAGAGGTTTGTGCAGGGTGCCCTGGTACCTGGAATCGCTCCCTTCGTTGGAGTCCATGGACGGGCATCTGGAGGTTCTGATCCCAGACCGCCCTATCTAAAATTCCGTTCCCCTTCCTCGCCATCCTCCGACTGCGTTTTCTCATAGCACATAACATTGCACCTTCGTCGTTATATTATTATTTTGTCTGTCTCCCCCACTAGAATATAAAGTCTGTGATACCAAGAGTTTGGCACTGCAGCATTCTCAGAATAATCTGGGAATGGTGTAATTTGGAATCATACCTGGCACATACCAGATACTTGATATAAATTTGCTGAATGAATGGATGAATGAATGAATAGCAACAGAAAGTATAAAGAGCACTGAAATTGGTGCCAGCAGACCTGGATCCTAATCCTGACTCAACAGTCTCATCTTTTTTTTTTTTTTTTTTTTTTTTTTTTTTGAGACGGAGTTTGACTCTTGTTGCTTAGGCTGGAGTGCAGCGGTGCAATCTTGGCTCACTGCAACCTCTGCATCCCAGGTTCAAGCAGTTCTACTGCCTCAGCCTCCTGAATAGCTGGGATTACAGGCACGCACCACCATGCCTGGCTAATTTTTTTTTTTGTACTTTGGTAGAGACAGGGTTTCACCATATTGGCCAGGATGGTCTCCATCTCCTGACCTTGTGATCCGCCTTCCTCGGCCTCCCAAAGTGCTGGGATTACAGGCGTGAGCCACTGTGCCCGGCCTTTTTTTTTTTTTTTTTTTTTTTTTTCAATAGGCCCCTTTGAGAATGTAATGAGGACCAGCGTGGTGGCTCATGGCTGTAATCCCAACACTTTGAGAGGCCGAGGCGGACAGATTGCTTGAGCTTGAGAGTTTGAGACCAGCCTGGGCAACAAAGCTTTTTTCTTTATTAGAAAAAAAAAGAATCTAATGAAAGCTTTGAACCCTTTCCTCTAAAGACACACCTATGTGTAAACACACAGTATAGCACACATTGTTGGGAGAATAGGTGACCATAAAATATATTTGGAAACCCTCTAAGCATCTTTATGCCTCAGATCAAGAGCTCCTGGGGGCTGCATGTAGTGGCTCATGCCTGTAA
This sequence comes from Homo sapiens, assembly GCF_000001405.40. Lineage (NCBI taxonomy): Eukaryota > Metazoa > Chordata > Mammalia > Primates > Hominidae > Homo > Homo sapiens. The sequence goes on along the minus strand of NC_000012.12, from coordinate 120,436,749 downwards.
TCCTAGCACTTTGGGAGTCCGAGGTGAGTGGATCACCTGAGTTCAGGAGTTCGAGACCAGCCTGACCAACATAGTGAAACCCCATCTCTACTAAAAATACAAAATGAGCCGGGCATGGTGGTACATGCCTGTAATCCCAGCTACTTGGGAGGCTGAGGCAGGAGAATCGCTTGAACCCAGGAGGCAGAGGTTGCAGTGAGCTGAGATTGCACCATTGCACTCCAATCTGGGCAACAAGAGTTGAACTCCCATCTCAAAACAAAACAAAAAAAAGGCCGGCACTGTGGCTCACGCCTGTAATCCCAGCACTTTGGGAGGCGGAGACAGGTGGGTCACTTGAGGTCAGGAGTTCGAGACCAGCCTGGCCAACATGGTGAAACGCCGTCTCCACTAAAAATACAAAAATTATTCGGCGTCGTGGCGCAAGCCTGTAGTCCCAGCTACATGGGAGGCTGAAGCAAGAGAATCTCTTGAACCTAGGAGGTGGAGTTTGCAGTGAACTGAGATCATGCCACTGCACTCCAGCCTGGGCGACACAGCGAGACTCTGGTCTCAAAACAACAACAGCAACAAAAAAGTCCGGGTAGGAGAACAAACAGGGACTCTAGTGTGAGAAGGCTGGGCTCACATCTTGTTCCCTTACAGCCTGTGTGGCCTTGGGCAGGTTAGCTGAAACCGATGCCTTAAGGTCATGCAGTTTCATGAAGACAAAACCTTAGGATCATATTACTAGAGCTTTACTACCTGATTTAGCATGAAATCTTTCTCGAGTAGCCTAAGTTTTTATACTTCAGGGTGCAATCAAGATCATCAAATCTGTCAAACACGTCCTCAAACACAGCCAAAGGGTATATGAGGCCCCACACTGGGGCCATACAAAGGGTCTAAGCTAGCCGGGCTTGCTTGTAGTCCTAGCTACTTGAGAGGCTGAGGCCAGAGGATCCGTTAAGCCCAGGAGTTCAAGTCCAGCTTGGGCAACATAGCAAGACACCATCTCTAAAAAAAAAAGAAAAAGAAAGTGTTCAAGACAGGGATCAGGAACTCCTGGGTTCAAATCTCTGGTTTGCCACCAGCTATGCTTCCTCTTCTCTACAATAGGAATGTAATAATGTAATATGCATTTATTCATTCCTTTGTATAACAAATTTTTTTTTTGAGATGGAGTCTTGCTCTGTCACCCAAGCTGGAGTGTGGTGGCACAATCTTGGCTCACTGCAACCTCCACCTCCTGGGTTCAAGCAATTCTCCTGCCTCAGCCTCCCGAGTAGCTGGGATTACAGGCGTGCGCCACCACACGCGGCTAATTTGTGAATTTTTTAGTAGAGATGGGGCTTCACCACGTTGGCCAGGCTGGTCTCAAACTCCTGACCTCAAGTGATTCACCTGCCTCGGCCTCCCAAAGTGCTGGGATTACAAGCATGAGCCACTGCACCTAACAAGCATCCTGAGTAGTTAGGACTACAAGTGCACACCACCTCATCCAGCTAATTTTTTTTTTTTTAGAGACGGGGTCTTACTATGTTGCTCAGGCTGATCTCAAACTCCTGAGTTTAAGCGATCCTCCCACCTCAGCCTCTCAAAGTTCTGGAATTACAGGTGTCGGCCACTGTTCCTGACCCAGAGCCAGAATTTAAATCTAGAAGTCTGGCCCCAAAGCCTCCATGTTTAACCACTCTGAGATACTGCACTCTTAGCACAGTGCCTGGCACAAAATGAGTGCTCAATAATTGTTAACTGTTAGAATTGTCTTGATCTAGTCCAGGTGCGATGGCTCATGCCTGTAATCCCAGCACTTTGGGAGGCCGAGGCAGGTGGATCACCTGAGGTCAGGAGTTCGAGACCAGCCTGGCCAATATGGTGAAACCCTGTCTCTACTAAAAATACAAAAATTAGCCGGGCGTGATGGTGGGCACCTGTAATCCCAGCTACTTGGAAGGCTGAGGCAGGAGAATCGCTTGAACCTGGGAGGTGGAGGTTGCAGTGAGCAGAGATCGTGCCATTGCACTCCAGCCTGGGTGACAAGAGTGAAACTCTGTCTCAAAAAAAAAAAAAACAAGGAATTATCTTGATCTGTTGAAACAAAACTACTTCAAGTTGGAACTAGTCTTAAATTTTTTGACCATAAAAGAAAAAAAAACAAAGAATTGTCTTGATCGAGGTGGTACAGGGTCAATAGAAGAGGATCAAAATGGCATTTGGCTTTGGAGGGGCAGTCAGTCTGCCCTCCTGTAGGATATGACATCTAAGTCACCTACCCTCAAATAAATGAGTGAGTCAGAGACAAGTTTGGGCTGGGATGGAAAGAGTTTTCCAGAAAGATATCTTTCCAAAAGATACCACCAGAGAGGCTGGGTGCAGTGGCTCATGACTGTAATCCCAGCACTTCGGGAGGCCAAGGCAGGCGGATCACCTGAGGTCAGGAGTTTCAGACCAGCCTGGCCAACATGACAAAACCCCGTCTCTACTAAAAATACAAAAATTAGCTGGGTGTGCTGACACACACCTGTAATCCCAGCTACTTGGGAAGCTGAGGCATGAGAATCGCTTGAACCCAGGAGGCAGAGCTTGCAGTGAGACATGATTGCACTACTGCACTCCAGCCTGGGCAACAGAGGAGACTCTGTCAAAAAAAAAAAAAAAAAAAAAAAGGCCAGGCGCTGTGACTCACACCTGTAATCCCAGCACTTTGGGAGGCTGAGGCGGGTGGATCACCTGAGGTCAGGAGTTCTAGACCAGCCTGGCCAACATGGTAAAACCCCGTCTCTACTAAAAATACAAAAAAAAAAAAAAATTAGCCAGACGTGGTGGCAGACATCTGTAATCCCAACTGCTTGGGAGGCTGAGGCAGGAGAATCTCTTGACCTGGGAGGCAGAGGTTGCAGTGAGCCAAGATCACGCCATTGCACTCCAGCCTGGACGACAAGAGTGAAACACCGTCTTAAAAAAAAATTAGCCAGGTGTGGTGGCGGGCACCTATAATCCCAGCTACCTGGGAGGCTGAAGCACAAGAATCACTTGAACCTGGGAGGTGGAGGTTGCAGTGAGCCAAGATCCAGCCTGGGCGACAGAGCCAGACTCCGTCTCAAAAAAAAAAAAAAAGATTTCTGACTGAAGTGCACCTAGAGGTTTGCATAGAAGGCATAGAAGGCTGGGTGTCAGGGTTGGTTTCCTTGCAGTGGGAGGGGGCGGTCCAGCTGGGGTAGGCTGAATAGCGTAGCTGTGCAGGTTAGAACACTGGATTTAGACCTTGAGCCACCCAGGTTTGAGCCTTGGCCCTAGCCCTTCCTGCTAGGAAGACCTAGAGCAATCTGCTTTACTCTGAGCCTTTCTTTCTTCATTCATAAATGGGGCTAATAACTGGATCTTCCAGAGATGTTGTGAGCTTAAATGTGTCAATGTAGGTAGAAAGCCTGACACGTGGGGGCGGGTGTGCACAGTGATAGCTATTACTTATTTCTGTGTTCCTACCCCCACCTCTCAACCTTCTGCCGAGCTAGATTGTCAGCTTTAGAGGGCAGACCCCCAGTATCATCTATCTCTGTGACCCCATAGAATTTGGTGCTCAGTTATTTTTCCTTACTGGTCCCTGTTGATGCTCATACACTCGTCTACACCCGAGGTTCTGCTTAGGCCAGCCCCACGTGGTTCCCCACCTCTGTCTGCACACATCACACTCGGTTCTCACCTCTTCCAGGAAGCCTTTCCTGGTTACATCCTGACCCTGGCCTCTGGTCCCCCAGTGATGTTCAGCCCACTGTACCTCTTATGATGACTATTCCACTTCCTCATTCCACTTCAGGCCCCAGGAGACCCCCTAACCTTTTTTTTTTTTTTTTAAGACAGAGTCTTGCTCTGTCACCCAGGCTGTAGTGTAGTGACACGATCTCGACTCACTACAACCTCCGCCTCCTGGGTTCAAGCAATTCTCCTGCCTCAGCCTTCTGAGTAGCTGGAATTACAGGCATCTGCCACCACACCCGGCTAATTTTTGTATTTTTAGTAGAGATGGGGTTTCACCACGTTGGCCAGGCTGGTCTCGAACTCCTGACCTCAGGTGATCTGCCCACCTCGGCCTCCCAAAGTGCTGGGATTACAGGCGTGAGCCACTGCGCCCGGCCAGGAGACCCCTTTTTTTTTCGGATTCCTCTAAATTCTCTCAATGCCTGGCACAGGCCAGGCATAACAAAATGGTTAAGAACTCAGGTTCTCAGACAAAGCTGGATTTAAGTCCACCTCTGGCTGGGTGAGGTGGCTCACACCTATAGTCTCAGCACTTTGGGAGGCTGAGATAGGAGGATCACTTGAACCCTGGAGTTCAAGACCAACCTAGGCAACATGGCGAACCCCTATCTCTACAAAAAATACAGAAATTAGCTGGGCATGGTGATGCCTGCCTGTAATCTCAGCTACTTGCGAGGCTGAGGTGGAGGATTGCTTGAGTCCAGGAAGTAGAGGTTGCAGTGAGCCAAGGTCATGCCACTGCACTCCATCCTGGGCAACAGAGTGAGACCCTATCTTTTTTTTTTTTTTTGAGACGGAGTCTCACTCTGTCACCCAGGCTGGAGTGCAGTGGCACAATCTCAGCTCACTGCAACCTCTGCCTCCCTGGTTCACGCGATTCTCCTGCCTCAGCCTCCCGAGTGGCTGGGATTACAGGCACCCGCCAACTTGCCTGGCTAATTTTTGTATTTTTAGTAGAGACGGGGTTTCACCATCTTGGCCAGGCTGGTCTCGAACTCCTGACCTCGTGATCCACCTGCCTCGGCCTCCCAAAATGCTGGGATTACAGGCGTGAGCCACCACACCCAGCCAAAACCCTATCTTAAAATATAAAAATAAATCCAGGTTCTGCTGCTATTGCTGGACAAGTAATTTTATGCTTCAGTTTCTTCATCTGCAGAATGAGGAAAATAATAGTACCTACTGTTAGGGTTTTTGGGAGAACTGAACATGATGATGTGTGTAAAGCACTTAGCACTTTCCTCAACCTATAGCAGTGATTTGTGTTATATTATTATTAATAAACCACTATTACATTAAGTTTAAAACAAAGCAGATATATTGTATGTGAAAAGGTGGTATATTGGAATGTATTGATATCGGTCCCTCTTACATTATATCTCAATAAAGCTGTTAAAAACAAGAAAGCAGGCTACAAAATATTAAATGTATACTTCTATTTTTGTAAAACACACGACAATTCCGTAAGGGCTACACTCACATGTTGACAGAAGTTATGTCTGGGCTTTAAATTTTCTTTTTAAATTTTCTACCATGAACGTATAGTACTTGTATTATAAGAACAAAAGCTTTCATCAAAAAGCAGATTATAAAGTTGCTATAGGCTAGGCGTGGTGGCTCATGCCTGTAATCAGAACATTTTGGGAGGCTGAGGCAGGAGGATTGCTTGATTCCAGGACTTTAAGACCAGCCTGGGCAACATAGGGAGATCCCATCTCTATTAAAAAAAAAAAAAGTTTTTTCTTGCATTGCTGTAAAGAAATTTTAAAAAGGTCAGGCATGGTGACTCACACCTGGAATCCCAGCACTTTAGGAGGCCGAGGTGGGTGGATCACCTGAGGTCAGGAGCTCGATACCAGCCTGTGACTAATATGATGAAACCCTGTCTCTACTAAAAACACAAAAATTGGCCTGGCGCCGTGGTTCACGCCTCTCATCCCAGCACTTTGGGAGGCCGAGTCGGGTGGATCACGAGGTCAGGAGATGAGACCATCCTGGCTAACACGGTGAAACCCCGTCTCTACTAAAAATACAAAAAAACTATCCCGGCGTGGTGGCGGGCGCCTGTAGTCCCAGCTACTCAGTAGGCTGAGAAGAATCGCTTGAGCCCGGGAGGCGGAGGTTGCAGTGAGCCGAGATTGCGCCATTGTACTCCAGCCTGGGCAGCAAGAGCGAAACTCCGTCTCAAAAAAAAAAAAAAAAGTTTTAATCAAGTCGCTAGCGGCACTTCCGTTGCTGGTATTAGTTCCATTAGATTGTAAGCCACATGAGGGCAGGGACCCCTTCTGCCTGGAACAGAAAAGGCGCTCAGTGAACATTTACAGCAAAGCCACCGGGTGGGGCGACTCTTGACACCCGCGTCTGCAGTACCGCTCTCGCCCAGTGGGTGGCAGGCTCCGCATGTGCGGGCGCCGCCCACGAGCCTGGCCAGAGGAGTCACGCCCGCCACCTTATACGTGGCTGTCTGGTCTCAGGATCCTTGGAGGAGGAGGGGAGGTGGAGCTTGTGCGAGGGCTGGAGAGGACCCTTCCTGGGCCTCAAGGACTCCTTTTTTTTTTTTTTTTTTTTTTTTAATAATTTCTTTAGAGACAGGGTCTCTGTCGCCCAGGCTGGAGTTCAGTGGCGCCAGGTTAGTGATCGCTTTGAGAGAAAGACCTCGGCCAGGCGCAGAGTGGCTCACGCCTGTAATCCCAGCACTTTGGGAGGCCGAGGCGGGCGGATCACCTGACGTCAGGAGTTCAAGACCAGCCTGGCCCACATGGCGAAACCCTGTCTCTACTAAAAATACAAAAATTAAACGGGCTTGGTGGCACATGCCTGTAATCCCAGCTACTCGGGAGGCTGAGGCAGGAGAATCGCTTGAACCTGGGAGGCAGTTCTGCTCAGTCTCTTGAGTAGCTGGGGTTACAGGCATCCGCCACCATGCCCAGCTAATTTTGGTATTTTTAGTAGAGACCGGGTTTCACCATGTTGGCCAGGCTTGTCTGGAATTCCTGACCTCAGGTGATCCGCCTGCCTCGGCCTCCCAAAGTGCTAGGATTACAGGTGTGAGCCACCACGCCCGGCCAAGTTTTGTATTTTTTGTAGAGATGGGGTTTCACCATGTTGCCCAGGCTGGTCTCAAACTCCTGAATTCAAGTGATCCTCCTGCCTCAGCTTCCCAAAGTGTTGGGATTACAAGTGTGAGCCAGGTTGCCTGGCCAGGAGATCCTTCTAAAGTATAATCTGCCTATCCCACCATCCCTGTTTGAAACCCTGTTGCCCCCAGGATAGAACTCAAACTACTTACTCTGACCTCCAAGGTGCTAAGGAATACCATCGCTGCCTATCTCCACCATTATCCCTAGGGACACCACATCCATCCTCCGAGCTAGGCTTCCTTCTGTTTCTGAAATGTGCCAAGCCCCTTCCAACCTCAGGACCTTCGCTCGGGCGGTTCCCTGTCCCAGGACTGCTCTTCCCCCTCCCCCATTAACTTCTAAGTCGCCTGGGAAAAGCTTCACGAGAGCAGGGAGCTTGTCTGTCTTGCTGACTCCTATATCCCAACACCAAACACAGTACCTGACACAAACAAAGTGCTTACTTTTTTTTTTTTTCCTGAGATAGAGTCTCAGTCTGTCACCCAGGCTGGAGTGCAGTGGCCCAATCTTGGCTCACTGCAATCTCTGTCTCCTGAGTTCAAGCAATTCTCCTGCCTCAGCCTCCCTAGTAGCTGGGATTACAGGCATGTGCCACTACACCCAGCTTTATACATATATATATGTATCATCAAAAAAATATATATATATACACACACACATACATATACACACAAGTCAATTCTGCTTCTTTAAATTTTGACACAATGTCTGGACTCTTACAGTGCAATATAACAGGTCATGAATTATGAATTCTGTTTTTATCTAGCAGATTCATGTGCTCCACAGCTATTTTCTAAACTCCACCCAGGCAATCACCACAGTCCTGTCTGCATTTCCCACGACAGTCTGCAGAGTAATAACAAACACTAATTGTTCTTAACTTTTTTTTAAAGCCAGGCGTGGTGGCTCACGCCTGTAATTCCAGCACTTTCAGAGGCTGAGGTGAAAGGATTGCTTGAACCCAGGTGTTCAAGACCAGCCTGGGCAACAAAGTGAGACTCCCATCTCTACAAAAAACAAAAAAATTAGCAGGGCGTGGTGGTGAGTGCCTATAAACTCAGCTACTCAGTGGGAGGTTGAGGTGGGAGGATAATTTGAGCCCAGGAGGTCAAAGCTGCAGTGAGCACCACTGCACTCCACCATGGGGGACAGAGTGAGACCCTGTCTCAAAAAATCATTTTGGCGGGGTGCAGTGGCTCACGCCTGTAATCCCAGCATTTTGGGAGGCTGAGGCAGGTGGATCACCTGAGGTCGGGAGTTCGAGACCAGCCTGACCAGTGTGGAAAAACCCTGTCTCTACTAAAAATACAAAATTAGCTGGGTGTGGTGGCACATGCCTGTAATCCCAGCTACTAGGGAGGCTGAGGCAGAAGAATTGCTTGAACCTGGGAGGCGGAGGTTGCGGTAAGCTGAGATCATGCCATTGCACTCCAGCCTGGGCAACAAAAGCGAAACTCCATCTCAAATAATAATAATAATAATAATTTATTATTTTTAAAAATTCTTTTTATTTATTATTTTTTTGAGATGGAGTCTTACTCTGTCACCCAGGCTGGAGTGCACTGGTGTGATCTCTACTAAAAATACAAAAATTAGCTGGGTGTGCCGGGCATGGTGGCTCACGCCTGTAATCCCAGCACTTTGGGAGGCTGAGGTGGGCGGATCACGAGGTCAGGAGATCGAGACCATTCTGGCTAACATGGTGAAACCCCGTCTCTACTAAAACTACAAATAATTAGATGGGTGTGGTGGCATGCGCCTGTAGTCCCAGCTACTCGGGAGGCTGAGGCAGGAGAATTGCTTGAACCCGGGAGGTGGAGGTTGCAGTGAGCCGAGATCACGCTGTACCACTGCACTCCAGCCTGGGAGACAGAGTGAGACTGTTTCAAAAACAAACAAAAAATAGATTATAAATTCCACGAGAGCATTTAGCTTATTTAGCTTGTCTTTGTTGTTGTTGTATCCCCAACACTTTGCACAGTTTTTGGGACATAACTGATAAAATGACAATACTTAACATTTTCTGAGGTCTCACTGTGCATCAGGTGCTCTTCCAAAGATTTCATAAAAGGCTGGGGGCAGTGGCTCACACCCGTAATTCCAGCATTTTGGGAGGCTGAGGCGGGTGGATCACTTGAGCCCAGGAGTTCAAGATCAGCCTGGGCAATGTGGCAAAACCTCCTATCAAAAAAATTAGCACGGAATGGTGGTGTGAGCCTGTAGTTCCGGCTACTTGGGAGGCTGAGGCAGGCAGGAGGGTCACTTGAGCCCAGCAGGCAGAGGCTGCAGTGATCTTAGATCCTAAGAAGATTTCATAAGAAAATTCAAGGGTGGGAGTTGAGAGGAGGATAAGCAATTAGTTAATGGGTACAATGTATGGTACTTGGGCCATGGATACCCTAAATGCCCTGCCTTGAGCACTAGGCAACCTATGGAAGTAACAAAATTACACATGCGCCCCATAAACTTCTACAAATAAAAAACATGGGTGAAGCCAGGTGGCTCACACCTGTAATCCCAACACTTTGACAGGCCAAAGTGGGAGGATTGCTTGAGGCCAGGAGTTCGAGACCAGCCTCGGTGACACAGATCAAGCCCCTATCTCTACAAAAATAAAAGACATGGCCAAGCGCGGTGGCTCACACCTGTAATCCCAGCACTTTAGGAGGCTGAAGCAGGTGGATCACTTTAGGTCAGGAGTTCGAGACCAGCCTGGCCAACATGGTGAAACCCCGTTTCTACTAAAAATACAAAAATTAGCCGGGTGTGGTGGTGGACACCTGTAATCCGAGCTACTCAGGAGGCTGAGGCAAGAGAATCGCTTGAACCTGGGAGGTGGAGTTTGCAGTGAGCCGAGATCATGCCACTGCACTCCAGCCTGGGCAACAGAGTGAGACTTCACCTCAAAAAAAAATTTTTAAATTAAAAATAAAAAAAAAAAGACATGCTGGGCACAGTAGCTCACGCCTGTAATCCCAGCACTTTGGGAGGCCGAGGTGGGCAGATCATGAGGTCAGGAGATCGAGACCATCCTGGCTAAAACAGTGAAACCCCATCTCTACTAAAAATACAAAAAATTAGCCGGGTGTGGTGGCATGCACCTGTAGTCCCAGCTGCTCAGGAGGCTGAGGCAGGAGAATGGCATGAACCGGGGAGGCAGAGGTTGCAGTGAGCTGAGATCACGCCACTGCACTCAAGCCTAGGCAACAGAGCAAGACCCTGTCTCAAATAAATAAATAAATATAAATAAATTAATAAATAAAAGACATTACCTAGGCATGGTGGTACATGCCTGTGGTCCCAGCTACTCGGGAGGCTGAGGTGGGAGGATCGCTTGAGCCCAGTTCAAAGCTGCAGTGAGCTATGTTCATGCCACCGCACTCCACCTGGGCAACAGAGCGAGACCCTGTCTGAAACACACACAGACATAGACACACACACACACGATATATATAATACACATATATATAATGTATATAATTATATATATTATAAATATATAAAATATATAATTATATATATTATAAGTATATAAAATATATAATTATATATATTAAATATATAAAATATATAATTATATATTATAAATATATGTAATATATATAATTATATATTATAAATATATATAAATTAAAAATGAATAATTATATATATTATATATAAATAAAATATATAATTATATATTATATATTATATATAAATATATATTTCTTTTTTGTAAATGAAAATTTAACTCACACAAAAAAGTTAATACATAAGAAAATTAATTCTGTTTTCAAAATAACTCTCTGGCAGTAGTAAGTACTATTATTAGCCTCCTTCGCCAGAGTATGAGATTGCAGCATCAGAAAATTAAGTAACACGTATCCAAGGACAGATAATTAGAAAGCAGCCATGTTAGGACTGAATGAAGGCTGGCCAGGGCCAGGGCCAGAGTTCTACTACCCACTCCTCAGCAATGGTGGCCATGAAGGTTATTTCGAGAGGGATGAGATCCTGAGATTCCTCTGAATTAGCAGGTGTTCTCTGGGTCCCATTGCAAAGGAATCCTCCACTCACTTAAATGTCACCATTTACACCATTTACTGCCGGATCACTAAGGACTCCAGATAGAAGGACTTAGTTCAAACAAACAAAGGCTTAGCATTGACAATGGAGGTGAAAACAGTATCCAGATCAGAGGTCGACTGGGACTTCTACCCATCACTAGTTGGCTGTTAAGAGGCCTTTAACACTTAGGAGACTCCTCCCTCACTCCTGGCCTGCCCTGATTCTCTTGAACACCCATTCTCTTCACCCAAGTTGTGACGCAGTCTGCACTCATATCTGGGTGTTGGAAAACATGGTCCTCCTCGGCAAAGTCACCTGGATTCCTCAGGCTGAGTCAGGGCTTCTTTCACCTTCCACAACCTCCTGGAAGCATCATCTGCTATGCTTGATTACTATATCCCCTCCATCCACCTGGCTGTCAACTCCTTCGGGGCAAGGACTGGGGCTTCTACTTTGCTGTGTCTCTTCCCCCTTCTCGTTGACTTGTTCACTACTACTCACCCCTCAGGTCTCATCTTAAAAGGTCACCTCTGGGTGGGCCTGGTGGCTCATGCCTGTAATCCCAGCACTTTGGGGGGCTAAGGCAGGAGGATCACTTGAGCCCAGGAGTTCTAAACTAGCTTGGGCAACGTGGCGAGACCCTGTCTCTAAAAAAAAAAAAAAAAAAAAAAAAAGGGGTTACCTCCTCCCAAAAGCCTTCCCTGGCAACCCCCATAATCCCTATAGAAAATGTTCCTTGGCCGGGCACGGTGGCTCACACCTGTAATCCCAGCACTTTGGGAGTTTGATCATTTGAGGTCAGGAGAGTTCAAGACCAGCCTGGCCAACATGGTGAAACCTGGACTCTACTAAAAATACAAAAATTATCTGGGTGTGGTGGCGCCTGCCTGTAATCCTAGCTACTCAGGCGGGGGGGTGAGGCATGAGAATCATTTGAACCCAGGAGGTGGAGGTTGCAGTGAGCCAAGATTGTGCCACTGCACTCCAGCCTGGGTGACAGAGCGAGACTGTGTTTCAAAAAAAAAAAAGAAAAAAGCAAACATTTCTTGCTGTGTGATGAATTTTTGCTTGTCGAGGTCGCCTCAGCCCTAACCCAGGGGTTCCCGCATCTCAGTGTTTATAAGGCATCTGGGAAGCTTGTAAGATGCAGATTCCTGGGCTCCAACCACAAAGCATCCGACTCTGTGGGACCAGAACAGGGTCCGAGACTCTGCACTGCAATAGCTCACACCTGAATCTCGTGGAGAGGAACAATAAAATAAATGTGACTGGCCAGGTGTGGTGGCTCATGCCACCTGTAATTTCAGCACTTTGGGAGGCAGAGGTGGGAGTATTGCTTGAGCCCAGAAGTTCGAGAGCAACCTGGGCCACATAGTAAGACCCCATCTCTACAAAAAAAAAAAAAAAATTGAAAAACATTATCTGGCCATGGTGGTGCGTACCTGTAGTCCTAGCTACTCAGGAGGCTGAGGTGGGAGGATTGCTTAAGCCCAGGAGTTCAAGGCTGCAGTAAGCTATGATTACGCCATTGCACTCCAGCTTGGGCAACAGAGTGAGATTCTGTCTCTATAAATAAATACATAATAAATAAGTGGGGCTGCTTGAGGGCAGAGACCATGATCCTCATGAGCCCGCATTAACCAGTCTGTGCCTGGCACATAGGAGGTGCTCATACATGATTTCTGAATGAATACTTAAATTAATGAATGGTTGCCAGTGTTATGATACACTCTTCAAATACAGCAACTTGGGCCAGGAGTGGTGGCTCACGCCTATAATCCCAGCACTTTGGGAGGCCGAGGCAGGAGGATCACTTGACGTCAGCAGCTCAAGATCAGCCTGGCCAACATGGTGAAACCCTGTCTCTACTAAAAATACAAAAATTAGCTGGGCACGGTGGCAGCTGCCTGTAATCCCAGCTACTCAGGGGACTGAAGCAAGAGAATCACTTGAACCTGGGAGGCGGAGGTTGCAGTGAGCTGAGATGGTGCTATTGCACTCCAGCCTGGGCGACAGCATGAGACTCCATCTCAAAAAAAAAAAAAAAAAAAAGAAAAGAAAAAAGCAACTTGAGTTTGCCCTTGAAAGAGCCCCATGGCCCCATGGGCCAGGCAGAGTGGCTCACGCCTGTAATCCCAGCACTTTGGGTGGCTGACCTGAGGTCAGGAGCTCAAGACCAGCCTGGCCAACATAGTGAAACCCCCGTCTCTACTAAAAATAGAAAAGTTATCCAGGCATGTGGTGCGCACCTGTATTCCCAGCTACTTGGGAGGCTGAAGCAGAAGAATTGCTTGAATCCAGGGTACGGAGGTTGCAGTGAGCCGAGATCGCGCCACTGCACTCCAGCCTGGGCGACAGAGGGAGACTCCGTCAAAAAAAAAAAAAAAGAAAAAAGAAAGTAAGAAACGAAACAAAACAAAACAAAACGAAAAGAAGGAAGGAAAGAGAAGGGAAGGAAGGAAAGAAGAAGGAGAAGGAGAAGGGGAAGGGGAAGGGGAAGGGGAAGGGGAGGGAGGGAAGGAGGGAAGGAAGGAAGGAAGGAAGGAAGGAAGGAAGGAGGGAGGGAAGGAAGGAAGGAAGGAAGGGCGGGCCCCATGGAGGTCCTACTCTTCCGTAATGGAGGGGGGGTAGTGCTGGGGCCCTGGTGTCTGCAGTGCTAAATTGGAAACCATGGACTTCACTTTTAGGCTGTGCAACGTGAGCAAGTCATTTAGCCTCTCTAAGCCTCAGTTTTCTCATCTGCAAAATGGAGATGATAATAACCATGGCTGCGTCACAGGGCTGTAAAGAGATTACATGAGATAAAGCTTTTAGCACAGTGCCTGACCCAGAGCCAATATCCCAAAACTTCTGGATCCTATTATTATTACTATTATCATTATTACAACTATTAACACCAGGGCTGGAAGGGATCTCAGATCCTCAAATTCAGGGGCTCCCTACATAGGGTTCAGTGGATCACCCCCTCCCAAGGGATCCACAGTAGGGGTTCAGGAGGGTGGTCTGTGTGCATCTGGAAATAGAGTACAATATTGTGTCTGCTCATTTTCCTAAGGATGAGAAACTTAGCTGTCAACAAGTAAAAAATGGGGAAACTGAGTCCAGAGAGGGCGAAGGGGTCTTGCTCCAAGTTTCTCCCTTTATTCATTCATTTATTCATTCACTTTTTGTTTTTTTTTTGGTTGTTGTTGGTTTTTTTTTTTTTTTTTTTTTTTTTTGAGACAGAGTCTCGCTCTGTCTCCCAGGCTGGAGTGCAGTCGCGCGATCTCGGCTCACTGCAAGCTCCACCTCCTGGGTTCATGCCATTCTCCTGCCTCAACCTCGCGAGTAGCTGGGACTACAGGCACCCGCCACAATACCTGGCTAATTTTTTTTTGTATTTTTAGTAGAGACGGGGTTTCACCATGTTAACCAGGATGGTCTTGATCTCCTGACCTCGCGATCTGCCCACCTCAGCCTCCTAAAGTGCTAGGATTACAGGCGTGAGCCACCGTGTTGTTGTTGAGATGGAGTTTCGCTCTTGTTGCCCAGGCTGGAGTGCAATGGTGACATCTCAGCTCACTGCAACCTCTGCCTCCTGGATTCAAGCGATTGTCCTGCCTTAGCCTCCCGAGTAGCTGGGATTACAGGCATGCACCATCACGCCCTGCTAATTTTGTGTTTTTAGTAGAGACGGGGTTTCACTATCTTGGCCAGGCTGGTCTTGAACTCCTGACTTCGTGATCCACCCGCCTTGGCCTCCCAAAGTGCTGAGATTACAGGCGTGAGCCACTGTGCCTGGCCTCCTTCACTTCTTATTTCTTCAACCCAGCACCAAATCTTTCCCCAGGGCCTACATTGGCCCAGGATCACAGATGAACCAGACATGGTCAACTTCTTAGTCTCTACTCCTTACCTCCTTCCCCCGCCCCAGGGGATCTTCCTCCACAAAAGGTAGAGTTTAGTGTTTTCATTATAGTTCCTTTGTCAACACCATGCCCTGGGGCTAATTAGGCACTTCATCAAGTAACTCTAAATTCTTGCCCCAGTTGAATGCCTTACTTACCTCTACTTGGAACCTTCATTTCTCCTCTCTGAGCCTCAGTTTCCCAACCTATAGAAAGGGGGTAATAAAAGCCTTCTGCCTGGGGTTGCAAGAATTAAATAAAATAGAATTGAAAGTGCTTTATAAGCTGCAAAGTGTGGTGCCGATATTAGTATTATGGTCTGGAGAGAGAAGAAATCAAAATTGATAAATAATTGAGAACTGCACAATCTCCTCTCTCTCTCTCTCTCTCTTTTTTTTTTTTTTTCTGGACGGAGTCCCGCTCTGTTGCCCAGGCTGGAGTGCAGTGGCACGATCTTGGCTCACTGCTACCTCCGCCTCCTGGGTTCAAGCAATTCTCCTGTCTTAGCCTCTCAAGTAGCTGGGATTACAGGTGCCCGCCACCATAACCGGCTAATTTTTGTATTTTTTAGTAAAGACGGAGTTTCACCATGTTGGACAGGCTGGTCTTGAACTCCTGACTTTAGGTGATCCGCCCGCCTCAGCCTCCCAAAGTGCTGGGATTACAGGCATGAGTCACGGCTCCCAGTAGTTTATTTTTTGAGACAGAGTCTCACTGTGTTGCCCAGGCTGGAGAGCAGTGGCAGATCTTGGCTCACTGCAACCTCCGCCTCCCAGGTTCAAGCAATTCTCCTGTCTCAGCATCCCGAGTAGCTGGGATTACAGGCACCCGCCACCATGCCCGGCCAAGTTTTGTATTTTTAGTAGAGATGAGGTTTCACTATGTTGGCCAGGCTGGTCTCAAACTCCTGACCTCAGGTGATGCACCCACCTCAGCCTCCCAAAGTGCTGGGATTACAGGCAGGAACCACCGCACCTGGCTTCTTTTCTTTTTAATTAAGCTTTATTGGCCAGGCATGGTGGCTCATGCCTGTAATCCTAGCACTTTGGGAGGCCAAGGCAGGAGGATTGCTTGAGCCCGGGAGGTCAAGATCAGCCTGGGCAACATAGTGAGACCCACGTCTCTACAAAAAATACAAAAGTTAGCCAGGCATGGTGGTGCACACCTGTAGTCTCAGCTACTCGGAAGGTGGAGGCAGGAGGATCACAGGAGCTCAGGAGGTCAATGCTGAATAAGCCATGATTGCGTCACTGCACTCCAGCCTGGACAACAGAGTGAGACCCTGTCTTTTTTTTTTTTTTTTTTTTTTGAGACGGAGTCTCGCTCTGTTGCCGAGGCTTGAGTGCAGTGGCGCGATCTCGGCTCACTGCAAGCTCCGCCTTCCGGGTTCACACCATTCTCCTGCCTCAGCCTCCCGAGTAGCTGGGACTACAGGCGCCCGCCACCACGCCTGACTAATTTTGTTTTTGTATTTTTAGTAGAGATGGGGTTTCACCGTGTTAGCCAGGATGGTCTCCATCTCCTGACCTTGGGATCCGCCCACCTCAGTCTCCCAAAGTACTGGGATTACAGGCGTGAGCCACCATGCCCAGCCGAGACCCTGTCTTAATAAACAAACAAGCAAACAAAAACTTTATTTTTTGGAGCAGTTTTAGGTTCACAGCAATATTAAGCAGAAGGTACAGAGATTTCCTATATATCTCTCTCCTCTCCAGACACAGGCACAGCTTCCCCCATTATCAACGTACCCTACATGAGTGGTGTTTTGTTTGTTTGTTTGTTTTTGAGGCAGAGTTCTGCTCCTGTTGCCCAGGCTGGAGTGCAGTGGCGTGATCTCGGCTCACCGCAACCTCCGACTCCCGGGTTTAAGCGCTTCTCCTGCCTCAGCCTCACAAGTAGCTGGGACTACAGGCACGTGCCACCACACTCAGCTAATTTTTATATTTTTTCTTTTTTTGTTTTTTGAGACAGAGTTTCGCTCTTGTCTCCCAGGCTAGAGTGCAACGGTGCGATCTCAGCTCCCTGAAACCTCTGCCTCCCAGGTTCAAGCAATTCTCCTGCCTCAGCCTCCCGAGTAGCTGGGATTACAGGCACTTGAACTTCTGACCTCAGGTGATCCACCTGCCTCGACCTCCTAAAGTGCTGGGATTATACGCATGAGCCACCGCGCCCAGCCTGTATTTTTAGTAGAGACAGAGTTTCACCATTTTGGCCAGGATGGTCTCTATCTTCTGACCTCATGATCCGCCCTCCTTGGCCTCTCAGAGTGTTGGGATTACAGGCGTGAGCCACCGCACCCAGCTTGTATTTTTAGTAGAGACGGGGTTTCACCATTTTGGCCAGGATGGTCTCTATCTTCTGATGTCATGATGCGCCCGCCTCGGCCTCTCAAAATGTTGGGATTACAGGCGTGAGCCACCGCGCCCAGCTATGGCTCACTCTTGATGCTGCACATTCTGTGGGTTTGGACAGATGTATAATGATATGTACCAACTAACTTTTTGGAGTCTTTCCAAAGCATTCAACTGCATTCATAGAAACATCCGTCTTCTTTTCCGACTCATATTTTATCAGTTTGTCCTATATAATTATAAGATTTAATTACAAGAGTAACTGATGGCCGGGCGCAGCGGCTCATGCCTGTAATCCCAGCGCTTTGGGAGGCCGAGGCAGGCAGATTACTTGAAGTCAGGAGTTCGAGACCAGCCTGGCCAACATGGTGAAACATTGTCTCTACTAAAAATACAAAAATTAGCCAGGCATGGTGGTATGTGCCCGTAATCCCAGCTACTCCGGAGGCTGAGGCACAAGAATCGCTTGAAGCTGGGAGGTGAAGGTTGCAGTGAGCCGAGATTATGCCACTGTACTCCACCCTTGGCAACGGAGTGAGACTCCGTCTCAAAAAAAGGAGTAACTGATGGGAGAACCAACCCCCCTGACTCTTGATAACCACATGGTCACATCTTCACTCAACAGGAGTTAGTGGCTTGTCACACTAGAAATGAACCCACCAGCTGCTGTGGGCCTCACATTGTTCTAGATTTTATAGCAGGCAAAGCGAGCATTTGTTAAGCTAGTGAGCCAATTCCAGGGATTTTTTTTTTTTTTTTTTTGGTAGAGACGGGGTCTTGCCAAGTTGCCCAGGCTGCTTCTGAACTCTTGGCCTCAAGCAATCCTCCTACCTTGGCCTCTCAAGTCGCTGGGATTACAGGAATGAGCCACCACGTCTGGCCTCCCATGAATTTTTAATCCAGTGAGTTGGTTTATCCAGAAAGCTTTCCCTATACAACCATAAACAAAAAGTATAACAAAAAGTGATCTCACTGGAGTAATTGAAGTGACCAGGGTTGATTCTGTCCTTTTTACTCATTTATATTTTCCAGCTTTTTGTACCTTTAATGTAGATGAAAGTTGGGATGTGTGTGTGTGTGTGTGTTTTGAAGACTTAATTAAGACTATAGGGTCATATATGCCTAGGGCTGAATGAACTATACTAGACTTCAAATTCCTTGAATCGAGCGTATTGTAAAAGGCTGGACTTGACATAACATGCCTAATTGGGATAATGACAGTGGAAAAATCTTGGTATTAGGCCATGTTTCTCAAAGTGTGCCCCAGGACTGGCAGCAGCAACATCGCCTGGGAACTTGCTAGAAATGTAAATTCTTGGGAGCCGCCCCAGAACTGCTGCATCAGATACTTTGGGATGGGGTTCAGAAATCTGTGTTTGAACAAGCCCTCCAAAGGATTCTGGTGTTCCCTCAAATTAACAGATGGCTCACCTCACAGGTTTACCACTCAGAGGCTGTGTGATCTCAGACAAGTCACTGCACCTCTCTGAACCTATTTCTTCTCTGATAAGAATAATAGCAGACCTACCTTACAGAATGATTGTGAAGGTTAAATTAAATAATATGTGTAGGCACAGTGCCTGACACACAGAAGACACTCACTAAATGTTAGGAAAGCTAATATTATTTTTAGGAATTCATGAGTGGCAGCTCTAATTAGGGTGAAAAACATGGGAGTAGGGTGTGGTAGCTCACACCTGTAATCCCAGCACTTTGGGAGACTGAGGTGGGAGCATCACTTGAGTCCAGGAGTTGGAGACCAGTCTGGGGAATATAGTGAAACTCCTGTCTCCACAAAAAATTTTAAATTAGCTGCATGTGGTAGTATGTGCCTGTAGTTCCAGCTACTCAGGAGGCTGAGCTGGGAGGATGGCTTGAGCTCAGGAGATTGAAGCCGTAGTGAGCCGTGATTGTGCCACTGTACTCCAGCTTGGGCAACTGAGTGAGACTTTGTCTCAAAGGAAAAAAAAAAGGAAGAAAGAAAAACATTTGGGAGAAAAGAGGAAAAGATGTTATGGAGTTTAAAATATTTCTGGTGGGGAACAGTGGCTCATGCCTGTAATCACAGCACTCTGGGAGGCCTGAGGCAGGAGGATTGCTTGAGTCCAGGAGTTCAAGACCAGCCTGGGCAACATAGTAGGACCCCATCTCTATAAAAATAAATAAGTACCTATAATCCCAGTACTTTGGGAGGCTGAGGTGGGCGAATCACTTGAGGTCAGGAGTTCAAGTCCAGCCTGGCCAACATTGTGAAACCCCGTCTCTACTAAAAATATAAAAATTACCCGGGTGTGGTGGTGGGCACCTGTAATCCCAGCTACTCGGGAGGCTGAGACAGGAGAATCACTTGAACCCAGGAGGTGGAGTCTGCAGTGAGCAGAGATCGCACCACTGCACTCCAGCCTGGGCAACAGAATGAGACTCAGTCTCTAAATAAATAAATTACAAACTATTTCTGACTAGGCACTTTGACCTTATTATGTACCTTCACCCTCCGAATAAACATGTTAAAGTAGAAGCAGGTATCATTATATTCCCTGCCCATTTCACAGATATGGAGACTGAGGGTTGGTGGGGCTGAATGATAGCTAAGAAGTAGCAGAGCTGGGACCTAACCATATCCATGTGCCCCACCTCACTCTCAGCCTCAAACAGATGCAGGCAGATTGCCCACTCACCAGAGCCTCCCCCCTTCCCCAAACCATCTGCCCCTCTGATTGTTTTCTTGGGGCTCTAGAAGTCAGGCCTTTCAGCTCATCTTTACTGCACAGGGATTTCTCCATTGGCCGGTTTCTGCTGCCTGAGACCCTTGCCCAGCCCCAGCCAACACCAGCATGATTCACTTTCTGTTTTTTTGAGATGGAGTTTCCCTCTCGTTGCCCAGGCTGGAGTGCAGTGACGTAATCTCGGCTCACTGCAACCTCTGCCTCCCAGATTCAAGCAATTCTCCTACCTCAGCCTCCCAAATAGCTGGGACTACAGGAGTGCACCACCACACCTGGCTAATTTTGGTACTTTTAGTAGAGACAGGGTTTCGCCATGTTGTCCAGGCTGGTCTCCAACTCCTGACCTCAGGTGATGCACCCTCCTCGGTCTCCCAAAGTGCTGGGATTACAGGTGTGAGCCACCGCGCCCAGCCATGATTCACATTTGAACCTGAGACCAGAGCTCATAAATGCATTAATTCATTAATTTCTCAAACATTCTACATGCTATGGGATAGGTACTTGGGGTACAGAGAGGAGCAAAATGGACATTGGCCCTACTGCAAAGAACCTGAATATTCACGTGGAGTATTTCCCATCACTTTCTAGGCCTAGCCTTGATTTTTGCTGAACCCGGGCCAAGGCAGAGGCACAGGTGCCTCCACAGAGCAGAACCAGACAAATATTGTACACTATAGTCAGTGCAGGGATGGGAACACAACCTGGCTCTGTAAGAGGCCAGAAGAGGCCCTTGATCAATCTGCGGGTGGAAGGGAATCCATGAAGACTTCCTGCAGGTGGTGACCTCTGAGGCTGATTAGGAGGTGTTTGCCATAGTGTTTCATCATTTTCTCATTTTATAGATGGCAAAATGAGTCCAGAGAGAATGACTTAGCCCATGTATTCAATCAATTGAGCAAACATTTCCCTAATATCTACATTCCCCATTATTGAGCCCTGAGCCTGGGGATACAGAGGTGAATAAGGTTAACAGGCCTGCTAGAGGGAATGGTATAGAGAGGCCTCAAGTATCCAGGATACCTCACCAATCACTGCCCATTGGCCTCTGTTTTTTTGTATGTATTTTATTTTATTATTATTATTTTGTAAATTTTGAGACATGGTCTCACTCCGTTGTCCAGGCTGGAGTGCAGTGGTGGAAATATAACTCACTGCAGCCTCAATTCCCTAGCCTCAAGCAATCCTCCCATCTCAGCCTCCCCACTAGCAAGGACTACAGGCATGTGCCACTGTGCCCAGTTAATTTTTTTTTTTTTTTTGGTAGAGATAGGATCTTGCCATGTTGCCCAGGCTGGTCTTGAACTCCTGAGATCAAGAGCTCCTCCCACCTCGGCTTCCAAAGTGCTGGGATTACAGACGTGAGCCACCACACCTGGCCTATTTTATTTTACCTTTTTAAAAGTCAGGATTGGCCGGGCACGGTGGCTCACACCTGTAATCCCAGTACTCTGGGAGGCCGAGGCAGGTGAATCACCTGAGGTCAGGAGATTGAGACCAGCCTGCCCAATATGGCAAAACCCCATCTCTACTAAAAAATACAAAAATTAGCTGGGCATGGTGGTGCACACCTGTAGTCCCAGCTACTCAGGAGGCTGAGGTAGGAGAATTGCTTGAACCTGGGAGGTGGAGGTTGTAGTGAGCTCAGACCGTGCCACTGTAGTCTAGCCTGGGCAACAGAGCGAGACTCTTTCTCAAAAATAAATACATAAATAAAATTAAAAATGATAAAAGTCATGGTTATTGCAGTATACATACAGTAAAATTCTCCCTTTTTAGTACATATGTGGCAAATGCATAGTCCTGTAATCATCATCACAATCAAGACACAAAGACACAGGTCATCATTTGAATCTTTTTTTTTTTTTTTGAGTCGGAACCTTGCCCTTTTACCGAGGCTGGAGTGCAGTGGCGTGATCTTGGCTCACTGCAACCTCTGCTTCCCAGGTTCAAGCAATTATCCTGCCTCAGCCTCCGGAGTAGCAGGGACCACAGGCACGCACCACCACGCTCAGCTAATTTTTGTATTTTTAGTGGAGACAGGGTTTCACCATGTTGGACAGACTGGTCTTGAACTCCTGACCTCAGGTGATCCACCCACCTCAGCCTCCCAAAGTGCTGGGATTATAGGTGTAAGCCACCGCGCCCGGCCCATCATTTGAATCTTATGTTCATCCCACTTCCTGAGTCCAAGCCTTCCCCTTAATTCACTGTGTTATCTTGGGCAACTCTTGCCCTCTTTGAACCTCAGTTTCTTCATCTTTAAAATGGGAACCATAAAACCACCCTTACAGGATTGCTGTGAGGATGGTTGCCTGGCACACAGTAAGCGCTCAATTAACACCAGCTTTTATTCACACTCCTTCCCTTTTCTAGCCCTTTCAAACTCCCCCTCTCCCTCTGGTCTCTCTCCTTCTGGGTCTGTCTCTCCCTCTCACAGACACACACACAAACACACTCCCTCTGGGACACACACACACACTCTGGGACACACACAGGGACACACACACACACACACTCCCTCTGGGGGACAGACACACACACACACACACACACACATTTTGAAGCCTCTTGTTTCCCAGAGAGGTTTTATTTATAGGCTGTGCCTCATTGTGAATGTGAAAAGGAGAAAGCCCAGGCCCTCCGTAGACCTTTCATGTGTAAATCAGCCCGGGCCTGGAGCACGGGGTCACCAGGAGGAGGATTTCACTCTTAATTACTCCTAGAGAAAGCGGGCGGGAAGGAGGCCTCTCTGGGAGCCCAGGGCCTCGCCTGGCGCCGGGCCCCTCGCTCCCCAGGCTGGGGAGCGCTGGCTCTCCAGGGCCGGGATCAGGCTAGAGCTGGGGCCAACACTTCCTGGGTCTGGCCTTGATTTCTGCTGAACCTGAGCCAAGGCAGAGGCGCAGGTGCCTCCAGGGAGCAGGGCCCCAAGTAGGTTTCTTTGAGGGCAAGTTGTTTGGACACAGAAAGAGGGCACACAGCTTGACAGGGTTGGAGATAGCAAGGGTGATCTGCTGAAGTGCCAGGCAGGGGTAATTAAACAAAATTTTTAAGGTTTTAAAATTCATTTCTGATGTAAAAATCACACACTCTATTATAGAAAAATGTTTGAAAAGATTCCTATCCAGGCCGTTAACATTGTTTATTTCGAGGGGTAAGTTTGTTTGTTTATTTATTTTTGAGACGGAGTCTCACTCTGTCATCCAGGCTGGAGTGCAGTGGGGCAATTTCAGCTTCCTGCAACCTCTGCCTCCCGGGTTCAAGTGATTCTCGTGTCCTCAGCCTCCCGAGTAGGTGGGATAACAGGTGCGCGCCACCATGCCTGGCTAATTTTTGTATTTTTAGTAGAGAGGGGGTTTCACCCTGTTGGCCAGGCTGGTCTCACCTCAGGTGTTCCGCCCACCTCGGCCTCCCAAGTGCTGGGATTACAGGTGTGAGCTACTGTGCCTGGCCAGCGGGTAAATTTAGAGGTAAAGAAAGGGACATTATTAACATTTTTATACATTTTTTATTTTTAAACTTATTACAATGACTATGTATTGCTTTTTAATTAAAAAGCACAACGTTATTTTTCATAGTATCCATGGTACTGTTTTCTGATTACAGAAAAGAAATTAATATTTGATATAAGACATTGAGAAAATAAAGTATAAAAACTATCTGTGGCTCCATGAAAGAATATCATTTTTTTTCTTCCTTGATTCTGCATTAAAGGAAATCAAAGAAAAACACTTTTAATATTTAAGTATATGGCCATAGATGATTTATTTCTTGGCTAAGTAGTTCATTTTTATTTTATGTTCATTTTGCATACTTATACTGCACAAACACTTTGGGTACAACTTAACACACTGAGGTTTTCTTTTTTTTTCTTTTATTCTTTTTATTTATTTATTTATTTTGAGTCGGGGTGCAGTGGTGTGACCTTGGCTCACTGCCTCCTCTGCCTCCTGGGTTCAAGCGATTCTCCTGCCTCAACCTCCTGAGTAGCTGGGATTACAAGCACGCGCCACCACACCTGGCTAATTTTTGTATTTTTAGTAGAGACCGGGTTTCACCATGTTGGCCACGCTGGTCTCGAACTCCTGACCTGGTGATCCACCCGCCTTAGCCTCCCAAAGTGCTGCTGGGATCACAGGCGTGAGCCATGGCATCTGGCCTCACACTGAGGTTTTTTTCTTCCATTCATCTTTTCTCTTCTTGTGCTTTATATACAGTCGTCATTCAGTGTCCCTGGGGGATTAGTTCTGGCACCTCCCTCAGATACCAAAATCCACAGATGTTCAAGTCCCTGATATAAAATGGCATAGTATTTGCATATTATCTATGCATACCCTCCTGTATACTCTAAGTCATTTCTAGATTACTTATGATCCCTAATACAATGTCAATGCCCGGTAAATCATTGTTATACTGTGTTTTTTAGGGAATAATGATAAGGAAAAAAGTCTGTCTATGTTCAATACAGATGCAGGGTTTTTTCCCAAATATTTTCCATCAAGGTTGGTGGAGTCCAGGGATGTGGAATGAATAAATACAGAGGACCACCTATATATATGTATGTTACTGGATGGCATTATTTTGAAATATGAAATACACAAGCCCTTGGGGTCCAGCAATTCCACATCTAAAATTCTATTCATGTGAGTAGGAGTAGGTAAATAGTAGAAACAAATTTGTTCATTTTGAAGGTGTTTATAAAAGCAAAGGCTAGCAACAAACTTGATGGTCATCAGTAGGAAATTAAGTAAGTAAATCATCATGTAACTTTACAGTGAAATGTTTTGTAGTCATTATAAGAGTATATCGGCTGGGCGTGGTGGCTCAGGCCTGTAATCCCAGCACTTTGGGAAGCCGAGGCGGGTGGATCACGAGGTCAGGAGTTCAGGATCAGCCTAGCCAATATGGTGAAACCCTGCCTCTACTAAAAATACAAAAATTAGCCAGGCGTGGTGGTGCGCACCTGTAATCCCAGCTACTAGGGAGGCTGAGGCAGGAGAATCACTCGAACCCGGGAGGCAGAGGTTGCAGTGAGCCAAGATCGTGCCACTGCACTCCAGCCTGGGCGACAGAGCAAGGCTCCATCTCAAAAAAAAAAAAAAAAAAGAAAGAAAGAAAAAGAAAAAAAGAGTATATCAGGCCAGGTGCAGCGACTCACGCCTGTAATCCCAGCCATTTGGGAGGCTGAGGCGGGTGTATCACTTGAGGCCAGGAGTTGGAGACCAGCCTGGCCAACATAGTGAAACCCTGTCTCTACTAAAAATACAAAAATTAGCCGGGCATGGTGGCCCTCACCCATAATCCCAGTTACTCGGGAGGCTGAGGCATGAGAATTGCTTGAATCTGGGAGGCAGAGGTTGCAGTGAGCCAAGATCACGTCACTGCATTCCAGCCTGGGTGACAGTGAGACTCCGTCTCAAAAAAAAAAAAAAAAGAGTATATCATACATGCAAAGATATCCAAAAATCTGTACTATAGTAAATAACTAAGCAAGTTCCAAAATCATTTGGATTGTGTGATTCTATATCTATTTTTGTTTTGTTTTGTTTGAGACGGTCTCACTCTGTTGCCCAGACTAGAGTGCAATGGCGTGATTATACCTCACTGCAGCCTCGACCTCTTGGGCTCAAGTGATCCTCCCATCTCAGCCTCCCAAGTAGCCTATATCTATTTTTTAAAATATAATAATCATATCTAAGTATATAGGCATGGAACATTTTTGGAAGGATATACATGAAATTGGTAACAGTTACATTTAGGGAAGGAGTCTAAGGGGTAAAGAACTTTTACTTTTTCATCTTATACCTTTGTGTACTGACGCATTTTTTTCTTTTAATGTGAGCACATGTTACATTTGTAATTTTTAAAAACTAGCTAATAGAAATGTGGTTTAGGGCTGGATGCAGTGGCTCATGCCTGTAATCCCTACACATTGGGAGGCTGAGGTGGGTGGATCACCTAAGGTCAGGAGTTCAGGACAAGCCTGGCCAACATGGTGAAACTCTATCTCTACTAAAAATACAAAAATTAGCCGGGGGTGGTGGCAGGCGCCTGTCATCCCAGCTGCTTGGGAGGCTGAGGCAGGAGAATTGTTTGAACCCGGAAGGCAGAGGTTGCAGTGAGCAGAGATCATGCCACTGCATATCAGCCTGGGTGACAGAGCAAGACTCTGTCTCAAAAACAAAACAAAACAAAAGAAATGTGGTTTTGCTATATATAATTCTAATATATATTTATTAAAGAAAATACAGGCCGGGCACGGAGGCTCACACCTGTAATCCAACATGGTGAAACCCTGTCTCTACTAAAAATATAAAAATTAGCTGGGCATGGTGAGGCGCACCTGTAGTCCCAGCTACTCAGGAGGCTGAGGCAGGAGAATCGCTTGAACTTTGGAGGCGGAGGTTGCAGTGAGCAGAGATCTCGCCACTGCACTCCAGTTTGGCAACAGAGCAAGACTCCATCTCAAAAAAAAACCAAAAAAACAAAAAATGTCCATTAAATAAACACAGTTTCTTAAAGAAATAGTGTTGATTAAATAAAATATAATCCCCCATATTATTCAAGGCAACCATATTAACATTTTAATTTATTTCCTTCTAGTTTTCTCTATATATATATTTATACATTTTTAATATTTTACAAATTTTTTTTTGAGACAGAGTTTTGCCCTGTTGCCCAGGCTGGAGTGCAGTGGTGCAGTCTTAGCTCACTGCAACCTCTGCCTCCTGGGTTCAAGTGATTCTCTTACCTCAGCCTCTGGAGCAGCTGGGACTACAGGCACACGCCACCATGCCCAACTAAGTTTTGTGTTTTTAGTAGAGACGGAGTTTCACTATATTGGGTAGGCTGGTCTTGAACTCCTGATCTCATGATCCACCCACCTTGGCCTCTCAAAGTGCTGGGATTACGGGCGTCAGCCACCGCACCAGGACCTTTTTTTTTTTTTTTTTTTTTTTTTGAGACAAAGTCTTGCTCTGTCACCCAGGCTGGAGTGCAGTGGCATGATCTTGGCTCACCACAACCTCTTCCTCCCGGGTTCAAGCAATTCTCTTGCCTCAGCCTCCCAAGTAGCTGGGACTATAGGCACACACCACCATGCCCAGCTAATTTTTATATTTTTAGTAGAGACAGGGGTTTCACCATGTTAGCCAGGATGGTCTCGATCTCCTGACCTCGTGATCCACCCGCCTCGGCCTCCCAAAGTGCTGGGATTACAGGCATGAGACACCGTGCCCGGCGACACCCTACAATTCTTTAAACTCCCAACAACTCAAAGGAACAGATATTATTATTACTCCCATTTGCAGATGGGTAAGTAGAGGCACAGAAAGATGAGAGGATTTGCCCAAAGACTTGGCTGGTATTTGGCAGAACCAGGATTCAAACCCAACAGGCAAGAGCAGAGTTGTACACTTGACCTAGCTATTCTGCTATTCTGCCTAATGAGGTTCTTTTTTCTTTTCTTTTCTTTTTTTTAAATTTTTTTTTATTTTTTGAGACAGAGTCTCACTCTGTTGCCCAGGCTGGAATGCAGTGGTGCGATCTCGGCTCACTGCAACCTCCAGCTCCTGAGTTCAAGCAATTCTCCTGCCTCAGCCTCTTGAGTAGCTGGGATTACAGGTGTGCACCACCACACCCGGCTAATTTTTGTATTTTTAGTAGAGATGGGGTTTCACCATGTTGGCCAGGCTGGTCTCAAACTCCTGACCTCAAGTGATCTGCCTGCCTTGGCCTCCCAAAGTGCTGGGATTACCAGGCGTGAGCCACCGCGCCCGGCCCTAATGGGGTTCTGACAAAATCCAGGAATTCAGTGCAGGGTGGGCGGACCTGTGAGTGTGTGAGTGAGGGATATGCGTACTTGTGGAGCCACAGATATGCACATGTGTACTCACGTGTTCACCGTGAGTCTGACGGCGTGGGTGCATGCATGTGTTAACCAGTGCTCTGCTGACATCATGGTGCCCAAGCACGTAGAGATGTATGTGCCCATGGATTCCCCTGTCCAGGCTCCCACAGGACCTATCTCCTTGGTTTCTCCACCTTCCCCTTGGTACACAGGAGGCATGAGTGTCCAGGAGGGGCCAGGGTTTGGATTCCAAAGCCCAGCTGCCACTTCCTTATTCCCACCATGTCTCCCAAGAGTAGTTAGGGTCTGGACTCTTAAAACATCAAGCTGGGTGGGAGGCGGTGGCTCACACCCTTAATCCCAGCACTTTGGGAGGCCGAGGTGGGTGGATCACTTAAGGTCAGGAGTTCGGGACCAACCTGGCCAACAAGGCAAAACTCCGTCTCTACTAAAAATACAAAAATTAGCTGGGCATGGTGGCACACGCCTGTGGTCCCAGCTACTTGGGAGGCTGAGGCAGGAGAATTGCTTGAACCCCGGAGGCGGAGGTTGCAGTGAGCTGACATCATGCCATTGCACTCTAGTATGGGCAACAGAGCCAGATTCTGTCTCAAACAAACAAAAAAACCTCATCAAGCTGGCCAGGCACAATGGCTTACACTTGTAATCCCAGCACTTTGAGAGGCTGAGGCAGGAGGATCACTTAAGCCCAAAAGTTTGAGGCTGCAGTGAGCTATGATCACACCACTACACTCTAGCCGGGGTGACAGAGCAAGACCTTGTCTCTATAAAAAATAACAAAATAAAACATTAGCTCTTGCAGGGCGCGGTGGCTCACGCCTGTAATCCCAGCACTTTGGGAGGCTGAGGCAGGCGGATCACAAGGTCAGGATTTGGAGACCAGCATTGCCAGCATGGTGAAACCCCGTCTCTACTAAAATTACAAAAAATTAGCCGGGCATGGTGGCACACCTGTGATCCCAGTTACTCAGGAGGCTGAGGCAGGAGAATTGCTTGAACCCAGCAGACAGAGGTTGCAGTAGGCCAAGATCACGCCATTGCACTCCAGTCTGGGTGACAGAGCGAGATTCCATCTCAAAAAAAAAAAAAATCAGCTCTTTATGAAGTAGAGTTGGCATATGGGCCAGGGAAGTCGGAGAACAATGTGGTTTTCCCCAGGAGGCAGCACCCACAGCTTTTAGCCCTATCTGGCCTCCACTGTGGGTGGCTGATATCTACTACCACAGTGGAGGCCATATGGTCCTGGTTAAGAGTAAGCTGTAAAGTGAAACTGTTGGGTTCAAATCCCAGCTTTGCCACTTAGCTGTGTGATTTCAGCAACTTACTCTCGGATCCTCTACTTCCATCCCTGTGAAGTGGGAGTATTATAATAGCAACAACTTTGAAGGGTTTGGTATTTTAAATTTATTTTTATTTTTTATTTTATTTATTTTTTTAATAGAGACAGGGTCTCCCTATGTTGCCTAGGCTGGTCTCGAGCCCCTGGGCTCAAGTGATCCTGCCACCTCGGCCTCCCAAAGTATTGGGATTACAGGTGTGAGCCACAGTGGCTGGCCCCCTGAAGGATTTGTCGTAAGGCTGAAATAATGCTGAGCTCAAACTCAGTGTTCAATAAATGTTAGTTTTATTACTATTTTGAACCCATACTAGACAAGTAAAGGGCAGAGAAATGTGCTTTTCCAGAAGACAGTGCCTTTGTCATACGGGTAAATTATCCAACCTTGTGAAACAGGTATTATTTTCTTTTCTTTTTTTTGAGACAGAGTTTCACTCTTGTCGCCCAGGCTGGAGTGCAATGGCATGATCTTGCCTCACTGCAACCTACGCCTCCCAGGTTCAAGCGAGTCTCCTGCCTCAGCCTCCCAAGTAGCTGGGATTACAGGTGTGTGCCACCATGCCCAGTTAATTTTTGTATTTTTAGTAGAGACGGAGATTCACCATGTTGTAGACATGTTTGTATGTTTAGTAGAGACGGAGTTTCACTGGTCTCGAACTCCTGACCTCAGGCAATCCACCCACCTCAGCCTCCCAAAGTGCTGGGATTACAGGCATAAGCCACCACGCTTGGCCCCATTTTATTTTATTTTTTGTTTTGTTTTAAAGAAATAGAGATGGGATCTCGCTATGTTGCCCAGGCTAGTCTCAAAGTCCTGGGCTCAAGTGATCCTCCTGCCTCAGCCTCCCAAAGTGCTGGAATTACAGGTGTGCACCACTGCACCCAGTCTGTGCCCATTTTATGGATGAGGAGACTGAGGCTCAGCAGTATGCAGTAACTTGTCCCAGGTCACAGAGCAAGTAAGTAACAAAACCAGATTTCACTTGCTGGTCTGCCTCCAATTCCAGGGCTCTTTCTGCCACCCAACAGCTGCCTTGTTGTTTGGCCTAGAAGCTTCATCCTGTAAGCTCTGATTTGCGCAGATTATCTGCCACCTACATGTCTTTCTCTCATGTTGCCTACTCACAAGAGAATATGTAGGGATTTGCAGGTGGTCAGATTTTATGGGAAAAAAAATAGACATTTCCACACAGAAAAGAAACTCCAGGGAGACAGTTGAGACAGTTAGGCAGGGAGTTCTTGGAGGAAAATGGGAGGTTCAAAAGGCAATTAATGCTACTGTCTGAAACTGTAAACAGATAGTTACTGGCTCTGACACCACCAGCACACAGACAAAAGGCAGACAGAAACAGCGCACCACAAGGAAGCTGGGCATAGACTACGCCCAGGGTGGAAATTAAATGTTTTCCTGAAAGCAGAAAGGAAAACCATAGTTAAAGCCAATCCATGACTCTAAGTCTATGACTCCATGACAGCATAAGTCCAGTGAGTAAAGGCCCTTCATTTGCACCTAGGCGTTGTTATGAATCTTAAGGCCTTACTCCACATTCTCTCTTGACCTAAGTTTGTAAAACAAAAGTAATAATTAGAAGTGACTCTTCAGCATATACTGTTATTTTAATCAAAGATAGATATACACACACACTATATATGTGTGTGTATATATGTATATAGAGGATCTATAGTATATATCCTCTATATACATATATATTATAAATATATATGTATATATATTTATCTATATATACGTATATGTGTATATATGTATATATGTATATAGAGTATATATATTTATACTCTATATACACATATACATATATATACACTATATATATGTGTGTGTGTGTGTGTGTGTGTATATATATATAACAGACATGAGCCACCACACCTGGCCCCATTTTGTTTTATTTCTTGTTTTATTTTCAATAAATAGAGATGGGCTCTCACTATGTTGCCCAAGCTGGCCTCAAACTCCTGGGCTCAAGTGATCCTCCTCCCTCAGCCTCCCAAAGTGCTGAAATTACAGGTGTGCACCACCATATATATATATGGAGAGAGAGAAAGATGTGTGGCTGGGCACAGTGGCTCACATCTGTACTTTGGGAGGCCGAGGTGGGAGGATCGCTTGAGGTCAGGTGTTGAAGATCAGCCTGGGCAACATAGCGAGACCCTGTCTCTACAAAACAAAACAAAACAAATATACATATATTGTTTGTTTTGTTTCGTAGATACGGAGTCTCACTATGTCACTCAGGCTGGAGTGCGGTGGCGTGATCTTGGCTCACTGCAACCTCCACCTTCCGGGTTCAAGCGATTCTCTTGCCTCAGCCTCCTGAGTAGCTGGGACTACAGGCTCACGCCACCGCACCTAGCTAATTTTTGTATTTTTAGTAGAGTCAGGGTTTCACCATATTGGCCAGGCTGGTCTCGAACTACTGACCTCATGATCCACCCATCTCAGCCTCCCAAAGTGCTGGGATTACAGACGTGAGCCACCGCGTCTGGCCCATATATAGCACACGCCTGTAATCCTATAATCCCAGCACTCCGGGAGGCTGAGGCAGGTAGATCACCTGAGGTCAGGTGTTCGAGACCAGCCTGACCAATATGGTGAAACCCCATCTCTACTAGAAATACAAAAATTAGCTGGGCGTGATGCTGTGCCCTGTAGTCTCAGCTACTCAGGAGGCTGGACGGGAGAATTGCTTGAACCCAGGAGATGGAGGTTTCAGTGAGCTGAGATCGGCCACTGAACTGTGGCCTGGGCAACAGAGCAAGACTCCGTCTCAAAAAAAAAAAAAAAATATATATATATATATATATATGTACATATATATAGACAGAGAGAGAGAGAGAGAGCACACACATTGGCACATTGTTGGCAAGTTTCCTCAGCATTCCTAGTTGTAAATGACAGAAAACTCACTGATGCAAACAAAGCAAAGAATCATAATAATTATTATTATTTACTGATTTACAACTGGATCAAGGAGTTCAAAGATTCCAATTCATGTCCTTGCCATGTCTTGACTCTGCTTTCTTCTGTGGTTTCAATCTCAGACAGACACGCTCCTCCCCAGGGTGACAAGAAGGCTCTCAGGAGCTCCACCCATGCTTTTTCCTGTTGGTTAAAAAACAGTGCCTCTCTCCAGCAAAAATCTCAAGTCTCCCACTGATTGGCTCCCATTGGGTCATATGCCTGTTCTTCAACCAATCCTGTGGCCAGGCTGGATCCCAGGGCCAACCCTGGAGGCACAGGTGGGCAGAGTAAGTTCCATCCAAGATACAGGAACTGATATTGGGAGAGGGAGAGTTCCCCAGGGAAAACTGGGGGGCTGTTTCCAGAAGACACATGTTCACCATCTGGTAGTTGCTGCCTCTCTGTTAACCAAATTTAATGAGAAGCTGTCATCAGGAGTAATTTTCTTGTATTTTTACTAGAGCTGGGGCTTCACCATGTTGCCCAGGCTGGTCTCCAACTCCTAAGCTGAGGCAACTGCCCACCTCGGCTTCCTAAAGTGCTGGGATTACAGGCATGGCCACCACGCCTGGCCATGTTTATTTCTTATCTTCATCTCACTTCATCAATGGGCAAATTGACAGAGAGGTTAAGGAATTGGCCCAAGTTTATACAGAGAGTAAGGAGTGGAGCCAGGGCATCCTTTCCAAATTCTGTGCTTTAGTTTCTCCAGGAACTACAGTTAGAGCTGATCTATCTCTCAGAATTGCCAGCTCCGTGCCAATGAGGAAGCCCTGAGCCTTCTAAAGGACCACCTTGCAAGGTTAACCAATGTGGGATGGCAGATATCATCCACACACTCATGAGGGTTTATCCTGGAGCAGTGCCTGGACACTGAGAGGTGTGACAACAAGGCAAGTCTGATCCAAGGACCATTGTGGACTCAGGAGCTGAGATTCCTCGGTAGCCCTGCTTCCCTACCCACAGGAGTGGAGGAGAAAGAGTGCAACGCACAGAGAAGTGCCAAGATTGAGCCCCTAACCTGCCGCTAACCAGCTGTTATGTGTCTTGAATAAACTCCTTTAAGATCTCTGTGGCCAGGCACGGTGGCTCACGCCTGTAATCCCAGCACTTTGGGAGGCCAAAGTGGGCGGATCACCTGAGGTCAGGAGTTTGAGACCAGCCTGGCCAACATGGCAAAACCTCGTCTCTACTAGAAATACAAAAATTAGCCAGGTGTGGTGGTGCTTGCCTGTAATCCCAGCTACTTGGGAGGCTGAGGCAAGAGAATCGCTTGAACCCAGGAGGTGGAGGTTGCAGTGAGCCAAGATTGCGCCATTGCACTCCAGCCTGGGCAACAAGAGCGAAACTCCATCTCAAAAAAACAAACAAGATCTTTGTTTCTACATCCATAAAATGGGCATAATAACACCTTCCTCAGAGGTTAGCGAGGATTCTATTAAATACTGCAGGCAAAATAATACCTGCTTGGCTGGGTGCGGTGGCTCATGCCTGTAATCCCAGCACTTCGGGAGGCTGAGGCAGGAGGATCGCTTGAGCTCAGGAGTTCAAGATCAACCTGGGCAACATAGAAAGACCTCATCTCTACAAAAAATATGAAAAATTAGCTGGGTGTGGTGGCGTGCACCTGTAGTCCCAGGTACTCAGGAGGCCGAGATGGGAGGATCTCTTGAGCCAGGGAAGTCAAGGCTGCATTGAGCCGAGATCACGCCAGCCCGGGCAACAGAGCAAGATCCTGTCTGTAATAGTAACAATAACAATAATAATTCTTGCTTGTCACCCAGCTGGTCTCCATGAGGTTAGTTGTCTCCTTTCCATATTATCCCCCTTCTCCATCCCCCAGACTTAGCAAGAGCAAGGCAAGCGGAGAAAGGAAAGCATCTTTTATCTTCTCCTAGCCGGCCTGGTGGGGTCTCCTCCCCTCCTCCTCTGCCCAGCATCTGTAATAGCACCAAATGAGCACGGAACCTCGCATCATGTTCCTGGGTTTGACTCCCAGCTCAGCCGTCCTCTTCCTAGGCTTGTGACCTTGGATAAGTCCCTGTCACCCCTCTCAGCTGAAGAACATGCTCCCTCATCGAGTCTGATGAAAACGCCCTCCATAAACGTGCCTGGCACATGGTTTGTTTATTCTCTGGATCTGAAACGGTGAAAGAGGCAGAGCTGAGTAGGTCGGGCTGCCTTGGGCATGGCTTTGGTCAGCAGAGGGGCCGGCTTCACGCCACTTCCCATCTCCTGAATAATTCATGACGAACAAAATGACTGGGCCAGACCTGGGCCCTCCCTCCTCCTGTCGTGAAGGCAGAAAAGTTTCTAATTACAGATCAGCCGGCCAGGCTCCCCGGGGCCCCTGGGCGCTGCACACAGGGGGCATTTATGGGAAGAGACCATGGAGGGGAGGGGTTCGGTCCCAGCTCCTTTCCAGAAGAAACTCAACTCCTTTTGAAATTGTAACCTTGGCCTGCTAAGGCCCAGGAAGGGACTGGGGAAAGAAACTTAGAAGAGGAAGAG
This sequence comes from Homo sapiens, assembly GCF_000001405.40. Taxonomy (NCBI): domain Eukaryota; kingdom Metazoa; phylum Chordata; class Mammalia; order Primates; family Hominidae; genus Homo; species Homo sapiens. Next base: position 120,402,160 of record NC_000012.12, on the reverse strand, counting down.
AAAACCCTGCCGAGGGGTCAGAGAGAAGCGCCCAGAAAAAAATGTCAGGTCAAAGAAGGGGCTCTGGGGACGTCCTGGCAAGAGGAATACACAAGCTGTCAGGGGAGGAGATTTGCTCGAGTCCCGTGGAAAGCATGACAAAGCCGGGCTTCAAAAGGAAGCTGTCCTTCGAAAATACATTGAGAAAGAATAAGATCTAGCGTTCTACCATACAGTAGGGAGACTAGAGTTAATAATTTGTCATAGAGTTCAAAATTGCTTGGCTGGGAGCGGTGGCTCACGCCTGTAATCCCAACACTTTGGGAGGCCGAGGCAGGCAGATCACCTGAGGTCAGGAGTTCGAGACCAGCCTGTCCAACATGGCGAAAGAACCCGTCTCTACTAAAAAAATACAAAAATTAGCTGGATGTTGTAGCGGGTGCCTGTAATCCCAGCTACTTGGGAGGCTGAGGCAGGAGAATCACATGAACCTGGGAGGCGGAGGTTGCCGTAAGCCGAGATCACGCCACTGCACTCTGGCCTGGGCCACAGAATGAGATTCCGTCTCAAAAAAAAAAAAAAAAAAAAAAAAATTTGCTGGAGGAGAGGAACGGAGATGTTTCCCAACATGAAGAAGGGGTGAATATTTGGGTTGATGGATGTCCCAGTTATCCTGATTTGATCATCACACATTGCATGTATGTATCAAAATACCACATGTGCCCCCAAAATATGTACCATTATTATGTATAACTTTTTTTTTTTTTGAGATGGAGTATCGCTCTGTCGCCCAGTCCTGAGTGCAGTGGCGCCATCTCAGCTCACTGCAAGCTCCGCCCCCCGGGTTCACGCCATTCTCCTGCCTCAGCCTCCCCAGTAGCTGGGACTACAGGCGCCCGCCATCACGCCCGGCTGATGTTTTGTATTTTTAGTAGAGACGGGGTTTCACCATGTTAGCCAGGATGGTCTCAATCTCCTGACCTCGTGATCCGCCTGCCTTGGCCTCCCAAAGTGCTGGGATTGCAGGCATGAGCCACCGCGCCCGGCCCATGTGTCACTTTTTTAAAAAAGGAAGATTTCTTGACTCCAACACCACAGCCTCTCAGTTACACTACAATTTACTCATTCATCTGTAAAATGGGGAGATGCCCAATAATGCTACCTTACAGCATTATTGAGGAGTTACACAAGTAAATAAATGTCAAGTGCTTAGAATACTGCCTCACACATAAACTAAAAATATATATTAGTAGTTGTAGAGTTTTTTTTTTTATATTATGCTCCCTCCATAGAGTGGTCAGTAAAGGGTGAAGGTGACAAGAAGAGAAGATTTGGGGAGATTGTTAGAGAGAACAATGATTGTGAGGTAGTTTAGTATAGTGATTAAGATGAGGACCCCATACATAATACCGTAATAATAATAATAAAAGAGGTCAGCTGCGGTGGCTCATGACCGTAATCCCAGCACTTTGGGAGGCTGAGGTGGGCAGATCGCTTGAGTTCAGGAGTTCAAGACCAGCCTGGGCAACATGGTGAAACCCTGTCTCTACTAAAACTACAAAAATTAGCCAGGCATGGTGGAGGGTGCCTGTAGTCCCAGCTACTTGGGAAAGTGAGGCATGAGAATTGCTTGAACCCAGGAGGTGAAAGTTTCAGTGAGCCAAGATGGGCAACAGAGCGTGACTCTGTCCAAAAAAAATAAATAAATAAAATAAAAAAGAGGCCAGGTGTGGTGTGGTGGCTCACGCCTATAATCCAGCACTTTGGGAAGCTGAGGGGAGTGGATTGCTTGAGTTCAGGAGTTCAAGACCAGCCTGGGCAACATAGTGAGACCCTGTCTCTACAAAAAGTACAAAAATTAGCTGGGCGTGGTGGTGGGTACATGTAGTCCCAACTACTTGGGAGGCTGAGGTGGGAGGATCACTTGAGCCTGGGAGGTGGAGGCTGCAGTGAGCCAAGATCGTGCTGCTGCTCTCCAGTCTGGGCGACACAGTGAGACCCTGTTTCAAAAAAATTTAAAAAGTAAGGACTCCAGCACTAGTTTGCCTGGGTTCAAATCCCAGCTCTGCCTCTTACTAGTTGTGTGATCTTGGACAGGTTTGCTGTAGGTCTCCGAGCTCCTATTCACTGTCTGTAATAAACGGTAGCCACTGCAGTTAGTGGAGAGTGGTGAACAAAATGACCAAGGTCCCTGTCCTCATGGAGCTTACAGTCTAGCAGGAAGGTTATACTAATCAAGAGCGTTTATTGCATGCCAACTGTGTGCAGGTCCTGTGCACTTGGCAGACATTCTCTTAACGAAATTTCACAGAATCCACCCCTGTCTTACAGATGAAGAGGGTGAAACTCAAAGAGGTCACAAGCAGAGAGAGGATTTAGAACTGAAAGGTCACTCCACAGTATGGATGAATCACCACATTAGCATGGTGAGCGAAAAAAGCCAGATGCAAACGAGTACACATTGTATGATTTCATTTATATGAAACTCTAGAAAATGCAAACTAACTTATAGTGACAGAAAGCAGATCAGGGGTTGCGTGGGACAGGGTGGGCGGGGCATTCACTGCAAAGAGCCTGAGGAACCTATTTGAGAAGATGGAAATGTTTTACATCTGACATTGATACTAGTTACATGGGTGTATGCATTTGTCAATGTTCATCGAACTGGACACTTAAAATGGGTGTATTTTCCTGCATGTAAATTATACCTCAATGAAGCTGATCTTTTCAAGGGGGTGGGGAAGGTATACCAGACTCCAGAGCTCTGCAACCCTTCCTATATTATTTGAGTGTCTGATTTCAAGCTCATTTGTGGGCAGAGACTGTAATAGATTCATCTTTAGGTCCTCCCCTCACTTCCCAGCCTGAGGGCCTAGCAAAATTCTTTTTTTTGTTTTTTTTTTTTGAGATGGACTCTGACTATGTTGCCCAGGTTGGAGTGTGGCAGCACAATGTTGGCTCACTGCAACCTCTGCCTCCCGGGTTCAAGAGATTCTCTTGCCTCAGCCTCCCAAGTAGCTGGGATTACAGGCGACTGCCACCACATCTGGCTAATTTTTGTATTTTTAGTAAAGACGGGGTTTCACCATGTTGGCCAGGCTGGTCTTGAACTCCTGACCTCAGGTGATCTGCCCGCCTTGGCCTCCCAAAGTGTTGGGATGACAGGCGTGAGCCATCGCGCCCAACCAAAATTCTTAAACCCAATAGTTCAGATTAGCAAATATACCCTGGGCACCTTCTCTGTGCTGGGTGCTGCGGTCACAGACCAATCAGTCTAGTGGGGAACACAGACGGAAAAGGCCAAATAGACACAGTACAGTGGGTAAATGTGCTGATGGAGTAAACAGTTCATTACTGGGCCACAGCAATGAATCCTGCATAGAGTCTGGAACTTGGGATGTGAAGATCTCAAACTGCAATTCATCACCTGCATTCAAATCTCCACTCTACCGCTTGCTGTATGACTTTGGGTGACCATTTTAGCATGCCAAACCTCAGTTTCCACCTCTGGAAAATGGAGATCATAGTAGCTCCAATCTAGAGGGGTGTTATGAGAATTAAAGGAGACAGCAATAAAATGTTTAGCATGGCAGGCATAGTAAGTACTTCATAATTGTTAGTCATTTTTATCATGAATGAAGAGCAGGGAGGTGGGGAGAGGCACACGGGGTGTGTGTATGTGTAGTGGGGTTTCACTACCCAACCTGAGGTGAGAGAGGACTGAGAGGTGCTTTCCCAGAGAGGTGATGCTTGGAGGAGGAATTGGCTAGTTTAAGTGGCCATGGGGGCAGGAGGGAGTGGGAACAGCTTGGAACAAACGCTCAATAAATATTTGCTCAATAAATAAAAAAACAGAGACTGTGCAAAACCTGCCTGTAACCAAGGGGACAGAGAGGGCCCGCCAGAGGAGACTGGGGGGTCCTCAGGAGGCGGGGGCTGGGTGGCTGGCCCCCACAGGCAGGCTCCAGACCTTCCTAGCCTGGTCCGACCCCACCCTGTGCCCTGCCCAGTTCCCCTGATAGGTTTGGACAGCCCCAGACCTGAGGCCTGGAGCCCACGGGAGGAGGAACGGTGGGGAGGGCTGGCGGGACGGGGGTGCTCACAGGCCTTCTCCCTCTAATGAGAAACGGCCAAGTCCCCGCAAGGCGCCTCCCGCGCCCCCGTTGTCCGAGCCACAAAGGACCAGGATCAATGGAAGGCGGGAGCGACCGAGGGGCCTCCTCTTTGTGCGGCTGTCTCAGGCCTGTTTGCGCCGCCGTCTCCGCGCCCCCATTGATCAGGCATGTGGAAAGATTCCGCCTCCCGGGCTCCCTTTGTGGCCGCGTTGCCAGGCTGCGCCCGGAGTGACTGCACCGCGCAGGGTGTACCCGCCTGCGGTGGGCACCGGGCTGCGAGACGGGGTGGGATCCCAGGAGGGCAGGGTGGCCAGATTTAGCAAATAAAAATACAGGACTTCCAGTTAAATGTGAATTTCTGATAAATAACAAAAGCAGACAAAAAACAAAGTATAAGTATGTCCCAAATATTGCATGGGACATACTTACACTCAAAAAGTATTGGTTGATTATCTGAAATTTCAACTTAACTAGGCGTCCTGTATTTTGTCTGGCACCCTTTGAAGGGGAAGCTGAATACATCTGCATTGCCTAGCACTTATATTACCCCCAACTTCAGTGGTTGAAGTTTTGTTTGTTTGCTTGCTTTTTGTTTTTTATTTTTATTTTTTGGCCATATCTGCACACCCCGAACTGCTATTTAGATAGAATTTTTCTTTAAATAAATTTATTTTTTAAAAATCTTAACCTGGCCGAGCTCCGTGGCTCAAGCCTGTAATCCCAGCACTTTGGGAGGCTGAGGGGGGGAGGATCACTTGAAGCCAGGAGTTCAAGATCAGCTTGAGCAACAAAGTGAGATCCCATCTCTACAAAACAAAACAAAAAACTCCCTTAACCTATTAACCGTGATTTATTGATGCATAGTGCAAATACATTAACTTGAACAAATATGAAATGTACCTGTTGATGCATTTTTGCCTACAAGAACACTCATGTGACCGCACCCACATCAAGATATAGAATATTCCCGGCCAGCAGTGGTGGCTGACGCCTGTAATCTCAGCACTTTGGGAGGCCGAGGTGGGCGAATCACTTGAAGTCAGGAGTTCGAGACCAGCCTGGCCAACAAGGTGAAATCCCCTCTCTACTAAAAATACAAAAATTAGCCAGGGGTGGTGGTGCACGCCTGTAATTCCAGCTACTCAGGAGGCTGAGGCAGGAGAATTACTTGAACCCGAGAAGCGGAGGTTGCAGTGAACCGAAGTGGTGCCACTGCACTCTGGCCTGGGCGACAGAGCGAGACTCCATCTCAAAAAAAAAAAAAAAAAGATATAGAATATTCCCATCACCCCAGAAGGTTCCCTGGCGTCCCTGAGCAGTTGAGCAGTATCCACCTCCCCATTGGCAGCCATAGATTTGCTTTAGCTATTCTTGAACTTCGTATCAGTGGAATCGTATAGTATAATGTGTACACTCAAGTCTAGCTTCTTTCGCTCAGTATTATGTTTGTGAGGATGGGCATGGTGGCTCACGCCTGTAATCCCAGCACTTTGAGAGGCCCAGGTGGGTGGATCAGTATCACCTGAGGTCAGGAGTTCGAGACCAGCTGGCCAACACAGCGAAACCCCATCTCTACAAAAATGCAAAAATTAGCTGGGCATGGTGGCAGGTGACTGTAATCCCAGCTACTTGGGAGGCTGAGATAGGAGAATCACTTGAATCCGGGAGGCGGAGGTTGCAGTGAGCCAAAATTGCACCACTGCACTCCAGCCTGGGCTACAGAGTGAGATTTCATTTCAAAAAAACAAAAAACAAAACAAACAAACAAAAAAAGTCTGTGACATTTGTCCCCATTGTAGATTGACCAGTTGTTTGTTCCCTTTCGCTGCTGGCTGAGTATTCCATTATATGGCTGTTCCACGGTTTGTTCCTCTATTTTCTTGTTGATGGGTGTCTTGATTGTTTCCAGTTTTTGCTATTATGAATAAAGCCGCTATGACCATACTTGCACTGGTCACTGTATGAACTTAAATATATTTAACCTAAGCAATACTATTTGTGAACTCACAGGCTTAAAATGCTACTTTAATTTTTTTTCTCCTGCACATTAAATATATAACGATGACACATGTTTCTGGGAACATCTTTGTATTGACCAAGCTCACTGTGAATGGTCACATATCAAACTGCAGAATAGACGTTAAGAGAACAGACTGGCTTGGGGTAGGTCTCGAGCAAGTGCGTCAGTCCCTCTGGGCCTCGGTTTCTTCATCTGTGCAATGGGGGGTGATAATGTTAATTATCTCACAGAGTGGTTGAAAAGGCAAAATGGGCCGGGCACGGTGGCTCACACCTGTAATCCCAGCACTTTTGGAGGCTGAGGTGGGTGGATCATGAGGTCAGGAGTTCAAGACTAGCCTGGCCAAGATGACAAAACCCTGTCTCTGCTCAAACCACAAAAATTAGCCAGGCACGGTGGCAGGCACCTTAATCCCAGCTACTTGGGAGGCTGAGGCAGGAGAATTGCTTGAACCCGGGCAGCAGAGGTTGCAGTGAGCCGAGATGGTGCCACTGCACTCCAGCCTGGGCAAGAAAGTGAGACTGTCTCAAAAAAGAAAGAAAGGAAAGAAGGAGGAAGGAAGAAAGGAAGGAAGGCAGGCAGGCAGGCGGGCAGGCAAGGCAAAATGGGGTAACACCTTATAAAAGGGCCAGCCATGGTGGCACACAGGAGAGTTGCTTGAGCCCAGGAGTTCAAGATCAGCCTGGGCAACATAGTGAGACCCCGTCTCAAAAAAAAAAAAAAAAAGGATACAGCATAGGGCTGACACATAGTGGGTGCTCTACACAGGGAGCTATTATCCAGTGCTGGATGGGCAGTAGCAATTGAACTGGCTATGTTAGATGCCTGTTCTCATTCTATTCTCATTTCAACCCTTTGAGGTAGCTACTGTTATTATCAACCTATTTTACAGATTAGGAAACTGAGGCTCTGAGAGGCAGTCACTTGCCCAAAATGGTATAGTTAGTAAGCGGCAAAGGCACCACCTAGTGTGTTTTCCAGAGCCCAAGGGGGCAGGAGGGACCAATGAGGCTCTCATGCCTGGAGATGAGAATGGGTTATACAGGAGGAGGAGCTGGGTACCTTCTCCTTCCTGCCTCTGCATCCCCAATTAGCGCCCAGCTTGAAGGCAAGCAGGTTTCTCTTTGGAGGGTGGGAGGAGCTGGCCTGGACATTTCTAGGAGACGCCAAGCCTTCCAGCCAACGGGCAGGTGGGAGGACAGGCAGGGCAAGTCTGACGGGGTAAGGAGGGGAACAGAGGAAGCCGGAAGCTGGAGGAAAAGCCTGGCCTCCTGTAGCCACAGCCGCTGGGCAGAGCCCGGCCTCGCTACCTGCCATCTGAAGGGCACGGGAACTGCTGATCTCAGGCGATTAGCATAACAATCCCCGATCCGGCGTCCTCGGGTCCCAAAGCTGGGTCTGCACAATCCCATTTCAAGCCAGCTCTTTCTTTAGCTGGTTAATTAGGGAGGGCACAGACTACTTAAAGGGCCCTGTACACACGGCCTTGGCTGCAGCTGGGAGCAGGAGAGGGCCCGACAATACCTTCAGTCCTGGCAGGTGTGGGTGCTGCCATAGTGCTTCACGGCAGGCCACGGCGAAAAGGCTGCTCTCACCGGGGATTTCACCGGGCCTCCTGTTGCCACCCTCCAAAGCCCCATTAGTGCACATCTAGGATAGATATGGCCTGTTCACAGCTCATGCCAGGGCTCGGCACAGAATAGGTGCTCAAATATAACTTCTAAAATAAGTAACTGGGCCAGGCGCAGTGGCTCATGCCTGTAATCCTAGCACTTTGGGAGGCCAAGGCAGGAGGATCACTTGAGTTTCAGACCAGCCTGGCCAACATGGCAAAACCTTGTCTCTACTAACAATACAAAAATGAGCTGGGCGTGGTGGCACACGCCTGTAATCCCAGCAACTCAGGAGGCTGAGGCATGAGAATCGCTTGAACTCGGGAGGTGGAGGTTGCAGTGAGCCAAGATTGCCCCACCGCATTCCATCCCGGGCAACAGAGCAAGACTCTGTCTCAAAACATAAAAATAAAATAAAATAAATTATCCAGGTGTGGTGGTGCGTGCCTGTGGTCCCAGCTACTTGGGAGGTTGAGGTGGGAAGATCGCTTGAGCCTGGGAGGCTGAGGCTTCAGTAAGCTGCGATCCTGCCACCGCATTCCACCCTGGGTGACAGAGCAAAAACTTGTCACGAAAATAAATAAAATAAGATAACTCACTGAAGCATGGAGCCCATAGTCCAGAACTCAGGACTCTACCTACTCATATAATGAGGGCCCAGGCTGAATGCTAATGGAGGGTACAGGGGCAGCCCCAGCCTTGCAGGTCCCTCAGGGTCCTAAGCCCTTCCTTCCCCTTCCCACAGCCTCCTTGCACTGGAAGTCCAAGAGGGCACTTGGATCAGAGTAGGCAGAACATAGTCTTTGGGATGAGATAGAGGGTAGAGCTGGGTTCGAATCCTGGCTCTGCTGCTTACTAGCTGTGTGATCCAGAGGAAGTCTCTTAACCTCTCTGAGGCTGTTTTCTCTTCTGTAAATGGGGATGATCAAAACCTGCTTCAAAAGTTGTTTACAGGTATTTCTTAAAATATCATATGAGAGCGTCTGCCACAGAGTTGGGGCTCAGGGAATGGGAGTCCTTCCTCTTCTGTAGAAATACCCACTGCCTTTCTACCCGCGTGGCTAATGTTCCCCAGGTCCCCATCATGCACCCGCTCAGTGCTTGTTCTCTCTGCCATCCTGTCAATGCCCTTGTGAGGTAAGTTCTGTGCTTTCTTTTTTTTTTTTTGAGATGGAGTCTCACTCTGTCGCCCAGGCTGGAGTGCAGCGGTGCGATCTCGGCTCACTGCAAGCTCCACCTCCCGGGTTCATGCCATTCTCCTGCCTCAGCCTCCCAAGTAGCTGGGACTACAGGCACCTGCCATCACACACAGCTAATTTTTTGTATTTTTTTAGTAGAGACAGCATTTCACTGTGTTAGCCAGGATGGTCTTGATCTCCTGACCTCGTGATCCACCCGCCTCGGCTTCCCAAAGTGCTGGGATTACGGGGTGAGCCACCGCTCCCTGCCAGTTCTGTGCTTTTTAAAGAAAAGGGGCCCGGTGGTGCAGTGGCTCATGCCTATAATCCCAGCACTTTTTTGTTTGTTTGTTTGTTTGTTTGTTTGAGGCAGAGTCTTGTTCTGTCGCCCAGGCTGGAGTGCAGTGGCACAATCTCGGCTCACTGCAACCTCTGCCTCCCGGGTTCAAGTGATTCTCCTATCTCAGCCTCCCAAGTAGCTGGGATTACAGGCACCTGCCACCACGCCCAGCTAATTTTTGTAATTTTGTAGAGATGGGGTTTCGCCACGTTGGCCAGACTGGTCTTGAACTCCTGACCTCAGGTCATCTGCCCACCTCGGCCTCCCAAAGTGCTGGGATTACAGGTGTGAGTCACTGCGCCTGGCCAATAATCCTAGCACTTTGGAAGACCTAGGCAGGAGGATCACTTGAGGCCAGGAGTTTGAGATCAGCCTGAGCAATGTAGCAAGACCCTGTTTCTTCAACAAAATTATATATTCAAAATGTTAAGGCTGAGCGTGGTGGCTTGCGGCTCTAATACCAACACTTTGGGAGGCTGAGGTGGGAGGATGGCTTAAGCCCAGGAGTGCAAGATCAGCCTGGGCAACATGGTGAGACATCATCTCTACAAACAAAATTTTTTAAAATAAAAAATAATGATTTTTAGGCCAGATTTGGTGGCTCATGACTGTAATCACAGAACTTTGGGAGGGCAAGGCAAGCTGATCTCTTGAGGTCAGGAGTTCAAGACCAGCCTGGCCAACATGGTGAAACCCCATCTCTACTAAAAATATTAAAAAATTAGAGCCAGGCACAGTGGCTCACACCTGTAACCCCAGAACTTTGGGAGGCCGAGGCGGGCCGATCACAAGGTCAGGAGATCGAGACCATCCTGGTCAACATGGTGAAACCCCGTCTCTACTAAAAATACAAAAATTAGCTGGGCGTGGTGGCACATGCCTGTAATCCTAGCTACTCGGGAGGCTGAGGCAGGAGAATCGCTTGAACCGGGAAGTCAGAAGTTGCAGTGAGCCAAGATCGTGCCACTGCACTCCAGCCTGGCGACAGAGCGAGACTCTGTTTAAAAAAAAAAAAGGCCGGGCGCAGTGACTCACACCTGCCTGTAATCCCAGCACTTTGGGAGGCTGAGGCAGGCAGATCACCTGAGGTAAGGAGTTCGAGACCAGCCTGACCAACATGGAGAAACCCCATCTCTACTAAACATACAAAAAAAAAAATTAGCCAAGCGTGGTGGTGCATGCCTGTAATCCCAGCTGCTCAGGAGGCTGAGGCAGGAGCATCACTGGAACCCAGGAGGCAGAGGTTGCCGTGAGCCAAGATCACACCATTGCCCTCTAGCTGGGGCAACAATAGCGAAATGCCATCTCAAAAAAAAAAAAATTAGTTAGGTGTGATGACACACGCCTGTAATCCCAGCTAGTTGGGAGGCTGAGGCAGGAGAATCTCTTGAACCTGGGAAGCCCACTGCACTCAGAGTGAATGAGACTGGGCCACAGAGTGAATGAGACTCTGTCTCAAAATAAATAAATAAATAAATATAATAATAATTTTTTAAAAAGGAAAATGAAGTCAGAGACAAAGTGACTTGCCCAAGGCCACACGGCTAGAAAGTTTCAAAGGGAGGCTTGAGCTCAGCTAACCCTAAGAACAATGGCTCTGGAGCCAGGAAAGGATGGGCATTATTGCAGCCACTGCTCCCTTTCCACTCAGCCAGCCAGATAGTCTCAGGTATCTTTTGATCTTCTGCTGTGTGTTAAGCATTGTGCTGAGGGCAGGGGATAGAGCTGAGCACAATCGCCATTTTCCATCAATGTCTGTGAGTGTTAAGGGCTTGAGGACAGTAAAACAGGGTGATAGGCTAGAGGCCTGGGGGTCTAGGAAGACTTCTTCTGTATAGGTGATACTTGAACTGCAGGATTGCCATGGGAAGAGGGGGGCAGGTAAGTGGGAAGCATTCCAGGTAGGCGGGAGAGCAGGTGCAAAGGTCCTGAGGTAGGACTTAGTTTGGGGTATCTCAGGAACTGAAAGGCAGCCAGTGTGGCTGGAGCACTGGGAGGGAGAGTGAGAGTGGGATGGGCCAGGCTGGAGAGGGAGGAAGGGCCTTAAGGGACATCCTAAGAACTCCTTCCTTCCCTTCCTCCCTCTTCCTTTCCTTCTTCTCTCCCTCCCTTCCTTCCTTCCCTTCCTCCTCCTCCTTCCTTTCTTCCCTCCCTCCCTTCCTGCCTTCCTTCTCTTTTTTCTTCCCTTCCTTCCTTTCCTTCTCCTTCCCTCCCATCCTTTTTTTCTTACTTCCTCCCTCAATCTCTCTCTCTCTTCCTACTTTCCTTCCCTCCTTCCTTCCTTCTCTTGTTCCTTCCTCCCCCCTCTCCTTTCCTTCCTTCCCTCCTTCTTCCCTCTTCCCTCCCTTTCCTTCTCTCCTTCCTCTGTCCTTTTTTTTTTTTTTTTTTTTTGAGACAGAGTCTCAGCCAGGCATAGTGGCTCACGCCTGTACTCCCAGTACTTGGGGAGGCCGAGGCAAGTGGATCACCTGAGATGAGGTCAGGAGAGTTTGAGACCAACCTGGCCAACATGGTGAAACCCTGTCTCTAGTAAAAATACAAAAATTAGCTGGGTGTGGTGGTGGGTGCCTGTAATCCCACCTACTTGGGAGACTGAAGCAGGAGAATCACTTGAACCTGGGAGGCAGCAGTTGCAGTGAGCCAAGATCATGCCACTGCACTCCAGCCTGGGCGACAGAGCGAGACTCCGCCTCAAAAAAAAAAAAAAAAAAAAAAAAGAGACAGAGTCTTGTTCTGGCACCATCTCAGCTCACTCTAACCTCTGCCTCCCGGGTTCAAGCAATTCTCCTGCCTCAGTCTCCTAAGTAGCTGGGATTACAAGCACCTACCACCACATCTGGCTAATTTTTGTGTTTTTAGTAGAGACGGGGTTTCACCATGTTGGCCAGGCTGGTCTCGAACTCCTGACCTCAAGTGATCTGCCCACCTCAGCCTCCCAAAGTGCTGGGATTACAGGTGTGAGCCACCGCGCCAGGCTCCTTCCTTCCTTCCTTCTTTCCTTCCTCTTTTTCTTCCTCCCTTCCCTCCCTCCGTTCCTCCCTTCCTTCTTTTCTCTCTCTCCTTCCTTTCTTCCTTCCCCCCTTCCTCCCCTTTTTCCCTGCCTTCCTACCTTCCTTCCTTCTTTCTCTCCTTCCTTCCTCCCCTCCTCCCTCTCTTCCTTCCTTCCTCCTCTCCTTCCCTCCCTCCCTCCTTCCTCTCTCCCTTCCTTCCTCCTCTCCTTCCCTCCCTCCCTCCTTCCTCTCTCCCTTCCTACCTTCCTTCCTTCCCTCCCCTCCTTCCTTCCTCCCCTCCTTCCTCTCTTCCTTCCTTCCCTCCGTCCTTCCTTCTTTCCCTCCGTCCATGCCTACTGTTTCTCAAGCACTGGCCCAGGGGGCTGCAGGCCTCTGAGTCTCTCTGTGCTTCTCTCCCTCTTCCCTTCTCCCTTCCTCTCCCCTCCCCCTCCTCTTCTAACAGCCGCCCCACCCCCACTGGTCCAGCTCTTCCCCTCCCCTCTACCCCATCCCCTCCCCTCCACGCCACCCCCTCCCACTGACAATGGGGAGGAACCCTGGGCTCAGCTCCCCACAGTATTGTCCCTTTAAGGAATCCCTAAATCCGGACACCCCTCTCCTCCCCCACCTGAGAACCAATTAGGGTTCCCGAATTCAAGTAGAGGCTTTTGTGTGTCACGTGTTTGTGGAACAAAGCCCTCTCCGGCAGGAATAAAAGCTTCTATTCAGGAGCCAGTTTGCTCTCATTCTAATCGTTTCCACTCCAGCCTCGCCTCCTTCCCGGGTTCCCAGGGCCGCCCAGCTCGGCCTCACCTTCCCGCTTCAGCACCCTGTATTAGTGCCCTACCCAAAAGCAGGTGGCCACCGACCCAGGGCTCTGCCCACCTTTTCTTCCCGAAAGATCACGTGATGCCGACTGGCTCCGAGCTGGGCCCTGGGCTCAGCGCTGTGTGAGCATCATTGTACGGGACTGTGAATAGCCTCAATGCAACGGAGGAAACTGAGGCTCAGAGAGGTTAGGGCACTTGCCTGAGGTCATACGGCTGGTAAGACAGGGAGTCTACACCCTCGGGCATTATTCTATGGTACCCCCAGCTGGCCCTAGCATAGCACAGGGTGCAGAAGAAGGGAGCTGCCATTTTTATAAAGCCCATGGGGCCAGGCACCTGCTGGATATTAGAGACTCCTGACAATGCCACGTGAAGGAGCAACGATTGAGGTCAAAGTCACTGACAAGTCCGAGGCAGGATGGCGTTGGGACTCAGAACTTGGAGGGAAACAGTGGGGCCCTCAGGTCTGAAGATGAAGAGACAGGGAGTATGGGAAGCCCATATTACGAAGCCATTAAGAAAACTGTATTGATATGGAATGGTAATTGACACATTGCCAAGAGAAAAAGGCAGTACATTGAATGGAATATGATCTCATTTGCATAAGAGGAAAAGGAAATATCTACACACAAACATGTATACACATATCGCACATTTCTATCTGTATGGAATAAATTTGGGGAAAAAACATCATAAATTGTAGTATCCTTTATTTCCTTTGAAGAGTGGAAATAGAGCATGGAGAGAAGTCACTTAGTACCATTCTGTGCTGTTTGAAAAAAGATATTTTCTTACTATGATCATGTATTTATTTTATGATAATTATTTTTGTTTTATTGAAGTTAACTATTTTAAAGCTTGCATTTCAGTTGCATTTAGTATATTTACAACGTTTTCATCACCCTAAAGGCAAACTTCTAACATCATATCCAGTAAGCAATTACTTCTCCTTCCTTATTCCCCCCGCCCCTGGCAATCACTAACCTGCTTTCTGTCTCTACAGATTTACCTATTTTAGATATTTCATAGAAATGGAATTATAGCATTTCATAGAAATGGAATCAGTATGTGACCTTTTTCATCTGGCTTTTTTCTTTTCCTTCTTTTTTTTTTTTTTTTTTAGATGAGCTCTCACTCTGTCACCCAGGTTGGAGTGCAGTGGCGCGATCTCAGCTCACTGCAACCTCCACCTCCCGGGCTCAAGCGATCCTCCTGCCTCAGCCTCCCAAGTAGCTGAGACCACAGGTGTCCGCCACCACACCCAACTAATTTTTTTGTATTTTTGATAGAGATAGGGTTTCTCCATGTTGTCCAGGCTGATCTCAAACTACTGGATTCAAGCGATCTATCTGGCTTGGCCTCCCAAAGTGCTGGGATTAAGGCCGGCAAAATGCACCCCTGAGCTCAGCCTGGTTTTTTTCATTTAGGATGATGTCCCTCAGGTTTATCCATGTTGTAGCATGTGTCCTATTTCATTCCTTTTAACGGCTAAATAGTATTCCCTTGCATGGGTATACTACATCTTGTTTACCCATTCATCACTTGATGGACATTTGGGTTGTTTCAATCTTTTGGCAGTCGTGAATGGTGCTGCTATGATCATGCATGTTTTTGTCTGAATACCTGTTTTTAATTATTTTGGGTATATGCCTAGGATCTGGGTCATATGATAATTCTGTTTTACTTTTTGAGATACCATCGAACGGTTTTCCACAGTGCCACACCATTTTACGCTCACACCAGCAACGTACAGAAAGCTCCAATTTCTCCACATTCTTGCCAACACTTGTCATTTTCCATTTATTTATTTATTCATAGCTGTGGTAGTAGGTGTGGAATGATATCTCATTGTGGCTTTGCCTTGCATTTCACTAATGGCTCAAGATGAATATCTTTTCACGAGCTTATTGGCTATTTATGTATTTTCTTTGAAGAAATATCTATTCAAGTCCTTTGCCTATTTGTACTTATTTATTAATTTATTTTTTGAGAAAGAGTCGCACTTTATTGCCCAGGCTGGAGTATAGTGGCTTGATCACAGCTCACTGTAGCCTCGACCTCCCTGGGCTCAAGTCCTCCTGCCTCAGCCTCCCAAGTAGCTGGGACTACAGGCACACGCCACCATGCCTGGCTAATTTTTGTATTTTTTTTTTTTTTTGTAGAGATAGGGTTTCACCATGTTGGCCAGGCTGTTCTCAAACTCCTGACCTCAAGTGATCCGCCCACCTCAGCCTCCCAAAGTGCTGAGATTACAGGTGTTACAGGTGTCAGCCACTGCACCCAGCCCTTTTCACTTTTTTTTTTTTTTTTTTTGAGACAGTCTCGCTCTGTTGCCCAGACTGGAGTGCAGTGGCACAATCTTAGCTCACAGCAACCTCCACTTCCCAGGTTCCAGCGATTCTCCCACCTCAGCCTCCCGAGTAGCTGGGACTACAGGCGCCCACCACCACTCTAAGCTAATTTTTTGTATTTTTAATAGAGATGGGGTTTTACCATGTTGGCCAGGCTGGTCTCGAACTCCTGACCTCAAGTGATTCGCCTGCCTTGGCGTCCCAAAATGTTGGGATTATAGGCGTGAGCCACCACACCTGGCCTCACTTTCTTGATAGTGCCTTTTGATGCCCAAGTTTTTATTTTTATTTATCTATTCATTTATTTATTTTGAGACAGGGTCTCGCTCTGTCACCCATGCTGGAGTGCAGTGGCACAATCATAGCTCACTACAGCCTCGAACTCCTGAGTTCAAGCCATCCTCCAGCCTTAGCCTTCCAAGTACCTAGGACTCCAGGCTCGTGCCACCACCCAGCTAAATTTTGTTATTTTATGTAGAGACGAGGTCTTACTATGTTGCCCAGGCTGGTCTCAAACTCCTGAGTTTAAGCAACCCTCCTGCTTAGCCTCACAAAATGCTGGGATTACAGGCATGAGCCACTGCACCCAGCCAAAAGTTTT
The DNA here is from genome assembly GCF_000001405.40 of Homo sapiens. NCBI lineage: Eukaryota > Metazoa > Chordata > Mammalia > Primates > Hominidae > Homo > Homo sapiens. The sequence goes on along the minus strand of NC_000012.12, from coordinate 120,386,143 downwards.
AAATTTAAATGAAGTCCAATATATCTATTGTTTTCTTGTGTTGTTTGTGCATTTGGTGACATAACTAAGAATTGCCAAATTTAAGGTCATAAAGATTTACCCCTGTGTTTCTTTTATCCATTTTGAGTTCATTTTGTTTTTACATGGTGCCAGGTCCAACTTTATTCTTTCACATGTAAATATCCTATAATAATTGTTTTTAATCTTTGTCTTTGCTGTCTTAAGAAATGATCTCCAAATTTTTGTGATGATACATCCCTAAGAGGAAACAATCTTTGAGCTCATATTTCTAGCATACATACATTTATATATTTACAAAATATATACATACTCTACTGTTATAATATCTATGTTACAAACATCTATGCAAAAGAAATTTTAAAAAGATGAAATAGGCTGGGCACAGTGTCTCATGCCTGTAATCCCAGTACTTTGGGAGGCTGAGGTGGGTGGATCACTGGAGGCGAGGAGTTCAAGCCCAGCCTGGCCAATACGGTGAAGCCCAGTCTCTCCTAAAAATACAAAAATTAGGCCGGGAGCAGTGGCACGCACCTGCAATCCAAGCACTTTGGGATGCTGAGGCAGGCGAATCACCTGAGGTCAGGGATTCGAGACCAGCCTGGCCAACATGGCAAAACCCCATCTCTACTAAAAATACAAAAATTAGCTGGGCATGGTGGCGTGTGCCTGTAATCCCAGCTACTTGGGAGGCTGGGGCAGGAGAATCTCTTGAACCCAGGAGGCAGAGGTTGCAGTGAGCCGAGATTGCACCACTGCCCTCCAACCTGGGCCACAGAGTGAGACTCCATCTCAAAAAAAAAAAAAAAAAAAAAGCTGGGCGTGGTGGCACATGCATATAATCCCAGATACTCAGTAGGCTGAGGCAAAAGAATCACTTGAGCCTGGGAAAAAGAGATTGCATTGCAGTGAGCTAAGATTGGGCCACTGCACTCTAGCCTAGGCGACAAAGTGAGATTCTGTCTAAATAAATAAATAAAATAAGAAATTAGCCAGATATAGTGGCACGCACCTGTTGTCCTAGCTACTCAGGAGGCTAAAGTGGGAGGAAGGCTTGAACCCAGGAGTTCAAGGCTTCGGTGAGTTATGATTACATCACTGCTGCACTCCAGCCTGGGCAACAGAGGCACACCCTGTCTTAAAAAAAAAAAAAAAAAAAAAAGAGCGGGGAAAAGAGATGAAATAGAAAAAAATACTATAGAAGGCCTGATCTTTTCTTGGTGGATGATTTTGAGTGCTCCCAGAGACACTCACCCCTCTGGTGCTTGCTGGTGCTGCTGATGACAGAGTGAGGTCAGCCCACCCTCTAAAGGCACAGCTGGGACAGCTGCAGGCAGGCATGGGAGTGGGCTCTCCAGGTTGGGTCTGACTTCCCTCTTCTGAGTCACAAAATTTCACATCAGAAGGACGGGTGTTTGAATCCTGGTTCCATCTATTTCCTAGTTGTGTGTCACTATATTAAGCTGTATTTGGCCGCGTGTGGTGGCTCACACCTATAATTGCAGCACTTTGGGAGGCTGAGGCAGGTGGATCACCTGAGGTTAGTAGTTCGAGACCAGCCTGGCCAACATGATGAAATCCCGTCTGTACTAAAAATACAAAAATTAGCCAGATGTGCTAGCAGGGGCCTACAATCCCAGATACTTGGGAGGCTGAGACAGGAGAATCGCTTGAACCTGGAAGGTGGAGGTTGCAGTGAGCCAAGATCACACCACTGCACTCCAGCCTAGGCAACAAAGTGAGACACCGTCTCAAAATAAAAGCCATATAGCTATATTAAAAAGCAAAGTCTTAACAGCCTTTTTTTTTTTTTTAGACAGGGTATTCTTCTGGTATCCAGGCTGGAATGCAGTGGCACGATCATAGCTCACCGCACCCTTGATCTCCCGGGCCCAAGCGATCCTCCCACCTCAGGTTTCCGGGTAGCTGGGCCTACAGGCAAGTGCCACCATGCCTGGCTAATTTTTAAATTTTTGTAGAGACAGAGTCTCCCTTTGTTGCTCAGGCTGGTCTCGAACTCCTGGCCTTAAGCAATCCTCCCACCTCGGCCTTCCAGAGTGTTGGGTTTATAGGTGTGAGCCTTACACTTAGCCTTTTTTTTTTTTTTTTTTTTTGAGACGGAGTTTCACTCTTGTCCCTCAGGCTGGAGTGCAATGGTGCAATCTCTGCTCACTGCAACCTCTGCCTCCCAGGTTCAAGCAATCCTCCTGCTTCAGCCTCCTGAACAGCTGAGATTACAAGCATCCGCCCCCATGCCAGGCTAATTTTTTTTTTTCCCATGACAGAATCTTGCTCTGTCGCCCAGAACTGGAGTACAATGGCTCGATCTTGGCTCACTGCAACCTCCACCTCCCAGGTTCAAGCAATTCTCCTGACTCAGCCTCCCGAGTAGCTGGGATTACAGGCGCATGCCACCTCGCCCGGCTAATTTTTGTATTTTTAGTAGAGACAGGATTTCACCATATTGGCCAGGCTGGTCTCGAACTCCTGACCTCGTGATCTGCCCGCCTCAGCCTCCCAAAGTGTTGGGATTACAGGCGTGAGCCACCACGCCCAGCTGGTTATTATTTCTTAAGGCTTAAAGGGGCCAATGTGTCTTCCCCACAATTTACCTATTTGTTCATTCAGCCAAGATGTAAAGAATGCCTGCTATGTGCCAGCCATAATGGGGAACAAGAAGAAAGCAGTCCTTATTATTTATTTATTTATTTATTTATTTATTTATTTATTTATTTATTTTTAGAGGTGAGAGTCTTGTTATGTTGCCTAGGTGTTTGTAACGGTGCCTGGCTAACAGTCCTTTCTTTTGAGAAGCATATGACCTCGGGATACACAGACATTACAATATACACACACAAATACACATTGTCTGTATTTATGCAGTGGAGCAATCATAACTCACTACAGCCTCTACCTTCTGGACTCAAGGGATCCTCCCACTTCAGCCTCCCAAGTGGCTGGGAGCCACCATACTCAAGGCATGAGCCACCATACTCTGCTAATCTTTTATTTTTAGTAGAGGTGGGGTTCTCAGTCTTTTGCTTAGGCTGCTCTGTCTTGAACTCCTGACCTCAAGTGGTCCTCCTATCTTGGGCTCCTGTCTAGCTAGGATTACAGGGACATGCACACCACTCTCAGCTAATTTTATCTCTGCATTTCTGATGAATGAGTTTTTTTTTTTTTTTTTTTTTTTTTTTTTTTAGATGGTATTTCACTCTGTCGCCCAGGCTGGAGTGCGGTGGTGCAATCTCAGCTCACTGCAACCTCTGCCTCCCAGTTTCAACTGATTCTTGTGGCTCAGCCTCCCGAGCAGCTGAGCAGCTGGGATTACAGGCATGTGCCACCATGCCCAGTAATTTTGTATTTCTAGTAGAGATGAGGTTAGCCAGGCTGGTCTCGAACTCCTGACCTCAGGTGATCCGCCCACCTTGGCCTCCCGAAGTGCTGAGATTGCAGGCGTGAGCCACCTAGCCTGGCCAAATGAGTTTTTTAATTTAATTTTTTTTCTGCCCCCGAAACCACCCTGAATGAGTTCTATTCTGCATCAGTTAACCAATAATTTAATGTTGACTCAACATCATGGTGGACACTAGAGGCAATAGTTGGGCCGGTGGTAAATACACAGTTCAGCCAACACAAGTACCCACTGGCTCTCCTTTGAGGAGTGCCCACTTCTCTGTTTCTGCTTTTCCGACCCAGCTTAGATGCCAGCCTTCCCTTTCCTCTCCAACCCACTGTACTCCCTCCCTCCCTTGAGCTTCCAAAGCTCTCTTAAGGCTCTCATACTTTGCTTTGGGATATAATTTGTCCCTTTACTGGAGCGTAAATGCCTCAAGAACTGTCAGCAAGCCTTATTCAGGTGTGGATACCTCCAGAGTACCTGACACGGTGGAAAAGGCACATTTGATTCATTCACTGAGAAGAGAAGAGGCAAAGATGTAGCCGCTGAGTACTAGCTGTGTGACCTTGGGAAAAATAATTCTTTCTTTGGATCTCTAAGTTTATCCATAAAGCAAGAGGGGGGCATCAGAGGCTCTCCAAGGCAGCCTTTCTCAACCTTTTTAAAATTGGGACACTCCTGATGAATGGCATTCCCACGTGACTCATGCTTCCATGGTGTTCAGATAAGATAGTCTGAATTCTGCGTAACCCCAGCTCTTCCTCTCTCCCTCTGGAGAGCTTGTCCAAAGGCCAGGGAGCAAGAGTGACGTTATTTATAGACATAACCTTGACTCCACTTCTCCTCATTTGTTTATTTCTTTTTCTTCTTCATTTATTTATTTAAGGCAAAGAAAGCATTCTCAAGCTTCAGTAGAGGTAGTGGTTAAAAATACCAGACCAGAAACCAGAGACACTTGCCTTTGAATCCCCTCTTTGCCATTTCTGAGTGTAGTATCCTTGGGTAAGTTTGCTGAGCCTCAGTTTCCCCATCTACAACATGGGAGGATCATCATAGAACTAACTTTAGAAGACTGTAGAGGGGATTAAATGCGATCAGACAGGAAAGCTCTTAGCACCATGCTGTACATGGTAAGGGCTCAGTAAAGTTGTCAATATCTACTTTGTTGTTATTAGTTACATGTTACATGTGACACACTAAAAAATTGGGATATGATGCTGAGACCAAAAAGTAAACTCTTGATTAGCTTCTGCCAAATTTGATCTTTTGTGATTTTCTCACCCAGTCTTGGGGACGCTGAGCCGTGGTGAATTTCTCTGCTGGTGGAAATAGATTCACGGATGTAGCTCAATCCTTTCTTATTTTGTTTTATTTTATTTTTGAGATACAGTCTCACTCTGTTGCCCAGGCTGGAGTGCAGTGGCGCGATCTCGGCTCACTGCAAGCTCCGCCTCCCGGGTTCACGCCATTCTCCTGCCTCAGCCTTCTGAGTAGCTGGAACTACAAGCGCCCGCCACCATGCTAATTTTTTGTATTTTTAGTAGAGACGGGGTTTCACTGTGTTAGCCAGGATGGTCTCGATCTCCTGAGCTAGTGATCCACCTGCCTTGGCCTCCCAAAGTGCTGGGATTACAGGTGTGAGCCACCGCACCCGGCCAGATGTAGCTCAATCCTTCTTTACCTTTGTTACTCTATCTCCACTCGCTCATCCTATTCCCCTTTTAATTTTTTCTGTTTTTTTTTTTTTGTAAAGTATCACTCTCACTCTCACTTCTTTTTTTCTTTTTTGACAGGGTCTTGTTCTGTCACCCAGGCTGGAATGCAGTGGCACAATCATGGTTCACTGTTTCCTCAAACTCCCGGGCTAAAGAGATCCTCCTGCCTTAGCCTCTCAAGTAGCTGGGACTACAGGCTCATACCAACATATCTGGCTAATTTTCTTATATTTTTGTAGAGGTGGGGTTTTGTTATGTTGCCCAGGCTGGTCTTGAACTCCTGGCCTCAAGTGATCCTCCCACCTTGGCCTCACAAAGTGCTGGGATTAGAGGTGTCAGCCACTATGCTCGGCTTGGATGAATTTCAAAAATTGTAGGTTGAGGCCGGGCACAGTGACTCATGCCTGTAATCCTAGCACTTTAGGAGGTGGTGGAGGGCAGATCACTTGAGCCTAGGAGTTTGAGACCAGCCTGGACAACATGGCAAAACCCCATCTCTATGAAAAATACAAAAATTAGCCGGGGATGGTGGTGCATGCCTGTAGTCCCAGCTACTCAGGAGGCTGAGGCAGGAGGATCGCTTGAACTTGCTTGAGGTCAAGGCTGCTGTGAGCCGAGATCATGCCACTGCACTCCAGCCTGTGTGACAAAGTGAGACCTTGTTTCAAAACAACAACAACAACAACAACAAACTGTATGAGCAAAAGAAGCCAGATGCAAAAAAATACATACAAAAATTCCATTTATATGAAATTATGGAACAGGCAAAACTAATCTATGGGAAGACAGGTCATAGTCGCATTTATCTTTGGGAAGCAGATATTGACTTGGAAGCAGGAGATAACTTTCTGGAGGAAGGAAAGCTTCAATATCAGTGCTGCCCAATAGAAATAAAATGCCAGCTACACTCACGCCTGTAATCCCAGCACTTTGGGAGGCCAAGGCAGGCGGATCACGAGGTCAGGAGATTGAGACCATCCTGACTAACACTGTGAAACCCCATCTCTACTAAAAATGCAAAAAATTGGCCGGGCGTGGTGGCGGGCGCCTGTGGTCCCAGCTACTTGGGAGGCTGAGGCAGGAGAATGGCATGAACCCAGGAGGCGGAGCTTGCAGTGAGACAAGATCGTGCCACTGCACTCCAGCTTGGGCAACAGAGCAAGACTCCGTCTCAAAAAAAAAAAAAAAAGCCAGCTACAGCTGTAAACCATATATGTAATTTAAAAATTTTCTAGGAACCACATTAAAAAGACATAAAGGCCGGGCGCGGTGGCTCACTCCTGTAATCCCAGCACTTTGGGAGGCCGAGGCAAGTGGATCACCTGAGGTCAGGAGTTGGAGACCAGCCTGGCCAACAGGGTGAAACCATGTCTCTACTAAAAATACAAAAATTAGCTGGGTGTGGTGGTGGGTGCTTGTAATCGCAGCTACTCGGGAGGCTGAGGCAGAAGAATCATTTGAACGAAGGAGGTGGAGGTTGCAATGAGCCAAGATTGCGCCACTGCACTCCAGCCTGGGTGAAAGAGTAAGACTCCATCTCAAAAAAATAAAAATAAATAAATAAATAAATAAAAATAAAAAGACATAAAATGAAACAGGTGAAATTTATTTTAATAATATATTCAAAAATTACGTTTCAACATGTAATCAATGTAAAATTATTATCACTGTATTTTACATTCATTTTCTGCATTCTTTGATATCCAATGTATATTTTGCACTTACAGCACTGGTTAGTTTGGGCCAGCTGCATCTCAAGTGCTCAGTAGCCACACGTGGTGAGTGGTCACTTTTATGGATCTGTATCTTAATCTGGGTTTTAGCTATATATAAAAATTTATATATAAAACTTGGGAGGCACTCCAGCCTGGGTGACAGAGCAAGACTTTGTTTCAAAAAAAAAAGAAAGAAAGAAATTCATTTGTATTGTTATATGTATCTGTCATTTGTGTGTTTTTTTTTTTTTTTTTTGAGATGGAGTTTTGTTCTGTTGCCCAGGCTGGAGTGCAGTGGCACGATCTCGATCTTGGCTTACTCCAATCTCTGCTTCCTGGATTCAGGCAATTCTCCTGCCTCAGCCTCCCCAGTAGCTGGGACCACAGGCTCACACCACCACACCTGGCTAATTTTTGTATTTTTAGTAGAGACAGTCTCACGATGTTGGCCAGGCTGGTCTTGAACTCCTGGCCTCAAGCAATCTGACCACCTCAGCCTCCCAAAGTGCTGGGATTACAAGCGTGAGCCACCAAGCATGGTCTTTTTTTCTTTTTCTTTTTTTTTTTTCTTTTTTTTTGAGATGGAATCTCTGTCACCCAGGCTGGAGTGCAGTTGCGTGATCTTGGAGTGATCTTGGCACACTGCAACCTCCACCTCCCGGGTTCAAGTGATTCTCCTGTCTCAGCCTCCCAAGTAGCTGGGATTACAGGCCTGTGCCACTACACCCAGCTAATTTTTGTATTTTTAGTAAAGATGGGGTTTCACCATGTTGGCAAGGCTGGTCCTGAACTCCTGGCCTCAAGTGATCCACCCGCCTTGGCCTCCCAAAGTGTTGGGCGCCCGGCCCTTTTCATTTTACATAGTATTCCATTGTACGAATATATCATAGTTTATCCATTCTCCTGTTGATGGACGTTTGGATTACTTCCAATTTCTGCTTATTATGAATAATGCTGCTATCAGTGTTCTTGAACAGTCTTTAAATAGACTCATTTAAATTATTTTTACTGTTTTCTGGTTGTTAAGATAAATCCATACTCACAGAAAAAATTCATACTCATACTAACACACACGCCTCCCCACCACGTTAAACAGTTTTTACTGTTTTCTGGTTGTTAAGATAAATCTATACTCACAGAAAAAATTCATACTCATACTAACACACACGCCTCCCCACCACATTAATGGTTTGATGCAAATGGCTTATGGTTTGATGTAAATTCTTTTCCTCCACATATAGAATCATGTATTATCATTATTAATAAAATTGTCACTTTGATGGTTCCTCCCTTGGTTGTCTGACTCCTGGGGGTGCTGCGTAGCTCTTAATCCTTGCCCTTCTTGTTGTAAGGTCTCTAGAAGACCAAAACTGGAAAGGATGTAGTGATCATCTAGTCCAGAGAAGGCAACGCTATAGCACACCTTCTACTGTTCCATGACTACCTGCACCAAGGCAGACATCACTAATCAATCACCCGATTTCTATCCTTGCCCAGCCCTAGCCACTACCAGTCATTTTGGAGGTAATTTGAGAGGCCAAGTAGAAAAACTGAAACCAATTTTCCATCTCTGGAATAATATGCCACTTTCCATTTTGCACATGAATAAACTAGCGCTCAGAGAGGGGAAGAGCCTGTTTCAAGGTCAGAGGTGGAGCCCCAGGCTCCTAACTCCCTAATACTTTTTCCACTAAGTTCACAAACTCCAAAAACTATTTCCCTGGTCCCTGAAAACCTGGGCTCTAGGGAGGGTGCTTTGTTCTCCAGATGGGGCTCAGAGATGAGAACCTCCCCTCTAGCCAGCCCTTCACCTTTAGGTCTGGCCTAAGTGTAAGAGAAGCCCCTGCCTGCAGCCTGGCACCCCTTTCCCACCGTCAGCACTGACAGACCTGCGGTTTCACTTCTCCAGGTCCACAGTTTCAGTTTCCCAAAATAAACATTAAAAACAATAAAACATAAAGGAGGCATCCTCTTAACATCTTTGTCTTTGGCCCCTGAATTGTAGAATGATTAGTTGAGCAGATTAAATCACAGAGTTAATTACAGCAGAGAGGTGACTTCAGATGCTGAAACCATAGAACTCTGAAGCATCCCCCCTTTCACCGACACATCAAACCAGCCCTGGCTGTCATTGGAAGCGACAGTGAGAAAGTGAGAAAGTGGGAGAGTCAGCAGGTCTGGACAGACTGTGGGTGTTCTCAGCTGGGCAAGCAGAATAGTTTATTTAATTCCCTCCCTGCCAGGGCAGTGGGGAAAGTCGGGGGGTGGGGAATGGAGACAGAGTGTAGCATAATGTTTGGGTCAGGTAGAGCTAGATTTTTAGACTGGCCAGCTGCATGACCTTGGGCATGTCACTTCAGATGTTTGAGTTTCAGCTTCGTCATCTGTAAGGCAAGCACATTAATAGAACCTACTACATTTAATTATTGCAGTGATTCAAATGACTTGGTTAAAAAGATGTGTATCAGCCAGGCGTGGTGGTGCATGCATGTAATCCCAGCACTCTGGGAGGCTGAGGCGGGAATATCGCTTGAGCTCAGGAGTTCAAGACCAGCCTAGGCAAAAAAGATGTATGTAAAACTACTGTGTCTCCAGATTGTCACATCTGTGAAAGTAGGAATCACTGTCTGTCTCATTCACCATCTCATCCTCCAGCCCTAGCACAGTGATGGTTTCTAGGCAAGCACAACTAGTGAGGCCGGGCATGGTGACTCATGCCTGTAATCCCAGCACCTGGGGAGGCTGAGGCAGGCAGATCACTTGAGCTCAGGAATTCGAGACCAGCCTGGGCAACATAGCAAAACTCTGTCTCTATAAAAAATACAAAAACTAGCTGAGTGTGGTGGCTTGAGCCTGTAGTCGCAGCTATTTGGGGGGCTGAGGTGGGAGGATCCTTTGAGCCCAGGAGGCAGAGGTTGCAGTGAGCCGAGATCATGCCACTGCATTCCAGCCTGAGTGACAGAGTGAGACCCTGTCTCAAAAACAAACAAACAAACAAACAAAAACCAACTATTGAGTACTTAGTGTAAGGTATGGTCCTGAGGATAAGGGGTGGTGGAGGAGAATGCAAAGAGGTTTAAGGGACTTTCCCTTAGAGAGCTCCCATTCCAGCATAACAGACATTCCAGAACCATCTGTAATAATAGGTGCATTGTGTGTGCATTAAATAGGTAGATAACATAAAATTATGTTCATGATGAAGTGCATGATGGGAATTCTGGTATCAGACTTGAATTCAAATCTCAGCCCCCTCACTTACCACCCGTCTTATCTTTATTAGCAAGTTGACCTCTCAATGCTTTCATTTCCTGATCTGTAAAATAGCGACCTGCCTCAGAGAGCTGTTGCAAGGATTGAATGAGTTTCCCAACGCAAAGTGCCTGAGACACAATAATTGCTCAGAGTCTGACTCTGTTGCCCAGGCGGGAGTGCAGTGGCAGGATCTCGGCTCGCTGCAGCCTCTGCCTCCTGGGTTCAAGTGATTCTCCCACCTCAGCCTCCCCAGTAGCTGGGATTACAGGCATGTGCCACCACGCCTGGTCAATTTTTGTATTTTTCGTAGAGACGGGGTTTTGCCATGTTGGCCAGGCTGGTCTCAAACTCCTAACCTCAAGTGATCTGTCCACCTCAGCCTCCCAAAATGCTAGGATTACAGGCGTGAGTCAGCACACCCGGCACCCCCATAGTGCTTTTGATGGACTACCTTTACTTTCCCATAGTGCTTTAGAGTGTCTAAGGTGCTTTCAAATACATGATCTCACTTAAGTCTTGCAGCAACTCCGAAAGTAAATGGAAGCTCAGAAGGCTAAGTGGTGTATCCCTAGAACCACCCGACCAGAAACAGTGGTAGTCCCAAGACCAGCATATGGATCTTTGGACTCTCAGTCAAGTGCTTTCATTACTCCAGCTCATAGCCTTCTGGTTGAGTCCAGAAATCTGAGAGAAGGAAAAAAAAAGAGAGAAAAATTAGGACAAAAAAGTGAGGGACTGAAGACCTATGTCCACACAAAAACCTGAGCTTTAATCATAATTGCCAGAACTTGAAGGCAACCAAGATGTCTTTCAGGAGGTGAAGGGATGCATAAACCGTGGTACATCTAGAGCACAGACTATTATGCAGCACTAAAAACAGACAAGCTATCAAGCTATGGAAAGACATAGACGGGGTCAGGCGAGGTGGCTCACACCTGTAATCCCAGCACTTTGAGAGGCTGAGGCAGGTGGATCACTTGAAGCTAGGAGTTCCAGACCAGCCTGGGCAACATGGTGCAACCCTGTCTCTACAAAAAATACAAAAATTAGCCAGGGGCGGTGGTGTGTGCCTGTAGTCCCAGCTATTCTGTAGTCCCAGCTGTTGGGGAGGCTGAGGTGGGAGGATTGCTTGAGCCTGAGAGGTTGAGGCTGCAGTGAGCCTGAACATGCCACTGCACTCTAGCCTGGGCGACAGAGTGAAACCTTGTCTCAAACAAACAAACAAACAAACGAAACAAACGAGCAAAAAAACCCAGGAAACAAAAAAATAAAACCCACACACAAAAAAAGCCACCATAGAGGAATCTTAACTGTGTGTTACTAAGTGAAAGAAGCCAATCTGAAACAGCTACTACTGTATGATTCAAGCTATACGACGTTCTTTTTTTTTTGAGACGAAGTCTTGCTCTGTTGCCCAGGCTGGAGCGCAACGGGGCGATCTTGGCTCACTGCAAGCTCTGCCTCCTGGGTTCACGCCATTCTCCTGCCTCAGCCTCCCGAGTAGCTGGAACTAAAAGCGCCCGCTACCATGCCCAGCTAATTTTTTGTATTTTTAGTAGAGACGGGGTTTCATCATGTTAGCCAGGATGGGCTCGATCTCCTGACCTCGTGATCCGCCTGCCTCGGCCTCCCAAAGTACTGGGATTACAGGCGTGAGCCACCGCGTCCGGCCTATATGACATTCTTGAAAAGAGAAAACTATGGAGAGTGAAAGATCAGGGGTTGTCAGGGGTTGGGGGAGGGGAGAACAAATAGGTGGAGCACAGAGAATGTTTAGGACAGTGAAACTACTCTGTATGACAGTATAATGGGAGATACATGTCCTTATACATTTGCCCAAACCCATAGAATGTATAAAACCAAGAGTGAACTCTAAACTATGGACTCTGGGTGATAACAATGTGTCAGTATAGGTTCACCAATTGTAACAAATGTACCACTCTGGTGGGGGATGTTGACAGTGGGAAAGGTTACACACATGTGGGGTCAGGCGGTATGGGGAAATCTCTGTACTTTCTCCTCAATAAAAATAAAGTCTACTTTTTAGGCTGGGCATAGTGGCTTATATTTGTAATCCCAGCACTTTGGGAGGCCGTGGTGGCAGAGGATTGCTTGAGTGCAGGAGCTTGAGACCAGCCTGGGCAACATAGTTAGACCCCGTTCTGCAAAACAAAACGAAACAAAAATTAGCTGGGCATGGTGGCGTGCATGTGTAGTCCCAGCTATTTGGGAGGCTGCATTGGGAAGACTGCTTGAGCCCAGGAGGTTGAGGCTACAGTGAACCCTCATCGTGCCACCGCGCTCCAGCCTGGGCAACAGAGTGAGACCCTGCCTCAAAAAAAGAAAGAAAAAATAAAGTATATATATATAGGTATATATATATATTTTTTTAAGTGGGGGAAGTTTGTAAAATGGGCTGATTATAAATGCATGGCTCTTAATCAGCTTACAGTAAATTTTTCCTTGTCTTGCATGGACAAGAAATGGGAAGTTCCAGGTAATTCAGGGCTTTGCTTGGATATTGCATTTTCTTTTGTTCTTTTTTTTTCTGAGACGGAGTCTCATTCTGTCACCCAGGCTGGAGTGCAGTGGTGCAATCTTAGCTCACTTCAACCTCCGTCTCCTGAGTTCAAGCAATTCTCCTGCCTCAGTCTCCCCAGTAGCTGGGATTACAGGCGTGCGCCACCACGCCAGGCTAATTTTTGTATTTTTAGTAGAGACCGGGTTTCACCATGTTGGCCAGGTGGTCTCGAACTCCTGACCTCGTGATCTACCCACCTCGGCCTCCCAAAGTGCTGGGATTACAGGCGTGAATCACTGCGCCCGGCCAATATTGCATTTTCAAAGAATGAGAACACTGTGAAATACTCTGCACGCTAAAACCACATGGACTATAATTTAATCTTTAATTTTGTTGTTGTCATTCTCAAAGGCTCTTCAATATATCTTAAAGCTGTGTTTCTCCAAGAGTGGCCAAGGAAAACCCTCAGCTCTCAGCCTTCTCATCTGATAGAGGTGTCTGTTCAAAAACTGCCATTTTCTGAGCCCCCATCCACCCCTAGTCCACTTGACCTACAGTTTTAGAGTAGTGAAAGTCAAAATATGAACGTTAATTATCATTGTACTTAAGAGATGCAGACATTCTGCTTAAATGAGAGTTCTGTATCATAGAGTAGACTCATTTACCTCATCTCCTTCAAGTCTTTGCTAAAACGTCTCCCTCCCCATGAGAATGTTGTTGATTTAAAATTGCATCTCAGGCCAGGTGTGGTGGCTCACGCCTGTAATCCCAACACTTTCAAGGGCAGAGGTGGGCAGATCACCTGAGGTCAGGCGTTCAAGACCAGCCTGGCCAACACGGCGAAACCCCATCTCTACTAAAAATACAAAAAATTAGTCAGGAGTGATGGTGGATGCCTGTAACCCCAGCTACTGGGGAGGCTGAGGCAGGAGAATCACTTGAATCCAAGAGGCAGAGATTGCAGTGAGCCGAGATCATGCCACTGCACTGCAGCCTGGGTGACAGAGCAAGACTCCATCTCAAAAATATATATATATATAAAATTTCATCTCACCTTCTTCCCAATAGTACCCACCCTCCCTATCACCCTTCCTTCTCTGTGGCACCTACAACATCTAACTGAACACACCATTTATTTATCTATTGTTTATTCATTCATTCACTCATTCATTCATTGACTCATTCATTCATTCATTTACTTGTATGACTCTCATCTCTAGAATGCAAGCTTTACAAAGGCAGCTGCTGGGACTACAACACCTAGGACAGTGTCTAGTACATAGAAGATGTTCGGTAAATACCTGTGCCAAGTTGCATAATATCATTTGCCCACTGTCTTTCTCAAGAGGATTTTTTAAAAACTATAAAGCAAATTCTTCTTTTATTCTTTGAGTGATGTTCTGTGTGTGTAGTACCAGAGAAAAAGAGCTGGAACCACATCCTCTAATCTCTTAATTCTGAAGTCTGGGCCTGTTGCTCTAAAGATCATTTTTCCTTAATACCACTGAGATCCTCAATTTACTATGAGGATCATGAGTTTACAACTGCATTGTCCTGTGAGGGCTACCTCTAGAAGGGCTTGTCGCCCCTATTGTGAACAAAGTGGACTGAAGCTGCTGCAGCTGAGATACACCTGCACTGAAAGAGGATTTGTCTAAGTCTAACCCATGTTACTGTGATACAAACAAGCTACTGACCAAAAGAGGTAGACGCTTCCTCCTCAGATTCTGAATGAATATGCTAATACATGGATCCTATCTCAAGCTACTTCTTACACAGCATTGGCTGACTCTGAACAGATGCCTTTACCCATTTCCTTTTTTTTTTTTAATCCAAAATGTGTTTATTGAGATGGTTTCCCACTCATCTTGATTCAGAGTGCTTTGGGTGCTGCTTCCTCCTGAAGGAACATCCTTCTGTAGCCTTCCTTTTCCTCCTGTAGGCTGGCAGAGAACAGTGGAGCAGGCAACACACAAAACTACCGTTTGTGCATGGCTACAGACCATGGTGATTTTATAGCATCCTGGGCATGTCATATCCATGAAGTAGGAATCGGGACTCTGCACCAGGCGTTTCTTCTTCTGTTTCCTCTTCTCTTCTGGAGAAGGATGAAGGAGATCCCTGTCGAGAGGCATGTTCTCGTGGGTAGGTCGCCACTGCCGGAAAGGACCCATTTCCTATCCTTCAAGCTCATCTGCCCAGCAGCACCAGCACACAAACCAAAGTCCAGGAACACTGGAAGATCCCTACTCCCCGCACCTCTCCAATGACCCTTTTTAAGTTCAGACCTAAGAAGAGTCACCTCCCTAATACCGCAGAGGCTACCTGCTCACCCTCATCTGTGTCTCTGCTACAACACAAACTGGAATGCTTTTGTGTCGGAATGGTAAGAAATGCCTTGTGTGGGTGGCCCTCCAGTCCCCAGTCCAGGGGATGCTGAGAAACTGTGGGGCAGAGTAGGGGACACAAACAGGAAAAAGCAAGTTTGTTTCTAGTGTTATGCTCACAGGGTGGCAGGATATACCTGCTGAGCATTCCCAGAAGGTCCCCAAGGAAACCATTACTGTAAGTCTCTCACTTTCTTCTCTGCCTGATGGTTGGGGTGGGGAGAGGGAAGGAGGGCTATCAAGAGGGGGATGGGCACCCTTCCAGAGGTCAGAGTTATGATGCCCAGGAATAAAAGGTGTTGAATTCAGGATGGAATGTGAAGGTGAACAGCAAAGGGCTTGTCAACATGGGTTGTCACTGGATTACACCGGATGGATTAAGGTAGGGATGGGGGAAGGAGTAGAAGGTGAGTTGGGAGGGAGGGGCTTGTGTGGCACTGAGACCCCCAGCAGGGATGGGGAGAAGGGGTGTTGGCCACCTAAGCTTCCTGGTTTGATCCTTTTTTGGCTGGTTTCAGCTGGGGAAGTGAAGGGTCCTAAGGCTTGGATATGGAGAGGTGGGAATATGGAGAGGTGGGGATATGGAGAGGCGGGGATAAGGAGAGGTGGGGATAAGGAGAGTGGCCCCGCAGCTCCCCTGGTGAACCAGAATACTTTCTCAGGGTTGTTCCCAGGCTGGAGGGAGGGAATTTTAGGGGTACGTAAGGTGACTCCAAGGAGCCTTGGGTGCAAGTACTGGGGGATCCCAGAGACCCAGAAGATGGGGGTAGAAAGGAAGGTGTTTGCCTTCACGGGGAGTAGCCTCAAAATAAGAGGGACTGAGGGAAGTCATTCCAAATGCAGTGGGTAGGTAGTTTAGGCTCTTCCAATGGGATGGGGTGGAGCTTAGACCTCTGCAAAAGAAGGGGGTCATTCGGAGGGGACGGTGCACAGCTGAGGCGTTGGGCTCCTAAACTGGAAACAGGAGGCTCTAAGAGGCACTGCCTTTTCCTCCAGCCTCGGTGTGGTGGGGGTGGTGAGTGTCTGGAACCGGGTTTCCCGAATCAGGACAGGAGTCTGAATGGATCTCACAAAAACCGGCCAGGGAGGGAGAGAACCAGGGGAGACTCCTCACACCGGGAGGTGGGGGTGGCGGCAAACTGAGAACCCGGGCTTGGGGCGCGGGATTTTCTCAACAGACCATAGGGTCCACTAATGTGGACGGCAGGGATTTGGGGAAACTAAGGGGGACTCTCACTTTGGACACCAAGGGCTGAGGACGGATTGGGGAAGAGGATACGGTTTCTACTGGGGTGCTGATGGAGGTTCCCCACTCGGGACGCGAGGCACTGAGTGGGTCCCCCAAACTGGATATGGGATCCTGGGAACGGAGCGAGGGCTCTAAATTAGAGCCCTGGGGTGGGGGTGGGGGGCTGTAAATTAGGTTGGGAGGAAACTGGGGGCTCTGAGGGCGGCTTCTCGCTCCGACTGGGGAAATGGAGCATGTGGGGACTGGGGAGCACTAGGGCTATCTCCCGCCCGACCCGAGGAGATTGGGGTTCTCTTCAATTCTGGACAGCAGGGACCTGAGAGGGAAGACCGGGGGGGTTCCCGATCCGGAACCGAGCTACCTTGAAGGCACCGGGAAGCGCTTCATTCCGGGAGGGCGTTCCCGCGGCCGGGCCCCCGCGCCGGGGTGGGTGGGGGGTGCGGCCGCGCCCTGGTCCCGGCCCGCACCGGGATTCGGGGGTCTCGCTCGGCCCCGGAGACCCAGGAGCCCCGCGGGAAGGGGGTCCCGGCGCCGCCGCCTCCGCGGGCGCCCGGGCTCGCGGGCGAGCGCGGGGCTTTATGCGCGCAGGGCGGCGGGGGGAGGAGCCGGCAGGTCGGCCCCCGGCGGGCCCTCCCCTCGGCCGTCCCCGCCCGCCCGCCCGAGCGGGGTCGGGGGAGGGGGCAGCATGGCCTGTCCGTCCGGCCCCCTTCGCCGCGCTCCTCATCTGCCCCGCGCCGAGCGCCGCCGCCGCCGCCGCCGCCGCCGCTCCGCTGCCCGCGCCGCCCGCGGCTCCCGATGGAGACTGACGCGCCCCAGCCCGGCCTCGCCTCCCCGGACTCGCCGCACGACCCCTGGTACGGCCCGGCCCGGCCTGCTTGGCCCGCGCCCGCCCCGGCCCCGCCAACATGGCCGATCCGGGTCCGGCCGGGCCTCCCCGGAGCCCGGGCCCGCGCCCCCTGCGCCCTGGCGCCCGGCGCTCACGCGGGCCCTTTGTGTCTCTCCTCCTCCCGCAGCAAGATGTTCATCGGGGGACTCAGTTGGCAGACTACGCAGGGTGAGCGAGCCCGGGAGCGCCCGCCGGTCCGGCAGGGCACCCCGGACCCCCCGGCGCCCCGGACCCGGACACCCCAGCCCGGCCCTGCGCCCTGCTGACCCCGGGCGCCCTCGCGCCCTCTTTCGCGCCCCGCCCGGAGACCCCGAGAGCGCAGGGCGATCCGCGAGCGCACCCGGCCCAGCGGGTGGAGGGGAGCAGATGAGGGGTTCAGGGGGTATCGGGGGGTGGGCTGGGCCCCCGGGACCCGCCGGCGGCAGCGCCAACTCCGCTCGCACCTGCGGCTCAAACTTTTGTGAGGCTGCTCCCGGAGCGGCGGGAACCCGGCCGGAGCCGTCCCCCTTCCAGCCCAGCTCGGCCCTCGGCTTCCCGGGGCCCCGGTGGGCGCCAGGAGGCTCAGCGGGAACGGGGCGAGGGCGGTGGGGGGCGGCGGCAGTGGAGAACGCGCGGGCAGCTTGGCGCGGGGGCGGCCGGGCCGCTCCGGGGTCACCGGGGGCAAAGGACGGGGGGGGGGGAAGGGCGCGGGGCCCGGGCTGGTCCGAAGGCGGGTGTGTGGTTACAGAAGGGCTGCGCGAATACTTCGGCCAGTTCGGGGAGGTGAAGGAGTGTCTGGTGATGCGGGACCCCCTGACCAAGAGATCCAGGTGAGCCCCTCACCCCCTCCTCCTGCTCCCGGCTCGCCCCCCTCCACCCGCCACTCACTGCCTTGTAACCATCTGCCTCTCCCTCACTACGGCGCGCAGGGGTTTCGGCTTCGTCACTTTCATGGACCAGGCGGGGGTGGATAAAGTGCTGGCGCAATCGCGGCACGAGCTCGACTCCAAAACAGTGAGTGGCCCTCGGGGCTTCGGGGGTCCTTTGGGAGAGGGAGGCTGCCGGAGGAGAGGGTCAGGACTCTCCCCAGGGGACAGCTGGACGGGGTCCATGAGGAAGGAGGGAGTTTTTCTGAGTAAGAGGGCTGCCATGCTCTGAAACTTTGTCACTAGAGTTGGGGGGGAGAGGGAGGAGAAAAATCCCTGGCCTGCCATGAGATGCTACATCCCCCCTCCCCTAGTCCTGGTGAGGGGAGAGGCAGCCGCCACCCTCTCCCTAGAAGTACTAATCATGATGCCTCAGAGCAGAGCTTGGGGTGGGGCTAGGTCCCTCCCCCAGCCCAAATTGGGTGAGTCAGGGTAGCACTGACCCACCCGGTGGCTTCTGTGAACTCTAACTAGTATTTGGCTCTGCGACACCCCCTCTTCATCCAGACCAATGGCAAAGCATCCCTTGAAGCCCCCTCCCTCTCTCCTTCCCTCCTCCCCCGACTTTTGGTCAATGAGCTCCTTGCTTTGTGTGGAAGACAGGGACCTGCTTTGCCCACGGAGGGGATTTATGAGAAAGGCTCTAGCTTGCCTGGAAACGACCCTTCGGAAGACTAGATCTTAGGAGAAGCTGCTTGGTTGGCATTCAAACTCATGGAACATTTTGCTGTTGTCCCACAGCTCCTTCGTGTCTTAGACCCTGCAGGGGGCGCTGGCTCCAGGGCAGATGGAAAAGTAGAAAAGTCAGAGGAGGGGGTTACTCCCATGTGATGGGGGTGTCTGTCTGCTGGGGGCAGGGATAGTGTGGATCTCTTCTCTCCATGCTTCCCTGCTGTCCCCCAGCCTTGGGCCTCTCTGCTTGGGTCAGTCCCTGGCTCCCGTTTACCTGCAACAATAGCTGCTTGTGCCCAAGAATTTGTCAAATTACCGCCTGTCCCCAGCTCCTGTTATCTCTGCCCAGTGGCTCCCGCTCCCGCTCGCAGTAATGAGCAAATGAGGCCAGGCCTCAACTTTGCCGGCTCTGAAAGGATCTTCTTGGCGCAGCCTGAGTGACCCAAGCCTGGAAATGGAGAGACAGTGGCCTATTGTTTTTGGTGATTATCTGCCATCAAGCTGCCTGTTCTGCTACCATCCCCTGTCCTCAGAATGCACTGATGGCTTCTGCAGTGCTGAGGAAGCTGAGATTTAGGGGCTGGGGGATGGAGGAGTGGAAGATTGATAAAGGGGAAGAGAATGAGGGAGGAAGGAGGGTGAGATGAGCATCCTTAGGAGATGGGGCTGAAAAGGGCCAGGGCTTTGTCTGTGTTTGGCGTCCTCCAGCCTGGGAAAGGGGGTGGGAGGGAGGTTTACTGTGGGGAGTCTATTTTGAGCTCTGACTTTCACCTTTTATTTACTTGTTGGGTTTTATTTATGTTGCCAGCTGTGAGTCACAGTGGAGGTGGGGTGTGTCAGGGATGGGGTGTGCGTGGGTCTGTGGGATCGTGGCTTGGGTACCATCTCCCCATCGGGGTCTGTGTAGGGGGACTGTGTGTGGTGCGCTGGTGGCTGGGGCGGCTGCTTCTGGGAGAAAGAGAAGGATGGACATGTCCGTGGAGGTGTGGAATTGAAACTTCAGGCGGGAGAAATGGGCAGTTGTGATTTTTCCCTGGAGCCCAGTGGGACTTGGCAGGAGAGGAGGCATTGCCCCAGTGTGGATTTTGGAGGTTCCATCTCTGTGGACAGATTCCAGTGGGGGAGCCTGTAGGAGGCTAGTTCCTGGTCTGTGCCATTCAGAGAGAAGCCAGAGCCAGCTGCCTAGAACGAGGCTGAGTTTTGAACAGAAGGAACTTTGGGAAAAGATAGATCTTCCCTGCGATTGGCTGGTGAACTTATGAATGACGTCCACCCATGTGGGTGGCAAAAAGCTCTGGCCTGACCTGGCCCTGTAGGCCCTGCATGGATCACAGCGTCTCATGCCCTGTCTTTTGCTGTTTGTCGTACAGCTATAGTACCCAGGAGTACACCCAGATGCATCTTGATTTTTCCCTCTGGTTGTTCACAGCCAAGGGCAAAGGTGGCCTGCTGGTAATAGCACCTTTGTTTGTGCAATGAAGGGCAGTTCACAAAGGGCCGCTTTCACCCGCGTTATCTCATCTGATTCCCCGCAGCTGCCCCTGGGAAAAGCGGGTGTGATTGTCCCCACTTTGCAGATGAAGGAACTGAGGCTCACAGAGTTCGAGTGCATTACCAAGATCACAGGCTTGGCAAGAGGCCCAGAGTTTCTAGGTCAAGTCCCATGCCCTTTCACGTCACCGAAGACTGCACTCTGCCTTGCCCCAAGCCTAGCTGCATTATCAAGGAGCTGTTTGCTCACAGCCTCAAGGAGAGCTATTTGATGTTGATAGTACTGCGAAAACAGAACTGAGCCTACTCCTGATGGTTATGAACTCTCAGCTTGTAGCCTTTTGCAGACAAAGAGTATTCCCATTTGCAGGGTTTCCAAAGCCTGAATTGCATACCTTACCTAGATAGGTCATCTGTGTGAAGTCAGTTACGCAAGGAAGGCCCTCGATTTACCTGATACTTGAAGGAATAAGACGGCTTACATTTTTTTTGTTTTTGTTTTTGCTGTGAGCTAGACACCATGCCAAATGCTTTGTATGCATTATCTCCAATAATCTGCTGATGACCCTTTGAGGTGGGTGTTATTATTTGCCCATTTTGCAGGTGAACTTGACCCTGACGTTCAAAGAGGGGAAATAACTTGTCCATGGTCTCACAGCTGGGAAGCAGTGCAAATGGGATTTGAACCCAGCAGTGGGACGTTAGGGTCTAAATGCTTAACTGGCTGGGCGTGGTGACTCGTGCCTGTAATCCCGGGACTTTGGAAGGCTGAGGCGGGCGGCTCACCTGAGGTCAGGAGTTTGAAACCAGTCTGGCCAACATGGTGAAACCCCGTCTCTACTAAAAATACAAAAATTAGCTGGGTGTGGTGGTGCGCACCTGTAATCCCAGCTACTAGGGAGGCTGAGGCAGGAGAATCACTTGAACCCGAGAGGCAGAGGTTGCAGTGAGCTGAGATCGTGCCACTGCACTCCAGCCTGGGTGATAGAGTGAGACTCTGTCTGAAGAAAAAATAAAAATAAATGCTTAACCACTATTCTCTCCTCCTAGAGGCTTTTGTGATTTCTGTCACCTTTGTGTCCTGGGAGGAGAGAGGTCCTGAGGGCTGAAGGCTGTGTGGTCGCTCTTCTAAAAATGCGATAACCAAGACCCCTTCTACCTCTCCCTTTTCTTGTAGATTGACCCTAAGGTGGCCTTCCCTCGGCGAGCACAGCCCAAGGTAGGTGTGTCTATGTCTGGGAGGAGCTCTCTTACTATGGGCAATGCTGGGCAGTGATTTTCCCAGTATTTCCTGCTCTGGAAGATGCTTCTGGAACCTCTGCTTGGAGTGTTTGTGGAATGGGCTGGGCTGGGAAGAGGGGATTCTTGACGTCCTTGCTCTGTGGCCTGAAGACACTATATGTCTTTCCACGTGAGCTCTGGGGTGGACTGGAGAGGGGCTTGTGTGTGTTGGGAGAAAGGGGAGCTACTCAGAGGATTCATCGTCCTGTATTTGAACCCAGTAGAGTTTGGAGCCTGAGTCTAATTCCAACATCATAGACCACAGCCTTGATGTCCAGGCCTCTGGAAGTGAAATACAGGACAGACTTAGACCCTAAGGCCGCGCTACAGGCAGGCTAGGGAGCTACCCTTGGATCCCCCCAGTCACCCTTTGCAGAGGCAGAGGGGACCACAGACTCTGTCACCTGTTGTCTTTCAGTTTAGATGTCTGTGGCTGCTTTCTCAATGCTCTCTTACCCTGCTGCTCTGGCGAGTTCTCCCAGTGAGAGGGTCAAGGTGCGCAGAAAATGGATTTCTGAGCAGTTGAGTGATACAACACTCAAAAAACTTTTGGTGCAGGGCAGGGGCCTAAGAGTCTATTCTAGGCCTCAGGGCAACTAGCCAGGTCTTCCTTTTGAAGCAATTGAATATAGAGGACAGAAGGAGAGACTGATTGCGGAACATGGGGTCAGGACCCCTGAGTTTACTGACTTATCATGGGTCCTAGGACGAGGTCCCTCTCTAGGAGAGTTCGGTTTCCTCCTTTGCCAGGTGGAACTAGAGCTCTTTAAGATTCCGGGCCAGTGAATTCCATCAAGTCCCCCAACTCCTGCCAGGGCTGAAGGAGAGGAAGAGTTTTGGGAGACAGGAAAGGGGCATCTCTGGAAGGGTCCAGTAGAGGGCCTGAAAGCAATTATGGAGCAGGTATTCGAAGGAAGCCGCACCAGGGAGCACATGGTTGGAACTGGGTTAATTCCATTAAGCAGTTTGGTGACAGAAGGTGCTTTAGTGTTAGGATGGGGCTGGGAATTGCCGCGGATTAGCCATGCGCTCCTGGGGTAATTAGGACCATGTGTTCTTCCTAAAACAGGGCTGGGGCCACAGGGCTGCCAGAGGTTGTGTTGGGAGGAGGCTGATGAGGAAAATGTCGGCACTGAGTTCAGGGAGACTCTGTGATGGACCTTGGGGGGTCTCCCAGGAGGGCCAGTGAGGTCTTAGTGTTAGGCTGTGGGTCTGGGTCACTGGCCCGCCCCCTTCCCTGTGTTAGTCCTTAGGGAAGGCATTTTCTGGACATAGTCCCTAGGGAGGGAGGCAGGAAGGAGGCACACTCGAGCCAGCCAGGGTGTGGGTGCACAGCTGCCCATGACAGGCCTAGAGGCGGGGGTCCAAGAGGGAGCTTGCGGGGGGGGGGCCTTTAAAGAGGCTGGGGCCACAGAGAGCTTGTCAGCTGGCATCCTGGCAGGGGGGCTCGAGCCCCTGCTGGTGGCGGTAGGCCACAGGACTCAGATGCCCACTTTCTCATTCCCTCCCCTAACAGATGGTGACTCGAACGAAGAAGATCTTTGTGGGGGGGCTGTCGGTGAACACCACGGTGGAGGACGTGAAGCAATATTTTGAGCAGTTTGGGAAGGTGGGTTTAAACTGGGGGCGCTTGCTGCTGGGGCTGTGAACACACTGTAGAATGGGGCACTAGCAAGCCGAATCCAGCCAGGTCATTCCATTCCTGCAAAAGATGAGAGTGGGGCTGGATCCTGCTGTGGGGGCAGACCAGGCCAATCCACCTTGCAGCCTCCTGGCTCATCTGTGAGCTTCAGACTCAGGATATCCCTCGGGACAGAGAAGCCACACAGTAGCTGGCCCTGTTGTTGCCCTTCCACTGTATTTTTCTCTTACTTATCTTCATTCTCACAAGGGAGGCAGTGCTCCCACAGCCAGTTCAATCAAGTCAGCCCGTGGCCTCCTGGGAGTTTGCACCTGTCCAGGCCACAGGCTATTGAACCTTTCCCCACTCCTTCCAGGCGAGGATGATAAGGAGGCAATAAATATGACTCCCAATTGCACTCGGCACCCTATTTGCACAGGTGGGGAGCTTGGAGCCAGAGCTGGGGGGCTGCTGGTCCCCTGGGTATTGGGGGGAACTGATGAGAGCATCCCCCAATTCCTGATCAGGCCCAGAGGATTGGCTGTGAGCTGTAAGGGGCATGGAGCTTTAATTTCTGGGCCTCTGAAGAGGTAGATGTTGTGGCGACATCCGACATTAGGGTGTCCTCTGAAAGGTGGACAATGTGAACTTTGGAGTCCCATGGGGAGATGGCAGAGAGGGTCCTACGTTTGAAGTCTAGGAGGGAAAGAGGGTTGTTTTGCTTGGGGCCGGGGTCCCTGGTCTTTCTTCTTTTAGGTGAGACAGGCGAGAGGCTGGGTCTCTACTTTCCCATCAAGACACTTCGAGTCACCCCCAGGCAAGCGAAGGGGGACGTGGCCTGGGAAATGGGCCTGGGATTGTGTGGGGGGGGGAGGTGTCCCCTGGCCAGCTGAGGCTGGTGGTGTGGGGGACCAGAGGCCTCGGCTTTCGTGCCTCGGTGGGCACCTGGGTCCGGGACAGAGGGCAGGTCGGGCGGGCCCGGGCCCCAGAGGGTAGGGCGCTCCTGGGAAGCAGCAGGCCCGGCTCGGCTGCGGCGGGGTGTCTTTGTGTCTGAGCGCCGAGCATTAGAGCTCGCACTAATCTGATCCAGCAGCTGTGATTGGAGGCCGCCTGCCCCCGGGGCCGGCGTTGCCATGGCAACCGGGCCCCAGGAGAAGCCGTCAGCGGCCGCGTCTTTTGTTCGGGCCTAAATCGGCGTTGGCATGTGAAACCGGCCCGGGGAGGCCAGGGGGAGCCGGAGAATAGGCTGCCAGGGAGCGAGGGGGACAGCCGGGAATGCCAAGGGCCCCGCGGCGGGGGGCCCCCCGCCCGGATCGAGGGGCCGCCGCCGAGGGGGGAACAATGGTCAGCCGCCATGGCTGCCACTCAGGCTTAGCGGCCGCCGAACTTGGCGGCTCGGCTCCTACTGGTCAGCAGGCCTCGGCCGCCTCCCCTCCCCCCGCCCGATCCCCCCTGCCCTCGGGTTCCCATGGAGACCAAAGCCTATTAAGGACACTGGGCCGGGAGCCTCCCTCCCCTCAGCTCGCCCCAGGAGGGGACACCGGTGGGGCTAACCCGGACCCCCAGCCATCTTCCTTGCCCCCTGCCCTGGCCTCAACCCCACCGTCCCACTAGGGGCCTCTCCAGCCAAGGCCCAGGTTGAAGGGTGTAGTGGGGCCAGGGATGGTGGCCTTCCTTGCAGGGTTGGGTGGAGGAAGGTGGGAGAAGTTGTGGATTTGGGCTGAATCCATTTGTGGGTCAGGCAGGGACTCGGAGCTGTAGGATTAGGGGGGAGGGTGTGGCTGGTTCGTTCATTCATTCATTCATTCATTCAAAAAATGATTGACCTCCAGTCAAGGTGCTCAATAGGATGGTGGTCATGGCCCTAAATGACACAGACGATGTCCTCATGCAACCTTCAAGCCATTAGTATCTGGCTGCTCTCTCCCCAGCTTTGCCACGTTCCCCCCGTGTAACTATGGGCAAGTCCCTCCCTTGTAAAGATAATAATAATAGCTATTATTTATTAGGCACTTACTATATCCTGGGTCTGTGAGTTAAGAGTGTTACATGCACTATCTCACTAAATCCTCTCATAGCCAGGCTTGGTGGTGCACACCTGTAGTCCCAGCTACCAAGGAGGGTGAGATGGGAGGATTGCTTGAGCCTGGGAGTTCAAGACTAGCCTGGGCAATATAGCGAGAACCCTTTTCCAAAAAAAAAAAAAGGTGTCTTTCATTTAACTTCAACCTGTGAGATAGACACTGTTATGCCTATTTCACAGATGAGGAACCAAAGCCAGAGAAACATCAAGTCACCTGCCCAAGGTTACCCAACCAGCAAATGCAGGATCCAGGATTCCAGCTCAGGCCCGTCCTACCCAAAGCCTGTGCTATGACCACAATCCTTCTTTCTGGGTTTCTGTTTTTCATTGGTTAAGTGAGGGGTGGGCAAGATGTGCTGAACCTGAAATGATTGTCCCATTCGGGTGGTCCAGCTGATTTGGGATTGGGACTCAGAGTGGGTCCATAGGATGGGAGTGAGAGTGCCACTCTGTTGCGTGGGCCCCAGTACAGGCAGCTCTTTGAGAAGAGAGATGTCATGAGATTCTCCAGGGACCTTGTTGCCTCCTGGCTCAGTGGGGTCCTGGTTCTCCCAGTGGGAGTCAGAGGCCCACTGTAGCTTGATGCCTAAGGAGAGCTGGAGGATCACGGTAGTTCAGGGTGTTTAATGAGGCAGGGGAGGGCCTTTAGAAGGTAGATGATGGGGTCGGGCCTGGTGGCTCACGCCTGTAATCCCAGCACTTTGGGAGGCTGAGGCGGGTGGATCACTTGAGGCCAGGAGTTCGAGACCAGCCTGGCCAACATGGTGAAACCCCATCTCTACTAAAATACAAAAATTAGCCAGGAGTGGTGGCATGCACCTGTAATCCCAGCTACTCAGGAGGCTGAGGCAGGAGAATTCCTTAAACCTGGGAGGCGGGGGCTGCAGTTAGCCGAGATCATGCCACAGAACTCCAGCCTGGGTGACAGAGTAAGACTCTGTCTCCAAAAAAAAAGAAGGTGGTGGATGCTGGGCCTGGAAGTAGAGGGAAGGAGAGTAGGGAAGAGGCTGGTTACCCATGGCTTGATGGCTTGAGAAAAGTTTTTTTTTAATCCTTTGGATGTCTGGTCATTTGGGGGAGGGTTGGGGCCTGGAGTAGGATTGGGTTGGGTATCAGAGGCAGCCCCTGATTTATACCAAAGGTGACTCAGACCTTAACTAAGAAAGAGGGCAAGGAGGAGGCACCAGATGCAGGCAAATGGAAGGTGGCACCAAGGCCTTTGGTGACCGTATATCCAAGGGGTACCTAGAGGAAGTAACAAGAGTAGACTGGGGTCCAAGAGAGGATGGATGATGTAGATCCTCCCCCTTTCCCAGTCTCCTTCCCTTCCCCCAGTCAGTGGGAGGCAAAGCAGCCCAGGCACTGAACTCTACTTGCTTTAATTACAGCCTCTAGCAAAAGGAAACCTCAATTAGAGGAAAAGATCTGTAGCCGGAGAGGGGAGTCCAGTCTGGTTGCTGTCCTCCTGGCCTTTTACAGAAAGGGATGAGGCTTTTGCTTCCCCATCTTGTCATTTTCCTCCCTCCCATATTTCCTTCTCTAGCATCTTCTCTGTGCCTCCCCAGTTTGGTCAAGGTCTTGCTGTGTGATCTTGGGCAGGCAACTTCACCTCTCTGAGCCTACTTTCTTATCTACACCATGGGGATCTTACCATGCAGGGAATGTTGGGAGGACAATGGAGCTTAATAAATGCAGGCTGGTGCATTGAGATGATGGTGATTGAAAAGGGTTTTCAGTGGGGTTGCAGAAGGAAAGTTGTCCCCTGTGCAGGGAGCAGGTTGAAGGTCAAGCCTGGAGTGGGCAAGAGGGCAGTGGGTTGCCAGAGCCCCTGTTCCTTGGTGGTAGTGGGTTCCGCTGGTATCTGCTGGGTCCTCCATGGCGGGCTGTGTTTCAGGTGGACGACGCCATGCTGATGTTTGACAAAACCACCAACCGGCACCGAGGTGAGTGTGGCCCCCTCCCCCTTCCCAGGCTGGGCCCCGTGGTCAGCCAGGGGGCTGCAGGTCACAGCTGCCCTTTCATCTCGCCTTCTGACATCCTATCCCCCAGGATCTGCGTCCTCTCCCAGGCCTGGCCTTACAGAAGGCTTTTGTCCCACCATTTCCTGTGCTAGAAACTTGCCGAATTGCAGACACACGAGACGAACAGAGGAGTACCCACCCCCCCAGTCCCTGCAACCCACTGAGTCTCCTACCCCCACCCTAGTGGTGTCTGCCTCTGCCCGGGCTTACCTTGTCCCTGGTAACCAGAGCTTAGGCCAGGCCGCCCAGGGTCAGGCTGACTCCACAGCCCCAGGCAGTCACCTCCTGCCCAGCCCCCAGCCCCCAGCCCCGTTGCCTCTGAACCTGTGAGCATCTGGGCCACACCGTGTGCGTGTGCGCCACCTGGCTGTTTTTCTCCCGAGGGCCTTACCTTCTGAGAAATCCCTTTCCAGTCCCTGGGGCACACCCAGGAGGAGACAGGGTTGTTTCTCCAGTTGTTTCAGGACTTTTAGTCCATTTTGGGAGTGGGGTATGTGTTCTGTGTGTGTGTGTATTTGTATCTGTGCAAAAGGGGGTATCTGTGCCTAAATATCTGTTTATATCTGGTATGTCAGGGTAACTGCATGTGTCTGCGTGATACGCAGGTATCTAGATGTATGCATGCGTGAATGTGTGTCTATGTACATTTGTATGTTTGGACATGTACACCTTTGTGTAAGTTTAAATGAGTGTGCATGTGTGTTCCTTCTTCCCTCTTTGGAAAACACCTGAGGACTAGAAAAAGCATGTTGAGTGTATTCTCATCACAGCTCTACCACTTTCTAACTTGCTGTGTGACCTTGGGCAAGTTACTTCACTTACCTGAACCTTATTTTCCTCATCTGTATTCTGGGACTTGAAACCCTGTCTCAGTGGATAGTTGAGAGGATTCCAGGCTGTGAGCAGAGCCTTTCATTAACTCTCACTCGCCAGAGAGAGAGGAGCGGGGATATTGGTACGACCTGGGGTTGAGTTTTGACCCTGCGCTCTGGTTCTGACCTTGCCTTTATCCTTTGTCCAACCTCTAGGGTTCGGGTTTGTCACGTTTGAGAGTGAGGACATCGTGGAGAAAGTGTGTGAAATTCATTTTCATGAAATCAACAACAAAATGGTGAGTTGGGTCCGGGCGCAGTGGCTCACGCCTGTAAGCCAAGCACTTTGGGGAGGTTGAGGTGGGCAGATTACATGAGGTCAGGAGTTTGAGACCAGATTGGCCAACACAGTGAAACCCTGTCTCTACTAAAAATACAAAAATTAGCCAGGCATGGTGGTGCGTGCCTGTAATCCCAGCTACTTGGGAGGCTGAGGCAGGAGAATCGCTTGAACCCGGGAGGTGGAGGTTGCAGTGAGCTGAGATTGTGCCACTGCACTTCAGCCTGGGCAACAGAGTGAGTGAGACTCCGTCTCAAACAAAACAAAACAAAAACAAAAACATGGTGAGTTGGGATTGGATGGAGCGCAGGCACAGAGAAGACTGGGGCTCCTTGTGGGGCCTGCCAGGGAAGCTATGAGGTTCTAAAGGCAGGCAGAGGGGCTTCGAGTGAGTGGAGGCAGAGCCAGTTCTTCCAACCCCTAAAAACCTAGACAGGGAGGCAGTGTCACACGGTAGTTAATCAGGCAGATGACCTCCCTTCTCTGAGCCTCAGTTTCCACATCTGTCAAATGGGACTGGAAAAGCTCCTCCATCATAGTATTGGTAGTATTGGTGTAAGCATTCATTGAACGATTGCATGCAAAGCCGTTTACACACTCCCCAGCACATAGTGAGTGCTCCATCAGTGGTAACCATGAAATAGTTTTCAGCTGGACAGTGAAATTAATAAAATTAATAAAGGGGCTTTCCAGGGAACAAGAGGGCTAATGACTCTAGCTCTGTGGGAAAGACTAACCGCCAGGTCTCATTGCAGGTGGAATGTAAGAAAGCTCAGCCAAAGGAGGTGATGTCGCCAACGGGCTCAGCCCGGGGGAGGTCTCGAGTCATGCCCTACGGAATGGACGCCTTCATGCTGGGCATCGGCATGCTGGGTATGCGCGAGCCTGCGCCTGCGGCTTCTTTCTGCCAGAACTGCTCCCAGGACTAGCAGGGGCTGTGTGGGTGTTGCACCTCCCCTGTGGTCTGCCCTCCTCCTGTCTGAGTCATTGAGCAGGAGTGGGGACAAGGGATCTGTCGGGTCTGGCAGTCCTACCCAAGGTGGGGTGGTTTGGTTGGGGGGTGCTGCCCTCTGGTGGTAGCCAGCAGAAAGGTCCAACCATATTCATTGGTCCTGTCAATCTGTCCATTCTCTCGTCCATCCATCCCTCCATCTGTCCATTCCTCTATCCATTCATCCATCCAGTACACAGTTATTGAGCAACTCTATATGCCAGACATTATGCCAGGAACTGCAACAATGACTTTCTTTACAATCTGGCAGGGAAAACAAGTAAGAAGATAAAATAGATTTCAGATGCAGAAGTGTAGGGTGCCGAGGGAGTGTGGTCACAGGGAACTTGACCGTGACTTGGAGAAGTGGGAAAAGAAGTTACATTTAAGTTGAGTCTGCGGGTGGAGTAGGAGCCAGTGATGGGGAGGCTGGAGAGACGGGAAGGGGAAAAGTGTTCCAGGCGGAGGGAACAGCATTTGCAAAGGCCAAAGGCCTTTGGAGGGGGCAAAAGGAAGGCTGCCTGGTCTTATTCATTCAGGTAATATTTATTGAGCAACTTCTGAGAAGGAGAGCCTGCTCTCATGGGGCTCTCCTTCAAGTTGGAGACAGGAGTAAATGGGCACTGCCACTACAGAGTGACTGGAGGCTGTGGGAGGCCCCTAAACCCACCTGGAGGTTGAGGAGACTTCCTGGAAGAGGTGAAGGCTGCCATGAGCCTTGAAAGCTGAGCAGGAGTCAGCTGTGCTTTGGGTCCAAGACTGAGGGTGGTAAATCTGAGTTTGGCCCCCCAGGAAGCTCATAGGCTCCCTGGGGAGATGAGATGTGTACACACAGAAAGAGAACAGTACAAGGGGGTCTTTATGCCAGGCATGGGGGAGTGGCACACAGAGAGGTACTCTGGGAATTCAGAGGAGGGGGCACGGCATGGGCTAGAGGGTCAGAAGTCGGGGAGGCGAGCAGCCTCCAAATAGGGCACAGTCTTCCTTGAAGCTTTTCTTTTTTCTTTAACATGTTATTTGGAAGTAATCCCAAACTCAGAGGAGCTGCAAAAATAAAACAGTACAAAGAACATCCATATACCCTGTTATCAGATTCACCTGTTCTTAACATTTTGCCCCCATTTTGGTTGATCAGTTTTACTCTATGTGTATATATGTGTGTGTATGTGTGTTTGCAAATATGTATGTACACATGTATAGACACACAGACTTGTGATTTTTCACTGAATCATTTGAGGGCTAGTTACATGCATCGTGGCCCTTTACCCTTTGATGCTTCCTAAGATTAGGGATATTCTTTCATGTAACCACAGTTTAGTTATCAACTTCCTAAGTTTATAATTGATACAATATTTTTTTCTTTCTTTTTTTTTTTTTTTTTGAGACGGAGTCTCACTCTTTCGCAGGCCGGACTGCAGTGGCGGGATCTTGGCTCACTGGAAGCTCCGCCTCCTGGGTTCACGCCATTCTCCTGCCTCAGTCTCCCGAGTAGCTGGGACTACAGGCGCCCGCCACCGTGCCCAGCTAATTTTTTGTATTTTTAGTAGAGACGGGGTTTCACTGTGTTAGCCAGGATGGTCTTGATCTCCTGACCTCGTGATCTGCCCGCCTCAGCCTCCCAAAGTGCTGGGATTACAGGCGTGAGCCACCGCGCCCGGCCTTGATACAATATTTTTATCTAATCTACTTTCTATTTTCCAATTTTATCAATTGACCCAATAATGCTCTTTTTTTTTTTTTTTTTTTTTTTTTTGGTAGAGACGGGGTCTCACTATGTTGCCCAGCTGGTCTCGAACTCCTGGCCTCAAGCAATCTTCTCACCTCAGGTTCCCAAAGTGTTGTGGTGGTAGGCATGAGCCACCATGGCCAGCCAGACCCAGTAATGCTCTTTATAGAATATTTTTGTCCTTCAGAATAAGATCCAGGCTAGAATCAGGTATTGTAGTTAGTTGTCTTGTCTCTTTCACTTTGTTTTATTTAGAACATTGAGAAAGTTTTATTCTAAGGTGATTCATGAGCTGTTTTCACCCTTCATTTAAGAGGTGGAAAAAGAAGTTAGGCACCTTGGCTCACGCCTGTAATCCCAGCACTTTGGGAGGCTGAGGCGGGTGGATCACCTGAGGTTGGGAGTTCGAGACCAGCCTGACCAACATGGAGAAACCCTGTCTCAACTAAAAATACAAAATTAGCTGGGGGTAGTGGCACATGCCTTTATTCCCAGCTCCTCGGGAGGCTTAGGCAGGAGAATTGCTTGAACCTGGGAGGCGGAGGTGGCGGTGAGCCGAGATCATGCCATTGCACTCCAGCCTGGGGAACAAGAGTGAAACTCCATCTCAAAAAAAAAAAAGTGGAAAAAGAAATTATCTAACAAATAGTGAGATCGGTGGTTAAGAGGCTTGGAGCCCGTCAGATCTGAATTTTAATCTTAATTGCACCATTATTGCTAACTATTGGATTTTTCTTTGAGAAGACAGAAAATCAGCACTTAAAGAAATCATGAGTACTTTCTGGCCAAGTGTGGTGGCTCATGCTTGTAATTCCAGACCAAGGCAGGAGGATCACTTGAGGCTAGTAGTTCGAGACCAGCCTGGGCAATACAGCAAGACCCCATCTCTACAAAAAAATTAAAAATTAGCCAGGCATAGCAGCACACACCTTGTAGTCACAGCTACTAGGGAGGCTGAGGCAGGAGAATCACTTGAGCCCAGAAGTTTGAGGCTGCAGTGACCTACAATTGTACCACTGTGCACTCCAGCCTGGGCAAAAGAGC
Organism: Homo sapiens; assembly: GCF_000001405.40. NCBI lineage: Eukaryota > Metazoa > Chordata > Mammalia > Primates > Hominidae > Homo > Homo sapiens. The sequence goes on along the minus strand of NC_000012.12, from coordinate 120,354,013 downwards.
AAGATCCTGTCTCTAAAAAAGAAAAAAGAAAAAAAAATCATTATATAAGTTCAGATAATGATCATCAGTACTAAGAAAAGCCAAGGTGACATGATAGAAATTGTAGCTGATGGGAAGGAGGACACCTATGGGAAGATGTTTCGGAGTCTTGTACAATGAGAGGGACTCAGGCATGTAGTCATCTGGAAAGAGTGCTCCAGGCAAAGGCACCAGCATGTGCAAAGGCCCTGAGGTGGGAATGAGCTTGGCAAAGCTGAAAAACAGCAAGGAAGCCAATGTGGCTGGAGCAGAGGGAGGGAGGAGCAGTGTGCAGGAGATGAGGACAGGAGGGAAGCAGGAGCCAGAGCTCAAAGAGCATTGGATTATTCTCAGCCAAAAAGTGTCACCTTTCAGAGCCTCAGTTTCCTGTCTGTAAAATGGGGTGCCTAACAGTACCTACCTCTAAGGCGAGTTTAACGGGATAATAGTGTGCAGTGTGCTTGGCACAGGGCTTGGTATGAAGAAGGTATTTGGAGGGTATAGCTATTATTCATGATAAAGGAAGGTGAGGGGACATGAGTGGCTCAGGTCCTTCTCCATGATCAGGATCCGCCCTGTGGATGAGCCATCTGACACTGCCCCCTTGCCCCATCAGGTTACCCAGGTTTCCAAGCCACAACCTACGCCAGCCGGAGTTATACAGGCCTCGCCCCTGGCTACACCTACCAGTTCCCCGGTAAGTCCTGCTCAGTATCCCTCTGCTGCCAGCATGCCCCTGGTTCCCGGGCAGTCTGACTTCTCAGGGTGGTGTCTAGGGGTGCATGGCTGGGGGTCTGCTTGCTGGAGGCTTGGAAGGAAGGGCATGTCTGAGGAAAGAGGGCCTCTCCCCACCCATCCCCCCCAAACCCCTCCCCAGAAGCTGGGGACAGGGGCTCCCAGCGTGGCCCTGCATGGCACCGTTTTCTCCCAGGCCATCCTCTGCCTGCCTCCTGCCTGTCTCTCCTCCCCACCCGACTCCAGGGTTGCCACTTCCACCAGAGAGGGCATTGGGCTTGTAGTGGGGGCCTCTCCGAGGGCCATTGTTGGTTGCATCATCACAGACACCTATAATGGCCAGGCTCTAGGCTGAGCTCTTTCAAGTCCAGACAAGGTATTATGCTGAGACCCTAAATGCTGAAAACCAGTTGAAAAGCATTATCATTACCACGCTCATTTGTAAGCCAACATAAAGATAACACTAGACCTGAAAGTAAATGTCAGGAAGCCCAGTTCTGGACTTCCCATGATGACTATTCAATGCAGTTTTCTTTGAAATAAGAAATACAAACTTTTGCAAGGCCATTTATTTATTTATTTACTTGGGGGTCTTATTTATTTGGAGGGCCCCTAAGCACTTACATCCTCTGCCTCAGGGCTGTTCAGCTTGGAGAACTTTGTGTACGGGACGTTGCCTAATTCTCTCAATAATCTCATGGGGGAAGGATGCTTATCCTCATTTTAGAGATGAGGACATAGGCTCAGAGGAAGAATGACAAAGCTAAGATGAGCCAACTAGGAAGTGGCAGAGCTGGGACTTGAACCCAAGCCTGACCTATTCTACCTATTCTAGGGCCGTCGCTTTTCATCAGGCTGCCTTCCCCCAACACACACACACACACACAAGAAGAAGAGGATTCTGGGAGATGTTTTTGGTAATAGTCAAATTGTAAGCCTTTTAGAGACACCCGAGCCTGGACATGGTGACTCACGCCTGTAATCCCAGCACTTTAAGAGCCTGAGATGGGAGGATGGCTTGAGCCCATGAGTTTGAGATCAGCCTGGGCAACATAGTGAGGCCTTGTCTCTACAAGTTAGCCAGGCATGATGTTGTGTGCCTGTGGTCCCAGCTACTGAGGAGGCTGAGGTGGGAGGATCGCTTGAGCCCAGGAGGTCGAGTGTGTAGTGAGCTGTGTTCATGCCACTGCATTCCAGCCTGGGCAGCAGAGTGAGACCCTGTCTTTTTTTTTTTTTTTTTTTTAAATAAAAAGGGCCAGGCGCGGTGGTTCATGCCTGTAATCCCAGCACTTTGGGAGGCCAAGACGGGCGGATCACGAGGTCAGGAGATCGAGACCATCCTGGCTAATACAGTGAAACCCCGTCTCTACTAAAAATACAAAAAATTATCCGGGCGTGGTGGCGGGCGCCTGTAGTCTCAGCTTCTTGGGAGGCTGAGGCAGGAGAATGGCGTGAACCCGGAAGGCGGAGCTTGCAGTGAGCCGAGATCGCGCCACTGCACTCCAGACCGGGCGACAGAGCGAGACTCCATTTCAAAAAAAAAAAAAAAGAGAGAAAGAAAGAAAAAGAAAAGAAACAGAAAAGAAGGAAACAAGCCAACACCTGGAATCGTAGCTCCAGCCCTGCCCCGTGCCCAGGGTATAGGTGGCAACTCTGCTCCCTCTCTCTGTCTCTCCTCTGTGTCTGTCTCCTTGCCCTCCCCTGCCTTCTGGGAACTGTGCTCTCCCCCTCCCCAGCTCTTGGGTCCTGTGCATGGCCTGTCTCCTCACCCAGTGTCCCTGTGGGTGCATTTGTCCTCCCTGGGCCATGTCCAAGGGGCCTCCCCTGCTTCTTCCTAAGCTGTTTTACGTTTCATTTTAGAATTCCGTGTAGAGCGGACCCCTCTCCCGAGCGCCCCAGTCCTCCCCGAGCTTACAGGTCAGTCGCTCGGATTTTGTATACCTCTCAGGCCACATGGGGAGAAACAGAAGGGGCCCAGGGAGTTTCCTGGGGAAAGCTAGCGGGATCCTTTTCTCCTGCCCGCCAGCCCTCCGGCTGTGGGGACACAGCAGACTGTGCCTGGGCACTGGCCAGTCTGGGCGGCTACATGGCCCTTAAGGGTGGGGCATAGGGCCAAGCCAAGCAGATGGAGGCAAAGTCACTCATTCATCCATTTGGCAAATATTTATCTAGCACCTCTCGTGTGCCAGGCTCCATGGAGGCTCTGGGATCCCGCAGTGAACAAGCCAGGGTCTCAAACTCATTGCAAAGTGGGCTGGGTGGGGACGTCTGCACACCAGCGTGGGCATACCTGCCCTCGGTGCCAGCTGACTCTTGCCGGGAGGGGACACAGACTCACTATGCTCAGATCTCATGTTTTTCCAGAGATGCCAGAAACCTGGCTTTTGCTTTCGTATGAATTTTTCCATTATTTTTCAATGTTGGCAACAGATTCTAAATGTTTAAAACACTGTGAGCCAAATGAAATATTGCCAAGGGCCGAATCCAGCCCTTTGGTGACTTCTGGACAAGTGGGGTGAAGGTGACAGGGGGCCGGTTTCCTGGCTGGCACCTTCACTCGGGCCAGCCAGCTCAGCTGCGGAGCCAGCCTTGAGCCGAGGAGACTGCAAGCACGTGGGGTGGGCTGCAGGGGGTTTCTCTGTCCAAGCTGCTTCTCCCCCACCCCACCCCCAGACTCTCCCCTCAACCTGGCCATGTGTGGAAGACGTGAGCATGGACCCTGCTTTAGATAAGACCTTCCTTCCAAGGGGTGCTCAGGGTTCCCCCAAAATGGGGGAGAGGAAGAGAAACCTGGAGTGAAGGAAGGGGTGGGGAGGAGAACCCTAGAGATGCAGGTAACAGAGGCTCTTCCCTGAAAAGAGGGAGAGTTTGGCCACTAGTTGTCAGGGTGGAGGGCTGGAAGGAGGTCCTTGTTACTCATTTAAGAACTGTGTGTGCTGGGCGTGGTGGTTCACGCCTATAATCCCAGCACTCTGAGAGGCCAAAGCAGGAGTATCCCTTGAGGCCAGAAGTTCAAGACTAGCCTGGGCAACATGGTGAAACCCCATCTCTACTAAAAAAAATAAAAAACTAGCCAGGTGTGGTGGTGGTGCATGCCTGTAGTCCCAGCTACTTGGGAGGCTGAGGTGGGAGGATCGTTTGAGCCCAAGAGGTGAAGGCTGCGGTGAGCCATGATTGCATCACTGCACTCCAGCCTGGGCAACAGAGCACCATGTGTTACGGACCTACTGTGCACAGGATGCCCTCCCAGACCCTGGGGACAGAGCGGGGATAAGACAGAGGCAGGCCCTGATCTCACAGAACTCGCAGTTTAGAGAGGGGAGCAAATACTTATTATATAAATAAGTCATTCTTTACAGTGTGGTAAGCACATGCTGGGGTTGGCTCCTCTGACTTTATGGAAATGCCTAAATGAGCCAAACAACAGACCTCAGAGCCCAGTCCCTGGCCTTAAAGAAATGACAGAAGAAATGTCCCTTTTAGAGATATCTTGGCAGGCAAGGGAGTAGGTACAAGATCAACAGTGCTTGGGCACCTAGGATCTGAACTTTCCTCTAGCCTTGGAGAAAAGGAGACTTGGGTGGTTTTTTCATGCATTCGATAAATATTCATTGTACCAGACACCACTCCAGGCACTGGGGCCACAACAGTGAGTGACACAGACAAGGTTCCTGTCTTCCTGGAACTGAAATTCCAGAGGAAGGAGACAGCAGTAAACAAGTAAACAGGCCGGGGGTGGTGGCTCATGCCTGTAATCCCAGCACTTTGGGAGGCTGCAGCAGGTGGATTACTTGAAGTCAGGAGTTCAAGACCAGCTTGGCCAACATGTTGAAACCCCATCTCTATTAAAAATACAAAAATTAGCTGGGCGTGGTGGTGCATGCCTGTAATCCCAGCACTTTGGGAACCTGAGGCAGGCAGATCACCTGAGGTCAAGAGTTTGAGACCAGCCTGGCCAACATGGTGAAACCCCATCTCTACTAAAAATACAAAAAAAATTAGCCAGGCATGATGGTGCACACCTGTAGTCCCAGCTACTTAGGAGGCTGAGCCAGGAGAATCACTTGAATCCAGGAGGCAGAGGTCGCAGTGAGCTGAGATCATGCCACTGCACTCCAGACTGGGCAACAGAGCTAGACTCTGTCTCAAAAAAAAAAAAAAAAAATCAAGTAAAACAAGAAAGGCTTACCTGAGTATCCCCAAAGCAAATAAGATATTTTTGGGCTGGGTGTTGTGGCTCATGCCTGTAATCCCAACACTTTGAGAGGCCAACACAGGAGGATAGCTTGAAGTCAGGAGTTCGAGACCAGCTTGGGCAACATACCAAGACCCTATCTTTTATTTTATTTTATTTATTTATTTTTTTTGAGATGAAGTTGTGCTCTTGTTGCCCAGGCTGGAGTGCAATGGCGCGGTCTTGGCTCACCGCAACCTCCACCTCCTGGGTGCAAGCGATTCTCCTGTCTCAGCCTCCCATGTAGCTGGGATTACAGGCATGCACCACCACACCTGGCTAATTTTGTTTTTTGTTTTTTGTTTAGTAGAGACGGGGTTTCTCCATGTTGGTCAGGCTGGACTTGAACTCCCGACTTCAGGTGATCCGCCCGCCTCGGCCTCCCAAAGTGCTGGGATCACAGGCATGAGCCACCGCACCCAGCCTTTCCAAGACCCTATCTTTACAAAAAAATTAATTTAAAAAAAAAAAGATATTTTTGGAGGGTGAGAAGTTCCATGAGGAAATTAAAGCAGGGAAATGTGCTAAGGCGTTATGGTTGGGGACAAGGGGCCGCCTGAGTGGGGGTATTCAGGGAAAGCTTCTTAGAGGAGGTGGCATCTGAGTGAGAAGGAGCCCACTGTATGAAGTTTTTAGGAAAGATTCACAGTAGGAGGTGCTCATCTCTCAGCCCCAGGGAGCCCCAGGCTCAAGCCATTCAAGCCACTGGGTGTTTTAAGCAGATTCCCTTTCTACTCTTTCAGCAGGTATTAAGCACCTGCCGTGTACAAGGCAAGGTGCTAGGTGCTGCAGAGGTGGCGATGATGGCAGACAGCAAACAAGGGGATAGGTGCCTGTGTCTGAAGAGGAGATGGCAGACAAAGAGGCTGGGGGGATTTGGGGGAGGCAGTGGTCATTTCTGGGTGGTCAGGGAGGCCCTTAGGGTGCTCTCAGGAGACAGGGGCGAGGGGAGCAGGACAGGCAGCAGAAGGTGCGGTGCAACGCTATGGCCTCGGTGTGAGCCCAGCCTCAGCCTGACCCCTAGAGCGCTCTACCTGGGGGCAGCAGGCCTGGGGGCCTGTCCCATGTCTGTCTATCGCCAGGTGTCGTGGGCTGCGAAGAAGGACGTGAGCTCCCAGGCACCTCTGGGCCAAGTGATCCCTGTTTTGCCAAGGGCATCCTGGAGAAGGGGGCAGCTGCGGGCAACCTTCGCAGCTTCTCAGGGTTGGGTGCCCTGCCTCCACCCTCCATGAGCTTTGGGTTATTCAAGCATGTCCCCCCAGACCAGGGGAGAAATTGAGGCTCAGCTACTCACTGGGAAGCTGTCCTCTCTCCCACCTTTTTCCATCCATGCCACAGGTCAGGACACAGATGGTGTGGCCCAAGGTAGCCTTTTCTGCCTTGACCCTGGGGCTACATGGAACCCTCTGAGGTAGGGCCAGGCTGGACAGGCTCTGCCTAAAAGGTAGGGGCCTCCTTCACCCATCTCTGCCCCTCACCGCCATGCTGATGTGCCCATCCCTTTCCTTTCAGCCATTCCTCTCACTGCCTACGGACCAATGGCGGCGGCAGCGGCGGCAGCGGCTGTGGTTCGAGGGACAGGTGAGCTCTTCTGAGGTGCAGGAAGAGAGATGAGGGAGCACAGGGAGCAGAGAAGTCCAGGGGAGGGGAGAAGGCCACTGCCACCCCTTTGCAGAGGGACACTTGTTCATTCACTCAAGTATCACCTGATTACCTGCTCTGTGCTGGGCATCGTGCCAGCATGGGCGAGCCAGCCCTCAGCAAGACTGACAGGGTCGGCTGGGCGCGGTGGCTCCTGCCTATAATCCTGGCACTTTGGGAGGCCAAGGTGGGCAGATCACCTGAGGTCAGGAGTTCCAGAGCAGCCTGGCCAACATGGTGAGACCCCGTCTCTACTAAAAATACAAAAATTAGCTGGGCGTGGTGGTGCGCGCCTGTAATCCCAGCTACTCGGGAGGCCAAGGCAGGAGAATCGCTTGAACCCGGGAGGCGGAGGTTGCAGTGAGCTGAGATCACGTCACTGCACTCCAGCCTGGGCAACAGAGTGAGACTCCGTCTGTCTCAAAAGAAAAAAAAAAAAGACTGACAGGGTCTCTGCCTTCCAGGGCTTGCAGCCTGGTGGTGGCATCAGGTATTAAAAAGGCAATAATGCTGATGGCTGATGCTGCTGCACTAGGGGGAGTCCAGTACCAGAGGAGCTCCCAGCTGGGGCCTCTAGGAAAGGCGAGGGAAGGCTTCCAAGAGGAAGGGCCTCTTAACTTTGCATTCAAAGGCAAAGAGGAGGAAAAGTGTTTCTGGTTGAGGGAATAGCATATGCAAAGGCTTGGAGGCCAGTGGGTGGGGAAAGTGCGGAAGTGGGGAGTGGAGAACGGAGGCAGGAGGAGCCCGGGTGGTGGGGAGACAGTGGAAATTGCAAGTAGCAGAGGGACGCGGGTCAGGGTTTAGAACATGCATTCAGCTGCTAGGTGGGGAGAGGTTGGGAAGGGGCTCAGGAGGTGAGGCTGCTGAGTGGTCAGACGAGATGATGGGGGTCAGGGCTAGGGGTGACTGGGTGGATGGGCATGGGGAGATCTCCAGGAGGTGGGCCCACAGGACTTTCTGAAATGTGGGGGTCCAGGTTAGGGTGGGTGGGACAGGCTTGAGGGGGTGCCGTGGGGTGGCAGAGGGCACCAGGGCTATCACCGTCTTCTTTCTGGGTTGCCAGGCTCTCACCCCTGGACGATGGCTCCCCCTCCAGGTTCGACTCCCAGCCGCACAGGGGGCTTCCTGGGGACCACCAGCCCCGGCCCCATGGCCGAGCTCTACGGGGCGGCCAACCAGGACTCGGGGGTCAGCAGTTACATCAGCGCCGCCAGCCCTGCCCCCAGCACCGGCTTCGGCCACAGTCTTGGGGTGAGTGGCCAGGCCTAGCGGCCCCCACCTCACCCCCCACACCTTGAGAGACCCCCAAGTTGGGGAAGGGAGAGAACTTCTTTGTCTCTGGGGGCAAAAGGAGGGTGAGGGAGGATGAATGGAGAAAGATCACTAAGGAAGAGTTGTGGGGGTTATCATTCATTCAGTGGGCACTTAGTTATCGCCTCTGAATGCCAGGCATAGTGGGCTCTAGGTGCAAATGAGACACATGGCATCTCTGCTCACATGGAGGTTTGATTCCAGGGGTGCCCTGGTTTTATCCAGGGTACGGTTTGTGCAGATTCCCTGGCCCTCTGTTGGAGAATCTTTGAGCAGACCTGCAGTGGGGGGTGATCCGGGTAGGCAGACCTGCAGTAGGGGGGCGATCCGGACAGGTAGAGAGAGGTCAGCGCCTCACTTCAGATGTCCTGCAGAGAGAGAAGGAGCCCCTGATCTTCCTCTATTTCCCAGGAATCTAGGAGTCAAATTCTTTCCTTTTCAGGGCCCTTTGATTGCCACAGCCTTCACCAATGGGTACCACTGAAGCAGGGGACGGTGGCAGGAGGTGAGGATGTGGGGGTGGGCAGGTGGTGGGGTGGCACTGGGGAAGCCTGTCCTGGGCCATCGAATCTGGGACACAGACCCCATCCCTGCCCTCAAGAACCACAGTCCCAGGGGAGACAGATCTTTATACCAGCTGTGGTCAATAAAGATGAAAAGCTGCTCACCCTACTCCATTTAAACACAGAAATCAAAGCAACAGTAAGGCTTCACATCCCACCTATCAGGTTGGCAAAGATTATTATTATTATTATTTTTGAGACAAGATATCGTTCTGTCACCCACACCTCCTGGGCTCAAGGGATCCTCCCACCTCAGACTCCTCCCGAGTAGCTGGGACTGCAAGCACCTGCCACCATGCCTGGCTAATTTTTTTACTTTTTTTGTAGAGACAGGGTTTCACTGTGTTGCCCAGGCTGGTCTCAAACTCCTGGGCTCAAGGGATCCTCCTGCCCTGGTCCCCCAAAGTGCTGGGATTACAGGTGTGAGCCACCAGCGCAGGCCACAAAGATTTTTTAAGATCGTTTATTATTATTACTATTATTTTATTTTATTTTTGTAGATGGAGTCTCGCTCTGTCACCCAGGCTGGAGTGCAGTGGCGCAATCTTGGCTCACTGCAAACTCGTCCCCTGGGTTCAAGCAATTCTCGTGTCTCAGCCTCCCGAGTAGCTGGGATTACAGGCATGTGCTACCGCACCCAGCTAATTTTGGTATTTTTTTTGTTTTTAGCAGAGACGAGTTTTGCCATGTTGGCCAGGCTGGTCTCAAACTCCTGGCCTCAAGTGATCCATCTGCCTCGGCCTCCCAAAGTGCTGGGATTACAGGGGTGAGCCACCGTGCCCAGCCCTATTATTATTATTTTTAATAGAGATGTGGTCTCACTGCCACCCAGGCTGGAGTGCAGTGTGCAATCACAGCTCGCTGCAGCCTGGAACTCCTAGGCTCAAGCCATCCTCCACCTCAGCCTCCCAAGTAGCGGGGACCACAAGAGCATGCCACCATGCCTGGCTAAGTTTTTAAAAAATTTTTTTGTAGAGATGGGGTCTCATTATGTGGCCCAGGTTGGTCTTGAACTCCTGGCTCAAACGATCTTCCTCTGCCTTGGCCTCCCAAAGTGCTGGGATTTCAGGCATGAGCCACCGGGCCCAGCCACAAAGATTTTTTAAGTTGAACACTGCCCAGCATTGATCAAGATATGGGAGAAGCAAGTAAGTACAGTGGCTCAGGGGTTCCCGGGGCAGTCTGGCAGTGTTTGTCCCAGTTTCAAACATTCATGCCCTTGGACCCAACAATTCCACTTCTAGGCATTTATTTTTAAAACTGCAAATAACTGAAATATCCATCAAAAGGAAAGTGGTTAAACAAATTAGTGTGTGTACAGTGGTATAGTACACAGCTATCAAAACAGGATACCTTGGCCGGGCGCAGTGGCTCACGCCTATAATCCCAGCACTTTGCGGGGCCAAGGCAGGCGGATCACCTGAGGTCAGGAGTTCTAGACCAGCCTGGACAACATGGTAAAACCCCATCTCTACTAAAAATACAAAACTTGGCTGGCGTGATGGTGCGCACTTGTAATCTCAGCTACTCGGGAGGCTGAGGGACAAGAATCGCTTGAACCCAGAAAGCGAAGGCTGCAGTGAGCCGAGATCAGGCCACTGCACTCCAGCCTGGGCAACAGAGCAAGACTCCACCTCAACAAACAAAAAACAACAGGATACCTCGACTTGTGGGACTGTGTACACGGCCATCACAGTGTCTATCCAGATGGTGGGAGACTGTGAGCCCATGACATTCTGTTCATTCACCCATTCATTTATGAGCCCCATTCCAGGAAAGAGGATGAACAAGACAGACAAAGTCCTCTCTCATTTCACAGGACAAAAATCAAGTGAACATATGAGATAATTCCAGACTGTGCATGACAGGGCTATTTTAGATGTGGGGTTTAGAGAAGGTATCTCTGAGAAGGGGACATTTAAATAAATCCAGCCATTCGAAATCTGGGGAAAGAGGCATCCAACCAGGGAACAGAAAGTGCAAAGTCTGGCTGGGTGTGGTGGCTCACATTCGTAATCCCAGATCTTTGGGAGGCCAAGGCAGGAGGATGGCTTGAGGACAAGAGTTTGAGACTAGCCTGGGCAATATAGTGAATCCCCATCTCTGCTACAACAACAAAAATGAGCAGAGTGTGTTTGCTTTCACCTGTAGTCCCAGATACTACCTGTAATCCCAGAGTCTCAGGAGGCTGAGGCAGGAGGATCACTTGAGCCTAGGGAGGTTGAGGCTGCAGTGAACTATGATCGCTGTCACTGCACTCCAGCCTGGGCAACAGAGCTGGACTCTGTCTCTAAAAAAATAAGAAGAAGAAAGTAGGTAGTTTACGAACAAAGCTCTTCTGGGAGAGAACTGGGGAGGGCTGCGTGTGCTCCGGGAGCCCCCATAACCTCCTGGCTGTGTTCCCAGCGCCCCAGCCTGCAGCTGACTGAGGACCACGAGTGAGCCAGCGAGGGGGCGGGAGACCTCAGCCGCAGCCGCCGCCCCCTCCCCTGCAGCGACTCGGACCCGCTACTGCCTGCCCCCAACTCCCCGGGCCCGGCCCCTGCCCTGCTGCCCCCAACAGCGTCTGGCTCCCCTACTAACGTCCCCCTCTTCGCCCTTGCCCCCATCCCCACCCGCCCCTCTCCCGGCCCTGCTTTTATTTATTTTGGATTAGCCGGTTGCCCACCCCAGCCCTCTGGTCCATCCCTCCCTCCGTGCCGCGCCCCCCTAGGACCGCCCCCTCCCCAAAAGGCTTTTGGATTTGTGCATAGCTGGAGTGAAGGCGGAGGGAGCCTGCTACAGGCCGCAGCCCAACCCCTGTTTTTTATTCAGATTTCCCCTCCTTTACCCTTTCCCTTTTTTTTTTTTTTTTTTTTTTTAAAGAAACCTTTTTTAAACTATTTCTAGGTTTGTGAATGTGAAGCCCCAGGCCGCAGGGGGCAAGGGGCCAGGTGCCCCCCACCAGCTGAGAACAAAGTGTCTATCTGGGTGTGGGCCCCTGGCCGCCTCCCTCCAGCCCTGGAGAGGAGGGCAGGGCTGCGGGGAGGCCAGGCCGAGCCCCTGGAACCATCCCGTCCTGTATCATATGTAAATACTGTGAGGTGATGTGCCCACCCCTCTCTAAGACCCCTCGGGGGTGAGGGGCTCCCCCCTCCCCTGTTTCTGTCCCCTCAGACACCGTTACTGTAAGCTTGCAGGCCTCAGCTGTGGCCACGGCAGGCCCGCTCTCTCAGGCCCTCAGGGTCAAGGCCTTGGTTGGACCTGCCCACTCCAAAAACCCAGTGTGGGGGCAAAGGGCGTGGGAAGAGCAGGGCTTGCCCAGCGACACTGCTGGACAGGAATTAACTCTCCAAAGGTCTCCCCTGCTCCCTACCTAGGTTGGGGCTTCATGGTTTCTGCTCAGTCTGTCCCCCTTCCCCCTCGACCCCCGCAATGAGTGGGCACCAGGGGACGCTCTGGCGAGGGCAGACCCCAGGGGAAAGCAAAGGGCGTCTCAGGGAACCCCCACATTCTCTCACTGAAGTTTCCCACCAGGATGACCCCACAGCCAGAGTCCCTTGGCAGCCCCTCACCCCAGACCCCCCTTCTAAGGAAAAAGAGAGGTTCAGAGCGTTGGACCTTCATGAACAGTGGCCTGGCTGGCGTGGCAGGGCCAAGGCCCACCCACTGCCATCCCCCTTCTGTGTGTCCCTCTCCCCCAGTTATGAGGCCCAGGGCCTGAGCTCTCTTCCCCAGCATTGCCCCCACCCGGAAACCCCACCTTTGGAGAGTTAATTGTCTGTGTGAGGTGCTTAACCTATCAGCCCTGAGAACACAAAGCAATAATCTTTGTTACTGAGATGCGCGGCTGTTCGTGTTTTGGGTTTTTTTTTTTTTTAATGTTTCCTAATAAAAGAGAAGCTGCATTTTATTGGTTTTTATTTTTAATTTTCTACACGTTTGAGCTGAGTCCTGAGACACTTAGCTTCCCTCTCCCTCATTCCCGGACCCTTCCACCCCACTGGGCCCAACCATGGGCTCAGGACCCTGGAATTCCGTTTTCTGATTTGCTTTGGGATTTTTTTTTTTTTTAAGATGTTACATGGTGTTTCGAAGCCAGCAAGTTACCATCCTCCGGTGTCTCTTCTCTCCACATCTGTAACTTCTTTTTCCAGGTTTTATTTTCAGTTTTAAATTCCTAATAAATTATTTGAAAACGTTGCTGGGCTTGTGAATGTCTTGTGTCTCTGTGCATTCAGGGATACCTCATTTTCCTGTTTTAGGGATGGCAGGACTCACCTCCATCCTCTTAGGGTCCTGGCAGGATCCAAGAATTAAATTGACACAAGATAGATGAACAGGGCCAGTCAGTCACAGTGGCTCATGCCTGTAATCCCAGCACTGTGGGAGGCAGAGGTGGGCAGATCAATTGAGGTCAGGAGTTCGAGACCAGGCTGGTCAACATGGCGAAACCCCATCTCTACTAAAAATACAAAAATTAGCCGAGTGTGGTGGTGGGTGCCTGTGGTCCCAGCTACTCAGGAGGCTGAGGCAGGAAAGTCTCTTGAACCCTGGAGCTGGAGGCTGCGGTGAGCTGAGATCATGCCACCGCACTCTAGCCTGGGTGAGAGTGAGACTCTGTCTCAAAAAAAAAAAAAAAAAAAGAATAGGAGAAAAGCGTACACATTTATTTATTAAAAGTTGTGCATGGCATGGGAGCCTCCATAAAGAAATGAAGGCAGAGTGTGGTTGCTCACACCTGTAATCCCAGTACTTGGGGAGGCTGAGGCAAAAGGAGTGCTTGAGGCCAGGGGTTCAAGACCAGCCTGGGCAACTTAGTGAGACCTTCATCTATATAAAATATTAAATTATTTAGGTATGGTGGCACAAGCCTGTGGTCCCAGCTACTCAGGGGACAGAGGTGGGAAGATTGCTTGAGCCCTGGGAGTTGGAGGCTGCAGTGAGCCATGTTCTTGACACTGCATTCCAGCCTGGAGGACAGAGCAAGATGCTCTCATTCTCAAAAAAAAAGAAGAGAGAGAGAGGGAGAAATGAAGACCTAAAGAAGCAGTTAGAGTTACTGATATACTGGATTGGACAAAGAATAGTAAATTATGAAAAAGCCACTCAATTATGTGGAGAAGCTTAAAAGATAACAGCTATTTTGGGCCAGGCATGGTGGCTCACGCCTATACTCCCAGCACTTTGGGAGGCCAAGGCGGGCGGATCGCCTGAGCTCAGGTGTTCGAAACCACCCTGTGCAACATGAAACCCCGTCTCTACTAAAATACAAAAAATTAGCTGGGTGTGGTGGCACGCACCTGTAGTCCCAGCTACTTGGGAGGCTGAGGCATAAGAATCGTTTGAGCCCAGGAGGCAGAGGTTGCAGTGAGCCAAGGTCGCGCCACTGCACTCCAGCCTGGGTGACGGAGTGAGACTGTCTCAAAGAAAAAAAAAAAAAGCTATTTTGGCTGGGCACGTTGGCTCACAACTGTAATCGAAACACTTTGGGAGGCTGAGGAAGGCGGATCCCTTGAGTCCAGCAGTTCGAGACTTGCCTGGGTGATATGGTAAAACCCCATCTCTACAAAAAAATACAAAAATTAGCCGGTTGTGTGGTGGTGCAGGCCTGTAGTCTCAGCTACTTGGGAGGCTGAGATGGGAGGATTTCTTGAGCCAGGGAGACAGAGGCTGCAGTGAGCTGAGATTGCACCACTGTACTCCAGCCTGGGTGACAGAGCAAGACCCTGTCTCAAAAAAAAAAAGAATTACTTTAACAAGGGCCTGCACAGAATCATCTCGGTGCCGACTTCCCGCCCTCGAAGATAAGGATGTTGCCTTTCCTTCCAGTACAGGTTGGGGGTCTTTCACTCAGGAATTTCATCATCTTCTGCTTTTAAGAAACAGCACAAAGGTGAGAGTGATCATCTTGTTCCTGCTGTTTTTCAAGTGCCTTTAACTTAAATAATCAGAGTGGATATTTTTAAATATTCTCTGCACTTTCTCCCTCCTGCTTTCCTCCTGGGAAGGTCTTTACTTTCCACTTGACCCAGAGCTTAGTGTTGACAATGAGATGCCACTTCACACTCATTGCTGGGATTACAGGCGTGCACCACCGCACCCAGCCCTTCAAACAGATATGTGTACGCCAGTGTTCACAGCAGCAATATTCATGATAGCCAAAAGGTAGAAACAACCCAAAAGTCCATCAATGGATAAATGGATACGTAAAATGTGATCTATCCATACAATGGACTATTTATTCAGCCTTAAAAAGGAAGGAAATTGGGCTGAATGTGGTGGCTCACACCTGTAATCCCCAGCACTTTGGGAGACCAAAGCAGGTGGATTACCTGAGGTCAGGAGTTTGAGACCAGCCTGGCCAACATGGTGAAACCCTGTCTCTACTAAAAATACAAAAATTAGCCAGACGTGGTGGTGGGCACCTGTAATCCCAGCTACTTGGGAGGCTGAGGCAGAAGAATCGCTTGAACCCAGGAGGTGGAGGTTGCAGTGAGCCAAGATAGTGCCACTGTACTCCAGCCTCCACCCTGGGTGACAGAGCAAGACTCTGTCTCAAAAAAAAAAAAAAAAAAAGGAAGGGAATACTGTCATATACTACAACATGGATGAACCTTGAGGACATCAGCTTACATCGTGTTATATGAAATAAGACTGTGGATGAAATACTATATGATTCCACTTATACAAGGTACTGAGATTAGTCAAATTCACAGAAACAAGAAGTAGAATGGTGGTTACCAGAGCCTGGGGCAAGGGAGAAGGAGAGTTGTTTAATGGGTGCAGTTTTGGATTTGCAAGATGAAAAATGTTATCAGTGTGAATATACTGAACACTACTGAACTGCCTATTCAAATATGGTTAAGATGGTAAACTTTATATATTTTTTACCAGAATTAAAAAATACTTAAAGTTTGAAATGCATACAGAAGTGCTTATGAATAAAATGACTTGAGAGCTATGATTTGCTTTAAAATAGCCAATAAAAAAGAAGTATGTGGGTGATATGGTTTGGCTCTGTGTCCCCACCCAAATCTCATCTGGAATTGAAATCCCCAGGGAGGGATCTGGTGGGAGGTGATTGGATTATGGGGGTGGTTCCCCCCATGCTGTTCTCATGATAGTGAGTTCTCACAAGATCCAGTGGTTTAAAAGTAACACTCCCCACTCTGCTCTCTCTCTCCTGCTGCCATGTAAGATGTGCTTTGCTTCCCCTTTGCCTTCTGCCATGATTGTAAGTTTCCTGAGGCTTCCCAGCCATGTGGAACTATCAAACCTCCTTTCTTTATAAATTACCCAGTCTCAGGTAGTATCTTTATAGCAGTGTGAGAACAGACTAATACAGAGAATTGGTACCAGCTCTCATGAGATCCGATGATTATATAAGGGGGAGTTTTCCTACACAAGGTCTCTTCTCTTGTCTTGCCACCATGTGAGACATGCCTTTCAACTTTTGCCATGATTGTGAGGCCTCCCCAGCCAGGTGTAACTATAAATCCATTAAATCTTTTTTTCTTCCCAGTCTCAGGTACGTCTTTATCAGCAGCATGAAAACTGACTAATACATGTGAAAATGCCTGGATGTCCAGGCAGAAGTCAGCTGCAGGGGCAGAGCCCTCATGGGGAACCTCTGCTAGGTGTACTGCTATACAGATAACCTGAAACTTGTAGATGTGACTTTGGAATTGGATAACAGGCAGAGGTCGGAACAGTTTAGGGGGGGCTCAGAAGAAGACAGGAAGATGTGGGAAAGCTTGGAACTTCTTAGAGACTTGTTGAATGGTATTGACCAAAATGTTGATAGTGATATGGATAATGAAGTCCAGGCTGAGATGGTCTCAGATGGAGATGAGGAATTTACTTGGTCCTGGAGCAAAGGTCATTCTTGCTATGCTTTAGCAAAGGGACTGGTGGCATTTTGCTCCTGCCCTAGAGATCTGTGGAACTTTGAACTTGAGAGAGATTATTTAGGTTATCTGGCAGAAGAAAAATTCTAAGCAAAAAAGCATTCAAGAGGTGAGTGGCCTTTTCTGAAAGCATTCTATCATGTGCATTCACAAAGAGATGGTTTGAAATTGGGACTTATGTTTAAAAGGGAAGCAGAGCATAAAGGTTTGGAAAACTTGCAGCCTGACCATGTGGTAGAAAAGAAAAACCCATTTTCTGGGGATTCAAGCCAGCTGCAGAAATTTGCATAAGTAACAAAAAGCCAAATGTGTTAATGGCCAAGACCATGGGGGAAAATGTCTCCAAGGCACATCAGAAATCTTCATGACAGCCCCTACCATCACAGGCACAGAGGCCTAGGACAGAAAAATGGTTTCGTGGGTCAGATCCAGGGCTCCATTGCTCTGTGTAGCCCCCAGACATGGTGCCCTGCATCCCAGCCACTCCAGCTCCAGCTGTGGCTAAAAGGAGCCAAGGTACAGCTCGGGCCATTGCTTCAGAGGGTGCAAGCCACAAGCATTGTCAGCTTCCATGTGGTGATAGGCCTGCAGGTGTGCAGAAGAAAAGAGTTGAGGTTTGGGAACCTCTGTCTAGGTTTTAGAGGATGTATGGTGATATGGTTTGGCTGTGTCCCCACCCAAATCTCATCTTGAATTCCCACGTGTTGTGGGAGGGACCTGGTGTGAGGTAATTGAATAATGGGGGCAGGTCTTTCCTGTGCTGTTCTCATGATAGTGAATAAGTCTCATAAGATCTGATGATTCTATAAGGGGGAGTTTCCCTACACAAGGTCTCTTCTCTTACCTGCCACCATGTGAGACATGCCTTTCACTTTCTGCCATGATTGTGAAGCATCCTCAGCCATGTGGAAGTGTAAGTCCGTTAAATCTTTTTTTCTTCCCAGCCTCAGAAGTGTCTTTATCAGCAGCATGAAAATGGACTAATACATATGAAAATGCCTGGATGTCCAGGCAGAAGTCTGCTGCAGGGGCAGAGCCCTCATGGAAAACCTCTGCTAGGGCAGTGCAGAAGGGAAACGTGGGGTTGGAGCCCCCACACAAAATCCCCACTGGGGCATTGCCTAGTGCAGCTGAGAAGAGGGCCATCATCTTCCAGACCCCAGAAAGGTAGATCCACTGACAGCTCACACCATGTGCCTGGAAAAGCCACAGGTACATAGCCCCTGAAAGCAGCCATGGGGGCTGTACCCTGCAAAGCCACAGGATGGAGCTGCCTTAGGCCTTAGGAACCCACCCCTTACATCAGTGTGTAGGGTCCAGCCCCACAGGGTCAGTGGGTCTCTCCCCATGTGCAGAGACGAGAGAGTGTAGAAATAAAGACACAAGACAAAGAGATAAAAGAAAAGACAGCTGGGCCCGGGGAACCACTACCACCAAGTCACGGAGACCGGTAGTGGCCCTGAATGTCTGGCTGCACTGTTATTTATTGGATACAAAGCAAAAGGGGCAGGGTAAAGAGTGCGAGTCATCTCCAATGATACGTAAGGTCACGTGGGTCACGTGTCCACTGGACAGGGGGCCCTTCCCTGCCTGGCAGCCGAGGCAGAGAGAGAGAGGGAGAGAGAGAGACAGCTTACGCCATTGTTTCTGCTTATTAGAGACTTTTAGTACTTTCACTAATTTGCTACTGCTATCTAGAAGGCAGAGCCAGGTGTACAGGATGGAACATGAAGGCGGACTAGGAGCGTGACCACTGAAGCACAGCATCACAGGGAGACGGTTAGGCCTCCAGATAACCATGGGCGAGCCTGACTAATGTCAGGCCCTCCACAAGAGGTGGAGGAGTAGAGTCTTCTCTAAACTCCCCCAGGGAAAGGGAGACTCCCTTTCCCGGTCTGCTAAGCAGTGGGTGTTTTCCCTTGACACTTATGCTACCACTAGACCACGGTCCACCTGGCAACGGGCGTCTTCACAGACACTGGCGTTACCGCTAGACCAAGGAGCCCTCTGGTGGCCCTGTCCGGGCATAACAGAAGACTCGCACTCTTGTCTTCCGGTCACACCTCACTATGTCCCCTCAGCTCCCATCTCTGCATGGTCTGGTTTTTCCTAAGTTATGATTATAGAGCGAGGATTATTATAATATTGGAATAAAGAGTCATTGCTACCAACTAATGATTATTGATATTCATATATAATCATATCTAAGATCTATATCTAGTATAACTATTCTTGTTTTATATTTTATTATACTGGAACAGCTCATGTCCTCAGTCTCTTGCCTCGGCGCCTGGGTGGCTTGTCGCCCACACAGTGTGCCCTGGATGTGAGACATGCAGTCAAAGGAGATCATTTCAGAGCTTTAAGGTTTAATGACCGCACTGCTGGGTTTCGGACTTGCATGGGGCCTGTGACCCCTTTGTTTTGGCCAATTTCTCTCATTTGGAATGGGAACATTTACCCAATGCCTGTATCTGCGTTGTTTCTTGGAAGTAACCAACTTGTTTCTTATTTTACAGACTCATAGGTGGAGGGACTTACCTTGTCTCAGATGAGACTTTAAACTTGGACTTTTGGGTTATTGCTGGAATGAATTAAGACTTTGGAGGACTGTGGGGAAGGCATGATTGATTTTGAAATGTGAAAAGGACATAAGATTTGGGAGGAGCCAAGGAGGAATGATATGGTTTGGCTCTGTTTTCCCACCAAAATCTCATCTCAAATTGTATTCCCCAAGTGTGGAAGAAAGGACCTGGTGGAAGGTGATTGGATTATGGGGGCGTTTTCCCCCATGGTGTTCTCAAAAAAAAAAAAAAAGAAGAGAAAAAATATATAGTATATTTGAGTTTTAAAGCATAATAACACCCAGTAACCTCTATCCAACCCAATAGTCATTTCAAAAAAAAAAACAAAAAAACAAAAAAACAGTGGTTTAAAACTACATAACTATCAGAATCACCTAGAAAAAAAAATTTTTTTTTTTCGAGATGGAGTTTCACTCTGGTTGCCCAGGCTGGAGTGCAATGATGCGATCTTGGTTCACGGCAACCTCTGCCTCCCGGGTTCAAGCGGTTCTCCTGACTCAGCTTCCCAAGTAGCTGGGATTACAGGCATGCACCACCACACCCGGCTAATTTTTATATTTTTAGTAGAGACGGGGTTTCTCCATGTTGGTCAGGCTGGTCTCAAACTCCCAACCTCGGGTGATCCGCTGGCCTCGGCCTCCCAAAATGCTGGGATTACAGGCGTGAGCCACCATGCCTGGCCTGCTGAAAAAAAATTTAAATAAAAAAGAGCGGCTGGGCACGGTGGCTCATGCCTGTAATCCCAGCACTTTGGGAGGCCAAGGCGGGCAGATCACCTGAGGTCAAACGTTTAAGACCAACCTGGCCAACATGGCGAAACCCCATTTCTACTAAAAATACAAAAAAATTAGCCAAGCGTGATGGCGCATGCCTGTAATCCCAGCTACTTGGGAGGCTGAGGCTGGAGAATCACTTGAACCTGGGAGGCAGGGGTTGCAGTGAGCCGAGATTGCACCACTGCACTCCAGCCTGGGTGACAGAACCAGACATCGTCTCAAAAAAAAAAAAGAGAGAGAGACCACAGATTTCAGATCCTTATACCCAACCTGCACATCTTACATTCCAATAATCTGTATTACCTTTTTTTTTTTTTTTTGAAACAGGGTCTCCCTCTGTTGCCCAGGCTGGAGTAGAGTGATACAATCATAGCACAATGTGGCCTTGAATTCCTGACTCAAGCAATCCTCCTGCCTCAGCTTCCAGAATAGCTGGGATTATAAGCTTGAGCCATCATGCCTGGACTATATCACTCTTTAAGTTTTCCAGGGGAGTCCAGGGATCAGTCAAGTTTGGGAGCCACTGGCTACACTATCCCTTCTCCGGAGAGATGGAGGTAGACAGTGCCATTATAGCAGTTAGGAGGCTGTCAGGAAGATCCTGACACTGAAGATGGTGGCTTTGGGAGTGGAAAAGGTTTAGTTACACCGGTATACTGCCTCATTTTGCTCATTGGCACCTGATGGTGGGCTAGCCTATACAAGGCTCTTAGTATCCTTCCTAGCACAGCCTCACAGCATGTTAATTGCTGCTGTTGTTATCATTGGAGAGAGCAGGAATCAGAGGCAGGTAGACACAGGTTCAAATTTTTTCTCCACTTTCTAGCCATGTGACTTTGAGCAAGTTACTTACACTCTCTGAAACTGCTTCATCATCTATCTATAAGATGGGGAAGATGATGACAACTATCACAGTAATAATAACTATATCAGAAGAGTGTTGTTAGGCTGAAAGACAACATATGTAAAGCACAGTGCTAGCACAGTGCCAAGCGTATAGAAACACTCAGCAGATGGTAGCTGGTAGCTGCTGTTAAGCACTTCCTAGAAACAGGAGCCCTATCCTTTAGAAGCCAAATAGACCTGGCCGGGTGCGGTGGCTCACGCCTGTAATCCCAGCACTTTGGGAGGCCGAGGCGGGCGGATCACCTGAGGTCAGGAGTTCGAGACCAGCCTCAACATGGAGAAACCCCATCTCTACTAAAAATACAAAATTTGCTGGGTGTGGTGGTGCCTTCCTGTAATCCCAGCTACTCAGGAGGCTGAGGCAGGAGAATTGCTTGAACCTGGGAGGCGGAGGTTGCGGTGAGCTGAGATCACGCCATTGTACTCCAGCCTGGGCAACAAGAGCGAAACTCCATCTCAAAAAAAAAAAAAAAAAAAAAAAGAAGCCAAGTAGATGTGGCCTTGCTGAAGCGTGGGTACGCCCTCACCTGAAGGGGCCAAGCAGCTATGCTTAGCTGTTCTTTCCACTGAAGAGTGTGTTTTTCCCAGGCTGGGAGAGGCTGTGCTTCGCACACCTGTGCAGGGATCTGGGGTGGTGGAAGGTCAAGGTACAAAGAGTGTAGGGGCTTGGGGAGCTACCTAGTGCCCTTCCAGGTCCCTTATACTGTCACCTTTGTGGCAGGAGCCACAGAGGTCTGGGCTGTCACAGTGAGCATGTCTCTTTCCAGGGGGAGAGGGTTGTGGCAGCGGCCGGACCCCCTCCCCACCAGGTGCTTTGCCTAAACTCCAGCACGTGGAGTTTGTCCAGATTGTTCTTAGGAAGGCTTTCATGGGCTGGGGAAGGAGGGAAGTCGTAGGTTGGACTGAATCTCTTCCTTCCTCAAGGGACTTTCAGTACTCCCTAGCCTGAGATGGTAGCATGAGAACCAGATCGAACTCATATCTTGGTCCTGATGTGTGACTCTGGGGCAGTCACTTAACCTCTCTCAGCCTCAGCTGTCTTCTCTGTAAAATGAAGTTTGTACTGGACCTACCTCGACCTTTGTGCCAGGTTCTTAGCATATGGGACCTGGGATGGAGTTAGCGCTCAGTTAATAGTAACTCATTAGCCAGGTGCGGTGGCTCATGTCTGTATTCCCAGCACTTTGGGAGACCGAGTTGGGTGGATCACTTGAGAGCAGGAGTTTGAGACCAGCCTGGCCAACATGGCAAAACACTATCTCTAATAAAAATACAAAAATTAGCCAGGTGTGGTGGCACTTGCCTATAGTCCCAGCTACACAGGAGGCTGGGGCAGAAGAATCACTTGAACCTGGGAGGTGGAGGTTGCAGTGAGCCAAGATTGCACCACTGCACTCCAGCCTGGAAAAAAAGGGTAATTAATAACTTTACTTGCAACCATAGCTGCTTCTCCTTCTTTGAGCCACCCCCAATCACCCACTTAGCATCCTTCAGGCCTAAACCTAGGAGCAGTGCCTGGTCCTCTGTCTTGTTATGACCCCAAGGAACCCACATAAGAGGGACTGAACATTTTGCTGGGCAAGGCTTCCCTTTGCTTGGGCAGACTCCACTCATTCTGGGGCTGCAGAGGCAGGACCATTCAGTCAAGCTGATGTGGGATTCTGACCTAACCAAGTCCCCCTCCATTAGTCCTCATAGCCCCCACCTCCCATGGGGCAGCCCTGAGACAGGCTCTGTGACAATCCACAGCAGCCCTGTCCAACAGAACCTTCTGTGATCATGGAAACATTCTGTGGCTGCCAATCTGGCAGCCACTCGCCACATGTGTCTATGAGCCTTGAAATGTGGCCATTGTGACTGAGAAACTGAACTTTTAATGGTATTTCATTTTTATTTTTATTTTTTTTTTATTTATTTTGAGGCAGAGTCTCACTCTGTCACCCGGGCTGGAGTGCAGTGGCACTCGGCTCACTGCAAGCTCCGCCTCCCGGGTTCACGCCATTCTCCTGCCTCAGCCTCGGGAGTACCTGGGACAACAGGCACCCGCCACCACGCCCGGCTAATTTTTTGTATTTTTAGTAGAGATGGGGTTTCACCATGGTCTCGATCTCCTGACCTCAGGTGATCCACCCGCTTCGGCCTCCCGAAGTGCTGGGACTGCAGGCATGAGCCACCACGCCCGGCCCAGAAAAGAGATGATTAAACATAAAGCAGCCATGTGATGAAATGGCACTTTGCCTCTGTGGTCTTCCTCCCCCAAACCCATAACTGTAATCTAATTATGAGAAAAACACAGGACAATTCCAATAGAGAGCCAGGTGCAGTGGTTCACGCCTGTAATCCCAGCACTTTGGGAGGCTGAGGCGGGCAGATCATGAGGTCAAGAAATCAAGACCATCCTGGCCAACATGGTGAAACCCCGTCTCTACTAAAAATACAAAAATTAGCTGGACGCAGTGGTGTGCACCTGTAGTCCCAGCTACTCGGGAGGCTGAGGCAGGAGAATCATTTGAACCCGGGAGGCAGAGGTTGCAGTGAGCTGAGATCGCGCCACTGCACTCCAGCCTGGTGACAGAGTGAGACTCCGTCTCAAAAATAAATAAAAATAAATAAATAAAAATTAGCTGGGCGTGGTGGCACGTGCCTGTAATCCCAGCTACTCAGAGGCTGAGGCACAAGAATCACTTGAACCTGGGAGACAGAGATTGCAGTGAGCCGAGATTGTGCCACTGCACTCCAGCCTGGGCGACAGAGTGAGACTACAACAAACACACACACACACACCCACACACACACACACACAAATTCCAAGAGAGGGTCATCCTGACCAATACTCCTCAAAACTATCAAGGTTGCTGGGCACAGTGGCTCACGCCTGTGATCCCAATGCTTTGGGAGGCTTAGATGGGAGGATCACTTGAGGCCAGGAGTTCAAGACCAGCCTGGGCAACATAGGGAGACGCCGTGTCTCCAAAAATTTTTTTGAGACAGAGTCTCGCTGTGTCGCCCAGGCCGGAGTACAGTGGCGTGATCTCGGCTCACTGCAAACTCTGCCTCCTGGGTTCACGCCATTCTTCTGCCTCAGCCTCCCAAGTTGCTGAGATTACAGGCACCCGCCACCATGCCCAGCTTATTTTTTGTATCTTTAGTAGAGACAAGGTTTCACTGTGTTAGCCAGGATGGTCTCCATCACCTGACCTCGTGATCCGCCTGCCTCGGTCTCCCCAAGTGCTGGGATTACAGGTATGAGCCACCGTGCCTGGCCCAAAAAATTTTTTTAAATTAGCCAGGTGTGGTGACACATGTCTGTAGTCCCCACTAATCGGGAGGCTAAGGTGGGAGGATTGCTTGAGCCCAGGAGGTTGAGGCTGCAGTGAACTATGATCGTGTCACTGCACATCAGTCTGGGAAACAGAGCGACACTTTGTCTCAAAAAAAAAAAACAGATAAATAAATTAAATAACCAGGCCCTCCTTATCCCACAGGGTTGTTGTAGAGGTGACATAGGAACAGAAGAGCACCAAGTTAACCAATTATAAATCTATATAGAGAGAAGCAGATCAGAGGCCAGGCACAGTGGCTCATGCCTATAATCCCAGCATTTTGGGAGGCTGAGGAGTGGATCACCTGAGGTCAAGAGTTTGAGACCAGCCTGACCAACATGGTGAAACCTTGTCTCTACTAAAAATACAAAAATTATCCAGGCATGCTGGCAGGCGCCTGTAATTCCCAGCTACACGAGAGGCTGAGGCAGGAGAATCGCTTGAACCTGGGAGGCGGAGGTTGCAGTAAGCCGAGATCGTGCCATTGCACTCCAGCCTGGGCGACAAGAGCGAAACTCTGTCTCAAAAAAAAAAGAGAGAGAGAGAGAGAAGCAGATTAGCAGTTACCAGGGGCTGAGGGAGTGTGACTGCTAATGGGTACAGGGTTTCCTTCTGGAGTGATAAAAATGTTCTGGAACCCCATAGAGGTGATGGTTGCACAACACTGTGAAGGTACTAAATGCCCCCGAATTGTTTACTTAAACGTGGTTAATGTTATGTGAATTTCAGCTAAACAATGTTATGTAGATATTTGGCCGGGCGCGGTGGCTCACGCCTGTAATCCCAGCATTTTGGGAGGCCGAGGCAGGTGGATCACGAGGTCAGGAGATCGAGACCATCCTGGCTAATGCGGTGAAACCCCATCTCTACTAAAAATACAAAAAAAAAAATTAACCGGGCGTGGTGGTGGGTGCCTGTAGTCCCAGCTACTTGGGAGGCTGAGGCAGGAGAATGGCATGAACCTGGGAGGCAGAGCTTGCAGTGAGCCAAGATCGCGCCATTGCACTCCAGCCTAGGCAACAGAGCAAGACTCCGTCTCAAAAAATATATATAAATAAATAGATATGTGATGTGACAGGTTTTTTTTTGAGATGGAGTTTTGCTCTTGTTCCCTAGGCTGGAGTGCAATGGCGTGATCTCAGCTCACCGCAACCTCCGCCTCCAGGGTTCAAGCCATTCTCCTGCCTCGGCCTCCGGAGTAGCTGGGATTACAGGCATAAGCCACCATGCCTGGCTAATTTTGTGTTTTTAGTAGAGACAGGGTTATTCCATGTTGGTCAGGCTGGTCTCGAACTCTCCACCTCAGGTGATCTGCCAGCCTCAGCCTCCCAAAGTGCTGGGATTACAGGCATGAGCCACCGTGCCTGGCCTCTGATATGACAGTTCTAATGCCCTTTAGTATTCTATAATTCAGACTCAGGCCTTTGGAATCCAAAGCCCAGGTTTTTCTCACAAACCCACACTGCAGAGCGGAGTGGTGGAAAAAAATAAAACCTCTGCCTTGGAATCAGACAGATCTAAACTGGAGCCCTATTTTGTCATTTGCCAACTGTGTGACCTTGGGCAAGTTACCGCAACTCTCTGAACCTGTCTCTTTATCTGCAAGGTGCACGACTGATGGGACTATTCAACCAGACCCAGTGCACAGATTCAGGCACTTGATAAGACATTGAGGCTGCAGGCAGCGATCTTTTTTCTTTCTTTCTTTTTTTTTTTTTTTTTTTGAAATAGGGTCTCACTCTGCTGCAGAGGCTCAATCACTGTTCATTGCAGCCTTGACCTCCCTGGCTCAAGAGATCCTCCCATCTCAGCCTCCTGAGTTGCTGGGATCACAGGTGCAATCCACCACCACACCTGGTTAACATTTTTTTTTTTAGAGATGAGGTCTCTCTATGTTGCCCAGGCTGCACTTCCTTCTTGTCTCCCTTATCCCAGCGTCCGACTGAACTGACGGCTTTGCTTTCCCCAACCAGCCCGTGAAGCTGGGCTGAGTACAAAGTGGTGGGTATGAGGGTCAAGATTGTAAGATCTGAAAACTCCAGAAACCATCCCTTTGGTTAACAGTTGCTAAGGACAAATGCATAACATATTTTCCAGTGATCCCATGCTGGCAAATCGTCAGGGTCATTCCTGCAACAGACAGATTCAAGGCCAGCCCCAAACTCAGCCAAGAGCAAAGCAAACACTCCAGCCTTATCTGGGCAGGGTTGTGTGGAGACTGACTATAAGACTATACCTGAGACTGGTCATCTCAGTTCTTTTCTCACCTTGACTGCAAGATGAAACTCCTTGTGCTAGCTGTGCTGCTCACAGGTAGGCAAGTCTCCCCGGCTCCACCCGCCTTTCTCTCCCAAGTGAGCTAAGATCTCACTCCTCTGGAATGGGGGCCACAGGCCACAGCAAACAGGGATGGCCAGCCCCGCAGTCTCAATTCGAGGTTCCCAGTGGGGCTTAAGGGCTCCTCTATTGGGGTTCCCTCAAGGCTGGCACTTTTTCAACCTGCAAGTCTGAACTCAGATTGCCTGAGCTAAGAAAGCTTGCCTTTATTTTCTTTTTTCCAGACAGGGTCTTGCTCTATCACCCAGGCTGGAGTTCAGTGGCATGATCATAGCTCACCACAGCTTCCAACTCGTGGGCTCAAGTGATCCTCCCACCTTACTCAACTAAGTAGTTAGGCCAATCTCCCATTTATTTTATTTTATTTTAATTTTTATTTTTATTTTACTTTATTTTATTTTTGAGACGGGGCTCACTCTGTCGCCCAGGCTGGAGTGCGGTGGCGTGATCTCAGATCACTACAACCTCCATCTCCTGGGTTCAAATAATTCTCTTGCCTCAGCCTCTCAAGTAGCTGGGACTTGTAGCTCTCAAGTAGCTGGCACACACCACCATGCCCAGCTAATTTTTTGTGTGTTTTTTTTGGTAGAGACAGGTTTTCACCATGTTGGCCAGGCTGGGTGACCTCCCTTTTAGATTCTCCTCATCCTGCTCTATTCTTCCCCTTTCTAATGCAGTATCCAGTTTCCTTACTTATCACATTTATTATTATTCTTATTATTATTGAGACAGAGTCTTGCTTTGTCGCCAAGGCTGGAGTACAGTGGTGCGATCTCGGCTCACTGCAAGCTCCACCTGCTGGGTTCACGCCATTCTCCCGCCTCAGCCTCCCCAGTAGCTGGGACTAAAGGCGCCTGCCACCACGCCCCGCTAATTTTTTTGTATTTTTAATAAAGACGGGGTTTCATCGTGTTAGCCAGGATGGTCTCGATCTCATGACCTTGTGATCCGCCTGCCTCGGCCTCCCAAAGTGCTGGGATTACAGGCATGAGCCACCGTGCCCGGCCTTATCACATTTATTATTTATTGTTTTTCTCTCCCACTAGGTTGTAAGCTCCATGAGGTTAGAGATTATTATTATTATTATTATTATTATTATTATTATTATTATTATTATATCTGTTCACTGCTGTATCTCTAGCTCCTAGGACAGAGCCTGGCACATAGTAAGTGCTCAATAAATATTCACTGGATAAACAGTGCAGATAGTTTAAAACTATCTGACCTAGGGAGGCTGAGGCAGGAGAATGGCGTGAACCCGGGAAGCAGAGTTTGCAGTGAGCTGAAATCGTGTCACTGCACTCCAACCTGGGCAACAGAGCAAGACTCCATCTCAAAAAAAAAAAAAAAACTATCAGGCCTAGCTGGGTGGCACATGCCTGTAATCCTAGCTGAGGCGGTAGGGTCCCAGAAGAAGAAGAAGAAGAAAAAGAAGAAGATATATATATATATACACACACACAAAGATATAAACTTTATATATATAAAGTTTTCATTAAAAAAAAAAAAAAACCTCTACCCACTTTCACTTTACCAGGTTCCTGGGTCCAACGGTCTTCAGAGGAGGCAGCTGGCAGGGGTCAGGGAGGCAGCGTGGGACCCGAGGGAGCAGGAAGGCAGTGTGTCCCCGGGGTGCTGGCAGACCGATTTGAACTCTGGCTATGTCTTCTTGCAGTGGCCGCCGCCGACAGCGGCATCAGCCCTCGGGCCGTGTGGCAGTTCCGCAAAATGATCAAGTGCGTGATCCCGGGGAGTGACCCCTTCTTGGAATACAACAACTACGGCTGCTACTGTGGCTTGGGGGGCTCAGGCACCCCCGTGGATGAACTGGACAAGTAAGTGATCCGCCTGCAGGAAAATTGGAGTGCCTGCCGGGGGCGGGGTGGGGCACACGCCAAGGATCTCACGAGGCATACAAAGGGGACTTGCATATCTGCTAAGGATAACATATTTTCACCTCTTGTCAAATAAACAAATATGTTCCAAGAGGACCCTGTAGCGAACGCACCCCGTTAGAGATGGAAACAATGACCGACGTGCAAAACAGTGGGCGATGCTGCCCTCCAGTGGCAGAATGTAGCAACAGTAAACATCACAGCAACTATCCACGTGTCATTTTCTAGCAGTGGTTGTCACTGCACCTTCTGAATACAGGATTTTACTGTATTCTTGCAACCATGTTAAAAATCGCTTTCAGGCCAGGCGCGGTGGCTCATGCCTGTAATCCCAGCACTTTGGGAGGCCGAGGCGGGCGGATCACTTGAGGTCAGGAGTTCGAGACCAGCCTGGCCAACATGGTGAAACCCTGTCTCTACTAAAAAATACAAAAATTAGCCGGACATGGTGGCGAGCGCCTGTAACCCCAGCTACTTGGGAGACTGAGTTGGAGGTTTCAGTGAGCCAAGGTCGTGTCACTGCTGTCCAGCCTGGGTAACAGAGCAACTCTGTCTCAAAAAAAAAAAATGCTTTCAATAAATATATGATAAAAGGACTTATATTTTTTCAAGCCATAGGATCATTTCTCCTGAAGCATCTTGGCGAAGTCATCCCCACCTGTTCCTGAGAGTGGGCAGGTGAGGGCTGACCTATTGCTCTGCACTTACTCCTATCTCAGCTGTCCCTCCCACTTTCCAGGTGCTGCCAGACACATGACAACTGCTATGACCAGGCCAAGAAGCTGGACAGCTGTAAATTTCTGCTGGACAACCCGTACACCCACACCTATTCATACTCGTGCTCTGGCTCGGCAATCACCTGTAGCAGTAGGTTTATCCCTTCCTTGACCTATGAATTCTAGTTGGTTCTCAGTAGGCCGGGGGGAAATAATAGTAACAACAGCCATGATTTAGTGTTAATTTTCTTGGTTCTGGGCAGTGTCTCCTTTAATCCTCAGAACAACACTATGGGATAGGTACAATTATCCTCACTTAACAGATAAGAAAACTGAGGCTCAGAAGGCTGAGCTATTTGCCCAAGATCACACAGCTTGTAAGTGGTGACAGTTTGGGTTTTTTTTTGTTGTTGTTTAGAGACAGGGTCTTGCTCTGTCACCCAGGCATGAGCACAGTGGTGCAACCATAGGTCACTGCAGCCTCAACCTCCTGAGCTCAAGGGATCTGCTGACCTCAGCCTCCCAAGTAGCTGGGACTACGAGCGTGCACCACCACGCCTGGCTAATTAAAAAAATTTTTTTGTAGAGACTGGGTCTTACTACGTTGGCCAGGCTTGTCTTAAACTCCTGGCTTCAAGCAATCCTCCTACCTTGGCATCCCAAAGTGCTGGGATTACAGGGGTGAGCCACCATGTGCGGCTACTTATTTCTTTACATTCCATCTTTCCAATAGAATGTAAGATCCACAGAACAGGGATTACTGCCTATTTTCTTCCTTTCTTTTTTGAGACAGAGTCTCACTTCATCACCTCAACCTCCGTTCAGCTCACTGCAACCTCTGCCTCCCGGGTTCAAGCGATTCTCCTGCCTAAGCCTCCTGAGTAGCTGGAATTACAAGCGTGCACCACCATGCTTGGCTAATTTTTTGTATTTTTAGCAGAGATGGGGTTTTACCATGTTGCCCAGGCTGGTCTCAAACTCCTGACCTCAAGTGATCTGCCTGCCTCAGTCTCCCAAAGTGCTGGAATTATAGGCGTGAGTCACTGTGCCTGGCCGATTACTGTCTATTTTCTTTATTGCTATATCCCCAGATCTAGAGCAGTGTCTGACATATAGTAGGTGCTCAATAAATAATTGATGAATGCACAGCCTAGATATAAACTTTCTTTTTCTTTTTTTAAAACAATCTTGACAACTTTGCAGAATAAATACAATCTTGCATTCTGCTTTTTCACTTATCACCTTGTTATGACTTTTTCATATTGCCTCAAACCTTTATTGTTACTGTTTTTTCATTGTTACTATTTTAGTCACTGAATAATATGGCTTAATTTGCTTATACATCCTCCTGCTCCACTTTAGAAGGCCAAATTTACAAATCTGATGAAAGCTATGAACCCTCTCCCCAGAGAAATACACACACACACACACACTCACACACAGTTTTTTTTTAATGTTTGCAACTAAGACAAGAAACCTGCATTAGAGGATGTTTGTTCATATTAATTAAAAATAACTCAGTTGGGCACAGTGACTCAAGCCTGTAACCACAGTACTTTGGAAGTCCAAGGTGGGTGGATCACTTGAGGTGAGAAGTTCGAGACCAGCCTGGTCAATATGGTGAAACCCTATCTCTACTAAAAATACAAAAATTAGCTGGGTGTAGTGATGCATGCCTGTAGTCCCAGCTACTCGGGAGGCTGAGGCAAGAGAATTGCTTGAACCTGGGAGGCAGAGGTTGCAGTGAGCCGAGATCCCACCACTGCACTCCAGCCTGGGCGACACAGCGAGACTCTATCTCAAAAAAATAAATAAATAAAATAAAGGATCGGAGAGAAACAAAACTAATAAGATTCCTGAAGGTAAGCAGAGATACGTAAATTATATGTAATAAAGTTTAAATGCATTTTAACTGTAATCTTATTGTTTATTTTGGTTATAAAAGTAAACAAGCCAAAAGTAATGCAACTTCAAACTCTACATAAATATCTATTATGGAAAGTGGAAGGCATCTATAATCCTACTACCCAAAGATAACCAGTTACATATTCCTCCAGATTTTTGGGGCATACACTAGCTTTTTTTATTTGGGAAAATTTCCATGTGCAGGCATACCTAATTTTTCTAAATGTCTATGTAGTATTCCATTTAAGGATGTTCCATAATTTTTAAAATACATGCTTTAAAGTAGAGAAACTAGGTTGGGCATGGTGGCTCACGCCTGTATCCCAGCACTTTGGGAGGCCGAGGCAAATGGATCACTTGAGGTCCGGAGTTTGAGACCAGCCTGGACAACATGATGAAACACCCTCTCTAATAAAAATACAAAAATTAGCTGGGCATGGTGGCGAGCACCTGTAGTCCCAGCTACTCAGGAGTCTGAGGCAGGAGTATCACTTGAACTCAGGAGGCAGAAGTTGCAGTGAGCTGAGATCACGCCACTGCACTCCAGCCTAGGCGACAAAAGGGAAACTCCGTCTTAAAAACAAAACAAAACAAAAAAACACAGGATGCCCAGATAAATATGACTTTCAGATAAGCAATGGATAATTTTTTGGGGGGTATATGTCCCAAATATTGCATTCATTGTTTATCTGAAAGTCAAATTTAACTGGGCATCCTGATGTACTTGTATTCACTTAATCTGTCAGCCCTAAATGTGCATCAGTGGAATGGCTGCCAGCTTATTCCAGTTAATTCTTCTTGCCCCAGATTGTACAAAACAGGGTCCACCTTGGCTCAGTCCTCTCCTTTCATCCCTCTCCAGGCAAAAACAAAGAGTGTGAGGCCTTCATTTGCAACTGCGACCGCAACGCTGCCATCTGCTTTTCAAAAGCTCCATATAACAAGGCACACAAGAACCTGGACACCAAGAAGTATTGTCAGAGTTGAATATCACCTCTCAAAAGCATCACCTCTATCTGCCTCATCTCACACTGTACTCTCCAATAAAGCACCTTGTTGAAAGACCTCATGTTTGGATATTGTTTTATTCTCTGTCTATAAACTAGGTCTCTGCCTACTCTTTTATTTTTATGTATTTATTTTTTCTAGGTGGAGTCTTGCTCTGTGGCCCAGGCTGGAGTGCAGTGATGCCACCTTGCCTCACTGCAACCTCCGCCTCCCGGGCTCAAGCAATCCTCCCGCCTCATCCTCCCGAGTAGCTGGGACCATAGGCATGCACCACCATGCCTGGCTAATTTTTGTATTTTTTGTAGAGACAGAGTTTCGCCATGTTGCCCTGGCTGGTCTCAAACTCCTCAGCTTAAGTGATCTGCCTGGCTCGGCCTCGCAAAGTGTTGGGATTACATGCATGAGCCGCCGCGCCTGGCTACTCTGCCTAGTCTTTTGTGAGTATCATTTCTTCCAGCCTTGGAAGCTAAGTTGAATTAGAAAGACACTTCCAGGAAGCAAGCAAGCACCTTGAAACCTGAGTAATGATTAACGATCACCATCTACTGATTATTTACTCTGTACCAGGACTGTGTGTCCATAAATCCTCTTGACAGCCCTGTGAGGTATTGGCGCTATTAGCAAATCTTATTTTCCTAAGCTGAGGCTCAATAGGAGAGGTCACTTTTCCAATGCTATCATCTAGTAAGCAGCAGAGAAGGAATTTGAACTCGGCAAGTCTAACAACAGAAAACACATGCTGAACCACTGCCCTTCCCTGCCTGAAGTGGTAGGCTTTAGTTTGAGCCAGACCTTGCCCCCGTCTCATGATTCTGCCTCCATTTTCAACTGTATTAAACCATTTTTCTACAATGACTTTCTTTTTTTTTTTTTTTTTTGAGATGGAGTCTCGCTCTGTCGCCCAGGCTGGAGTGCAGTGCTGCAATCTCGGCTCACTGCAAGCTCTGCCTCCCAGGTTCACGCCATTCTCCTGCCTCAGCTTCCCGAGTAGCTGGGTTTACAGGCTCCTGCCACCACGCCCAGCTAATTTTTTGTATTTTCAGTAGAGACGGGGTTTCACCGTGTTAGCCAGGATGGTCTCGATCTCCTGACCTCGTGATCCGCCCGCCTCGGCCTCCCAAAGTGCTGGGATTACAGGCGTGAGCCACCGCACACGGCCACGACTTTCTTTTCTAAATAAAAGACTTCACCACACTCTACAGGCTAATTTTGACACTGTAGTCATGAAATATAATAAACATTAACAAGCCGAGCATGGCGGCACGCGCCTATGATCGTAGCTACTCAAGAGGCTGAGGCAGGAGGATCTCTTGATCCCGGGAGTTTGAGGCTGCAGTGAGCTATGATCACACCACTGCACTCCAGCCTGGGTGAAAGAGTGAGACCCTGTTTCAAGCTACTAGGGAGGCTGAAGTGGAAGGATCCCCTGAGCCCAGGAGTTGGAGGCTGCAGTGAGCTGTGATCACGCCACTGCACTCCAGCCTGAGTGACAGAGAGAGACACTATCTCAAACAAACACACACACAAAACACAAACAAAACAAAACAAAACAAAACAAAACAAAACAAAAAACCAATAACAGCTTGCATTTCTGGAGCACTTACTGCATACTTCCTTGTTCGGAGTTTTCCACATCTCATCTCATTAAATGTTCAAACCAGCTCTGTGATATTGATATTTTTGCTCCCATTTCATGGATGTGGAACTAAAAATTCAGAGAAGTTAAGTCATTTGTCCAAGATCACACAAATGGCAAAATCAGGATTTGGCCAGGTCTGTCTGGTGGCAGTGCCCAAGCTTTTAACCACTAAGTCACTTCAGCCCAATTCCTCTATGAGTATTTATGACTACATTTACATTGAAATTCACCAGAACTAAGCCAGGGACAGTGGCTCACGCCTGTAATCCCAGGACTTTGAGAAGTCTAGGTGGGCAGATCACTTGAGGCCAGGAGTTTGAGACCAGCCTGGCCAACATGGCAAAACCCTGTCTCTACTAAAAAATACAAAAATTAGCCGAGTATGGTGGCATAGGCCTGTAATCCCAACTACTCAGGAGGCTGACGCAGGAGAATGGCTTAAACCAGGGAGGCTGAGGTTGTAGTGAGCTGAGATCACACCACTGCACTCCAGCGTGGGTGACAGAGTGATACTCGGCCAAAGAAAGAAAAAAAAAAAAGAAATTCACCAGAGCAAGTGGGGAGAGGCAGAGAAGGGAACTGAAGCAGAAAAGCAAAGTTGAGGCCAGGCATGGTGGCTCACGCCTGTAATCCCAGTACTTTGGGAAGCCGAAGAGGGCAGATCACCTCAGGTCAGGAGTTCGAGACCAGCCTGGCCAACATGGCAAAACCTCATCTCTACTAAAAAATACAAAATTTAGCTGGGCATGGTAGCGTGCACCTGTAATCCCAGCTACTCAGGAGGCTGAGACAGAAGAATCACTTGAACCTGGGAGGAAGAGGTTGCAGTGAGCCAAGATAACACCACTGCACTCCAGCCTGGGTGACACAGTGAGACTCTGTCCACTATCAAAAGGCACCATTAAGCAGTTTCAGACCACTGGAAACTGACAGAACAGCCACCATTTCTGGGTATGTGGTGGGCAATAGAAGACCTTCCATTTGAAGAAGGGAGTGTGTGTGGACTTATCTTTTGGCATAATTTCTCCCTCATTTATTTATTTATTTATAATTTTTTTTTTGAGACAGATTCTCACTCTGTCACCAGGCTGGAGTGTAGTGGCGCAATCTCGGCTCACTGTAACCTCTGCCTCCCGGGTTCAAGAGATTCCCCTGCCTCAGCCTCCTGAGTAGCTGGGACTATAGGCACGCACCACCACGCCCAGCTAATTTTTTGTATTTTAGAGACAGGGTTTCACTATGTTGGCCAGGATGTTCTCGATCTCCTGACCTCGTGATCTGCCCGACTTGGCCTCCCAAAGTGCTGGGATTACAGGCGTGAGCCACCACGCCCGGTCCCTCATTTTATTCATCCATTCAATGATTATTTATTGAACACTTACTCTGGGCCAGGCACCACACAAAATGCTGAGGATACAATGTATTCGGGGCTGGCCACAAGACAATGATTTAGTGTTAGTATCTGTCTACAATTCAGTCTGCTCTGAGACTTTCTTCCCTACTCTTCAAACTGGCATCCTTGTATATATTATGCTGTATGCTCCAGACGGTGTCATGTCTTTTGCACAATTATCTTGTCATCCTTGAAGTTCTATAGTTGTAGGTACTGTTATATCCACATCTGATGGATGAGGAAACTGGCTTAAAGATGCAATGGATTGCCAAAAGTCACTAATTCCTGGGTGGCATAGCTGACCTTGGAACCCAAATCCAGATAATTCAGAGAAGTGCTATCTTTTTAATTCTTTTTAATTAAAATTAATTCTTTTTAAGTCTTTTTAATTCTTTGGCAGGCAAGAATGGGACTATTCTCAAATTCAAATTCAACAAGCATAAACCGAAGAACCCTTCTTTGCATATTGTGCTATGAAGAATTTCAAGGGATGCAAAATCAAGTTAGACCTGGCCTTAATCTTCAACGAACTGTGAAGGCCATAAAAAATATTTCTTCAGTGGAAAGAAATTGCAAGTCCCTGTTGGATGGAAGAAAAGTGGGCTTTTAGGAAAATGGTGCTTACTTCTTCTTATTTATTTATTTATTTATTTAGATGACAGAACAAACGAGAGAGAGAGAGCAGTCACAGGGCTACTAAAGGCTCTAAAGATATCCTCTGATGTAAAAATCTCTCTTGGGCCGGGCGTGGTAGCTCAGGCCTGTAAATCCCAGCACTTTGAGAAGCTGAGGCTTGCTTGAGTCCAGCCTGGACAACACGGTGAAATCCCGTCTCTACAAAAAATCAGCAAGGTGTTGCATGGCTGTAGTCCCAGCTACTCGGGAGGCTGAGATGGGAGTATCACCTGAGCCCAGAAGGTTGAGGCTGCAGTGAGACTGCACTCTGGCCTGGGTGATAGAATGAGACCCTGTCTCAAAAAAAAAAAAAAAAGAAAAAAGAAAACAAAAAACCAACAACAAAATAACCTACCTCTTTTTCATTATCAAGGCTTGGGAAAGAGAGAATAAATTCCCTTAATTATCTTTAAATGAGCATTTGTATGAAAGTAGGATACGGAAAACTAGTTGAATGTCTAGGATGATTTGAATGAAGAAACAAGGAAATAAGCTGGACAGAGTAATTTGATGGAGAGATTACAATTTCTAGCAACCGCATTGTCTTCACATTGTCTAGCGCATCACATAAGTTCATTAAATAATTGTTCAGAGACGGTAGTGTGACGTAATGTTTCGCCGAAGCCAAGGAGAAAAAGCCACGTGGCCTTATTTACCTTTTCGTGTCACGTGATGCTGTGTGCCCAACCCGATCAACCTCTAGTCCACGCCCCCCAATCCGCCGCCACAGGATGTGATTGTGATTGGATATCTTATGAGCACGTGGCTCTCGATCTCTCTTTTCTATTGGTGAATGGCGGCCCAGCCGTCGGTCTACTTCTGCCCCTTCCCGGCCCAGGCCCCGCCCCTCTGGCGCGCACAGAAAACCCGAGTCTGCGCAGGCGCAGTGGCTGGTAATGGTCACACTAGGTGGCGTCCGCGTGAGGTGGAGGTGTCAGCGGCTCCTGTCTGCAGCTTCCTGGGGTCCTGGCGGCGCTCTTCTCCTGAGCCAGAATCCAGCAGGAAGGACAGAATGGGCGCTAGAGTGTGAAAAGAGGGCGAACTCACGTGGATGTGACTCTCCGGGTCGCTCTTCCCTGTCACCCAGCTCCTCCTGCCGGTTTCCTGTGGGCATCGCCTGCATTGCTTTTATCCCGGGGACGGATTAGGGGGTAGGGAAAGTGGGGTGCAGGGAACAAAGGGGAGCTGAGAGGAGAGGTGGCCAAGCAGAGAGGCAAGGGGATGTTGGGCGAGCCACAGGCCTCTGAGGCGCCCCAAATCTACACTTAAATTTCCACCCCCACATTGAAGGGAAAAAAAAAACCGAAGAGATTTGGTGGTGTAACAGCCATGCTTTTTGCATGAGTGGTTTCCTCCCTTTTCCTACCTCGTGAAGGCATGTTCATCTTTCAGAACCCAGCCTGGGTCACTTCTGGAAGTTTCTTGAGCTTTGTCCTTCTTCCGCAGGTACAGCTGCTGTTACCCCACCGGGTTTCTACAGCAGAAAGTCCGAGAGCGAACTCAGAACTGGACAGACTGGCCTTCATTCCTGGCCTAGTCACCCTCTTGGTGACCTTGGGCAGGTTACCCGAAATAATAGTGCTCTTATCATAGGGTTGTGGGAATTAAGTGTCCAAATATGTTGTGTAAATGCTTCCTAAGTGCTTGTTGTATAGTAAATGTTCGATAAATACTGTTTTCCTAAGGGGAAGGAGAGGAAAGGATAATGCACTTTAATTTTTCTTGAGAAAGTCTTTATTACATTAAGCAAGCCTTGATTTGTAATCTTTTTCTATTTTTTTACTTTTTATTACTATTATTTTTATTTTATTTTATTTTTTGAGACGGAGTTTTGCTCTTGTTGCCCAGGCTGGAGTGCAATGATGCTATCTCAGCTCACTGCAACCTCCGCCTCCCAGGTTCAAGCGATTCTCCTGCCTCGGCCTCCCAAGTAGCTGGGATTACAGGCGCCGGCTACCATGCCCAGCTAATTCTGTATTTTTAGTAGAGGCAGGGTTTCACCATGTTGGTCAGGCTGGCTGGTTTCGA
Source organism: Homo sapiens (assembly GCF_000001405.40). Lineage (NCBI taxonomy): Eukaryota > Metazoa > Chordata > Mammalia > Primates > Hominidae > Homo > Homo sapiens. Next base: position 120,316,436 of record NC_000012.12, on the reverse strand, counting down.
ACTCCTGACTTCGGGTGATCCACCCGCCTCAGCCCTCCAAAGTGCTGGGATTACAGACTCACATAAGCCACCGTGCCGGGCCTATTATTATTATTTTATGTATATATATGTGTCTATATAATTTTTTTTTTGAGACGGAGTCTTGCTCTATCGCCCGGGCCAGAGTGCAGTGGCATGACCTTGGCTCACTGCAGCCTCTGCCTCCTCTGCTCAAGCGATTCTTCAGCCTCAGCCTCCCGAGTAGCTGGGGTTACAGGCACTGGCCACTACGCCCGGCTAATTTTTGTATTTTCAGTAGAGACAGTTTTCACCATGTTGGCCAGGCTAGTCTGGAACTCCTGACCTCAGGTGATCTGCCCACCTCGGCCTCCCACCGAGCCTCATTTGCAATCTTTTTTAAAAAAGACAAACAGGTACACTTTGGGAGGCTGAGGCGGGTGGATCACGAGGTCAGGAGATCAAGACCATCCTGGCTAACACAGCGAAACCCCGTCTCTATTAAAAATACAAAAAAGTTAGCTGGGCGTGGTGGCTGGCGCCCGTAGTCCCATGAACCCAGGAGGCAGAGCTTGCAGTGAGCCAAGATTGCGCCACTGCACTCCAGCCTGGGCAAAAGAGAAAGAGCGAGACTCCGTCTCAAAAATATATATATATATAATTAAATATATAAACATACAATCCACATACCTAGTGTGGTTTTTTTGTTTTGTTTTGTTTTGTTTTTGAGACAGAGTCTTTCTCTTTCACCCAGGCCGTTCAGTGGCACAATCTCGGCTCACTGCAACCTCCGCCTCCCTGGTTCAAGCGATTCTCCTGCGTCAGCCTCCTGAGTAGCTGGGACTACAAGCACATCCCACCATGCCTGGCTAATTTTTGTATTTTTAGTAGAGACGGGGTTTCATCATGTTGGCCAGGATGGTCTCCATCTCCTGACCTTGTGATCCACCCGCCTATGCCTCCCAAAGTGCAGGGATTACAGGCGTGAGCCGCTGTGCCTGGCCCTGGTGTGCTATTTTTATTTTTTATTTTTTATTTTTATTTTTTTTGAGACGGAGTCTTGCTCTGTCGCCCAAGCTGGAGTGCAGTGGCGCGATGTCAGCTCACTGCAAGCTCCGCCTCCCGGGTTCACACCGTTCTCCTGCCTCAGCCTCCCAAGTAGCTGGAACGATAGGCGCCTGCCACGACGCCTGGCTAATTTTGTTTGTTTGTTTGTTTTTTGAGTCTCGCTCTGTCGCCCAAGCTGGAGTGCAGTGGCAAGATCTCGGCTCACTGCAAGCTCCGCCTCCCAGGTTCACGCCATTCTCCTGCCTCAGTCTCCCCAGTAGCTGGGACTACAGGCACCCGCCACCACGCCCAGCTAATTTTTTTGTATTTTTAGTAGGGAAGGGGTTTCATCGTGTTAGCCAGGATGGTCTCGATCTCCTGACCTCGTGATCTGCCTGTCTTGGCCTCCCAAAGTGCTGGGATTACAGAAGTGAGCCACTGTGCCTGGCCCATTTTTTTGTATTTTTAATAAAAACGGGGTTTCACCGTGTTAGCCAGGATGGTCTCGATCTCATGACCTCGTGATCCGCCCGCTTTGGCCTCCCAAAGTGCTGAGATTACAGGCTTGAGCCACCACGCCCAGCTGCTGTGCTATTTTTGAAAGATTCCTTTATCTCTTGGTTATAAAAAATTAATTCATGGCCATTGCTTATTTTTTCAAAAATTATATCAAAATGGTTCAGTTAAAGACACTTAACCATTTGGATTATAAATTTAGTCATTTCCTTCTACCCTTACCCCACAAAATTAGTGAGATCCTTGGGTTGGCGCTCCAGAGACCACTCTGGCCTACATATGTCCCAGGCCATTTCTCCTGCCAGGTGAGATAAAAAGGAAATGAATGCAGCTGCTTCTTTGAAAAAGTCTTTGTTCTGGGGCAAATCTCCTCAGCCTAGACCTTAACTCTTTGGCTGGGAAAGCTGCCGGGTTGAGAAATGGGCTGGCAGAGAGGTGTTGATTTGTTGCCCCCTACAGGCTGCACTCAGCGAGCTTTGATTAGTTTGAGAAAAAACGGATGCTCCTTAGGGATCTGTAAAGAAATGAAACAAGTGAATGCAAAGATAAACGAAGAGCAGGGTCCAGGGAATGCTTGTGAACATCAGCCTATCAGTCACAATACCATAGCACTTAGGACATGGAAAGATGACCACTGGCCGGGCTTGGTGGCTCATGCCTGTAATCCCAGCACTTTTGGAGGCTAAGGCAGGTGGATCACTTGAGGCCAGGAGTTCAAGACCAGCCTGGCCAACATGGTGAACTGAAAATACAAAAATTAGCCGGGCATGGTGGTGGGCACCTGTAGTCCCAGCTACTCGGGAGGCTGAGCCAGGAGAATTGCTTGAATCTGGGAGGCAGAGGTTGCAGTGAGCCAAGATCATGCCACTGCACTCTAGCCTGGGCTACAGAGCGAGACTCCATCTCAAAGACAAAACAAAACAAAACAAAACACCCGGGCACGGTGGTTCACGCCTGTAATCCCAGCACTTTGGGAGGCCAAGGCAGGCAGATCACTTGAGGTCAGGAGTTTGAGACCAGCTTGGCCAATATGGTGAAACCTCGTCTCTACCAAAACTATAAAAAATTAGCCAGGTGTAGTGGTACGTGCCTGTAATCTCAGCTACTTGGGAGGCTGAGGCAGGAGAATCACTTGAATCCAGGAGGCAGAGGATGCAGTGAGCCAAGATCACACCACTGCACTCCAGCCTGGGCAACAGAGCGAGACTGTCTCAAAAAAAAAAGTTTTGGCCGGGTGTGGTAGCTCGTGCCTATAAAGTCAGCACTTTGGGAGGCTGAGGCGGGTGGAGAGCTTGAGCTCAGGACTTCGAGACCAGCCTGGGTGACAAAGTGAGACCCTGTCTCTACAAAAAATAAAAACAATTAGTTGGGTATGGTGGTGCACGCCTGTAGTCCTAGCTACTTGGGAGGCAGAGGTGGGAGGATGGCTTGAACCTGGCAGGCAGAAGTTGCAGTGAGCTGAGGTCAGGCCATTGCACTTCGGCCTGGGTGACAGAGCCAGATCCTGTCTCAAAAAAAAAAAAAAATTAGTTTTAGTGCTCTCTTCAGCAGCACATATACTAAAATTGGAATGATACAGAGGTTAGTATGACCCCTGTGCAAGAATGACACACAAATTCATGAAGCATTTCATATAAAGCTGAACAATTTTTTATTTAAAAAAAATGAGTTTTAATTAAGAATATCCACACATTAAGATACCTAGAACCTTCTATACTTTGTCAGTGCACCCTACTCTGTTGAATGGGAACTGGAATCTGTCATTTGAGAAGGCATTTACATTTAGCAGCAAGATTCAAGTGAAAGTCCCTGTTCCAGGTTCTGGAATATCAGGCTGTGGTCAGCATGGGTCTATCAAAGGCAGCAACTCTCCACAACGAGAATTCAGTTTCAGACACGCCAAGTCATCCGACCGTGTGGGCCCAATGTTCAGTATTGCAATCGGGAGCTTCTTCTCCCAGGCAGTGAGGATAAACCTGTAACCAGAGTATACCTGCACGGAGAAAAGACACACATAAGAATGTCTAGGTTCTCTAGATCTAGAAAAAGTTAAACCAAACAGGGTGTCTCTCCAGGACTCCCAATCCCGCACAAGGGGTGGTTACCACTCTTGCCAAGTCAGATACCTGCAAGGATGATCCCACCACCAAGAGGGAGTCGGCTTCTTTTACACGCTTGTGCACAAAATCAACCTTGTCAGGGTTCACTGTGTCCCCGAAGAAAACGACATCTGGTTTCAGATGGCCTCCACATTGAACGCAGGTTGGGACCTGAAAGCTCCGGACTTGCTCCTCTGAGAGAAAGACGTCACCATCAGGAGCCAGGCCATGGGCCTCAGCACTCCAGGTGGGGTTCAGGACTTGGAAACGCTCTTGCAGCACCCCCCGGGGAGTCTGTTCCCCACAATCCAAGCACAGGACCCTGGAACCAAGGAAGACGCTGACTGAACAGTATGCCCTTGGGAGGCACAAAGCTGTCAGAGACGTTTCATCTCCAACCATTTTCAGCCCTTCCATCGCTGCTTTCTTTCCCTAACACACAATCCCCACCCCATTTTAGCCATACTTTCTATTTTATTTTTTTTATTTTTGGAGACAGGGTCTGGCTGTTGCCCAGGCTGGAATGCAGTGGCACGATCTCAGCTCACTGCAGCCTCAACCTCCTGGGCTCAGGTTATCCTCCCACCTCATCCTCCTGAGTGGCAGGGACTGCACTACAAACACGCGCCATCTCGCCCAGCTAATTTTTGTAGTTTTGGTAGAGACGGTGTTTCACTGTGTCGCCCAGGCTGGTCTCAAACTCCTGGCCTCAAGTGATCCTCCCTCCTTGGCCTCCCAAAGTGCTGGGATTACAGGTGTGAGCCACTGCGCCCAGCCCATCAATTTCCTTCCTATACACTCCTTCCTAACCTTCTGCTATAGCTCACTTTTATCCTTAACATGACTGCAAATGCCTTGCCTGCTGATTTCCTTAATGCCCAAACCTGCGTTTTTCCCTCTATACTTTCCCTTGCTCATCTGCTGAATTTGCCACTGTCTATTACCATTCCTTCTAAAATGCTTCTCCTTCTTGGTTTCCAGGACACAGTGTCTCCTGGTTCTCTTCTCACCTCTTTTTTTTTTTTTTTTTTTTTTTTTTTTTGAGAGCAAGTTTCACTCTCATTGCCCAGGTTGGAGTGCAATGGCATGATCTTGGCTCACCGCAACCTCCACCTCCTGGTCTCAAGCGATTCTCCTGCCTCAGCCTCCTGAGTAGCCGGGATTACAGGCAGGCTCTACCACACCCGACTAATTTTTTTTGTATTTTTAGTAGAGACGGGGTTTCTCCATGTTGGTAAGGCTGGTCTCAAACTCCCGACCTCAGGTGATCCGCCTGCCTTGGCCTCCCAAAGTGCTGGGATTACAGGTGTGAGCCACTGCACCTGGCCCCCCTTCTCACCTCTCCAATCACCAGAGCTTGAGCCAGTGAGGGAGAGCACTTTGTGTCTGTTTTTATTTTTTTATTTTATTTTTTATTTTTTTGAGACGGAGTTTCACTCTTGTTGCCCAGGCTGGAGTGCAATGGCGCGATCTTGGCTCACCGCAACCTCTGCCTCCCAGGTTCAAGCAATTCTCCTGCCTCAGCCTCCCGAGTAGCTGGGATTACAGGCATGCACCACCACGCCCGGCTAATTTTGTATTTTTAGTAGAGACGGGGTTTCTCCATGTTGAGGCTGGTCTCGAACTCTTGACCTCAGGTGGTCTGCCCGCCTTGGCCTCCCAAAATGCTGGGATTACAGGCATGAGCCACTGCGCCCGGCCTATTTTTTTTTTTTTTTTTTTTTTTTTTAAGAGACAGGGTCAGGCTGGGCGTGGTGGCTCACGCCTGTAATCCCAACACTTTGGGAGGCCGAGGCGGGCGGATCACGAGGTCAGGAGATCGAGACCATCCTGGCTAACACGGTGAAACCCCATCTCTACTAAAAATACAAAAAATTAGCCGGCCGTGGTGGCGGGCGCCTGTAGTCCCAGCTACTCGGGAGGCTGAGGCAGGAGAATGGCGTGAACCCGGGAGGCGGAGCTTGCAGTGAGCCGAGATAGCACCACTGCACTCCAGCCTGGGCAACGAGCGAGACTCCGTCTCAAAAAAAAAAAAGAGACAGGGTCTTGGCCAGGCGTGGTGGCTCTTACCTGGAGTGCAGTGGCATGATCATAGCTCACTGCAGCCTCGAACTCCTAGGCTCAAGCAATCCTCCTGCCTTAGTCTTCCAAAGTGCTGGGACTACAGGTGTGAGCCACCACAACCAGCCTCATTTTTCTCCTTTTAGTTCTAGTCAGCCATCAGATTATGTTGATTTTCTTCTCTTAAAAGAACCCCTGTGGCCAGGCATGGTGGCTCACACCTTGTAATCCCAGCACTTTGGGAGCGTAAAGCAAGAGAATCGCTTGAGCTCAGGAGTTCCAGACCAGTCTGGGTAGACAGCAAGACGCTCTCTCTACAAAAAAAATTTTTTTGGCTTGTCTTTGTTTTTTGAGACGGGGTCTTGCTCTGTCGCCCAGGCTGGAGTGCAATGGCGCGATCTCGGCTCACTGCAACCTCCGCCTCCTGGGCTTAAGCGATTCTCCTGCCTCAGCCTCCCGAGCAGCTGGGATTACAGGCGCCTGCCACCACGCCCAGCTAATTTTTGTGATCTGCCCACCTCGGCCTCCCAAAGTGCTGAGACTACAGACGTGAGCCACCACGCCTAGCCAAAAAAAATTTTTTAATTAGCTGGAGTTCTAATTACCCAGGAGTTCTAGGTTACAGGGAGTTATGATGGCACCATTGCACTCTAGCCTGGGTGTCAGAACCAGACCCTGTCTAAAAAAGAAAAAAAGGCCAGGCCGGGCACGGTGACTCACACCTGTAATCCCAGCAATTTGGGAGGCCAAGATGGGTGGATCAGTTGAGGTCAGGAGTTTGAGACCCGCCTGGCCAACATGGTGATACCCTGTCTCTACAAAAATACAAAAAAATTAGCCGGGTGTGGTGGTGCACACCTGTAATTCCAGCTACTCAGGAGGTTGAGACAGGAGAATTGCTTGAACCCAGGATGTAGAGGTTACAGTGAGCCAAGATCATGCCATTGTACTCCAGCCTAGGTGACAGAGCAAGACTTCATCTCAAAAAAAAAAAAAAAAAAAGAAAGCGGGCACAGTGGCTCATGCCTGTAATCCCAGCACTTTGGGAGGCCAAGGCAGGCAGATCACCTGAGGTCAGGAGTTTGAGACCAGCCTGGCCCAACACGGTGAAACCCAGTCTCTACCAAAAATACAAAAATTAGCCGGGCATGGTGGTGCATGCCTGTAATCCCAGCTACTCAGGAGGCTGAGGCAGGAGAATCGGTTGAACCCGGGAGGTGGAGGTTGCAGTGAGCCAAGATCTCACCACTGCTCTCCAGCCTAGGCGACAGAGTGAGACTCTGTCTCAAAAAAAAAAAAAAAAGAAAAGAAAAAAAGGCCCCTGTGAAATGTCAAGAAGTCCTGGATTGTTTTAAAATGCTTAAGAAGAGACAGAATGGATAAAGTAGACATGACAAAATCTTGATAAAACCTTGGAATCTGGGTGATGGTATATGAGAATTCATTATACAATTCTCTTTACTTTTGTGAAGTTTGAAATTTTCATTATTAAAAGAACAGATTTTCTTCATGAAAAAAATTGTGAGTTTTTTTTGAGACAGAGTTTCACTCTTGTCGCCCAGGCTGGAGGGCAATGGCACAACAGTCTTGGCTCACCGCAACCTCCGCCTCCCAGGTTCAAGCGATTCTCCTGCCTCAGCCTCCCGAGTAGCTGGGATTACAGGCATGTGCCACCATGCCCGGCTAATTTTTTGTTGTTCTTGTACTTTTAGTAGTGACAGGGTTTCTCCATGTTGGTCAGGCTGGTCTTGACTCCCGACCTCAGGTTATCCACCCGCTTCGGCATCCCAAAGTGCTGAGATGACAGGCATGAGCCACCACGCCCGGCGGAAAAAATTGTTTTAATGAATCCATAAGCATCATTAACTCAAATTCCCTGGATACCACCTTAGTCTAGGTCTTTCAGGCTGACCTCCCTGACCTGCTCTTTTTAATCCTGTTTAGCCTTCCTCAAATGCTATTTTTATCATGTTGCTTGCTTGCTCAGAAACCACTAATAAACCCCTTTGGTGTCTCACAGCAGACCCAACTGCACTGCCTGATTTTCAAATGTAACCATGATTTGGGCCTAACTTTCCCAGACAATCTGGTTTCTGCAAGTCCCAGGTCCAAACCTCTACAGAGGCCAGGCCAGACTCCTCTGGGATCTACAACTTCCCTTCATTTGGAAAGCCCTGTTTCCCGCTCTTGCCTAGACAAACCTGAGCCAATCTCAAGCCCCCTGTACCCATAAAAGCTTTCTTGGGGCAGGCGCTGTGGCTCACGCCTGTAATCCCAGCGCTTTGGGAGGCCGAGGCAGGCGGATCACGAGGTCAGGAGTGAGTTCGAGACCAGCCTGGCCAACATGATGAAACCCTACCTCTACTACAAATACAAAAAATTAGCTGGGGGTGGTGGCAGGCACCTGTAATCCCAACTACTTGGGAGGCTGAGGCAGGAGAATCACTTGAACCCAGGAGGCGGAGGTTGCAGTGAGCCGAGACCGTGCCACTGCACTCCAGCCTGGGCAACAAGAACAAGACTGTGTTTCAAAAAAAAAAAAAAAAAAAAAGCTTTCTTGGGCCAGGCATGGTGGCTCACACCTGTAATCCCAACACTTTGGAAGATCAAGGCAGGAGGAGGGCTTGAGCTTAGGAGTTCGAGACCAGACTAGGCAACACAGCAAGATCCTGTCTCTATTTAAAAAAAAAAATTTTTTTTTTAAAAAGCTTTCTCAACTGATTATTCCAATCTTTACTAAATCTGTTTATTTGAACATGCACAGCATATAAATCAAGAACCACACAATTTCACAATCATGCGTTGTCATTTATCATTAATTATGTGCTTTTCTTTGTTTGTTTGCTTGGTTGTTTTTTGAGAAGGAGTTTCGTTCTTGTTGCCCAGGCTGGAGTGCAATGGTGCGATTTCAGCTCATTACAACCTCTGCCTCCCGGGTTCAAATGATTCTCCTGTCTCAGCCTCCTGAGTAGCTGGGATTATAGGCATGCACCACCATGCCTGGCTAATTTTGTATTTTTAGTAGAGACAGGGTTTCACTGTGTTGGTCAGGCTGGTCTTGAACTCCTGACCTCAGGTGATCCCCTGCCTCGGCCTCCCAAAGTGCTCGGATTACAGGCGTGAGCCACCGTGCCCGGCCAATTATGTTATTTTTGTGTCTTCCCAAATATTACAAAGTTCTTGCATATAAAGTGGGCCATGTTTTATACTTTGGTTTTTGTTTGTTGTTTGAGACAATCTCCCTCTGTCGCCCAGGCTGGAGTGCAATGGCACGATCTTGGCTCACTGCAACCTCTGCCACCCATGTTCATGCAATTCTCCTGCCTCAGCCTCCCGAGTAGCTGGGACTATAGGCGCCCGCCACCACGCCTGGCCAATCTTTTATTTTTAGTAGAGACTGGGTTTCGACATATTGGCCAGGCTGGTCTCAAACTCCTGAGCTCAAGTGATCCGCCCCCTCAGCCTCTCAAAATGCTGGGATTATAGGTGTGAGCCACTGAGCCCAGCCTATACTTTGGTTCTGACCACTAAGAAGCACAGTAGTTAGTGTTATAATGTACTACATAGTGTAACGTATGTACACCATACATTCTAGGCACCCAGTAAATATTTCAGCATTGGCAGACTGACTTCAGCCCTCAGAGGAGCCTCTCTAGGGCTTAAAGAAATAAGTCTCCAATTAGCTACAATTATTGCCAGACCCATAAGCATGATACCCTCCCATGTATCTGTTCCCTCATTATTGATTGAGTTCTGACTACTGCCCGGCTACGTTATGGTCTATGTATCTAGCCATCCTAGGCATTGGAAACCCAGCAGTTTATAGCACATGCTATTGGTGTTCAGCTCATATTTTCCTCAGAACATGCTAAAGGCCACGTTCGAACAGTTTCCTTTCTTTTTGTTTTTTTATTGAGATAGAGTCTCACTCTGTTGTCCAGGCTGGAGTGCAGTGGCACAATCTTGGCTCACTGCAACCTCTGCCTCCCAGGTTCAGGCGACTCTCGTGCCTCAGCCTCCCAAATAGCTGAGACTACAGGCGTGCGCCACTATGCCCAGGTAATTTTTTGTATTTTTAGTAGAGATGGGGTTTCACCGTGTGGGCCAGGATGGTCTCGAACTCCTGACCTCAAGTGATCTGCCTGCCTCTGCCTCCCAAAGTGCTGGGATTACAAGCATGAGCCACCGCACCCGTCCCAGTTTCCTTTCTCTGTTTTTTTGTTTGTTTTTTTTTTTGACGGAGTTTTGTTCTTGTTGCCCAGGCTGCAGGCTGGAGTACAATGGCACAATCTCGGCTCACCGCAACCTCCGCCTCTTGGGTTCAAGCTATTCTCCTGTCTAAGCCTCCCGAGTCGCTAGGATTACAGGCATGCACCACCACGCCCAGCTAATTTTGTATTTTTAGTAGAGACAGGGTTTCTCCATGTTGGTCAGGCTGGTCTCGAACTCCTGACCTCAGGTGATCCGCCCAACTCAGCCTCCCAAAGTGCTGGGATTACAGGCGCGAGCCACCGTGCCCAGCCAATTTCCTTTCTTAAAAAAATTTTTTGTAGAGACGGAGTCTGGCTGTGTTACCCAGGCAGGTCTTGATCTCCTGGCCTCAAGTAATCCTCCTGCTTCAGCCTCCTGAGTTGCTGGGATGACAGATATGAACCACAGCACCCTGGTGGACACAATTTTCTTTCTTTCTTTTTTTTTTTTTTTTGAGACGGAGTCTCGCTCTGTCACCCAGGCTGGAGTGCAGTGGCGCGATCTCGGCTCACCACAAGCTCCACCTCCCAGGTTCACGCCATTCTCCTGCCTCAGCCTCCCGAGTAGCTGGGACTACAGGCGTCCGCCACCGCGCCCAGCTAATTTTTTGTATTTTTAGTAGAGACGGGGTTTCACCATGTTAGCCAGGATGGTCTCGATCAACTGACCTCGTGATCCGCCTGCCTCAGCCTCCCAAAGTGTTGGGATTACAGGCGTGAGCCGCCGCGCCCAGCCTACACAATTTTCTTACAAGCAGTTTCCTGTGTCTCTCTTGCCTCAGATGTTCTCTGCCCACGGAAGCCTCCTTGGGAGGAGCAGAGTCAAAATGTTAGGGAATTAATTCCCCTAGAGTGATCCTGGACCCATGAGGGATGAGAGATGGTGAATAAATACCCTAGCTTCAAGGCCAAGCACAGTGGCTCACACTAGTCATCCCAGCACTTTGAGATGCCAAGGCAGGAGGATCACATGAGCCCAGGAGTTCGAGACCAGCCTGGGCAACATAGTAAGACTTCGTCTCTACAAAAAATAAAAATTAAATTAAAAATTAGCTGGGCACGGTGGCGTTTGCCTGTAGTCCCAGCTACTTAGGAGGCTGGGGTGAAAGGATCACTTGAGCCCAAGAGATTGAGGCTGAAGTGAGCTATAATCACACCACCACATCCCAGTCTGTGTGACAGAGTGAAAGCCTGTCATACACACACACACACACACACACACACGTGCACACACAAACACAAAAGAAAATAAAAGAAAATCACCCTAGCTTGCTCAACTTTCTTTTTTTTTTTTCTTTTTGAGACGGAGTTTTGCTCTGTTGCCCAGGCTGGGGTGTGGTGGCATGATCTCAGCTCATGATCTCAGCTCACTGCAACCTCTACCTCCCAGGTTCAAGCGATTCTCCTGCCTCAGCCTCCTGAGTAGCTGGAATTACAGGTGCGTGCCACCACTTCCAACAGATTTTTGTATTTTTAGTAGAGACGGGGTTTCACCATGTTGACCAGATTGGTCTTGAACTCCTGACCTCAGGTAATCTGCCTGCCTTGGCCTCCCAAAGTGCTGGGATTACAGGCGTGAGCCACCACACCCGGCCTCAACTTTCTTTAAAAAAAAAAAAAAAAAAAAAAAATATATATATATATATATATATATATATATATAAAATTTACTTTACTTATATAGAGACAGAGTCTCACTGTGTTTGCCAGGTTGGTCCTGAACTGTTAGCCTCAAGCAATCTTCCTGCCTCAGCCTTCCAAAGTGCTAGGATTACAGGTATGAGCCACTGTGCACCATCCTCAACTTTTTTTTTTCTTTTTTTCTTTTTTTTTGCACTGTTGCCCAGGCTGGAGTGTAGTGGTGCAATCTCGGCTCACTGCAGCAACCTCTGCCTCCCAAGAGATTTTCCTGCCTCAGCCTCCCAAGCAGCTGGGATTACAGGCATGTGCCACCACGACTGGCTAATTTTTGTATTTTTAGTAGAAATGGGGTTTCACCATGTTGGCCAGGCTGGTCTCGAACTCCTGAGCTCATGTGATCTGCCCACCTCAGCCTCCCAAAATGCTGGGATTACAGGCGTGAGCCACTGCGCCCGGCCCCAGTCCTCAAGTTTCATTGAGACAATCCTCAGGCATGTCCTAGACAGTTGGAGGGTCCCTCACAGGACTGAACCCCAGTGCCCAAGGCAGTAACCCACTCATTAACACACACTTTCTTGGCTTTCCTCTCTTTCCTGTTTTACATCCTTGCTCCGTCAATGAATTTACTGGAATCAACTGCAAAATAAACAACTTGCTCTGAAATCCTTTTCTCAAGGTCTAAGACTGTGGTGATCAAGACAGCCAAGGTCCCTACTCTCCCAAAACAACACACGGGTTTGCGTTCAAACCGTGTACAGCTCCTGCACCTGTCCATGCATCCGTGGAGCTCTGTCAGGCGCCGACTCCCCGCCTTGGTGTGCAAAGCATCCACATTTTGGGTCACCAACCAGTACAGCTTTCCGAGTTTCTCCCAGGTGCTCAAAGCCCAGTGTGCAGGGTTAGGCTGGTGGGAGGAGAATTGAGGCCAGCCTACGAAGTTTCTCGCCCAGTACCGCTGGCGGATTGGGGCACTCCGGACAAAATCACCATGCTGGATGGGCCTGCGGTCAGTGCGGGCATAAAGCCCCACTTTTTCTGACCTGTAGTCTGGTATCCCCGATTCGGTGGAGATTCCTGCCCCAGTCATCACAAGGAGTCTCTTGGAAAGGGTGATGAAGCGCTGTAACTCTTTGACCTTCTCAGGGTCCAGAGGAGGACTTGCTGGCACAAATAACCCAATGGAGGCTTTCGAGCACGGCTGGCTGGGGTTTGCGATCCAACGGCCTTTTGCTGACCTGAAAGTCAACGCAAAGCTCATCTTCATTCTAGAGAAAAAGAAGCCTCATGTGAGAAACTGGGGTGGTTTTTTTTTTTTCTCATTTTTTGTTTGTTTGTTTTCGTTTTGTTTTTTGAGACAGAGTCTCCCTCTGTTGCCCAGGCTAGAGTACAGTGGCATGATCTTGGCTCACTGTAACCGCCGCCTCCCGGGTTCAAGTGATTCTCCTGCCTCAGCCTCCAGAATAGCTGGGACTACATGGCCACCATGCCCGGCTAATTATTGTATTTTTAGTAGAGGCAGGGTTTCACCATGTTGGCCAGGCTAGTCTCGAACTCCTGAGCTCTAGTGATCTGCCCGCCTCGGCCTCCCAACGTGCTGGAATTACAGGTGTGAGCCTCTGAGTCTGGCCCTAATGAGTCAGGTTTTGTTTGATTTTGTTCATGTAATTAAGCACACACACGCATTCCTTTTATTTTTTCATTTCCCCCTTATTTTAGTTTACCCTCCACTGCAAGCTCTGCTACTTGGACACATCAGAGAGACAAGACCCCTGCCCGTCAGCTTTTCTAGCTGTAACAATAGAGGGCCGGGTGCGGTGGCTCACGTCTGAAATCCCAGCACTTTGGGAGGCCGACGCAGGCAGATCACTTGAGATCAGGAGTTCGAGACATGCCTGGCCAACATGGTGAAACCCCGACTCTACTAAAAATACAAAAAAAATTAGCCGGGCATTGTGGCACGTGCCCGTAATCCCAGCTACTAGGGAGGCTGAGGCAGGAGAATTGCTTGAACCCGGGAGGCGGAGGTTGCAGTGAGCCGAGATCGCGCCGTTGCACTCCAGCCTGGGCGAAGAAGCAAGACTCCGTATCAAAAAAAAAAAAAAAAAGAAAAAGAAAAAACTTTGACATATTATTTGACACAATGCAATGCATAAATCCTCTAGTGACATGCACCCCGTATGTAAACATTATTTTATGTTTGGCTTTCCAGATCTGAGATCAGGACCCCGCTTTCTCCTTGACATTCCACAGCAAAACGTGAACAGCTGAACAAACACACAGTCCGGTTTCCCGAGACCAAAGGGTCAGGGGAAACCCCCGCTGAAAACGTGCATCAGTGGAACAACTACTCTCTTCCAGGTCCCACCGAGGGCAAAGAGGAGAAATAGAATCCCTCACAAGAAATCCACAACTTCTAGAAATCCGCAGCACACACAGAACACACTTACCTCTCACAGCTCTACGGACACTTCACACCCCACAGTGGGACCGTCTGATTGCATTTGCATTTTGGGACATGTAGTCCAGAAAGCTTAAATGATGCGAGAAAAACCACAAGTCCCACAATCCTCCGCGTCTCGCAATTGACAGCCCCAGATCATCCAGGAACGCCCCCTGTCGGCTCTTTCTGGTCAGAGGTTCCCCCGTTAATATAAAAGCTTTTAATCATGGATTTTTTTCTTTGTTTTCAATTTCTGTGGGCACTTAGTAGGTGTATATATTTATAGTGTACATAAGATTTTTTTTCTTTTTTCTTTTTTTTTTTTAAGACGGAGTTGTTGTTTTTTTTTTTTGAAAAAACTCCAGTCTGGAGTGCAGTGGCACGATCTCGGCTCACTGCAACCTCCCTCTCCCGGGTTCAACCGATTCTCCTGCCTCAGCCTCCCGAGTAGCTGGGATTATTTTTGTATTTTTAGTAGAGACGGGGGTTTCGCCATGTTGGCCAGGCTCGTCTTGAACTCCTAACCTCAGGTGATCCGCACGCCTTGACCTCCCAAAGTGCTGGGATTATAGGCGTGAGCCACTGCGCCCGGCCATCTTTTCTCTTATTTTTTGTCTTTTTTTCTTTTCTCTGTGCCTGTCTATGCTTTACCCACATGAGATGTTTTGATACAAACATGCAATGTGAAATGAGCACGTCATTAATCATGGATCTAGATTTGACTTTTTTTTAAAGTTTTTGTATTTTTAGTAGAGACAGAGTTTCACCATGTTGGCCAGGCTGGTCTCGAACTCCCGACCTCAGGTGATCCGCCAACCTCGGCCCCCCAAAATGCTGGGATTACAGGCCTGAGCCACTGTTCCCGGCCTAGATTTGACTCATTCTAAACATCAGAGTTTGTGATCCTTTTCATTCACAACGACAGTATCAAGTTATTTGCTATTGGTAAAATACCTTGAACTTGTGAAGAAATGTGTTTATACATATCTGAAAAAGTGATAGTTTGTTGTTGTTGTTGTTGTTGTTTGTTTGTTTGTTTTTGAGACGGAGTCTCGCTCTGTTGCCCAGGCTGGAGTGCAATGGTGCCATTTCGGCTCACTGCAACCTCCGCCTCCCGGGTTCAAGCAATTCTCCTGCCTCAGCCTCCTGAGTAGCAGGGATTATGGGCGCATGCCACTACGCCCGGTTAATTTTTTTATTTTTAGTAGAGACAAGGTTTCACCATGTTAGCCAGGATGGTCTTGATCTCCTGACCTCGTGATCTGCCCACCCTAGCCTCCCAAAGTACTGGGATTACAGGCGTAAGCCACTGTGCCCAGCCAAAAGTGATGTTTTTACAGTTAATATGAAGCCAAATATATTATACCTGGACTAATGTACTTAACCTGCTTGGCTTCTCCAATTTTATTTATCATATTTTTTTTATTAAGTTAATCA
Organism: Homo sapiens; assembly: GCF_000001405.40. Classification (NCBI taxonomy): domain Eukaryota; kingdom Metazoa; phylum Chordata; class Mammalia; order Primates; family Hominidae; genus Homo; species Homo sapiens. Next base: position 120,300,948 of record NC_000012.12, on the reverse strand, counting down.
AACAAGGCCTGCGTCTCACTCCCAGGGATTCTGATCTACAAATTTCCTAATTGTTCCTAATGTGTAGACAACCAGAACTGCCGCTCTGCAGCATCACCTAAATCAATAAATGTATAAGTGTCTTTGGACATAAAGGTGGGCGGCCAGCAGGGACCTTGAAGACCACCTAAGGACTCCCTTCCCCCATTTTAAGATGAATTGGGCTGAGTGCAGTGGTTCCCACCTGTAATACCAACACTTTGGGAGGCCAAGGCAGGAGGATCACTTGAGCCCAAAAGTTCAAGACCAGCTTGGGCAACATAGTGAGACCCACTCACTACAAAAAATAAACAAAATTAGCGGGGTGTGGTGGTGTGTGCCTGTAGTCCCAGCTACTCAAGAGGCTCAGGTGGGAGGATCACTTTGAGCCCAGGAGATCGAGGCTGCAGTGAGCCATAATTGTGCGACTGCACTTCAGCCTGGGTGACAAAGTGAGATCCCATCTCTTCAAAAAATAATAATAATAAATAAAGATGAACTGAAGTGCAGAGAAGTAATGTGGAAGCTTGAGAAAGAGTTTTTAGGTTTTTGGTTCTATCATTGTATCTTTGGAGGTAATATTGGCAAAATGACCATTTAGTAGTTTGCCCATTTCTGCTTTTTTTTTTTCTTTTTTTTGAGACAGGGTCTCGTTCTGTCACCCAGGCTGGAGTGCAGTTGTGACATCACAGCTCACTGCAGTTTCTACTTCCCAGGCCCAAGGGATCCTCCAACCTCATCCTCTCGAGTAGCTGAGATCACAGGCATCCACCACCACGCCCAGCTAAATTTTGTTATTTTTTATTTTTGTCGAGACACGGTCTCACTATGTTGCTCAGGCTGGTCTCAAACTCCTGAACTCAAGGAAAGCTCTTGCTTTGGCCTCCCAAAGTGCTGGGATTACAGGTGTGAGCCACCATGCCGGGCCTGCTTATTTCGACTTGGCAGCATCGTTTCATGAAGCCCCTGACTCTGTGACAACATACAGCTCTCCAGAAAGATGCTTTGAAGACAAAACAGAATAGAGCACACAGCCCTCCATGTCTCTTCCAAGTCACTATATTCATTAAAAGATAAATGACTCTGGTCATTGCCTTTTCCTGCACAAGATAATGTCTGATGGGGTTAGTGATGATACCTCTGTAATCCATAACCAGATATACTCTTGCACCCAAACTTTGATATGATTGTGCTTTAATGTAACTTTGAAGCAAGTTTAATGTGATTTTGCAGGCGCCGTACACTCACCACTTGTATATGAGTGGCTGAAATTCTGTGTTGGACCAGTCTGATGGAACTGCTCCCACACTATAGCCCTCGGTCTGTAATCCTCAGTAAGACTTGTAAGTAAAACTAACTTTAATTTTTTTTTTTTTTTTTTGAGAGAGTCTAGCTCTGTTGCCCAGGCTGGAGTGCAGTGGCGCGATCTTCACTCACTGAAGCCTCTGCCTTCCCGGCTGAAGTGATTCTGCTGCCTCGGCCTCCGGAGTAGCTAGGATTACAGGCGCTCGCCACTGCGCCCGGCTAATTTTTGTATTTTTAGTAGAGATGGGGTTTCGTCATGTTGGCCAGGCTGGTTTTGAACTCGTGACCTCAGGTGACCCACCTGCCTCAGTCTCCTAAAATGCTAGGATTACAGGAGTGAGCCACTGCACCCCGCCACTTTTATTATTATTATTATTGTATTTATTTATTTATTTATTTATTTTTGAGACGGAGTCTCGCTCTGTCGCCCAGGCTGGAGTGTAGTGGAGAGATCTCGGCCCACTACAAGCTCCGCCTCCCGGGTTCACGCGATTCTCCTGCCTCAGCCTCCGGACTACAGGCGCCCGCCACCACACCCGGCTAATTTTTTGTATTTTTTTTTTAGTAGAGACGGGGTTTCACCGTGTTAGCCAGGATGGTCTCTATCTCTTGACCTCGTGATCCGCCCGCCTCAGCCTCCCAAAGTACTGGGATTACAGGCGTGAGCCACCGCGCCCGGCTATTTATTTATTTATTTATTTATTTATTTATTTATTTTTTGAGACGGAATATTGCTCTGTGCCCAGGCTGGAGTGCAGTGGCACGATCTCAGATCACTGCAACCTCCGCCTCCCGGGTTCAAGTGATTCTCCTGCCTCAGCCTCCCGAGTAGCTGGGATTACGGGTGCCCGCCACCATGCCCGGCTAATTTTTGTATTTTTAGTAGAGACGGGGTTTCACCATGCTTGTCAGCATGGTCTCGAACTCCTGACCTCGCGATCCGCCCGCCTCAGCCTCCCAAAGTGCTGGAATTACAGGCATGAGCCACTGCGCCCTGCCACTTTAATTATTTAAAAGCTTATTTTTTTATTTTGGGGACATGGTCTCACTCTTTCACCCAGGCGGGAGTTCAGAGGCACGATCACTGCGCACTACAGCCTCAACCTCTTGGACTCAAACCATCCTCCCACCTCAGCCTCCTGAGTAGCTGGGACTACAGGTGGGCCACCAAGCCCAGCTAATTTTTGTATTTTTTTGTAGAGACGGGGTTTCACCATGTTGCCCAGGCTGGTCTCGAACTCCTGGGCTCTAGGCTTTCCAAAGTGTTGTGATTACGGGCGTGAGCTACTGCGCCTGGCCGATTCTTTTTAACTTAGTACACAGGGAGTAGTAGCTCCAGCAACAGCGAAAGTCAGTAGCTGTAGGATCTACTAGGCGGGGAAACTCATATGACAGCCCCCTCCTTTTTTTTTTTTTTTTTTTTTTTTTTGAGATGGAGTTTCACTCTTGTTGACCAGGCTGGAGTGCAATGGCGCCATCTTGGCTCACCGCAACCTCCGCCTCCCGGGTTCAAGTGATTCTCCTGCCTCAGCCTCCCCAGTATCTGGGATTACAGGTGTGAGCCACTGCGCCCGGCCACCCCCTTTTTTTTTCAAGGCTGCAGTGAGCCATGATCCTGTGACTGCACTCCAGCCACTGACAGCCCTTTCTGCATTAGTTAACCTGACCACATCTGCTGAAAGAAAGCACCAGAAGCTAGACTGAAATTTTCGTTGTCAAAAAAATTATAATCCCCCCCAAAATTTAAAAATTATAATCCAGCACATTTTCTGCACACATTTTCTGGGTATTTGATCATAACTTTTAAAAATGTGAGAACAGTGACATTCTCCTTCCCCATTCACCAATTTTACTATGAAAAAGTTCAAACCTAGGTTATTTTTTCAGTTCTCCAAGTGGAATGATCATCACTAATAGAGATTGGTTGGGAATTCTATTGTGCTTCTAGGCCCCCAAAAATCTCATGCTCTGAGGAAAAGTTAGCTGAGTTTTCAATTTTTCTCATAGTGCTGGAAAATCATCCCTGGACGGTGAAGTCATCCAAGTCTTTTTTGTTTTGTTTTGTTTTTTCTTTCTTTCTTTCTTTCTTTTTTAATTTTTGTATGCTTTGTTTCTATTTCTTTTTTTTTTTGTCATCCAAGTCAGCTGGTGAAACACACAATTTCACTTGATAGCTACTGAGAGAGTGTAATGGGCCACCCATTCTAGAATTCTCAAGGGCTAGGAAGTTCCTTTGATACCCTCATGGGATTAGGATTAGGGCTTTAGTCTTTTTCTCTCTCTCTTTTTTTTTTTTTTTTTTTTTTTTTGATTACAGGCGTGAGCCACCACACCAAGCCCCATTATTTATTTATTTTATTTTATGTATGTATGTATGTATGTATGTATGTATTTATTTATTTTGAGACGGAGTCTCGCTCTATCGCCCAGGCTGGAGTGCAGTGGCGCAATCTAGGCTCACTGCAACCTCCGCCTACCGGGTTCAAGTGATTCTCCTATGTCAGCCTCCCAAGTAGCTGGGATTATAGGCGCCCGCCACCATGCCCAGCTAATTTTTGTATTTTTAGTAGAGACGAGGTTTCACCATCTTGGCCAGGCTGGTCTTGAACTCCTGACCTTGTGATCCACCCGCCTCGGCCTCCCAAAGTGCTGGGATTACAGGCGTGAGCCACCGTGCCTGGCCTAGTGTTTTTCTCACAACTCCACCCCATCCAGAATTAATGACTAAATCCTTGACTGGATGATCAAAGTAAAAGAATCTAAATTCACCACATTGCTAGTCTTTTCTTTTTATCCAGGCTGTGAATTAAATAAGAAATCTGCTGCAGTGGCTCATGCCTGTAATCCCTCCCCTTGGGGAGGCCGAGGCGGGCGGATCACTTGAGCCCAGGAGCTGGAGACCAGCATGGGCAACATGGTGAAACCCTGTATCTACAAAAAATACAGAAAAATTAGCTGGGCATGGTGGTGTGTGCCTGTAGTCCCAGCTACCTGGGAGGCTGAGGTGGGAAGATCGCTTGAGCCCAGGAGATTTAGGCTGCACTGAGCCGTGATTGCACCCCTGCGCTCCAACCTAAGCGACTGAGAACATGTCTCAAAAAAAAAAAAACAAAAAAAAAAACACAAAACAAGTTAGAAATAATCACATAACACATCAGCATCAAACAGGCCTTTTAAAATGTCGTTTTTGACCATCCTGGCTAACACGGTGAAACCCCATCTCTACTAAAAATAGAAAAAATTAGCCGGCCGTGGTGGCGGGCGCCTGTAGTCCCAGCTACTCGGGAGGCTGAGGCAGGAGAATGGCGTGAACCCGGAAGGCGGAGCTCGCAGTGAGCCGAGATTGCGCCACTGCACTCCAGCCTGGGCGACAGAGCGAGACTCCGTCTCAAAAAAAAAAAATGTCATTTTTGTATATGGATGATGAGTACATGAATGTTCACTGAGGAATTCTTTGAACTTTTCGTGTTTACAATTTTTTATGATAAAATGTTGGGGGAAATGTTACTTTCTTTTTTTTTTTTTTTTTTTTTTTTTTTGAGACGGAGTCTCGCTTTGTCACCCAGGCTGGATTACAGTGGCATGATCTCAGCTCATGGCAACCTCTACCTCCCAGGTTCAAGCGATCCTCCTGCCTCAGCCCCCCTAGTAGCTGGGATTACAGGCAAGCGCCACCACGCCCCGTTAATTTTTGTATTTTGTATTTTTGTAATTTTGTATTTTTGTATTTTGTATTTACAGGGATGTCGCCATGTTACCAGGCTGATCTTGAACTCCTGACCTCAGGTGATCCACCTGCCTTGGCCTCCCAAAGCGTTGGGATTACACGCTCGAGCCACCACACCTAGACCAGATGTAGGTTTCTAATAGCTTTCTACATCCTGAAGGAAAACAGGCAGTGAGGGTGAAAGTTGCTTCAAATTTTAGAAACTGTGAACATTCTGTGGAAATAAATCCTTATTATTTGAGCCTCTTTTTGAATTAAGGTGTCCAAACCCTTTTGAATTAACATATGATCCAGCAATTTTACTTCTAGGTATGTACACCAAAGAATAGAAAACAGGGGCCAGGCGCGGTGGCTCACACCTGTAATCCCAGCACTTTGGGAGGCCGAGGCAGGCAGATCACTTGAGGTCAGGAGTTCAAGACCAGCCTGACCAACATGGAGAAACCCCGTCTCTACTAAAAAAAAAAAAAAAAAAAAAATTATCTATATATATATTTATACATATATATATATAAAATTAGCCAGGCATGGTGGCGCATACCTGTCATCCCAGCTACTTGGGAGGCTGAGGCAGGAGAATCACCTGAACCCAGGAGGCAGAGGTTGTGGTGAGCTGAGATTGCGCCTTTGCAGTCCAGACTGCGCAACAAGAGCGAAACTCAGTCTCAAAAAAAAAAAAAAGGAAAACAGAAACTTAAGCTGATATTTGCACACCAATAGCAGCATTATTCCCATAGACAAAAGGTGGAAACCAGCAATGACCATCTAAAAATAAATGGATAGGCCGGGCGCCGTGGCTCAGCACTTTGGGAGGCTGAGGCAGGAGGATCACTTGAGGTCAGGAGCTTGAGACCAGCCTGGCCAACATGGTGAAACCCTGTCTCTACTAAAAATACAAAAATTAGCCAGGATTGGTGGCACGCACCTGTAATCCCAGTTAGTTACTCGGGAGGCTGAGACAGGAGAACTGCTTGAACCCCAGAGGCGGAGGTTGCATGGGCTGAGATTGAGTCTATGTACTCCAGCTTGGGCAACAGAGCGAGACTCCCCCTCAAAAAAAAAAAAAAAAAGGATAAACAGTTGGTCCGGGCGGCAGCTCATGCCTATAGTCCCAGCACTTTGGGAGGCCAAGATGGGAGGATCACTTGGGCCCAGGAGTTCGAGACCAGCCTGGGCAACATGGTGAGATCCTGTCTGTACGAAAAATACAGAAAGTATCCAGCTGAAGTGGGAGGAGGATCACTTGAGGCCTGGAAGCAGAGGTTGAAGTGAGCTGAGATCGCGCCACTGCATTCCAGCCTGGGCGACAGAGCCAAAAGCTGTCTCAAAAAAGAATGAATGGGACCGGGCGCGGTGGCTCACGGCTGTAATCCCAGCACTTTGGGAAACCAAGGCGGGTGGATCACCTGAGGCCAGGAGTTCAAGACCAGCCTGACCAACATGGTGAAACCCCGTGTCTACTAAAAATAATCCCAGCTCCTCGGGAGGCTGAGGCAGGAGAATCGCTTGAACCTGGGAGGCGGAGGTTGATCTCGCCATTGCGCTCCAGCCTGGGCAACAAAAGCAAAACTTCGTCTCAAAAAAAAAAATAGACAAGAATAAATGGGCTGGGTGAAGTGGCTCACACCTGTAATTCCAGCACTTTGGGAGGCCGAGGCAGGCAGATCACGTGAGGTCAGGAGTTTGAGACCAGCCTGGCCAACATGGTGAAATCCTGTCTCTACTAAAAATACAAAGAGTGGTGGCATGCATCTGTAATCCCAGCTACTTGAGAGATGGAGGCAGGAGAATCGCTTGAATCCGGGAGGCAGTGGTTGCAATGAGCCGAGATCATGCCACTGCACTCCAGCCTGGGCAACAAGAGCAAAAACTCCATCTCAAAAAAAAAAAAAGATAACATCTCATACAGTGAAATATTATTCAGCCATAAAATTAATGAATTCCTGATATATACTACAACATGGATGAACCTTAAAAACATTATTCTGAATGAAATAAGACTGACCTCAAGGACAAATATTGTATGATTCCATTTATATATATATAAAGTACTCACAAAGTCATAGAGATAGAAAGTAGAAAAGAGGTTGCCACGGGGGCTGGAGGAGAAGGGAACAGGGAGTAAGGGTTTAATGGGTACAGAGTCTCAGTTTCCACCCTTGGGCATGAAAGATAAAGTTCTGGAGGTAAGTAGTGATGATGGTTACACAACAATGTGAACATATTCTATGCCAGTGAATTTACACTTAAGGTTAAAATGGTAAATTTTATGTATACTTTGGCATAATTTAAAAAAAAGTTTGAAAAAGAAAAAAGACAAAACAATAATCGTCTTTGGAGAAGTCTGTTACACTGAATCTGGAGCCAAGTGAACAGAACCCTGATTTTGATCCCTTTTCTCTCAAAAGCCCTTCGCAGTCTCTGAATTAAGTCTATTAGCATGTTCCTCCCATAGTGCTTTGCTTCATATCAACAAAAACCTAGCTAAGTGAAATCAGCAACGATATGCAGAAACCACCTACGCAGGTCACAAACATCTTTCTATGATTGTATAATTTTCAAGCAAGCAATAAGTGAAGATTTTTCCATAGGCCCTAAACTCACCTTTGCGAAATAGGAAGCTGGTTTATTGGGAGTGATGAGCAGGGGGCGTAACAAATTAGCTTTGCGCAGTGGCAGTATCGTAGCCAATGAGGTCTATCCGAGGCGCGATTATTGCTAATTGAAAACTTTTCCCAATACCCCGCCGTGACGACTTGCAATATAGTCGGCACTGGCAATTTTTGACAGTCTCTACGGAGACTGAATTTTCTTGCAGTTGAACAACAGAGGCTTTTTTTGTGTGTGTGGGGGTGCTTGGTTTTGGGAGGTTGAAGAGTACTTGTTCGCAAACTCTCTAAATGAGAGATGGGGAAGTGTCTTACCAGCTGATTCGCGAGAGCACCTGCAAGTTTACCTGTTTTAGTGATTTGCGTTTATGAAAGTTGGAGTTGCTGATTTTGTGATCTCTACTTTTAAGGTAAAAGCAGGGCGGTGTTGACTTTTCTTGCCAGTTGGCTGTCCTGTTTTCTTTCTCGCACTGTTTTCTTTTTGAGACGAAGTCTGTCGCTCAGGCTGGAGTGCACTGGCGTGATCTCGGCTCGCTGCAAACTTTGCCGAACCCCTGTTTAGCGATTTCCGTTTGTGAAAGTTGGAGTTGCTGATTTTGTGATCTCTACTTTTAAGGTAAATGCAGGGCGGTGTTGACTTTTCTTGCCAGCTGGCTGTCCTGTTTTCTTTCTCTCGCACTGTTGTTTTCTTTTTGAGACGAAGTCTGTCGCTCAGGCTGGAGTGCACTGGCGCGATCTCGGCTCGCTGCAAACTGCCGCCCGGGTTCAAGCGATTCTCGTGCCTCAGCCTCCCGACTAGCTGGGATTACAGGCGCCTGCCCACCGCACCCCGCTGATTTTTTTGTATTTTTAGTAGCGACCCCGTTTCACCATCTTGTCCAGGCTGGTCTTGAACTCCTGACCTCGTGATCCACCCGCCTCGGCCTCCCAGAGTGCTGGGATTACAGGCGTGAGCCACCGCGCCCAGCCGTGTTCTCCATTCAGATTTTGTCACAGTGACGTCCTAAAATTATTCCCAACTCCCCCCACCCTGCTGTTTCCGCACCCTCGAGCACAGCTAGTCGTCCGTCTGCGCCCTCCAGGCTCGCTTTCCCACTGCTCACTCTCCTCGCTCAAAATTCAAGTCTCAACCGAGTCATCTCTGTGACGTCACGTTGATTTGCATAAGATTCCCCAGCGTCCCAAGCGAATATTCTTATGGTTTTCAAAACCTGAATGTTTGACACGGGATGTTCCAACAACAAGAAACCTCCTATGCAGATGGGCCTTAAATACGGCTGGTGGAGTGGGAACACGTCGTATACACGGACACACGGGCAGGCACTCACCCTCAATGTAATGGTAGTCATCATCCGTGGGGGAGCGGGGCGCGAACAGAACCTTTCCAGCTTTGCGCAGTGGCAGTATCGTAGCCAATGAGGTTTATCCGAGGCGCGATTATTGCTAATTGAAAACTTTTCCCAATACCCCGCCATGACGACTTGAAATATAGTCGGCATTGGCAATTTTTGACAGTCTCTACGGAGACTGAATTTTTAAAAGTCTAAAGAAAAGGGTTTTAGGAAGTTGTATTATAGCAGGTTGTGTCTTATGTTTGGTTTGATAAGTTATGAGCTGTTCCTATGATAGTTTTTTGGTTGTTGTTCAGGAGTATTCCGTGATTGAATGTCCGGGGTTCTGTGCGGGTACTGTGAGTTGTTTTCCAAAATGTATGACACTATGTTGGGAACTGGGTTCTAACTAAGACAGTTATCGTTAATCTTTTTTATCCAAATGCAGCCAGCGAGTGAGCTACTCCACTTCCTTTGTCACTGAAGGTCACAGATTCCCTTAAAGGGAAGGGGAACTCTAAAACTAACACATTAATACATCCAAAGTCTTCCTTTTTTTTTTTTTTTTTTTTTTTGAGACGGAGTTTTCGCTGTTTCCCAGGCTGGGGTACAGTGGCGCGATCTCGGCTGACTGCAACCTCCACATTCCGGGTTCAAGCGATTCTCTGTCTCAGCCTCCGGAGTAGCTGGGATTACGGGAGCCCAACATCACGCCCGGCTCATTTTTGTATTTTTAGTGGAGACGGGGTTTCGCCTTCTTGGCCAGGCTGGTTTCAAACTCCTGACCTCAGGTGATCCGCCTACCTCGGCCTTCCGAAGTGCTGGGATTACAGGTGTGAACCACCGCGTTTTCTTCCTTTTAAAGCGACCAAGAGGGAAAAAGGCACAGAAGATTGCTCAGGTCCTACTGTGGAGTCCTCGGCAGAGCTGGGGCTTATCAGGTTCTCTTGCCCCTAGTGTGGTACTTGTTCCCACTACACCAGCCTCTTCCAGTCTTACCTTTTTACGAAGACCTGGGCTGTCCATGGACAGAGGTCCTCAGGAGTCACAACTCTGGGCATGGCGGATCCAGCTGGACCTGCTTAGGACACCGCCCATAAAAGACTCCTCCAGCCTGTAGCAAAAAGAGGTGGCAAAAAGGGTGGCAACAGTACCTACAAGGTCAAAGACGGTGCTGGGAAAAACAGCTCCAGTGGCAAATTAAACTCAGTCCCCAGTTCAAGGACCTCACAGACTGGAGACGTGGAGGCGAAGGTAGCAGTGAGCTGAAATTGCGCCACTGCACTCCAGCCTGGGTGACAGTGAGACTCTGTCTCAAAAAAAAAGAAAAAAGAAAGAAGAAGAAGCCGGGAGCGGTGGCCCACGCCTGTCATCCCAGCACTTTGGGAGGCCAGGGCGGGCAGATCACGAGGTCAGGAGTTCAAGACCAGCCTGGCCAACATGGTGAAACCCTATCTCTACTAAAAATACAAAAAAAAAAAAAAAAAAAAAAAATTAGCCAGCCATGGTCGTGGGCGCCTGTAATCCCAGCTACTCGGGAGGCTGAGGCAGGGGAGTCGCTTGAACCCGGGAGGCGGAGATTGCAGTGAGCCAAGACCGCGCCATTGCCCTCCAGCCTGGGCGACAGAGTGAGACTCCGTCTCAAAAAGAAAAAAAAAAAAGTTATCCAAAACTTAGAAATAACGTGAAAAGAAGAGTGCATGTCCTTTCAAAATCAAACTACAACAATTTCTTAAATTTTGGCGTGCATAAAAATAACCTTGAGAATTTGTTAAGACACAGATCGAATCCCCATTCCTAGAGATTCCAATTCAGGAGGCCTGGGATGGAGACTAAGATTCTGCATTTCTAAAAGTTCGCAGGTGCTGGTCCAGGGTCCACAGCTTGAACAGCAGGGGAAGAAATGTAGCATTGTATAATTAGCATCATCACACGCTAGAAGAAAACTCGACTTACTGTTTATTGCAGATTTTTTATTAGAGATGGGTTCTTGGCCGGACCTGGTGGCTCACGCCTGTAATCCCAGCACTTTGGGAGGCCAAGGCAGGAGGATCTCTTGAGTCCAAGAGTTCAAGACCAGCTTGGGCAACATCATGAGACACTTGTCTCTACCAAAAAATATGAGAATGTTTTTGTTGTTGTTCTTTTTGTTTTTGTTTTTTGGAGAGAGCAGGGTCTCACCCCGTCACCCCAGCTGGAGTGCAGTCATGCAATATCAGCTCACTGCAATCTCCACTTCCCAGGCTCAAGTGATCCTCTCACCTCAGCCTCCTGAGTAGATGGAACTATAGGCACGTGCCACCACACTCAGCTAATTTTATTTTATTTTTTGTAGGGGTGGAGGTTTTGCATATTGCTCAAGCTAGTCTCAAACTCCTGGGCTCAAGCCACCCACCTGCCTTGGCCTCCCAATGTGCTGAGATTACAGGCATGAGCCATCGTGCCTGGAAAAATTAAAAAATTAGTGTTTGCCTGTAATCCTAGCTACTCAGGAGGCTGAGGCAGGAGGGTTGCTTGAGCCTAGGAGGTCGAGGCTGCAGTGAACCGTGATATCGCCACCGCACTCCAGCCCAGGTGACAGAGTGAGACCCTATCTCAAAATCCCCCACAAGGAAAATCCAAACAAAAAAATTGAGGTAAAATTTACATAACATAAAATTAACCATATTAAAGTGGATCCATTTTTTTGTTATTATTCTGCAAGCAAGGAGGGGAGAGAGGGCTTCATGTGATTTTTACGTATCATTGTTTTCTGTTTCAAATCTAAATTCTTTTTTCTGAATACAAAAATTACTGCATGTTTGTATATAAAATTCAAATATACACATGAAACAGTGACAAAGGCTCTCACAATAATCTCACCTTGACTCCAAGGAGATAGTCACAGGTACGTGAGATTATTCCTCCAAAATGTTCTACTTATAGGTCAACATAATTATTAACAAAAATTGGATTATACTTGGCCGGGCGCAGTGGCTCACACCTGTAATCCCAGCACTTTGGGAGGCCGAGGCAGGTGGATCATGAGGTCAGGAGATCGAGACCATCCTGGCTAACACGGTGAAACCCTGTCTCTACTAAAAATACAAAAAAAATTAGCCAGGCGTGGTGGCGGGCGCCTGTAGTCCCAGCTACTTGGGAGGCTGAGGGAGGAGAATGGCATGAACCTGGGTGGCGGAGCTTGCAGTGAGACAAGATCGTGCCACTGTACTCCAGCCTGGGCGACAGAGCGAGACTCCATCTCAAAAAAAAAAAAAAAAATTGGATTATACTCTACATATAGTTCTATTACTTCCTTTTTCTTTCTGCTGTACAATACATTGTGGACACATTTTCCATGCCAGCACCTAATTCCCCTTTTCCCATATGGATGTGACCTACCAAGGTTAACCAATCCCCCATTATTGGACACGTGAGTTGTTTCCAGTTTTTCCCATAAGCAATGCTATAATGAATACGCTTGATGCTACGTCATCTTTCCTTACTCTTGGGGTATTTCTGGGGAGAAATCTCTTTCTTTCTTTCTTTCTTTTTTTTTGAGACGAAGTTTTGCTCTTGTTGCTCAGGCTGGAGTACAGCGGCATGATCTCGGCTGATGGCAACCTCCGCCACCCGGGTTCAAGCGATTCTCCTGCCTCAGCCTCCCGAATAGCTGGGACTACAGGCACCTGCCACCACGCCTGACTAATTTTGTATCTTTAGTAGAGACAGGGTTTCACCATATTGGTCAGGCTGGTCTCGATCTCCTCGCCTCAGGTAATCTGGGCGTGGGGAAAATTTCTATAGGTAGAATTGCCTCCTCAAAGGCCATGCTTATTTTGCGTTTTAAGGGATATCCCTATACTGGCACCCCTAAGACTATACCAATGTATTTGCCCAACAAATCACATATGAGGACAGCTGGAGAAGGTTTGACATATACATATTTTTTTTTTTTTGAGACGGAGTCTTGCTCTGTTGCCCAGGCTGGAGTGTAATGGTGCGATCTCAGCTCACTGCAACCTCTGCCTCCTGGGTTCAAGCGATTCTCCTGCCTCAGCCTCCTGAATAGCTGGGATTACAGGCATGTGCCACCACGCCCAGCTAATTTTTGTATTTTTAGTAGAGATGGAGTTTTGCCACATTTGCCAGGCTGGTCTTGAACTCCTGACCTCGTGATCCACTAGCCTCGGCCTCCCAAAATGCTGGGATTGCAGGCGTGAGCCACCGCGCCTGGCCTGATACATACATTTGTAAGTGTTCTGCAGCTTTCACGGGGCTGTCACGGGTCAGGGAGGGGAAGAAGCGGGAGGGTGAACGTGCATCCATTTTCCTGAGGCGCTGAGTGTACAATCCAGCTTCAACCTAGGTTTGTCTTCCAGCTGTTTTCCAGGTGGAGAGAAGGGAGAAGGGGCTGTGTTGGGTGAGATAAAATGTCTCGGAGGGAGGAGAAATCTGGGCTCATCCAAAACTGACCTTCTCCCTATCCACCATGTAGGTAATATCCTTGGATACATTAGCCACCCCACCCGCCATGAGGCCAACCCCCACCCACCCTCCCACCCACTGGCTCCAGAGGATGGAAAAGCCCTACTACAAGGGCTATCTCAGCAGGGAAAGAGCCCACAGACCCCTAAACAATCTGCTCAGTGTTCAAGGCACTGCAGAATGTTAGCAAGAATCACCAGCTTCTAGGTTAAAAATATCCCATGCCCAAGGGGCCCTCAGTGTCTGTCTCAAAACAGAGCTGGCTCTAAGCTCTACAGTTTCTCCATTGCTGGGAAATTAACTGAGGCCAACTGATTTTTTTTTCCCCCATGAAGCTTTGAAGCCAGACTTGGGTTCAAGACCTTGCTTCGTTATTCTCTACTTGCATGACGGTAAGCCACTCATCTACCCTCTCATGCTTCAGTGTCCCTGGCTGTAAAAACAAAAAGAGTCCTGATTCTATCTCAGAGTTCGGTAGGTCTCCACCCTGACTGTGTGTGCAAGAAAACCACCTGAGGAGCTTTACAAAAATCCCTGTGCCCCGGCTGCATTCCAGACCCATTAAATCAGAATTTCTGAGGAATGGGTCAGGGCAAAAAAAATGTGTGTTAAAGCTTCCAATGTTTCTGCAAAGATGAGACCCACTACCAGAGAGGTTCGGTGAGTATCTTTTGTTTGTTTGTTTTTGAGATGGAGTCTCGCTCTGCTGCCCAGGCTGGAGTGCAGTGGCGCGATCTCGGCTCACTGTAACCTCCACCTCCTGGGTTCAAGTGATTCTCGTGCCTCAGCCTCCCAAGTAGCTGGGACTACAGGCACCCACCACCACACCCGGCTAATTTTTTGGATTTTTAGTAGAGACGGGGTTTCACCGTGTTAGCCAGGATGGTCTTGATCTGACCTCCTGATCCACCTGCCTCAGCCTCCCAAAGTGCTGGGATTACAGGCATGAGCCACCACGACCGGCCAGAGATTTGGTGAGTATTAAGTGAGATATGGGAAGAGTGCTTCCTTTGGTGCCTGTTTCAGAGTTAAGTACTTTAGTGGGGATGGGGTGGTCATGGGACTGACTAGCTAAGCCTGGGTAGTTGTCAAGGAGGGCTTCCTGAAGAAGGGGGTAGCTGAGCTGTGAACTGAAGGAGGAGAGGCATTAACCGGGACAAAGAGGGCAGGATGGATTTTAGCAGTGGTAACAGCACTGGCAGGGGCCTGGAGTCAGGAATATGTGGCCTTTCTGTTGTGGTTGTTGTTGTTGAGATAGAGTCTTGCTCTGTTGCCCAGGCTGGAGTGCAGTGGTGCAATCTCGGCTCACTGCAACCTCCACCTCCCGGGTTCGGGCGATTCTCTGGCCTCAGCCTCCCGAGTAGCTGGGATCACAGGTGCTCGTCACCACACCTGGCTAATTTTTTATATTTTTAGTAGAGATGGGTTTCCACCATGTTGACCAGGCTGGTCTCGGATTCCTGACCTCAGGTGATCCGCCTGCCTTGGCCTCCCAAAGTGCTGGGATTACAGGCGTGAGCCCAGCCTTTTTTTCCTTTCTTTCTTTCTTTCTTTCTTTTTTTTTTTTGAGCTGGAGTTTCAGTCTGTCACCCAGGCTGGAGTCCAATGGCACGATCTCGGCTCACTGCAACCTCCACCTCTCAGGCTCAAGCAATTCTCCTGCCTCAGCCTCCCAAGTAGCTGGGATTATAGGCGTGGGCTACCACGCCCAGCTACTTTTGTAGTTTAGTAGAGATGGGGTTTCACCATATTGGCCAGGCTGGCCTCGAACTCCTGACCTCAAGTGATCCACCCACCTCAACATCCCAAAGTGCTGGGATTAGAGGCGTGAGCCACTGTGCCCGGTGTTTTTGTTTGTTTGTTTGTTTTTGTCTCTTTTTTTGAGATAGAGTCTCTCTCTCTGTTGCCCAGGCTGGAGTACAGTGGTGTAATCTCGACTCACTGCAGCCTCCGCCTCCCGGGTTCAAGTAATTCCCGTGCCTTAGCCTCCCAAATACCTGAGACTACAGGCATGCATCACCATGCCCAGCTAATTTTTGTATTATTTATTATTATTACTTTTTGAGACAGAGTTTCACTCTTGTTGTCCAGGTGAAGTGCAATGGCACAATCTCAGCTCACCGCAACCTCCGTCTCCCAGGTTCAAGCGATTCTCCTGCCTCAGCTTCCTGAGTAGCTGGGATTACAGGCATGCGCCACCACACCTGGCTAATTTTGTATTTTTAGTAGAGATGGGGTTTCTCCATGTTCAGGCTGGTCTCGAACTCCCGATCTCAGGTCATCCACCTGCTTTGGCCTCCCAGAGTGCTGGGATTACAGGCGGGAGCCACCATACCTGGCCATCGTGGCCAATTTTTTTTTTTTTTTAGGTGGAGTCTTGCTCTGTCTCCCAGGCTGGAGTACAGTGGCACGATCTCAGCTTACTGCAACCTTTGCCTCCTGGGTTCAAGTGATTCTCCTGCCTCAGCCTCCTGAGTAGCTGGGATTATAGTCATGCACCACCACGCCTGGCTGACTTTTGTATTTTTAGTAGAGATGGGGTTTCGCCATGTTGGCCAGCCTGGTCTCGAACTCCTGTCCTCAAGTGATCCACCCGCCTTGGCCTCCCAAAGTGATGAGATTACAGGCATGAGCCACCACGCCCGGCCCAACAAGGCTTATTGAACAACCTGAAAATTATTCCCAGTGAGTGGAGCTGAGAAGGGAGGAAGTAGAGAGAGTTGGTGAGGAGGTACATACTGGGTCCTCCAATGAGATCATGAAAAACCACTGGGCTTTATTCTGGTGTCATGAAGGTTTTATGCAGGGCAGTAACCCAGACTGTGTCCTTCTCCCAAATTCAGAGGCAACCAGAGCCTTCCCAAGGCACTGTGTCCAAGTCGGCTGGGAATCCTGGACTTGCCCAAAGGCTGTGGCACAACCCTGACACTCCCCTTCATGAGTCAGACAGTCTTGGGTTTGAATCCTGACTCTTCCACTTTGTAGCTGTAGCTGGGAGCAGGTGACTTTACTTAATAAGCCTCAGTTTCCTGGCCTGTAAATAGGACATAAAACACCCATTAGGTTTTAAAGACTTAACGTGATGCTTTACACGTGTTAAACAATGTGTACTCAATAATAATAATATTTATTATTAACTCACAACAACTCGATTCAGCACTTGGGTGGCTGGATAAATCCCCAAATCTGTCCTTTTCCCTCTTAGCCCTAAAGTCTCACCTCGGTTCTTCAATGATGCTAATAGCTACAATTTCTCAGCCCTTTTTGTGCATTTTTGTTTTTGTTGTTAAATCCACATAACAGCCATGGAAGGCATATATATGTTTTATTATCCAGATTTACAAAGAAGGCAACTGAGGCTCAGAGTGGTCAAGTCACTTGGTCTCAAACCACACAACTACTAAGTATTAAACCTGTAGAACCTCACTCCCATTTTACTGAAGAGAAAAGTGAGGCTCAGAAAGGTGAAAGATGAGGTATCATGCCAAAGACTACACAGTTGGCAAATAGAACTGGGATTTTTTTTTTTTTTTTTAGATGGGGTCTCACTGTGTCACCCAGGCTGGAGTGCAGTGGTGGAAGCTCAGCTGACCGCAACCTCCGCCTCCCGAGCTCAAGCGATCCTCCCACCTCAGCCTCCCGAGTAGCTGGGACCACAGGCACCCACCACCACGCCTGGCTAATTTTTTGTTTTTTTGGTACAGACAGGGTTTCGCCATGTTGCCCAGGCTGGTCTCGACCTCCTGAGCTCAAGTGATCCACCCACCTCAGCCTGGGAAGTACTGGGATTATATGCGTGAGCCACTGCACCCAGCCAGAACTGAGATTTAAACCCTTGCCTGTTTTGGGTTTCCTGGACACGAGGAGCCTCTCCTAGAGGGCCGAAGGGCCTGGTAG
Organism: Homo sapiens; assembly: GCF_000001405.40. Taxonomy (NCBI): domain Eukaryota; kingdom Metazoa; phylum Chordata; class Mammalia; order Primates; family Hominidae; genus Homo; species Homo sapiens. Next base: position 120,283,594 of record NC_000012.12, on the reverse strand, counting down.
GACCCACCCTCTGAGCCATGAGGCTCCTCCTTGAGATAAGCCAGGGGAGGCTGGAAACTTTCCGTCTTACTACCCCTATTCTGGGGCCCTCGGCATACCTTTCCAAATACCAACCCCTCCTTCCAGAATGCTCTTCCCACAGCCTCCCTTTCGCAAAACATCAAGCTAGGGTTAGCTCTTTTCCAGGAAATGTTTTCAAGTCTCAGTTGAATCACTCTTGAGCGGTTGAGGCCCCTCTTGTTATTGTCTGTACTGCCTTTCTTTTCTTTCTTTTTTCTTTCTTTTCTTTCTTTCTTTTTTTTTTTTTTTTTTGAGATGGAGTCTCACTCTATCGCCCAGCCTGGAGTGCAGTGGCGCGATCTCGGCTCACTGCAACCTCCGCCTCCCGGGTTCAACTGATTCTCCTGCTTCAGCCTCCCGGGTGGCTGGGACTACAGGCACGTGCTACCACGCCCGGCTACTTTTCCGTATTTTTAGTAGAGACGGGGTTTCACTGTATTAGCCACGATGGTCTTGATGTCCTGATCTTGTGATCCGCCCACCTCAGCCTCCCAAAGTGCTGGGATTACAGGCATGAGCTACCGCTCGCGGCCCGTCTGTGTCTCTTTCTTTCTATTTAACTTTCCCCTTCCTTCCTTCCTTCCTTCCTTCCTTCCTTCCTTCCTTCCTTCCTTCCTTCCTTCCTCCCTCCCTCCCTTCCTCCCCTCCCTCCCCTTCTCTCTTTCTCTCTTTTTTTTTTCCAGCTTCCAAAAGCTTTATTGGCAAATATGCTCTATAAAAGAATGATCAATCCTGTTGCCTCTAAGTCAGTAGAATGAAGAGCTGTGTCCAGGGACACACCACACCGTGCTGAAGGAGACTGCTGCTGTGTCCACCTCTTATTCATAGACCCAGTCATGAGCACAAGACTTGTAGTCAACCAGTTCTTCAGGCTTAAACCGTAGGCTGATTTCTTTTTCAGCACTTTTTACTGAATCACTGCCATGAATGATGTTCCTGCCAACCTGAATGCAAAAGTCCCCACGAATGGTGCCTGGCTTAGAATCTGCTGGATTGGTCTCCCCAAGCATCACTCGGCCTGTCTTCACGACGTTCAGCCCCTCCCAGACCATGGCCACGACCGGCCCTGAGTTCATGTACTTCACCAGCCCAGGGAAGAATGGGCGGTCCTTCAGGTCAATGTAGTGCTGCTTCAGGTGTTCTTCAGAGGCCGGGAGGAACTTCATGGCCACGAGGCGGAACCCCTTCTGCTCGAAGCGCTTGATGATCTTGCCCACCAGGCCGCACTGCATGCTGTCCGGCCTGATGGTGATGAAGGTGCGCTCGAGGTTGGCCGTGGTCCGGGAAGCTGGAGGGGCCAGGCGGCAGTGCTGCGCTCCTCTCTTTCTTTTTTGGAACAAGGACTTGCTCTGTCACCCAGGCTGGAGTGTAATGGTGTGATCATGGCTCACTGCAGCCTCCAACTCCTGGGCTCAAGCAATCTTCCTTCCTCAACATCCCCAGTACCTAGGACTACAGGTTGGCACCTCTACAACTGGATAATTTTTTAATGTTTTGTAGAGATGGGCTGTTTTCCTGAACTCAAGTGATCCTCCCGCCTGGCTTCCCTAAGTGCTGAGATTATAGGCACTAGCCACCACACCCGTCCAGTAGTGACATTTTTTTAAATGTACTTTTTAAAAATTATTTATTTATTTTATTTTTATTTTTTGAGACAGAGTCTCCCTCTTGTCACCCAGGCTGGACTGCAATGGTGCGATCTCAGCTCACTGCAACCTCCCACTCCTGGGTTCAAGTGATTCTCCTGCCTCAGCCTCCCCAGTAGCTGGGATTACAGGCATACCACCATGCCTGGCTAATTTTTGTATTCTTAGTAGAGACGGGGTTTCACCATGTTGGCCAGGCTGGTCTAGAACTCTTGACCTCGTGATCCGCCCGCCTCGGCCTCCCAAAATGCTGGGATTACAGGTGTGAGCCACTGTGCCTGGCCTATTTTTGTAAAATATTAATTTGTTTTAGCAATAGATTAAGTTACATATGTGGGCCGAGCTCAATGGCTCACACCTGTAATCCCAGCACTTTGGGTGGCCAAGGCAGGCAGATTACACGAGGTCAGGAGTTCAAGACCAGCCTGGCCAACATGGTGAGACCCCATCTCTACTAAAGATACAAAAAATTAGCTGGGCACGGTGGCATGCATCTGTAATCCCAGCTACTCAGGAGGCTGAGGCAGGAGAATCGCTTGAACCCAGCAGGCGGAGGTTGTAGTGAGCCGAGATCGTGCCATTGGACTGCAGCCTGGAAATAGAGCAAGACTCCGCCCCTAAAAAAAAAAATTCAAACTATGCAAAAGAGTACTTAGTGAAATCTCCTTTCTACTCTTGATTCCCAGCCACCCCATTCCTCCAGCCCCAACCCTAGCCAGTTAACATTGGTAGTGTGCATTCTTCCAGAGTTGTTTCAATTTAATTTGTATAAGTATCTTTTTTATCTTTTTTTTTTTTTTTTTTTTTTAGACACAGCCTCACTCTGTCCTCCAGTCTGGAGTATAGTGGCACACTGCATTCTTCACCTCCTGGGCTCAAGTGATCCTCCTACCTCAGTCTCCTGAGCAGCTGGGACTACAGGCGCCCACCACCATGCCCGACTAACTTTTTTCGTATTTTTTTAGAGATGGGGTTTCACCATGTTGCCCAGGTTGGTCTGGAACTCCTGGGCTCAAGCAGTCCACCTTCCCTGACCTCCCAAAGTGTTGGGATTACAGGCGTGAGCCACTGCACCCAGCCTTGTATAAGTACCTTTTTTTTTTTTTTTTGAGACGGAGTTTCACTCTTGTTGCCCAGGCTAGAGTGCAATGGCTCAATCTCTGCTCAACACAACCTCCCCCTCCGGGTTCAAGTGATTCTCCTGCCTCAGCCTCCCGAGTAGCTGGGATTACAGGCGTAAGCCACCACGCCTGGCTAATTTTTGTATTTTTAGTAGAGATGGGGTTTCACCAAATTGGCCAGGCTGGTCTCGACCTGCTGACCTTGTGATCCGCCTGCCTTGGCCTCCCAAAGTGCTGGGATTACAGACGTGAGCCACCGCGCCGGCCTGTATAAGTATCTTATAATCATATTGTATCCCACTTTTTCCCACAAATGATACACACGTTACCTACATCGTTCAGTGTTATGTTTTCAGATCTTGGAAGCTGTTTCGTTTCAGTACATTTGAGCTTCCTGGGATCTTTTCTGTGGCTACATAATTTTCCGTTGTAGAACTGTATGTGATTTAATTAAACAGCCCCCTATTGATGGACATTTGAGTTGTTTCCAGTCTCTTGCTCTTAAAAACAGCACTGCGGCTGGGCATGGTGGCTCACGCCTGTAATCTCAACATTTTGGGAGTCCGAGGCAGGTGGATCACGAGGTCAGGAGTTCGATACCAGCCTGGCCAACTTGGTGAAACCCCATCTCTACTAAAAATACAAAAATTACCCGGGTGTGGTGGCTCACGCCTGTAATCCCAGCTACTCGGGATGCTGAGGCAGGAGAATTGCTTGAACCTAGGAGGCGGAGGTTGCAGTGAGCCGAGATTGTGCCATTGCACTCCAGCTCTGGGCAACAGAGCAAGACTCCATCTTGGGGAAAACAAACAAACAAACAAAAAAACGGGCCGGGCATGGTGGCTCATGCCTGTAATCCCAGCACTTTGGGAGGCTGAGACGGGCAGATCACGAGGTCAGAAGATTGAGACCATCCTGGCTAACACGGTGAAACCCCGTCTCTACTAAAAATACAAAAAAAAAATTAGCCGGGAATGGTGGTGGGCGCCTGTAGTCCCAGCTACTCGGGAGGCTGAGACAGGAGAATGGTGTGAACTCGAGGGGTGGAGCTTGCAGTGAGCTGAGATCGCGCTACTGCACTCTAGCCTGGGCGACAGAGGAGAGTCCGTCTCAAAAAAAAAAAAAAAAAAAAAAAAAAAACCACTGCAGTTAAGACCCCTGTACTGTCTTGTGTGTCAGTCCTGGGAAGATCTGTGAATGGCCTGAGAAGGAGGAGAGAGGTTTGGGCTGGGGGCCAGGAGATTGGGGTTTTCATCCTGATGCTACAACTAATTATGCAGCCCAGCTCACTCATCTCCTGGCATCTCCATGTTGCCAGTCTTTCATTCGTTCAAAAATAGTTACTCAAACCTACCATTCCAGATGCTGGTGAACAAGCAGCAAACAAGACAGACATAGTCCCTGTTCTCATAGCCCTGACATTTTAATGGGGGAGGCAGAGACAAATAATAAACAAGTACACAAATAAACGCAGAATATAATGGCAGAAGGTGAACCTCAACAAATACCAGGGTAAGGAGTCTGATTTGGTGGGGTACGGGGAGACTTTAGATAAAATGTTCAGGACCCACAGAGGTGGCACGTGAACAGCTATGCCAAGATCTGAGATCAGCTATGTCAAGATCCCAAAGTGCTAGGATTACAGGCATGAGCCACTGCACTTAGCCCAATAAAGTTGATTTTTAAAAAAAAAACATAACAGCTCCCTCCCCCTCCCCCATCCCCCTCCCCCTCCCCCTCACCCGCTCCCTCTTTCTTTCTTCGGTCTCCTTCTGTTGCCAAGGCTGGACTGTACTGCCGTGGTCTCGGCTCGCTGCAGCCTCCCTGCCCCGGGCTCCCCTGGTTCTCCTGCCTTGGCCTGCCGAGTGCCTGGGATTGCGGGCACGCGCCGCCACGCCTGACTGGTTTTTGTATATTTGGAGGAGACACGGTTTCGCCCTGTTGACTGGGCTGGTCTCTGGCTCCTGACCTCGAGTGGTCTGCCCGCCTCGGCCTCCTGGGGTACTGGGATTGCAGACGGAGTCTCGGTCACTCAGTGCTCAGTGTTGCCCAGGCTGGAATGCAGTGGCGTGATCTCGGCTCGCTGCAACCTCCACCTTCCAGCCGCCTGCCTTGGCCTCCCAAAGTGCTAAGATTACAGCCTCTGCCCGGCCGCCCCGTCTGGGAAGCGAGGAGCACCTCTGCCTGGCCGCCCCGTCTGGGAAGCGAGGAGCCCCTCTGCCCGGCTGCCACCCTGTCTGGGAGGCGAGGAGCGCCTCTGCCCTGCCGCCACCCCGTCTGGGAGGTGAGGAGCGCTTCTGCCCGGCCACCACCCCGTCTGGGAGGTGAGGAGCGCCTCTGCCTGGCCGCCACCCTGTCTGGGATGTGAGGAGCACCTCTGCCCGGCCGCCACCCCATCTGGGAGGAGTGCCTCTACCCGGCCGCCCCGTCTGTGAAGTGGGCGCCTCTGCCCAGCCACCCCGTCTGGGAGGTGAGGGGCGTCTCTGCCCGGCTCCCCCGTCTGGGAGGTGGGGAGCACCTCTGCCTGGCCGCCCTTCATCTGGGAGGTGGGGGGCGCCTCTGCCCGGACACCCCGTCTGGGAGGTGGGGGGCGTTTCTGCCCGGCTGCCCCATCAGGGAGGTGGGGGGCGCCTCTGCCCGGCTGCCCATCGTCTGGGATGTGAGGGGCGCCTCTGCCCAGCCACCACCCCTTCTGGGAGGTGAGGAGCGCCTCTGCCAGGCCGCCCCGCCTGGGAAGTGTACCCAACAGCTCCGAAGAGACAGCGACCATCGAGAAAGGGCCATGATGACGATGGCGGTTTTGTCGAAAAGAAAAGGGGGAAATGTGGGGAAAAGAAAGAGAGATCAGATTGTTACTGTGTCTGTGTAGAAAGAAGCAGACATAGGAGACACCATTTTGTTCTGTACTAAGAAAAATTCTTCTGCCTTGGGATGCTGTTAATCTATAACCTTACCCCCAACCCCGTACTCTCTGAAACATGTGCTGTGTCAACTCAGGGTTAAATGCATTAAGGGCGGTGCAAGATGTGCTTTGTTAAACAGATGCTTGAAGGCAGCATGCTCCTTAAGAGTCATCACCACTCCCTAATCTCAAGTACCCAGGGACACAAACACTGCTGAAGGCCGAAGGCCGCAGGGACCTCTGCCTAGGAAAACCAGAGACCTTTGTTCACGTGTTTATCTGCTGACCTTCTCTCCACTATTATCCTATGACCCTGCCACTTCCCCCTCTCTGGGAAACACCCAAGAATGATCAATAAATACTAAAAAAAAAAAACAAAAAAACCATAACATTGCCGGGTACTCACGCCTGTAATCCCAGCACTTTGGGAGGCCGAGGGGGGCGGATCTCCAGAGGTCAGGAGTTCAAGACCAGACTGGCCAACATGGTGAGACACTGTCTCTACTAAAAATACAAAAAATTATCCAGGTGTTGTGTCGTGTGACTGTAATCACAGCTACCCAGTAGGCTGAGGCAGGAGAATCACTTGAACCTGGGAGGCGGAGGTTGCAGTGAGCCGAGATCATACCACTGCACTCCAGCCTGGACGACAGAGTGAGACTCCGTCTCGAAATAAATAAATAAATAAAATAAAATAAAATAACATTAGGCTGGTGCCGTGGCTCACGCCTGTAATCCCAGCACTTTGGGAGGCCGAGGGGGGTGGATCACCCAAGGTTAGGAGTTCAGAACCAGCCTGGGCAACATGGCAAAACCCTGTCTCTACTAAAAATAAGAAAAATTAGCCGGGCGTGATAGCGTGCCTGTAGTCCCAGCTACTTGGGAGGCTGAAGCAGGAGAATGGCTTGAACCTGGGAGGTGATGGTTGCAGTGAGTCAAGATTGCGCCATTGCATTCCAGCCTGGGTGATACAGCAAGACTCCATCTCAAAAAAATTTTTTTAAAAAGATAACATTGGCTTATTGGCTTCTGGGTAGAAAATTGACAATAGAGGTCCAGTTTGGAGGTTCATGCAGTAATCCCAGGCAAGAGAGGGTAGTGCGTGGCTGCACCTAGAGATATAATTGCAGAGGTGAAAATGAGGGGGTGGGGGTGGGAATTGGGCTACACTTTGCAGATGGACAGGCAGAACTGGGTGTGGAAAGCGAGGACGGGGAGGAACAGAGGATGACTTCCAGGTGGACACCCGGTCAACATATGGGGTCCTTAGGTGATAGAGAGGAGGATGAAGGTGGAAATCCAGCCCCCTTCACCTGAGAAAAGGTTGAAGAATCTCTTGAGATCCTTTTTGACCTTATAATTCTTTGTTTTCTTTAACTTTTTTTTTTTTTTTTTTTTTTTTGAGATGGGAGTCTCACTCTGTTGCCCAGGCTGGAGTGCAGTGGCCCAGTCTCAGCTTACTGCAACCTCTGTCTCCTGAGTTCAAGTGATTCTACCTGCCTCAGCCTCCCAAGTAGCTGGAATTACAGGTGCACGCCACCACACCCAGTTAATTTTTGTGTTTTTAGTAGGGACGGGGTTTCACCATGATGGCCAGGCTGGTCTCGAACTCCTGACCTCAAGTGATCTGCCCACCTCGGCTTCCCTAAGTATTGGGATTATAGGCATGAACCACCATGCCCAGACACAATTCTTTGTTTATAAGCCCTTCCAGGCAGGCATGCCATATGGAGAAGAATTCTCAATATCCCCATCTCACAGATGAGAAAACTGAGGCTGAGAGACTCTCCCAGGATCCCCAAATGGGAACTGAGGAAAACTGGAATTCTAGCTCAAATCTTCTTTTTTTTTTTTGAGATGAAGTCTTGCTGTGTCGCCCAGGCTGGAGTGCAGTGGCATAATCTCGGTTCACTGCAACATCCGCCTCCCAGGCTCAAGTGATCCTCCCACGTCAGCCTCCTAAGTAGCTGGGACTACGGGGCCTGCACCACCACACTGGCTAATTTTTGTATTTTTAATAGAGATGGCGTTTTGCCATGTTGGCTAGGCTGGTCTTGAACTCCTGACCGCAGGTGATCCACCCTCCTCAGCCCTCAGACTCTCACAATGCTGGGATTATGGGCGTGAGCCACTGTGCCCGTCCCTACATAGTTTTCTTTAAGTGGACCCACTTTAAAACAAACAAACAAACAAAAAAACCTTATCTTTATCCTAAACAATAATATTGGAGCTGGGCCAGGCGCGGTGGCTCATGCCTGTAATCCCAGCACATTGGGAAGCCGAGGGAGGTGGATTATGAAGTCAAGAGATCGAGACCATCCTGGCCAACATGGTGAAACCCCATCTCTACTAAAAATACAAAAGCTAGCCAGGCATGGTGGTGGGTGCCTGTAGTCGCAGCTACTCGGGAGGCTGAGGCAGGAGAATCACTTGAACCCGGGAGGCGGAGGTTGCAGTAAGCCAAGATTGTGCCACCGCACTCCAGCCTGGTGACAAAGCGAGATTCCGTCTCAAAAATTAAAATAAATAAAATAAATAAATAAATAATATTGGAGCCATCACAGGTTTTATGTGCTAATTAGATAATTTTCTAACACATAAATATGTAACTATTAAAATAAGGAATCTGGCCGGGCGCGGTGGCTCACGCCTGTAATCCTAGCACTTTGGGAGGCCGAGGCGGGCAGATCACGAGGTCAGGAGATCGAGACCATACTGGCTAACACGGTGAAACCCCGTCTCTACTGAAAATACAAAAAATTAGCCAGGCGTGGTGGCAGGCGCCTGTAGTCCCAGCTACTCGGGAGGCTGAGACAGGAGAATGGCGTGAACCCGGGGGGTGGAGCTTGCGGTGAGCCGAGATCGCGCCACTGCACTCTAGCCTGGGCGACAGAGCGAGACTCTGTCTTGAAAAGAAGAAAAAAAAAAAACTGAGCTGGGCATGGTGGCTCATGTGTGTAATCCCAGCACTTTGGGAGGTCGAGGTGGGAGGATTCCTTGAGCCCAGGAGTTTGAGACCAGTTGGGCAACAAAGTGAGACCTCTCTGTGTCTGCAAAAAATACAAATAAAATAATAAATCTTTGTACTAGCTACAACCTCTCATTCCACCAGTGGCAGTTAGTCACACTACATTTGGGAGAATTATGCCTGGGACCACCCTACAGTGTTGCATGTCAACTCAGTACTCATGAAATATACATGATATATTTATCTAGATACAGCAGTTATAGACCACACTTTGTCAACACATAGTAAACGGACTAACGCGACACTTAACCTCACACTTCCACTCCTTAAGAACTGATCTGCAGGAAATCATTAAGGAAGTGTTCCGAGATTTAACTATAAGGATGTTGTCCTAGCATTGCTGATTATAGTGAAAATTTGTAACTAACTAAATTTTATCAGGAGATTGGCTAAGTAAATCCTGGTACAATTATATGATGCAATGCTGTTTTACCCAAGGAATTGATGTTTCAGAAGAATGTTAAATGCCATGAAAAGATGATCACACTGGACTGGCCACAGTGGCTCATGCTTGTAATTCTACCTCTTTGGGAGGCCAAGACTGGAGGACTGATTGAGCCTAGGAGTTCAAGAACAGGCTGGACAACATAGGGAGGCCCCCAGCTCTACAAAAAATTAAAAAAAATAACTAGATGTGGTGGTGCACACCTGTAGTCCCAGCTACTCAGGAGGCTGAGGTGGGAGGGTCACTTGAGCCTGGGAGGTCGAGGCTGCAGTAAGCCGTGTTTGCACCACTGTACTCCAGCTCTGGGTGACAGAGGGAGACCCTATCCCAAAAAAAAAAAAAAAAAACCCCAAACAAAAAACAAAGTAGTGATAAATGGGTAAATGAGAAAACCAAGTTTCAAAACAGTGTGCAAAAATATTCAAATATATATTTAATGTTTTATATCTAAAAACATATATGTGTATGTTTTTTGTGTGTAAAAGAACGCTCTGGAAAATCTACAACTGGTCATTCTTTTAGTTTTGGATTATGGATAATTTTAATTTTCATCTTAGTTTATTCATTTTAAAATAAGTTTTTTATTTTAAAAGATATCTGTAGGTCTGAATCTGAAAGGAAATCCAATAAAAAATAAAATAAAAATAAAGAAGAGGTCTTACTATGTTGCCCAGGCTGGTCTGGAACTCCTGAGCTCAAGTGATCCTCCTGCCTCAGCCTCCCAAGTGCTAGGATTACAGGTGTGAGCCACTGTGCTTGTCCATTTATTCGAGTTTTTGAGACGTTTTCCCACAATGACCAACTATTGGTTTTGTAAAGAAAATGTCCACACGTATATTATAAGCTCTGGAACTGACTCTTCTAGATCTGCTTTTATTCTCTCTCTCTCTTTTTTTTTTTTTTTTTGAGACAGAGTCTCACTCTGTTGCCCAGGCTGGAGTGCAGTGGCACGATCTTGGCTCACTGCAAGCCTCCCAGGTTCAAACGATCCTCCTGCCTCAGCTCCCCTAGTAGCTGGGATGACAGGCATGTGCCACCATGCCCAGGTAATTTTTTTTTTCTTTTTTTTTGAGACAGAGTTTCGCTCTTTTTGCCCAGGCTGGAGTGCAATGGCGCAATCTCGGCTCATAGCAACCTCCGCCTCCCGGGTTCAAGCCATTCTCCTGCCTCAGCCTCCCGAGTAGCTGGGATTACAGGCATGCGCCACCACGCCCGGCTAATTTTGTATTTTTAGTAGAGATGGGGTTTCTCCATGTTGGTCAGGCTGGTCTCGAACTGCGGACCTCAGGTGATCCACCTGCCTCAGCCTCCCAAAGTGCTAGGAGCCGCGTGAGCCACCGCGCCTGGCCGGTAATTTTTGTATTTTTAGTAGAGACGGGGTTTCGCCATGTTGGCCAGGCTGGTGTTGAACTCCTGACCTCAGGTGATCCACCCACCTTGGCCTCCCAAAGTGCTGGAATTACATGTGTGAGCCACCATGCCCGGCTGCTTTTTTTCTCTTAACCTCTTTCTTCCCAACTTTAGTTAATGCAGTGCTAAGGCTAATTCATTAAGTGTGTGCTTAATAAATGTTATTCACCCAACACATCTTTATTGAGCACCTGTTGTATGCCAGCACTGGGATAGAACAATGAGCAAATGGTCTCCACCTTTCTGAAGCCTACAGTCTAGTAGGAGACAAACACAAATAACAAGTTAATAGGAATGATTATTATTACTATTTTTGAGACAGAGTCTCGCTCTGTCACCAGGCTGGAGTGCAGTGGCGCAATCTCGGCTCACTGCAAGCTCCACTTCCCGGGTTCACGCCATTCTCCTGCCTCAGCCTCCCGAGTAGCTGGGACTGCAGGCATGCGCCACCACGCCCAGCTAATTTTTGTATTTTTAGTAGAAACGGGGTTTCACCATGTTGTCCAGGATGGTCTCTAACTCTTGACCTCGTGATCTGCCCACCTCAGCCTCCCAAAATGCTGGGATTACAGGCATGAGCCACTGTGCCTGGCCGGAATTATTATTATTATTATTATTATTATTTTATTTTTTATTTTTTTGAGAGGAGTCTCACTCTGTCACCCAGGCTGGAGTGCAGTGGCATGATCTCGGCTCACTGCAAGCTCTGCCTCCTGGGTTCATGCCATTCTCCTGCCTCAGCCTCCTGAGTAGCTGGGACTACAGACGCCCGCCACCACACCTGGCTAATTTTTTTTTTTTATATATTTTTAGTAGAGATGGGGTTTCACCATGTTAGCCAGGATGGTCTCGATCTCCTGACCTCGTGATCCACCCGCCTCAGCCTCCCAAAGTGCTGGGATTACAGGCATGAGCCACCGTGCCCGGCCAGAAATTATTTAATTATAATCATGATGAGTGCTTCTAGAATGCTAAAAAAAAGATTTTATTTATTTTTATTTTTATTTTTTGAGACGGAGTCTTGTTCTGTTGCCCAGGCTGGAGTGCAATGGTGCGATCTCAGCTCACTGCAACCTCCACCTCCTGGGTTTGAGTGATTCTCCTCCCTCAGCCTCCCGAGTAGCTGGGATTACAGGTGTGTGCCACCACACCTGGCTAATTTTTGTATTTTTAGTAGAGACGGGGGAGTTTCACCATATTGGCCAGGCTGGTCTTGATCTCCTGACCTCAGGTGATTCATCTGCCTTGGCCTCCCAAAGTGCTGATTGCAGGTGTGAGCCACCACGCCTGTCCCAAAAAAAGATTTTAATAACAGGGCTGACATAGTTCAGCAGGTCAGGGAACAGTTTTCTGAGGAAATGATTTTTAGGTTAAAACCCCCAAAATAGGCCAGGCGTAGTGGCTCATTCCGGTAATCCCAGCACTTTGGGAGGCCGAGGTGGGCGGATCACGAGGTCAGGCATTGGAGACCACCCTGGCCAACATGGTGAAACCCCGTCTCTACTAAAAATACAAAAATTAGCCAGGTGTAGTGGCGCGCGCCAGTAATCCCAGCTACTCGGGAGGCTGAGGCAGGAGAATTGCTTGAACCCTGGAGGCAGAGGTTGCAGTGGGCCGAGATTGTGCCATTGCACTACAGCCTGGGTGACAGAGCGAGACTCCATCTCAAAAAAAAAAACAAAAACCAAAATAATGATGACAGCTGACATTTAAAACTGTACCGTTCAATGCAGTAGCCGCTAGCCACATGTGACTACTGAGTACTTAAAATGTGGCTAGCTGGGCCGGATGCAGTGGCTCATGACTGTAATCCCAACACTTTGGGAGGTAGAGGTGGGCAGATGGCTTGAGCCCAGGAGTTCAAGACCAGCCTGGGCAACATGGCAAAATCTCATCTCTACTAAAAATAAAAAATATTAGCCAGGTGCGGTGACATGTGCCTGTAGTCCCAGTTACCCAGGAGACAGAGATGGGAGGATCACTTAAGCCTGGGAGATTGAGGCTGCAGTGAGCCTCAGTCTCACCACTCTACTCCGGCATGGACAACAGAGTGAGACCCTGTCTCAAAAAAAAAAAAAAGAAAAGAAAAGAAATGTGGCTATTTGGATTGAGATGTGCTGTAAGTGTAAAATACACATTGGATCTTGAAGACTTCATACAAAAAAGAGTAAGATATCTCACTGATATTTTGTTATATTGATTACAAGTTGAAATGATAACATTTAGGATTTTTTTTTTTTTTTTTGAGACAGAATCTTGCTCTGTCGCCAGGCTAGAGTGCAGTGGTGGGATCTCAGCTCACTGCAACCTCTGACTCCCTGGTTCAAGTGAGTCTCCTGCCTCAGCCTCCCGAGTAGCTGGGATTACAGGCACGTGCCACCAGCTAATTTTTGTATTTTTAGTAGAGATGGGGTTTCACCATGGCCAGGATGGTCTTGATCTCCTGACCTTGTGATCCTCCCGCCTTGGCCTCCCAAAGTGCTGGGATTACAGGTGTGAGCCACCATGCCCAGCCAACACTGAGGATATATTGAATTAAATAAAATATATTATTAACATTAATTTTATCTATTTTATTTATTTATTTTGAGATGGAGTCTCACTCTGTCCCCCAGGCTGGAGTGCAGTGGTGTGATCTTGGCTCACTGCAAACTCCACCTCCCAGGTTCAAGCGATTCTCCTGCCTCAGCCTCTGGAGTAGCTGAGATTATAGGTGCCCACCACCATGCCCGGCTAATTTTTGTGTTTTTAGTAGACCAGGCTGTTAGCCAGGCTGGTCTTGAACTCCTGACCTCAGGTTGTTTGCTCACCTCGGCCTCCTAAAGTGCTGGGATTACAGGCATGAGCCGCCGTGCCCGGCCATATATTTTTTTATTTTTTATTTTTTGAGATGGAGTTCTGCTCTTGTAAGCCAGGCTGGATCTTGGCCCACTGCAACTTCCGCCTCCCGGGTTCAAGCGATTCTCCTGACTCAGCCTCCCAAGTAGCTGGGATTACAGGCATGTGCCACCACACCTAGCTAATTTTGTATATTTAGTAGAGATGGGGTTTCACCATGTTGGTCAGGCTGGTCTCAAACTCTTGACCTGAGGTAATCCACCCATCTTGGCCTCCCAAAGTGCTGGGATTACAGGCATGAGCCACCGTGCCTGGCCTGTTTCTTTTATTTTTTTAAAGATATTTTTTAGAGAGGAGGTCTTGCTAGTTTCCCAGTTTGGACTCAAACTCCTAAACTCAAGCAATCCTCCTGCCTCAGTATCCCATGTAGGTGGGACTACAGGCATATGCCATTGCACTTGGCTAAAAAAGTTTTGATTGGGCCGGGCGCGGCGGCTCACACATGCAATCCCAGCACTTTGGGAGGTGAGGCAGGTGGGATCACCTGAGGTCAGGAGTTCAAGACCAGCCTGGCCCACATGGTGAAACCCCATCTCTACTTAAAGAAATGCAAAAATTGGCCAGGCGCGGTGGCTCACGCCTGTAATCCCAGCACTTTGAGAGGCCGAGATGGGCGGATCACGAGGTCAGGAGATCGAGACCATCCTAGCTAACACGGTGAAACCCCGTCTCTACTAAAAATAGAAAAAATTAGCTGGGCGTGGTGGCGGGCGCCTGTAGTCCCAGCTACTTGGGAGGCTGAGGCAGGAGAATGGCATGAACCTGGGAGGCAGAGCGTGCAGTGAGCCGAGATCGCGCCACCGCACTCCAGCCTGGGCGACAGAGCAAGACTCCGTCTCAAAAAAAAAAAAAAAAACAAAAACAAAAATTAGTCGGGTGTGATAGCGGGTGCCTGTAATCCTAGCTACTCAGGAGGCTGAGGCAGGAGAATCACTTGAACCCGGGAGGCAGAGGTTGCAGTGAGCTGAGATCATGCCGCTGCACTCCACCCTGGGCGACAGAGTGAGACTCTGTCTCAAAAAAAAGAAAGAAAAAAAAGAAAAGTTTTGATTGCATATCCGGCTTGCATTCTGTTTCTTTTCTCTCTCTTTCTTTCCTTCCTTCCTTCCTTCCATCCTTCCTTCCTTCCTTTCTTCCTTCCTTCCTTCTTTCTTTCTTTGTTTTTTTTTTTGACAGAGTCTCACTCTGTCGCGCAGGCAGGAGTGCAGTGGCACAGTCTCGACTCACTGCAACCTCCGTCTCCTGGGTTCAGGTGATTCTCCTGCCTCAGCCTCCTGAGCAGCTGGAATTACCGGTGCACACCACTATGCCCAGCTAATTTATATATTTTTAGTAGAGATGGTGTTTCGCCATGTCGGCCAGGCTGGTCTCGAACTCCTGACCTCAAGTGATCCGCCCGCCTTGGCCTTCCAAAGTGCTGGGATTACAGGTGTGAGCCTGGTCGAGTTCTGTTTCTATTGCTGAGTGAAGAGTGTTATTTTGTGGTGACAAGGACCATTCTAAGTACTAGGTGTGTCGTTTCTTATTTAGTCCTATGAGGACTCTGAGAGGTAGCTACTATTAACCTTTCTATAGGGGAAGAAACTGAGGCACAGAGTAAATTGCCCAAGATGAACCACTAGCAAGAAGTCAGCAGGGTTGTCCATCTGCTCTGTCAATGTCGTTTAATCTTTAGGAAGAATGAAAAAACCTGATTGATTTTATCAAATGCAAGGGACTGAATGTTCATATCCTTGAAAATTCATATGTTGAAATCTAATCTCAATTCGATAGTGTTAGGAGGTGAGGCCTGACAGGTGATTAGGTCATGAGGGCAGGGCCCTCATGAAAGAGATTAGTTAGTGCCTTTATTAAAGGGACCCTCTTTGAGCCGTGTGAGGGTACAAAAAGTCAACAGTCTGCAACCCAGAAGAGGGCCCTCACCAGAACCTGACTGTGCTGGCACCCTGATCTTGAACTTTCAGCCTCCAAAACTGTGAAAAAATAATTTCTGTTGTTTATAAGTCACTCGGTCTACAGTATTTTGTTGTAGCAGCCTGAACTAGACACCAAGTTTAATTGCTGTGGGGTGAGAGTCCAAGGGAAGAAGGAAGCCAGGGAGGAAATGGGGGTTTAGGAATGATTTACATGAGGAAATCCCTGGCAGGGACCTGAGTGTTCGAGTGCACCAGCACTCAACTCTGAAGCTTCAGTTCTCTTTAGAACTCTGCATAGCAATGGGAAACTTGCCCATTCAATGGGTGCCTCGCATTTCCAGACCACACAGCTTTGAAAAAGAAAGGTTTTAGACCTTTGGAGAAGTGGACAAGCGTATGCCCTGGGGTTGGTCTAAGTTGTTAGCAGTTTCACTTAGCCGTTTCATAACCAGGCCTTGGCATAAGCCTCCCCAGGTTCAAATCTCAGTTTCCTTACTTATTAGCTGTATGACCTGGAGTAATTCAACCTCTGACTCTCAACTCTTCCAGCTGTAAAAGGGGCTAACAATGCTCATCTCCTAGGCTTGTGGTCAGTATTAAATGTCTTGTCTACAGACCTTTGCACATGCTGTTCCACACAGCTGGGAGTGGGGCGAGGCTACTCATCCTTCATGCTAACCACTTTGCTCTTTTGCGTGCACCTTTAGATTCAAGAAGGTAGACATCATGTTAGTCTTATTCATCATCCCAGCCTACGCAACAAAGCAAGACTGTGTCTTAAAAACACAAAAACAGGCTGGGCGTGGTGGCTCACACCTGTAATCCCAGCACTTTGGGAGGCTGAGGGGGGCGGATCACCTGAAGTCAGGAGTTCAAGACCAGCCTGGCCAACATGGTGAAACCCTGTCTCTACTAAAAATACAAAAATTAGCCAGGCATGGTAGTACACGCCTGTAATCCCACCAGGAGGCAGGAGATCACCTGAGATCAGGAGTTCAAGACCAGCCTGGCCAACATGGTGAAACCCCATCTCTACTAAAAATACAAAAATTAGCCAGGCATGGTGGTATGCGCCTGTAATCCCAGCAGGAGGCAGGAGAATCACTTGAACCTGGGAGGCGGAGGTTGCAGTGAGCTGAGATTGCACCACTGCACTCCAACCTGGGCGACAGATTGGGACTCCATCTCAAACAAAAACAAAAACACAAAAACTAAAACAAAATAGAGGTATGTGCAAGATGCTGGAAAACCACGCAATAGAGTGTTTGAGGAACAGTCTTTGGTCTTGAATTTATTATAGGAGAATGTGGCAGCCACAGAAGCTGCTTGGATCTGCCTTTATAAAATGACTGAACATGGTGGGAGCATTGGAACCCGGATACTTCTGCCCAAGGAGACTTCTCATTTTTTTTGTCCTGGAATTCCCTGATGGGTTGACCTGTTTGTCAGATCTGAGTCTCCTTGCCCAACCCTGCTTATTTCCCCTTCTCTGTCACGGGCATTACCCCTAGCTTTATCTCAGCATCTCATCTGCTTTCTGGAGGACCTGATCTGACCCAGAAGGCCTGGATTCTTGAGGGACAAGGGGAACTCGAAGCTGTACTTGCAGAGCAGTTTTATATAAAATCCACAAACTGCCATCACCCATCCCAACGGGTAGGGAAGTACCTCTAGGAGGATTAATTTAGAGAATAGCTATATAGTGTCTGTCTATTCAGACACTCAATAAATGGTAGTTGTTATTATTACCCAATTTCCGAGTGTGTGGGAGCACTGGGTGTGACTTTCCTGTAGTTTTCCCTTTAATGTCTAATCTGGGGACCCCTCTGCCCCATGCAGTTTTGGAAAAGTGTCTAGGGAGGGTGGCTGTGTGGAAGTAATATTAAGAGAGATGGAACCACACAGGTATTGGGTTTGGGCCAGAAAGGGTGAACTGCGAGCTGCACTGCCATTGATCCAGAGGACGACCCCAGGAAAGGTCAGCCACGGGCTCCGGGCCTTGCCTGGTACTGATTTATGGTCCTCCTGGGTGGTGACCTACAGGTGACAGACGGACAGGTGGGCAAAACTGACTGTCCAGTGGACAGGCATGTGATGACCCAGTGGCTGACGAATGCACAGACACATGGCTGACTGTGGACGGATTTGTCATCCGCAGGGTCAGGCAAGTGACTTTGAGAGGGACAGAAAGATGGATGGGAGTGGCTGGAGGCCTGGGAGCCGCCCACCTGCCCGCTTAGCCGCGAGGGGGCGCCACCGCCCCGCCCAGCGACGCCCACTGCCCGGGCTCTTGGCGGGGGCGGGACCAGCGTGCGCAGGGGGCGGGGCCAGCAAGCTCGCGGGGGTGTCCGGGGGCGGGGCGCGCGTGCACAGGGGGCGGCCGGGGGCG
Organism: Homo sapiens; assembly: GCF_000001405.40. Classification (NCBI taxonomy): domain Eukaryota; kingdom Metazoa; phylum Chordata; class Mammalia; order Primates; family Hominidae; genus Homo; species Homo sapiens. The sequence goes on along the minus strand of NC_000012.12, from coordinate 120,265,779 downwards.
GGGCGCGCGGCGGGCGCGGGCGCGGGCGCGCGCGGCGGCGGCGCGTTCCGTTCCGGGCCGAGGCTCGCGGCGGAAAAGTTGCGGGGCATAGACGAGCGGCCCCGGGACGGGCAGCTAGCGCGACCCTGAGCCGGCGCCCGTGGTCCGGCCATGGACGACCTCGGTGAGTGAGCGGGAGGCCGAGGGAGGAGGAGGCGAGAGGCGCGCAGCTTGGGGCCAGGAGGGCGCCAGCGAGCGGCAGGGGCCGCGGGATCCCACCCTCGGCGGCCCCGGCCTCAGCTCCTGTCCCTGCCGGCCGGGGCTCCGCGGGGCTGGGATCCCTAACCGGGCCTTAGTCTCGGGCCAGGCCGGCCCCGGCACCGACCGCACAGCAGCGACCCCCCGTCTGGGACGGCTTCACCTCTGGACCCCCGACCTCGGGGACCCATCACCATCTCCCAGAAGGGCCCCAGGGACCAGCCCGCCCCTCAGGGACCCACCCCGTCCGCTGCAGGGACGAGACTTCCTGCGGCAGACCACCTCGTCAGCTACGGGACCCTCACCTCGCAGACCTCTCCCCACCCCCACCTCACAGATCGACCGCCCAACTCGGGGAGCAGCTGCCCGATCTCATGGGCTGCTCCCTCATTTCCTCGACCTGCTCCCCGTCCCTCCAGGGCCGCCCCCCACTTCACAGACTAGCACCCCCCTTCAGGGATAACCCCTCGGAGCCCACCCCTTTCATTTCACAAGTCAGATGCAAAAGCTAGAGATGAGCGTGTGATGACCACACCCCCATTTCAAAGACAAGTTTCCCAGTCTGCCTGCTCTTCTGACCCCCCACTTCAAATCTGGTCACCCCGTTTCAAGGACCCATCACTCATTTTCTCTCACTGACCTCCCCGCTCTGTGGACCAGCCCCTCAATTCACAGACCAGTCCGTCTACCATGGTATCTAAGTCTAGAACGGTAATTTGGGAGTCCTGATTCTCTCCCCACCCCTAGATTCTGGTGAAATGCCAGGGGAATGAGGTGGAAGGTGGGCCCCAAGGTATGACCATCCCTGAACGTGTCCTGGCTAGCAGAGTCCCCTCCACCCTCTCTGCGTCAGGCCCTGCTGGAAGCCACGCAGGTGAAAGAGGACAGGATGCCCAGAACAGAGTTTTACTGTTTTCCTGTTATTGGAGCCCCAAGGCTACTCTTTTCAGTCCAGTCTTGATCTGGTGTTAGGGGAAAGAAAGTATCTCCTGGAAGCCGACTCTAAACCCAAGGGGGTTGGTGCCAGGGTTCTAGGAATGCCTTGGGTGGCGTGAACGCAGGAGTGGGAGGATTCGCTGTCTCTCCCTCCCCTTCACGCCTGTAGCTGGAGGGCCCTGAGCTTGGGAGGTGAGGAGGGGGGCAACGTTTCTTCTCTGCAGGAGCCTTGTCTTTCCTCTCTGGACTGTGGGTGGCTTGTGTGACCACTGATGCTTCCTCTGTCCCAGGCTCTGAGGAGTAGATTCAGCAGACAGGACTGATGGACCTCTACCAAGCAGCGCCGGGCACTAAGTTAAGACTGGCTATTTGTAGGTGCTGGACTTGACTGCTTCCCTCCAGCTTCCTTTTGGGATCAGGGTGCCCCTGAGATCCTGGAGCTGGGGTTGGTGTAGGGTCCTGCCTGTTTTGCAGAGTGAGATGGCTGCCAAGCGTGGTTCTGCCTTTGGGTCAGGCTTGGCACCCATTTTTCCAGTGTGCTCAAGGTTGGCATGGCTTCCAGGCAGGTATTTTTTTTTTTCACATAAAAATAGCTCAGCTGGAAGGAGGCTGGGGGATGTTCTTTGAACCAGGATCTAAGAGTCTGAGTGCTTTCCCAGTGGGAACTGGGAGCAAAGTTACAGTTTCTAAAGTGCTGGTGCAGTTCTGTTGCTTCTCGGCAGTCCCCGTGCTGTTTCAAGGACTGAGAAAGTCTTTGTAGAGCTCGCCATCGAAATCTGGAATTCCTGTCTTCTGACAGTCTTCCATTTAGGGCCAGGAAACTGAGTTCTGAAAGGAAAGAGAGTACTGTATACGGGAGAGGGGATTGTAGGGATTTAAATTGCTGTTTGTGGAGTACTTCCCTCTACCTCGATTTGTGATATCCTCACAACAACCCTTTTATCAGATTCCACCTTAAAGCCAATGCTGTCATGACCACCTGCCTTTTTACAGATTGAGAAAGCCGAGACGAAGAGAGGCTGATTCTCTTGCCCAAGGCTGCACAGCCATGAAATGACAAAACCATAACTGGAAGCCCAATTCCTAGCTCCCAGATCTGTGGCTCTTGTATACCGAGAAGACTTTTTTTCCTGGGGAGGAGGCAAGGGCACTTGAAGGAGGGGTTGCCACTGGGTGATGGCGATCACCTGTAACTTCTACTGCTTTCTACCATAGACTCCCAGTTGCTTACATCCGGGCTGCCCGACTTCCTTGGCCTGAGCTCCCAAGGGGCAAGCCACGCCTGACTGACCGGAGCCTGGGGTGGGAGGAATGGGGTGTGCAGGAGGGGAGAGGAATTTGCCTTTGCACTGGGGCCCCGTCAGCTGTCTGGATGGCGGCTCAGCACACTGCCATCAGCTGTTTTCCTTAGGGTGGCTCAGCTGTTTTCCTTAGGGTGGACACAAAGCCCAGACCTCTTGTTTTTATTTTTCTCCTGAGCGTGCTCTCAGCCGTGTGCCTCCTGGTCCCTAACACAGGGGAGAGTTTATGGTGTGTCCGGTAGCAAGGCCAGAGGGTGCATCACCTCCTCTGTGACTTTGTTTTTTGGTCTAATAAAAAATGGGGAACTCTTCTCCTTCCCATAGTTGCCAATGACAGACTCACCATGTGCTGCTTAATAAGTTACAAATTTATAGCTCTCTGAGCAGAAAAATATCAACACAGCGTGTTCTGCCCTTCCCTGTGTGTTCTCTCCACTTTGTTCTTTGGGGTGGCTGCTTGGTGGCTTTTCTTATTACTGTTTAGATGCTGGTTTGGCCCAGAGTTCGCTCTGTTCAAGTTCTGGCCGGAGTTTCCTGGACAGAGTTCCCACAACACTGAGATGCACTCTGACTGTGTTTTCTAACCCGATTGCTTGCTCTTCCTCTGTTCATGTTCTCAGTGTACTTGGTGGGGGCTTTGACCACAACTGTGGTCTAATCATGATCATGTGCGCTTCATGGGAGACAGGCACTGTACTCAGCACTTTACGAGCTGTATCACAACCTTTCAGAAAGGGAGGTGTTTTCGCTCCACTTTATACATGTGGAAACCTGAGCTCAGGGAAGTTTAGTGGTAGTGCTGGGATTTGAACCCAGGCTCATCCAATTCCAGATCCGGTTATCTTAATCATCATAAGGTGGTAGGTGCTGGTGACTAACCAGGGGGATGAGCCTTGGGGCCTGCTGAGTAATTGATAGTTACCTTTAACAATCTCTGCCCTAGGGGCCCATCCCAGGAAATGGCAAAGGGTGTGTCCAGTGCAAGACTGGGTAGCTTTGCCTTCCCATCCTCTAGCAGGGGGAACAGCCAGCTGTTGGCAGTGCCCAGTTGCTGCTGGAATCTGGACATGTCTTCTTTCAGCTTCTCAGCAGTCTTGACCCTTTGGAAAACAGTGCCTCATTGTCCTTGGGGGTAGTGCTAGGGGGGCAGAGGAGTTGCCTGGGGCATTGGGAGCTATGGAGCCTCCCTGTTTCCATGGAAAGTCTGGACTTTGGGCTTTCCTGTCTGTGGTCCCTCTGTGTGTTAGGGCAGAGTCAGGGCACCCAGCTGCTGGGCGTGTGGCAGAGGCGGCATTTACCCATGCAGCGATAGTGCCCTCCTGGTGGGCTCTGCATCAGTGCCAGACCTTCTCCTGGGCTTGTGCTAGTAAGGGGCAGAGCTGGGATTCAAACCTTGGTGGGTTTGATTCTTCAGCGGGTACACTTTCTGATATGTGAAGCTGTCTGCTGCCTGGGCAGACATAGCTTGATGGAGAAATGCTCAGCCTACTGGAACCCAAAGCCCTGTCACTATAGGTTCAAGGTCTTTTGAGGGAATATCTCAGTATTCCTTTTTTCCAGCTTCCCTAGTGATGGTCATGCATTGAAGAGACTGGGTGTACCCTTGGCTGGAGAGGCTGATGGAAGGCCAGAGTTATTGGTGGGCCACTGAGCAGCCCTCCTCTCCTATTTAGTCATCCTGCTTGGAGTATCTGACTCTGAAGCTTCTCTTGCGTCTTTACCTCGCTCCAGAGATGTTGAATAAACTTCCAGCCTCATTGCAGCCTTTCCGGGGATCATCCTAGTCTCAGTGCCTTCATTAATAATAACAAAATCTGCCGGGCATGGTGGCTCACACCTGTAATCCCAGCACTTTGGGAGGCTGAAGTGGGTGCATCTTTTGAGGTCAGGAGTTCAAGACCAGCCTGGCCAATGTGGTGAAACCCAATCTCTACTAAAAATACAAAAATTAGCTGGGCGTGGTGGCGCGTGCCTGTAGTCTCAGCTACTCAGGAGGCTGAGGCAGGAGAATCGCTTGAACCCGGGAGGCAGAGATTGCAGTAAGCCGAGATCGCATCACTGCACTCTGGCCTAGGGGGTACTTTTCTTTTTTACAGTGTTTACAGAACTTTTTCTCATAATATTTATTGAGCTCTTATTATGTGCAGGCACTGTGCTGGGCACTTTACATGCATTGTTTGCTTGAATCAAGCTGGCCATATGAGGCAGGTTTTATTAGTAGTCGTATTACTACTACCTGTTTTATAAGTGAGGAAACTGAGACACAGAGAGGTGAGCCCACTTGCCCAAGTTCTACAACTAGTGAATGGCAGTGCTAGGATTTGAATCCAGGTGGTCTGGCTGCTGAGCGGGACTTGCAGCCAACTGTTTTGTACACTTTTTTTTGGAGACAGGGTCTGCAGCCTCTGCCTCCCAGGCCCAAGTGTTCCTCTTCCCTCAGCCTCCCGAGTAGCTAGGACTACAGGCATATGCCGTAACGCCCCGCTAATTTTTGAAATTTTTTGTGGAGACAGGGTTTCACCATGTTTCCCAGGCTGTTCTTGAACACCTGGCCTCAAGCAATGTGCCTGCATCAACCTCCCAAAATGCTGGGATTACAGGCATGAGCCATTGTGCCTGGTGCATTCTTTACACTTCTGTTCATAATACTGCATCTGATATGGGTTGCCCATTGGTTTGACTGTTTTCTGTTTCTAGGACACTAACATTTTTCTGCACCCACCCTATTCTCTGTTGTCTTCCACATCTGTCATTTCCCTGTTCTCTGCAGCTTCTTGTCTGTCTTTTGTTCTTTTTTTTTTTTTTCCTGAGTTTCACTCTTATTGCCCAGGCTGGAGGGCAATGGCATGATCTCGGCTCACCACAACCTCCACCTCCCAGGTTCAAGCGATTCTCCTGCCTCAGTCCCCCAAGTAGCTGGGGGCATGAGCCACCATGCCCAGCTAATTTTGTATTTTTAGTAGAGACGGAGTTTCTCCATGTTGGTCAGGCTGGTCTCGAACTCCCGACTTCAGGTGATCCACCCGCCTCGGCCTCCCAAAGTGTTGGCATTACAGGCGTGAGCCACTGCACCCGGCCTTTTTGTTCTTTCTTGGGGACACACACTCAGGATGGGATGCAGGGTCCTGGGGGGAGTGTCTCCTGTTCCAGGGGAGGCCCCAATCCTCCCTCCCTGGTCACCTCTCCAGTCACCTGTTACTCTTGAGACAGAGCAGTGAGCTTACAGCACCACTGCCAAGGAGAACCTGGGGCAGGTCCCCTGTGGTCCCTTGCCACCTCCTCTGCTCAGGAATCAGAAGCCTTCCTGTGCCCCCAGCCCCGCTGCACCCGAACATGCTCCTTGTCTTTCCCGTATCCAGAGGAGGGAGTTGTTGAAAACTTTATGGTGGAGAATGAAGGATGTCCTATGGGAGGGGGAGAGGAAGAGAGAATCAGGAAGCTGAGTTTTCTCAGAAATGTTCACAAAGCAAGTCATGGAAATGGCTTCAGGGTGCCCTCCTCACCTGGGATGGGCCCTGAGACTCCATCGACAGCCTCACGGGGTCCACTCTGCCTTTTGCAGTCTGGGTCTTGTTGGGAGTCTCATATCTGGCCTTGAGTGTACATTCATACCCTGATAAGTCTTCCAACTAACTAACCGATTGCCTAACCAGTGGTGCTCAGGGCTGGCCTCTCCAGGGAGGCCTTGGATGCTGGGCCAGTGGTAGACAGAACATGCGGTTGGCCAGGCCCAGTGGAACCCCAGTGGCCAAATCTTCCCTTAAAGACGGACTTTTAATGCTTATTTCTTGTGTGATTGTGGTATTGTGGTTTTATGGGAGAATATTGTTATTGTTAGGTGCATGCTAAAGTATTTAGGAGTGAAGTGTCATGATGTCTTGCAACTTATTTTTATTTTTTCATTTTTTATTTTTGAGGCAGAGTCTTGCCCTGTCACCCAGGCTGGAGTGCAGCAGCGCGATCTTGGCTCACTGCAACCTCCGCCTCCTGGGCTTAAGCAATTCTCCTGTCTCAGCCTCCTGAGTAGCTGGGACTATGGGTGCATGCCACCACACCCGGCTAATTTTTGTATTTTTAGTAGAGGTGGGGTTTCACCATATTGTTTAGGCTGGTCTTCAACTCCTGACCTCAGGTGATCCACCTGCCTCAGCCTCCCAAAGTGCTGGGATTACAGGTGTGAGCTACCCCACCTGGCCTCAACTTAGTTTTATTTGTTTTTTTTTGTTTGTTTGTTTTGAGGCAGAGTTTTGCTCTTGTTGCCCAGGCTGGAGTGCAGTGGCACCATCTCAGCTCACTACAACCTCTGCCTCCTGGGTTCAAGCGATTCTGCTGCCTCAGTCTCCCGAGTAGCTGGGATTACAGGCATGCACCACCACGCCTGGCTAATTTTTTTATTTTTAGTAGAAACCAGGTTTCTCCATGTTGGTCAGGCTGGTCAGGCTGGTCTCAAACTCCCGACCTCAGGTGATCCACCCACCTCGGCCTCCCAAAGTGCTGAGATTACAGGTGTGAGCCACTGCACCCAGCTCAACTTAGTTTTAAATGATATAATGAAAAAAAGGATATACACATAAAGGGCAGAGAGCACAAGGGCCATGCGTTTACACAAAGTGGTAAAACAATGACAGCCATTCAATCTAAGTGAGAGTACCCGGGCCTCTCAACTTCTCTGTGTGCTTAGACATTTTTATAATGAAAAGTTGGAGAAAAGTAAGGAAACCCTGCTTTTCCATGATGGGCTTGGAGTTGTTGGGCCTAGGTGCTGGCCTGCGCCTGCCTATGGTTGGCCTGAATGACTGCTGGTCTCCTGTGATTGAGCAGGTGGTGGGAAGACTGGGTGAGCAGAGACAGTAGCTGGGGGGGCCTCAGGTGACAGTGACTGCTGACTATCATCTGGGAAATGGGGAGCACAGTGCTGTGACCTGTGCAGAAAAAAGACAGGCCCAGAGACAGTGTGTGTCCATAGGTGTGGAGGCAGCCTCATGAGTTATTTGAGCATGATGACATTAATCAGACCAGGGTTGAAGCATGTGAGATGCCGAACTCTGGTTGGAGTTTGAGATGGGTTGTCTAGGCTGATGGGATGCAGAGCAAGACTTTTTTTTTTTTTTTTGAGACGGAGTCTTACTCTGTCACCCAGGCTGGAGTGCAATGGTGTGATCTTGGCTCACTGCAACCTCTGCCTCCCAGGTTCAAGTGATTCTTGTGCCTCAGCCTCCGCAGTAGCTAGGATTATGGGCGTGCGTCATCACGCCTGACTAATTTTTGTAATTTTAGTAGAGATGGGGTTTCACCATGTTGGCCAGCCTGGTCTCGAACTCCTGACCTCAGGTGATCCGCCCGCCTTGGCCTCCCAAAGTGCTGGGATTACAGGTGTGAGCCACGGTGCCCAGCCACAGCAAGGCTTTACATAATTCAGGGAACGGTCTCTGGGCAGCTTGAGGCCTGTGGGCGGGGAGGAGATGTCTTTTGCCTCACATCATGAACCCCTTATCTGTGGCCAGTGGAACACCATTAACCTGTGGGCAGTGATGGCTGAGTGTCCCCAGGCTTTTGCTTATAGCTCAAGTCTGACCATCCAGTTTTCCAGCCTTCAGGCTCCCCCTCCTGGAATCCCCACTCCCTTGGTCCCTCCTGTCTAGTTTGTGCTGACTCAAAGCTGGCCCTCTTGGACCTCCAGTCTGTTTTGGGGAAATAGCTGGATTCTGGCACCAGTGGCCCTCTTGGCTCTGAGGCAGAGGTGAGGGCCCTGGTGCCTACTAGAAACATTTCGGGCAGCCAGCAGGCTCTCATGAGGGGAGGGCTTCATGCCAAGGTCTTCTTTCAGCCTCATGTCATCTATGTCAGCGTGCAGAGATGCCGAGGCTGGCCACTTGGCGAGGACTATGAGGTCTTCTAGCGAGGGCTCAGAGCTTCACTCTGCCTATTTGAAAGCAGCATGATGTGTGTTTTATGGGGGAGGGGGTGATGCTGGGAGGAAGCTTTATGTAATTCTTGGCTGGAGCTCAGGTAATTGTTTTAATGAAATGGAATGCAGCTTATTCAGAATTCGCTTGGCAGAAACAGCCATGTTCTGTTCTGTTTTCTTGTTGGGGAGAGCAGGGCACACATTTCCAGCTGTTTTGAATCGTAGAACTCTGGGTGAGCTGGAGCAAGGGGGGTGGAACCCTCCAGGGAGCTCCAGGGAGCTTCAGGCCGATTCTCTTCTGGATCCCGGTCTGTGTGTATTGTTTTGAATGAGCCTTGGAGACTTTGGCCTCTTCTAAAACATAAAAACCCTACTGAGGCCAGGCGCGGTGGCTCATGCCTGTAATCCCAGCCTTGGGAGGCTGAGGCAGGTGGAACACCTGAGGCCTGAAGTTGGGAGTTCGAGACCAGCTTGACCAACATGGAGAAACCCCATCTCTACTAAAATACAAAATTAGCTGGGCGTGGTGGCGCATGCTTGTAATCCCAGCTACTCGGGAGGCTGAGGCAGGAGAATTCCTTGAACCTGGGAGGCGGAGGTTGCGGTGAGCCAAGATCAGGCCACTGCACTCCAGCCTGGGTGACAGAGCGAGATTCCGTCTCAAAAACAACAACAACAACAAAAAAAAACCCTATTGAAAGCAGGCTATGAAATGGGTGTAATGCCTGCCTTCCACATTGTTGGGAGACTGAGTGAGGTGCTTAGCACATAGTAGACAGATCCTCAAGGATGGCCTCTATTTGCTCACGCTTTACTCCACCCCCCACGTCCCCATCTTTCTACCCCCTTTTATACCTCATGGTCATCATCTTCTGTCAGTGTAGATGGCTGTGGCCCCATGTGGCCCCGATGTCCCCATCTGCAGGTCCACCTGGCTCTCCTTTTTCTTCTGGTTCCGTTTTTCTCCTCTCCTTCTCTTCTCTTCTTTCTCTTTTCTCACAGGGTCTTGTTCTCTTGCCCAGGATGAAGTACAGTGATCTGATCACAGCTCACTGTAACCTCCAACTCAAGCGATCCTCCTGCCCTCAGCCTCCTGAGCAGCTGGGACTACAGGCACGTGCCACCATGCCTGGCCAATTTTTTATTTTTTATACAGCCGGAGTCTCATTATGTTTCTCAGGCTGGTCTCGAACTCCTGGCCTCAAGCAATCCTTCTGCCTTGGCTTTCCAAAGTGCTGGTATTATAAGTGTGAGCCACCATGTGTCTTGCCTGTTTCCCTCTTTTTACTTTTCTGCTTTTACTAACTTCAGTTTTTTGTTTTGTTTTTTAGAGAGTCTTGCTCTGCCGCCCAGAATGGAGTACAGTGGCATGATCTTGGCTCACTGCAACCTCTGTCTCCCAGGGTCAAGCGATCCTCCTGCCTCCGCCCCACCCCCCCCAACCCCCCGCAGTCCGCAGTAGCTGAGATTACAGGCACACACCACCATACCTGGCTAATTTTGTATTTTTGGTAGAGATGGGGTTTCGTTTGCCATGTTGGCCAGGCTGGTCTCGAACTCCTGAGCTCAGGTAATCCGCCCACCTCGGCCTCCCAAAGTGTTGGAATTACAGATGTGAGCCATTGTGCCTGACCTGCACTTACTAACTTTTTTACTTTGCTCCTTTTTATTTTATTTATTTTTAAATTTATTATTATCTTTTTTGAGACAGAGTCTTTCTCTGTCACCCAGGCTGGAGTGCAGTGGCATGATCTTGGCTCACTGCAACCTCCGCCTCCCGGGTTCAAGTGATTCTTCTGCCTCAGCCTCCTGAGTAGCTGGGACTACAGGCGCCCGCCACCATGCCCAGCTAATTTTTGTGGTTTTAGTAGAGATGGGGTTTCACCATAGTGGCCAGGCTGGTCTTGAACTCTTGACCTTGTGATCTGCCTGCCTCGGTCTCCCAGTGCTGGGATTACAGGTGTGAGCCACCGCGCCCGGCCTGTTCCTTTTTAAATTTTAACACAGTCTGACCCATTCTTCCACGTTTGCTCTTTTGCTGAGACACCTGTCTCACCCTTTAGCTGCATATTTTTTTCTCCCTTCCTTAAGCTCCGCTTGCTTCTCCAGAGACCCTCCCACCTTCTTTTCCCAAGTCTCCTCTGATCCCTGAGTGGAGGTGCACCTGGGTGTTTTCCCAAAGGATTTCTCTGAACTCCTTGTTTTTCAACTATGCACCTCGGTCAGTTAATCAACTGCATGACCTCTTTTATAACCTGTGTGCTGGTGACTCCCAAATTTATATTTCCACCCCTGACGTGAATTCTATTGTCCAGATTCTTCCGGTCTGCGCACCAGCAGAGACTCAACTCATTTCCTTTCCACTCTCCCTTCTCATCTACTCCCTTCTCATTTCCTTTTCACTCTCCCAGGCCCCATCTACTGCCTGTTCTCTGTTAGCGCCCCCTCTCTTCTCTGGGCCTGTATTAGATAATGGGCATTTGTGTAGCACGTTAAGCTTGAGGAAATATTTTCATGTGCTTCTTTATTTTTTAAAAAACTAAACCTTAGGCCGGGCATTGTGGCTCACACCTGTAATCCCAGCACTTTGGGAGGCCAAGGCAGGTGGATCTTGAGGTCAAGAGATCAAGACCAGCCTGGCCAACATGGTGAAACCCCGTCTCTACTAAAATTACAAAAATTAGCTGGGCGTGGTGGCACGTGCCTGTAATTCCAGCTATTTGGGAGGCTGAGGCAGGAGAATCTCTTGAACCTGGGAGGCGGAGGTTGCAGTGAGCCGAGATCACACCATTGCACTCCAGTCTGGGTGACAGAGCGAGACTCCATTTCAAAAAAAACAAAACAAAAACAAAAGAACCACTAAACCTTATTGTGTATATTCGAGGTTTACAACATGTTGTCATAGGATACGTACAGATAGTAAGGTGGTTGCTAAAGTGAAGCAGATTAACCTGTCAGTCATCTCACAGCTACTTTCCTGTGTGCCAAGAGCAGCTAAATCTACTTATGTAACAAAAATCCGAAAATCCCGAGTACGATTTTCTTAACTTCAGCCCTCATATCATACATTAGATTTCTAAACTTGTGCATCTCGTGTATCTGCTACTTAGTATTCTTTGACCCACGTCTCCCCATTCTCCACTTCCACCCATAGTAACCACTGTTTCATTCTCGATCTCTGTATTTGACCTCTTTATAGATATATAAATATATATATTGGACTGGACGTGGTGGCTCACGCCTGTAATCCCAGCACTTTGGGAGGCTGAGGTGGGTGGATCATCTGAGGTTAGGAGTTCGAGACCAGCCTGGCCAACATGGCGAAACCCTCTCTACCAAAAATATAAAAATTAGCCAAGCGTGGTGGCACGGGCCTGTAGTCTCAGCCACTTGGGAGCCTGAGGCAGGAGAATCGCCTGAACCCAAGAGGTGGAGGCTGGAATGAGCCAAGATCACGCCACTGCACTCCAGCTTGGGTGACAGAGAAAGACTCGATCTCAAAAATAAGTAAAATAATAAATAAATAAATATATGTATATAGTACATATAAGTGAGATCATGCAATGTTTTTCTTGTTGTGTCTGGCTTATCTTACTTAGCACGTCCTTCCATGCTGTGGCAAATGGGCAGAATCTCCCTTTTTAAGGCTGAATAATTCACTGTATCTATATACAATGGATGTATAAACCACATTTTAATTATTTGTCCATTGACGATCATTTTTTATATGGTTCTGATAGCCACCCTTTGAGGTAGATAGTAGTTATTTTCTACTTTCAGAGGAAGCTAAACTGAAGCCCAGAGGAGTTAGGGGAAGGGAACACACCCAGTGTTACCACAGGCAATGATGCAAGAACCTGCACCTTGGGTGGGTCTTCCCACAACTAGCCCGGTCTCTTTTTTCTTTTTCTTTTTTTTCTTTTTTGAGATGGAGTCTCGCTCTGTCACCCAGGCTAGAGTGCAGTGGCGTGATCTCAGCTCACTGCAACCTCCGCCTCTGGGGTTCAAGCAATTCTCCTGTCTCAGCCTCCTGAGTAGCTGAGACTACAGGCGTGTGCCATCATGCCTGGCTACTTTTCATATTTTTAGTAGAGACGGGGTTTCACCATAATGGTCAGGCTAGTCTCAAACTCCTGACCTCAGGTGATCCACCTGCCTTGGCCTTCCAAAGAGCTGGGATTACAGGCGTGAGCCACTATGCCTGGTCTTCTTTCTGGTTTTTCATATGGGAAACCTCAAGGTAGAAATCAGAAATCTACGGGTCAGATTTGGTCTGCAGACCCTTGTTGCTTGGTCTGCATGGTATTCAAAATATTCCAAATTAGTTGCCAACATTTAAAACATCAGGAGATTGCACCAAAAAGTCCATGTTGTTCCTTTTTTTTTTTTTTTTTTTTTTGAGACAGAGTCTCACTGCGTCACCCAGGCTGGAGTGCAGTGGCATGATCTCGGCTCAACTGCAACCTCCGCCTCCTGGGTTCAAGCAATTCTCCTACCTCAACCTCCCGAGTAGTTGGGATTACAGGCGCCCGCCACCACGCCCATCTAATTTTTGTATTTTTAGTAGAGACGGAGTTTCATTACATGTCGTTTCTTTTGAAAAATCAGATCAGGCTTCATGGGATGTGTGTACTCTGTGTCACCACTTGGTTAACCTCAATAGCTCCAGCCTTGTATTTGACCCTCTCTGTTGCCTACATTGGGTCTCACTTGCCTCACACATATTCCTACTTGGCCCCTGCTTTGGGGGATTCTAAGAACTCTCTGTGCTCGATGTTTAATGACAAATGCAGTTGCCAGATCTAGGGGGTATCTTGTATTGCAGTCTCTGAATTACATTTGACTTCTGACCATGCCAACCACTCAGTTCTGCCTTGAGTCTAGATGTTGGTTCAAGTTGCAGAAAATAGCCTTCTCCTGACTCACCTTACCCTCTGCCTTTAAAATCTTAGCTGAATCCACCTTTTTGAGAAGGCTTTTTTCCCCGATAAAACTAACCAGCCTGTTGACCCTCCTGCTAAGGTAAAACTTTACAGATCTGTGTAAATTAGGCTTTCTTCTGTCTCCCGCTCTGCCCCGTAAGCTCTTTGAAGACAGGGATTTTATCTGCCTTTCAAATACCCCTTGCCACCAAGCACTGTGCTGTTCTCTCTGCGGTCACTTAATAACTACTTGATGGTGGTTGGTGATTAAATGGGTATGAACTGCGACACCCACAGTGATGCTGAGCCTGCAGCAAACCACTTCCTCCTCTGGAGAACCTGAGTTCTCTCTGGGTTTGGGGTGGGGAGGTGGCATAGAACCCAGCCTCTGACATCAGCCACACTTGGTTCTGTATCAATGCTGTTGCCTACTACTTGTGTGACCCTGGCAGATCACTTTACACTCTGAGCCTTGGTCTCCTAATCCATGAAATAGGTGCATTTCCTGACATACTTTCCCGAAATACTTTCAAAGTGCTCAGTAACTGGTGATGGTTATCGTTCATTCTTGGGATAATCTTGACAACTCCTGGGGTGGAGGGTTTGGCTTTTGGTATCATTCTCTTGGCATTTATTTGTTTGTTTGTTTATTTATTTTTGAGACCAAGTCTCGCTCTGTTGCCCAGGCTGGAGTACAGTGGCACAATCTTGGCTCACTGCAGTCTCTGCCTCCCGGGTTCAAGCAATTCTCCTGCCTCAGCCTCCCAAATAGCTGGGATTACAGGCGCCCACGACCACGCCCAGCTAATTTTTGTATTTTTAGTGGAGACAGCGTTTCACCATGTTGGCCAGGCTGGTCTTGAATTCCTGACCTCAAATGATCTGCCCACCTCACCTCCCAAAGTGCTGGGATTACAGGAGTGAGCCACCGCAGCGGCCTGTTTGTTTATTTATTTATTGAGATGGAGTCTTGCTTTGTCATCCAGGCTGGAGTGCAGGGGCGTGATCTCAGCTCACTGCAGCCTCCACCTCCCATGTTCAAGTGATTCTCCTGCCTCAGCCTCCTGAGTAGCTGGGATTACAGGCATGCGCCACTATGCTGGCTGTTTTTTGTAGTTTTGGTAGAGGTGGGGTTTCACCATGTTCGCCAGGCTGGTCTCAAACTCCTGACCTCAAGTGATCCACCTGCCTTGGCCTCCCAAAGTGCTGGGATTACAGGCGTGAGCCACCATGCCGGGCCTTATTTATTTTTTAATTAATTGATTTTTTTTGAGACAGAGTCTCGTTCCGTTGCCCAGGCTGGAGTGCAGTGGCGTGATCTCAGCTCATTGCAACCTCCACCTCCTGGGTTCAAGTGATTCTCCTGCCTCAGCCTCCCGAGTAGCTGGGATCACAGGCACCTGCCATCACACCCAGCTAATTTTTTGTATTTTTAGTAGAGATGGGGTTTCGCCATGTTGGCCAGGCTGGTCTTGAACTCCTGGCCTCAAGTGATCTGCTCACCTCGGCCTCCCAAAGTGTTGGGATTACAGACGTGAGCCATTGCACCTGGCCCACTCTTCGAATTTAAGCTTCCACTTCATCTTTAGGTTGGCTGCATTTCCCGTGGCCTTGGTGGGCACTTAGTGCAATTGGCCCTGTTTGGTTGCTTAGCTAGGCCTGGGGGAAGAATCTGACTTCAGTTACTTTCTGGAAGAATGTGATTTAGGACTCTTCATGGCGCCATGGGTTGGAGAATGTTTGGAACTCTGCTGTGGAGGTGAAATGGCCACACCCTTGGGCTGGTGGTGTTAAGTTGGGTTTTGGTTATATGACTTTTAATTTCCCCTGAGCCTCTTTGGTGGCTTTCATGAGGAAGTGGTGGGGGAGGAGGTGGCTTGGTGGCTTGGTTTATACTAATCGCTCATCTAACACTAATATTAGTGAGAGCTGCCACAGGGAGCTGTGCTGAGATCCACTCCCAGATCAGCCCTGGGCTTCTCCTAGCACTCTAGGCATCCAGAAAGCCTCATGGGGTGGTCTGGCCCCTGAGGCTCCTAGTAGCAGTAGAAAAAAGGAGAGTTGGTTTTCTGGACTGTGAACTTGGTGGTTGTACACTGAGTGGACACAGCTGTGTCATGAAGCTGGCCCAGTGACTGTACCCCTTTAGGGGTAGTTGATCTGTGGGACCCACCCTGGGCTCTGTTGGAGGTTTGAAGTGGCTCAGAGAGTCCTGGCCGAGCTTTGCCCCCTCTGTTTCCAGGAACATTCCTCTTCCTTAGGTGGAAATGGGAGTGTCCAATGGCCTGCACTTGGTTTCCTCTGGATTTGCCATTTCCCCTGTGTACTCCTGGCTCGGCTGGCCGGCTAAGGCAGTTTCTCATCACTGATGTGCTCTGGGACAGCTGAGTGGGATGGGCTCCTCTGGGGTGGGTGTGGAGGAGTGGTCGTGATGCCTGGAACACTGCAGTCACTCCTCAGAGACACGACTTGGCAGCCCTCCTGAGCCTGCCTGGTCACATGCTGCCTGTCTTGGAAGGTCCTCTGTCCCAAGCAGTGGATGTGCAGTTTCTTCACCCCTGCTTAGCTTCATCAGGCACAATGCGTCTTTGAGGTGAGGTAGCTGTTGGGATAGCTGGGTGGTCTCATTTCTTCCCTGCCTCACCACCTCAAATGGCCTCTTCTGCTGTGTCCTGAACTTTCCAAGAACTCCTCCCCCTTCTCTCTCTTTGGAAGTTGGCACTTGAAGTCTTTTTGTCTGGTCTTTGGAGGCAGCCAAGCCGGAAAGAAGCTGGGGAAGAAGATCGTTACCTGGAGGCGGTTGTCATGGCTTCCTGTGGTCACTTGTGGTCATCTGCTTCTAAACATCCTGTTTGTGCCTCTAGAGCAGCAGGAACAGTGACCAGGAGACAGCTGTTATCTGCCTGACTTTGGCCAAAGCATGGGGGCTGGGGTGTCACCATCCTGGGGGATGCTTGATTGGCTGATCACTGGCAATTGAGGGCATTGCTGGTAGCAGCTCCTTTGGGCACCACTGGCTTGGGCTCTGTCCTTCCTCTTCTCCCTGCTTCGACTGTCTGAGATTTTCCCTCCTAATGGCCTGTTGGGTATTATCAGTCTGCACTCCCCCTCTGTGCTTCTGGACTGATCCATTCTTTCTTAGAGTCCTCTGGTGCTTCCAGAGCTGGAAGGAACCTTAGGATGTCATTTCCTCCTATGCTTGGGAGTTTGTGGCCGTCATCTTCTTCAGTCAGAGCTGCTTACTTTTCTCTGTTTATATATTGAGCTTCCATCTAAGACCACAATTACAAAAGGGGTTTTGTGGATTTTTATTTTATTATTTATTTATTTATTTATTTTGAGACAGAGTCTTGCTCTGTCGCCCAGGCTGGAGTGCAGTGGTGCAATCTTGGCTCACTGCAACCTCTGCTTCCCAGGTTCAAGCGATTCTCGTGCCTCAGCCTCCCACGTATCTGGGATCACAGGTGCCCAACACCATATCTGACTAAGTTTTGTATTTTTAGTAGAGATGGAGTTTCACCATGTTGGCCAGGCTGGTCTCAAACTCCTGACCTCAGGTGATCCACCCGCCTCAGCCTCCCAAAGTTTTGGGATTACAGACGTGAACCACTGCACCTGGCCATAACTGCCAGCATTAATATAGTGTTACTCACTCTGTGGCAGCCACTGTTCTAAATACCTCCCTTACGTTCCCTTATCATTTCCTCACAACAGCCCTCTGAAGTAGGTATTCTAGCTGACGACACTGAAGCACAGAGAGGTGAGCAACTTGCCCGAGGTTAGTTGCTGATTAGTGGTGGAGCTGGGATTGGATTCAGTGACTGTCGCATACAGCCCTTTGCTGACATTGTAGACTCTGTTCTGATTCCTGCTCGCCAATGAGGGTGATGCCACGCGGTGCCACTGGGGAGGAGGGAAGAGAGGGGACAGTCTGGTGTGTGTGTGTGTGTGTGTGTGTGTGTGTGTGTGTGTGTGTGTGTGTGAAAGTCATCTGTGGATTGTATATGGTGTGCTTGGGGGTGCAGTAATTGAGGAAACATAGTCAACCAGGTGTCTGCTGAGGGCAGTGGGGGCTGTTGAACACTGACCCCTATCCAGGGTTATCAGGGACTGAAAATGACCCCAGGAGAAGTGTGGTGTGAGCTGGCGTGCTTCCCTCTGGGGAAGGTCTAGGGGCTGTGGACAGAGGAGGGAGCATTTCCTGCTCTGTGGCCATCCTCCAGCCCCCTCTTCTACCGTGAGCAAAGGCTGGGGTCCCTCATGTTCCCCAGACCAGCAGTCTGGCAGCCCTCTGTCCTCCTGCTCTTCACCTCTCTTGGGTTATTTGCTTATATCTTCCACTGGCTTCCTTTGGAAGAGTTTTTTCTCAATTATTGAGCTTTCTCAACTGGAGAGTCAAAGTCTCCAGTTTCCAACTAGGATTGTGGATTTGTCACTTTTTCTTTTCAATTTTGTCCATTTTTGCTTTATCTACTTTAGAGCTCTGTTGTTGAGTGGGTGTACATTTAGGATGATTATGTCTTCATGATGAATTGACTCATCATTATGAAATGTCCCTCTTTACCTCTGGTAATATTCCTGTCTGGAAGTCTGCCTTGCCTGATATTAACAGAAGCACTTCAACTTTCTTTCTTTTTTTCTTTTAAACAACTGCTATTCTGTTAATAAAATAGTTGCTTGAAACATCTGCAGTGGTGACTTTAACCTTGAATCTCAGCTCAGTACAGATGGACGTAATCTGCTTAGCAATCTCGGGAGGACCATCCAGGTCAGTGAGTCACTTGCGGATTCTCATCTGGAAACGATCCCTTGTCCTAGAACCTTCATCACGAGGCGTTTTTCTTATAGTGATTCTCAGAGTCTTGATAGGCATCTGAACTGATCCTTCACTTTGAGATTCTTTTCCTTTGCACCTCTGATCAAGTCAGCACACACCTTCTCCAGAGATTTGATGTTGCGGCAGGCTAGGGTAATTCTGATTTAATAAATTGCCACCTCTAGTTCCACGGATGGCTTTGAAAGCCATAGCTGTGGTGTGGCTTCCTAGCTGACTTGTTCTGGGGTGAGGGCAAACAGTGGCAACTCAGGAGCAGGCGAGGGCACACCAGAGTTTAGTGGCAGCTGCCAGCTGGCTCCCTCAAAGGGCCACTCTGCCTTCCTTGATATTAGTGTTTGCATGGTATATCTTTCTCCATTGCTTTATACTGAATCTATCTGTGTCTTTATATGTAAAGTATGTTTCTTGTAGATAGCATGTATTAAATACTGCATTTCTACCCAGGCTGAAAATCTCTGCCTTTTAATTGGAGTATATAAACCTTTTAGATTTTAAAGTAATTATCAATGTGGTTAGACTGAAGTCTATCATGTTGCCATTCATTTTCCATTTGTGCCATCTGTTTATTCTTTCTTCTTTTCTAGCCTTCTTTTTTTTAAAATTTTTTTTTATAGAGACAGGGTCTTGCTGTCACCCAGGCTGAAGTGCAGTGGTACAGTCATGGCTTACTACAGTGTCAAACTCCTAGGCTCAAGTGATCCTCCTGCCTTAGCCTCTCGAGTAGCTGGAATTACAGGCATATGCTAACATGCCCGGCTACATTTTTCTTTTTTTTTTTTTTTTTAAGACAGATTCTCACTCTATTGCCCAGGCTGGAGTGCAGTGGCGCAATCCTGGCTCACTGCAACCTCTGCCTCCCGGGTTCAAGTGATTCTCCTGCCTCAGCCTCCTGAGTAGCTGAGACTACAGGCACGCACCACCATGCCTAGCTAATTTTTTTGTATTTTTAGTAGAGACAGGGTTTTACCATGTTAGCCAGGATGGTCTCGATCTCCTGATCTCACGATCTGCCTGCCTCAGCCTCCCAAAGGGCTGGGATTACAGGCATGAGCCACCGCGCCTGGCCTGGCTAAATTTTTCTTTTTTCTTTTTCTTTTCTTTTTTCTTTTTTTTTTTTTTTTTTTGAGACAGAGTCTTTCTCTGTCCCCCAGGCTGGAGTGCATGGCTCACTGCAACCTCTGCCTCCCAGGTTCAAGTGATTCTCATGCCTCAGCCTCTGGAGGAACTGGGATAACAGGCATGCGCTACCATGCCCAGCTAATTTTTGTATTTTTAGTAGAGATGGGGTTTCACCATGTTGGCCAGGCTGGACTCGAACTCCTGACCTCAAGTGATCTGCCCACCTCAGCCTCCCAAAGTGCTGGGATTAAAGGCATGAGCCACTGTGCCCAGCCTAATTTTTTATTTTTATTTTTGTAGAGACGGAATCTCACTGTGTTGCCCAGGCTGGTCTCTAACTCCTGGCCTCAAGCAATCCTCCTGCTTTGGCCTCCCAATGCGCTGGGATTATAGGTGTGAGCCATTGTGTCTGGCCTCTTGCCTTGTTTTAGATTCATTGAGTATTTTTTAGGGTTCTGTTTTATTTCCACTCTTTGCTTATTTAGCTATACTTCATTGGTTTGATTTTAGTGGTCACTCTGTGGTTTGCAGGTTTAAATTAATCACAATCTGCCTTCAAATCATACCATACCATTTCACGTATAATGTAAGAACAGTATATTTCCATTTCCCCCTCCTGTTTTTTGTTATTTCTACATATATTATGAAACCCGTACTATGTAGTCCACCTTTTATGTTTGTCCACAAATTTACTATAATATTTCTAGCATTCTTTTTTTTTTTTTTTTTTTTGAGATGGAGTCTCGCTCTGTCGCCCAGGCTGGAGTGCAGTCGTGCGATCTCGGCTCACTGAAAGCTCCGCCTCCTGGGTTCACGCCATTCTCCTGCCTCAGCCTCCCAAGTAGCTGGGACTACAGGTGCCCGCCACAACACCCGGCTAATTTTTTGTATTTTTTAGTAGAGACGGGGTTTCACCGTGTTAGCCAGGATGGTCTTGATCTCCTGACCTTGTGATCCACCCACCTCGGCCTCCCAAAGTGCTGGGATTACAGGCGTGAGCCACTGTGCCCGGCCGCATTCTTTTTTTTTGAAGACTAAAGAAGTTAACAAAAATGTCAGGAAAACATTGTTTTGTTTTTTTTTTTCTTCCCCTCCTTTTCCCATTCTCGTCTGAGAACGTGTTGTCTTCTTCCTCCCTGGCTAGTTTCCCTGCCTGTGAACTCCCTCAGCCTCACTAATCTGTACGTGCTTTGTGGCTCATCCCATCTGTGCTTCAGTCATGATAATCGATGCTGTCAGTCTCTCTGGGCTACACAGCCCCACACTTGGTGTTGCTGACACATTCCGGTGGTGCACGTTTGAGAAAATCGCACATTCCAGCTCATGTCCCCTGCCTCCTCTGCTCCATGGGGAGAGGTGTGACCAGATCTGCAGGGCCTGGGGCTGCCACACTCCTGTTCCTTCTTGCTCTGTTGCTACGTGATGCCCCTCCTCCTCCTTCCCCAGCACCAAGCCAGAGAGTCACCCAGTCCCAGGCCCCAACTCCCTCCCAGCTGCCTCATTCCTATGCCCTGAGCCCACCTCTTGGAGCTCCCCTTCCCCACCCACAAAGGAAGCCAGATAGGCCACCCAGTGAGTTTAAACCTTAAGTACCCACAAGGGGCTATGCTCCAGCCACAAAGTCTTGTGGACTATTCCTTTGATTTTTTTTTATTATTTATTATTTATTTTATTTTATTTTATTTATTTATTTGTTTTGAGACAGAGTCTCGCTCTGTCACCCAGGCTGGAGTGCAGTGGCGTGATCTTGGCTTACTGCAACCTTTGCCTCCCAGGTTCAAACACTTCCCTGCCTCAGCCTCCTAAGTAGCTGGGATTACAAGCGTCTGCCACTGCGCCCAGCTAAGTTTTGTATTTTTTTTTTTTTTTTCCGAGACGGAGTCTCACTCTGTCATCCAGGCTGGAGTGCAGTGGTGCGATCTCTGCTCACTGCAAGCTCCGCCTCCCGGGTTCACGCCATTCTCCTGCCTCAGCCTCCCGAGTAGCTGGGACTACAGGCGCCCGCCACCACGCCTGGCTAATTTTTTTTGTATTTTTAGTAGAGACGGGGTTTCACCGTGTTAGCCAGGATGGTCTCGATCTCCTGACCTCGTGATCCGCCCGCCTCGGCCTCCCAAAGTGCTGGGATTACAGGCGTGAGCCACCGCGCCCGACCAAGTTTTGTATTTTTAGTAGAGATGGGGTTTCACCATCTTGGCCAGGCTGGTCTTGAACTCCTGACCTTGTGATCCACCCACCTCAGCCTCCCAAAGTGCTGGGATTACAGATGTGGCCACCATGCCCAGCTATTTTTTTGTTTGTTTATTTTAGGGTAGGAGTTTTGCTGGTTGGGGAGGGGTGGTGGCAACTAGATCACAGTAGATGGGACATTCTGGGATAGAAGAGTAGGAACAACTTGGGCCCTGTGCTCCTGTGTTGCTCTCCCTCACCGGGCTTTGCATACAGTGAGCTCTTAGGGAGGACCAGGAGGTGGCATGAGCTGAAGTGGCAAGGCTGATCTCAGCAGCAGACTGACTTGGCGCAGGTCATTTGTTGATTTGTTTGGTATCATCCATGGAGCCCCTATTATATGCTAGGCTCTGCCCAATGCTCAGATGAAGATGAATATAGGCGTACTCCCTACCCACAATGTGCTATTCCTAGGCTGTGAGACATGGCCCCTTAGGCAGACAGTTCCTACCAGCTTGAGGTGTTCTCATAGGAGAAGTGCACAGTGCTTTGGGAACTCAAAGGAATGGAGCCTCAAACCCTTTGTAGGAGAGTAAGGTCAGGGAGGGCTTCCTGGAGGAAATGGGATCCTAAACTGACTCTGTTTTGTGTGTGTTTTAAGAGATAGGATTTCTCTGTTGCCCAGGCTGGAGTGCAGTGATGCCATCATAGCTCACTTGCAGCTTCAAACACCTGGGTTCAATCCATCTTCCAGCCTCAGCTTCCTAAGTAACTGGGATTACAGGCATGTGCTATAGCACCTGGCGAATTTTTAAAAATTTTTTGTAGAGACAGGGTCTTGCTGTGTTGCCCAGTCTGGTCTCAAATTTCTGCCCTCAAGCAATCGTCCCGCCTTGGCCTCCCAAAATGCTTGGATTACAGGCATGAGCCACCATGCCCGGCCTTTTGTTGTGTGTTTAAATAGAACCTCAACATTTAGAAAAGGCCCCAACCTTTGTCCTTTACTTAAATGGTCATTCTGTAATAAGATTTTGGAAAGAGACCTTCCCAGCAGAAAAGCAACACGTTGCTTTTTCTCTAGGTAGGCAGGATGGATCCTTTTTATCCTCTCGTTGAAGAAGATAAACTAAGCTATTATGAGTCTCAAGGGATTAGAAAGGATTTAGCCTGGTAAAGAAGACAGGAGAGAGGTCTAGGGAGAGGGAATAGCTCATGCAGAGGCCTGGAGGGCGGACGTGTGTGCAAGCATGTGTGTTTAGTTCATTGGTAGTGATTTGGTGCCCTGTGTCCAGTTGGATCTTTCAAGCTAATCAAACTTATCCTGAGCCACAAGGCCAAGGACAGTCATTAGGCTTTGCATCTTCATTGGAATGACCTTTTGGGGATGACCTTGCTACGATAGCTGAGATGGGGCTGGCCTTTGGGGCATCTGTTATCCTACAGTGAGATGAGCTTTTTTTTTTTTTTTTAAAGCCCGAGTCTCGCTCTGTCGCTCAGGCTGGAGTGCAGTGGCATAATCTTGGCTCACTGCAACCTCTGCCTCCCAGGTTCAAGCAATTCTCCTGCCTCAGCCTCCTGAATAGCTGGGATTACAGGCGTGTACCACCACACCAATTTTTGTATTTTTAGTAGAGACAGGGTTTCTCCATGTTGGCCAGGCTGGACTCGGACTCCTGACCTCAAGTGATCTGCCCGCCTCTGCCTCGCAAAGTGCTGGGATTACAGGCATGAGCCACCACACTTGGCCATGAGATGAGCTTTATCTGTGCAAAGTCTCTCTGTGGTCAGCTGGGGCTGGGGCCGTGGGTCAGTTCTGAAGGGCATTTCCATGAGGGTTTGAGGCCTGAGATTGTGTCCTGGGCCCTCTGGCCCCAGTGGTGAGCCGCATGCTCATGTGGCAGGAAGGATCTGGTTCCTCTGATAACCTGCTTAGGCTGACCCCTCTTTTTCCTGGAGGACGGCTGTCAGAGATGGGGCTGGCTTTCTATTTGAATTTCAGAGGCAGACTCGTGCAGATGGGTGCGGGCAGAGGAAGGGAGCCCATGGTCTTCCTGAACACTCTGAGAATTCCCAGAGCAGGCTGCATGCAACTTCCTGAGGTTCTCCCAAAGCCAGACAGGGAGAACAACTTGTGTTCAGGAGAAGGGTACCATATAATTTAACAAACTGTTACTTAGATAGGTGCCTTGGCCAGAGAAAAACGTCCTTGGGCCCTGGCTCAGGGAACACTGTGGCTCTGCCTGTTCTTGGTGTAACTCCTGATCCTTGTTACCGTCATTACCTGACCCCTGCCGCAGACCTTCTTCCCTGTCTCATCTGTTCCATCCCTCCTGCAGGAAACAAACATGGGAGGCATCCTGCACTCCTCACTCCTTCTCCATATCCACTCAGTTTCCAGGTAACATTGATTTTACCTGATTTCATGTAGAGTATTGCAACTCTTGCTCTTCCTCCAATTGAGCCCTGCCTCCCTCTGATCTCCCCTGCCTGAGTGATGTAAAGTGCAAGCCTGGTCCTGCTGTTCCGCTGCTGACCGCCTTCCTTCTGTGGCTTGCCCTTGTAAGTCCAGACTCCCCAGTGGGCCCTCGGCCCTTGACTCCTCTTCCATCAAGCTGGGACTTGCACTCTGAGCTCCCATCCCCTCTGTCTGGGCACTTTCCCAGGCTGTTTTCCACCTCTGCCTGGAAAGCCCCTCCCCTTTCCTCCTGGCCCACTGCCGCTTTCAGGGCCTTCTGCCCCTCGTTTATGACAGTCTCCCACTAGTCAGTGCTCCCCGGAGACAGGCATTGTATATTTGCCCCTCCCATGCCCAGCATAGTGCCCGTGCACACTATGTGTTTGTGAACGCGATTGGAGCCATCACTAGTAAAGGTGAGGCTGTCCCAGTGAGAGCATCGGAGGGAGGGTCTTGGAGGAGGCACGTGAGACAGGTGCAGGTGGCTCTGCCTTGGATACCCAAGCGAGGCCACATCTGTTTTGTGCCTCCTGAACTGGGGTGGCTTCACTGGAGTTTGCTGCCTGGGTCAGTGTCCAGGCAGGTCCCATTCCAGAAATTCTGATCACCTGGGATTGAGGTGAAGATGAGGCAGCTTCAGCTTCAGCCCCTAGTGATCAGACTTGTCTTCAAAGGACCAAGCTGTGATCTGACAGGGGCAGGGTGGTGCACTGTCAGGCCTGCCCATGGCAGTGGTTTCATTCAGATTCCCAACCCCTTTGGGCCATGACTATTGGGATCTCTCCCCAGAGTAGTGTGGTAGGGACATGGTAGTGAAACTTCAGGTGGTCCACAGATCCCCAGGAGGGTCAGCTCCAGATGCCAGATTAAGACTTCTGATATAAAGTTTAGCTCCCTTGGGGGGCTCTCTTCCTCCCTTTCCCTTTGAAAGGGAAAAAAAGAGAATGTGGAATACTTTTGCTCCAGGGTTAGGGAGCTGAACTGAGCCAGCAGGAAGAGGGTGGATTGTGGGGCCAGGTGCAGGCCACCCTGAGTGGGTGGGCACTGTTATGCCTGACACTCAGGGCCTCTGGAGTCAGTCCTGGGTGGGTTAGTGTCGATGTTCCAATGGCGAATGCTCTGGCAGAGTTAGGAGGCAGAGACTTCAGAAGGGCCATCCCTGGACTCCTTTCTTGGCACTTGCGTCATTGGGAGCACTGTGGGGCTGCGATGCCAGCTTTTGGACTGGACTCCTGGGAGGATCAGCAGTGCCCTTCTTCCTGTTGGCTTGTGCACTGAGCTTCCCACACCACGAATGCAGGGGCCTCCAGATGCATCTGCTTGGTGACCCTTTGAACTTGGGAATGGCTTCAAAGCCAGGGAGAGAGATTGCTGTTTTGGTTGGGTCCTGCAAAGCCTCTCAGCTTTTTAGCCCAGATCTTGTTTACAGTCTGATGGTCTGGTCCCAGTGTCTTAACAGGTGACTCTGGAGCCACTGTGGGAGAGTCAGACTACCTAACTGACACCTGTCAGAGCACCTTCTCTGCAGTTGCTTATGGCTTGCAGTGCTGGGCATGCACTTGCTCTGGTGGGGCAATCAGGGATGTCAGCTTTGTGGGTGGGACAGCTCCTCATCCCCCATCTGTCACCTGTCACCTGGTGAGATAGGCACTAATGATATGCATGGCTGTGTGCTTGTGATGTACCAGGACTGCTTTATGATTGTTATCTTATTTGTTCCTCTAAATGGCTTGAGTGAGGCTTGGGAACCCCACAGTCCCCATTATATAAGGGGCAGTTATTATACCTATTCTATAGATGAGGGAACTGAGCTCAAAGAGGTGTCATGCTAGCAAGTGGCAGAGCTGGACCTGAAACCACGTAGTTCAGCGACAAAACCTGTGCTACATTTTTGTTGCATACTCACTTACCTGCAGAGGCCAGGCAGGTCATGTGAATGGATGAAGTGGGCCAAAAAAAAAAAAAAAAGGGAGCTAGATTTCATGTTGTTCCAAAGAAGGTAGCCAAGCAGACCAGTGTTGCTAGCTAGCTCTTCTGACTGTTCCTGGGAAGCCAGAAATCCTGGCTTTCATGTGAAATCTCTCAATTTATTCAGATTAGCTCAGATTTTTTATTTAATTTAATTTATTATTTATTTATTTATCTGAGACAGAGTCTCGCTCTGTCACCCAGGCTGGAGTGCAGTGGTGTGATCTCAGGTCACTGCAACCTCCGCCTCCCAGGTTCAAGCAATTCCGTTGCCTCACTCAGCCTCCTGAGTAGCTGGGATTACAGGCATGCACCACCACGCCTGGCTAATTTTGTTTTTGTTTTTGAGACGGAGTCTCACTCTGTTGCCCAGGTTGGAGTGCAGTGGCACGATACTGGCTCACTGCAACCTCCGCCTCCTGGGTTCAAGCGATTCTCCTGCCTCAGCCTCCCGAGTAGCTGGGACTACAGGCATGCGCCACCATGCCTGGCTAATTTTTTGTATTTTCAGTAGAGACGGGGTTTCACCATGCTGGCCAGGCTGGTCTCGAACTCCTGACCTGTGATCCACCTGCCTCAGCCTCCCAAAGTGCTGGGATTATAGGCGTGAGCCACCCCGCCTGGCCTAAATTTTTGTATTTTTAGTGGAGACAGGGTCTCACCACATTGGCCAGGCTGGTTTGGAACTCTTGACCTCAGGTGATCCGTTGGCCTCGGGCTCCCAAAGTGCTGGGATTACAGGCGTGATCCACCACACCCAGCAGAAACTTCCACCCTTTAAAAAGGAGAAACCAGTGGCACCAGGAAGGGCAGTAGTGGGACAGGTGCTTGCTCAGCTCCCTGGCTTTTTTGGTGACCATTTCCTGTCTGAACATAAAGATGGGCAGGAGGAGAAGGAGCAGCCCCACCCGACAGTTTGGTTCCCGTCAGAAGTTCCCTAGCTGACCACGAAGCTCCCTGTGTTGCAGTACAGTAGTTAGGGGGCAGAAGCACGGGATTTCTTGTCCTTGGGAAGTTTAGCTTAGGAGCGTCCAAGGACAGCTGTGCCCCCCATACATAGCTAGGCACAGAGCAGGTACTGCCTGAAGGAGGAATGATGGGGTTCACCCTAGCACCTCATGGCAAGACAGCAATCTCTGCAGACACTGCAGAACCTAGCATCCACTGGAGCTAGTGATGTAAATAGTCTACCTGAACAGTCACCCAGTTTCCCCTCAGAGTATTGTTTCTATTAGAAGACATTCTCCACAGCTCAAAATCCAACTTCCAAACAACCTTCTGGAATGCTCCACGTGTGTACATGGGGACTTTCTGTGTGGTGTTTCTGGGCATTGCGGCCACGTACTGCTGTTGCCCTCTGGCTCTGCTGGGCTGGATTTGCGGAGCCCCAGAGTGTCTCCTGCAATAAAATCCAAACCAGGGGCGAGGTGTGTACCCCCTCCCCCATCAATCCCTGGCATAGCCAGCTGGGCATGGTGGAGGGAGGCCAGGCCAGCCAAGCCTGGTTGGAGCCCTGGAACCCTCTCTGCTGCATGAACCCCCGGGCACAGGCACCTCCGTTCAGTTTACCCATGAGGCTTGGCATCTGCTTGGCCTGCTTCCTCAGCTTTGGAGTTAGTGGGCTTCTTGCAGGCTAACTACGACGTGGTCTCATTTGAGTTCTGTTCCCACCCTATCCCTCTCCCCTGCACCTTGATATACCTACACGTGAACTCCACTAGCCAGACTGAAAGCCCAGAGGTCTCCCTGGGTGCTTTTTGTTTCAGGAAAATATCTTCTCTCCTTTTTTTCTATTGTGGTTTCCCAGCGTGACTCTGCAGCTCCATCTGCTTCCTCCCTGTCCAGGAAGAGGCAGATTTCCCCATGCGGAGAGTTGGCAAGGCTCCGGGCCTCCGGAGAAATTGGCCTTGCCCTCTTCAGGACAGTGGCCGGGGCATTCCTCCTTTGTAGCTCAGTGATGCCATCCCACCAGCGCCCTGGGTTGGGTCAGGCCTGCTGCCTATGATTGTGCCTGGGGAGCCTACAAAGCTCAGTGGGGTGGGGGGACTGAGACGAGACTTGGAGCTTCTGTGCATGGGATGGGCCCTCCTGAGACCACTCCTTATTCAGGAGGTGCCAACTCTCTGTGGGGACGCCAGCTGTCAAGGGGCCTCAGCATTTCCTAGAGCCCTGAAATCAGCAGATGGCTTCCAAAATTTGTGTGCCCAAGAAGACCCAGGGCTGGATGAGGTAGACACTTCTAGGGAGGCAAAAGGGTCACTGAGGGTCAGCTCGGGGAGCACTCTGGGGGCAGCTAGCCTGACTCCCCTCCCCCACTTCTTCTCAGCACTCGTGACCATCTATGATAGTGGTTTCAAATGGTGCGCTGCCAGGACATAGCCTTCAGATGACACCAAGGGTGTGTCTGGCATTCTTTGCACTCCTAGCTCTTTCTTTCACTCAAGTAAATGCACTGGAACACATGCGGGTGGGGCTGATGGTCATGGAGTCATCTTGAACCCACTTCAGTTTATTTTCTCCAAAATAAAAGCAATGGCCAGCAGGAGTTCGAGACCAGCCTGGCCAACATGGTGAAACCCTATCTCTACTAAAAATATAAAAATTAGCAGGGCGTGTTGGCACATGCTTGTAATTCCAGCTACTTGGGAGGCTGAGGCACAAGAATTGCTTGACCCCAAGAGGCAGAGGTTGCAGTGAACCGTGATCATGCCACTGTACCCCAGCCTGGGCAATAGAAGTGAGATTCTGTGTGTGTGTGTGTGTGTGTGTGTGTGTGTGTATACACACACACACAC
This sequence comes from Homo sapiens, assembly GCF_000001405.40. Classification (NCBI taxonomy): domain Eukaryota; kingdom Metazoa; phylum Chordata; class Mammalia; order Primates; family Hominidae; genus Homo; species Homo sapiens. The sequence continues at coordinate 120,237,132 of NC_000012.12, read as the reverse complement.
ACACACGTACATACATAAGCAAGCAAGCAATGACCAGGTGCAGTGGCTCATGCCCGTAATCCTAGCACTGTGAGAGACTGAGGCAGGAGGATCGCTTGAGCCCAGGAGTTCCAGGCTAGCCCTGGCAACATCCTAAGACCCTGTCTACAAAAAATAGAAAACTTAGCCAAGTGTGGTGGCATGCACTGTAGCCCTCATGACTTGGGAGGCTGAGGTGGGAAGATCACTTGAGCCCAGAAGTTTGAGGTTGCAGTGAGCTATGATCACACCACTGCACTCCAGCCTGGGTGACAGAGTGAGACCTTGTCTCAAATAAATAAATAAATAAATACATAAATAAAATTAAAAGATCAGCTGGGGCCAGGCACAGTGGCTCACACCTGTAATGCCAGCACTTTGGGAGGCCAAGGTGGGTGGATCACGAGGTCAGGAGTTCAAGACCAGCCTGGCCAAGATGGTGAAACCTTGTCTCTACTAAAAATACAAAAATTAGCTGGGTGTGGTGGCAGGCACCTGTAATCCTAGCTACTCGGGAGGCTGAGGCAGGGAATTGCTTGAACCCGGGAGGCAGAGGTTGCAGTGAGCTGAGATGGCGCCACTGTACGCCAGCCTGGGCGACAGAGTGAGACTCCGTCTCAAAAAAAAAAAAAAAAAAAGATCATCTGGGCATGGTGGCACACACCTATAGTTCCAGCTATTCATGAGGCTGAGGTGGGATCCCAGGAGGTGGAGATTGCAGTGAGCTGTGATCATGCCACTGTATTCCACCCTCCAGCCTGGGTAACAGAGCAAGACCCTGTCTCAAAAAAAGAAAAAAATCAGTTGCAGATGTCCATACCTTATGATGATTAGCCAAGGACTGGTGACACACCTCATGGCAGATTGCACGTCAGGGTCGAGAGCCAGTGGCTGAGGACAGCTCTATGCTCAGGCTTGTGTTTCCCCAGCGTGTTGTGCCCTCTGCAGCCCTCTTGTGCCCAGACACAGAGTAGTTAAAAACAGCAGTACAGAGGGCAAGACATGGAACTGCCTACTTTTTTGCTCAGTGGGAAAAGTGCTTGGGTGAGACATGTGGCTGTCCATTGAAGGGAACAGCTATGCTGACTGTGGGTTGGAAAATCTAGGCTGGCTGTCTTGCTGGCTGTCCCGTGTTGGCTGGTTTGGTGCCTACAGTGGAGTCCCTTGTCTGCCTGTGTGTCTCTTAATGATTCTGATGTCATCTCTGCGAGGTCAGAGGTTGGTTCCCGGGGCAGGCCCATCTTGCACCCTGAGGTTCAGATGGGACCACAAGCAGCGTAGCACAGGGGGAAAACACTTGTGCGCGTCGACCTTGCACATCAACAAGTTAGACCAGAACATGGAGTGCACCAGCCTTCTCAGAATTCTTGAGCTCTCTGTACCACCACTAGGGGCTCCTCTGTGGCTCAAGACCCCTCCTGAGGCAGAGGGTGAGGAGGAGGCAGAAAGAAAAGAGAACAGGAGACTTGGAGTGGGCAGCAGTAGAGCGGAACCCAGCAGGCCCGCCTTTTTGGATTCCTCTGGGGGCTCTGGGGATGTGTGTTGTGGGAGTGGAGAGTGGTGACGAGCAGAGGACGGACAGCTGCTGAAAGCGATCATTCCTCTCCTTGTGGGGCATCCTGGGAAGAACATGGGTGATCTCTGCAGTCAGGCAGCGCAGTCCTCGTGGGGCCTTATGGGGCGGCTCTGGGTGTCTGCATTCTAATCCCTGGCAACAAATGGGGCTGCAAGGCTGGGCTCCTGGTAGATGCTCAGGAAGGGTTGTTCCACTCCTCACCCCCTCCTGAGCTGCTTTCTAGCCTCGCAGCCCCGTCTTTGGATCCCTTTTTGGCACTCTGCTGGGCTCAGAGCTTCCGTGGCAGGAGCAGAGGCTGCTCTCTCCTGGGTTCCTCTGGGAGCTACCATGGAGCTTGGGCAGTTCCTTCTATTGTTGCGATTCTGGGTTCAAAGCCACAGGCCTCTCAGACAGCTGTGACTTCCCGGCAGGCAGTAGGGATGGGGTGGGGGTGGAGGCGTTGGGGCCCTGCAGCTTCCCTCGCTTGCCTCTGTCCTTGCTAGGCAGTGAGTTGGAGGCGCCTGGGCTCAGCTGATGTTCTCCAAGGAGGACTTGGAATGAACCCGAGACACAAAGGGTGAGGTCAGTGGTTTGCTCAGCAAGAAGGCTGAGTTAGTGACAACCTGTCACAGCTCCCAGGATCCCTGGCTGCAGTCCCTGGCTCCGACTCCTCCCCCTGCTGGCCTTAAGGGAGATGAAAATCAGTGATGTGGATCTATTGACTGAGTGTCTCCTGTGTGTCAGAGTGGGAGGCTTACGTTTATTTTATCCCAGCCACCAGGATGGCTCTCACATTCTTTTTCATCCATTACTCACTGTGCGCTATGAGGTGCCTGAGTAAACTAAAGCCCAGAATTATCTAGTCACTGGTCACCCAGGCTAGTGAGTGGCGGATTTGAACCCATCCTCCTCACTGTTAGATGGCCCATTCCTTCCACTCTACCACACTGCCATGCAGGTGGGATGCCCAGAGGGTGTCCAAAGAACTGTGTGACCATCCTAGCTCCCAACGACAGCAGACCAGCCAAATCTGTGATATGGGCAGGGGTGGTTTTATGTGTGGACAGTGGGGGCTTTGTGGTGCTGCTTAAAATTGTTTGCCAAAGTCCCCAAGAGCAAAATCTTATCTGTTTTTTTTGTTTTGTTTTTTTGAGACAGAGTCTTACTCTGTCGCCCAGGCTGGAGTGCAGTGGCGCAATCTCTGTTCACTGCAACTTCTGCCTCCTGGGTTTAAGCCATTCTCCTGCCTCAGCCTCCCAAGAGGCTGGGATTACAGGCATGCACCACCATGCTCAACTAAATTTTGTATTTTTAGTAGAGTAGAGATGAGGTTTCACCATGTTGGCCAGGCCAACATGGTTTCGAACTCCTGGCCTCAAGCAATCTCCCTGTCTCGGCCTCCCAAAGTGCTGGGATTACAAGCATAAGCCACCATGCAGGCCTTGAAGCCTCTCTTTTTATCTTACGATTTCACTTGCATTTTGCATTTGACTCCATAATGTAGCCTTGTTTGTTTTAAGACAATGATTTACATTTCTTGCCCCTGAGTACATTTGATCCTCAGAGTGTTCTGGGTTTATCCTGAGGTGGCTTCCTGTACCCCTGGCTTCCATCTGTCCCCTGGGGGTATGGATATCCTTGTGCGAGAGGCTCAAACCAGGTGAATGATGATAGAGGTAGTGGTGGGACACATTCAGTATTGTGAAGAAAGGCACGCTGGCAAAAAGGGAAGCGGGGAGTCCAGTTTGGCTGGAGACATGGGTTGCAGTGAGGGGGACCAAGGAGGCAGTGAAGGTTAGTTTGGGGCCATATTCTGAGAGGGTCAAGAACAGAATGCCATCCCCAGGGTTTCTGACCTTGTTTTATAGGCAGAGAGGGCAACAGTGGGTGAGTATTATAACTCCACCCCTTGCTCTGCACACATTCATTCAAGCCCCTCTAAGAGGCCTGTGAGGGCCGGGCACAGTGGCTTATGCTTGTAATCCCAGCACTTTGGAATGCCGAGGTGGGTGGATCACTTGAAGTCAGGAGTTCGAGACAAGCCTGTCCAACAATGTGAAACTTCGACTCTACTAAGAAAATACAAAAATTAGCCAGGTGTGGTGTGTACCTGTAGTTCCAGCTACTTGGGAGACTGAGGCAGGAGGATCATTTGAACCCGGGAGGTGGAGGCTGCAGTGAGCTGAGATCATGCCACTGCACTCCAGCCTGGTTGACAGAGCAAGACTCCATTTCAAAAAAAAAGGAGGCCTATGAGGGTATCCATGCTGTGGGGATTCAGGAGCAGGAGGATGTTCTTGCCCACAGAGGACCTGCAGTCTAGGGGGAGAAGCAAGAGTGAAGTGTGAGGCATGCCCCAAAAAGGCTGGGTGCCAAGAAGTTCGGGCCGATGGTGTGTGCAGGAAGCGTTAGATTGGGAGAACCCAGGGCAGGGGGCTGCAGTCAAGTTCAGGTAGGCACTGAGCATGGATTCGAATGCTAGTCCAAGTGGTTGGCTGTGGTGATGAAAGGAAAGGGAGGCAAGTGATGACAGGGAGAGGCCCCGCGAAGGAAGAATTGATGTGACTTAGTGACCAGCTAAATGTGGGAGCTATTAAAGGGACTTAGAAAAGAGAACTGGGGAAGTCAGGCAAGCGAGAGCTGACTTCGGGAAATGACCTTGCTGCCTGAAAAAAGGGGAAGGTGCTGGCTGGTTAGTGAGAACCTGATTAGCAAAGAGTGGGTAACTAATGCTATGAAATCCACAAAAATCGCAAAAAAACTGCAGCTCATCTCAGGAACAGGCAAACTTTTGAACTTTTTGTTCGGGTCTCTGTGGGACGATGACTCACTTTGAGCCCCTCCTAACCTCTGTTGGTGATTAGCAGGGGTGAGAGGCCCAAGGAGCCGCCCTGCTCTGCAACAGATCAACTTGCCTGGAAGAGCCCAGATTGCAGGAATGGGCTGGGGTCGATTTGGAACAGCTGAGAACCTTTCCAGCCCATGAGTCTCCTGGGTTTGAGGCTGTCTTTTTTGTATGTGAATCTGGGTTTTACCCATTGAAGGAGCTGTGAGTTGGGCCTGGAATGGGGCCCTGGACTTGACCTGAAAAGGTCTAGCATCTCTGGGCGACCTAAAGAGGTGGATGACATCTGACCAATGAAATGTGTCCACAATGTTCTGGGACCTCTGGAGGAGGGAGGGCCCACTGATTCTGGACAGGAGAGATGAGTTATTTACAATATGAAAGAGACTCTGGGGATGGGCATGGTGGCTCCTGTCTGTAATCTCAGCACTTTGGGAAGGCCCAGGCAGGAAGATGGCTTGAGGCCAGGAGTTCAAGACCAGCTTGGGCAACATAGTGAGACCCTGTCTCTACAAAAAAGTTTTTAAAAGCCTAGTGTGGTGGCATGTGCTTTTAGTCCTAGCTACTCGGGAGGCTGAGGCAGGAAGATCCCTTGAGCCCAAGAATTCTAGGCTGCAATGAGCTGTGATCAGGCCTCTAGCCTGAGTGGCAGAACAAGACTTGTCTCAAAAAAAGAAAAAAAGAAGAGAAAGACTCTGGTGTTTGGCCAGCCTGGCCTGAACTCCTGTGTCTGTAGCCTAAGGCAGATGCATAGAAGTGCTCAGAGTCAACCTGGGCAGCCTTGTCTCACCTGCTGTTGCTTAAGCTCCTGGAGCCCAATTTGATGGGGAAGTGGCTGCAGCCAGGAGCCTGATGGGTGGGCCTTGTGTGTGCCTGGTGCAGATGGGCCTGGCACAGTTGGTCTTCTGCCTGGAGCTCAGGGTGACTGCTGGAGTTGCCTTGCAGCCATTATTTTCTCAGGTCTCTGGTTACCTGTGCCCTGTGACCTTGGGCACAAGCCAGGCAGCCAATAAAGCCAGTCTGTCTGCACACTCATATTGTGTCACCCTCTGCAAGGAAGAGCTCCTCAGCATACAGGAAGCCACCCTCCTAAGCTAGGCCTGTAGGAAGCCTGGGGAAGAACCACTTCATCCAAATGACCACCCCCTCCTCCCCTGGCGGCTGACTGGAAGACTCCTGGGCCTTCTCCCCTGGCTTCCTGTGTGTCACCCCCCAGCCCACACTTCCTTCAGGGCTGTAAGGGTAAAATGCAGTTCCTGTTGAGTGAGGCATGAGTCAGCGGAGGAGAATTGGTGGCTGAGTCTTTGTAACCTCCAGGCATGGCTATTAAATATTTAAATGACACTATGGTATTGATCGTTTCTCATCCATCCTCTTAGCAGAGCAGTTCCTGTCTGGGATTCAGATAATAGCAGAATCTTGGATTTAGACTAACTCGGAAGAGCTCAAAGGTGCTATATAAATCTCACCCATAATTGTATTATCTCCTCAGAGCATGCTACTAGGAATGGGGACAAATCGGGTTCTGCCCATTTTCTTGATAGAGAAGACATCCAGAGAGGTTAGAGGATCCGCTGAGGGGCCCCCACTCATCCGCTGGGCCTGGGATCAGGGCATCCTGGCTCCCCTCCTCCGCACTGGCTGTTTGCTCTGCTCACTGCTGCTTCCCCATCCTCCTCCTCTTCACAGCCCCTCTGTCATTCAGCCATTCATTCTAGCTGCTGGGGATATGGCATCGAACAAGACCGACAAGGCCCCTGCTCTCTGGAGCTTAATTCTTGGAGAGGAGACAGTTGACAAGAACCCAAATTGGCAGGGAAGGCCCCTCAAGGAGACTGAGTTCCTAGTCAGTGTCCAGGCCCTAGGTCCCTGGGCTGGGGGTGGGTGGGGCAGAGTGGATCTGGCCTAATTGTGGATTGGCCCTTACTGAGGACAGACGGTTATCAGGATAAATATACCCAGCTCACCATTCCTGGGGACTTACTCACCGAGTGAAAGCACCCCGCTGCGGATTAGATTACCTCTGCTCTAACTGCTCATGTGCTCTGGGCTGGGGGAGGGGAGGGGAACTTGGAGCCAGGGGGAGGGGGGAGACCCGCCTTCCCGTTCTGTTTTCCTTCCTAATCTGGAAGAGTCTCACCAAAGGGGCTGAGATGAGACCATCCCTGAGCTGGTCCTGCTGTTTACATAGCTCCTTCCTTAGGAAGGGCCAAGCCCTGCTCACTGCTTATATCCCTGAGCGTGGGCAACTGTAAGGAGGCCGCAGCTTCTCTGACACTCAGAGCTACCAAGGCTGCCCAGGTGGTCATCAGGGGGTTGGGAACCTCCCTTGTCCAGAGTTCTGGACCCAACAGGATAGACAGGCCATGAGGCTGGGCATCCCCAGACCCCCTAGGACAGGGACTTGTTTCTCTGGGAGTCTGGGTTTCCTATCAGATGGCAGGGATGGACAGCTGGCCCAGGGCTGCGGGGAAGGCCCCTGTGCTATGGCAGCCCGTTGCTGCTGGTGCTGGAGCTTTCAGGGCGGTGCTTGCTGCTCCTTCCTTTGGCTTGTCAGCTCCTAAGGAAGCTGCACTGGCCGCTCCCTGCCTGGGGCAATGAAAGCTGAGTGAAATTGGCCTGCAGAAGAAGGTGGGTGAAGGGGCTGGAAAATACCTTGTTCTTACGTGGGCCTCTCCTGGGCCAGGCCTCGAGAATGCAAGGCGTGCTAAGGTGGGGCGCTGCCTGAGGGCCACAGGACTATACCTCTTCTAGTTCTGCCTGGGGCTGCTGGTGGAGGAGTCCAGAATGGCAAAGGTGGGCAGGGACCACGGGGCCCTGGCGCTGGGGCTGGTGTGGCAGGGCAGCCTGTAAACTCCAAGAAGGGATGGAAAAGCTGGCTCCATGCCCCACATTTACCTGCTTCCTGCTGATCTGGGACTAGAGGGCAGCACCCTTTGCCCTCAGGGATTGGATAGGACGGGGAGGTGATTTCTTTCCCCTCCTAGGGCTTAACACCTCCCTGGGAAGAAGCTTGTAATCTATTTAGCAACTCCCATTTCCTGTGTGCTGTATTCCAGGCACTGTGCTAAGTCAGCACTTTATATCTTTTTCTCATGTAGTCCCAATCCTGTGAGTAAAATGGTGGAATTCCTATTGGGCAGACAAGGAAACTGAGGCACAAAAGCAGTTAAGCAGCCTATCCGAGCAGTTCAGCCATTGAGCAGAGCCCAGGTGACTGAGGATTCACCGTACAAGTTGTAACACTGAAAGTCCTCAGAGCCTGGGAGGAGAGAATGGAATCGCTCTGGGTCCTCCCACCCCCTCAGAGAGATGGACTTTTATCTCCTCTCTCTTGGCACCTGTCCAGCTCCAGGCCTCTGGTCTTGATAGTCTTTATCACACACTAAGAAGTGGCAGGGGCTTAGGTAGGAGGAAGCAGCCTGGCTTGTTTCTGTGCTGCAGTCGGGGGTGGGGGCGGAAGGTTTTAATTGATTCTCTTTAATCTGATATTGAGTGCCATGCGTCAGTGGATCAACCGGGGTCCCCAGAGCCACAGTCTGGGGGACATCCCCCCATTGTAGGTACAAGGGGACCCAGGTTTCCTTCCACCCGGAGCCCCTAGGTGGGTACAGGAATGTGAGGGATGCAGCTGCAGCACTTGCCCTGGAATGCAGGCGAACCGGTCCCCTCCTCCTCGGAGCAGTGGGCTGAGGGTGTCTGTACCTTAACCCTCCAGCGGCTCCCACCGGTTGTAAGGATTACGCTCAGTCAGTTGCTGAGGCCCAGGGAAGGGCTTCTTCCTCTCAGCCTGGCCGTAGTGCACTGTTTCTGCCCAGCCACCTGCCCCAGGGCGGCCTCCCGACCCAAAGCTGCAGCTGTTCCATGCTGTTGCTCCGACCAGGTGCAGCCATGGGGTGCAGATAGGGGCGCACACGGTGCTGCATTTGCACAGGGCCCTGGAAGCGAGGGCGTGCACCCCTCTGGTTCTCCAGAGCCCTGCATGTCACCCTTGGGTTGTGCCTTCAAGTGATACCAGGCTACCTGTGTTCCTCCCACTAGCTTGCTGTGTTCCTCCAGCTCAGCCTTGTTCTCTAAGGATAGAAACTTCCCCACTGCGCCCATGGCCAGGGGCTCCCCAGTCTTCCCCGGCTAGAAAATTGCAAGATTGCACGAGGTTACCCAGTGGCAAGAAGCTGACGGGCCAATGGTGCCCTCTGGTGGGGAGCAGCAGACAGTCTGCACCCCTTCCTCACCAGGGCGGAGCCAGGACATAGCTCCGTGGCCTTTGCCCATGGCTCGCTGGGGACTTTGCACCTAGCCTGCCCTCAGCCTCGAGACAGCCTGGCCTACCTCCTCATGTTGCATACTTCCGCTGGCCCAGAGAGACAGAAAACCTGCAGAATTCAGGGTGGGTTTCCTCCAGAAAGTGGTTGGGAAGCCCCAGAGAGAGAGCTTCCTCCTTCAGGGTGACTTGGGTCTGGAGGGCCCCAGGCCTGGACCTGGAAACTTAGTAGAGTAATGCCAAGGAAATTTGAGGCCTTTCTTAGCTTGAATGAGGTCTCCCGACTACTTCCGAGCAGCGTGTCTGGAATCTGTCCTCCCAGCATGTGGGAAGGGAGGGTGTATTCCTGGTCTTGAATGGTTTCAGTGGGTACCATTTTCTCTGAAGAGTGGATAGCCTGACACCTTCTTTGGGGTATGAGGAGCAGGAATATTTAGAGCAGAGGGAAAGGCTGGAGCCGGACACTGGGGGACCCCGCTGGGATGGGGCTCTGCCTTCAAGTGGACTCCTTCCTGTGTGCAGTGTCTGCCAGCTCTGTTTGCTCAAGCCAGGGGGGACGTTTGCTGAGCTTGCAAGGGGACTCTGACCCTTAACCATTTTGCAGCCTATGGGGAAGTCTCAGGTATTTGCACCCATTGGAAATCAAAGTAAAGCTAGGAGTCTACTGTTGGCTTGCCTCCTGTATTTCTGGTTTTCTTTCTTGAGGAGTTTGTGGGGGGTTTGGAGGCACCAACCCCTACCCCTCTTGCCTAGTCCTTGCCTGTCCAAATCACTAGGTGAGAATGAAGGGTGGAGAGAGAGGAGGAAGCCATACCAGAGACCCTGTGGCTGGTGGATGGACTTGCTGGGGTTTTTCTCTGTCCCTCAAATAGACAAAACTTTGGAGAAAACTGAATAATGATGTGCCTTCTCCCTGACATCTGCACTCTATGATTTGTTCGTTTGTTTTTAAGACAGGGTCTTGCTCTGTCACCCCGGCTAGAGTGCAGTGGTGCAATTGTAGCTCACTGTAGTCTTGACCTCCTGGGCTCAAGCAATCCTCCTGCCTCAGCCTCCTGAGTAATTGGGACTACAGGCGCATATCACCACACCCAGCTAATTTTTAAATTTTTTGTAGAGATGGGGTTTCACTGTGTTGCCCAAGCCGATCTCCAACTCCTGTTCTCAAGTGATCCTCCCACCTCAGCCTCCTGAATAGCTGGGACTATAGGCATGCGCCACCACACCCAGCTAATTTTTAAATTTTTTGTAGAGACAGGCTCTCACTGTTTTGCCCAGGCTGGGACATGCTACAATTTGAATGTTACTTTATTACTTTTCTTTTCTTTTCAAGGTTGCCCTTTTCATGGTTTGCTCATATTCTACCCAGAAAAGACTTAGGAGACTTAGAAGAAGTTAGTACTTTGCATCCTACCTACACTGCTCTCCTTGGAGGAAGACCTTATTCTGGATTTTACAGAGCAAATCAGATCTGATGTTTGTAGCTTCCAATGTGCTATGGAGCTTCCTCCTGCAGAGTGACTTGGGTCTGGAGAGCCTGATATTTGCAACTGATGTCTGCAGCTTCCAGTGTACCTGCTAGCCCTTATAAACCTCACACCAGTACTTTGAGGTCAGAGTTATTCAAGAGCTTACTGAGACAACAGGCCCTGAGAAGCTAAGCGATTTGCCCTGTGGCATGGATGGTAGAGAGGGGAGCTGGCACTTGAACTCAGGTCTGGCTCGACCTCAGAATGAGTGATCTTGTGTCTCTGTGCCCCAGGACTGCATCCTCTCACCAATACTTCACCAGCCTAGGGATCTGTGCTCCCAAGAGCCTGTTGACATTGTAAACCTGAATCCAATCCATAAACCAAAAGCCCAGGCTTAGAATCACATTGTGGTGGAGCGGGTGTTTGGTGGAGTCCCTGATTCAAAATGTTTGACAAGGAAGCCTGACCATTTGTCTTCTGTTGGGTGTTTGGAGTCCAAGAGACCTGAGATCAGAGTCCAGCATTGTCACTTCATCCAGCCTTGGCAGTGTGGGATGTGACTCTGCCTCTGAACCGCAGTTATACCATCTGTGCTGGTGGCGTTGTGAGGATGGCAGGTAACAAAGGTGAAGCTCCTGGCCCCAGTGGGCCTTCAAGGATGGCAGCTGCTCCTGCCCCCTACTGGGGTTGCACTCATTCGTTGCCTGCTCTGGGGAGTCCTATGGGGTTTCTTAGCTGGCCCTGCCCATGGTGGAGAAAGAGGGATCCACCCATTGCTGATTGGGCCCAGAGGAAATGAGGACACTGCGTGAAGCCAAGACAGCAGGTGTGGCCCTGGAGAGGCCGTGGGGATTGGCCTGGACACTGGTTCCTTTTCTGCCGTTACCTAGATACCTACCAACTCCCTCTAGTTCCGGTTTGCTAGAGACAGGAAGCCAGGCCTCCTCCATGGGACCCGGAGGGCGGGGCGGGCTGTAGGACCTGAACTTCCTTGGAGGTCAGGCGACCAGACCCGGGGTCCTGGGCCTTGGAACAGACATCCCCTCTGTCCATCTGGGCAGGAGCATGGGGTAGGTGTGGCCAGCCTTGAGGGTAGGAGATCAGGACAGGCAGCTGGGACAAGGTGTGGCCCCATAGACCGAGGCCCTGGGTGAGGGCCTTGCTTCTCTATTCCCTCCTCTGAACACAGGTTGGGGGACTGGGAGCAAGGCCACAAGGAAGGATCACACTGGCAGGCCTCACAGCTTGGGCCTCCAACATTCAGGAAGTTGAACCCTTTAAGTATGGCATCATCTGGTAGTCATAGTGGCCTCTTACAGGCCAGGTTTTTGGGGTTTGGGGCTTCTGAGGAGTCAGACAATTGTGCCACTCACTGGCTTTGTTATTTGGAGCAAACACCTCTGACCTCTGCCTCTCCAAGCCCGGCTTTCCTCATCGCTTCGGGGAGAATCATTTCCAGCTACAGGGGGTATTAGGGGGATTAACGGAGACCTCGTACATGCTGCTAGAATGCCTAGCAGTCTGCCTGCTACTGATAAGTGGCAATAAACGCAGCCATTGCTTTTTAGATGTTTATTATCCTGAGGGCTAGGGATCAAGCTGTCAGCTCCCTGGACCCAGCAGGTTACCGGGGAGCTGAGAGCAAGCAAGTTGTGAACGGGGCAGGAATGAGGGTGTGGCATCCAGGGCCAGGCTGTCTGAGCCGTGGGGCTGTTGAGGGTCCCAGGAGGGGATGGAGGAAGTGGGGGTCAGCAGGTCCTACTCCTGCCCTTCTATACCCTTCTTTTCTGGAGACTGGGGAGACCTAGTGCCCCCCTGTTGGCTGCCAGGTGCCAGGGTAATGGAAGCTTACACTAGAGGGCTGATTTGGCTCCCTTGCCGCTGTTAAAAGCAGAACAGTGGGGGCCTGGAGCCTCTGGGGCCGGGCTGCTTGCCAGACTTCCGCAGAAACAGCCAATGGAGCAGTCTTGCCCCCTGCTCACTGAGGGGGTGGGGACCGCTGCACCAGCCTCACTCCAGCCCCCACCTCCCCGCACACCTTACCCCATAAGCCTAGAGCCTCAGGAGGAACCTGGAGCCTGGGCTTCTGCTTCCACCTGGTTAGGAGGGCAGGGACCATCCTGAGTGCCCCTTCCAGTCGGGGGCTGGGAAAGCCTAAGCTCTTAGAAATCAAGTGAGGGCCTGGCATAGCCAGGGCCCCTCCCTGTGACGTGGGGCCCCTCCCGCCCATTCTCTCCGCGTTGCCCTGCAGATTCAGAGTTCCAGACAGGCACTTCACTCGCGGCTGCGCGGCCCTGTCAGGAGGGAACGCAGTGCCAGGTGCCTGACTCCCAGAGGTAGGAGATCCCACAGGGCAGCCCCAGAGCCCGCCTCTAGAGCACTTTCAGTCCTGGGTGGCCAGAAGAAGTTAGCTTTGGGAGCCGGCTCTTGGTTAGGCTGGTCGGGGCTGGTGGCTTCCTGTCCCAAGGCTGGTCATTTCTCCCATGGGTGGGGCAGGTGCTAGAAGGCATTAACTCTTGAGGTGCAGGCAGGGAGGGCCCTGCCACGGGAGAGTCCCCAGGATCCCGGTTCTCACCTGCTACCCGTGCCTTCTCTTTGCAGACGCCCTGCTGGCGGACTTGGAGTCTACCACCTCCCACATCTCCAAACGGCCTGTGTTCTTGTCGGAGGAGACCCCCTACTCATACCCAACTGGAAACCACACATACCAGGAGATTGCCGTGCCACCCCCCGTCCCCCCACCCCCGTCCAGCGAGGCCCTCAATGGCACAATCCTTGACCCCTTAGACCAGTGGCAGCCCAGCAGCTCCCGATTCATCCACCAGCAGGTGAGGCGGGGACAGTGGCTGGGAAGGCCAAGGAGGCTGGGGGACAGAGGGAACTTAGCTGGCAGGGGCTTAGGGAGCCAGGGGATGGAATGGAATTGGGGCAGTCGACCCTTCCCAACCAGACACTGCTCTTCCCACTCACCACGTGAGTGGAACAGTGACCAAGTGGTTAATCACAGGTTTCCTGGCCCAACTGTGGAAATTCCCTGGTGAGACTGGCTGTGGGCAGGAGCCTCCTGGGGGTGACTGGAGCTGCTCCTGGCCCCTGTTCCTTTTTCTCCCCTCGGGGTAGCCTCTGAGCATTCTCCTTCTCGCAGCCTCAGTCCTCATCACCTGTGTACGGCTCCAGTGCCAAAACTTCCAGTGTCTCCAACCCTCAGGACAGTGTTGGCTCTCCGTGCTCCCGAGTGGGTGAGGAGGAGCACGTCTACAGGTACTGCCCCAGTCTGCCCAGGGCACCTTCCCTCCTGCTTAGAAATCTCAGGGACCTGGCCAGGGTGGGAGGCAGCGGAGGCCCGGGAGCAGGCATAGCAACTGGGCCTTGTGGGGTTATTCTGGTTTAAGCTGCAGAAGGCCTGTCGGTGGGCCCGTCTACCTCATCAGTGCCATCTCCATGCAGTGGACATTCTGGGCTATCACAGCATCTCCGTGTAGCTGAGGAACTGAAGCAAGACTTCATTCCTCCCCTCTTCTTTTTTTCTTTTTTTTTGAGACGGGGTCTCGCTCTGTCACTCTGTCGCCCAGGCTGGAGTGCAGTCGCGCGATCTCGGCTCACTGCAAGCTCCGCCTCCTGGGTTCACGCCATTCTCCTGCCTCAGCCTCCCAAGTAGCTGGGACTACAGGCACCCACCACCACGCCTGGCTAATTTTTAGTAGAGACGGGGTTTCACCGTGTTAGCCAGGATGGTCTCAATCTCCTGACCTCATGATCTGCCCGCCTCAGCCTCCCAAAGTGCTGGGATTACAGGCGTGAGCCACTGTGCCCGGCCTCCTCCCCTCTTCTTACCACATCCCTTCCCTACCCTCTGTCCTCTTGCGGGGGAAGACTTCGCATCTCCTCTGCCTTGTTCTCCTTGGGAATCTGGGAACTGCCAAGCCAGTACAAGGCCAGAAAGCATCTCTCACTATCTTCTTTCCTTTGCCTCTCAAAGCTTCCCCAACAAGCAGAAATCAGCTGAGCCTTCACCCACCGTAATGAGCACGTCCCTGGGCAGCAACCTTTCTGAACTCGACCGCCTGCTGCTGGAACTGAACGCTGTACAGCATAACCCGCCAGGCTTCCCTGCAGGTAGGACCGGGTCCCTGGGGCAGGGTCTACCAGGGCCCAGGGCCCATCTGCTGACCTCTAGATCCCAGGAGGGCTCAAGGGCTGAGCAGCCTTTTTCTCTCCTCTCTGCAAGATGAGGCCAACTCAAGCCCCCCGCTTCCTGGGGCCCTGAGCCCCCTCTATGGTGTCCCAGAGACTAACAGCCCCTTGGGAGGCAAAGCTGGGCCCCTGACGAAAGAGAAGCCTAAGCGGAATGGGGGCCGGGGCCTGGAGGACGTGCGGCCCAGTGTGGAGAGTCTCTTGGATGAACTGGAGAGCTCCGTGCCCAGCCCCGTGTGAGTACCCACTGGGCCCTCCCCAGGTGGGGAAGGGCTGGCCCAGCCTGCCCCGGGTCCAGTGTCTGTCCCCTTAGCCCTGGTATCACCCACTCCCTCCCGTGTCTGCCATTTGCCAGGCACTGGGGGGATAGTGGTGAGTCACATGGACACCATCCCTGCCTTCAGCCAGTCACTGCCAGTCAGAAAGGACAGACGTTGTGCAGGCTGAGGGCGCCTGGAGCTTAGCAGCTCTTAGCACAGGCTTTGGGGCCACACAGTGGGGTTCACATCTTGGCTCTGACAGTTACTGTCAGCTCTCAAGCCTTAGTTTTCCCATCTGTAAAATGGGACAAGAACTTATGGGATCACTGGGATAAGACCACCTACCTCAGTAAGGGTGAGAACCAGTAATCCATGTAAAGCGCTTGGAATGGTTTCTGGTGTGTAGTGCGTGGCACACATGGTGAGTGCCCAACACGCGAGCTCTTACCAGTGCCGTCGTGTTACTGCAGTAGCCTCACCTCCATGTCCAGTGTTGTGGAGGAAACACAGGGCGCTTGGGCTTGTTTCGCAGGCCAGCTTTCACTTGGGCTGGGGGCTAGAGGAGTCTTCCTGGCACTTCCTGGTGCCATTGAACTGCCCTTTCTTCTGACCCAGTGATGGGTCCCCAGGAGAGACAGGGAGCTGGTGGACCTCCCTGGGGTTGGGGATGGTGAGACCCCAGTGTCCGAGGTGAGAGGTCGATCTGATCCCCGGGAAGTGTGGGGCTGACTGTGGGCTCCCCACTGATGCTGTGCCCACCCTGCAGCCCTGCCATCACTGTGAACCAGGGCGAGATGAGCAGCCCGCAGCGCGTCACCTCCACCCAACAGCAGACACGCATCTCGGCCTCCTCTGCCACCAGGGAGCTGGACGAGCTGATGGCTTCGCTGTCGGATTTCAAGGTGCCCTGTGAACCCTCCATCTTCCCTGCCCTGCCGCCCCTCCCTCATCCTTCTCCTCCCTTACCTCAGTGTGGGTAGCTGGATCTTGGCATCTCAGTGTTTGGGTGCCTTGCCCCTGAGCCAGGGACACTGTCATGCCCTGGCCTTGCTGTGATGCCAGGAGATGGGGAGGGAGGGCCGGGTCAGCCTGCCTGAGGATTGCAGTAGCCAGTGAAGGCAGACAAGCTGGAGAAGTGCTCAGCTGGGACATTCCTTCCTCCCTGGGTGCTCCCAGCCTCTCAGGTCGAGGGGATCAGGAGGCTGGGACGCTGGGACAAAGAACCTTGTGTTGATGGCTGCTCTGGGTGGGGGAGGGCATTCTCTGCTGGGCCATGTGGGACTTGGGAGCCTGTGCCTGGGAGGTCATTTGCCCTGGAGCCCCATCTCCCACGCTAGCTGTCCTCAACACATCCTCTTTCTTTCTGCCTCTGATCCTGAATCCACAAGCCTCCCTTGCTACTCTTCTCCCATCCTTCCCTCTCGCCCTCCAGGGCCTCTGAGTTCCCACGAGCGTGTCTGTGGGAAACCATGGGGCCAGGCTTGCACGAGGTACCTGCCCTTCCCCTCCCCTGCTGGGCCTCCCCAGTCCTGCCAGGCCTGAGATGTTTAATTTAGAGGATTCAGTGTTTCCTTGGGGATTGATATTGACAGAACTCACCAGCAGCTGCTGACTTCATACTTCCACGTGGGTCAGCTGGAGACCTTTGGGGCATGACCTAGGGAATATGAGAGGGGAGTGAACGGTCCCTGCACCCTTGGCCCTGATGGTGTCTCCTAGCCTCCCTTCAGCTGAGGTTTCATGGTGGGAGACAGGAGTGTGGCTGGGGTGGAGGGTTGAGCCTGGCCCTGTGACCCTTGCGTGCTATAGTTCCAGCTCCAGGCCAGTGGTTCTGAGCAGCCATGGTCAGAAGCAAGTAAGTTGGATTCAGGGCCTGGCCTGAGGGAGCTGTGCCCCGGTGCTTTTAAGGCTGCCGTTTTCTCAGACAGCCTGTGTCCTGATGCCAGGAGAAGCAGCAGTGGTTTTAGTCAGATCCCTGGAGCAAGGATGTGGAAGACGTAGAGGACTTGGGGTGTAGGAAAGCTGGGATTGTCCGGAGGGACATGGCCGAGTTGGGCCAGTGTCCGAGGCGGGTTCAGCAGCCCCTGGGGCTGGCTCTCCCTCCATTTGTGCCTGGGGCTGTCTTCCGTAGCCACCTGGCTCCCCATTTGTCCACCTTACCGTGGTCTTTTCTTTCTCATACCCTCCCTGGGTGGCTCCACAGGCACGGCTTGGTGGCTGCTTTCTCTTGCTTGGGTTTGGTGAGGGCTAAGCACGCAAAGCCCAGGGAAGCTTTTTTGGGGTCTGGGTCTCCTTCAAGGGTCAGTCCTGTGCGTCAGCTTTGCAGCCACCTTGGTCAGCCCTAAGGCCGAGCCCACCGCCTGCAAGGTGCAGCCGTCCTCACTCCCCTCATCTCTCTCTCTCCTCTCCCCTCTGCATTTCTCTCTTCTCCAGACCAGCTCCTCCACTGTGGCTCTGAGTGCCCCGGGGCTGTCCAGCTCTGCTCCGTCCTCATACTGCTCCCTTCCTCCTTCTCCTCCTCCCATGCCATCTGTATTTCTGCCACCCACCACTATACCCTCCCCTCGAGGCCAGGGCCACACTCCGGAGTTCCCTTGTACTGAGCAGAGTGGACGAGGCCTTCTACCTCCTGTAGCCCCCAGCTGGCTTGATTTGGCTGGTCTTGGGGTGATGCCTGACACCTTCAACTCAAGGTCTCCCTCTGTGGAGGGTTCTCTGTGGGCAGTGGGCACAGAGAGTCAGGGTCGAGATTGGAGGCACCTGCCGACCATCACAAGTGAGCTCTCTGGGGCTCCCCGCTGCCACACTGTACCCTGTGCTGGGAGCACAGCTCTCCAAGAGCCTGGGGAGCCCCAGGGGCCACCAGCCAGCCCTTCGTGCCCAGAGGAGGCCTTGGCTGCCACATGGGAGCAGCCATGGGCTTCGGAGGTATTCGGGCCTGAGAGAATGCCCCCCTCTGGAGCTGCTCGAAGCTTCCAAGAAGTAACAGAGCCAGCTGTAGTGGCAGTGGACCGGCAGGCCATCTTCCCAGATACCTGGACTCTCACGGAGGAACATGGCCTACAGCAGGAGAGGCCAAGGCCAGAGCCAGGGAGGCTGGGAAGCAGCTCCCCTGCCTCAGTTACCACGGAGCAGCTAGGTGCAAAGATGACCGAGAGGGGAAGTGTGGCCAGGCCAACCCAGGGACCTGAAACCCCAAGGAGCCCAGAGGGCACCACGGAAGCTGCCACCCAGGACGGGAAGGAACAGCCAGAGCTTCCATGTGCCATGGCCATGGGCACACCCAGCACCACGGAGAGGATTTCCACCTCTGGCCAGGCAGGCACCAGCTCGCATGGCTGCTGGGCATGGCCATTGGCGGGTCTGAGTGTGGGCCGCTCCTCGCTAACTGCATGCAGCCTCCCACTCTGCGCATGTCTGCTTGGGCAGAAAATGCTGAGACACTGTGGCCGGACCTGACAGTCAGCACTTGGCAGTGGGCTCTGTGGACCCAGCATTTCTCATAGCGTCAACCCACCTCTTGCCTTGTTGAGGCTTTTTCCTTTCAGATGAGCTGTCCTTGACATTCTGATGTGGTGAAATGGTTAGCAGCATGGACTTTGGAACCAGATAGACCTAGATACAAACCACATGTCTAACACTTGCTACCTCTGTGACCTTGGGCAACCCCCTCCCTCAGCCTCAGTTTTCTCATCTGTAAAGTGGGGAGAATTTCCATCAAGATTGTCCGGAGACCTAAATGAGATAATTCCTGGAAAGTGTTTAGAACACAGCATGTGGTCCCTCAATAGGCCGTGGCTGACAGTACTTTTATTACTTGCTTTTTGCTTAAATTAAAACTTTATGCCGGGCCAGGTGTGGTGGCTCACGCCTGTAATCCCAGCACTTTGGGAGGCCGAGGCGGGCGGATCACCTGAGGTTGGGAGTTCGAGGCCAGCCTGACCAACATGGAGAAACCCCATCTCTACTAAAGATACAAAAAGATTAGCTGGGCATGGTGGCGCATGCCTGTAATCCCAGCTACTCAGGAGGCTGAGGCAGGAGAATCACTTGAACCCAGGACGCAGAGGTTGCGGTGAGCCAAGATCATACCATTGCACTCCAGCCTGGGCAACAAGAGTGAAACTTGGTCTCAAAAAACAAAAACAAAACAACAACAACAACAAAAAACTTTATGCCTCACCCTGGCACAGTAGCTTATACCTGTAATCCTAGCACTTTGGGAGGCTGAGGCAAGAGGATCGCTTGAGCCCAGGAGTTTGAGACCAGCCTAGGCAACACAGTGAAACCCTGTCTCTACAAAAAATTAAAGATTAGCTGGGCGTGGTTGCACATGCCTATAGTCCCAGCTGCTGGGGAGGCTAAAGCAGGAGGATGGCTTTAGCCCAGGAGTTTGAGGCTGCAGTGAGTTGTGATCGCACCACTGCATTCAGCCTGAGCAACAGATCAAGACACTGTCTCAAAAAAAAAAAAAAAAAAAAATCCCCCAAGCTTTATGCCTCTTTGGAAAACAAAACGAAACAACCAAAAACCCCCAAAACACTACCAACAAGTATAATAGCATAATATAATATTAGCATAATAATATAAATAAGAAAAAAAAAACTAGTTAAAAAAGTTCCTGGCTAGCTGAGCACGGTGGCTCACACCTGTATTCCCAGCACTTTGGGAGGCCGAGGCAGGCAGATCACGAGGTCAGGAGTTTGAGACCAGCCGAACCAACATGATGAAACCCCATCTCTACTAAAAAAAAAAACAAAAAACAACAACAACAAAAATTAGCCAGGCGTGGTGGTGCATGCCTTTAATCCCAGCTACTCAGGAGGCTGAGGCAGGAGAATCTCTTGAACCCAGGAGGCGGAGGTTGCAGTGAGACCAGATCGCGCCACTGCATTCCAGCCTGGGCGACAGAGCGAGACTCTGTCCCCCCCCAAAAAAAAGTTCCTGGAAGGAAACACTTTTTCTATTATAAATTAAAAAAAAGAAAAAAGAAAAAGCCGTATGCCTTGTCAAGGGCATGCACTTACATCCTCTGGAATAATTCTTGTGCAAACCCTGTGCGGTAAGCCAAGAAAATCTTGTGGTTCCATTTTAAGGAAGGGGAAGCTGAGGCCCATGGCAATTAAGTGTCTTGCCCAAGGTCAGTGGCCAACTTAGAGGTGAATGCTGGGTCAGAGGTCTCGCTCGCAGCCTGTGCTTCTGGAGCCAGTCCGATCTGCCCCCTCCCCTTGCCTCTACCCACCTCCACCGGTCCAATCTGCCCCCTCCCCGTGCCTCCACCCACCTCCGCTTGGTTCTTTGGTGGTTTTCTTTTGTGCTCCCTCTCCTGAGGCATCTGAGTGTGGCCTGAGCAGCGTTGTGCAAGCTGGGAGTGGGACGGTGACAGCCTCCCCTCCCCCTCCCCCTAGATCCGATCTGTGATCAGGAGGAGCTGGGAGTCTGGCCACGCACACCCCATGTCCCGGGAGCCCTCCCCTCGCCGCCGGCTGGACCCTGCCACCTTGAGCAGGACCCCATCCCAGGAACAGCTCATCGCGGAGCTGCAGGGGCGGCTGGGCATCCAGCCTGAGGCAGAGGAGCCGGCGGAGGCGGCGGGGCCCTCTGCCCAGGACTGGCTGACCGAGGGCGTCATCATCACTGTGCAGCCACGTGGGAAGCGGGCCGGGGGGCAGCTCGTAGAGAAGGTGGCGAGGAGATGCCCATGGCTGGGGCTGGGCCAGAGCCAAGCACCTGGGGTCCGGGTTCTTCCCTGGCCCCAGTGCTGGCCGGAGGGGAGATCTGGGGAGAGGGTGGGGGTTTCTTGCCTCCTGTGACTTTGGAAGACTGGCCCCACTCTTGGTGCAGAGTGGGAAGGCCCAGGGGGAGCCTGGGGAGGTCCCGCCACCCCTGTGGGCTGAGCTGGCGATTTCTTCCTCATCGCTCTCCCTCCTTTCTTCTCCCCAGGTTGTCTTCCCTCCTGGCTCTCCCATTCCCCTGAGAAGAACCATCTCTGTCCTGGCTTCTCCTTCTGTCCCTTTGCTCCAGCATCGCACAGACGCCGCGGCCAGCAGCTCTTCTCCCCTGCCCAGCCTGCTCGCCTCCTCCCCCCTGGGGCCCTCAGCTTATACCTGTGGTTCTTCTGGGGTCCAGAGTGCAGGGGAAGAGCCCCATGATGAGGGGGTGCAGGGCCCTGCCCTTCCCATTCCTGCACCCCACACCATGAGGTCCGTGGGCTGCCAGACTGATGAGGACCCGCTCTTCCCCCCGATGCAGGCAGGCCTTAAAGGAGCCCCTCCCTTTCTGTCCCCTGTCCTAATGCCTGAGCCATCCCCCACTCTGCACACACACACGTGCACACACACATACACAGATACCCTCCATCCCTCCATCTACAAGCCCCAGCACAGTAACCACAGTCCTGCCGTAAACCTTGACCCCGGTCTTCCCCCACTCAGAAGGTCCGCTGCCCTCTTGCTTTTCTGTGGGTCCACCCATGTCTGCTCCTTCCTCGACTGGTCCTCAGTACTGCCCCGGGCTCCCATCGAGGAAAGAAGCCACTCCAGAAGGGAGACCAGAAACCTGTCTCCTCCCTTCCAGCCCCCAGGCCCAGCGCCCGGTGAGGCCTCATCACTGAGCCCGGCCACCTCCCCTTGCCATTTCCTCTGCCTTTGGTCGACTCCCCTCCCTGTCCTTCTTCCTTTCTCCCTAGGCCTCTCTCTCAGGGCTCTTTTTCTCCAGATTTTTTCCCCCAATTTTGGTCCTGCCGGTGGGGGAGAAACCCTCAGATCTCATCCTAGATTCCCTTTTAGTCCAGTGACAAGGTCTTGTATTCTTTCTTAATTTTTAAAAAAGATTTCTTACCCTCATCTCTTCCCCTATCTAAGATCCAGGGCCTGGAGCAAAGAGCGGATGGGGAGCGGTGCTGGGCGGCCGGCTGGCCTCGGGACGGCGGGCGGAGCAGCCCCGGAGGGCAGGACGAGGGAGGGGTCAGTGCCAAGGCTGGGCTGGGTGTCCTGCGTGTCGTGCTCTCCCTGGGCTTGGCCATGCCTGCTGGGTGCCCTCAGCCTTTCCGACCCTGGTGGGCCCCTCCGACCACCAGGAGTCCTGCTGACGTCACTCCCACTTTAGGGCTCCTGGCCCCTGGAGGAGGTTGTACTTCTTGTCTCCATCAGCTCATCTGTCCAGGAGGGAGAAAAGTACCCCCATCCCTGTGCTGCCAGACACCGTACCCCGAGCCTCAGGAGTCCTGACCAGCCCCCTCCGTGTCCACAGTTCATGGCCCAGGGGAAGACAGGGAGCAGCTCACCCCCTGGGGGGCCCCCGAAGCCCGGGAGCCAGCTGGACAGCATGCTGGGGAGCCTGCAGTCTGACCTGAACAAGCTGGGGGTCGCCACAGTCGCCAAAGGAGTCTGCGGGGCCTGCAAGAAGCCCATCGCCGGGCAGGTGATGAGGGGGAGTGGGCAGGGGTGTGGCCAGTGGACTCCTGCAGGGGTGGGGGTGCTCCGGGGCTGGCCTTGGCCCTGGACCGCATTCCATCTCCTCCTCAGGTTGTGACCGCCATGGGGAAGACGTGGCACCCCGAGCACTTCGTCTGCACCCACTGCCAGGAGGAGATCGGATCCCGGAACTTCTTCGAGCGGGATGGACAGCCCTACTGTGAAAAGGACTACCACAACCTCTTCTCCCCGCGCTGCTACTACTGCAACGGCCCCATCCTGGATGTGAGTTCCTCATCCGGCACCGCGCCCGCTTCCGCTCATTCCAGCTTCACCGCAGCCCTCTGAGGATGCAGGGGGTGCCGTGGGAGGCTCAGAGAGGTCACATGCCCGAGGCTCACAGGGCTAGGGAACAGTGGGGCCGGATTCACAGCCACACCTGAACCACAGCCTGTCCCGATGTGCATCGGGCAGCCCCACCTCCCTTCACCTCCCATCTCGATTCCTTTCTGTGGAGACTCCCAGGACTCAGGAGCCCTGAGGAGATAAATGGAGTTGGATGCCAGCGGCCTCACTCTCCCTCTCTGTGAACTTAGGAAATGCCTGGCCTCTCTGAGCCTATGTTTCTTCACTTATAAAATGGGAGTCATAGAACTTGTGCCCTCTACTTGGGGTGAGGAGTAGAGGAGAGGGTATGTGTCTGGCTTGTCCCATCCTGAGTAACTCTGAATTCTTAGAGGCATTCACAGCACAATTAGGAGAGACCCCCATCTTGGGAGTGTTTTGCTCTGTCTATGGCTATGAGCTGCGGGTGGAAGGACGGCCTTGCTGGGCGTCTCAGTTGTGAGATCTGCCCAGAGCTCAGCCTTGATCCCACATTTTGCTTTCACAGAAAGTGGTGACAGCCCTTGACCGGACGTGGCACCCTGAACACTTCTTCTGTGCACAGTGTGGAGCCTTCTTTGGTCCCGAAGGTACGGGCTGGACCGGCGGACTGACCCACCGCCTCTTAGGAGGGCCGGGGAGGTGGGGGTGGGAGACGCTGCTGAGGTTGGAGTCAGAGTGGCTCCACTTCTGGAAGCCGGAATGAACTGTGCCTCCAAAACCCCCGCTCCCCAGGGTTCCACGAGAAGGACGGCAAGGCCTACTGTCGCAAGGACTACTTCGACATGTTCGCACCCAAGTGTGGCGGCTGCGCCCGGGCCATCCTGGAGAACTATATCTCAGCCCTCAACACGCTGTGGCATCCTGAGTGCTTTGTGTGCCGGGTAAGGAGCCCCTGACCACATCTGGAGGGGCGAGGAGCAGGCAGTGGGGAGAGAGGGGTCTTCCTCATTGTGCTGTCTGGATCCAACTCAGAGGCCTCATTTGGGGTTATTAATTGGGGGAGCAGGCAGGGGATCTCCTTCCTCCAGTCCAGTAGGTCCTGGGCCAGGGTTTGTACTGAGGCTGGGACAAACCAGGAGCAAGGTAGACATGTCCCCCAGTCCAGCCCTGTGCAGCGGCCCTGGGCCATTCCTATTTGGGAGGAGAGTGTGTGAGAACTAAATGAGATAATGCAAGTATTTAGCAGACTCAACAGAAATGGGCAGTGGTTTCCAAAACCACTGCATTCTGGGGGCCCCACAGGGGTTATTAATGATTCAACAAGGGCTCTCTGACCAAATGAGTTTGGGAAACACTGTTCCCTGCAGGACTTCTCAGAGCCTTTTCTTTTCTTTTCTTTTTTTGAGACGGAGTCTCACTCTGTTGCCCAGACTGGTGTGCAGTGGCACGATCTTGGCTGACTGCAACCTCTGCCTGCTGAGTTCCAGTGATTCTCCCGCCTCAGCCTCCCAAGTAGCTGAGATTACAGGCACACGCCCCCATGCCTGGCTAATTTTTTGTATTTTCAGTAGAGACGGGGTTTCACCATGTTGGCCAAGCTGGTCTTGAACTCCTGACCTCAGGTGATCCGCCTCCCTTGGCCTCCCAAAGTGCTGGGATTACAAGTGTGAGCCACCTCACCCGGCCCCTCTCAGAGCCTTTTCTACCTATATGTGATGTGAATCTCCAATGAGAATCTAGGAGGCAGAGTTTGACTACAGACCAGTGTCACACCTGTGTTTCTGGGAACACTGTTACAGCCACCTGGCTAAGTGCTCAGGAGTCAGACCTGTGTATGAATCCAGGCTGTGACCTCAGTAGCTGCATGACCCTGGGCAAGTTACTTCACCTGTGTGCTTCAGTTGCCTCCCCTGTTGGGAGAACTAAATAATCCCAGCCCTGTGGGAGGCCGAGGTGGGAGGATTGCAGGAGGCCACATTTGACCAGCATGGGCAATATAGTGAGACCCCCATCTCTACAAAAAAAATTTATTTAATAAAATAAAAATGAAAAATGAGCGTTTAGGACAACACGGCACATGGGAAACGCCTAGCAAGTAGGAGTCACTCCGAGCGTGCCGACTATGCCCACCTCGGCCCCATCACACAGGGTGCAGCTCTAGCCCGAGGGGCAGCTCCCTGAGCCCCTCTCTCCGCCTGGCAGGAATGCTTCACGCCATTCGTGAACGGCAGCTTCTTCGAGCACGACGGGCAGCCCTACTGTGAGGTGCACTACCACGAGCGGCGCGGCTCGCTGTGTTCTGGCTGCCAGAAGCCCATCACCGGCCGCTGCATCACCGCCATGGCCAAGAAGTTCCACCCCGAGCACTTCGTCTGTGCCTTCTGCCTCAAGCAGCTCAACAAGGGCACCTTCAAGGAGCAGAACGACAAGCCTTACTGTCAGAACTGCTTCCTCAAGCTCTTCTGCTAGGTGCCCTGCCCCTGTCTCTGCCCCCCTTCCCCAGCCAGCATCCCCAACTGCGACTGTGACCTAGAGACTTCACCCGGGGGTGAAGGGGTAAACCCGACTGAAACTGGAACCCTTGTCCTCCGCTGGTGCGGGATGGACAGAGGGCCGTGAGGGGTCCCCCTGCTTGTCTTCACCCCTGCCAGAGCCTCTGGGCCCCCTCCTCCCTCCTGTAGCTCTCCCTAGGCTGCCCACTCTCCATCCTCCCCAGGGGTAGAGGCTGGGGGCTCCACCCCAGCCCATGTACGTCCCCACGAACTGGCCTGGCCAGCACCCCACACTGGAGCCATCTCTTCCTCATATTTCAGCAGTGCAGCCGGGGGGCAGGGAAGGGCAGGCAGGGTCTGTTGGGGTCTCTTTTTATCCTTATTCCTCCCCCGACCTAATTGTCTTTGTTCTGTGATTATTGGGGGACACCCGGCTCCCTCCAGACAATGCCAGCATAAATCCATCCATCCAAAGGCAGAGAACCAAAGGGGCCATGGAAGGTTCTCTGTGCTCCTCCTACCCTTCCAGTGCCCTAGGCCTGGCGACTGCCCCTGCCTTTTAGACCCGCCCTCCCCTTTTATACCTGCTCTTGTTCTACTGAGAAAAGCCTCTCCAGCAATAATGTTTTCTAGTCACTTCCTCCGTCTCCGGGACGGCGTGCCTGGACACTGTACCGACTTTGATAGATTTCTACACTGAGGTTTGAATTCATATCGCCTGAGTTGCTTTTACTTCTCTATACAAAATGATTTTGAAGAGATTTTAAAGACGTTCCCTTTTGTATTCTCTTCCTCATCCACCGCCACTGGGCCTGTCACTGATGGTGGCTCTGGTGTGAAGTTTGCTTTGTACTGAGGGTTGGGGTGGGGAAGCAATTTGTATTTTATTGTTTCTTAGCACAAGCAGGTGAACTGGGAGCAGCTCTGTGACTCCCCCTCTTTCACTTCATAGCTCACCAGGACTGTTTTATAAACTGCTGTATTTGGAAACCCCTTCTTTACTTCCCAGGCCAGCAAGCTCTTCACTGAAACTGGTTGAAGGGTGTTGCACCCTTTTGGGCCTAGAATTCTGAACTTTATCTGTTCTGTTTCTGTGGGAGGAGAAGGGGAAGTATGTTTTGGGGGGCTGCTTCCTGTCTGAGTAAGCCCTCAGGAGCCTCTGCTCCCCTGTGAACCCACTGAACCTTCTGAGCCCCCACTGCTTCTATGGGGCTCTCTCTTCTGCCTTCTCAGGAAAGCTGGTGTCTGATTTTGGCCATCAGGACTCTGACGTCTCTTTGGTCTTGTTGATTTCCTCTGGGCATATCCCTTCCCCAGATCTGCTCCTCCCCTTTCACAGGTGGGATCGGCACTCAGGGGGTCTGGAAAGAAGGTCATAAGGGAGCATGATAGGATTTGGGGCAGAGGGACAGGCTCCTCTGGGGAAACCCCCCAGAGCTCTTTACCAAGGATGAAAGAGGAGCCAGGCCTTGGGCTCCTGATGAGGAGAAAGGGGCCCCACCGGGGTCTAATGGTGACAGTCCAAACCACTCCACTGGCCTCCTGGCAGAAGCCGAGTGTGCTGGGGTCTCCGAAGAGGGTCCCTCCTTTTTGGGGGAAGGTCAGCCCAGCCCCTCCAAAGGTCTGATGTCTCCACTTTCACCCGCAGGCCTTACCGCTCTGTTTATAGTGACCCACCCTAGATCTTCCCCAAGAGGGACTGGGGTTTCTGGGGTCCATTCTCTGAGTCAGTGGTTATTTGAAAATTTGATTTTGATTTTATTTTTTCTCTGTAAACTTCCAAGCTGGCTTTTCCCATTTCAATTCCTGTGATTTATGCCAATAAAGTTTGCCCATGATTTTCACCTGTGCTAGTGCTATTTCTTGGTGGTCTGAACCTCATGGTCCCAGCAGAGACCAAACCCACCCCAGATGCAGCTGGATCACCAGATGGAGGGTAAATTGTGGATGTTTCCTTTCTTGAGGTCAAAATCCCTGGGGCTGGGGTCCGTGGTCCTTGCCTGTGGTCACAGGTCCTCCCCGTGGGCTTTGCTCCTGCCTGGGCAGTTGGTGAGGACAGGCTGGGGAGCAGCGGGATGGGGCCCTGTGGGGCAGGGCCTGCCCAGGGTGTGATCACCTGGGTTTACCAAGGGCATCCTCACTCACGGGCTTGTGGGTGGCTTTCCACTCATTTAGAAGTAGGGAAAGAGGCTCTAGGACAAGAACCTACATGTACAAGGCAATCTGAGTGAGGGCAGAGCCATGATGCGGACCCAGGGCTTGCCTCTGCCTGTGTTCCTGCACAGAACCAGACGCGGCCGTGCCTGAGCCCACACAACGTGGGTTAGCCCCTTCCCTGCCGAAGGCAGTTACTTACAGTTGAGGATGGGTCTCTACTGCCTCCTCGTCGTCATGTCCGGATTTGCGTGCTTCCTCTTTGCTCCGGTCAGATCCAGAGCTCCAGTCCTAGGCCCTAGAGCAGGGATGTCCAATTTTTTTTTTTTTTTTGAGATAGAGTCTCACTCTGCCCAGGCTGGAGTACAGTGGCATGATCTCGGTTCACTGCAACCTCCACCTCCCAGGTTCAAGGGATCCTCCTGCCTCAGCCTCCTGAGTAGCTAGGATTACAGGCAGCTGCCACCACACCCGGCTAATTTTTGTATTTTTAGTAGAGCCAGGGTTTCACCATGTTGGCCAGGCTGGTCTCAAACTCCTGATCTCAAGTGATCTGCCTTGGCTCCCAAAGTGCTGGAATTACAGGCGTAAGCCACCACTCCTGGCTTTTTTTTTTTTTTTTGAGATGGAGTCTCACTCTGTCATCCAAGCCAGAGTGTAGTGGCACGATCTCGGTTCACTGCAGCCTCTACCTCCTGGGTTCAAGCAATTATCATGCCTCAGCCTCCCAAGTAGCTGGGATTACAGGTGCCCACCACCACACCCGGGTAATTTTTGTATTTTTAGTAGAGCCAGGGTTTTACCATGTTGGCCAGGCTGGTCTCAAACTGCTGATCCCAAGTGATCTGCCTGCCTCGACCTCCCAAAGTGCTGGGATTACAGGCATGGGCCACTGCGCCCAGCTGGGTGTCCAATCTTTTGGCTTCCTTGGGGCCATGTTGGAAAAAGAAGAATTGCCTTGGGCCACACATAAAATACACTAATGATAGCTGATGAACTAGAAAAAAAATAATAAAATCACAAATCTCATAATGTTTTAAGAAAGTTTACAAATTTGCCCTGTAATTCCAGCACTTTGGGAGGCCGAGACGGGCAGATCATGAGGTCAGGAGATCGAGACCATCCTGGCTAACACGGTGAAACCCCGTTTCTACTAAAAATACAAAAAATTAGCCAGGCATGGTGGCGGGCGCCTGTAATCCCAGCTACTCGGGAGGCTGAGGCAGGAGGATGGCATGAACCCGGGAGGTGGAGCTTGTAGTGAGCCAAGATCACGCCACTGCACTCCAGCCTGGGCGAGAGAGCGAGACTCCGTCTCAAAAAAAAAAAAAAAAAAAAAAAGAAAGTTTACAAATTTGCATTAGGCCAAATTCAAAACTATCCTGGGCCGCATGTGGCCCACAGGCCATGGATTGGACAAGCTTGTCCTAGAGCTTCCTGGGCAGTTTTGTTTAACCTTGAGCTGTGTCTTCACAGCTTCCCTGTTGTTTGGAACGGTTCTCCAAAAGCAGCATGTTGAATTCTAGTTTAAACTCTTCCCATGCTATAGTGAGCTCAGAAGTGAAAATTACCTTCAACGCTCACCCAAAGAGAATGATGGGGCCAGGCTCTGTGGCTCATGCCTGTAATCCTAGCATTTTGGGAGGCCAAGGTGGGAGGATCATTTGAGCCCAGGAGTTCAAGAGAATAACTTGGTTTATTCTTCCAGCCCATGTTGGATTTATTTTATTTCTAGAAATGGGTATGGTATATTTCCTTTTTTTTCTTTTTTTTTTTTTTTTTTGAGATGGCATCTCACTCTGTCACCCAGGTTGGAGTGCAGTGGCGCGATCATGGCTCACTGCAACCTCTGCCCCCCAGGTTCAAGCGATTCTCCTGCCTCAGCCTCCTGAGTAGCTGGGATTACAGGCACCCGCCACCACGCCAGGCTAATTTTTATACTTTTAGTAGAGACGGGGTTTCTCCATGTTGGCCAGGCTGGTCTCGAACTCCTGATCTCAAATGATCCACCCTCCTCGACCTCCCAAAGTGCTGGGATTACAGGCGTGAGCCACCATGCCCGGCCAGGTATGGTATATTTCACTGTAATGTGCTTTTCGCTTTGCTTTGTGGATATTTTCCCATGTCAATAAATATAGATCTGTACCATTTTCTAATGGCTTCATGGTATTCCGTTATATTGATGTACTACAATTAGAGATGATATTTATATCATCAGAGCCAGGAGGTCCTTGGAAATGTACCTTGTGCATATGTATATACTTGGAAAAGTGCGTTCAGAGGGAGGCTGACTCAGGGTTTGGAATGGACTGTATAGCACAGTGAGGCCCAGGGGCTTTGAACTTCCTCCTAGATTTCAGTTCTGAAGCCTTCACTTACTGGCTGAGAGACTTGGGCAAATTATTTAACCTTCCTGTGAGTATTCTCATCGATAAAATGGGAGTACTGACAGTACTGTATCTCCTCAGAGGATTGTTGCAAAGATTAGCTTCAGTAATGTGCACAGAGTACTTAGGACAATACGAAGTGTGCAGTAATACATTGCCATTAAAAAGAGATCTCGGGTGTCCGCGGGTTGCCGAATGGAGCTGAGCATCTTGATGGAACCAGGGATCTCAGGGTGAAGACTGAAGCCCTAGGCTATGGCGGAAGTTGGGTGCCTGAAGTACAAGTGGAAATATGCCAACTGAACATTGGACCACCACAGCCTGCCCCCTGGCTCAGCGCCCAGTGCCAACAGAACACCTTTCAGGATCCACAGCAAGGCAGACAACGGAATCCACACAGGCTTCCATTCTCAAAAGGCCATCAAAACATAACTGCCGGCCGGCCACGGTGGCTCATGCCTGTAACCCCAGAACTTTGGGAGGCCGAGGCCGACAGATCACTTGAGCTCAGGAGTCCAAGACTAGCCTGGCGAACATGGTGAAACCCTGTCTCTACTAAAAATACAAAAAGTTAGCTGGGTGTGGTGGTGGGTGCCGGTAATCCCAGCTACTCTGGAGGCTGAGGCAGAAGAATTGCTTGAACCCAGGAGGCGGAGGTTGCAGTGAACTGAGATTGCACCATTGCACTCCAGCCTGGGCGACAGAGCGAGGCTCCATCTCAAAAAAAATAAAATAAAATAAAATAAAAATTAACTGCTGACGAGACAATTTATATTTCCTTCCCCTCACTACACTCCCTGAATGTTCTGGATCAGTGTGTCTCACACCTTTGGATCTTACAAGCTAGTTGGGAAAGTTCTATGGAGAAGGCAAAGATTTTGAAGGCACAGGAGACTATCATAGACACTCACAATGATCATAGATAGTAGTATCATAGTACCATAGATACTCCCAATGATCATAGATAGTAGTATCATAGTACCATAGATACTCTCAATGATCATAGATAGTAGTAGCATAGTATCATAGATACTCACAATGACATCTCCCTAAAGGATTCAAAAGCTTTGCATCAACCAAAGGAAAAGCACCAGTGAGAGTCAAGATACAGTTCCAGACAGATGCTACCTCTGATTGTAAAGGTGTCCAGGTCTTGTGCTTATGATGTGCTCACATCAGTGCCGGAAACGATGAAGACAAAGAGACTGGAAGGAAGAACATGACAGTTTAGTGAGTACTAAGTATTGTCAGTTAGATCGGGGTCCCTAACTCTCAGGCCAAGGACCAGTACTGGTCTGTGGCCTGTTAGGAACTGGGCCGCACATCAGGAGGCAAGCAGCAGGCGAGTGAGTGAGCTTGTCGTCCTGTCAGATCAGCAGCAGCATTAGATTCTCACAGGAGCGCGAACCCTATTGCAAACTGCATACGAGGGATCTAGGTTGCACGCTCCTTATGAGAATCTAATGCCTGATGATCTGAGGTAGAAGTTTCATCCCCAAATCACACTCCCCTCTGATCCCTGGTGTCTGTGGAAAAATTGTCTTCCACAAAACTGGTCCCTGTTGCCAAAAAGGTTGGGGACTGCTGAGTTAGATCGTAACACTTAACCCTGATAACTCTGTGAGGCAAGGTTTGTTCGGCCCAATAAAAAGCAGAAATATGGGTCAAATCTAGGTTCAAAGTTGATGCTCATTCTACGATACATACTGCCTCTTTCAACAGGTATCCTAATAAGTACCTTCCTGGAGAGTTTTGTTGCTATATGACTTTCTGTAATTACTTTCTTTTCTTTTTTTTTTTTTTGTGACGGAGTCTCACTCTAAATAGTCGATATTTTAAGCCCTTCCTGGAGAGTTTTGTTGCTATATGACTTTCTGTAATTACTTTCTTTTCTTTTTTCTTTTTTTTTTTTTTTTGTGATGGAGTCTCACTCTAAATAGTCGATATTTTAAGCTTTGGGGATCACACAGTCTCTGTTGTAACCACTCATTTGTGACAGCCATAGACAATGTGTAAACGAATAGGTGAGCAAGGCTATGTCCCAATAAAACTTTATTTATTTATTTATTTATTTATTTATTGAGATGGGGTCTTGCTCTGTCGCCCAGGCTGGAGTGCAGTGGCACAGTCTCAGCGCACTGCAAGCTCAGCCTCCTGGGTTCACGCCATTCTCCTGCCTCAGCCTCCTGAGTAGCTGGGACTACAGGCGCCTGCCACCATGCCTGGCTAATTTTTTGTATTTTTAGTGGAGACGGGGTTTCACCGTGTTAGCCAGGATGGTCTCGATCTCCTGACCTCGTGATCTACCCACCTCGGCCTCCCAAAGTGCTGGGATTACAGGTGTGAGCCACTGTGCCTGGCCTATTTATTTACTTTTATTTTATTATTATTTTTTTGAGATGGAGTCTTGCTCTGTCACCAGGCTAGAGTGCAGTGGCACAATCTTGGCTCACTGCAACCTCCATCCCCTGGGTTCAAGCAATTCTCCAGCCTCAGCCTCCGGAGTAGCTGGGATTACAGGCGGCTGCCACCGAGCCCGGCTAATTTTTGTATTTTTAGTGGAGACAGGGTTTCACCATCTTGGCCAGGCTGGTCTTGAACTCCTGACCTCGTGATCCACCCGCCTCGGCCTCCCAAAGTGCTGGGATTACAAGCGTGAGCCACTGCGCCCGGCCACAACTTTATCTACAGAAACAGACAGTAGCCATATTTGGCCCATGAGCTATAGTTTGGCAAACCCTTGTGATATACCAAAGACAGTCATTTTTGACATATTTCAGTCTGCATAGTTTCAGAGTGCTCTGACTCCTGTAATTCTTGCAACTCCCTAGTTCTGTATCCTGCAGTGATTCCCCAGTCTCCCTCACCATAGAAGCCTCCATGTTTTAACGTAACAAAGCCTTGGAAACAAGGGTGTGAGCCAAGGACTCGAGCTTGTGCCCACCATGGTGAAATTTGCGTCATTAGAAGAATATTTACAGCTGGGCACGGTGGCTCACGCCTGTAATCCCAGCGCTTTGGGAGGCTGAGGCGGGCAGATCACCTGAGGTCAGGAGTTCGAGATCAGCCTGACCAACGTGGAGAAACCCCATCTCTACTAAAAATAAAAAAAATTAGCCCGGTGTGGTGGCGCATGCCTGTAATCCCAGCTACTCAGGAGGCTGAAGCAGGAGAATCGCTTGAACCTGGGAGGCGGAGGTTGTGGTGAGCTAAGATCACGCCATCGCACTCCAGCCTGGGCAACAAGAGTGAAACTCCATCTCAAAAAACACAAAAAATTTACAAAGGACTTTAGAGAAATCAGAGTCAGTACCCTACTGCTTGCAACAGAGCTAGCCCTGTGGTAGGAAATCTCATACAGTGGGTAGGCTCTAATTTCAGAGAATAAGAACCTGGCCTCCCACAGAGGTCTCAGTTGGAGCTACTGATTTATGGTAGAACAAGATGAGATTGACAGCACTTGAGCTACCCGTATCTAAATTCTGTTCAGGGAATTTTATGCCAGTCAGCTGCACCAATATACCCTGCCATGCAAGTGTCTTGGTTTTAAACCTGCTACCGCCACCACCCCCCGCCCCGCCCACCACTTTACCAAATTATTCATGTTGGCCTGATTTTCTTACTCTTCCATCTTTTCTGGCATTTTTTGGGGTGTGTGTGTGTGTGTGTGTGTGTGTGTGTGTGTGTAGCTGCTTTAGAGACATTCTGCCACCTTTCTGGACTTCGCTCGATCAGGGAGAGTAGGCAGATTGTGATTGGAATCTTTTTTTTTTTTTTTTTTTTTTTGAGACAGAGTCTCTCTCTGTCACCCAGGCTGGAGTGCAGGGGCACAATCTCGGCTCACTGCAAGCTCCGCCTCCCGGGTTCACCCCATTCTCCTGCCTCAGCCTCCCAAGTAGCTGGGATTACAGGCACATGCCACCACGCCCGGCTAGTTTTTTATATTTTTAGTAGAGATGGGGTTTCACTGTGTTAGACAGGATGGTTTCGATCTCCTGACCTCGTGATCCGCCCACCTCAGCCTCCCAAAGTGCTGGGATTACAGGCGTGAGCCACCGCACCTGGAGTGATTGGAATCTTAATAACCTGTCAAAACAGCATTTAAATCTCATTCATGTTATTTTCCATCCTTCCCATGGAACACAGATAGCCAAGAAGACAAATAAAAGAGACCCCAGGCCAGGCACAGTGGCTCACGCCTGTAATCCCAGCACTTTGGGAGGCTGAGCTGGGTGGATCACCTGAGGTCAGGAGTTCGAGACCAGCATGACCAAAATGGAAAAACCCCGTATCTACTAAAAATACAAAATTAGCCGGGCATGGTGGCACATGCCTATAATCCCAGCTACTCAGGAGGCTGTGGCAGGAGAATCACTTGAACCCGGGAGGTGGAGGTTGTGGTGAGCCGAGATTACGCCATTGCACTCTACCCTGGGCAACAAGAGTGAAATTCTGTCTCAAAAAAAAAAAAAAAAAAAGAAAAGAAAAGAAAAAAGAAAAGAAAAAGAAATACAGTAACGTGAAATCGAGCTACTTCTAACTTTTTTTTTTTTTTTTGAGACGGAATCTTGCTCTGTCACCTAGGCTGGAGTACAGTGGCGCAATCTCAGCTCACTGCAACCTCTGCCTCCTGGGCTCAAGCAATTCTCCTGCCTCAGCCTCCCAAGTAGCTGGAATTACAGGAGCCCGCCACCACTCCTGGCTAACTTTTGGTATTTTTTAGTAGAGACGGGGTTTCACTGTGTTAGCCAGGATGGTCTGGATCTCCTGACCTCGTGATCTGCCCACCTCAGCCTCCCAAAGTGCTGGGATTACAGGCATGAGCCCCCGCACCCGGCCTACTTCTGACAGTTTTATGGTGTGTGATATAGGATATAACATGATGTATGAAGCTCTTTGTAATAATTTTTAATTTTGAAATAGCTGATTCTTTGGGGATCATTTAATACATAATTCCATAGGTTTCAGTGAAAAAAAAAAAAAAAAAGAGATCTCAGGGTTGGGCAAGGTGTCTCATTCTTGTAATCCCAGCAATTTAGGAGGCCAGGGTGGGAGGATTGCTTGAGCCCAGAAGTTTGACATCAGCCTAGGCAACATGGCAAGACCCCATCTAT
Source organism: Homo sapiens (assembly GCF_000001405.40). NCBI lineage: Eukaryota > Metazoa > Chordata > Mammalia > Primates > Hominidae > Homo > Homo sapiens. Next base: position 120,202,635 of record NC_000012.12, on the reverse strand, counting down.
ACAAAAAGTACAAAAAATTAGCTTGGCGTGGTGGTGTGTGCCTGTAGTCCTAGCTACTTGGGAGGCTGAGGTGGGAGGATCACTTCAGCCTGGGAGGTCAAGTCTGCAATGAACTGAGATTGCTCCACTACACTCTAGCCTGGGCAACGGAGTGAGACTGCTTCTCAAAAAAAAAAAAAAAAAAAAAAAAAAAAAAAAAAGATTTGATGGAGGTGAATTATTCTATGGATGTTTGTTGGCTAGTTTTCTAGGAAGAGGGAATGGCTAATGCAAAAGCCCCCAAGTAAAGCCTGCTCTGGAAAAGCAGCAGAGCATCATCTGGGTAGAAAGCAAGTAAGTGAGGAGGAAAACATCTGAGATGATCAGAGTGGGCGTGAGGGACAGATAGGTAAGGGCCTTGTAGGTACTTTAGGTTTTAGATTTTTACTCTGTAGGAAACGGAAAGTTTTAAGCAGATAAGGAGATGAGCTGACTTAGGTTTTTTTTTTTTTTTTTTTTTTTTTGAGATGGAGTCCCTCTCTGTCACCCAGGCTAGAGTGCAATGGTGTGATCTTAGCTCACTGCAGAGCTCACAGCTCCCGGGTTCAAGCGATTCTTCTGCCTCGGCCTCCTGAGTAGCTGGGATTACGGGCATGCGCCACCCCACCTGGCTAATTTTTGTATTTTTAGTAGAGACGGGGTTTTGCCATGTTGGCCAGGCTAGTCTCGAACTCCTGACCTCAGGTGATCCACCCGCCTCGTCCTCCCGAAGTGCTGGGAGTATAGGCGTGAGCCACCGCGCCCGGCCAGGTTTTAAAGGATCCCTCTGTTTTGGTAGGCGGAAAAACTAGAGAAGACGAGAGACCATTCTGAGGCCGGGCGCGGCGGGTCACGCCTGTAATCCCAGCACTTTGGGAGGCCGAGGCGGGCAGATCACGAGGTCAGGAGATCGAGACCATCCTGGAGAACATGATGAAACCCCGTCTCTACTAAAAATACAAAAAAAAAATTAGCCGAGCACGGTGGCGGGCGCCTGTAGTCCCAGCTACTCCGGAGGCTGAGGCAGGAGAATGGCGTGAACCCGGGAGGCGGAGCTTGCAGTCAGCCGAGATGGCGCCACTGCGCTCCAGCCTGGGCGACAGAGCGACACTCCGTCTCAAAAAAAAAAAAAAAAAGAGAAACCATTCTGTTTCTAAGCATGTGCAATTATGTCTCAGCTCCACGTCATACCTTTTAGTTTGCTGAGCTCGCCAGGTGGCACAGGGAACCGGGACTCCGAATTCGCAGCTCCAGCTCCAGCTCCAGCCCAGCAGGTGGCAGCAGCTCAGAGCAAGCTCCTCCAACGCGAGGCAGCGCCTTCCTTCGCGACCCTACTTAAAGGCGGCTTTCCGTTGGCTGGAGTGGCAGCGATATTATCCAATGGTTGCCTGTATTCGTTCAGCTTTGTCTGACGGGCGATGGCGCAGCCAATAGACAGGAGCGCTATCCGCGGTTTCTGATTGGCTACTTTGTTCGCATTATAAAAGGCACGCGCGGGCGCGAGGCCCTTCTCTCGCCAGGCGTCCTCGTGGAAGGTTCGTGTGCTAGTTAGATGGGCGCCAGGGGTCGCCGGCGGGAAGCATGGAGGGGTCTTTGGGGGCCTTTGGGAACATGGAGTCCTATTCTGTTCCGCCTGGGGCCTCGGTGGCGGCTTGCACGCCCCGAGATGACGGCCGCTGCCCTAGGCAGGGCCGGCGGGCGATTGCGCGTGTCCTGCTCCTCTTAGGCCCGGGACCGCGGGATGGGTGTCGGCGTGACCAGGCCTGAGCTCCCTGTCTCTCCTCAGTGACATCGTCTTTAAACCCTGCGTGGCAATCCCTGACGCACCGCCGTGATGCCCAGGGAAGACAGGGCGACCTGGAAGTCCAACTACTTCCTTAAGATCATCGTAAGTGCAGGGTGGGTCGCCTCTGCTCTTCATGTTGCCCCAGCGCAAATAGGGACAGTCAGCTGCTATGTGCTGAGGGTCTACTCACACCGGCTACTGAATTAGGCCATTTTTGGGAAAATACTGTTTAGTTAACAATTTCCTGAGATAGGTCCCTTCTGTTGCAGATAAACGGGCTCAGGCAAGTTAAGTGGGTCCTAAGATGACAGCATTCGTATCCAGGTCTGTCTGGCTTCTAAAAGAGCGCGCTTTATACTTTTTTTTTTTTAAACGGAGTCTCGCTCTGTTGTCCAGGCTGGAGTGCAGTGGCTTGATCTTGGCTTACTGCAACCTCCGCTTCCCAGGTTCAAGCGATTCTCCTGCTTCAGCCTCCCGAGTAGCTGGGATTACAGGGGCGCGACACCACACCCAGCTAATTTTTGTATTTTCAATAGAGACAGGGATTCACCATGTTGGCCAGGATGGTCTCGATCTCTTGACTTCATGATCCACCTTCCTCGGCCTCCCTAAGTGCTAGGATTACAGGTGTGAGCCACCGCGCCCGGCCGCACATTACAGTTTTACTCCATTTTTGAGAAGGTCTGAGGTCAGGAATGACTCATTGTAAGGAAGCAAGCTGTTGCATATTTAGGACCTGTCAGCCAAGAAACTTAAGTGTCCAATGACTTTTGGATGGCCTTTGAGGTGGGTCTCCCTTGCCCAGAAATGCTGACTGTACTGCGCTTAAGCAATTAGGCAGCATTGTAGAGCATAGCTTGTATTACATTTTCCCACACTTAGAAGGTTTTCAGACACAAAACCCAAAGGAATTGTGTAACAATCCGGATAAACACGCCTAGATTGTTTTTACAAATAATAATGTTGCTATATTTGCTTAACGTGGTGCTTTTAATGCTGTGAATCTAGCCCTCCTCTTGACCAACTTACTTGGAACATTCCTTTTTTATCCTGTTAACCATTTTAGTGAATCAGAAGCATGCCTGGTAATTGGGAAAAATTAAAAACTAAGTAAAAAAAGAAAAAACTCCTTGATTGAATGTAGAAACCTAATTTTCAGCGTTCATACCCAGCTAGCCAATCATCCAGTTTGGCAGTGTTACAACGTAGCTCCCAATCTCCCTCTGACTTCAAAAGCTTAGAAGAAAGGGAGTGGGATGGAAACAAATTGTGGGGTTCAGTTTCTTCTGGCATTTTTTCCCTCTCTCTTCCTGTTAAACTTGGCTCCTCTGGCTTGTTTTTTGTAGCAACTATTGGATGATTATCCGAAATGTTTCATTGTGGGAGCAGACAATGTGGGCTCCAAGCAGATGCAGCAGATCCGCATGTCCCTTCGCGGGAAGGCTGTGGTGCTGATGGGCAAGAACACCATGATGCGCAAGGCCATCCGAGGGCACCTGGAAAACAACCCAGCTCTGGAGAAGTCAGTTCCCCTGGCAGTTTTGTCCTTTCTCCCCAGTGCCCGTCTCCCTCTTCCTGGAGAATGGTGCTGAAAGGTGATTGTCTCCCATAAACTTCTCTTTGCAGACTGCTGCCTCATATCCGGGGGAATGTGGGCTTTGTGTTCACCAAGGAGGACCTCACTGAGATCAGGGACATGTTGCTGGCCAATAAGGTAAGGGGACAATTGGGTTGGCTAAAGAGACTTTGTTGTTGCTCCTTAAAGCAAAATGGACCATTCTCAGGTTGTGTGAGTGGAGAGGCTTTTCTCACTGTTTGTTGTCTTTGTCAGGTGCCAGCTGCTGCCCGTGCTGGTGCCATTGCCCCATGTGAAGTCACTGTGCCAGCCCAGAACACTGGTCTCGGGCCCGAGAAGACCTCCTTTTTCCAGGCTTTAGGTATCACCACTAAAATCTCCAGGGGCACCATTGAAATCCTGGTGAGTGGACCTGGTTTGCCTGTGCTAACCAGGCAAATGGGGAGCTGCTTTTAGTGGCCATGGATCTGCTGGTTGTCCAACAGGTGTTTACTGCCCCACTATTATCTGGTTCAGAGTGATGTGCAGCTGATCAAGACTGGAGACAAAGTGGGAGCCAGCGAAGCCACGCTGCTGAACATGCTCAACATCTCCCCCTTCTCCTTTGGGCTGGTCATCCAGCAGGTGTTCGACAATGGCAGCATCTACAACCCTGAAGTGCTTGATATCACAGAGGAAACTCTGCATTCTCGCTTCCTGGAGGTATATGCTGTCAGCCTTGCCCCCTCTTACACTGATGGTTGAGAGCATGACAAGGTTCAGACTGAGTCCCTGTAACCAAGGACTGTGTTTTCATCTGTCTACCTACCTCATCTGTAAAATGTCAGTAACAACATAAGATTGTTGAAGGATTTTTTTTTTTTTTTTTTGGAGACAGAGTCTTGCTGTGTCGCCCAGGCTGGAGTGCAGTGGCACAATCTCCCGGCTCACTGCAAGCTCCGCCTCCGGGTTCACACCATTCTCCTGCCTCAGCCTCCTGAGTAGCTGGGACTACAGGCACCCGCCACTACGCCCGGCTAATTTTTTTGTATTTTTAGGTTTCACCGCGTTAGCCAGGATGGTGTCGATCTCCTGACCTCGTGATCCGCCCAACTCGGCCTCCCAAAGTGCTGGGATTACAGGCATGAGCCACCACGCCTGGCCAAAGGATTTAATGAATTAATGGATGTACAGTGCTGGGGCTGTTATTCTAGGGCCTGCATTGAGACTCACATTTTGCCATCAAAAGCCTTTTAAGAGGTGGAGGTTGCGGTGAGCTGACATGGTGCCACTGCACTCCGGCCTGAGTGACAGAGTGAGACTCTGTCTCACAAAAAAAATAATGCCCTTTAAATAATGAATAATAGTGATAGAAAATGTCATTTCTTGGACAAATGAAAAATTGAAATTAATGTATATAATTAGATATTATTAGCTACTCTTAGGTAGCTTCATTTGTTGAAAGTTTGACAAGTGAATGAAGTTCACATCTGGAAATCGTTGAACATTTTTCGTTCATGGAACTCAATGGCTACGTTAGTCGTTTATGCTTTTCACTGTTGTGGTAGGGGCTTTGGAAGTAAATGCCATCAACAATGGATACAGAAGACCTGGATTTGGAATAAGGGCAAAATTTATTTGATGGGGCTGAATTGCTCTGCCAGGAGCATTTGGTATGAGATGAAATGGCCTCTCTTGAGACTGAGCTGCCAACCTGGCAATTATTGTCTGCTAAGGGTTCTCTTTATTCACCCTTACTTGGACTTCCTTTCCTGTAGGGAATCTCACGTAAAATGAAATCTTCCCTCCCCCAGGGTGTCCGCAATGTTGCCAGTGTCTGTCTGCAGATTGGCTACCCAACTGTTGCATCAGTACCCCATTCTATCATCAACGGGTACAAACGAGTCCTGGCCTTGTCTGTGGAGACGGATTACACCTTCCCACTTGCTGAAAAGGTAAAAGGATCCCACCAGGACCACAGTGGGCCTGACTGTGACAAATTAGCAGGGTGATGTGGCCTTCTACCTTACTGCTTTTATAGTTGTATTTTATATAGCAGATAATTTTGTGAGGGGATATTTGAGAGGTTGGGAGGCAGGGAAGGCGTTTCTCACTTGAGAAATGACAAGAGACCCAAAGAGGGGGTTAATGGGCAAGAGCTGGGCCTTAGGAACCCTGCCTCACTAGGCCATACCCAAGCTGTCCTGCTTGGGCTGCTTCTGACAGGAAAGGCTTCACACGGACTTTGATATTGTTGGTCCTTAAACTCTACCAAGGCAGGAGGGTGGTGGGTAATAGAGGAGTGTGGATGACCATTTTGACCACTTCCCCCCTCCTTTCAGGTCAAGGCCTTCTTGGCTGATCCATCTGCCTTTGTGGCTGCTGCCCCTGTGGCTGCTGCCACCACAGCTGCTCCTGCTGCTGCTGCAGCCCCAGCTAAGGTTGAAGCCAAGGAAGAGTCGGAGGAGTCGGACGAGGATATGGGATTTGGTCTCTTTGACTAATCACCAAAAAGCAACCAACTTAGCCAGTTTTATTTGCAAAACAAGGAAATAAAGGCTTACTTCTTTAAAAAGTCTCTGGACTCTTAATTTTGTAATTTTTTTTCCTTTTTGACACAGGGTCTGGCTGTTGCCCAGGCTGGAGTGTGGTGGTGTAATCATAACTCACTGCACCCTTGAACTCCTGGGATCAAGGGATCCTCGTATCTCAGCCTCCCAAGTAGCTGGGACTACAGGCACACACCATGACACTCAGCTACTAATTTTTAAATTTTTTTTTTGTAGAGATATTGCACAAGCTGGTCTCAAATTCCTGGCCTCAAGGAATCCTGCCTCAGCCTCCCAAAGTGCTAGGATTACAGGCTTGAGCCACCATGTGCCTGGCCCTTAATTTTGAGGTTTATAGTGCCATATGCTAGAAACGAAAGCCATGGTAAAACCAGAGCTTTGTATTTAGGTGTTGATGTTTGGGTATCTAAATGAAGCTACCAATCAAACATCCTATACAGTTTTCTAGACACAGTTGTAACTATTACACTAGAATTACTGTTTCTATGGCTGCTGCATACTTGGAGTAGGTTTAGTGTCAGCTGAGATAGGCACCTGGTGGATGCTGGGGCCAGTCCCCTAGAGTAAAGTTTTTCAAACTGGGTGGTGCTCCAACTCGGTGGTAACCAATTTATATTTTCGAGATAGTCTCAAATATATTTGAGACTGGGGTGCAGTGGCTTGGACTTGGCTCACTGCAACCTCCGCCTCCTGGGTTCAAGTGATTCTCCTGCCTCAGCCTCCCAAGTAGCTGCAATTACCGGAGGCTGCCACCACACCGGGCTAATTTTTTTGTTGTTGAGACAGTCTCGTCCTGTCACCCAGACTGGAGTGCAATGGTATGGTCTCAGCTCACTGCAACCTCTGCCTCTCGGGTTCAAGCGGTTCTCCCACCTCAGCCTCCCCAGTAGCTGGGACTACAGGCATGTGCCACCACTCGGCTAATTTTTGTACTTTTAGTAGAGACGGGGTTTCACTATGTTGGCCAGGCTGGTCTGGAACTCCTGACCTTGTGATCTGCCCGCCCTGTCCTCCCGAAGCGCTGGAATTATACAAGGGTGAGCCACCGCACCCGGCCTTTTTTTTTTTTTTTTTTTTTTTTGGTATTTTTAGTAGAGACAAGGTTTTGTCATGTTGACCAGGCTGGTCTGGAAATCCTAACATCAGGTTGATCTACCCACCTCAGCCTCCCAAAGTGCTGGGATTACAGGCGTGAGCCACCATGCCTGGCCCCAGTATTTAAAGAGAAAGCAGCATCTGCTGAGAATAGGTGTTTTTGTTGTGATTCCTGTATTTCACTTAGAGATCTGTCTGCTGGAACATGATATATTCATTCTAACTAGGTCTGTGTCAAAGGTTTGAAAGCCACTGCTAACAGGGCTGACAACTAAGCTGTGGAGACCCTGTTCCCTAAATTGCAGCCACGTCTGCACGTAGCCTCTTGCCCTGTGGCCTTCAAAACTCCCAGCCTGGGGCGTCCAGCATTTCCCCAGGGCAGGGGCCTCGTTCAGTTCTGAACCTTCCCTGACCTCCGTATCCAGCCACGTTTGCTAACCCTGTACAAGTCATCCGCCAACTGAACTACAAACTGAGGACAAAAGACTAGTTCACCGACTCTTTTACCTAGTTTTTAGTTCCTGCTATCTAGGAAGCAACACTTGTTTTTCTAAAGAACTTAGTCATCACTCAGGAAAGGCCCACGTAGGGCTGGCCCTGCGGGCTGGAAGTGGGTCAGGGGCTGCAAGGCGGGCCCATAGCGTTACACCGCGGGCTCACCACGTTACAAGCGCTAGTCTCCCACGAGGCGCCCGGGGCTGAAGAGCGGGCCCTGGGGAGGAGGCCTTGTGGCTCGGGCGCGGGCCAACTTTAAGCCCGTGATCCGGCTGCCCGGGCTGCAGCGGCCGCCGTCCTGCCCGGGGGCACCAAGCCCGGGGCCCTGCCCCCGCTGGCTCCCGGCCTCGCCCTGCCGCGTGGGCCACGCTGTGACCCGGAAGCGTTCCGGAAGCGGTTCCGGAGTCAGCCCCGGCAGGATGGCGGCGGACACGCAGGTGAGGCGGGCGGCTGCGGGGCCAACGCGGCCAGGGACTGGGTGCGGACGGTGGCCGTCGGGCGGGGCCCCTCTCGCTCCTCGGCTTAGGGGCGTTGGAGGTGGTGGCTGTGGAGGTCGTAGTCTCGGGGCCGTCTCAGGCTGGACTCTCAGGGCTGCGGGCTTGGCCCGGCCCGGGCGGCGCAGGCAGACCGCGGGCTCGAGGAGTCCGGGGCTCCCGCCTCGACTTCAGCAGCTGGAGCTCGGCGGGGCCTTTGCCCGACCCCAGAGTTGCAGAAGTTCACTTTACCGAGCCTCTACTTCTTTTCTCCAAAGCCCTCCGGCTGTGAGCCCCGGGCCAACGCCAAGTCTTCCTTAAACTTTGTATTCAGCAAATATTCTTTGAGCACCTACTATGAGCAGGGACTTTGAGTGTAGTCTTTGGATTCATACAGATCTGGGCTTGAGTTCCTGCTCGTCGATTTCTGTGACATGCCAAACAAGTGACTTAACCCCGCCAAGTCTGCCTTTTCATCTATAAAATGAAGTTAAAACAATACTTATCTTAAAAGGTTGTTGTGAAGGTTCAGTGAGATAAAATACGGCTTGATATATGTTGGTTGTTATCAGATCCAGGGTTAGTGAAAAGAACTGTCCTGTCCAGGAAGAGTGTTACCTATGGGTACCTTGTAGTTCAGGAAGGACCTGGGAAAACCTTTTCCTCCACCCAGTTGTTATGTTTTAAGGTGAAAAGACATTGTCATGAGGCAGGGGAAGAACAGGTGTCTAAGGACAGCTGGGCTGATTTGGTGTCTCCAGGGTGATGGGATTGATTTTTATGTGTAGGCCCAGAAAATGACCACTTAAGCATTCAAAAAGACATTTACTGAGACTCCTATGCAGGTGGCTGATGTTCAAGTTATGTTGTACTGAATACTAGAAAGAAAAGCTTAGTATGAGAGGGTTAGGGGAATACATGCTGAATGTTTAACATTGATACTCACTTGAGGGAAAAATCTCTAGAGCTGCAATGTCCAGTATGGCAGCCACATGGCTTAAGTTTGTTAAAATTAAATTAAATAAAAAAATTCATTGTTTGGCTGGGCGTGGTGGCTCACCCTGTAATCCCAGCACTTTGGGAGGCCAAGGCGGGTGGATCAGTTGAGGTCAGGAGTTTGAGACTAGTCTGACCAACGTGGCAAAACCCCGTCTCTACTAAAAATGCAAAAAATTAACCGGGTATGGTGGCATGTCTGTAATTCCAGCTACTCAGGAGGCTGAGGCATGAGAATCGCTTGAACCTGGGAGGCAGAGGTTGCAGTGAGCTGAGATCGCACCACTGCGCTCCAGCCTGAGCAACAAGAGTGGGACTCTGTCTCAAAAAAAAAAAAAATTTAGTTCTTCACTTGTACCAGCCACATTTCAGTGCACAGTTAGCCACATGTAGCCAGTGGCTACCGTATTGGGTGGTGCAGGAGAATATTTCTGTATTTTATAATTTTTGTATTTTTAGTAGAGATGGGGTTTCTCCATGTTGGCCAGGCTGGTCTCGAATTCCTGACCTCAGGTGATCCTTCTGCCTTGGCCTCCCAAAGTGCTGGGATTACAGGCGTGAGCCACCGCACCTGGCCTGAAATTATTTTTTATTATTTTATTTTATTTTTTGAGACGGAGTTTCTCTCTTGTTGCCCAGGCTGGAGTGCAATGGCACGATCTGAACTCACTGCAACCTCTGCCTCCCAGGTTCAAGCAATTCTCCTGCCTCAGCTTCCCGAGTAGCTGGGATTACAGGCATGCGCCACCATGCCCGGCTAGTTTTTGTAGAGACAGGGTTTCACCATGTTGGGTAGGCTGGTCTCGAACTTCTGACCTCAAGCAATCTGTCCGCCTCTGTCTCCCAAAGTGCTGGGATTACAGGCGTGAACCACCATGCCCGGCCTTGTCTTCAGTATTCTTTTTTTTTTTTTTTCGAGACGGAGTCTCGCTCTGTCGCCCAGGCTAGAGTGCAGTGGCACAATCTTGGCTCACTACAACCTCTGCCTCCCGGGTTCAAGCGATTCTTCTGCCTCAGCCTCCCAAGTAGCTGGGATTACAGGCACCCGGCACCACGCCCAGCTAATTTTTTTTTTTGTATTTTTAGTAGAGACGCGGTTTCACCATGTTGGCCAGGATGGTCTCGATCTCCTGACCTTGTGATCTGCCTGCCTTGGCCTCCCAAAGTGCTGGGATTACAGGCGTGAGCCACTGCACCCAGCCTTGTCTTCAGTATTCTAAAGGAAAATGATTTCAACCTAGAATTCTGTATTTGGCCAGAACATTTTCATACTTGCAAGGAGTTTACAAAATGGAGGCTGTGCTTCACCCAAACACAAGAAAGTACATGTTCAGGGTGATAAACTGTGCCCCAGCTGTAGAGGATCACATGCCTAATTGGGGCAGGTCAGAAAACTCTGGGAGAGATTTCCTTAGGAAGGTGGAATTTGATGGAATACCTGATCTCCCTAAATGTACTGAGATTTAGACAAATGGCAAAAAGTTTGGGTTTTAATTATTTATAAGAACAGATAAAACAAGTCAAACTGAAGTGAGGTGGGAAAGGGTAATTATTAACACCAGGGGCATAAAAAAGCTGGGAAGAATCAGAGTTTATTAAATGGATGTTGAATGCCATTTACATATAATGTAATCACTGACTACTGACCTAGCCTGTATGTGAAACTGGGGACTTCCACTGGGGAAATGGGGAGGGTGTGCGATGGGGTCACAGCAGGAAAGGGAGCTGTGGTGGAAAGGTAGCAAAACTGAAAAATCAAGAAGCACATGCAAGTTACCTCCATATTTAGAGATACTTAGATATATGGAGGTAACTACCCAAATATCCACCAGATCAACCTAAGGGTTGCCCATGGAGAGTGAGGGCAAGGGACTGGTTTTTATGGCAGACTTCTCAGAACTCTTTGGTTTTGACTCTGTGTGCATCTATGACTATAAAAACAAAAGACATTTTAAAGTTAAAACTACATTATTTATGTAGAAGACAGTTTTGGACATCAGTTTCTTTTATTCATTGCCAATAGAATTATGGCAGGGATTTAAGCACGAAAAACTCAGCATTATTTTATTTCTGTGTGTACGCTTGACTCTTACGCTACTGATAAGGCCTGCCTTTGAAATACCCTCAAAAGAAAAACATGATAACCCCACTGTGTTAAGTTACATGAGCCTTATCATGCCCTGCTCTACGGCTTATGAATCCACAACCTGTCCACTTGGTAGCTTGTAGAATATTGCTCAAGAGCAGATTTTCAGGGATGTTTGCAAACTGCCCCCCATCACTGGGTCTTATGCTTATGTCCCTATGCAGGGGACTGCAGCTGTGGTAACTCGATGGCTGTTGAAAGCTAAAGATTTGTTAGCATCAGTTTATAGACCTGTTTGGTTTCAAAGTTAGTTTCAAAAACGCAGGTGCTGTGGCTCTCGACCCCACTCTGAGCAGTGACTTCCTCTCTTGGAGATGGTTTCTTCATCGCCTATAAAATGGGGATACTGATGCCTCCCTTGCAGGCTTTTTGGTAGTAGTAGCCAACTTTTTGCTTGGGATGAGAGTAGATGCACCTTATACGCAATCTCATTTAAGCTCCATAACAGTCATATGAGGTAGCTGCTATTGTCCGCATCTTATAGATGAGAAAACTGAAGATTGGGGGAGTGACATTATTTGACTAAGTTTCTACAGCTAGTAAAAGGCAGAGCTGGGATCCAATCTCCTAACCTTTCCCCCTTTAGCCAGTGTGCTTATCCTCTGCCAGTGAGTTGCCAGGATGCTGACATTCCCTTTATGGGGAGGTTAAAGTGAGATAATGTAAAGGGAACATAGTTGGCACGTACCAGGCCCTTGCTAGATTTTGGGTAGTTCTGAAGGGATATTTTCTTTTCAGAGGTCTTTGCCTTTCCTCTTATTGCCAAAGTTTAAATAAGGTATATTGATTTGTTGACTAGTTGAATTAAAGCAGTACATCTCAAGTGGGAGTGATTTTGCCTGCCAGGAGACATTTGACAATGTCACAACTGGGGCGGGTGGGGAAGGTGGGCTGCTACTGACATCGAGTGGGTAGAGACCTGGAATGCTGCTAAAAACACGGCCCCCACAACCAGAATTACCCGGTGCAAAATGTCACCAGTGGGGAGGTTGAGAAACCCCAGGTTAGAGAGATCCCCAAATTCTACACCCACCCCTCAACACACACACTCATAGTTTTATAGTCTGACTAGTGAATTTTTCTGTTGCTTGGCCTTCACAGGTTTCCGAGACACTAAAGCGTTTTGCAGGGAAGGTGACAACAGCCAGTGTAAAGGAACGGAGAGAAATCCTCAGTGAACTTGGGAAGTGTGTTGCTGGAAAAGGTATTTATTTTTCATCCACATACCCTGGACAATATTCATTGTTTTTCTTTCTTTCTTTTTTTTTTTTTTTTTTGAGACAGAGTCTCTCACTGTTGCCCTGGCTGAAGTGCAATGGCACGATCTCAGCTCATTGCAACCTCCACCTCCTGGGTTCAAGCGATTTTCCTGCCCTCAGCCTCCCGAGTAGCTGGGATTACAGGTGCCCATATCATGCCTGCCTAATTTTTGTATTTTTAGTAGAGATGGGGTTTCTCGAATGACAGTGTTCCATATCAAAAATAAATTTTGTGGTTTTTTTTGTGTTTTTTTCTTCTTTTTGAGACAGAGTCTCACGATGTCACCCAGGCTGGAGTGCAGTGGCACGCTCTCGGCTCACTACAACCTCTGCCTCGCTGGGTTCAGGCGATTCTCATGCCTTAGCCTCTCCAGTAGCTGGGATTACAGGTGTGCGCCACCACACCCAGCTAATTTTCGTGTTTTTAGTAGAGATGGGGTTTCACCATGTTGGCCAGGCTGGTCCTGAACTCCTGATCTTAAGTGATCCGCCTGCCTCAGCCTCTCAAAATGCCGGGGTTACAGGCACGAGCCACTGGGCCCAGCTGAAATTGCCTTTCTTTAGAACCATGGCCTTGGCCAGGCACGGTGGCTCACGCCTGTAATCCCAGCACTTTGGGAGGCTGAGGTCAACAGATCACAAGGTCAGGAGTTTGAGACCATCCTGGCCAACATGGTGAAACCCCGTCTCTATTAAAAAAAAAAGTACAAAAATTAGCCAGGTGTGGTGGTGTGCACCTGTAATCCCAGCTACTAGGGAGGCTGAGGCAGGAGAATTGCTTGAACCTGGGAGGTGGAGGTTGCAGTGAGCCGAGATTATGCCACTGCACTCTAGCCTGGGCAACAGAGTGAGACTCAAAAAAAAAAAAAAAAGCCTGGGTGTGGTGGCTCACGCCTGTAATCCCAACAGTTTGGGAGGCCGAGGCGAGTGGATCACGAGGTCAGGAGTTCGAGACCAGCCTGACCAACATGGTGAAACCCTGTCTCTACTGAAAACACAAAAATTAGCTGAGCATGGTGACGCACGCCTGTAATCCTAGCTACTCAGGAGGCTGAGGCAGGAGAATCGCTTCAACCTGGGAGGCAGTGGAGGTTGCAGTGAGCTGAGATCGTGCTACTGCACTCCAGCCTGGGCGACAGAGCAAGACTCCGTCTCAAATAAAAAAGGAACCATGGCCTTCTTCCCCCCTCCCTGCACAACTTCTGCCTTTACTTTATTTCCTTGCTATAGTGTGAATTGCAACAGTTAAAACTTTTGGGTTCATGGAGAGTTTATCCATTCAGGTGTGAAAGCTATTTACACTTTTAACCATTTTGTTTGGAAATATTTAAAAAAGATAGCTAAAACCTTTCTCAAGTAGTATACAGAGTACAAAAACTTTTTTTTTTTTTTTTGAGACGGAGTCTCACTGTGTTGCCCAGGCTGGAGTGCAGTGGCATGATCTCAGCTCACTGCACGCTCTGCTTCCCGGGTTCATATCATTCTTCTGCCTCAGCCTCTGGAGTAGCTGGGACTACAGGTGCCCACCACCACACCTGTCTAATTTTTTGTATATTTAGTAGAGACAGGGTTTCACCGTGTTAGCCAGGATGGTCTCGATCTCCTGACCTTGTGATCCTCCCAAAGTGCTGGAATTACAGGTGTGAGCCACCGCGCCCAGCCAAAAACATTTTTTTTATGACTTGGGATATCATTTTTCCCAATCTGTGTTCCGTGGAAGTCAGCACCATGGTAGTAGGTGATTGGCCAATAAAGGATTCCAAGATCAAATAAGTTGGGAGAGGTTTTTTTTTTTTTTTTTTCTTTGGTGAGACAGAGTCTCCCTCTGTCACCCAGGCTGGAGTGCTGTGGCGCGACCTCTGCTCACTGCAACCTCCGCCTCCCGGGTTCAAGTGATTCTCCTGCCTCAGCCTCCCAAGTAGCTGGGATTACAGGCACCTGCTACCACGCCCAGCTAATATTTGTATTTTTAGTAGAGATGGGGTTTCACCATGTTGGCCAGTCTGGTCTTGAACTCCTGATCTCAGGTTATCCGCCTGCCTTGGCCTCCCAAAGTGCTGGGATTACAGGCGTCAGCCACCATGCCCAGCCTAGAGGTCATGTTTTTGATGTCCTCTTGGAATATTCGCAACAAGGTGTTTTCACTTTATTAAGCTTCCTTGGATTCAGTGTTTTCTTTGAACCTCTTTTTTGCTGAAAATCTGTTGAGGGTCTGGGGAACACATTTTGGGAAATGCTGAGCATATCTGATTATCCTGATCTGCACCATAACCAAGGGATAGCTCTATGACTTATTAGAGTAAGACCATTTTGCCTTCACTCAATAAATTCTAGTTTTTTGTTTTTTTTTTTTTTCATTTCTTTTGGTATGTTTGTTTTTACCGTATAGCATTGGCTCTCAAAGTGTGGTCCCTGGACAGGCAGCATCAGCATCATCTTGGAACTTGTTAGAGATAAAAATTCTCAGCTCCATTGGAGCAACTCAAATCGGAAATCCTGGAGGTGCTGTAGCCCCAGCTACTTGGGAGGTTGAGAGGTGGGAGGATCGCTTGAGCCCAGGAGGTTGAGGCTGCAGTGGTCCATGATTGTGCTACTGCTTTCCAGCCTGGGTGACAGAGTGAGACCCTGTGTCAAAAAAAAAAGTTTGGGCACAGAACCCAGCATTTGTGTTTTAACGAGTCCTTTAGGTGATTCCTATGTTTACTAAAGTTTGAAAACCATGGCCATGGCTGGGCTTGGTGGCTCACACCTGGAATCCCAGCACTTTAGGAGGCCGAGGAGGATGGATCACCTGAGGTCAGGAGTTCAAGACCAGCCTGGCCAACATGGTGAAACCCCGTGTCAACTAAAAATACAAAAAAATTAGCTGGGTGTGGTGGTGGGCACCTGTAATCCCAGCTACTTTGGGAGGCAGAGGCAGGAGAATCGCTTGAACCTGGGAGGCGGAGGTTGCAGTGAGCTGAGATTGCGCCATTGCACTCCAGCCTGGGTAACAAGAACGAAACTCTGTCTCAAAAAAAAAAAAAAAAGAAAATCATGGCCATATAGATTGGGTCTCCCTTTCTGTCCACTTTTACTTCCTATTTCTACCACTTCACCCAACTTCTCATTTGCTGCTTCTGACCTGCTTATGCCTAGTAAGATACCCAAGCTTGTAAACTTGCTATTTGTGAGCGTCTCAGAGAGTCTCTTGTGTGTTAATGCTTCAATGTATGAGTTTTATGGCATCCTCGACGGTTTTTCTGGTCACTTTCCCAGCAGAGCCCTCTAGTTAGAAAAGGCAGCCATGTGATACCGATCTTTCCAGTCACAGGCCTCTAGTGCAGCAGTCAGTGATGAAGGGCTCAGATGGGCTGTGCCACTTACAGGCTGTGTGACCTGCTTCAAGTTACTTCACCTCTCTGAGCCTGTTTCTTTGCTTTGAACATGGAGATAGCAGTAGTACTTCCCTGATAGGTTGGAGTAAATGTAACGCATTGTCTGGGTATGGTAAGCTCACAGTGTGTGTTAGCTGTTATTGTCATTGTCTTAGCCACAACCTGTTTCTGGCCCCAGTCATTCTTTTTCCCCAGTTACTGAAATAGCCCCAAATCACATGGACCAATGCAGTGGTCAGGGCCCTGGGGAAACTGCGTCCCTGTACCTCATTCATTTCTCTTCCATCATTCAGGTGCCTGAAGTGTGAGGAATGGTATGGGCCTCCTGCTCTCAGGTTCTTCCTACACCCAGTATAAGTCTGTCTTACACTGCAGGTTAAATTTCCTCCTCCTCAGAAGCTCCTCCCTTTTGTTTGCGTGCTTCACTGTGTCATGCAGCACTTGTCACAGGTTGGCTTTCCAACATTATTGAGCACTCTTTTTTTTTTTTTGAGATGGAGTCTCGCTCTGTCTCCTGGGCTGGAGTGCAGTGGCGCCATCTCTGCTCACTGCAACCTCCACTTTCTGGGTTCAAGCGATTCTCTTTGCAGCCTCAATCTCCCAGGCTTAGGTGATCCTCCCACCTTAGCCTCCTGAGTAACTGGGATTACAGACACGTGCCACCATGCCCAGGTAATTTTTGTATTTTTAGGAGAGACGGGGTTTCACCGTGTTGGCCAGGCTGGTCTTGAACTCCTGACCTGACCTCAAGTTATCCTCCCACCTTGGCCTCCCAAAGTGCTGGGATTACAGGCGTGAGCCACTGCCCCCAGCCATATTGAGCACTCTTGTTCAACCAAGAGTTGAACTCTTTCTGCCCAGAGTTAGAGTGTATCTGTTTCACTCCAGAGTTAGGGTGTATCTGTTTCACTCTGACTGGCTGGCTTGGTTTCCCATTACTTGGTTTCTTCATTTAAAAATGGGCTTAATCCGGGTGCGATGGCTCACGCCTGTAATCCTAGCACTTTGGGAGGCTGAGGCAGGTGGATCACAAGGTCACAAGTTTGAGACCAGCATGGCCAACGTGGTGAAACCCTGTCTCTACTAAAAATACAAAAATTAACTGGGCGTGGTGGTGCGCACCTTTAGTCTCAGCTACTCATGTGGCTGAGGCAGGAGAATCACTTGAACCTGGGAGGCGGAGGTTGCGGTGAGCCGAGATCGCACTACTGCACTCCAGCCGGGGCGATAGAGTGAGACTCCGTCTGAAAAATAAAAGGCGGGGGGGCCTTAATAACACTGCCCACCTTACATGGATTAAATGAGTGAATGTGTATGAATGATCTAGAGCAGGGTCTGGCATCTTGTAAGCACTAAGAGCTAGGGTGTTATTAGTCCTCTCTTCTTCTTCATGTGTTCTGAATAGGTATTATGCCTTCTTAACCCTGCACTCTACATGTATCTCCCTCTCTTTCCATTTTTCCAGAGCCTACTAATCTGATAGGCCAAGCTTATGTGTCCTTCAGACTTTCAGAAACACTCCAGTTATAGGTGTTCTTCCCTTTTCTGGTCCCTCATAGTACTTCAGTGTTGCACTGTTTTTTAAACCGTTTATTAGAATGTATGTGAAGAAAGGTACGCCTCCTAATGGAACAGCTCACTGAATCATCACATGTTAAACACCAGTATAACCAGCACCCAGATCAAGAAGTAGAACCATTCCAGCACTCCTGAACCTCCTCTTGATGGCATGTGAGGTTTCGAGGCCACTTTTATTTTCTTAGTTTCGTTCATTTAGCAAATGTCTACCCAAAGCTTTTCTGTACCAGGCATTTTCCTAGAGTCCTGTTTTGTTGTTGCTTTTTCCTCTTGGGGAGGAAGGTCTTAAATATATGGGGAGTGTCCAGTGGGCTGAGATCATGTCTGGGCAGAATACCTGACTCCAGCGGCTTACCAAGTGATTTTTATTGACCGCTGTCTGTGTAATCTCTGGTTTCAGATCTTCCAGAGGGAGCAGTGAAGGGGCTCTGCAAATTGTTCTGCTTGACTCTGCATCGATATAGGTGAGTCCCAGCCAAAGGCCCCATATGTGGAGCACTTTGTACAGAGAGGGGATTTAGAGTAGTGGTTAGAGCCCAGATTAGAGCCAGACTGCCTGGTGCCAAATCTGGGCTATGTCACATCCTAGCCATTAGATCCTGGGCAAGTTACTTAACCTCTCTGTGCCTCAGTTTCCTTGTCTGCAGAATGGGGATGGTGCCATTCTCTATCTCATGGGTGGTTGTTAGTAAGCGTGAGGTGCCTGGAACAGTTGCCTGCTGTGCCATAGTGGTCAATGTGTTTATGCTGCCATTTAGTCATGTGTGTTAAATCGTCTGGCCTACTTTGAGACCCTTATAACTGCTCCATAAATGTAGGTGCTGCCCTTACACACTCAATGGCTTATTTGCCCTTATGAGATACTTTTAGAACTCTAGGAGGAGGTGAGTTTATCTAGTTATTTCCTAATCCCTTCTCTGTTATCCACTGGAATATGGTGTGATCAGTTTCTCCTGAGAAAGACCAGTGTATGGCCTGAGCAGCCTTGCCCCTGCCTCTGCCTGAGGTCTGCATGTTCACCCTTTCCTTTGCCTCTCCCCCTAGAGATGCAGCCTCCCGCAGGGCCTTGCAGGCAGCCATCCAGCAGTTGGCTGAGGCCCAGCCAGAAGCCACTGCTAAGAACCTTCTACACTCTCTGCAGTCTTCTGGTATAGGCTCCAAAGCAGGTGTTCCCAGGTAAGAGGTAAAAGTTGTGGCCCCCTGAGAATTGGTACAGTCCTGCTCAGGAGAAGCTGATGCAGTTGACTGTGCACCAGAGGGAGGAGCCAGGATAGCAAGCTTAGTGGAGAAAACCACTTTCCCGAGGAGCAGGGTTGGGAAACAGTGGAAGCAAGGCCATTTTGAGGGGAACCAGTTGCCCACCAGGCCCCTAATGGTGGAAGCCATCTGTTTGTTTTTATAGTTGTCAGTGCCAAGAGATGGGAGTTTGGCCACTGAAGCCTGGACTTCTTGTCCTGAATTGCCACAGATGGTTTGTGGGGAACTTGTTTCAAGTTCTGTTCCATGAGGTGAAGGGAGGGTCCTGCATTACCAGGCGGGGCCTTAGGGACAGTGTTCGTCCTCAAGGTGGAGGCTGCTGCTCTGAACTCATCCCCAACTCTGCTCTGCAGTAAGAGCAGTGGCTCTGCCGCCTTGCTGGCCTTGACCTGGACCTGCCTCCTGGTGCGCATTGTCTTTCCATCGAGAGCCAAGCGACAAGGAGACATCTGGAACAAACTGGTAGGTTCCCTGTGTCTCTGAAGTAGCAAGGGTCAGCTTTCTGCCAGGAGTTAGAGCATGTTTCAGCACCTTCTTGGTGCCAAGTGCTTTTCTGGGTGCTGGGTGACCAGACACTCTGAGTTGTCCCGAGGTGTGTGGCTTTGGTGGATGGCCATGAGTGCAGCATAATCACATTGTTTGGTGTATTAGACATTTTGGAGCTTCTCTGTCAGGCATGGTGCTAGGCACTAGAAATGCAGTGATGCACAACAGAAATGAGGCCCCTGATTTCATGGCATGTGTGGAAGCCGTGACAGGCCAGAGTTGGGAAGACAGCCAAAAATCAAGTAGACTAGAAAATATCATAGTGTAAATCCTCTTGGTGTTTTTCTGGCTGATCATTCCATTCCCTGTGTTTGATTTCAGTGTTGAACTGGTGAATGGAATGGATTTTTTGTCTTGGTTTTGGTTCTTAAATTCCCTCTTTCCATTCTCTACCTGCTCCTTCCATATTCTCTTCTTTTTCTTTCCCCATGTCTGCTCACCAGGTTGGGAGGTGAGCAGAGCAGACATGTGCCTGGGTAGGCTTAGTGTAGGTCATGAGGAGTGGTTTTTTAGTGTAGGTCATGAGGAGTAGTTTTTTTTTTTTTTTTTTGAGACGGAGTCTTGCTCTGTTGCTCAGGCTGGAGTGCAGTGGTGTTGGCTCACTGCAACCTCTGCCTCCTGGGTTCAAGCGTTTCTCTTGCCTCAGCCTCCCGAGTGGCTGGGATTACAGGTGCCTGCCACCACACCTGGCTAATTCTTTTGTATTTTTAGTGGAGACAGGGTTTTTCCATGGTGGCCAGGCTGGCCTTGAGCTCCTGACCTCAGATGATCCGCCTGCCTTGGCCTCCCAAAGTGTTGGGATTATAGGTGTGAGCCACTTTGCCAGGCCTTGGATCTGATTCTTGTCCATGAGACTTGGCTGAGTCACTTAACTTCTGAGCCCATTTCCTCATTTGCAAAGTGGGAAAGAAAATACTACTCACCCTGTCCACCTCAAAGAGTTGTCGCAAAGCCAGGTTTCGTTGAGGGTTGAGATGACTGTGGAAACTGGAGAGTCCCAGGCAGGTAGGTGCCAGTGATGACCGGCCTTAGGAAACACAAGTACCGCTCCATGAAGCAGCCTGCTGGTTAGATAGAGGGCTGCATCCCTGGGAGCTTATCCAGCGCACCTCTGGGGACAAACATGGAATGGCTGTCAGTATAATTGATTGATGATGGATTAGAATGCTGAAACCTTGAGGGTCAAGGATTACGTATTGTGAGCTGGGACTCTCTTGGATTTGCTTCAGGGAATGGGTGTCATTGTTACCAAAAGCCTCCTTGTAAGAAGGGGCAAGCTCATTGGCTTATCTGCACTGAGTGGTTTTTTTTGTTTTTTTTTTTTTGTTTTCTTTGAGAGACAGAGTGTAATTCTGTCACTCAGGTTGGAATGCAGTGGCGCAATCTCGGCTCACTGCAACCTCTGCCTCCCAGGCTCAAGCAATTCTCAACCCTCAGCTTCCTGAGTATAACTGGGACTATATGTGCATGCCACCACACCTGGCTAATTTTTGTATTTTTAGTAGAGATGGGGTTTCACCATGTTGGCCAGGCTAGTCTCAAACTCCTGACCTCAGGTGATCCGTCTGTCTCAGCCTCCCAAAGTGCAGGGATTACAGGTATGAGCCATTGTGCCCAGCCTACTTTTTTTTTTTTTTTTTTTTTTGAGACGGAGTTTTACTCTTGTTGCATAGGCTGGAGTGCAATGGCGCGATCTCGGCTCACCGCAACCTCTGCCTCCTGGATTCAAGCGATTCTCCTGCCTCAGCCTCCCAAGTGGCTGGGATTACAGGCATGTGCCACCATGCCCGACTAGTTTTGTATTTTTACTAGAGACGGGGTTTCTCTATGTTGGTCAGGCTGGTCTCGAACTCCTGACCTCAGGTGATCCGCCCGCCTCGGCCTCCCAAAGTGCTGGGATTACAGGCATGAGCCACTGCACCTGGTCGTGCCCAGCCTACTTTTAAAAAAATGTATTAAAAAATTTTTTTATACACACACCATGATTCTGCAGACTTCTTTTTTTTTTTTTTTTTTTTTGAGACAAAGATCTTGCTCTGTCACCCAGGCTGGAGCACAGTGGCATGATCTCAGCTCACTGCAGCCTTGACCTCCTGGGCTCAAGCGATCCTTCTGTCACAGCCTCCTGAGTAGCTGGGACTACAGGCATGCTGGTGTATGCCTGGCTGATTTTTGTATTTTTTTAGAGATGGGGTTTTCTTTTGTTGCCCGGGTTGGTCTCGAACTCCTGGGCTCAAGGGAACCACCTGCTGCGGTCTTCCAAAGTGCTGGGTTTATAGGTGTGAGTCACCACGCCCAGCCAGTAATCCTTTCTATACTATGCTATATATAGGGAGTCCTCTGTTGCTTACGGTTTTTTATTGTTACTAACAGTTCTGCAAAGAATAACCTTGTACATATGCCATTTTGTATACATGCAAATGGAATTTATCAGCATTGCTTTCCACAAGCATATCTGCTTGCTTGCTTTTTCTTTTTCTTTTTTTTTTTTTTGAGACGGAGTCTCGCTCTGTCGCCTAGGCTGGAGTGCAGTGAGGCGCAATCTCGGCTCAGTGCAAGCTCCGCCTCACGGGTTCACGCCATTCTCCTGCCTCAGCCTCCCGAGTAGCTGGGACTACAGGCGCCTGCCACCATGCCCAGCTAATTTTTTTTGTATTTTTAGTAGAGACAGGGTTTCACCGTGTTAGCCAGGATGGTCTCGATCTCCTGACCTCGTGATCCGCCCGCCTCAGCCTCCCAAAGTGCTGGGATTACAGGCGTGAGCCACCGCGCCCGGCCACAAGCATATCTGTTTTCTGAGGGTGGCAGTTCACACGACTCACTAGTGACCTTGGGCATTTATGGCACATAAAGTCTCTGAGATTTTTGTTTGTTTTTTTTTGAGACAGAGTCTTTCTCTGTCACCAGGCTGGAGTGCAGTGGCGCTATCTCGTCTCACTGCAAACTCCACCTCCTGGGTTCAAGCGATTTTCCTCCTGAGTAGCTGGGACTACAGGCGCCTGCCACCACACCCGGCTAATTTTTGTATTTTTAGTAGCGACAGGGTTTCACCATGTTGGCCAGGATGGTCTCGATCTCTTGACCTTGTGATCCGCCTGCCTCAGCCTCCCAAAGTGTTGGGATTACAGGCGTGAACCATTGCACCTGGCCTTTATTTTTTGAGATGGAGTTTCGCTCTCGTTGCCCAGGCTGGAGTACAAAGGCGTGATCTCGGCTCACCGCAACCTCTGCCTCCTGGGTTCAAGCGATTCTCCTGCGTTCAAGCAATTCTCCTGCCTCAGCCTCCCGAGTAGCTTGGTTACAGGCATGCGCCACCACACCCAGCTAATTTTGTATTTTTAGTAGAGATGAGGTTTCTCCATGTTGGTCAGACTGGTCTTGAACTCCCGACCTCAGGTGATCTGCCTGCCTCGGCCTCCCAAAGTGCTGGGATTACAGGTGTGAGCCACTAGGCCTGGCAGCCTCTGAGATTTTTTTAGTCAAGGACCTATTATGTATGTCAATCTGGGTTGGACGGTGTGAGCTCCATGCAGTTCGAATCCCCATATCAAGATGCACTTCTGTATTCACAGTGCTCAGCATAGAGCCTGCCATGCAGTGGTCAGTAAGTATTTGTGGAATTAATGAAGGACAGGTCAAGGCAGATAAGAAGTAAATGAAACAGGACCCTTAATTCTTTACCTGCATGGCACTTAAACCTCACTGAAATTGTATGTTCATTTGTGTATTTATTTGTTTAATATCTCTTTTTTCCTCTGAATTCTAAGGTACATGAAAGCAGGGACCGGCTGGGCGCAGTGGCTCACGCCTGTAATCCCAGCACTTTGGGAGGCCGAGGCGGGCGGATCATGAGGTCAGGAGATCGAGACCATCCTGGCTAACATGGTGAAACCCCGTCTCTACTAAAAATACAAAAAATTAGGTGGGCATGGTGGTGGACACCTGTAGTCCTAGCTACTCGGGAGGCTGAGGCAGGAGAATGGTGTGAACCCGTGAGGCGGAGCTTGCAGTGAGCTGAGATCGCACCACTGCACTCCAGCCTGGGCGACAGAGCGAGACTCTGTCTCAAAAAAAAAAAAAAAAAAAATTAGCTGGGCATGGTGGCACGCACCTGTAGTCCCAGCTACTTGGGAGGCTGAGGCGGGAGAATCACTTGAACCCGGGAGGTGGAGGTTGCAGTGAGCCGAGATTGTGCCACTGCACTCCAGCCTGGCGACAGAGCGAGACTCCGTCTTAAAAAAAAAAAGCAGGGACCATGTCTGTCTTCCTCCCCTTGTGCCTTCATTGTCTGATTCATAATAGGTGATCACCAAATATTTATTAAACGAACACTAGTGGGAACAGTGTCGTTAAAGGACAGAACTAAATGTGTGGGGTGGAGGGAAGAGGAGCTGGCTGGAGTTGAGTGGGAGAGGCTGAGTGGAGATGAAGCCAGGATTTGGAGGGTCTGATGGAGGTCTTTACAGGCTATGAGAGCCATGGGACCCTCAGTCTCATGTCCCACCTTGACCTGAGTCTTCCCTGGTCCTGGCAGGTGGAAGTGCAGTGCCTGCTCTTGCTGGAGGTGCTGGGTGGCTCCCACAAGCACGCCGTGGATGGTGCTGTGAAGAAACTCACGAAGCTGTGGAAAGAGGTGACAGGACTGCAGGGGCTGGTGGGCATTGCTTCTTCCATGCCACTCCCCCACTGCCATCTTAAACACCTGCCTGGCACTTTCCTCTTCAGAACCCCGGGCTGGTGGAACAGTACTTGTCAGCCATTCTCAGCCTAGAGCCCAACCAGAACTATGCTGGCATGCTGGGGCTGCTGGTGCAGTTCTGCACGAGTCACAAGGAGATGGACGTGGTCAGTCAGCACAAGGCAAGTGCCAAGGCAGAGTGACTGTGGGTTTGCTATGTTGGGGATGTTGGGAGCTCGCTGGAGGGAAGGAATGGGAACCTGCTTTGCCCTGGTGACCCTAGCTGTTGACCTTATCTGAAACTTGTTGGTTTTCTCATGTGAGACTCTGGCCTTTTGCCATGATACATGAACTTCTAGGAGCTGGAAAGTTTCCCTTCTGTTTCTGGCTTGGGTGATAGTTTGCTTGTTCATGCAGTCACTTATTCATCCCAATTTAGTGGCTGCCATGTTCTAGGCACTGTGCTCGGTGTTGGGGGTACACCAGCGAGTAAGGGAGCTATGACCCCTGCCCCCATGGAACTGAGTCTGAGAAACTGACATTAAACAGATAGTCTAGCTAATTATAACTAGTATGTGCTACAAAGGGAAAGTGTGAGAAGTCGTGAGACTCCACAACGGAAGGACCTGATTTAGGCTGTGGGTCAGAGAACACATCACTCTAAAGAAGGAACTTTGAGAGTGAAGAGGAATTAGCAAGGTCAAGAGGTGAGGCAGAGCATTTTGGGCAGAGGAAGCAGCCTGTGGGCAGGAACAGAGAGGAGGCGAGCGGGGTTGGAGTGGCAGGAATGGGTTAGAGTGAGACGCAGCCAGCTGAGTGGTGGGCAGGACCTTATAAGCCATACGAAGGACTTTGGACTTTATCCCGGGGGCCATGGAAAGCTGTGGAAGGGTTTTAAGTGGGGTTGCGTGATCAGTGGGACCTCTATGCTTAACACTGAAATTTGGGGCATTGATTTGTATTTTTTGGAGGCACTCTCACAAGAGGGACCCCTTAGGCCAGTGATGAGATACTTGAGAATGTCAGGATCTAACCAGAGCTTTGTGTTCTCTAGAGCGCCCTACTGGACTTTTACATGAAGAACATCCTGATGAGCAAAGTCAAGCCTCCGAAGTACCTGTTGGTGAGCGAGAGGTGGACGTTACTCACCTGGACAACTGATCCCATTTTCAATTCTGGGATGCTGAACTCTTTTTTGCTTCTTGGTCCGTTCCCATGAGGGCTAGGTGCCTTATTCCTTTTTCTTTGTAGGATAGCTGTGCCCCTCTGCTCCGATACCTGTCCCACTCAGAATTTAAGGATCTGATACTGCCCACCATACAGAAGTCCTTACTGAGGAGTCCAGAGAATGTTATTGAAAGTAGGTTGCTGTCAACCAGGATGGTGGGAGGGAGATGAGTTGCCTATATCTCTATTCTCGATATTTGGCAACAAGAAGTGTGTGTGGTAGGGGGGAGGGAAGGGGGATGTATTCATTGTTTACCTTGTTGGGACCTTGGGAGAGAGATTGGGGACCTTTTGCGATTATGTTGAAAGCCAGACGCATTGGCTCACACCTGTAATCCCAGCACTTTGGGAGGCGGCAGTGGGCAGATCACTTGAGCGCAGGAGCTCAACTCGGGAGGCTGATGTGGGAGGATAGCTTGAGCCCAGGAAGTGGAAGTTGCAGTGAGCCAAGATGGCGACACTGCACTCTATCCAGCCTGAGTGACAGAGTGAGACCCTATCTCAAAAAACAAGAGGCCAGGCGCGGTGGCTCATGCCTGTAATCCCGGCAGTTTGGGAGGCTGAGGCAGGTAGATCACCTGAGGTCAGGAGTTTGAAACCAGCCTGACCAACATGGTTAAACCCTGTCTCTAATAAAAATACGAAAAAAATTAGGCGTGGTGGCACATGCCTGTAGTCCTAGCTACTCAGGAGACTGAGGCAGGAAAATCACTTGAAACCGGGAGGTGGAGGTTGCAGTGAGGCAAGATCATGCCATTACACTCCAGCCTGGGCGACAGAGCCAGACTCTGTCCAAAAAAAAAGAAAGAGAAAAAGTCATGGGCTGTCTTGTCAGAAGAATGCACAAAAGTATATCCATTAATAATACTGCATATAATTTTAGGGGTTCAAGAACCCACTGGATCAGTTCATAGCTTTATGGAGGTGCTAGCCATTGTTCTGATTCCCAGAAAATATCAAGTGTTCACTTTCAGAGTTGAGTGGAAGAAAACAAAATATCCTCTTACCCCTCCACCTCCCCAAAAGAACTTTCTGGAGACGATTCAGGTTAAGAACCTCCTCTGTAGACATTCTGGACTTAGTATGGAGGTGGCACTTGAAATCATGGGATCTGAGGGTTGAGTCTCTGTCCCTGTGTATCTTAGTAAAATGTGTTGGTGGGATGTTGGAAAGGCAATTTTTGCTGATCGGGATGGGGAGGTATACAGCTTTTCAGCAGAGCTTTGGGACTACTCATGTAGCCTGTAGAGATGAAGGGCCAGACAGCAGGCCTAGTGGCATTTGCTGGGGAGTAGGGGAACAAAATTATCTGTTGAATTTATTGCTTAGACTGACATGGTCAGTGCTTTCTGTCCCCCTTAGCTATTTCTAGTCTGCTGGCATCAGTGACGCTTGACCTCAGCCAGTATGCCATGGACATCGTGAAAGGACTGGCTGGTGAGTATCCCAGCCCCTCTCCAGCCCATAAGTGTCACCTTGGGTTTGGTTGTACTTGTCCTAATTGTTGTAGCAGGGGTAGGGGACAGCTCAGGGTAGTAATAAGGCCCTAACCTAAACTACATTGGCATTGGCAGTTTCTTTCTTGAGATTATTTGAATGAGAGCAAACAGCTAATACTGAAGAGATGGGGGCATGGAAAAGACAAAGACGAAAGTCTGGATGCTCAGTTGTTGGCTGCTTCTGAGCAGTGGCTTTGTGTGTGCAGGTCACCTGAAATCCAACAGTCCCCGCCTGATGGATGAAGCTGTGCTGGCACTGCGGAACCTGGCACGCCAGTGCAGTGACTCTTCGGCCATGGAATCCCTGACCAAGCACCTATTTGCTATCCTCGGAGGTGAGCAAGCCTTCTTGGCCATGCGGGTGGTTGAGGCGTGGCCCCTGGTATTTCCCTCAACTGGGATCTGAAGGGGACTTGATGCTCCAAGTCTGCCTGTGGCAAGGCTGTGTGGCCAGGGGGACGTCACACTGGAATGTGAATGTGTGTGAATGAACAAAACCGTGCACGGGGTGGTGTGGATGGGGTGATCTCAGGTTTTTTGTTTTTAAGATACACATTTTTGTAGGCATAGCAGAAAAAACTAAAGGAAATACACCAGAAAAGAAATGTCTTTGAGTAGTGGAGACATGAGTGCCTTTTAAATGTTTTTCTTTATATTTTTTCTGTTTCTCAAGTTTTTTGTAGGAACATTCTTTTTTGAGTCAGAAAGCAAAAGGCTAGTAAAAGTTGCTTTAAACCCAGCTTCACAACACAAAGGCTACTTCTGGAATCAGAAACCGTATCGTGGCATCACACACGTGACTGCATTGTTCACTCTCTTGGGAAATGTGGCATATGTGAATGTGAATCTTTGCTGTCTCTCTTCTCAGGCTCGGAAGGAAAACTAACTGTTGTAGCCCAGAAGATGAGCGTCCTCTCAGGTATAGGATTTCTTTTTTTTTTTTTTTTTTTTTTTGAGAGAAAGTCTTGCTGTGTCATCTAGGATAGAGTGCAGTGGTGCCATCTCAGCTCACTGCAACCTCTGCCTCCCAGGTTCAAGCGATCCTCATGCCTCAGCCTCCTTAGTAGCTGGGATTACTGGTGCACACCACCACGCCTGCTAATTTTTTTGTATTTTTAGTAGAGATGGGGTTTCACCATATTGGCCAGGCTGGTCTTGAACTCCTGGCGTCAAGTGATCTGCCCGCCTCAGCCTCCCAAAGTGCTGGGATTACAGGCAGGTACAGGATTTCTCTGCCAGGAGTAGAGCTGTGATCTGGTAGTAGATAAGCTTTTTTTTTTTTTTTTTTTTTGAGATGGAGTCTCACTCTGTCGCCAGGCCGGAGCGCAGTGGCACAATCTTGGCTCACTGCAACCTCTGCCTCCCGGGTTCAAGCAATCCTCCTGCCTCAGCCTCTTGAGTAGCTGGGACTACAGGCACACACCACCACATCCAGCTAATTTTTTTGTATTTTTAGTAGAGACAGGGTTTCACCACGTTGGCCAGGATGGTCTCGATCTTGACCTCATGATGCACCTGCCTCAGCCTCCCAAAGTGCTGGGATTACAGGCGTGAGCCACTGCGCCTGGCCTAGTAGTAGATAAGCTTTAACATAATTCTTAGGTAAGGCGAAGCCTTCTTTGCATCTTGACTCCTGTGACGATCTTGGGTCCAGCCTGCCTCCCAGGACCCTGCTGCTTGCCTGCTTGACAAGAGGGACTTGTTCAGGTCTAGCAGGAGGCTTGGCTTCTATAGAAGGCAGGAGGTGTAGAGGGGGCATTGAAGGAAGATCAATAATGGCCAAAGGAGAGGTATGCCTGCTGGAGACACAGAAGAGGTCTGTGACCCAGAGTGCGGAGGTGGCAGCAGTGGGAAGACTTGCCTCTGTGGTTCTGTGCTGATAAGAGACTGAACAGGGAATCTGCCTTTTAGGGATTGGGAGCGTCAGTCATCACGTGGTGTCTGGACCTTCCAGTCAGGTCCTGAATGGGATCGTGGCTGAGCTGTTCATCCCGTTCCTTCAGCAGGAAGGTAATTCTGTGCAACATGGTGAGCATGCGTTCTGTACTCATCCTTGACCGTGGTTTTTCACAGTTGGAGCTTTCCTTCCATAAACCTCTCCTAAAGACACACCTCCCTCAGAGCAAGGCTCGTAGCTGTCTGAAATATCACTGCTTCCTCCCGCTTGTACTCTGGCTTGTTTTTTGCACTGCTTGCAATGATTTGACATGGTTATAAGACATTGGACTGACTGGACTTCTGCTTTTTGCCCTAGTTCATGAAGGGACCTTGGTACACGCTGTCTCAGTCCTGGCTCTCTGGTGTAACCGATTCACTATGGAAGTGCCCAAGAAGCTCACTGAATGGTTCAAAAAAGCTTTCAGCCTTAAAACCTCCACATCTGCGGTGAGGCATGCCTACCTGCAGTGCATGTTGGCCTCTTACCGGGGTAAGACAACTCCCAGGGCTAGTGTCCAGGTCTCCTTGCAGAGGTTACTGAGTCTTTAGGGTATTGTTAGTGTTCCCGCTTTCCCTGTTAGTTCAGCTTATTTTGCACTGTTTAATTCTTCCTGAAATAAATGAGAGCATTGGGCTTAGCCCAAAATCCGAATTCAGTCTTCACAACAAATTCTGGCTTCTCCCCCTTGTCAGACTTTCAAAGTACAAAGCTTTATTCAGAGAGGACCAGAACCAGAACTTGTCACTATAGTATCTGAAATCATGGAGAAATGACTCAGATAAGACTGGTTTAAGGGCTGGGTGCGGTGGCTCACACCTGTAATCCCAGCACTTTGGAAGGCCGAGGCGGGCAGATCACCTGAGGGCAGGAGTTCAAGACCAACATGGCGAAACCCTGTCTCTACTAAAAATACAAAAATTAGCTGGGCATGGTGGCGGGCACCTGTAATCTCAGCTACGTGGGAGGCTGAGGCAGGGAGAATTGAACCCGGTAGATGGAGGTTGCAGTGAGCCGAGATTGCGCCATTGTACTCCAGCCTGGGCAACAGAGCAAGACTCTGTCTTGGAAAAAAAAAAAAAAAAAAGACTGGTTTAAAAAATCCAACTTCGTGTAAACTTTACTCTGGACTTATTAAAAATGACCACCGCCCTTCCTTCAGTGTTGAGGAACCTACTGTCATTTGGGCAAGCAGAGCTGGGGGAAACTTTCAAATCTGTATAGGAGCTTGGTCTCCAAGCTATAAACCTCTATTACTGATTTCCATCTCAGAGATATGCTTGTATTTCTTTTTAAAAAGATTTAAACTTATGAACTGTATTTAAAGAAGCATCTAGGAGAGGCTGGGCACAGTGGCTCACGCCTACCAGCACTTTGGGAGGCCGAGGCGGTTGGATCACCTGAGGTCAGGAGTTCGTGACCAGCCTGGCCAACATGGTGTAACCTTGTCTCTACACAAATACAAAAATTAGCCAGGCATGATGACAGGTGCTTGTAATCCCAGCTACTCGGGAGGCTGAGGCAGGAGAATCGCTTGAGCCCAGGAGGCAGAGGTTGCAGTGAGCCGAGATCAAGCCATTGCACTCCTGCCTGGGTGACAGAGTGATACTCTGTCTCAAAAAAGAAAAAGAAACATCTAGGAGATTCCAGGGCCTCCTCTTGGGAGGGGACCCCCTTCTGTGTGAAATGTCTTGTCTGATGAACTTTGTACTCACATATTTCTTTTAATGATAAGGGAAGAAGAATCTGACCATAAGAGATTTTTGCACTGATTTGAAAGCAATATATCTTTTTCTGAAATATGTCTCCCAGCTCAGAATCATAGATCATCTTTGTGCAGTGGTTTGTGAGGTTTATTCAAACCACAGGTAGTGCTGATTGAAGTCATAGATTTTCCATGGGTAGAAATGTACGCTCAATACATTTTCAGCTGCCTTAGGGATATAGTGAACTCACATCCATGACTTAAAAACAGTCTATGAGGCAGGCGAGCTGGCTCACGCCTGTAATCCCAACACTTTGGGAGGCTGAGGTGGGAGGATTGCTTGAGCCCAGGAGTTTGAGACCAGCCTGGGCAACAAAGTGAGACCCCCATCTCTACAAAAAAATTAAAAAAATAGCTGGGCATGGTGGTACATGCCTGTGGTCCCAGCTACACAGGTGGCTGAGGCAGCGGGATTGCTTGAGCCCAGGAGTTCAAGATCAGGCAGGGAAACATAGCAAGACTCTGTCTCTACCAAAAATTATATAAAAAGTCTATGTACTATATATATCAGTTTGCATTATTGCTGCATTGAATGACCATCAGTTGTAGGTGGGACTTTGAATTGTAGATGGCAAAAACTTGGTTTTACCTAGTCTCTTCAGCTTGAGCTAGTTCTGCTCGTTGCATTTATTTTTAATTTATTTTTTAAAAAAGGAATGCAGAGTGCCAGAACTCAATGCTCATTGCTTTTAAAATAAACATAATATAAAATAAACCTTTTAAAAACAAAACGAAAATAAACCTCTGTAATAAAGATTTCTTGGATTCAAGTATAAAACATTATCTGGGAAACTGCTTTCATTGTGAAATGTTCTGATGTACCCATTTAGTAGCTATGGAAACATGGAACAACAAACCAAGGTGTTGGGGTAGGGGGGAAGAAAACATGTGCTTGAGCTATAGTTTTTTTTTTGAGATGGAGTTTCTCTCTGTCACCCAGGCTGTAGTGTAGTGGTGCGATCTCAGCTCACTGAAACCTCCGCCTCCTGGGTTTAAGCGATTCTCCAACCTCAGCCTCCTGAGTAGCTGGGATTACAGATGCCCACCACCATGCCTGGCTAATTTTTGTATTTTTTAATAGAGACAGGGTTTTGCCATGTTGGCCAGGCTGGTCTTGAACTCCTGACCTCGGGTGATCTGCTCGCCTCAGCCTCCCAGAGTGTTGGGATTATAGGCATGAGCCACCGTGCCCAGCCAAACTATAGTTTTAACTGGTTTCTCTTTTTTTTTTTTTTTTTGGAGATGGGGTCTCGTTCTGTCACCCAGGCTGGAGTGCAATGGCACAATCTCGGCTCACTGCAACCTCCGCCTCCTGGGTTCAAGCGATTCTCCTGCTGCAGCCTCCTGAGTAGCTGGGATTACAGGCGTGCACCACCCCACCCGGCTAAGACAGGGTTTCACCATATTGGTCAGGCTGGTCTGGAATTCCTGACCTCATGATCCCCCCCGCCTCAGCCTGCCAAAGTGCTGGGATTACAGGCATGAGCCACTGTGCTTGGCTTCCTTTTTTTTTTAAAAGAGTTTAGTTCAGAGGTCAGCAGATTTGGACCCAAATTTAGAATTTGGGTCCGAAGGTCATCTGTATGGGGGAAGAGTACCAGATGGGAATTGACAGGATTGAGGGTGGCTCTGACTTGCCTCAACTAGCCGTGTGACCTTGAGCAACACACCTAATGTCTCTGCTTATCCATCAATTGAATAACTGGACCACGCCCAGCTAATTTTGTATTTTTAATAGAGACGGGGTTTCTCCATGTTGGTCAGGCTGATCTCGAACTCCCAGCCTCAGGTGATCCACCCGCCTCGGCCTCCCAAAGTGCTGGGATTACAGACGTGAGCTACCGCACCTGGCCATAAGGATTATCTTTCTCCCTCTAATTTTGTGGCTGTAGAGTTTGATTTAAGTTTTGATTTCACTTCACTTCTTTTTGAGATATTTGAAAAATTAACTGAAGGGTTTTAGTCGTCTGGTTCACAGCTGGTTAGATAAATCCTTTCTCAGTCCTGTCATTTCCAAGGATCAGGATGTCCTTTAAGGTGCTTGTCCTCTCTCCACAGGTGACACGCTGTTGCAGGCCCTGGACTTACTGCCCTTGCTCATCCAGACAGTGGAGAAGGCAGCCTCCCAAAGCACTCAGGTTCCCACCATCACTGAAGGGGTTGCCGCAGCCTTGTTGCTCTTAAAGTTGTCAGTGGCTGACTCACAGGCTGGTATGAGTCCAGAGGTGTCTAGGATGGTAGAGACAGGGGCCTCTGACAAGAGTCCTTGGGAGGTGTGTCTTGATGTTCAGGATTAGCTTGGTCCTGACCACACTGGATCAGCCACAGGTTTGCTTGTCATCTGCAGGATGAACCTCATGGTTGCATGGGCAGTGGGAATGCAGTCAGGGGACTGTGTCACTGTCCTCCTTCATTCTGTTGCTCCAGTGCTACACAGGCTTGTAGATGATACCTAGATGGACCAGGGTTTAGTATTGGGACTGTTTGTTTCAGTTGGTTATACATTCATACAGTACAAAATTCAAAAGGATATAACATGAGAAGCTTCCCCTTAGCCCTGTCTTTTCCCGTAGCCGTTAAGTTTCCCTCTGTAAACGGTGTTACCAATTTTGCACTTTGGGAGGCCGAGGCAGGCGGATCACGAAGTCAAGATTTCGAGACCATTCTGGCCAACATGGTGAAACCCCGTCTTTACTAAAAGTACAAAAATTAGCTGGGTGTGGTGGCGCATGCCTGTAATCTCAGCTACTCGGGAGGCTGAGGCAGGAGAATCGCTTGAACCCAGGAGGCGTAGGTTGCAGTGAGCTGGGATTGCTCCACTGCACTCCAGCCTGGGTGGCACAGTGAGACTTTGTCTAAGAAAGAAAAAACAGTATTACCAATTTTATGTCCAGACATAGTGTGTTATGTAATTGAACATGCTGGGGAACATACGCTATATGCCATATTACTTATAATATATAATATATATACTATATATAATATATCTTCGAAATGATTCCAAATCAGTACATCAGAAAGAGCTTTCTCATTATTTTTTGTGGCTACATCGTATTTCAGGCTTTCTTTTCTTTTTTTTTTTTCTTTTTTTTTTTTTTTTTTTGAGACGGAGTTTCGCTCTGTCGCCCAGGCTGGAGTGCAGTGGCGCGATCTCGACTCACTGCAAGCTCCGCCTCCTGCCTCAGCCTTCCGAGTGGCTGGGACTACAGGCGCTACGCCGCCACGCGCGGCTAATTTTTTATATTTTTAGTAGAGACAGGGTTTCATCGTGTTAGCCAGGATGGTCTCAATCTCCTCACCTTGTGATCCACCCACCTCAGCCTCCCAATGTGCTGGGATTACAGGCGTGAGCCACTGCGCCCGGCCAGGCTTTCTTTATTTCATCTCCCAATCTCTGCACTGGGACACACCTGAACTTAACTCCTTTGGTTAGGAATGGAGCTCAGCTCTCCTCATGTAATATCGTGTGCTCACTGTGGCCATGCAAGGCACTGGGCTACCTGGGGGAATGCTAAGATGAACATGACCTTCTTCAGCAAATTTCAGGGTGCTTACTTCACAGTAGGCGCGAGGAAATACAGAAATATATCCGTAGCTTAAGACAAAATGCGGCATTAGAGCAGTTTTGAAGGAGAGATTGCTTTTAGTTGGGGGGGTGGGTATTGGGAAGGGCTTCATGGAGGAAGCATTTGAACTGGTACCCTGAAGCCTCTGAAGGATTTCATTATCCTGAAGGGATGGCCCAGTGTGAGTCCAAACAGCCCCAGTCAGGGAAGGGCAGGGAAAGCCAGAGTCTGTAAACCTCAGGTATTCCAGCTTGGCGCCTGGGGTGGATGGGAATTCCGGATGAGAAGCAGTTCACCTAGGATCCTGTAGGCAGCAGAGAGCCACCGAAGAGTTTCGTACAGGAGGTGATACCAGAAGGACTGAGGTCAGTTCCCCAAATGGAAGAGCACTGAGCCTCCTGCTGCAGAGGAGGGTTTGTCAGCAAAGCCCACCCCAGCAGCTTCAGGATGGAGTAGATCAGCTCTGGGGGATGTGGTGAGCTGCGTCGTGGGGTAACCTTTTGTTTCTTGCAGAGGCCAAACTGAGCAGTTTCTGGCAGTTGATTGTGGATGAGAAAAAGCAGGTTTTCACTTCTGAGAAATTCCTGGTCATGGCTTCAGAGGATGGTAAGTTACTCCATGCTTAGTTGAACTCGGGATTGAGGCAAAGTCTCTTTGGAAAATCTTCAGAGAGGACCCTTTCTTGACCAACCAGTCAGGTCTGCAAAAACCTGGGCCAGAGTGATCTGGCCAACAGCTTAGCTGTTGTGGGAATAAATTCATTCCTGTAGGGAACATAAGGTTAGGGAAATGGGACTTGGGAGATGTGTGGAGACAGAGCAGTAATGGCTGTGGAGCTACGACATGAGCTGTAATTATAGCTGATTGGGTAATTGGTGCTGTCTCGGAGGTTTTCTTGTGTTAAGGCAGCTGAGAAGCTCTTGTGGAGTCTGGCAGGCTCTACTCCCCCACCAAGAGACACAAAAACTACTGGTTTCTATCCTGGCAGAAAAGGAACAGTTGAATTTTAAATATGTGTTTAATATTCTACGTTGCCTTAGGAGTGTCTGCCACTAATTGGTGATTTGAAGAGTCGTTTGACTCATAAATCGCAACATCCCATTAATGAGCTACAACTGTTAGTCATTTCCTGGTTTTAGAAAAATTTTTAGCTAAATTTTGAAAAGGAAATAGACTAATGTAATTCAAAAATAGATACAAGAGGGTCTACATTGAAAATTATACCCCTGCTTTGATCTCTGGCTACCCAGTTCCTCGGCTATAGATAACCAATTTTATTAGCTTCTTCTGTAGCCTTGATATTTTATATATATGCAAGTAAATACCTGTATATGTTTGTTCTGTACCTTTTTTACACAAATGGTAGTGTGCCTGCCGTATGTACTGTGCTTTCTAGACCTGGAAATGAGTCCATATCAGTATATAATGAACTTCATCATTCTTTTTTTTTTTTTTTTTTTTGAGATGGAGTTTCGTTCTTATTGCTCAGGCTGGAGTGCAGTGGCATGATCTCAGCCCACCGCAACCTCTCCCCCTGGGTTCAAGCGGTTCTCTTGCCTCAGCCTCCTGAGTAGCTGGGATTACAGGCATGTGCCACTACCACCAGGCTAATTTTGTTTTTGTTTTTTTTTTTCTTAGTAGAGATGGGGTTTCTCCATGTTGGTCAGGCTGGTCTCGAACTCCCGACCTCAGGTGATCCACCTGCCTCGGCCTCCCAAAGTGCTGGGATTACAGGCATGAGCCACCATGCCCGGCCTCTTTTTATAACTCCATAGTAATTTGTTGTTGTTGTTGTTGTTGAGACAGGATCTCACTCTGTTGCCCAGGCTGGAGTGCAGTGACACAGTCATGGCTCACTGCAGCCTCGACCTCCCTGGTCTCAGGTGGTCCTCCCACCTCAGCTTCCTGAGTAGCTGGGACTACAGGTGCACACCACCACATCTGGCTAATTTTTGTATTTTTTTTTAAGAGACGGGGGTTTCACCATGTTGCCCAGGCTGACCTTGAACTCCTGGGCTTAAGCAATTCTCCTGCCTCAGCCTCCAAAAGTGTTGGTGTTACAGACATGAGCCATCGTGCCTGGCCTTAGTAATTTTTTTTTTTTTTTTTTGAGACAGAGTCTCGCTCTGTCGCCCAGGCTGGAGTGCAGTGGCGCGATCTCAGCTCACTGCAAGCTCCGCCTCCCGGGTTCACGCCATTCTCCTGCCTCAGCCTCCTGAGTAGCTGGGACTACAGGTGCATGCCGCCACGCCTGGCTAATTTTTTGTATTTTTAGAAGAGATGGGGTTTCACAGTGTTAGCCAGGCTGGTCTTGGTCTCCTGACCTCATGATCCGCCCACCTTGGCCTCCCAAAGTGCTGGGATTACATGCGTGAGCCACCGGATCAGGCATTTTTTTTTTTTTTTTTTTTTGAGACAGTCTCACTCTGTTGCCCAGGCTGGAGTGCAGTGGTGCAATCTCTGCTCATTGCAACCTCCACCTCCCGGGTTCAAGCAATTCTCCTGCCTCAGCCTCTTTGAGTAGCTGGGACTACAGGTGCACACCACCACACCTGGCTAATTTTTGTATTTTTAGTACAGACGGGGTTTTACTATGTTGGCCAGGCTGGTCTCGAACTCCTGACTTCAGGTGACCTGCCTGCTTTGGCCTCCCAGAGTGCTGGGATTACAGGCGTGAGCCACTGTGCCTGGCCGTAATTTTTAATTATTAAAAAAAAATAGGCTGGGGCCGGACACGGTGGCTCACGCCTGTAATCCCAGCACTTTGGGAGGCCGAGGCGGGCAGATCATGAGGTCGAGATCGAGACTATCCTGGCCAACATGGTGAAACCCTGTCTCTAATAAAAATACAAAAATAAGCTGGGCGTGGTAGCAGGTGCCTGTAATCCCAGCTACTCGGGAGGCTGAGGCAGGAGAATCTCTTGAACCCAAGAGGCGGAGGTTGCAGTAAGCCGAGATTGCACCATTGTATTCCAGCCTGGGTGACAGAGCAAGACTCCGTCTCAAAACAACAACAACAACAACGAAAACAAAATACATAGGCCTGGCATGGTGGCTCATGCCTGTAATCCTAGCACCTTGAGAGGCTGAAGTGGACTGATCACTTGAGGTCAGGAGTTCAGAATTATCCTGGCCAACATGGTGAAACCTCGTCTCTACTAAAAATAGAAAAAAAAAAATTAGCCAGGCTTGCTGGTGGGCTTCTGTAATCCCAGCTACTCAGGAGGCTGAGGCAGGAGAATTAGTTGAACCTGGGAGGCGGAGGGTGTAGTGAGCCAAGACTGCACCACTGCACTGTAGCCTGGGCAACATAGCGAGACTCTGTCTCAAAAAAAGTAAAAATAGGCTAGGTGCGGTGGCTCACGCCTGTAATCCTAGCACTTTGGGAGACCGAGGCAGGTGGATCACCTGTGGTCAGGAGTTCAAGTCCAACCTGGCCAACCTGGTGAAACCCCGTCTCTACTAAAAATACAAAATTTGGCCTGGTGCAGTGGCTCACGCCTGTAATCCCAACACTTAGGGAGGCTGAGGCAGGTGGATCACGAGGCCAGGAGATCGAGACCATCCTGGCTAACATGGTGAAACCCAGTCTCTACTAAAAAATATAAAAAAATTAGCGGGTGCCTGTCGTCCCAGCTACTCGAGAGGCCGAGGCAGGAGAATGGTGTGAACCTGGGAGGCGGAGCTTGCAGTAAGCCCTGAGATCGTGCCACTGCACTCCAGCCTGGGCGACAGAGCGTGACTGTCTCTCAAAAAAAAAAATATATATATATATATGTGTGTGTGTGTGTGTGTGTGTGTGTGTGTGTGTATATATGTGTATATATGTATATGTATATATATGTGTATATATGTGTATATGTGTGTATATTATATATAAAATAAATAAAAATAGTATATACTTTACTGATTCCAAAATACATGTGTGCATAAGCAAAAAAAAAAAAACAAGCTGTAATTTCACTTCGAGTGATAATCACATTTATATTTTGGTGTTAATTTTCAGTTCATTCCAGTTATTTCTGGGTATTGGTATGTATGTGTACACTTAACTATTTTAAAAACACTTCCATTCCTTTTCTTCCCTCCAAGCCCTGTGTACTGTGTTGCATCTGACAGAGAGACTTTTCCTTGACCACCCGCATAGACTCACTGGCAACAAAGTTCAGTACGTGAGGCTGGCTTACCTTTTCTTTTGGGCCAAATGAGGCAAAGGCTGGCAGGAACCCGAGAAAGGGTGTGTGGCAGGTGGAAGGGTTGGCTGTGGAAAGCCCTGCTCTTGGCCTTCCCCCAGACCTGTCTGTCCCTGTGCTTGCAGGCAGTACCACCGGGCTCTGGTGGCGGTGCTCCTGAGCCGCACCTGGCACGTCCGCAGGCAGGCTCAGCAGACAGTTCGGAAGCTGCTGTCCTCTCTTGGGGGCTTTAAGCTGGCGCACGGACTCTTGGAGGAGCTGAAGACTGTCCTCAGTTCTCACAAGGTGAGGGCATCTGGGCTCTAGAACTGGGGCTCTTGGATCCACTTAGCTGCCCCTGCTTACGATGTGGGGTTTTGGCTGGGCCACTCCCTGGGTGTTCTTTCTTAATCTGTGTGATGCCAGCATCTTCTGCTCTGCCGTCAAGCTCCAGTAACATCTTTCATAGGATTCCTTTTCCTTTTCAGAGACTTTTTTTCACATGTAGCTTAACCTTTTTTCCAGGGTTTTTGGGGTTTTTGTTTTGTTTTGTTTTGTTTTGCTCACTGCAACCTCTACTTCCCAAGCTTGAGCGATCCTTCCACCTCAGCCTCCCAAGTTGCTGGGACTATAGGTGCACACCACCTGCAGTGGCCGCTAATTTTTTGATTTTTGATTTTTTGTAGAGATGGGGTCTCGCCATGTCGCCCAGGCTGATCTCGAACTTCTAGGCTGAAGTGATCCTCCTACCTCGGCTTCCCAAAGTGTTGGGATTACAGGCACGAGCCACCGTGCCCTCCCCCTTTATCCTTGATTAATTGAATAACACTTTATGTTTTTAAAGCACTTTGTACTTTTTAAAGCATTTTCTACCCATTTTTTCCTTTTGATTTTTTTTTTAACAATGCGTTTCAAAGGCAAATAGGGCTTGTTATTCTTGTGTCATATGAATTGACCAGGGTTCTAGGAGTTCAAATGACTTGCACAGGGTCTCCCCCGACGGAGGGAGACCCTCAAAGACCTGGCTGTTATTTCTGTGCTCTTTGTGCCGTGTTCCACTGCTTCCCTCCCTCCCAAAGCCTGTTGAGGAATGTGGGCCAGTGACAGACTTGCCACCACAGGCTGGGTCTCCTGGACCAGTTCCTGGTGCCTTCTTTACCCCTGCAGGCTTTTTAGATGCAAAGCCACAGGTGCTTCCTTCTTCCAGGCACATCTCACAGCCTGTGGGTCCCATTGCAGGAAGCTGGGCATCCATTTCTACTCCAGCAAGGACCCCAGGGAAGAACTGAGTGAGGGGCCGCTGTGTCCGTAGCATATTTGGTTCCTGTGTTCCAAGCCTGCACAGGGCTCTTAGCAGTATTATCTCATGTGTCTCCACACAGGTGCTGCCCTTAGAGGCTTTGGTGACTGATGCTGGAGAGGTGACTGAGGCAGGCAAGGCCTACGTGCCTCCACGGGTCCTGCAGGAGGCTCTGTGTGTCATCTCCGGTGTGCCAGGGCTCAAGGGTGATGTCACCGACACTGAACAACTGGCCCAGGAAATGCTGATCATCTCCCACCACCCATCCTTAGGTCCGTGGCTGCGGTGGGTGTGGGAGAGCCCAGAGCTTTAGGGGATGGGGTAAGAGCAGGCCAGGCAGAAGGCCTCAAAGAGCTCCCTTCCCCTTCAGTTGCCGTGCAGTCTGGACTTTGGCCAGCACTTCTTGCCAGGATGAAGATCGATCCTGAAGCCTTTATCACCAGGCACCTGGATCAGATCATTCCCAGGATGACCACACAGAGTCCCCTAAACCAGGTGACGGGCACATGAGCTGGTCTGGCCTCAGGTCCGGGAGGGGGCCCTCTCATCACAGTGTACAGGAAGAGAGGATTCAAAGAAGCAGGTGAAGATGGATGAAATGTAGGCTTGGACCCTTGGTTGCACGTGACAGAAATGTAAACTGGTTTAAGCACAAAAGGGAACTTACTGCCTCATTTACCTGCAAAGTCCAAGGATATGACTGGCTACAGGGGTTCACATGTTGCCCTTGGAACATTGTAGGTGATGTCTCTCTTACTCTGTCCCATCCATCTTTGTCTGTTGTCTCTGTTTTCCACGATGTGGGCTCCATTCTCAGGCTTTCCCTTTCTGGTAGCACAAGAGCTGCTAGAGTTCCAGGCTTTGTCTTGCCATCAGCTCCTAGGGGAATAGCTTGCATATTTCAATAATGTCTACTGGCTTGGGGTCGCTTTGACCCTGATTAATCTGACTTGGGTGCCATGCTCATCTCTGCACCCATCCTTCTGTTCTGGGTCACATGCCTACCTCTGGAAAAAGTGAGGGCAGCTCCACCTGAACCACGGAGATTGAGAATTGGGAAGG
The DNA here is from genome assembly GCF_000001405.40 of Homo sapiens. Taxonomy (NCBI): domain Eukaryota; kingdom Metazoa; phylum Chordata; class Mammalia; order Primates; family Hominidae; genus Homo; species Homo sapiens. Next base: position 120,162,279 of record NC_000012.12, on the reverse strand, counting down.
AGTGTATCACCTCACGTCAGGTGCTGTGTCAGACAGAGGAGCACTGCTTGGTGAGGAAAGCAGACGCAGACTCCAGCCGGCCACTGTGATGGGCATTGCCCAGGAGTAACAAGGCAGTGGCATAAAGAAGGGGAGCCAGTGCTAGGGGCATTCAGGTGTGGTGGACCTCTTGCCAGTGCCAGCCTTGGCACACACTGACCATGTCTGCGTTTGTCTGGCAGTCCTCCATGAATGCCATGGGCTCCCTTTCCGTCCTGTCGCCGGACCGGGTCCTCCCACAGCTCATCAGCACCATCACTGCCTCCGTGCAGAACCCTGCACTGCGCCTGGTGACGCGGGAGGAGTTTGCCATTATGCAGACCCCTGCTGGGGAGCTGTATGACAAATCCATCATTCAGAGGTGAGACCTCACTTATGGGCTCAGTTTCCTTTGCTCCCCAAGGCATAGTTTTCTTGTGTGTAGAATGGAGCCAGTGCCTCCTGTGAGTTGAATGCAACAGCCTATCCATTCATTGGCTAAGCGCCTGTTGTGTCCCCGGCACGGTGCTTAGGTCCTGGGTATTTAAGTGTGTCCAGTATCCGGCACTGTGCTGGTGCACAGTGCTTAACAGCTAGTTGGAATTGCATGGCTGGCGGGAGGCTGACAGGACTTGCGGTGCTTTTCAAGCTGGCTGATGACCCACTCTGGTGTTTCAGTGCCCAGCAGGACAGCATAAAAAAGGCCAACATGAAGCGAGAGAACAAAGCTTATTCCTTCAAAGAGCAGATCATCGAGCTGGAGCTGAAGGAGGTGAGTACACGGAGGCACTTACGGAAGGTGGCTGCTGAGCTTGGTGGCCTCAAGCTGGTGGCTTTTCCCACTGCACATATGCTGTTCACTTGGAACATCCTGAGGCCCATGGCACACTCCTCTGATGCCCCTGACCAGTGTCTGGTGCACTGGCACACTTTCCCTTCACCCTTGCTTCATAGCTTCTTCCACCCACAACTCAAAACCGGTTTCTTTCTCTGCTGGGTGCTGGCGACAGTGCACGTGTCTCCTCTGCTAAGTGGTGTTGCTGGATTCCATGTCTGTCCCTCCACTTCCTTGAAGACTGGGACCCATCTAGACTCCTGATAGCAGGCACAGCGCCTGGTACAGTGGGACTTCTGGGGAATCATGACTTGATTGCTGAATTCAGCTTTGGGCAGAGCAGGTTCTGACAGGAGCAGAGCACACAGGACTCTTTCCTTCTCAGCGTTTGCTCTTCTCTCTGTCTTTACAAGGCAGGATTCTTCTTGTCTTTCTCATCTCAGTCCACATGTGTGCTTCTCAGAGAGGTGGCCAGCTTGTCCACCCTATCCAAAGTAGACCCCACCCTTCCTCCCTTTTACTAAACATCATATTTGTTTCTTTACTAACATTTATCATAACCCAAAAGCATCTTGTTTATGTGCTTGTTGACTTGTTTATTATCTATCTTCGCCTGCTAGATTGTGAGCTCCGTGAGGGCAGGGACTTTATCTTGTTCCTACGATATTCCTGCCATCTGGAACAGTGCCTGGCACAATCCAGGTGCTCACTAAATGTTTGCTGAATGAGTGAGTGAGTTCTGTGGCTTGTTGTCTCAGGCCACTATAGCAGGCCTTTTCTAAGCTTCAGCTTATCCTGTGGGAGAGCTTATGTAGGAAGGGGTTGGAGAGGAGGAGGCTAAAGTTTTGATTCTGAATCCATTTGGCTGTCAGAATACCCTTTTGAGTACATTGAGGAACCTTTATTTCTCTAACATAAAAAGCCCTCTTAGCCTTTGTCAGTAGAGAATCCAGTAAAACAACTACTTCTCTATTGCTGTCTCCATTCTATAGAAACCAGGTGGCTGTGGACTTTGTGGGAGGTTGGGGGTGCACATGGTGGGTTCAGGGGCCCAACTCACACTTAGAGCTGGTATGGTGCTGTTTGTGTGGAAGCAAGCTCACCTTCCTCTGTTGGGGAGGGAGGTCTGTTCCCTGGAGATGGGATTGGTTGGTTTGCCCATCCTCTTTAGGAGATAAAGAAGAAGAAAGGCATCAAAGAGGAGGTGCAGCTGACCAGCAAGCAGAAGGAGATGCTGCAGGCCCAGCTAGACAGGGAGGCGCAGGTCCGGAGGCGGCTGCAGGAGGTGAGTGGCCACCTCCGCCACATGCTCAAGCCGGAAGAGTGCTGGGCAGCTTGGTCCTGCTGCTTGCTGTCACAAGCAGGGCCCTGCTGACCTGCCTTCTGGACAACTCTGCTTGCAGCTGGATGGGGAGCTGGAGGCGGCGCTTGGACTGCTGGACATCATCCTGGCCAAGAACCCGTCCGGCCTGACCCAGTACATCCCTGTTTTGGTCGACTCTTTTCTGCCCTTGCTGAAGTCTCCCCTGGCTGCTCCCAGGATCAAGAACCCCTTCTTGTCCTTGGCTGCCTGTGTCATGCCCTCTAGGCTCAAGGCTTTGGGTTAGTCCTTGTTTGCTGGCTGCAGGGATGGCCCAGGGGTGCCCCTGAGTGCTTGGACAGGGTGTGCCCCTGAGTGCTTGTGGGGAGGTGGGTGGTGACCTCAGCTGCTGAGTTTTGTTTTCTTGTGGAAGCAGCCTTGGAGACTCAAGCTGGATATGCTTAGGAGAGACGTAGTGCCTCCTCTTCTCTCCCACTTCACATCTGTGCCCTCCCTCTGAGGAGTAGGTTTTAGATGCTAGTCAGTGTTCGATCTTTGTATACCAGTTTTAAAACTAAGAAGTCAGAAGTTCAGTGGCAGTGAGGATGGTTTGGTGGCTCAGCCCAGCCCAGATCTCCTGAACAGCCACATGACAGCAGTGAGCAGAGGCCCTTGAGACCTTTAGCTTCCTCTTAGCTCTGGAGAAACAAACACCAGGTAGGGTGGCTGGCAGTTCTGGTGGCCTTGCTTCTGTGGGTTGTTTAGTGGCCTTCAGCAGACTTCTATCCTGGCCTAACGGTGATGTTCCCACGGGTGAGGCTAGAATCTGGGAACTGTTCTGAGTGGAAAAGTCAGCTGGTGCATATGAAACCTGCCAGAAGTGTCACCTGGCTGTCTGGGCTTGTTGCGTAGAGGTGGAGATGCTGCACAGATAGAGCTGTACTCTTGGCTGAATGACTCTTTGGTGGCCCTTGTCTCCTGTCAGCGTACTCATTTCTTAAATGTCCAAAGGGCAACTCTCTGCCTACCTGCCCTCTGAGGCTGTCACAAAGATCAAGTGAGAAATTAGGCTGGGGACATTTTGGCGAAGCAGAAAGATTTTTTTTTTTTTTTTTGAGACGGAGTCTTACTCTGTCACCCAGGCTGGAGTGCAGTGGCGCCATCTTGGCTCACTGCCAGCTCCGCTTCCCGGGTTCATGCCATTCTCCTTCTTGAGCCTCCTGAGTAGCTGGGACTACAGGCGCCCGTCACCACGCCCAGCTAATTTTTTGTATTTTTAGTAGAGATGGGGTTTCACCGTGTTAGCCAGGATGGTCTCAATCTCCTGACCTCATGATCCGCCCGCCTCGGCCTCCCAAAGTGCTGGGATTACAGGCATCAGCCACCGCGCCCAGCCGCAGAAATATTTTTTTAAGTCAGAAGGATGAGGCACTGGGTCCCCTGTTTTAGCCTGGGCTGGATTCCACATCTCTGTGTGTCATCTCCTGCTGGGTCTCTCCTCTTCAACACAGGCACTTTGGTGAGCCACGTGACCCTGCGCCTGCTGAAGCCAGAGTGTGTCCTGGATAAGTCCTGGTGCCAGGAAGAGCTGTCGGTGGCTGTGAAGAGGGCGGTGATGCTGCTGCACACCCACACCATCACCAGCAGGGTGGGCAAGGGGGAGCCAGGTAAGGGCTGGGACGGGATCAGGGGCACCAGGCGGTGTGAGCTGGTGCCAGGAATGCTGCTCAAGGCACAGCGTCACCCAGGGCCTCCTGAGCCTGGGGGATTGGACCATATGGAGGATTTCTGAATTGAACCTTCGTAGTCTGTGAATTGCAGTGAGCCCAGTTGAGGGTTTACTTTTTGTCACTGGTGTCCCCATCTCTGTTTTAACTCTCACATCCTGGAACTGGGCAGTGTTTGGCAGTAGAAGCAGAATTGGTTTTAGAACTGGACTACCAGCTGCTGTCTCTGTCCTCGTGCCATGTGCTTCCAGGTGTCAGAACGGGCCTCTGGTCCATCCGTTCCCTACTTTCCCTGAGGATAGAAATAGGCAGCAGTGGCCCGGGTCCCTGCCCTGCCTGCAGAATCTTATCTGCTTCTCGCTCTCACAGGTGCTGCGCCCTTGTCCGCGCCAGCCTTCTCCTTAGTCTTCCCGTTTCTGAAGATGGTGCTGACGGAGATGCCCCACCACAGTGAGGAGGAGGAGGAGTGGATGGCCCAGATTCTTCAGATCCTCACTGTCCAAGCCCAGCTGAGGGCCTCCCCCAACACCCCACCCGGGCGGGTGGACGAGGTTGGCAGGGAAGCTCTGCTCTCCTCTTGGTTTAAAGGGGATCAGGGAGGCAGGGCCTGTGGACACGTTTTGTCTCATGAACAGTTCCTGGTGGGGAAATAGAGAGTGTATGTTTATACCAACAGCAGCCTCACACAGTGTTGTGGGTTTTTTAAGGCAAAAACGGGTCAGACTGCTTCTTTCATGTGATTGTAGACTCTGGCTCTCCTGCCATGCCAGTACATGTCAGTTCACCTGATTGACTTTGTTGGCTGCATGAGATTCTGTGCTATGGATGTACCATGTTTTACTTAACTCTTTACCTGTTGATGAGTTCTTAAGGTTGTTTCTAACTTTTTCCTGTTTTGAACAGCACTGTGATGTGCCCTCTTGTATGTATATGCCCCTTACTTAACCAGTGTGAGCATTTCTTTAGGACAGGTTCATTGGACATGGAATTACTAGATTATATGGCATATTCTGAGCTATACTCTCACCAAGAGTTTTCTTTTCTCAAAGCCTTAATGCAACCTCAGATAGTATTAATATCGTCAGTGATGAGTGAAAGAATGATAATCTCATTTTATTTTGCATTTCATTTAAAGTTGAGTGTCTCTTCATATATTTACGGTCTTTCTGGATTTCATAGTGTGAATTTCAAGCAAGTTTCAGAATTTAGTTTTTAGTTCCTGAGGATCATGGTTGACTGGGGTTAGCACCTGTGGACCTAGTTGTAAACTTAATGAGGTTTCTGTGGTGGGGCCGGTTGTATGATCCAGAATGTTCCCCCGTGGGTGAGAGGATGCCCTGCCGTTGGCCGCCTGGGTTACAGACCTCCCCACAGCCTCATCTCGACTTACCTGCCGTTCTCTCCTAGAATGGCCCGGAGTTGCTGCCTCGCGTGGCCATGCTGCGTCTTCTGACTTGGGTGATCGGGACGGGCTCGCCTCGCTTACAGGTGATGTGGTTTTCAGTTGGCTGTTGCTGTGACTCAGTTCGTGACCCAGACCTCAAGTCCCAGTGTAAAGGGTGGAGTCCTAGTTTCCTTTCAGCCCTTACTTTTGGACTTTGGTAGAAAGACTGCTTTAGAGAGCCAGCCTGACTGTTGTTAGCTAGTGAGGGGTTTTGCTTGGGTCCTGCCACTGGAGCTGGGGTCTTAGCCCTTGCAGTGCTGTAGGGGTGGGTGTTCTCAGTGCATATCCCTCTCTGGCCCCCTAGTAGTAAATGAGTTGCTGACTGAACCAGTGGATTGATGTTCTCCTTAGGTTCTGGCTTCAGACACCCTGACCACCCTGTGTGCCAGCAGCAGTGGTGATGATGGCTGTGCCTTTGCAGAGCAGGAGGAGGTGGACGTGCTGCTCTGTGCCTTGCAGTCCCCGTGTGCCAGCGTGCGGGAAACCGTGCTCCGGGTGTGTGCTCAGTCTCAGAGCCACTGCAGTGTCCCTTGTCACTCTATGCAAGTGCAAATTGCATGATGGGCATTTGAGAGAATGTCCCTCACTCTGGTGGGAGGCCTAGAGGCAAAGAGAAGAAGTCACATGGTTGGGGTCTCTCTGAGAATCAGAACACTAAGCAGTCATGATGTATCACTGTATTTTTTCCTTTACCTTGGAACACTTCACTTAATTTTTAAACTGGAATGTGGACCTTGGTACTTCCACGGACAGAGCTAACTTGCAGGAGGAGTTCAATTCTTTAGCCCACTGCCATGTACTTGGTTTTTCTTCATGGCTTTTGGACCAAAAACTGAAGCATCCCCTTGTAGTGGTAAGACAGTGGTTCCTACCTGCTGATCCACAGCCTCCTGCTATTGATATGTGACAGAGTTTTCACTGGCTTTTGGTAAAATGTGAAAATGATGACAATATAGTAAATTTTTCCTTAAAATTTTTTTGAACAAAAGGAATACGCTTTTTCTGAGGTTTTTATCTGTCTGGTTTATTTAACGTTTTAATTTTCACATTAAAAAAACATTTTACCACCTCACACTCTAAGGAACTTACTTAGAGTTAATTTTAATTGATTTAACTTTAGCCACATGCGGTTAGTGGCTACATCTTGGACAGTACAACCTAGAGAGAGGTGAGGAGGCAGGTCAGAGGCTCTTCTGAAAGATGATGCCTCACACGGTCCAATCCCACCCCTTCCAGGGGCTGATGGAACTCCACATGGTATTGCCAGCACCTGATACTGATGAGAAGAATGGCCTGAACCTTCTGCGGAGACTCTGGGTGGTCAAGTTTGACAAGGAGGAGGAGATCCGGAAGCTGGCTGAGAGGTGAGAGAGCCAGCATGTCGCTTTCTCCTGCTGCATCCTCTCTTCCTTTAGGAAATAACTGAACCCAGTGTGCTCAGCCTCCAGTGGGAAGAAGGGCTGGGCTGGCAGGGCAAGTGCTGCAGATCTTTGTCTAAGCAGCCCCTGCCTTGGATCTCCCACAGGCTCTGGTCAATGATGGGCCTAGACCTGCAGCCAGACCTCTGCTCCTTGCTGATTGACGACGTGATCTATCATGAGGCGGCTGTAAGGCAGGCAGGGGCCGAAGCCCTCTCCCAAGCAGTGGCACGTTACCAGCGGCAGGCGGCGGAGGTTATGGGCAGGCTCATGGAGATTTACCAGGAAAAGCTCTACGTGAGTGACCTGTGCAGCCCTGATGCAGTCTGGGTGTGTGCGGTTGGGTGGGTCTCTGCTCACCCCGCTACTGCTCCAGACAGGAATCTCGGGGCTCACGGTGGCTCAGGGTAGCTGCGGCTAGTTTCCTGCCTCACAATCCTGGTGCCCAGGTCATTGATCTGCCCGTTGCAAAGCATTTACCAACTTGTCTGTTGCAGCGGCCGCCCCCAGTGCTGGATGCTTTGGGACGAGTTATTTCAGAATCTCCTCCAGATCAGTGGGAAGCCAGGTATAACAATTGTTCAGCCTCGTTCTACTCCAAGCTTTGTGAGATGTGGCAGGTTGGCTGGGTGGGTGCTGTGAGGAGGCAGCATGGGTTAATGAAAGAGCAGGACCTCCCTCAGAGTCGGGGAGGCCTGAGTTCCATCAGCCCCTGGAAGGGGTGGGATTGGACCGTGTGAGGCACCATCTTTCAGAAGAGCCTCTGACCTGCCTCCTCACCTCTCTCTAGGCTGTACTGTCCAAGATGTAGCCACTAACCGCATGTGGCTAAAGTTAAATCAATTAAAATGAACTCTAAGTAAGTTCCTTAGAGTGTCCTCTCCTGCACTAGCTGCGTGACCGTGAGCGTGTTTCTCCTTTTCCCCAGGCCTCTGTTTCCTCATCTATATGCAGGGCACAATAACAGAAGCTACCAGCCTTTCTCCACAGAGCCCATGAGTAGCAGTTGGAGGATTAGACAGATGTCTGGGAGCAACTGGGACATTGAAAGACACTTGCCTCCCACAGAGCAGGCTCAAAACACGCAAGGGTGTTAGTTCTCTGAATGGCTCATCCTGGCCGTGTCCACTCCCGTGAGGCCTTGTGTGTCAGTGTAGGGTGGTGTATGGGCCCATCCTGGCTTATTTTTCATTCCAGACCATCAGCCAGGGATAGGACACAGATTCTTTGCTCCATGACTGGAAAGAGTAACAACACTTTGCCCTTGGAGAATGTGTTCACTTCCACAGGCCTCTACATCTGGTTCTTTTACCTCTGTGTTCTCTTACAACCTGCTTTGCAGGTAGAGGGGTGAGCATTGCACTCACATTCCTCTCTGGGGAAACCAACACAGGGCTGGTCACCCAGTAGGAGGTAAAATCAGGGCAGATGGCAAGTCTCCATATGACAAGTGGGTTGTTCCAGAACATTGGGTGAGCACTGGGTGGTGGGCTTCAGGCTGTTCTCTGCCCCCAAAACAGTGTTTGCCTCAGGCAAGCTCCCTCTCCTTGCCGTGCACCAGCAGAGGTTCCACTGGCAGAGGAGGCCCCCTGACTGCCCCTCCTGATGTGCTCCCACTTCTTTCCCAGGTGTGGCTTGGCGTTGGCCCTCAACAAGCTCTCCCAGTATTTGGACAGCTCTCAGGTGAAGCCACTCTTTCAGTTTTTTGTCCCTGATGCCCTCAATGACCGACACCCAGATGTCCGGAAGTGCATGTTGGATGCAGCCCTCGCAACGCTCAACACTCATGGGAAGGTAAGGGGGTCCCAGCCAGGGAACACCCACGGGAAGGTAAGGGGGTCCCAGCCCGCTAAGGAGACACGGGAGGCAGGCGCTAGGGCTGAGCAGGGGCCAGAAATGCTGAGTGCCAAGAGTCCTGGCAGAGCACTTTGAGCCAAAAAGACCATGATAGTGTGTTAAATTCTTTTAAGTCTGTGGCAGTCCTGCCAGAAAACTGGAAGAGCCACTGGCTGGCATGTCAGGATGCCTGTCCCAGAGCTAGACTTGGTCTTGGTCCTCAGGGCAGGGACTGTTGTCCCCAGATGCAGCCTGTAGGGTTGACCTGAGGCTCTGAGGGGTTTGGCTTTCCAGGAGAACGTCAACTCGCTGTTGCCAGTATTCGAGGAGTTCCTGAAGAACGCGCCCAATGATGCCAGCTATGATGCTGTGCGACAGAGTGTGGTGGTCCTGATGGGCTCTCTGGCCAAGCACCTGGACAAGAGTGACCCCAAAGTGAAGCCCATTGTTGCCAAGCTCATCGCTGCCCTCTCCACCCCCTCCCAGCAGGTACCTGCCATCTGGCCTGGGACCCACATGTCGGTTAGAGAATTGGGACCCGGCTGTGGTTAGGCGGTGGGATACTAGGGGTGGAGTTGGACAATCAGGGCCCTGAAAGCCCAGTTCTTGTTAAGGATTCACCCCCTCTCGCAGGGGAGAGCCTGGTTTATAGTCAGGAACACTCCTGGAGAGGGAGTTTCTTTGTTACTTTGTTCTAGTAGACCTCCCAGATAGTTTCATTTTTTTCTACTCACCTGGTTTATAGTGAAGAATGCCCCTGGAGAGGGAGTTTCTTTGTTACTTTGTTCTAATAGACCTCCTAGATAGTTCCATTTTTTCTATTCACTAACGTGCACTGGGAATCCAAAGGGAAAAAAAATAAAAGGTCAGGCTTTCTCTTATGTCAAGCCTTTTTCTGGCCCTCTACATGTGTTGGTTGTGTGTTACAGGTGCGTTTTAATGTAGCCTCTAAGCTACAGTGCAAATAAATTTCTTTTTCTTTGTTTTGAAAAACACGCATGTATGTATATATAAATATATATATATTTATATATATATATTTTGTGTGTGTGTGTGTGTGTGTGCGCGTGTGTGTGTGGTTTGCATTTTGGACCACTTAGAGTGTCTTCATAAAGTGAACAGTTGGGCTGGGCGTGGTGGCTCATGCCTATAATCCCAGTGCTTTAGGAGGCTACAGGTGCGTTTTAATGTAGCCTCTAAGCTACAGTGCAAATAAATTTCTTTTTCTTTGTTTTGAAAAACACGCATGTATATATATATAAATATATATATATTTATATATATATATTTTGTGTGTGTGTGTGTGTGTGTGCGCGTGTGTGTGTGGTTTGCATTTTGGACCACTTAGAGTGTCTTCATAAAGTGAACAGTTGGGCTGGGCGTGGTGGCTCATGCCTATAATCCCAGTGCTTTAGGAGGCTGAGGTGGGAGGATTGCTTAAGGCCAGTAGTTCGAGACCAGCCTGGGCAACATAGTGAGATCCTGTCTCTACAAAAACTTTAAAAATTAGCCAGAGGTGGAGGCCATGCCTGTGTTCCTAGCTACTCAGGAGACCGAGGCAATAGGATTGCTTGAGTCCAGGAATTCAAGGTTATAGTGAATTATGATTGTGCCACTGCACTGTAGCCTGGGTGACAGAGTAAGACCCTATTTCTAAAAACAAAAACAAAAAACAACAAAAAACTTTACCAAAAAAATGCACAGTTGAAAACCAGTTTCCAAAATTGTGGTCAAATATGGTGTCAGAAAGCCTAAGCAGCAAAAGAGTCGCACCTGGGCACCTGCCAGCATGGCCTCGGGGTTGCTGCTCCCAAGCTGGGCTTAGTGAGCTGCGGCTGGGAGGCAGGATTGAGTGTCTTTTGGTTCCACTCAATTTGTGCCTGGTCCTATAAGGCCCTGCCCAATTTCTCTGTGATTTTGACAAGTTTGGAAACAGAGACACGGGCTGTTTTTATGGAGGCAAAGCAGCACACTTCTCTGGAAGCTTTCTTTCTGAGTGGATTTAGTCTTTAGAGTCCCTTCCTTGGTCCCCTGCCCCACTGCCCAGGCCTAGGTTTTCCATTTAGACCAGAAATGGCACCATATGGGCCAAAGCTTTTGTCGTCAGCAGATTGTAGTGTGCACCCTCAGAGGTATACAACACTGTGTATACCTGTTTGCTTCTCTGGTGCCCTGTGACATCCGCAGGCAGTGGCTGAGATGGGGCTTGGGACATCTAGTGGTGGGTGCTGTGTAGAATGGTCAGACCCCCCACCAACCATGAAACGGCTGCAGCGGAGCCACAGCATTGACAGGTGGGCCCTTCCCCAGGTCCAGGAGTCCGTAGCCAGCTGCTTGCCACCCCTTGTGCCAGCCATCAAGGAGGATGCTGGAGGGATGATCCAGAGGCTTATGCAGCAGCTGCTGGAGTCAGACAAGTACGCAGAGCGCAAAGGGGCCGCCTATGGCCTGGCGGGCCTGGTGAAGGGCCTGGGCATCCTCTCGCTGAAGCAACAGGAGATGATGGCGGCACTGACTGATGCCATCCAAGATAAGAAGAACTTCCGCCGGCGAGAGGGTGAGCATCTCTGAGCTTGGGGCTGCCCAGCATGGGAAGTTGGTCCCCAGGTTGCCAGAGGAAGGAATCTGACCGTGGCGCCCCAGGTGGAGGCCGTTGCTTGTGCGTGTACTACAGAGGGCCCCGCTGTGTGCGACCCAGTCCAGCTGCGTCCTTGCTGCTTTCCTTGGACTTGCAAATTTTTTTTTCTTTTCTGTTTTTTTTTTTTGAGACGGAGTCTCGCTCTGTCGCCCAGGCTAGAGTGCAGTGGCGTGATCTTGGCTCACTGCAAGCTCAGCCTCCTGGGTTCATGCCATTCTCCTGCCTTAGCCTCCCAAGTAGCTGGGACCACAGGCGCCCGCCACCACGCCCGGCTAATTTTTTGTATTTTTAGTAGAGGCGGGGTTTCACCGTGTTAGCCAGGATGGTCTCGATCTCCTGACCTCGTGATCTGTCCGCCTCAGCCTCCCAAAGTGCTGGGATTACAGGCATGAACCACCGCGCCCGGCCACAAATTTCTAACTCAGCAACACCCTTAGCTGAGAGAGGTTTGGCTTTTCTTTCTTTCTTTCTTTCTTTTTTTTTTGAGATGGAGTCCCACTCTGTCTCCAGGCACAATCTCGGCTCACTGCAATCTTCACCTCCTGGGTTCAAGCAATTCTCCTACCTCAGCCACCCTAGTAGCTGGGGTTACAGGTGCCCACCACCATACCCAGCTAATTTTTGTATTTTTAGTAGAGACAGGGTTTCACCATGTTGGCCAAGATGGTCTCTATTTCCTGACCTCGTGATCTGCCTGCCTCAGCCTCCCAAAGTGTTGGGATTATGGGTGTGAGCCACCGCGCCCGGCCAAGGTTTGGCTTTTTTAACTGTTAGTGCCAAGAAGTGAAGGTGGCTCCCCTGTGCTGTCCTCCCTTTCGCTCAGCCACATTCCTTTGCTGGGGCTTCTTGAGCTGAGGCAGAGGGTGCTGCCTCCTCATGGGGCATCTACTAGTTCCACAGCTGTTTCTGAGTGTTTCCAGAGGGGTGGGAGGTGGCAGGGAGGTTGCTGTCCCTTCTGTTCTCTGTGGCTACCCCCAGGGGACATTCTCTTCCCAGCCGTCCCACCTTCTTTTCCCCTAGGAGCCCTCTTTGCCTTCGAGATGCTCTGCACCATGCTGGGGAAACTTTTTGAGCCGTATGTGGTTCACGTGCTGCCCCATCTGCTCCTGTGCTTTGGGGATGGAAACCAGTATGTGCGTGAGGTAAGTCCCCGGACTGCTCGGGAGAACAGCATGGAAACTTTATGAGATGTGTTCCCAGCTGTGTCTGCAGGCCTTGGCACAGGGTCTGACATAATAGAACCCCAGTAAGCGTTGGTTATAGGAGGAACGCTAGGACTGGTGTCAGGCCTTGCCCCTTGCTTGGGTGAGGAGGCCCCTGAATGTGTTTTCTCCCCCCTTGAGGCTGCAGATGACTGTGCCAAGGCTGTGATGAGCAACTTGAGTGCTCACGGGGTGAAGCTGGTGCTCCCCTCCTTACTGGCTGCCCTGGAGGAGGAATCGTGGCGGACCAAAGCTGGTAAGACCACTCGCTCTGCCTCTCTTCCCAGCTTCCTGTTATGAAAACCAGCCTCAGCAAGGATCCTGGGTAGCCACAGCTCTTGTCCTGTGAGCTCCCCAGACCAGGGATAGGGTTAAGACTCTGCCTTTTTAAAAATTTGAGATGGAGTCTTGCTCTATCACCCAGGCTGGTCTTTACCTTTGGGGCTCAAACCATTCTCACAGGAGCATGCCACTACACCTGGCTAATTTTTGTATTTTTTTTTGTAATGATGGAGTCTCGCTATGTTGCCCAGACTGGCCTTGAATTCCTGGGTTCAAGTGACCCTCCTGCCTTGGCCTCCCAAAGCACTGGGATTGCAGGTGTGAGTCACCACGCCTGGCCAGCTCTCCCTCTGGCAGTTGGATCTTTCTATAGTTTATGTGCTTTCATGCCAAGAAACAGGTCTCTGACAAGAGCCACAACCCTAAGTCAGGATATCCTAAAGCTCTAAAGCTCCTCTTTGGCTTTAAAGTTTTCCCCCCCCAGGAAAGCTCTTTTTGAAAATAACCTTAGGCAGGAGAATCTCTTGAGGGCAGGAATTTAGACCAGCCTGGGCAATATAGCAAGACCCTACCTCTACCAAAAAAAAAAAAAATAGGCCAAGTGTGGTGGTGCATGCCTGTAGTCCCAGCTACTCAGGAGGCTGAAGTGGAAGGATCACTTGAGCCCTGGAGTTTGGGGCTGCAGCGAGCTATAATCTTGCCACCACACTCCAACCTGGGCAGCAGCGTGAGACCCTGTCTCAAAAATAAATAAATAAAATGTCTGGCACCCTAATAAGCAAACAGATAAAAGTAGAGCTGCTCTAGTTGGGGGAGGATCACCATCTAAGGCCCTCCCACTCAACCTCCTTCTCAGTCCTTCAGGCTTCACCCTGTAGTTTGAAACAACACAAATCTAAATCAGTTTCCTCATTTGTGGATGAAGAAACAGTTCAGAGAAATTCAGTGAATTGGCCTTGGATCTCACTGTAAGGATTAAACCAGGTCTTACCTATCCTGGTCTCTTTCTCCCATACTGCCCTGCCTCTCACCTGGGATCCCACTGTTCAGCAGGCCACAAGAGCTTTTTCGACCCCTCTGCTAGAGCCAGCCCCCTCTCCCCTCCTCCCAGTGACTGCTTGAGCACCGTCTGCAGGGGCCAGGGTAGATGTCCCTTGCTCATGTAGCCAGCACAGGTGAGTTGCTGGCCTTTGCTCAGTGATTCAGTACTGGGCTTGTGTCTGCTATCCACAGGGTCAGTGGAGCTTCTTGGGGCAATGGCGTACTGTGCTCCTAAGCAGCTGTCATCCTGTCTACCCAACATTGTGCCCAAGCTTACGGAGGTGCTGACCGACTCCCATGTCAAAGTCCAGAAGGCTGGACAGCAGGCGCTCAGGCAGATCGGCTCCGTTATCAGGAACCCGGAGATCCTGGGTAGGCCTTTCCCGTGAGGGTGCTTGCCCTGACCTCCCACCAACGCCGCAGCCTTTGGACACTGCAGGGAACTTGCACCCATTCAGCTAAGATCTTTGCCTCCGAGGACAAATATGTTCACAGTGAAATAGGGACACTGAGTCATTGGCTCAGGAGCAGTTTGACTCCAAGAGATCCCTGTGCACTAAGCTGAGCATGAGGTCAACAGAACTGAATGACATTATCTGGACCACATCAGCACCATTCAAAATGTTAGGACCTGTGAAAACTTGCTATTCCATCTCATTCCAGGAGGCCTTTGATAGAGGGGAGGGTTAAGGAAGGGTTAGGATTAACCTGACTACTCTGGATGTGGTTCTTTCTCAAGTACTGGGAAGAGGTCGATCGCTAGGAACAAAACCCAGCCAGCCACCTTGACCAGCATGTCACTTGTTAAATTCTAAGCTTCAGCTGCCAGTGCCCAGTCAGTACTTCAGTCTGGAAAGTGGAATAACCTCAAAATACATAAAACAAAATTTATAAAGCTATAGGGAAAAGTTAACAAATACATTATATCATAGTGGGAGATTTCAACACACTTCTCCATTACCGATAGGCAAACCAGAAATTTACTAAGGATACATGCTTTTCAAAAATTTTATTTCTGTGGCTCATGCCTGTAATCCAGCGCTTTGGGAGGCTGAGGCGGGCGGATCACCTGAGGTCAGGAGTTGGAGTGAAACAAGGATTGCTCTTTGTGGGTTTCCTGTCTTCCCCAGCTGGTGACTTGTGGGGTTTCAGGGAGGAGGTGTGCCAGACTCCCTTCTCTTCTGATCCATTCTAGTTCTGGGGGCCCAGGGGCCTTGCAGCTGCATAGATGTATATCATCCAGCTCTCTTCTCTTTGGATGTGCAGCCATTGCTCCAGTCCTCCTGGATGCCCTGACGGATCCCTCCAGGAAGACCCAGAAGTGCTTGCAGACCCTGCTGGACACCAAGTTTGTCCACTTCATTGATGCCCCATCCCTGGCCCTCATCATGCCCATTGTCCAGAGAGCCTTCCAGGACCGTTCCACGGACACGCGGAAGATGGCAGCCCAGATTATTGGCAACATGTACTCCCTGACAGACCAGAAGGTAGCGGCCCAGCTGAGGCTAGTGTGGGATAGACCAGAAGATGTTTGAGTGCAGAGTCAGAGGTGCAGAGTCCCCACATTAGACATGGAAAGTTATGGACGTTAGTCCCTAATTATTTTTATGGGGAGAAATGAGCCATTTTGTGGTGGAAATCCGGGCTCTCTGGGCATCTTAGCGCAGTGGTTCAAGTCCTTCTTAGTTCTCAGCTGAGGCCCAGAAAGGCCTGTCTTCTCTTTTGACCTCTCAAGAGTGTTGAAGTGCTTGCCACTTTGACTACTTGCTCTTGACAAGAATACTCCTGTATTGTTGTCAGGAGAGCCTGGTTTGGGAGATTTTGTTTGTTTGTTTGTTTGCTCCCAAGAGCTTGCATGTGTGATCTCACTGTCTGCCTTAGGAGCTCACATGTGTGGTCTCACTGTCTGCCATAGCTCTGCTTTGCTTACTGAGGCTATGGGCAAAAAAAATATATAAAAGTTATATTAATCCTAGAAAATTTGGGAAATTAAAAAACCAGAAAAACAGACCAGGCTTGGTGGCTAATGCTTGTAATCCCAGGACTTTGGGATGCTGAAATGGGAGGATAGCTTGAGCCCAGGAGGTTGAGGATACAGTGAGCCGTGATAATACCGCCGTGATAATACCACCGCACTCCAGCCTGGGGTGACAGAGCAAGACCCTGTCTTAAAAAGTAAATTAATTAATTAAAAAAATTAGAAAACCAAAATATTTTATCTACAGTTCCCCACCACGAAAATAATTACTGTTAATTTTTTTTTTTTTTTTTTTGAGATGGAGTCTTGCTCTGTTGCCAGGCTGGAGTGCACTGAATCAGTCTCGGCTCACTGCAACCTCTGCCGCCTGGGTTCAAGCGATTCTCCTGCCTCAGCCTCCCGAGTAGCTGGGATTACAGCCGCCCACCACCATGCCTGGCTAATTTTTGTATTTTTAGTAGAGACAGGGTGAAACCATGTTGGCCAGGCTGGTCTCGAACTCCTGACCTCAGGTGATCCACCCGCCTCGACTTCCCAAAGTGCTGGAATTATAGGCGTGAACCACCGTGCCCGGCCAATTACTGTTAATTTTTAAAATTACATTTAAAAATGGCATTCCTAAACTTAAAACTTATTCCCAAGTTATAACAAGTTATTCACAAAACTGATTTTTAATAGTTACATAATATCTCAACAAGTTTATATACCATAACTTATATAATTCTATCATTGGTCATATAGTGTCCAAGGTTTTTGGCTATTTTAAGTGATGCTGCAGTGAACATAAGGCATTTTCTGTATTTAAAATTATTCCCTAAAGCTGAATGCTCTATCAAAAGACATAAACATTTTGAGATGAAGAAAGGGAAGATGTTAATAAAATTCTGAAAGGAAATTACCAGAAGTAATTTGCTAAAGATTCCAGAGTCTGGACAGGCCTTGGTCCTAAGAGAAGGGTGGGAGGTGCAAGAGCATTGAACTCCTGTTTGTTGAGGATGGGCCTGGGGTCCCTTGTAGGAGTCCCTGAGCAATTGCAGAGGGCCTTGAAGGAACCAGTCGGAGAGGGGACTTACTTGCCCTCCCTGTTCCGTGGGCAGTGAGGTTTGCATGCTAGGTGCCCCTGCCAAGCACTCCTTGCCAGCAGAATGGGGAGGTCAGGGTCCACAGTGGAACAGGCCTGGAGAAAGCAGGAGTCGGGCCTCACCTGAGCCGCCTCCTGTGTTGTTGCAGGACTTGGCTCCGTACCTGCCCAGCGTGACGCCTGGCCTGAAAGCATCGCTTTTGGACCCTGTGCCTGAGGTGAGTCTGAGGTAGGCTGGGGGATGGGCCAGGCCCCTCATCCAGTCCCCATAAATGGATTCCTGAGAATTCCCCAAAGCTGCTTTTGTGTCTGTTGGGTAAAGAGAAAGAGGCCCTCGGTGCCCCTTCCTGCTCCCATGTGGCTACCTTGTTTTGAGCCTCATCTTCTCACACCATCTCTGCTCTCGGTTACCTGACAGGTGCGGACCGTATCTGCAAAGGCCCTTGGGGCCATGGTGAAGGGCATGGGGGAGTCGTGCTTTGAGGACTTGCTGCCGTGGCTGATGGAGACACTGACCTATGAGCAGAGCTCTGTGGATCGCTCAGGCGCTGCACAGGGTAAGGCCAGAGCAGGTCCAGTGGCCAGCCTGGGAATGCTCTAAGGGGCCCTCAGATCCAGTGGACTCATTCTGTCCTTTGTTGCAGGGTTGGCTGAGGTCATGGCCGGTTTGGGGGTGGAGAAGTTGGAGAAGTTGATGCCAGAAATCGTGGCTACAGCCAGCAAAGTGGACATTGCACCCCATGTCCGAGATGGCTACATTATGATGTTTAACTACCTGCCCATCACCTTTGGAGACAAGTTTACTCCTTATGTGGGGCCCATCATCCCCTGTATCCTCAAAGTAGGTACCATGACCTTGGCAAGGGTAGAGTCCTTGAGGAGGGCAGGAGGCAAGTGCTCACCTGGAGAGCTAGAGATCCCTGCTGGCTGGGGTTGGTTGGCAGAGCCCTCAGCCTTCAGTGAGCCCCATGTTTTTTGGGCTGGGGGCCTGGGGGTGGCAGCTCTGGCTGACCCACCCTCTGTGTGCCCAGGCTCTTGCTGATGAGAATGAGTTTGTGCGTGACACCGCCCTGCGCGCGGGCCAGCGGGTTATCTCCATGTACGCTGAGACAGCCATCGCCCTGCTGCTGCCCCAGCTAGAGCAAGGCCTCTTTGATGACCTTTGGAGAATCAGGTGAGAACTTGGGCAGAAAGACCCAGTGGGGATGATGCGTGGTGGCTCATGCCTATAATCCGAGCACTCTGGAAAGCCGAGGCAGGAGGATTGCTTAAACCCAGGAGTTTACGATGAGCCCTGGCAACATAGTGAGACCCTGTCTCTATAAAAAATAAAAAATTAGCTGGGAATGGTGGTGCACACCTGTAATCCCAGCTACACAGGAGGCTGAGGCGGAAGGATCACTTGAGCCCCAGAGGTAGAGGTTGCAGTGAGCCGAGATTGTGCCACTGCACTCCAACCTGGGCAACAGAGCAAGACGCTGTCTTAGGAGAAAAAAAAAGATCCAAAGGGTTGAACTTTGCATTTTGATAACTCCAGTTGAGAAATGAAGAGCAGAATGTTGCCAAGAACTCTCTCAACTTTTTCCAGACCCTTGCTTTTAACCATTTTGTAACTTTTCCAGTTTCCTGTAGCAATGTCTTTATTCTGATTCTTTTTTAAAAAGTCCTCTCTATACAGGCTTCCAATTTGTATTCAGATTTTAAGTGTCAAGTACTCTTTAATCTAAAAATTTTACTTATGGGAATATATTTCAAGGATGTAGGGAATGGTCAAGTGCTTAAAGCTGTTAGACATAAGGATGTTTGTTGCAGTATTGCTTACCATTTGAAAAATTGGAGGTTGATTTAAAAATATAGCACATTCATACAGTGGTCTTTTTTTTTTTTTTTTCCTTTTTGAGACGGAGTCTCGCTCTGTCACCCAGGCTGGAGTGCAGTGGCATGATCTCGGCTCACCGCAACCTCTGCCTCCCGGGTTCAAGCAATTCTCCTGCCTCAGCCTTCCGAGTAGCTGGGATTACAGGCACCTGCCAGCACGCCTGGCTAATTTTGTATTTTTAGTAGAGGCGTGGTTTCTCCATGTTGGTCAGGCTGGTCTCGAACCCCCGACCTCAGGTGATCCGCCTGCCTTGGCCTCCCAAAGTGCTGAGATTACAGGCGTGAGCCACCACACCTGGCCTGAAATAGTTTATCCTTTAAGGCCTCTCCTGGTTCCTCCACTTCTGATGATCAGTCTTCCTACTTGCCTGTTAATGCTTCCCCTTTTGTACTCACTTTATTTTTTATAACTTTTGTTATAGAAATTTTTACATGTTTTTAAAAAGTTTTTTTCCCTCAACATTAATGTATGTTCATTAGTAGAAAACTTGGAAAATATGTGGGCGAGTGTAAAGAAATGTAAACCACCTGACTCTTCCCATTCCAAGATGACCGTCATGAGTATTTTGGGTGCACTTCTTTCCATCTTCTGTGCAGTGCTCAGTTGTGCCGAGCCCACTCCTTGCAGCTGTGTGACTGTGTTGTTGGCCTCCTTCTCAGGTTCAGCTCTGTTCAGCTCCTTGGGGATCTCCTGTTTCACATCTCAGGAGTCACTGGGAAGATGACCACAGAAACTGCCTCTGAGGATGATAACTTTGGAACTGCCCAGTCCAACAAGGTGCCTGCAGTGGCTTTCCTGCCCCTGCTGATGGTAGGGTGTGCCCTGATGCCCATGCCATAGAGGCTTCACTACTCTCTGTCCCCTTCTACTGGCTGCAGGCGATCATCACTGCCCTGGGGGTAGAGCGGCGGAACCGGGTGTTGGCAGGGCTGTACATGGGCCGCTCAGACACCCAGCTGGTGGTGCGGCAGGCGTCCCTGCATGTCTGGAAGATTGTTGTCTCCAATACCCCCCGCACCTTGCGTGAGATCCTACCCACTCTCTTTGGGCTCCTGCTGGGTTTCCTGGCCAGCACGTGTGCAGATAAGAGAACGGTGAGTTTCCTGGGCCTTGTTTTGGACCAGCAGCCCCAGTGCCTCCTTTCAGAGCCTAGAAGGCTGGGTCTGCAGAGCCTGGGAAAGTACCCATCCACCCTGCCTAACAGAGGGACATTGTGTTCTTTACTTAGTCATTCTGCAAATATTTTTTGATTAATTTTATTTTATTTATTTTTTTGAGGTGGAGTCTTGCTCTGTCGCCCAGGCTGAAGTGCAGTGGCGTGATCTCAGCTCACTGCAAGCTCCGCCTCCTAGGTTCATGCCATTCTCCTGCCTCAGCCTCCCGAGTAGCTGGGACTACAGGCATCCACCACCACACCTGGCCATTTTTTTATATTTTTAGTAGAGACGGGGTTTCAGCACGTTAGCCAGGACGGTCTCGATCTCCTGACCTCGTGATGCGCCCGTCTCGGCCTCCCAAAGTGCTGGGATTACAGGCTTGAGCCACCACGCCTGGCCTCTGCAAATATTTATTAGCATCTCCTGTGCACTAAGCAGGGGCCTAGCACCTGGGGACACAATGGAGAAGAAAGGCAGCTTCATTCCTTATCCTCATGAGAGGTAGTCTAGTCGAGGAGATGGATATTAATCAAATAACCACACAAAGAGATGTAAAATGCGACTGTGGCCAGTGCTGCATGGCACTGCAAATGCTTATAATAGCTGCATTTGACCTGCTGGGGAGGGATGGGCCTGTGTTAGTGAACACTTCTCAGAAGAAATGATGCTGGAAGATGAAAGATAAGTAAGCACTAACCAGGTGAGGAGGTGGCGAAAGACCATTCCAGACAGAGGGAATAAATAATGTTTCAGATACAAAGACAGGATATGCAGAGGTCCCGTGGTGGGCAGGAACATAGCACCAGTAGGGGCTGAGCAAGGCCAGTGTGGCTGGAGTGAGGAGGCAGGGAGGAGCAGTGCGGCATGAGATCAGGCTGGCGCGCTGGCAGGGGCAGACAGATCAGTGGGCCTGGAGGAGGTGCCCAGATGGGCTGGTGATCATTTCTGCCCATCTCCTTTGGTCTACTTCCAACCCCCCATCCTTGGCAAGCAAATTGTGTATTTGGCTCTAAAGAAGGGTTTGCATGAGGTCTCAGAAAGTAGATGTTTTTTTTTCCTTAAAGCTTTGTTCCAGATTCGGCTCCTGCTCAGCCATAGCACAGTGTTAAGGCTTCAGTCATCCAGGGAAATTGGCCCTTGACTGTGCAGCAGATGATGAATTTTTTGTACATGTGTAAGGTGCTGCTGGCTCTTAATGTTAGGTTGTGTAGGTGTGTGTGAAACAGATAATTTTTTGGTAGTGTTTTGCAAGCACTACAGAGAGTATTTGGGGGCTCTTTAGGGGTAAGAGCATTTGGGGAAGTTAAGTCAGTGATTCAGATAAAGCCTGGGAGGTTTCAGGGCCCTCATTCTGGAGTCCTCCTCTGGGTGCCCTGGGCTTTGCAGGGACTTTACTTCCTGGATTGGTCTCTGTTGACAGATTGCAGCGAGAACATTGGGAGATCTTGTGCGGAAGTTAGGGGAGAAAATCCTCCCCGAGATCATCCCCATCCTTGAGGAAGGCCTGAGGTCTCAGAAGAGCGATGAGAGGCAGGGTGTGTGCATTGGCCTAAGTGAGATCATGAAGTCCACCAGCCGGGATGCCGTGAGTATCTTCCAAGGATCCCGCCAGCTGTGCACTGCAGACGACCTGACTCAGAGGGCGGGGGAGGGCTACTGAAGGAGGTTCACCTCTAGGGGGTTTGTGCTGCCCTCAGGGATGAGCCAGTCTCACTCTGGGGAGGTGCTGGCTGGGCCACATGGACTTGAGGCTCCGTCTTCTCAGCTTTCCTGTCAGTTTTGCAGGCTAAGAGCTAAGTGATTTGGATGCCTCCTTGAGTGGCCTTTGGAAACTGGAGATGATCGCTCTCTTACAACTGTGGAGGTTGCTCAGGATCAGTCTCTTTTGTGATGCTATATAAGTCCAGTTAAAATGTGTGCACCTCCTTCTGGGAAAGGGGATGGACAGCTGTGTGAGTGGGTAGGGCAGGAGGGTGCGGGAGGGGGTGTGCACTCACCCTTAGCAGGAGGGGAGCAGGTAAGAGTTGTGGTGCCAGGTGGGAGGAAGCATATTGCGTCTGGCAACAATACTGTTTCCATAGCAGCAACGTTCAAGGGGTGTGAAGTCCATTACTCTTACTTGGTTCCTGAGTTAAATGATCCTGGAGACCACCCTGGGGAGTAGGTTAGGAGTGCTTTTAGGCACTGCCTTCGTGTTTGGATGAAAACGCCAAAGCAATTAAGTGGATGGCCCGCTAGAAATGTAAGCAAGTGGCCAGTTGCTTGGCTTGGGCATCCTTGTCTGAATTCCTAGGATACCAGATCCCTCTTCTCCTATATTGATGTTTGTCTTACGTTTGGTTTTTAAAATTTACATTTGGCAAGGAATCAAAAGAAATTCTGTCATCAGAAAGAGTTGTGATTCATTGGAGAGGTAGAGTTCCACAGAGGCTGAGTTCTTGTCTGCAAAGTCCCCACAGTCCAATGGCAAGGCCCACATGCCAACCAGTCATTAGAATGCAGAGTGGGCTTTGCTGTGCTGGGATCGTTACTGAGGGAGCAGAGCCATTATTGGCTCCATTGTAGACCCAAAGACTTCATAGAGCACAAAGTCTGGATTGAGACTTGAAGAAGGACTTGGAGTTTTCCAAGAGAATAAGCAAAAGAAAGAGTCCAGGGAGAGAGGGGGCCAGATGCCATGGGAAGGAGTTTGCAGTTCTTAGAGAAGATGGGAGGTATATTGAGAATTCACCTAAAAGATTCAAGCTGTTGATTATTAAGTCTCAGTGAAGGATACATGGGGGTGCATCACATCCTCTCTGCTTTTTTTTTTTATTGAGACGGGGTCTTACTCTGTCACCCAGGCTGGAGTGCAGTGGTGCGATCATAGCTCATTGTAACCTTGACCTTCTGGGCTCAAGTGATCCTCTCGCTATGGCCTCCTGAGTAGCTGGGGACTATAGGTGTGCACCACCACACGTAGCTAATTTTTGCATTTTTAGTAGAGGTGAGGTCTCACTATGTTGCCCAGGCTGGTCTCAAACTCCTGGCCTCAAGTGATTCTCTTGCCTCCACCTCCCAAAGTGTTGGGATTACAGGCGTGAGCCACTGTGCGCGGCCCCTCTCTACTTTTTAATTTTTTTAAAATTTTTAGTTTAAGACAATCTCACTCTGCTGCCCAGGCAGGAGTACAGGGGCACCATCTCTTTTGGCTACAGCCTCTGCTTCCTGGGTTCAAGCGATTCTTGTGCCTCAGCCTCCTGTGTAGCTGGGATTACAGGTGTGCACCACCACACCCAGCTAATTTTTGTATTTTTAGTAGAGATAGGGTTTTGCCATGTTGACCAGGCTGGTCTCGAACTCCTGGCCTCAAGTCATCCGCCCACCTTGGCCTCCCAAAGTGCTGGGATTACAGGTGTGAGCCACCGTGCCCGGCCCCTTCTCTCCTTTTTTTTATTTCACAGTAAAGAGTTAAGTTAAAAGACAAGTCAGGCAAAGAGAGTTAGGGTGGCCTAGCTGGGTCAGAGTCCCCTGCCTGTGCTTCTTGTCTGCTTCTGCTCCTTCTTTGCCTTTCCTGCATCTGGTACAGTTGTAGCTTGCCATTGCAGGTGCTGTATTTCTCTGAATCCCTCGTGCCCACGGCAAGGAAGGCTTTGTGTGACCCACTGGAGGAGGTCAGAGAGGCGGCAGCCAAGACTTTCGAGCAGCTGCATTCCACCATCGGCCACCAGGCTCTGGAGGACATTCTCCCATTTTTACTAAAGCAGCTGGTGAGTGGATCTACCACACACCTACCTACCAGTTTGGCTTTTGCCGTCTTTGTAGATGGAAAATACAGGGCGATTATTCTGCCAAGGCAGTCGCAATGTGGGCCCTCCAGAGGGAGTGGGTATAGCAAGATCAGACTTGGCTTTGTGCTTCGCCTTCGGCAGTGAGGAAATGTGGGTGCAACAGGAGGGAGGGAAACAAGTGGAGAAGGAAGTTGGCGGTGGCTGGTTGAGACAGCAGAGATGCAGATTCCTCAGGGTTGTCCCCAACACCCTCTGCAGGATGACGAGGAGGTGTCAGAGTTTGCCTTGGATGGTCTGAAGCAAGTCATGGCTATTAAGAGTCGTGTGGTGCTGCCCTACCTTGTGCCCAAGGTAAATCCCAACATGTGGTCAACACCCTCTGGCTCCAGGGCATTGACATTTCCAGGGCCTGCAGTGAAGACCAGTTCTGAACGTAGATGTTGGAGGGCTGGGGGAGGAGGGTGCAGTGCAAGCATTACATCCTTCCCCTGTTGTCTTCCAAGATATGCTGGAGTAGATGCTTGGCTCTGAGCAGTGGGCTTGGGCTCTCTTGCCCACCCGTCTGTTCCCAGAGCCTAGCGCAGCACCTGGCACAGTATTCACTGAGTTAATGTTTGTCATTCCACCAGCTGACAACGCCACCTGTCAACACCCGGGTGCTGGCTTTCCTTTCGTCAGTGGCTGGTGATGCCCTCACCCGTCATCTTGGCGTGATCCTCCCAGCGGTCATGCTGGCCCTGAAGGAAAAGCTTGGGACCCCAGATGAGCAGCTGGTAAGGGGCGAGCCTGCTCCTGCTTTCTCATGTCCCGTCTGCCCGGAGGATCCCTGCTCAGCACACATGTCCCTTGTGGTTTGCAGGAGATGGCCAATTGTCAGGCTGTGATCCTCTCCGTAGAGGATGACACAGGGCACCGGATCATCATCGAGGATCTGCTGGAGGCCACCCGCAGCCCTGAGGTGGGCATGAGGCAAGCTGCTGCCATCATCCTCAACATCTACTGTTCCCGCTCAAAGGCTGACTACACCAGCCACCTGCGGAGCCTGGTCTCGGGCCTGATCCGCCTCTTCAATGACTCCAGCCCTGTGGTTCTGGAGGAGAGCTGGGATGCCCTAAATGCCATCACTAAGGTGAGGGGACTGCTGACCCCACAGCCAACTTTTGCTTTTAGAAAATTCCAGACATTTACAGGAATAGACTTATAAGAATCCCCCACGTACCTGTCACTCAGCTTCGGCGTTTACCCACTCGTGGCAAGTCTTGTTTATACTCCCGCCCACGCTTTCCCCATATATTCTTTGGAAGCAGTCTTGAGAGGGCTGTACATCCTCTCGCTTTTTCCTGGATTCCTGCAGAAGCTGGATGCTGGCAACCAGTTGGCACTCATTGAAGAGCTGCACAAGGAAATCCGGCTCATAGGGAACGAGAGCAAAGGCGAGCATGTGCCAGGATTCTGCCTCCCGAAGAAGGTAAGCCAGGGCCTCGTGCAGGGGGCTGTGGGCGTGCAGTCTGTTGTGCCCTTCTGGCCCTTACCCCTGTCCCAGGTCTGCGGTAGGGGCTGCTGGAGCAGTAGCCGTGGTGGTTGGTGTTCAGCACCTTCGCAGACAGCATGTTTTCTTCCATGGCAGTCAGATGGGGACAGGGTTCATGCTGCCTTTGGTTTAAGCTCTGCAGGTCACCTTGGCCAGAGTGAGTGGGCCACAGGGTAACAGCAGTGCATGTTCTCTCTGTGTGATAGGCCTGTTGGGGCCCTTGTCGTCTTTTCTCTGCCAAGACCGTTCCATAGCCAGCCCTCTCAGGCTGTGATCCTGAGATTCAGCCCAAATCAATATCTCCCATGGAGTTGAGGGGAGGACAGCTGTCAGGACCACTTTGCTTGCATGGGAGACACCAGGGCCCAGGGTGTTTGAGATTTGACTCTCAGTTGTGGTTCTCTTGTCAGGGAGTGACCTCCATCCTTCCAGTGTTGCGGGAAGGAGTCCTGACTGGCAGCCCTGAGCAGAAGGAGGAGGCAGCCAAAGCCTTAGGCTTGGTAATCCGCCTGACCTCGGCTGACGCCCTGAGGCCCTCCGTGGTCAGCATCACTGGCCCTCTGATCCGCATCCTGGGGGACAGGTTCAGCTGGAATGTGAAGGCGGCTCTGCTCGAGACACTCAGCCTCTTGTTGGCTAAGGTGAGTGGCTGATGAGTTTGTTCAGATCTTAGAGAACAGGTCTGTCTGCAGGAGCCTGATACAAGGTGTCATGTAGCAGCAGGGCAACAGATTTATTGTGGAGAGCCGCATAGCAGAGGGAGGTAAGACCTTGGACTTCAGACATGCTACACCATGGGTCAATTCCAAGTCGTCCTTACTAGCTCTGTGACCAGGATGACCTTGGGAAAGCCATATAACCTAAGCCTGTTTCCTCACCTACAATGTGAGACTAATAATACCAGCTGCCTCATGAAGGGCTGCTAGATATGGGGATTAGATGAGGTTATGTCCAGCATGATGCCTGCTACATACTAAGCACTCAGTACATGTGAAATGCTATTATTTTGAAAAACTACTTTTTCAAAGGAAAAAATTCAGGACCACGTAAATACAAGGAAAACATTGTTTAAAGATATTGCAGTTTTTGTTTTTTTTTGTTTTTTGTTTTGTTTTGTTTTGTTTTTGAGACAGAGTCTAACTCTGTCACCCAGAGCTGGAGTGCAGTGGCGCGATCTCGGCTCACTGCAACCTCCGCCTCCTGGGTTCAAGCAATTCTTCTGCCTCAGCCTCCCAAGTAGCTGGGATTACAGGTGTCTGCCACTACACCTGGCTAATTTTTTTGTATTTTTAGTAGAGACAGGGTTTCACCAGGCTGGTCTCGAACTCCTGACCTCGCACAGCTCAGATTTACCAGCTCCCCCTATCCCCTTTGTGTGCCTGCCACAGCCTGCACACCCACCCAACTCCAGTATTTCCAGACCTTCATTGGCACTGAACCTCCAAACAGTCACTCTGGTTTTCCTAATTAACAATAAGTAAGCCGGGCGTGGTGGCTCAAGCCTGTAATCCCAGCACTTTGGGAGGCCGAGGTGGGCAGATTACCTGAGGTCGGGAGTTCGAGACCAGCCTGACCAACATGGAGAAACCCTGTCTCTACTGAAAATACAAAATTAGCCGGGCATTGTGGCGGGTGCCTGTAATCCCAGCTACTCAGGAGGCTGAGGCAGGAGAATTGCTTAAACCCGGGAGGCGGAGGTTGCAGTGAGCTGAGATCGCGCCTTGCACTCCAGCCTGGGCAACAAGAGCGAAACTCCGTCTCAAAAAAAAAACAAAACAAAAAACAGTAAGTAAATCTTTACTCTTGGACCCACCTGTATTGTATCAAAAGTGTGCCTGTGTTTCTGTATAGTCAGGGGTTGAACTGGATTTTTAGTTAGGTGGGTACACATTTGTGCAGGGAGGATTCTCCAAGGTCATTTGTTTCACAGGCTTGTTCTGAGGGCTGAATGTGGAGTGCGTATCCTGCTGTCAGTTGCTCAGTAGATGGGCTCTGCAATTATACACTGAGTCCCTTTCCCTGTCTTGGCATTAGAACTGTGCTTCAGTACTGCCGATAGTCTGCCCTGCTTGTTAATGTATTCAGAGGAGGATTTGAGTCACTTATCGATATGGACAGGTCTCCACTAAGCCAAACCCCAACGCAGCCAAGGCTGCGAGACAGCTCCCTCAGATAGCGGCCGCCGCCTCCTCGGCCTCCTGCTCCTCCAGTGTATCAAAGCATGCTGGATATGACCAGGAGGCCAAGCGAAACCTGTCTGTGTTTGGCCTCTCTGACGGGCTATCTGTCCCCAGCCCTGTATGAGAGCTGGACTCGCTGTGGTGGTTTGGGATTGTCATTTGTTCTCATGCCTGTGGTACACTGTGGCTTTGGGTCTACCACAACTGTCTTTCATGGATGTGGGTTCCTCCCACAGGTTGGGATTGCCCTGAAGCCCTTCCTGCCCCAGCTGCAGACCACTTTCACCAAAGCCCTGCAGGACTCCAACCGGGGGGTGCGCCTGAAGGCCGCAGATGCTCTGGGGAAGCTCATTTCCATCCACATTAAGGTGGACCCCCTCTTCACAGAGCTGCTCAATGGCATCCGCGCCATGGAGGACCCAGGTGTCAGGTACGGCGCTGGCAAGGGAGCACTGTGGCCTCCAGGAGGCCAGGGGTTGCTGTGGGCCGAGCCTGCGCTGGCAGGAGGGGTGGTGGTGGAGGCACCCAGGGCTTAAGGCGGTGCATTGCTTCTGCAGGGACACCATGCTGCAGGCCCTGAGGTTTGTGATTCAGGGAGCAGGGGCCAAAGTGGATGCCGTCATCCGGAAAAACATCGTCTCACTCCTGCTGAGCATGCTGGGACACGATGAGGTACGGCTGCAGGCAGGACTAGTGGCAGCACTGGACCACTGGTTTCCCTCCTCCTCCTTAGGTTGAGTTCTTCACTTTGTGTTAGAACCAGTACAGCTCAGTAGTAATAAGCATTCCTGACATTTCTATCACCCTGTATGCTTCACCAACATTTCCTCGGGTTTCAAGGGAAACGGGGCAGGTATTGTGGATATATTGGTTATTTCCGTTTGTTTGTTTGTTTTTTGGCTGAGTCTTGCTGTGTCACCCAGGCCGGAGTGAAGTGGCACAATCTCGGCTCACTGCAGCCTCCGCCTCCTATCAAGCGATTCTCCTGCCTCGGTCTCCCGAGTAGCTGGGATTACAGGTGTCCGCCACCATACCCAGCTAATACTTGTACTTTTAGTAGAGATAGGGTTTCACCATGTTGGTCAGTCTGGTCTCAAACTCCTGACCTCAGGTGATCCACCCGCCTCGGGCTCCGAAAGTGCTGGGATTAACAGGCATGAGCCACCGCGCCCGGCCGGTTATTTCTATTTTATAGATGAGGCAAGTAAGCTTTGTAGAGACCCAGACCTCTCACCTATTTGCTCTCTGATCTTAAAGAAGTCACTTTCTCTGTCTGCCTCTCATTTCCACTTTTGTAAAATGAAGAGGTTTATTTATTGTTTTGTGAAACATTTGCCGAGCTAAAGGGCCTATCCCAGAGGTGCATAGACCTCGTGGTCACAGACCTCAAGAAACTTAGTGTGTAGTGGGATAAATGGTCTCCAGGGTGTGTCCCGGTGGCAAGTCTTAGAGGTCTATTTTCGAGGGTGAGACTTGTCTGGGCCATACCCAGCAAGTAGTAGAGTCCAAACCAGAAGCCCTGGACTCCTGGTTCTGTCCCAGTTCCATCAGCCTCACCTAGTCTGGAAGCATCTGTCAAATATTTGGCTGCGAGCACTGTGGGGCCAGTAGGGAGTTGAGTCTATGGAGAAGAGTTTTCTGTTCCCTTTTCAGACAGCCCTCTGTTGTGGTCTAATTTACTTTGTAGGGCCAATCTAGGAGGAGAGGGCCTTTGGGCTCACATGGTTTTACACGTCATTGACACACACACACACCCACACACACTCCTCCTGCCCACACCTGCAACACACACACTTGCTGCTGCACTTCCCATGGCTCCAAAGGCCTAGTTCTGGTCCCCAGGCGCCAGCTGTCGGACTCCAGCCCCAGCCTTCTCTGTGGGGACAGACAGGAAAGTCTGCTGTCTTGGTCACAGTCTTTCAGGGCTTCTACAGAGTCATGTGTACAGTGCAAGCAAAAGTTAGTATTGAAACATATTTGCATTTTACCACAGTGCAGCTTAAAATAGATGAAGTTGGAGAGAGTCGGTGTCAGAGCCAGCTTTAGCTTGGCACCTGGGCTTCTGCTTCGAGCTCAGAGGCCCAAACTGCTGGCAGTCCATTCTCTTACCCTCTGAACCTCCACTCAGATTGAAGGTGGCAGTTCAGGGTGCCAGCCTGGCATTAGCTTTTTGGGTTATTGAGTCCCTGGTTGGTGGTTTGTTTTGGGGACATGTTGAGTTGGCACCTGTAATAAGGAACATAACTTAAAATCCTCTCTTGGTATTCCATAGTTAGCTGGCCAGGGAGGAGCACGGAGCCGCTCGCGTACCTGGCTCTGATTTGAACAGGAAGTGCTTGCCTTTCCTTATCTTCCTTGGCTTGATTAGTGGCTTTAGTTTGACTTCCTAGGATGAACCCAAGTAATTTCGGTGGCAGTGGGGCACTCATGCAGTAGGGAGATAGCAGGAGTCATTCTGGCCACAAGATGACACAAACTCTGTGGGAGAAAGGAGCTCAGAGTGGCCGTCTCTAGCCGGCTTCCCTGGTGGCTGGGGGCAGGTGCCTCCCCTCCTGCCCCTCCCGCCCCTCCCTGCCTCACAGGGCTGTTGATAGTAATTGAGATAATAAATATGAAACATTCAGCCTTCCTAAGAAGAAAGATGCTATGTAAATACAGTTATTACTGCTATTACAAGGATGATTACCATATGCATACACACTGGGGTTTTCTATAATTAAGTGAAGTGCTGGCTGTGTAATGTTTAACTCCATACCAGTGGCAGCCCAATCTGGCAGGGGAGCACGAGTGCCTACAGGAAGGACTGGATCTTGAGTCTCTGAGTTGGCTTTTCCACCTTCTTTGTTGCTGTCCATCCTGGGCTCTAGAGCTGCCTGCCTTGGTTCCCACACAGCTGGTGTTGTTCCCTGCACCCCCTCACTCCCTTCTCTTCCCTGTCAGGACAACACTCGCATCTCCTCAGCCGGGTGCCTAGGGGAACTGTGTGCCTTTTTGACTGAAGAGGAGCTTAGTGCCGTTCTACAGCAGTGCTTGCTGGGTAAGTACACTGGAGAGTTCCCCTTCAGGGACCTGGGCCTCTCAGCCCTAGCGAAGAGTCGACGGGCATCTCCCTCCCTCCCTCAGAGGATCTTTTAGCAACTGGACTGTCCTTTCCTTGGGAATCCAGCAGTTAAAGCAAAATCCAGGCCAGGGGTGGTGGCACTCACCTGTAGTCCCAGCTACTCAGGAGGCTGAGGTGGGAGGATCAGTTGAGCCCAAGAGTTGAAGGTTGCAGTGAGCCTTGATCACGCCCCTGCACTCTAGCCTGGGCGACAGAGCGAGGCCCTGTCTCTAAAACAAACAAACAATACTGAATTTGCAGTGGTCCCGTAGCCCTGAGTGTCTCTGCTCAAAGAACACAGCTGTAAGCCCGGAGTGGTTCATGAGCAGGCTTTCCTTACTTTCCTTAATGTGCCACTTTGGGGAGCTTCTGCCAAGATAGCAGGGAGGTCCATGTGAATGTGGCCTGGAGTTTTCCTTGTGCTCTGGGTCAGCACACTGGTCTCCAGCGGGGTGGGCCCATGGGCCTCATGGGTGCTGGGGACATGCTGTAAAATACCGGTTGATCCCAGTCGTGTCCTTCCACCCAGCGGACGTGTCCGGCATTGACTGGATGGTTCGGCACGGGCGGAGCCTGGCACTTTCCGTGGCTGTGAATGTGGCTCCTGGCAGACTTTGTGCCGGCAGATATAGCAGTGATGTTCAGGAAATGATCCTGAGCAGTGCCACGGCGGACAGGGTAAGGCATTCGGGCCATATCCCATAGGCATAGGCCACATCCCATAGGCAGCACCTTGTGGACACAGCGCGGGTGGACCCCAGACTGGGGCTTAAGAAGCTTGGGTCTAATTTTACCTTTGTCAGTAACTTGCTGTGCCCTTGGACCAGCACTTGATCCCTTTGGGCCCCAGTTTCATCATCTAAACAAGGAATTTGGGTTGAAGAATCTAGATGCCCCTTCTGGGTCAGGTCTTGGATCCCTGTTCCTGGGAACCAGTGACTGTACTCATCTGCCTCAGCCGGGGCAGCCTGCCTGAGAGCTGTCATGGTGTAAGGGGTGATGTGGTGGTGATGTAGTGGAGGGTCCTGGAGATTACTAGGAACTGGGGTTTTCCTGGCTCTGGGGAAGGGGTGGGGGGCCTCCCGTCTAGCGCTGTCTGTTCTCCACAGATCCCCATTGCGGTGAGCGGGGTCCGGGGCATGGGCTTTCTCATGAGACACCACATCGAGACAGGCGGAGGGCAGTTGCCGGCCAAACTTTCCAGCCTGTTCGTTAAGGTGAGTGGGGGCCAAGCATGTGTTTAAGCCCTAACACCTGGCTTGTGAGGAGGTCCTAGGATCAGAGACCACCAGCAGTGCGCCCTCAACTAGTTGTGTGCTAGTTCTCCGTGGACGGCCTCCAGGAGATCGCTGAACACTTAGGGATGGAATGTAGGGGGTTTCTGTGTGTGCTTTACACTGCAATAAAGCCTAACTTTTTGTCAGATTCTCAAATTGACCCGTGACTCTGAATCAAGTTAGGAATCGCTATTTTAGGCATTCTTTCTAGGCACCGTAGTTTTGTAAAATTAGATACAGACCTGGGTTCCCATCTTAATACCTCTCTTTTCCCTCCTTCCTCTTCTAGTTGGCCCAGCACTTCTTGGTGTGGTTACTGTGCTATGTGCCAGGCCCTAGTTAGGAAAGCCAAGGAATGTGCCAGCAGGGCTCCTGTGGCCCGTGTGATATGGCGTGCTTCTGAAGCATTACTGTGCACAGAAGTCAGAGCCAGGGTGTATTTTAGTGAGATGGGGCCATGCCTGGTACTCTAACCAGCTCTCAGCAACAGTGTCAGTGGTGCTGTGCATGGACCTTGCCTTGAGTAATGAGGTTCCCAAGAGTGACTGCCTCCCCCCGCAGCACCGGGAACCCACGGAGTTTCTGAGGGGCCTGATTCGATTGAGCCTCGTCTGTGATGACATCAGCCTGCACCCGCTTGTTCACTTGGCATTATCCTGAAGGTGTAGAGATGAACAAGGCAGACAGGATCCCTGGAGCCCATGGGGAGGACCCTGATATAGATAAGATTGGCAGGGGGCACCTCTAAAGGATGACATGGGAGCTGAGACCTGCAGGATGGGAAGGAACTAACCTAGAGAGGATCCGGGGCAAGCACGGCCCAAGCTGTGGGACCAGCCAGGGCAGAGGCCCGAGGCCCTGGGATGTTGGAGGAAGTAAAAACGCATGCGGGCTGAGAGTAGTGAGCAAGGGGAGAGTGGCATGAGATGAGGGTGCAGGAAACCAGGGTCGAGTCATGCTGGGACCCTCCCACAGGAGCAGGGGGGGTCAGTGTTCATGCTGTAGGGAGAGTGTCGAGGCTGGGCATTTGGGCTGCTTCAAGGAATAGATGACATGCCTATCCAAAAGCCTGTTTGTGGTTCTTTTTACAGTGTCTGCAGAACCCATCCAGCGACATCAGGCTGGTGGCTGAGAAGATGATCTGGTGGGCAAATAAGGACCCACTGCCTCCCCTGGACCCCCAGGCCATCAAGCCCATCCTGAAGGCTCTTCTTGACAACACCAAGGATAAGAACACCGTGGTCAGGGCCTACAGCGACCAGGCAATTGTCAACCTCCTCAAGATGCGGCAGGGTGAAGAGGTGTTTCAGGTGGGAGCCTGGGGGGCCTCACCAGGATGTGCTGTGAGCATTTGTCTTTCAGCTCTTCTTCAGCATGGAAATATTTAAACCACAGGCTCTTCTCTGCCACCACGGATGTGCTAGCTTTCAGGAGCAGATTAAGATTTGGGTGACTGGGGCCGGGCGCGGTGGCTCGCGCCTGTAATCCCAGCACTTTGGGAGGCTGAGGCGGGCAGATCACCAAGTCAGGAGATGAAGGCTAACACGGTGAAACCCCGTCTCTACTAAAAATACAAAAAAATTAGCCAGGCGTGGTGGGCGGCTTTGTCCCAGCTACTCAGGAGGCTGAGGCAGGAGAATGGCGTGAACCCAGGAGACGGAGGTTGCAGTGAGCTGAGATCATGCCACTGCACTCCAGCCTGGGCGACAGAGTGAGACTCCGTCTCAAAAAAAAAAAAAAAAAAAAAAGATTTGGGTGACTGGCCCAGTACCTGAAAACATACATTCCCATGGTTTTCAGACTTCTTTCCGAGCAGGGCCCTTTCTTCAAATAAAATCTCACATGACACCCAAACAGACATAGCAGATCCCAGGAGAGCTGCCCAGAGGAAACCCAGAGTTGTGTTCACTCAGTCCCCAGCCCCCAGCAGCCTTGAAAGCCCAAAAGCTGGCCAGCCGCGGTGGCTCACGCCTGTAATCTCAGCACTTTTGGGAGGCCAAGGTGGGCGGATCACCGGAGGTCAGGAGTTCGAGACCAGCCTGACCAACATGGAGAAACCCCGTCTCTACTAAAAATACAAAATTAGCCAGGTGTGGTGGCGCTATGTCTGTAATCTCAGCTACTCGGGAAGCTGAGGCAGGAGAATCGCTTGAACCTGGGAGGCGGAGGTTGTGTTGAGCTGAGATCGTGCCATTGCACTCCAGCATGGGCGACAAGAACGAAACTCCATCTCCAAAAAAAAAAAAAGCCCAAAAGCTGCAACTCCCACTGCCTCGTCTCATGAAAAGCATGATGGGGCCAGGTGCGATGGCTCATGCCTGTAATCCCAATACTTTGGGAAGCCAAGGTGGGAGGATCACTGGAGCCCAGGAATTCAAGATCAGCCGGGCAACATAGGGAGACTCTGTTTCTAAGAAAAAGGGAAAAATAGAAAAGCATGATGAGTGTTTTCATTGGCTTTCCCTGGATCCATCTGATTCCCTTATTTTGCCAGAGTCCACCTCAGTGTCTCTAGTTCTGGGGTTAACATTCATTTTTGTCTTTCTCCAATTGGAGAACGTGGCAGCCGTATGTTCTGACTATGTTTCCTCCTGCTCATCCTTCCCCACAGTCCCTCTCCAAGATCCTGGATGTGGCCAGTTTGGAGGTGCTGAACGAGGTTAACCGAAGGTCCCTGAAGAAGCTGGCCAGCCAGGCCGACTCCACGGAGCAGGTGGACGACACCATCCTGACATGAGAGGCCTGGGCCAGCAGCAGCATTGCCGCTCCACATCTTTGCTCAATGTTTTCATTTTTGAAAATACATTTGTTCCAATGGGGAGCTTGGAAGATGGCGTTCCCAGAAAGTATTTTAATATCAATAGACCACAGCCAAAGCCTTAAATCAAACCCACACACAACTGAAAATTGCCTCCTCCATCTCTCACCTTTTCCTGTGGAGAAGAGAAGGAAAAGCACACGCATGCGCCTCAGCAAATGGCAGCCCAGGAGCTGTTTGTCCAGTTTAGCATGGCTAGGTCTGGAACTATAATAGCAGGGTCAGACTGTGGGTTCCTCTTCTCCTGTGCTTGAGCTCTGGTTTGAGAGCTGGCGCTACCAACCTTTTTCCTATATCCCGAGTGGGGCACAGACGGTGGATCTCTGCCCAGTGTGGTGTGTCTGGCTTGGCTTTTCAATATTGTGAGGTCTGAATGGATCTGACCCCTGTCAGATGAAAATGATTCACAGCTCTGGCAGTTCCCAAGTCTGGGGAGGGGTATAGGTTTGAAAGGCTGTTTGAAAGAGGAATGTTTAATAAAGGCTTTGATTTAATCTTGATATAAACAGATTTTTAAAAATCTCCACCCATTAAACATGAAGCTTCCTGCATCAGGAATAAGGAAAGGTTTGTACCTGTTTTTGTAAGTATTCACAGTTCTCTGATTTCTGGACATATCTCTCTCCTGCTTTCGAAAGTCTTAGCATTCCCTGTAGACGTCTGTCCTGAGGTTGGGTTTTGAGAGGTGTGCAGCCTGGCCTGTGATCTCCCCCAGTGTGGAGAATGCAAAGGTCGAATTAGCCACTTTCCTGTTCTGTTCTGACTTGGAAAGGTAGGGAGCTTCTGGTACTCAGGTTGTAAAGAGAAATCCAGCCCCTCTGTGAATAAGAAAGGGCCACATTCCTATAGTTGAAGGACTTGGAAGAGGAAGCCAAAGTTGCATTTCAGCATCTGCCTCCTTTATGAATGACTTCCTTCCTCCTGATTCTTAGAAGGCTCGTGACACACACATTCTGTCTGATGGAGCACACCCCACTGGGCCTAGTGACGCAAGTTTTTCTGGGCTGCTCCCTGGCCACAATACAGGACAAACCTCTGTCAAAATTACTGGCCTGAGCTGTAAAAGGAAGAGAAAAAGTGGTAGTGGCAAACTCACTTTATAAAAGGTATAAAAATGCTATGCCAAAAAAAGCAAGACTTTGGTTATTAATAATGCAGCCAAGGTGGAAAGTAGGCCTGTGACTCAACACTTCCAATGAATAAGGCAAGGTGACCTCTGAGGCACTTCTCATGAGCCCTATTTTCTTGCAGCAGACATGGTGTCAGCTGGCTTGAGGTAACTGTAGAATCCCAGGGCTGGAAGGGACCTTGAGAGGTCAGCTGAGTCCTTGTAGCCAGAACAGCCAATGGCTACAACTTTTGGTAGCCATGGTAACTGTTCTCTGCCTCTGGA
This sequence comes from Homo sapiens, assembly GCF_000001405.40. Taxonomy (NCBI): domain Eukaryota; kingdom Metazoa; phylum Chordata; class Mammalia; order Primates; family Hominidae; genus Homo; species Homo sapiens. The sequence goes on along the minus strand of NC_000012.12, from coordinate 120,126,374 downwards.
ATTCGGATGGTCATCAGCATCCTCCCAACTGCCAAGGGCATGTGTCCATCAGGCTGTCTGCAAATGTGTTCTCCACCACCAGTCAGCTATGGGGAGATACGGGAAAAGTTTCTGTTGAGGGGCATGAGCTGGGAAACCTGTTAAGCTGTGAGACCATCTTCACTGTTTCCTCCAGGGTCTTGGATCAGATGCTGATATCCACCTGTGGCTTTTAGCCCCCCTTCTGCAACTGGGAGGGGAACCTGACGTACTTAGAGGTATCAGACACTCATTAAGCAAAATCCAAAGGAAAAACACCAGATACCAGTTCCAGAAACTGGAGGAGGATGAGCTCTCTGTTCGGAATGGATGGAGCTTGACTGACAGACGGGGATGACTCGAAGGCTCCCAGAGCATATTGAGTTGCATTCTCTGAGTCTGGAAGGAGGGTGTGAGCTCCCAGGAAGTGAGCCATGAAGGGCTGTCATGGACATGCCAGGGGAGCCCACAGAAAGGACCTTGTCACCCCAAAGTCCTAGCAGTCCTGAGAACAGCAGCCCAGACCAAGCACCCTGGGGACATTGAGGTTAGCAGCAGAGAAGCAAAAGCTGTTTGTCCTGGAGGCTGGTAGAGCTGTTTCACCTTGGGCAAGTCATCTGACCTCCCTGGGCCGGTTTCCTCTTATGTACAATGAAGAATTTGGAAGAGAAGCTCTAAAAATTTATTCTCAAAGTTATTCTGTAGGTGGTGGTACTCTCTAGGTTAATGGTACTTACAACAGATGACATTTGCTATCATTTCATTTAGTCCTCTTAACAGTTCTATGAAGCGGGTTCTCAATACTATTTTCTAGAGGAGGAAACTGAGGCACAGAGAGGCCACTCGCCCAGGGTCATATGGCTAGTAAATGGCAGCCTGTCCCCAGACCTCTGTTTTTAGCCTTTCTCTTAACTTCTCCTATGCCGGCTAGTTAGCCATCAGCATTTTTCATTCTTTAGAGCCTCCAGAACTTTTCCATCCAGGTATATACAGGAAATTAGTACGTGTATAGCACACTAAGTGAACAGCTCCAGCCGCCTTGCCCAGGGATGCCACCCCCTCCAGACCCTACCCAGCTGCTCTGCAGGCTGTGGGGAGGAGGACCTCACTCCACTTAACAGGACACTGGCTGGGAAAGTCTTCAGAGAAAGCGGATTATTCTCAAAGACTCGCAGTGATCCTCCAGGGGAGACTGTCCCTCTTTCTCTTCTTGTGTCTGAAAGTCAATGACAAAGTCATATTCCCTTATCCAGAGAAAACTGAAAAAGTTCTAAACTGAGCATTCCCAAACCTTCACCTAACTCTGGGAGCCTCAGGAATCATGGGCAGCAAGATTATTTTTAAAAGGTGGGGGTATTAGGCCGAGGCGGGCGGATCACCTCAGGTCAGGAGCAAGACCAGCCTGGCCAACATGGTGAAACCCTGTCTCTACTAAAAATACAAAAATTAGCCGGGCTTGGTGATGGGTGCCTGTAGTCCCAGCTACTCAGGAGGCTGGGGCAGGAGGCGGAGGTTGCAGTGAGCCAAGATTGTGCTACTGCACTCCAGCCTGGCGACAGAGCGAGACTCCGTCTCAAAAAAAAAAAAAAAAAAAAAAAAAAAGGTGGGGGGGTATTGTTAAAACATGGTTCACGCAACCCTTCAAGGAACCAGACCTTCAGGTACATTCTCTTTGTCCAACACTGTGATGCGGGAGGACTTGGGAGAGTGGCAGGGAGGCTGCAGATTTGACAGTTTTGGGTGCAGGGATTGGAGACATTATTTGACAGATTTTGAAACACAATTGGCAGTTAGGAATGTTTTTCCTCAATGTATGGCTCTGTGGATGTGTCTCAGATTGCTTCAATAAGGAAAAAGAGGAACCAATCTAACTTAAAAGGTCTAAGTTCTAAAATATTGTGAAGGAAATGTAGATACCGCTTTAAAGTTCTAGTGCAGGATAGTGGAGCCACAGGGACTTCCAGGACAGGTTAGAACCTTAATTTCACTGCTTAATACTAAGCTGTGTGATCTAGACCATGTTCCTTAACCTCTCTGAGTGCATCCCCTCACCTTGACAGCGCAGTCTCACCGTGTTGTCATCTGTGTTGAATGACATAATGCACTTTGCACAGAGCCAGGCACACATAGGAGGTTCTGGATACATGGATGGTGACAGTGAAACAAGGATGATGGGGAATGAGATTGATTTTGAGAAATGATGATGATGACTATGTTTGATTCTCCAAAATGCTGAGTGTACATACATCAGCACACAGATGGTCTCCACTGTGCATGGGCAGGAAGGCACATTACCACCACTTAGATCGGTGCTTCCCACCGTCGTGAGAGAGAGAGGCCGGCAGGACGTGGTCTTTATTTTATGAAGAGTAAAGTTGAGGTACAGGTGGCAAGGAGCATCTCTGAGGTCACATTGGCAGAACTGGGAAAAAACCCATATTTCTTGATTCTCCGCTCACCAAGCCCCAGGGGCATTCTACAAAAATAATTTGGAAGGTGAATGTAACAAAAGTGAAACCCACGTTCTTGGCCTGTGACTGGGTTTCACTTTTTAAGAGATGGAGCCCAGTTATTTCACAGGGTGGCTCTGAGTTGCCCCTAGGTTCTGTTAGGAAGGGTCCCTGCTGCCTGCCCCAGGGGAAGGGGAGTGTTGATGTCAACACAGCTCAAGACACTGGAAAAACTGGTCTGAGGGATGATTGCCTCAGAGGGATTTCTAGGTGAGACCTTCCTGATTGTGCCTGAATGGATACCCCAGTCCCTGTCAGGTTCCCTCCTGTGAGCTATTTCTCTAGTGAGATGGCGGCCTGGTCACAGGGACAATTAGTGCATGATAATTCCTCAGGGCTGTGCCCCGCAGTCCCACAAGAGAAAGCTGTGGGTTTTGAATGTATTTACATTAGATCTTTCTTACCACTTGGGTTCCCACAAAAAAGGGAGCTAGGAAGCTGGGGTGCAGGATTCAATCTAGCATTTCGCAAATATTTTGCCCTCAAGACTCCTTATTTATTTACATGCAGGGTACTGCTCTGCCGCCCAGGCTGGAGTGCAATGGTGTGCTCATGGCTCACTGCAGCCTTGAACTCTTGAGCTCAAGTGATCCTCCTGCCTCAGCCTCCTGAGCAGCTAGGACTACAGCCACACACCACCACACCTGCCTAATTTTGTTTGTTTTTGAGATGGAATCTCACTCTGTCGCCCAGGCTGGAGTGCAGTGGCGTGATCTTGGCTCACCGCAGCCTCTGCCTCCCAGGTTCAGGTGATTCTTGTGCCTCAGCCTCCAGAGTAGCTGAGATTACAGGTGCCCGCCACCATGCCCAGCTAATTTTTTTTTTTTTTTGTATTTTTAGTAGAGATGGGGTTTCACCATATCGGTCAGGCTGGTCTTGAACCCCTGACCTCAGGTAATCCACCTACCTTGGCCTCCCAAAGTGCTGGGATTACACGTGTGAGCCATCGTGCCCAGCCTGGCTAATTTTTTAAATTTTTTTTGTAGAGATGAGGGTTTCACTATGTTGCCCAGGCTGGTCTTGAACTCCTGGCCTTGAGCCATCCTCCCTCCTCAGCCTTCCGAAGTGCTGGGATTACAGGTGTTTGTCACTGTGCCCAGCCGGGATCCTTTTATATTTTGAAATTTTTTTGAGGACACCAAAGAGCTCTTGTGTATACCTATCTTACCTATTGATATTTAGCATCTTAGGAGTCAAAACCAGGCTAGGCACAGTGGCTCATGCCTGTAATCCCAACACTTTGGGAGGCTGAGGTGGGAGGATGGCTTGAGGCCAGGAGTTCAAGACCAGCTTGGGCAACATAGTGAGACTGTTGTCTCTACAAAAAATTTAAAAATTAAAAAAAAAAAAAATAGCAGCCAGACGCAGTGGCTCACACCTGTAATCCCAGCACTTTCAGAGGCTGAGGTGGGTAGATCACCTGAGGTCAGGAGTTTGAGACCAGCCTGACCAACATGGCAAAACCCCGTCTCTACTTAAACAACATAAATATTAGCTGGGCATGGTGGCATATACCTGTAATCCCAGCTACTCGGGAGGCTGAGGCAGGAGAATTACTTGAACCCAGGAGGTGGAGGATGCAGTGAGCCGAGATCATGCCACAGCACTCCAGCTCCCACCTGAGTGACAGAGCAAGACTCTGTCTCAAAAGAAAAAAAAAAAGCCAGGCATAGTGGTGTGGTGGTGTGTACACCTGCAGTCCCAGCTACTCAGGAAGCTGAGGTGGGAGGTTCACTTCAGTCCAGGAGGTCAAGGCTGCAGTGAGCCATGATCGTACCACTGCACTCCCAGCTTGGGCAAGAGAGAGACTCAGTCTCAAAAACAAACAACAACAACAAAGCAAAACTGTTCAAGTGGCATTGTTCCACATTTTTTTAGGTTTCTAATGTCTGGATTCGCATGTCAGCTCTGCATTTGGTCTGTTGTATCACATGTCATGTAGGCTCTGGCAAACACTGTACAGTCATAAGCAAATGAAAGTGAAAAAGGCAAATCACATCTTAGTATTGTGAACATGTTTTGACTCTGAAGATCCTTTGAAAAGGTCTTAGGGAGCCCTGCGGGTCCTCAGACTACACTTGCAAAACCACTGATTTAATAATATAAAGGTTGAGTGAGAAAATTCCTGCTAAACGGTTTGGAGTCAGGGGAAGAAGCTGACCCTGAGTTAGACCCCAAGTTTGGCCCACACCCCAAAAAGTGAACTCAAGAGAGGGTTCAACTAATTGTATCTGACATTCTGTCCAACTCTCACACTGTGTGTGTGGCTTCACTTTAATTCAACAGGTATCAAGCACCTACCAGGCACTGGGTCTCCAGAGGATACAGATAAAGAGATGGTCCCTGGAATCATGGAACTTACATTCACTTGATTTCTGGGGGCTACATCAGGGCAGGGCAAGGCCCACTGCCAAGTCTCTTGGTGTGGCATCAGGCTTGCAGGTGTGGGAGAAAGGGCCCGTTTCCACTTCCATCAGAGGGAGACACCAGGCATCATATCATATCCTCTCTTCCTTCCCTCTTGGACCAGTATGCTGAGTGGTCCCCATCTTGCTCCTAATTTAAAGTCCCTGTCGGTCAGTTTACCTGCCTTCTCTGAGTTCTGATTCACCACCCACTGCTTCCTTCCTGGATGATCACAGCACACGTTCCCTCCCTTGCTACCTAGCACTCAGCAGCTTTGAAGTCCATGTTGCTGTCTGAAATAATGGATTTCACAGGTCCCTCCAACCTCCACTGCACTGATCTTCATCCCTGACACTGCTACCCTTGAGGGCCTGAGGTCCCCCTCTCCTTTACCCACTTAGCCTTCTGGTTGGTGACACTTTACTTCCCAAAGCTCTTTGAAGCGCCCTTAGCTCATCTTCCCTCCAAATATTCACTCCTTATTATTTCCTGGCTGCTAATCCTCTGCTTCCACTATCCTGAAAAATACTTCATGAGCCCCACTGCTCTCACCACCAAGCATTGTTTCTCTTGTCATCCACTGCCAAACTTCCTGCCACCTCTGTGGCTCCACTGCCTGCTTCTGCAAACCTCAGCGTGCTCCCTGCTTTACTTTTCTCCTTGGACATACTTGGTGCCTGTATTCTCTATCAGAATATAAGCTCTATGAAAGCTGGGATTTTAAAATTTTACTTACTGCTGAATCCTCAGCTCGTAGATCAATGTCTGGCATAGTAGGCCCTCAAGTATTTGTTGAATGAGTGAATGACTTGTTCCCCACTAAACTGTAAACTCCGTGAGGACAGGAGCTTTGTTTTGTTCATGTTCTAGCCTCTGTGCCCACTACAGTGCCTAACACCTAGTAACTGTGCAAATTTTTTTTTTTTTTTTTTTTTGAGATGGAGTCTCGCTCTGTCACCCAGGCTGGAGTGCAATGATGCGATCTTGGCTCACTGCAACCTCCACCTCCCAGGTTCAAGTGATTCTCCTGCCTCAGCCTCCCGAGTAGCTGGGACTACGGGCGTGTGCCACCACACCCAGCTAATTCTTTTGTATTTTTAGTAGAGATGGGGTTTCACCATGTTAGCCAGGATGGTCTTGATCTTCTGACCTCATGATCCACCCGCCTCGGCCTCCCAAAGTGCTGGGATTACAGGCGTGAGCCACTGCACCCGGCCACTTAATATTTACTGAATTAAGGATGAATCCAGTTACCAGGTAAATTACGTGATTTTTTTTTTTGGAAGCTGCTTTGTCTAGTTTATAAGTTTGCTTATTGTCTTTTGCATCTGTCCCTGCTGTTACCTTACACCCAGGCTTCAGCAATAACCTTTAAAGCTCTGCAGCTGAAATCCATCCTGCACCCTGCCAGATTACTTCACTAAAATATTTTGAGATTGCCTCTTTGCTCAAAAACTTTCAATGCCTCCTCATCGTATTAATAGTTTCTAATGTGCAAACAGGTGGTGTTGCAAAAGTTCATCTGTAAGTTAGCTGTTCAGAGCAGTGGAACAAAGTTTCCCATTACTGGACACACTGATCCTTTAGGTCACACAAGTTTACATATGTATACAGTGAGAAGGAGAAAGAAAGCTTAACATAACTCATCACTGAACTGTAGTTTAAATAAATGTCTAACAATGTTTCCAGAAGAAAATGTGCTGATTCATTTTGAGATGCCAGGCACATACCCTGGCCTGCAGGGAATTCCCCTCCAAGCCAAATGATGATTCTCATAGACTGTGACAGGGACTGTCTAAATAGACACTCAAAGCTCTCCTATTCCAGTGCCATCATGACATCTTTATGATAAAATCTTCTCCCCATCATTCTAACTAAAAGCTATAGCTTTCCTCCTCTGAAGTCTAGACTGCATATCTGACAGCTTTTCTATCTACTGTATTGTCTTATACTTTCAATTTCCTCATGAGTATGTCTTAACTCTTGATGAGGCTGTGAACTGGTGAGAAAAGGCTCTGTTCCTTTTTTTTTTTTTTTTTTTTTAAGACGGAGTCTTGCTCTGTCGCCTAGGCTGGAGTGCAGTGGTGCAATCTCGGCAACCTCTGCCACCCGGGTTCAAGCGATTCTCCTGCCTTAGCCTCCCGAGTAGCTGGGATTACCGGCGCCTGCCATCGTGCCCGGCTAATTTTTTTTATTTTTAGTAGAGATGGGGTTTCACCATCTTGGCCAGGCTGGTCTTGAACTCCTGACCTCGTGATCCTCCCGCCTCAGCCTCCCAAAGTGCTGGGATTATGGGTGTGAGCCACAGCGCCCGGCCTAAGGCTCTCTTCTTATAACCTCTGCAATCCGTGGCACATAAACACTCATTAAATAGTTACCAAAGAAATGAAGGAATTTATGCCGATTGCTTTCCAGATGACACATGCAGGCAAAGTCAGGAATCTGGTTTTAATGGCCAATTTGGATTTATTTCCCAAAAATATCCTACAGCCTTATTATCAGGAAGCTGCCTTGAAAATGTGTGCTAGAGTCTACAGTAGGAAATGGCTCAAAGTATGAATCAGTGCAAAATGACCTTGAGTAACATTGGTTACAGTCTGTCACATGCCTACATGTGCCAGGTAATTTACAAACATAACTCTAAAACAACCATTCTGTGAGGAAACGGGGGCTTTGAGATAGTGTGATGTGACTTACCTAAGATCACAAAGCTTTTAAGGGATGGAGGCCAGGATTCCAAAGCTAGCATTGGAACGAAAGTCTTCCCGACACCAGCCCAGGTTGTGAAGATGAGCTAGGAGGACCTACTGCCTCGCTGGCTGGTTAGGGCTGGGCGTGCCTCCCTGGTGGAAGGAAGGTACATACCTTCCTTCTCCCCCTCTATTTCCTAAAACTGCTGAGTCAGAGGATGGCCCTAACCTTCCCGACCAAGGGGGACTTTCTATCGGGAGCACATGAGCAGCTCTTCTCCCTAGCCAGTACCTTCAGATTCCAAGCTCATGTTATTTCGATATCACCACACTGATTCTCAGCTCCCGGAAAAACAACTCAAGGCTTGAGTCAGACACTCCATGTGTTGTTCAATGATCCCGCCTGCAACAATGTTTATTATAACCAAAAAATATAAACAGCATGAATGTCTATTAATAGCGGAGTGGTTAAATAATAGTACATCCGATGGTTATCGGATGGAGTACCATACCACGCAGATGTTAAATGATAAAAGTGTACTGTTAAATAGAAAAAGCAAGGTATGTACATATATGTTTGTACAGGCAAAGGAAATTCACTGGGGGGCACTTATTCATTCAACAAATATGTGTTAAGCATTTTAAGGTTACCTGTGAAACTAACAGGGGTTACCTGTGAGGAGTGCTTCAGAAGGAAAAATAGTAACTTGTACTTTTCAGTAAACTTCTGCACATAATTTTAAGGACGAACATTGTTTTTTTTTTTTGAGACGGAGTTTCGCTCTTGTTGCCCAGAATGGAGTGCAATGGCGAGATCTCAGCTCACTGCAACCTCCGCCTCCCGGGTTCAAGCGATTCTCCCGCCTCAGCCTCCCGGCATTGCTTTTTATAAAGTCAAAAGAAAAGGAAGTTTGATAAAACAAGTAGAACTATCCGATAAATACTCGCCTGGAAAGGGACAGGATTATAAGAAACAGGTAATAAGGAGCTTAAAACCCTCTGCAGTTCTGCAGTGAGGATGGTCGTGGGGGCATACAACTTTCCGTTTCAGGTCAGTTTAGGTAGGGCAGGTGGGAACTCACTCTAAAACGAGAAACCGGGGCTGATGACAAAATGCACACGTTTAGCTTCTGGCGGCCCAGGTCTTCCTAGCCGCAGATTCTGAGACGTGTATCTGCAGGTGGTGTGAAATTGAAGCCGGGGGAGCGGTTGCTTTCGGTCTCCGAGGTGCGCCTTGCACACTGGGTCATTCAGCTCCCAGGCTCGGCTCGGAGCTGGACCACTCCCTCCCCTCCACCAAAGAGGCAATGTGGGCTCCAAGAGGTCACAGCGCTGGGATGGGATTTCGACCCCGCGCTGCCCTCAAAGGCCACCTCCTCGCAGCTCTGCTCCCGCCGGCAGCTCCCGTTCTGTCCAACTCGGAAGCCGCCCGCCGCCCTCGGCGTCCACTCCACAGGCCCGGGGCCGGGGCCAGCTCCGCGGGGGAGGGGTCGGTGCGGAAGGGGCGGGGTACCGGGCCTTCCCCGCGCGACTCTGCCTTCTACGGCCCCGGCCCCTGCCTCTGGAAACCCGGAGCTCGTGCGAGCCCCGCCCCACGGTCGCGGCGTGCCTGTCATTTCCTCTCCGCAGGGCGTGCGGGTCTCGAAGATGAGGGAGCAACAACGTCCACGACCGGGCTTCTCCGGCACCTTGGGCTTCTTTCCGCTGGGACTCGACAGCGGCTCGGCTCCGCAAGCTCTCAGCGCCCAGGGTGGCGGCGACGACGCTCCCCGAGGAGACGCGAGGAAGACGGGCCCGCGCTTGCTGGGACTCCGTCAGGGCGCGTGCGCGACCCGGGCGCGGCCGGCTCAGGCTGCGGCTGCGCAAGGCGGTGCCAGACGCTGCGCCTGCGCAGTGGTGGGGCGGGGCGGGAAGGAGGGAGGCGGTGGTAGCGGCGGCGGCTGCTGAGGAGGAGGAGGGGGAGCGGAGGGAGGTGTTTCTGTCAGTTCCGGCTGTTTGTTCGGGAAGTGGATCCGCCGCTGCCGGAGCAGCCCGAAGGGAGCTGCGGATCGCGAGGCCAGTACCGACCCCGCCCGCCCGCGCGCACCGCCCCCGCCCGCCATGGCCCGGGACTACGACCACCTCTTCAAGCTGCTCATCATCGGCGACAGCGGTGAGGGCCGCAGCGGCCGGAGGCGGCGCGGGCCCTGCCGGGCGCGGCCCGCGGGGGCCTCGGGGCGGCAGGCGGGCGGGGAGGTGCCGGCCCGTGCGGGGCGGGCGGGCGGGGCAGCCCGGCGGTCTGGGCCCCAGGGGTGCGCCGAGGGGCTCCGGACCGCGCCGAGGGGAGGTTGGGGCGCGGGGCGGAGGGGCCAAGCGCGCCGGGTCCAGTCATCGCGCCTGTTCCTGCCTCACGTGTGACCTTGGTCAAGTCGCGCGATCTCTGGAGTTGGAGAGACGTGGGTTCGAGTCTCAGGACTACCACCTGCCTCGCGCTGACCTTGGGCAAGTTGCTTCGCCGTCCTGAGCCTCAGTTCCCTCATCTGAGAAGTGGGGATGTGCCTTGCTGGGTGGTGTGAGGATTCGATGGGATAAAGTAGGAAAAGTGCGTAGCGCCCTACCCGGTAAAGTAAGCTCGAAGTAAATGTTCACTATTGTCATTATCATCAGTATCCTTTATAAGCGTCAGTTTCTTCCCATCTAAAATGAGGACGTTCTCAGAACCTGCCTCATGGGATTGCCGTGAGGTTTAAATGAGGTAAGTCGGATAAAGGGCTTTGCACAGGGTCTGGCATATTCCTGCTGAATTATTATATCCCTGCGTGGTTCAGTTTCCTCATCTGTAAGATGGAATGATAGTTGGATCTGCCTTATGGGGTTGATGTGAGTATTAAGTGAGATTCTGCAGTGTTGCTCACAGCTCCTGGCACATAGTGAGTTGTCACTGTTTGCTGTTACACTACTATATACAGAGGGGTCCTGGGGATGGGACAGCCAAAATTATAAAAGTGCTTTGGCCACACACACACACTGCTTGAGGGCTCCTAGCTCTGATCACTGCTCTAGCTCCAGTGCCTAGAACAGTGCCTGGCACCCAGTACATGCTTAAGACATATTTGCAGAAGGAATTAATGAATATTAAGTGTCCTTCGAAAAGGTAGACTGGTTTCTGGGAAAAGGTGGAGGGTTTTAGAGCTGTTTGGAGTGTGGCAGGTGAGCAGGTTTATGGAGTGACCAAGAGGTCAGGAAGGCAGGCCCCAGAAGGTTTATGGGAGCGAAACTGAGGTGCTGGGGTTATATGATGTTCATGAAAGAGTCTTGGGAGCATGCTCAGTTTGTAGACCAGACCTGAGCTGAGTGTGGGGAGGGATGTCTTATGATTGGAGGCAGAGGCCAGGCTGGTGGTAGAGCCCATGGACTGTTAAGGAAAGGGGATCAAATCAAGTGAGCGGTATGACTTGGGATGTAGGAGTGTTGGGTAGCGATGTCAGAGCTAGGTCAGGGAAGTGGGTGGTTTTGGCCTCCCTTTTAAAGCTGGATGGAGATGTGGTTGGTGGTTTGGATCAGGTGAAGGATGGCTGAGGTTTCCGTGGTTGCTGGAGGAGGGGAGAGGTAAGGGGGAAAGCTGGGGGCTAACCAGGGAGATGGAAGAGTAACTGAGGTTGGGGAAGGAGGTAGAAAGGTGGAGTACTGACTGGTTATGGTTTGAATGAAGGGAAACCAGGCAAGCTCTGGAGTGTTCTCTTGGAGATGGCCTTTGGTATTCTTCAGGGTCTTGAGGCTTCTTCCTTTACATGATTTCCTTGCAGCCCTGGCCTGGGTTCTGAGGGACTGGCACTGGGGCCATTTCTCTCTTTTTGGAGTGACAGCCCGCCGTGGTCAGGAGCCTTTATCCCTCTGCAAGACATCTGGACCTCTGCGTTGATATCCAACAGTGAAAAGCCTAAACTCAGCAGGAAGATGCAGCTTGTTGGCTCTTCTCCTCTGTAAAGCCCAGGGGATGGGTTTGGCCCGCTTTCTCACAGTACATTTTGTGTGATGAATTGATTTTTCTCTCCGAAGTCAGGTGTGGGAGAAGACTCATTGGGTCGAGATTTATGTGGTCTAGCTCCTAGGTCAGCCATGTAGGCGTAGGTTGTGCAGAGGAGATGGATGCTGTGCTCTTTGATTTCTCCCGACATTGAGATCCTCAAAGCTGGGAGATGGTAGCCATGGAAGTCCAGACTAAGCTTTGGCAGCTGAGCCCAGAGACTGACATTACACACTCCCCTGAACTGGGCTCCTTGTGTGAATGCCTCCTTAAGATATGTTGAACGATTTCACAGACGCTTATTCTCACCCGCCCCCTGTGTGATTTGTCAAATAAGGAAACTAAGGCTTAAGGCCGGGCGCGGTGGCTCACGCCTGTAATCCCATCACTTTGGGAGGCCAAGGCGGGCAGATCACCTGAAGACAGGAGTTTGAGACCAACTTGGGCAACATGATGAAACCTCGTCTCTACTAAAAATACAAAAGTAGCCGGGCATGGTGGAATGTGCCTGTAATCCCAGCTACTTGGGAGACTGAGGCAGGAGAATCGCTTGAACCTGGTAGGCGGAAGTTGCAGTGAACCAAGATCGCACTATTGCACTCCAGCCTGGGCGACAAGAATGAAACTCCGTCTTAAAAAAAAGGAAACTGAGGCTCAGAGGAGGTGACTTACTTGCCCCAAATCACATAGCTCAGCAGGGGCAAAGCCGGGAGCCACTGCATCTCAGTGCTAATACGTGTGCGAGCAGCTCATGTCAGGGCTGGCAAACAATAGGCCCTCCATGAATGCTGGTTTCTTTCTTCATAAATCTAGAGTTCTGCCCACTCTGCACATTGTGGATGCTTCTGCAATGGATTCCCTCAATCTCTGCATCCCTTCGTTATGCCGGAGGTTCTATATTTTCTTTTTTTCCTTTTTTTTTTTTTTGAGACGGAGTCTCGCTCTGTCGCCCAGGCTGGAGTGCAGTGGCGCGATCTCGGCTCACTGCCGGCTCCACCTCCCCGGTTCACGCCATTCTCCTGCCTCAGCCTCCCGAGTAGGTGGGACTACAGGTGCCCACCACCATGCCCGGCTAATCTTTTGTATTTTTAGTAGAGACAGGGTTTCACCATTTTAGCCAGTATGGTCTCTATCTCCTGACCTCGTGATCCGCCCGCCTCGGCCTCCCAAAGTGCTGGGATTACAGGCGTGAGCCACCGCGCCCGGCCAGTTCTGTATTTTCTATACTTTCCCTTATACTCTCTGACACTGGCTTTGATTTGTAACAGCATGTCGTCTGCATCCCTCAGGCCAGCCATCCTCATTTGGAGATGGAGTTAGCCCTTCACTTGACAGATGAGTAAATTGAGGCTCAGAGAGGGGGCGTGACTTGTGTGAGGTTATACAGTGAGGTGGTGGCTGAGGCAGGTTTAAAATTGAGAACATGGCTGGGGGCAGTAGTTTGTCCTAGTGCTTTGGGAGGATGAGGCGGGAGGAACACTTGAACTCGAGACCATAGTGAGAGCAACATAGTGATAGCGAGACCCCATCTCTTAAAAAAAAAAAAAAAAAAAGGCCGGGCACAGTGGCTCACACCTGTAATCCCAGCACTTTGGGAGGCCGAGGTGGGCAGATCACCTGAGGTCAGGAATTCGAGACCAGCCTGGCCAACATGGTGAAACCCTGTCCCTACTTAAAACACAAAAAATTAGTTGGGTGTGGTGGTACGCACCTGTAATCCCAGCTACTCGGGAGGCTGAGGCAGGAGAATCATTTGAACCCAGGAGGCGGATGTTGCAGTGAGCCGAGATCGTGCCACTGTACTCCAGCCTGGGGGACAAGAGCGAGACTTCATCTCAAAAAAAAAAAAAAAATCAGTTGGGCGTGGTGGTGCACATCTATAGTCCCAGCTATGTGGGAGGCTGAGACAGGAAGATTGTTTTAACCCAGGAGTTCAAAGTTACAGGGAGTTAGGATCACACAACTGCACTCCAGCCTGGGTGACAGAATGAGACACTGTCTCAAAAAAAAAAAAAGGTCCAGGCACGGTAGCTCACACCTGTAATCCCAGCACTTTGGGAGGCCGAGGTGGAGGATCACTTGAGCCCAAGAGTTTGAGACCAGCCTGGGCAACATAGGGAGGCCCTGTCTCAACAAAAAGAAGAAAATTAGCAGGGCATGGTGGTGCACGCCTGTGGTCTCAGCTACTTGGGAGGCTGAGGTGGGAGGATCTCTTGAGTCTGGGAGGTTGAGACTGCAATGAGCTATGATCACGCTGCTGCACTTTAGCCTGAGCAACAGAGCAAGATCCTGTTTCAAAAAAAAAAAAAAATATCGAGAACAGTTCACTGAAAGGTCAGGGCTCTTCAAGAGGTTGAACTGAAGCAGAGAGGAGTGAGGGGGCCATAGCCCAGGCAGGAGCAGGAGGAAGGGAAGACATGTGTGTGGCTTGCGTGGTGAGGACCAGATACAGCAGCCAGGGGTAAAAGGCCGGGAGCAGTAGCTCACTCCTATAATCCCAGCACTTTGGGAGGCCGAGGCAGGCGGATCACTTGAGGTCAGGAGCTCGAGACCAGCTTGGCCAATGTGGTGAAACCCTGTCCCTACAAACAATACAAAAAATTAGCTGGGCGTGATGGCGGGCGCCTGTAATCCCAGCTACTCCGGAGGCTGAGGCAAGAGAATCGCTTGAATCTGGGAGGTGGAGGTTGCAGCCAAGATCGCGCCACCGTACTCCAGCCTGGGCGACAGAGTGAGACTCCATTTAAAAAAAAAAAAAAAAGAATGACAGGCTGGACTGGTTGGGGTCATGCTGATGTGCCCTTGGGCAGCCTCGGGGGTGGCTGTGGTGAAGGTTGGTGGGTGCCCTCTGCTCCTGCCCTGACACTGATGGTGTGGGGTAATGGCTGCAGCTTGTGTTTCCGAGGAAGCCTCTTCCAGGGATATTTAGGAGGTAGTGTTTCTTGGGGTGGGTTTCTGTTCCTCTCAAAGGGAGAGCAGTGTCAGAGGTTGGTGTCAGGTCCAAAGCAGCAGATAATGTGGTGATGGTTGTGGTCTTTCTGCAGCCTAGTGGCTTTTTTTTTTTGAGATGGAGTCTCGCTCTGTCGCCCAGGCTGGAGTGCAGTGACACGATCTCAGTTCGCTGCAACCTCCGCCTCCTGGGTTCAGGCGATTCTCCTGCCTCAGCCTCCCGAGTAGCTGGGATTACAGGCACGCACCACCACGCCCGGCTAATTTTTGTATTTTTACTAGAGGTGGGGTGTTCATCATGTTGGCCAGGATGGTCTCGATCTCTTGACCTCGTGATCTGCCCACCTCGGCCTCCCAAAGTGCTGGGATTACGGGTGTGAGCCACTGCGCCTGGCCAGCCTAGTGGCTTTTAACTGCTCTGCCGAGACGCCTGGGGACAGTATGGGGACCTGGAGAGGCCAAGCTGGAGGGGATACTGCTGTGTCATTGCAGAGAGAGCTGTTTTACACATGGGATTTGGGTAAAGCTTGGATGAAGAAAAGGATTCTGCTGCCCTGCAGAAGTTTGGAAACCCCTGCTTAGGCGCCTGCTGTGCTGCAGTGGGAGCGCTGGATAGCAGAGCTGTCAGTGTGGCGGGCGTTCGTTTAGGCAGAAATTCATTAAGCAGTGTTTGGTTGGCACCTACTAAGTGCTGGGCCTGGCTTACAGCACTGTGAATGCACAGGGCGGGTGAGGCGAGGGCTCTGTCCTAGAGGAACTCCCAGACTCAAGCTTTTAGCTGAGTAAGCTGGACCCAGAAGGCTCCAGGAGGAAGCAGAGGAGGCGGCGAGGCCAGTGGGGTGCTGGTGTTGGGCACAGCGCCGTGAAGGACCCAACCCGGGACTCGGGCTCTCCTTGAGCTCAGCAGGAAGCCTCACGGCGGAGCAAGGAGGAAGTGGCCCTGAGCATGAGCCCTGCAGGCCCAGGCTGAGCAGCGTCTGCCTGCCCAGGAGAGCCTCACCCTGGCCTGTCTTTAGGAAAGTAGGACCCAGGCTTACTCAGTGAAACAAGTTCTTCTGGGCATCGTGGGGCAGCTCACTCACCAGGAGAAGCTCCCAGAAGAGATCTTTAGAGGATTGCCCAGAGAGGATGCTGGGGTTAGGCTTAGGGAAATACAACTGCGACAGTGGTTTTCCGCTTTGGTTACTTGGTAGAGTGCAGGTGGAGGCAGTGCCCTTCTTGAGAATCTATTAAAATTGTGGAGCCAAATGCAGTGGCTCAGGCCTGTTAGCCCAGCACCTTGGGAGGCAGAAGCGGGCAGATTGCTTGAGGCCAGGAGTTTGAGACCAGCCTGGGCAATATAGTGAGAGGCCATCTCTACAAAAAATTTTTAAAGAGTTTGCTGGGTGTGGTGGCGAACACCTGTAGTACTTGGGGATTTCAAGGTTAGAGTGAGTTATGATCGCACCACTGCCCTCCAGCCTGAGAGACAGAGTAAGGCCCTATCTCTCCAAAAAAAAAAAAAATGCTGTGGGCTTCTCCCATGAACAGACACCTAGGCTCAAATCTGCACTTTGTTTCAGGGGGTTTCATAGCTTTCGTGGCATTTTCATTAAAAATCTAACAGGAGTGAGATGTTGGAGCCCCCACAGGTCATTTTTTCCAAACTTCCTGAACCAGACGCAAGACTCCCAGCAATGTGTATTGGGAGGAGTGTTAGCACTCTGGAGGAGTCCGGCCTGGATGCAGATCTCAGCTTTACTGCTGCTCACAGAGGCACTTAGGCCGGCCACTCTGGGCCTGAGGTTCCTCATCTCAAGAGATGTGGCCAGAATTATAATCAAAGAGGCATCCAAGGGCTCACCACACACACAGCCCGATGCATGTGAATTCTTTGTGGTCAATTAACTTGGCTGGCCTCAGGGGTGTTGGAGATTGGGGACAGGATAGGAGGACATGGAACAGGTGTACTTGGCAGGCTGAAAGCACTGTGAGTTGAAGTCAAGGGGAGAGGTCCAGGCGCAGTGGCTCATGCCTGTAATCCCAGCGCTTTGGGAGGCCCAGGCGGGAGGGTTGCTTGAGGCCAGAAGTTTGAGACCAACTTGGGCAACATAGCAAGACCTCGTCTCTACAAAAGATTAAAAAAAAAAAAAAAAAAAGCCTGGGCAACGTAGCCAGACTCTGTCCCTACTAAAAATAAAAAAATTAGCTGGGCATGATGGTATGCACATGTGGTCCCAGCTACTCGGGAGGCTGAGGTCAGAGGATCACTTGAGCCTAGGAGTTGGAGGCTGTGGTGAGACATGATTGCACCATTGTACTCCAGCCTGAGTGACTGAATGAAACCCCATTTTTTTTTTTTTGAGACAGAGTTTCGCTCTTGTTGCCCAGGCTGGAGTGCAGTGGCATGATCTCAGCTCACTGCAACCTCCGCCTCCCGGGTTCAAGTGCTTCTCCTGCCTCAGTCTCCCGAGTAGCTGGGATTACAGGCATGTGCCACCACGCCCAGCTAATTTTGTATTTTTAGTAGAGACGGGGTTTCTCCATATTGGTCAGGCTGGTCTTGAACTCCCGACCTCAGGTGATCCGCCTGCCTCGGCCTCCCAAAGTGCTGGGATTACAGGCATGAGCCACCGCGCCTGGCCTGAAACCCCATTTCTTTACAAAAAAAGTGGGGGAGGCCAGATGTGTACATGTTTGTGCTCTAAGCAGCCAGGAGCTGCTGTGGCTGGTGCATGGTCTGAGCACATGTGGGCTGCTGCCCTGATGGGTATAAGGCAGACCCTCCACTCCACCAGCCCACCCGGCGGGGACATCAGCCAGAAAGATGGTAGCCATTGAGTTCTAGCTATGTGGGCCTTGGTTTCCTCACCTGCAAAATAGCCCTGATGATCTCAAGGGTCCTTTCCCGCTCTACAGCTCTTCATTTTGGGCGGCTCCCTAACTGATGTGCTACAACGTGCTGTGCACTTTTCTAGGGACCATGTTGTAGACGCACTTGGGGGCCGTTTCGTGTGGTTGACCTTCATTCTGCTTTGTCGTCTGGCATCTCCCTTTGGGCCAGCCCTCAGCCTAGGGCCTGGGCACCAGTCCCTTTCTCATCTCTCCCCCAGGGGATTTGGGAGCAGCTTGTCTTACACAAGGACGAAGGAAAAGGTCAGGGATCGAGTGGAAGAGATGTTCTTGGTGTGTGGCCGCTCAGGGAGGTGGAAAGAGCATTGAGAAGTGAGCTGGGTCCCACCGAGCTTCTTAAGAGTTGGGACTGAGGCATCCTCTCCCGGAAGAAGGGCTGGGGCTGCGGGGAGGGGACCCACCTGCCCCCCTCATCGCAGTGCTTTCTCTCTTGCAGGTGTGGGCAAGAGCAGTTTACTGTTGCGTTTTGCAGACAACACTTTCTCAGGTGAGTCCTCCCCTGCAGTGCTGCTGGGGTGTCGTTTTTGTTTGTTTGTTGACATCCCCTCCCTGGCACCAAACAGAGTTGCCTCTGCCTGATGTTGGGAACTGTCTCATTCTGGTTGCCAGAGGAGGGAAGAAGATGGAGTGGGGCTTAGGACCTTGTGGCGCTTCTGTCAGAAGCCTCTGTGGTCTGTCTAATGCACCTGCTCACGAAAACCCTTTGGCTGGCCCATCATTTTCCCACCCATGGTCCAAACAGGAAGGTTCCCATAACAGCGTCTATGGTGCCACCCGGGACACAGTCCCTGCTCCTGCCCCCTATGCCTCCCTGGCAGCCTGTGGTCAGCGTGTGTCTTTCTGATTTCTTTCTGCGCTCCACATGCAGGCCTTTGTGGTTCATCTGAGTGCGGTGGGCTTTCTGTGCTTGAAGGCACCACATGGTGCACTGACGCTGCTGTTACATCGTGCCTGACTTCTGGTTGTGTTTTCAGCGATGCTTAGCTACTTGGGATATAGGCGATATTTATTCTTTTTTTTTTTTTTTTTTTTTTTTTGAGATGGAGTCTTGCTCTGTCACCCAGGCTGGAGTGCAGTGGCGCGATTTCGGCTCACTGCAACCTCTGCCTCCTGGGTTCAAGCAATTCTCCTGTCTCAACCTCCCAAGTAGTTGGGACTATAGGCACCTGCCACCACGCCCGACTAATTTTTATATTTTTAATAGAGATGGGGTTTCACCATGTTGGTCAGGCTGGTCTCGAACGTCTGACCTCAGGTGATCCACCCACCTTGGCCTTCCAAAGTGCTGGGATTACAGGCGTGAGCCACTGCGCCCAGCTGATACTTATTCTTGTGCACGTGTTTCTGTAGAAGTGGGGTTACTGGCTTACAGGGTGTATGCACTGAGAATTTTCATAGGTACTGCCAACCTGCTTTTCAAAGAAGCTGGAGTCATTTAATCCAGTCCCACTGAAGGGTGGAAAGTGCCCCTTGTCAACCCTGGTCAGTGCTGGATCTTAGTAGCTGTCTTCATTCTTGCTGAGCTGATAGGCAAAAAGGGCTAACTTGTTTACATTTGTATTTCCCTAATCACTGGTAAGATGGAACACATTTTTGTTTGTTAAATACATCAGGTTCAGCCGGGTGCGGTGGCTCACACCTGTAATCCCAGCACTTTGGGAGGCCGAGGCGGGTGGATCATGAGGTCAGGAGTTCGAGACCAGCCTGACCAACATGGTGAAACCCCGTCTCTACTAAAAATACAAAAATTAGCTGGGCGTGGTGGTGCATACCTATAATCCTAGCGACTGGGGAGGCTGAGGCAGGAGAGTTGCTTGAATCCGGGAGAGGGAGGTTGCAGTGAGCTGAGATGGCACCACTGCACTCCAGCCTGAACGACAGAGCGAGACTCCATCTCAAAAAACAACAAAAAAAATCAGGTTCATTACAGATGCTTTGGGTGGGGTTGACATCTCTGATTATCTTGTGGAGAATTCCCTCTGACATGGCTGGGCTGCCTTTAGAAAGTGATTCCGTTGGCCAGGCGCGGTGGCTCACGCCTGTAATCCTAGCACTTTGGGAGGCCGAGGCGCGTGGATCATGAGGTCAGGAGATTGAGACCATCCTGGCCAATATGGTGAAACTCTGTCTCTACTAAAAATAAAAAAATGAGTTGGGTGTGGCGGCATGTGCCTGTAATCCCGGCTACTCAGGAGGCTGAGGCAGGAGAATCGCTTGAACCAGGGAGTTGGTTGCAGTGAGCCGAGATCTTGTCACAGCACTCCAGCCTGGCGACAGAGTGAGACTCCGTCTCAAAAAAAAAAAAAAAAAAAGAAAAAGAAAGTGATTCCATAGCTGATGTCTCTTGGTGGAGAAGTGGGTTTTGCCCCCTTTGTTTCCTTGACACTGTCCCTGCAATCTCACTAGTGGTGTGGTGTTAGAAAGAGATGGCTGCTCTGTGTGACCTTAGCCAGTTCATTTGTAAAATAGAAGCCTCAGTTCATGTGTAAAGTAGAAATCATAATGGTCCTTTCCCCATGGGGTTGTTATAGGATGACCTGAGATAGTGCAGGTTGCAGTGCCTGGGACTAAGTAATTGCTCAATAAATACCAGCTATTTGTTGCGACTGGCTGTTAACCTTCTGTTTAAGAATGATAGCTGATTAACAGCCTCTAATTATGCTAAAAAATGTTCCTCTTCCTCCTTAATGGCCTCCTCCCTCCCCATCCCAATCTGTGTTCAGTGCTTGGAGGGCTTGTTGTTGCAATCTCTTCCCACCTTTCCATTTCTACGACCAGCATCTCAGTTTACTGTTGGTTCTACCTGGAAGCATTACGGCAACCCCTACCCACCCTGAACCGCTCATGTGTGTGTCTGGTAGGGTCTTTTCTCTGTTTAAAAACCTCAGTGGCCCCTCTCACCTGCACAGAGTTTACAGTAAGATTTCTTCACTTGGACACTGTTGACCCTTTGGGCCCTGTGATTTTTTTTTTTTTTTTTTTTTTTTGAGACGGAGTCTCGCTCTGTCGCCCAGGCTGGAGTGCGGTGGTGTGATCTTGGCTCACTGCAAGCTCCGCCTCCCGGGTTCACGCCATTCTCCTGCCTCCCAAGTAGCTGGGACCACAGGTGCCCGCCACCACGCCTGGCTAATTTTTTGTATTTTTAGTAGAGACGGGGTTTTACCATGTGAGCCAGGATGGTCTTGATCTCCTGACCTCGTGATCTGCCCACCTCGGCCTCCCAGAGTGCTGGGATTACAGGCGTGAGCCAGCGCGCCGGGTCTGGGCCCTGTGATTTTTGTTGTGGGGCTATCCTGCGTGTCGAAGGATGTTGAGCAGCATCCCTGGCCTCCACCCACTAAATGCCAGCAACACTTCCCTCCCCCTGCTGTGACAACCAAAAATGCCTCCAGACATTGCTGAGTGTCCTTTGGAGGGACAGTCATCCCGGCTGAGAACCACTGCGCTCGTAGTCTGTTTTCAGTTCGCCTTTCTGGCTTCCTCCTACCCCCTGGTCATTCTTTTGTTCTTTGGCTTGCTTGGTTCGTTAGCCACCAGCTGTTTCTGGGGAGCCTAACTGTGCTAGGCAGTGGGCTGCACTCCTTGGCGTTCCCCTGGCTGGAAGACCCCGGGTGCTGGCCGCTTTTCTGAATGTGTTCTGGTTGCGTATCATCCTCAGCTATTTGCTTTTGAGTGGGATGTCGTTCCCCTACCTAATCTCAACCTTTGAAGTCTTACCTGTTCTTTCAAGCTAGGCCCAGATGTGACGTCCTCCCTGAAGCCTGCCTTGTTCCCCACCCCACCTTGGAATTTGACCTTTCCTACGCCCTTGCCACATTTCACATAATTGTGTGTGTGTGTGGTGTCTCCTGCACTGTTATAGCATAAGCCCCAAATGGAGTGAGAAGCTGTGCTCTTCCTAGTGTCAGGCTTTGGAAAGCTGGACTGGGCAATTACACCGGCTAGAAATTCTCCTCAAATCCATCTTTCAGGCCGGGCACGGTGGCTTGTGCCTGTAATCCCAGCACTTTGGGAGGCTGAGGCAGGCGGATCACTTGAGGTCAGGAGTTTGAGACCAGCCTGGGCAACATGGTGAAACCCCGTCTGTACTAAAAACACAAAAATTAGCCGGGCGTGGTGGCGCATGCCTGTAGTCCCAGCTACTCAGGAGGCTGAGGTGGGAGGATTATCAGACCCTGGGGGAAGGTCAAGGGTGCAATCCCACTTCACTCCAGCCTGGGCGACAGAATGAGACGCTGTCCCCCCCCCACCAAAAAAAATCCATTTTTCCCACAGATGCTGCAAGAGAGCTATTTAAAATGCAGCAGCTCATGCCACTGATTAAAACCCTTTGGTGCCTCCCCAGCACACACGAGAGAAAGTCCACGTTCTTGGAAGTGGCACACAGGTCCAAGATCTGGCCTCGCCACTTTCTGCCTGCCTTGGGCGGCAGGCTTGACCTCATGTGACCGCCCCCACTCACGGCTGTTTTTGCTACTGTCTCCCCTGCCTGGAGCAGTGGCTTTCAGACTGCAGCTCATGACCTATTTGTGTGTTTGGAAGTGAATTTTGAGGGCCCTAAATTTTTTTTGACTTGAATAGAAAAGAAAAACCCAGAGTGCCCGTAGGTCTACCATTCTCAGACATAGCTGGTGTGTCCCCATCTAGCCACTCTAAAGGAGCCTGTCCCACTCCCGCCAGTCCCATCCCGTGTTATTTCCTATGTGTCACTTTTCACTCTCGGAAATTGTCCTCTTTGTTTGTTTGCTTGCATCCTGTCTCCCTCCTTCACTTGTGTGTGGAGGGGCCTTGTGAACAAGGATGTTCAGGGCTGTGTCCCTGGGACCTAGAATGTACCAGGCACATGTAATGAGTCGGGAGGGTGGGGGAGCCTGGGGGTGTGTTGTGTGCAGCGTGGGGCTCAGGGCCTGGGAAGATACCGCGCTGGGCCTCGTTAACTGCCCTGTGTGTGCAGGCAGCTACATCACCACGATCGGAGTGGATTTCAAGATCCGGACCGTGGAGATCAACGGGGAGAAGGTGAAGCTGCAGATCTGGGACACAGCGGGGCAGGAGCGCTTCCGCACCATCACCTCCACGTGAGTCCACACGCCCACTCCCACCCAACCCGCGCCACTGACCTGTGGACACAGTTGAGCGACCGGTGCCTGGTCATGGTGGAAATGTCACTGGTGGGTCCCTGAGGCTGTCGGGAAGTGAGCCTGTTGTTGGCTGTAGTAGGTGGCGTTTGGCTGCACCCTTCCTGGTCCTGAAGATGTGAGGGGGGTGCTGTGGGGGAGTCGCTGAGCACCCTGGCTGGAGTCTGGCCGGACAGTGGCCATGTTCTATCTCCTTGGAGAGTCAGCCGACCCTCCGGCCCACTGTGCCGTCACCTTACAGAGAGAGCAGAATAGCATTTGCCTCGCTAGGGGGTTGCGAAGTGCCTTGCCCACCCAGGACTTAGTCGCTGACAATTCCTCTTGGTAGGTGTCAGTTATGGCAGCTGGAGTTGGCCTGTGCAGGCTCCCGTCACCTGCACTGATGCCTTGGAAGTGACGCTGTCTAGAGACGAACACGGTGCATGTCAGCAGGCCCTTCCCTACCCTTAAAGCTGTTCCTGGGAAATCCGGCCGCCCACCGGTTGCCCACCTTTGTGGCTGAGCTGCAGGCCGGGGGGAAGCTGGGCTCCTGCGCAGATGGGCAGTGTCCTTCGGAGCGGCTCCTGGTTATTGGGTTGTTAGTGGAGCAGGTTTTAGGAAAGAGCAGGGTCTGAAGGGGCCGATTTGGAGCTGTTGGGCTGTGTGTCCTTAGGCAAGTTGCCGAAGCTCTCTGCGCTCGTTTCCTGGAGGGCCTGCCTCTGGGATTGGCTTCCATGTGGAGGGTGCCAGGTGCTCTGCTGCAGGCGTCAACGTGCGTGCCGGGGTGTGGTGTCTGGCAGCTCTGTGTGCTTGGTGCTGCTGTCATCCCATTTGACAGAGGGCGCCCTGGAGGGGTCCCTCCCAGCGGCCAAGCCTGTGCTCCACACAGTGGCCTGTGCAGAGTGAGGGGCGGCTGTCTGGCTCCACGGGCACCTCCTTGGCTCTCTCGAGCAGCTCCTCTGGAAGTGACCTCAGGAAGGCGAATGAGGAAGTCCCAGCCAGCGGCCCCCTTCCTTCCCACAGCATGAAAGCCCGGCACTCCCCAGGCTGGCTGCCCCTGCCCCCGGGCCCCTCGGCATCTCCCGAGGGTGGGAAGTGTGGGGTGCAGCGCCCCCATGGATGGCTGGGAGTATGGGGGAGAGCAGGGCTGCTGGAGAGGGACAGGTGTGCTGGGCGAGCAGCTCCTGGGGCTGGAGCCAAGGCGGAGGGCTTGTCACTGGGTTCACCCTATGCTGAGCACATTTGTGCTGTGGCCCGTGATGCCCGGAATCCCTGGGAGCTCCCAGTCCCGGGGTCGCCCTGGTGTGGTGCTGTGTGGTGACCGTTGATGAGCCCTGTGAGCGAGGGCTCTGTGGCCTGCATGTCTTGGCAGCTGCCAGTGAGAATCTGCGGAGGACACTGGGGCAGGGCTGGCATCAGTGCTTTGGGCAGCCTGGGGCTGCAGGCCCAGGCGAGGCAAGCCCTCATGCCGTTGGCTGGTCTGGGCGCTGACCTCATGAATCCTTGCTCTGGGTTGGTCCTGTCGCTAGGATTTCAGCTGCTTTATTTTGGTTAATCCCGGTAGAGAGACCTGTGACTATCTCCATTTTATGGACAGGAAAACAGGCCCAGGGAGGATGAAGCCTCCTAACTCAGTGGGGCAGAGGTTGGGGGCACTCAGGGTTGGCCCTGAGTCTGCCGAGGCCCTGCATCGACTGGGCAGGTGGCGCCCCTGCCTTCCTGCCCCGTCCTGTGCCTTAAAACCAGGCGGAGGTTCAGGGTGGCAGAGGTTCAGAGGCCCGTGGCCATGAGGAATGAACTCCTGGGCAGGGCAGTGGGGCCTGGGGGGTCCGAGGCTCTTTCAGCAGGAGGAGCCACAGCCCCTCCCTGCCATCATGCAGTCAGCTGCTTTCTGGGCTGGGCAGAGCGGGAAGAAGGTGAACTGGTTCCTCCATTCCGTGGGGAGGCGGGGAGGAGTCACTCAGCTTCCTGGGAGCAACATGGGTTTTTCCCCAGGGGCTTGGGAAGGGGCGGCCTGTGGGCAGCGGCTGGGCCCCTGCTGCCGTCCCACGTGTCTGGGGAAGCAGACAGGTGGCTCCATCTTAGAGTCCCGCTCTGGCCCTCATGAGGCAGGAGGCCCAGCAGGGCGCCCTGAGGGGCCACTGGAAGTCTCGACGCCCTTTGATGGTCACTGGCAAAGAAGGAAGGAGTTTTGGGGAGGTGAGGAGTTTTCAGGAATAGGGCAGTCAGGATGCAGTAGCGTGACTTTTTTCCGATGCAGGGCGTTCAGAGAGAAACTGAAACTGCATCCTGTTAGCCTGGCGAGAAAAAGCCTTGTGGTCACCCCTTCTCGGGTTCTTGCTCTCAGAAGCTGAGGTTTGCCGGCCCTGAGAGGTGCGGGTGGGATGGAGGTGAGGGGAGAAGTGACAAGGAAGGCAAGGCCCTGGCGTTGGGCCTGGGAGTCAGCCCTGGGCGCCAGGACTTCCAGCTGGCCGCTGCACTCAGCCTCACGTCCTTGCTGGTCACATGGCCATCCTGAGGTCTGCTGGATCAGGTGGCTGCAGACATTAATAAGGTAATGGATACCAAGCCCCCAGCTCTGTGCCTGGCCTAGAGCAGAGTCCCTGTGAGTGAAGGTGATTCCTGGTGGCCATGGGAAACGTCGGTGCTCCGGTTCCTCCTAGCCAGAGCTCTGAGCCCCTGACTTCATCCCCAGACAAATTCTCT
The DNA here is from genome assembly GCF_000001405.40 of Homo sapiens. Lineage (NCBI taxonomy): Eukaryota > Metazoa > Chordata > Mammalia > Primates > Hominidae > Homo > Homo sapiens. The sequence continues at coordinate 120,101,080 of NC_000012.12, read as the reverse complement.
GCTCTCAGATAAAGCCCCTTTCCTGGGCCCCGGATGAGGCAGAGGCGCCCAGGGAGCCGCGGGGGCTGTGCGCCGGGGCCATGGCTGCAGGCGTTTCTTGGCATCTCTGATCATCTTCAGCAAAGGAGAGTCTGCAGAGCCATCCGCTCCTTGGGCTTCCTCTGCTGGCAGGGGACAGTCGCCTGTTCCTGTGGCTCCGGCGCGCCCTCGCTCTGGAAGGCGTCTGACACACCATGCCATGTGCTGACCCGGCGCTCTCAGCAGCAGCTGCCAAGGCCAGAGCTAGTTCTTGGGCCCAGTGCCAAGAGAGCTTGATCGTCACAGCTACCCCGAAGCCAAGGAGCGACGCTGCCCTGGAAGCAAAGCTGTGGGCAGAATGAAGCCCTGGGAAGAGATCCCAGCGGTCGTGTTGAGGATGGAGCAAGGATGGGGCAGGGGCGGTGGCAGGGGCAGGTTGGGCTTTGTCCCAGGGCTGGGCAGGAGCTCTGGCTCTGCAGCATCAGGGAAGATGCTCAGGGCTGCCCCTAAGCTGCCTGTTGGTTTCCTTCCACCACCTCTGTCTGGGACCACAGATTGTCCTTGAAGGCACATTGATGATGCTGAAGAACGCATACTGACTGTTTACTGCTCCCCCGCCTTGGGGTAATGCTTAGCTCCTTTCTTCCTCATGACCACCCCAGTTAAGGACTAGCCACCTGTGTGCTATAACTGTTGAAGCTGCAAGGTGTGGCAGGGTGAATGCAGGCACCTTCCCAAGGGCCAGCCTTTCAGAGATGGAGCCAGGGTTGGTCTTTGTCCTTAGATCGGGCCTCAGATGTGAAGCATTGGCCAGAGAGCTGATGGGCAGGTGGACAGGAATGGAGCTGCAGCCACAAGTCAGCCTGGCTGCCCCATTCTTGCTCAGCCTGCGCTGACTTGGGCTGTTCCTGAACTGGGGCTTGGGCTGTCCCCATGAACCTCATGGGGGTGGAGGTAATTAGGGCTGGGGCAGGTGGCAGCCAGAAAGCCGGGAGGAAGCGGCCTGTCCACTCATGGTTTGTCTGTGTGCTGTCCTGAGGAGCCCTGGGGTGGAGGTCCCTGCGGCTTTGGGGAGAGGGGACAGAGGGACAGCTCTGGCTGATTGCACAGTGTGGGGCGGGGCTGCCGCCTGGCCTCCGGCTCTTCGACAGCTCTCGGGGAAGCGGAGGCTGTGGTCCCCCTCCTCCTCCGGGGATTGATGTCGTCCTGTGCCACTGGGATGAATGGGGACATGGGGTCTGGAGAGGAGAGTTGGGCCTCCCCTTCCTTCTGGCCTTCCTGGCTGGCCCTGGGCTCTGCATGTTTGGGGTGATGGCTTTGCTGGGCGCCCTCTCCCCAGCCATCCCTGGATGCTTGTGTGGCTTCCATGCTTTTCCTGCCACCTGCACAGATGAGCCAAGAGTAGCAGGAAGGGAGGTGCCTACCTGCCCCAGGGGAGGGGCACAGACTTTGCCAGGGCGTCATGATGGTGTGGCTTCTTGGAAAGGTTCTCTAAAACAGGTTTGAGGAGCAAATATTTTTTTGAATGTTCAAAGACAGTGATAACATGATGTCAAATACAAAAACTGCCTGATTTCCCAAAATAAAGCAAGAACTTCAAAGATGTTTCAAGCCTGCAGCAGACTCTGAACAGCAGGAGGTGACTCCTCAGACCTGCTCTGCTGCCCAGGGGCTGGCCCTCCCGCCCTGTTGGTGCCCCGGGCGGGCAGGGGGAGTCAGTGCTGCCGCAGTAGCCTCTCCTGCTGGCCTGTTGTGGCTCGGGGGCATCTGCCGAGGCTGAGTGAGAGCCCAGGCTCCAGGGCCACCCTCACCTTTTCCGGGTCAGTGTCCTGACGTGGGCAGGTGGGTCCCGGCAAGGGGGTGACTCCTGTCGGGGTTGACATGCTGCCGCACACTCTGGCCCTGCAGGTATTATCGGGGGACCCACGGGGTCATTGTGGTTTACGACGTCACCAGTGCCGAGTCCTTTGTCAACGTCAAGCGGTGGCTTCACGAAATCAACCAGAACTGTGATGATGTGTGCCGAATATTAGGTGAGGCTGCACTCAGGGCCGGGTCGGGGTTGGGTGGGAGAGAGGCAGCCGGCTGCGCCCCTCAGGGCTGCGCTGACTCTGCCTTCGTTTGAAGTGGGTAATAAGAATGACGACCCTGAGCGGAAGGTGGTGGAGACGGAAGATGCCTACAAATTCGCCGGGCAGATGGGCATCCAGTTGTTCGAGACCAGCGCCAAGGAGAATGTCAACGTGGAAGAGGTGAGGCCCTGGGCCACTGTGGCTCTGCCACACACCCGTGGCCGCCTTCTCCATGCTGCTGGCCTGCTTGAGGCATCTAAATGACCAACAGAAAATGTCATAGTAACTGCCATTTATTGAGTGCCTACTATGTGCCAGGCCCTTTAACGATCTTAGTTCATAGTTCAACAGTCCTCTGAGGTAGGTACAATTATACCCACATTTCAAATAGGGAAACTGAGGCTCCAAGTGTTGAAGTAACTCAAGGACCACCACCTGGCTAGTAAGAGACTGAGTAAACCTCTGTCCCACACCAAAGCCAAGCACAGTTTCCACTCCAGTCCTCTGCCTCATTGGCCGCCTTGTGCTGTGTGGAGCCCAGAGGCCTGTGGAAGTCGAGGATCCCACTGCTTCAGGGCACAGGGGCCACACAGCAGCGGGCACAGGCTCCTTTGTAAGTCAGGCTGGTGTCCTGATGCTGGCCCATCCACCTGGGCCTGTGGGCAAGGCTGGTATGACCTTGGGCGGTGACTTCACCTCTCTGGGCCCCACATGCCATGAAGTGGCGTGGAGCAGGCAGACCCCGGGTCACCTATGTCCGTGAACAGCAGGGGCACTTTCATCTGTCATGTCATAAGATTCCAGCTGGGCCGGGCGCGCCGGCTCACGCCTGTAATCTCAGTGCTTTGGGAGGCCGAGGCGGGCGGATCACGAGGTCAGGAGATCGAGACCATCCTGGCTAACATGGTGGAACCCTGTCTCTACTAAAAATACAAAAAAATTAGCCGGGCGTGGTGGTGGGCGCCTGTAGTCCCAGCTACTCGGGAGGCTGAGGCAGGAGAATGGTGTGAACCAGGGAGGCAGAGTTTGCAGTGAGCTGAGATCACGCCACTGCACTCCAGCCTGGGCGACAGAGCGAGACTCCATCTCACAAAAAAAAAAAAAAAAAAAAGATTCCAGCTGAAGGAAAGGGGTTGGTCTCTCTAAAAGAAGGACTGGAAAACCCCTGTGAGATTGACTTCCCCAAGTCCACACAGCTCATGGGCCTCTGATGGTGTTCCTTTTTTCAGACTTATTTATTTGTTGAGTCAGGGTCTAACTCTGTCATCCAGGCTGGAGTGCAGTGGTGTGTTCACAGCCCACTGTAGTCTCGATCTCCTGGGCTCAAGTAATCCTCCCACCTTAGCTTCTCAAGTAGCTGGGACTACAGGTGTGCACCACCACTCCCGGCTAATTTTTGTGTTTTTTGTAGAGGTGGGGTTTTAGCAATGTTGTTCCTTTTTGACCTTTAAATAAAATAATTCACCACCTCCTTCTAGAATAGGCTTTGAAGACATACATACCAAAAATGCACAGGTAGAAAGAGCTGGGCCCCGGAAGGCGGGGAGGCAGCCGTGCAGGCCAGCAGGGGCCTCCTGGCCAGGTCTGAGGCGGGCCCTTCCTCTTTCCTCTCCACAGATGTTCAACTGCATCACGGAGCTGGTCCTCCGAGCAAAGAAAGACAACCTGGCAAAACAGCAGCAGCAACAACAGAACGATGTGGTGAAGCTCACGAAGAACAGTAAACGAAAGAAACGCTGCTGCTAATGGCACCCAGTCCACTGCAGAGACTGCACTGCGGTCCCTCCCCCAGCCCGAGGCCCACGGAGGTTCCTCGGGGGACAGTCTCAGTTTCGTGCCGTTATTTAAAGAATTCTCTCCATGTTTTTGTATCGGGAGGTGCCATCGGCACTTCCTCCCCCGCCCTCCTCGAGTGCCAAGAAGGTGTTGGACCAGCCCGCCCTTCCCTACTGGTGCCCCCTCCTCCCCGGCCAAGGCGCCTGGACCTGGCGAGGACGCTGCCCGCCGAGCGGACTGATTCGCAGAGTCTGTACATAGTGTATATTGCTCTACCCGGCCGCACACCACGTCCTGCTCTGGCTTTTGCCTTCTTGATGCCAGCCTGCTGCAACAGACCCTCCCCGCGCCCCTCCCCAGCCCATCTTACTGCAAGCAGCGTCCTGAGGAGACAGCGGCACGTTCTAGCTGCGTCTGCGGCCAGCCCGTGCCAGTGGAGTGGGCTCCGCGTTGCTCATTCTCTCCGACAGGTTGTCAGCCTCTGTCCCCGCTGCACAGGGTCTTGCCCCTTCTCCGGGGCCTGTGCCAGCTCCCTTCCCTCCCCGTTGTCCTGTCCCCACAGCCATTCTGGGAGCTGGGGAACCTGGTCTCAAGGCAGGCCCTGCAGTTCCACAGAGGTGGCAGGTCTTGCCCTTTGGCCAACAGATTTCTTGTCCTGCCTTCTAGATGCCTCTGAGCTCCAAACCCAGGGCAGCCATGGCTTCTCATTTACACCAACAGGTTTCAGTTCCAACAGAAAGGTCGGGGTAGGTTCGTGCAGAGATGGGGCTGGCAGGGGGGCTATGGGAGGATTATTTTAACAGATCAAGAAAATGAAGCCAAATCAAGTGAATTAAATTCCTCACAATTATTTTCTTTCCCTGAGGTTTGATTGGCACAGCAGCAAAAGTTGAGGCCACCCCACTTGTGTCCACTGTTTTTAGAAAAAAATGAATGGCTTCCTGCCATTGTGGGGCTGGACTCTTGGGCTTTCTTGGTGGGAGCGGAGAAGGGGCCTCCCACCCTTGTCCGAGTTGCCTCCCACTGGAGGTCAGGAGTCTACACTGCAGCCTCGGGCACTGTGGGGAGTGCATGCCTGGGGCCTCTGGGTGGGGACCATGGACAGGCCCTGGTCACTGTCCTAACCTTTGTCAGGACAAAGGTAGCAAGAGGATTTCCTGGCGGGTGGGAAGGAATGGCTGGGGCGGCCAGTTTTGACACGCCCCAGTGCCCTGGAGAACAACCAGGGTCATCTGCACTTGATGACTGCTCCCCGACCCCCAGCCCGGACACCTCATTCCCCTCCCACTACAGGGATCAAGTGACCTGGGAAGAACCGAGTTTAACACCAGGATGTGTTTCCTTAGATTTCCTTTCCTAGGCGATTTCCAGGGAGAGCCCTGATTGGACAATCACATCACAGATCACACTGCAGTTTCCATGTTAGCACTGTGGATGGGTTTTTAATCAATAAAAACTGGGGGTTTCTTCTCACCGACTCTCCACTTGCCCAAACTGCCAAAAGCTGGTGATTCTGGGACAGGCCTTCACTTTGGAGCCACGGGATGGGGTGGGGGAGCCCCATGGGCCTGGGAAGGAGGGTGCTGTGGAGGGGGCTGCAGGGCTGACCAGCAGGCAGCCTCATCTGGTCGGGGGCGGGGGCGGCAGGAGCAGAAGCGGGGTCTCCGTCCTTGGGACTGTCCTGGTTGGCCACGGGCCCTGAGGATGCACGGTGCCTGGGGCTCCTGTGCCGGTGGGCGGGGGGCATGCTGGCCTCTGAGCGATCAGGCGAGGCCAGCGAGGGTGTGCTTGCAAATTCAAGCAATAAGAGGGGGGTTCCTGGGGGCTTCCAGCCCAGGCTAGAAGCCCCCATGGCTTCTGGCAGCTGGACATCAGCCCCAGGTATTGGGGTGATTTTGGTCATGACAGTGTGCCTGTCCCACTGTTACACGCATGAATGGGGGTTATGGGGTGGGGGTGGGGACTCAGGGCTGGACCGACGTCCTAGTGGACCTGATGTGAAATTCCTGTCAAACAAACACCACTTTTCAATGGTTTGCTAGGAGTATTTCTGTATTGAAAGTTTCTAATTATGCTTTTTAAAAAAATACTAAAAATAAAGGTTCAAGCTGCCAAATTTTCTTCCAGGGTCTGTTTGCTCTCCCTCCAGAGATGTGCTGAGTGGCCGTGGCTTCTTCCCACCCACCGTGTCCTGCTCTTCCCTGTTCTTGGCCTAAGTCTTGCACAGGAGCCTGTCGAGGCCCTTGGGACACTTCCAGAAGCCAGGTCCATTTTCTCCATGAACAGGTGGGCCAGGGTTGAGTCTCCCCCTAGTTGGACTGGGAGCACATGTGGTAAGATGCCAGGGGAAGCTCCGTGTTTATCCTCCACATGCCTGGAAGGATGCAGTGGAAGCCTTTGCCTGGCGTGGTTTCTTTCTGGCTTGAAGTTTCTGCCAAGCTTTAGGGCCCTGCTGGCCTGGGAAGCAGCGTTGGCAGGCCTGCCTTGCGGATGGCACGCTGCAGCACTGGCAGGGGGCAGTGCCAGGCGGGAGGGGCAGGGGAGGATGCCCTTCCTGGCCAAATCCCTTGGTTAAGTAAGTACCAGCATCTGAGGTGGCCCGGGTGCAGGGGAACCACTATTGCTACCTCTCCAGCAGCAGCCAGTGGTGAGTCTGACATGTCAGCTGCATTCAGACCAAACCCGCCCCCCGCAAATACCCAGAGACTGAGGCAGGAAGCTCTGTAGAAATTCATTTTATTCTTATTCAGACTATTTTCAAAAGAAGCAGTGGTGTGCTGTTTTTCTAAAAATATGCCTTTATAGATTTTTATATATGTATATTATAAAATCCATACATGTATTTACATGATTGCTACATACAAAATTACAGCACTGTGGTATGTACACATCTACAGGTACATTCTTGCCGCGCATCCCTGCTGTGCTTTCCCCACGTGAGGGAGGGAGGGAGACTGAATCGGTTGTGAGCAGCTGAGGGCTGGCCGGGCCGCGGAGCCTCTGAGTTGGGGCCTGGGTGGAGGAGGAGGGGCGGCTGCAGAGGCAGGAGCAGCAGCCACTGCAGGCTTCTGCAGGCAGGCAGGCAGCATCTGGAGGCTTCCGGCAGCCTCCCCCTCCCCTCCACCCCGTGGTGCCTGTGCTGCCCTCAAGGTGGGGTGGCTGACCACAGACCCCTCTGGTGCCATTCAGTGGCCTGGACTTGTTTGGCTAGGCCAAGAAATTATGTATGTATGTGAGGGGTGGAGGAGGGAGCTGTGGGAGGAGGAGACCCCGTCCAACCCCAGCCCTGAGCAGGGGAAAGGGCTGGATGGCTAAAGCCTGCAGATGACTGGTGATAACACTCTGCCTGGCCAGGCCCTGCTAAGGGGCAGAGACTGAAGGCTGGGAGGGAGAGCAGTGGCGACAGGGGGACAGGGCCTTCTTCCTCCCTGGGGCTCGGGTGGCCTCAGCTGAGCTTGGGTAAGCCCCGGCTCTTAGACCCTGCGGCCAGAGGCTTGGCCTCCTGCCAGCTGAGGTGCATGCATGCGGGGGAGGGGCTGCCATCTCTCCTTTGACCCTGGGCCAGGGGCTGGGGAAGGAATGGAGGCTCAGGCCTGGCCCGCTGCCCCCACAGGTCTAGGCCCCTGGGGCTCAGGCCTCCTGAGGCATGCAGAGAAGGGCCTCCATTCCTTCTGTTCCCCATTTGCTAAAATCAAGGAGGCAGCAGTGCCTGGGGGTGGGCTGCGATCTGTTGGGTGTGAGCTGCAAAGCCCAACACCAAGGGGCCCCTCTGGGAGGTGGCCTAACCCTGCTCAAGCACGTGGTCCTGGAGAAGCCCAGGCGTGGGCTTGGCCAGGCGGTGGGCCAAGGGAAGCCTTCAGTGGCCAAGGCAGGCCCCCACCTCTAGGTCTCCATCCCCACCGACGAAAGGGAGCAGGCCCTCCCGGACCCATGGGGCCCTAGCATGAGGGGCAGGGCAGCTGCTGAGGTGCAAGCTGCAGGGGAGGCCTTGCCTGCACCGCCTTTCCAGCTGCCTCCAGTCCACCCATCTTTGGTGGCCTGACTCCTCCCAACTTAAATTTTCCTGAAGAATGAGAAGAGTCGTTTGCCTTCAGCGATGCTGGGCTCATCCCCCCGCCCAGCGCTGTGGCCCCTGCAGAGGGCAGCAGCCGGCTGGCTCCGTTCTTTCAGGTGCGTGTCCATCAGCTGCCGGTCAATGACCCTGTGCATGTCATCCTGCAGAGGGGAGGGGACAGTGGCCAGGACTGAGTAGCTGCTCTCACCTAACCCTGGGGCTGGACAGGGAGGTGGGAACATCAGACAGATGAGAGATGAGAATGTGATGAGTGAGAGGCTGCAGCCGGGACTGCCCTGACCAAGAAAGCGGTGAGCGTGGGCAAGACACCAGGCGCACGCAGGAGCCGTATGGCACCTCCAGCCTCCTCAGGCTTGGGCTGGGTTCTCCTCAACAGTGTTACTCCTGCTGGGCCGCCACAGTCCTCAGCTGATGGCTCGGGTGGTCTCTCCCTGCAGTCTCCACACTAGCACTCCACCTGCTCTGACCAGGCCTCACGGCTCTGCCTCCTGTGTCCTGTGGGCCTGGCTGGTGCCTCCGGTTTGGCTTGCCACCCCCAGCCCCGGCAGGCCCTAGGGCCACCTCAGCTTAACAGCTCCCCAGCCCAATGGCCTGGCCTCAGGGGCTCCTCCTGCCTTTTCCTTTCCAATTATTCCAGCCTGAGCTACTGATGCCCAGGCACCAACGGCAGCCTCACGTGGCAAGGATGCCCTGGGTGCTGCCCTAGACCCTGCTGCTGAGGCTCCCATCTGCGGCAGAGGCCAGGGGCCTCACGGTCTTCAGGGGCTGTCCTGCACCAAATCAGGCCCATTTCTTTCAGCTTCCTCACTGGGGTAGGACCGTCCCCCAACTCGAATTCGTTCATGTGGTCCAGAAAATGCCTTCCTCCCCACAGCCCGCCCCACCATGTTTTACAGAACAGCAGCCTTTCCCATAGAGAAGCCTGTGGACAGGGCAGCTCCACTCCCTTCCCATTTTGGTGGCTAGATTCTGACTCTGGGTAAGACTCCATTTGACAAAAGTTCTGCCACTAACAAAGTTTGAAAACTCCTGCTTTAGAAATATGAGCAGCCTGTGTAATTAGCATCATCAGTAAATGTAACATGTGTCTGCTCGATTCCTTCATGACTTGAACCTGGCAGGCTCTGCGGCATCCTGGTAAGACCCCAAGCTTTTCTGGCTAAACCCCTGAGTGAGTCAGCCTGTGGTGTCCGAGCACAGGACAGGTGAGGCCTGTGTTCAGGGCAGGCTCCCTGTGGCCAGGGCAGATGACCTCTTTGGTTCCGAGCAGCCACTGACGAGATGAGGGCATGAAGTTGGGCTGGCTGGGCCCCTCCATCTGAGCAGCTTGTCCACTCCTCCTCCCTCCCACCCATGGGTGTCATTCTAATATCTCTGCAGGTTTCAGCATGAAACAAAGGGGCCTTCCTGAGTCATCGTGGGGTAGCAGTGAGTGTGGACCCCTCACGCGCTCTGGCTCAGGGCCTGCTCTCCAGCCTCCCTATTCTCTCAACCCTGTCTTTCAGACTCAGCTCATTCCTGGTCTTCTCCTTGCCCTTGTCTTCTTCCCTTCTCTTCCATCCCCTTTTCCACTTGCCCCTCAGAGCTGGCACTGTGCCAGGTATTTGCCAACACACGGTCCCTCCTTATAAGGGTCTAGTATATGATCCTTGGCACAGTGCCCTGCACTTACGACGTGCTCAGTAAAATCTACGCTAAATCCAATGTAGGAATGCTAAAGGGTCTTTCAAAAACCAACCTTTCAAAGCTGCCAATGTTTTGTTTGGCACACTGAAAACTTCATTTTTTTAACTTTAAGCAATCAGGTCTGTCCAGGTCGCCCTTTAGAGTTTCCCAGACACACGCTGCTCATCATTCCAGGCCTGCTGGTCCCTCAGTGGATGGAACAGCCATCTATGAGAAGACGGCACCAGCCGTTAGCACTGGGCCACACACTGCTGAAGAGCTCACTGGACGCGACTGTGATGGAGGAGGGAGCTGGGACTTGAGGGCATGTCACACTGCACAGAGATGACGCCAGGCTCCAGCACACAGAACACAGTGGGCCATGAGGGGAGGCGGCGGGGCAGCACAGCAATGGCAGGGCGAGACGGTGGATGGGATGTAGGGCTCAGGCTCACCTCAAAGGCAGGAGGGGTGTACAACTAAAGCTGTTGATACGGGAACTGAGAAAGGCCACTAGATCAGAAACCAAAGGAGCCAGATAGTAAAAAGCCCTGAGGAAGCAAACTGTAGCCGGGAGAGAAGAGAGAGAGCAGCGGTCAGCCAGGGCGCGGCCAGCTGGCTGCCATGCAGGAGCCAAGGAGCCAGGGACGGGCACCCTGCGGTGGGGCCAGTGTTCTGGCTGCCAGCCCCATGGGGCCCTGGGAGGAATGGTCACCAACAACCTGCCCTCCACGGGGGGCTTACCTTGTAAAGCCACAGACGGCTTTTCATCTGTCTGGATGAGAATTCTTGGGGAGAAATATTAATGTTTATACCCATATCCTAAAACTGTGCTACCTCAACCTCACGAACAAAACCCAGCCAGCCACAGCCCAGTCCAGTGGGGGAGCCATGCTGGACCCTGAAAACAGTGGGTCTAGAGAGGGACCCACTGACTCCTCTTCCCCAGGGCCTGTGCCAGCACAGTGCTCTTTGGAAAATGGAGGCTGGCCCTTGAGAAGGGGAAGGGTAGCAGCTGCTGGCTGCAGGAGGGTTGCTGAGCCGCATCCCGCTGTGAATTTTCATGCAATTATACTGAGCTTCCTGGGCCTCCATGTTAACCAGTTGTTTCTTTCCAGCTTAAAGCCCAGACAACCAGCTGAAAGGGGGCCCCATTCCAAGTCTGGAGATCACTACATCTCCAGACAGCAGCAGCCTGGGCACTGTCGCTCAAAAGCATCCTTAAGCATTCTTCCCCAAGGACTAGGGGACATGAGCTCTGGATCTTGCCAGGTGAAGACTGGGATGTGCTGTTCACCCAGTCACATGGAACCCTCCAGTGGCAAACTCTCCTTACACTCTGCCTGGGTTCAGAGATTCCTCCTGGAGTCTCCTCTCGCCCTGGATCTCAGGCTCCAGTTTACCTGCCAAGCTTCCAGCTGCTGCGAGAGGTTCAGTTTCTGCTGAATGGCATCCAGCAACTGGCTGTTCAGAGACATCATATCCATCCTGCACTTGGCAAGTTCCAGCTCCACAGCATTCTTCCTGAGAACAGACAAGCCAGGGTGAACATGGACACCTTGTGCCAGAGGCATCTTGGTCTTTACTTGGGGCACCTGGAGTCCCAGGATGAGGAAACAGGCTCTGACCCTGAACTCACAACAAATAGCAGCTGCAACAATAACTATGATGTTGCCTGCAGAGGGTTAGTTTGCAACATGTTTTCACATATATTCTCCCAGTTTTCATAACCAACCTGTAGGTGAAAGGAATATTTGTCATCCCCACCTCACGGATAAAGAAACAGAAGTTGAGGCCGGGTGTGGTGGCTCATGCCTGTAATCCCAGCACTTTGGGAGGCCGAGGCGGGTGGATCACCTGAGATCGAGGGTTCGAGACCAGCCTGACCAACATGGAGAAACCCTGTCTCTACTAAAAATACAAAATTAGCCAGGCGTGGTGGCACATGCCTGTAATCCCAGTTACTCGGGCTGAGGCAGGAGAATTGCTTGAACCCAGGAGAAGGAGGTTGCAGTGAGCCGAGATTGCACCATTGCACTCCATCCTGGGCAAAAAGAGCAGAACTCCGTCACACACACACACACCACACACACACACACGTTGAAAGAGCAGAACTCCGTCACACACACACGCCACACACACGTTGAAAGAGCAGAACTCCGTCACACCCCACACACACACACATACACACACACACACACACGTTGAAAAAGGACAATACTAAAATAAGGACTGGAACCCAGAGGGGATCAAAAGCCTCACACAGCATAAAGGAGCTACTCATCCTTTCCCAAAATGGCCCATTCCCCACTGGAAGGCAGGAACCTTGTCCTGCTGGTATAGAAGGGATTCCTTGTAGTTAGCAATCCCCCTTAGGGGAACTGTCCTGAAGATACAGAGGTGTGCGAAGATAGCCACACAGTGGTGATCACTATAGCTTAGCTAGTCAGAGTAGCCAAGTGGTCATGAATGATGGGATGGAATACAGTCACCAGTAAAAACCATAAAGTAGGCCGGGTGCGGTGGCTCACCCCTGTAATTCCAGCACTTTGGGAGGCCAAGGCGGGCGGATCACGAGGTCAGGAGATTGAGACCATCCTGGCTAACAGTGAAACCCCGTCTCTACTAAAAATACCAAAAATTAGCCAGGCATGGCGGCAGGTGCCTGTAGTCCCAGCTACTGGCGAGGCTGAGGCAGGAGAATGGCGTGAACCCGGGAGGCGGAGCTTGCAGTAAGCCCAGATCGCGCCACTGCACTGCAGCCTGGGTGACAGAACAAGACTCCGTCTCAAAAAAACAAAAAAACCCCATAAAGTGTGGCCAGGCGCGGTGGCTCGTGCCTGTAATCCCAGCACTTTGGGAGGCCAAGGTGGAAGGATCACCTGAGGTCAGGAGTTCGAGACCAGCCTGGCCAACATGGCGAAAACCCATCTCTGCTAAAAATACAAAAATTAGCTGGGTGTGGTGGCAGGTGCCTGTAATCCCAGCTACTCGGGAGGCTGAGGCAGGAGAATCGCTTGAACCTGGGAGGTGGAGCTTGCAGTGAGCCCAGATTGTGCCACTGCACTCCAGCCTGGGCAATAGAGCAAGACTCCGTCTCAAAAAAATAAAAACAAAACCCCACAAAAAACCATGAGGTAGAATATTTATTGACAGTTCATAACATATTGCTGAGTGGAAAAAGCACCAGAAAACAAGGTCTAGTATAATACTAGTTTTGTAAAACAAAAACTGCCTGTGTCCGCAGGGTGCTGTGGCTCACGCCTCTAATCCCCAGCACTTTGGGAGGCCAAGGTGGGCGGATCACCTGAGGTTGGGAGTTCGAGACCAGCCTGACCAACAAGGAGAAACCCCGCCTCTACTAAAAATACAAAAATTTGCCGGGCGTGGTGGCGCATGCTGCCTGTAATCCCAGCTACTCAGGAGGCTGAGGTAGGAGATCACTTGAATCCAGGAGGCGGAGGTTACAGTGAGCCAAGATCACGCCACTGCACTCCAGCCTGGGCAACAAGAGCGAAACTCTGTCTCAAAACAAAACAAAAAACTGCCTGTGTGTTCAAGGATATGCACAAAAATGTCTAGTTGGTTATCTCTGGGTGATGATTACTGATGGGTAACTCCTCCGACATTATTTTGCATTTTTTTATTTTCACATTTGTGTTTCACGTATTACTTTGTTCACCTTTCCCAACATTCCTAAATCACGGCTGTTCAATGCAAAAGAAAATTAATTTTTTTCGAGGGCAGGGGAACGGGAATAAAGGTGGAAGGACCTCTGCAGAGGCAGCCCTGGTTGCCCAACTGCAGAAACGTGTATTATTTAGCCCTTGCCTTCATTAATCGCTCCCTTAAGCACTCAAAACAGCAAAGCTAACAAAAGCATGCTCCTTGTACAGGGCCAGCGACTAATGTGCAGGGCTCAAGGGCAGCTAGAGGATCCGCCTGCAGAGGCCGCCTAGCTCGAGCTTCACAACACCGACCGCACTAACCGAAGTGCGGCCAGAAAAAGGAACAGGTGGATCCCACTTGCAAAGTGCTCAGGCCACTGCTGCGACCAGCACTTCTTCTTTGGCTTCAGGTCTACCGAGCAATTAGTCACCTGTGCCGACACCGCAAGTGCGCCCCGCCCGCCGGCCCGCCTGCCTTCCCTAGAGAAACCGCTCCAGACAGCTCAGCCACCGCGTCAGCCCCGCCCACTGCGGCAGCGACGGGACCCGAGCCCGTCTAATGGATGCTGAGGGCTCAGATGCCGAAGGCTGCCTCCGTCACACCCACTGCTATTGGCTGGCAGCAAACAGCGGAAATCCTCACGCGGCATCGGTTGCCATGGACACCCCTCCAGTAGCGTCAGAACCCGTGGTGCCCCACGACAGCCACAGCCTCCTGAGCTTCCGGCGTCCCCCGGCAGGTGGCGCCGAGAGCAGCGGGAGCCCCAGGAATGTGCTGACTAACGTTGCCGGCGAGGGACAGATGGGCCCAGGGCTACAGCCGCGGCGCAGCGCCGGGCATGGTGGGGTTCCCTTCCTTGCCAAAAAACGCCCTGAGGCAGGGGCTGCCTGGACGACCTCCAATCCTGGCCACGCGCTGCACCGTTGGGACATTTGCTCACCAAGGAATAAGTGCTCGTCATTCATGGGAAACCCCAGACCAGGATCAACACATTAATCACATTTTAAAAATAGGAATATTCCAAGGGCTCGAATAATTCCTTTTTACAAATGAAACCACTAGTAACTGACTTGTTTTTGTAAGGCAGATTGCTAGCCCAAGATTTATTTTTGGTTTTAGTGAAGGCCCTTCACCTGCAAGGAGATAAAAAAATTGCTACTTAATTTTCCTGAAACTCATTTATTGTATAGGAGAAGGTGCACCTTAAGGTTTCTGCAGCCCAGTGACGAGAAGGAAGTTATATTTCTTAGGGATTCTCACCCCTGACTACACATTAAAATCAAGGGGGAAAGAAGTGGGCCCCACCCAACTGACCCCACCCCGTGATTTCAACTGTATTGTTCTGGTGAGGTTCCTGGTGTCTGAGCGCTCCCCAGATGATTGTAATGTGCGGCCAGGATGGAGAATCAGAGATAACGTATATGGAAGAAGTATCTGGTAAAACTAAGTTACTATACAAATGGGGGGTGTGGTTTCCTCTTTAAATGATTCCTTAGGCTTGTCGTCTCAATTCTTGTATAACAAAAATTCATTTCTAAGGTATGGGAAAAGAACTATCCTCCCAGAGTAACCTAACTGCCCAGCCAGCCCTGTTCTATAGGAGTCCAGGAAGGACAGGACCCTTGCTCCAGAGTTCTCCCTACTGGGGGCATCCTTCCAGAGGGGAGAATTTGCAAGTCTAATCAGACTCCTGGATAGTAACTGGGCCTCCTTTGAAAGCAGGCAAGAGCATGCATTACAAGGTTTCATGTAGATTTGCTCACCCAGGTGGCAGAGCTAGGTTTTACTTTTTTTTTTTTTTTTTTTTAAAGGGAGAAAGACTGGACAACTTGCTTCTTCTCTCCTGCACCCTGACACTTTCTCTGTTTGTATCCCCCACCTTCCATCCCACCTTCCATGCTGATGACAGAATATGATCTTAATGTTCAGCTTCTTGTCTGAGAGAAGGTAACCAACCCATGTGTACTTCTATCTTCATTCTGCCTTTTTTTTTTTTTTTTTTTTTTGAGGCAGGATCTTGCTCTGTCATCCAGGCTGGAGTGCAGTGGCATGATCACAGCTCACTGCAGCCTCAACCTTCTGGGCTCAAGTGATCCTCCCACCTCTGCGACTCCAAGAATGTACCACCACACTCAGCTAATTTTTTATTTGTATTTTTAGTAGAGACAGGGTCTCATTATGTTCCCCAGGCTGGTCTTGAACCCCTAGGCTCAAGCAATCCTCCCATTTTGGCCTCCCAAAGTGCTAGGATTACAGGCGCCCTTGCCTGGCCTCCTTCTGCTTTTGATTTCTAGTGGACTTCCACGATAAGCATCTTCATTTTACCATTTTATTCCATCACACAATTTCACTGTTATTCATAAAGGTATGCTGCCTCCTCTATCACACTGTTACTTTTTTTTGAGATAGGGCCTCACTCTGTCACCCAAGCTGGAGGGCAGTGGTGCAATCTTGGCTTACTGCAACCTCCGCCTCCTGAATTTGTGATCCTCCAACCTGGCTACTTCTTTTTTTTTTGTTTGGGTAGGGATGGGGTTTCACCATGTTGGCCAGGTTGGTCTCGAACACCTGACCTCAAGTGATCCACCTGCCTCAGCCTCCCAAAGCGCTGGGATTGCAGGCCTGAGCCGCTGCACCCCAGCCTTATCACACTGTTACTTAAGTATCCATTAACTAAATATAGTGGAAATCCAAGCAGCAAAGATACATCGTTATGTGGGATTCACCAAGAATAATTTCTAAAATGAACTAGAAACTGACAGACACCATGACATGAGGTTCTGACCAGAAAGAAAAGGGGACCCAAAGGTAAAACGGAAATAGAGATAATGAAAATGATGAAAGAGAACAGAAGGGAGGGGGAAAGTGTGTGTGGAAGTGAGGTTAGAGTATGAGTAATTTTTTTTTTTTTTTTTGAGACAGAGTCCCCGTTCTGTTGCCCAGGCTGGAGTGCAATGGCGTGATCTCAGCTCACTACAACTTCTGCCTCCCGGGTTCAAGTGATTCTCCTGCCTCAGCCTCCTGAGTAGCTGGGATTACAGGCGCCTGCCACCATGCTTGGCTAATTGTTGTATTTTTAGTAGAGACGGGCTTTCACCATGTTGGCCAGGCTGGCCTCAAAACTCCTGACCTTAGGTGATCTGCCTGCCTCGGCCTCTCATAGTGCTGGGATTACAGGTGTGAGCCACCGCAACTGGCCTGAGTATGAGGAATTTTAAAGTCAGAAGTTAAAATGTGTGTCATATTATTTTTTTTACAAAAGCATACAGTATCTTATTTACACATTGTTTCCAAGTAGTTCATTTTAGCTTCCCAACAAGTAGCAGTGTAGCAAAGGGAAAAGGGTGTCAGGAAGACGGGAATCAGAAGACTTGAGGTGGAGGCTCATGAGTCACTGCTGGCTGTGGCCCTGGCAAAGTATTTCTTAGTTTCCTCATCTGTAAAATTGGGATTAAAAATTTTTACTTCTTACTGTGGCTGGGAGGATTAAAGAATAAAAGTGTTGGCCGGGTGTGGTGGCTCATGCCTGTAATCCCAGCACTTTGGGAGGCCAGGGCGGGTGGTTCACAAGGTCAGGAGATCGAGACCATCCTGACTAACACGGTGAAACCCTGTCTCTACTAAAAATACAAAAAATTAGCAGGGCATGGTGGCACATGCCTGTAGTCCCAGCTACTCGGGAGGCTGAGGCATGAGAATCGCTTGAACCTGGGAGGCGGAGTTTGCAGTGAGCCAAGATCATGCCACTGCACTCCACCTGGGTGACTGAGTGAGACTCCGTCTCAAAGAAAAGAAAAAAAAAAAGAATAAAAGTGCTTTGTAAACTATAAAGTGATGTATAAATATTACTATTGGCTGGGCACAGTGGCTCACGCCTGTAATCCCAGTACTTTGGGAGGCTGAGGCAGGTGGATCACTTGAGGTCAGGAGTTTGAGACCAGCTTGACCAACATGCTGAAACCCCGTCTCTACTAACAGAAAAATTAGCCAAGCATGGGGGCGCATGCCTGTAATTCCAGCTACTTGGCTGAGGCAGGAGAATCGCTCGAACCTGGGAGGTGGGGGTTGCAGTGAGACGAGGTCGTGCCACTGCTCTCCAGCCTAGGCAACAGAGCAAGACTCCATCTCAATAAATAAATAAATAAATAAATAAATAAATAAATAAATAAATAAATACTACTATTAATATTTTGTAAATGACCCCAAAGTAGACACATTTTTGGTAACTATCTCCTCACACTCCTTGAACAGGGTGGGGCTGGGCACCGTGGCTCTTGCTTATAATCTCAGCACTTTGGGCAGATCCCTGGAGCTCAGGAGTTCAAGACCAGCCTGAGCAACAGGACAAAACCTCGTCTCTACAAAAAACAAAAGCAAAAACTAGCCAGGTGTGGTGGCGTGCACCTGTAGTCCCAGCTACTCGGGAGGCTGAGAGGTGAGAGGATTGCTCCAGCCCAGGAGGTCAAAGATGCAGTTAGCTGTGACTGGGCCACTATACTACAGCCTGGGTGGCAGAGTAAGACCCTGTCTCAAAAAAATAAATACATAAAAAGTAATTCACAGGGGAATAGGGGATATGTAAATATGTTTGTTTCCAAAGTTTCTGAATGTAAGACAATGTGTTTATGAAGAAAATGTGGCCAGGCTGGGCATGGTGGCTCATGCCTGTAATCCTAACACTTTGGGAGGCCGAGGTGGGCAGATCACTTGAGGCCAGGAGTTCGAGAGTAGCCTGGCCAACATGGTGAAACCCCATCTCTACTAAAAATACAAAACTTAGCCAGGCGTGGTGGTGTGTGCCTGTAATCCCAGCTATTCGGGAGGCTGAGGCACGAGAATAGCTTGAACCCAAGAGGCGGAGGTTGCAGTGAGCTGTGAGCATGGGTGACAGAGTGAGAATTTCTCTCAAAAAAAATAAAGTAAAATAAAATAAACACGGCTGGGCGCAGTAGCTCACGCCTATAATCTCAGCA
Organism: Homo sapiens; assembly: GCF_000001405.40. Classification (NCBI taxonomy): domain Eukaryota; kingdom Metazoa; phylum Chordata; class Mammalia; order Primates; family Hominidae; genus Homo; species Homo sapiens. The sequence continues at coordinate 120,082,832 of NC_000012.12, read as the reverse complement.
CTTTGGGAGGCTAAGGTGGGTGGATCACTTGAGCCCAGGAGTTCAAGACCAGCCTGGGTAACATGGTGAAAACCCGTATCTACAAAAAATACAAAAATCTGCCCGGCATGGTGGCACAGCTACTTGGGAGGCTGAGGAGGGAAGATCACTTGAGCCCAGGAGGTGGAAGCTGCAGTGAGCTATGATTGTGTCACTGCACTCCAGCCTGGGTGACAAAGAGAGACCCTGTCTTAAACAAACAAACAAAAAAACACAAAACATTTTTAAAAAGACCTAGTTGGCTGGGCACAGTGGCTCATGCCTGTAATCCCAGGACTTTGGGAGACTGAGGTAGGAGGATCGCTTGAGCCCAGGGGTTTAAGACCAGCCCTAGCAACATGGCAAAACCCCGTCTCTAACAAAAATACAAAAAATTAGCCAGGTGTGGTAGTGTGTACCTGAGGTCCCAGCTACTCGGGAGGCTGAGGTGGGAGGATCGCTCAAGACCATGATGGGGAGGTTGCAGTGAGCCAAGATCATGCCACTGCACTCCAGCCTGGGTGACAGAGTGAGACTCTGTCTTCAAAAAAAAAGACCTAGTTTATTGGAAATATAAGGGACAGAGGAAAATGCTAAATGATGCTATGGGATGCAATCAAACCCAGAATGCAGCAAATCTATGAGAGAAATGATCCACTTTCTTCAACAAATAAATGTAATATGAAAAAGAAGAAAGAGGAGATGTTACAGACTTTTGGGACACATCAGTTAAATGGAATATGTAGGCTTCGGAGTCTGATTCTAAATCAGTTATCAAAAGATATTTATGGGCCAATTGGGGAAATTCTAACATCAACTGGATTCTGATATTATTAAGAAATTATTTTTTTCAAGTGTGATCATTGTATTGTGTTTTTTTTTTTTTTAATTCTTTCTGGTAGAGATGTATACTGAAGTGTTTATGGAGATGACACTATGTCTTGTGATTTAACATAATCCAACAGGGAGGTGGAGGAAGTGGGTGAGGATATAGATGAAATAACACTGACCATATGCTAATTAGTATTGAGGCTGAGAGATGAAGTCATCTTATATCTTCTATTTTTGTGTTTGCTTGAAAATGTCCATAATAAAAAAATAGAAACAAACAACAAAAAAACTAAAAAAAAAAGGTGAGGTAGATATATACATACGATAAAACTGGAGGCCGGGTGTGGTGGCTCACGCCTGTAATCTCAGCACTTTGGGAGGCCAAGGCGGGCAGATCACCTGAGGTCAGGAGTTGGAGACCAGCCTGGCCAATATGGTGAAACCCTGTCTCTACTAAAAATACAAAAATTAGCTGGGCATGGTGGCAGGCACCTGTAATCCCAGCTACTTGGGAGGCTGACAGGAGAATCGCTTAAACCCAGAGGCAGAGGTTGCAGGGAGCTGAGATCGCGCCATCGCACTGCAGCCTGGACAAGAAGGGCAAAACTCCGTCTCAAAAAAAAAAAAAAAAAAAGGAAAGCTCTTTAAGATACAAGTGCAAAAAGGCAAGACATGTAGAGTATCATCCTATTGATGTCTAAAAACACATAATAACTACATTGCCTACACACCTACATATGCATAAGAAAAAGAGCTGCAAAAAATGCACAGCTAACTTTCAATACCAGCATGTGTCTGGGGAGGAGAATGGGAATGGGGGTGGGGGTGGGGGTGGGGGTGGGTAGCGGGGAAACTAACTTTTACCTTTGTATTCTTTTGTATGATTTAATTTAAAAAATTGAGCATATGCTCAATTCTATATACTCAACTTTATCTTAAGAATAAAGTGAAGCCATCCCTACTCACTTTGCAATGGCCTCGTCGCGGTCCCTGATGGCCTTCTGAAGCTGCTCCTTTGGCTCCTTGTCCTCAGAAGTGACTCTGAGTCGGTCTCTCTCCTCTTTTAGGGCAGTCATCTCCACACTCAGCAGTGTCACCTAACAGGAGAATGAATATGGTATCACTGCTGCTGTCCTGGGTGGTTTTCCCTCCAAGAGGGAAAAAGGAACAAAGAGACCCCAGGCAGGACCAGGGTACATGTGTGGGGGTGCAAGCTGGTAGCATTCCACTGCCATCCTGCTTCAAGAGAGGGCCTGTCTCTCTTGAAGAAAGGGTACCACATCACATGCTAGGCTTGAGCTCGGCAGCAAGGGAGCTGGGGGGAATTTAGCTCTGGACCTGCAGCCGTAGGCCAGATCTTCCCTTTGCACTCAGCACGGCATACTACCTCCTCCATCTCCAGGCACTCCAGGTAACAAGTGAATGAAGACCATAAGTCATCATGACACACAGTTTTTAGGGTAGGGAATCCCGTTCCCTTTCCCACCATCTCCCACTCAACATGGATGCTGCTATCAACAGAGCCCTGGATGATTCCAAAGCTGGAGTCCCTGCTCCCCCGTGACAGCCCTTGGCACAGCCCAGCTCGCTTTAGTTCCTCATTCAGCTCCCCAGGTGAAAGCCACAGGGAACTTAGACACCTAAGTGACATTATCATCTTCCACCTCAAACCTGTTACCTTTTCTGTGGCCCATGCTTCAGCAAAGGGCACCACCACCTTCTCAGGTCCTTGTGCCCCAGCTGGGAGTCAACCTTTGGCAGTGAGGCACCCCTCCAGTGGCTCCGTCAGGGACCACAGCTTACCCTGCCCCACAGTATGGTAACCCTGTGTACACCATGATCTGTGTGATGGCAGGAAGCATGTCACATCCATCTGTGCATCCCAGAGCCTGGCTGTGTAGGGTGCTTAATCCCAAAGCAGTAGACAATTGTCATTTTTTGGCTAGTCATCATCCGAAATCTCTTCCCATTTTGGGGGCACTCCTGGTTGTGTGAGACTTGGTGTGACACAAGGCTTGACCTCCAACTAAAGAAGCCAACAGGGAATAGACATTTCCTTTCCCAGGCAGTCTGGGCGTGGGCCTGTGACCAAACTTGCCAGTTACAACCCCTTCCAGGGACTGCAGCTCTGAGCACAGCAAAGCCCCAGGCGAGGGAGGAATTAGTGACAAGGGCGGCAGTTTGTTTGTTGTCCCTTTTCCCATGGCCCTTTCTTGTTTTGGAACCGGGTTCTCCCACTTTCCTGTTGATTCTGTAAGCTTTCAGGTCTCATACATTCTCTTTCTGCTTACATTAAGCAGAGTACATGTTTTGCTGTTTGCAACCAGAAACCCTGCCTGGTAGAGCTTTCAATAAATATTTATTGAATAATGAAAGGGTGGGAGCCCCTTCTTCTCAGTTGATAAGATCAGACGTGAGTCAGGATGCCTAGCCCTGCCTTCATGTTAAATATTACACATACTTTGACATTTTTCCAAGGGAGGATCCATCCATACAGGTCTGCCTCCCTCCCACAACGGGACAAATGCCACCTTTCAGCATACTCCTCTGTTCTTCAAGTCCCAGGTCTAATCCTCTTCAGCTAGAATGAAACTGAGCAAAGGCCCCAGGTGTAAGGCTGAAGATCAAGCTTCCCTTGATCTTGAAGTGTCTGAAAATCAATACATTTCAGACATTCTCCAGAACGAGACGGCAGAGCTGCCAGCCCCTGGGGTAGCAGCCACTCTGGAGGAATTCAGAGGACACCCAACAGTGAAGAGGGACAGAAGGACAATCTGTTGCCACCATAAGCAATGGGTTTTATACTCTGCAGAGTCTAGCAGGAAACATCAGGGCCGGGTGCTCTGTACTGAGAACAGCCCAAAGCAGCAGCTTTTCCGGTAGGGACAGCTGGGTGAGGAGGGCGGAAGCCTCGGGGAAGAACAGGCTGGAGCACCTGCAGCTACCCAGCACACACATGCATCTAGCCCCGAGGCAGACAAGGCACCAGGGCAGAGCCCAGCCTCCCCCTATTTAGCAGCAGACTCTGCAGCCTGGTAGGCCAGGACTCAAGACCTACAAAGCACCTGGAAGAGACAGCCAGACCTCCTCTTAGGCCAAATGAGCCCTGCCATGGCCTTGGACCAGCTGTGGGCCAGTCGGACATTCTGCCAGCAGAGTAAGGGACAGGTAAAACTATATGCTAGGCAGGAAAAGCCAACATTTAATATGCTCCAGATGAAACTTCAGAAGAACTTTTTGCTTTGGCCTAAAAAACCTGGTCGAGTTACAGCCTACCAGACATGTGCCTTAGGAGAGGTGACAAGGCACTTGCCCTCTTTGAGCTATACATACTTTTTATAATAAGCGGAAATAAAAATAACTATTTCTCACCACTAAGTTGTCGTTGAGGATTACGAGATAAATGATATCAAGGGCTCAATGCATGTGGTTGTAAGCTCTACTCTCTCCTCCCTCCTGCAAGGTGGGACCTAATCACTGCTGTCATGATAACTGATCTGGCTTGTTTATACAAAGACTTAGGTTACATCCACCCCTAAATCCACTTTTCCCAAATAAGGTGGGTGTCCCCGCAATTAAATAGCAAAGAAAACATTCAAAAGTCAGATATTGAAGGCTTAATTTGCTCTTTTGTTCAACAACATTTGAGTGCTTATTCTCAGCAAGGCACTGTACTAGCTGCTTTAGGAGAGGACACAGCTAGATCAGACCTTGAGCTCATCCTCATGGGGTCTAGGGTTTGACTGAGAAGATGAGATGTGAGCAGGGTAACTGTGACAAGACAGAGACAGGGGTGCTCCATGAGGAAAGGAATCAAGAGGGTTTCAGGAGGAAGTGATGCTAGATTGGGAACTTGAAGGCTGAATAGCATGGAGATATGAGCAGGTGAGAGAGAAGGCCTTCTGGGCACAGAGAAAGCTGGGGAGAAGGCCCAGGTGTGGGTAGCATGGGGTGCATGTGCCACTGCCCTTTGTATCCTATGTTCAGTTCTGCTAAAGCAAAGGGGGCAAGAGGGAAACCAGAGGGACGCAGGCTGTGCGGCTGGAATGCAGCCAGACTGCACAGCCACAACAGCTCAAGGCTTCCTGCTATTTGATAATGGGAACCCACCCAGAACTTGTAAGGGGCGTCCCACTTTCAAGTCACGCTTCAGGAAGATCAATCCAAAGCGTGTGAGGGTGGGCGGGCTGGGGGAAGGCAGATAAATTGGGAAGTGGTGACCATAGCCAGGGTGTGAAAGGATGCAGGTCTTGAAATAGGGCAGGAGCTAGGAGGACGGAGGATGGAGGAGATGGCCATGCTGAGATTTCAGAGGAGAGGCACCCAGATTTGGCGAGTGAAGCCCACAGGCTCCCAGCACTCTCTGCATGTTCATGCCCCTTCTGGAGTAACAAGTGTGCACTCGAGTCAAGCATGAAGGATCCAAACAACAGAAATGGGATGCTTCTAACTGAGCCTCCTGCCACCTGGGTGACAGGCCTGAGAACTGGCTGAGGGCCTCACCGATAACGTGTTCATATTCTACAGACTAATCGCAGAAGACCCCCCTGCATCCTAGCAGCTGCTCCACACACACCAGAGGTGAGGGGTGGGCCACTTGGGGAACAGAGGAGGAGGCAGTTCCTTGCCACTGATGGGAGTGGGGTAGGAGGGGGCACACCACCACAGGAAGGACTTTGTTCCTTAAGCACAATAACAGGTGCCAGCAAGTCTTCGGGTCTGGGTATGGATTTTGCTTCTAAAAAATAATTACCGGTCAAATTAAACCTACGCTTTCCTTTATTTTAAAGTTTGGATAGGCTTCCAGCCCCCACACCTTTGACCTCTGGCCTAGTTTTCAAGAGAGAAAAGAACACTCTCAGGTGACAGGCTCAGAGGCTGGGTCAGCCATCAGATGAGGTTTGAGCCCAGTCCAGGAGCTGTGTGCTAGAACCTCAGTCCCACCTAACCATGTCTGGGCCTTGCCCCCAAAAGGGCTCAGAGATGGCTCTGACTGTCCTCTTGGCACTGTGGGGTCCTAGAGAGCAGGGGCCCTGCACATCCATCTGGTGCCTCTCAGGGCCTAGTGCAGCACCAGGCACGCAGTGGGTGTCAGTGGATGTTGAACCAACCTTGCATGCAGAACGCCATGCCTGCTGTGATGGCTGCAATTTCTGCAGTCATTCTGGGACTCAATCTGCACCCTACCCCTGCCTTGGGAGGCCAGTGTTACTCCCCATGAGGTGGCTTTGCTACGTGCGGTGTGGCTGAGAGGTTTTCTGCTTTGACTGAGCATCTGGGAAGAGATGGCCTACAGAAGTCCAATTCTATACCCCGCGTGGGACATGAGTACAACCTTCCACTTGGTGAACCATTTGAAAGAGAATCCACAGCAACTGGCCTAAACCATTATCAGCTGAACTTCTAAGAAAAATTTCGAGGTGGAAATGGGTTCCTAAATATTCTACAGTAGAATCTTGGCAACCTACAATTTGCTTATGTTTCTGAATAAAACAATGCCCCCCGCATCCACTGTGGAGTTCTAGTTTTATAATTCTGAGAAACAAAACAACAAAACCAGTTAATATTAAAGAACTCATGAACAGAAGCACCCTATGGAAATTTAAATAGGCTTTAAAATAAGCAAAACTTTTATTAATCCAAAGACCTTACAGATTCAACTTTCTCCTGCATTTTATTTTTCCAGTTTAGAAGATCTGTCTCTGAGTCTGAATCACTCTCTGGCCAAATTACCCGCTGAAGAACTTAGGTTTCAGGCGGGTGAATGTCTGTGGCTGCCTAACCCAAGTCTCTAGCGTTCGGCTGTGAGCAAGCTACAACTTTTTGAGACAGAGTCTCACTCTGTCATCCAGGCTCAAGTGTAGTGGCACGATCTCAACTCATTGCAACCTCCGCCTCTTGGTTTCAAGCAATTCTCCTGCCTCAGCCTCCCAAGTAGCTGGGATTATAGGCATGTGCCATCACACTGGGCTAATTTTTCTATTTTTAGTAGAGATGGGGTTTCGCCATGTTGGCCAGGCTGGTCTCGAACTGCCGATCTCAAGTGATCCACCTGCCTTGGCCTCCCAAAGGGCTGGGATTACAGGCGTGAGCCACCGTGCCTGGCCAAGCCACAGATTGAAATGGCATCTTTGTGTCCTTGTTATCTGGTCACTCACAGAAAGAAGAGGACAGTAGATGGCTGGAGGTGGGTCTCCCGATATTTTCCAAGAAAATATCAGGAAGACTAACGGGATGACTCCCAGAAAAGGGGAGTTTCTTTCTATAAAGATATTTCAAATGTAGGAAATACTGACTGGGGCCACATGTGGTGGGTCACACCTGTAATCCCAGCACTTTGAGAGTCTGAGGTGAGTGGTTCTCTTGAGCCCAGGAGTTTGAGACCAGCCTAGGCAACATGGCGAACCCTCATCTCTACAAAAAATTAGTTGGGCATGGTGGCGTACGCCTGTAGTCCCAGCTACTTTGGCAGCTGAGGTGGAAGGATTGCTTGAGCCTAGAAGTCAAGGCTGCAATGAGCTGTGACTGCGCCACTATACTCCAGCCTGGGCAAGAGTGAAACCCTGTCTCAAAAAGAAATAAAAAAAAAAAAAAAAGAGGAAATACTGACTGAAGTGAAAGGCAGGCTTAAATTCCATCTCAAAGAAACCTCATGCAGCAGCAAGGCGTGAACAGCTTTGAGCCAGGAAAGGACAGGGGCAGGAGCAAGGTTTAGATGCTGCTTGCTTGGTGCTACCCCAGCCCCTACTCCCAAGCAGCACAGAACCTCTACACATGACCACAGTCAACAGGAAGAGCCTTTATCTATCTCCTAGGATAGGTTTTAGAAGCTCCTTTTTGGGTGGGGCTGCCTATAAGTCCTTTAAAGTTTCTCAGATGAGAATATAAATGTCTTCCTTCAGCGTTCTCTAGAGAGATGAAATCGTGATCAAATGAGAAAGGAACAGCAAGGGTAGCAGTAAGTTCTTCTAAAGCAGAAGAACAGGCTGAGAGAAGTGATGGCACTTACAAAAGGGAACTGTGCTGTAAAGATCAATTGTTCCTTGGTTTGCAAACTTCCCTGCCCAGCAACTGCTGGAAAAGCACCCATAAGTAGCCCGAGGGCTGTCAGCATCTACCAGTCAGATTAACTTTGGCTCTGTATAAGGCAGAGTGTCACTGGAGGAAATGGAGGACCAGCCATTCTCATCCCTGCCAATTTTACTTTGGGCTAAAGGACTGGGTTCTTCTCTTGAAGACATTCAGTTTACCTCAACTTCAGGTCACCATTCCTTGATGATCTGATGAAGGAGAGCCACTTCTCACACAGAAATGGGAGAGAGAAACTCAAAAGGGTCCCAAGAGAGCCAGGGGCAGGTGCACATGCCCTGCACTGAACTGAAGGTTGGGGTGCTCACCTGACTGTGGAGTCGCTGCAGCTCTTCTAGGCTTTGCCTCAGTTTACCCCTCTCTCCCTCCATGAGCTCCCTTAGGGCTCTCGAGTCCTCACTGGTCTGCCTTATCTGTTCTTCTAAGGAGTCATCATCAAGTCTCCGGGAGCCCTGACAGTAAAAGAAAGACAGCCAGACAGATATGGTAAGGGTACAGGAGAGATAGGGAAGGGGGAGAGAGATGGTTAGTCGGGGAGAGAAGGAGAGGAGAAATGGGGGAGAGTGGAGGAATGATGTGGGGAAAGATAGTGGGGAAAGATAGTAGGGAAGATGAAGGGAAGGAGAAAAGGAGGAGGGAAGAGACAAAAGGTGGAAGGAAGAAGGGGTCAAGAAGAGAGATTGTGGCCGGGCGCAGTGGCTCACGCTGTAATCCCAGCACTTTGGGAGGCCGAGGCAGCAGATCACGAGGTCAGGAGATCGAGACCATCCTGGCTAACACGGTGAAACCCTGTCTCTACTAAAAATACAAAAAATTAGCCGGGTGTGGTGGTGGGCACCTGTAGTCCCAGCTACTTGGGAGGCAGGAGAATGGCGTGAACCCGGGAGGCAGAGGTTGCAGTGAGCCAAGATGGCGCCACAGCACTCCAGCCTGGGCAACAGAGCGAGACTCCGTCTCAAAAAAACAAAAAACAAACAAAAAAAAGAGATTGCTCAATTTCAACCTGCAAACAGATGTTCACTTTTGTTTCAGGCTTGGGGGAAAGGAAGCCGTGTGGTGGGAATAGCACACCATCACATTCTGACAGCTCTCTTCTCCCACAATGACCTGGCCTCATAGTATAATACCTCCCACAGATCAATACGGCATGGTCAGACAGAACAGCTACCCTTCATATTACTTTACCCAATACAGGCAGAAAGACACAAGTTTTCTGTAGGAGGATGAAACGTGAGGAGAAATAATAGCCAAAAAGCTGGGAGCGTGAGTGGAGGGTAAGTCGGGGAGAAATGTGTCATGAAGCTGGAAGAAATGCCAGACTGCCCAGGATGCCCACGGGAACAGTCCTCTCCTCCACAGGTGGCCACATCTAGGATTCTAAAAGGCCCTTAGAGCTGATCTTCCCAACTTCCTGTGCTCACTTACATTCTTTTGGCGGAAGCTTCAGATCTTTTACTTTTGCCAATTCACAGCTAACCCTACCACTAGGACCAAAGGGCTATAGAATAGCAACTTACAGTTTTTACTTGGATACAAACTTCTATATGCAAAGTTTCCAAGGAAAGCCCTTAAACTGGAAGCTGCCATTGTCTGTACATCACTACCTGGAGAAAAAGGCTCTATGTGTACCTGGTGTGTGCAGGAAGCTGCCTTTGGAGCCCTGACACTTGGCCCCTCTGCCTCATCACAGCAGTAGTTGGTGTTCTCAAATAAGGGCTCACGGCCTGGCGTGGTGGCTCACGCCTGCAATCCCAGCACTTTAGGAGGCTGAGATGGGTGTATCACTTGAGGTCAAGAGTTAAAACTAGCCTGGCCAACATGGTAAAACCCTGTGTCTACTAAAAATGCAAAAACTAGCTGGGTGTGGTTGGTGGTGCACGCCTGTAATCCCAGCTACTCAGGGAGCTGAGGCACGAGAATCACTTGAACCTGAGAGGCAGAGGTTGCAGTGAGCCGAGATTGTGCCACCTCACTCCAGCCGGGGTAACAGAGCGAGACTCTGTCTCAAAAACAAAATCCAAAACAACCAATAAGGGCTCAGAAGAATTCTTGCAGATATTTTATAGGGTTCCAGTTCCATGGCTGACCTCACCCTATGCACTGGGTTCTAACCTCCCACCAGCCAGCTCCTGTGGGGTAAGGACCATCTCAGACTGGCCTCTTACCGTGGGCTCCATGCCATCCACAATGCTCTGTATCAGTCTCTTGAGCTCATTGAGGGCAGTGCGCAAGCTGCCGGCTGGCACATCCTTGGCGGACGAGGTTTCTGAAGACTCGTCCATGGAGGAGTCCGTGGAGACGGCTGAGTCAGCACTGTCATTGCCTCGAAGGTGTGAGCACAGATAGCGAACCTGGCAGTAGGCTTCCCAGAGCTGCAGTCTCAGCTGTTCCACAGAGAATTACTATTCATTTCAGACTCTAGAGAAGACTGCTACCTGGCCATCTTTTTCTAGCTCTGAACCCAAAATACTGATACCCAAGACACCAGTTCTAGAAGAAAGGGTTTTTTGTTCTGTGTTTTTTTTTTAACTCATTTGTCCCAAGAAATAATACTTATTCTGAACCAAGTACATTTATACAGATTCCAAATTCTTATTCTCCCTGTTCTCTAGCTTCTTCCATTCACAATATAAAGCACTTCTTTATATAATCAGTTATTTTGGTGGGAGTCAGAAAACAATCAGGGGAATGAATGGTTCTGTATTATGAAAAGTGTGAAAAGAAACCAGTTAGATGGAGAAGATGGATCATGACTGCTCTGGAACTCTGTCAGTATAACAGGTATGGAGCTGATGGCACAAGCATTTCCTAAGAGGAACTGGGGTGACAATGAGTGGGAATTGGCTGTGCCTATGATACTCTGTCCTCTAGCAATTCTGCTCAATGCCTTAATGGATAAAGTGGGTGGAAAATGGAGGGCCAGGGACATGCTCCATCAGGGCCTGCTTCATGACACTCTAGCCAGCAGGCCAAGGGGCTGACACAGGCACAGGGGCACAGCCTTGCCAGGATGGCAGCTGAGCACTAGGGAGGAGGATGAGACCTAAGCAACCCCAGGTAGCCTCGCCTGTGGGGTGACAGGCAGGTCAGCACCTGCTCTCGCTCCTGCTCCAGCTCCTCAGCCTCCATGCTCTGCTCGATCTCTGACAGGAGGGATGTGCTGGTGGCGGCAGAGCTCTGCAGACTCCTCTCCTCAGTGAGTTCTTCCACCTTCACCTGCAGCTGTCGGCAGGAGAGACGCACCTCCTGAAGCTCCAGCTGGCTTTGGTGCAGCTTTCAAAGAAAGAGCAAATGGTTGAGGTTTACCAAACACAAAAACCAAGACAAACTGACCCTCAACCTGATCATGCTTCTGGATCCAACCACCAATTTATAGAAAAATAAATAGGAGAGAAGAACATGTTAAACTACATCAGGAGATGCACTCAGCAAAATCCAGATCTAGAAAATTCTGACTGGGCGCGGTGGCTCACCCCTGTAATCCCAGCACTTTGGGAGGCCGAGGCGGGCAGATCACCTAAGGTCAGGAGTATGAGACCAGCCTGGCCAACATGATGAAACCCTGCCTCTACTAAAAATACAAAAATTAGCTGGGCGTGGTGGCGGGTACCTGAAATCCCAGCTACTTGGGGAATGAGGCAGGAGAATCGCTTGAACCCAGGAGGCGGACGTTGCAATGAGCTAAGATCACGCCATTGCACTCCAACCTGGGTGACAGTGCGAGACGCCACCTCAAAAAAGAAAAAAAGAAAAAAGAAAATTCTATAGGACAAACAACTCCATTTCCTTAACAAAAACATTGCAAGGGAAAAAACAGATAAAGGAGGAACACAGAAATAAAAAAAGACTTGAGTTATACCAACCAGGCCGGGCGTGGTGGCTCACGCCTGTAACACCAGCATTTTGGAAGGCCAAAGGGGGCAGATCATCTGAAATCAGGAGTTCGAGACCAGCCTGGCCAACATGGTGAAATCTGTCTCTACTAAAATACAAAAATTAGCTGGGCATGGTGGCAGGCGCCTGTAATCCCAGCTACTCGGGAGGCTGAGGCAGGAGAATCGCTTGAACCCAGGAGGCGGAGGTGACAGTGAGCCGAGATTGCGCCATTGCACTCCAGCCTGGGCGACAAGAATGAAACTCCGTCTCAAAAAAAAAAAAAAAGAGTTATACCAACCAATCGCACTATGTAGGCCCATTTTAATCTGTATCTTGATTCAAACAAAAATGTAAAAAAATTATGGACGTTTATAAGACAAGTGAAAATCTGAACACTCACTGGGCATTTTATGATATTAAGAAAATATGCTAATTTTTTTGGTATAATAGTACTGTAGTTACATTTTTTAAAGTTCTTATCTTTTAGAGTTAGTACTTTTTATTTACAGATGAACTTATTAAATTCTGAGATTTACTTCAAAATAACGTGAGAGAAAAGGAAATGGATGTTATGAAGATGGGGCAGCACTGGGCAGGGATTGGTGGTTTTCAGGGCTGGGCTTCATTACACTGTGCCACTGTGGAATGTTTGAAATCCTTTGCAATAAATAATCAAACACACACAGGCACACAAAGTGAGATACCATTAGAGTCTCACCCAAGATGGCTAATATAAATAATACAAATAATATCAAGTGTTGATGAAGATGTGGGGCAATGCTGGTGGGAGTAGAAAATGTACGAATACTTTGGAAAATAGGCAGTTTCTAATAAAGTTAAATAGAATCTATATTCTATGATCCAGCAATTCCACTTTTAGCTGTAGACCCAACAAAAATGAAATGTGTACAACAGACATACACAGGATGTTCAAATAACCACAAATGGGAAACAATCCAAATGCTAATAAGAATAAAATAAGTGAATTGCGGTATGTTCACATGTTAGAATACTATAGAGCAATGAAAGAATATACTGCTACTATATGCCACAACATGGTTAAATTTCACAGACACAATGTTGAACAAAAGCCAGACATAAAAAGTATACATGAGTCTATAAAACGTTCCCAAACTTCACTGAGGTAGAAAAACGTTGGAGTAGAGGTTTGCTTTTGAGGAAGCGGCAAGTATTCTTTTTAGGGTGCTGATCGTGGTCTGTATCTTGATCTCCATGGTGGTTACACAGGTATGTATTTGTAAAAATTAATTGGGCTGTCCCCTTAAGATTTGTATGCTTTACTATATATACATTTTCATGAAAAAAAAATTAAGGGGAAAAAGAGTAGCTTGGAAAGGAGCCGGAGGTGGAAACGGGAGTAGCATCTGGATAGCAATACCAAGAGTTTCTACCCCCACCCAACCATTAGAGGCAAGGCCCTAGGCTGGCCCCTCACTTCCACATCAGGTAGTTGAGTCACAGGTGAAAAGTGACTTTCCGAAAACCCTTGTGAAGCAGAACTGGACTCATGACTCCCAGTCCAGGGTTCTTTCCAGTTTCCACATACCTCATTTGTCCCAGAGAGATATTGACAGATGAGATAGTAACTTATTTTGAAGATCTTTGAGGGAGGAAGTCCCACAGCTTCAGTTCTAACTCTCACGGGCAGAAATGTCCACAGTTTTGCCATGTCTAACATCAGTCCTTCATCCTGCACGTTCACCTGTTTGTTCTCTCTCAGTCCTTTTCTGAAGACTTGAAAAGAGCTAATTACTTGGAGACATTCCTTTTCAATAGCTTTCCAAATTGCTCTATTCTGCAAGCCAAATATATATATTATATGCCCTTTAGACTTTTCCCAGCCTCTCTCTCTTGATTTTTAAATGATCTCAGAGATTTTCACATAAGCCTACATTTTTAGAGCTAGCACAGCCACAGAGATCAATGAGTCCAACTATGTCAGGATAAAACTGAAGCTTAGAAAAGGGGAATGACGCCAGTGGTAGAGAGGAGACAGCAGCGCAGGGGTCAGGAATTGTGGGCAGTGCTCTTTCCTTCTCTCTCCATGCTGCTACTTCACCCCCTCTACCCCACTGCATTCTCCATGGCCCCTTCTGTGTGCAGTTCACAATAGGGTACAACTCTCTGGGGAGGTTACTACTGCTGAATATAAGGGGATGACCCAACCACAGCTGCTAAATGCTATTTTTTTTGAGTCTCTGTCACCCAGGCTGGAGTGCAGTGGCACGATTGTGGCTCACTGCAACCTCTGCCCCCTGGGTTCAAGCAATTCTCCTGCCTCAGCCTCCCTAGTAGCTGGGACCACAGGCATGCGCCGCCATGTCCAGCTAAATTTTGTATTTTTAGTAGAGACGGGGTTTCACCATATTGGCCAGGCTGGTCTCGAACTCCTGACCTCAAGTTATCTGCCCATATCGGCTTCCCAAAGTGCTGGGATTACAGGCGTAAGCCACCACGCCCGGCCTAAATGCTATCTTCTTATCTGTGCACTCCATCACTAACTTGCTTTTAATACAGCAGACCCTAGTTGCAGAATTGTCATCAGTTTGCTAGAAGCTAGACACACGACCACATGCCACATGCCACATCTGCCCAGAAGCAATGCTTCCTACTCTTCCTATCTGTGGACTGCAACTCCCCACTCCAGGTCCTTAGAAGACTTTCAGGAAGTGGTGGTGTGGGGGAGAACTTCTTGGGATTTAAATTAAGCTAATTTATTCTTTTATAAAACAGCATTTCTGGGGTCACCTCTGTTCCATTAAAAAGAAAGTAGACACTGCACTGGTCTTTTTCAGACCTGTGGCTGAGTTGGCTTGTGGCTCCTGCAGAAATGCAGACTGGGGTGGCTGGCAGCCACTTGGAGCTCTATAGTTCTCATGAAGGGAGAAAGCTGCCTTGCAGAGCCTTAGGGGACCTGGGAGCCTCACCTTCACCGTCAGTACTTCGAAATGATTGGCTAATGGCACCAGTGATCTGGAATAGCCCTAAAGAGGAAAGGTTTGGAGCCTGGCTGCCCAGAGAATGAAGAAAGGATTGGCAAGCCTGCTCTGCGTAGTTCTGGTGGATCAGCAATACCTGCTGGTCCAGTGGGAACTTCTCCAACCCCAGTTTTGAGGAGACTCAGAAAGAAAAACATCAGGGTTACAGGAAAAAACAGACATTCCTAGGAAGCATTTGGCACAATTACAAATGGCATATTAAACTGGCAAAATGCTTCACAATTATTTTTTAGACAACTCCACACACATCTCAGCAGGAGGAAGTTTGGCACAGACAAGTACAAGTTCTTATGTACTGGACAAAATTAGTTCAATTACTCATGCACACTCAAAGGTGCTTAATTAATGATAACAGCAAGGGAACAAAAGACCAGGAGAGGTCTGCACTCTCCAGTCAACAATTGATTCACCAACTGGACAGACACAGGCAGAAAAACCAAACCAAACAAGAGAAGAGTCTATTACATTTAAGAGCCCTTTAAAATAAGAAACATCATCCTTTATATGACAAAGATGACACTAAGTATACTTATATGTATGAATAAGAATGACACCAAGTGCTTTGTGTTTGTACAGTACACTACATTTACGCTCATCTAAGGGAACTGGGATGGTGTGATGTTACGTGATTTGCCTAATGGTACACAATCAGCATTAGAGCAAGGTCTAGGCTCCAGGTCACCTGCTTCCTGGGTTGCCCCACAGTGAGCAGGGCCTGTGCTCTGCTGATGGAATCCACCCAGTCGCTGGGACTAGGCCCTGCAGACATCTGTAAGATGCCCAGCTGAGTATGAGACAGGGCAGTTAAGTGGCCCTTAGAGGGACAAATAGATTTCCTTTACTGGATAGTAAGAGTTTGGCAAAATACTTGATATATACTGGGTGTTCAATGAATAATAATTTTTATGCTTATTCTCAGGTCTGAAAAAATTCAGAGTTGGATTTGATCAGTTGTTTGAAAATCTGTTTTTGACAGCAGGACCCCAATTATATAGTGACAGAGATCAAAAGGGGGCTCCCCTGGTTGTGACAGGCCTGTTGCCTTGCCTGCTCAGCCATCCCTCACCCTTGTCTGAGGATTTAAAATCAAAGGATTAAGTACATTCCAAGGCCACTAGCTTTACATTTTACAAATATGGTTTAGGATCATTCAGCTGCTACCTGAGTAAGCTGGATTTTTTATTTCTGTATCAGTACGGGCCATTTTAGCAACAGAAAGGACTTTCTGGAGGACACTGGTAATTAGTGGCAACTGGAGAGTTTCACATGAACTGAAGGACTATAATGATAAATTGTTAGAGAAGATGAGAATTCAGCCTATAAATGCAGATTTTCCAAATCAGTTGAGTACTGCCTGACTTGCTGCAGGTCCTTAGGTGAATGACACCTTCTCAGTCTTGAAGTTCAACAGAAAGACAGTGGATGTGCACATGGTGAGCAAGTGCATGTGGCATGACGGGATTCTCGCTGCTAAAGAATGTACAGCCCACAGTGCTGGTCAGGCCCCTGAAGGCATACTAGTCCTGCCTCTTTCCCCCAACCCAGGTCCCCAGTTCTTGATTTGAAATAAGGACTTTTCACTATAAATTCATGCTGAACTGAAAGTTTCTTTTAGGCAAGGGCCATTTTTCTCTTTCTCCATACTTATTTTCCTTCTCCTCCCATACTGTATGTCAGCAACCCTCAGGAGAGCAGCTTGATAGGGTAATAAATGCTGGTCAGGAACTGATTTTTGGAGGCAAGTGATACCAAGAAGTTATCACTGAGCTACAGGTAAAGCAGGTGAGAGGGTTCCAGTCTCGATTCTACCAAAGACTCACTACATGACTTTGGATAAACGATTCAGTTTTTCTCAATTTCAGCTTTATGATGTATGCTAAAAGCACCCTGTATGCCAAAGAGGCACACAAATGTTCACTGCTATTATTATCATCAACCTTGAAAAATGAGCAAATTCTTTTCCATCTTGAAAACTGCTGTAAGGCTTTAGCCAGCACCATTTTCTACTCAACATTGACTGAGGTACTACTATTAATATATGGAAAGTTACTAGCTGAAGGTACTAAAAACATGCAGAGATAAAAGCCATTCATTTTCCCTCAAAGCGGTTAATCACTCAGGTGTCAGCTTAGCTGATGGTGCCAGGGACAAGTAATCTTAGTCCAAGACATTATATTTCCTTATCCCATACCCCAAGGCTTTCAAACAGCCTACCTATGAGCCCAGTGGGACCTTCTGTGGCCTAGCCTTCGGGCAGAGATCCACCTGGTGCTTGAGTACACCTGGCTGACCACCTCTGCACAAACATCACTGTTGCAATCCAGTGCACTCCCTGGCATGCACAGAGAATGCCAAAGGGAAGCAATGCACTCCTAGTTTCTGACCCCAAGTCCTCCTAGGCCAGCCCAGCAAAGCATCTTGGTAGCAGATGCTGTACTCTATTTCTGGGAAGACTGGAGTGATGATATCTTTTTGTTTTGGGAGTTGTTTCCTGTCAAGTGTGAGCTTGGGGATTCAGCTGAGGCCCGGTAGCAGTTCCCAAATAAGAACAAATATGGCCATGAAGCAATTTCCTTCAGAAAGAAAAAAAGAGACTGATGAGGCTCACAAAGGGGTCAGTCTATGCCTTTTCTGGCAACTGGCAGAAGCAGCATATAAATCTTGCTGTGTTCAGTGGGCAGCTTCAGGTTTCTGCTCCATGCCAGCCAACTAAATCCATGAGCTTGGGAAGACAGCAGCAGAGAGCATTATGAGCTGAGTTAGAGAGTCACAGGCTCCCTCTGAAACCTTCTAGCAGATTTCGCAAATGCTAGGAGGCCAGAATAGCACTCCTGGTGTTCCAGCCATGTTAAGAACCCAGAGAGAACTCTGTGAAACTGCTCCGTGGGCCAGTGGCTCAGAACACATTGTAGAAATGATCTGTGGGTAGCAGTGCACTTCCTTTAGGCAGAGTCGGAAGAGCCAAGTTAGTGAATGCCCCAGGCCCCACAGCGAGACCTCAGCATCATCCACTCCCAGCTTACCCCAGCAGTGATGCTGGCCTCCCAGCCTTTTCTTTTTGGCTAAGTGCTCCTTTTATCTGGCTCTAGTCCTGCAGGACAGCTTCTCTACCCCAGTACCTGTAGGTCCTTGTCATGGCCCTGCCTCTCCAGGATTAGCACCCGGTCCTGTAGCTCCTCCACGGTCCCTTGGAGCAGGTCATTTTCCTCTAAAGTAGCGCTGAGACGATGCTCCAGCTCCCGTTTCCGATCTGACAGCATCTTGATCTGAAAGGGTGGAGAGCCACAGGGGTGGTGTGGAGTTACACCCGGGCTGACAAGTAGGAACTAGGGACTAGCCCCAAAACATGAAGGCAAGTATCTTTCAGTATTCTGCCCAATGTCACGGTACCCCCATCTCTGAGAGAATAGCTATGAAACCCTAAGCTGAAGAGAAAACCCCTCCCCTCTAGAAACCTGTCTGGGAAGGAGTAGGAGTTGAGCTCTGGGGAAGCTGGAATGTGGGATGCCAGGCAGAGGAAGGGAAGGCTAGTGCTCTGGAAATTCCAGAGATAAGATAAAAAAAAAAAGGGCTCCACCTTGCCTGCCCTCAACTTTACCCCATCCTTACAACTGGCAGGAGGAGTGGAACCTAACCTGCTGCACTACTTCTCCTCCTCAAGTCATGAGCACAAGAAAATGCCCAGGAAATCCTCTGGAGCGCCGTGTTTTCACACCCCGGGATTCCCCTCCGTCTTCCTTTCCCCGCTCCTGGCCCCTCTGGCACTAGAGGTCACAGCTCAGATCCAGTGCCTTGAGTTAAGGGAAGAGCTCCCAGGGTACAGAAAACAAAGTAGTGCCTGCATCAGCCTGTGTCCTGGGATGGAGCAGGACACAGATACAAGTGAATGCTGACTTTACTCAGAGTAACTTTTACCTGAGCGAGTCATTCGTGAAGAGGCGCAAATTCTTTTTATGAAACAGGTTGATATGTTCGTATACACTGAATACCTAGTCAGTCTCCACATAAGTAAATCTTCTTTTAGGAAGGTCTGTCTAATCTCTTCAGTGTCAGTGAGAAAACAGAGGCAAAGAGGGAAGAGATGCCAAGTCTCCTCTGGCCTCAAGGTTTGAAGGGTGAGAAGCTGAGCCAGTGCTCCCCAAGGCCAGGGATGCTTCACTCAAAAGATCACCACCCTGGCTCAGGGGGTCCAGAAAGCCCTGCCAATTGGATCTGACTCCTAGGGGACCTTCTGGAATCCTGGAGGTCCTCGTGGATCCTCCCATTTATTTAGCAGTGCCCTGCTGGACTGATTCTTAACCAGTTTCTTGCTTGTAAATATTTTCTTGACATGGTTAAAATATTCTCCAAGCTCTCTAGTCCAGCTTTGATAACAATTCCTTAAGGCTTTTACTTGTGCAAGTTTTGGGGACCAACCTTAGAACTTTTCCAGGGGAAATCCTGAAATGAATGTCTAGCTTGTTTCAGTCCTACGAGATACACTTTTCCCTTTACTTTTTATCTGTTCTCATTCTCTGAACTAGAATTCTGCTCACAGGGCACAGATCTTCTCTGGCCACCAATTCAATCAGATAGGATGTTGTCCTGGGGAAACAAAGTATGTGGCCTTTGTCCAGAGAGATCAGATATCTGGCCAAACAAAGAAATATTGTCTCTCAAGTGTGCATCTGGGTAGGGGACCAAAAGGAGCAAGCCCCTTTTGTGAATGGGTCCACTATTTCCTACACTGAAGCAAAGTTACCCATGTGAAGACAATTCTTACTCTAGTTGATTTTCATTTAAATACCCTCTGACCTTTAAATTTTCCTTCCCATGAATCATCTTTGTTTCCCAACTTTCAGTCAGTGAAGTGATGGGGTAATAAGATTCTGATACACAACTGACCCTAAAAAAACTTAGTTCGGAGCTACACAAAGTAACTTACTTGAAACAAACAATTTCATAGCTTGCCTTTTAAAGGTAGCAGTGTTCATGGACAAAGCAGGGAATCAGTGTTAGGCCACCAACTCCCTCACCCAGCGCTATACACCCTGAAACTTGTGAAAAAATCTGGCAATAAACATTCCTGGGGACGACCCGGTTCATGAGGGTCTAGAAAAAATGAACGGGTGAGGAAAGAGGAAGACAGGAAACGTGAAGGAGTCAGAGGCTGGCAGAGGCAGGTGAATGGCAAGTCATGCACACAAATGGTCACACACAGGCATGCCAAACCCCACTGGAACAAACTCTACTTACTTCAAGGACCTGCTGCTCAATACCAGTAGGCATTCCAAGGGAAAGGGGGAAGGAAGGGAATAGGAGGCAGGAGAAAAGAGAAGATATTGACAGACTTTAGGAAAAACATCCTCAGGTCATTTACCGAGCAGGGCAACAGGCTATCTGGGTTTCTCTGGCCTGACCATGATGGCAGATCGCTTCGTCACAGTGGAAGGTTACTTGTTCAACCTGGCTCTAGACTGTCCTTCAAACTCTGACTTAGCAAAGGGGCTGCTACTTGGCCCCTTTAGCCAGATACTTGGCTAAAGGGTCCTCAAAAGCAGACCAGGTGGAAGCCTCCCCTAGGGGGAGGCCTGGTTTGGGCTGGTGATAAGATCCTTACCCTCTCTTCACCTTCCACAACCAGGTTCTCACAGTATTGTTCCCCTGCCGATACTTTCTTTTTCCCCTCATCCTGGCCCTCACATTCTGGCCTCTCCTATGGTTCCAATAACATCACTGTGTTCCAGGTATCATATAAAGTGCCTTGTATGCATTAACCCATAATATCCTTGCAAAAACCTGTGAAGTAGAAACTTCTATTTCTCTCATTTTGCAGGTGAGAATGATAGTAGACCTTACTAAGTTGGACTGAACTGGGCCTAAATGGAATAGAGAAAGGCGAGATGCCCTTTCCCACCTCCTGTTTGGGATTGGCAAGGATATTTTTGGAGAGATCAACATATTCAGTAAAATGTAGGTCATTCGTGATTTCAACACACCCGGCAGTAACTCTGAGCAACTTCATTTTTCCAGACAACAGGCTACCCAGAGAAACAGATCAAATGTTTCCCATTTAGTTTCGCACAGAAATGTCTTTCTGTAGAGATTTTAGGCCCTTTTACATAGAGCAGTTTTTTGTCTCCCAGTGAGAAAAGCACTCCACCTTCCAGCACTGCTGTGTCGGGAGGCTCACCTCGGCCTGAAGGCTCTCCAGCCGGATAATGTGCTGGTTGGTTGATGAGTTTTTCTCCCGAAAGTCTTCTCTGAGGGCGTGGACCTGCATGGAGAGTTGTCTCTCAACTTCTGATGCCTGAAACAGAGGAGACCTGCAGAGCTGATTCGGAGGTTATGCAAAGGAACTCTGTTAAGGTTTCTGCTTTCATTTATCAAGCATCTCTTTGCACTTTCTATTCTTTAAGGAGCACTAGATGAGATGCTGGTTTCCCATCCATTTGTTCTCTAGTCCAAAACAGGACAAACTCCCACCCCCACCTCTACCATTAATGACCCTGAATAGGTGCAAGACCACTCTACTGATCAAAGGAAACAGCCCTAGGAAATAGTATGCTCTCAAATGTTAGTTATCATTATTACTCTACATATAGCAGAAACTCAGCAAATATCTAATAAATTGAAAGTCTGAATATTTTACATAAAAGAATAAGATGGTTATACCTACTGCCTTAGAAATTCCTTTACTTCTCCCATCAATTTCCTCAAGTGGGCTCAGTCAAATCACGTGCATCTGCATTTCTCTCCTCTACTTAACATGGACACTATTTGAAATTTCTTGTCATACCTGTTAAGATTTTTTGCCACTCATTCCTCAAGGACATTTTTGCAACTTTTAATTCTTTGGGGAGTGCCAGCAGAGGTGCCTGTTTCCCACCTCAATCCATTTATGATCTAATGCTAAAATACAGCAAACACCAAATACCATCTGGTGTTGCAGGAGGCTCACCTGGTAACACAAACTCCAGCCCTCCTCCTGAGGGTCCCAGCCCAGACCCTACTGAGGGAGCCCTGCCCACTGTCCTGTGGAGAGGAGAGCCACGGGACAAATTAAGTAACTGCCTCAATGCTTTTTTGAGGCCAAATGGGGTCAGTAAGCTTTATGGGTTCTCTCGGGAGAGATCACCGTGTGCTGGAACGGCCAGGAAAGGCTTTCCGAGGAGGTGGGATGGTGATAATGTTGAAGTGGTAGGCTAGCTGTTCAATGAGGCTCTCACAGTAATGGTTACATGTTCAGTAGTTCTTTTTATCTTCAAGTACTATATAATCAATTGTCCATCTTTTTTATTTTTGGTTCCACATATTCAACAAATGTTACCTCACTGGACTACAGAGCCACAGAAGATTCTCAACCTACAGTGCTATTTTAAAAACAATTACAAAACACAAAACAAAATAAAATCAAACCATACTCTAGTTGATTTTCATTTAAATACCCTCTAACCTTTAAATTTTCCTTCCTATGAATCATCTTTGTTTCCCAAGTTTCAGTCAGTGAAGTAATGAGCTAGTAAGATTCTGATATACAACTGACTCCTTAAAAAACTTAGAAGTTCAGAGCTACATGAAGTAACTTATTGGAAATGAACAATTTCATAGCTTGGCTTTATGATGCAAGGAATCAGCATTAGGCTGCCAACTCCCTCACCCCACCCTACACACCCTGAAACCTGTGAACAATTCTGGCAATAAACATTCCTGGGAATATTTTCCCTATATTATTTCTCCTTCGTATTCTAAATTTAATTTCAGATACCCACTAGGCTGTTTTAGACTTCTCAATCACTTAAAAACACATTAGTCATTCACTTTTGCCTAAGAATCACATTAGTAATATTTACTGAGTACATACTATGTGTCAAGAACTGTGCTAATTGCTTTCCAATGCATTATCTTGATTGTTACCCCCAATTAACAAGGAAATCGGCTCAGGAAACTGAAGGAACTTGCCCAGCATCTCAGTGACAGAATCAGGATGGTAAAAACTTTGGGCTGGGTTGGGTACGCTGGCTCATGCCTGTAATCCCAGCACTTTGGGAGGCTGAGGTGGGTGGACTGCTTAAGCCCAGGAGCTTGAGACCAGCCTGGCCAACATGGTGAAACCCAGTCTCTAGAAAAAATACAAAAATTAGCTAGGCATGGTGGTATGTGCCTGCAGTCCCAGCTACTTGGGAGGCTGAGGTGGGAGGATCACCTGAGCCTGGGGAGGTCGAGGCTACAGTGAGCCATGATCGTGCTGCCACTGCACTACAGCCTTGGCAACAGAGTGTGAAAGCCTGTCTCAAAAATAAATAAATAGGCTGGGCAGGGTAACTCACGTCTGTACTCCCAGCATTTTGGGAGCCTGAGGTGGCTGGATCACCTGAGGTCAGGAGTTTGAGACCAGCCTGGCCAACATGGCGAAACCCTATCTCTACTAAAAATACAAAAATTAGGCCGGGCATGGTGGCTCACACCTGTAATCCCAACACTTTGAGAGGCCGAGGTGGGCGGATCACAAGGTCAGGAGTTCAAGACCAGCTTGGCCAACATGGTGAAACCCCGTGTCTACTAAAAATACAAAAATTAGCTGGGCATGGTGGCATGCACCTGTAATCCCAGCTACTCGGGAGGCTGAGGCAGGAGAATTGCTTGAACTGGGACACGGGAGGTGGAGGTTGCAGTGAGTTGAGATTGAGCCACTGCACTCCAGCCCAGGCTACAGAGCGAGACTCAGTCTCAAAAAACAAACAAACAAACAAACAAATTAACCGGGCATGGTGGTGCGTGCCTATAGTACCAGCTATTGGGAGGTTGAGGCAGAAGAATCGCTTGAACCTGGGAGGCAGAAGTTGCAGTGAGCCAAGATCATGCCACTGCACTCCAGCCTGGGCAACAGAGCAAGACTACGTCTCAAAAAGAAAAAATTAAAAAAAATTAATAAAAAAAAAACCAACTTTGGCTGTCTTAACCTCAAATTAGTACTGTAATACTATCTTCTTGTATTTTGAAATAATTTTTCATATTTCTATTGCTCACTACTAAAACCAAACTTTACACGAGTCCAATTTAGCAAGGCTTTTCTTCTTTTTTTTCAATGCTAGGCATTTCATTTGAGACTCTTAAAATTTCTTCTAAGGCCAGCTGCAGTGGCTCACGCCTCTAATCCCAGCACTTTGGGAGGCTGAGGTGGGTGGATCACCTGAGGTAAGGAGTTTGAGACCAGCCTGGCCAACATGGTAAAACCCAGTCTCTACTAAAAATACAAAAATAAGGCGGGCGTGGTGGCGGGTGCCTGTAGTCCTAGCCACTCGGGAGGCTGAGGCAGGAGAATCGCTTAAACCCAGGAGAGGGAGGTTGCAGTGAGCCAAGATCGCGCCACTGCACTCCAGCCTGGGCCACAGGGCAAGACTCTGTCTCAAAAAAAAAAAAAAAAAAGAAAAAAATTTTAACAGAAGGTAGGGCTGGCCCATCAGGAAATCACATGCTGCAGTTTGAGTGCATATACTGAATTCAGTTGACTGTTGAGATTTCAAACATACTTAGATGTGCAGAGCACTGGGTAATTCAGGTAGCTGATCTTATTCCTACCATCACCACTTTGACATGAATCACTCAACAACGAAGCCGCAGAGATGCACCGAGGGCTGCAAATCTAGTCCAGCTGGTATAAAATGCTCCTGCAGACTACCTCTTCTCAAAGCGATCTTCTTAGAAATAGAAATTTGTCTCTTCCTACCAGAAAGTTAAACTCTAGAGCCTAAGCTGTTAAGCACTAAGCTATAATGCTCCCTTTAAATGTCTGACTCCTCAACTATGCCCAGGGATATGCACAGCAAAAGCTTTTAAACTCCATTTCTCATCTCAATTTACAATAGCCTTAAGAAGCAGGAATCGGCCAGGCGCGGTGGCTCATGCCTGTGGTCCCAGAACTTTGGGAGGCCGAGGCGGGTGGATCGCGAGGTCAGGAGATCGAGACCATCCTGGCTAACACGGTGAAACTCCGTCTCTTCTAAAAATACAAAAAAAAATTCTCCAGGCGTGGTGGCGGGCGCCTGTGGTCCCAGCTATTCGGGAGGCTGAGGCAGGAGAATGGCATGAGCCCGGGAGGCGGAGCTTGCAGCGTGCCGAGATCGCGCCACTGCACTCCAGCCTGGGCGACACAGCAAGACTCCGTCTCAAAAAAAAAAAAAAAAAAAAAAAAAAAAAAGCAGGAATCGCTGGCCTCCTTTTGCAGGGCAGGGAGATAGAGGCTCCAAGGGTGTGTACTGCACTGGCCTTTGGCCACCACATCACAGCCACCTTCCAGCCAGGGGGGCCAATCAATTGCCTGTGATGGTGATGGAGGGAATAGATAATCTGAGTTATAAACCTACCCTTTGCAAGGAGCTAATGCACCTTCCAAAATAAATTATTTTCTTCTTTTTCAGAGATAGAATCTGGTTCACACCTTGGACTTGACTAACACAATGAACATTAGCTATTTCTGCACATAAATTAAATAATAACCTCTTAAGTTTATATATAACTCTTATGTTCTAAATGCTTTCTGGAAGTTAAATGCTAAATAAGGAAGCCTTAGCTCTGGAATGAATTTCAGAGGTTCTTTGAAGAACCTTTGAAGAAGTGGGAGAGTTAGCCAGGGTAACAGCAGTCTCTCTGAAGGGATACACTGTGCTCCTGAGAGGAGGGGTATCGTGGAAAGACAAAAAATTGAATCAAATGGGCCAGGCGCGGTGTAATCCCAGCACGTTGGGAGGCCAAGGTGGAAGGATCGCTTGAGCTCAGGAGTTCGAGACCAGCCTGGACAATATGGTGAAACCCTGTCTCTACAAACTTACAAGTCCTAGTAGTACTTGTCCATGTAATTTCTCTGTAATAATTGGGAACCTGTCATCCATGATAATGTCCTCTAAATATACAACCACAGCATCAAATTCTGCATCAGAGGTGGAGGAGGACAGCCTGAAGCTCTCTTCCTCTAAGGCATCCATTGCTGTTACCATTCCCACCTGCGTGGGCGAGAGGACCACTGGGCTCCTATCCAACCCAGGGCTTGGCACAGGGCCCAGCCTCCCCTCTGCTCTGTAGAGCCCTAACCTGCATCAAGGGCAGGCGGTCGGCTGGGAGGAGGCATTGCTGACCAGGCCACAGACTGCTCACTCACTGCCCAGCAGGGTCAGTGCTCATGCTCGAGGCCTGGCCTCAGGTTCCCCAGCTGCAGCCACTCTCCTGCCAGGTCTCCACATCCATCTAGGACCCTCTGCCCAAATCTTTCTTTCACTCTTTCTCTTTCACTTTTTTTTTTTTTTGAGACGGAGTCTCGCTCTGTCACCCAGGCTGGAGTGCAGTAGCGCGATCTCGGCTAACTGCAACCTCTGCCTCCCAGGTTCAAGCAATTCTCCTGCCTCAGCCTCCTGAGTAGCTGGGATTACAGGCGCACTACCACGCCCAGCTAATTTTTGTATTTTTAGTAGAGACAGGGTTTCACCACGTTGGTCAGGCTGGTCTCGAACTTCTGACCTCGTGATCCGCCCACCTTGGCCTCCCAAAGTGCTAGGATTACAGGCGTGAGCCACTGCGCCCGGCCTCAATTCATTCTTATAGCAGAAAATGGCAGACACAAGTCTTATAGTTTACTTATCAAAATGATGAGTTTTGGCTACCATGCCTAACTAAGCAGCCAGTAATTACTTGTGGCAAAAAACATTTGAAATCATAGGTGAATATAAAATAGATGGCAAGACTTTAGTTAAAGCATTTTTCTTTCCATTTTAAACTCAGGTTTCTTTCTATGATAAAAGTTACAACTGTTCAGAGTAAAAAAAAGTAAAGAAAACTGAAGAATTAAAATGAAAGTTAAAATCTCTACTTACTCCTAGTATTAGTGCCACCCACCACAGGTAATCACTATTAGATCTTTCTTGGGAGTCCTTTTAGAAATTTTCTATTCATATGTATGTATCTATGTAGATCTACCTTATTCTAATTTAACTAGTCCCTACTGATGAGCATTTCGAGTGTTCCAATTTTTTTTGCTATTATGAACATTGCTCCAAAAAATATCTTTGTTCACCCATCTTTGTGCTTGTGGGTAATTTTCCATAAGTGGAATCACTGGGTAAAAGAATACGCACATTCACTCTGAACAAGGTATTGCAAAACAGTCCTCTAAAAAGGTTGCATCAATTTATATCCCTATCAACAGTACAAATACACCTGATGCCTGTTTCTCAATACTCTGCCACCACTGGGTATTATGCAATGTTTTAATCTTTAGATACTTATTTTTTGTTTGTTTGTAGATACTTATTTCTAATATCTTCAAAACTTAAGTCTCTTTTACTTTCACTGAATACAGATTGCATGATGAAGCAAAAAACATTTGAAAAATATCTCTAGTTCTGTTACAGAATGCTAAAAATTTTAATGCACACTCCCAAAACTATCTGAAATAAACTCTTTTTATAATTTGCTTGGGTTACTATTATTTAATGAATCCTCAAGTTGGCAAAACAAAGTAACAGTGTGTTCCTTTTCCTGTTGGTCAGAGTACCATCTAGGACAGATTACTTCCTCCCCACTGAACAAAGCTGTTTCATCATTACTTTGCTTGTGGACATGATTAATAACATATGAACATTCCCCCAAACTAGAACCTTTAGATTAAGCTTGTTTAAACTTGCCAAAGCAGAACTGTTCACTACACACTTTCTTGTTAAATGGAGGGAAGGAAATTGCATTATTTATACGAGTATCCAGTTTACTTATTTGTTGAAAGAAAACAAATGAACTAATAAACTTAGAAATTATCATAGGAAAGATCTACTATTTTAATATTTTGCCTGAATAATTGAGTTTTACCTTAAGAGAGAAATTCTCAAACTTTCTTTTGCCAGGGCATGATGGATAATGGGCACCTTTTGGGGTGGCAGTGACAGTGACAATGAGGATGACGACATTTATTTTAAAATTTAAATGTAACAAAATCCCACTGCAGAATATGGGTATTTTAAAAATGCTGCTAGCATTTTATTTTTTCCCCAATCTTTCTACATATATGTGTGTGTACAATTACTTACAATCCTACTGTTATAATTTTTTACTTAGCATTGTATCAATAGCATTCCTACGTTATTATTATTATTTGAGATGAAGTCTTGCTCTGCTGCCAAGACTGGAGTGCTGTCGTGCGATCTCGGCTCACTGCAACCTCCGCCTCCCAGGTTCAAGTGATTCTCCTGCCTCAGCCTTCTGAGTAGCTGGGACCACAGGTGTGTGCCACCATGCCCGGCTAATTTTTTTTGCATTTTTAGTAGAGATGGAATTCCTTCATGTTGGCCAGGCTGGTCTCAAACTCCTGATCTCAAGTGATCCGCCCACCTCAGCCTCCCAAAGTGTTGGGATTAGGCGTGAGCCACCACACCCAGCCTATTATTAATCCTCATTTTATATGACTGTAATATTCCATCAAGTATTTCCTTTACCATTCCCTTATTATTAGGCACGTGGGATTTCCCCATATTTTGCAATTATAATGCATTGATGAAGACATGTCACTGGCGTAGTGGTAGAAAAACTTACCTGAGTAGAAGTAGACTGGACAAGCTTACTGTGTCAGCAAGGTAGATTAATACTCTTCAGAAAAGAAAACCTGGCCAGGTGGCTCATGCCTGTAATCCCAGCACCAATTTGGGAGGCTGAGGCAGGCAGATCACTTGAGGTCAGGAGTTCCAGACCACCCTGGCCAACATGCAGAAACTCTATCTCTACTAAAAAAGCAATAAAATTAGCCGGGGGTGGTGGGGCACACCTGTGGTCCCAGCTACTCGGGAGGCTGAGGCAGGAGAATAGCTTGAACCCGGGAGGTGGAGGTTGCAGTGAGCTGAGATCACACAACTGCACTCCAGCCTGGGCGACAGAGCGAGACTCTGTCTCAAAAAAAAAAAAAAAAGTTACAATTTTTTTGGGATTATAGGTGCCCACCACCATGCCTGGCTTATTTTTTTTATATTTTTAGTAGAGACAGGGTTTCACCATGTTGGTCAGGCTGGTTTCAAACTCCTGACCTCAGGTGATCCGCCCACCTTGGCCCCTCAAAGTGCTGGGATTACAGGGGTGAGCCACTGCACCTGGCCTTACAGTTTTTTATATACACAAATGAGGAGTCTGATAAACATACATGTATTTATGAGCATACATATACTTATTCCCTAGCTCTGTCCTCTGAGAGGACCTACATACAATGACACTCTAGTAGCAATACACGCATAGCACTCAAATCTTGCTTTCCAAATACCATTCTCTAATAAATGAACGAAGGCTCCTTGGAGAAAAGGCTAGTTTCAGGGTTGGGGCAGGAAAAATACAGGATGAGCCTGGAATATCTCATGGTACTGGAAAGTAAGAAGTGCTCAAAAAATGATGGTGGCACATGAAAAAATAATGGTTGACACAGGAGTCAATCTGAAGGAGCTCCTAATGGCTAAGGCAAGGACCATTTAATCAATAAACAAATAATGACAGTAATGGATTATAACACATAGGATAAATATTCCTGAGTCTACACTGATAAACAATTCAATCAACAAACGGGGAAAAGGGCTCTTCTCCCTTACAGGATAAATGTAGAAGAAATGATGAAAATAGAAGGCGCAGTAGCTCACGCTCTAATCCCAGCACTTTGGAAGGCCGAGGCGGGTGGATCACCTGAGGTCAGGAGTTCGAGACCAGCCTGATCAATATGCAGAAACCCTGTCTCCACTAAAAATACAAAATTAGCCAGGCATGGTGGCACATGCCTGTAATCCCAGCTACTCGGGAGGCTGAGGCAGGAGAATTGCTTCGCTTGAACCCAGGAGGCAGAGGTTGTGGTGAGCCGAGATTGCGCCATTGCACTCTAGCCTGGGCAACAGGAACAAAACACCTCAAATAAAAGAATGAAAATCAGGCTGGCTGTGGTAGCTCACGCCTGTAATCCCAACACTTTGGGAGGCCAAGGTGGGTGGATCATTTGCGGTCAGGAGTTTGAGACCAGCCTGGCCAACATGGTGAAACCCCACCTCTACTAAAAATACAAAAATTAGCCAGGTGTGGTGGCGGGTGCCTGTAGTCCGTAGTGCCCAGCTACTCAGGAGGCTGAGGCAGGAGAATCGCTTGAACCTAGGAGGCAGAGGTTGCACTGAGCCAAGATTGTGCCCTGCACTCCAGCCTGGGTGACAAAGCGAGACTCTGTCTCAAAAAGAAAACAAAAGAAAATCATCATTAGGCAAGCATCACAGTAATTGCTGCAGGCAAGACCAGAGAACGAATGCTAAAATTTGTGGGCAAAAGTTTCATGAGAAACAGGATATTTTCATATCCTCAAAGTATCTCTTCATAAGATTTACTGATTTATTAATAACAAAGGGAAAAATCATTTATAGTGGGGAGCCTGGCAAACACTACCTTAACCAAGCAGTCAACATCACATGTCCTCCATATGATGTACTGAGAAGGGCCCAACTGTACTTTTGTGCTATTCTCGGCAAGACTGAATAACCTCAATCTAATTATGACAAAACATTAGACAAACCCAAATGAATGACTTTGTACCAAATAATTGATCAATAGTCTTCAAAAGTATCAAGTTCAAGAGAAACAAAGACTATTCAGAATGAACTGTCATCAATTAAAATGAAAGAAAAAGAGAAACAGAGAAAGAGAGAGAGAGAGAGAGAAAGGAAGGAAGGAAGAAAGAAAAAGTTAGAAAGAGAGAGAGAGAGAAGGGGAGGGGAGGGGCGGGGAGGGGAAAGAAAAACAAGGCATGCCTGTAATCCCAGCACTTTGGGAGGCCAAGGTGGGCAGATCACGAGGTCAGGAGTTCAAGACCAGCCTGGCCAACATAGTGAAAACCCGTCTCTACTAAAAATACAAAAAAAATTAGCTGGGTGTGGTGGCGGGCAACTGTAGTCCCAGCTACTTGGGAGGCTGAGGCAGGAGAATCACATGAACCGGGGAGGCAGAGGTTGCAGTGAGCCGAGATCATGCCACTGCACTCCAGCCTGGGAAACACAGCGAGACTCTGTCTCAAAACAACAACAACAACAACAACAACAACAAAGACTGAGAAACTGGCAGAGATTGGAGGAGAGAAAAGAAACATGACAACCAAGTGCAACATGGAAGCCTGAACCGGATTCTGGAGCAGAAAAAGAACATTTGTGGGAAAACTGACAAAATTCCAATAGGTATGTAGATTAGTTAATAGTAGTGTCTCAATATTAATTTTCTGGTTTTGATAACTGCACTATGATTACAAAAGATGTTAACATTAGGGGGAGCTACATGAAGGGTATTTGAGAATCCATATTGCTTTTGTAGCTTCTTTTTTAAGCCTAACTTTTTAAAATCCTAGACTAGTTGTGCCCCCAAGACACTTAACAGAAGAAAACGCAAATCCTCTTTGGAGGATGGTACCTTCAATCCGAAGATCAAATAATCTCCATAAATAGTTTTCTAATAAAAATAATATTATAGTAAAAAAAATTAAAAACAAACATGTACCCATGGAAACAAGGACTCATTAGGAAGTACTGGTAGAAACAGATTCATAAAAACTTCACATCCTGATATTATCAGATATAGACTATAAGACAACGCTGCTATGTTTAGAGAAATAAAAGATTAAAAATATCTCCAGGGGGCTGGGCTCAGTGGCTCACGCCTGTAATCCCAGCACTTTGGGAGGCTGAGGCAGGCAGATCACGAAGTCAGGATTTTGAGACCAGCCTGGCCAACATGGTGAAATGCCGTCTCTACTAAAAATACAAAAATTAGCCAGGTGCGGTTGTGTGTGCCTGTAATCCCAACTACTTGGGAGGCTGAGGCAGGAGAATTGCTTGAACCCGGGTGGTGGAGGTTGCAGTGAGCCGGGATCACGCCATTGCACTCCAGCTCTAGGCACTCCAGCTCTGGGCGACAGAGCAAGACTCTGTCTCGGGGGAAAAGAAAAAAAATCTCCAGGGAAGAGGAAAATGTAAAGTACAACCTTCTCAGATTTGGAAAAGATCCAAGATATCTAGAAATACAAAATAATAACTTAAAATTAAAAACCCAGGCCAGGCCCAGTGGCTCATGTCTGTAATCCCAGCACTTTGGGAGGCCAAGGTGGGAAGATCACTTGAGGCCAGGAGTTCAAGACTAGCCAAGGCAACACTGAAGAATTCTGTCTCTAATAAAAATTAGCTGTGCGTGGCACACAACTGTTAATCCCAGCTACTTGGGAGGCTGAGGCATGAGAATTGCTTGAACCTGGGAGGCAGAGGTTGCAGTGAGCCAAGATCGTGCCACTGCATTCCAGCCTGGGCAACAGAGTAAGACTCTGTCTCAAGCAAAAACAAAAAATGTCACAAAACCCAATGGGTAGTATCAAAATTAAAGACTTCTAAGCATTAGAAGACATCATTAAGAAAACAGATCTAGGCCAGGCGTGGTGGCTCACGCCTGTAATCCCAGCACTTTGGGAGGCTGAGGCAGGTGGATCACGAGGTCAGGAGATCGAGACCATCCTGGCTAACACGGTGAAACCCTGTCTCTACTAAAAACACAAAAAAATTAGCTGGGCGTGGTGGCGGGCACCTGTAGTCCCAACTACTTGGGAGGCTGAGGCAGGAGAATGGCGTGAACCCAGGAGGTGTAGCTTGCAGTGAGCCGAGATCACGCCACTGCACTCCAGCCTGGGCGACAGAGTGAGACTCCATCTCAAAAAAAGAAAAAAAAAGAAAAAAAAAAAAGAGAATAGATCTATAAAGCTCAGACTGGGAGAAAATGTTTATAACACATATATCTGACTTGTATTCAGAATATATAAAAACCTCTAACTCAATAAAAAGACGCGTAATTTTTTAAATGAGCAAAACATTCGAACAGATACTTCAAAGACAAAAATAAATGAATGGCCAATAGGCACATGAAGAAGTGCTCCCCATCATTAGTGACCAGGGAAATGTAAATTAAAACCACAATGAGATACCACTACATACTCATAAGAAGGCTACAATTAAAAGGAACAACAACACAAAATACTGGGAATGTCAACAACTGGAATTCCCACACACTGTTGGTGGGAGTGTAAAATGGCATAACCTACTTTGGAGGAATAAAAAGCTTTCCAGTTTCTTCTTAACCTAATGGACAGAGTTTAAGAACACATGTGACAACTGAAGAGAAAATTACCAAATTGGAAGACTAGTCAGAAGGAATTATCTACACTACAATACAGAGATAAAGATGGAAAATAGAAGCACTACGTTAGTATAGTCCCCATATGTTTAAACTGCAGTTCCAGAAAGGACAGAGTGAATGGGACCGAGGCAATACTTGATGAGATAATGGCTGATAATCTCCTAACAATGAAAGACACCAATTCACAAACTCAAGATGCCCAATGAAAACAAAGCAGAAGAAATAAAACGAAATCCACACCTAGATATATCATAAAGAAACTGCAGAGCGCCAGACTAAGATAATCTGAAAAAGAAGATAAAAGACAACCTTTCCAGAGAAAACACTTGGTTCCCCTAACGACCACAAATACGGCCCATGTTAGCAGATCTCTTTAAAATAAAAAGACACATATAAAAATGTAATATGAAAAGACATTTTCTTGCTGAAATCTTTTAGTACTTCCCTATTACAAACAGGCACAAAAAGCCTTCCAAGGCCAGTCACCTGCCAACCTTCTATCTCCTGTAACTCTGTCCCCTTTATCCTTGTTCTTTCCCTAGGCATGCTTCTTCCCTATTTTTCACAGGACTAACTCTGTCTTTCTAGACTTAGCTATAGCATCATCTCTTCCCAGAAGCTTTCTGTGCTCCTTGGCATTCCAGAGGGACCCTCCTTTGCGTTCTCAGAGCACCCCAGGCACAAACTCTAGCAGAGGACATATTACATTTTATGAGTTATCTTCTTATGAGTCCTTCACCTCATTTGAAGCTTTTTAAGGACAGTGACAGCATCTAATTCATTTTTGCATTCCCAGTAGCTAGTCCAGTACCTGGCCAAGAAATGCCTGAACTGAACTGAATGAAGGATCTTTCAAGGCTGAAACAAACTGTCCTTGAGAAATAAAAGTTTAAAGGTACAGTAGGTAACTACAGAATGAAAATAAGAAAAAAATCTCCAAGAAACTAGAGTAGACACACAGACCCCAAATTAAAAAAAAATGTCAACAAAAGTTTAATAAGCCTTTCTGTGTGGCTAGATTTATCCTAGGTACTGGGGATGAAACAGAGAAGGCAGATCTGGTACCATCTTAGATTTCAAGGATGTCAGAGCTGGACCTTGCCAAAATAAAAGAAAATCAGTTAAGTGAACTCCTTCATTACACAGATGAGGAAACTGAGGCCCAGAGGAGATGCCTTGGTCACAGAGTGAGTAAGGGATAGGTAACCAAATGAGATAGGGAAAAAATGGAAAAGCAAATCACAGGAAACAAGAACCTGTAATTTTTTTTTCCCACATCAGACAGGCAATGTGCTGACACTATAAGGTTTGAGGAAGACACACCTCAAACAAGTGTGAAAGCCCAATCATCATGTTTATGAACTACAAAAAGATCAAGGACCTGTAATTTTAACAGCAATGCACTTGACAGTGAAAGGCTAAAGGAGAAGAAACTAAAACAAAACTTAAGCTTAGCAGAATCCAGATGTTTGCAAATATGGAGGTTGTATTATCTTAACAATCAGGAGAAATAAAGCCTAAGAGTTCAAGGCTACAGCAAGCTATGATCGTGCCTGCAAATAGCTTCTGTACTCCAGCCTGAGCGACACAGTGAGACCTCTCCCTCTTAAAAAAAAAAAGGTAAATTCATAAGACATCAACATCTAGGGAGAAAGGTGAAAGAAAAAAAACTGTGTTGATAACATCAAACAAAGATCAGGAATTTCAGTAATAATGAGGCTGGGGAGAGTGATATAATAATCATAACAAATTTCAGAAAGTGTAAGCTTAGAAAGATTGAGGGAGGAAAGGAGTCATTTGCTTGTTTTTTTTATTTTATTTTTAAAAGACCTTCCATTTTGGAAATATACAAAGTTTCATGTCCCTATGAGAGATATAAACTATAAGACACAATCTTCATTCTTAAGTAGCTGAAGATGAGATGAACCCTTATGAAGCAGCCAATATAAAGCACAGAATAAATATTTGTATAAACTGGCAGGTGACTTGAGAAGTACACAAATAAGGCAAAAATACAGTAATTATCTTAAGGGAAGAATAAACAAAGTACATAGCTGTATGACCTTCAAAAATTATCTAACCACTCTCTACCTCAGTTTCCTCATCTGAAAGATGGTGATTAAAAAAAAACTACCTTTCAAGTTATGCTAGCATTAAAATGCAATAATATATATGAAATGTTTAGCACAGGTTAAATATGTAATACACTATAGCTATAATTATTTATGATAAAGTGAAAATTCCAAATAGAATATTGGCTTTAGCTCAAAGGAAAACATGCAGTTTGAGAGTTGAAACTTCAGAGATAATCTGGTTCAAAACCCTAATTTTGCAGGTGATGAAATTGAGGCATGGGTCAACAAAGTTAGGCCCGTAAAGATACAATTTGCATGAAGGTTCCTGCCCAGGATCACAGAACTTGTTAGCTTCTGACTCCCATTTCAGTTTCTTTCCATTTCATTACCCCTTTTTAAGTCAAAAACAAATAGTCAGATATTGGATGATTTCCAGGGATGACAAAAACTCATCCCCTGGAATGAGGAAGGTCTGATGGCCCTAACAATTGTGAGGGAATGCCTGATAAAGTCAATGCTTTCCTGGTCATACTGTTTATAGAAGGCATGTATAAAAGCCACTATGTGCCATTTAGAAGGTATACATCCACTAGATAGGGGCATGTTTAATTTTGTTTCATTTGAACTAATGTCTAAATTAGAGCACAATAAAAGTTTTGTTATTATCCTTTCGGTAACTATCAGAAACGTAATCCCTCAGCATCAAAGACCAGCAACTCCAGCAGCACCAGCTTTAATTGAAAAAGAAAAAAGGACAAATGTTAATACTGCTTTTGTTTCTGGAAGAGGACTATTATTCAATGTCAGATCCCTACTGCTGGTTACTAACATTTCAGAAGTCAGAACAGATCTTTTAATTTTATTTTTAAATGTTCTATGAGGACTCATAATAAAACAGGCCCCAGATACTCCTAATACACCACACTGTACTCGCAATTGGAGATTTTGATTCAGTCTTTTTTTCTTAACCAAAATGACACTATCCCCTATGTTAACTTGATGGCCTGGCACTTTGCACTAATTCCAACATGGATGGAACACTACTATGCTTTGAACTGGGGATACAGAGATAAATAAGACATAGGTCTTGTGGAAAACTCAAGGTCTAAAAATAACATAGTCTCTTCTCTATCAGTTACTGTACTGTGTGACCACAGGCAAACTGCTTAATTCTCTGTGTCTCAGGTTCTTCCCTTACATTTAGGAGAAAGTAGTACCTACCTCATAAGGTTGTATGACTGAAATAAATATATGTAAAGTGTTTGGAACAGTGTCTGGTACACAGTAGGCAGTACGTGTGTTAGCTGTTGCTGTTACTATATTCACCTTCATCATTATTATAAGCCAGCTCTAATAACCTGAAAGATCAACTCTGACTTTAGAGCTGATGTTTAAGTCACTGGCACAGAAAAGTCTAACAGATTAAATGTAAGTAAGAGCAGACCTTAAAGAGCCTGAAGACAGAGCTTAAGAAAATCTGGCACAGGGACTGATGGAGGATGGAGAGAAGGACACCCCTAACAGAGGCAGAGTTGTAGGGAATTTAGGCACTTGCTTTCATCCATGAATGGTAGTTAGTAATAACAGAGAGGACTTGAAAGGTCTTGCAGCTAAAGGGGGAGAGTGGATATGAAAATGCAGCCAAGCTAAAATAATTACCACCCAGCTAAACTGAGGCACTGCATAGTTCCTAAGAACATGTCCACCTTGGAACAAGCTTCTGTTTCTTCAAGGGCAGAAATACTATGACTATCTTGGGCTTCCTGGAATGTGAAATGTTTATACTTTCTTTTTATTATTATTATTATTATAATACTTTAAGTTTTAGGG
The DNA here is from genome assembly GCF_000001405.40 of Homo sapiens. Classification (NCBI taxonomy): domain Eukaryota; kingdom Metazoa; phylum Chordata; class Mammalia; order Primates; family Hominidae; genus Homo; species Homo sapiens. The sequence continues at coordinate 120,045,898 of NC_000012.12, read as the reverse complement.
TACATGTGCACAATGTGCAGGTTAGTTACATATGCATACATGTGCCATGCTGGTGTGCTGCACCCACTAACTCGTCATCTAGCATTAGGTATATCTCCCAATGCTATCCCTCCCCCCTCCCCCCATCCCACAACAGTCCCCAGAGTGTGATGTTCCCCTTCCTATGTCCATGTGTTCTCATTGTTCAATTCCCACCTATGAGTGAGAATATGCGGTGTCTGGTTTTTTGTTCTTGCGATAGTTTACTGAGAATGATGATTTCCAATTTCATCCATGTCCCTACAAAGGACATGAACTCATCATTTTTTATGGCTGCATAGTATTCCACGGTGTATATGTGCCACATTTTCTTAATCCAGTCTATCATTGTTGGACATTTGGGTTGGTTCCAAATCTTCGCTCTTGTGAATAATGCCACAATAAACATACGTGTGCATGTGTCTTTAAAGCAGCATGATTTATAGTCCTTTGGGTATATACCCAGTAATGGGATGGCTGGGTCAAATGGTATTTCTAGTTCTAGATCCCTGAGGAATCGCCACACTGACTTCCACAATGGTTGAACTAGTTTACAGTCCCACCAACAGTGTAAAAGTGTTCCTATTTCTCCACATTCTCTCCAGCACTTGTTGTTTCCTGACTTTTTAATGATTGCCATTCTAACTGGTGTGAGATGGTATGTCATTGTGGTTTTGATTTGCATTTCTCTGATGGCCAGTGATGGTGAGCATTTTTTCATGTGTTTTTTGGCTGCATAAATGTCTTCTTTTGAGAAGTGTCTGTTTATGTCCTTCGCCCACTTTTTGATGGGGTTGTTTTTTTCTTGTAAATTTGTTTGAGTTCATTGTAGATTCTGGATATTAGCCCTTTGTCAGATGAGTAGGTTGCGAAAATTTTCTCTCGTTTTGTAGGTTGCCTGTTTCAATGCCATCCCCATCAAGCTACCAATGACTTTCTTCACAGAATTGGAAAAAACTACTTTAAAGTTCATATGGAACCAAAAAAGAGCCCGCATCGCCAAGTCAATCCTACGCCAAAAGAACAAAGCCGGAGGCATCACACTACCTGACTTCAAACTATACTACAAGGCTACAGTAACCAAAACAGCATGGTACTGGTACCAAAACAGAGATATAGATCAATGGAACAGAACAGAGCCCTCAGAAATAACGCCGCATATCTACAACTATCTGATCTTTGACAAACCTGAGAAAAACAAGCAATGGGGAAAGGATTCCCTATTTAATAAATGGTGCTGGGAAAACTGGCTAGCCATATGTAGAAAGCTGAAATGTTTATACTTTCAAAAGGAGATTGCATGAAAATGCTTGGAAAAGAAATTGAGAACCTTTTCGTAATAAACAGGAAGGCTAGGGGAAGACGGGCAGTTGGAATGACATTCTACTCAGCAAACTTTAACTTAGAACAGGGATGGAAATGGGCTGGGGTGTACCCTAAGGAGCCCTTCACTGGAGACAAGTGGTGACACAGGGACACATTCAGGATTCTCTCAGGAAAGAGCAGTCACGTCTAATCCTAATAAAGAAAGAAAATTTTAGTGTTTTTCATACTTCCCCACCTCACCCCGCCACCACCTGTTTTGGTCATATGGCTCACCAGGAGACTTCTTAGACCTAAAAAGAAGGTTACAAAGTTAAAATGTTCTTGTTTGGAATTGGAGAAGGGTTAGGGAAAAACTGCTTTCCAAACTGGTGGTCACTTTCTTCCCACCACCATAAAAACAAGACTATTAATCACAGTATGGCTTTTTCTTCCCTGAACATGCCTCTTTGACTTTGTTCATGATATACCCTCTTTTGGAATGTCTTTCCTCAAATTTTCACCTGATAAATTCTTAACCTTAACAGCCCAGTTCAGACATAACTTCCATATTGCCATTATAAGATCCCCGGTTAAAATGACTACATTATTTGCAGTGCTGCAATACTCTTATTAGAGAACTTATCACACACTCTGTTTACATATCTGTTTTCTCTTAGACTGGAAAAGACTTAAGGGCAGAAATTATATCTCCTATTTATCTTTGCTTCCCTAATAAAGTACATGGCACATGGCAGGTATTCAAATGCGTACTGTATGAGATAAAATCTGAACACCTTAAGTGAGGGCTTCTTGCAAAAGTCAAGCTATGACTGTAGAAAATAGAAGTGGGATTAACTTTAAGCCCACAAGTGCCCCTTTAGCAAGGTTCCACCAGGATCACCAGAGAATTAATGAGATAATTCCCTTTGATTTACATAGCCCATCCACAGGAAAGGGCACTATTTCCTCCTATAGGTCATCTCCATGGCTCAAGTAGATTTACTTAGCCTTTGATGTAAATTACGCATGACTGATCCATGGATTTGCTGCTCGGTGTTTCTACCTATACCCTCACCCTGCTTTTGCATGTGCAATCTTTTAATACTCAGAACCCATGACTATTTTCCCTGTTCCCTTTATAAACCTCACTCAAGTCTTTTCTTTTATAAAGTCATTCTCATTTGATAACAGATGGATTTGAAATCCTTTTCTTTTTTGGAGCTTGTCATTAAATAGGCACGCCCCAAAATATGTGTACTTGGGAATAGGCTGTAAATTCAGACTTCCTTCATCCTGGAAGACAAGCTCTTCTGTTAGTCTGGGTTGAATTCAACAAACTAAATCCAAGGAAAAGGAAGATGAATATTATTTAGCATTTTCTAGGTCGGAGCACTGCTCTAGGTAACATACCCAGGCTACTTCATTTTATCTTAACAACGCTACAGGATGAGCATTGTTAACCCCATTTCATCGATAAAGAAACTGAAGCTAGCCAAGATTAGGTCACATAATTGAGGTCACTTAGCTAGTAAATGGTGGAGCTAGGATTCAAATGCAGGTCTGATCCCAAAGCCAATGAGAGTGCTACTACACCACCACACCCAAGGGAAAACACACCCCTTGTGTCCACCTCTGGTTAGGTTTAGCAGAAAAATAGACACCAGGCTGGCACTTCTTCCTGAATGCTTTGATATCTAGTTTGTAATTTATCTCCAGCTCTCAGCCCTGACCTCTCCTCTGACTTAGGTTCTTCGTCTTTTTTTTTTTTTTTGAGGGGGAGTCTCGCTCTGTCGCCCAGGCTGGAGCGCAGTGGCACAATCTCGGCTCACTGCAACCTTCGCCTCCCGGGTTCAAATGATTCTCCTGCCTCAGTCTCCTGAGTAGCTGGGATTACAGGCACCCGCCACCAAACGCAGCTAATTTTTGTATTTTTAGTAGAGACAGGGTTTCATCATGTTGGCCAGGCTGGTCTCAAACTCCTGACCTCAGGTGACCCGCCTGCCTTGGCCTCCCAAAGTCCTGGGATTACAGACGTGAGCCACCACGCCCGGCCTGACTTAGGTTCTTATATCTAACTGCCTACTTACCACATCCACTTGGAACACTAATGTGCGTCACACTCAACATGTCCAAACCTGAACTCCTGATTTGAGGGCCTCCACCCAAACATGCTCCTCCTTGACTCTTCCCTTCTCAGGAGATGGCAACTTCATTCTTAGGAGTTTTGGGCCCCAAACAGGAATCATCTTTGATTTTCCCCTCACACTCCACATCCAACCCATCCACACATCCTGTGGACTCTACTGCTGAAATATACCTCAGAGGACTATTATGAGTATGAGATGAGCTGATATTTATAAAGCCATTGGAACACTGCCTGGCATATAATAGGTGCTATATGAGATTTATCGAGTAAAATTAATATCCAGGATGCTATCACTTCTTCCCGCCTCCACTCTCCCATCCTAGTCCCAGCCAGCATCACCACCCACCAAGACTACTGACTGTGGTGCCACCTACTTGGTCTCCCTGCTCCTACCCTTGCCCTCCTACAGCCTACTCTCTGCAGCACAGCAATTCTCAGAAACCCAAGTCAGACTATGTCACTGCTCAAAACCCTCTAGAAGCTTTCTTACTCAGAATAAAACATAATAAAGTCCTTACCATGACTTCTAAGATTCTACAGGATTCCTCCCTGCATCCCAATCTTATCTCAGATCTCCTCTTTTCTCCGCTGCATTCTCTTTGTTCCACTCATACTGGCCTACTTGCTGCCCTCAGACCTGCTGAGCAGACTCTTATTTCAAAATCTGTGCATATGATTCCCCTCTGCCTGGAACATGCTTTCCTCAGACATTCACGAGGCCTGTTCCTGCACTCCACTCGGGTCTCTTCTCAAATGTCATCTTATCAGAGAGGCCTCCTCTGCTCACCCTAACCCTACCTGTGCCGCCCTCCATTCCTTTCCTCTGTTTAATTTTTCTCTGTAGCGCTTATTACACCCGACAGATAGTTCTTTGTTAATCGAGCTATTGCCCCCGCCCCCTGCCCTTGATGTAAGTTTCAAAAGGTCTGGGCCTTTGTTTGCTGCCACAACCCCAGTACTCGGAAGTGAGCCAGGCACATAGCAGACAAATTTGAATGCAGGGAAAACATGTCTATATTAACTCATTTTTGGCTTAAGGTTGTCTGTAACAGGGAACAAAACGGTCTGTAAAACCCCCATATTACATAATGAGTTCAGGTTTCAGAGGTAAAATTTAAATATTAAGAATTTTATCTTTCAATCTTCCCTTTAGAGTAAAACTGATAGAAGAGGAATCATGTTGATTTTTGGCCCTTGCCCCTAACTATTATCAATAGTCACAAATTCTACATAATTAGATATAAAATCTTTCTCCTCCCTCTCAGTTTTACCTTATTTGTTATATCCACTTTATACAAACTATTCAACAAGAATTCAAACATAATGCTATTTCCTTACAGAAAAAAATCATGGCAAGATTTTTTCTTAAAAGTATTTCCTGCTGGCTGGGAGCAGTGGCTCATACCTGTAATCTCAGCACTTTGGGAGGGTGAGACAGGTGGATGACTTGAGGTCAGGAGTTTGAGACCATCCTGGCCAACATGGCGAAACCCCTCCTCTACTAAAAATACAAAAATTAGCCACGTGTGGTGCACATGCCTGTAATCCAAGCTACTCGTGAGGCTGAGGCACAAGAATTGCTTGAAACTGGCAGACAGAGGTTGCAGTGAGCCGGGATCATGCCATTGCACTCCAGTCTGAGCGACAGAGTGAGACTGTCTACAAAAAAAAAAAAAAAGTATTTCCTATTAAATGTTCCAACATGGAAATATAGGGCCAGGTGTGATGGTTCACACCTGTAATCCCAGCACTTTGGGAGACTGCGGCTGACAGATGGCTTGAGCTCAGGAGTTCAAGACCAACCTGGGCAACATGGTAAAACTGTCTCTACAAGAAATACAAAAAAATTAGCCGGGTGTGGTAGTGTATGCCTATAGTCTCAGCTACTCAGGAGGCTGAGGTAGGAGGATGGCTTGAGCCTGGGAGGTGAAGGTTGCAGTGAGCCAAGATGGTGCAGCCTGGGCGATAGAGCCAAACCTTGTCTCAAACAAACAAACAAAAAAACAAAAAGAAAAGAAAAGAAAGAAAAGAAAAAGAAGGCTGGGCTCGGTGGCTCACGCTTGTTAATCTCAGCACTTTGGGAGGCCAAGATGGGCAGATCACCTGAGGTCAGGAGTTCAAGACCAGCCTGACCAACAGCGATTCTCTACTAAAAATACAAAAATTAGCCGGGCATGGTGGTGCCTGTGATCCTAGCAACTCGATAGGCTGAGGCAGGAGAATGGCTTGAACCCAGGAGGTGGAGGCTGCAGTGAGCAGAAATTGCACCACTGCACTCCAGTGTGGGTGACAGAATGAGATTCTATCTCAGAAGAACAAAAAAAAGAAAAGAAAAGAAAAAGAAATATGGAATAACAGAGTTTAGATTTTGGATACAGCAGCTAGGTAGTCTGGTAACATCCCAGTGGGACATTCTACCAGTAAAATTGGGTATTTGTTGATGAAAGTGCTTCTTACATTTTGCCTTACTATAAGGTTCTGGATTGGCTGATGGTTGCCATGGAAACAGTAGTAATGCTAATATGGATTAGCCCCATAGGGTTTTACCACACTGGTTACAGAATTATTTTCTGTAAAGTCACTGAAAAGGTAATACGGTACGTGGGGCTAAAAAACTGGTGACACTCCCTGAAAGTGGGGGAGGGTGGAAGAGCCCAAACTCCTCCTCCAGGCCAGAATCTGTCCATTCCTTATCGTTATAATACCTACAGTTTGATAATCTAAGTTCTAGAGCCTCTTTAAATCCTACATCCTCCATGAAGCCTTTTCTTTTTTTTTTTTTTTTTTTTTTTGAGACGGAGTCTCACTCTGTCACCCAGGCTGGAGTGCAGTGGCGCAATCTTGGCTCACTGCAACTTCCGCCTCCCGGGTTCAAGCAATTCCCCTGCCTCAGCCTCCTGAGTAGCTGGGATTACCGGCATGCACCACCACGCCCAGCTAATTTTTGTATTTTTAGTAGAGATGGGGTTTCACCATGTTGGTCAGGCTGGACTCGAACTCCTGACCTCATAATCCGCCCACCTTGGCCTCCCAAAGTGCTGGGATTACAGGCGTGAACCACCACGCTCGGCCCATGAAGCCTTTTCTAATAAACACCAGCTCTCAGTTCTTGTTTTCTTTTCTTTTGTTTTTGGAGACAGAGTCTCACTCTGTCGCCCAGGCTGAAGTGCAGTGGCGCTATCTTGGCTCACTGCAACCTCCGCCTCCCAGGTTCAAGCGATTCTCCTGCCTTAGCCTCACAAGTAGCTGGGACTATAGACACCCGCCACCATGCCTGGCTAATTTTTGTATTTTTAGTAGAGATGGGGTTTCACCATGTTGGCCAGGCTGGTCTCAAACTCCTGACCTCAGGTGATCCGCTCGCCTCTGCCTCCCAAAGTGCTGGGTTTACAGGCTGAGTCACCGTGCCCGGCCTTGTTTTTGTCTTCTAATTCATATTTTTAAAAGTAGCCTTCATGTATTTTAAGAATCTAATGACAGTCTCTTGCATGGTTCTCTAGATGCAAGTGGAATTAACAACTGTACTGAGTACCCACCCTGAACCAGGCACCCGTGCCAATTGGTGTCACATGAACTATTTCATTAAATCCTCAAAATAATCCCTGTTAGACAGGTATTATTAACCTACTCTTTAGATGAGGAAACTGAACTTCAAAGAGGTTGTGACTTTCCCAATACAGTAAGTTATCTCCCTAAAATAGGCCTTATTACTAGCATTAAACTATGGACTCCTCAAAGGAAAGGGTCACTCAACTTCTGCAACCTCTCTAGCATTCGGAAAAGTCTTGGCTCACAACAGCCAATCAATCAAAACATGATTTAAAGAAAAAAATCAACATAATGATTTAAAGAAAACCAACAATGAAAAAAATTCACTACATTTAATGTGAGCAGGTGGGATGGGAGAGACTTTTTAAAAAAGAAATCAAATGTATTAAGAGACTTCTAACAATGTCCACATACTATTTTGAAAAAAAAAATACAAACACTTATATAAAGCTCTAACTATGAACACATTGATGTTTGGTCATAATCAACTGTAGGATGTGTTATAAGTCATTTCTTATTACTGATAAAGTAATAAAATAAATCCTTTACTTCAAAAAATATCACTAAGAGCAAATTCAAAATGCTCACTATGTTTTCTCAGGCGGAAGGGAAAAGGTGTAGTTACGGCTAGCCCTTTGCGCAAACTGAAGGTAACAGAAGCATTTGAGCATGTGTCTTGATGGAAAACGGGTTAGGAACCACTCACTGCTTTAGGAATAAGTATTGGGACAGGGATCACCTATTTTTGGACTCCATTCCCAACTGCTGCTGGCTCACTGGATGGACATGAGCAATGCATGAAGAATCTGGCCTCTGTCTACCCAGGGCTTCAAAAGCATGGGACAAACTACCCACTTCCAGGTCACCCTTCAGGGGCAATTAGACACTGCTTAATGTTCTGAGCAGGCATCTGTTTTCTTGTTTCTCTAGGATAGTGAGGGAGCAAGAGTAGTTTGCTCCCTGCCAAGTGAATTGGCTTGTGGAAATGAAACCAGTAGACTCTGAAGTTGATTAACTCAGTTGCCTACTTCTGAGAAGGATGGAAGGTCAAAGGACGAGTCTGTTAAAACAAACTCATATTATAAAAAAGTAGGAATGTATTATGTAGACCAGGCTACAAAGAATGTCTTTATGATTTTAAACAAATATAGTTGCTTCTAAGTGAACATCACCATCTCAGGAAGAGTTAGGAGATTAAAAGCATATCACATTTGCTCAGCTATTAAATACATAATAAAAATCAATTTCCTACTTCTCCAAAGTGTTGGAAATTGATTAATGTCTGTGGAAGCTTTCAGGTATAAAGTTCTCTCTCATTGCTGAGCACTATTCTATTTAAACTCCTCTCTGCTTCCTTACTGTCAGTCAACTTCTTATGTCTATCTGGGATGCCAGGATGGAGAATATTAATGAACTGCACGCAGTCTTACAAGCCTGAAAATTCTCGGGAGCAGGGAAGCTTAAAAAGACAGAAATGAATATGTGAAACCTCCAGACCAAGGCTTATTTAAATGCCAGAAAAATTATTTCAAGCAAAAAAGAACCAGTTCCAAATAACGTGTCTCCTCAGATCTCTAGGTGAGAGAGAAGGTACTTTAGAAATCAAAATGAACATTTATTAATAAAACTAACATACCAGAGAAGAGCACAAATACAACAAAGGCAATAATTCCAAATAATGCTGTACCCATTTCATTCAACATACGATTACTGAGCACCTACCACAGGCAAGACAACATGTTAGGCACTGAGTAACTTGTAGTACTGCATTCAAGCAGGACATGAAACCCAAGTGAAACAAATTAGGTGTCACACTTGCTAATGTAAAAGCAACAACACAGAAACACATATATTAAAACACTCAACTGACAGAACTTAAGTTCTGGAAAGTGAATCCTCAAAGCATACTGATTTAATTCCTTCATCATAGATTTGATTTTGGTAAACTTTCATATATGTCTGTGCAATAAGATTCACCAATAGTTGTCTGTTTGTTTTGTTTTTTGAGACAAAGTCTCACTCTGTCACCCAGGCTGGAGCACAGTGGCATGATCTTGGCTCACTGCAACCTCCGCCTTCCGGGTTCAAGTGATTCTTCTGTCTCAGCCTCCCGAGTAGCTGGGACTACAGGCGCATGCCACCACGCCCGGCTAATTTTTGTATTTTTAGTAGAGATGGGGTTTCACTGTGTTGGCCAGGCTGGTCTTGAACTCCTGACCTCAGGTGATCCTCCCACCTCAGCCTTCCAGAGTGCTGGGATTACAGGCATGAGCCACTGTGCCTGACCTAAGATTCACCAATAGTTCTAAGCTTTCCAGCCAATCAGCCATAATCACTACCTAAACCCAAAAGAACAGGCTTTAGACCAGATGAAAGAAATACAATTCCAGATAAAATTTAGAGAAGTCTAAACAAGTCTAACGCTCCCAGTACAAGGAAATGGCTTACTGATTCTATAGCTTGTTTCCACAGACTGAACAAAGTATAGCTGGTTTACACTGCAGCAGAAAGAATTAAACTAGCATAAAGGCTATCCCATGGATAACTGAGTAAATTCATAAAAGTCTTGAAATCACCTTCCATGGTTACACCTTCTGATCCATTAATTTTACTGCTAGGAATCTATCCTTAGAAAATAATTGGAGAAGCTGTCAAAGATATACATACCCAGCAATTCCCTAGGTGTATATCCCATAGTAATGTGTGCTTATGTGCACCAGACTGTATGTCCAAGACTGTTTATAGCAGCATTATTTGTTAATAGCTAAAACCTATAAACCATCACCAGTGAAACAGATCTGTGAATATTCATACAATGAAATATAATATACCAAAGCAAAATAATTTACTAAGCTACATGCATAAACATAAATTGTAAAAACTAAATGTTAAGTGAAAGAAGACAGAAAATAATTCACAATGTGTGATTCCATTTATATAAAATTCCAGAAAGGCAAAACAAAATGGTATTATTTATGAACATATACTTAGCAGGTAAAACTCATTATAAAGCAAAGGAAAGGAATGATTATTATAAAAGTCAGGTTAGTGGTTCCTCTTGGGGGAAGAAGAGGTCGTGCTTATGGAGGGAAATAAGAGTTGTGCTGGCAACACTATTTCTTAACCTGTGTGGTGGTTACAAAGGTTTTCCTTTTATTATAACATTTCATTAATATGTATGTTTATGTTTTATACTCTGTATAGAGCATGGTTTTTTGAAAAAAAATTCTTTAAAAAAGATTTTGACGCAAGGGCATTTCTCAGAGCTCCATTTACAGTAAGTAGTTTAGCAGGGGTTTAAGAGCAGGGTTTTAGAGTCAGCTGCCTTTGATGTGAATCCCAGTTCAGCCACTTGTTCACTATATGTGGTGACCTTAGGTGATAAATTTAGCATCTCTGAGCTTCATTTTTTCATTTCAAAGAAATAAGATAAGGCTACGTATCACATAGGGTTAACATGGGATCAAATGAGAGAAAGTGGTATCTTACATAATGCTTGGTACACAATAAGCAGTCAATACTTTTTCTCTATTTATTTATTTATTGAGATGGAGTCTCACTCTGTTACCTAGGCTGGAATGTGGTGGCATGATCTCGGCTCACTGCCACCTCCACCTCCCGGGTTCCAGCAATTCTCCTGCCTCAGCCTCCCGAGTAGCTGGAATTACAGGCGTGCACCACCACACCCGGCTAATTTTTGTATTTTTAGTAGAGATGGGGTTTTGCCATGTTGGCCAGGCTGGCCTTGAACTCCTGACTTCAAGTGACCCACCCACCTTGGCCTCCCAAAGTGCTGGGATTAGAGGTCTGAGCCACCATGCCCAGCCTCTCCTTTTATTCTTACTCTGGAGCAACAATTACAGAAACAACCTAACTCTAAGTATCTTCTTTGTGCATAACACAATTATACTAAGAGCTATGGGGGAAAAACACACAGCAAGTGGAGCTAAGACAGACAATCATAAAAAATAAAAATGTAAAGGTTACATAAAACAGAGACTGGAAGTGGCAGGCCTGCACTGCTGCTGGCCTTGAGGAGGCAATCAGCTGTGTTGTGAACTGCCTATGGACAGGGTCAACGTCTAGGAGCCACAGGCCTCAGTCCTGTCCTATAGCAACAAGAAATGGGATTTGGCCAACACCCTGAATGAGCTTAGAAGAGGACACGGAGCTCCAGATGAGAACCTGGCCTGGCCAACACCTTGAATGCAGAATTGTGAGACTCTGAGCAGAGAACCCAGTTAAGCCATGCTAACTCCTGATCCTTGGCAATGGTGAGATAATAGTTAGCTGACCCCTGCATCCCTCGAAAGAAACTGGCATGTGAAGCCAAATCCCAATAAGGGAATTTCTGGGATGATCTTACATCCCAAAACGGGTCATAAAGTCACATGTCCTGCCCTCTCCAGGGATTAACTGCCCAAGACCAGATGCCTCTGTTCAAGCTCAGTGCCCCACTCCAAGGAAGGAGACCCACTTGCTAGATAGCCGCTCTAAAACCCCTCTGTGTTAATTTTAGTGTCATAATTTTAGTTATAAAAGTAGTCCAGTCACGCCTTCTTGAGTTACATTCAAGTAACCTTGATTGTATTTTGCATGTTCCTAAATCTGTACTCATTAAAAGACAATTCTTAGTTTGTTATTTCTACAGATGGCAGATCTCATCCATATTTGCAGCCTTCCTAATTTCATTCGTAGGGATAAAGTATCATTTCTATTAGTCTATAACTAATACTAGTTTATTTTCCAAAATGAGAACAGCAAGTTTATGAACCAAAAACCATGTAGTGAAGTTACTTGTGAAAACTTTCATCAAAATGCTCGAGTACAAAAGATGAGAAAGTATGCCTGTATCTGGCTGTGTTGAAATAAGTTATCTTTCAAAAGCCAATGCCTGAACACTCCATAGATTACTTTTCTTGTCAATATGGAGAAAAAACTGAATAAGGGGGATCTCACATCACCACCACAGTCCAGGGGTCTCAGCACTGGTGACAGAGGGATGCCAGCTATGTGTCATCTGATGTAATACATCAGAAGTGCACATCTTCTGGCCAAAAATGTTTGACCTAAATCTATCAAGCTTATATATATATATACTCTCTCCAGTTAATACAAAATATCAGGGAATAGAAGAAGGAGCTAAACGTCATTATGAGGAAACAACCAGGTAAATTTAAAAGCAAGAACTCTCAGCCGGCCGCAGTGGCTCATGCCTGTAATCCCAGCACTTTGGGAGGCCGAGGCAGGCGGATCACAAGGTCAGGAGCAGGAGATGGAGACCATCCTGGCTAACACGGTGAAACCCTGTCTCTACTAAAAATACAAAAAACAAAATTAGCCGGGCGTGGAGGCGGGCGCCTGTAGCCCCAGCTACTTGGGAGGCTGAGGTGGGAGAATGGCGTGAACCCGGGAGGCGGAGTTTGCAGTGAGCCGAGATCATGCCAGTGCACTCCAGCCTGGACGACAGAGTGAGACTCCATCTCCCCCACAAAAAAAAAAAAAAAAAAAAAGGCAAGAACTCTCCACAGGAAAACTGGCCCAGTTTCTTCAACATGTCATTGGCATAAAAAAGGAAAAGGATTATAATAAAATAAATAACACTTAAAAGACCAGGCATAATGCACCAGACATAGAACAGTTCTGGTTTGGGTCTTGATATGTGAACCAGCTGTAAAGGACATCTTTTGAGGTCCACTGGGGAAATTTAAATTTGACTTGAATTACAATAATGAAAAAATTACTGAAGCGGAAAGGTGGAGATCACTGATCTAAAAAGCAGGTTACAAAGTAATACATGCAGCATATTATATGATTTTGGCTTAAAAAAATTATAGGCCAGGCATGGTGGCTCACGCCTGTAATCCCAGCACTTTGGGAGGCTGAGGCCAGCAAATCACGAGGTCAGGAGATAGAGATCATCCTGGCTAACATGGTGAAACCCTATCTCTACTAAAAATACAAAAAATTAGCCAGCATGGTGGTGCCCGCCTATAGTCCCAGCTACTTGGGAGGCTGAGGCAGGAGAATCACTTGAACCCAGGAGGCGGAAGTTGCAGTGAGCCAAGATCGTGCCACTGACTCCAGCCTGGGTGACAGAGCAAGACTCCATCTCAAAAAAAAAAAAAAAAAAAATTATAGATGTATTTAGGTAAACCTAGAAGAAGGTCCCTAAAGATTTGTACTAAGCTGTTTTCAGTAGCAATCTCTGGAAGGTGGAAATATGATGTTTTTAAATTATTTGGCTTGCCTCTATTTTTAATTTTTCTTCAGTGCACATGTAATGCTTTTGTAATAAAAGGTTAAAAATAAGTTAAATAAAATTTCCCAAGGCAGTGCCATATAAATGATAGTGACTTCAGAAAGTGAAAGTAATCACTGTGGGCTACAATGGTGAGGAAAGCCTTCATGGAATTAATTTATCATCTGGTCTTAGAAAATGGGACAGGCAGAAACTGTCAATTCTTTAACCCACCAGTCAGCTTAAAAGTGACAGGGCTGTGACAACTTGGCTAGGCCATAAGATACTTAGGCCAAAAAATAAAAAATTTTTAAAAATCTCCCTTTAAATCCTAGCTAGCTGCTCCTTGTTTCTGTCATTCTTCAGGACCCCAAAGCTACCCAATTCATCACCACCAGGAAGAGGAGCACCAACTTATTCTGGACTCATTTTCTCAAAAAGATTCTTCCTGACTTCTGAGAATGGAATGTTCTAACACAGGTAGATGTGAGGTCCTGTATACACATAATGGGGTGAAGGGAAGATACAGTGGGAAGTATTTTCTTTTTGAAATAGGGTCTCACTCTATTGCCCAGGCTGGAGTGCAGTAGTGTGATCATAGCTCACTGCAGCCTCAAACTCCTGGGCTCAAGAAATCCTCCCACACCTAAGCCTCCCAAGTAGCTGGGACTACAGGTGCACACCACCATGCCCGGCTAATTTTTTTTTATTTGTAGAGACAGGGTCTCATTATATTGCCCAAGCTGGTCTCAAACTCCTGGGCTCAAGCGATCCTCCTGCCTCGACCTTCTGAAGGCTGGGATTACAGGTGTGAGCCAATGCACCCAGCCAGGAATTTTCTTTTGAGACTGTCAAGACAGTAGACATAAAATGGCCTTTTCGAATTACACAGGGATCTACCACTTTCATGAATGTGCAGACTCTAGTCTTGATTTTGTTTTTTGATCTGATTAAGCCATTTATGCTTTCAACACACATTTGATAAGTACCCATCAAGTGCTTGGTGCACAAAGAGCTACACACACAAAAAGGAAACTGAAGTATGTAGGAATAAAGTATACTGATATCTTCAACTTACTCTGAAATAGATAAAAAAATAAAATGAAGTGATTGATGAATACAGATGGATAGATGTGTGATAAAAAATAATAAAGTAGCCTGTAATCTCAGCACTTTGGGAGGCTGAGGCGGGCAGATCACGAGGTCAGGAGATGGAGACCATCCTGGCTAACATGGTGAAACCCCATCTCTACTAAAAATACAAAAAAATTAGCCAGGCATGGTGGTGGGCACCTGTCATCCCAGCTACTGAGGAGGCTGAGGCAGGAGAATGGCGTGAACCCAGGAGGCGGAGCTTGCAGTGAGCTGAGATTGTGCCACTGCACTCCAGCCTGGGCGACAGAGCAAGACTCTGTCTCAAAAAAAAAAAAAAAAAAGGAACATGTTAATTATAAAATACAGGTGATAGGTATATAGTGCTCACTGAATGATTCTTTCAACTTATGGAAAAGTTGCTTTTCCATATGCTTGAAAGATTTTTTAATAAAGTGTTGGGGAAAAATACGTATACCTTGGTGCCTTGCCTGTAGTTGGTGGTCAGTTCTTAATAATTGTTGGTTGAATTTATGAAAACCAAAACAGGTTAAACACAGTAGGTTCTAAACTCATATCTAGAAACATGTTCTATAAGAGAAATTTGAAATTTGGTCAAGTCCAAGGTTTCTGATCCTCTGAGGCCAAAACCCATGCCTTGAGGCAAACTGGTTATTTGTCATACCCAGGCTGTGCTCTTCACTCAGTTACTGTTGAAAGTAGCAAAGACAAAAAATAGCCCAGGGGTAGAAAAGCAACTTGAAGTATTGTAAGGAAGAAAAATAAAGTGAATATGAGATGTATATATTTCTATAAAAGAAACACTCATTAGCATATAATTCTAGGCAACTATTTTAGTGATGTGGGTCATCCTGCACTTGCAACCTGAAGCCCAGGGTTCCAGACAACATCAGTCTTGCTACCTATCAATAATGTTATGTGACCTTGGGCAAGTCATTTAGTTTGAGGTTCCTCTTTTGTAAAACAGGAGACAATATAAGCCTTTCTACCTCCTGGGGTTTTGATCACGGAAATGCACATTTTTTTGTAAATCTTAAAGCACAATACAAGTGTGAGGTATCTTCATCAACCTACTAGCTCCAAGTGACGCAAGCCTGTCTCACTTTCCAAAATACACCCATCTCTTCAGGAAAATAGCGCAGATAGTCATTATTAGGCTCTTTCTTGGGTTTAATGAAGGGTTGACCTTTCCTCTAAATCATGGGGCTACATTAATAATCTACATCTCGCCTCATTTCCAGATCAATCCACTTGTTATATAGCTATTATTTCCAGAGTATGTTCTGCCCCAACAGTTGTTTACTAAATATAGTTACTAATACAGTATTGTTTACTTGAAATTTGCTTAGAGACAATTTTAAGTGTCCTCATCACTCACTCACACAAAGGGTTACCAAGTGTGGTGACAGATGTGTTAATTAGGTTGTGGTAATCATTTTGCAATGTATACATCTATCAACTCATCATGTTGTACGCTGAATATATACAATTTTTGCCAGTTATCCTTCAATAAAACTGGAAGAAAAAAGACTATTTTAAAAGAAGGTTGATGGGTATTAGCAACAAAAAACAAAATTCTGGGCCGGGCATGGTGGCTCACTCCTATAATCTCAGCACTTTGGGAGGCCAAGGCGAGCAGATCACCTGAGGTCAGGAGTTTGAGGCCTGCCTGGCCAATGTGGCGAAACCCCATTGTACTAAAAATACAAAGATTACAGCTGACGGGTGCCTGTACTCCCAGCTACCTGGGAGGCTGAGGCAGGATAATTACTTGAACCGGCGGGTGGAGGCTGCAGTGAGATCGCGACACTGCACTCCAGCCTGGGCAACAAAGCAAGACTCTGTCTCAAAAATAATAATAATAATAATTCTGGGGTCAAAAAAATTTGGGAAACACTGGATTAAACAGATTTCTTTACTGCTAAGACTTACAAAAGCTTTTAGTGTACTAACATATACTGCAAATCTTTAAGAGATCAATTTATTTGACCATAAGACATTTTTAATTCTGAGATACACTGCTTGACATTGATGCTATTAAAGAAAGCTGCTGTAAATACTTTTGAAAATTCTAAATAGATCTACATTTCAATTCGGGGTCCATGAATGGCAACCAAGTTAAAAATAAAAAATAACACTAAGTTATAATAATCAAGAAGTCATAGACTGTGTTCTATAGAATGAAGCTGAAGGGTCTTTGTCCTATTGAGGGGGAAAAAATGGTGCTAACCTTTAGGTAAAATTATAGCCCTACAATTCAGGGCACAGAGAAGAATACCGCCCTGGGGTTGCATAGTACATTCTGTTCATACCTGTGGAGATCTCAACACGTCTTCCCTTGTATGACTTAGAACAGGGTACACTTTGGGCCTCTAATCACATGCATTAGAAGCCATGGGTCTAAAGGCCCTGCACCCTCAGCTCAGGGCCTGCTTTTGCTCAGCAGGCAATGTTAAGAGGATCCTCACTGACTTCTTGGATCACCACCACCTCAATGATCATTGTTACCTGCCTGCTTTTTCCTAAGTTAGTTGCCCTCCAATTTGACTCTTTGCTTACCTGTAACTTAAGGGATCTGTAGATTCTGCCTAAATAGCTAGGTTTCTGGCCAGTCTTAACTCTTTGTGGCCTCCTTCATAATATAATACATTTTCTTGGTTTTTTCTTTTTTGTTTAGAGACAGGGTTTCACTATGTTGTCCAGGCTAGACTTGAACTCCTGGGCTCAATCAAGCCAGAAGCTCCTCTAGCCTAAGCCTTCCAAGTAGCTGGGACTACAAGTGTACAACAACACACTCAGCTATTTTCTCGCTAATTTTCAATATCTTTTTATCTTATTATTATTATTTTTGAGTCTGAGTCTTACTCTGTTGCCCAGGCTGGAGTGTGCAGTGGGCGATCTCATCTCACTGCAACCTCCACCTTCTGGGTTCAAGTGATTCTCCTGCCTCAGCCTCCAGAGTGGCTAGGATTACAGGCGCCTGCCACCACGCCCGGCTAATGTTTTGTACTTTTAGTAGATACAAGGTTTCAGCATGTTGGCCAGGCTGGTCTCACACTCCTGACCTCAAGTGATCTGCCTGCCTTGGCCTCTCAAGGTGCTGAGAGTACAGGCGTGAGCCACCACGCCCAGCCAATATCTATTTTTTTTTTTTGGAAACCAATTCTTGGATATGTGATTGACAATGGGCCTTTGTAAAGGCCAATGAAACAGAAGAGCCTAAGAAGTAGAGAACAAAACAAAATTAGATATATTTTCTTATTAATTAAAACTCGAGTAAAAATGAAACTTGGAGAAGATCTACCAAACCAGTATTTCTGATAAAGTGTGTAGTCCCAGATAATGACAGAGCTACATTCCAATTCTAGATCCTTGATTAAATTGATAGTCATGACCCTGATGATCAGACATTGAGAGAAAAGCAAAGCCATTTAACAGCTAGCCTTCAAAACAGCCAATTTCCCAATGAATTCTGAATCATTAACAGCATAACAGTATGGTAATGCAGAGTGAGATTAATACCCACCATTACCTCAATTAAAACTCTGCCTTAAAAACACCCATTTAGGAACACAACGATCAACGTTGTGGTGCCTCTGGACTGAATCTTCTTGCTGTTGGCCTTTCTTGTACTGCACTATAATTGCAAATTAAGAGTAAACAGATCTGTTAATTAGGAATGATGGTGTTAAGTGATGTTAGCCTCTGTCTTAAGATGAAAATAGCTAACCTAGTTCTGTGGAGACCAAACATATTTTGGATGCTTACTACACTATACCCAAGAGAAAATTCTAGGACATAAATTGTTCTACAAGAAAAGTCATATTTTCATCATCACCTGCAGAGTGCAAATTGGATTTTTAAAGATCTCAAAGAAATCTGAGGAAAAACAGCCATGACAGAACACAAGAAAGTGACAACAGTATGAGTTTGCGCAGGACCCGGATGATCAACTTTGGGCAAATCACAGCCTCTCTGGGTCTTGGTTTCCTAACCTGTAAAACCGGGATAACAACACCTAATTCAATTTCCCTACCTGTAGAAAAGGGTAATATCTAATACCACCATTTTCAATCTCAAATGAGATTTAATATATTAAAAAATGTTATTACTAAGCATTTTCAAGGTAAAGTGGTACCTCAAGAGGAATAGGGCAAGATTCAACTTTATTTCACAAAAGGATGTGAAATTACACCATTATTCCCAGCTGGGTGTGGTGGCTCACACCTGTAATCCCAGCACTTTGGGAGGTCAAGGCAGGCGGATCATGAGTTCGAGACCAGCCTTGCCAACAGAGTGAAACCCCATCTCTACTAAAAATACAAAAAATTAGCCAGGTGTGGTGGTGTGCACCTGTAATCCCAGCTACTCGGGAGGCTGAGGCACGAGAATCACATGAACCCAGGAGGCGGAGGTTGCAGTGAGCCGAGATTGCGCCATTGCACTCCAGCCCAGGCGACAGTGCAAGAACCCATCTCAAAAAAAAAAAAAAAAAAAAAGAAATTACATCATTATTCTCGTTCTCATTTCAGGTACTGGAATAGCCAATAATTCATATTCTTTCTATGATCCCAGTTTTCCCATGGAATTCCCACCTCAGTTTAATACCAACTCCAATTCAGTTGGATGTGCGGGTAGGGTGAACCAACTTCCTATACTGCCAAGTCTTTGTCATGCCACAGCACTGAGACCTCACAGTAATGCTGGGCAGGTTAGTGGAACACATCCACAGAGGCAGTAAAGAGAGCAAAAAAGATGGCTGACAAGCTAGAGCCTATGACACTGCAGCAGAAAACTCCTGCTCACAATTCATGCCAACAAGTGCTGGGAAGTTGCATCAGGCAATGGTCCTTCTTGCCACAGAAACCCATAGAACCCTCTGAGCTGAAGCAGCCCTTTGCCTCCATCATTAGTGTATTTCCTTGTTATAGGTACTTTAAATCTTGTGTAGTTTTTGTCCTTTTCCCTCAAGAGTGATTAGCTCCTGTTGGTCTAGACTTGGCAAAGCCTTCGGTTCCATTTTATCTTCCATGTTCTTATCTACCTAGCTTCTCATCCACTGCTCTAAATGACAATATTATTTTTTTTTAGAACTTCACTTAAAAACTTTTGTTGGGAAGAAAACTTAAGCCTACAGGAAAGTAAATATTATACTATACAAATGACCATCTGTCCCTCACCTACAACTGTTAATGTTAACATTTTCCTCCATTTGCTTTGTAAATTTTTTCTAAAGTATTTAAAAATAAATCACAGACATTAGGATAATCTTCTCTATAAATGCATATTTATATGCATTTCCATGTAAATTTCAGAACAAATTGATGAACTGCACTTGTCGAATTCTACAAAAAATACTTCAATATGAAACTCTAAATAAATAAATGTGCGTCGGGCACGGTGGTTCATGCCTGTAATCCCAGCACTTTGGGAGGCCGAGGTGGGTGGATTGCTTGAGGCCAGGAGTTCGAGACCAGCCTGGCCAACATGGCGAAACCCCATCTCTAATAAAAATACAAAAATTAGCTGGGCGTACTGGTGTACACCTGTAATCCCAGCTACTCAGGAGGCTGAGGCAGCAGAATCACTTGAACCCTGGAGGTGGAGGTTGCAGTGAGCTGAGGCTGAGCCACTGCACTCCAGCCTAGGTGACAGAGCAAAACTCTGTCTCCAAAAAAAGAAAAAAAAGAAAGCAGTAAAAGGAATGTGGTATATATAGAAATATATACCACAATACTATTAATATTTCACATACAAAAATGAAAAATAATTCCTTAATACCTGATACCCAGTGAAGATTAAAATTCCAACTATACTACACCTTATTTTGAAAATAGCTTTACTGATGTATAATTGATATATGGTAACCTGTACATATTTAAAGCATACAGTCTGGAGTGAAGGTGATCAGCAGTCAATGCTATGCAGTAGGGAGTCTGAGTGCCAGTGGGAAAAGGAAGACTTCAGAGTGTACGGTCATGTGGAAGCCACGCAGGACAGGTTGAGCGAGCTGAAGAGAGAACACGGGTGCAAACACCACATAGGGACCATGTTCTGGGGCAGGCTCCATGGGATGTCCTCATACCCACAACTGTGACCCGTGGTCTACACCAGAAACAAGAGCTTCTGTCTCCTACACTGTCCCTCCAGTTCCCTGTACTAAGAAAGTATAATATCGGCCGGGCGCGGTGGTTCACGCCTGTAATCCCAGCACTTTGGGAGGCCAAGGAGGGCGGATCACGAGGTCAGGAGATCAAGACCATCCTGGCTAACACGGTGAAACCCCATCTCTACTAAAAATACAAAAAATTAGCCGGGCGAGGTGGCGGGCGCCTGTAGTCCCAGCTACTCGGGAGGCTGAGGCGGGAGAATGGTGTGAACCCCAGGGGGCGGAGCCTGCAGTGAGCTGAGATCGCGCCACTGCACTCCAGCCTGGGTGACAGAAAGACTCCTCCGTCTCAAAAAAAAAAAAAAAAAGAAAGAAAGTATAATATCACACACACTTTAAAGAAGAAGGACTTGGCTACACACTTTAAAGAAGAAGGACTTGGCTGGGTGCGGTGGCTCGTGCCTGTGATCCCAGTATTTTGGGAGGCCAAGGCGGGAAGATCATTTGAGGTCAGGAGTTCGAAACCAGTCTGGCCAACATGGTGAAAATCCGTCTTTACTAAAAATATAACAACAACAACAACAACAACAACAAAATGCCAGGTGTGGTGGTACACACCTGTCAATCACTTGAACCTGGGAGGCAGAGGTTGCAGTGAGCCAAGATCGTGCCACTGCACTCCACCCTGGCCAATGGAGTGAGACTCTGTTAAAAAAAAGAAAGAAAGAAAGAAAGAGGATTTAAATAAATTATTATATTTGAGAGTACATACTGAAGGGTACACTGGACGGTGAGAAGCAATAAACTTAGATAAATGACAGTGTAGTTTTCTTCATGTTTCTTGTGTTTGGCATTCAATGAACTTCTTGGATCTGTGGGTTTATACTTATCTTTGGAAAATTTTCAGCCATTATTTGTTCAAAAGTTGTTCCACAGCTCACTGCTAGATGTTTTTTTACTTTTCTGTGTTTCATTGTGGATAATTTCTATCACTATGTCCTCAAATTCATGAAATCTTTTCTCTTGTAATGTCTAATCTGCTATTAATGACATTTAGTGCATTTTTCATCTCAGACATTGTCATTTTCATTTCTAGAAGTTCGATTTAGGTCTGTGTTTTTTGTTTTGTTTTGTTTTGAGATGGAGTCTTGCTCTGTTGCCCCAGCTGGAGTGCAGTGGTGCGATCTCAGCTCACTGCAACCTCTCCATCCCAGGTTCAAGTGATTCTCCTGTCTCAGTTTCCTGAGTAGCTGGGATTACAAGCGTGCACCACCATGCCCAGCTAATTCTTGTATTTTTAAGTAGAGACAGGGTTTCACCATGTTGTCCAGGCTAGTCTCGAACACCTGACCTCAGGTGATATGCCTGCTTTGGCCTCCCAAAGTGCTGGGATTACAAGTGTGAGCCACCGTGCCCAGCCTTAGGTCTGTGTTTTATATCTTCCATGTTTCTACTTAAGTTTTAAACATACAAAGTACAGTTCTAAGAACTCTCCTGTTCTTCTATGCTAAGTCTAACACGTGTGTCAGCTCTGCCTCACTTTCAACAGATTATTCTCTTTATTACAGACCATATTTTCCTGCCTCTTTGCATACCTGGGAATCTTTTTTTTTTCCTTTTTTTTTTTCGAGATGGAATTTTACTCTGTCACCCAGGCTGGAGTGCAGTGGTACGATCTCAGCTCACTGCAACCTCTGCCTCCCAGGCTCAAGCGATTCTCCTACCTCAGCCTCCTGAGTAGCTGGGATTACAGGTGCCTGCCAGCACGCTCAGCTAATTTTTTGTATTTTTAGTAGAGATGGGGTTCACCATTGTTGGCCAGGCTGGTCTTGAACTCCTGACCTCAAGTTATCCACCCAGGTTGGCCTCCCAAAGTGCTGGGATTACAGGCATGAGCCACTGTGTTGGGCCCATACTTGAGAATCTTTGATTGGATGTCAGACATTGTGAATTTTACCATGTTAGGTGTTCAATATTTTTGTGTTCCCATAGCCTTTTTTGATCTTTATTATGGGATAGAGTTAAATTACTTGGATATAGTTTGATCCTTTTGAATCTTGCTTTTAAGATTTGTTAGGTAGGCCCAGAGAAGTACTGTTTAGATGCAAGCTTGTCCAACCCATGGCCCACAGGCTTTGAAAGTGGTCCAACACAAATTCATAAACTTTCTTAAAACATTGAGATCTTTTTGCAATTTATTTTTTATTTTTAGCTCATTAGCTATCATTAGTGTATTTCATATGTGGTCCTAGACAATTCTTCTTTTGATGTGGCCCAGGGAAGTCAAAAGATTGGATACCCCTGGTCCAGAGCTAATTATTCACTACTACTAAGGCAACACCTTCCCAAGTACTGGCTGGTAGTAACAAGCACTGTTGCAACTACTGTCTGAACATGGGACCCATTCCATCAAATCCCCAGTCCTGAATAGTTTGCTCACATGTTTATGTTGATTGGTCTCTGATGAATACTCAAGAGACCTGCAGACCTCTGGGGTTCTCTCTGTATCTCTCTCTTCTTTCTGCTACTCCCTCCTATGAATGGTAGCTGCACCGGTCTCACTGGATTCACAGTACCATGTCAACTTACAGAGTTCACTGGGCTCTGCTTCATTTTCTGCTTCTGGTGCTACAGCTTTGAAAGTCAAGGCAGTCTGGGGGCAATTGTAGGCCTCACCTCTTTTGTTTCCCCATTTCTCGGGGATCACTCTCCTGCATTACCTGATATCTAGTCTCTTGAAAACATTGTTTCATATAGTTTGTGTATGTTTTTATAAGTGGGAAAGTAAACCTGGTCTCTGTTATGCCAGCTTCACTGGAAGCAGAAGTCCCCAATATACCTTATAAAGCTAATTTGTTCAAACTAAGATCCAAACATTGCATTTGTTTTTCATGCCTCTTAAGTCTCCTTTAATATATATATATACACAAAAATATATAAAATATATATAAATATATAATATATAAAATACATATATTATATATAATATAAAAAATATATATATAAATATATATTTTTAAGAGACAGGGTCTCACGCTGTTGCCTAGGGTGGTCTCGAACTCCTGAGCTCAAGCAATGCTCCTGCTTCAGCATCCCAAAGTGCAGAGATTACAGGCATGAGCCACTGTGCCCAGGCTCTTTCAATTTTTAACAAATTTCCATCCCATATATTTCTGCTTTTCTGTGAAGCTGAATAGACCTAGTTTTCCTACAGGTTGTCCACTTTCTGGATTTATCTGACATGGCTTCCTCATTAAGTCAATTAACTTGTTCCTCCAACCCAGAGGCTGACAAACTTTCTGTAAAGAGCCAGAAAGCAAAACTGTGGTTCTTGTGAGCCACATACTACCTCTGTTATATACTCTTCTTTGGTTTTTGGTTGTCTTTTTGTTTTTTTTGTAAAAGTCATTATTTTATTTTACTTTACTATGATATTTTTATTTATTTTTTTATATTTTATTTTATTTTTATTATTTTATTTTTTTATTTATTTTATTTTATTTTATTTTATTTGAGACAGAGCCTCGCTCTGTTGCATAGGCTGGAGTGCAGTGGTGCAATCTCGGTTCACTGCAACCTTCACCTCCCGGGTTCAAGCAAATCTCCTGCCTCAGCCTCCCGAGTAGCTGGGATTACAGGCATGCGCCACCACGCCCAGCTAATTTTAGTATTTTTAGTGGGGACAGGGTTTTACCATGTTAGCCAGGTTGATCTCCAACTGGAGACCTGACCTCTGGTGATCTGCCCACTTCAGCCTCCCAAAGTGCTGGGATTACAGGCATGAGCCACCACACCTGGCTGATTCTCTTTTTTTTTTTTTTTTTTTTTTTTGAGATGGAGTCTCGTTCTGTCACCCAGGGTGGAGTGCAGTGGCGCAATCTTGGCTCACTGCAACCTCTGCCTTCTGGGTTCAAGCGATTCTCCTGCCTCAGCCTCCCTAGCAGCTGGGACTACAGGCGCGTGCCACCATGCCCGGCTAATTTTTGTATTTTTAGTAGAGATGGGGTTTCACCATGTTAGCCAGGCTGGTCTCCAACTCCTGACCTCAGGTGATCCGCCCACCTTGGCCTCCCAAAGTGCTGGGATTACAGATGTTAGCCACCGTGCCCTGCCTATTCTCTCCTTTTTTTTTTTGAGATGGAGTCTTGCTCTGTCGCCCAGGCTGGAGTGCTCTGGTACCATCTCTGCTCACTGTAACCTCTGCCTTCTGGGTTCAAGCAATTGTTATGCTTCACCCTCCCAAGTAGCTGGGACTACAGGCACATGCCACCACACCTGGCTAATTTTTTGTATTTTTAGTAGAGACAGGGTTTTGCCATGTTGGCCTGGCTGGTTTCAAACTCCTGGCCTCAGGTGATCTGCCTGCCTTGGCCTCCCAAAGTGTTGGGATTACAGGTGTAGACACCACGAGACCAGTGTTTTTTTTTGTAAAAGTCCTTTAGAAACATAAACACCATTCTTGGCTCAAGGGCCATACAAAGATGGCCAAATCCAGCACAAGGCCTGTCTAAAGCCTTGAATAGATTCAGGTGAAATAATTTTCACAAGAACACAGCATAGGTGAGCTGTTTACTTCATACTGCCTGGTTGTCCCCACCATTCATGATGCCAAGATGGAGCACTTGTTAAAGTAAACCCCTCCCATTGTAAAGCTGTGTCTTTCTCCTTGTAATCATCAAATAACCTGTGGGATGATATGTCCAGTTCTCCATCTACTGTTCACCTAATAGTTTTATCATCTGTAGATGATTTTTGCCTGAATCAGTTATTTTATTAGGAGTTGGAATGGTTATTCCCCAATTATAACATTACTTCTATAAACATGAGCAGGCATTCTTATGTAAAGATCATACCCTCATCACCTAGAGTTATTTGGTTACCTTAAAAAAAAAGGTTGCTCCTGGAAAAATGCTTAATTTTTTCTTTTTATCAATATTTAGAGTAAGGAGTTAATGTTTAAGTAATTTTTAGTTCTGACAACTGTTGGGGAAGCTTTCTCTTTTCTGAGTATTATTACAATATAACAGACTCTGACGTTTTATATATTCATGTGTTTAAATCAATTGCAGCCAACTCTCCAGCCGTCCCGCCTTCGGCCAATTAAGAGTCCCTTCCAACTGGCTTCTCTGTCCTTTTGACACAACTCCATTAGTTCATCTGTTTTAAACTGCGGTATAATTATTCCATTAGATTTTAATAGTGTTCTTATTTCTGGCACAAGATAATGTGTCAGGCTCGCCCTATCAAGTTCCTGTTTCAGACCTGGAATTAGTCATTTCTCCAGAGAGCCCTGGTTATTCAGAAATTAAAATATGGGCACTGGGGGTGCTCATTACTACTAACTAGTATTTCATTGCTTCTAAGCCCTTTGAGGACAGAACTAAGAAAAAAAAGATATATGAACAGCACTTCCATATTCTGATTCTGGTTTGCCTATACATCCTAACCTCTTTTGACCTCTCTCTCATTGCTTGCCTGGTTCTTCATCACAGCTGCTCCTCAAACCCATTCCCTTGCTTACATCATACTTGCTATAATTACTGAAGCCTCTCTTGCTAAATACTAAGGTGCTACTATTTTTGTTCTTGGGTTGTATGATATTGCATGACTTTGACCATGAATCTCAGCAGACAAAAATGAAGGGATATCGCCATCAAAATAATGTGTCTGCCAGTTGCAGTGGTGGACACCTGTAGTCCCAGCTACTTGGGAGGCTGAGGCAGGGGGATCTGTTGAGCCCAGGAGTTCCAAGCCAGCCTGGGCAACACAGAGAGACTCCCAGACTCGGTCTCAAAAAAACAAACTAACAAAAACGATGTGTAGCAAGATTTACTTGCTGAGCACTAATGATGTAATGCCACATCTCTGTTATTTACCTATGAAATCAGCAAAATTTGAAAAAAATATTAAATTTTCTATTTTCTGAATCATCAAACTTTATAACCTTCTGCACACAGGGCACTAGTATAGGCAATGGAAATATAAATGACTCTAAAATACAATCTCTAACTTCATAGTCCTTTCAGCTTTAATGCCCAGGTGATGAGACACCAGATGAATTACAGTAGAGTCAGAGGATAAAAAGAAATATAAATAAATGAGTAACAGTACAAATGCAGTTACAATTCACTAAGCCAGATAGACTTTTTTTTTTTAAGAGACAGAGTCTCACTATGATGCCCAGGTTGGAGTGCAGTAACTTTTCATAGGCACAATCACACTACTAATCAGCACGCAAGTTTTGACCTGCTCTGTTTCTAACCCGGGCTGGTTCACTTCACCTTAAGCAAGCTGGCGGTCCCCCGCTCCCGAGAGGTCACCATATTAAGGCCATGGACACAAGACACAGACTTTTTTTTTTTTTTTTTTTTTTGAGACGGAGTCTCGCTCTGTCGCCCAGGCTGGAGTGCAGTGGCGGGATCTCGGCTCACTGCAAGCTCCGCCTCCCGGGTTCACGCCATTCTCCTGCCTCAGCCTCCCAAGTAGCTGGGACTACAGGCGCCCGCCACTACGCCCGGCTAATTTTTTGTATTTTTAGTAGAGACGGTGTTTCACCACGTTGGCCAAGAAGGTCTTGATCTCCTGACCTCGTGATCCACCCGCCTCAGCCTCCCAAAGTGCTGGGATTACATGTGTGAGCCACCGCGCCTGGCCAACACAAGACTTTATATGTAGTCTACAACCCTAACAACCCCATAAGGTATATAGTATGATTTTTTTTTTATAACAATTCCTATTTTCCAGATGAGGAAAATGTGCAACTGCAAACTTTCTGAACATCAACCAACACAACTGGTAATCAACAGAGCCAAAATAAACCCAGGTTCATCTAGTGCCAAAACCTGCATTCATTTCACTACAGCATACAGCCTCCTAGAAAGAGTGATGGATGAAATATACCCTGACTTCAAGATTTAAGGTTTTGCTTTCATTCCACACAATCTTTCTCAGACACTGACTGTGCTACTTAGGTGGAAGAAAGGCTTACCTGAAAGGTTCCTCCAGTGCCTTGGAACTCTCAGATTCTAACAGGGAATCTGAGAGAGTCCATTTTGTTCAATTTCCTTACCAATGAAGGAATTAAGTTGTAACACTGGCTACTGATACTAAATTGGGCAAGAACAGCTGTCTCCAATCCTGGTTTCACGTTAGAATGGTAATTCTCATCTTTGCCTACACATTACAATCACCTGCTTTTAAAAATCTAGATGCCCAGATCACATCCCAGAGCAGTTAAGTCAAATCTCTGAGGGTGGGACCAGACATCGGTATCCAGCGCAAAAGCTGCCCAGGTGATTCTAATATGCAATCAGGGATGAGAATTACAGCTTTAGAACACAGGAATAGCATTTACTAAATGACTTTGACAGATTGCTGGTGGGGAGAAGGTTCCTATCCAAAAAGATGAAACCAAAGGAAACGGGTAGATATAAACAGCAATCTGAAGTCAGCAAGAATCAAGCATGGAAACAGGTGTTTGCAAGTATCCACACAGTCCCCATTTCAAAAAAGTTTGTGAAAAGCAGACTACTATTAATCTCACCTAATTCAGGTTAAGTTAGAATTCTCAGCTGTTGGCTCCACAGCCTATACTCGATTAAATCATACTGCTTTCTACTAATACTAGCTGCCACTAATTGAGCAACTATTATGCGGCCAAATCTTGACACATTTTCTTTTTTTTTTCAGGCAGGGTCTCACTGTGTCACCCAGGCTGGAGTACAGTGGTGTAATCATAGCCTACTGCAACCTTGAACTCCTGGGCTCAAGTGATCCTCTTGCCTCAGTCACCCAAGTAGCTACAACTATAGACCTGTGCCACCATGCCCAGCTTATTTTTAAAAAAATTTTTGCAGAGACGGGTCTTGCTATGTTGCCCACGCTGTTCTCAAACTCCTGGGCTCAACCAATCTTCCTGCCTTGGGATATATTTTCATTTAGTCTTCAAACAACTTTATGAGGCAGGTCTCCATTTTACAGATGATGCATAAAAAGACACAAAATAACTTACATTTATTTCTAAACAAGTCATCTGGATCAGTGGCTCCCAACTTACAAACCATGAATCCTTTGGGGACACCGAGTTGCTTTAAGAGCACTGCCTCTATACTGAACACATCATGTTAATACACGCTGTTTTGATTCTAGAATATAAATCCTTTTAAAAGTATTACTCAATCCCTGTGTTGTTTTATCAATCTGCTGATATAAAACAACATCTAGGCTGGGCACGATGGCTCACGCCTGTAATTCCAGCACTTTGGGAGGCCAGGGCAGGCGGATCACAAGGTCAGGAGATCTAGACCATCCTGGCTAACACAGTGAAACCCTGTCTCTACTAAAAATACAAAAAATTAGCCGGGTGTGGTGGCGGGTGCCTGTAGTCCCAGCTACTCGGGAGGCTGAGCTCAGCAGGAGAATGGCATGAACCCGGGAGGCAGAGCTTGCAGTGAGCCGAGATCGTGCCACTGCACTCCAGACTGGGAGAGAGAGCGAGACTCCGTCTCAAAAAATGAAATAAAATAAAGTAAAATAAATCTATTACCATGTGAAGGTCTACAATTTTTTTTTTTTTTACATACTAAAAAGGAGTCCTCTTGTGGAGAAACTGGAACTCTCACGCATTGTTGGTAGGAATATAAACTGGTACAAGCTTCTTTGAAAATAAGTTTGGCGGTTTCTTAAAAAGTTACAGACAGGACAGGTGTGGTGGTTCACACCTGTAATCCTAGCACTTTGGGAGGCTAAGATGGACAAACTGCTTGAGCCCAAGAGTTCAAGATCAGCCTGGGCAACATGGCAAAACTGTCTCTACAAAAAATACAAAAATTAGCTGGGCATGGTGGCACATGCCTGTAGTCCCAGCTACTTGGGAGACTGAAGTGGGAGAATCACCAGAGTAGTGAGCCATGATCACGCCACTGTACTCCAGCATGGGTGACAGAGTGAGACCCTGTCTCAAAAAAAAAAAAAAAAAAAAAAAGGTTACAGACATACCATATAGCAATTCCACTCCTAAATATCTACCCAAAAGAAATGAAAGTGTAAGTCCAAAGACTTGTACATGAATGTTCCTAACAGCACTATTCATAATAGTTGAAAATTGGAAACAATCCAAATCTCCATTAACTGGTTATGGATAAACAAAATGCAGTATATTCACACAATGGAATACTAAAAAAGGAACTATTATGTGCTATAACACGAGTGAACCTCACAGACGTGATGCTAAGTGAAAGAGGCCAGACACAAAAACTATATATTGCCTGATTCCATTTATATGAAATATCCAGAAAAGGAAAATCAATACAGACAGAAAACAGATCAGTGTTTTCCTGGGGCTGCGGGTGGGGACAGGAGTGAAGACTGAATGCAGAACGATATGGGGGAACTTTTTGGGGTAGCAGAAATGTTCTAAAATTGGATTATGGTGATGGCTGCACAACTCTGTACATATGCTAAAAATTGAATTATACATTTACAGTGGGTGAATTTATAAACTGTAAATTATACTTCAATAAGGCTGTTTCAAAATATTGTAGAAGGTCATTGGATTAGGTTTTAAAAAGGGGGTTCCTTACACTGAAAGACTGGGAACCAGTGATCTGGACAATGGAAAAGGAATTCAGCAAGATTAAGTATATATTAAGAGAAGTGAAATAATTCTCTGGGTGGGTTCAACCTTTTAGTAAATGGTCAAGTTTGCTATACATTTGAACCACAGAACTAAGTAACATATGCTTAGCTGGCTTGTGAATCTAGTTCTAACACATACGAAGTTTCCAGATAAGGTGCTCAGCCCTGTGGGGGAGGTGCCCTGAGTGCACAGTCCTTGACTCAATGGAGTCAAATACATGAATTAACCGTAAGAGATGACAGAATGTAAATGACAAAAGAAAGGGACTAAAGCACTCTAGTTGGTAAGTAGGAGAGATCAAAGCTGGTGGGAGAAGAACAGCAAAGTTCTCATGAAGGAAGTGGCAACTGAGCCTGGCCTTCAGGACTGGGGGAAATTCCAACGGTGGTACAAGTAGAAAGAAGAGGCAGGGCTGGAAATGTGTGCTAGGTCCAGAAGGTACAGGGCTTTGAATGCCATGCCCTTTCTTATTTGTTATGCCAAGGGAGTCCCCTAAATGCAGTAAGAGTTGTTTAGAGCTTCCAAAGAGGAAGGTATCTGACAATGGGAAAAAATGGAGGAGCAGAGCTTAAAGGCAAGGAGATGTTTCAGGTTATTGCATAAAGTTAAGAAAGCTTCAACAAGCTTTCCCTTCCCACTGCAAGTGGGAAGGGGCAGACTCTTGAATTCTCTGGTCTTGGGGCAAGGGAGGGAAGATCCATCTTGAATTATGTGTCCTCTCTTGAGGGTTTCAGCTTTGTCACTTTCCCTGACTCTCATAAGATTTGTCTGTCTCTCCCACTGACAGTTAAAAGTCCATAACCTATAACTTTAGCAGACTGTATTTTCAGAAGACATGTTTTCACTCATTTTTTTTTCAAACAAAGGATTCTATTTGGTAAATAAATTCCTTTCATTTTAGGGAAGTAACATGACATACAAATAATTTTTTTTATTTTTTAATTTTTTTTTAGAGATGGGAGTCTCACCATGTTGCCCAGGGTGGTCTCGAACTTCTGGGATCAATCCTCCCACCTTGGCCTCCCAAGTGTTGAGATTACAGGTGTAAGCCACCACACCCAGCCAAGAATGGTTTGCTTTTTTTTTTTTTTGAGATGGAGTCTCGCTCTGTCACAGGCTGTAGTGCAGTGCCGTGATCTCGGCTCACTGCAACCTCTGCCTCCTGGGTTCAAGCGATTCTCTTGCCTCAGCCTCCTGAGTAGCTGGGATGAAAGGCACGCGCCACCACACTTGGCTAATTTTTGTATTTTCAGTAGAGACGGGGTTTCATCATGTTGGCCAGGATGGTCTCGATCTCCTGACTTTGTGATCTGCCCGGCTCAGCCTCCCAAAGTGCTGAGATTACAGACGTGAGCCACTGCACCGGTGCAAGAATGGTTTTTTAATTCAAACTCTGCTGGTTTTCAAAATAGATGTTACTTTTGAAAGATGCCTCAATCCGATGCTACATTAAATTTTATTTTGGTTTTTGAGGAATAATTCAAATACTAAGCAGAATGCAAGGCTTCGAGTTGACTTGAAGTAACTGGTAGGTAGGTTCTATGTAGGGCTCCTTTTAAATATTGAAGTTCTTCTTTAATAATAGCTTTCTGTCTGCTAGGTTTTTAAGTAAACAGACTGCATAAAACAAAACATGATCGTTTAAGTAAACAGAATTACTTTGCAAAGATTTTTACACCTTGTTTTTCAAAGATTTTTTATAACACACATTTACCTAAACCACAGGTTTACTGGCTGTGACCTTAGATGAGTCACATCCTCCTACGGCCTTAGTGCTTTCTTCAACTGTGAGATCAAAAGGTCAGACTAGACAAGAGCTAAATAACATGGGTTAACCTTGCCCTTCAACAACTGTAATATGCGGGGGTTTCCACCATCTTAAAACACTATGCTAGAAATCTAAAGTCAAATTAGTTATTACCTACATTTCAGTCTTCAGAACAAATCAATGAGACTTTTCTGGATCCCTGCCATAATATGCATGGCACTAAGTGTTGTTGGGGATAAAAACTGGTTAAAGGCTGGACACGGTGGCTCACGCCTGTAATCCCAGCACTTCGGGAGGCTGAGGCAGGCGGATCACTTGAGGCCAGGAGTTCAAGACCTGCCTAATCAACATGGCAAAACCCTGTCTCTACTAAAAATACAAAAATTAGCCAGGCGTGGTGGCGGGCACCTGTAATCCCAGCTACTCAGGAGGCTGAGGCAGGAGAATCACTTGAACCCAGGAGGCGGAGGTTGCAGTGAGCCGAGATCGCGCCACTGCACTCCAGCCTGGGTGATAGAGTAAGACTCTGACACACACACACACACACACACACACACACACACACACACACACTCTGGTTAAAGACATAGTCCCTGCAATTCATGGTGTCTAAAACCTAGCAGGAGAAGAAATATAATCATGTGACATTAAATGACAATAAAATTTGGACCACAGGCTTTATAATTTTTTTTTTTTTTTGAGATGGAGTCTTGCTCTGTCCCCCAGGCTGGAGTGAAGAGGTGTGATCTTGGCTCATTGCAACCTCCACCTCCCAGGTTCAAACGATTCTCCTGCCTCAGCCTTCTGAGTAGCTGGGACTACAGGCATATGCCACCAGACCCGGCTAATTTTTTTTGTATTTTTAGTAGAGACGGGGTTTCGCCATGTTGGCCAGGCTGGTCTTGAACTCCTGACCTTAGGTGATCCACCCGCCTTGGCCTCCCAAAGTGCTGGGATTACAGGCATGAGCCACCATTACCGGCCCACAGGCTTTATAACTTAGATAAATTAAGAGTTTGACAAAAAGCATTCCCAAATGTCCCTACCACTGAAGGCAATGTAAAGGATAATGATATTCCATGTATAGCCCACCCTATGGGAGGTGGGGTGCTGGTCTGTGTAGGGAATGAGCTGGACACAGTATAGCAGATCTTATATTCATATTTTATAATCTGTTAGTTCCATTTCTGCAGAATTATAATGGAATAAAGGCTTTCCCCTTCCTTTCCCTTCCCTTTCCTTTAAAAAAGAAAAAAAATACATAATGGAATAAAGGTTCTAAGTGGTGGACTGTTTGAGGGATTCAGCTAATACCTCATGTCCTTAATTCATATATGAGAACACATAGAATTGATATCTATTACTTAGATCTTATCATTAATGTAAAGGGAAAGACATATGCTAAAACATCTCTGACATCATAGTTACATCTTGCCCGCCCTCTGAGCCTGACCAGGACAGTGTCATAGGAGGAGGTATAACTGGTATCCATGGCAACATCACCAGACTGGGACAATGTGAAAAGCCGTAACCTAGCAACTGATGACGAGAGGTGTGTATAGGGGGAATTCTTACAGTTCTGCAAATGACAAACATGCAGCATTGAATGCAACTAATCATACCAGGGCAATGCGGAAAATCTGACTTATTCGTGGAGAATTACAGAATGTCAACCTCATAAAACCTTAGTACTATGATGCATAATTTTAAACAGGAAAATCACATAAACACCTCCTCATTCCCCACACCGTCAGTCGTGTGCAGGGAAAGTACCTTATGTGTCATGACTGGAATGGAAAATAAATTTTGTTGTGGCACCAATCATCTCAACCTCTCTCTATTTCTCATTACACAAAGGAGTAAATTTGGGTGAGAGGAGAAGCCGCCCTCGGTCCCAGAGAAGGATGAATATGTTCTGCATGCAAAGGCGGCAGCATTACAAAGTTACCAGACATGATATACCACATCATGTGAGACTATCTCTCTACTAATTTTCTTTCCAACAGAGATCGCATACGTACATGTGGACATTTAGAGAGCGAAGGAATCATCTCGTTCAATCTCCGTGTTTTACTGACAGAAATTGAAACCCAGAGTGAGGATTTATTCAAAGTCAGAAAATTAGTGACAGAACATGGGCTAGAACCTAGGTCTTCTGTTTTCCAGGTCAATTCATTCCATTAAAGCACAATGCTATTCTTCCTCATGTTTAAACAGAAATGCTGTTGGACTTTATGGGAATGAGAAAAAAACCTCTATTATGTAAAGCCATTGAGAGCTTAGGGTTTATGTATTATAACAGTTAATGTTATTCTACCTAATATAACCATGAAAGGGTCTATCTCACCCTAAGGCAATCCCTGAAAAAGATACCAACTTTTTTTTATTTTGGGGATTCTGGATCAAGTTATAACTTCAAAGGAATTTACCCAACTCTGTGATTATCAAAGATATTACCTGAGTACAAAAAGACCAAACAGCTTCTCTATCTGGGATAGAATGGTGAATGTGTACCAAAAAAGGTGATACTGTTACAACTATATCTGCCTTGGAATCCTACCTAGTTAGAATTGGAAGATCTTAGCAATCAGCCACTCTAATCTCTTTAGAAAACTGAAGCCCAGGACTCTTTCTACTGACTCCATTATGGCTGACACTGGCTAGTTGTTCACCAACCCATTTCTTCTCCTCCCTGGGCAAAAAGCTGGTCTACATTTCCCAGGTTTTCTTGTAACTGAGTATGGCCATGTGACTGAGCTCTGACCAGCAAATGAGCGGAAGCAACAGGCACCATTTCCAGGCATAGCCCACAGAAATCTTCCAGGTTCTTTTCCTTCTGCTACGACCTTAGAAGTCACCTGTTGAAAACAGCCGAGTCACAAGATGGAAGATGGCTGGAGGAGAACTGAATCACTGCCTGAACTAAGAGCCACTGACCACTCAGGAATACCAGCTTTTAATTCCTGTTAGGCTACTAAAAGTTGGTGACTGATCCGTCACAACAACTTCAGTATTAACGAATAAAACTGTAACTAGGGTTACTCTTCTACAAATAATGAATACCACCCCTTTTTTTCTTAATCAGTAAATATCATTTATTATCAAAGAGATGGCTTGTTTTACTTGTTAAGCCAGTAAGAGCCCCACAGGAAGCAGCAGAGGACTGGGACTGCAGACTTGAGCAAATCACTTAACTTCCCCGGGGCTCTGCTTCCTTAACTAGTCATAGATTAGTGACTGCACATCATTTTTCTTTAAACTCAGATAAAAAAAAACACTTTTTCCCTCAAATAAAATATTAAACAGAACTTCAATACATAAAACATTAAAATGCTCAGGTTGAAGTGAAAATGGGGAAGGGGACAGGAATCCACCAGATTAACAATCCATTCAGCTCTTCCTTGCAGCTATTCCCTGAGGCACCTCTTAGAGACCTATGGCTCCTCAGAATAGTTTGAGAACCGCTGATTGAAACCAATGGTTTTCCAAATTATATGGGATTTTTTTGTTGGCACCCACAGCCCTTTTCCATATGAAATCTTATGTGAAGCCTCAATAAACAGAACAGATAAACAGAACAAAGTAATCTTTTATTAAGTATTTTATAATGTAGATGTATAAAATTTATAAACTCAATTAAGAAAAATTAGACCTTTCCAAAATAATTTGAAATTGGAGGATAAGGATGATGGTGGCAATCTTACTCAGTATGCATGTATTTGTGAATTTAGTTGATTTTAAATATTGAAAACAAATTGTTTTATTCACCCAGTGAAGCAGTTACAAGCGCAACCAGTTTTACTCAGTCCACCTTACAACTGCATAATACTCTTTAGTTAATAGAAGTGGCATGGAGGCTGCAGGCTGGCGTCTCCACACATTCAGGCAAAGCTGGCAGCACAGGCTGAGGCACTGGTGGTCTTGCGTGTGTTCTACATGACATCTCAAGAGGGTTCATGATGACTATTTTGGTAATGGTTCTTTGGAGTGTTACAAATTTTAAAAACACATTCAAGTTTGCAGAATCCCTGAAGAGCAAACATTTCACAAACCACTGGTCCAGATAGACCAGAAGTTCTCTTTTAGCTCTAAAACACTTATAATAGCACTGGACTATTGGCCCAGATGCCAATGTAGAGAAATGGAGATGATGCTATCTGTGTCAAAACATTACTTGCTTTTCTGTTGATGGTTCATTCACTGGATACAGATATTTTGTTTTTCAAAGCAACAATACTTAGGAACCACAACTATGGGCTAACCAGCATAAGTAACAAAAGAGTATATAGTATGCTGCCAACTTTTTGTCTGCCTGTCAACTCCAACCTTCCTACCATCTGCAATCTTCCTACCATTTACCAAGTACAAAATTTGGGGGCCCCACCTCACATCAGGCAAGGGCAGCTCATTTAAACTCTATTTTTATCTCTCCTACACAATATACCAAGCTGTCTACAAGGATTGAGTGAATCCAGATTTCAAGGTAAAAAGAAAGACTAACTGCCACATTAAGCCAAATCTAGAAGCATGAAAAAGATCTACCCCTACAGTAATTAATCTGAATCTTGGGCCTTCAAACCTCCAAAATTTAGGCCCAATATACTAGAACTTTAGGCGTTCCTCTTTGGAAAAAGAAAACCAGAACTAGATACTTGTAGCCCACACAACCAACCTGAAGACTCTTGAATCAGGCATGGCTCTCTCGGTAAATAATTAAGAACAGGCTCAGCCAGGCGCAGTGGCTCATGCCTGTAATCCCAGCACTTTGGGAGGCCGAGGCGGGCGGATCATGAAGTCAGAAGATCGAGACCATCCTGGCCAACATGGTGAAACCCCATTTCTACTAAAAATACAAAAATTAGCTGGGTGTGGTGGCGTGTGCCTGTAATCCCAGCTACTCGGGACGCTGAGGCACGAGAATCACTTGAACCCAGGAGGTGGAGTTTGCAGTGAGCCGAGATTGCGCCACTGCACTCCAGCCTGGTGACAGAGGAAGACTCCATCTCAAAAAGAAAAGAACAGGCTCAACTAATCAATACAAGAATCTACCAAAAAAAAAAAAAAAACACCTCTATGCCGGAAGAATAAGCAATTACCACCCTAATGTGTTTAACCTACTAATTAGCAATAGCACAATCTGGAAATGCTGGAAAATCTGTCTTCACAGAAGAGAGCTCCTATGTAAAAGGCCCTTTTCTGTTTTAGCTGAAGTGGTCCTCTCAATATACCACTTTTAATCCTTCTAGTACATCCTTAATATAACAAACATTGCTAAGAATGAATTCCAAACATTTGGATTCATTTTACCTAGTGATGTAAAAGGCATCCAAAACAATACCACCCAGCAAATATCAACCAAAAAATCAACCAAATCAATGAGATAGAAATACATATGAAGTGGTTTTTATTTCCAATTGACTACCCATCCTGGAAGATTTACAAAAAGCCAATCCTCAAGCCAGTGGTTAACATGTAACCTTTGCAAGGCCTTGAGCAAGTGTCACCAAACTTCTGACCCTCAGTTTCCTTATCTGCCAAATAAAGAGTAACTATTGGCTGGGCACAGTGGCTCACGCCTGTAATCCCAGCATTTTGGGAGGCCAAGGCAGGTGGATCACTTGAACCCAGGAGTTCAAGACCAGCCCGGGCAGCACGGTGAAACTCATCTCTATAAAAAGTATAAAAAATTAGCCAAGAATGGTGGCTTACAGCTGTAGTCCCAGCCACCTGGGAGGCTGAGGTGGGAGGATCACCTGATCCCAGGAGGTCAAGGCTATAGTGAGCCATGATGGCGCTGCTGCACTCCAGCTTGGGCAATAGAGTGAGATCCTGTCTCAAAAAAAAAAAAAAAAAAAAAAAAAAGAAAGAGTAATTATCATGACTTCCATCACAGGCAGGAATGGGATCAGAAGAGGTCACATATGAGAACGTCCTTTGGAAATTTAAATAGCTGTTATTTGGTTGAGAAATTATCTTGTTTTCATAACTTCTTTCTAGAATAGGATGACTAAAAATTGCCAGCCTCTGTAAACGAAGCAGACTTTTAAGAAAAAAACAAATAATACAGCCCCCACCTCAAAAGGAACAAAAGCCCATTCAGCAATTAAAACTACTTCTGATAACCAGCTGTTGCTCACTGTAAAGTGTTCTAGAAACAAAAATGGTTCTGCATCACTCAACAGAGGCAGAGTGGTGGTGACACTTATGGACACTGTATTAATGTCTTTAACTCCAAGAAAGGAAACTGGGAGAAATGTGCTTCAAGAAGTGTACCAGACGCAGAGTTGCTAATCCAAAATGAGCTGTTTAAAGAACAAGGATCTGTTTACCTTTCAGAGGAAAATTAGTCTTTTCAGAGAAGATTAGTTTCAGCTAGTATGCAAACTGTATTCTTTGTGTGTGGATAAGGCATTAGAGGCTGACTGAGGAAAACAGCTCCAAACAGGCAGGAAACAGACAAAGCATCTGTTTGCATTAACTTCCTCCTACACATCTCACCTCACAGGCATGAACTCAGAAGGTGGTTCTTCTAGGAGCTGAGAGTGTGTACGTGGGGGGTGGGGGACACTCTTGTCTGAATTCAGCTTCCGTCACTGTGAATGAGGAAATTCTTGGTGACAACCTCATGAAAGGTACTAGAACAGAGTCTCAGGTCCTGAGAGAGCTCAGATGGCTGCGGAAATTTAACTCAGTATTTCAC
Organism: Homo sapiens; assembly: GCF_000001405.40. Lineage (NCBI taxonomy): Eukaryota > Metazoa > Chordata > Mammalia > Primates > Hominidae > Homo > Homo sapiens. The sequence goes on along the minus strand of NC_000012.12, from coordinate 120,007,312 downwards.
CTCAATACAACAGAATTCTCATTTGTTCTACTTATGTGAAACTAACATGGATATGTAAAGGGCATCTCAACCTTAATTATCCACACAGTCTAAGATGAATTATTTGACTTTATATTCCAACCTATCCCTCTTTCCTTCCTCTAGCCTTTGGTCTCTCAAGTTAATGATGCCACTATTCCTCCAGTAGCTCAAGACAAAAACCTAGGAGTCATTTTTGATTATTTTTTTTCTTTAACCTTCCTTCCCACAACCATTTATTCCATTAGTAAGTCTTGTCAGTTCTACCTTCAAAACATATATCCAACCTAACCCGTTTCAACACTTCCATAATCAAAGCTACCATCAACTCTACCTGGGGAGTCGCTTCTTCATCCATCTCTATCCCTCCACCCTCAGCCCGATAATCCATCCTCCTAGAGTAACTAATCTTTTAAAAGTTGTTATCAATCAGGTCATGATGCTCCCCTGCCAAAAACATATCACTGGCTTCCCAGCACACTGACTAAAACCCCTGGTAGCTAGCAAGGCCCTATGAGATCTGGCTGCTGATTACCTCTCTGATCTCATCTCCTAACCCTTTCCAAGCTAACCACACCCCAGTCATAGCAGCCTTCTTTCCACTGTTCTTAGGCTTTTACATGTTGTTTTCTTTGCCAGGAATACTCTTTTGCTCCTTTTTATCCTGCTCAAACTTCACCTCCCCAAAGGTTCCTTCCTGAGAATCCTATCAAAAATTGAGTTGTCTCTACAGCTACCACTTTCTCCTCCTTACCTGGTTTTATTGTATTCATAGTACTATCACTAGCTGATTTGTCTGTTTATGTATTTCCTTCTTTACTGTCAACTTCCTGCATTATTTTCAGACAGGGAATGCACCTTGTTCACTGTAGCATCACTGTTACTCAGAACAGTGACTTCATACATAGTAGGTGCACATTATAAGTATTTGAATGAATGAATGAATGAATGAATTTTTCAAATTGTGAAATACAACATATATAAAGATAAATACATAAAACAAATACGTCTTGCTTAACAAATAATTATAAAGCAAACACCCACATAATTCCCACCAAGGTCAAGAAACAGAACACTGCCAGCTTTCCAGAAGCCTCCTCTCCAGGCACCATTCCATGATGACGGGGATCCTCCCCACCAATCACACACATTCCCCAGGTAACCATTATCTTGACTTTTGTGATGATAATTACCTCAGTTTTCTTTATAGTTGTACTATGTATGCATACAGAATGATAGGTTTTGCACTCTTGATGAAGGTAGATATGAGGAGAGTATAGACTATTAAAACATTCTTGGAGCAATATGATAGTATCTATTAAAAATTTAAATGTACATACCATTTGACCTAGCTATCCTGTTTGTAGGCATCTAACCTAGAAAAATGTGAAGAGTGCAAAAATGTATGAACAAGGATGTTCACTGCAGCAGTATTTGTAACACTAAATCACTATAACCAACACATATGCCCTTCAATGGCATAGCTGTTACATTAGCCGTGGTACCTCCATATGTGCTATATGGAATACTATATACAACCATTTAAAATACTTTAAAAAAAATTCCAAGATATAGTAAGTGAAAGAATTTTAAGAAAACCATTTTGTTTAAAATGAAAGCAAAAACGGCTGGGCGTGGTGGCTCACACCTGTAATCCCAGTACTTTGGGAGGCCGAGGTGGATCACCTGAAGCCAGGAGTTTGAGACCAGCCTGCCAACATGGCAAAACCGCATCTCTACTAAAAATACAGAAATTGGGTAGGCATGGTGGCACTCGCCTGTAATTCCAGCTACTTGGGAGGCTGAGACACAAGAATCATTTAAACCCAGGAGGTGGAGGTTGCAGTGTGCCGAGATTGTGCCACTACACTCCAGCCACCGCACTCTGGGAGACAGAGCAAGACTCTCTCAAAAACAAACAAAAACAAAGCAAAATAAGTAGAAAAGTTATGTACAACATGTGTGCATGTGTGTATCACATATGAAGAAATACAAAAAAAATTAACACCAAACCATGGCTAGTATTTTCTTTGGAAGAGGACCATGGGAGATTTTCACTGAACATTTGTACTGAACATTTCTCTATTGTCTCAATATTATTTCACAGTGAACATGAATTCTTTTTGCCATCAGGAAACACAATAAACATTTTTAAAATTTAAAAATCTATAGGCCAGGTACGGTGGCTCATGCCTGTAATCCCAGCACTTTTCGAGGCCGAGGTGGGCAGATCACCTGAGGTCAAGGAGTTTGAGACTAGACTGGCCAACATGGTGAAATCCCGCTTCTACTAAAAATACCAAAAATTAGCCGGGTATAGTGGCGGGCGCCTGTAATCCCAGCTACTCAGGAGGCTGAGACAGGAGAATCCCTTGAACCTGGGAGGCTGAGGCTGCAGTGAGCTGAGATCGTGCCATTGCACTCCAGCCTGGGCAACAAGAGCGACACTCCGTCTCAGAAACAAACAAACAAACAAATCTATAAAACTTAAACTTAGGATAGAGGCAAAACTAGAATTTCTGAATATCTACTAAGGAATATTCAGTAAAGCTAAGTTCCTTAAGAAGCCGACCCTATCCTAGCCAGATAAATCAAAGTTCATAAAAATAACACCCCATTGGGAGCCAATCTTTCATAAACATAGATTTCAAACTTCCTGGCTTCACCTGAACTATAATGGATCTTTGTTTCTTTATTTCAGTCTCTCCTTCACCAATATTTAGACCATTCCTCCAGGTATCTCTTGGCCTAATCCCTTCTAGTTTAAAGTACAGGCTTTGGATTCTCCTGGCCTTGGACCTAGGCATAACTTCCTGTTGAATGCTCTTTATCACCCTCCCTATCTCAGTGATTCTATAGTAGAAACCCATCTTGGCTTCATTCAGCCTTTGAAGCAGCCCTTTTTATACAATGCTCCCAAAACAGCTTCTCTCTTTGGGTATTAGGGAGTAATACCCAAAGTCATAGTGACAAGGCACATGACCCCAATTCTGGATGTGAGAAACTGGGGAGAGGTTTGTTAGAGACACTTGTAGCACTGTGATGAGGGGAAAGGGATAAATGGAGGGGGCTCTGGGAAAACAAATGCAAAAAGAATATAGCACAATACCTAAATAAATCAAAGAAAAAATAATTATTTTAAGGTGAATTCTCGAGTTTTACTCTTGAAGAAGCCATCAGGGCTGCACAGTGAGCAATTATATATCCTACGTGAGGCTCTGCTCAGAAGCAATCACCATTCAGCTTTCCAAATGAGAACCTCTGGCTGCCTCCTTCTCCATACTACAGACCATGTGGAGCATGAGAACAGATGAGATGACACAGAGTTGCAGACAGGGAGTTCTTTTGTCTAGTGTACGCTCCCAAGAAGGACAGGAAAGCCATAATGATACCTAAACCCAAATAATGGCCAATCGTCCCATGAGACGAGAATTTTTTGTAAAAGCTAAAAGGCTCATTTCCATACCCATCAGTAGAGTCAGAGAACTACAGAACCAATCGCTCTGTAACTGACCAACCTGCAGACCATGGAGAAGCACAGTGCAATGCAAAAGGACCTGCAGACTTTAAATCAATGCACAAAAGCTCTGTCCATTCTCATATGTAGTCACTCTTCTCAATTCATTGAAGACTGGCTTTTTATGCAATTCCAGGAGTATCTATGATAATAATATTAGGTGTCTAGGCAAGTGAGTCACCATTAGCTATAGGTTGCCTGTCAAAGCACTGATATCCATGGCACCTTTGACAACTGGTTTTCAAACAGCATACACGCAGTGTAAGAGTGAGTGTGAAAGTCAGGAGTGCACTTCTAAAGAGTACATGGAGGGGTAGTGTATTCTTGACAGTTATAGTTCTAATAATCTCCTTATTGGGTATTTTAGATAATCATTTAACAACAACAACAAAACCCAACCATCTTTTATTGAATGCCCACTCTGCTAGATACCTGTTTACAACAATAAACAAGACAGATAGAGTCCCTGCTCTCATAGAGTTTACAGTCTAACAGTATTCATCAAAGAATGCTGTTCCCTTAGCTCTTCCACAGCTGGCTCCTCACCCTTGGGGTCTCATCTCAGATGTTGTCTCCCCACAGAAGCCTTCCCTACCGACTGTTTTTTTTTTTTTTTTTTAAAGATGGGGTCTTGCTCTGTTGCCCAGGCTGGAGTGCAGTGGCACAATTTCGGCTCACTGCAGCCTTTGCCTCCCAGGTTCCAGCGATTCTCCTGCATCAGACTCCCCGGTAGCTGGAGATTACAGGCTCACGATACCATGCCCAGCTAATTTATGTATTTTTAGTAGAGATGGGGTTTCACCATGTTGGCCAGGCTGGTCTCAAATGCCTGACCTCAGGTGATCTGCCCGCCTTAGCCTCTCAAAGTGCTGGGATTACAGGCGTGAGCCACCATGACCCGGCCCCCTACCGAGTCTTTCTAAGGTAGAAAAAGCTCCCTGCTTTCTAGTCAGTCTCCATCAAATCACCCTTCATAGTACCTACTGCAATCTGTATCTTGTGGATTGTTCATTTATTTATACATCTTCTCCTACTAGCTTCATAAAACAGAGGACTTGTGTTCTCCACTGTATTCCCAGTGCCTTGATCAATAAATATTTGCTGAATGTTGAATTAAAGAAGATCTAAAAAAATAATAAAGGCTTTCATATTTTACTCAAGGAATAGAATGCAGGTTAGTCTTTAGAGGAGGGTAATGAGAGAGGTGGATTGGGACTTTTTCAAAGAATAAAATTAAGGGTTCTAAGTATCTTCCCATGAACCATGGCAGCTCTTAGTCATATGGCCAAAGGCTTATGTATCTTTGGTATGTAAATATGTTATTAAGTATATGCAACCCCCCAGAAAAGTGACACTACTGTGAACACCTCCCACAGACAGCACTGATTAACATCCAAGAGTTGTATCTGTTGGTAAGAAAACCCCAACACGTTTCTTATGGGTTGAATTATGTTCCCCTTCCCCTATCCATATATTGAAGTTCAAAACCCAGTACCTCAGAATGTGACCTTATTTAGAGACAGGGTCTTTACATAGGTAATCAAATTAAAATGAGGTCATTAGGGTGGGTCTAATCCAATATGGTTGGCGTCCTTATAAGGTTAGGAGAAATGAGTGACTGCTATGGGTACAGGGTTTCTTTTGCGGAGGGTGACATGTTCTCTAATTAGATAATGGTGATAGTGGCACACCTCTGTAAATAACTAAAAACTACCCAATTATACACTTAAAAAAATTTTTTTTTAAGAGACAAAGTCTCACTCTGTCACTCAGGCTGCAGTGCAGTGGTGTGATCATAGCTCATTGCAGCTTCAAAGTCCTGGGCTCAAGCAATCAGCCAGTACTACAGGCATGCACCACTACACATGGAGAATTTAAAAACATTTTTTTTGTAAAGACAGGGTCTTACTGTATAGTTCAGGCTAGTCTCAAGCTCTTGGCCTCAAGTGATCCTCCTGCCTCAACCTCCTAAAGTGCTGGGATTACAGACATGAGCCACTGTGCTAAGCCCCAAATTGTACCCTTTTAAAGGGTAAATGTTATGGTATGTGAATTATATCTCAATAAAGCTGTTATTAATAAAGAGAAGAGCAGCCCTGGAGGCCAAGGAAGCCAATGAGATGTATGTAAACTCTGGACGAAGGTATCAAAGAAATACTGTACATTTTAGATATTATACATTTCATACTTATAAAAACACATTTTAAACACTATAAGAAAAGTACGGCCTTTGGCCAGGCGTGGTGGCTCATGCCTGTAATCCCAGCACTTTGGGAGGCCGAGGCGGGCAGATCACAAGGTCAGGAGATCGAGACCATCCTGGCTAACACAGTAAAACCCCATTTCTACTAAAAATACAAAAAATTAGCCGGGCGTGGTGGCAGGCGCCTGTAGTCCCAGCTACTTGGGAGGCTGAGGCAAGAGAATGTCATGAACCCGGGAGGCGGAGCTTGCAGTGAGCTGAGATTGTGCCACTGTACTCCAGCCTGGGCGACAAAGCAAGACTCTGTCTCAAAAAAAAAGAAGAAGAAAAAGAAAAGTATGGCCTTCTATTACCTCTGTTGATTATCTTGTCTTAATTCACTTCAAAATATTTAACTCCTCTAGTTCCTGGATACTCAGTTAATAAAACGCTATCTAAACTTGCTGCTGATGGAAACCCCAGGGGCTGGTCCTGCTTGAAAAAAGGGAAAAAGCTATAAAACTCACCAAGGGCCTATATTCAAGGCCAGAAAGGATAACAAAAATCTAGATCTAGTAGAAATGTTATCTTCCTACGTTCTTTTAGGAGCAGCTTATCAGGATTTTCTATAAGAAATTAGGCAAAGTGAACAAATTATAAAGACACTGCTTTAGTAAAACAACCATCAACACTGAAACAAATCCTTACCTTCACACGCTGTTTAACATAAACACATTATCTCATTTTTCATTTCAATAATACTTGTATGAGGCATAATTTTTACACCCATTTTAAAGAAAAGGAAACTGAGGCACAAACAAGGTCCCCCAGTTAATGAGTAACAGAGTCAGATTCCAAGCTCCATGAGCTTTTGCTATGTCATGTTGAAATCTGCTTTTTCCCTTCGTCTCTCTTGGTCACCTATCTTTCACGGGGCAGAGTCTGCTTTAGCTCATGTTATTTTGTAACATGAACTTAGCCCCCAAGAAATCTTAATTTCCCCTTTAATTTTTCTGGTTTGTTGCATTCATTCTATAAGTCTCCGTAAGAAACACTTACTCAAAGTATGTATTAAATGTTTTTGAACAAATAAATCAATCTAGCCAGGCCTCTCTGGTTGAATCTTTCATGAATAATGAATGAAAATAGTCAAAAACATAAAAATTTTTACAAGGATAGAGATTCCATTCCCAGTTGCTGAAAAAAGCTTTTAGAACTGAATCAGAAATCCTGTTACTGAGCTGGCTCTGTGAAGTGACTTCCTGAACTGTCCAATTCCTACTTCCCAGACAATCAAATGGTGACTGGATTCTCCAGATGGGAAACCTGCAGGCAAGAAGATCTTTAGCTCTACCTATTGCCTGAATCCTCAGCTCTCACAAACATTCTGGTATTTCCCTGCAACTATTTTCCAAGTTACTAAGCATCATTTTCCTTCTTTCTTTCTCCCTCTCCTCTACCTTTCCTTCTTCTCCTCCCTTCCCCATTGGTGGCACTTCTTCCCATATTCTTGTGAGACACGTTTTTTCACTGGTCTCAGAATAACCACAGGAAGCAACTACAACACAAACTAGTGAAATAACTTCATACAGCATCACCCATCAAATTAGTGGAAGATCCAGGAATTTATGAAATGCTGCCCTATTTACACTTTTCCCTAAGACCAAAGCACCAAACACTAACCATGCAGACACGGCACTGCTCCCATGAGAACATCAGTGCTGAGGGATGATATCAGAGAAGTTCTTTTTCCTCCGGTAACTGAAGAGTTGGTAGTTTTATTTTCAATATACAAGAAGGGCTGAGGTAGAATAGTAAATCCAAGTCTTAATTTTCTAAAATAGATGGATTTATAGACCAGGGCATTAATAACATTCCTGCATTTGTTTAAAAGGTATGTTCTGTATTTAAATTAGATTTCCATCTATTTAGCCTCAACCTCCTTCCTTGAAATGATTTTACAGCCTTGACTTTGGTTAATACTTCCATGACACCACCTTAGAAAGGTACAAATAAAGAATGTTTACTAAATGTGGAAATAAAACAAATTTTCAATACAGATACACATTTCTTTTCATATTTAAACAATACAAAAAGTGTACATTCACAAATGCAACATCAATAAAAATCAATTGCTCTAGAAATTTTCCCTAAGCTTAAAAAGTTTAAAGACAGTACCTTTTAATATTTGAACTAAACGAATTAACATAATTTTGCCAGTGATAGACTTTCATAGGTAAAGTAATCACAGACTTTTAGAGCTATAAAAACGTCAGAAGTCATTAAGCACAACCCCTTCATTTTAAAAATGAGAAAACTCCCAAGTTAAGTGATTGTCAAAGTCTGTGGCTTGTTAATCACAAGCATGCATCTTGGCTCCTGACCCCTAGTTCAGTAATACCAAAGTTCTTGTAGATAGAAATACTGAACTTTGTTAAAAACGAAGGCATACAAAATCAGAATTGCTCTTGTCATCTATATGACTCACATTATACAGAAGCTCTATTTCAACTTTTTTTTTTTTTTTTTTTTTCCGAGACAGGCTGTCACTCTGTTGCCCGGGCTGGAGTGTAGTGGCATGACTGATCACAGCTCACTGCAGCCTTGACCTCCTGGGCTCAAGCGATCCCCCCACCTCAGCCTCCCAAGTAGCTGGGACCACAGGCAGGTGCCACCATGCCTGGCTAATTTTTAAAAAACTTTTGTAGAGATGAGGTCTCCCTGTGTTGCCCAGATTGGTCTGAAGTGCTTCTCCCACCTTGGCCTCCCGAAATGCTGGCGTCACAGGCATAAGCCTCCATGCCCAGCCTATTTCAACTTTTAGTATTTTACATCTTAAATTCTTAATTTGTGACTCACCCTGCTGAGCTGATCCAATAGCCTTTGGTTCTGTTCCGACAGTTCCTGGACAGCCCGTGATTTTTCTCGATCTGCTTCCCGCAGATGAATCTGCTGCCTCTCCAACTCATCCTGTAGCTGCTTCACATCACTCTCCAGCTCTGACACTCGGCCTTCCCACTCCCCTTCTCGGTTCTCAAATCGTCTTCTCAATTCATGTTTCTCTTGCTCTAAGTGCTGGGTGAAAAGTGAAGGGATTTAAACACTGATAAAAATTCCACAGCCTTTTATTTTTTCTCTCCGCGCTGTCCCAACTTTTCTTTTTCCTAGTCAGTAGACACAATAAAACACCCTACCACATAGGACAAGTTGCCGAATTCACAGCTACAAAAATATTCCTTCTTCCAGAGCAGGGAAGAAGTTGGTTTCACAAAGAGAACGCCATTCTTACTGAAAATACTTAAAGTTATTATGTTTATTCTTATCCTTAGGCATGAGGTTCTAGACTAGGGAGTTCACTTGAAATTTGCCAATCATCTAATCAATTGGTGAACTATACATTTAAACAACTAAAAATGAGTCCCACAACTAAAATCCTTTTTGATTTTTTTGAGATGGAGTCTTGCTCTGTCGCCCAGGCTGGAGTGCAGTGGTAAGACTCCGTCGCCCAGGCTGGAATGCAGTGGTGTGATCTTGGCTCACCACAACCTCCGCCTCTCAGGTTCAAGCAATTCTCATGCCTCAGCTTCTCAAGCAGCTGGAATTACAGGAATGCGCCATGACACTGGGCTGATTTTTGTATTTTCAGTAGAGATGGGGTTTTACAATGTTGCCCAGGTTGGTCTCGATTTCTTGACCTCGTGATCCCCCCGGCCCGGCCTCCCAAAGTGCTGGGATTACAGGTGTGAGCCACCGTGCCCCACCCCCTCCTTACTTTTTTTAAGGAGGCTTCCTTTGGAGTCACCTATTATCCATGGCATAATACCAGATTCTTACTATCACAGAATTTTTCAGAGATGAAAAGAACTCCAGAGATCTTTTCAATTAACCATCTCGTCTTAGAAATGAAGCAACAGAAGAGGTTAAGTGACAATCTCAAGGTCACTACTAGTAAACGGCAAAGCGGGGACTGTCTAAGTCAGTTGACTCTGGTTCTCTAAGTCACAGCTCAATAAATATTTGTTGCTATATATAGCAATGTAATTCAAAATCATTAGGGCAAGTTGAGGTTCAGGGCCACTTTAAATCATGGCCCATTAAGCCTTGTATATTTATTTGATACATTGATTCATTCTTGAGCACCTACTATGAGCCAAGCACAGTCCTAGGGACGTTCTAATGAGCAAAACAGACATGGTCCTTGCCTGTATGGAGTTTTCATTCTAGTGGAGGAGACTGATAAAACAAATTGCATATGAAAGATGGTATGCAGGAAAAGTACATATGGTTTAATGTAGCAGCTCAATAAAACAAGATTTCTTTGGATTGAGGGAAATAAAAACATCTTTTTGTGGCCAGGCGCGGTGGCACACGCCTGTAATCCCAGCACTTTGGGAGGCTAAGGAGGGCAGATCACGAGGTCAGGAGATCGAGACCATCCTGGTTAACACGGTGAAACCTGATCTCTACTAAAAATATAAAATTAGCCGGGCGAGGTGGCGAGGGCCTGCAGTCCCAGCTACCCAGGAGGCTGAGGCAGGAGAATGGCATGAACCCGGGAGGCAGAGCTTGCAGTGAGCCGAGATCGCGCCACTGCACTCTAGCCCGGACGACGGAGCGAGACTCCGTCTCAAAAAAAAAAAAAAAATCTTTTTGTTTCTGAGATAAATATGCATGCCTCTGAAAAGAGTATGTTCTTCTATTTAAAAAGCACAGTATGTACAACAGCCAAAACTATACTTCAAGGACTCTAGGAAATCTAAGTGAAAGTGATGGTCCTGAACTTTTGATGCTCTCAGAAACATTCTGGTGTAACTATTCAAAATACACCCTGGACTGCAATTCCTGAGATTGTGATGCAGTTAGGAATAGACTGAAGTCTAAGGCATCTATGCGTGTGTGTGTGTGTGTGTGTGTATCTGTATATGTATATATACTGGGTTCTACAGGAAATTCTGACACACTGAAGGTTGACATCAAGCACTGAGACTGAATGAACTAAAATGCACCTATGAATCTTCTCTTTCAGACTACTCAGTCATCTCCTTATCTTGAGAGGCTATACTCTTATTCACCTGAAGTTCTCACCATTCAAAATATCTTTCAGAATGCTTCTTTTGGAAAGCCTTAAGGGACAGCTTACAGTCATGCAAGAAAATAAGTTCTATTACTTCACATCTGGGGTGTGTCTAAAAAATGAGATTAGCCTCCTTCATCCTGCCATCTTATTCTCCTTACTTTGTTGAGTGACTTTTGAATGTTTCTGAAAGTCATTAACCCCAAAAAGATGAAAATTTACCATGATTGAGAGCAGTCAAAAGAATGTGCCAAAAGATAAAAACAGCAGTAGAAAATTAACATTCTGAGCACACTGGCAAAGGCAGTTTTCACCGAAAACTCCCAAGTTGACAACTTTAAGGAGACAACTCATTTGGAGATAGCCACTCGAGTGTATCTGTTGAAAAAGACACATTATATTTTATACAGTCTGTTTGGGGCAATGTGGGAAAAGAAATGACAAGGGAGGGCCTTCTCATCAGTATGAGAATTTTTTGCTCTATGCATCCCTTGTATTGCTTAACTTCCAAAAATGAGAATTTTTTTTTTTTTTTTGAGACGGAGTCTTGCTCTGTCTCCCAGGCTGGAGTGCAGTGGCATGATCTCGGCTCACTGCAACCTCCGCCTCCCGGGTTTACGCCATTCTCCTGCCTCAGCCTCCCGAGTAGCTGGGACTACAGGCGCCCACCACCACGCCCAGCTAATTTTTTGTATTTTTAGTAGAGACAGGGTTTCACTGTGTTAGCCAGGATGGTCTCGATCTCCTGACCTCGTGATCCGCTTGCCTCGGCCTCCCAAAGTGCTGGGATTACAGGCGTGAGCCACCGTGCCCGGCCAGAGAATGTTTTAGTCACTGTAGAAACTTCAGCAAGATGGAATGCAGAAACAAATGCTAATTGCAATCCTAAAATTGTGATACTTGCTTTTATTCAATTTTTTCAAAATGAAAAAGATTCAGCAGAAGGCAATGGCAAGAACTCAGTAATCACAGTGTTACTGAGAGGCCAGATAAATTAGGCTCGTGTTCTAAAAGAACAGAGTGACTTAAAAATATTCAGCAAACAGCTGTTAGTGAAGAGCCCAACCAAGCAACTGAAACAATCCAATCCACTTGGGGGCAGGGCTGAGGACAGGTGGTGCTGATCAGTCTATTCAGTCCTTGTATTTCTTTGGACATGAGACAAACTTCCTATTTCATGTTTCCCAATCCTTTGACAAATTCCAGGCTTTCCTATTAATAAACATACAGAATTTACCATTTTGTACAGAATTTAGCATCTGCTCTGAGAAAAGTTTCTCCTAGAATTATATTTTCAATTAAGTGCTAAATTAACCAGAAAACTCTAGGGAGACTGTCAGGAAGTGTGAAGGTCAAGTTCTGCTTATGCTCTCCTTCGTTTCTCAGGGTTATATAGTATTTTAGAAAGTTAATATCAAAATTGTCAAGGTCATCAAAAATAAGGTTAAGAAACTGCCAGTCACAGCTAAGAGGAGCCTAAAGTGACACAAAAACTAAATGTAATATGGTATCCTGGAACAGAAAAAGGTATTAGATAAATGCTTAGATAATCTGAATAAACTGAAGACTTCAGTTAGTAATCACATGAGTACTGGTTCAATAATTATGGCGGATGTACCATACTATTATAAGATGTTAATAAGAGGAAGCTGGGTGCAGGGTATATGCAAACTCTCTGTACTATCTTTCCAGCTCTTTTGGAAATCTAAAACCATTTTAAAAAATAGAGTCTATGGCTGGGCGCAGTGGCTCATGCCTGTAATCCCAGCACTTTGGGAGGCCCAGGTGGGCAGATCACGAGGTCAGGAGTTTAAGACCAGCCTGACCAAGATGGTGAAACCCCGTCTCTACTAAAAATACAAAAATTAGCCGGGCATGGTGGTGTATACCAGTAGTCCCAGCTACTCAGGAGGCTGAGGCAGGAGAATTGTTTGAACCCGGGAGGCGGAGGTTGCAGTGAGCCAAGATGGCGCCACTGCACTCCAGCCTGGGTAACAAAGTGAGACTCCGTCTCGAAAAAAAAAGAGTCTATTTAAAACTAAAAAAACCCCACCACCCAAAATTAAGATCATTAGTTTACATAAAACAGGTCTTTACAGAAATGGATTTCTGCCAAAAAAAAAAAAAGAACCAAAAAACTGACAATATGCTCAGAAGTCCAGTACATGGTTCTGAAAAAGTACTGTTCTTTAAAAGGTCCAAGAACTAAATGCAAATCAGAACCCCTGGGTTTTCTTCCCTAAATCCACTAGTGACTCCCATTATGTATTCATTTTCATCTTTTGTTCTTCCTCTTAAAAAAACAGTACTGGACTAATGAGAATTGGCCTGGCCTGGGGAAGGAGGAAAATATAACTGAGGGAAGAGAACAATCTCTGCAGTAAAGAGATAATCCACTCAGCCATGATGGAAAAAAGGGAGATACTGTACATTAACAACAAATATTTAATTCCTGAAGAAAAAAGGTGTATAAATACAAGTTACTGTCTTACTTCATATTCTGGGGAAAAAGCTAAGGACATGACCGGATATAAGTTTTAAAGCAAAACGGCTAATTGTAGATGAAAAGAAATTTTTAAAAATGCCTTCAGAACTTTAAGCATCTGGGCTGGGTGCAGTGGCTCACGCCTATAATCCCAGCACTTTGGGAGGCTGAGGCGGGAGGATCACCTGAGGTCAGGAGTTCAAGACCAGCCTGGCCACCATGGTGAAACCCCATCTCTAAAAAATACAAAAATTAGCCAGGCATGATGGTGGGTTGTGTAATCCCAGCTACTCGGAAGGCTGAGGCAGGAGAATCGCTTGAATCCAGGAGGCAGAGAGGTTGCAGTGAGCTGGTATCACGCCACTGCACTCCAGCCTGGGCAACAGAGCAAGACTCTGTCTCAAAAAAAAAAAAAAAGAAACAACTTTAAGCATCTGATTCAGTGAATGAGTAACAAAATACAGAGTCAATTCAAGAGCGGAAAAAATGGCCCAAACCTTACAGTTTTTCCAATTAACCTGAATTTTCATTTTAACCCCAAGAGACATATAACTAAAAAACTTCTGTTAACCTTTAAACCACTGAAGACTTTAAATATTAATAGTATGCCTTTAATGACACAATAGTGTAGCATCAAGTACTTTAATGTTTGAAATGAAAACAACAAAATCTTGGGCTTGGCACACAGAACCAGAGAGGTATTTAGTATTAACTAATGAATAGGTAGAAAAGATCTTGAAAATGCCTTGTTTGTCCCGACATTAGAAAGGTGCCGGCCCGGCGCAGTGGCTCATGCCTGTAATCCCAGCACTTTGGGAGGCCGAGGCAGGCGGATCACGAGGTCAGGAGCTCGAGAACATCTTGGCTAACATGGTGAAACCCCGTCTCTACTAAAAATACAAAAAAAAAAAAAAAATTAGCCAGGCGTGGTGGCGGGCGCCTGTAGTCCCAGCTGCTCAGGAGGCTGAGGCAGGAGAATGTCATGAACCTGGGAGGTGGAGCTTGCAGTGAGCTGAGATTGCGCCACTGCACTCCAGACTGGGCGACAGAGCGAGACTCCATCTGGGGGGCAGGGTGGGGGGGTGGAAGAAAGGTGCCAATTTTGAAGTAGTAGAGAAGATGGGATTAAAATAAAACCAGTCTCATTATTCAATAGTGAAAGTGGCATTCCCTCAGTCCACTCACATGTTTCTCTTTCAAACCACCCTGTAAGAAAATGTGTTTGACTCCAAATGTCCGACAGTTTGTGGAAGATTATAAATTTTTTTTTTCTGGTCAAGTTCTCTCATGAATAAATGCGTCTTAAAGTACTGGTTTTATACTCCCAAGTGTTTGATTTAATTGAAAATACAGGCCAGGCTCAATGGTTCACTCCTGTAATCCCACCACTTTGGAAGGCCAGGGCAGGAGGACTGCTTGAGCCCCGTAGTTTGAGACCAGCCTTGGCAACATAGTGAGACCCCATCTCTACGAAACATTTTTACAAAATTAGCCAGGTGTGTAGTAGGCGCCTGTAGTCCCAGCTACTCAGGAGGCTGAGTGGGAGGGTCACTTGAGGGTGCAGTAAGCCATGATCAGCCACTCCACTGCAGCCTGGGGGATAGAGTGAGATCTTGTCTAAAAAAGAAAAAAGTACAAAGTACAGCAGTTTGTACTGAACGTTAGAAAGTATTGTCTAAACAGACATTCTAAAACCTACATTGTTCAAACAATGTACTGTGGGGAAAACTAAACCGGAGGTGTCAAATAAAACAGTACTCTGTAAACCAGGTTTGTCACTCTCACATTAACACTAGAAAGATTAACAAGCAACTAATGGTACTCTCTTAGTATCTTTAATGAACATTTTTAAAACTTTAAAATTTTTTATAATTTTCAAACCTACCTATAAGAAATAATATAACTGACTCCCCTCATCACTGAGTTTCAACAATGATCAATATTTGGCCTGTAAGTATATGTTAAGTATATGTTAGTTATATTCACATTGTTGTGCGACTATCTCCAGAACTTAAAATTGAACTTTTAAAACTAGAGTTCATATGCTGACCTGCAGAGGAATGAAGGTTTTAAAAAATAGTTTAAAGAGTTTTAAACTATTGTTGTCCATTAAGTAAATAACAAAATGTCAAAGATAATTTATTCTTTTACAATACAACCTTTTTTTGTTACCATTCTGAAATCTTTGCCCTATGTTGAAGAAATGTATAAAGGCTCCACATGGAACCCAGAATGTATGTAATTGCACACTCAGGATTACTATGAAATCTGGCACTAATCAAACTGATACGGTGCTCCTTTCAAGTCAGCTGTCTCTTCAATCAAGTCCTTCACTGAAGAAATTTCAAATCACAAGTATAAATCTCTGTAGTTGTACTTCTTTACAAAGTCGTACAACTGAATCTCTTTATAAAAAAAAAAGGAAGGCTTTTTATTTCTAGACCTCTACTTCAAGTGAAAATTAAACAATTCAATTCATTAGGCTGCTTTTTGGCAGTCTACCTATAGGTTTCACAAACGACTTTTCAGAGAGGTATCTCAGGAGTTCATCGACTGGCAGACCTAGTTAGCAGGACAACCGAACTACAGGGCACTCACAGGTTTCCTTTTTTTCTCCCGGATTTACTTTTACGTCGCTGGACTATAGGCATACTTAAATCTTATTACAGAATATTTCTGAATTTCCATTCTGACTGTTCAACCAGTAGCAGAGATACGGAACCTGACTAGGGTCAATTTCAAACCTCATTCAGGTCTGTACTATTGTCTTGCTGTAACTAAGAATGAAAAGAGCTGGCTGCAACCAAACTAGGTAACAATAATAGTAAACGCACAGGCAGGAAAGGTAAGTCACAGGTGACTCCCTCTCCCCATCCCCCTGCCCCTTTTTTTTGCAATCTAATTTTTAGAAATGCTGGCATTCTGTACTGCATTCAAGGCCCTTTTCTAGTTAAGGGCAAGAAAACAAACAACTCTGAAAGACTGCCTAGAGAACTGGCAGAAATATTACGGATACCTTAACAGGTATTTTATAACAGAAGTTAAAGTAATATGGTTCTCATAGGTTGCATTTGGTCATTCAATTGCAAGCCTGAGACCCAGAACACAGAAAAGTACTGTTTAAATACACATAAATACTGAGGCCCAAATTAAATCCACTACCAGCGGTCACATGTTGAGCCCTGGCTCGCCTGATTTCTGCAATGGAACCACATTTCCTAATCCCTGAGCATTTGAAGGCTATATAAAGCTCCTTTAGGGGCACTTGTTTCCCACAACTCTGAGCTGCCAGGAAGTTAAGACAAGGGCATCTAAAGGCCTTAACGCCCAAACTGGAAGGCTTTAGGCTAACACCCTGATTAGAGATTAACTGCTCTGAAAACCTGCAACATATTTTAAATGCTTCCCGACTTCCTCATTTCTCTGTATGCAGACATCACCTCAGTGCTATATAGTCATACTGTAAGCTCTATTTTAGATGCTGGGTACAGTACGTATATAGAACGGCCCACAGCGGCTGGAGCCACGCATGGACCCATTTGCTGTGAGCGGGGTGGGGAAGTCAAGTGGGTTCAACGAAATCTGATAATCCTCCATCCTCCCTCCCCCATTCATTCCAGATTTTCTGCGAGGTAGGGTGAGCAACGAAGTGGGGGTGAGTGGTTCCCTAACTGCCCAGGGCCGGGCGCGTGCCTGGGCGGCCCCTGCTCCCCACCCATCCCTGGAGGGAGGTCCTCACCTCGAGCTTGTCTGTCAGCTCCTTATGCATCTGCTCGTACTGCCGGCTCATGTCCTGGTTCCTCTCGAGCAGCGCCTTACCCAGCCGGGCCGCCAACACCAGATCCTTCTCCTTCTGTCGGATCACCGACAGCAGCTCGGGGTCCTGGGAGGGCGGCGGCTGCGGTCCGGCCCCCTCGGCCAGAGACCCAGGCTCGGCCTGAGGGTGTTCCCCGGGGTCGGACGGCCGCTCCCCGGCCGCCAGCAGCGCCAGCTCCTCCTCTAACGCCAGTTCTAGCTCCCCGGAGCCCCCGGGGAAGATGAGGGCGGCGGCGGCGGCGGGACTCCGGACTGCGTCCCCGGCCGCGGCGGGCAGCTCCATGCAGCAGGCGCTGTCCGGCTCGGCGGGTGCTGAAGCGCGGCCGACCAAGCCCAGGCAGAAAGCGGACATGGCCCGCGCGCGCGGAGCCCGCAGCGGTGCGGCCCGGCCCGCGCGCGCCAGGCTGCAGGGGGGAGGGGCCCTGCCGCGCCGCCCCGCGTCCCGCGCCTCGCCTCGCGCCGCGGCACGCGCCCCCGGGTCCCCGCGAGCCCTGGGCGCGGCGCGCGCCGGCCCGCCCCTCCCCCGCGCCGGCGGCACGCGCCCCCTCCCCCGCCCCCGGGCTCAGCTGCTCAGGCGCGCGCGGGAGGAGGGGGTGGGGGTAGTGGCGGAGTAGGTGGTGGGAACGGGAAGGCTGGGGAAGGGAGGACTCAGGAACAGAGACTGAGGGTCGGCGAAGCGGGAGGGGAGGAAGCGAGGAGGAACGCCGCCGCCGGGTTCTCAGCCGCCCTGTTGCCGCTGCCGCTGCTGCTGCTGCTGCCGCCGCCGGCCGGGCAGCGCCTCACGGGGCGGGCTGCGCTCCGCTGTCGCCGCGACGCTTCCTGCTGCTGCTGCTGTTGCCGGCGGCCGCTCTCTGCAGCCGCACTCCATGACCCCCGGCTCCGCGGCAGCCCCAGCAGCAGCGGCGGCGACGGCGGCTGCTGCTGCTGCAGGGGCCGAGGCGGCGGCTCCACATCGCGCGCCGCGCAACCCGGCGAGCTCCTTCCTGCCTTCCCCGGCTCCTCCCGGCTCACCGGGCCGGCAGCGCCCCGCCCCGGGCTTCCGGCCGCGTCCCCTCGCCCCGCCCCTTGCCGGCGCCTGACGCGCGCGGGCACCTGTTCGCCCCGCCCGCGCGGGATTCGCCGGCTCGCGGGTCTCCTCAGCGACGCCCAGGTGGCGCCGGCGGCCTTAACCCCTGCTCTGCCTCACGCCCTGCGGGCGGCTGCGCGCGCCGCCTGCGGAGGCGGCTGGCGCATCCCTCACGGTCCTGGCTGCCTCACCGCGCGGCCACGCCCCCAGCCTTGCACCCACTTCGGGGTGCGGTTCCGCCCTCAGCCTCGCTCAGAGCTGGGGTGTGGCCACGCCCTCAGCTCTCGTACCTCGGGGTGTGGCCTCGCACCCGGCCTCGCTCTCACCTCGGACGGAGCGCGGCCCCGCCCACCGCCTGCTGCTCACCTCCAGGCGCGGCCCCGCCCCCAGCTACTTGGAAGCCGGGGCGCGCCTCAGAGTTCTGTTGCCGCATCTCTGGTGGTGTCTGGGGCAAAGGGGACTGAGGACATTCCTCCAAGACTGGTGACCCGGCCCCGAGAAAGACATACCCTCACGAAATTTAGGTCTGGGCCCCCAGGAGAACTAAGCAGTCAGGAGAGGGAGCCCTAGAGAGCAGTAGGAGGAGGGAGGACTTCGGAAACCAGGCATCTTCATGCTGATGACTCAGGGATATGAAGGACCAGATGCTTCGCAGATCAGCAGCCCGGAGAGAAAGGGTTTCTGCGGAGAAATAACGGAAAAAACTGCTCACAGATGGGAATACGAAGCAAAGAACCTCCCTAATAATAACTACCGTTTATTCGGCACTCAGTGTGTGCCATGTCCTGTATTAAGTGCTTGATAGTCATTATTTTAGATAATCCTCACAAGAACTTTATAAAATCAGTACTGCCGCTTGTCATTTTAACAGAGAAGGAAATTAAAGCCTGAGAGATGGCATCGTCTGCCCAGGTCATTACAACTGGTAGAGTCAGGATTGAGATCTAGCCAGGCCGACGCCAGGGATCACGTGAATCATTATTCTTTATTTTCTTCACATAGAAGCAGTCTTGAGGAAGATAAATGGTCCTTTGTGACCAAGATGGATTGGGTGGATATGGAAGGAACATTTCCTCAATGATTAAAGGAAGGTTTGGAGAGCCTACTGGGTGACTTGCAGTCATTCCTTGGTGTTGACCTCGTTGGTGGTGCTACGTGTCTCCTATTTCCAGAAACAATCCCATCTAAAGCTAGAATTCGTCCCTATGCTTCCTTTTCCTCTTGGACAGACAACCCATTTTTTACTTGGATCATGCCTTTCTTCTTTTCATCCCAGTGAGATGGAAATTTCAGAACATCAAGAGGCTGAAATGGGTCAAATAGTTTCTCATGGTTTTTATCGCTTATTAAATTCAGAGCCTAAACAATATTCAAGTTTTAACATCGTTACCCTTAGACTGAAGGCCAGAATCTGAAAAGCTCCTGGGCCTCAGGGCTGGCATTGTTCACTTGTTGACTGGAAAGGAGACAGACAGTTGAGGGATTCCCACATCAATCTTAGAGCTAAATTTCTGCAGTTGACCATGTTACCATTCCAGCAAGGAAATGTTCTAACACTTTTTATTATGACCTCCCACCTTGAGCTGGAATTGTGGGCCAGAGGTGAGATCCAATTGCCACTTCCTTTTGTCTTATTTGAATCACAGAAGGACAAATTTCTCCCTAATATGTCTGGAGACACATCAAGAACAAACAGGGCCAGGCTCTGTGGCTCCTGCCTATAATCTCAGCACTTCGGGAGGCTGAGGCAGGAGGATTGCTTGAGCCCAGGAGTTCAAGACCAGCTTGGACAATGTAGAAAGTAAAGTTTCCTCTTCAAAGCTTCCCTTCTTGTTAAAGAATGAATAATAAGTGTTAGAAATAATGGTTTCTTTTAAAGACTAACTTCCTTCAAGCCACCTTATTTTATGCTAATAACTCTCTGTTAAGCCCTTTCCTATGTAGCTGTTAGATCTAAGGGAATGAGTACATTCTATGTCCATGTACTTTAACCAAGATACCTGTGCTGGACATGCTCACTGGCATGTCCCAGCTTGCAGCCTATGCCCCTTCCCTATTTGGGAATGTTACTACTTTTCTAAGTCTTTTCATAAATAACTTCCTCTTTTCCTTTGTTCTCCATTGCTTTTACCTATTTAGAAAAGTTTTAAGTTGTTAGCCTATCAGGTTCAGTTTAAATTGTAAGGTCTGGCTCCAGCCAATGGAGACAAGGCACAGTAGCAGGGACAAACTGCGTAAGGGATAAAAATTGCTTCTTTCCTTTATTCAGGTGTGCTCTTGCCATTGTTCCAGCTGCAAGGAGCACCCTTTCTGCAGAAACTAAAATTGCATTGCTGAGAAAACTTTCTCTCTAAATGCTGATTTTTCCTCGTGGTACCGAGGAACAAGCATTCTGTTTCTAAATAAACATTTTACTTATAACAGGCAACATGGCAAGATCCTGTCTCTCCACCAGTTGGGTGGCTCATGCCTATGACCCCAGCATTTTGGGAGGCCAAAGTGGGAGGGTCTTATAAGCCCAGGAGTTTGAGACTAGCCTGGACAACATGGCCAAAACCCCGTCTCTACAAAAAATACAAAAAAATTAGCCAGGCATGGTGGTGTGTGCCTATAGCCCCAGCTACTCAGGAGGCTGAGATGGGAGGGTGAGTTGAGCCTGGAAGATCAAGGCTGCAGTGAGCCCTGATCATACTATTGCACTCCAGTCTGGGTGACAGAGCAAGAACTTGTCAAAAAAAAAAAAAAAAAAAAGAGTTTCAGCTCTTTTTCCTTAATGCAGACATGCAGCCTATCTTTCAAAAAATGACTTTGTTTGCCTGCCTTGAGCCCAATGGTCCTAATCTGTTCCACTTATCTGTTACTGTGAAAATGAACTGTTACAATTCTAACTCCAGCTTCTGAATTTCCTTCCTAACAATGTTCCACTGCTGAACCTTACTAGGAAATGTTCACTTCTTACAGTAGGTTTGGCTCTAAGCACTGTCTTTCTGGGAGAACCAGCCCAACTTTGCAGAACTATTCAAAATAGTGGTTCTTAAACATTTTGGTCTCAGAATCTCATTACACTCTTGGGCCGGGTACGGTGGCTCATGCTTGTAATCCTAGCACTTTGGGAGGCCGAGGCAGGCAGATCACTTGGGGTAATGAGTTCAAGACCAGCCTGGCCAGCATGGCAAAACCCTGTCTCTACTAAAAATACAAAAATTAGCTGTGCATGGTGGCATGTGCCTGTAGTCCCAGCTACTCAGGAGGCTGAGGCGGGAGGATCGTTTGAACCTGGGAGGCGGACGTTGCAGTGAGCCAAGGTCACGCCACTGCACTCCAGCCTGGGTGACAGAGTGAGACTCCATCTCCAAAAAAAAAGTTTTTAAATAATTAATTCATTTTAAATATTTATGATAAACCTATTATATGTAACTATAATGAATTTTTATGAACAATAACTATATGGTCCTAAATGTAAAAAAAACTAGTGAGAAGAATGGCGTTATTCTTCATTTTTGTAAACCTCTGTAATGTATGGCTTAACAGTAGAAAAGTGAATTCTTGTATTTGGATATATCTATAATGTATGATATTTTGAAATATATGAAGAAAATTTGGACTCACAAAGATATGTGGTTGGGAAAAGGAGGAATATTTTAGTAGCCTTTTCATTTTGGATATTTTTCTTTGATATTACACCCAAACTTGACAAGTTATAGTTTCTTTCTTTCTCTCTCTCTCTCTCTTTCTTTCTTTCTTGAGATGGAGTCTCACTCTGTTGCCCAGGCTGGAGTGAGTGCAGTGGCGCAATCTTGGCTCGCTGCATCCTCCACCTCCCAGGTCAAGTGATTCTCCTGCCTCAGCCTCCCAAGTAGCTGGGACTACAGGCATGTGCCCCCACACTTGGCTAATTTTGGTATTTTTAGTAGAGACGGGGTTTCACTATGTTGGCCAGGCTGGTCTTGAACTCCTGACCTCAGGTGATCCACCCACCTCAGCCTCCCAAAGTGCTGGGATTACAGGCGTGAGCCACTGCGCCCAGATGACAAGTTGTAGTTTCTTAAAGGTTAGTTGCAATGTGAAATCTAAAACCATGTCAAGGAAATCCCATTGATCTATTTTTCACTTTGAATGGATTTTTTACATATGTATGATTGATTGTATAACAGCATGTATTTTCATTTGGAAAATGTCTGAGTTATGCAGATCTTACAAATATTGTCACATGTCATTACACAATATCAGCCTAATCACATTCATTAATATCACCACCACTGATCTCATCATAAAAGTCTTTAAGTATTGAGAAGTTACTAAGCTTGAGTTTTATCATTAGTAACAAATATTTTGAGTTGTTTTCCTTGAAGTAACAGACTTACTTCATTAATTCTTGAGAAAATATCTGCCAAATACCCGAATCTGAATACCACAGTTTGTGTCATTCATTCAGGTAAAAACAGTGTTCCGTGAAAAATGTGGCTAGTTAGTTCCCAACTCAAACGGAGGTACAAGTGCTTCACCTCAAGATAACCATCATACTTCAGTACACAGCAGAAGTGCTTTGTGGGTACTTCCCATTTCATCACATGAAATATTAAAAAGATGTGCACTCAAGGGTCTGGACTTAATAGAAGTACTGCTTCGTCAGGGACATTGGTTAATAAAACTAGCTTCTGTTTTTTCTATGAGCACATGAAA
The DNA here is from genome assembly GCF_000001405.40 of Homo sapiens. NCBI lineage: Eukaryota > Metazoa > Chordata > Mammalia > Primates > Hominidae > Homo > Homo sapiens. The sequence goes on along the minus strand of NC_000012.12, from coordinate 119,984,471 downwards.
GTGAAGACTACCATGTGTACCAGCACAGCTGGGTAACACTGCCTTGACTCATGCTAAGGTATCAGTGGTGTTACCTACCATTGCTTTTGCACCATCAGTGCAAATGTCAACATAATTACAAACAAAAATAGTATTAGATGATTAGCATTATTATGAAATTAGTTTGCTATTGTTAATAACATTAGAATGATAATCCTTACACTTATTATGAAAATAGTTCTTTTCTTGGTAGCCCTCTGAAAGACTCTAGGACCTTTAGGAGCCGGTGCACCACACTCTGGGAACTGCTGATTCAAGTCCATTAGGTCAGCCTTGAGGTAACAGAATGAATATATACCTGCCTATATGGAAATTAGTGCCAGGATTTAAAACTCATTAAAGCCAAGTTATGAAAACCATCAGACTTCTAAGAAGCTTATTAAATTTATTCTTCTTCATGCTAGAACAATAACAGCTAAAATACATTTAGCACTGTGCTCCTTAAATCCTTTATGTAACACTCTCTCATTTAATCCTCACAATAACCCTATAATGGTAGTGTGTTACACCAATATATACTAGTACATGATACTATGATGCTAGTGTTTTAGAACTGTCTGTCTCTAATGGACTTGTTCTTAGTTACTCTACTGCACTTCACTTTTTATCACTTATGTATTCCTTTAAAATATATTTGCATTAGTGTTAGTTTTAGTACCTGGATAGTCTGGTAAACTTGAGTATGAGTACAGTTTACATACTTAACATACTATGGGTGAATTTCCACGTAAGTGCTATTACATCACTAAGGGCAAAACATGACATTTTTCCTTCTTAGAGATCCTGATATCTACAAATATGACAACGCTCATCCGATTTCCCCAAGTTGTTTACTTTTATTAACATCTTGGTCCGTGAAAACTGGAAAGTGTAAAAGACAAAACGTCTCGAAAATTTGTTTTTGAAAAGCCAAGTGTTGAAGAAACATGAGGAACTGGCAAAATGTGTAATAAAGCTGTTCTATGCTTGATATTTTCATTTAGCTATGATGTGTGTGTTTGTGTGCACCAGCAGATCACGCGTGTTTTAAGTTGTATATTTTGTCTATGAAATAATCGTGGAAACATACAAGTCTTGGACATTCATCAAATGTTACCCAAAGCACTTTATATTTTTTAGAGAGGAGTGATCTCAACATTTTGCAGAATGTGGTGTGTATACCCCTGGTGGTTCTCAAGTTGGTTTTTAGGGGAAAAATGTTAACATCAGTGGCTGGTGCTCACCGGTGTCAGTCTTCAGCAGAGACCCTGCCCTGCCTGATGTCGGGAAGTTCCTTCTCTGCTACTCAGAAGGTAAATAGAAGCCTCATCTTGTCCCTATATGGATACACAGTGTGAGTTCCCAACTTCCTCTCCTCCAGCTTCTATCCTTTCCTACCAACATCCTTGCCCAACTTTTCCCTTCCAGATGAGAACTCCTCTCTCCCAAGGATTTGCCTAATACCCCAGGTCTAGCTGCCCTGTTACCTCTGCCAGTTATTTTCTGACAACTGTCATTTCCAGCTTCTGACCCATTTTTCCTCCCTTCTGATTAGGCATCTTCAGTCTTTCCCCTTAATGATCATGAACCAGACTTCCTGGGCTGCATCTAGTTCTGCCACTTAGGAGTTGGATGACTTTGGACCTCTATGCCTCAGTTTCTTCATTTATAAAATGGGGATAATGGTAGTACTTACCTGATAAATTTGGTCTTAAGACAGAAAGATTTCAGATACGTACAGCTCTTAAAAATGAAGCCTGATAGGCCAGGTGTGGTGGCTCACACCTGTAATCCCAACACTTTCAGAGGCCGAGGTGAGTGAATTGCTTGAGCCCAGGAGTTCAAGACCAGCCTGGGTAACATAACAAAACCCTGTCCCTACAAAAAAATAAAAAATAAATTAGCCAGGCATGGTGGTGTGTGCGTTTCATCTCAGCTACTGGAGAGGCTGAGGTGGGAGGATCACCTGAGCCCAGGAGGTTGAGGCTTTAGTGAGCTGTGTGCCACTGCACTCCAGCCTGGATGACAGAGCAAGACCCTGTCTCCAATAATAATAATAATAATAAGAAGAAGAAGAAGTAATACTTACTTAATAAGGTCAGTCTTAAGACAAGAATATTTCAGATATGTTTAAAATGGAGCCTGGCAGGCCAGGTGCAGTGGCTCACTCCTGTAATTTCAGCACTTTGGGAGGCCGAGGCTGGAAGATCGCTTGAGGCCAGGAGTTTGAGACCACCCTGAGCAACACAGAGAGATCCTCTGTCTCCCACCTATAGTCTTAGCTACTCCTGAGGCTGAGACATGGAGTTTGAGGATGCAGCGAGGCGGTGAGCTACTATCGCGCCACTGCACTCCAGCCTCGGTCTCAGAGCGAGACCCTGTCTCTAAAAACCAACCAACAAACAAACAATCTGGGCTTTCTGAATTAGATCTGTCATTAACCAGCTGTGTAGCTATGTACAATTGAACAAGGCATTTAATGTGCCTAGGCTTTGGCTTCCTTATCTGTACGGTATGAAGTTGGCCTGGTAATCACCCCTGTATGCTCTAAACCAGTAGTTCTCAACTGGGGGTGATTTTTTTTTTTTTAAGACGGCATCTCACTGTGTCAAGCAGGCTGGAGTGCAGTGGCATGATCTCGGCTCACTGCAACCTCCAGCTCCTGGGTTCAAGCGATTCTCCTGCCTCAGCCTCTCTAGTAGCTGGGATTACAGGTACATGCCACCATGCCCAGCTCATTTTTGTATTTTTAGTAGAGAAAGGTTTCACCATGTTGGCTAAGCTGGTCTCAAACTGCTGACCTCACGTGATCCGCCTGCCTCAACTTCCCAAAGTGCTGGGATTACAAACATGAGCCACCGTGCTTGGTCTGGGGGTGATTTTGACCTCCTCCTAGGACCCTAGAGATATTGGGCAATGTCTGGAGACATTTTGGGTTGTCATAACTGGGAGGAAGGAGGTGTTATTGGCATCTAATGGATGGAGACTAGAGATGCTGCCAAACATATTTTAATGTCCAGGACAGCCTATCTGGCCCCAAATGTCAATAGTGCTGAGTTGAGAAACGCTAGTTTAAAATGACAGGCTTCGGGACAGGCGCATTGGCTTATGCTTGTAATCCCAGCACTTTGGGAAGCTGAGGTGGGCAGATCACTTAAGGTCAGGAGTTTGAGACCAGCCTGGCCAACATGAAAAAACCCCATATCTACTAAAAATACAGAAATTAGCCGGCGTGGTGGTATGCACCTTCAGTCTTAGCTACTTGGGAGGCTGAGGCAGGAGAATCATCTGAACGTGGTAGGTGGAAGTTGGCAGTGAGCCGAGGTTGGGCCACTGCACTCCAGCTTCGGTGACAAAGACTCTGTCTCAAAAAAAAAAAAAAAAAAAAGACAGAATGACAGGCTTTGACCGGGCGTGGTGGCTCACACCTGTAATCCTAGCACTTTGGGAGGTCGAGGTGAGTGGATCACTTAAGCCCAGGAGTTCAAGACCAGCCTGGGCAACATGGCGAAACCCCGTCTCTACAGAAAATCCAAAAATTAGTCAAGCACAGTGGCTCACGCCTATAGTCTCAGCTACTAGGGAGACTGAGGTGGGAGGATCATGTGGGTATGGGGAGGTTGACGCTGAAGTGAGCTGTGATCACGCTATTGCACTTTAGCCTGGATGACAGAGCAAGACCCTGTCTCAAATAAATAAAATAAAATAAAATAAAATAAAATAAAATGACAGGCTTCTACAACTTAACCATGAGGTTTGTTGCCTGAGAAAGATATAAATGGGTTACATGCATGATGGGCTCTGATGCAAGCCCAAGGGTGCTTTGGCTGCTTTTAGGGATTCTCTTCTGGAAAACCAGCCCATAACACAGCCATACCACTTAGGCAAATAAATAACCAAAAAGCTCCTCTGCTTTGAGGCAATTGCTCCCAACATTGACTAAATTACTTTCTACTCTCCCCTACCCTCTTATAATGATTTGGCTGTCACTGTTGCCCAAACTCATCAGAAAATGACTGCTTTATGCTCAGGTTGGCTGTTTTTGGTTCTTCCAATGCCCACATCTAGAAAGATTTGTGGTTTCATTTTCTATGTGCTCATATTTTCCTGCTTCTTTTCAATGATCTTGGCTCTAAACACATTGTTGCTGTGTTTTGCTACATATATCATTCATCTCGAGCTATTTTAAAACATTTCCTAGTTTTATTTCATCTCAAGAATTTGCCAAACATTTGTTATATCTTGTTCCTTCCGCATTACATTCTGGTTTAATCTGTTGGCAGGCAAGTTATTTATACCTATTGATACTGCTCATACTAAAACTGTTTCTTAAGTGAATTTCCTCCCTTTAGTGTTCTTTGTCAATTTCAGAGTACACTGATTATGGAAATTTTATATCATCCAGTTTCCAGGATAACTAAAAACTTTTGCTGGTGGGTAGGTAAAATGTCCCGTGAATCTGTTTTCCATGGTTTGTGTTAGCATTGCTACTGCTACACTTCTCACTTTATGTAAAAAGCCTTTATGGATTTCTTGGTGCCTTCCTATGATCAGAGGAATAGTCATCTTCTAAAGGGTCAAAATTTAATCATGTCCTAGAAAATGTAGCTATGTTTGTGTGGGGGGCACATGTGTAGGTGTGGGATATATGTGAATATTAAGTGTTCTGGAAAGATAGTTGGTGTAATGCAACTATCTTAATAGTTAATTTTTCCATTAAGTAATGTATATATATATATATACACACATTTTATATATTTATATAAATATATATATTTTTTCTTTTCTTTTCTTTTTTCTTTTTTTTTTGAGATGGAGTCTTGTTCTTATTGTCCAGGCTGGAGGGCAGTGGCACAATCTCAGCTCACTGCAACCTCTGCCTCCTGGGTTCAAGCAATTCTCCTGTCTCAGCCTCCCCAGTAGCTGGGATTACGGGCGCCTGCCACCACACCTGGCTAATTTTTGTATTTTTAGTGGAGACGGGGTTTCACCATGTTGGCCATACTGGTCTCGAACTCCTGACCTCAGGTGATCCACCTGCCTCGGCCTCCCAAAGTGTTGGGATTACAGGCATGAGCCACCGTGCCTGGCCTTTTTTTTTTTTTTTTTTAAGACGGAGTCTTGCTCTGTCACCCGGGCTGGAATGCAGTGACATGATCTCGGCTCACTGCAGCCTCTGCCTCCTGGGTTCAAGCAATTCTCCTGCCTCAGCCTCCCGAGTAGCTGGGACTACAGGTGTGTGCCACCACACCTGGCTAATTTTTTGTATTTTTAGTAAAGACAGGGTTTCACCATGTTGGCCAGGTTGGTCTTGATCTCCTGACCTCGTGATCTGCCTGCCTCGGCCTCCCAAAGTGCTGGGATTACAGGTGTGAGCCACCGCGCCTGGCCTACACTTATATTTTTTAGAGACAGGGTCTTGCTCTGTTGCCCAGGCTGGAGTGTAGTAGCATAATCGTAGCTCTCTGCAGCTGCGAACTCGTTGGCTCAACCAATCCTCCTGCCTTAGCCTCCCAGGAAGCTAAAACTGCAAGCATGTGCCACCATGCCCAGTTAATTTTAAAATATTTTTTGTAGAGACAGGGTCTCGCTATGTTGACCAGGCAGGTCCCAAATGACTGGCTTCAAGCAATCTTCCCACTTTGGCCTCCCAAAGTGCTGGGATTACAGGCATGAGCCACCACACCCAGCCAGCAAAATAATTTTTTAAAGTTTCTAAACTATAAGGAAATCTATTGAATTATATAGTTACCAAGGCAGTTGGCCAGTATTTATTGAGACACAATTGACGGTTGGTGTGCGTTTGGTATTATTATCTCATTATATGAGAATTTCAGGATTTTAGAAAATTTTAGAAAACATATCAGGCATGGTGGCTCATGCCTGTATCTCAGCACTTTGGGAGGCCAAGGCAGGCAGATCACTTGAGGTCAGGAGTTCGAGACCAGCCTGGTCAACATGGTGAAACTCGTCTTTACAAAAAATACAAAAATTAGCCAAGCGTGGTGGCTCATGACTGTAGTCCCAGCTATTCGGGAGGCTGAGGCAGGAGAATCACTTGAGCCTGGGAGGTGGAGGTTGCAGTGAGCCAAGATCACGCCACTGCATTCCTGCCTGGGTGACAGAGTGAGTTTCCATCTCAAAAAAAAAAAAAAAAAATTTAGAAAACGTGATTCTCATCCTCAAGGAGTATTCCATCAGTGTTTGTGTAAGAGTGTGGGCCGAGCGCGGTGGCTCACTTTGGGAGGCCGAGGCAGGCGGATCACGAGGTCAGGAGATTGAGATCATCCTCTCTAACACGGTGAAACCCTGTGTCTACTGAAAATACAAAATATTAGCCGGGCATGGTGGCAGGCTCCTGTAGTCCCAGCTACTCGGGAGGCTGAGGCAGGAGAATTGTTTGAATCCAGGAGGTGGATGTTGCAGTGAGCCAAGACCATGCCACTGCACTCCAGCCTGGGTGACAGAGCGAGACTCTGTCTCAAAAAAAAAAAAAAAAAAAAAATGGACATGGCGTCACCAAGGCATGTCCATAATTCACACCACAGGAAATTTAATATAGTGGTTAAGAACATGGTTTCTAGAGTAAGCTCTGGTTTCAAGTCAAGGCTCCCTCAGTTACTAGCCAAAATAACCCTAGGAAAGTTAGTTAACCTTTCTATGCACTATGTAAGTAAATAATTTTGTTACTAGTGGGTCTTAAGGCCCAGCACAGTTCCTAACATATGATAGGAACTTGATACTTTTTTTTTTGAGATAGAGTCTTACTCTGCCATCTAGGCTGGAGTGCAGTGACACAATCATTGTTTGCTGCAACCTCTGCCTACCAGGCTCAAGCAATGCTCCCCACCTCAGCCTCTTGAGTAGCTGGTACTAGAGACAGGCGCCATCACACCCAGCTAATTTTTGTATTTTTAGTAGAGATGGGGTTCACCATGTTTTCCAGGCTTGTAGGAACTTGATACATTTTTATAATGAACGAATAATGTGTCTAAAGCACTTAGTACATTGCTAAGACACAGTCAGAGTTTACTCAATAAGATGTTAAAGACAAAAAACCAACAAAAACTCTTGATCTCAGAATACCAGATTTGTTACATATTAATATGGTCCACATGGTTTGTGTTAACCTCTATACTCATACAAAACATTTATCGCATAGAGGCTATCATGTGATAAGTTGGAGATTATGTGGGGGAAACATATATGTATACGCTGTGATCCTTACCCTCAAAATGTTTATAACTTAATAAACAATAGAAAACATAAACCAGAATTAGTTGGCCATGGTGGTGCACACCTGTAGTCCCAGCTACTTGGAGGCTGAGGCAGGAGGATCGCTTGAGCCCTGGAGGCAAAGGCTGCAGTGAGTCGAGATCACGCCACTGCACTCCAGAATGAGACCCTGTCTCAAAAAGAAAGAAGAAGAAGAAAAAAAACATAAACAGGACTGGGTGCAATGGTTCATGCTTGTAATCCCAGCACTTTGGGAGGCTGAGGCAGGAGGATTGCTTGAGTCCAGGAGTTCAAGACCAGCGTGGGCAAGAGGGCAACACCTCATGTCTTATTTATTTATTTATCTCTTTATTTTTTGAGAGAGTCTCACTCTGTCACCCAGGCTGGAGTGCAGTGGTGCAATCTTGGCTCACTTCAAACTCTACTTCCCAAGTTCAAGCCATTCTCTTGCCTCAACCTCCTTAGTAGCTGGGATTACAGGTGCATGCCACTATGCCCGGCTAATTTTTGTATTTTTAGTAGAGATGGAGTTTCACCATGTTGGCCAGGTTGGTCTTGAACTCCTGACCTCAAGTGATCCACCTGCCTTGGCCTTCCGAAGTGCTGGGATTACAGGCATGAGCCGCCACGCCCGGCCTGTGAAACCCTGTCTATACAAAAAATACAAAAGTTAGTTGGGCGTGTGGCATGTGCCTGTAAGCTCAGCTATACAGGAGGCTGAGATGGGAGGAATGCTTGAGCCTGGGAGGTGGAGGTTGCCATGAGCTGAGATCGTGTCACTGCAATCCCAGCCTGGAAGACAGAGTGAGACCCTTTCTCAAAATAAATAAATAAATAAATAAATAATAAAAAATTCAGAGAAGGGAGACAGTGCTAGATACAATGGGGAGCCACTGGACATGTTGAAACTGTGAGGAAATCTGAATAAATCTGTACTTCAGGAAGACTAACCTGGCACTGGTGTGAAAGATAGATTCAAGGTGAGAGTCAGGAGTCGGGGAGAACAATTACAATACTGCTGGAAGAATCTATATGGAAGTTCTGATGGAATGGAAGACAGAGGTCAGAGATGTTATAAACAAGAGAAATAATTGCTAAATTTGGAGTCTGATCAGCTATTAGAGAGTGAGAATGAAGAAAAAGGAGGATTCAGAGATGCCTCTGAGGTTACCAATGTGGACAACAAACAGAATGATGGTGTCTTGCCAGAAACAGGAAAACTGGAAAAATAGCAAGAATCAGATAATTAGGCCCTTTGATTTGGCTATGGCCAAGGACCTCTCACCTATATAGGGAAAAAGGCAAGCGTGAAATCAATATACATAGCAATGATGAGAGCGAGTTGTTCACACAGACACGGTGGCTCATGCCTGTAATCCCAGTACTTTGAGAAGCTGAGGTGGGAAGATCATTTGAGCCCAGGAGGTTGAGGCTGCAGTGAGCAGAGATTGCACCACTGCACTCCTGCCTGGGTGACAGAATGAGACCCTGTCTCAACAAAACAAAACAAAACAAACAAAAAAAGAGTGAGTTGATGACAAATGTATCAGTGGGATTGAAAATGCAAAGTTCTTCCTCATCCAGCAGAAAGCATCCTAGAGAAAACTACAATTGATGCAGGAGAAGAAATGAGAACACTTGACAGGAGGAGGAAGATCGTCCCATGTTTGGAAAACCATTGGGGTAGATCTGGCAGTGGGACAGGGAACTGAACAGGGTTCTGTGCCTGTGGATCAAGTGACCATTTCCCCATTTTCCTCAACTCCCATCTACATCAAAGTGCATGGGACTCCTTTTCCTGACAGCCAACTTCTCCCACCCACTCCCTATCTAATAAAGGAAGGGATGATGGAAAGAAGCAGGCCTTCCTGATGGGTTTAGAAAATAATTGCATAGAACAAAGCTATATGTATGTTTTATTATGCATTTGCATTTACAGAAAATCAAAACTTTGAAAAGGCTTATATTCAAGAAGACATATGAAATCACCCAATTAAAAGATAGATGGCAAAGACTCAAAAACTGATTATAGAATTTAATTTAAGAAAAATCAAGAAATACATCAAAGGTATAAATCTGCATTTCCCTGGGGTCTCAATTCAGTGATTCAGCTTCTTTTTAGTAAGTGGGTCAGAAAACTGCTAATCCTGTAATGATTTTGTTCAACTGCACCCAGCTGGTAGATGTATTTCTTGCAGATCTAAAAAAAACAAGTATGTTAAAATTGTCAAAGTTAATGTCAACCCAATATCCAATTGCTTTGTTTATCAACCATGAAACTTGATTGAAAGTCTGTTCTTTTAATTGGCAAGTAGTAACAATGTTGTTTGTATTTTTGAGATGCTGTGTTCCGTGTTGCACATTTCTATGGTATAGCTGATACAATGACACCATATAATAGGGAGTCTCAGGCAGGGCGTGGTGGCTGACGCCTGTAATCCTAGGACTTTGGGAGGCCGAGGCGGGTGGATCACGAGGTCAGGAGTTCGACACCAGCCTGGCCAATATGGTGAAACCCTGTCTCTACTAAAAATACAAAAATCAGCTGAGTGTGGTGGCGCACGCCTGTAGTCCCTAGTCCCTGGTGCTTGGGAGACTGAGGAAGGAGAATCACTGGAACCCGGGAGGCAGAGGTTGCAGTGAGCTGAGATCGCGCCACTGCACTCCAGCCTGGGTGACAGAATAAACTCCGCCTCAAAAAAAAAAAAAAATAGGGAGTCTCATACTGGATGAAATTCAACAGGACAAACCGGTTACACTACAATATGAGGGCAAATATAGGAGCTGATGTATTGGCCTTGTGAAAACAGCTCAGGTTTGAAAACAAAAAACAAAAGGCATAAGTCATCATAGAGAAGCTTTTTTTTTTTTTTTTTTTTTTTTTTTTTCTGAGACGGAGTCTTGCTCTGTCGCCCAGACTGGAGTGCAGTGGCCTGATCTCAGCTCACTGCAACCTCTGCCTCCCAGGTTCAGTGATTCTCCTGCCTCAGCCTCCCGAGTAGCTGGGATTACAGGCGCGCACCACTATGTCCAGCTAATTTTTTTGTATTTTTGGTAGAGACGGGGTTTCACCATGTTGGCCAGGCTGGTTTCGAACTCCTGACCTCATGATCTGCCTGCCTCGAACTCCCAAAGTGCTGGAATTACAGGCGTGAGCCACCGCGCCTGGCCTTTTTTATTTTCCCCCTTCTTTCTTTCCCTTCCTTCCTTCTGGCCTTTTTTCCCCTTCCCTTCCCTCCCTCCCTCCCTCCCTCCCTCCCTCCCTCTCTCCCTCTCTCCCTCCCTCCCTCTCTCCCCTCCTCCCTTCCTTCATCTCTTTTTTTTTTTTTTTTTGAGACGGAGTCTCACTCTGTTGCCCAGGCTGGAGTGCAATGGCGTGATCTTGGCTCACTACAACCTCTGCCTCCTGGGTTCAAGCAGTTCTCCTGCCTCAGCCTCCTGAGTAGCTGGGATTACAGGTGCATGCCACCACGCCCGGCTAATGTTTTTGTGTTTTTAGTAGAGAGAGGGTTTCACCATGTTGATCAGGCTGGTCTCGAACTCCTGACCTCGTGATCTGCCTGCCTCGGCCTCCCAAAGTGCTGGGATTACAGGCATGAGCCACCGTGCCCAGCCCCTGTTTTTGTTTTTGAGATGAAGTCTCATTCTGTCACCCAGGCTGGAGTGCAGTGGCACAATCTCGACTCACTGAAGCCTCTGCCTCCCAGGTTCAAGCAATTCTCCTGCCTCAGTCTTCCCAGTAGCTGGGACTATAGGCATGTGCCACCATGCCCAGCTAATTTTTGTATTTTTGGCAGTGATGGTGTTTCACCATGTTGGCCAGGCTTGGTCTTGAACTCCTGAACTCAAGTGATCCACCTGCTCAGCCTCCCAAAGTGTTGGGATTACAGGCATGAGCCACCACACCTGGCCCCATCTTAACCATTTTTAGGTGTAGTTCATTAGTTAGGGATATTCATATTGTTGTGCTACCGTCACCAAAATTCATACACAGAACTCTTTTCATATTGCAAAACTGAAATTCTGGCCGGGCGCGGTGACTCACGCCTGTAATCCCAGCATTTTGGGAAGCTGAGGCGGTCGGATCATCTGAGGTCAGGAGTTCGTGACCAGCCTGGCCAACGTGGTGAAACCCTGTTTCTACTAAAAATACAAAAATTAGCCGGGCGTGGTGGTGTGTGCCTGTAGTCTCAGCTACTCGGGAGTCTGAGGCAGGAGAATCACCTGAACCTGGGAGGCGGAGGTTACAATGAGCTGAGATCGTTCCATTGCACTTCAGCCTGGGCAACAAGAGTGAAACTCCATCTCAAAAAAAAAAAAAAAAAAAAAGAAACCTGAAATTCTGTCCCCATTAAACAGTAACTCCCCTTTTCCTTTTCCCTCCAGCCCTGACAACCACCATTCTACTTTCTGTCTCTAGGAATTTGAGTCTAGGTACTTCATATATAAGTGGAATTATACAGTATTTGCCCTTTTGTGACTGGCTTATTTCAATTAGCATAATGTCCTAGAGGTTCAACCATATTGCAGCATATGTCAGAATTTCCTTCCTTTTTAAGACTAAATAGTATTCCATTGTATGTGTATATCGTAGTTTATCAGTTTGTCTGTCATGAACACTTGGGTTGCTTCTACTTCTTTTTTTTTTTTTTTTGAGATGGAGTCTCACTCTGTCACCCAGGCTGGAGTGCAGTGGCGCAATATTGGCTCACTGCAAGCTCCACCTCATGGGTTCACGCCATTCTCCTGCCTCAGCCTCCCGAGTAGCTGGGACTACAGGCACCCACCACCATGCCTGGCTAATTTTTTTGTATTTTTAGTAGAGAGGGGGGTTTCACAGTGTTAGCCAGGATGGTCTCGATCTCCTGACCTCGTGATCCGCCCACCTTGAGCTCCTAAAGTGCTGGGATTACAGGCGTGAGCCACCCGCCCGGCCGCTTCTATGTTTTGACTAGTGTGAACAATACAGCTATGAACATGGGTGTTCAGATATCTCTTGAGTCCTGCTTTCTATTGGTTTTATACTCAGAAGTAGAATAGCCAGATCATATGGTCATTCTACTTTTTCTTTCTTTCTCTTTTGAGACAGGGTCTCACTCTGTCCCTCAGGCTGGACTGCAGTGATGCGATCATATCTCACTACAGCTTCTGCCTCCTGGACTTAAGTGATCCTCCCACCTCAGCCTCCCGAGTGGCTGGGACCACAGGCATGTGCTAGCAAATCAGATTTCATTTTTTTTTTTTTTGAGATGGAGTCTCACTCTGTTGCCCAGGCTGGAGTGCAGTGGCACAATCTTGGTTCACTGCAACCTCCACCTCCCGGGTTCAAGCAATTCTCCTGCCTCAGCCTCCCGAGTAGCTGGGATTACAGGTGCCCACCATCACACCCGGCTAATTTTTTTGTATTTTTATAGAGACGGGGTTTCACTATGTTGGCTAGGCTGGTCTCGAACTCCTGACCTCATGATCCGCCTTCCTCAGCCTCCCAAAGTGCTGGGATTACAAGCGTGAGCCACCACGTCTGGCCCCAAAATCAGATTTCTAAGACTTTCAGACCATGGCCAGGCACATAACAACTACTATATAAATGTTGAATCTTGTTATTGATGACAAATTCTCCAAGGTATTATTACCTTATGAAATCTCTTAATAGGCAAAGTCTGACCTCATAGAGCACATAGGCAAGCTTCTTTTCTGTTGAAATCTGCATAATTCTGTGTGTGTGTGTGTGTGTGTGTGTGTGTGTGTGTGTGTGTGTGTGTGTGGTGGGGGAATGACAGGGTCTCATCATGTAGCCCAGGGTGGCCTCAAACTCCTGGGCTCAAGCAGTCCTCCTACCTCAGGCTCCCAAGTAGCTGAGACTACAGGCACACCACTATGCCCAGCTTGCACAACTTTTTTTTTCTTCTTCTTTTAGACAGGGTCTCACTCTGTTGCCCAGGCTGAAGTGCAGTGGCACAAACGTGGCTCACTGCAGCCTCAACCTCCTGGACTCAAGCAGTTCTCCTGCCTTGGCCTCCCAAATTGCTGGGATTTATAGGCATAAGCCACTGCACCCGGCCCCAGCTTGCATAACTCTTATTCTCAAAGTATAAATAAAATTGTGAAGGATTCATCTGGGCATGGTGGCTCATGCCTGTAATCCCAACACTTTGGGAGGCCGAGGCAGGTGGATCACCTGAGGTTAGGAGTTCGAGACCAGCCTGGCCAACACAGCAAAACCCCATCTCTACTAAAAATACAAAAATTAGCTGGGTGTGTGGCGGGCACCTGTAGTCCAGCGACTTGGGAGGCTGAGGCAGGAGAATCGCTTGAACCTGGGAGGCAGAGGTTGCCGTGAGCCGAGATCATGTCACTGCACTCCAGCCTGGGTGACAGAGTGAGACTCCGTCTCAAAAAAAAAAAAACATTATGAAAGATTTATTTTGGTTGTCTTCTCACCTCTTCTTTTGGTGCCTCTTCCCCTGCTTCCAAGCACGCTACACCCTCCAGATTTTCTACTATGGTGAGACAAATCACCCCCAACCCCAGGTAGTACCCTAAGATCCGGGCTTCCCACAACCCAGTAAAGTTACTGTTTGAGAAATTTATGATGTCAGTAAAGACATTTATGATGTCAATATGAGAAATTTATTGATGTCAATGCAGTCATTACTGATAACGGCTGTGGATTACATATGCATATGTTTTAACCTTCCTAGAAATTTATTGTCAACATCCAAAGCAAAGCTCTTAAGTTGTAGAATTTAATTGACTGAGAGAGGCCAAAAGGGACAAAACTTTTAGGTCATACGAGGCCTGTTTGTTGTCACTTTGTCTGTTGTTTTCTCTATTGTCCCTTTTAAGAATTCTGGGCCAAGGCTGAGCACGGTGGCTCACGCCTGTAATCCCAGCACTTTGGGAGGCCAAGGAGGGCGGATCACCTGAGGTCAGGAGTTCAAGACCAGCCTGGCCAACATGGTGAAATCCCATCTCTACTAAAAATACAAAAATTAGCCAGGCTTGGTGGTGCATGCGTGTAATCCCAACTACTTGGGAGGCTGAGGCAGGAGAATCACTTGAACCCAGCAGGTAGAGGTTGTAGTGAGCTGAGATCTTGCCACTGCACTCCAGCCTGGGAGACAGAGGGAGACTCTGTCTCAAAAAAAAAAAAAAAAAAAAAAAAAAAAAGAAAAGAAAAAGAAATTATAGGCCAATGACAGAAAGAGAATTTTATGCCATTTTCAGGAGTTTGGATGAGACTGGGGAAATTCTGGGGCTAAATTAGGGGATCAGGCATGGGTGATAACCACTATATAAGATATTTCAGGGCTTGGGGGGCAGAAATAATAACATGAAATGAAGCTGATCAAAGCCTGGGACAGGCACTGACTGAATGAATGAAGCTGATCAAAGCCTGGGACAGGCACTGACTGTTTCTACTGGAGCAAAATCAGGCTTGGCCCAGGGGAACCGAAGCAGGGAGCTGGACTAGTCGCCATTTATTTTGTTACTAATTATGTGTTAATACATGACACCAAAACGAGCCAATGGTTCAGAGACTCACAAAATATGGATAAAATTGCTAAATGGAACTTACAAAGAAAATGTGAGTGAATAGGATTATCTAACCTGAGAGAAGTAATAACATACTCTGTTATTTTATAGAAGGTGGTGATCAATTACTCTTTTCTTTTTTTTTTTTTAGATGAAGTCTTGCTCTGTCGCCCAAACTGGAATGCAGTGGCCCAAGCTCGGCTCACTGCAACCTCCACCTCCTGGGTTCAAGCAATTTCCAGCTAATTTTTTGTATTTTTAGTAGAGACAGGGTTTCACCATGTTGGCCAGGCCGGTCTCGAACTCCTGACCTCAAGTGATCCACCTGCTTCAGCCTCCCAAAGTGCTAGGATTACAGGTGTGAGTCACTGTGCCCAGCCTCAATTACTCTTTAATTGCACTGAAGGATTTTATTAAATATCAAAGAACATTCTCTGAAATGCTGGTTGCCAGACACTAGAATTATTATTTATTTTATTTTATTTATTTTTGAGGCAGGGTCTCACTCTGTCATTCAGGCTGGAGTGCAGTGGCACAATCATGGTTCACCACAGCCTTGACCTCCCAGGCTCAGGTGATCCTCCCACTTCAGCCTCCTAAGAAGCTAGGACTACAGGTGCCCACCACCACGCCTGGCTAATTTTTGTATTTTTTGTAGAGACCAGGTTTCACCATGTTGCCCAGGCTGGTCTTGAACTACTGGGTTCAAGCGATCCACCTACCTTGGCATCCCAGAGTGCTGGGATTACAGGCATGAGCCACTAAGCCCAGTCCAGACACTAGAATTATTTACCGACTTTACAGGCTGTGGGCTGCTTTTAAAAATTGGGGTGGTAGGCTCGAATGTGGTTTAAATAGGATGGTTTGGGTGTGGTTCTGATGAACGTCCAGATTTGAATAAATGATACACAAATAAGCTTATCATTCTATTATAATTAACCATAAAAGCAGAATTTAATCTGTGATGACTTAAGCTTATCTGCTATATTGGTAATTTACGTCAACCTGTAGTAACAATATTTACAGAAAGTTCTTGCCTTTAATTTAACACTTAGGTTATTACGGTAACTGGGCTTCTTTGAGATGTCTAAAAATAAATCTGGATAGTTTGTTTCAGTGAGAGGAAGTTTTGAAAGTGAAAAGTGAAGGATACAATTTTATATCAAAGACAGCTGCAACTTCCATGTTAAAAATTACTTTTCTTTTTATACGAATGGAATTTGACTCAAAGGCTAAGATTAAGTCTGCAGGACTCAAGCTAGGTTGTGGAATCTCATTAGACTCTTGTGTAATACAGGTTCCAAATTTGGTGTGACCACAAACTGTTACTATAGGAAACCGACCTTTGACAATTTCCTAAGGAAGGAAGGAGCTTTTTGTTTGTTTGTTTGCTTGTTTGTTTGTTTTTGAGACAGGGTCTCACGCTGTCGCCCAGCCTGTAGTAGTACAGTGGTGAGATCACAGCTCACTGCAGCCTCAACCTCCCAGGCTCAAGCGATCATCCCACCTCAGCTTCCGAGTAGCTGGGGCTACAGGTGCGAGGGGAAGCTTTTCTATTTTGAAGCTACCTGGAGAAGAGTGAAGAGTACATTACTTGTATGGGCCCGGGCTGCCAACCTCACTTGCTTTTTGTTCACTTTTCTCCTGAAGTTCTCCATGACTGGTACCCACTTTTGGGTGGTTGCAAATACAGGAATCAAAGGAGAAAGAGCAGAAAAATTCAATGAGGAAATTGTTTGAGTAGGCTGTCAAATCAGCAGCAACTGTCTCAGTAAGCTAGGAAGCTTTTACAAGATCAGAAACTCAGAAACCTAAATTTTTCAACCTGGCATTTTTTTTTCTTGCTTTTGGTATTTCATTTGTTTATTGGAATATCTTCTTTTGAAAATGACAGATGATCTCACTTTTGCTAAAGGGAATGTTTTAAGTTTGTCCATGGTTAGGCCAATGTTGAAAGGGAGAACTGTGGAGAAAGTCAGAGATGTACTGGGTTTTCTTGTTTGTGTTCCATTATTATTTGCCAATTTCTTTTTCTTACTGAAATGAACCTCAGGCAAATCATCTAAGGTATAGAACCATAATACGAAACTGAGAACAGGTACAGCAGCACATACAATTGCTCTCACAAAAATGGATATCCCAAGAAGATAATTTTACCAAAGTTGGTATCCTACAGCTCACTAAAAATTGAAACCTAACAATGTAACCTTTAGGGTTGACTGATCTTTTCAGAACACATTCTTGAGAGGTCCCGCATAATCATCTAGTATCATTACAAATGCTGGTTAAAAATTAGTCTTTTACCAGCCTCAGCAGCATGGCAAAACTCTGTCTCTACAAAAAATAGAAAAAATTAGCCAGGCATGCTGGTATGTACCTGTAGTTCCAGCTACTTTGGGGACTGAGGTGGGAGGGCTGCTTGAGCTCAGGAGGTTGAGGCTGCAGTGAGCTGCGTTCGTGCCACTGCACTCCAGCCTGGACAGCAAAGTGAGACCCTGTCTCACAAAATAAATTTGTTTTTTAGCTGGCTGGCTAAAAAAGCTGGTGGTTCACTGCTGTAATCCCAGCTATTTGGGAGGCTGAGGCAGGAGGATCACTTGAGGCCAGGAGTTTGAGACGATCCTGGGCAACATAATTAGACTCCTCATCTCAAAAAAAAAAAAAAAGGTAAAAATAATTATCTGGGAGAACTGCCATGCGCCTGTAGACCCAGCTACTCAGGAGGCTGAGGCAGGAGGATTGCATTACTGCACCCTAGCTTGGACGACAGAGTGAGACCCTGTCTCTAAAAAAAATGAGTCTTTTGCGGTATGAAGATCTTTCTGTTATTTATTTTTTAGCCTTCTTCCCAACTACCCATGGTACAATTCTGCTATTTTAGGAAGCATGAATACGATTTTGCCATTAATGTATTCAGTATCAATTATCCACTCGCACATAGCTCTGTGTGGGTGAATTTCCGAGTTAAGAATTTCCTTAAGAAAATGAATTCTAAGGTTTTAAGTTTACTTTGATCACTTTCCCATTCCAGCTGGCTACCTGCAGTGAAGTAAAGCTCAAAAGACCTGACACCTCTTTCAACTTTTGGCTTGAGTCATGCCGATTAGGTTTAACCTTAACAAAAACAGAAGAAATAAACCCTGAAGTGTATGTGTTCTTCCAAATTTATAGATCCTAGACCAGAAGCCTGAGTTATTTTTTAAAAATTCATAAGGAGCACACTTTTCATTTTTCTGCTGTTTGAAATCTGAGGCTGCCTGGGTGCAGTGGCTCACGCCTGTAATCCCAACACTTTGGGAGGCCAAGGCGAGTGGATCACTTGATGTTAGGAGTTCGAAACCAGCCTGGCCAACATGGTAAAACCCCATCCCCACTAAAAATACAAAACTTAGCCAGGTGTGGTGGCGCGGGCCTGTAGTCCTGGCTACTTGGGAGATTGAGGCAGGAGAATCGCTTGAACCCGGGAGGCGGAGCTTGCAGTGACCGGAGATCATGCCACTGCATTCCAGCCTGGGTGACAGAGCAAGACTCTGTCTCAAAAAAAAAAAAAAAAAAAAAAGAAAAGAAAGAAAGAAAAGAAAAAAATCTAAGGCATTGCTTAGTGTAGATCTACAACTGGGCAACAAAATGATGTACGATTAGATTCTTGGCAAAATGTTCTTAACTCTGCCCAACCTCCCCACCCAGCGTTTTTCTCTCCCTTGCCAGCTCCTGTTTTTCCCTCATCACTCCAAAGATACCCTCACTGGCTTCAGTATGATTTAGTGAGCTGGTCTGTCTCTTTTAATGTCTTTGTTTTTTTTGAGATGGAGTCTCGCTCTGTCACCAGGCTGGAGTGCAGTGGCGCGATCTCGGCTCATTGCAACCTCTGACTCCCAGGTTCAAGCAATTCTCTTGCCTCAGCCTCCCGAGTAGCTGGGATTACAGGCATGTGCCACCACGCCTGGCTAATTTTTGTATTTTTAGGAGAGATGGGGTTTCACCATGTTGGCCATGATGGTCTCGATCTCCTGACCTCGTGATCTGCCTGCCTCGGCCTCCCACGGTGCTGGGATTACAGGCATGAGCCACCGAGCCTGGCATTTATTTATTTATCTATTTATTTTGAGACAGGGTCTTGCTCTGTTGCCCAGGCTAGAGTGCAGTGGTGCAATCTCAGCTCACTGCAGCCTGAACCTCCTGGGCTCAAGCAATCCTCCCACTTCAGCCTTTCAAGTAGCCGAGACTACAGGCTCATGCCAACATGCCCAGCTAAGTTTTGTATTTTTCTGTAGAGATGGGGTTTCACTGTGTTGCCCAGACTCATCTTGAACTTCTGGGCTGAAGCGATCCACCAGTCTTGGCCTCCCAAAGTGCTGGGATTACAGGTGCGAGCCACTGTGCCCGGCCTAATGTCTCATTTAATGAGCCTGTCTCTTAGCCTTATTTTCTTTCATCATAAAGGCTGTTTCTCAAAGTCCTGTTTGTAATTAACTAACCTTGGGAGTTGGGATAACAAAAGGTGAAGCAGGTTCCCGCAGCATGTGGGAAATTTCCTTTACGGGTGGTTTCTTTTTCTTTGGTGGAAAAAACAGAAATTATTGGATGGCATATGATGGCTCAAAATTAATCATGAACCAGGTTTTATATTCATCAACCTGACCCAACCAGAGTGTTCGCTTTTTTTGTAGAGACACAGTCTTGTTATGTTGTCCAGGCTGGTTTCGGACTCCTGGCCTTAAGTGATCCTTTTGCCTCAGCCTCCCAAATTGCTGGGATTACAGGTGTGAGCCACTGCGCCTAACCCAGAATGTTCTGATTTATCAGACTTGCCTCTCTATGGAGACAGTAGACAGTTCATCCTCACCTCTATCTGGGCCTAAAAGAAATTAAGCCAATGAGAGATAAGCCCATGTTGGATAAAAACATTGTTGATACAGGCATATCCAAAAGAGTTGAAAGCAGGACCTGGAAGAGATATATACTCATGTTCATAGCAGCATTATTCCCAGTAGCCAAAAGATGGAAGTGAGCCAAGTGTCCCTCGATGGATAAGTGGATATACAAAATGGGGAGATATATATATATATATATATATATATATATATATATATATATATATATATATAAAAGATTCCATCTTAAATATAAGGCAAATTTTAACAAGCTACAATATGGATGAAACTTCATGTCATTATGCTGAGGAAATAAGCCATTCTCAAAAATATTACTATAGCAGGATTCCACTTACACGAGGTATGAAGAGTGGTCAAAATCATAGAGACAGAAAGTAGAATGGCGGTTGCAGGAGTCTGGGGGAAGGGAGAACGGGGAATTCTTGTTAATGGGTGTGGAGTTTCAGATTTGCAAGATGAAAGCACTCTGAAGACTTGCTTCAAAGCAATGTGAATTCACATAACACCACTGAACCGTACGCTTACAAATGGTTAAGATGGGCTGGGCATGGTGGCTCACACCTGTAATCCTAGCACTTTGGGAGGTCGAGGTGGAAGGATTGCTTGAGCCCAGGAGTTCAAGACCAGCCTGAGCAACATAGTGAGACCCTGTCTCTACAAAAAATACAAAAATTACCTGGGCGTGGTGGCTTGTGCCTGTAGTCCCAGCTACTTGGGAGGCTGAAGTGGGAGAATTGCTTGAGCCTGGGTGATTGAGGCTGCAATGAGCTGTGATCATACCACTTCACTCCAGCCTGGGCAATAGGGGGAGACCCTGTCTCAAAAAAGTAAATAAGGCCGGGCGCTGTGGCTCATGCCTGTAATTCCAGCACTTTGGGAGGCCAAGGCGGTTGGATCACTTGAGGTCAGGAGTTCAAGACCAGCCTGGCCAACATGGTGAAACCCCGTTTGGTGAAATCCCAGCTACTCAGGAGGCTGAGGTGGGAAAATCGCTTGAACCTGGGAGTCAGAGGTTGCAGTGAGCCAAGATCATGTCACTGCACCCCAGCCTGGGTGACAGAGCAAGACCCTATCTCAGAAAAAAAGTAAATACATTTTTAAAAATGATTAAGATGGTACATTTTATGTTATGTGTATTTTACCACAATAAAAAAGAAGTCTGGAAAGAGGAGTTGGTGAGGGACAACTCCGATGAGGAGCTGGAGAGGCAAAGAGAGACAAGAATTGAGTCGTGGACACAGATGGGGTTTATTGTGGTTGGCGCCACTCCGATCTCCCCTTTAGGACTGAAGGACTTTTGCCCTAGCCTCTGGGAATGCTGCTGGCAGATGCCACAGTTGCCAGTCTCAGCTGTCAGCCCTTTCTGGAAATTGCCCTTGGCTGAAGAAAGGCATCACACCCAGCATCACATTCAATCTCCCATGGCAGCCTGTATTCAAGGAAAGGCTGAGGCAGAGATAATCAAAGCCTGGTCCTCTTGTCCCAGCAGAGACAGCTCTGATAGATGAGCACAGCTTCAAAGCTCCCTGTGGCATCAGCTGAAATCTAGTTGTGATATATCCCAACTTCTCTTTCTGTCCAATCCTGCTTCCTTCACTTCCCCCACAGATGTTGATGCCGAAAATGCTCCCTAAAAAATGTCCTGCGTGTTAAGCTCTAGAGATGAGAGTCCGAATCATATCACCAGCTAAGACACTAAAGCCAGCAAAGGTAGTAGCTGAGGCTTGGGGAGGCATCTAGAATGGGTAGTGGAGGAAAGGGAGGATGAGTGTGAATTGCAACCTTGAGACCGATCGCAGCAGCAAAGGCTGTGGTTCATCCCAGTAAGCTTCTTTCTCTGAGTTCTTCCTTAGGAAGAGGGGCCCATAGCTGGGTGCGGTGGCTCGTGCCTGTAATCCCAGCACTTAGGGAGGCCGAGGCAGGTGGATCACTTGAGATCAGGAGTTCAAGACCAGCCTGGCCAACATGGTGAAACCTCACCTCTACTAAAAACACAAAAATTAGCCGGGCATGGTGGCGTACACCTATAGTTTCAGCTACTCAGGATGCTGAGGCAGGAGAATCGCTTGAACCCTGGAGGCAGAGGTTGCAGTGAGCTGAGATTGTGCTACTGCACTCCAGCCCAGGTGACAGAGCGAGACTCTGTCTCAAAAAAAAAAAAAAAGGAAGAAGGGCCCACTGGACCCATGGAAGGGAGGGGCTAGTCCCTGAAAGTGTATGGAAACCTGGATCTGTGCACAGCAAGAGGTGGACTCTGGTAGACGCAGACATGGGCTACTCAAATCCTTTAAGGAGGAACTTGCCACCCCGCTGTGGGGAGTGTGGTCAGGAGATGGCCTCCAGCTGGCAGCTCCTTTAGAGTCAGACTCACTTAAGGTCAGACCCTTCCTAGGGCAGCCTGCATCTGGGCTGAAGGATGAGGGCATATAAAGAGATGGCTAGGCTGTGCACAGTGGCTCATGCCTGTAATCCCAGCACTTTGG
The DNA here is from genome assembly GCF_000001405.40 of Homo sapiens. Taxonomy (NCBI): domain Eukaryota; kingdom Metazoa; phylum Chordata; class Mammalia; order Primates; family Hominidae; genus Homo; species Homo sapiens. Next base: position 119,962,303 of record NC_000012.12, on the reverse strand, counting down.
GAGGCCAAGGTGGGAAGATTGCTTGAGCCCAGGAGTTCAGAACCAGCCTGGGCAACATAATGATATCCTGTCACTACAAAAAGTTTTAAAAATTAGCCGAGTGTGGAGGTGCACGCCTTAGTCCTAGCTACTCAAGAGGCTGAGGTGGGAGGATTGCTTGAACCCCAGAGTTCAAGGCTGCAGTGATCTGTGATCGTGCCACTGCATGCCAGCTTGGGCAACAGAGTGAAACCCTGTCTCAGAAAAACAAAAAAAGTTTAAAAAAAAAAAGAGAGAGAGAGAGAGAGAGAGAGAGATGGCTATCTTGGCCCAGGAGCTTCCTGCTGGGTTGACCAATACTCTGTTAGGCTTGCATTGCAGACTGACTTTTTCCATTCTTTAAACACCTTGCCCCCCAAACTCCTTCTGATTGTCTGTGTCCTGAGACCCCAACCTGCAACACAGGACAGATACTTTAGTTGGTTTTTTTTTTTTTTTGGTTTTGTTTTATTTTGTTTTGCATTACTATCTGAGGAAGCCAAGTTGATATTCTTTTTTTTTTTTTTTTTTTTTTTTGAGACAGAGTCTCACTCTGTCACCCAGGCTGGAGTACAGTGGTATGATCTTGGCTCACTGCAACCTCTGCCTCCCAGGTTTTAGCAACTGTCCTGCCTCAGCCTCCGGAGTAGCTGAGATTACAGGCACATGCTGCCGCACCCGGCTAATTTTTTGTATTTTACTAGAGACAGGGTTTCACCATGTTGCCCAGGCTGGTCTCGAACTCCTGAGCTCAGGCAATCCACCCGCCTTGGCCTCCAAAGCAAGTTGGTATTCTTAACCTATCTCATTGTCTATCACATTGTAGGAGTTCAATAAATGTTGCATAAATAAATCAAATTCAAAAATATTTATTGAGTAACCACTATGTAAAAGGCCATATGCTGGTTAAACAAAAAGAATAAGACATTATATCTTCAATGCGTCTGGCTGCCTGACGCCCTCACAGCTTGCAGTGTGGGGCCATGAACATAGTGGCCATGACGGGAGGGATGGAGACCATGTGTGGATCCAACAACATGGGTCCACCAAGGATGCTCTAGGTTTGCCGTTGCTAAGTATCCAGCTGCTGGCAGGAGGGCTCAATATGGTACCAATCTTCAGAGAGATCAGCATGGCCACCAGGTGGTAGGTCCAGGACATCTGTCTGACCCCTCTCCCCTTGGAGAATTAGAAATTTATCCTTTTAAGCTTTAAATGTATCCTTTAAGCAGGTTTGCCTCCCCTTTCCAAGTGTCTCTACTAGCACCAGCATCTGGTGGACTGCAGATGTCATATAGTGGCATACTATCTGTATTAGTCTGTTCTCACGCTGCTAATAAAAACATACCCAAGATTGGGTGATTTATAAAGGAAAGAGGTTTAATGGACTCACAGTTCCACATGGCTGGGGAGGCTTCACAATCATGATGGAAGGCAAAGGAGGAGCAAAGTCACGTCTTACATGGTGGCAGGCAACAGAGAAAATGTGCAGGGGAACTCCCGTTTATAAAACCATCAGATCAGCCAGGCGCGGTGGCTTATGCCTGTAATCACAGCACTTTGGGAGGCCAAGGTGGACGGATCACCTGAGGTCAGGAGTTCCAGATTAGCCTGGTCAACATGGAGAAACCCTGTCTCTACTAAAAATACACAATTAGCCAGGCATGGTGGTGCATGCCTGTAATCCCAGCTACTCAGGAGGCTGAGGCAGGAGAATCACTTGAACCTGGGAGGTGGAGGTTGCAGTGAGCCGAGATCTCACCACTGCACTCCAGACTGGACAATAGAGCAAGACTCTGTCTCAAAAAAAAAAAAAAAGGCCGGGTGCAGTGGCTCATGCCTGGAATCCCAGCACTTTGGGAGGCTGAAGCAGGTGGATCACCTGAAGACGGGAGTTCGAGACCAGCCTGACCAATATGGAGAAACCCCATCTCTACAAAAAATACAAAAAAAATTAGCCGGCCAGGCCTGGTGGCACATGCCTCTAATCCCAGCTACTTGGGAGGCTGAGGCAGGAGAATTGCTTGAACCCAGGAGGCAGAGGTTGTGGTGAGCCGAGATTGTGCCATTGCACTCCAGCCTGGGCAACAAGAGCAAAACTCTGTCTCAAAAAATAAAAATGAAAATAAAAACAAACAAAACCATCATATCTCATGAGACTTACTACCATGAGAACAGTGTGGGGGAAACTGCCCTCATGATTCAATTATTTCCACCTGCCCCCACCCTTGACACTTGGGGATTATTATAATTCAAGGTGAGATTTGGGTGGGAACACAGCCAAACCATATCACTATCACACACAATCTTGGGAACCAAGAGACCCCTTTTACAGCAAAGAAAGTGTGGTGTGATGTGATAAGGGGCCTATGGCCATGGGCTTCACTAGTCTTAACCATGTACCTATCACTCAGAAATAACTGGTCTGATAGAATAATGGGATGGCCTATTGTATTAACTGTATGTTTCTGATTTTTTTTTTTTTACAAGAGCACAAATCCACTTTTATTTATTTAGTTTTCATTAGTTTAAATATTTGAAGGGTACAGCATCACATGGATTCCATGTCTAGTGGCTTTAGCAGGAAGTTTGCTTTGGAATTTGGCACAAACCACGCCACTGTTTCCATAGGTCTGAGTTACCTTTCCCCAGATTACTCTGGTTTGGTTCGGTTTGCCACCAGGAGTCACTGTGTTATTCTTTGCTTTGTATAAATAAGCAGACCTCTTGCCCAAACAGAATTCAGTTTCATCTTGGGCATAAACATCTTCAATTTTAAGGAGAGCTGTGTGCTCCCTTTGGTTCCAGAGACCCTGCTTATAGCCAGCAAAAATGGCCTTAGGACCACAGCCTTCCAGACATATTTGCCTTTTAGAAGTCCTGTTCCCAGGTGGGGCACAGTGGCTCACGCCTATAACCCCAGCACTTTGGGAAGCTGAGGTGGGCAGATCACCTGAGGTCAGGAGTTCGAGACCAGCCTGACCAACATGGAGAAACCCCGTGTCTACTAAAAATACAAAAATTAGCTGAGCGTGGTGGTGCTCGCCTGTAGTCCCAGGTACTTGGGAACCTGAGGCAGGAGAATCGCTTGAACCCGGGGAGGTGGAGGTTGCAATGAGCCGAGATTGTGCCACTGCACTCCAGCCTGGGTGACAGAGTGAGACTGTCTCAAAAAAAAAAAAAAAGATTGAGTCACTCTGGTTCAAATGCCTCTGACACTGGTGCTTCCCCTATGTGGCCATGTGGCCATGTATGGCCTGGTGTGCCCCCTCCTCTTGGGCCTAGTGAGACACTATCTTTTCAATGTCAATTGCCTCCTATATTGGCCTCACCGTATTTGCATAATAATAAAATCTACATTTAATAGCATCTGTTGAAGGCCCAATTAATGTGCTGGAGAAGTATATCTTGCAGGATAGGTGCTATCTTTTTTTTTTGACACAGAGTCTCACTCTGTCACCCAGGCTAGAGTACAGTGGTGGGATCTTGGCTTACTGCAACTTCTGCCTCCCGGCCTCAAACGATTCTCATGCCTAAGCCTCCTGAGTAGCTGGGATTGCAGGCGTGCGCCACCACACCCGGCTGATTTTTGTATTTTTAGTAAAGACGGGGTTTCACCATGTTAGCCAACCTGGTCTCAAACTCCTGGCCTCAAGTGATCTCCCTGCCTTGGCTTCCCAACGTGTTGGGATTACAGGCGTGAGCCAATGCACCCAGCTATGGGCTATCTTGAAGGATGTGGCTTATTCCTTGAGCTAACAAGTAATATACTATACTATGCCTCTCTAGTTAGTATATTGGGGTTGGGAAACAGGGGCTGACCTTTCTCACAATTGCACCCAGTGACCCACTTGCAGATTTTGTGCTTCTCATCCCTGTAACCTTGGGCTCTGTAGGATAAGAGTTTCTAATTTCTGGAAGAACTCTTAGGCCTGGGGACACAGTAAGCATTCCATTGAATTGGATGCTGCGACTATATAGTACTTAGTTTGAGTTCCTCGTATTATTGAAGTGACAAGCAGAGAAGGGAGTTACTGCACTGCCTGGGATAATCATTTCTGATTGTTCTGGGGAATTAAGGTAGCTGCTTCACAACAGGGGCAGGAGACAAAATGTCTGGAACCCAGAAGATTCACTAGTGTATCATTTGATATTTTCATGCTTGGGATGACTGTTAATGGGCAGTTACAACAACTGTGAGCTCGCAAGGGTTCCTAAACACCTATACTCCTTGGGGATGAATGTCTGGGTAACCCCAACTGGGTCATGGAAGACAGAGATGATAAATTTCAATTATGAAACACTTTTGCAAAAATTATAGCAGTGAGAAAATTGTGACAGTGAAAGAGATCTGATCTAACCAACCCCCATCTTGCCTTTAACCTCTGAACTGACCTTAATCATTCCTGGGATTGGGTCAAGCTAACTTTGGGAGACATTTAGTTTATTGTTTACATGGCAATTGCCCTTCTCTCAAACTAAACCACTTTGTAAAGCTAATGAAAGACCGCTAGAATAGGCGCATGAGGGGAGCCTGACTTCTGCTAAGATCTAGGTGTAAATGATTGCTGGCCATTATTCCAGAGGTCACAAGATTTGCCACTTCCCCAATGACTCCTGCAGATAACCTCACTATTGTAGAACCTAAGATTGTCCTTTTGAGATGTCTTTTCAGGTTTTTGCATTTCTGGCAACAAATGGTTCCACCCAGACCTGCCAATGGGTCATGCGGCCGCACCCAGAAGTGGACTCAGCATGCACAAGGACCATTTTCCACACCCCTATGATTGCATCCCCAACTAATCAGTAGTATCCATTCCCTGGCCAACCAAACTATCCTTGAAAAGTCAACCCCCAAATCTTTGGAGAGATTGATTTGAGTAGTAAAACTCTAGTCTCTCATTCAGCTGGCTCTGTGCGAATTAAACTCTTTCTCTATTGCAATTCCCCTGTATTGATAAATTGGCTCTATTTGGGCAGAAGGTAAAATGAACCCATTGAGTGGTTACAATTGTGGCCCTAGAACTAGCTATAGCAGTAGAGACTGTGTATCAATTTCCTCTTGGTGCTATAACAAATTATCATAACTTAATGGCTTAAAACAATGCACATTAATTTTCTTCTAGTTCTATAGTCCAGAAGTTCAACATGGATTTCACTGGACTAAAATCAAGGTGCCACTAGGGCTGTATTTCTTTTTGGAGGCTCTAGTGGAGAATCCGTTTCCTTGCCTTTTCCAGCTTCCAAAGGCTGCCCCCATCCCTTGGCTAGTGGCCCCTTCTCCATCTGCAAAGCCAGCAATGAAGCATCACTCTGGCCCTTCTGTTGTCATGTCTGTCTCTGAACACAGCTGGGAAAGATTCTCTGATTTTAGGGACGAATGTGATTAGATTGGGCCCACCTGGATAATTCAGAATATTCTTCCCTGGGTGCAGTGGCTTATGCCTGTAATCCCAGCACTTTGGGAGGCTAAGGTGGGCAAATCACCTGAGATCAGGAGTTCGAGACTAGCCTGACCAACATGGAGAAACCCTGTCTCTACTAAAAATACAAAATTAGCTGGGCATGGTGGCGCATGCCTGTAATCCCAGCAACTCAGGAGGCTGAGGCAGGAGAATCACTTGAACCCGGGAGGCAGAGTTTGCAGTGAGCTGAGATCGCACCAGTGCACTCCAGCCTGGCCAACAAGGGCGAGACTCTGTCAAAAAAAAAAAAAGAAAAAAAGAAAGAACTCTTCCCAGATTCCGTCGATTATCTTCTTTCTTCTCTACTAGTCAGCACCCTATCCACACTGAATTACCTCTCTACTTCTGGATTTGTAATGCCACGCCATTGGAATTTGCCAGCCTGGATGGCTGCAAGGTGCTAGGTTACACAACCAAAGAGTATAGGGGAGTTAGTTTCCCCAGGGATGAATCTTGGCCACTGAGAAATGGAAGATAGGAGAGAGCTAAGCAAATACATTCCTTCTCCTTTCTCACTTGTGAGGATCTGTTCCTAGATGTGGCTCCTCCTCGTGGTCTCTCTGGAAAAGACTATGCACCAAGCAAACAAGGCTGGTGAGTAACCTGCTGTGCAGGATTGGGATTGGTGGCCAGTACGGCAATATTATACGACCAACAGGCTCATGTGCCTGATGTACAGTAACATACTAATTACACTGAGACAGTAGGGCTTGCAGCAGAGAAAGAGTGTAATGGTTGCAGGGCAGCCAAGGAAGGAGATGAAAGGAGACAGTCAAATCCATCTCCTCAAGGAGTTCTGGGCTGGGGTTTTTAAGGGGATCATGGAATTTGGGGTCATTGATCAGGGTAAGGGGGATAAAATCATCAGTACATGGAAACTGAATTCTTTTGTGACTCAGTTCCATTGGGGTCCTTCAGTACAGCTGATGTTAGTAATTTCACTGGTATGCAGAACCTGAAAGAATATCTCAAAGGGAAAACTTAACATTTCATCATGTTCAAGTTGTTACCTGTAGAGCAGTTAAGGGGAACTATAATTTTTTTTGTTTGTTTTGAGACAGAGTCTCGCTCTGTTGGCCAGGCTGGAGTGCAGTGGCACGATCTTGGCTCATTGCAACCTCTGCCTCCCAGGCTCAAGTAATTCTCCTGCCTCAGCCTCCCGAGTAGCTGGGATTACAGGTGTGCACCACCACTCCTGGCTAATTTTTTTATTTTTAGTGGAGACGGGATTTCACCATGTTGGCCAGGCTGGTCTCAAAATCCTGACCTCAGGTAATCCACCCACCTCGGCCTCCTAAAGTGCTGGGATTACAGGCATGAGTCACCGTGCCCAGCTGGGAACTATAATCTTTTAACTGGGTATATACGATTCTAGGACAATAGGAGACAAACAGCTATGAGGAAGCAGGTCAGAGACCAAGCTACCTAATGATTAGTGCTGAGTGTGCTGCAAACTTGGTTTATTTTCATCTCTCCTTCTCTCTCCCTGAATAAATCTTTTTTTTTTTTTTAATTGAGACAGAGTCTCGCTCTGTTGCCCAGGCTGGAGTGCAGTGGAGGAATCTCGGCTCACTGCAAGCTCCGCCTCCCGGGTTCACGCCATTCTTCTGCCTCAGCCTCCCGCGTAGCTGGGACTACAGGTGCCCATCACCTCGCCCAGCTAATTTTTTTTCGTATTTTTAGTAGAGATGGGGTTTCGCTATGTTAGCCAGGATGGTCTCGATCTCCTGACCTCGTGATCCACCCACCTCAGCCTCCGAAAGTTTTGGGATTACAGGTGTGAGCCACTGTGCCCAGCCTGATTAAATCTTTTTTTTGGAACAGGGTCCCCCTCCGTTACCCAGGCTGTAGTGCACCATCATGGCTTACTGCAGCCTTGACCTCCCAGGCTCAAGTGATCCTCCCACCTCAGCTTCCCAAGTAGCTGGGACTACAGGTGTGAGCCACCATGCTCAACTAATTTTTTTATTTGTTGTAGAGATGGAGTCTCCGTATGTTGCCCAGGCTGGTTTTGAACTCTTGGGCTCAAGCAATTCTGTCTTGACCTCCCAAAGTGCTGGGATTATAGGTGTGAGCCACTCCATCTGGTCCCTTGATTAATTTTATAAAGTTCACAGGGAAAGTTTTGGAAACACATCATTTTTTTTATTTTTTTATTTATTTATTTTTTTGAGACAGAGTCTACCTCTGTCTCCCAGGCTGGAGTGCAGTGGCGCAATCTTGGCTCACTGCAACCTCTGCCTCCTGGGTTCAAGCTTTTTTCCTGCCTCAGACTCCTGAGTAGCTGGGATTACAGGCACATGCCACCACACCCCGCTAATTTTTGTGTTATTAGTAGAGACAGGGTTTCACCCTGTTGGTCAGGCTAGTTTCAAACTCCTGACCTGAAGTGATCCCTCGGCCTCGGCCTCCCAAAGTCCTGGGACTATAGGCATGAGCCACCGTGCCTGGCCAACACATCACATTGATTTGTATTTCACCTCACCTCTTTCCTCTTTTCTTCCTCATTCTCACCTCTATAGGCTTTCAACTGCTAAATAAAGTGTTAGCACTTCAATCTTGTCTCAGGCTCTGTTTTCTAATCAGGCTAGCAAAGTAGGTCCGAGAAAAATAATTATTTGAGTATGATAAAGGAAAGCTCTATAGTATTAGGCCTCTAGATGCTTAGAAAGAGGGTTGTAAGATTGTAGAGCCACTAAAAAGAAAGGTCCTAAAGACATACCTCTGTGACCTAACACTTCTGTTGAAGTATGCCTCCAGAGTGGAGGTGAAAATGGGGACGTGGCTCAGTCATACGTGACAGTGACACAGAGAAAGTCAGGACAGTAGGAATTCAGAGCCTGGAGAGAGAAGTTCCATGAAGGCTTCCCTCCTATAAGCTACAGCTAGTTTTATTATTTTCTTTTTTTCCATTTATTCATCCATCCACTCATCCTTCCCTCCCTCCCTCCATCCCCTATTTGTTGGGATACCTTCTATGTGCTGGGCACCACACTAGGTTCTAAAGACACAGCATGGAAGGATAAATGATGATCCTTTTCTTCCTGGAGCTCACTGTTTAGCAGAGAAGACAGAAAGGATGCATCTAAATGAGAAGTGCAGGATGTAAGGGGAGAGTTTGTTTTAGAAGTTTTTGGTGCCAAGAAACAGATGGTCTCCTATTACTGTAAGGATATTAATGGAAATAAGGAAGGCAGGGATTTCAAAAGGCTGCCAGTCCTCATGGGAACTCAGGTAAAAGTGTGCAATTCAGCCTCCCTCAGTGTATCAAACCTGAATCCTGCTGGGTTTCTGAATGACTACATCCTGGGCAGGAACCATAAGGCCCTTCAGATCCAACACAGCAATCCCAGCTCTATTATTTCATAGATAAGCTACTGTAACAAACAGACTCCAAAATACAGGGGCTTAAACAAGTTAAAAATTTCTCTTTTTTATGTGCTAGTCCATAGATAGGGTTCAAGGAGATTAGGCTGCTTTTATGGTTTGAATATTTTTTCTCTTCAAAACTCATGTTGAAATTGAATCCCCAAAGTGGCAGTATTGAGAGTCTTTAAGAGATTCTTGGGTCAGATTAATCCTTTCATGGATTAATAAATTAATGGGTTAATGGGTTATCATGGGAGTGGAACTGATGACTTTATTTATTATTATTATTATTGAGATGGAGTCTCACTCTGTCGCTGAGGCTAGAGTGCAGTGGCACCATCTCGGTTCACTGCAACCTCCGCCTCTCGGGTTTAAGCGATTCTCCTGCCTCAGTCTCCTGCGTAGCTGGGATTACAGGCATGCGCCACCATGCCTGGCTAATTTTTTTTTGCTTGTTTGTTTTTTTGAGACGGAGTCTCGCTCTGTCACCCAGGCTGGAGTGCAATGGCGCGATCTCAGCTCACTGCAAGCTCTGCCTCCCGGGTTCATGCCATTCTCCCACCTCAGCCTCCCGAGTAGCTGGGACTACAGGCGCCTGCCACCACTCCTGGCTAATTTTTTTTGTATTTTTAGTAGAAATGGGGTTTTGCCATGTTAGCCAGGATGGTCTCGATCTCCTGACCTTGTGATCCACCCACCTCGGCCTCCCCAAAGTGCTGGGATTACAGGCGTGAGCCACCGCGCCCAGCCTAATTTTTGTATTTTTACAAAATACAAAATTTCACCATGTTGGTCAGGCTGGTCTTGAACTCCTGACCTTGTGATCTGCCCACCTTGGCCTCCCAAAGTGCTGGGATTACAGGCGTGAGCCACCACACCCGGCCTATTTATTTTATTATTATTATTTTTTTTTGAGGCAGAGTTTCACTCTGGATTCATCCAGGCTGGAGTGCAGTGGGATGATCTGTGTTCACCGCAACCTCTGCCTCCCAGGTTCAAGAGATTCTCCTACCTCAGCCTTCCGAGTAGCCGGGATTACAGGCACCTGCCACCATGCCTGGCTAATTATTTTTTTTGAGATGGAGTCTCGCTCTGTCGCCTAGGCTGAAGTGCAGTGGTGTGATCTTGGCTTATGCAACCTCTGCCTCCCAGGTTCAAGTGACTCTCCTGCCTCAGCCTCCTCAGTAGCTGGGATAACAGGTGCGTGCCACCATGCCTGGCTAATTTTGTATTTTTAGTAGACACGGGGTTTCACTATGTTGGCCAGGCTGGTCTCGAACCCCTGACATCAGATGATCTGCCCGTCTCGGCCTCCCAAAATGCTAGGATTACAGGTATGAGCCACTGCGCCTGGCATGGTTTCTTCCTTTTCTAGGATGGTTTAGTTATCCACCTCTTCCTTTGCTTCCATAAAATGCCTCCAACATCCTTTCATTAACTTCCTCCTTCCCTTCCCTCCCTTCTTCCTTCCCCTTCCTATTCCTCTCTCCTCCCCTCCTCTTCCCTCCCCTCCCCTTCCCTCCCTTCTTCCTTCCCCTTCCTATTCCTCTCTCCTCCCCTCCTCTTCCCTCCCCTCCCCTTCCCTCCCTTCTTCCTTCCCCTTCCTATTCCTCTCTCCTCCCCTCCCCTTCCCTCCCCTCCCCTTCCCTTCCTTTCTCCTCCCTTTCTTCCTTCCCCTTCCTATTCCTCTCTCCTCCCCTCCCCTTCCCTCCCCTCCCCTTCCCTCCCTTCTTCCTTCCCCTTCCTATTCCTCTCTCCTCCCCTCCCCTTCCCTCCCCTCCCCTTCCCTTCCTTTCTCCTCCCTTTCTTTCCTTATGCTAGCCATAGGACATTCCCATTACTTGCAATCAAAAACTTGCAAACAAAACATTGCACACAGCCAAGTTTAACCTTGAAAGAGGCATAAATGACAGCAACTCTTTTGGGAATATGTGTTATTTCTTCTGAGGCATCTATAAAAGCCATCACTTTCATCAGCAACAGGATTGAATGTGCTACCATGGTTTGTATTTTATTGTTGTTCTTGTTTTTAAAGAAACTATCCAAGGCCTATGTTATGAATAAGCAAGAGAGGTATAGATTTATGCTGATAGCTCTCGCCTCAATATTAGAAAGGCAGATTTTTTTTTTTTTTGAGACACTGTCTCACTCTATCACTCAGGCTGGAGTGCAGTGGCGCTTTCTTGACTCACTGCAACCTCGGCCTCCTGGGTTCGAGTGATTACAGGTATGTGCCACCACATCCGCCTAATTTTTATATTTTTTAGTAAAGATGGGGTTTTGCCATGTTGCCCAGGCTGATCTTGAACTCTGAGCTCATGCAATCCACCCGCCTTGTCCTCCCAAAATGCTAGGATTACAGGTGTGAGCCACTGCTCCTGACCAGAAAGGCATAATTTGAATACATTTGTACTATTGGGCTGGCCAAGAAAAAAGTGGCCAATGGAAATTTTATTTTACTCTTCTCTCCAATCTGATAAAGGAGACAGCCCGGCACAGTGGCTCATGCCTGTAGTCCCAGCACTTTGGGAAGCCAAGGTGGGCGGATCTCTTGAGGTCAGGAGTTTGAGACCAGCCTGGCCAACATGGGGAAACCGTCTCTACTAAAAATACAAAAATTAGCCAGGTGTGGTGGCGTGTGCCTGTAATCCCAGCTACTCGGGAGGCTGAGGCAGGAGAATCACTTGAACCCTGGAGGTGGAGGTTGCAGTGAGCTGAGATTGCACCACTGCACTCCAGCCTGGGCGACAGAGTGAGACTCCATCTCAAAAATAAAAATAAAAATGATAAAGTAGAGCGAGAGCGGAAAAAATGTAAAGGGCAAGCAAGAAAGACAAACGAGGAGAAATAGTCAGGCAATTTACAAACTGGATAATTCTTTTTTTTTCCTTTTTTTTTTTTTTGAGATGGAGTTTCGCTTTTGTTGCCCAGGCTGGAGTGCAATGGCGTGATCTCAGCTCATCGCCACCTCTGACTCCTGGGTTCAAGCAATTCACCTGCCTCAGCCTCCCGAGTAGCTGGGATTACAGGTGCCCGCCACCATGCCCAGCTAATTTTTGTAGTTTTAGTAAAGACAGGGTTTCTCCATGTTGGTCAGGCTGGTCTCAGGTAATCCACCCACCTCCTTGGCCTCCCAAAATGCTGAGATTACAGGCATGAGCCACCGCGCCCAGCCAAAAATTGGATAATTATATTGAGATGTAGAAGCATCAAAAATGCGAAAATACTAAAGAGTTATTTCCAGGTAAAAGGTCCTGACATTCAGGGAGCAGCCATCATTAAATGATATCCAAGTTAGCAGACAGGTTTGAAAGATCAGCTAATAGGAGAGCTTCTGATAAGACTTAGAGAAACACTTCTTGACACCTGAGAGGTACGATTCAGTGCAATGAGAAAACAAGGGCTGGTGTGGATCTTTATCTCTTGGGAGTTGAGAGAAAAGGGCAAATTGCTCTTATTCATCCAGGATGGACCAGGTGAGCTCATCAGATACTTCAGAGTCTAATGAATTATCCTTGGGGTTCTTAAGATTTGACATCCCTAATCATTTTAACTGCTCTTTTTATATGTCTTACTACCAGCATGGTCCCTCTGTATGAGCTCATTCCTCTTCTCTTATTCTGCAACTCTCTAGAGGCGAGGGCTGCAGGGAAACATGATATGTCGCTTCTTGAGACACAGACCACTGGCTTCTTTTTTTTTTTTTTTGTAGAGACAAGGTCTCACCATGTTTCCCAGGCTGGTCTCAACCTCCTGGGCTCAAGTGATTCTCCCACCTCAGCCTCCTGAGTAGCTGGGACTACAGGCGTGTACCACCACGCCTGGCTAATTTTTTTGGTGAGATGGAGTCTCCCTATGTTGCCCAGCCTGGTCTTGAACCCCTGGGCTCCAGTGATCCTTCCACCTTGGCCTCCCAAAGTGCCGGGATTATAGGCGTGAGCCACTGTACCCGGTCCAGACCAGTAGCTTCTTGATGCTTCATTCCCTTCAGAAAAAACGATTACAGAATCACAACCTGCTCCGAAGTGTGACAAACCCAACAATCTGTCACCCCAAACGTGCTAATCATGTGGAACAGTAGCAATCAGATTCATGGCTAGCTCCTGTGAAATAGAAACGTGACACTTCAGCGGCTGCCAGGTGGTGCTTAAATAAACTGGGACACTTCACCTTGAAAGCTTTTGGCAAGTGCTGGGAAGTCAAAACAGAAATAAATGATTTAAAAAGCTATACGAGTTGCATAGGAATAGTCAAGTCACATGTCCTGTAATGCCATAGCCTAGTGCTATTGAGCACGTGGATTGTGGCTACACTGTGACTGAGAAACTGAGGTTGGAATTTTATTCAAATTTTATTAATTTTAATTTTATATATATATATATATTTTGAGAAGGAGTCTCACTTTGTTGCCCCCAGGCTGGAGTGCAGTGGCGTGATCTCTGTTCACTGCAACATCCACCTCCTGGGTTCAAGCAATTCTCCCACCTCAGCCTCCTGAGTAGCTGGGATTACAGGCACCCGCCACCATGCCTGTCTAATTTTTGTATGTTTAGTAGAGACGGGGTTTCAACATGTTGGCCAGGCTGGCCTCGAACTCCTGGCCTCAGGTGACCTGCCCACCTCAGCCTCCCAAAGTGCTGGGATTATAGGCGTGAACCACCAAGCCACCACATCCGGCCTATTTTTCATATTTTTTTAGAGACGGGGTCTCGCTCTGTCTCCCAGGCTGGACTGCAGTGGCGGATCAAGGCTTACTACAGCCTTGACGTCCCAGGCTCAAGTGATCCTCTGGCCTCAGCCTCCTGAGTAGCTGGGACTACAGGCATGCGCCATCATGGCCAGGCTAATTTTGGAATTTTTTTTTGTAGAGAGAGGGTCTTACTAAGTTTCTCAGGCTGGTCTTGAACTCCTGGGCTCCAGAGATCTTCCCACCTCAGGCTCCCAAAGTGCGGGATTATAGGCCTAAGGCACATGCCTGGCCCAAAACAAACCATTTTTTATTATTTTATTTATTTTGTTTTATTTTATTTTATTTTATTTTATTATTTTATTAACTTTCTGAGACAGTCTCACTCTGTCACCCAGGCTGGAGTGCAGTAGTGCAATCATGGCTCACTGCAACCTCTGTCTCCCAGGTTCAAGCAATGCTCGTGCCTCAGCCTCCCAAATAGCTGGGATTACAGGCACGTGCCACCATACCCAGCTAATTTTTGTATTTTTAGTAGAGAAGGGGTTTTGCCATGTTGGCCAGGCTGGTCTCAAACTCCTGACCTCAAGTGATCTGCCGTTCTTGGCCTCCCATAATGTTGGGATTACAGGCGTGAGCCAATACACCTGGCCACAAAATGAGCCATTTTAAAATGAACAACTTTATGACATTTAGTACGTTCACAATGTCATGCAACCACCACCTTTGTCTAGTTCCAAAACATTTTTATCACCCCTGAAGAAAACCCCATACTCACTAAACAGTTGCTCCCCATTCTCCTCTCCTCCCAGCCCCTGGCAACCACCAATCTATATTTTGTCTCTATGGATTTACCTATTCTGGATATTTCACATAAATGAAATCACACAATATGTGGCATTTTGTATCTGGCATCCTAGGCTTAGCATATTGTAAATGATTTCCATTTTAAATTACAAAACCTAGGCTGGGTGTGGTGGCTCACGCCTGAGGTCAGGAGTTCGAGACCAGCCTGCCAACATGATGAAACCCCGTCTCTACTAAAAATACAAAAATTAGCTGGGTGTAGTGGCATGTGCCTATAGTCCCAGCTACTCGGGAGGCTGAGACAAGAGAATGGCTTGAACCCAGAAGGCAGAGGTTGCAGTGAGCTGAGATCATGCCATTGCACTCCAGCCTGGGCAACAGAGCGAGAGTCTGTCTTAAACAAACAAACAACAAACAAACCAAAAAAACCACCAAGACTTATCTGGCTAAGTTTGAATGAGTGATTTTTGAGGACAGTGGGGTAGCTATCACTCAGATTAATTATCAGGACCATTCCTTATTGCCTAACCCATGCTTGAGTTTTATGTGATTATGGCTGTAAGTAAAAATTAAAGGAACATTAGGGGTTATTTAATGAAAACAGGATTGCTTAATGAAAACTACATTTTGGCCCCCAAGCAATGTTGTTCTGGCATCTTGTCCACATGGCAGAACACAGTGTGGGTACCCTCTACTGAACATCACCATTGAACGTCATATAGCTTTGGCATCTTGGGCCAGTTAGTACCCAATAAAAGCCAACAGTGCCTGATAGCAAAGATGGTACCCAATGGTACGAGGTGCAGATGTTCTTTGGATAAAGTGGAAATCAACTGAGATAGTCAAAACCAGCAGAAATAGGCCGGGCATGGTGGCTCACACCTGTAATCCCAGCACTATGGGAGGCTGAGGTGGGCAGATCACTTGAGATCAGGAGCTCGAGGCCACCCTAGTGAAACACCATCTCTACTAAAAATACAAAAATTAGCAGTGCATGGTGGCAGATGCCGGTAATCCCAGCTACTCTGGAAGCTGAGGCAGGAGAATCACTTGAACCTGGGAAGTGGAGGTTGCAGTGAGACGAGATTGCACCACAGCACTCCAGCCTGGGTGACAGAGTGAGACTCTGTCTCAAGAAAATAAAAAACAAACAAAACAAAACAAAACAACCAAACCAAAAAACACCCAGCAAAAATAGCAGCATGCCTGGTTAATATCAGTGCATCCAGAACAGGAGGAAAGGAGGAAAAACCCACAAACCTGAGACCGACAAGACTCGTTTCTGTGTGTGATCCTCTCCTGGGCATTCCTGGAAATTCTGACAGGGAACAAACTTTGCAGGAGCCTGGAGTTCTACATTAAATAGCAGATGAAGGCATAGTGCATTGTCTTGGGTTGGGCTCCCCAAGAATCCTTGCTGAGACAATAATTCAATTACAGGCTGTTTATTTGGGAGGTGATCCCAGGAAACAACAGTGTGGGGACAGAAAAATGGAGACAGAGAAAGGAAGTCAGCCAATAAAAGGTCTGTTACCAAGCGGGTTACCACTGTGGGCAGCAGGAGCTCGGTCTCACTGGGGAGCCCTGGAAGACTGTATAGAACATGCCTCAGGGTTATCTCAATGGAGGATAAATATGGAACTGGTTTTTTTTTTTTTTTTTTAGTTTTTTGAGACAGAGTCTGGCTCTGTCGCCCAGGCCGGAGTGCAATGGCACGATCTCAGCTCACTGCAACCTCCGCCTCCTGGGTTCAAGCAATTCTCCCGCCTCAGCCTCCTGAGTAGCTGGGATTAAAGGCGTGCACCACCATGCCCGGCTAATTTTTGTAATTTTAGTAGAGACGGGGTTTCACCATGTTGGTCAGGCTGGTCTCAAACTCCTGATCTCAAGTGATCCACCCACCTTGGCCTCCCAAAGTGCTGGGATTACAGGTATGAGCCACTGCGCCTGGCCAGGAGCTGGGGTATTTATCTAACAACTCCCATCCCTCACTGGGTGAGGGCTATTTCTAGGGACTTGAACTTTCTGGGACTTCTAGGCTATCCTGCTTGCAGACCAGGTGTGCGTCCACAACCAGAACAAAGCCTTCATTCAGAGAGTCACGAGGAACATTCTTTGGCATTTAGAAATGAGTGTTGAGGGTCTCTGGGCAGGGCCCCAATAACATCCACCACACCTGTGATTGCACCAGGCTATGAGCACAGAGGAACTGATCATATTTATCCCTGTGTTAGTCTCATCTCTGGCCCCATTTCAATCCTCACTCTTGTTTTGTTTTTCTTCTTCCTTCTCTTATGTATAATTTATGCTGTCTAGCTATGTTTTATGTATCCTTGTAAGCTGCCTTAAATCTTTTCTGGAACACAACAGGGTATAAGTAAATAAATACTAGTGAGGAGTAACATTTTACCTTTATTTTTGACCATTTCTCCCATTCTGTGTCTTCTTGGAACAGACCCTTATTCATCTGTGCCTAGCATTGTGTTGAGCACATCGAAAGCATTTGACTATTGTTCTGTAAAATAATAGGCAGCACAAAGATACACATAATGGTTTATAAACTGACTCTGTGACCAGACACAGATGCAGAGGCACAGTCCTCTCTGGCCTCTGACTTCTTAAACCCGGTGCCTAGAACAGTGTTTACCACATAGTATAGGTGTCCAGAAAATTTGTGTTGAATGAATTAATGAGACTTATAGGACCTACATTGTATTAGCCCATTTTCATACTGCTGTGAAGAAATGCCCATGACTGGGTAATTTGTAAAGAAAAAGAGGTTTAATGGACTCACAGTTCCACATGGCTGGGGAGGCCTCACAATCATGGCAGAAAGCGAAGGAGGAGCAAAGGCATGTCTTATATGATGGTCGGCAAGAGAGTGTGTGCAGGGCAACTGCCCTTTATAAACCCATCAGATTGGCTGGGTGCAGTGGCTCACACCTGTAATCCTAGCACTTTGGGAGGCCAAGGTGGGCAGATTGCCTGAGCTCAGGAGTTCGAGACCAGCCTGGGCAACATGGCAAAACCCCATCTCTACTAAAAATACAAAAAATTTGCGGGGTATGGTGGCACATGCCTGTCATCCCAGCTACTCGGGAGGTTGAGGCACGAGAATCGCTTGAGCCTGGGAGGTGGAGGTTGCAGCGAGCTAAGATTGCGCTACTGCACTCCAGCCTGGGCGACAGAGTGAGACCCTGTATCAATCAGTCAATCAATACATAAATAAAAATAATAAAACTATCAGATCTCATGAGACTTATTCACTATCATGAGAACAGCATGGGAAAAACCCGGCCCCATTATTCAATTACTTCTCACTGGGTCCCTCCCACGTCACATGGGGACTATGGGAGCTACAATTCAAGATGATATGTGGGTGGGGACAGAGCCAGACCATATCATACATACAGTAAGGCCTCCCTTAGACCACCAATTAGAAATCCATCAACATACTGGAATTGTTTTGCGTTTTTGTTTGTTTGATACGGGGTTTCACTCTATCACCCAAGCTGAAGGGTAGTGGCATGATCACAGCTCACTGCAGCCTTAACCTCCTGGGCTCAAATGATCCTCCCACCTCAGCCTCCTGTGTAGCTGGGACAACAGGCATGTGCCACCACACCGATTTTTTTTGTGTGTGTGTCAAGACAAGGTCTCTCTGTGTTGCCCAGGCTGGTCTCAAACTCCTTAGCTCAGATGATTCACCTGCCTTGGCCTCCCAAAGTGCTGGGACTATAAGCATGAGCCACTGTGCCTGGCCGGAATTGCATTTTTTGCAAGGTCAAGGTTGCCCTTGAAATTACTATCATGTGGATGTACTTAATTTCATGAGCACAAGCTGAGGGGTAGGGACTAAAGATAGAGCTAGAGATGGTGCTTTAAAATGTATACCCAGCAGGCTATGAGCATCTAAGAACACCCAATGGCAATTCAGAGGCAGTCTGTTTATGAGCCTAATCTTTGCTTATAGATGTCCTGGCAAATTGTTCTTAATAACACCCCTATTGAGCAAAGAATTACCAGCAATGCTGGAAAGTGAGCTCCCCAGGAATCTCATATGCTAGAAATTGAGGGATTGCTTTACATCCCATGAATCTCTGAGGAACATGTTCTATTTAACTCCCTGTTTCCCCATAGGCATGGTTTGGGGCTAGGTTCTCTAGAAGCAGATGCTTACATGGAGTTTGGGGTACAAAATCCTCATTAGGAATCAATCAGCCAGGTGCAGTGGCTCACACCTGTAATCCCAGGACTTGGGGAGCCCGAATGGGGCGGACCTTTTTTTTTTTTGAGATGAAGTTTCGCTCTTGTTGCCCAGGCTGGAGTGCAGTGGCGCAATCTCTGCTCACCGCACCCTCCACCTCCCCGGTTCAAGTGATTATCCTGCCTCAGCCTCCCGAGTAGCTGGGATTACAGGTATGCACCACCCTGCCCGGCTAATTTTGTATTTTTAATAGAGACGGGGTTTCTCCATGTTGGGGGGTGGATCTCTTGAGTCCAGGAGTTCAAGAGCAGTCTGGGCAACATGGTGAGACCCTGTCTCTGCAAAAAATACAAAAATTAGCCAGGCATGCTGGTGTGCACCTGTAGTCCCAGCTACTTGGGAGGCAGAAGTGGGAGGATCACCTGAGCCTGGCAGATCAAGGCTGCAGTGAGTTGAGATCCCACCACTGCACTCCCGATCTCAAAAATAAATAAGTAAATAAAGGAATCAGTCCCTATGAAAAAAATGAGAAGAAGCAGGATTGGGCAGAGAGAAATATCCAGCCACAGTGCAGGCTTGACAAAGCTTTGGCTAACCCAGAGGGGAGCTCCAGAGCAACACTTTGACACTGCCTGTCAAAATGTTCCAAGTCAGGTGGAATGGGCGACCTTTATAAATGACTTTCCTGGCTGGGTGTGGTGGCTCACACCTGTAATCCCAGCACTTTGGAAGGCCAAGGTGGTTGGATCACTTGAGGTGAGGAGTTCGAGACCAGCCTGGCCAACATGGGCGAAACCCTGTCTCTACTAAAAATACAAAATTAGCCGCACGTGGTGGTGAGTGCCTGTAATCCCAGCTACTCGGAGGCTGAGATAGGAGAATTGCTTGTATCTGGCATGCGGAGGTTGCAGTGAGCCGAGATCGCACCACTGCACTCTAGCCTGGGTGACAGAGCGAGACTCCATCTCAAAAAACGAAACAAAACAAAACAAAACAGAACAGAACAAAACAAAACAGACTTTCCTTGCCCAGTCAACAGATGCAGGCTACCTCGGGAAGGGCATGGCCTTGGGCTGGGCAGGGCTGTACAGCTGAGGCTGACCTTGAAGGAGGTGACAGCTGCAGTCTGTCTACTGACTGCACTCCCTGCAGTCCCTGGACAGCAAGTCCTCCCTTGAGGGGGCATGTGGGTGGCCCAGCTCTGTGGCCAGCACAGGGATCACGTGGCAGTTGCCCACAGTAACAGCTAGCTTGATAACACACTTTTTTGAGACAGAGTTTCGCTCTTGTTGCCCAGGTTGGAGTGCAATGGTGCGATCTCAGCTCACCGCAACCTCTGCCTCCCGGGTTCAAGTGATTCTCCTGCCTTAGCCTCCTGAGTAGCTGGGATTACAGGCATGTGCCACCACACCCGGCTAATTTTTTTTATTTTTAGTAGAGACAGTGTTTCTCTATGTTGGTCAGGCTGGTCTTGAACTCCTGACCTCAGGTGATCTGCCCGACTCGGCCTACCAAAGTGCTGGGACTACAGGCATGAGCCACACTCTTATTGGCTGCCTTTCTTTCCTTATCTTATTTTCCTACTCCCCTACAAGGTGCTTCCTTCACTTCCCAAATAAACTAACCCAAATCCTTGTCTCAGGATCTGCTTCTGGGGGAGCTAAAACCAAGACATATCCAACTTGCCTTCAGAATCATGTTCCTAGGGGCAGGGCTGTTGGTTTCTGGTTTTGTAAATTTACTTTTCCTGAGTTGCATAGACTTAGGGTAACTTAAGTCCTGTTTTTTCTCAACACAATTCCTGTTTAATATGTGGCCTTGGTGTTCCATTCCCTAGATGTTCCCTTTTGTCTTAAGAGTATCCTGGTTTGGCTGGGCACGGTGGCTCATGCCTGTCATCCTATCACTTTGGGACGCTGAGGTGGGCGGATTGCTTGAGCTCAGGAGTTCAAGACTAGCACGGGCAACATGGTAAAACCCTATCCCTACAAAAAATACAAAAAAATTAGCCAGGCATGGTGGTGCACGCCTATGGTCCCAGCTACTTGGGAGGCTGAGGCAGGAGGATTGCTTGAGCCCAGGGGATCGAGGCTGCAGTAAGCCAAGATCATACCACTGCACTCCAGCCTGGGCAACATAGCAAGATGCTGTCTCAAAAAAAAAAAAAAAAAAGTATCCTGGTCTGGATGACACATTTTTTTCCCCCTTTCTTTCCACAGGTGTCGATGGATGACACTGTTTTTTTTTTTTTAGACAGAGTTTTTGCTCTTGTTGCCCAGCCTGGAGTGCAGTGGGGCAATCTCGGCTGACGGCAACCTCTGCCTCCTGGGTTCAAGCAATTCTCCTGCCTCAGCCTCCCAAGTAGTTGGGATTACAGGGACCTGCCACCACTCCTGGCTAATTTTTCTATTTTTAGTAGAGACGGGGTTTCACCATGTTGGCCAGGCTGGTCTTGAACTCCTGACCTCAGGTGATCCATCTGCCTCAGCCTCCCAAAGTGGTGGGATTACAGGCGTGAGCCACTGAGTCCGGCCCCGATGACACATTTTATAATCATCCTACAACTGTTTGAAGTGAGTGATCCTTGGTCAGATACATGGACAAGGAAAAGTGGTTAGTTTTGATTTGAATGCCATCAACTCATTGTTTACTTTGGGTGAATCATCCCATTGTAGAGCTGGAAGCAGCTTTTGGAACTGGCTATTCCATGGACTCTCCACCTTGTTTTCTGTTACGCTGCACATGGTCAGGCATTCATATGCATAACACTCCCAGGGGAAGTCTTAATATGCCAGCTGTAACTCTGCTCCTTTTTCTCCCGGTAGGGAAAGCATATTAAATGCTGGCAAGAATTAGGTTGGTATAGGGATAATGTATTATTTAAAAATATATGAATCATCCTCCAGCTAATGGTACTTTAACCATTACCATCAGATCACTCATGGCACAGGTCATGACCGATCGAATTTGAGAACAGCTGATCTCTTCTCAAATCCTTGAATTACATGAAAAAAATCGTCTAGCCTCATGGTGTCTTCATTTTCTCACCTGGAAATGGGGATGGTAAAATCTCCTTCTCTGTCTGGTTGGGATGTGGCAGAAGGCAAATGAGATAATGATTGTGAAAGCCTGGGGAAGTATAAAACCTTAAAGGAATGGAGGCGGTGTGGTGGCCACGAGGCAGCTGCATCTACTGAGTTTGCAAGCGTCACACCAGGATTTACACAGTAGGCTCGCAGGGGAATTGGATCCATCTAGTTTGCACAGGGATTCTCTCCTCAAGACATTTACAAGTCAAAATTTTACCAGTGCTCCTGGTCATTACATAAATTCTCTACATCTTTGTCAAGATGTGTTAGTCAGCGGCCGAGCGCAGTGGCTCACGGCTGTAATCCCAGCACTTTGGGAGACAGAGGCAGGTGGATCACAAGGTGAAGAGATCGAGACCATCCTGGCCAACATGGTGAAACCCCGTCTCTACTAAAAATACAAAAATTAGCTGGGCGTGGTGGCGCGTGCCTGTAGTCCCAGCTACTCTGGAGGTTGAGGCAGGAGAATTGCTTGAACCCGGGAGGCAGAGATTGCAGTGAGCCAAGATCGCACCACTGTACTCCAGCCTAGCGGCAGAGCAAGACGCCGTCTCAAAAAAAAAAAAAAAAAAAAAAAGATGTGTTAGTCAGAACCCTACAGTTGCAAGATACAGAAATCCAATATACATTAGCTTGAATAAAAAGTGAGAATTGGGGCCAGGTGCAGTGGCTCATGCCTGTGATCCCAGCACTTTGGGAGGCCGAGGGGGAGGATTGCTGGAGGAGTTTGAGACCAACCTGGGCAACGTAGCAAGACCCCACCTCTACAAAATTTTTTTTTAATTAGCTAGGCATGGTGGCATGCACCTGCAATCCTAGCCACTAAGGAAGATAAGGTGGGAGGATCACTTGAGCCCATGAGTTTGGGGCTGCAGTGAGCCATGATCGTGCCACTTCACTCCATCCTGGGTGACAGAGTGAGACCCTGTCTATTAACAAAAAGAGGAGGGGGGGTATTTATTGGCTCACAAGAGGAAACTATGGGAATGTCCCGGTTGGAGCTAGCCACAGATGGCCAAACTCCAGACTTGAACATCACAAGGATTTTCTGTGCCACTTACCCATCCTGCTGTCTGTATACTGGTTTCATTTTCCTTAGAACAACTTCTTTCTTAGGTGGGGGCATGGCTCTTTGATGCTGGGCTTCCATACTTACAGCCTTGTGACCAGGGAGAAAAGATACCCTTTTCTCTGACCCTGGCCCCTCAGTCAGTTAACCTGACCCCTCAGGTTAAACTAGAAGAACTCTAGAGAAGCACTCTGATAGGCTCATCTTTGAACCAATCACTGCAGTCTAAGCCAGGTGAGACTGATGCCCACACCTCAAATGAATTATCCAGTTTCTCATGTACGAAGCTACTTCGAGGACTGTTGGCAGCTGGCAGCCATCACATCTGTGTCTATCACTTGGGGAAACTACAGTCTTATATATCATCAAACCTTTATTCCTAATGAATCTATTACACTTCTAGGACTATAAATAATAAATTCTCTCCCATTCCTCCAATGCAAATATTTTGAATATTTTAATGATTGCTTTCCAAAGCCTACTTTCAAAATCACCCGTCCAAGATTTGTGCCAATATATACTCCCACAAACAGATGGTGGTGGGCATCCTTGAATTATAAGCTGTCATTGATCTATACTGGTGGTTCTCAACTGAGGATTTTGCCTCCCCAGGGGACAATGGCAATGACTGCAGACTTTTTTTTTTTTTTGGCAGAATCTCTCTCCGTCGCCCAGGCTGGAGTGCAATGGTGCAATCTCGGCTCACTGCAACCTCCAACTCCTGGGTTCAAGCAATTCTTATGCCTCAGTCTCCTAAGTAGCTGGGATTATAGGTGTGCACCACCATGCCCAGCTCTTTTTTTTTTTTTTTTTTCAGACAGAGTCTCACTCTGTCACCCAGGCTGGAGTGCAGTGGTGCGACCTCACCTCACTGCAACCTCTGCCTCTCGGGTTCCAGTGATTCTTCTGCCTCAGCCTCCTGAGTAACTGGGATTGCATGCATGCACCATCATGCCCATCTAACTTTTGTATTTTTAGTAGAAATGGGGTTTTGCCATGTTAGCCAGGCTTGTCTTGAACTCCTGGCCTCAAGTGATCCGCCCGCATCAGCCTCCCAAAGTGTTGGGATTACAGGTGTAATCCCAGTTACTTGGGAGGCTGCGACAGGGGAATCGCTTGAATCCAGGAGGTGAAGGTTGCAGTGAGCCAGGATCGGGCTACTGCATTCCAGCCTGGGTGACAGAGCGAGACTCCATCTCAAAAAAAGAAAATGCCTCATTATTGGTAAAGGAATATAAAAATGTAAGAAAGTATTTATAAGTTGCCTGGTACAGAACTTTGAACCCAGTAGGTGCCACATAATTGTTGGATAGAAGTTTTTCCTGTGAGAACTGCTCCAGTAACAGCCACCAGATGGCAGCAAAGAGCAAGTTTCCCCTCAGAAGTTCCCTCTGGTTAGGCTATGGGGTTTGAAAGGGGGAAGAAAATGGTTGATTTCTTTTCTTTGCATTTTTGTTGTTGTTGTTGTTGTTTGTTTGTTTGTTTTTGAGATACAGTCTCGCTCTGTGGCCCAGGCCGGAGTACAGTGGCACGATCTGGGCTCACTGCAACCTCCGCCTCCTGGGCTCAAGCAATTCTCCTGCCTCAGCCTCCCGAGTAGCTGGGATTACAGGTGTGTGCCACCACGCCCGGCTATTTTGTATTTGTAGTAGGGATGGGTTTTCACCATGTTGGCCAGGCTGGCCTCGAACTCCTGACCTCGAGAGATCCACCCGCCTTGGCCTCCCAAAGTACTGGGATTACAGGCGTAAGCCACTGCACCCGGCCATAAATTTTTTGTAGAGAGGTGGTCTCCCTATGTTGCTCAGGCTGGTCACAAACTCCTGGGCTCAAGTGATTTTCTTGCCTCGGCCTCCCAAAGGGCTGGAATTACAGGCATGAGCCACCATGCCTGGCCCCTCCCTGATTGCTATCAAATTGATTCCCCATCGCTCACTCCTCCCCTCCTCCTCAACACTTTCCTACCTCAAACCCACTCATGTGTGTTTTTTTTTCTTTCTCCCAATTTCTACCATGGGAATGATTTCTTTAAAATGCACTGAGGGGCAAATTGAAAGTGACAACAATCTTTGTGTTCGGAGCCTGAAGTTAATGTGTTCTGGCAATGGGGATTAAACCTGAGAAATTCACAAAACATGTTTCAAGCAAAATGAGTGAAAATGGATGAGGTGATGGGAAAGAATGAAAATATTTAAACAGATTACTTACACCTTAAGTGCCTGTCCCAAGTGGGCCTTCCATCCACCCATCGTCTATTCTGCAAATATTTATTCCTGACTTGGGAATACAGACACAGTCTTAATCCTCATGGAAAAAGGGAAGACAAATATTAGAGAAGTAATTAATTACACATGTGATGTAGGCTAGGATGGGGAGGGGACCAGGACCATGGTGATGTGTAATGGGGTGACCTAATTTTTGGAAAGAGTCAAGACAGGCCTCTCTGGGAAAGTGATGTTTAAGGTGAGACTCAAGTATGAGTAAGAGTTGGCAAAGAAGGAAGGGGAGGGAGTGGGCTAAGCCCTCTAGGCTGAGGGAACAGGGTACTTGAAGGTCCAATGGTTTCCATGTAATTTTAGAGCACTCTGGTTGAGAAAATACATGACTAAAAGCTACCATGATTTAAGGACTCTTCAGATTCCTGTTTTATTTATTATAACATCATCCACACACTTTGAAAAATTCTTGGCTGGGTGCAGTGGCTCATGCATGCAATCATACTTTGGGAGGCCAAGGCTAGAGGACTGCTTGAGCCTAGGAGTTGGAGACCAGCCTGGGCAACATAGCAAGACCTTGTCTCTACTAAAAATAAAAAATTAGCCAGGTGTGATGACATGGTCTTGTAGTCCCAACTACTCGGGAGGCTGAGGTGGGAAGATCATTCATGCCCAGGAGTTTGAGTTTGCAGTGAGCTGTGATCATGCTGCTGTACTCCATGCTGGGCAACAGAGTGAGATCCTTTCTCAAAAAAAAAAAAAAAAAAAAAAGAAAGAAAGAAAAAGAAAAAAGTCTTATGTGGGTGTGCAGGAGGCAACATTTATTCAGTCTATAAATAAATGTGGTGATGGGTTGCATTAATTTCATAGAGTCCTTATGAATCTACAACCCCAGTCCATGGAATACACAGGACACAATCCCTGTCCTTAAGGGGCTGATAGTTTAGTCGGGACAATGGTTGCCCCTCCGTGCACTCCCTTTGTCTTAACACTTCAGGGCATCTCTTATGAAACATTTGCATGTTTGGTCACGTTTTTCTTGGATCTGTCCCTATTCCTCTGATCACTCTCTGTCACCTCATCTCCAACACTCATTAAACTAGAAGTTCCTAATTCAGATCCATGAACCCCCAAAAGGGGACAGTGGGTAGAACTCAGACATCCAGAGCCGGACGCGGTGGCTCACCCCTGTAATCCCAACACTTTTGGAGGCCGAGGCGGGCGGATCACGAGGTCAGGAGATCGAGACCATCTGGAGTTTGCAGTGAGCCAAGATTGCGCCACTGCACTCCAGCCTGGGTGACAGAGCAAGACTCCATCTCAAAAAAATAAAAAAAATAAAAAAAATTCAGACATCCAAAAACGTGGGAAAATCACTTCTCTATTTTCACAATTCTAACTGAAAGACAGCATTTCTCCTTCCATTGTGAATGCAGACAACAAACCACGCCTGTGATTTTTTTTTTTTTTTTTTTTTTGACACAGGGTCTTTCTCTGTTGCCCAGGCTGAAGCGCAGTGGTGTGATCACAGGTCACTGCAGCCTCCACCTCCCGGGCTCAAGTGATCCTCCCACCTCAGCCTCCCAAGTAGCTCAGATCACAAGCACACACTACCACACCCAACTAATGTTTTAACTTTTTGTAGAGTCAGGGGTCTCACCATGTTGCCAGGGCTGGTCTGGAACTCCTGGCAGTGCCTGTGATTTTGTCACCCGTAGAAGTCACAGATATTTGTACACTACATGTACAGCTGCTGCTGATGTCTCAAAATTAATGCTCATAGCTACTTTAAAATCATGGCAGTTTTTAGACTTGCTGCTAGATCTTATTATTTAGTTTGTTAATAGAGACACATATTGCTATAAAATGTGTTTATAGCAATTGTTTATAGCAATATAAAAACCATGTTGCTATATCCCAAGTTGGTTTTGTAAAGTATTTTGATAACTTGTATTTCAATATAATTGGTTCCTTTGTAACCCTGTGTGTTTTCTTTTTGGCATTTAAAGCTGTTATTCTGACCAGGAGTGGGTGCGGTGGCACACGCCTGTAATCCTAGCACTTTGGGAGGGCGAGGTGGGCTGATCATCTGAGATCAAGAGTTTAAGAACAGCCTGGCCAACAGGGTGAAACCCCATCTCTAAAAAAAATACAAAAAATTAGCTGGGCGTCATGGCGTGTACCTGTAATCCCAGCTACTCGGAGGCTGAGGCAGCAGGCTCGATTGAACCCGGAGGTGGAGTGTATTAGTCTGTTTTCATGCTGCTGATAAAGACATACCCGAAACTGGGAAGAAAAAGAGGTTTAATGGGACTTACAGTTCCCCATGGCTGGGGAGGCCTCAGAATCATGGCGGGAGGCAAAAGGTACTTCTTACGTGGCAGTGACAAGTGAAAAATGAGGAAGAAGCAAAAGCAGAAGCCCCTGATAAACTCATCGGATCTTGTGAGACTTAGTCACTATCACGAGAATAGCAGGGGAAAGACCAGCCCCCACGATTCAATTACCTCCTCCTGGGTCTCTCCCACAACACGTGGAAATTCTGGGAGATATAATTCAAGTTGAGATTTGGTTGGGGACACAGCCAAACCATATCACGGAGGTTGCAGTGAGCTGAGATCGCACCACTGCACTCCAGCCTGGGTGGCAGAGTGAGACTCCGTCTCAAAAAAACAAAAACAAAAACAAAAACAAAAACACACAAAAAAACCCGTTATTCTGAGAAGAGTCCTTCAGCTTCACAGGGTTGCCAAAGGGAATTCACACATAGAAAATGCGAAAAAAACCTGCGAAGCTCAAGAGTTCTTTGAGCTACGCTTTGATTCGTCTCTCTTTGGGTGGACTCAAGGCCACATTATGACTTTTGTGGGCCTGAAGCACTTTTGTTGCCTGTATGAACCCATCTTCTGTAAAAGATACTAAAAATTATATTTTGGCCAGACGAGGTGACTCACGCCTGTAATCCCAGCACTTTGAGAGGCCAAGGCAGGAGGATCACTTGACCCCAGGAGTTCAAGACCAGCCTGGGCAGCATAGTGAGACCCTGTCCCTATTGTTTTAAATAAAAATAAAAATAAATAAGCCAGGTGGGGTGGCTCATCCCTATAATCCCAGCACTTTGGGAGGCTGAGGCGGGCAGATCACTTGAGACCAGGAGTTTGAGACCAGCCTAGCCAACATAGTGAAACCCCGTCTCTACTAAAAATACAAAAATTAGCCAGGTATGGTGGCGGGTGCCTGTAATCCCAGCTACTCAGGAGGCTGAGGCAGGAGAATCCCTTGAACCCAGAAGGCAGAGGCTTCAGTGAGCCAAGATTGCACCACTGCACTCTAGCCTGGGCAACAGAGCAAGACTCAATATCAAAAAAATTTTTTTAATAATATTTTATGACTGCGTTGTAATCCAGACTGGATTCATTCTTCTTCTGTTTATTTGTTTTTTTTCTGCTTTCAAAAGCAAAACATTTTTGTGCCAGGCACGGTGGCTCATGCCTGTAATCCCAGCACTCAGGGTGGGTAGGTCACTTCAGCCTAGGAATTTGAGACTAGCCTGGGCAACACAATGAGATCCTGTCTCTACAAAAAATACAAAAATTAGCCAGGCATTGTGGGGTGCGCCTGTAATCCCAGCTCCTTGGGAGGCTGAGGTGGGAGGATTTCTTGAGCCTGGGAGGTTGAGGCTGCAGTGAGCCGTGATCTTGCCACTGCTCTCCAGCCTGAGCAAGAGAGTGAGACCTTGCCTCAAAAAAAAAAAAAAAAAAAATACAGATTTCTGGGTCCCACTGCAGAGATGGGCTTTCCTCATTTACTATCAGATGGAGAGATCTGCAATCCAGTCTGGAGTGCTGTGGTGCAATCGTGGCTTAATGTAACCTTGAACTCCTGGGCTCAAGCAATCCTCCTGCCTCAGCCTCCTGAGTAGCTGGAATCACAGGCAGGCACCACCACTCCTGGCTAATTTTTTATTTTTAGTAGAGATGAGGTCTCACTATGTTGCCCAGGCTGGTCTCAAACTTCTGGGCTCAAGTGATTCTCCCACCGTGGCCTCCCAAAGTGCTGGAGTTACAGATGTGAGCCACCAGGCCCAGCCTGGAATCTGCCTTTTAAGCCAGCATCAGGTAATTCTTTGTTAGGTCATTCTTGGACCATACGTTGAGAAACAGTGTAATACTGGCTAAATATAATGTGACATTCAATTTTCTTGCAGACCTGGCTGCAATCCACCTTTTAGACCTTTTTCTTGTCCCACACTGTAATGACATCATACTACCCACTACCTCGTCCCCACTGTTTACCCCCCTCTATCTTTGCTCATTCTCCATGTCTAAAATGCCTTTATTTTCCCTGCCTAGTCAGAGCCGCTTATCTTTTGGGGGTTTACTTTAAGGCTACTTACTTTTCAAATCCTTCTTTGACCCCTCCAGGTAGAATTAATCATTCTCTTCTCTATATTTTCATACTGCTGTGTGCAAACATCCAGCATGAAAAATTTGTTACAGAGAGCAGTGGGTGGGATATGTTTTCTTTCTTTCTTTTTTTTTTTTGAGATGAAATCTCACTCTGTCACCCAGGCTGGAGTGCAGTGGCACAATCATGACTCACTGAAGCCTCCAACTCCTGGGTTCAAGAGATCCTCCTGCCTCAGCCTCCTGAGTAGCTGGGACTACAGGTGTGTGCCACCACTCCCAGCAAATTAAAAACGATATTTTTTGTAGAGATAGGGTCTCACTATGTTGCCCAGGCTGGTCTTCAAATCCTGGGATCAAGCTATCCTCCCACCTCAGCCTCCCTAAGTACTAGAATTGCAGGCATGAGCCACCACACCTGGCCAAGGGGTATTTATTTATTTATTTATTTGGAGATGGAGTCTCGCTCTGTCACCCAGGCTGGAATGCAGTGATCTTGGGTCACTGCAACCTTAGCCTCCCAAATAGCTGGAACTATAGGCGCAAGCCACCACACCCAGCTAATTTTTGTATTTTTAGTAGAGACAGGGTTTTTCCTTGTTGGCCAGGCTGGTCTCGAGCTCCCGGCCTCAAGTGACCCGCCTGCTTCACCCTCCCAAAGCGCTGGGATTACAGGCATGAGCCACCGCGCCCAGCCTCAAGGGCTATTTAAAATATTTAACAACAGTGTGGCTCATTGACCAGACCCATGAGAACTTAGAAGATTGAGATACTCTTGTGCCTGGTTTGTGGGGAGAGTCCTTCCACGGGGGGACTGAGTAGTCCTGGCATGGAAGTGGATAGGGAGGAATAAGGTCTTGAAAGTAGCAGCTATTGGCCGGGTGCAGTGGCTCATGCCTGTAATCCCAGCACTTTGGGAGGCCGAGGCGGCCAGATCAGAGGTCGGGAGTTTGAATCCAGCCTGACCAACATGGAGAAACCCCGTCTCTACTAAAAATACAAAATTAGCTGGGCGTGGTGGCGCATGTCTGTAATCTCAGCTACTCAGGAGGCTGAGGCAGGAGAATCACTTGAACCCGGGAGGAGGAGGTTGTGGTGAGCTGAGATCGCGCCATGGCACTCCAGCCTGGACAACAAGAGCAAAACTCTGTCACAAAAAAAAAAAAAAAAAAAAAAAGTAGCAGCTATTTATTAGTTGGTATGGAAGTATTCCTGCATTTTAACAATCATCAGTACAAACATACTGGGTGAATGTAGTCATTCATGTAGAAGCGTGTGTGTGTCCATTTGTGTGTGTGTCCTGCTAGGTTGAGAGCACGGGTAAGTGCAATCGTCCCA
Source organism: Homo sapiens (assembly GCF_000001405.40). Taxonomy (NCBI): domain Eukaryota; kingdom Metazoa; phylum Chordata; class Mammalia; order Primates; family Hominidae; genus Homo; species Homo sapiens. The sequence continues at coordinate 119,931,632 of NC_000012.12, read as the reverse complement.
TCCTCTTCATAGTCAATAGCTTCACCTAGCTCCCTCAATGTGTTTTGGCATGTCTGCAAAACTAATGGATTCAAATGTCAACTCCTTTTCCTCTCTGTTGCAACTATGACTCGGTACGTTAAAAAAACAAAAAACAAAACCTTAAAGTAACAGAAGAAGAGGGCGTGAGAATTATTTGGACTGGTCGTTTAAAATGTGTATTCCAGGGCTCCTACCCCAAACCCACCAAATTCGACTCTCTGGGTGGGAACCAGAGCCTCGCATTAAAATTCCTCCAAAGGATTTGAATGCACATTAAAGTTTTCACATTAGAACTACCTAGAGAGTTTTTAAAAATACAGATTACTAGACCCCATTCAAACCACTTAAAGTAGAATCCTGTGAGTGCGGCTTAGGCATTTACAATTTTTTTTTTTGAGACATGGTCTCAGTCTGTCACCCAGGTTGGAGTGCAGTGGCAATGATCTTGGCTCGCTGCAACCTCTCCCTTCCAGCCTCAAGTGATCCTCCCACCTCAGCCTCCCTAGTAGCTGGGACCACAGGTGCACACCTGTGTTGTATTTTTGGTAGAGATGGGGTTTCGCCATGTTGCCCAGGCTGGTCTCAAACTCCTGAGCTCAGGTGATACTCCCCCCTCGGCCTCCCAAAGTGCTGGGATCATAGGTGGGAGCCACCGCACCCAGCTGGCATGTATGTATTTTTTTGTTTGTTTGTCTGTTTGAGACGGAGATTTGCTCTCATTGCCCAGGCTGGAGTGCAATGGCATGATCTTGGCTCACTGCAACCTCTGCCTCCCAGGTTCAAGCGATTCTCATGCCTCAACCTCTTAAGTAGCTAGGATCACAGGTGTGCGCCACCACGTCTGGCCAATTTTTGTGTTTTTAGTAGAGATGGGGTTTCACCATGTTGGTCAGGCTAGTCTCGAACTCCTGAGCTTAGGCGATACACCCGCCTCGACCTCCCAAAGTGCTGGGATCATAGGCAGGAGCCACCACACCCAGCCGGCATGTACATTTTTAAAAACTTCCCTAGGTGATTCTAGTTTGCAATCACGTTTGAGAACTACTGGTTTAGGAAATTCTAAAACTGGTTAAACAGTACCTGAACAATGGAGTAGAATGTTTACTGGAGTTAATAGGCAGTTTTCTCTCTGGAACCTGATCTCATATGTTGCTTTTTTATTGGGAAGGAGGAGAACTCATTCTTATTTTTACTGCTATCAGTAGGAAACTGCATAGCCAGTCAAGTCACGCATTTCTATTCTGTGCTAGGCACGATGATTATTAAGGTCTTGAGATTGTCTTGAGTGTTGGCAGAGCTGGAGTCTGCGACTTAACATTCAGTGACTTCATGTTAATCAGGAGGGCAGATGGCTCTGAGCCTTTCTGCAGGGCCTGATGTGCATGGACTGCTTTGCACAGCCCCCTTGTGAAATAATATACCTCTTCTCCTGCCCAGTTCATGAAAGAAAAACAAGGCACAGAAATTTAAGGGAGCTGCTCAAGGCTGCAAGTGCCATAGTGAAGGATAGTGTCTGACGTTAGGTTATACAACACGAAATGGCGTGCTGATAAAACTCTAGGCAGCTGGGCATTCAGGATAGTATTTTGGGTGACACAGTCTCTTGCTTTCACCTGTTATCTTTGCTCCCTTTCAACGTTTTTATTATACAAGTTGAACTCATGGACAAATTCATTACTTGTTTGTTGCCCACTTTGTTAACATAGACCCAATTTAAGGAGAATAGGTTAAGTTCTCACCACCAGAAGTAGAATTTGGAGGCCGGATGCGGTGGCTCATGCCTATAATCCCAGCACTTTGGGAGGCCAAGGCGGGAGGATCACTTGAGGTCAGGAGTTCGAAACCAGCCTGACCAACATGGTGAAATCCCTTCTCTACTAAAAATACAAAAATTAACTGGTGTGGTGGCAGGCGCCTGTAATCCCAGCTACTCGGGAGGCTAAGGCAGGAGAATCGCTTGAACCCAGGAGGCGGAGCTTGCAGTGAGCCGAGAACATGCCATTGCACAGCAGCCTGGGTGACAGAGTGAGACTCCATCTCCAAAAATTAAAAATAAAATAAAATAAAAACATAATCAAGCTCACTAACAATTAGAGAGATGAAGGCTAGGGGCAGTGGCTCAAAAAAAAAATTAGGGAGATACCATAGAATATAACTTTTCACCTTTTAGATTAATGAATATTTAAAAAAATTTATACTACCCAGTGTTGACAAAACAGTAGAGAAATAGGCACTGTCATACTCTCGGTGAAAGTGAAAGCTGGCACCCGCTTTGGGAGGGCAATTTGGCAGTATCTAACAAAATTAAAAATATATTATTAAATTTGCATTTTATCAACTTATTAATTTTGTACCTAAAAATCTGTAGATTTGCAAAGTATTCATAATTAAGTCAAAGGAGATATGCAATTTAAATTTTGGTAGATAGTGCCAGTTTTTGTTTTTTTTTTTTTGAGATGGAGTCTCACTCTGTTACCGAGGCTGGAGTGCAGTGGTGCGATCTCGGCTCACTGCAACCTCCATCTCCCAGGTTCAAGCAATTCTCCTGCCTCAGCCTCCTGAGTAGCTGGCACTACAGGTGTGTAGTGCCACCACCAGGCCTGGCTAATTTTTGTATTTTTAGTAGAGATGGAGTTTCACCATGTTGGCCAGGCTGGTCTTGAACTCCTGACCTCAACTGATCTGCCTGCCTCGGTCTCCCAAAGTGCTGGGATTACAGGTGCGAGCCACCATGCCCAGCCAATATTGCCCAATTGATCATCTCCATATATATATTACCTACAAATATATATGAAGAAACACACACACACACACACAGCACGTTACTATATGTGGGCACTGTTGTAAGCATTTTACAAGTTACATATATATATGTTTAATATATGTGTGTATATATAGAGATAGAGTGAGAGTGCAAACATTTCATCACTGTATGTAATATCAAAGAATTAAGAAATATGAATTTTTCATCAAGTTTCCAGGCATGGTGGTTCATATCCTGTAATTCCAGCAGTTTGGAAGGCTGAGGCAGGAGGATCACTTGAGCTCAGTTCAGGTCCAGATTGGCAACAAAGCAAGAGCCTGTCTCTATTTATAAAAAACAATAATAATAATAATAAAATATATTGCATACTTACATAACAGAACACCATACAGCCATAGATATTTACGATGTGTTGTAACATTAAATAATAAGTTGAACAATAGTATTGTGTGATTCCCTTTGTGTATATAAAAGCCTAGAATATTCTGGAAAGATGTACAATGCAAGAAACCTTTAGTGATAGAAGTGTTACGAAGTTTCTTTTTCCTTCCTGCTCTTCTGTTATGTAATATTTTTTACCATGATATTTTTATATAATTTAAAAGTATTTAACTAGATTATAATATATAAACATTTTATAGAACAATATTAAACAAATAATAATATCCATGATATGCCACTAAGTGAAAAATTCTACTCTGAAACATTTTATATGATACAAATTCATTTTTAAGGCATTCATAGAAATAGGCTGGAAAGTACACGCATCAAAATATTTCACTGTTCGCAAGATTGGTGTTTCCTTTTGTGCTTGTCTCTATTTTCCAAATTTTCTGCAATGAGCTCGTGATTCTTCTGAAATTAGAAATTCTAAAAACTTACAATAAATGTTATTTTCTTCCTGAAAGCACATCTACACATGACTATGAGGACATTGTGCATAGTTCCAACGTAGTAATGTGCAAAAATAATTTGGCCATTTGTACAATATTTTGCTAGGCATCTGCAGCGAGGTTGCAAAGCGTATCAGCTGAAACAGTGACCCTGTAAGTCCTTTGTTAAAAATGGCACTTCCTCGCCACATGGCTGCCAGATGCACTTCATTTCTGGATCTATTGATTTCATGTGAAAATGTGGCTGCTGCAGAAATTGTTATCTTTAGTTTATAAAGAAGGTATTTTCCTCCCACAGAGCACAGTGTCAATACCTCAAAAGAGAAGCAGAGCCCCGAGCCCTTCATTCAATGTACATTTATAGGGTGCAGATGTATGCTTCGGGCATTGTTCTAGGGGATTAGGTTCCAGGGATAAAGGAGACATATAAGGTCCCTTCTCTTAGGAAGATGGCATTCTACAGGCAGTGAACAAGACTTCCTGGTTCATAGACAGCCATCTTCTCACTGCATCCTCAGACGGTGGAAGGGGCAAGGGAGCTCTGTGGGGTTTGCTCCCCTCCCCTCCCCTCCCCTCCGCTCCCCTCCGCTCCCCTCTCTTCTCTTCTTTTCTTTTCTTTCTTTTTTTTTTTTTTTTGACAAAGTCTCACTCTTGTCCCCAGGTGTCCCCAGGCTGGAGCGCAATGGTGCGATCTTGGCTCACTGCAACCTCCACCTCCCAGATTCAAGTGATTCTTCTGCCTCAGCCTCCCAAGTAGCTGGGATTACAGGCTCGTGCCACCCCTCCCCACCCCCACCCCTGGCTAATTTTTGTATTTTTAGTAGAGACGGGGTTTCACCAAGTTGGCCAGGCTGGTCTGGAACTCCTGACCTCAAGTGATCCTCCTGCCTGGGCCTCCCAAAGTGCTGGGATTACAGGCATGAGCCACTGCACCCGGCCAGGGAGTCTCTTTTCTAAGGGCACTAATCCTAGGCTGGGCACAGTGGCTCACGCCTGTAATCCCAGCACTTTGGTAGGCTGAGATGGGTGGATCACTTGAGGTCAGGAGTTGGAGACCAGCGTGGTCAACATGGTGAAACCCCGTCCTTACTAAAAATACAAAAAAAAAAAAAAAAAAAAAAAAAATTAGCCGGGCGTGGTGGTGGGCGCCTGTAGTTCCAGCTACTTGGAAGGCTGAGGAGGGAGAATCGCTTGAACTAGGTAGGCGGGGGCTGCAGGGAGCCAAGACTGTGCCACTGCACTCCAGCCTGGGGCGACAGAGGTAGACTTTGTCTCAAAGAAAGAAAGAAAGAAAGAAAAGCCTCTTCATGAGAGCTCCATCCTCTGACCTAGTCACCTCCAGAGACCCCACCTCCAAATACTATCACATTGGGGATTAGGTTTCAACATATGGATTGAGGGGAAGGGGACCTTCAGCCTATAGCACAGAGAATGCTGAACCCCTTCTCTACAGTTCCTGATTCAGCAGGTTTGGGGTGGAGTCCAATAAATTACATTTCTAGCAAGTTCCTGGGTGCTGCTGCTGCTGCTAGTGCCAGTATAACACTTTGGGAATCACGACCTGGCCTACCCTTACCAATTCGGTATTATTCCAAGGGAATCAAAGCTTAGGCAAAGCTTGTTCCTTCCTTCATGCGCTCAGGGAATATTTATTTATTTATTATTTTTTAGACGGAGTCTTGCCCTGTCGCCCAGGCTGGAGTGCAGTGGTGTGATCTCGGCTCACTGCAACCTCTACCTCCTGGGCTGAATTGATTCTCATGCCTCAGCTTTCCAGGTAGCTGGAACTACAGGCACGTGCTACCACGCCGGCTAATTTTTGTAATTTTAGTAGAGACAGGGTTTTGCCATGTTGGCCAGGCTGGTCTCGAACTCTTGAGCTCAAGTGATCCACCCGCCTTGGCCTCCCAAAGTGCTAGGATTACAGATGTGAGCCACTGTGCCCAGCCAGGGGAATCTTTATTTAAAGCCTGCTTTGTGCAAGGAACTATCCTAGGTGCTCCATAATCAGTGATAAAGTTCTTGCCCCCATTCTTAGAGACTAGTGGTTTGCTCGAGGTAGCACTAGCACTTGAATTTGCGGCTTCTTACTCAAAATCCAGCACTCATTCCATTATGCAACAAGCAGCATTAACAAACACCTCGGTTGCTATTAATTACTCCCTTTGGAATCGCTTGAACTTGGGAGGCGGAGGTTGCAGTGAGCCAAGATTGCACTGCTGCACTCCAGCCTAAGCGAGAGAGCGAGACTCTGTCTCAAAATAAATAAATAAATAAATACTCCCTTTGATATCTTCTAAGTAGATGTCCTTGAAGGTGACCTCAGAGGTGGTGTGCAGGCATTTTCTTTGTAGATAGGTTTGCATTTGTAAGTTTGGAGAAAAAAGCTTCAATGGGAGCAAGGAATGTGAGGGTCCCTCAGCACTGTGAAGAGACAAGAGCAAAAGGGAACTCTCCCTTCTGACAACTGTGGGAGAGAAATGACTAAGAACAGAAGGAATGACTAAAGAGATGCTGAAGACACCATGGTGCCCTACCCAGATCCCCCTTCAAGGATGCAGGATTATTCTCCCAGATGCTGGGAGTGTTGCAGGCTGGCAGCCTCCTCTGGGGACTGCCTTTGCTAAAGTGAGTGGCTTCACTCAAGTTCACACCCCCTTCCTGGGAGGCCCACAACCAGTAATCAACGGGGGACACAAATCTCTCAGGTTCAAGCAATCCCCCTGCGTCAGCCCCCTAAGTAGCTAGGACTACAGGTGTGCGCCACCAAGTCCAGCTAATTTTTGTACTTTTTTTCTTGTAAAGATGTGGGTCTTTCCATGTTGTCCAGGCTGGTGTTGAACTCCTGGACTCAAGTGATCCACCTGCCTCAGCCTCCAAAGTGCTGGGATTACAGGCGTGGGCCACCATGCCCAGCCTTGCAGAGCTTTTTGAGGGGTCATCTAAAGCCTTTGGTGCGGCTGCATCACAGCTCAACTTCCCCGTGTAAGTCCTGCTTCCTTCCTCAACCTTCCCAAGGACTGGGATTCCAGAGTACTCCCTAATAAACATCCTGCATGCTAATCTCCATCTCAGAGTCAGCTTCCCAGGAACCCAACCTGCAACAGGGATTTCAAGGTGTCTATGGTGGGTTGAGTAACCTCAACCTTCTCTTCCTTCCTTTCAAAAACTTCAGTGAAATTAACATTGCTCATTCACATTTTGTGACACAGTATTTGTAGTGGATTAAATAGTGTCCACCTGGAACTCCGAAATATGGCCTTATTTGGAAGTAGGCTCTTGGTAGATGAAACTACTTAAGGATCTCAAGGTGAGATTATGACAGGGTCTCACTCTTTTACCCAGGCTGGAGGGCAGGGGCACAATCATGGCTCAGTATAGCCTCAAACTCCCATGCTCAAGCAATCCTCCTGCCTCAGCCTCCTAAGCAGCTGGGACTACAGTCATGCACCACCATGCCTGGCTATTTTTTTTCCCTTTGTAGAGACAGGGTCTCAATATGTTGCCCAGACTGGTTTTGAACTCCTGGCCTCAAGTGGTCCTCCTGCCTTGGTCTCCCAAAGTGCTGGGATTACAGATATGAGCCACCATGCCCAGCCCAGTATCTTATAAGGAGTGGAGAGACACACACAGATGATGATCATGCGAAGACATAAGGAGAGATTGAAGTGATGCAGACACAAGTTAAGGAACAGCTAGCACCACCAGAAGCTGGAAAAGCCGAGTAACGATCCACTCTTAGAGCCTTCAGAGGAAGCCTCCCCTGCTGACACCTTGATTTGGGACTTTCAGCCTCCAGAACTGTGAGAGAATAAAATTCCATTATTTCAGCTACCCAGCTTGTGCTACTTTGTTATGGCAGCCTTAGGAAATGAATACAGTATTTTATTTGGAAGCGCTTAAAGGGGAAAATGAGGTGACAGCTGACCATCATGCAAATGGAAATGCAATGCCCGTTGCACATCATGTAGCAAGCATTCAAAAAGTGCTTGTTGAACTCAACTGAACTGAATGCTAATAAAGGGAAAAGCAAAGTTTATTGGAAGTTATCTTAGGATAGCTGCTTGATTTATTTTCTTTAGACCCTGGGCCTGTGGGCACCTGCTAATTTGCATACTTACTCATGGTATTTGATTCTGTGCGTGGAACTGTGGAGGGAACACTCTTCATTTTTGGACAATTTTAGTACTGCTTTAGAAGTCAGTCACTAATGAGGTCCCTGCACTGTATCACTATAATCCAAGTCCTGATCATTTAAACTAGATGTAAAATTTAAAAATACTCCTGGCCTTTTTTCCTCTGTTTTGGGCTGCTCCTCTTGGCTTCTGAGGAGCCCCCAGTTCTGTTTTTAGGTGTCTAGGTAGGTAAATAATACATGATTTACAAAGGCGATTTAAGAGCTCAGCAGAGCATCAAATATGAGTGCCCTTGCTAGTTATTTATTTTTTCTTTCTTATAATTAAAATGTTTTAATTTTCTTTTTCTTTCTTTTTTTGAGACAGAGTCTTGCTCTGTCGCCCAGGCTGGAGTGCAGTGGTGCGATTATAGCTCACTGCAGCCTCGAACTCCTGGGTTTAGCTGATCCTCCCACCTCAGTCTCCCAAGTAACTGGAACTACAGGCATGCACCACCATTCCTGGCTGGTATTTTTATTTTTTGTAGAGACGAGGGTCTCACCATATTGCCCAGGCTGGTCTCGAACTCCTGGCCTCAAGTGATCCTCCTGCCTCACCTTCCCAAAGTGCTGGGATTACAGGTGTGAGCCACTGCCTTTGCTAGTTCTTATCTTGTCACTGTAGCTGATAAATCACCACCATAAGCCTCAATTTGTCTTATCTATAAGATGGAGCTCTCATTGCTTTTTTTTAAGTTACCAATAGCAGGAGAATAAAGTGAGTTATCTGATCAACTCCCACAAGCTGAGGTGTTCCTCAGGTCACATTTGGAGGTCCAAAATCACTTTTGAATCCTGCAGGTTGAGCCTCTGGATCAACATTTCGCAGAGGAGGGTTGCATCTATCTTTTTTTTTTTTTTTTTTTTTTTTTGAGATGGAGTCTCGCTCTGTCACCAGGCTGGAGCACAGGGGTGTGATCTCGGCTCACTGCAACCTCTGCCTCCCAGATTCAAGCAGTTCTCCTGCCTCAGCCTCCTGAGTAGCTGGGATTACATGCCTGCCACCACTCCTGGCTAATCTTTGTATTTTTACTAGAGATGAGGTTTCACTAAGTTGGCCAGGATGGACTCGATCTCCTGACCTTGTGATCCGCCTGCCTCGGCCTCCCAAAGTGCTGAGATTATAGGCGTGAGCCACCTCACCCGGCCGAAAGTTGTGTCTATCAATGGCCAGGGGTACAAAAAAAATGAGTTCTGAGCTTTATATGTTATTTTTTCTTTTCTTTCCTTTTTCTTTTTTTTTTTCTTTTTTTTTTGAGACAGGGTCTCAGTCTGTTACCCAGGCTGGAGTGCAGTGGCATGATCACGGTTCACTGCAACCTCTGCCTCCTGGTCTCAAGTGATTCTCATGCCTCAGCCCTCCCAAGTAGCTGGGACTACCATTTTTTTGTATTTTTAATAGAGATGGGGTTTTGATATGTTGGCCAGGCTGGTCTTGAACTCCTGGCCTCACGTGATCCACCCACCTCAGCCTCCCCAGATGATGGGATTACAGGTGTGAGCCACCAAGCTCAGCTCTGGCCTCTCCATTCTAACTTCTATAGTATTCGCGTCATCTTCACAGTCCACCCAGTGGTCTTGTGGCTGCTCCAGATTTTACTTTCTTTTTTTTTTTTTTTTTTTTTTTTGAGATGGAGTTTCACTCTGTCATCCAGGCTGGAGTGCAGTGATGCAATCTTGGCTCACTTCAACCTCTGCCTCCCGGGTTCAAGCGATTCTGGTGTCTCAGCCTCCCAAGTAGCTGGGACTACAGGCGCGCACCACCATACCCGGCTAAGTTTTTGTATTTTTAGTAGAGACAGGGTTTCACCATGTTGGCCAGGCTGGTCTCGAACTCCTGACCTCAGGTGATCCGCCTACTTCTACCAGACTAGCCAGGGGAAGAAATAATATATTTTCTGATATCTCTTATGTTAGTCCTAGGATTCACTCTCTATTGTTGACCTGAATGCAGTCATTTGCTGATTCCTGAACCAATTGCTGTGGCCAGGAGACGAGAACTAGGGAACAGAAAGCTCTCAGGAGTAAACATCTCTCAGGTTTCCCTTTTTATTTTTATTTTATTATTATTATTATTATTATTTTGAGACAGAGCCTTGCACTGTCACCCAGGCTGGAGTGCACTGATGCCATCTCTGCTCACTGCAACCTCTGCCCCCAAGGTTCAAGTGATTCTCCCGCCTCAGCCTCCCGAGTAGCTGGGATTACAGGCTTGTACTACCACACTCAGCTAATTTTTTGTATTTTTAGTAGAGATGGGTTTTTACCATGTTGACCAGGCTGGTCTCAAACTCCTGACCTCAAATGATCTACCCACCTTAGCCTCCCAAAGTGCTGGGATTACAGAGGTGAGCCACTGTTCCCGGCCAGGTTCTTAGATGCCACACCATCTCTCATCTCTATTCTCTCAGTATCTCTGCTCCTTCTTTCTGCACATCAACCATCTCTATTTTTCTCTGCATAGGGTGGAAGGTGACCATCCTCAGTCTTTGAGTTTATGTGGCCTCATTCAAGGGATAGTATAGTCTGACAGATTCTCATGTTCTGATTTTAAATCCTGGCAGAAATAATCTGATTGGGCTTAGTAGGATTAGTTTCTTTCTTTTTTTGAGACAGAGTCTCGCTCTGTCATCCAGGCTGGAATGCAGTGGCATGATATCAGCTCACTGCAACTTCCGCCTTCTAGGTTCAAGCAATTCTTCTGCCTCAGCCTCCCTAGTAGCTGGGGTTACAGGAGTGCACCACCACGCCTGGATAATTTTTTGTATTTTTAGTAGAGGCAGGGTTTCACCATGTTGGCCAGGCTGGTCTCGAACTCCTGACCTCTGGTGATCTGACCGCTTCAGCCTCCCAAAGTTCTGGGATTACAGGCGTTCACCACTGGTCAGTAGGGTTAGTTTCGACTCTGGTCCCAACAAGTATGGTCAAGGAGTTGGGATTACATTGTCCAGACATGGCCAAAAGGAGCCACCACGGGAGTTGGAAATGGGGACAAGACAGGTCTCAGGGACTTGGTGTTGTTCCCTTATTACCAATGAGAAGAAGTAAATACCCTGATATGCCAAAACCTGAGAAAGGCCTTCCACTCAATAGCCCTGATACATGTATCAGTTAGGATATTTTGGTTGCAAGTGACACAGAAATCAACTCTGGCCAACTCAAACCAAACATTTATACATATATGTATATGTATAAATATACACATGAACACTCTTACACACACATATGTATCTGGAATCCCAAGAGACAGTGTCTAATTGGAGTGGCCTGGGTCACATGATGTGCTAGATCATTATAATAATGGCTCTCTGCAGTGGCTCACGCCTGTAATCTCAGCACTTTGGGAGGCCGAGTCAGGAGGATTGCTTGAGCCCAGGAGTTCCAGACCAGCCTGGACAACATGGTGTAACCCGTTTCTACAAAAAATGCAAAAGTTGGCCAAGTGTGGTGGTGTGCACCTTTTAGTGCTGGATACCTGGGAGGCCGGGGTGGGAGGATCACTTGAGCCTGGGAGGTTGAGGCTGCAGTGAGCTTATGATTGCGTCACTGCACTGCAGTCTGGGAGACAGAGTGAGACCCTGCTCAAAAAGAAAAGTAAATAAATAATGGCCCTTTACCCACCCCTCTTTGCAATGTGGTGTTGCTGTTCCTCCCTTCAAGAGGTGGACTCTATTCTTCTGCTCGCTTGAACTGATACTGGCCTCATGGCTCACATTGACCAACAGAATGTGGCAGACTTGATGCTGTGTGAGCTTCAGAGCTCAGGTTTTAAGAAACCTCTCCCTCTCCCTCTCCCTCTCCCTCTCCCTCTCCCTCTCCCTCTCCCTCTCCCTCTCCCTCTCCCTCTCCCTCTCCCTCTCCCTCTCCCTCTCCCTCTCCCTCTCCCTCTCCCTCTCCCTCTCCCTCTCCCTCTCCCTCTCCCTCTCCCTCTCCCTCTCCCTCTCCCTCTCCCTCTCCCTCTCCCTCTCCCTCTCCCTCTCCCTCTCCCTCTCCCTCTCCCTCTCCCTCTCCCTCTCCCTCTCCCTCTCCCTCTCCCTCTCCCTCTCCCTCTCCCTCTCCCTCTCCCCACGGTCTCCCTCTCATGCGGAGCCGAAGCTGGACTGTACTGCTGCCATCTCGGCTCACTGCAACCTCCCTGCCTGATTCTCCTGCCTCAGTCTGCCGAATGCCTGCGATTGCAGGCACGCGCCGCCACGCCTGACTGGTTTTGGTGGAGATGGGGTTTCGCTGTGTTGGCCGGGCCGGTCTCCAGCCCCTAACCGCGAGTGATCCGCCAACCTCGGCCTCCCGAGGTGCCGGGACTGCAGACGGAGTCTCGTTCACTCAGTGCTCAATGGTGCCCAGGCTGGAGTGCAGTGGCGTGATCTCGGCTCACTACAACCTACACCTCCCAGCCGCCTGCCTTGGCCTCCCAAAGTGCCGAGATTGCAGCCTCTGCCCGGCCGCCACCCCGTCTGGGAAGTGAGGAGTGTCTCTGCCTGGCCGCCCATCGTCTGGGATGTGAGGACCCCCTCTGCCTGGCTGCCCAGTCTGGAAAGTGAGGAGCGTCTCCGCCCGGCCGCCATCCCATCTAGGAAGTGAGGAGCGCCTCTTCCCAGCCGCCATCACATCTAGGAAGTGAGGAGCGTCTCTGCCCGGCCGCCCATATTCTGAGATGTGGGGAGCGCCTCTGCCCCGCCGCCCCATTTGGGATGTGAGGAGCGCCTCTGCCCGGCCGAGACCCCGTCTGGGAGGTGAGGAGCGTCTCTGCCCGGCCGCCCCGTCTGAGAAGTGAGGAGACCCTCTGCCTGGCAACCACCCCGTCTGAGAAGTGAGGAGCCCCTCCGCCCGGCAGCTGCCCCGTCTGAGAAGTGAGGAGCCTCTCCGCCCGGCAGCCACCCCATCTGGGAAGTGAGGAGCGTCTCCGCCCGGCAGCCACCCCGTCCGGGAGGGAGGTGGGGGGAGTCAGCCCCCCGCCCGGCCAGCCGCCCGATCCGGGAGGGAGGTGGGGGGTCAGCTCCCCGCCCGGCCAGCCGCCCCGTCCGGGAGGTGAGGGGCGCCTCGGCCCGGCCGCCCCTACTGGGAAGTGAGGAGCCCCTCAGCCCGGCCAGCCACCCCGTCCGGGAGGGAGATGGGGGGGTCAGCCCCCCCACCCGGCCAGCCGCCCCGTCCGGGAGGGAGGTGGGGGGGTCAGCCGCCCGGCCGGCCGCCCCGTCCGGGAGGTGAGGGGCGCCTCTGCCTGGCCGCCCCTACTGGGAAGTGAGTAGCCCCTCTGCCCGGCCAGCCACCCCGTCCGGGAGGGAGATGGGGGGGTCAGCCCCCCCACCCGGCCAGCCGCCCCGTCCGGGAGGGAGGTGGGGGGGTCAGCCCCCCGCCCGGCCGGCCGCCCCGTCCGGGAGGTGAGGGGCGCCTCTGCCCGGCCGCCCCTACTGGGAAGTGAGTAGCCCCTCTGCCCGGCCACCACCCCGTCTGGGAGGTGTGCCCAACAGCTCATTGAGAACGGGCCAGGATGACAATGGCGGCTTTGTGGAATAGAAAGGCGGGAAAGGTGGGGAAAAGATTGAGAAATCGGATGGTTGCCGTGTCTGTGTAGAAAGAAGTAGACATGGGAGACTTTTCATTTTGTTCTGCACTAAGAAAAATTCCTCTGCCTTGGGATCCTGTTGATCTGTGACCTTATCCCCAACCCTGTGCTCTCTGAAACATGTGCTGTGTCCACTCAGGGTTAAATGGATTAAGGGCGGTGCAAGATGTGCTTTGTTAAACAGATGCTTGAAGGCAGCATGCTCCTTAAGAGTCATCACCACTCTCTAATCTCAAGTACCCAGGGACACAAACACTGCGGAAGGCCGCAGGGTCCTCTGCCTAGGAAAACCAGAGACCTTTGTTCACTTGTTTATCTGCTGACCTTCCCTCCACTATTGTCCCATGACCCTGCCAAATCCCCCTCTGTGAGAAACACCCAAGAATTATCAATAAAAAAATAAATTTAAAAAAAAAAAAAAAAAAAAAGAAACTTTGCAGCTTCTGCCTGGCCTCCTGTGGGACAAGCAGTCATATGGAGGAAAACTGAGGCTCCTCAGGGGACAGTCAGCACCCACTGCCAGTTACTGAGGGAGGCTGTCTCGGATCTTCTAGCTCATCCAAACTTCCGGTTGAATGTAGCCATGTGGATGAGCCCAGGCAAGATCAGCAGATTTGTCCAAATGGCCAACCCTAGAACCATAAGAAATTAACAATGATCATTTTAAGCCTCTGAGTTTGGTGTTGTTTTTTACACAGCATCAATAACTGGAACACATGCCCATCCCCCTGGGCCTGGAGAGAAAGGATCTGCTAGGAGAAGCCTCTAGAAACCTCTTTTGGCTTCCACAGTGTGAGGGCTGCATACTTAGACTCTCTGCCCTGTGAATTTCCCACAGCCAGGGAGAAGCAGTTCTTCAAAATGCAAGCAGGGTGCTGTTTGGAAGAGAAAAATATATATACCTGGAAGCTCAAAAACAACAAATATCCACTCTATTTTGCTTTGAGCTTTTGTAAGCATAGCTGTATAAATACTCCAAATACCTATTACATGTTGTCTTAAACTCATACTTTTGAAAATAAATACCACCAGGATGGGCTGATTTGAATTAAATAGACAGAGACTACAGTTTGTACCATCTGCAGTCCCCCACTTCTCTTGGCCCAATTTGAGAACAAACACATACACACCGAACCACAAGAGAACGACTGATTTAGAACAAATTAAATAAAGTAACATGTAGGATGTCAACACCACGCGCTCCAAGACAGGACCCAGCACACCTACTCTGAGTGTGGAAGACAGGCCAAACCATGTGCTAAACCACCAAGTACCCTCAGGTCAGAAGCAGGATTGGCAGCACTTCCACTTCCCGAGTGAATTCAAACTCTGTGATTCTCATCCAGGGGTGATTTTGCTCCCGAGGGGACATTTGACAATGTCTGAAGACATTTTTTTTTTTTAATTTTTTTTGGAGATGGAGTCTTGTTCTGTTGCCCAGGCTGGAGTGCAATGGCACGATCTTGGCTCACTGCAACCTCTGCCTCCCGGGTTCAAGTGATTCTCCTGCCTCAGCCTCCCGACTAGCTGGGACTATAGGTGCCCGCCACCACACCCAACTAATTTTTGTATTTTTAGTAGAGGCGGAGTTTCACTATGTTGGCCAGGCTGGTCTTGAACTCTTGACCTCAGGTGATCTGCCCGCCTCAGCCTCCCAAAGTGCTGGGATTGCCGGCGTGAGCCACGGCGCCCGGCCTTAAGACAGTTTAGGTTGTCACAACTAGGCAGCGGGTGGGAGTGCTACTGGCATCTAGTGGGCTGAGGTCAGGGAGGTTCCTCAACGTCCAGGGCATCCCCCCACAACAAGGAATTATCTAGCTTAAAATAGCAATGGTACTGAGGTTGAGAAACCCTGATTTAATAGAAATAGAATTTCCAGAGGGAACAAGAATCATAACCACATCCCTGGACGTCAGAATAATCACGGATGAATACAAAGCCCCGTTATTCAACACGGCATTGTATACAACACTCTACCAGGCTCTGGAATCTTGCTGTCCACCAGCGATCCCACTCTTAGGTATTTACCCAAGAGAAGTAAAAACATACCTCCATACAAAGCTTAGTGTGTGAATGTTCATAGCAACATTATTCATAATAGCCCATATGTGGAAGCAACTCAAAATGTTTACTGTGTAAACAAAATGTGGTCTATCGTTACTACTCAGCTATAAAAAGAAATGATGTACTGATATACGCTACGACGTGCCTGGGCCTCGAAAACGTTATGCTCAGTGAAAGGAGCCAGATGCAAAAGACCACATATTACATGATTGTTTTTATATGACATACCCAGGAAAAGCAAATTATAAAGACAGAAAGTAGAGTCGTGGTTGCCTGGAGCTGGAGGTGGAAATGGGGATTAATTGTAAATGGGCATGAGAGACCTTATTGGGGTGATAAAAATATTCTGGCCGGGTGTGGTGGTTCACGCCTGTAATCCCAGCACTTGGGAGGCTGAAGTGAGCAGATCACTTGAGGTCAGGAGTTCGAGATCAGCCTGGCCAATATGGTGAAACTTCGTCTGTAATAAAAATAGAAAAAATTAGCCAGGCATGGTGGCATGCACCTGTAGTCCCAGCTACTCGGGAGGCTGAGGCAGGAGAATCACTTGAACCTGGGAGGCGGAGGCTGCAGTGAGTGGAGATTGCACCACTATACTCCAGCCTGGGAGACAGAGCAAGGTTCCGTCTCAAAAAAAAAAAAAAAAAAATATATATATATATATATAAACCTGGTGATGATATGGTGATGATGCATAACTCAGCAAACTTTCCAAAATGTATTAAACTGTACACTCAGGATGGCCAGTTAATCTCTTGGTGTTCTTAGGTGCATCATCTATAAAATGGAATACATAGTACTTACCTCACAAGACCGTTTTAAGAAATAAATAAAATTTATTTTCCAAATATAAACATAATGGCCAAACTTTTTCTTCTTCTTTTTTTTTTTTTCCTAGAGACAGGGTCTTGCTATATTGCCCAGGCTGGTCTTGAACTCCTGAGCTCAAGTAATCTGCCCGCCTTGGCCTCCCAAAATGCTGAGATTACAGATGTGAGCTACTGTACCTGGCCTGACCAACCCTTCTTCAATCTAAGTTTAAGTTGCATCAGAGATGCTCTCTTTCTACATTTTGCTGGGATCAGCAGGCAATACTCCTGGGTCCTATTATGATATGGATAGGAGTCATTTTTACCCAAAGTTATGATTGGAATGGATTTGCTTCCACATACTTCAGCCAAAACAGAATTGAAAAAAAATAAATAAAAAGGAGTTTTTGGGAGGTTATATTCTGTAACAAAAACCCTCTCTCTAAACAGACCCGACTGGTTTAGGTGACATTCCAGGACTTGATTACTTCCTATAGGTGCCTCCTTGCATTTAAAGAATCTCTGCCATGTTCTACTGAGTATGGTAAGAAAGTTCTCTCAACTCTGTGTTGACAGAATTATTTGAGTAATTAGACACAGTTCTCAACACAGAGAGAACTGTATCTAATTACTCAAATAATACATGCTCATTATTAAATAAATCAGGTGGGGCATGGAGGCTCATTCCTGTAATCCCAGCACTTTGGGAAGCCGAGGTGGGAGGACTGCTTGAGTCAAGAAGTTTGAGACAAGGCTGGGCAACATAGTGAGCCCTTGTTTTGTTTTGTTTTTTTTTTTGTGGGGGGTGCAGTCTCGCACTGTCGCCCAGGCTGGAGTGCAGTGGTGCTATCTTGGCTCACTGCAAGCTCCGCCTCCCAGGTTCATGCCATTCTCCTGCCTCAGCCTCCCGAGTAGCTGGGACTACGGCACCCGCCACCATACCCAGCTAATTTTTTGTATTTTTTAGTAGAGACAGGGTTTCACCATGTTAGCCAGGATGGTCTCGCTCTCCTGACCTCATGATCCACCGGCCTCAGCCTCCCAAAGTGCTGGGATTACAGGGGTGAGCCACCGTGCCCGGCCTGAGTTACTTCTTAAATAATTACCAGCATACAACTGACTCACTCTGCAAGATGCACACCAAAGTCTTTTTTTCATTTCTGTGGAGAATGGGGTCTTGCTATGTTGTCCAGGCTGGACTCAAACTCCTGGGCTCAAGCTATCCTTTTGCCTCTGCATCTCTCAGTGTTGGGATTACAAGTGTGAGCCAATGCACCCCGCCCAAAGTTTTTACCTAACAAATAGGTCCTGTTCTGCAGAAGTCAGTGCCAGGGTCTTGGGTGGGGAATAATTTTTGATGCCAAACTGAAATAATTGGAAGCATCAGAATCTAGTCTTAAAGAGTTTATTCAAGCGAAGAGCTGGGAATAGCCAATCTGGGAGACAGACTCCAGAGAAATGAGGTGAGAGTTCCGAAGTTGAAAGTTAAGTTCTTGGTTATAAGCAGAAAACAGAGTCTAGTAGAATGGTAACATTTTCTACATAAGCCTGGTTTATGAGTTACAACAATTTAATTAGTTACAGTTTGTTTTCTTTTCCTTAAGGCTTGTTTTCTTTTCTTTACAGCTGGCTTGCATTTCCTTTCCAATTTAAAAGAGTATATTTAGCATTCCATCTTAAGACAATGTGATAGCTATGAAATCTTTGTGTGAGAAGGGTAAGCAGGAAGTTAATCTATAATGAAAATCAACAGTAAAGAGGCAAGGGGTCTTCTCTGGTGCCCTTTAGTCATTTGCAACATTTTACAAACAACATAGTTTAGGAAGATGGCTAATCTGGCTAGGCACTGGGGCGCGGTGGTTCACACCTGTAATCCCAGCACTTTGGGAGGCTGAGGTGGGCAGATCACAAGGTCAGGAGATCAAGACCATCCTGGCCAACATGGTAAAACCCCATCTCTACAAAAGTTAGCTGGATGTGGTGGTGTGCGCCTGTAGTCCCAGCTACTTGGGAGGCTGAGGCAGGAGAATCACTTGAATCCATGAGGCAGAGGTTGCAGTGAGCTGAGATTGCATCACTGCACTCCAGCCTGGTGACAGAGTGAGATTCCGTCTCAAAAACAAAACAAAAAGGCCGGGCCCGGTGGCTCATGCCTGTAATCCCAGCACTTTGGGAGGCCAAGGCGGGTGGATCACGAGGTTTGGAGATCCAGACCATCCTGGCTAACACGGTGAAACCCTGTCTCTACTAAAAATACAAAAAATTAGCTGGGCATGGTGGCAGGCGCCTGCAGTCCCAGCTACTCAGGAGGCTGAGGCAGGAGAATGGCGTGAACCTGGGAGGCGGAGCTTGCAGTGAGCTGAGATCGTGCTACTACACTCCAGCCTGGGTGACAAAGCGAGACTGTCTCAAAAAAAAAAAGGAAAAAAACTAAAAAAAACAAAAACAAAAACAAAAAAAGAAGATGGCTAATTTATAATCAGAGAAACAAAGGTTACAGCTGTCTAGGTTACAGCTGCCTATCACATGACTCAGTCCCCATAATCACATTCCTTTAAGGCTCAAAATAGAGTTTCAATGGCTTAGATTTTGAATTACTTATTTTTACATTTTGTATATAATGGATAGAGTGTAATCCTCATTTCTTTCCCATACCACAGTATGCATTTCACCCAAGATAACCACTGATACATTTTATATATATTTCCCTAACTTTTCCCAAGCATATGTCAATAGATCTTTATCTTATTTGTATGGGATGGCACTGTACATCCCATAAGATACCTTGGCATATGTATCTTAGATATTTTTCTTTGTACACACAGAGTCATTATTTATTTATTTATTTATTGAGATAGAGTCTTGCTCTGTTGCCCAGGCTGGAGTACAATGGCATGATCTTGGCCCAGTTATTATTATGATGTTAGGAAAAGTTTTTTACTGTAAGGCAAATTTCTAGAGGAAGAATTGTTGGGACAAAAGGTTAAAACATTTCTTATTTTCATAGATGTTGCCAAATTCCTCTCCAAAAAGGTTTCTGCCGATTTCAGTTTCTACCAACAGTGTATGATAAGAATTAAAATATATATATATTTTTTAGGCCAGGTGTAGTGGCTGAGCCTGTGATCCCAGCCTTTTGGGAAGCTAAACAGAAGGATTGAGGCCAGGAGTTTGCGACAAGCCTGTACAACAAAGTGAGACCCCATCTCTAAAAAAATATTTTAAAAATGAGCTTCTAGATAAGATTTAATGTTCTAATTGTTGTTGGCAACCATAGCTGAGACTTAGTAGTGATGATGATTGATTTCCTCATGAGCCTTTTGTTCTCTTTCCCTGGTACCTTTATTTACATCATTATCTCTAAGTACATCCCACCAAGCCTTCCAGATTTATTATAACAGTACATCCCAACAAGTCTTCCAGATTTATTACAAATACCACCTCTAGCCCAGTGGCTTTCAACTGGGGACAACTGGAAATATTTGAAGACCCCTTTGGTTGTCAGAACCAGAGGTAAAGGGTATTGCTGGCATCTAGTGGGTGGAGGCCAGGGATGTTGCTAAGCATCCCACAATGTGCAGGACAGCACCACAAGAAAGAATTATGCAGCTGAAAATGTCAAAAGTGCTAAGGTTGAGAAACCCTGCTACAATTTTTTTTTTAATAGAGATAGAACCTCGCTATGTTGCCCAGGCTAGTCTCAAGTTGATTTATCCTTTCTCTACACACTTGATGCTTACTGTCCCTTCTTCAGTTTTGGCACATAATAAATTGCTTTATATCATCGCTCACTCTCTGTGTCCGTTGAGATTCTTTTGTTGGAAGTGATAGGAATTTCAACTTGAATACATTTAAACAGTAAATTGAGCTTATTGGCTCGCATAACTGAGTTTCTGAGGTCATGCTGATTTCAAGTGAAGCTTGAGCCAATGACTCCAATGATGTCAGTGAGGACCCAGTTCTTTTTTTTTTCCTATTAGTTGTGGTCAGTTTCATCCTAAAGTCCTCCTTTTCCACCTACTTGTGCTATGAGTAAAGCAGATCAAGTTTCATATCCTTATATTTTACTGTCCAGAGCTTCATAGTAGCCACTAGTCACACGTGGCTCTTGAGAAATCTGTTTAGGTCTGATTTGAGATGTGCTGAAGGTATAAAATACACATGTCAGATTTCAAAGACTCACTATGAAAAAAAAGAATGTAAAATATTGATTTTTTTCTACTATTGACACACTGAAATGATAATATTTTGGTTATATTGGATTAAATAAAACATATTATTAAAATTAATTTCACCTTTTCCTTTTCCTTTTTAAGCTGCAGCCAATAGAAAATTGAAATCTCAATATGAAGCTCACATTATATTTCTATTGGATAGCACTAGTGTAAGAGAAGAACCTCTTCTGAAATCTTCCTCAAGAGAGAGGAGACTTTTCTTTCCCAAAGACCACAGTAAGCATCTCCTTACCTATCGTTGACTTTGGTTGGGTTTCTGCTTCAATTGTGAACCAATCATCATAGGGAAAATGTACGGGATAAGTTGATTGGCTGATGCTGGATACAGGCCCACCCCTGGAGGAGGAGTTGGATCAATATTGCCTAAAGTTTATGGCTGAGAAGATGAGGACTGAGAAGATGAGGGAGGGAGGGAGGGGGGTTTCACACAGGATTTTTTTTTTTGAGATGAGTCTCTATCTGTTGCCCAGGCTAGAGTGCAGTGGCACGATCTTGGCTCACTGCAACCTCCACCTCCCGGGTTCAAGTGATTCTCCTGCCTCAGCCTCCTGAGTAGCTGGGACTACAGGCTTGCGCCACCATGCCCGGCTAATTTTTGTATTTTTAGTAGAGACGGGGTTTCACCATGTTGGCCAGGCTGGTCTTGAACTCCCGACCTCAGGCGATCTGCCCACCTCCGCCTCCCAAAGTGCTAGGATTACAGGCGTGAGCCACTGCACTGGGCCCACACAGGATATTTTGGATTCTGTTTCAGAAGGTAGGGTAAGGGACGTTGACTCTCAGCTCTTAGCTTATGCTCTCAGTTGCAAGTAATTTATAAAAAAAAAATTTGTTATTACACAAATGACATATGCGGATTATTTATAACTTTAAGAGCTGTCCACTGTGCCCTTTAGGTTGACAGTTCTCCCTTGGGTAAGACTTAAAGCAGTTTTCATCTGGATTGTATACATCTTGAGTACCATGCCTCATTATTCTTTGTGTCACAGTCCATGTCTGACACTGTGCTTTGGCCCATGGTGCTAATGAACTGTAATGGTGATGACAGTGGCAATGGTGGGGATCTCCATGTACACAGTTACATTTCTAGAGATGGACGCACCTCCACTGGGAAGCATCCAAGCAATGCTCAGGGAGCTGTGCCCACCAGAGCAGCAGTGTGGATTCCTGGTATTTGGAGGGGAGGTAGACAATGGAAGGAGAAAGAGGGAGCAGATAAGAAAATACCATCATCCAAGATCGTCCTCAATTTGGGGTAAATGCTATACTGGAATTAAAGGATTCACGGCAGAGGATGGTCAGCCATGGGATGGAGATCTTGATGTTTAAGCTAAAGTGATGTTAGCAACCAGTTTGGACAGTGCAGAGGACAGACTGTAAGGTGGCCAAGGTGGTCCCCATGATCTTCATCTCCTGGTGTTCAGATCCTGTGTGATCCCTTTGCCTTGAGTGTGGGCAGGACCTGTGATTTGCTTCTAACCAGGTGACTATGGCAAAGATGATGGGTTATCACGTTACATAAGATTGTCGTGTGTGTCTTGCTGAGAGACTTTCTCCCTTGCAAGCTGCCATCTTGTGAGCTGCTCTGTGGACAGGGCCATGGGGCAAGGGAAACTGGGAGTGGCGTCCACTGACAGTGAGTAAGAAGCTACAGCTACAGCTTTCAAGGAACTGAATGTTGCCGGCAATCATGTGGGCTTAAAAGCAGATTCTTCCCCAGTCAGACCTTGGAATGAGATCCCACTGCCCTGGCTGGGACTTTGATTGCAGCTTTGCAGAGCACCTACCTAGGCTGTGCCTGGACTCCAGACTCACAGAAGCTATGAGATAATAAATGCAGGTCGTTTTATGCTGCTAAGTTTTGGCAGTATTGTTATATAGCAATAGATAATGAATACAGATAGATCTGGCTGGGAGTGGTGGCTCATGCCTGTAATCCCAGCACTTTGGGAGGCTGAGGTGGGAGAAGTGCTTGATCTCAGGAGTTCAAGACCAGCCGGGGCAACATAGCAAGACCCATCTCTTAAAAAAATTAAAAATTAGCCAGGCATGGTGGTGTGCACCTGTAGTCCCAGCTACTCAAGAGGCTGAGGTGGGAGGATGGCTTGAGCCTAGAAGCTCGAGGTTACAGTTAGCTATGATCATGCCACTGCACTCCAGCCTGGGAAACAGGATGAGGCCCTGTCTAAAAACAACGACAAACAGACAGACCTGAGTGATATGTCCATTTAATTTTCAGCAGGCATTCGGAGCAGCTTATAGGGTTGTTCTTGTTTTATTGACTAGTATCAGTGAATAGAGAGACACTTTAGTAGCTTAGAAAACACAAGACTCTCTCCATACATTATTTTATGATGGATAGACCCCAATTTCTGTCATTGATTGGCTGCCATAAATATTTCCAAAAAATGTTCAATCTTAATGATTTCTTGTTCCTTGAAGAATCTTAGTTACACAGAGTGAAAAACTGGTGGAGAATCTTAGGTGAATTACCCTTTTGTTAGTGCTAGAATTAGTTTTTACTTGGCAAAGGAAAGGGAGCTGGAAACTGTGCTCTTGAAGGCACAAAACCTGGATTTTCAAAGGCTGTTTTTTTAGACCCTGCTAATGGGGAACAGAGAGAAAACTGCCTTGGAAGGGCAATCATCTTCAAACCACACCACCCCTGAAGGAGAAATTTGATTCTAAAAATACACTACCAAGCACGCCAGTTGAAAGAGAAATGCCTAATGGTTGTGGAAAATCTTTATGCCCAGAGAAATTGGTCACATTAAGGTCCTGTCTTGCTTTTATCTGCTGTGAACACAATGTATGTTGATGCATCGACCCATTGTTCTCCCTTTTCAGGAGTTTCATCTTAGATAACAGCAAACTGTGGGAGTTCACAAAATCGATTCATTGCTGTTCTGTTATTTCCTGTTTAGCATGTGCTAGAATCTGCCCTACCATCTAAGGTTCACACATTTCTGCTTTTAAATTTTTAGAATTTATTTTGCCTTTTTTTTTTTGAGACAGGATCTCACCCTGTTGCCCAGGCTGGAGTGCAGTGGTGCGATCTCGGCTCACTGCAACCTCCCCCTCCAAGGTTCAAGCGATTCTCCTGCCTCAGCTCCCCGAGTAGCTGGGATTACAGACACCCACCAGCATGCCCGGCAAATTTTTGTATTTTTGGTAGAGATGGGGTTTCACCACGTTGGCCAGGCTGTTCTCGAACTCCTGACCTCAGGTGATTGACCTGCCTTGGCCTCCCAAAGTGCTGAGATCACAGGCATGAACCACCATGCCTGGCCTATTTAACTTTGTTTTTGTTTTACAGACAAGGTCTCGCTGTGTCACCCAGGCTGGAGTGCAGTGGCATGATCATAGCTCACTGCAGCCTTAAACTCCTGGGTTCATGCGCATGCGATCCTCCTGACTCAGCCTCATGAATACCTTAGACTACAGGTGTGTACCACTAGGCCTAGCTAATTAAAAAAATTTTTTTTTTTTTTTTGTAGAGATAGGGTCTTGCTGTGTTGCTCAAGGTGGTCTCAAACTCCCTGGCTCAAGTGATCCTCCCGCCTGGGCCCCCCAAAGCACTGGGATTACAGGTGTGAGCCACTGCAGCTGGTCCATGTTTTTATGCCATGAAATAATATATTCTTGAAGACCTCCATGATATAAGGTGCATGCCAAAGGAGTTTGATCCTTTTTCTTGCCTTTTGTCACAGAACAACTCTGGAGGAGGCAGCCAGGGCTCAAAAGCTGATAAAAAAGCTTCATGGACTCCATGGTCCAAAGAAAGAAGAAAATAACTGGAGTCCCCTCTTCTATTAAGAAGTAACCAAATAGGCTGGGCATGGTGGCTCATGCCTATAATTCTAGCATTTTGGGAGGCCGAGGCGGGCAGATCACTTGAGGTCAGGAGTTCAAGACCAGCCTGGCCAACATGGCGAAACCCCGTCTCTTCTAAAAATACAAAAAAATTAGCTGGGTGTGGTGGCATGCACCTGTAATCCCAGCTACTTGAGATGCTAGGCAGGAGAATCGCTTGAACCCAGGAGGTGGAGGTTACAGTGAGCCAAGATTGAGCCATTGCACACCAGCCTGGGCTACAGAGTGAGACTTAGTCTCAGAAAAAAAAAAAAGTAACCAAACTACTTCGCTATCCACAGCCTCACTCTATCCCATCCTGCATCCCAGCCTGTGTATTGGGGGAGGGAAGGTGTTAAACCGAACTGAGTTCTGCTCGCCTGGCACGGTAAGGCCAGATATCCACATGGAGGTTTGCAGCAGGAGAAGGGAAGGTATTTATATGCAGGGTGCCAAGCAAGGAGAATTGGGCAGCTAATGCTTACGTCCTGACCTCCCTGATGGTTTTTAAAAGCAGGGGTAAATTTTAAGAAAGCAGAGTTATAGGCAAAATTGTAAATCAATACATGGAGGGTACACCTTGGTTTTTGGCCTAAAAAGGCAGGATACCTTGAAGTGGGGCCCCCAGGTTATAGGTGGATTCAAAGATTTTCTGATTTGCAGTTGGTTAAGGAAGAGAAGCTTTGTTTAAAAATTTGGGGTCAGCAGAAAAGAACGTTAGCTCCTGGCTTCCTCCAGGCCCTTCAGGAACAAATTTAGAACAAAGAATGGTGGTCAGAGGTCGGTCATCAGTCTCCCCTCATCTGAGGTCTGTGCGCCCCTGGATGCCATTTGGTAGGGGTCTGGGTTTTTGAAAAACAACTTAGGGATGTATGTTTTTTTTACTTTTTTTTTTTCTGTTTTTGTTTTTGTTTTTTTGAGACAGGGTCTCACTCTGTCACGCAGGCTAGGGTGCAGTGGCGTGATCTTGGTTCACTGCAACCTCTGCCACCGGGGTTCAAGTGATTCTCCCACCTCAGCCTCCTGAGTAGCTGGGATTACAAGAGTGAGCCACCATGCCCGGCTAATTTTGTATTTTTAGTAGAGATGAGGTTTCACCATGTTGGCCAGGCTGGTCTCGAACTCCTGACCTCAGGTCATCCACTCTCCTCAGCCTCCCAAAGTGCTGGGATTACAAGCGTGAGCTAGAAGCTGTTCTTTGAGTTGGAGGGCACCTGGCAGAAGCGAGAACCAAAGGCATCTCATTCCTAGGGTGGCCAGAGTGGCTGCCTACTTGGGCTGCAGAATTGTCGATGGACTCTCTGGGCTCACGGTGTTTTTCTTGTCTGTTCTCATGCATTTATTCTTCCTGAAGAATTTCATTTTCAGTTCTCATGTCTCTGCCATACCTCTCCCTGAAACCCTGAAGTTGGAATTCTTTTTATTTTTGTTTTTGAGACAGAATCTTGCTCTATTGCCCAGGTTGGAGTGCAATGGTGCTATCTCCGTTCACTCTCTCTGCCTCTCAGGCTCAAGTGATTCTCCCACCTCAGCCACCCAAGTAGCTTGGACTACAGGCACGGACCACCACACCTGGCTAGTTTTTGTATTTTTTAGCAGAGATAGGGTTTCTTCATGTTGGCCAGGCTGGCCATGAACTCCTGACCTAAAGTGATCCACCCACCTTGGCCTCCCAAAGTGCTAGGATTACAGACATGAGCCACCACGTCCAGCCTGGAATTTTTTTTTTGAATTGCATTTCAATTTTTTCTTTTCTTTTCTTTTTTTTTTTTTTTTGAGATGGAGTCTCGCTCTGTCACCCAGGCTGGAGTGCAGTGGCATGATCTCAGCTCACTGCACCCTCTGCCTCCTTCAAGCAATTCTCCTGCCTCAGCCTCCTGCATAGCTGGGATTGTACGCACACGCCACCATGCCTGGCTAATTTTTGTATTTGTAGCAGAGACGGGGTTTCATCATGTTGGTCAGGCTGGTCTTGAACTCCTGACCTCGTGATCTGCCCGCCTGGGCCTCCCTAAGTGCTGGGATTACAGGCTTGAGCCACTGAGCCTGGCCATTTTTTTTTTTTTTAATTGAGATAGTGTCTCACTCTGTTGCCCAGGCTGGAGTGCAGTGGTACGATCTTGGCTCACTGCAACCTCCAGCTCCCGGGTTCAAGCGATTCTCATGCCTCCACCTCCTGAGTAGCTGGGACTACAGGCATGAGCTACCATGCCCAAGTAATTTTTGTATTTTTTAGTAGAGATGGGGTTTCTGCATGTTGGTCAGGCTGGTCTCGAACTCCTGACCCCAGGTGATCTGCCCACCTCAGCCTCCCAAAGTGCTGGGATTACAGGCATGAGCAACTATGCCTGCCCACATTTCAATTTGAATTACATTTTATTTTTTCCCACTTTATTGAGCCATAATTTACATACAATAAAATGCACCATTTTAGGGCTATATTTAGATGAGTTTTGACAAATGTATACGCCATGTCACCGCCAATGCAATTAAGCTATAGAACATTCTTGTTAGACCCCTGGAGATCCTTTTGCAATTAATCCTTACCTTCATCCCCAACTCTAGCTGCCGTCATTTTTTCCCCTCTCTAGAATTTTATATAAATGCAATCATACAGCATGTATTCTTTTGTTGTTTGTTGCTGTTGTTTTTTTGAGACAGAGTCTCACTTTGGTACTCAGGCTGGAGTGCAGTGGTGTGATCATAGCTTACTGCAACCTCAACCTCCCAGGCCCAAGGGATCCTCCTATCTCAGCCTCCCGAGTAGCTGGGACTACAAGTGCATGCCACCATGCCCAGCTAATTTTTATTTTATTTTTTGTAGATACGGGGTCTCACAATATTGCCCATGCTAGTCTCAAACTCCTGGGCTCAAGCAATCCTCCTGCCTTGGCCTCCCAAAGTGGTGGGATTACAAGCATGAGCCACTGCCTTCGGTTTTGTGCTCTCTTCTGAATCTGGCTTCTTTCACTCAGCCTAATGGTTTTGAGATTCACTTATTTTCA
This sequence comes from Homo sapiens, assembly GCF_000001405.40. NCBI lineage: Eukaryota > Metazoa > Chordata > Mammalia > Primates > Hominidae > Homo > Homo sapiens. The sequence goes on along the minus strand of NC_000012.12, from coordinate 119,904,252 downwards.
TTTATTGTATTGTTTGTATCAATAGTACATACCTTCTTTTTTTTTTTTTTTTTTTGAGACAGAGTCTCACTCTGTCACCCAGGCTGGAGTACAGTGGCACGATCTTAGCTCACTGCAATCTGCACCTCCAGGGTTTATGTGATTCTTCTGCCTCAGCCTCCTGAGTAGCTAGGATTACAGGCGTGCACCACCACGCCCAGCTAATTTTTGTATTTTTAGTAGAGATGGGGCTTCACCATGTTGGCCAGGCTGGTCTCGAACTCCTAATCTCGGGTGATCCGCCTGCCTTGGCCTCCCAAAGTGCTAGGATTACAGGCATGAGCCACCGTGCCTGGCCGCACATACCTTCTTAATGTTGAGTAGAACTGCACTGTATGGATACACCACCATTTATTTATTCTGCTTTTCCTTTTTATGTTAAATTGGGAAGAAAAGGAATCTTACAACATTGGCACTTCTTATTTAGGAACAGATCATCCCTGTCTTTTCTTACTCAGGCCTTGTTTGTAAGTCTGTAGTCAAGCTTTGCGGTTTTCTTTATGAACCCCTTGCCCTTTTCTTATTGTGTTGATTTCTAGGAACTGGATAGTTTGTTGTTACTGGAGGAGAATAATTTCTCTTTAACATTAGCTCAATGGTTGTTACTAGTGTAATGGAAAGCTATTGATTTTGTGTGTATGTGCATTCATCTTATATTGGGCTATCATTTGGAATGCCTGGTCTACAAGTGCACGCCACCCCACCTGGCTAATTCTTAATTTTTTTGTAGAGAAGGTGGGGTCGGGTAGATGGTCTCACTTTGTTGCACAGGCTGGTCTCCAACTCCTGGACTCAGGCAATCCTCCTGCCTCAGCCTTCCCGGGCTGTGATCTCCTTTTCTAAGAGTGATACTCCTTTTTCTTATACGTGTAATCTCTGAGGAAAGGGAGAAAAACGGGAGGCAGATGGTTGGGGTACAGGGGTAGAGAGACAGAGAGAGGAGGCGAAATGAGAAAGCTTGAACTCCTGATGTTGGGTGGGACAAGAATGAATTAAGTGGACTCCCTGGAGCTTAGCTGAGAGAAGGGTAATTGGAAAAGTCCAAGCAAGAGTCCATTTCCTATGTCAGAAAATTGTACAAGGTGTGGCCCTTTTCCTTTATTTCTAGTCTCTGCCCCAAGCATCAGAGGAGCTTTGAACGAAGGAGGGTGGGGCAAGCATGTGAGAGCAGACCACTCCCCACAGATCATTCTTTCCCCCCACTCCAAAGCTGGGCTTATCGGGGAGGGGAGTAGGAGATGATGCATCAGACACACTATCAGAGCCTTTGGGGCTGGGGCAATGGCTCATGCCTGTAATCCCAGCACTTTGGGAGGCCAAGGCAGGAGGATCGCTTGAACCCAGGAGTTCTAGATCAGCCTGGATAACAAAGGGAGATCCCACCTCTACAAAAAATATTTAAAAATTAGCTAGGAGTGGTGGCGTGTGCCTGTAGTCCCAGCTACTCGGGAGGCTGAGAGGAGAGAATTGTTTGAGCTTTGGGAGGTCGAGGCTGCAGTGAGCTGTGATCACACTGCTGCATTCCAACTTGGGCAACAGAGCAAGATCGTATCTCAAATAAAGGGGGTGGGGTGGGGGCACTTTGGGAAAGTTGAGGACATGAAAGCCACAGCGTTTGCTAGGGATGTCTCTTAAGGGTGGAAAAGGAAGGTTCCATAGAGAATGGTTGAAGGAAGAGACTGGAAAAATAATAAATTGGGGGTTTTTTTGGACATAATATTTAACCAGTTGCTTTTACAATGTCAACTGTATTTCTATCATCCCTGTTTTAGGAATGGTGCAATTAAGACCAGAGAAGACATTGTCATTTGGGGCGAAAGCCCATCTATCTCATCTTTGTAGAGACATCCCTCTCTGAGTCAGACTTGGATGTCGACTTTCATGGCACTGCCAGATCAGCAGCACCAGATAAAGCATATCAAGGACCTTGTTACTAAGACAGGCACTAGTGAAAATGGGGGCTGCCCCTGCAGCTACTCTATTGGGCCACTAGATAGCGCTTCTGCTTCGAGGAGGTAAAATGCTAAACCAAGCAATGGTGCTTTAGATGGTTTAAAGATAAGGAAGCAACTAACGGAAGTAATTTCCAGGGCAGGACTCTAAAAAGGCTATTTGGAAGAGAAGTACAGGTGCTCATTAGGTAGTGTGGAATGAATGTGATCTAGAAAATTGCTTACATTCCATAGGAAAAATTTACATTGCTAAACAAGGAAATTAAAAAGACACAATGAAATGCCACTTCATCCCTATTAGGATGGCTATTATATATAATATAATATAGATATTAAATGGAAAAATATATATTATTTATAATATATAAAATATATAATTTATAATATATTATTATATAATGTAATTATATTATATATTATTTATATTTATTGTTTTATATATATATAAAATGGAAAATAATTTAAGTGTTGGTTAGAGTGTGGAGAATTTGAAGCCCTGATTCGTTAGTGGTGGGAATTTCAAATGGTGCAGCCACTTTGAGAAACAGTTTGGTGGTTCTTCAAAAAGGAAACAGAAGTGACGTATGATCCACTCCTACGTATGTAAATATACCCCAAAGAATGGAAAGCAGGGACTCAGATATTTGTACACCAACATTCTTTCAGAAAACAGAAGCAACCCACGTGTTTATGAACAGATGAATGGATAAACAACATGTGGCATATACATGCAATGGAATATTATTCAGTCATACATGGAATGAAGTCCTAATACATGTTACAACATGGATGAACCTTGAAAACATGCTAAGCGAAATCAGCCAGGCACGAAGGGCTGCTGTATGATATCATTCCACTTATATGAGGTGCCTAAAATGGGCAAATTCATAGATACAGAAAGTAGAATAGAGGTTAAGAAAGCAGAGGCTGGGTGCGGTGGCTCACGACTGTAATCTCAGCACTTTGGGAGGCCGAGGCGGGCAGATCACTTGAGGTCAGGAGTTCGAGACCAGCCTGGCCAACATGGTGAAACCCTGTCTCTACTAAAAATACAAAAATTAGCCAGGGGTGCTGGTGCACGCCTATAATCCCAGCTACTTGGGAGGCTGAGGCAGGAGAATCACTTGAACCCAGGAGTTACAGGTTGCAGTGAGCCAAGATTGTGACATTGCACTCCATCCTGGGTGACAGAGTGAGAGGGAGACTCAGTTTAAAAAACAAACAAAAACAACAACAACAACAACAAAAAAACAGAAAGCAGAACGGATGTTGCCGAGGGAAAATGAAAAGATGTAGTTTAATAGGTACAGAGTTTGTTTGGGATGATGACAAAGTTCTGAAAATAGGCAGTGATCATGATTCATTGCACGTTATGAATGTACTTAATGCTACTGAACTGTATGCTAAAGAATAGTTAAATAGGCCAGGCACAGTGGCTCACGCCTGTAATCCCAGCACTTTGGGAGGCCGAGGCTGGCAGATCATCTGAAGTCAGAGTTCCAGACCAGCCTGGCAAAACTAATGTCTATACAAAAAATACAAAAATTAGCTGGGTGTGGTGGCGCCGGCCTGTAATCCCAGCCACTCGGGAGGCTGAGGCAGGAGAATCGCTTGAACCCGGGAGGCGGAGGTTGCAGTGAGCCGAGGTCGCGCCACTGCACTCCAGCCTGGGTGACAGAGCGAGACTCCGTCTCAAAAATAAAAGTAAAAAAATAAAGAATAGTTAAATGAAAAAATTATGCTGTGTATATTTTACCACAATAAAAATAAATAAATAGCTGGCCAACATGGTGAAACTCCGTCTCTACTGAAAAAAAAAATACAGGCCCGGCGCGGTGGCTCACGCCTGTAATCCCAGCACTTTGGGAGGCTGAGGCGGGTGGATCACGAGGTCAGGAGATCGAGACTATCCTGGCTAACATGGTGAAACCCCGTCTCTACTAAAAACACAAAAAATTAGGCCGGCACCTGTAGTCCCAGCTACTCAGGAGGCTGAGGCAGGAGAATGGGCGTGAACCTGGGAGGCGGAGCTTGCAGTGAGCCAAGATCGTGCCACTGCACTCCAGCCTGGGCGACAGAGAGAGACTCCGTCTCAAAACAAACAAACAAACAAAACAAACAAACAAAAAACAAAAGTTAGCCAGGTGTGGTGCCATGTGTCTGTAATCCCAGCTACTTGGGAGGCTGAGGCAGGAGAATCACTTGAACCTGGGTGGTGGAGGTTGCAGTGAGCCGAGATCGCGCCGCTGCTCTCCAGCCTGGGCAACAAGTAAGACTCCATCTAAAAAAAAAAAAAAAAAGAAAAAAATATTAATAAAGCTATGCCCTCTGATATTTGTTCTTGGCTAAGAAAGCTGCTCCTGACATTTTATTAGCTAACTTGCAGTTGGATGTAAAAGCCTATAATCAAAATACACCAAGGTGGGCAGATCGCTTGAGCCAGGAGTTTGAGACCAGCCTGGGCAATATGGTGAAACTCCATCTCTACAAAAAGTACAAAATTTAGCCGGCCATGATGGTGCATGCTGGTAGTTCAAGCTACTCGGGAGGCTGAGGCATGAGGATCACCTGAGCGTGGGAAGTTGAGGCTGCAGTAAACTGAGATGGTGCCACTGCATTCCTGCCTGGGTGACAGACTGAGACCCTGTCTTGAAAAACAAACAAACAATCAAAACAATCAAAAACAAAGAGAAAAGAAATACAAATGGCTTTTAAATACATGAAAAGATGCTCAACTAAAACTATACTGAGATAGCATTTTTTTCATCTATCACATAGCATAGACAACACATTTAAATAACATGCTGCATCAGTAAAGATGAATAAAAGGCAGCTTTGTACAACTCTAGTAGGGCTATAAACTAGTACTGCCCCTCTGGAGGGCATTTTCATCTACCAAACTATGCTGAAGAGAACATCTGACCCAGCGAAATTGCACTTAAAAATTTATCATACAGGGTCTAATGGTATTTCTAGTTCTAGATCCCTGAGGAATCGCCACACTGACTTCCACAATGGTTGAACTAGTTTACAGTCCCACCAACAGTGTAAAAGTGTTCCTATTTCTCCGCATCCTCTCCAGCACCTGTTGTTTCCTGACTTTTTAAATACCATTCAACCCAGCCATCCTATTACTGGGTATATACCCAAAGGATTATAAATCATGCTGCTATAAAGACACATGCACACGTATGTTTATTGCGGCACTATTCACAATAGCAAAGAGTTGGAACCAACCCAAATGTCCAACAATGATAGACTGGATTAAGAAAATGTGGCACATATACACCATGGAATACTATGCAGCCATAAAAAATGATGAGTTCATGTCCTTTGTAGGGACATGGATGAAGCTGGAAACCATCATTCTCAGCAAACTATTGCAAGGACAAAAAACCAAACACCACATGTTCTCACTCATTGGTGGGAATTGAACAATGAGAACACATGGACACAGGAAGGGGAACATCACACACCGGGGCCTGTTGTGGGGGTGGGTGGAGGGGGGAGGGATAGCATTAGGAGATACACCTAATGCTAAATGATGAGTTAATGGGTGCAGCACACCAACATGGCACATGTATACATATGTAACTAACCTGCACATTGTGCACATGTACCCTAAAACTTAAAGTATAATAAAAAAAATTATCATACAGATAAACTTGCACGTGTGAAACATACATAAAAGTCACTCTTTGCAGCATTGTTTGATGTAGCGATACATTAGAGACAACCTAAATGCCCATCATTTTTAGGCTGATTAAATAAAGTTTGATACAACCATTCCATGGAATACTATGCAGCTATAAAAGATAAATAAATTGTAGCACTATCAGAGGCTGAGGCAGGAGGATCGCTTGAGCCCAGGGGTTCAAGACTAGCCTGGGTAACATAGCAAGACCACGCCTCTACAAAAAAACACAAAAATTATTTGGTTGTCGTGGCAGGTGCCTGAAGTCCCAGCTACTCAGGAGGCTAAGGTGGGTGGATTGCCTGAGCTCAGGAAGTCGCAGTGAGCCATGATCATGCCTCTGCACTCCAGCCTGGGTGACAGAGAGAGACTCTGACCCCCCCGCCCCCCCCAAAAAAAGAAGGAAATAAAGCAGGAAGAAAGCTAGAAGCTCTTTATGTAGTAATAGAGTTGCCATATATATATATATATATATATTTTTTTTTTTAGTCAGGGTCTCACTCTGTCGCCCAGGTTGAAGTGCAATGGCATGATCACAGCTCACTGCAGACTCCAACTCTTGGCTCAAGTGATCCTCCTCCACCTCAGCCTGCTGAGTAGCTGGGTCTACAGGCACACGCCACCATGCCTGGCTAATTTTTGTATTTTTAGTAGAGACAGGATTTCATTATGTTATTTTTTTTTTTTTTTTGAGACAGAGTTTTGCTCTTGTCACTCAGGCTGGGGTGCAATGGTGCAATCTCGGCTCACTGAAACTTCTGCCTCCTAGGTTCAAGCGATTCTCCTGACTCAGCCTCCTGAGTAGCTGGGATTATAGGCGAAAACCAATACGTCTGGTAATTTTTTTTATTTTTAGTAGAGATGAGGTCTTGGTATATTGCCCAGGCTGGTCTCAAACTCCTAGACTCAAGCAGTCCTCCCTCCTCGGCCTCTCAAAGTGCTGGGATTACAGGCATGAGACACTGCGCCTGGTCAAATATGTGGTTTTTCTATGGAATGTAATTCTGGGAGGAATCACATAAAAGTCGTTCATTGATACCTCCATGAAGAGGAAATGGTAGTCTGGAGGGAGATATTCTCTTTGGATGTGCCTTTTGAGTTTGAACTATGTAAATGTACATATTGCCCAAAAATAAGTAAATAAATGAAAAAGCGGATGACTAATCCCTAAAATTTTGCTCAAGTCTAGTTGCATGGAGTTAAGGTGAAAAGGCAAACAAGATATCTTAGATAGTAATGATTTTGACATTGGTAATGATACTAGTAGCCAATATTTATTCAATGCTCTCTGTATGCCAGGCCTTGATTATAAAATGCATTTTTTTGTGGTAGGCTGCAGAATAGTCCCTCAAAGGATGGCCATGTCCTAATCCCTGTAAATGTTACCTTATTTAGAAAAAGGCTCTTTGAATGGCCGGGTGCGGTGGTTTACGCCTATAATCCTAACACTCCGGGAGGCCGAGCCGGGTGGATTACCTGAGCTCAGGAGTCCGAGACCAATCTGGGCAACACGGTGAAACCCGTCTCTACTAAAAAATACAAAAAATTAGCCGGGCGTGGCGGTGCGCGCCTATAGTCCCACCTATTCAGGAGGCTGAGGCAGGAGAATGGCTTGAACCCGGGAAGCGGAAGTTGCAGTGAACCTTGATCATGCCACTGCACTCCAGACTGAGTGACAAGGCCAGACTCCATCTCCAAAAAAAAAGGAAGGAAAAGCTTTGAAGATGTGATTAAGGATCTTGAGATGGCCAGGTGCAGTGGCTCGTGCCTGTAATCCCCACACTTTGGGAGGCCGAGGCAGGTGGCTCACCTAAGGTAAGGAGTTCAAGACAATCCTAGCCAACAGGGCAAAACCCTGTCTCTTTTAAAAATACAAAAATTAGCTGGGCGTGGTGGCAGGTGCCTGTAATCCCAGCTATTTAGGAGGCTGAGGCAGGAGAATGACTTGAACCTGGGAGGCAGAGGTTACAATGAGCTGAGATCTCACCACTGCATTCCAGCCTGGGCAACGAGCAAGACTGTCTCAAAAAAAAAAATAAAAAAGAAGGGTCTTGAGATGGAGAGATTGTTCTGGATTCTATCAAGCATTTTTTTTTTTCTTTTTTTGGGACAGAGCCTTGCTCAGCCATCCAGGCAGGAGTGCAGTGGTGCAATTGTGGCTCACTGCAGCCTCCACCTTCTGGGCTCAAGCAATCCTCCCACCTCAGCCTACTAAGTAGCTGGGACCACAGTATGCACCACCAAGCCCAGCTAATTTTTTGATTTTTTTGTAGACAAGGTCTCACTGTGTTGCTCAGGCTGGTCTCAAACTCCTGGGCTCAAGTGATCCTTCCAAAGTGCAGGATTAAAGGCGTGAACCACCGCGCCCAGTCACATATATTCTTTTAAGAGGGAGGCAGAGGGAGATCGGACAACATACAGAGAAGGTGACATGAAGACAGAGCAGAGGGAGACTTAAAGATGCTAGGCTTGAAGATTGGAGTGAAACAGCCACAAGCCAAGGAATGCTGGCAGCTACCAGAAGCTAAGTGAGGAAAGGCAAAGATTCTCCTGCTAGAGGCTCCCGAGGGAGTGTATCCCCTGCTGACACGCTGATTTCAGTCCAGCAATAGTGATTTCATATTCCTAGCCTCTAGAACTGTGAGGGAATAAATTTTGTTTGCTTTTAGCCACCACGTTGCTGAAAAATTGTTATAGCAGCCATTAGAAGTGGACACGCATTTCAAAACCAAAGTATTCAACTAAGCCCTCATCTTCATCCCTCACTGTGTTCAGAGCTTTAGGGACACTGCTTTCTTTCAATTTGATACTCAAGGCTCTCTTGCCCTTCCTCCTCCACCTTTATTAAGGTATAATCAACAAATACACATTGTGTACATTTACAGTGTGCAACATGAGGTTTTGATGTACGTATACATGTGAAATGATTAAATCAAACTAATTAACATATTCATCACCTCACCTTTATTTGTAGTGAGAACATTTAACATCTACTTTTTTTTTTTTTTTTTGAGGCAGAGTCTCACTCTGTCACCCAGGCTGGAGTGCAGTGGCACGATCTCAGCTCACTGCAACCTCCAACTCCCGGGTTCAAGCGATTCTCCTGCCTCAGCCTCCCAAGTAGCCGGGATTACAGGTGCCCACCACCATGCCTGGCTCATTTTTGTATTTTTCATAGAGATGGGGTTTCACCAGGATGGACCAGGCTGGTCTCAAACTCCTGCCCTTGGCCTCCCAAAGCAATGGGATTACAGGCATGAGCCACCAAGCCTAGCCAACATCTATTTTTTAGCCAATTTCAAGCACACAGTACATTGTTATTAACTAGAGTCACCATGCAGTACAATAGCTCTCCTGAATTGATTCATCCTATCAAGTGAAACTTTGTACCTTTTGACCAACATCTTCCTGTCAGGGCTCCTTTTCACTGCTGGGTCTTTGAATGTGCTGTTCCCTCTGCCTGGAATATTTTCTCCCACTCTTTCCCTGGTTAACTCCCACCTTTCCTTCTGATATCAGCTCAGAGAGCACTTCCCCAGAAAAACTTTTACAGCTTCATTGCCTAGCTTCAGGTTTGTATACTTCCAGATGGACATTTTCTAAGATAAAGACCCCTGGAAGAAACCCAGGTCGGAGGCAAATTATGTAACATATTTCTTACAACAGCCCAGGGAGGTAGGTGTTGTGATCTTATTTTATAGATGACGAAATGGAGACAAAAAAGAGGTTACATAATTTGCCTACACACAGGTAATAAGGGGCATAGCTAGAAGTTAAACCCAGGTCTGCCAGCTTCAGAGATGTGTGTGTGTGTGTATATAGGTGTGTGTGTATCTAGGTGTGTATGTATATTGTGTGTGTGTATATATGTGTGTGTATGTATATATGTGTGTATATGTGTGTATGTATATATATGTACAGATGTTGGTATGTATATATATGTATGTGTATATATGTATGTATATATCGTGTAAGCATATATATGTGTGTATATTTGTGTATATATGTATGTATAAATATGTGTATACACGTGTGTATGTATATACATATGTATATGTGTATTCATGTGTATACGTGTGTATATGTGTTTCTGTATATGTGTGTATGTGTGTATATGTGTGTATTATATATGGGCATATATGTGTGCATATGTGTATGTGTGTATATATGTGGTTATGTGTATGCGTGTGTGCATGTGTGTATACATATGTGTATTATATATGTGTGTATGTGTGTATATATGTGTGTAAGTATATGGATATGTATGTGTGTGTGTGCATATGTATGTGTGTATATATGGGTGTGTATGTATAATAGATGTGTATGTATGCATGTATATATCTTTGATTAGTTCTGCATCTCTGCATCTCTGGAGAATCCTGAATAATATAGTCTCAGTTTTTCTGTCATTTTAATTTCATTGCTTTTATGAAGTCATGATAACAGATGCTCTTTTAAAATTATTTGAACATTTAGAAATATTAAAATACATATTATTTTTAAATAAAATAAAATAATAGAACCAGGTGCTGTGACATGCATCTGTAGTCCCAGCTACTAGGGAGGCTGAGGCAGGAGGATTGCCCAGGGGTTCAAGGCTGCAGTGAGCTGTGATCATTCCTGTGGATAGCCACCATACTCCAGCCTGGACAATATAGCGAGGCTCTGTCTTTAAATAAAGCAGAATAAAATATTATAAAACAAAAATATTATAAAATAACATTAAACATTTTAAAAAATATTCTTATTTTGCAAAATAAGTTGTTGAAATCCTATGTCAGTCTCACACACACACACACACACACACACACAGAGACACACACACACACATACATTTGGAAATTTGATCATCTGTAAAGTCTCCTAGCCTAGCTTGGGAATCAGCTGGCTTAAACCTATTTCCTTGTGCTTCATTTTGGAGAACATCATGACTCCTTCAGTTTCTGTCCAGTTCTCCCGGGGTGGACCAGGAAATGGAAGTCAGGAGTTCAGAATTAAGGCTATGGAGGGCATATGCTGGCATTCTCCCTTTACGTAATATGTGGGAAGTAAAGAGCTGATGTGACAGCTTCGAAGAACTATGCAAGGAGATGCCACTTCCCACCCATTAGGACGCCTACTGCCAAACAGAAAACAACAAGTGTTGACGAGGATGTAGAGAAATCGGAGCCCTGGTGCATTGCTGGGAATGTAAAATGATGCAGCTACTGTGGGAAACAGAATGGTGGTTCCTTAAATAACTCAAAATAGAATTTCCTTATGATCCAGCAATTCCACTTCGGGAGATATATCCAAAATAATTGAAATCAGGGATTCAAAGAGATATTTGTACATATTATTCACAATAGCCAAAAGGTAGAAGTAAACCCAAGTGCTCATCAACAGATGAATGGGGGCCGGGCACAGTGGCTCTTGCCTATAATCCCAGCACTTTGGGAGGCCGAGGCGGGTGGATCACCTGAGGTCAGGAGCTTGAGACCAGCCTCGCCAACATGGTGAAACCCCCATCTCTACTAAAAATACAAAAATTAGCTGGGCATAGTAGTGCACACCTGTAATCCCAGCTACTTGGGAGGCTGAGGCATGAGAATTGCTTGAACCTGGGAGGTGGAGGTTTCAGTGAGCCAAGATCACACCACTGCCCTCCAGCCTGGGCAACAGAATGAGACCTTGTCTCAAAAACAAAAAACAAACAAACAAAATGATGTCGTGGTGCATGCCTGCCATTCCAGCTACTCAGGAGGCTGAGGTGGGAGAATTGCTTGAGCCCAAGAGTTGGAGCTTGCAGTGAGCCCTGATCACACCCCTGCACTCCAGCCTGGGTGACAGAGCAACACCCTTTCTCAAAGCAAACAAACAACCCCCTTCCCAAAACAGATGAATGGATAAACAAAATGTGGTCTATCCATACAATAGACTATTATTCAGTCTTAAAAAGGAAGGAAATTCTGACACATGCTACAACATGGATGAACTTGTGTTAAGGGAAACAAACCAGTCACAGAAGAACAAATATTATATGATTCCACTTATATGAGATATCTAGAGTAGTCAAAATTTCAGAGACAGAAAGTAGAATGGTGGTTTCCAGGGCTTTGGGGGAGTGGAGAATGGGGAGTTTGTGTTTAATGGGGATGGAGTTTTAGTTTTGCAGGATGAAAAGAGTTCCGTGTATGGATGGTGGTGATGTTTGCACAACCATGTGAACGCATTTACTACCACTGAACTGTACGCTTAAAAATGGTTAAGATGGCATGGCGTGTTGGCTCACACCCATAATCCCAGCACTTTGGGAGGCCGAGGCAGGTGGAGGACCTGAGGTCAGGAGTTTGAGATCAGCCTGGCCAACATGGCCAAAACCCGTCTCTACTAAAAATACAAAAATTAGCCGGGCATGGTGGCGCATGCCTGTAATCCCAGCTACTAGGGGGGCTGAGGTAGGAGGATTGCTTGAACCTGGGAGGTGGAGGTTGCAGTGAGCCGAGATTGTGCCACTGCACTCCAGCCTGGGCAACAGAGCAAGACTCCGTCTCAAAAAAAAAAAAAAAAAAAAGGGTTAAGATGGGCCGAGAGTGGTGGCTCACACTTGTAATCCCAGAACTTTGAGGGGCTGATGTCAGCGGATCACCTGAAGTCAGGAGTTCAAGACCAGCCTGGGCAACATAGCAAAACCCCATCTCTACTAAAAAATACAAAAATTAGCCAGGTGTGGTGGCAGGCGCCTATAATCCCAGCTACTTGGGAGGCTGAGGCAGGAGAATCACTTGAACCCAGAGGTGGAGGTTATAGTGAGCCGAGATCTCGCCATTACACTCCAGCCTGGGCAACAAGAGTGAAACTCCGTCTCAAAAAAAAAAAAAAAAAAAAAAAGTTAAGATGGGCCCGGTGCAGTGGCTCACACTTCTAATTCCAGAATTTTGGGAGGCCCAGATCAGCAGATCACCTGAGGTCAGAAGTTTGAGACCAGCCTGGCCAACATGGTGGCCCTCTCTAGTAAAATGCAAAAATTAGCCGGGCATGGTGGTGCGCGCCTGTGGTCCCAGCTACTCAGGAGGCTGAGGCAGGAGGATCACTTGAACCTGGGAGTTGGAGGTTGCAGTGAGCTGAGGTTGCACCATTGCACTCCAGCCTGGGCAGCAGAGTGAGACCCTGTCTCAAAAAAAAAATTAATTTAAGCAAAGAGCTATGCAAGGCTGGACAGTGTTTTTGCCAATATATACATGCCCCAAATAGAAATCTTTGGGTTCTGTAGATCTTTCTCACACGGAAAGCTGAACTAATGCATCTTGCAGTCAGCCTCTCCAAGTGTTTTCACTTTATTAGAAGTTGAAAAATAGAGAAAACATTACAAAAGCAGTCTAAAAGCAAAAGGAGTAGAAAAGTGCAACCCAATATTATTTATCATGGAAAAGGCCAATCCAGTTAGTCTTAAAGAATGAAACTGCAAACATAATTCTTTGTAATGGATAAGCGTTTAGTCATTAAAAAGGAATGTCTTTAAGGCTGGGCACGGTGGCTCATGCCTATAATCCCAGCACTTTGGGAGGCTGAGGTGGGCGGATCACGAGGTCAGGAGATCGAGACCATCCTGGCTAACATGGTGAAACCTCGTCTCTATTAAAAAATACAAAAAATTAGCCAGGTGTGGTGGCGGGCGCCTGTAGTCCCAGCTACTTGGGAGGCTGAGGCAGGAGAATGGTGTGAACCTGGGAGGCAGAGCTTGCAGTGAGCCGAGATCGTGCCACTGCACTCCAGCCTGGGCGACAGAGCGAGACTCCATCTCAAAAAAAAAAAAAAAGGAAAGTCTTTGACCTCACCTACCTATTCTTGCCTGCACTAACTTTTCTTCAACCTTTCCAGTAGGCCCAATATTAGTGCTTCAAAGATGTCAACATTCCATTCCCTAGAACCCAAGGGTATATTACCTTATAACAAAAGGGATTTTTCAAATGTGATTAAATTTAAAATCTTGAGATGGGGGAGTTATTCGGGATTATCCAAGATGAGATACAAGAGTCTTTATAAGAGGGAAGGAGGGACTGGGTGCAGTGGCTCACGCCTTTAATCCCAGCACTTTGGGAAGCTGAGGCCGGTGGATTACTTGAGGTCAGGAGTTCGAGACCAGCCTGGTCAATCATCTCTACTAAAAATACAAAAAATTAGCTGGGTGTGGTGACGCATGCCTGTAATCACAGCTACTTGGGAGGCTGAGGCATAAGAATTGCTTGAACCCAGTAGGCAGAGGTTGCAGTGAGCTGACATAGTGCCACTGCACTCCAGCCTGGGTGACAGAGTGAGATTCTCAGAAAAAAAATAAAATAAATAAAATAAAAAATATTTTTAAGAAAGAAGAAAAGAGGAAGCCCAGAAAGATAAGGAAATAAGAATGTGACAAATAAAGGGGTCAGAAAGAGAGAGGGAACGGGAGAGAAGGAGAGAATCAAGATGCTCTATTTGCTACATTATTCGCTTTGAAGATGGCAAATGAAGCCATGAATCAAAGAACGTAGGTGGCTTCTAAAAGCTGAAAAGGGCAAGGATAAGGATTTTCTCTCAGAGACTCCAATACTTTGATCTTAGTATGTGATACCTGTGTTGGTCTTTTGACCTCTAGCACCATAAGAGAAGAAATTTGTATTCTTATAGGCTGGGCGTGGTGGCTCATGCCTGTAATCCCGGCACTTTGGGAGGCCAAGGCAGGAGGATTACATGAAGCCAGGAGTTCAAGATCAGCCTGGGAAACATAGCAAGACCCTGTCTCTAAGGGAGGAGACCACCCCTCATACTGTCTTATGCCCAATTTCTGCCTCCAAAGAAAGAAGAAGTAAAAACTAAAAGGCAGAAATGAAATCCACAGGCAGATAGCCCTGCATGCCCTGGGCCTAGTAGTTAAAAATCAACCCCTGATCTAACTGCTTGTGTTATCTATAGATTCCAGACATTGTATGGAAAAGCATTGTGAAAATCCCTGTCTTGTTCTGTTCTGTTCTAATTACCAGCGCATGCATCCCCCAGCCACATACCCCCTGCTTGCTCAATCGATCACAGCCTTCTCACGCGAACCACCCTTGAGTTGTAAGCTCGGGGAGCTGGGCTTTTTGAGATGCAAGTCTGCTGAAGCTCCCGGCAGAATAAAGCTCCTTCCTTCTTTAACCTGGTGTCTGAGGAGTTTTGTCTGCTGCTCGTCCTGCTACATCGCTACAGGAAAAAAATTAGCTGGGCATGGTGGCATGCACTATGATTTTGTCACTGCACTCCAGCCTCAGTGTCAATGTGAGACCTTGTCTCAAAAAAAAAAAAAACCCCACAAGGCCATGTGCCATGGCTCATGCCTATAATCCCAGCACTTTGGGAGGCTGAGGCAGGCGGATCACCTGAGGTCGGGAGTTTGAGACCAGCTTGACCGATATGGAGAAACCCTGTCTCTACTAAAAATGCAAAATTGGCTGGGCGTGGTGACGCGTGCCTGTAATCCCAGCTACTCGGGAGGATGATGCAGGAGAATCGCTTGAACCCCGGAGGCAGAGGTGAGCCAACATCGTGCCATTCATTGCACTCCAGCCTGGGCGACAAGAGTGAAACTCCGTCTCAAAAACAAAACAAACAAACAAACAAACAAAACAAAAAAACTGTGTTGTTTTAAGCCACTAAATGCATGGTCATTTGTTACAGCAGCTATAGGAAGGAAATACACCCACCTCCTTACTGTTTCTTGAGTACATCAGCCTCCTTCCCACCTCGTGACCTTTGTCCTTGCTGATCCCACTCTACCCCAGTTACCTGCATGGCTTTTTCCCACATTTGGGGTCTTTACTCCATCAAGCTGCTCCTGACCACTTTGTTTAAGATTGCAACCCTCCCCTGTACTCCAGGAGCCTTTCTCCTGGTTCACTTTTCCCCCCATAACATATTTTACCTCTATTTAGTTTTTATTTTTTTTTGCAACAGGGTCTCAGTCTGTCCCGCATGCTGGAGTGCAATGGTGCAATCTCAGCTCACTGCAACCTTCGCCTCCCAAGCTCAAGCACTCCTCCCACCTCAGCCTCTCAAGTAGCTGGGACCACAGGTGCACGCCACCATGCCCAGCTAATTTTTTGTATTTTTGGTAGAGATGGGGTTTCACCATGTTGCCCGGGCTGGTCTCGAACTCCTGACCTCAAGTGATCCACCTGCCTCGACCTCCCAAAATACTGAAATCACAGGCTATTTTACTTCTTAATCTTGCTTGCTGTCTGTCTCCACCCACTGGAACATGAGCTCCACAGGCCAGAGATGTTTGTACAGTTTATCTCCTGCTGTCTTTCCAACACCAAAAAACAGTGTCAGCAAATAGTAGGCATCCAATAAATGTTTGTTGAGTGAGTGAATGGAGAAATGAATGATTGAAGTCTTACAAAGTCTTCCTATTCTTCCTACTAAATAAATAGTCCAGTTACTTTAATCCCTGTATTTTCTATTCATCTCTCTCTTTTTTTTTTCTTCTTTTTTTTGGGGACGGAGTCTCACTCTGTTGCCCAGGCTGGAGTGTAGTGGGGTGATCTTGGCTCAGGGCAACCTCTGCCTCGCAGATTCAAGCGATTCTCCTGCCTCAGCCTCCTGAGTAGCTCGGATTACAAGTGCCCACCAACATGCCCAGCTAATTTTTGTATTTTTAGTGGAGACAGGGTTTCACCATGTTGGCCGGGCTGGTCTCAAGTGATCCGCCCACCTTGGCTTCCCAAAGTGCTGGGATTACAGGTGTGAGCCACCGTGCCTGGCTTCTGCTCATCTCTTGAAGGGCTTTTACTGATGTCTTCCTGTGTTTTTTTGTTCTTCCCCAGGATGACTGCTTCTAGATATTTATTCCATGTTCCGATTCAAACCCATCAACAGTCACAACATTCTTATATGAAAACTTAAAGCAGGGTGTCTTTTACACCTGACCTTTATATCTAGCACTTTATTGACTTATAGGTGCATTGATTCATTTAGTCACACATTAATTCAGAGAATACAAATTTATTGAGAGACTACCAAAGGCCAGGCACTGTGTAAGATATTGAGGATTGTCGCCTGCACCAAGACAGGCATGATTCTTGCTCTTGGCTGGGCGAGGTGGCGCATGCCTGTAATCCTAACACTTTGGGAGAATGAGGTGGGAGGATCACTTGAGCTCAGGAGTTTGACACCAGCTTGGGCAACATAGTGAGATCCTGTCTCTTAAAAAAAAAAAAAGAAAAGAAAAGAAAAAAAGGATTCTCTCGTGCAGCTCGAGTGCGTGGGCATAGGAGAGGGACTTAAAAAATAAATATTAGATTGACAGGAAAGGTTAGGAGTCAATTATATTAATTAATTAATTTATTTATTTTTGAGATGAAGTCTCACTCTGTCACCCAGGCTGGAGTGCAGTGGCACAATCTTGGCTTCCTGCAACCTCTGCCTCCTGGGTTCGAGTGATTCTCCTGCCTCAGCCTCCCGAGTAGCTGGGATTATAGGCGTCTGCCACCACACACAGCTAATTTTTTTTTTTTTTTTTGTATTTTAGTAAAGACGGGGTTTCCCCATGTTGGCCAGGCTGGTCTTGAACTCCTCACCTCAAGCGATCCACCCGTCCTGGCCTCCTAAAGTGCTGGGATTATAAGCATGAGCTACCATGCCTGACTGAGAGTCAATTTTATTAAAAAGTTATTATTATATGCAGGCCTAAGACAAGCCCAGATGAAAGATATAGGGCATATATATGTATATAATTAAAAAAAATTTTTTTTTAGACAAAGTCTTGCTTTGTCACCCAGGCTGGAGTGCAGCTCACTGCAGCCTCCACCTCTGGGGCTCAAGCAATACCCTCACCTCAGCCCCACAAGCAGCTGGGACTACAGGCACACACCACCACGTCTGGCTAAATTTTGTGTTTTTTTTGTAGAGATGGGGTTTCGCCATGTTGCCCAGGCTGGTCTGAAGCTCCTTGCCTCGAGTGATCTGCCCACCTTGCCTTCCAAAGTGCTGAGATTACAGATGTGAGGCACCGTGCCCATCCAATGTAGGGCATGTTTAATCATATTCCTAGGACAAGATATTTGACTTATTGGAGCTTAGCCAAGGCATGAGACACAGTTTCCAATAAGTATATGCTTTGCATCAATTTTGAGAGATTGACATTCATCTAGTCTCTTTCTAGTAGATTAGACATCAGTAACAATTATGTTAAGTATACAGAGTGGGGACCCGGATCACTGTATGAATTTGATGACATTTTTTTAAAGCTGTCCTTAGAGAATAGTTGGTATGAATCAGGTGCCTGAGTTTCCTGCATTATAAATGGATTGGGAATTACAAAACACTCCTGAAGTCAGTGGGCTGAAGGATTAGAGATATGTTTTTATATCTTATAACATTTGAAGAAACACAATTAATGAACATACCAAAACACCGTAGAAAAATTGCCTAAATCAAATGGCAGGGAGGCTAATTACCATTTAATTGAGTTTTGAAAATTTAGCTTTTCTCGTTAAAAGCTTTGTCTCAGGTCAAAGAGGGAAAAACCATCGGAAATCATTTGTTCAAACTTGGAGAAAACACTGGGAAAGTGATGGGATCAGAATGAAAGTTCTAATAATCAGTTAAAATTGTCATAATATTTAAAAACTGGGCAATGTATTTTGGTTGTTTTGTGAGCTCTGCTGGCTTAATTAAAGTATATTTAATGAATTCATTGAGAATGTTCACATCATACAGTTATAGCAGGTGCTTTTCAATCCAGGGTGATTTTGTCCTCCAAGAGATATTTGACAATGTTTACAGACATCTTCGGTTGCCATGGCTGGGGTGTGTGTGCTAGTGGGCGGAGGCCAGGGATACTACAATGCACAGGGCAGAGCCTCGACAACAAAGAATTATCTAGCCCCAAATATCAACAATCCTGGGACTGAGAAACCCTGAGTTAAAATGATGTTTCACATTTATATACTGGCTTTAGAAATTTTTTTACATTAAAAAAATTGAGGCCAGGCACAGTGGCTCATGCCTGTAATCCCAATGTTCTGGGAGGCTGAGCTGGGAGGATTGCTTGAGGCCAGGAGTTCAAGACCAGCCTGGGCAACAAAGCCAGATCTCATCTCTACAAAAACAAACAAACTGGGTATAGTGGCATGCACTTGTAGTCCTAGCTATTTTGGAGGCCGAGGCGGGAAGATCCCTTGAGCCCAGGAGTTCGAGGTCACAGTGAGCTATGATTGTGCCATTGCACTCCAGCCTGGGTGACAGAGTGAGACCCCATTCCTAAAAATATTTTCAAAATTGAGGTATAATTCACATACCACAAATTTTACTCTCGAAAAGTGTACAATTCAGTGAGTTTTAGTATATTTACAAAGTTGTGTAATCATCACTACTATCTAATTCCAGAACATTTTTGTCACCCCAAAAAGAAACTCTGTACACACCTATTAGGATGGTCAAAATTCAGAACACTGACAATATCAAGTGCTGACAAGGATGTGGAGCAACAGGAACTTTCATTCATTGCTCGTGGGAATGCAAAATGGTACAGCCACTTTGGAAGACAGTTATGTGTTTTCTTATTAAAAAATGGTGCCGGGCGCGGTGGCTCACGCCTGTAATCCCAGCACTTTGGGAGGCTGAGGCGGGCTGATCACGAGGTCAGGAGATCGAGACCATCCTGGCTAACATGGTGAAACCCCATCTCTACTAAAAAATATAAAAAAATTAGCCAGGCGTGGTGGCGGGCGCCTGTAGTCCCAGCTACTCAGGAGGCTGAGGCAGGAGAATGGCGTGACCCTGGGAGGTGGAGCTTGCAGTGAGCTGAGATCGTGCCACTGCATTCCAGCCTGAGCAACAGGGTGAGATTCCGTCTCAAAAAAAAAAAAAAAAAAAAAGTAAACATATTCGTACAATATAATCACACTCCTTGGTATTTACCCAGAGAAAATGAAAACATGTCCACACAAAAACCGGCACACGGCTGTCTATAACTGCTTTATTCACAGCTGCCAAAACTTGTAAGAAACCAAGAGGTCCTTCAGCAGGTCATGAATAAATAAATTATGGTATATCCAGACAAAGGAATATTATTCATTGTTAAAAAGAAACGAGGTATCATGTCATGTAAAAAACACAGAGGAAACTTAAATGCGTATTCCTAAGTGAAAGACACCAATCTGAAAAGACTACATACTGATTCCAACTATATGACATTCTGGAAAAGGTAAAACTATGGAGACAGTAAAAATATCAGTGGTTGCCAGGGATTGGAGAAACGAAAGAATGAATAAATAGGCAAAGCACAGAGGATTTTTAGGGCAGTGAAAAGACTTTGTATGATACTATATTGGTGGATACATATCATTATACACCTGTTCAAACCCACAGAATGTATAATACCAAGAATGTAAACCATGGATTTTGAGTGATAATAATGTTTCTTCCTCTTTCTCTCCCTTCTTTCCCTTTCTCTCTTTTTTCTCTCTGTCTTTCTCTTTCTCCCTCTCCCTCTCTCCTTCTCTCTTTTCCTTCCTTCCTTCGTTCCTTCCTTCCTCTTTCCTCTCTCTTTCCTTCCTTCCTTCCTTCCTTCCTTCCTTCCTTCCTTCCTTCCTTCCTTCCTTCTTTCCTTCCTTCGTTCTTTCCCTCTCTTTCCTTTCTTTTTTGATAGGCTCCTGCTCTGTTGCCCAGGTTGGAGTGCAGTGATGCAATCATAGCTCACTGCAGTCTTGACCTCCCAGGCTCAAGCGATCCTCCCATCTCAGCCACCAGAGTAGCTGGGACTACAGGTGCGTGCCACCATGCCTCAGTTAATTTAAAAATTTTTTTTGTAGAGACAGTGTCTTGCTATGTTGCCCAGGCTGGTTTTGAACTCCTGGGCTCAAGCAATCCTCCCAGCTCAGCCTCCCAAATTGCTGAGAGATAATAATGTTTCATTCAATTAATCAGTTGTAACAAATGTACCACCCTGGTGGAGGATAGTGATAATGGGGCAGGGTATGTATGTGTGGGGACGGGGGATGTAAGGGACATCTTCGTACCTTCCTCTCAATTTTGCTGTGAACCTAAAACTTCTCTAAAAAAATAAAATCTGAAAACAAAAACCACAGTGGATCCACTACACCACCTATTGAAGTAACTAAAATAAAATACGCTGACTATACAAGAAAAAAGAAAGAAGGAAACTCTGTACCCAGTACCCACTAGTAAATCACTTCCTATTTCCCCATCTCCATAGCCCACTAATCTACCTTTCGTCTCTATGGATTTACATACTCTTACATATTTCATGTAAATGGAATCTTACAATATGTGGCCTTTTGCACCTGCACTCTTTCACTGAGCATAATGTTTTTGAGGCTCATCCACATCTTAGCATGTTTAAGTGGTTCACTCCTTTTTATGGTCAAATAATATTCCATTGCATGGTGATACCATCTTTTGTTTATCCAGTCATCAGTTGACAGATATTTGGGTAGTTTCCACTTTGTGGCTATTGTGAATAGTGCTGTCAGGACCATTTGTATACAAGTGTTTGTGTAGATATATGTTTTTATTTCTTTCTTTTTTTTTTTTTGAGATGGAGTCTCGCTCTGTCACCCAGGCTGGAGTGCAGTGGCGTGATCTCGTCTCACTGCAAGCTCTGCCTCCAGGGTTCACGCCATTCTCCTGTCTCAGCCTCCCGAGTGGCTGGGACTACAGGCGCCCGCCGTCAACCCCGGCTAATTTTTTGTATTTTTAGTAAAGACGGGGTTTCACCGTGTTAGCCAGGATGGTCTCGATCTCCTGACCTCGTGATCTGCCAGCCTCGGCCTCCCAAAGTGCTGGGATTACAGGCGTGAGCCACCGCGCCCGGCCATGTTTTTATTTCTTTTGGTTATATGCCTAGGGAGGAAGATGTTAGGTCATACTGTTGCTCTGTTTAACTTTTTGAGGAACTGCCAAACTGTATTCCAAAGTGGCTGAATCATTTTACATTCCCACCAGCAGTTTAGGAGGGATCCATTTTCTTACACCCTCACCAATACTTGTTATTGTCTTTCTGTTTATTTATAACTATCCCAGGGGACATGAAGTGTTATTGTGATTTTGATTTGCATTTCCCTAATGACTAATGTTGTTGGGCATCTTTTCACGTGCTTTTTGGCTATTGGCATATATTTTTTGGAGAATTGTCTGTTCAAATCTTTTGCTCGTTTTTAAATTGGGCTATTTGTTTTTTATTGTCAGACTGTAGGAATTCTTTGTACATAATGGATGCTAGTTTCTCATTAGATATTTGATTTACACATTTTTCTCCCAGTTTGTGAGTTGCTGGCTTTAGATTTTACAAAGCATTTCACATCTCTTAGCTTTTAAATCTCCCTATAGCTAGGCAAAAATTTAGGCTCAGAGGTTAAATGATGTGTGCAGAATCAGAAGTTTGTTCATATGTGAATTCAATAAACTTTTATTGAGAGCCTACAAAGTTGACTGTTGCTAGGCTAGAAAGATCAAGTGTCTAGAATTTGATTTCCATTTCAGTTAATTTTTTAATTTTTTAATTTTATTTTTTGAGACAGAGTCTCACTGTGTCACCCAGGCTGGAGTGCAATGGTGAGATCTTGGCTCACTGCAACCTCCGCATCCTGGGTTCAAATGATTCTCCTGCCTCAGCCTCCTGAGTAGCTGGGATTATAGGCATGTGCCACTCTGCCTGGCCGATTTTTTTGTATTTTTAGTAGAGATGGTGTTTCACCATGTTGGCCAGGTTGATCTTGAACTCCTGACCAACTTCAGGTGATCCTTATGCCTTGGCCTCCCAAAGTGCCAGGATTACAGGCATGAGCCACCATGCCCGGCCTCCATTTCAGTTTAAAACCTCAAATGGAACACCATTGGAATGAGAGAAAGTGAGGGGAAAGAAGAGAAAAGGACAGAAGAAAGTGGAGAGGAAATCAAGTTGTATGTCCTTTGCTTGTGTATAGTGCTTGGGAATCTCTTCCTTTTGTATACCCATCTTCACTTAAGGCTCCAAATATGAAAACACGAAACACTTATTTTAGAATTCAGTCCTTACTTAAGCCGAGTATAACCCATACTCCCCAGTCTCCTTCTGTTAAATTACTTAGCCATCACCCTCTTTGGTTTCACCATAGTAGATCACAGAGCAAGGACTGGAAGGCCCATTCTGAGGTATCCACTTTGCATCTGAGCCAGTGTGAGAGTGGGTCCTCTCCATAGGGACGGACTCTTGTTAACAAAGATTGATAATAAAGCCACATTGTCAGTTTATTAACTTACAATGAAAAATACACTTTGACATTTGGTTAGTAGTATATTTGCCCTTTCTAGGCAAGTGGTTCATGACATTGGCTGCACATTGGGGTCACTTGGTGTATTAGTCTGTTTTCACACTGCTGATAAGGACATACCTGAGACTGGGCATTTACAAAAGGAAGAGGTTTAATGGACTTGCAGTTCCACATGGCTGGGGAAGCCTCACAATCATGGCAGAGGGCAAGGAGGAGCAACTCACATCTTATGTGGATGGTGGCAGACAAGAGAAGAGGGCTTGTGCAGAGAATCTCCCCCTTATAAAACCATCAGATCTCATAAGACTTATTCTCTATCATGAGAACACCACAGGAAAGACCTGCCACCATGATTCAATTACCTCCCACCAGGTCCCTCCCACAACACGTGGGAATTCAAGATGAGATTTGGGTGGGGCCACAGCCAAACCATATCACTTGGGGAGCTTGATCAACTTCCAATTCCTAGGCTTGATCCTGGAACAGTGAAATGAGGATCTCCAAGGATGGGGCCCAGGTATCAATGTTATTTTAAAGCTTCCCAGGTGATCTCAGTGTGAATGCAAGGTTGTGAACCACTGCTTCTGGAATACCTGCACCATGAGAAGGTATAATAAATGGTGTGTGTAGAATCAGAAGGCAATTCATTTGTAAATTCAGTACACTTCTATTGAGAGCCTGCAAAGTTGATTGTTGGTAGGCTGGAAAGAAGTAATTAAATTGTAATCAAATGCACATGGAGTTAGATTTCATCATTTAGTCCACAAATATTTATAAATATTATGTGCTAGGTGCTGGGATAAACATAAGTCAATACAGTTTGGTGGTTATCAAAATGGGCTTTAGAATGAAAGAACCAACTGATGTCCTGGCTCCACTGTTTACTAGTATGTGACTTAATTTCTCTAAGCTTGAATTTCTCTGCTGGTAAAATGGGGTTGCTAACAATAATGCCTACTTCAGAGGCTTGCTTAAGAATTATGTCAAATGATGCAGTGTTTCCCAAATTTCAAGATTTGTTCTAAAGCTATACCCATGTACAACCTGTACTACTGTTTACTTAATATTTCCTTTACTGGCTCATTTTTTCTTCTTAAATATTTCCTTTGGTCTCACTCCAAGTGGTATCATCTATAAAATACTTGGTTGGATGGGCTAGCTATAGTTTTTCTAACATATAGTAAAATATATAATTTAACAAATAAGTGACTTTTTTTGCCACTTGAAAGTGTTGCTCATACCAGTTGTGGGGACACATCTTTGGGAAACAGGGAATATCTGGGATATTTGCCTCTGAGCCAGCGTGAGAGTGGCTCCTTTCCATAGGGGTGGATGCTAATAATAGTGCCTACTTCAGGGGCTATTGAAGGCTTGCACCTAGAAACCTAGAAAGCACTCAGCCAATGATAATTATTCTTTTTTTTTTTTACCGAGTCTCACTGTCTCACCCAGGCTGGAGTGCAGTGGCAAGTGAGATCTCAGCTCACTGCAACCTCCGCCTCCCAGGTTCGAGTGATTCTCCTGCTTTACCCTCCTGAGTAGCTGGGATTACAGGCACCTGCCACCTCGCCAGGCTAATTTGTATTTTTAGTAGAGATGGGGTTTTACCACATTGGCCAGTCTGGTCTCAAATTTCTGACCTCAAGTGATCCACCAATCTTGGCCTCCCAAAGTGTTGGGATTACAGGCATGAGCCATTGGG
The DNA here is from genome assembly GCF_000001405.40 of Homo sapiens. Lineage (NCBI taxonomy): Eukaryota > Metazoa > Chordata > Mammalia > Primates > Hominidae > Homo > Homo sapiens. The sequence continues at coordinate 119,879,595 of NC_000012.12, read as the reverse complement.
TCTGGCCAGTTATTTTCTTTATATAGAAGTTTCTGGGCTGGGCGCAGTTGCTCACACCTGTAATCCCAGCACTTTGGGAGGTCGGGGCAGGATGATTGCTTGAGTACAGGAATTTGAGATCAGCTTGGGTAGCATAGGGAGACCCCATCTCTACAAAAAAAAAAACCCAAAAAAACAAAAAAACAGCCAGGCATGGTGGTACATTCTTGTGGTCCCAGCTACTGGAAGGGCTGAGGTGGGATGATCACTTGAGCCTGGAGAGGTGGAAGCTGCAGTAAGCCGTGATTGTGCCACTGAACTCCAGCTTGGGTGACGGAGTGAGATTCTGTCTAAGAAAAAAGAAAAAAAAAGAGGTGCTTGATAAATAGTAGCTATCCATTATTGGCCCCGGGAACAAGAAGTAAGTTATGTTTGGGGAAGGAAAAAAGAACAAATGTGTATTAAGCAAGCCTGTAGCTCTAATTATGTGCTGGTGTGCGTGTGTGTGTGTGTGTGTGTGAGAGAGAGAACACATCTCCAGTTCTGTCTACTGTAGAATTAGGAGAGTACAAAAAGGACTTTACATATATAAATAGAACATACACACACACACATGCGTGCACACATATACACACAATTTAATCATTATGAAACCACATCCATATTGTTGCTACCTAGGTTAAGAAATAGATCACAGCAGCACCCCAACACCCTGAAAGGCCTCCATCCCAACCCCAGGTAACTACTATTCTGGCTGTTGCTTTCTTTATGGTTTTGTCATTACTTTAAACAATGACAAAAACTGCAATGATTTGCATCAACCTAATACATCCCTCCTTAAACAATGTTGCTTTGTTTTGTCCTGTTTTGGAACTTATAAGAATGGAATCATAATGGAATCATATGTTATTTTCTTGCTTCCTTCATTAGGCCTTGTTTTGAGACTCATTATGTCATTGTGGTTAGTTGCAGTTTATTCTTTTTCATTGCTTGTGAAAACACTGCAATATACAATTTTGTCTTTTCTACTGCTGATGGACATTTATATCACTTCCAGTTTTTTGCGAACACTATTTTGTATTCTTATACACATCTCTTGGTGTACATAAGTAGGAGTTTCTCGCCGGCGTGGTGGCTCAGGGCCTGTAATCTCAGCACTTTGGGAGGCCGAGGTGGGCAGATCACTCGAGGTCAGGAGTTCAAGACCAGCCTGGACAACACGGTGAAACCCCATCTCTACTAAAAATACAAACAATTGGGCATGGTGGCATGCACCTGTAATCCCAGTTACTTGGGAGGATGAGACAAGAGAATAGCTTGAACCTGGGAGGTGGAGGTTGCAGTGAGGCGAGATCGTGCCATTGCACTCCAGCCTGGGAGACAGAGCAAGACTCCATCTCAAAATAAATAAATAAATAGGAGTTTTTCTTAGGTAGAGAAACTACACCTAGCAATAGTCATAGAATGCACAAATCTTCAATGTTAGCAAATAATGCCAAACTTTTTTTTCAAATTTCAAAGAGATTGTATCCATTTACACGCCTACGGGTACTGTATAAGTGTGTGTACTTCCACATCTTCGCAAACACTGTCACATCCTTTTGTTGTTGTTGTTCTCGAATTTGAGTGTTATTCTTTCTCACTGTGACTTTATTTTTCATATTTTCTGATTATGAACGAGGTTGACAACTTTCACACATTTGTTGGTCATCTGGATTTCCTTTTTGGTGAAGTGCCTGTTTAAGTATCTCGTCTATAATTTATTTTAAAGTGTCCTTTCAGACAGTCTCAATGACTGTCACCAACTCCTTGCAGGGCAGTCAGCCCGGAGATAGAGTAATCAAGGTAGGTTGAAGTCAAGCTCAAAACATTCGCTGCCTCAGCTGTAGCAGAGGACCACTGGGCTTCCCCAGGTAACAAGTACTTCTACCTTAGCCACATGAGAGAGAAAGAAGACCAGGCAGAGCAGCCTGGCTGCCTTCCTCCTTGCAGGTGGCCGAGAGCAGGGGACAGCGCCCTGGCGACCTCCTCAGGGATCCTAGATTAACAGTCGCGTCCTCAAACGCAGCATCCTGCGTAACCGCCAATTTCAAACTTCCAAGACCTGCCCTGCTGATTTTGCCCTTCCCTTTTTCCCGTTGGTCGCGAGTCAAAGGAAGATGCAATTTGATTGGCTCTCCCCTTCACTTTCCTCCATGCCTTTAGGGACATGGGCGGGGCCTGGCTGAGACGCCCATGTCTATCATAGGAGCGGAGACGCTGATTGGTCCAAACACGGCTGAGACCCGCCCGCGCCGTTCCTCGGGTTCAAACGCGGCGGCGGGAGGCGCGGGGCGGAACAGATCGCAGACCTGGGGGTTCGCAGAGCGTGAGTCTGATCCCCCAGACCCAATTCTACCGCACCCGGCTCTGCAAGGCCAGGGGAGGGCCGCCTCCACCCATACAAGTCCCGGGTTTCCCTCCCGCCCCGGGGAGGGCGGCGATTCCACCCCCAGGGCTGCGGGAGGCCTGGAGGGTCTTCCGGGGCTAGCTGTGCGCGCGCCCACCTTCCTTGGGAGCCGAGGGGTCAGCCGAGTGGTGCTGGGGCAGGAGGCTTGCTCCTCCCCTAAACCAGGCGGAGTGCTTTGTCTCTTCAGCTCTGCCTCCTGTCAGCACTAACTGCATTATTCTGCCCAGTGTAGTCGGCCGGTTCCTTATTATCTGCGTGAACTTAGCCATTTACTTAACCTCTCTGTTTCAGCGTATTCATACCCCGTGCCCACCCCATCACCTCATGATGCCCCCGCCTCTTTCGCTCTGCTCCAGTCCGTCTGGCCTCGCTGTTGCTGGAGAGGCCAGGTCCTGCCTCAGTGCTTTTGGCTTGGCTGTTTCGTTTGCCACGGATGTCTTTCTTTCCCCAGATATCAACATGGCTTGCTGGTCATTCGCTTCAGGTCTTCAAGTCTTGGGTCAAATGGTGGCTTCTCAGTGAAGTCTTATTTGACCACACTAAAAATTGCACCATCTCACCCCCATTGTCCTTTTCTTGCTCGATTTTGTTTTTACCCCATAGCACTTAACACCTTACAACAAGCTATATATTTTGCTTATTTCAGTCATTCATTTAATAACTATTCGCACCTATTTGTGTGCCAGGCTATGTGTGCCCCCACTGCATGGGGGCAAACATCTCTGCCCTTGTGGAGCTTCCATTCTAAGGGGGGAGATAATAAACACATTTATAAGTAAGAGAGTATGTCAGATAAGTGTATCATCTCCTGTCACAGTGAGTTAAAATCTGGTGTTTAATCTCCATGATTAGACTGAGCTTCCTAAAACTGGAGTGGTAGCTGATTTTCACCTCCTTGTCCCTGATATCTTGAGGGAGATCAGGATCTCTCAGGCCCTTCCTGCTCAAAACATAGGACACACTTGACTTTTCTGATATCCTTTCAGCGCCAGTGGGGAGATGTTGAAGTTCAAATATGGAGCGCGGAATCCTTTGGATGCTGGTGCTGCTGAACCCATTGCCAGCCGGGCCTCCAGGCTGAATCTGTTCTTCCAGGTAACAGCCTACCCTGCCAACTTTGCTCACCTGTGTGTGTCCTTGGAATCTCCTTGTCACTCACCTTTGCTTTTATTTATTTGTTTATTTATTTAGAGTCTCAGTCTCTCAGGCTGGAGTACAGTGGTGCAATCTCAGCTCACTGCAACCTCCGCCTCCTGGGTTCAAGCGATTCTCCTGCCTCAGCCTCCAGAGTAGCTGGGACTACAGCCGCCTGCCACCACACCCGGCTAAATTTTGTATTTTTCTTTTTAGTAGAGACGGGGTTTCACCATGTTGGCCAGGCTAGGGTCGAACTCCTGACCTCAAGTGATCCACCTGCCTTGGCCTCCTAAAGTGCTGGGATTACAGGCATGAACCGTGCCCAGCTTGCTTTTATTATAGGACCAGGGATAATATTTTAGGGGAAATTCTGTTTTGTTTTGTTTGAAACAAGGTCTTCTGTCGACTCTAGGCCTGTGCCACCATGCCTGGCTAATTTTTTAATTTTTTGTAGGGATGGGGTCTCACTGTGTTGCCCAGGCTGATATAGAACACCTGACTTCAAGTGAGCCTCTTGCCTTGGCCTCCCAAAGCACTGGGGTTATAGGTGTGAGCCACTGCACCTGGCCCTCTATTTAGAGTTTTATATGCACTGATTCTTTTGGAAAAAAGACACTGTGCAGAAGTAGATAGCTGAACTTGCCTTAGAAGGGAGATCTTTTCATATTTCTCACACTTTACACTTCTGTACTAAAGTTTATTCATTCATTGATTGATTGGTTGCTTGCAAGACAGGGTCTTGCTCTGTGGCTCAGGCTGGAGTGCATTGGCACAATCACGGCTTACTGCAGCCTTGACCTCCTGGGCTCAAACGATCCTCCCACTTCAGCTTCCTGAGTAGCTGGGACCACAGGTGTGTGCCACCATACCTGGCTAATTTTTGTATTTTTTGTAGAGATGAGGTTTCACCATGTTGCCCAGGCAGGTCTCGAATTCCTGGGCTCAAGTGATCTACTTGTCACAGCTTCTGCAAGTGTTGGGCTTACAGGCATAAGCCCCTGTACCAGGGCAAGTTTGTCCTTTTATTGAAGAAAGAAAAATAAATGAACAAAGATGCTTTTTAAAACTACAATTTCTGTGGGTATAATCCTATTCATTTTCATTGCAGGGATGTTTATTTTTTAAGATTTTTTTTTTTTTTTTTTGAGACAGAGTCTTCGCTGTCGCCCAGGCTGGAGTGCAGTGGCGCGATCTCGGCTCACTGCAGGCTCTGCCCCCCGGGGTTCACGCCATTCTCCTGCCTCAGCCTCCCACGTAGCTGGGACTACAGGCGCCCGTCACCTCGCCCGGCTAATTTTTTGTATTTTTAGTAGAGACGGGGTTTCACTGTGTTAGTCAGGATGGTATTTTTTAAGATTTTAAAAAAAGTTTTGATGAATACCACACCTGTTTAACCCTCATTCCTCTCAAGATACACATTTCTGTCACCCCAGATGCGTTAAAACTTAATATCATAAGATTACTTCCAAATAGATTTTTAATTCTTTTGTTTCTGATGTATGTGGAACACTGGTGAAGTAGAAATCCTTGTTTGATTTATGTATTCGTAAGTCAGGGGGACAATAGAGACCATGAAGATTTAGAATTGAATCCCAGTCCCAGCACTAGTTAGCTGCATTACTTTGGGTGAGTCAGTTACCTTTTCTGAGTCCATTTGCTATTCTTTAAAATAGGTTGTAGCCTGTAATGCCAGTATTTTCGGAGGCTGAGGCGGGCGGATTACTTGAGGTCACGGGTTCGAGACCAGCCTGGACAACGTGGTGAAACCCTGTCTCTACTAAAAATATAGAAAATTAGCTGGGCATGGTGGTCGCATGTACCTGTAATCCCAGCTACTTGAAAAGCTGAAGCAGGAGAATCATTTGAACCCGGGAGGCGGAGGTTGTCGTGAGCCGAGATGGTGCACTGCACTCCAGCCTGGGCGACAGAGTGGGTAAGACTCCATCTCAAAACAAAACAAAACAAAAGAAAACAAAAAAAATAACATAGAGGTTGTAGTACCTAATCCACAGGGTTGTTGTGAGGATTAGATGAGATATTCGATTTAAAGCACTTAGCACCTTGCCTGGCTCTTAGTAAACTCCTTATAAAAAATGGTAATTATTGTTAATACTCAGCATAGAATAGTATTAGTTATAATATTAATACTAAATTTGTTTCCTTAATAGTAATTATATTTGGGAAGGTAGTTATGTAGGATACCTGTAAGATGATGAATGATGAAGTATTCTTGATAACTTTTTTTTTTTTCCAAAATATTGGTATTGGGTGTTTAAACAGATGAGAGTGGAAACAAATTGAAAGCTTAGGTTTTTCTGTGGGACCATCCCCATCAGCATTTTAAGTCTTGACATATCTTTCACAAATGAATAGTCTGTCTTTAACCTTAGATGGCTGGAGTGCTGCCACGTTTCAGCCCCTTTATCATGCTACTTTAAAATATCTCCAACTTGCTGGGCGTGGTGGCTCACGCCTGTAATCCTAGCAATTTGGGAGGCTGAGGTGGGTGGATTGCTTGAGGTCAGGAGTTCGAGAGCAGCCCGGGCAACATGGTGAGCCCCTCCGTTTCTACTAAAAACACAAAAAATAGCTGACTGTGATGGTGTGTGCCTGTAGTCCCAGCTACTCGGGAGGCTGAGGCAGGAGGATCACTTGAGCCCTAGAGGCAGAGGTTGCAGTGAGCTAAGATTGTGCCACTGCACTTCAGCACTTCAGCCTAGGCGACAGAGCAAGACCCTGTAAATTAAAAAAAAAAAAAAAAAGAAAAGGAAAAAAATTTCCAACTTATTAAGGGCTTATAGTGTGCTGATTATGTAATAGTTATGGCTTCCAATGTGTCTGGCATAGAACTGGCATGTTTCTGAGTATCTCACTTCAGCCTCATGACAGAGGTAAGGACTATTTTTAATTTAAACTTTAAATAGGAGGCAACAGGCCAGGTGTGGTGGCTCACACCTGTAATCCCAGTACTTTGGGAGGCTGAGGCAGGTGGATTGCTTGAGTCCAAGAGTTCAAGACTAGCCTGGGCAAAATGGTGAAACCCCATCTCTACAAAAAATATAAATAATTAGTCAGGCATGGCGGTGTGTGCCTGTAGTCCCAGCTACTCAGGAGGCTGAGGTGGGGGCATCTCTGGGGCCCCGGAGGCAGAGGTTGTAGTGAGTTGAGATTGCAACACTGCACTCCAGCCTGGGCAACAGAACGAGACCCTGTTTCTAAATAAATACATAAATAGGAGGCAACAGATATAGACAGATATGGAGGTAGGTAAGGCCTTGCCCAAGATCATACACGTTGGGTTTTGCAGATGAGGCCAAGATCAGACTCCATCTTTGGTTGGTCTGACTCCAAAGGCTGACCACATAGCCATTGGGCCACAGCACCTGTGCACGTCAGAATTTATTAAGTATATCTTGTATTTAGTCATTATAACAGGAAGACTTATGGGTAAACCCTCAGTTCATCTCTTTTTAATGCTGAGATCCCCCTGCCCAGTAAAGCTATTATTGCAAGTATAGTATATACCTATCATTTGCCTTGAGTTATCAGGTAAGGATGCTGTTTGTTCTTTTCCCATATAGTGCTGTTTGAATGAGGTTGAGATACAGTAGCAATTTTGTTTTCCATTCAGGTGAGTACCTTAGACTGAGTGTCATTTTGTCTTTTTTACTTCTACTCAACAGGATTTCCTGACATGTTCGAGGTCAGTGATTGTCAGACTTTCTGAGCCAGCAAAATTTCCCAAATTGCTGGGTAGACACAGGTTTTCCAACTTTTTATTTTGCCAAGTAAGGATATATAAAAAAAAAATAAAAAGAAAGACCTATTATTTTCTGGCCCTTGTATTTCATAAAGGGCATTTTAAGAAACAACAAGACAGGAAGAACATCATCTCAGAATAAAGGACCATTTTTAAATTTGAATACATTTAGTTTTATAAAAAAGATATCATGTGGTGTTCATTTTTTCTCATTTCACTGCAGGCTGTTGAAAACTTTGTTAAGAACCAGTACTATATTTGGGAACCCCTGCTTTAATTGATCTAAACTCTTGAAGAATAGAAGAAACAAAGCATTTTATTTTTCTGAGTTACTGGCAACTATTACTAAAGTGACAGATATGGTGGCCTTGAATGCAGTGCTTCCCAAACCTGATTGAGGTCTGACTCTCTTGGGGACCAGGGTCTCATTCTGTTGCCCAGGCTGGAGTGTGGCAGCACAATCTTGGCTCACTGCAGCCTTTACTTCTTGGGCTCAAGTGATCCTTCTACCTCAGTCTCACAAGTGGCTAGGACTACAGGACCATGGCACTACACCTGGCTAATTTTTTTTTGTTTGTTTGTAGAGATGGGATCTCGCTGTGTTGCCCTGGCTGGTCTTGAACTCCTGGGCTCAAGTGATCCTCCCACCTTGGCCTCCCAAAGTGCTAGTATTCCAGGTGTGAGCCACCTCTCCCTGCTGGGGAACTTGTTAATAAAACAGATTCTAGGCTACAGTCTGGAAAATTCTAATTCATTTGGTTGTGGGGGAGGGGGGCATAGGACCAGAGAATGTGTTTGTTTGTTTGTTTGTTTTTCTTAAATTCTCCAGTGCTGTTGTGATTCAAATGCAGCCGGTCTGTTTCTGTTATCAAGTGCTGTGTAACAAAGCACTCACAAAGTTTAAAGCAACAATGATTTATTTTTTCTTAGGATTCTGTGGGTTGGCTGGACTCAGCTAGGTAGTTCTGCTTCATCCTGTGATGTCAGCTGGGGTCACTTGTGGGGCTACATTCAGCTGGGATTATGTCTGGGACTGGAACATGTGGGTGCTGACTGCTGGCTGGGGCACCTTAGTGTTTCTCACATGGCCTCTCTTCTCCATGAGGTCTTTCAGTAGTATAGCCCAGGACTCGTAACTTTTTTTTTTTTTTTAAGACAGACTGTCGCCCTGTCGCCCAGGCTGGAGTGCAGTGGCACGATCTCTGCTCACTGCAACCTCCGCCTCCTGGGTTCAAGCAATTCTCCTGCCCCAGCCTCCCGAGTAGCTGGGATTACAGGCACGTGCCTCCACGCCCGGCTAATGTTTGCATTTTTAGTAGAGATGGGGTTTCACCACGTTGGTCAGGCTGGTCTCGAACTTCTGACCTCGCGATCCGCCTGCCTCGGCCTCCCAAAGTGTTGGAATTACAGGTGTGAGCCACTGCACCTGGCTGACTCGTAACTTTTTTTGTAAGTAATAAATATTTTAGGCTTTGTGGGTCCTGTAGTCTCTGTTGCAACCACTCAACTTGGCCATGGTAGCACAAAAGCAGCTAAAGACAATATGTAAATGATGGGTGTAGCTGTGTTCCAGTAAAACTTATAAAAAGTCCGTGGGCTGGATTTGGTCCAAGGGCTACAGATTGCACACCCCTGGTCTAGCCCAAGCATCTGTGCATGGTGGCTGGCTTCCCAAAAGTGGAAGCTGCTAAGCTGCCTTTTTTTTTTTTTTTTTTTTTTTTGAGAGGGAGTCTCACTGTGTTGCCTAGGCTGGAGTGCGGTGGTGTGATCTCGGCTCACTGCAACCTCCATCTCCCGGGTGCAGGCAATTCTCATGCCTCAACCTCCCAGGTAGCTGGGATTACGGGTGCCTACCACCACGCCTGGCTAATTTTTGTATTTTGGTAGAGACAGGGTTTCACCATGTTGGCCAGGCTGGTCTCAAACTCCTGACCTCAAGTGATCCACCCGTCTTGGCCTCCCAAAGTGCTGGGATTACAGATGTGAGCCACCGTGTCTGGCCGCTTGACAAGCTTCTTAAAGGCACTGCCCTGAACTGGCACAGTGTCACTTGTGTCACATTCTTTTGGTTGAAGAGAGTCTCAGAGATGGCACAGATTCAAAGGCAGGAGAAATAGACTCCAGCGCTTAAAGTAAGGAGTAGCATGTGCCTACAGAATTGGAGGAACTGTTGGAGGCCATCTTTGAAGAGAGACCACCACTATCCATGGCTTGGCACGTGGGAATCACTGCTCTATACCAGGGTTGCAGACTCATGTCTTTGGGGGCCAGGCAGTGAGTATAAATGAGTCAAGTGGGCCAGTTGGAAGATGGAGTCAGACCTGCAGTGAACTCCCAAACACATCTGCTACCGGGAGGGGCAGCATTACTCAGCTCCAGCTCAGCGTCATCAGGCAGGAAGGCGAGGCAGTGTTGCCGGATGTGCCAGTGTTTCAAAAGAAGCCAGAGACTCCATTTTTATTTTTTTGTATGGAATCTCCTGATTTTGAAATATTGGCAGATAATTCAAATTATCTTAAACACTACAGGCCAAACAAAACATATCTGTGGGCTAGAGACAGTCTGCCAGTTTGTAACTATTTCTCCAGATCATGAGTAAATTTGGCTTTACGATGGTCACTCAGTTCTTATTACTCTAGGTTGTTCAAATGAATTAAAAAAGCTGAAATTATATGAATAAACCCCTGGGCACACATGAAAGAAGTGAAAAACCCATTGTTTCCTATTGTAGAAACATGGAAGCATGTCAGAGCCAGAGGATCCAGAGGAAATATTCTCACTAGCCTCAGACCCTCAGGAGTGAGGGAGCTTTTCTTGTTAATGGCCACGCTTGTGCAGTTTTCCTTCCCAGGTGCTGGTGAAAGAAACCCACAGTCTTGGAATCATGGAAGTGATACCATAATGACTGTCAGTTGACGTTGCTTTAAAGAATGAAGCCACAGAATTGTGCTGTTAGCATGTCGTGAGCAGTTAGTTGAGTTGGTGGCTTGTAATTTACTCTGTGTGGATGTTATTGATCAAAGCTTTTCATTATTGACAGTGTCTCCATCTGCTGTTTGCTGTTTTTAGGGGAAACCACCCTTTATGACTCAACAGCAGATGTCTCCTCTTTCCCGAGAAGGGATATTAGATGCCCTCTTTGTTCTCTTTGAAGAATGCAGTCAGCCTGCTCTGATGAAGATTAAGCACGTGAGCAACTTTGTCCGGAAGTGTAAGTTTGGGGAACTTTTTCTTGAAAACTGTCCTGAGAGAGAAAAACTAGAAAGATGCTTGAGGCAGAATGAGTTACTGGTTGATAGTAGTCGGTAAGAACTCTGGTTCTATATAAGACAGATCCAGGTTCAAATTCAGGCTGCACCTCTTATAGCTGGGAGACCAGGTAAGTTGGGCTTCTTGGTTGCAAGCGACAAACTTAATTCAAAGACTGAATTTAGGCCAGGTGCAATGGCTCATACCTATAATCTCAGCCCTTTGGGAAGCTGAGGTGGGTGAATCGCTTGAGCCCAGGAGTTCAAGACCAGCTTGGGCAACATGGTGAAACCCCATCTCTACAAAAAATACAAAAATTAGCTGGGTATGGTGGCTTGCACCCGTGGTCCCAGCTGCTGAGGAGGCTGAGGTGGGAGGATCACTGGAGCCCGGGAGGTTGAGGCTCAATGAGCTGTGATTGTGCCATTGCACTCCAGTCTGGGTGACAGAGTGAGACCCTGTGTGAATAAAAGAGTGAATTTATTGGCTCATGAAACTGAGAAATCCAGGAATGAGTTAAGTTTTAGCTTTAGGCATAGCTAGTTCCAGAGACCTCAATAATATCCCGTGGCCCTGTCCTTATACTCACTCAGGGCTGACTTTCTATTAGGCAGAGTAGGCACGGTGCTTAGGATCTGTGATATTTAATTTTAATGAATTTAATTACTTTTAATTAACTGAATTAAATTTTAATTTGTTTTAAAATTATAGGAAAAATGAATATAATAATGTATAATGATTCTGGATTACATTCATCTTTATACTAATGTAGTCATAAAATATAATTTTTGTTTTTTTTGGAGACAGAGTCTTGCCCTATTACCCAGGCTGGATTGCAGTGGTATATCATGGCTCACTGCAGTTTCAACCTTCTAGGCTCAAGCAATCCTTCCACCCCAGTGGCTGGGACTACAGGCTCACACTACCACGCCCAGCTAATTTTTGCTTTTTTCTCTGTAGAGATAGGGTCTTACTATGTTACCCAGGCTGGTTTCAAACTCCAGGCTTGAAGCAGTCTTCCTGCCTCAGCCTCCCAAAGCTTTGGGATTACAGGTGTGAGCCACCATGCCTGGCCCCATAAAATATAATTTTTGAATTCTTTTTTGTTTTTAATGGAGGAAGGGGCTGAGGAAGGCAAAAGTACCTAGGGCCTATGAAGTCATATATTGGCCTTGCCTTCACCCTGTTTCTGACTTTGCTTGACTTCCATGTGATGAGGCAGTTGGCTGTTAGTGTCCCAGTTTCATACTCTTACATTAGTGTTTTTCAACCAGTGGGTGATTTGACGTTTTCGGTTGTCAGAGCTAGTTGGGGGTGGTGGTGTGTGAGTTTGGGGGGAAGGGTCCTACTGTCAGTTAATGGGTGAGGCCAGAGATGCCACCAAACACCTTACAGTGCACAAAGCAGCCCCCATAACACAGAATTATGTAGCCCACAATGCCAACAGTGCTGAATTTGAGAAACCCCACCTTGTACAACATTGCTGTGCAACCAACCACCCTAAATATTACTGACTTAAAACAATAGTCACTGTGGCTGGGCGCGGTGGCTCATGCGTGTAAGCCCAGCGCTTTGGGAGGCTGAGGCGGCGGATCACTTGAGGTCAGGAGTTCCAGACCAGCCTGGCCAACATGGTGAAACCTTGTCTCTACTAAAAATACAAGAATTAGCTGAATGTGGCAGCGGGCGCCTGTAATCCCAGCCATTTGGGAGGCAGAGGCAGGAGAATCGCTTGAACCTGGGAGGTGGAGGTTGCAGTGAGCCAAGATCTCACCATTGCACTCCAGCTTGGGCAATGAGTGAGACTCTGTCTTAAAAAAAAAAAAAAGTTATTGTATTACCTCTTGTGTGTGTAGGTTAATTGGACTCAGCTGGGGATTCCTCTGCTCTGTATTACATTGGCCAGGATTGCAGTCACCTGGGGCTCTCCTGGGCTGGAATGTGTGAGAGGGCTTACTCAGTGTTTGGTGCCCTGGCTTGGAGGCTGGGCCCAGCTGGGCCTCTCTCTCTTCATGAAGTTTCAGGGCCTTTTGCTGTCCACATGGCACCTCTATGTGGTCTCCAAATCAGAAGTCAAGGAACTACAGCCTGTGATGCCTATTTTGTAAAGAAGGTTTTACTGGAACACAGCCCTACCCATGTGTTTGTACAGTGCCTATGGCTGCTTTCACATCATAACAGCATTTTATTTCATTTTATTTATTTTTTTTTGAGACAAAGTCTCACTCTGGCTGGAGTGCAGCAGCACAATCATAGCTCACTGCAGCCTCCAACTCTTGGGCTCAAGCAATCCTCCTGTCTCAGCCTCCTCAGTAGCTAGTACTACAGGCCCATGCCACCACTAATGGCTAATTTTTTAATTTTGTGTAGAGATGGGACCTTGTGAGATTGCCTAGGCTGGTCTTGAACTCCTGGCCTCAAGAAATCCTCCCACCTTGGCCTCCCAAAATGCTTGGATTACAGGCATGAGCCACTGTGCCCAGCCCACAACAGCATTTGAGTAGTTGTGATAGAGACCAAATGGCCTACAAAGCCCAAAATAGTTCCTGTTTGGCCCATTTCGAAAAGGCTTGCTGACCTCTGAGCTACATGGTCTCTCTAGCAGGACAGCCTCGACGGTAGCTCAGGTTTCCAAAACACAAAAGTGGAAGCTGCCAGGCTTTCTTAGGGGTTATCCTAGGAGGGACATAGGATCTCTTTGACTGCATTTTATTGTTTGATGCATGCTCTGGGGCTGCTCAAATTCCACCTGAGAGGAAACTACACAAGGTCATGAATCCCAAGAGGACTGGGGCATTGGGTGCTATTTTTGGAGACTGGCTACCACACCCTGCCCAATGGTAATCTTCCCTTATCTAGATTAATACAACCCCAGGGAAGATTCTAACTTGGCTCTGCTTTGGGTCATTTGCCTCCCTGGAGGTGAGGTGTTGTGATCGGTTTTGTTGGAATGCCCAAAGGGGTCAGGGCAGTGTGATTACCAGGACCTCATGGAATGGGGGATGCGTGGTTATGCAAAGGAGCCGGGGATGCTGGGTAGAAAAAAAATCAGCATATGTTCACTATAGTGCTCTTCAGTATTTTACATGTACTTTGTTCTCAGTTTTCTCATCTGTAAAATAGGAATAATGTATATCCTTTTTTTTTTTTTTTTTTTGGAGTCTTGCTCTGTTGTCCAGGCTGGAGTACAGTGGCACAATCTCAGCTCACTGCAACCTCCGCATCCCGGGTTCAAGTGATTCTCCTGCCTCAGCCTCCTCAGTAGCTGGGACTACAGGCGTGCACCACCACACTCAGCTAGTTTTTGTATTTTTAGTAGAGATGGGGTTTCGCCATGTTGGCCAGGCTGGTCTCAAACTCCTGACCTCAAGTGATCTGCCTGCCTCGGCCTCCGAAAGTGCTGGAATTACAGGCATGAGCCACCACGCCCATTGGGAATAATGTATATCTAATGAGGCTGTGTTGGAATTGAATGAGTTAATGCACAGACCAGATTTGTCATGTTGCCTGGCCCATAGGAGACAATAAATGGTACCCAGTATTAATAACTGTGAATGTCAACAACATTTAATATATTGTATATCTTCAAAATGTACTTGAGGTATTTGTTCATCATTCTGTTTTTGTTTGAATAAGCTCGTGCCTTCTTTTTGTGAATATTTAAATTTATAAGTAGCGAGTGGGAGGGGAAGGAAGTTATGTGATGAGGCTAGCTTACTGAGCCATCTGCAGGCACCTTCATTAGTCTTGAGACTGTCCTCTGGTTACTTAACAGCAGTGAATTATCTAGAATCATTTAGTGATCAGAAGACTTGGTTTAGTGGAATGTAGATTTTTTTCTAATAGACCCCTCTTCCAGGGAAATGTTTCATATTTTTGAAGAGGTTTCCTGGGGAGTGTTTAAGAGGCCATGATTGAAAATGGGTGATTACATTAGTGTGTTTTCTATTCCTCCCCTTTTTGAGTTTCTGTTTTGGAATGTAAGCTTTGTTTTTCTACGTGGAGAAGGGTCCCTCAGCTGCTTCTGCCCAGGTTTTTTGAATCTTCCTATAGGGATGGAGATTTTCTTTGGGGACTGTTAGAGAAAATGGAATAGAGTGTAGCTCTGAAGGAGAAGGATGTCTCCAGCAGAAGTACCTCTAGCCTTGGGCCAAGGGAGGGAAGGGAAGGGAACGAGCATCTGGGAACCAGGGAAGGGATTTTTGTCTTTCTTAATTACTCTTACATCCCCAGTGCCCAAAATAGTGTCTGGCATATGTTAAGTCCTTAGTAAATACTTGTTGAATGAGTGTATGCTCAGTGAACAAAATAAATGGCAAACATTAAGCACAGTATCAGATAATTTGTGTAAAAAATATACAGCAGTGTTATACTAAAACTTGCACAGAGGCCAGGTGCAGTGGCTCACGCCTGTAATCCCAGCACTGGGAGGCCGAGGTGGGCAGATCTTTGAGCTCAGGAGTTTGAGACCAACCTGGGCAACATGCTGAAACCCTGTCTATACAAAAAATACAAAAAGTAGCTGGGGCATGGGGACGCACATCTGTGGTCCCAGCTACTTGGGAGGCTGAGGCTGGAGAATTGCTTGAAGCTGGGAGGTGGAGGTTGCAGTAAGCCAAGATTGTGCCACTGCACCCCAGCCTGGGTGACAGAGTAAGACCCTGTCTCAAAACACAAAACAACACCCCCTTCAAAAAAAATCCAAAACCACCACCACAACAAAAAAACTTACACAGAAAAGTGTTGATAATTGTCAAAATTGGGCTGTTATTGGCAATTTGACAGTAGCTGAATTACTACCATTTGAGCTATATTCACTATAGATAAGATCTTCAATATATTTACAACTTTAGTACTAATGGGAAAATGATAACTTTTGAAAAGTTTTTTTTTTTTCTTATTGCAAACAATACACAATACAATGTTAAATATAGAAGGTTAAACGTGCATCTGAGTCTGTTTGGGCTGCGATAATAGATACCTTAGACTTGGCAATTTATAAACAATAGAAATTCATTGCTGACAGTTGTGAAGACTGGGAAGTCCAAGATCAAGGCGCCAGCGAATCTGGTATCTGGTGATGGCTCCCTGCTTCAAAAATGGCGCCTTCTTGCTGCATCTTCACCTGGCAGAAGGGGCAAACATGAGTCCTTCAGCTTCTTTTTTTTTTTTTTTCTATGTTTAAAACTTTTGGTCCGGCGTGGTGGCTCATGCCTGTAATCCTAGCACTTTGGGAGGCCGAGGCAGGTGCATCATGAGGTCAAGAGATCGAGACCATCCTGGCCAACATGGTGAAACCCCCCCGTCTCTATACTAAAAATACAAAAATTAGCCAGGCATGGTGGCGTGTGCTTGTAGTCCCAGCTACTCAGGAGGCTGAGGCAGGAGAATTGCTTGAACCTGGGAGGCAGAGGTTGCAGTGAGCCAAGATTGCGCCACTGCACTCCAGCCTGGCAACAGAGTAAGACTCCGTCTCAAAACAAACAAACAAAAAAAACAAAAAAAAACTTTTATTTTAGGTTCATGGGTAAATGTACAGGTTTGTTATGTAGGTAAACTTGTCTTGGGGTTTGTTATAGATTATTTCGTCACCCAGGTACTAAGCCTAGTAACCAATAGTTATTTTTTCAGATTGTCTCCCTCCTCCCACCCTCTGTCCTCTAGTAGGCTCCAATGTCTGTTGTTCCCTTCTTAGTGTCCTTGTGTTCTCATCCTTTAGCTCCCATTTATATGTGAGAACATGTGGTATTTGGTTTTCTGTTCCTGCATTAGTTTGCTAAGGATAATGTCAGCCTCTTTTTTTTTTTTTTTTTTTTTTTTGATACAGAGTCTCGCTCTGTTGCCCAGGTTGGAGTGCAGTGGTGCGATCTTGGCTCACTGCAACCTCTGCCTCCCGGGTTCAAGTGATTCTCTTGCCTTAGCCTCCTGAGTAGCTGGGACTACAGGTGCGCACCACCATGCCAGGCTAATTTTTGTATTTTAGTAGAGATAGGGTTTCACCATGCTGGCCACGCTGGTCTCCAACTCTTGACCTTGTGATCCGCCGGCCTCGTCTTTTTCCCAAAGTGCTGAGATTACAGGTGTGAGTCACTGCACCCGGCCCAATGTCAGCCTCTTTTTTAGGGAAGTGATTTAATCACTTCCCTAAAAGTCCTACCTCGTTTTTTTTTTTGGTTTTTTCTTTTTTTTTTTTTTTTTTTTTTTTTTTTTTTTAGGTAGAGTCTTGCTCTGTCACCCAGGCTGGAGTGCAGTGGTGCGATCTTGGCTCACTGCAACCTCCACCTCCTGAGTTCAAGCAATTCTCCTGCCTCAGCCTCCTGAGTAGCTGGGATTATAGGTGCCTGCCACCACGCCTGGCTAATTTTTTTGTATTTTTAGTAGAGTTGGGGTTTCACCATGTTGGCCAGGCTGGTCTTGAACTCCTGACCTCAAGTGATCTGCCCAAAATGCTGGGATTACAGGCGGGAGCCACTGTGGCCAGCCCCTGCAAGTCCTACCTCTTAATAGTATTACACTGGGGATTACATTTCAACATGAATTTTGTAGGGGCGAGGGGCACAAACGTTTAGAATATAGCACATCACATACATAGTGAGAGAAAAATCCCTCAAAATCTTACCTGAGACAATCACTGCCAACAGATTGCTGTATAGTGTGCCAATTTTGTTTGTGTGTGTGTGTGCCTTAAAAATATTTATTATGGAAATTTAAAAACGTACCCCAAGGTGGCCAGGTGTAGTGGCTCACGCCTGTAATCCTGGCACTTTGGGAGCCCGAGGTGGGTGTATTACTTGAGGTCAGGAGTTTGAGACCAGCCTGGCCAAAATGGTGATACCAGTCTCCTAAAAATACAAAAATTAGCCGGGTGTGGTGGGCACCTGTAGTTCCAGCTACTCGGGAGACCAAGTCATGAGAATTGCTTGAACCCTGGAGGCAGAGGTTGCAGTGAGCCAAGACCATGCCACTGCACTCCAGCCAGGGTGACAGAGTGAGACTCCATCCTAGAAACAAACAAACAAACAAACAAACCAACTAACCAACCAGAGAAAACTCCCTGTCTGTAAGGAGTATGTGTTCTAATGGATACTGAGCCATCTTGTTCTGTTTAACATGTGCCTAATGTTCTTTTATATGGGCGGACTTGTAGGTTGTTTCAACTTTTCTGTTGATGAACCTTTAGGTGGTTTCTGATTATTTTTGTGTTACAACAGTTTTCATCATTCACATCTTTGTATGCATCTTTTTTGAGCACATGTGCAAGTATTTCTGTGGACAATGGATGATTCCTAGAAATTGAAAGTTTGGATTACTGTGTTCCAAAAAAGGAAGCAATACACCCAGCTATGTTGGCTTTTGCTCTTGGGTCCAGATGATTATCTGACAAAGTTATTCTCTGATTGCATTTTCTTTTCTTTTCTTTTCTTTTTTTTTTTTGAGATGGAGTTTCGCTCTTGTTGCCCAGGTTGGAGTGCAATGGCGCGATCTCGGCTCACTGCAACCTCTGCCTCCCAGGTTCAAGCGATTCTCCTGCCTCAGCCTCCTAAGTAGCTGGCATTGCAGGCATGCGCCACGACACCTGGCTAATTTTTTGTATTTTTAGTAGAGATGGGATTTCTCCATATTGGTCAGGCTGGTCTTGAACTCTTGACCTCAGGTGATCCACCCGCTTCAGCCTCCCAAAGTGCTGGGATTACAGGCGTGAGCCACAGTGCCTGGCCCTCTGACTGCATTTTCACAGTGTTTTGGGTCCTTATCTCTACCTCAGTACCTCAATATTCAGTGCCCACTGGGCCCTTAGATACTGCAGCTAAAAGTGCACAGGGGTGGAGTGATGTGACGGTTTTGGGGTCACAGAAGCAGCTGGTATAGAGAGAAGTTGTGAAGTTTTTTTTTTTTTTCCTGAGACAGAGTCTCGCTGTATCCCCTAGGCTGGAGTGCAGTGGCTTGATCTCGGCTCACTGCAACCTCTGTCTCCCTGGTTCAAGTGATTCTTATGCCTCAGCCTCCCGAGTAGCTGGGATTATAGGCATGTGTCACCATACCCAGCTAATTTTTGTGTTTTTAGTAGAGATGGGGTTTCACCATGTTGGCCAGGCTGGTCTTGAGCTCCTGACCTCAGGTGATCCGCCCACCTGGGCCTCCCAAAGTGCTGGGATTACAGGCCTGAGCCATTGCGCCTGGTCTTTTTTTTTTTTTTTTAAGTAATCATAGGCTTGAATGTAGCCTCTCATCTGTTCACCTTAATAATCCAAAAGCCTTTAGATAAAGAAATGGAGATTTGGAATGGCTTCTCAGAATTCCAAGAGAGTATTGTCATGGTTTTGCCTGCAAAGCACCGTGGTCTGTCTCCTTGTGCAGTTGAGAAAGCTGGTGGTCGCCACTGACAGGCCCAGAGTTATTAAGTTGGACACTGCTTTAAGCAACTTTGTAAACAATCCAAGGCATACTAGAGAATTAGGAGAGATTGGCTTTGTGTATGAGCAATAACAAAATCAAGTTCAATCCAGCAAGTTTTTGGGGAATTATAATTCAAAACTCAAATACTTGATCTGGAAGAAACTTGGAAAGAGGGAAGGAAGACAGGCTTGTTACAGCATTGTCAGGGTAAAAGGAAAATACCGTGCAGCTTTTAATTTTGCTTCTTCATGGCATTCCCCATGTAGGTGCCCTAGATTTGTTTTTTACAGTGGTCACGACTTCATGTGGATCCACCCACCACTCTTGCCTGGTTCCCCAAGGGACCAAGGGAAGGTGTATTCAGGATGATTGCTGAAGTGAGGGGTGGGGTCTGTGGCTGAGAAGACTCTCAATACCGCGGCACTCATTATAAGCCTCTGACACAGGAGATTTCAACTCCACCCGTGCAACAAAGGAACAGGGTGGGCAAGAGTAGTTACAGTTGCAGGCTGAGTGCGATGGTTCATGCCTGTAATCCCAGTGCTTTGGGAAGCCAAGGTGGGAGGATTGCTTGAGTCTAGGAGTTTGAGACCAGCCTGGGTGACATAATGAGACCCTACCTGTACAAAAAAATTTTAAAAATTAGCCAGATTGGTGGTGTGCGCCTATAGTCCCAGCTACTCTGGAGAATGAGGTGGGTGAGGGTCCCTTGAGTCCAGGAGTTCGAGGCTGCAGTGAGTTATGATTCTATGATTTCACCACTGCATTCCAGCCTGGGCGACAGAGCAAGATTGTGTTCTTTTTTTTTTTTGAGACGGAGTCTCACTCTGTCACCCAGGCTGAAGTGCAGTGGTACGATCTCTGCTCACTACAACCTGCACCTCCCAGGTTCAAGTGATTCTCTCCCTCAGCCTCCCGAGCAGCTGAGATTAAAAGCGGCCGCTTGTGTGCAGCTAATTTTTGTATTGTTAGTAGAGATGGGGTTTCATCATGTTGGTCAGGCTTGTCTTGAACTCCTGACCTCAGGTGATCCACCCGCCTCGCCCTCCCAAAATGCTGGGATTACAGGCGTGAGCTACTGCGCCCAGCCATTTGTGTCTCTTAAAAAAAAAACTAAGAAAATGAAAAAAATGACATTGGCCAATTCATTAAAATGCCACTCACTGACTGTGGTATGAAATGGCTTTCCCTTTGATGGACCGAGTCTGTCTCATTGTGTGAGCCACTTGCAGGGCTGAGTATGACTCTGGAATGTAGCTCCTAACCTTATCTGCTGCCCAGCCATTGAAATGGCCATCCCTTCCAGTTCCCAGAAGATTCCAGTGTGTGTTTGGGATTTTAAGACAGTCTCTTGGTCTTCAGTGTGGCATCTTTCTGCCGGATTTTCCAGGATAATTTTGATTATAAGCATTGCATTGCCCTTGGTGTGTAATGCCTGTGTATGATGCTGTTCCCTTGTAACGTGCAGGATTAAATTTTTGGGTCAGCCACTGCTGCTCCCCTTCATTCCTGCAGGTCATTAGAGTCATCGTACATTTAGCGATGTCTCAGATCAGTGTATCTAGAGTGTTAATAAACATGTTAGATTCCAAATCTACTGTCCATTTAATCCATACTTCATACGTTGAGGATCTCTGACTGAAAGATTAGACTTGGAAAAATAATAAGACTGTATGGTAAGAAAACTATAGTTGCAAATCCATTTGGACATGTAGTATGTCAGCCCTGCAGAGCAGATGTCAGAACCCCATTTAGTTCTCTGAGTGCTAAGCCCTTCTGCCCACCACGCTGTTTTTTTTTTTTGAGATGGAGTCTCGCTCTGTCACTCAGGCTGGAGTGCAGTGGTGTGATCTCGGCTCACTGCAAGCTCTGTCTCCCAGGTTCACGCCATTCTCCTGCCTCAGCCTCCCAAGTAGCTGGGACTACAGGTGCTCACCACCATGCCCAGCTAATTTTTTGTATGTTTTTGGTAGAGACGGGGTTTCACTGTGTTAGCCAGGATGGTCTGGATCTCCTGACCTTGTGATCCACCCGCTTCGGCCTCCCAAAGTGCTGGGATTACAGGCGTGAGCCACTGCTCCTGGCCCCCACGCCTTTTTTTTTTTTTGGAGACAGAGTTTCACTCTGTCACCCAGATTGGAGTGCTGTGGCACAATCTCAGCTCATTGTGTCCTCTGCCTCCCAGGTTCAAGTGATTCTTGTGCCTCAGCCTCCTGAGTAGGTGGAATTACAGGCGTGCACCACAACACCTGGCTAATTTTTGTATTTTTAGTAGAGATGGGGTTTCACCATGTTGGCCAGGCTGGTCTCGATCTCCTGACCTCCAGTGATCCACTTGCCTAGGCCTCCCAAAGTGTTGGGATTACAGGCGTCAGCCACCATGCCTGGACCCCTCTGCCCCTTTAAGCACTGCCACATATTAGATCTACGAAGGCTTTATGGATACAATCCAAGGAAGATGAACCTTGGGCTAGTGGGATAAAACTAAGCGCATGTAGTTAGAATGGAATGATCTGGAAACCAGGTCCCAAGTTGGTCTAAATTAGACTCATGTTGACTATGTCACACTGTAAACCAGTCTAAATGCTAATAAGCATGCTTGACCAAACACTGCCCTGCAGCCTTCAGAGAGGAAGAAGGAAAACATAATTTGTATCCTCTCTCCCTATTTTCTGAGTCTATGGGATTCAAATTGTAGCTGCCATGGAAACTGTACTTTGGAATTTCTAGAGCCCTTAATTTTAACTTAACATATAAAAACACTTTTGTACTGATTTTATAATTATTCATGATGGATGAGAAAGTGAATGTCTTTGACAGTGAGGGAAGCTATCCGAATGCTATTTTCTTTTTTTTTTTTCTTTCATAAAGATGCATATATTTGCATGCTTTATTTACCTGGGGCTAACTCTTGCATCTTTTGCAGATTCCGACACCATAGCTGAGTTACAGGAGCTCCAGCCTTCGGCAAAGGACTTCGAAGTCAGAAGTCTTGTAGGTTGTGGTCACTTTGCTGAAGTGCAGGTGGTAAGAGAGAAAGCAACCGGGGACATCTATGCTATGAAAGTGATGAAGAAGAAGGCTTTATTGGCCCAGGAGCAGGTAGGAGGATTTTAACATCATGCTTTTCCACTTTCTGTACCGGAGTGTTCATTGCAAAGACGATAATCTGCTGCACTGGCGTCTAGGATCAAGCACGTTTTCCTCTGTGACTCTATATTTAATTATAGTTGGGGCAAAAAGGTCTCTCATGTTCTTAGCTCATCTTCTTGAACTGATGTTGGCTAATTTTGAAGGCTCACAAATTCCTCTTGATGTATCATGTTTCTATCGTTGTAATTTATTTCAGAACCAAGGTGGCCTTTTAGCTAATGAATTTAAGATGATCTTTTATGACCATTAGCTGAGGACTCAGGATATACATATGGTGGGGTGAATCAGATTGCTTTTGTACACGCTTTAGGTATTTGTGTTGTGGGCATATGGATTTGGTTTTAAAACAGGCCTTTGAAGAAATCAAATAACATTCTTTGTTATGTGGCTAGGGAGTTGCTTGTTTGAGAGCAGGTAGAACGTTATCTTTTTTGTTGTGGTATTTTTCTTTCTTTTAAACAAGGCTACTGTCTCTAGACATATTGATTCATTTGCTGTGTTTTAGAGAGATGGCCGTCAGCCTTGGAATTCAGAGAGTAATTTATTACTTACAGACATTTTAGTGCACATGATATGTCTGATAATGTACCCAGCTCTGCAGGAAGCTTGCAAAAGGAATAGAAGTCCCATGGTTGCTATTTTCAGTGTTTAAAAACAACCTTGGAAAGTGGAGGAAAAATGCAAATGTATAAAGCAGGTGCTTACCAGCTAAAGTATCACAGAAGTGGGAGAGCAATTAGCAAATTAATTAACGATGATGTGAGGGGAGATGTTGTGGGTGAGCAAGGGACAGTTAGGGACAGTTCTCACCGATGGGGGGAAATGTAGGTTCTCGGCAGAGAGAAGTGATGAGAACATGTTGGGTAGAAGTGTGACATTCTGGAGTACTAGAATGCTATGCAAGTGTGTGTGTGTGGGTGTGTGTGTGTGTTCAGTGGTTCAGAACAGACTGGGAAATGGCGAAATGAGGACATTTGGGTGGGGAGGGGGAAATGGGTGGGAAACTCAAGAACCTTTTTTTAAAAAATTGTGGTAAAATATATATAACATAAAGTGTACCATTTTAACCATTTTTAAATGTGCAACTGAGTGGTATTCAGTGCATTCATGATGTTGTACAACCATGACCGCTCTCCATTTCTAGAATTTTTCTATCATCCCAAACAGAAACTCTCTATCCATTATACAATACCTCCCCATTCCCCCAAGAACCAGTTTTTGAATTGCAGTTTACTTTGTGAGGCTGTTGGGGATTATTTAGGCCTCTGGAAGGAGGAGGTTGGGATCAGAGTCTGGCCCTGTGGACTTCAATGACTTTGTGTGGCCTCCAATCAGAGAAGCAGCGGAGGGCAGGAAGCTGCTTGTCAGAATCTGAGAGTGATGTGGCTTCTTTGTTTAGCAATAAAATGTGAGCACATAATAGAAAGGAAAAGTGACAGGACATGGCAGATAATTTGGAAGAGAGGAGTGGAAGATGCTCACTCAGCCTCCCAGCTCCTGAGAAAGAACTGTGTCTCATCAGTTCATACTACCTGAGCATCTGTTGTATCTGGTGTGTTTCTAGGTCCTGGAGAAGAGGCATTACGTGTAGCCCTGACCTTGTGATGCTTATGTTTTTGATGGGAAATAGTGCGTGTAAAAAGAAAATAATCCAACAGGCCACACGGCAGGCAAACAATAGAGATATTCAAATAGGTATACCTTCCTCCAGGTGAATGGCCTGAAATGACCGTGTGGAAGTGTGGGCTGGGGGCTTATAAAATTATACACATACAGGCGCTAACTAAAGCCGCCTATTCATTCCTTAAGAGGATGCATAGAAAAGAAAAGTAGGGTCCTTAACTGAGCCATTTGGAATTTAAGGGCATGAGAGAAGCCAGCACAAGCAGTGAAGGGAAGGAAAAGAAGTGCCCGAGAGGAGGGAGGGATGCTGTTCTGCAGACAAGGCCTGCCGCCTGGGAGAGGCCCGCACGCCCACCCAGGGTTCTCTGACAGCTGGAAGGGGTCTTCAGAGACTGTTTATATTTTATTTATTTATTTATTTATTTATTTTGAGACAGAGTCTCTGTCACCCAGGCTGGAGTGCAGTGGTGCGATCTCAGCTCACTGCAAGCTCCGCCTCCCAGGTTCACACCATTCTCCTATCTCAGCCTCCCGAGTAGCTGGGACTACAGGCGCCTGCCACAATGCCCGGCTAATTTTTTTGTAATTTTAGTAGAGACGGGGTTTTACCTCGTTAGCCAGGATGGTCTTGATCTCCTGACCTCATGATTCGCCCACCTCGGCCTCCCAAAGTGCTGGGATTACAGGTGTGAGCCACTGTGCCTGGCCGACTGTTTCTACTATTTTAGAGAGAGGGTCTCACTGTCATCTGTGCTGGAATGCAGTGATGCAGTCATAGCTCACTGCACCCTCAAACTCCTGGGCTTAAGCGACCCTCCCGCCTCAGCCTCTTAAGTAGCTGGGACCATAGGCATGTGCTGCCACACCCAGTTAACTTTATTATTTATTTATTTATTTAGAGAATGAGTCTCATTCTGTTGCCCAGGCTAGAGGTGCAGTGGCACGATCTCGGCTCACTGCAACCCCGCCTCCCAGGTTCAAGCGATTCTTCTTGCTCAGCCTCCTGAATAGCTGGGATTACAGGCACCTGCCACCACACCTGGCTAATTTTTGTATTTTTAGTGCAGAGGGGGGGTTTCACCATGTTGGTCAGGCTGGTCTCGAACTCCTGACCTTGTGATCTGCCTGCCTCGGCCTCCCAAAGTGCTGGGATTACAGGCGTGAGCCACCGTGCCCGGCCCACTTTATTATTTTAAAAACATTGTTTTATTTTTATTTTTTTGAGACAGAGTCCGCTGGAGTTCAGTGGCCGGATCTCACTCACTGCAACCTCTGCCTCCTGGGTTCAAGTGATTCTTGTGCTTCAGCCTCTCTAGTAGCTGGGACTACAGGCGGGTGCCACCATGCCTGGCTAATGTTTTTTGTATCTTTTTAGTAGAGACGGGGTTTTGCCATGTTGGCCAGGCTGGTCTCGAACTCCTGACCTCAAGTGATCTGCCCACTTTAGCCTCTCAAAGTACTGGGATTACAGGCGTGAGCCACTGTGGCTAGCCCCCAGCTAACTTTAAAAAAAAATTTTGTGGGCCGGGTGCAGTGGCTCACGCCTGTAATCCCAGCACTTTGGAGGCCAAGCAGGGCGGATCACTTGAGGTCGGGAGTTTGAGACCAGCCTGACCAACATGGAGAAACCCTGTCTCTACTAAAAATACAAAAAATTAGCCGGGTGTGGTGGTGCATGCCTGTAATCCCAGCTACTTGGGAGCTGAGGCAGGAGAATTGCTTGAATCTGGGAGGCAGAGGTTGCAGTGAGCTTAGATCACGCCACTGCACTACAGCCTGGGCAACAAGAGCGAACACTCCGTCTCAAAAAAAAAAAATAAATTATGTAGAGGTGGGATCTCCCTATGTTGCCCGGACTGGTCTTGAACTCCTGGCCTCAAGTGATCCTTCCATCTCCCCCTCCCAAAGTGTTGGGATTACAGGCATGAGCCACCCCTCCTGGCTGAGACTGCTTATTTTATTTATTTTTAATTTTTTTTGTTTTGAGACTGCTTATTTTAATGGAAGCTTCAGGGGTCAGACGGGGTCAGACAGAGTCATTGGTGAGCAAGCAAAGGTGTAGACTGTTCAGTTCAGCCTTCCTTGGACACCTTTTATGTGCCAGACAAAAGAAGGATCAGCATATCAGGTGCAGTAAATTATTGGGGTTATGTTGGTGTTTCCCAAATGTGTTAGATTTATCCCTGGTAGTGTTAAATCTCATGATTTTAGGTAGTATATGGACAACCTATGTAAAAACATTTAATAGTTTAATATTAACTAGCATATCAAAACCTGTGACTTTGCTCACGCCTGTAATCCCAGCACTTTGGGAGGCCAAGGCGGGAGGATGGTTTGGGCCCAGGAGTTTGAGGCCAGCCTAGGTAACATGGTGAGACCCTGTCTCTAAAACAAAACAAAACAAAACAAACAAACAAACAAATAAACAAATCCCCTGTAACTTGTTCTAACAATAACCTAAACAATTTTTTATTTAAAATTAAATAAAAAAATTGAAACAGTAACCATTTTTTTTTTTTTTTTTGGAGACAGAGTCTTGCTTTGTCACCTAGTCTAGAGTGCAGTGGCACAATCTCTGCTCACTGCAACCTCTGCCTTCAAACAATTCTCCTGCCTCAGGCTTCTGAGTAGGTGGGATTGATTACAGGTGCACTCCACCATGCCCAGCTAATTTTTGTATTTTTAGTAGAGACGGGGTTTCACCATGTTGGCTAGGCTAGTCTTGAACTCCTGACCTGCAGTAGTCCACGTGCCTTGGCCTCCCAAAGTGCTGGGATTACAATCACAAATTTATAGAAAAGTTGCAAGTACCATGTAGTCAGGGTTCTTAAGAGAAATGGAACCAGTAGGAGATAGATATATAATCATCTCCTAGGATTATAAGTTGACACATAAGACTAACCGTCACATACAGTATAAACAACTTTTTTTCTTAAACCATTTGATAGATACACACACACTGATATACATAGAATATATATACACACACACAGAATGTATATACACATAGAATATATGTGCATACAGAATATATACACAGAAATATATATGTACACATGCATAGAATATATTTACATATATATGCATATATATAATTTATTTATTTTAAGCAGTTGATTTATACAGTTTTTGTTTTTGTTTTTTTTTTGAGACAGAGTCTCACTCTGTCACCCAGGCTAGAGTGCAGTGGCGAGATCTCAGCTCACTGCAACCTCTGCCCCCGGGTTCCAGTGATTCTCCTGCCTCAGCTCCACAAGTAGCACACCACCATGCCCAGCTAATTTTTGTATTTTTTTTAGTAGAGACGAGGTTTCATCATGTTGGCCAGGCTGGTCTCGAACTCCTGACCTCAAGTGATCCGCCCGCCTTGGCCTCCCAAAGTGCTGGGATTTCAGGCGTGAGCCACCACACCTGGCTCCCATAATGTCTTTTAGAATAAAACGATCGAGTTGAGGATCACACGTGACACTTAATTGTCCTGTCTCTTTAGTCTCCTTCAATCTGGAGCAGTTCTTTGATTTTTCCTGGACTCTCATGACCTTGACAATTCTGATGATTATAGGCCAGTTATTTTGTAAAATTTGAATTTGTCTGATGTTGCTTATGTTTAGATTTAGGGTCTTGGTCTTTGGCCGGAATATCTCAGACAAGATGCTCTGTTCTTATTGCATCAGAGCAGAAGACTCTCTGTTTCAGTTGATCACATTTATGTTGATGCTCACTTTGATCACTTGATTAAGGTGGTGTCAGTTATGCCTTTCTACTTGTAGGGTTACTCCTTCCTCCTTCGTGATTTTATTTATTTTATTTTTCTTAGAGACAGGGTCTTGCTTGGTTGCCCAAGCTGGAGTGCAGTGGTGGGATCTTGGCTCACTGCAGCCTTGAACTCCTGGGCTCAAGTAATCCACCTGCCACAGCCTCCTGAGTAACTGGGACTGTAAGCGAACACCACCACACCCAGCTACTTTTTGTATTGTAGAGATGGGGTCTCACTGTGTTGTCCAGGCTGGTCTGTAACTCCTGGCCTCAAGCAGTCTTCCGGCCTTGGCCTCCCGAAGTGCTGGGATTACAGGCATGAGCCACTGCACCCAGCCTCCTTTGTAATTAAAAAAGTATTTTATGGGGAGTTACTTTCAAGTGATGGAAATATTTTATATCTATGTGGACTTGGATTTTCCTATTTCAGTCAGTGAGTTATAATCCATTTCTGTCACTAGTTTTATACTTAAATTGTTCCCAACTTGGCCACTGAGAACCTTTTTAGGTTAGCTTTTGTGTCCTTTTCACATGTCTCCAAGATTCATTGAATACTTTCCTGCTTTCTGGTATAGCAAGATGTTCAGGTTCTTTTGGTACTTTTACTTTCTCTGCCCTGGCTCTGGCATCAGTCATTTCTCAGAGGAGCCCTGTGCCTTTCAGTGGACAATGGTGTTTAGAGGCCAAGATCTGGACATTGGGTGTTTTCATTGCTACCGGTGTGTCACTACTCCCAGACCCCTTTCAGTGGACAGCACTAAGGAATACACATACGTATATACAATATATCCACCTACACATGTGCGTGCACTCACACACACACATATACATTACATCTATATTTGTGTATCCATGTCTATATATTGAAAATTGTGGCTGGGCACAGTGGCTTATGCCTTTAATCTCAGCATTTTGGGAGGCTGAGGCAAGAGGATCACCTGAAGCCAGGAGTTCAACACCAGCTTGGGAAACAGAGAGAGACTCTGTCTCTACAAAAATAAAAAGGGAAAACCATGAGTTCACACCCGTGCCCCCAGTTCCAATCCAACTTCACAGGGTTCATTTTAGTTTTCACCCTTTCCATGTTTGTAATTCTCTTCTCTGACATTATACCCTTAATATGTTTACTTATTTTATGCATCTGTATGCATCCAATCTACTGTCTTTGTTGGTATCCCACCTCCCCTTGGTGGGTCCAGATAATCTGCTCTGGGTTGCCCTTTCACGTGGATGTCTTCCTTACCCTGTGTGGGCCTGTGATACTGGGCTGCCCCCACACATGAGTGCTGCCCTCCTCACGTTGCTTGGGACGGCACTGTGTCCTGGGCCACCATGACTTTTCTCATAACTAGCGTGGATGCTTACCTTGTTCCACACCAGTGAATGGCTTCAGGAAGAGAAGAGGAAGAGAAAAATATTTACATTTAAAGAAAGGTAGTTTAAAGAAATATGTTAGGTAAAGAATTGAGCAGGTAATATACGGAGCTGGCAAAAATTGTGACCAAAGTAGGTGAATGATTGAGATTTATGCAATTCTGGGCTAAGTGACAGCCCCTTCCCTTTCCCTTCCCTTCCCCTTCCCTTCCCTTTTCTTCCCTTTCCCTTCCCTTTCCTTCCCTTTCCCTTCCCCTTCCCTTCCCTTTCCTTCCCTTTCCCTCTTCTTCCTTCCTTCCTTCTGTTTTCTTTTCCCTTCTTTCCTTTGCCTTTTTTTTTTTTTAAAGCTAGAAACATCAGTTTAGGCATAAAGACAGAGGAAAAGGCTTCTTTTTCCTCTCACAGTTCTTTATAATTGTCTAAGCAGTTTCTTTTTTCCCTAGGTTTCATTTTTTGAGGAAGAGCGGAACATATTATCTCGAAGCACAAGCCCGTGGATCCCCCAATTACAGTATGCCTTTCAGGACAAAAATCACCTTTATCTGGTGAGTCTTTACATCTGTCTCTCTGGAATTAGCCTAGCACTCTGACACTCAGATGCCTGTGGTAGAACTGAATGTTGTTCTTGCCCATGTGGTCTCATTCATGCAAAGACTTTCTTACCTTACAGGTGTCTCCCTGGTTTCCTCGTTATAAAGATCAAGAGCTAACCCATTTAGAAACAGCCTCATTGGGCTGAACGTGGTGGCTCACGCCTGTAATCCCAGCATTTTGGGAGGCCGAGGCGGGTGGATCACGAGGTCAGGAGATCAAGACCATCCTGGCTAACACAGTGAAACCCCGTCTCTACTAAAAATACAGAAAAATTAGCCGGGCATGGTGTCGGGTGCCTGTAGTCCCAGCTACTCAGGTGGCTAAGGCAGGACAATCGCTTGAACCTGGGAAGCGGAGCTTGCAGTGAGCCGAGATTGCGCCACTGCACTCCAGCCTGGGTGACAGAGCAAGACTCTATCTCAAAAAAAAAAAAAAGAAAAAAAAAGAAACAGCCTCATTGACAGTTGGATATTGTAGCTGTGGCTTTCAGGCAATAATAGGGAATCATTTATTGGGGAATAGTCTGTCATTATGTATAAGATAATCTTGCTTTAATTTTTAAAAACTTCCTGTGTTAGCTTGCTTAGGATTAAAAAAATGATAATAGTGCATGGTTGTTATAAGAAAATGCAAACACTGCAGACATGCATGAAGTTGAAGGGAAAGCCCCCCATTTTCTTTTCCTTTTCTTTTTTTTTGAGACAGAGTCTCGCTTTGTCACCCAGGCTGGAGTGCGGTGGCACTATCTCGGCTCACTGCAATCTCCACCTCCCAGGTTCAAGAGATTCTTCTGCCTCAGCTTCCCTAGTAGCTGGGATTACAGGCACGTGTCACCACGCCCAACTAATTTTTGTATTTTTAGTAGAGATGGGGTTTTACCACGTTGGCCGGGCTGGCCGCAAACTCCTGACCTCAAATGATCCACCTGCCTCGGCCTCCCAAAGTGTTGTGATTACAGGAGTGAGCCACTGTGCCCGGCCTCTCCGTTTTATTTTCTAATCCTCCTCCCTAGGGGAAGAAATGTTAAATGGTTACATAAGCTTTCCCTTTCTGACCCTTAACTGTGCTCTGTAGGAGCATGGTGGGGGATGTTTCTTTTCTTTTCTTCTTTTTTTGAGACCAGGTCTCACTTTGCCACCCAGGCTGGAGTTCAGTGGCATGAACATGGCTCACTGCAGCCTCGACTTCCTGGGCTCCAGCAAACCTCCCACCTCAGCCTCCCGGGCATACACCACTGTGCCTGGCTAATTTTTGTATTTTTAGTAGAGACGGGGTTTTGCCATGTTGCCCAGGCTGGTTTCGAAGTCCTGAGCTCAAGAGATCTTCCTGCCTTGGCCTTCCAAAGTGCTGGGATTACAGGTGTGAGCCACCATGCCCAGCTCCGGTGGGGGATATTTCTATATCCACATGTGTATAGTTTACTTTATAAAAATGGTATGTTACTCTGTGCTTGGCTCTCCAGCTTGCTGTTGCCTTTCACCAGTGTATCCCAGACATCCTTTCTTCCTTGTCAGTAACGCAGGTCTACTTTATTCTTTGAGCAGTGGCATAATTTTCCCTGATGTGTATATATCATAAGTTAGAGAATGCTAAAATTCATTTTGGGGCCTTGTTTAGGTTCTTGAGGGATTAAATTCCTAAATTTAACAAGTGTATCCTGGAAACAATTTTTGTTCCTGATTCAGCCCTTAAAAGAGGACTATCATGTTACCTTGAATGGAGATAAACAGGCTCACGTAAGAGAAAAGGGTAAGAGGGATGAACTCCCACTTATCTTAAACTTCTACTGGCCCGTTTTTGGGGAATTTGCTGCTTTTATTCCTGACCTAAAATAAATAAGTTTATGTGTCTTGGTTTCATATTAGTTGAGAACCCAGTGCCTGGAGAGAAGTTTTCCTTGTCCTCTGAGTGAGGACATTCACATATGAATCTATTGGCAGACTGGCTTTGACTGACCACACGTGCCTTCAGAACCAATGCCACAGCTCTTAGGTTTATGGCCTGAAACACCCTTTCCTTACATATTGCCTTAGAAACTTTCCTTCCTTGAGACATGGGGCATGGAACCCTCACCTTCACAGATGACCTTGGTGTGTTTCTAGGGTTGCTGGTGTTCCAGGACATCTGTTGCAGATGCAGTATTTACCTTGTGCTCTCTGCATCATAAGCAGCTTCTCATGTTTGAATGTATTAACAGACTTTTAATTTTTTTTATTTTTGAGACAAAGTCTCACTCTGTCACCCAGGCTAGTGTTACCCAGGCTGGAGTGCAATGGCTCAATCTCAGCTCACTGCAACCTCCACCTCCTGGGTTCAAGCGATTCTCTTGCCTCAGCCTCCCGAGTAGCTGGGATTACAGGTGCATGACACCACGCCCTGCTAATTTTTGTATTTTTAGTAGAGACGGGGTTTCGCCATGTTGGTGGGGCTGGTCTCAAACTCCTGACCTCAGATGATCTGCCCGCCTTGGCCTCCCAAAGTGCTGGGATTACAGGCGTGAGCCACTGCGCCTTTTCTTTTCATTTTTTTTCTGAGATGGAGTCTTTCTCTGTCACCAGGCTGGAGTACAGTCATGCAATCTCAGCTCACTGCAACTTCCACCTCCTGGGTTAAAGTGATTCTCCTGTCTTAGCCTCCTGTGTAGCTGGGACTACAGGCGTGTGCCACCGTGCCCAGCTAATTTTTATATTTTTAGTAGAGACGGGGTTTTGCCATGTGGGTTAGGCTGGTCTTGAACTCCTGACCTCAGGTGATCCACCCGTCTTGGCCTCCCAAAGTGCTGGGGTTATAGGCGTGAGCCACTGTGCCCAGCCTCAGGCTTCTTTATTAAGAAGAAGTTCGGGCCAGGTGTGGTGGCTTACACCTGTAATCCCAGCAATTTGGGAGGCCGAGGTGGGCAGATCAGGAGGTCAGGAGATCGAGACCATCCTGGCTAACATGGTGAAACCTCGTCTCTACTAAAAATATAAAAAATTAGGCAGGTATGGTGGCGGGTGCCTGTAGTCCCAGCTACTCGGGAGGCTGAGGGAGGAGAACGGTGTGAACCTGGGAGGCGGAGCTTGCAGTGAGCCCAGATTGTGCCAGTGCACTCCAGCCTGGGTGACAGAGCGAGGCTCCGTCTCAAGAAAAAAAAAAAAGACGTTCCCTTGAAACAACAGGGCTTTTGTTTGTTTTGGTTTGTGTTTGTTTGTTATTGTTGTTTTAGATACGTATTTTTTTCTTTCTTTTTTTTTTTTAAGTGATGATGTCTCTGTTGCAGTGGCATGATCATAGCTCACTGTAACCTCAAATTGCAGGGCTCAAGTGATTCTCCTGCTTCACCTTCCTGATTAGCTGGGACAACAGGTACAAACCACCATGCCTAGCGAATTTTTAAATTTTTCATAGAGACTAGGGTCTCACTATGTTGCCTAGGCTGGTTTCGAACTCCTGGCCCCAAGTCATCCTCCTGCCTTGGCTTCCCAAATTGTTGGGATCACAGGCATGAATCACCACACCCAGCCTATTTTTAGATATTTTAATTCGAGCTCTACAGGAGGTTTAGAACACTAGCTTGTGAAGATAAACTTCATTTTCAAGGCCACACAGAATCTAAGTGGTCCTGGAATTAGGAAGGGCTTTGATTTTTTGGACCAAAGTTGAGAGTCCACAGTTTTCTGGTCTACCTTGCACTGCTCCATAAACTCATATTTCTTTTCTCTGAGCTGAAGAGCTCCCCTTCTTGGTGTCTAGTCTCAGGCAACTTATTCTTAAAAGTAAGCATTATTGAAATGCTTTGGGATTTTCACATCATCAAGGTCCATTTTGGTAGAGGCACTGACAGATTTTGAGTGTTCTGTGTGAAGGAACTCAGTTGAGGATTTAGTGGTCCATGTGGCAGGCTACTGCTCAGTAGCTTCAGGGAAACCACTGCTTGCCTCCCCTGTGGCCAGTGAGGATGATCAGAGGAGTCCCAGCAGGAATGCCCAAATGTAGTTTTCTTACATGTTGATGGGAGTGCATTGTTTCATGTCTAAACAGTTCTCAAATCACATCTTCAGGAGGGTACTATCTGGGCACTTTGATAATTTCTCACTTTGATGTCACCGTTCTTATTACCATCACCTAGTTTTGTCATAGTAGAAATAACTTTCCTTTTTCTGTGTGTGTGTGTGTGTGTGTGTGTGTGTGTGTGTGTGTGTTTTGAGATGGAGTCTTGCCGTGTTGCCCAGGCTGTAGTGCAGTGGCGTGTTCTCGGCTCACTGCAACCTCTGCCTCCCGGGTTCTCCTGCCTCAGCCTCCCGAGTAGTTGGGATTACAGGCGTGTGACACCACGCCCGGCTCATTTTTGTATTTTCAGTAGAGATGGGGTTTCACCACTTTGGCCAGGCTGGTCTTGAACTCCTGACCTTGTGATCCGCCCACCTTGACCTCCCAAAGTGCTGGGATTGCAGGTGTGAGCCACCACGCCTGGCTTTTTTTTTTTTTTTTTTGAGACAGAGTCTTGCTCTGTTGCCCAGGCTGGAGTGCAGTGGCGGGATCTTGGCTCACTGCAGCCTCCACCTCCTAGGTTCAAGCAATTCTTCTGCCTCAGCCTCCTGAGTAGCTGGGATTACAGGTGCCCACCACCATGTCCGGCAAATTTTTGTATTTTTAGTAGAGACAGGGTTTCACCATGTTGGCCAGGCTGGTTTCTAACTCCTGACCCCAGGTGATCCGCCTGCCTCAGCCTCCCAGAGTGATGGAATTACAGGCATGAGCCACTGCGCCTGGCCACCTTTGTCTTCTTAGTTGTGGATTTAACTGCTGTGGACATCTGCTTGGGCATAGCCTTCCCGGAGTACCTCTTGGATTGGGACTGTCTGTGGGTTTCTGTGCTAGGACAGGCTCCCAGATGTAGGAGGCTTCCCCAATGATCTCACCACTGGCATCGGCATCCTTAGCTTCTACTCAGCTTTTCCATCTGCCATCTTGCAAGATGGAAGGTTGTTTTGTTTTTGTTTTTGTTTTTTGGTTTATTTTTTTTGAGATAGAGTCTCGCTCTGTTGCCAAGGCTGGAGTTCAGTGGCGCAATCTCGGCTCAGTGCAACCTCCACCTCCTGGGTTCAAGTGATTCACCTGCCTCAGCCTCTGGAGTAGCTGGGATTACAGGCGCGTGCCACCATGTTCGTTTAATTTTTTGTATTTTTAGTAGAGACGGGGTTTCACCGTGTTAGCCAGGATGGTCTCGATCTTCTGACCTCATGATCCGCCTGCTTCAGCCTCCCAGAGTGCTGGGATTACAGGCGTGAGCCACCGTGCCCAGCCTAGGAGGGTTCTTAATGCAGCTGTTTTTTGGAGTTCTGGTTGCCTCAGCACACTGCTACTTGGGTCAATGACATTTTTACTCCCTTGTTTTGTAGCTCAATTGGGTATTACTGATGGGATTTTGTAATTATTAATATTTTCTTGTCTCCATTTTCTTCTCAAGTACTTTGTTGCTTTTGAGTAAAATGCTTGCTAAGGGTATAGTTTTCACATAAAAGCTCAAATTTAGCATGGAAATTAAGATATGCTCATACGTCTGCCATCCCTTATCTGTAATTCTGAAATACCTAGAGTTCTGAATAACCTCAAATTCTTTTGTTACTTGTTTATCAGCAAAACCTGATTTGAACTCAGTTTTTGGCAAAACTTGATCCAAGCTCTCTTAAGGCTCTTTTTAGTCTTTATTCATTCCCTTTAGTGTGACTTCCCATTTTGCTATAAAATTATGAGTGTGTTTGATTACAAGGTGATGTCCCAGACCCTACTGAGGGTGTTACATAATATAAACTGTATGTATGGCTGGGCGCGGTGGCTTATACCTGTAATCCCAGCACTTTGGGAGGCCGAGGCGAGCGGATAACCTTAGTTCAGGAGTTCAAGCCCAGCCTGGCCAACATGGTGAAACCCCGTCTCTACTAAGAATACAAAAATTAGCCAGGCATGATGGTGGGCGCCTGTAATCCCAGCTACTCCTTAGGCTGAGGCAGGAGAATCACTTGAACCCAGGAGGTGGAGGTTGCAGTGAGCCAAGGTCATGCCACTGCACTCCAGCCTGGGCGACAAAGCAAGAATCTGTCTCAAAAAAAAAAAAAAAAAAGTGTGTGTACCACTTTACCTTTCTAAAATCTGAAAAATTCTGAATCTGGAAACCCATTCTGCTTCAAGATAAATGGATCCTAGATTTATATCGGTACCGTACAGTCCTGAAATTCCATCCTATCTATTGGCCACTTTTACATCAACAAACCTTTGAAGTTTGGGGAAACTTACATATCACGCTCCCTTGGCAGTTGAACATTATTTATTTATTTTGAGATGGAGTCTCGCTTTGCCCAGGCTGGAGTGCAGTGGCGCGATCTTGGCTCACTGCAACCTCTGCCTCCCGGGTTCAAGCAATTCTCCTGCCTCAGCCTCCTGAGTAGCTGGGATTATAGGCATGCAACACCATGCCCAGCTAATTTTTGTCTTTTTAGTAGAGACGGGGTTTCACTATGTTAACCAGGCTGTTCTCGAACTCCTGACCTTGTAATCTTCCCTCCTCGGCCTCCCAAAGTGCTGGAATTACAGGCGTGAACCACCACGCCTGGCCCTGAAGATACATTTTAAATCAATGAAAAAAACAACAGGATTCTACCTCCTATGGTATATCCCTCCTGGCTGTCTCTTCTCTCCAGTCTTGCCTCTGCTGTGTGGGTTTCAGGCATCCATCTTCTCTACTCTGAATTACTGTGATAACCTCTGAAGTATTTTCCCTGCCATCTGTCTGGCCCTTCTCCCAGGTCTTCCACATACTGCAGCCAAGTCAGCCCGCTGTTGAAACCCTTCAAGACTCCCTGCTGTCCTCTGGATGAAGTCCAGACTCTTCCACGTGACTTACCAGGCCTTTCTTGCACTTGTCCCCAGCCACTTACTGTTTCTCTCTTTCTACCTTAACATCCTGAACTTCCTTTGGTTCTTTGACCTTGCCTCTGACCTTTTTCCATGCTGTTCACTCTTTCCCTGTTCACCTTGCTAACTCCTCTTTCTCTTTCTGGGTTGGATCAGATTTCACTTCTTCCAGAAGCCCTTCCTAGACCCTATACTTCTGGAATGGCGCCTTTTGACTGTACGCTCATTGCACCCTGTACTTCTCCTTTATGAGTGGGTGCTGGTCTGTCCCACTAGGCTACTTCATCCATAAAGGGAGAGTAGAGCTTTACCAAGTCAATGCTTAAGCAATATTTATTGGATGAATGTGTGATTAATTTCATAGAAATTTGATGTGCATTCAAATTTACTTATTGTATTACGGAACTTGCATTATATTCTCAGTGGAGTTATTTTCTTTCACGTGTGTAATTCAAGATAGACTCAGTGAGATTTTCAAAATTTGGAATGCAGTGCAAGGAAATTGAACTTGAGTTCTTTTGCATTTTGATGGTTAAAAATTTCCCATTTGTGGTGACATACCACAATAAGCCAGTGAATGTGGCTTATTGTTTTCTGGTCTATAGAAAATTGTCGCAAACTCTGTCATAATGTCTGGTTCTATATAACAAAGCTAGTCCTGTATTCTGCATGTGGCTGATGGAAACAGTGCTCTGTTGATCTGGTTCATGAAGAAATCTGTTCAATTCTGCATAACAGATGCCTTCATCAGTGTCCTTCCATGAAGGAGCTGATCTTCACAAAGAACACATAGTTTTGCATCCCACCACTTGCAGTATTTTTTTTTTTTTTTTTTTTTTTTTGAGATGCAGTCTCGCTCTGTCACCCTGGCTGGAGTGCAGTGGCATGATCTCAGCTCAGTGCAACCTCTACCTCCTGGGTTCAATTGATTCTCCTGCCTCAGCCTCCTGAGTAGCTGGGATTACAGGCGCACACCACCATGCCTGGCTAATTTTTGTTGTTTTAGTAGAGACGGAGTTTCACCATATTGGTCAGGCTGGTCTCAAACTCTTGACCTCATGATCTGCCTGCCTTGGCGTCCCAAAGTGTTGGGATTACAGGCGTGAGTCACTGTGCCCTGCCAGTATTGTTTTGTCTAAATTATTTGTGCTGATGTTTTTCCTACTGTGGTTTTCTTCAGATTACCCTTGCTCTGAGCCTGCAATTGACTCATGAACTTCTTTTCCATGTTCTAACCTTACAATGACTTCCTTGTGTTCACTCCAAATGTTTTTCCCTGGTTGCATGTAGAGATGTATTAGCTAAGGTACATGCTTAGCTGCTGTATCAAAGAGACCCTAATGTACAACCCAGGCTGGTAGAGCAGCTCTGCTGTATGTGTTAATTCAGGGACCCAGGTTCCTTCCATGTTGTGACTCCCCCCTTCCTTAGGATGTTGTCTTCTTTTACATGGCTGAAGTTGGGCCATTTCATGTCTCTGTTCCAGCTGCCTGGTAGGAAAAAAGAACAGAAATTCAGAGTAAGCAAATTCTTTTTCTATAGATGGATGCGGAAGTTGGACACATCATTTCCTCTCACATTTTCTCGGCCAGAACGTAGTCATGTGACTGCACGTCTAGCTGCTAAGGAGACTGGGAATTTACTGTCGGCTGTGTGGCCTCTGTCAAGCTAAAATTCTTATTACTGTGGAATAAGGGAAGGATGGATTTGGGGGCACAATTAATAGTCTGTCACAGAGGCTAAAACAGCTGCTTTTGGCTGGGCACGGTGGCTCACACATGTAATTTCAGCACTTTGGGAGGCCGAGGCAAGTGGATCACTTGAGATCAGGAATTTGAGACCAGCCTGGCCAACATGGTGAAACCCTGTCTCTCCTAAAAATATAGAAATTAGCCGGGCATGGTGGCGGGTACCTGTAATCCGAGCTACTCCAGAGGTTGAGGCAGGAGAATTGCTTGAACCTGGAAGGCAGAGGTTGCAGTGAGCCAAGATGGTGCCACTGCACTCCAGCCTGGGCGACAGAGCAAGACTCCATCTCAAAAAAAAAAAAAAAGGTTAAATAAACAGCTGCTTTTGTAGGTGATACAAGGTACAGCTAAGCTTTGAAGCCAGGCCTGTAGTTTCACCTTCCATATTCTTACTCAAGGCATTATACTTCTGGATCTGAAACCACTGGATCTGATGCCCTGCTTGGGATGAGTTCTTTATATTATCTTGCTTTCAACCCACACCTGTGTAATTTTATGGGCAGCGTTTGTTTCCTATATAGGAACAATTTGAAAGTGGGCTGTTTCTAGGCTTTCATGAATAGCAGGCTATGCTGTCATTGGGAATCTGGAGGGAGTTAATGAACACAACTTCATTGTTTACTTTAGTGAAATGTGGCAGCTTATGATAGTTTTGACAGTGAGACATGTGCTGTTTTGATCTCTCAGCTAAGATTATCTGATTTTTCAGGCATGTCTCAAAACTCACCAGGCCTGCTCACATGCTGCTGCTTCTGAAGCCAGGGTTTGGAAACCAGCTGCCCATCAGAATGAGGCTGTGACTTAGAATATTGGTTCTTGTTTTATTACCATTCCTTGTTTGGTCTCTCCAGAGTCACTGGCCTTTTCCGCTTCAATTTTCTTATCGGTGAAATGAGATATTAATTCCTCTTATTGACTTCAATTCAATTGCTGAGTGTATTGTTGCCTTTGGGAGGTTCTTTGAGTTTTCTGTGCCTTTGAAATAGTTGTTTTTTTTTATTCTGGTGTTTTGAGGCATGTTTCAAGTGAGTGCATTTACACTTCTACCATTTTAGGAGCCACAATTCAGTTATGTTGTCCCAGCTTGCTTGGCCCCATCCCCAGAGTTTCTGATTCAGTAGGTCTGGGGTGGGGCCCAATAATTTGCATTTCTTCTTCTTTTTTCGAGACAGAGTCTGACTGTGTCATCCAAGCTGGAGTGCAGTGGCACGATCGTAGCTCATTGTAGCCTCAAACTCCTGGGCTCAAGCCGTCCTCCCACCTCACCCTCCTGAGTAGCTGGGACTATAGGCATATACTACCATGCCCTGCCACCTTTTTAATTTTTTGTAAGGATGGGGGTCTCACTGTGTTGCTCAGGCTGGTCTTGAATTCCTGGGCTGAAGTGATCCTCCTGCTTCAGCCTCCCCAAATGCCGGCATTCCTGGCATGAGCCACTGCACTTGGCCAAGACTTTGCATTTCTAACTAGTTTCCAGGTAATGCTGCTGCTGGTGTAGGGACCTCATTTTGAGAACCATTGTTCTATAGCTGTAGCTATAGTTAGTTTCTGGTTATAGCTTCTTCCTTTTGTCCCTTCAGTAATAGTGTACACATCCGAAATCCCTGTCCTTGCTCTTTCAGGCCCAGGCATGGTATCTGGTCCTCTTCTGTTGCTAGCCCTGGGGTGCTTCATCATCCCAAGTTTATTTTTCTTCTCCTAACCTGAACCTTTGTAAATAGCCCCTTCCCTAATGAACGTCCTCAATTCCCTGTTTTGCGTGTCCTGTCTGTTTCTTGGCAAGACTCTGGATGATTCAGTACTCAATGAGGATTTTTCGCATAGATGGATGAAACAGGCTGGGTTTCATGTTTTCTAAGATAAAGGTGCTTCTCTCTTTTTCTCTTGGTCACTTTGACCAAGAAGAAAATAACAGAGTTTTTATTCTCAAGAAGAATAATATCGGGGCCACTCTGCTCAGAGGCCACTCTGCTTTGAGGACCCCTTCTCTCCTCCCTCATGCCAAAGATCAGGAACATTGGGCAGAGCGGATAACGATGCCGCCAGCGTCATTACATTTTCACGGCACTTTCAGTTGTGCTGAGCGTGCAAACATTTCAAGGAGACATTTCTAAGAGGTGGCTAGCACAGCATGCCTCTAATGCCCTATGTGAATTGGAATAGAGTACTAAAGAACTGTTCAATATTCACCCCATCCCCGCATATGCAAGCATGCACGTGGGTTCATTGTATATGTGTGTGTGCACGTGTGCACAGACACATTTGTCCTTCGTTTCAAATGCAACACAATGGATGGAAATTGCCTTCCTGGTACTGGGGTATGGATGCAAACACCAACAGAGAAGCAGCCGCTACTTCCAAACTGAACACATGTGAGATTTGCCCTTTAATTAGCATCTGCAGCTGCTGCCATCAGAAGGGTCTGTCTCTGTTGGCCTGAAAGTCTTTGCTTTAAAAGAGCAAGTCCATTATAGCTCCAAGCCAGGCTCGTCTGTCAGCTGCTGTGCTTTCTCTGCCATCAGCGGGGTTGCCACATTGTTTTGGGCTGTTTCACTCTAGGACTCTTTCCTCCTCCTGTGCCCCCAGCCTTTGATTACCATGCCTTGGTGATCCTCATTTGGGTGACCTGCAGCTGCTCATTGTGTGTGCAGGAGACATCTCCAGTCCTTGTAAGGAGGGAAGATCACTGGCTTCAGTGCTGATGGACTGGTTATTTTCCAGCCCTTTGTCGTCAGTGATCTTGTCTTGATATGCAGAAAGGCTCCAGGTAGTCACTGAAAAAAATATAAGCAGCAGAGGTGATGGCTATATGAAAGTCACGTTTCATCAAGGGCATTGCTGCTATGGAAACTTTCAATTCACTTGGAGTAGGGAGCCATATTGGTTCCACAGCCTCCTCAGCAGTGGGTCCCAACACAGTGCTGGGCTAGCTGCCTCTGAATCACCGCAGTAGCTCCTTTTACTATAGATTCCTGGGTCCCACCCATGGAATGTGATCCATGAAGTCTGGGGTTATTCCCTGGAATCCTTTAAGCTCCCTAAGTGGTTGGGATGGGAAAGAGATATGCTTTATGTTACTATACTTCTTCTTATTATTATTTTAAAATTCTTGCCGGGCGCAGTGGCTCACACCTGTAATCCCAGCACATTGGGAGACCGAGGCGGGTGGATCACTTGAGGTCAGGAGTTCGAGACTGGCCTGGCCAACATGATGAAATCCTGTCTCTACTAAAAATACAAAAATTAGCTGGGCATGGTGGCGCATGCCTGTAGTCCCAGCCACTCCGGAGGCTGAGGCAGGAGAATCGCTTGAACCCGGGAGGCAGAGGTTGCAGTGAGCCGAGATCGTGGCACTGCACTCCAGCCTGGGTAACAGAGTGAGACTTCATCTCAAAAAAAACCCAAAAAAACAAAACTCTTTTTCATTATACCGGAACGTCAGCTTTATGGAGTCGGGGATTTTTTCTGTTTTATTCACTGCTGTTTCCCTAACATCTAGAATAGTGGCTGGCACGATAGGCACTCAAGTATTGATTTAGATGAGTCTATTTTATTTTCTTTTAAATTTTTAATTTTTATTAGAGGTGGGGTCTGGCTTTGTTGCCCAAGCTGGTCTCAAAACTCCTGGCCTCAAGCGATTGTACTGCCTCAGCCTCCCAAAGGGCTAGGATAGGCATGAGCCAACATGCCTGGCTTGTCTTATTTTTAACAAGCACTTCTGGTGATTCTGATGGACAATCAGGCTTGGGAAGTTCTAACCTAGAGGACCTACAGTTGTCTTGGGGTAGAAGCCAAGGCTATCCTGGTTTTTAGAATCAGTGCCTTACTGGGCATCTCTGAAGAGTAAAAGTCAGGGACAGAGTTACATTTTTGGACAAAACCAGATGCTGTGAATGGACTCTTGGTCACAACCTGGGTGGCGACTTGGTCCTTAACTTCTTCATCATTTTCTGCTGACCCTGTTCTTTGGTTCACAGCAAGTCACCTGATAAGAAGACTCAAAGACTGCTAGTTTGTTACTTTAGATGATGCTTTTGGAACCTCTTGGTACCATTTTAACAATCCAAACGTATTTTATGAAAGCACTCAAGTCCTGGGTCTTTATTGTATCTTTAAGCTCTAACAGCATGATGATTGAATAAGCTGTGGTTG
The DNA here is from genome assembly GCF_000001405.40 of Homo sapiens. Classification (NCBI taxonomy): domain Eukaryota; kingdom Metazoa; phylum Chordata; class Mammalia; order Primates; family Hominidae; genus Homo; species Homo sapiens. Next base: position 119,837,330 of record NC_000012.12, on the reverse strand, counting down.
GCCACACACAAGCCATCTTCCCCATGGCCTCCATTCATACTAGAATGAGCAGCTATACCCCAGTAGTATAGTTTTGGGATATGGGTAACATCTTGGGATAGCCACATTTACTTAGTAAATGTCTGGCTTACATTCTCCTAATGGTGCACTGTTGGAATTTTTGGTGTGGTAACCTGGAATAGTGTTGGTGGGTCAAGTTTGATTAGCATCTTTGATAAGGACCCGGTCTATTTAGAGGTTTGTCATTGAGTGTGTCTGTTTTGGCCTCATGTTGTGAAGCATGCTGTGTAGCAGCTGTTGTAATTTTTGTTGCTTGTTTTCTCAATCAACCCTGGTTTTGAAGAAATGGGAAGTTGTTCCACTCTTAGACTGATCTGACTTGGGAGGGGATTTTCAGTTCAGGAAGTTGGATCTTCTGAATGGAAGCAAAGAATACATGTCTTTTTGCCACTTTACAAGCTGGCTCTTGTTTTCTGAACTATTTTACTGGTCATTGCAAATAGAATGTCAGGAGTAGCTGCCAAATACTAAGTTGTGTTCAGTTTGTCAGTTCTTAAGAGTTGCCGGTGGCTGCTCTGCTATGCGTATGACTTTCTCAGCCTTAAACTTACAAGCCATACTGTTTTTTTCACATCTTTAATACAGCCATAGGAAATTTATAACTGTGGCGTGTCGTCATAAATATGCATTGTTCTTATTTTAAGACATTTCAGTACTAAAAGTATAAGTACTTCTGTTATTATCTGTGAATTTCTTTCCTTTTTCTTTTTTTGGATATTTAAGACCTTTTCGATGTCAATATATATTTAAAACAGACATATAAATTAGCATTCACCCACATACCCAGGGCCTATGGAGAACCAGGTTGGGATGAGTGGGTGAGCTACAGGCAGCCAGGTGGCTCCTGTGGGCTCCTCGAGGACTGGGGTGAGTAACTAATGTCTGCTAGGAACTTGGGGGAAAGAAGGTGTGTATGTTAGGTGCTGCCCCCTTCTAAGTGTTCCTCTTGTTCATAATTTTTTTTTTTTTTTTTTTTTTTTTTTTTTAGATGGAGTCTCGCTCTGTTGCCAGGCTGGAGTGCAGTGGTGTGATCTCAGCTCACTGCAACCTCTGCCTCCCGGGTTCAAGTGATTCTCCTGCCTCAGCCTCCCGAGTAGCTGGGACTACAGGCATGCACCACCATGCCCAGCTAATTTTTGTATTTTTAGTAAAGACGGGGTTTCACCATGTTGGCCAGGGTGGTCTCGATCTCTTGACCTTGTGATCCGCCTGCCTCGGCCTCCCAAAGTGCTGGGATTACAGGTGTGAGCCACTGTGCCCAGCCCATAAATCAAAATTTTTTCAGCAATTGTTATACAAGTGGAACCTTACTCTTCAAATGCAATTGTCCAGTGTCTGGCTTAATGTCTGCTGTTGTCAGAAACCATGTGAATGGAGTAGATTCCCAGGTTATAAGGAGCCCCCAGGGAGGATGCGCGAGTCACTGGCTTCTCCAGGGGTCTCTGGTTTGGGGTTGCCTTGGTGCTGGGCACACTTCCTGGAGATTTTACTGGACCAGCCTGAGGCCTTTGGGGCTCTGTGCAGATGCTCTACTTCTGACTTGTCTAGAGCTTTCTTCTAATTCTGGACTAAAAGCAAGCAGGAGTTTGGAGGATGATGGTGAGAATTCACATCCCCGAGTTGGCTTTTGGAATGCAGTAGTTTGTGAGATTTAGTGTTTTTTTTAAGAAGTATATTCAGATCTTGCCTTTTTCCCAGAAAGCATATGAGACAACTTCCAAGACATTTATAGCATGGCTAATAAAATGGGAAATCAGGGCGAAGGACAGGAGAACTCAATAAGGGTTAACATGGCTACAGCGATTGTCTAAATGGGTTCTTTTTGCTGGCCAGAGCAGAAAGGATCATGCAGTAAAGTGGGGGGGAAGAAAGGGAATTGAATGGTAGGTGAAGACTTCATGTTGGTGCCAGGCACTGTGCCAGGCCCTCCTAGGACCTTGTCTTACTCAATCCTCACACAGTGCTGCAAGAGGATTAGTCTTATCCCTGTTTTAGAGAGGATGAAACTGAAAGGCAGCGAGGTGAAGTCACCAGCAGGAGGCTGAAGCCGCCCAGGCTAACTGGCCTTATAGCTACCTAGGGACTCAGGAATATCACACCTGTTTATCATCAAAAGGAGAAAGGATTTCAGTTCCTTGGGGTAGAAGAGTTTCTTTTTGCTAATCAAACATTTTACTTGAGGCTTCATATTCTTCTTCAAGATTTTTTTCCTGTGTATGTACCAACACATGTAATAATTCCTTGTTTATTTCAAAAAAGGGGTTGTACTTTATTCTTTACAAGATTTCACTTTATATTGTCATGGACAATTTTCCATGGCAGTATGAATAAATGGAATCTGTTTGTTTTTAATATCTTTGTCTTATCCCATTGTTTACATATGTCATATTTTAGCCAGTCTCTAACTGATGGATAGCTGAATGATTTCCATGTTTTTTTCCCCTGTTACAAACAATACTGCAAGGAATCTATTTATCTTTCTATTTATCTGCAAACTATTGTAAGTACCTGTAAATTGTTAGAAGTGGAATTACTAGGTCAAAGGGGATATTTTCACATTTAAATTTTGAATAGAGGCTGTCAGTTGCCTTCCACACTGACTATAAAAGGAAAAGATTGTATCACATTTATTGCAAGCCTTCTGTATTCTGCTGGGTGCTGAGGGGAATACAGAAAGGATATAAGAGTGGTTGCCCTCTAGGAATATCCGTCTACACTGTACCTAATCCTAGGGAATGTCTGGGGTGTCAACTTGTGGGTGGGAAAGTGGGTGGATTTAATTCAACTGTTCAAGCTTGCCTTGCAAACACTGTGCATGGTGTCTGGGACTAGTCTTTCATTATATTGATTCCCCTGGGTAACAGATGTAATTTCCTTAGGGCAGGGACTTCATCCTACATGACTTACAGCGTGCCTTACACATCTTCTTTGCTTTGTGGAGACCTTGTTATTATAACACGTCAGGTGATATTCGAGGATCTAATTGAGGCATTCCCTATTTTTGGGTGTGTGAAGAATTAATAACTTTGGCATTCTATACAGGTCATGGAATATCAGCCTGGAGGGGACTTGCTGTCACTTTTGAATAGATATGAGGACCAGTTAGATGAAAACCTGATACAGTTTTACCTAGCTGAGCTGATTTTGGCTGTTCACAGCGTTCATCTGATGGGATACGTGCATCGGTAAGTGAGACTCTGGTAGCATTTTTATGCTGAGGATTTTCCTGTGTCGCATAAGAGTTCCTGCATGGAAATGAGTGGATGAGTGATTTCAAGATCAAGATAACGCCCCATCCAGTTTTTAGCCAGTCTACCAATAACTGGCTGAAAGCAAACTTTCCAAGATGGAGGACATTTCAGCTTGCTTATCCAGCAGTGCAATAGATCTAGAATTGTAATGTGCTCAAGTTTGCTAGTAATATCTATTAATGTAGCTAAATAAGACTGGGAACTCTTGCATGAGTTCTTTGGGTTATATGATAGAAGAACTGAATTTGGTTTGCAGAAGGAAATGTCATACCACATAGTAGTGTAAGACCATGGAGCTGTACTTCTCTAACTCTGCCCGTTAGAATTTACAATTTTTTTTTTTTTTTTTTTTTTTTGAGACAGAGTCTAGCTCTGTTGCCAGGCTGGAGTGCAGTGGTACCATATTGGCTCATGGCAACCTCCGCCTGCTGGGTTCAGGTGATTCTCCTGCCTCAGCCTCCCAAGTAGCTGGAATTACAGGCACGCACCGCCATGCCCAGCTAATTTTTGTATTTTTAGTAGAGATGGGGTTTCACCAGGTTGGCCAGGATGGTCTTGATCTCCTGACCTCATGATCCACCCACCTTGTCCTCCCAAATTGCTGGGATTACAGGCATGAGCCACCATGCCTGGCCTACAAAATCCTCAGTTGGTAAGTGGTTCTTCATGTCTTCATTCATCTGATGTTTTGTGTACATCTGAGAATGTTGTGGGAATACAATGATTGTTAGTCCAGGAATCACAAAATTTGAGATAGAGTCTCAGCTTTTCCATTGCCTAGCTACATGACCTTGGGAAAATTTCATAGCTCCTTTTGGCCTTAGTTTTCCTCATGTGAAATGTGTGTCTCTAGGAGAAATAATCCATTGAATAATATGTGTTTCATTTCTCTTCCTTTTCTTTCTCTCCTATCCTTCCTTGCTCCCTCTCGCCCTTTTTCTCTTTCCCCCTCTCTCCCTCTCTCTCTCCTTCCTTCCTTCCTTTCGGTTAAATTCATTTTGCAAAATGTATGCTAATAATTTATATCCACCAATAGAGGAGGTCTATATAACAGAATACATAAACAAAGATTTTTGGCTCAATTGAGATTCTAGGTTAGCACTTGCTTGCTGATTGGGATGGAGGAGGCAATTCATGGTCCTGATTTTCTTACAGAGACATCAAGCCTGAGAACATTCTCGTTGACCGCACAGGACACATCAAGCTGGTGGATTTTGGATCTGCCGCGAAAATGAATTCAAACAAGATGGTAAAAAATGGAATAAGATAGCTTAATAGAGTTTATACTAAAAAGTATTCTTGGTCCTCCTAAGTTTGGGAAGTGTTGGGATAAAATGGTGAACAATGTTTTGGAGCCTTTGGCAGTGTATGGGGGTGGGGACAGGGACACAGAACCATTTCCCAGACCGTGGCACCTTTTTATTTATAGTGCCTGTTAATACCCTCCAAGACATTTTTAGGAGCATTGTTATAGTTTGGTTAGAAATAAAGGAAAATGCTTATTTTGTTTCTCTCTTCATTTTCCTTGCCTGTTATAGACTGTCTTTTGTTATATTATCTTTTTTACTTTAAAATATTTTGATGAAATGGAAACTCCTGCATGTCAAATCCTCTATTTCCTATGCAGCAAAATTGAAATTAATCACTGGAGCATTTGAACCAAATATCCTTAAGTGTTAAGAACCAAGTGCTCAAAATATCATTTTTAAGTCTTGGATCTTTGGTAGAAATTAAACTGTATTCCACATGCTAAGTAGGACGGCAGGAGGGTAGCTACTGAGATCAAGAGTGAGACTACTTTAGGAAAAAGATGACAAAGTAAAAAAAGATTAGAGTTTAAAAATCTTCTAATAAAGTTGGTATGTACTAAAATATGAATTTGGAAGTCAACTCCGCAAAAAAGGATAGGTCTAAGAGAAAATCGACTTAGGTTTTAAGACTGATTTTACAACTGAGCCATTTGGTGACCTAGACAAATCCTTGGGAACTTGATCTTTTATACTTTCTCTAGAAAAAACTGATGCTAGTGAAAATGCATAATTTAAGAGGTTAGAGAAGCTGCTCTTCAAAATGCCCCCCAAGTCTGAGAGTTAAATCCTTTACATAAAGGACAATATGTAAAATTTTCTTTTTCTTTTTTCTTTTTTTTTGAGACGGAGTCTCGCTCTGTCCCCCAGGCTGGAGTGCAGTGGCGCGATCTCGGCTCACTGCAAGCTCCGCCCCCCTGGGTTCACGCCATTCTCCTGCCTCAGCCTCCCGAGTAGCTGGGACTGCAAGCGCCCGCCACCATGCCCAGCTAATTTTTTGTATTTTTAGTAGAGACGGGGTTTCACCGTGTTAGCCAGGATGGTCTCGATCTCCTGACCTCGTGATCCACTCGCTTCGGCCTCCCAAAGTGCTGGGATTACAGGCATAAGCCACTGCGCCCGGCTCTTTTTTTTCTTAAACTGCTTCCAGAAAAGTGGATATTATTAGGTTGATGTTAAGAAAAGGCTTGGAGTTGCATTAACTTTTTGCTTTCTAGCATCTGGCCTGTCTGTTCTGCAGACCTGAGACCTACTTGAGATAATTTTCTTGGTGTTCAGGCCCTTGGAAAAATAAGTTCCCTATGTTGTCCAGTGTCAAAGTTTCTCAACCTCAGCACTATTCTTTTTTTCAGGTTATTTTCTTGTAATCTGTTCACTTGATCATTACATTAAGAATTAGATTATATTGCTATAACTACAAAGCATTTTATGTTTTAAAAATTATGTACAATTTAGAAACAGGCATGAAAACTTAGGTATTAAATTTAGTGGAATAAAGCACAGAAAAAAAGTTAAAATAATGCAGTTTTATCACTTAGGATTAAACATTTATATGGGCCGGGTGTAGTGCCTCACACCTGTAATCCCAGCACGTTTGGAGGTCGAGGCGGGAGGATTGCTGGAGTTTGAGACCAGCCTGGGCAACAAAATGAGACCTAGTCTCTACAAAAAATCAAAAAATTAGCCAGACATGGTAGTACATGCTTGTAGCTCCAGCCACATGGGAGGCCAAGACAGTAGGATCGCTGGAGCGAAGGAGGTTGAGGCTGCAATGACCGTGTTTGCACCATTGCATTCCAGCCTGGGCGACAGAACAAGACCCTGTCTTAAAACAAATTTATATGCTGCATTCGTGAAATTAAAAAAAAATCATGGATTTAGAAATAAATTGAAGCAAGGTACATTGACAGTGTAACCTCAGCACTACTGACATTTTGATCTGAATAATTCTTTGTTGTGGGGGATGCGCTGTATAAGATGTTTAGCTGCATCCCTGACTCCTACCTCCTAGATGCCATTAGCACCCTCCCCTCCAGATGTGATAACCAAAAATGTCTCTAGACATTGCCAGATGTGCCTGGGGTAGGAGGGTTGGGGGAAGTGGGGTTTGAGAACCCTTAGTTGATCATGCCTGCAGTAGGTTGAGAAGCATCAGAAAGCTAATTAATTAGACAGGAATATGTGTTTGCAGTAAGAAAACCTCAGCAAACTAATCAAGTTCCAAAGTTACTGCTTGGTAAATAAATAGGAATTAAGAATAAGACCCTATCTCTGTGTCTGGGGTCATTCTCTTCGGAGCTCTTGGTGGAGAGACAGGGTTCCCAGTTTCAATTTTTTAGTGCTTCAGACTGCCCTTTTCAGTTATAATTGTAACAACCTTCACTCCAGGTGGGGAGCCTCCCAGGTTTATTTACAACAAGGCTCAATCTCTGATTATTTTGGTCAAGGAGATATGACACTCTATACCACACACTTGAGAATATTGCCTCTCTTTTTCTCTTGAGCTTTTAGGGTTGGAACGTGACAGGCAGATAAGGAATTTTTTGCATTAAGTGCAAAGTCCTTTTTCTTATAGAAGAGCAATAATCTGCACACTAGATCAAGTCAAGTGTGGATATAAAATTATAATTTTTGGGGGGATATTTTTAATAGTGGTTTTGGGTTAAACATATTTCCTTTAAATGAAATGTCTGTAGGCCTAAAGTAGGTTCTAAATGTTGCCTGTACTCATAGTATACCATATAAAATATAATCCACATTTACTGGAACTACCATATATTACTTACCCCAAATCAATCAATCCCTTCCCTATCACCCCCACGTAATATCTTCGTATTTTGGATACCTGTGAATCTTAGATCTGTTCAGTTTTCCATTATCCATTGTCTTATTTCAAGCTTCTCATTCAGAATGTTGCTTTGGAGTATTTTCTGTTAGTAAACACAGGGCCTAGTGACTCTAGGACCTGCTGTGTGACTTAGGTCACCCACTTCACTTTATTAGAATCTCAAAGAATGGTGAACAGCTGAGTTCCAATCTGTCTCATTTGGCTCTCATGAAAACAGTCATAAGGAGATTGTAGATAAACCACATTATATAGCATAGTAAGTGATAATCAACCCCATTTGGCAGTTGCAACCCCACAAGAGATAGCCCTTTTTAGATTTGTGTAGGAGTGAAAAGCTTTATTTTCCACAAGAGGAACGACATAGTAAGAACTCCTTTTCCCCCTGCTTCTGCAGGTATATGCTTATGCCCTAGGCAACTTGATGGGTAAAGTTAGGTTTAAATAGTTTTATTTGTAAGCTCTTCTCTTCTCTTCTCTTCTCTTCTCTTCTCTTCTCTTCTCTTCTCTTCTCTTCTCTTCTTTTCTTTCAAGACAGAGTCTTGCTCTGTCACCCAGGCTGGAGTGCAGTGGGCGACCTTGGCTCACTGCAACCTCCGCCTCCTGGGTTCAAGAGATTCTCCTGCCTCAGCTCCCCGAGTAGCTGGGATTACAGGTGCCCGCCACCATGCCTGGCTAATTTTTGTATTTTTAGTAGAGATGGGGTTTCACCATGTTGAAGCATTTTATGGAAAGGGGTTAGGAGGAGGAAGACATTGGTTTTCTTTCTTCCTCATCTGCTTTTTGTTAGTGAAAGAACCTGCTAAGCTAACTCTTTTCTTTCTCCCTCCCTCTCTCCCTCTTTCAGTTCTTCCCCCCTTTCCTTCCTTCCTTCCTTTCTTTTCCTTCTCCCCCTTTCTCCCAAAATATGGCAGACTCTTCTGTCCCCTAGTCATTCTCATATAGTCTTCTGAACTTGTTTATTTTCTTCCCTGTTAATACAGTAAAAATTAACTAAGTTGGCCAGGAGTGGTGGCACATGCCTGTAATCCCAGCACTTTGGGAGGCCGAGGCGAGCAGATCACCTGAGGTCAGGAGTTTGAGACCAGCCTGGCCAACATGGTGAAACCCTGTCTCTACTAAAAAAAAATTGTAAAAGTTAGCTGGGTGTGGTGGTGCGCACCTGTAGTCCCAGCTATTCGGGAGGCTGAGGCAGGAGAATTGCTTGAACCCAGGGGCTGGAGGTTGCAGTGAGCCAAGATCGCGCCACTGCACTCTAGCCTGGGCGACAGAGCAGTCTTTAAAAAAAAAAAAAAATTAACTAAGTTAAGTAGTACTTGGGCCCTATCAGATAGTGTCCTCCTGCAGGCAGGCTGGGCCCCTACTACAGTTTCACTTTTAATATCTCACCGAGATTAGCTGACTGAATTGCCACCAGAGGAGAGTGAAAGCATATTGCAAAATCATAATCAGGACATGTGAGATTATGTGTTGAACAGGTTTAATGTGCTTGGGGGTCAGTGACTAATGGGAACTTAGCAGTCATTAACTGTCATTAAAAATGTTTGTTAATTACTATTACACACTTAGAGATTTGTTAATTAACAAAGAGTAATGCCTTTGCTAATCACTATTATGCACTTAAGAGGAAGCCAGTGGGTATTTTTCCCTTCATAGCTTTCTAGTACAAATTAATAAAATTTAGAAAATTAGAAAATGATTGTGCATAAATGTGTATAATCATGTATCTGTTAGGGGGCAAAAATTAGTTGGGGAATTATCTTTCTTTGATAAGTCTTATCATTAGTTTGAAAATGGGGCATTGGCAATTCATACTGTTTGGCTGGGTTGTCCTGAGAAACACTCCCCAGTCAATTCTGTTTTTGCAACTCTTTGGTTGTGAACAAGTGACTGCCCTGTGAGCTGCAAATAAGGAGAACTGAATATTCCTGAACAGTCTGTGGCAATAAAAATGAAATCCAGTAAGTGCAAATGGTATGTATTCAACAATTGCGTAGTTAGGTCCTGCAAGGTAATTAGACATAAAGGATAAGTATTTAATCAACAATATAGTAGCATTTTCATTACCTAGTCAAATCAAGATGTTACAGTTTTCCTTCTCTTGTTTTGTTATTTAAAAAATATCTATTGTGGCCAGGCTCCGTGGCTCACACTTGTAATCCCAGCACTTTGGGAGGCCAAGATGGGTGGATCACGAGGTCAAGAGATCGAGACCATCCTGGCCAAACATAGTGAAACCCCGTCTCTACTAAAAATACAAAAATTATCTGGGTGTGGTGGCATGCACCTGTAGTCGCAGTTACTCGAGAGGCTGAGGCAAGAGAATTGCTTGAACCTGGGAGGAGGAGGTTGCAGTGAGCTGAGATCGCAGCACTGCACTCCAGCCTGGTGACAGAGCGAGACTCCATCTCGGAAAAAAAAAAAATCTATTGGTTATTGTTGGTGCATTTTAACCAAAACCCTTTAGTTTAACCCTAACCTGTGCTGAGCTCTTTAACATTTACATACATATTAAAAAACAGAATCAGCCCAGATTTCCCAACATATTAAGTCTTCTCCTTGACTTAAGCTACTTTCAGTTCTTCAAGCTTAAGTCACCCTGTGGTTTTGTCTTAGGCCAAATATTTTCCCCTTTGTCTCCCCTTCTGTCTATCAAGCCAAGCCTGCCTGTGGGTTTTGGATAGTGTGACCATCTGGCTTTCTTGAAGGGGCACTTACAGGGGAAGTTTTATTGCCCAAACCGGTGGACAATCCATGTCAGGAATGATTATATCACACTGCTTTCTGGGTTTAGGGCTTGGAAAAACCTGTATCAGAGCGTGGGCCCTAGGGAAGAGGTAAAAAGAGAGGAGAGGGAAGAATAGGTCTGTTTCATATAACGAGAAAGTCTCATGGCAGAGGAATGGATGAGATTCAAGTTACAGGCTGGAAGAGCTTCATCCAGAATCAGCCCCGGGGAGAGGAGACCTCATCACGTCCTCACTAAACATTCACTTTCCTCTCCACACCCAGTTAAAGTAAAGCAAATTTACTTCCTTGGTGAAAAGCCCAGCCTTCAAGGTATGTGGACTTACCCACAAAATCTCTTGGCTCACTCAGTTTCACTTACCATCGTTTAATGAGGAAAAAGTTCTTTTGTACCATGTAACTGCTGACCTGAGAGAAGCCCATTATGATATAGAGTTATAGGACAGCTGGCCAACACACTATATAGCTAAAATCAGGGCCTCTCTGTTTTGATGGGGAGAAAAGTTAGAGAAGGAATCTTTAGACTTCAAATTTCATGGCTCAGTAAAACGTCAAAATAATTTTGAAGACCAAAGGGGTTGCTAGCTTACTAGGCTGCCTAGACAGGGGTGGGTATGAGGGGAAGAAAGCCTGCTTCTTTCATCAACAGCATATCCAGAAACAAAGGACATTTAAACACTAAAAAAGTCAGAAGGACAAATTCTCAGAAAAAAAGGACAGTCCTTTAAATGGGTTACATTTAGCTTTATAAAATGCCCTCCTGTATTGTCCTAATCTTTCTTTGCCAAGGTCAAGTGCTTGGGTGCCATTGGATTATAAGCCCCTGGGTTTCTGAACGGTGGGGGAGGGAACCACAGGAACAAGGGTTAGGGGTGAGGAAAAAGAACTCATTAACCTTGGGCCCTGGGTGGAAGTTAATTATCATGTCTTGCCCTGTGGGTGGGTTGAAGTAGGAACGTTAATTCCAAAGGCAGTTTTCCAAATTTTTGAACTTGAGATTTGTAATATTATCTTGCCAGTTAGCCACCAGTTCTCTTCTCTTTTTTCTTTTCTTTTCTTACAGTCTCGCTGTCACCCAGGCTGCAGTGTAATGGCGCAATCTTGGCTCACTGCAACCTCCGCCTCCCAGGTTCAAGCGATTCTTGTGCCTCAGCCTCCCGAGTAGCTGGGACCACAGGTGTGCACCACCACACCTGACTAATTTTTGTATTTTTAATAGAGATGGGGCTTCACCATGTTGGCCATGCTGGTCTCAAACTCCTGGCCTCAAATGATCCACCCACCTTGGCCTCCCAAAGTGTTGGGATTACAGGCATGGGCCACTGCACCTGGCCAACTGCCAGTTTTCTAGTAATGGTTAGGTTGATATTTTAGATTCATTTTTAGAGTTTATTATCATTTTGCTGTTATCATAAGAGAAGTTCCATCATGTCAATAACTTGTATTAGGAAAGACATCTTCCATTCCCGGTATATCCAACTCTCATTCGTATAACTGAAGGCTGTGTGTATATCATCAACAATTCTTGCCCTTTTGCCCTTGGATTGCATTATATGCTGTGTGCTTTTTTTTTTTTTTTAAATTAGTAAAGCGTTTGCATTTCCTGACAGTGTGCCACTTGACAGCTGGTTTAAGTGCCTGGGAGAATAGTAATCAGTGGCAAATCAGCTTGTGTCTGAAATGTGGCTGTTGGCAGTCTACTTGAGGATAATTGAAAGTTTGCTGTATTCGTTTTATTGATGGGATTCTAGGTGAATGCCAAACTCCCGATTGGGACCCCAGATTACATGGCTCCTGAAGTGCTGACTGTGATGAACGGGGATGGAAAAGGCACCTACGGCCTGGACTGTGACTGGTGGTCAGTGGGCGTGATTGCCTATGAGATGATTTATGGGAGATCCCCCTTCGCAGAGGGAACCTCTGCCAGAACCTTCAATAACATTATGAATTTCCAGGTAAAGAGTCCTTAGAAGATTTCGAAGTCACATTGAGAAACGTTATTTAAAAATTGTGCGAATGAGGCTGGGCGTGGTGGCTCATGCCTGTAATCCCGGCACTTTGGGAGGCCGAGGTGGGTGGATCACGAGGTCAGGAGATCGAGACCATCCTGGCTAACATGGTGAAACCCCATCTCTACTAAAAAATACAAAAAAATTAGCCAGTTGTGGTGGTGGGCGCCTGTAGTCCCAGCTACTCTGGAGGCTGAGGCAGGAGAATGGCATGAACCCGGGAGGCGGAGCTTACAGTGAGCCAAGATCGCGCCGCTGTACTACAGCAGCCTGGGCAACGGAGTGAGACTCCGTCTAAAAAACAAAACAAAACAAAACAAAAAACCAAAAAATTGTGTGAATGAATGTTTCTAGAATGTTGTTTAAAAATTGTGTTCATGAATATTTTATACGTATTGTGTGAATGAATGTTTATAGAATGTTAGATGTTATTTAAAAATTGTGTGAATGAGTGTTTCAGCAGTGGTGGAAAATAATAATAGCAAATACTTATATGGCACTTAACTCTGTGCCAAAGGCTATTCTAAACATTTTATTAATTGTATTTCACGGAATCTCAGCTGCCAGTAATGATAAGACTACACCATTATTTTATGTACTGCTACGGAAGAAAAACTGTTGCCAATGAGTCTATGATATTTTTATTGATTATAGAATGCATCTTGATTTCAGTGCTGTTAACTGTGAATAACTGTGAGTCTTAGAATTGAGGAGATATAGTTTAGTCAGTTAGTTAATCTTCAAACAACCTTGTGAGGTAAGTATTATTATTTTCATTTATAGATGAGGAAACCAAAGCACTGAAGGTGAAGTAACTGGCCTGAAATAACACAGGCAGTCTGGCCCTGAAGTCCATGCTCTTGATTTTTCGATATACTCCTTCTTAGTACTAACTGTTGAATATGGTATTACAATTGAATGAGGAAATGAATTAGAAATACAATTACATATAGATATGTGTTTTACTGTATATATATATATATATATATATATATATATATACAGTAAAACTATTTTCTAATAACTGTGCTTTCTACTACATTAAGCCTATTTTTTTTTTTTTTTTTTTTTTGAGATGGAGTCTTGCTCTGTTACCCAGGCTGGAGTGCAGTGGCACAATATCGGCTCACTGCAACCCTGCCTCCTGGGTTCAAGCGATTTTCCTGCCTCAGCCTCCTGAGTAGCTGGGATCACGGGTGCCCACCACCATGCCTGGCTAATTTTTGTATTTTTAGTAGAGATGGGGTTTCACCATGTTGGCTAGGCTGGTCTTGAACTCTTGACCTTAGGTGATCCGCCTGCCTCGGCCTCCCAAAGTATTGGGATTACAGGCATGAGCCACTGTGCCTAGCCTGTGAAGCTCATTTCTTAAGGCTCTGATAAATGTATATGTTTTAGTTTCAACCAAAAGGAAAAGGAACGTATTTCCTAGATTTTTGTATCTCACCTAATTTTCATCTTTCTGGAATGCTTAATACATATTTTTATGTACATACATTATTTGTTATTCTTGAGCCTCCTCTTGAGTGAAAATTTCCCCTTAGATGACTCTTGGAGCTAATTTATTTCCTTCCCTTTAGCTCACTCACTCATTCAATCATTCAATAACGAGTGCGTTATCATACCAGGTACTGTTAGGTAGCAGGTTTACAGGGATGAGCAGAAGAAGCAGGCCCTCTCTGCCTTCTTTCTTTTTCATCACACTGAAATCACAGCGCATTGTGTGTGTGCAAAAGTAGAGTGCAGAGGGAACATGCAGAAAGGAGTTATAGGATAGAAAAGGTAGCCAAGGAAAGCAGCAAGAACAGCATGATTTGTTCAGGGATCTTTAAATAGCTCATCATTGTTGGACAGCAAAGGGAGAGATGGGGAATGTGGCAAGATGAGATGAGAAGGGGAGCCGGGGTCAAGCCATGGAGGACGCTGAACCCCTACAAAGGAACTAAGCCTATTGATGTGAACAGGCCACTTATTTTGGGAACACGCCTTTGGTCCAAAGGGAAGAGGGCACGAAACTTCCTTCTCTAAAAAACAAAAAAAAAGAAACTTGCATATATGAGAAATACTTTCTTCACTTTGCAGCATGAGAAACGGAATCCCTACTAAGGAAATAATTCTCTTATTTTTTTTGGAACAGCGGTTTTTGAAATTTCCAGATGACCCCAAAGTGAGCAGTGACTTTCTTGATCTGATTCAAAGCTTGTTGTGCGGCCAGAAAGAGAGACTGAAGTTTGAAGGTCTTTGCTGCCATCCTTTCTTCTCTAAAATTGACTGGAACAACATTCGTAACTGTAAGTAGGGCTGTTTTCCTTAATTTGGGATGTTGGGATTATGAAACACTCAAGAGAGATCTGAGATTGTTCTGGCCCAAAGAAGCTTCTGTAAATTACATAAATAAAGGCTTTAATTATCTACAGGAGTAGTAAAGGCTAATGATGTAGCTGTCTTTGAGTAATAATTCTGCCTTAAAATTGTTTGTGTAGAACTGGGTCATTTATCAAACTCTGTGTTTATGTGGCCTTTAGAATATTATCCCTCAGTAAGTTAGAGGCACAGATTAATGGAGTTTGAAGGTTGTCACTTGGTTTGACACAGTTTCTTCCAAAAAAGTGGATCTAGGTATTTCATTCACATATCAGGAAAAAGACTCAGATTAGGCAACATGCCCAGGTTGTTCTGCTAATGGCTGAGTTTAAACAAAAACCATAAACACCTCCCTGTGTTTATTCATTTGTTTCCCTCGATAATATTTGTCTTTGCTCACAAGCATGTAAAACCTATAATGTATATGCACAGTAGATTCATTCATACATCACTTTTTATAATCAGTTAGTGCAAACTGAATGAATTCATTAAAAACAAAGACCTGGTTTATTATCAACAGAAACCACACAATGCTCTTTTTTCTTTTACCAGTTGGTGATCTTTTAAAAATCCTTTTAATTCTTGGATGTGTTGTTGATTGAATGTGTTCTACTGAATGATCAGCACGGATTAGAGCCAGTAGGAAAGCAGTTATCCTGTTTGAGTATGTGTTTTGTTTTTGGTGATGGAGGGAGGTTGGGAAATGGAATCTGTTTCTAGGTGTCAAAACCAGGCTTCTGATTGGAGATGTGTTATAATTATAATTGCTTGCACCTTCAGCTAGGACATAGTATGGTAAAAAATCAGTATTGTCCAGTTGTAAACCATTTTGATGGTTTCTCTAACCTTCTGCTGAAATATTTAAGTAGGTCGCATTTCCATAAATCTTTCTTGGCAAATGTTTTTATTATTCGGGTGGCCACATTGCTTTATTTTTCTAAATAAATAGACATCTCCCCCCAAATCTCCAAGGTTCAGACCTTCTAATCAGTAATATATTTTCAGGGCATTCTTCCTTTTATGCTTTTAGAAAGATGTAATAGACTTTCTTTTAGATGCTGTTCAAGTACTTAATCTTTTCTTGTCTTGCCTTTTTATCTCTGTAATCTTCTTGAATAAGCAGTTAATTTTTTTTATTCATGAACCTGCTGATCATGTCTAAGAATGTATCTCCACTTAAGTAAGTCAGTGAATGGTGATTACCTGAGTAGAGTTAAAGTAGTCCCCCACCCTCCTATCTGTGGCACATATGTTCCAAGTCTCCCAGTGGATGTGTGAAACTGATGATAGTACTGAAACCCATCTACCTTTTTTCCTGTGCATACATACCTATGTTATATAAAGCTTAACTTATAAATTAGGCATAATATATTTGACTCCCAGCTCCCAGTGTAGTGGCTCTGAAGACTCACAAAATGTATTTGCTTTAAAAAATTCTTTTTTTTTTTTTTGAGACGGAGTTTTGCTCTTGTTGCCCAGGCTGGAGTGCAGTGGTGCGACCTCAGCTCACTGCAACCTCCGCCTCTTGGGTTCAAGCGATTCTCCTGCCTCAGCCTCCCAAGTAGCTGGGATTATAGGCATGCACCACCACACCCAGCTAATTTTCTATTTTTCGTAGAAACAGGGTTTTTCCATGTTGGTCAGGCTGATCTTGAACTCCTGACCTCAGGTGATCTGCCTGCCTCGGCCTTCCAAAGTGCTGGGATTACAGGTGTGAGCCACCACGCCTGGCCAAAAAATTCTTTTAATTTAAGTAAATCTTTATTTATTTACTTTTGAGACAGAGTCTCACTCTGTGGGCCAGGCAGGAATGCAGTGGTGTGATCACGGCTCACTGCAGCCTCGACCTCCCATGCTCAAGCAGTCCTCCCACCTCAGCCTCCTAAGTAGCTAGGACTACAGGTGTGTGCCATCACACTCTGCTAATTTTTTTGTATTTGTAGAGACGCGGTTTCACCAGGTTGCCCAGGCTGGTCTTGAACTCCTGAGCTCAAGTGATCCTCCTGCTTTGGCCTCCCAAAATACTGGGATTACAGGCGTGAGCCATTGCACCCAGCCCTAATTTTAATAAATCTTTTATTTTGGAATAGTATTAGATTTATAGAAAAGTTGCAAAGATAGTATGGAAGAGTTCCCACATACCCTTCACCCAGTTTTCCCCAACGTTAACTCTTTTTTATATTTATTTATTTATTTTTTGAGACACAGTCTTCCCGTCGCCCAGGCTGGAGTGTGGTGGCACGATCTCGGCTCACTGCAACCTCCGCCTCCTGGGTTCAAGTGATTCTTCTGCCTCAGCCTCCGAGTAGCTGGGACCACAGGTGTGCGCCACCATGCCCGGCTACTTTTTGTATTTTCAGTAGAGACAGGGTTTCACCATGTTGGTCAGGCTGATCTCAAGCTCCTGACCTCAGGTGATCTGCCTACCTTAGCCTCCCAAAGTGCTGGGATTACAGACATGAGCCACCGCACCCAGCCCCCAGTGTTAACTCTTACATAACAGTGTCACTGTCTAAGTGTTTGAAAAACTATTTGTCAAAACTAATATTGGTACATTATTGTTAACTACACTTCAGACTTTTTTTGGATTTTACCAATTCTCCCACTCATGTCCCTTTTCTGTTTCAGGAATCAATCCGTGGTACCATATTGCAGTTAGGGTGTTTATATTTGATGGGACTGGTCCTAGTTTAGATACTTAGTGTAGCTCAGCCAGCAGGTGGGATCTTCATGCCCACCGAGGATTGGTATTGTGTTTTCCTGGTGGTTTTATGGCATTTCCGACTATGCAGAGAGGCATGGTATTAACTTCAGTGTCTCCTAGCAAATTTTCCTGTTTTTCACCAACCTCTGATCCCTGCATTATTTGCAATCAACTCAGAGATTTGTGATTGAAAACATTGCTTGACTCCATGCTCTTTAAGCTATTTTCTAACTAGGTAACTGTAACATAAATTATGCTTTTATCTAGCACTGTTTTTCATAAACACATGTTGAGTGATTTTCATCAACCGAAATACTTCGAATCATTAAGTTTCCCAAGTTCATGGATGCTGCTTAAATGCCTGGTGGTTCCAGGCTGTCGAATATTTCTGCCTTCTGCAATAAGAGATTGTCCCTTGTTAAAAGCAACATTAGCCTTTGTGCGGTTTCACCCCCAATTCTTCTTTTTCTTGTTGTAACCAATGAAAGGAAGTACTGCTTAACACAGCAGGTAATAATCTTCTAAAACTCATTATCTCAAGAGGTGGTCCTGGCAGGATATATAAATGCAATTTAAGAAAGGTCTTGGCAAATTTATGAATGACAGAACTGGGAGTGGCTACCGAGAGAAACTAGGATGCGCCTTTGCTTTGACACTGAGGTCAGGCGTAGCTTCTGTACACTCCTGGGTCCTGCCTCTTGGGGTTGCTGCAGGCAGCACCCCATGAACCAGGCATCTGACCCAGTTCCAGGATACTTATTCTTCCAGCAAGTCGAACACTCTGTGATGAGTGACTGCCATGCTCATGGGTCACCAGGCTCTCATTATTCTGTTTCATTTCCAGCCTCCCACAAGATTGGTTTTTCAGCTGCTTATTTATTATTATCATTATTTCAAGGCTGCTTTCCAAGTTTCAGTGGGGGGTTTCCTAAGCGTACCAGCTGCCCTGGTTGTGCAGTTCCGGCGATGTTTCAGATGCTGGGCCGGATTCTGGCTGTACCCAGCCTGATCTTTCTGGGCTTCAGGAAAGCTGAAGCCAATCAGAGCTCCTCTTTCATGCCTTTGGGATTATGCTTACCTTGCCTGGCATCGTGTACCTGCTCCCATCCATGGGAAAGTTTTGCTGTCTGGTACTGTCTTCTATCAACATCTTTTAAGATATCTTCCCCCGAGGCATCGTGATGTCAACGGAACCAGCACACTTGTACGTTTTATGCAAGACTGCCATATCTCAACAGTGAGAAATGCATAATGGAAGTGGTGATCACGGATTATTTCCTAGGACATTATGGCTAATGCGCTAGAGAACTCGGATGGTCTGTTGCGTCTGACATGGGCTTTTTCTCTTGAGTTGTCTTTCTTTTGCTATTCTCTGAAAGAAACAATTCTTGCCACATGATCCTGATTTTTCAGGTCCTCAGCATTTGTTAGCAGAAAGTACACTTTGTTTCCATCCGGCAGTGACTCAGTGGTGGTCCCATGCTGATGAAACGCTGAGATAGTCTTCTTCCAAATAGGTATCGTTTTGATTGTTGCTGCTTATTTGCTAGCTGGCCCTCAATAGTGACAATGAAACCTCAAGTGTATAATATGGTTGCTCAATAATCCTGAGGGAAGACAGTCTTTGGTTTGGGGGATAGGGATTCTGTGCCTACTTAGCTTCAGGTGAAAGTCTTACA
Source organism: Homo sapiens (assembly GCF_000001405.40). Classification (NCBI taxonomy): domain Eukaryota; kingdom Metazoa; phylum Chordata; class Mammalia; order Primates; family Hominidae; genus Homo; species Homo sapiens. Next base: position 119,818,363 of record NC_000012.12, on the reverse strand, counting down.
AATTTTTGTGTGTAGAAATAAGCACCATGTACCTCCTTGGGTTTTTTCTTTTTTTTTCTAGTCCTTTAGTATGGTCAACAATATTGTTTAGGGAGTACCTATTCTGTGCTAACCACTAGGCATTCAAGTATATTACACTATGCTCCTTCAAAACACTTCTGTCAAATGTAAGGATTATTATACCCATTTTACAGATGTGGTTACTGTGGTAACTTGGCCAAGGTCATAGGGCAAGTGAATAAGGGATTCTGGATTTGGGTGGAGGTCTGTGTGATTCCAAAGCCCATGCTCTTTCTACAATACTATATATGCCTTTGCATAAGTTATTGTTATTAGTAATAATATTTGTGATGATGGCAAATAATAAACCATGTCACACTAGAGAGTGATTTAATCTCTAGGTCTATTTAAGAACATTTGGAATTGCAGGAATTGGATTTTTTTTTTTTTTTAAGTGATGGAGTCTTGCCATCTTTGCCCAGGCTGGTCTCAAACTTGTGGGCTCAAGTGATCATCCTCCCTCTGCCTCCCAAAGTGATGGGATTACAGATATGAGCCACCATGCCCAGCCTAGAATTGCAGGAATTTTTGAATTGATGATTCATTCTGATATTTGAATTTCTACAGTATGTTAAGTGCAATGTCAGGTGCTGGTGCTGTGGCTCCATTGATGAACACATTTGGGTATGGCCCTACCTTCATTGAATTTAGAGTCTAAGAGCCTAACCGGTCTTTTGCTTGAATAGAGCTGTAGTCCTGTTAAATTGCTGTACCTCCAAATGGTGGGAAGTTTAATGCTTCGTAGGCCTCCCCTCACTAGTTTACTGAACCACATGTGCTTGATTTTTTTTTGAGATGGGGTCTCGCTCTGTTGCCCAGGCCGGAGTGCAGTGGCGTGATCTCGGCTCACTGCAAGCTCCGCCTCCCAGGTTCACGCCATTCTTCTGCCTCAGCCTCCCGAGTAGCTGGGACTACAGGTGCCCGCCAACACGCCCGGCTAATTTTTTTGTATTTTTAGTAGAGACAGGGTTTTACCATGTTAGCCAGGATGGTCTCGGTCTCCTGACCTCGTGATCCACCTGCCTCAGCCTCCCAAAGTGCTGGGATTACAGGCATGAGCCACTGTGCCTGGCCCCACATGTGCTTGATTTTAAGCAAAATACAGACTATAGGCTGTGACCTGGTGATCTCTTCCCCACATACAGCATCCTGCTAACCTATAACTCTCCCCATGTCTCAGATCTAGCCTGGGAAAGGACAATGTTGGATCGATGGCCCACTTCTAATCTTGGGATTTCTAATCTCAAGATGAGTTGAGAAGACTCAGGATGTGTCCTGTTTTCTGTTTATTTAGAACAGGGTTTCTCAGCCTTGGCACTGTTGACATTTGGGGCCAGATAATTCTTTGCTGTGGGGGCTGTTGTGTGAATTGCAGGATGTTGAACAGCATCGCTGTGCTTTCTCCATGGATACCAGTAGCACCCTCCCCCTGCAGTTGCAACAACCAAAAATGACTCTAGACATTGCCCAGTCTCCCCTTGGGGGCTACAGTCACCTTCAGTTGAGAACCATTGATTTAGAAGAATTGGCCAGGTTATTATCAGGAGAGGGAACATCACAGTAATCTGAATCTCTCAATACTGCCACTGTTACTGTTAACGAACAGCAAAACTATTACGTGGAGGCAGTAGGACCTTGCTACTCAGAGTGTGGTCCGTGGACCGGCAGCATCGGAATCATCTAGGAGCTTGTTAGAGCTTCAGAGACTCAGGCCTACTGAGTCAGAAGCTGCATTTTAATAAGGATCCCCAGGGGATTTCTGTGCATATTAGAGTTGTGAAGCCCTGCAAGAGGAAGAAATTGGATGCTAGCCTCAGAGTTTCTTGCTCATCTTTGTGGGTCTTCCTCGTTTTGTCTTCGGGCTTAAGGTATGGGGAGGCCACTTTTTGGCTCAGGACTCCTATGGGTGAATGGGACTGCTTAGAACTGCTGGGTTTTAGGCCTTGCTTTGAGGAATTTAAAGCTTTTCTCTTAGATGGACATTACATCGTTCATATACTTCAAAATGGTGGTTTGACCTAATCTCTGCCTTCTGATAGCAAAAAGATATTTCCTTGACTCCCTGAACCCCACTTTACTGTTGTCCCATATTGGATTTTAATTAAGGGTGGAATAAGTATTCTTCACTAACATGTTTATACATGTATGATATTACCATGCCATTTATTGAGTGCCTAGTATGTGCCAGGAGCTCTGCAAAGTGCTTTATGCTTATTATTGTTCCATTTATTCTTCCCCAAACCTCTGTGAGGCAGGTCCTATCACTAGTCCACAATACAAATGAGGTCATGGAGCCCGAAGTTGGCAGTGGTAGGAATCAAACTCAGGTCTCCCTGACTCTAAATTCTCTTTGCCTTTGTTTTTTTGAAAAAGTGGTATAGCCCATAGCAGAAAATTCACATTATACAGAAGGTTATACGGCGAAAAATGCCTCCTTCCCACCCCACGCCCAACCCCTCTCCCTCAAGCGAACCACTATTGTCAGTTTCTCATAGAACTTTCCAGAATATTCTATGCTCCTATAACACTAGCACAACCTATCCTCTTAACAACATCTTTATGCTGCCTCCCAAGAATTCAGTAATTTTTTTTTTTTTGAGATGGAGTTTTGCTCTAGTTGCCCAGGCTGGAGTGCAATGGCGTGATCTCGGCTCGTTGCAACCTCTGCCTCCCACGTTCAAGTGATTCTCTTGCCTCAGCCTCCCGAGTAGCTGGGATTACAGGCATGCGCCACTATGCTTGGCTAATTTTGTATTTTTAGTAGAGATGGGGTTTCTCCATGTTGGTCAGGCTGGTCTTGAACTCCCAACCTCAGGTAATCCGCCCACCTCGGCCTCCCAAAGTGTTGAGATTACAGGCGTGAGCCACCGCACCTGGCCAAATTCAGTAATTTTTATTGGCAGGTTATTTTCCCGCATCATTGAAATGAATGAAGCAATCTTTATACTTCATTCATTTAAGCATGGCCCTACCATGCTTATCCTTCGAATCTGCCACTCAGCCATTGGTTTCTGATAAGCAGTGCTCTTCTCAAATGAAAACCCCTTATGGCTTTTTTTTTTTTTTAAACAAGGCCACAGGTGATATCATGATTTTGACATTATTTTTTCATTTATTTTGTTTAGTGTCCTGCCTTTAGAATTGCATTATCTCAATGGCTTGTGCATTTAGTGTGTGTGTGTGTGTGTGTGTGTGTGTTGTGTGTGTGTGTGTGTGGTATGTGAGCACGCACATATTCGTTTTGGGCCCTTTTTTTTTTTTTTTTTGAGACAGAGTCTTCCTCTGTCAGCCAGGCTGGAGTGCAGTGGCACGATCTCGGCTCACTGCAACTTCTGCCTCCTGGGTTCAAGCAATTCTCCTGCCTCAGCCTCCCACGCAGCTGGGATTACAGGCATGCGCCACCACGCCTGGCTAATTTTTTTGTATTTTTAGTAGAGACGGGTTTCACCGTGTTGGCCAGGCTGGTCTCGAACTCCTGACCTCAGGTAATCCGCCCGCCTCGGCCTCCCAAAGTGCTGGGATTACAGGCGTGATGTTTTGGGCCTTTTAAAGTTCATCTTGTTTGTGTATTCATTTGTTTGGGGCCTTTTAAAGTTCTTCTTGTTTGAGGCTTCCTGTCATTTGAAGGGTTATCTGGTCATGTTTTGTTTTCTAAGCTAGTTCCATGAGGATCATAGATATGCTTCTCTGTTAGGCTTGGTTGGCCCTTAAACTTGTCTTCCTTTTGGACACTCACTTACTTCAGGGGCAGGAGGAAGTGAGGAAGAGGAGTTGGGTCTGTTTGGAGTATCAGCATGGACGGGAAGGGGAGCAAGAGGGATGGGATGGTAAAGTAGTGATGGTAGAAATTCAACTTACTAGACCAGGAGCGTGTGGGCGCCACCTACTAAAACAAAAAAGGAATAATGAAGAGCTATAGTCAGTAGCTCTTATAATCTCTTATGGGATATGTAGGCAAATATTTATGTGTCTCTTGGGGGCTGTTCTGTTTTTAGAAGGTAAATGATTGGTAAGAAAAAATAGGCCAAAAAGAGCTAAATGCTTATGAATTAGGATTATAGGATTTTCCCCCACTAGTCTGAATTTAGAAGCTACTTCCAGAGATGTCAAAAATATGTAATATTCTACTTTATTCCAAGATAAATTGAGGGCAACTTATTCTAGAAATAATTGCAATATTAAAAATATAACAATGAATAAATAGAGAAATCTAGATGAAAGGAGTATGAGGATAGGGAAATAAAGTTAGGGTTGAAAGTAAAAACAAGGAAGTTCCTGTTAAGTTGCCAAAGGAAGAATGATTTGGGACTCTCAGTCTCCCAGTGACCAAAGCAGAAAGGAGAATATAAACAGTTACAAGAGCCCCAGTCGCATGAAAAAAAAGTCCAGAATGCTCTGCTCAGAGGAGACCCAATTTTCTGAATACTGAGCCCTGAGGAATTTCACCACTGGGTTTCCCATAAATGAGACCCCCTGTGACCTGGTGGGCCCCATCCCTCGGAAGTGTACCCTGGCATTTCCATAGGACTGCTTCCTTCTGGGCCTCTTAGTGCAAGCCAGCAGTGCAATGCCACATCCAAGTTTGGTAAATCAATTCTAAGTGAGATAAATTAATGCCTTTTTTGGGGGAAGATGGGAAACAGAGTGGGTTTGTTGGAGAGCCCATAAATTGGAGTCTTCAACCCTTAAATTCTCACTTGCGGGAAAACCTTTCACAACCAAGCAAATGTGGAAATGATTTGGCCAAAGATTCAAAATTATATTAAACATCTGGGACTATATTCAGCAGCCAACTTTCTAATCAATTCTATGAGTGTGGTGATTGCAGTTATGCTCATTTTCTGAGGGTGAAGTTTGGATAGAACTAAAAAGGGCGGTTGGCAGGAATCAAAAGAGATGAAAGCCTCAGGACAAAGAGTTAGAGGCCCAGGTGGTTCATGACTGAGAGTTTGGAAATGATTTCTGGTGTCTCACTTCAGAGAAAATAAATATAGCCAACTCTGTTCATCCGTGGTGATGGAACATTCAACTACAGCACTGGCAGTTTGGGATCTAAGACCACCCTTCCAGCACTTCAAAATTCTGACTTATAAAGGACACACACAAAGAACAGATAGCCAGATAGAGACCAAAATACCCACTTTATTCTTGGCAGGGCAAGCACCCAGTAAGCTCTGATGCAGGGCTCTGGTAAATTTGCCCATCCTACCAACAGAGAAGAATGGTGGCCTCCCCTCATGAACGGGGTCGGAGGGGGGCCTTGCCACAACAGGGGGCCTGATGGAAATAAGGGGGACAAGAGTGTTCGGTTGGTTGAGTGCCTGCTATGCCTGTGCCTAGGCAGTAAAAGGGGAAGTTTTAAGTTTGGCCCTTACTTTCAAGACATAGTAATTCTACCTTCTAGTAAAACATGGCCAAATAAATGTCTGCTTTTCATGAGCCAGATAACCTCCTTCTTCTTTATTGGAGGAGTGAGTAGAAGGGTGAGACTAGCCGGGTGCGATGTCTCCAACCTGGGCGAAAGAGCAAGACTCCATCTCAAAAAAAAAAAAAAAAAATTAAGAATAAATCTTTTCACTGTTGGAGAAAAGTTTTGAGAGGCTGAGGTGAGAGGATCACTTGAGGCCAGGAGTTTGAGACTAGCCTGGGCAACATAGCAAGACCCCTGTCTCTACCAAAAAATAATAATAAAAAAAGCTAGCTGGGTATGGTGGTGTGCACCTGTAATCCCAGCTACTTGGGAGGCTGAGGTGGGAGGATTGCTTGAGCCCAGGAGTTCAAGCTTATAGTGAACTATGATTGCACCCCTGCACTCCCTCCTGGGCATCAGAGTGAGACACTGTCTCTAAAAAAAAAAAGTTGGAGAAAAGGATACTAAAGAGATAAAAGGGTACTAAAGAGATCGGGAAGGCAGCAAAGAATGAATCTAGTCTGATGTGTTATTGGGTGTACGTAATTCATGGCGGAAGGTGCTGAAAGGGAAGGTTGCCTGGGCCTACAGCAAGCAGGTGCTGATGAACTAGCTCCTTTGCTATTACTTAAATGTGTCCTGGTTGGGCCAGATGTGGTGGCTCACACCTGTAATCCCAGCACTTTGGGAGGCCAAGGCGGACGGATCACTTGAGGTCAGAAGTTCGAGACCAGCCTGGCCAACATGGTAAAACCCCGTCTCTACTAAAAATACAAAAAAAGTATCCAGGCATGGTGGCAGGTGCTTGTAATCCCAGCTACTTGGGAGGCTGAAGCATGAGAATTCCTTGAACCCGGGAGGTGGAGGTTGCAGTGAGCCGAGATCATGCCACTGCACTCCAACCTGGGCAAAAGAGCAAGACTGAGTCTCAAAAAAAAAAAAAAAAAAAATTCCTGGGGAATATCCACCAGGGTGAAAAATTGGGTATATCCAAATTCAGCTTTGCAAAGAAATGCACTCATGACTAGTTGCAATTTGAAACGTTCCTCTTCTGAGTATTTCTAGCCTATGTAGGTGTTTCACAGATTGCTGAGTACCTAGACTGAGAGGGAGAGAAAAAAACAAAGTAAAGCTAAAATGTTAAGAAGTCTGGTTAAAGTGCAATCCAGAAGTGAGGGAAAGCATCTCTAAAAGTATGAATCTTTGGGGAAACATAACTTGATTACCAAAAACTTAATATTAAGCAGCCTCATAGGAACATGGCTTTTGGGTATGGCGAGAGCCAGCTAGAGCTCACATCTCCATTGAAATCCACCACCAGAGAGGTTATCTGCCTAGTTGTTGGCAGCCAGACCCTGGCATTGTTTAGATTGATTGATGGAAGGCTACTTTGGGAATGCTGGCTTCCTTATTCATTGACTTTAAAGACAGCATTGTAAAAATTGATCACCAGCCCAAATCAATGTTACCCTGAAGTATTTTTATGACTTTTTGGGGAGGCAAAGAGATGGGATAATTTTTGATTTATTTAAGTCTATTGCAAACTGGAACTCCTTTGTCTTCTTTTTGAACTACCTTTTTTGTTTTTTTGAGAGAGAGTCTTGCTTTGTTACCCAGACTAGAAAGCAGTGATGCAGTCACAGCTGACTGCAGCCTTGACCTCCCAGACTCCGATGATCCTCCCATCTCTCCCATGTGCATCACCACACCCGGCTAATTTTTTGTATTTTTTGTAGAGACAGGGTTTTGCCATGTTGCCCAGGCTGGTCTTGAACTCCTAGACTGAAGTGATCCACCTGCTTTGGCCTCCTAAAATGCTGGGATTACAAGTGTTAGCCACCAGGCCCGGTCTTGAACTTCGTATATACAGTGTGTTGTGTGGGCAAGTCATGCCTGACCACTTCCTAGTGGGAGGGGAGAAACTAGAGGGCTTGCCTGAGGCTTTAGGCAATGTAATCTGTTCTCTTGGGATCAATTACTTATGCATATTTAGTAGCCAGCTCTATTTGCTGATCACCTAATCTGTTCTCTTCGTTCATTCCCATGAGACTTCGATATGGGATATCTTCCTCTTCTTCCCATTGCAGCCTTTTCTCTCAGAGTTGTTCCCATGATAAGAACTCCCATCAAAATCTCTGCTCTAACATCAGTTGTCAGATTTTGCCACTTTTTTTTTTTTTTTTTTTTCTGAGATGATGGAATCTCACTCTGCTGCCCAGGCTGGAGGCAGTGCCACCATCTCGGCTCATTGCAACCTCTGTCTCCCGGGTTTGAGGGATTCTCCTGCCTCAGCCTCCCGAGTAGCTGAGATTACAGGAGCACCCCACCACTCCAGGCTAATTTTTGTATTTTTTTTAGTAGAGATGGGCTTTCACCATATTGGCCAGGTTGGTCTCAAACTCCTGACCTTAAATGATCTGCCTGTCTCTGCTTCCCAAAGTGCTGGGATTACAGGTGTGAGCCACTACGCCCAGCCACATTTTGTTACTTCTTTCTGTAACCTGAATGTGGAAAAACTCACTGTCTTTCCTCCACTCTCACACCATAACTGTCAACACCACAGAAGACTTCTGTGACCAAATATGTGGTCACCACCAAGCAAGCAGTAAGTTCTGCAGTGGACACCACTAGGCGTCCTCCAGTTCAGTTCTGGCACTATCCGCCTGGAGATAGGGCTCAATCCCACAGGTGGAGGTCTCAGTCCCCAAGAATGTCCCCTCTTCAGGCACCAGTTGCAAGTCCAGGCCTCTGGAACTTCTCGCTGACTGGCTTCAAATTGGGGTTCCTGCAGCCCCCTCTTTGAGTTCAATTAATTGGCTAGAGCTGCTCACAGAACTTGGGAAAACACATTTACTGGTTTATTCTAAAGGACATTGCAAAGGATAAAGATGAAGAAATGCATAGGGCGAGGTATGGGGGAAGGGTTGCGAGCTTCCACGCCCTCCCTGGTCGCCCTCCAGGAACCTCCACGTGTTCAGCTATCCGGAAGCTCTCCAAACTCTGTCCTCTTGGGACCTTTCATGGAGACGCCATTGGATAGGCATGATCAACAACCATGTAGAAATGGGATTGCACGAAAAGGCTATGATCTAATCCTCATAGGCTGAGTGGGGAATCCCAGCAAGGCCTGTTTGTTCAGATCCTTCTGTAGCATTCATTCCTCCAGGTTATGGGGCAGGACCCCTTCTGAAATGGGGTCTTCTGACCTACAATCAGACAAGGCAGAGGAAATTTCTTTATGGCCAGCTCCAAGTCAGAAAGGTGGGGGAAGATTAGAGTCCTGCCTTGAGCAGATGAAAGGAGGGCTGGAGGAGGTCAGAGAGAGAGAGATTCTGTTTTTCAAGGCCTGCTTCTAAAGCCTAAAGCACCCCTAAATAACAAAAGATTGTAACAAGGACTATGGGAGTCATAAGCCAGGAACCGTGGATGAAAACCTATATATATGTATATATATATCTCATAATAATTCAAACCTGTCTCCTGTTAATCCCATCCTCTCTGTTTCTGTTATCATTTCCTTAGTGTAGATCTGCCTAAGTGTAGAATTTGTAGAATTTGTCATGTTGACTATTGTAGACTTGTCTTTTAGAGTTTCTAGCACTAGCCTCTTCCACCCATCACTATTGAGATGATTGTATCCGTCTCAGTACTGACACTAACCCAGCACTCTGGTTTTACATCTGTCAATCCATCAAGACTTCACTTTCACTTTCTTCCCTGCCTCATTATTCACTATGCTCTTGGGCCATTGCTCTGGCTTCTGGGGCTTTTCTAAAGTAGCACTTTTCCCCACTCCAGCCCATGAAGATACCTTTTAACCAGCTCTTGAGATTAAATCCCCTCCGTGACACTTTCCTGCAGGAACTTGCAAAAAAGTACTGCATTCCCCACTGGCAAAACTTGCCATCAGCCAGTTTATGTATTCTCTGCTTTTCACACCCATATCTTGACCTCTGAACAACACACATATTCTCCTCTTCATTTATTTCACAGTTCTGTCTTCATAACATTGATAAGTATGATCACATTAGCGCTCTAGATTTTAAGCAACTGGAAGATAGCTATTTTTTTGGTACTCTTCCTTTAAATTTGAACATAGTGTCTAATTAGTCAATTAACATTTTTTTAAAAGGGCGAGGGACATCATGGTAGAGAGAACGAAGTTGAACGTGTTTTTGGTTGAATATTAGCGCATGCCCACTGTATTCTAGGCACAGTCCTGATTCATTATATCATCACACAATAATTATTTATGTGCCTTCATCCTTTATGACACAGTGCTGGCTCTTATTCATCTCCCATTTCTGCAATCCATGGTGATGATTAAAAGTCTTAGGAGTTTTACGAGGCTCAGTATTTTTTTTTTTTAATATGCTAGTTCTTCATGAATACATTGGGTACTCTGAAGCATATCATTTCCTGGGTTTCCTGAAGTGGTATGTTGCGTGGAATGGCACATTAGGTCTAAATAATTATCCCCTATGTAAGGTTCTTGTTTTTCATTCATTCTCTTAAAAAATAGATATTAAACATTAAATAAGGACAGCCAGGTATTGTTTGAGGTGTTAGTGGGCTATGCTAAAAAATCAAAGGTGGGAATGAGGCAGCTGGAGCTCAAAGGAGCATGTTAGAAGGAGTCCCAAGAGGACAAATCCATTTGGTTCTTCTTTCCTTGTTTTTTTTCGAATATTTTTGAGGATGATAATTTTTTTCCCCTCAAAAGCTTTTAATGAATGTTAGGATTAAAAAAGAGAGAGAGAGAATTTATAGAAGAGAAATTAACTATAGCTCCTAAAATAGCTCTTTGTTTCTGAAAGCCTTGATTCTGCTATCTATTTTATAACTGAAACAAAAACAAAAACAAAAACAAAAAACAACCTCAAGAAGTTACTTGTATAGCCTCTGCCACTAAGGAGACTGTGTTCTGATGTTACCTCAAACAGGCTGATTTATTAAAATATTTAAAAATATATATGGAAATATTTTTTTCTATTTTTTTTTTTAGTGGCTTTTCCCAGTGAACAATAGGTCTTACTATATGATTTCTTATTTGTCATTAGTGAATGTGGTGGGTATGTGGCAGCTGGGGGAGCTGATGATTTCATAATACTGTATCAGAAATGATTAGTGTAGGTACTTATTAACATATTTCTCAGACAGAACAATCTTGACTTTTAAAACCTCTTCATTTAATTCAAACATCAAGTACCCTGTTTGTGGCCTGTGTTATGTTAGGTGCTCTCTTTACAAGACCTATTTTCTTGCTATTTAATTATATATTTGCTTAGCAAATATTTACTCTGCACCTACTAGGTACCTGGCACTGTGCTGTGTACTGAGGTGCCATGTGTACCTCCATCAACATAGACTCAAGATCAATATGATTTCAGTGAACTAAAAATACCTTTATTGAAGCAAAAAAAAATCACATTTTGTAAGGATCAAAAAAGAGACATTTTATATAAGGTACAAGAAATAGAAGAATTATATCCCCAAGATATATGTGATAACATACTTGTTAGTTTTTGGACGTGACCAGATTTTACACAATCCTTAAAAAATGCAGCAACCAGATTTTAAAGTAGTTCTCTAATCTCTCTTTCTGTGCCCCATTAGATGTATATTGGATCTTCTCATTCTGTCTTTGTCTTTTGACCTCTCATGTTTTCCGTCTCTTTGTCTCTGTGTGTTGCATTGTACACAAATGCTTCTTGAACTGTGGTGTGCACATGAATCACCTGGGGACCTTGTTACAACGTAGGTTCTGATTCCATGGGTATGGGGCAGGGCCTGAGATTCTTAGAGAATTAAATTCTAACCAGCTCCTGAGTGGTGGTGATAATGCCAGTGTGTAGACCATAGCTTAAGTATCAAGGTTCTATGTGATTCCCTCAGATCTAACTGCTAGTTCACTAAGTTTCTCTTCAGCTGTATCTAGTCTGCTATTTAACATATTCAGTGAATTTTTAACCTTAAATTCAAGAACAAGACTTTTTATTTATGGAAGTTCAGTTTGGTTCCTTTCAAATGTACCTGGTTCTTTTTCAAAGTGTCATGTTCTTTGATAAGAATTTCTACTAATTTACCTTGATAATAAAAATTTGTTTCATGGCTCATTTTAGATTGTTCTTTTATCTGCAGTTTTTGGAGGGCTAATTCTCCCATTTCTTGTATCTGTTGTTGCACCCGTAAGGTGTAGTTGTTGATTTTTACTTTTTAATTGTGAATTTATTTCTGGTAGGGATTGGAAGGAGGTTGTTGGGGTGGGGGTGGGGTGGGGAGAAAATCCTGTGTGCCCTGGGTTGCAAAAACACCCCTACAAGTTGTTCTCCACTTGCATCTGCCAGTGCTCCAAGGGCTCAGTGATCCTGGACCAGTAGTCATGTTAATTTCTTGAATTGTAACAGGATACTGTAAATGTGGACACTCTACCTGAGGTTACTGCTTCTTTCTATCTGCTTTATTTCCTTCCCACTGAAGGGCCCTGGACAAGGGTAAACATCTCATCACTTTCTGGGTGGCAGAATATTTCCAGTTCCCCCACTTCTTTTTGGCTTAAGGCTGTGGCTTTTTCCTCTGCCTGAATGTGGCCCTAAGAAGCCCTTCTTTTCAAACTTTCCTGTTGTACTTGACCGACTAGCTGTCTAGAGGTTTATATCCCTAGCTTTTAATCTTTGCTGTGAATATCTTACCTGTTACCAGCTAGTATATTTCACATTGACTTCTCTTTCCTTTTTTTTTTTTTTTTTTTTTTTTGAGATGGTGTTTCGCTCTTGTTCCCCAGGCTGGAGTGCAGTGGCACGATCTTGGCTCACTGCAACCTCCACCTCCCAGGTTCAAGCGATTCTCTTGCCTCAGCCTCCCAAGTAGCTGGGACTACAGGCATGCACCATCACATCTGGCTAATTTTTTTGTATTTTTAATAGAGATGGGGTTTTACCATGTTGGCCAGGCTGGCCTTGAACTCCTGACCTCAGGTGATCCACCTGCCTCGCCCTCCCAAGGTGCTGGGATTACAGGCATGAGCCACTGTGCCTGGCCTACTTCTTCTTCCTTTTAACTTGAAGATTATCTGCCCCTTTTTCTAATCTTAACCGCATTAAGCTGGCTTTGAGCATGGCAAGAGTTTTATAGATGAATCTTATTTTATAGTACAGGATTTCAAAATCATAATTATTTCACTGAGGGTGGCTTTTACTCTCCATTAATTATACTTCTCACTCAGAAATGGAATTCTATTTTGGTCTCCTAAAGATAAATTAGTATATAGTGGAAAGGAATTATAAAGTTCTGCTAGGAATTAAATGATATGATTAACACAAACATCCACATGGATGTGTCTCTGCCCTGTGCAGGAAAGATGAACATTCAGTACAGATTCTGCTCTATGTCACTAGCTTTCAAGACCTGCAGGTTCTCTCCTAAGCATGCAATTCCTGTGAGCAGTAGCAATAATAGCAGGTCATATTTGTGGAGTGATTACTGTATGCTAAGAACTGTGGTAAACACTTTTATATGGATTATTTTATTTAAACCTCCTAATAGTCCATTGAAATAGATATTGCCATGTTGAAAACTGAGGTTCAGAGAGGTTAAGTGACTTACCCAGTGTCACAGAACTAGTAAGTGGTGGAGCTGGGATTTGAACTGAGATTCCAGAACAATTGCCATTAACCACTTTGCTTCCATATTAGTATCATCTGCAAATCTCTCTCCATAAATTTCCTCAGTCTTTATCTGAGTTTCCTTATTTCAGGAAGGAAAACTTCTGTTTTTGATCCTTATGAAATACAATTTCCATTAAAACTTTTTTTTTTGCTATTAAAAAAGGTACCGGATAATTGAAACCAGATTGGATTTGAGCCTGTGTTGATGGAAGTACACATGGGATGTGGGCTGAAGTGTTCAATCTAATTTTTCTTTCCATCAGCTAATTTTTAAAGTATTAAGCAAGTAGATTCTGACACTAACAGGGAAGATTTAAATTCTCTTGAGAGACTGGAGGTGTTAAATAATTTTCTGGTAGTGCACATTTTACATCTTAAATCTTCCTCACTCTCCCACCTCATCTCAATGTACCTGAAGCTCTGGGAATGTTCTTTTGTACTTCTCAGGAACAGCCAGACCTCTGGCTTCATCTCCTCTCCCCTCCACATCCCTTTCCTGCTCCAATTACTTCCCAGCGCCACTTGGATGTTGTTGTCATCGGGGAACTTTGGAAACAGCCAGATTTTTTTGGAGTCTGTAAGCAGAAAACAGACTGCTTGCTGCTCATATCTGGCACCCAGCTTTGTCCAGAAAACGAGGAGTTAAAAAGAAGTCTGGGCTGTGAAGGGCTGTGACAACTGTCCTAGGGGGAGCTCTAGCGAGCCCTGGCGGGCAGTGACTCATGCTGCTCTGTCACTGGGATCAGCACTGGCCCCTGGCAGGCAGGCGGCAGCCAGGTGGGGTTCCAGCCAGAGCACGCACGCACGGAGCCGGGAGCATGCAGCCTGCACTGCGGGGGATGTGATGCTCGGCTCTAACTCGCCTGGCTGGCCCGCCACGGACGCCTCAGCTTGCAACCATGGTAACGTTTCTGGCGGGGGACACCCCCGGGAGCCCACCGCGATGGGCAGCCTCCTGGTGACTGATGGACGAGTGTCCACCTCCCAGACCGAGAGCGCTTAGTAGGTCGGAGGAAGTGGAGAGGATGTAACACGCCCCCAGCCGGGAGTGAAGCCCTGAGGAGGTAGGAGCCGCATATGTCCATCCGTGCATTCCCACCGTCAGCGCGCAGGGGTGCTGTAGATCACCGGTAGGAACTTTATTTGGCTGGTGCTTCATTATGCTGATTAAACTGCAGTGGATTTGATGGGCATGATTGCGCTGGGGAAGATGCATAATGAACTAAAAAAAAAAAAAAGTGGTTAATAAGATCTCGGAGTCGACTTGTCCGGGTATGAATGAAGTAGACTGCAGTGGTATCCTAACAGGAGTTCCAGAACCTCACACATCCCTTTTCCTGGTCCTTCCTCTTATCCCGGTTAATCCACGAAATGTAGAAGTTCCATCTTATTTCAACGATTAGTGCTAATCATTAATAATTTAGACCTGTCTGGAGGAGGGAATCCATAGGTTTAGGTCTCCTAGCATCCTGGCACTAGCCAGCAGCTGCTCTGTAGGAGCCTTCTGGAAACAGCAGGAAGGAGCGGCTTCCCCACGAGTTCCCCAAGTGCTTTCGTTGGCCCAAGTGCTTTCGTTGGCCCAAGTGACCTGTTTGAGTTTGCTCTTCAGTTTACCCCAGGCGGGAAGGCAGCCTGTCTGCGGGTTGGTGGCCATGTTGGCAGAGAAGGGGTTAATCTCTTGTTGCTGTAGGAGCCGAGGTTGCGAGCTAGATTGAAAGCAGGCGCTGCAGTGCCATCGCCAGCGCCGAAGGAGTAAGACGATCTTCTCCGCAACAGTGTTGAATCCGGCTGAAATTTTTTTTCCTCCCCGCCTCCTTTCTTGTTTTTCTTTAACCAGCTCCTCCCCCCTTCGTTCCCACCCTCAAGTCTGACGATGACACCTCCAATTTTGATGAACCAGAGAAGAATTCGTGGGTTTCATCCTCTCCGTGCCAGCTGAGCCCCTCAGGCTTCTCGGGTGAAGAACTGCCGTTTGTGGGGTTTTCGTACAGCAAGGCACTGGGGATTCTTGGTAGATCTGAGTAAGTGAAAATTTGACTTTCTAAAGGGACCTGCATTGATGCAAGGCTTTTGGAGCCAAAGGTGGTGGTGGGGGGGTGGGGGAATAGGTGGGGGGAGTGCAGTGGAGGGAAGCTGCTAGTCACCTGCATTGGGAAAGCAGTCTACCTGTTAGGGCTTTGCGGGGGTAGCCTGTTAATATTCTCATTTTGCAGTGTGTAAGGTACCTGTTCCTGTCTGTGGTATGATAATTGTCAATTGGGTACTTTGGGTTAGTTTTCCAATCTTTGGTCTTCTTTAAAGGGGAGAGAGTGGGAGATTTCCAGCAGTGCAGATCCCCGGTCAAAGGAGAAATGTGCAGGAGTTAAGATGAGCTGCCCATCTATCTAACCATCTATGTATCTGTCTCTCAAGTGGGTGGATGGGGGTTGCTATCTTGGCTGTATAAAGAATCCTAAAAACCTTGTCTCATAAGCTAGAGGTTTCCTGATGGGTTTAACTGAGCTGCAAGTGGCTGAACCAGAGCTCTAACAGAGAGATGGTGCTCGGCTCCTCTCCAAGTATGCTGCAAGATCAGGGATCTGGCAGCTGAGCCTCTCTGAGCTGGTGGAGCGCTGGCAGCCAGAGAAAGCCCCGTTACTGTGAGCCACCAGGAGGGAGTGTGATGTAGCCGAGTCATTGATTCACAGAAACTGGGCTTCATAGGGGGAAAAAAAACCAGGAGACTAGAAAATGGAAATATAAATATCACTGTAAACCTCTTGATCTGGTAGGTCTTTCTCCATTCTCATAAAAGCTATTGAAAAATGCATTAACAGAGCACTTGGAATTAGAGGGTCGAGGCTTCCAGGAGCCTCCTGGAATTTCTGTAAAATGCAGTAGCTTCTGTGGATGTGGGAGGTCAGTATCTTGCCTCATTCTCTCATGATACAATGACATTCTGTTTTCAGAGGAGTGAGTTCCCCAGAAGATCTTGGACTGATGGTGTTATTTGCCAGCCACCCTGGTCCCTGCACTTTCAGGTTCTCAGAGGGTAATGTTGGGTTAGTTGCTGCCCACTTAGGAGACGAGCAGAATTTGATATTCTTCTTGGCAGCATCTTTCCCTCTTTGTGGTATTTGTAGCTTAGATATCGATTTATAGGGATGTTATGTTGGTTCCTGGATGGTGTCTCCCTATGGGTGCTATTTTGACAGTAACGTTCCTGAAAAGATTTCAGAGTGTTGTGGGGAATTGGGCATTTGATACGAAATAAGGTTGTGGGCTGTGATTGAATGTGAGGGAGGTTTTTATGTTGCAAGATGTTGAAGTGGTCTTTCTTGATCCCCTCTCTGGGGGCTGGGTTTCAAATTCAGGTTGGATTTTGGTAGTGTTAGATGTGCCTCTCTGTCTGATTTGCTCCACAACCCCAAAGCAATCTGGATGGTGGTGGGAGAGGCAGAGTGCTAACTAGCTGTTGAATGTGCCATCAGATGGGTTTGAAACGGCTCAGCAGGATTGGGAGGTTTTGCCATTGGCATCAAAGAGCAGGGCAGAAGCGGAGGCCTGATGTTGAAGGATGCATGGTTAGTGGGCAGTATAACCTTGACACACGCAGCACACTGAAGGTCACACGTCGTACTGGAAGGACGTGTGGAGAGTTCTAGTTCTGGTTAGCAGTGGGCTGGCTGGGTCAGAATGCAAGCTTGCTTGGGTGTTGGTCAGTGATCTGAAAGACGAGGGAGGATTCGAGGGAGTTAGATTTCAGGGGAAAAGGCAGAATGATATGGGAGATCTTAGGCATTGCAATTAATCTGAAGCAGTGTGTGATTAATTGCTTATTTTTCAGGAAGACTTGAACGACATCTTTCTGTTTCTCACAGAAAGCTCAGTTTAGGGAGCTCTCTGACAGGGACATCTCAGTATTAAGGCTGAGGCACTCGATAAATATTTGTTGATTTAATTTACCTATGATCCTTTCCTCCAGAAGTGTTTATATTGCTTATTGTATTTGAAGATGTGCTATCTCACCTCTGGTAGTTTAAACTATATCCTTAGAGCACAAAACGAGCTGCTGTTCCTGACCCAACAGAATGTTTAATAAGATTCTTATTTCAAAAAAGGTCCATGCAAATAAAACTGTGTATTTCTTATTTGGACGATGGCATCAGAGTATTCCTATCATTGGGGAACTTTAACGTTTTTTCAAAGCTTGGCAACGGGGTTGGAATCAGAAAGATTTTCTTTCATCTTGCGTCTTGTTATGTGTTATTGCTATTGGACTTGGCTACTCTGCTGTAGGCAGCCCTGTGGGTGATACCTACAAGCATCATTTTAGAAATTCATCCACCTGTTGGATGTAGATGACCCTGGACATATCAGATTGTGAT
The DNA here is from genome assembly GCF_000001405.40 of Homo sapiens. NCBI lineage: Eukaryota > Metazoa > Chordata > Mammalia > Primates > Hominidae > Homo > Homo sapiens. The sequence goes on along the minus strand of NC_000012.12, from coordinate 119,800,859 downwards.
TAATTAGAAATCTAATAAAAGAGAGGCAGTGATGAAATTACTTAGCAGCTCCTGCAGTTTTATTGACAAAATTTACTTGGAGAGAGGGGGAGACATTTTCTGGGGGTACCACCTTTGCTGCCAGCGACCCTGTGTTTCTTCCTGAGTTTCTTTTTCTTTTCTCACCGTTTTCAGCATCACAGGTTTTTATTTACACACATTGATTACCTGTGCTGTTACTCATTCTTCACACCACTGAGGAAATTGCAGATGCTGCTGTACTGTGCTAGGTAAATTGACCTCAGATTTGTTACCAGTGAATTGAATGAAATGTTCAGAGGTGGAGCTGAATGAACGAGGAGTTTTTGTGGAGAAATTGGCAGTGAGAATGATTTAAATTCTGTGATAGCTCCTCGTTTTTTGGGATCCTTATTTTGGGACCCCAGACTATTTTTAAGCCATTGAGTGCATCATTATTTTAGGCTGAGCAAGAATCTTGATGACAGCGTTTCAATGGCTGAGGCGTAGTGGGAGTTCCTTGCAGCTTGAGTTGGTGGGAGCTGGAGAGTTTCTAGAGAACTAGGTTTGGTTGTCTTTGGGGTGGGGTTATGGTGAAATTAGTCTTGGAGAGTGAGTAGCTGTCTGATGCTTCTTTTCCTTTTTAACCAGCAAGAGCCCAAACCAAATCCCCAAGCTCTGAATGCCTGGCTGTTCCTCTCAGCCTTTCTTTGCTTGAACTTGACAATAGTAGGGTAGTAACAGGAAACAGCATGTTAAAGTTTTAAAAATAAAATAGATCTCAGCTCTTTTCCTTCCCATTAGCAAGGGGTACATTTATTTAGGTTTTTCCTTCTAGATTGAGGCACTGCCTCATTTAAGTTCTTGGTGAAGCCGTGCATTTCTGCAAACCATAAGTATAAACTCTAGAACGGGGGTGTCCAATCTTTTGGCTTCCTTGGGCCACATGGGAAGAAGAAGAATTGTCTTGAGGCACACATAAAATACACTAATGATAGCTGATGAGCTAAAAAAAAAAAAACTCATAAAGTTTTAAGAAAGCTTACAAACTTGTAAGTTTTGAGCCACATTAAAAACCATCCTGGGCTGCATGCAGCCCCCGGGGCCTTGGGTTGGACAAGCTTGCTGTAGAAGGTAAAAATCAGTTGGTTTTATGTTTTTGTTTTAAACATGCTGGTTGTATGCTTTTGGAAGAGTTGGGGAACACTGAGGGTAATGGGATCTTGATGGGGCTGGAATTTGTGGGAAGATGGTGTCTGGGTAGGCTGTTTTTAGGAAGGGGCACTCTCTTCCTTTTGATTCAGAGATTTTTCCTTTCTTTTCGGGTGGTTCTGAAAACACAGCGATGGATCCAGGCATTCAAACACCATGGAGGAAGGAAGAGTGGCTGTTGCCATTGCTTCCCGAGTTTTCTGGGAACCAGTTTTTGGTGCCTCTTCCTTGCTCTACTGGGGCTTCTCTGCATGTCAGTTTCTTCAACTGCGAAGTGGAAGGACAGCGATACTTTTCTTACAGGACTTTTGCGGGGATGGATGAAATACGTAAAACACTTGGTCTAGTACCTGGCACATGGAAAAGCCTTGGTAAATGTTCACTGTTGTTATTTTTGTTATTACTAATACACTAGTCCATGTATGTATAGTGTCCTCCTATACACACCAAGAGAATATGGAAAGGACTCAGCAATGATTAGGTAGTCCAAAGTCATACCAGATTGGAAACCAAGCTTCCCAGGCCCTGGGACTTTTCTGCTAGAGACACTTCACGGTTCTGACCAACTACAAAGAGTTAATATGCAGTTGCCAAATACCTGTTGGTAAAAGGTGGATGTTGGGGAGGAGTGGATTGGGGAACAGAATTAGAAGGTCCAGTCCCAGAATGGGTACCTTCCCATCAAGTTGAACAAGTCAAAACAGGTTATGTTGAAACAACTGAGAGAAAGTAAAGCAAACACCATTGCTGCAGAATATCATGGTACAAATTGGACATCTTTGGGAGTTAGCGGAGTAAGGCAAAATCCAGTGAGGGACGCTTAATGGGTAATGCCAATTCACAATTCTTGTTAAATTACATTGCTGATCTTCCTTGGAATGTCTGTCCATTCCCCCAAGTAGACTGTGATCTCAAGGCAAGGCTGGGTCTTATTCATCCTGGTTTTCCTGGAGCAGTAAATACTTGTGCTGGAACTGGGCTTATAAGCATACTAATGGAAAGTAAAATATTTGGGTTGGTTTTTTAAAAAGACAGTGGATTTGGATCAGTGGAGAGGAAGGTAGAGGGAATTTCAGGTGGGCAGGGTGCTAACAACAGCCCATCCTTACAGGGCACCAACTGTGTTCTAGGCTGTGTTCCAACCACTTTACACAGATGAATTCATTTAAATTGCACAACCAGCCCAAGAGGAAGGTACCATTATTATTCTCATTTTGGATGTGAGGAAACTGAGGCGTGGGGAGATCAAACAACTTGCCTAAAGTTATGTAGCTTTGAGTGGCTTAGCTGAGATTTGAACCCTGTGGGTATAAACGCCACAGATGGGAAATTTGTGTGGGGTACCCAGGTTCATGTGCTTGTTAGAAGTGGAAGCTATTTGTAGAGAATCACGAATGATGAGGTTGGGGCAGGGTGTGATGGGAGCTGACAGGCAGGTCTAAATGCTGGGATTCATTTTCAGTCTCTGTGTTTATTGAGTAGGTAGACGGTATAGCTCTTGGATTTCTCAGATTTTTTCCTCTTTTCATTTAGAGACTCTTATCTGGTGTGTGTGTGCCCGCACACATACATAAACCCACGCGTATATACTCTTTCCCTGAATGTTCTTATTTGCTAAAGCTTAAGCTTGGCAAAGAGAGGAAACTGCACTGACCTTACTCTCCACCATATCTTCAGGCTGATCATACACAAGTTGCTTAATAAGCATTTGGTTAATCCATCTAAATCATTCTTATGGCTGCAACTCTCATTTTGTTGATGACTCTACTATCTATGTCTATTCACATCTACATTTTGTACTTTTGTTTGCCTCCCATCTGTCCTGGGATGGCTGATACCAGTGGAAGACAGCCTGAACTCTCCAATCAGTCCTGTTTCCTTTTTATGAAATACTTGGAGGTTGGAGGATCTTCCCTTAAAAAGTGTTTTCCTTTCTACATCCAGCCAAAGGCTCTTGGTCCTTGTGCTTGCTACCTAGATCCCTATTGGAAAGAGTCTTGCCTGCAATTTGATTTTTTAAATAGCAGCAATAACAGAGTCGTCTCTGCTACACGAAGACATGCATCTGCTGTATTTCCCAGACAAGTTCAAAAACCTTAACTAGCTTCTGCCCATGGTTATTGCTCTCAAGTGCCTTGTGTTGTTCCCATCCCCTCATTATCTGGATTAGATGTTTAACATTTGCCTGTGTGTGTTGTGTTGGATTTTCTCCTCTCCTCTTGCTCATTCAATTTCTTCCTTCTCTTAGCCAAGCACAGCTTGTTCTCCTACTTGCCTTATTCTGTTCTCTATTTAGACTGTGCGTGCCTGCCTTGCAGCCCTGGCAGGACCATTCCACCGCCTTCTCATTTGTCTTAAAGATACCTTTAGGAAATCTAATCCAGACAATCCTAGCCCAGTCCTGAAGATTAGGCTCCAGAAGATCTGTCAAGTGTGTTTTTTGCTGGCCTACACATGCTAATTTGCATGGTTGCCTGGGATCCCTTAAGAAGACAGTCATTGACTAAATGGCGCTACATGTTCCCAAGCTCTGCGCCAGTCTGGCAACTCTTCCTTTGTCTACGTGAATTTCTCCTAGTTCTTTTTGCTTTGCTTGCTGTTCATCTCCTGACCTCTCTCCGACAAACTTCCTGAAAGAAGAGCCTGCACTCAACACCTCTTTTTTCCACCTCTTCAACAATACTGAAATGACTGTCTCAGAAGCCGTTGATTGTACCTAACCACCAAATCTGGTGATTTCCATCTCACCACGTGATACCATTAATACTACCTTTCTTCGAGACAACGTTCTACTTTCTTCTCTTCTGTATTATGGACACTTGGTTTCCCTCCTACCTCTCTGACTGTCATTCTCACTCTTTTGTGGCTGCCATCAGGCTCTTGCAATGTACGTACCATCTCCTCAAGTTCCATCCTCAGTTATCTTTCTAGTTGGTTCTTGGTGATCTCATTCAGTTCCTTGACTTTAGTTCTTACCTCCCCATGGCCTCCTCCCATCGTACACTGTGTTCCTCATCACCAGGATGTTTTACCAGTTTCTCACCATCCCATCCTCTGTTCCCTTCCTACATAGACAGACCCACTCGCTCACTCAGTAAGCCACTAGGTGCTAGTTTTGGCTTCTTCATTTTATGTAAGAAACTACCACCTTCCCTACCCTTCTAGGCAAGAAAGCTGAGTCATCGTAAATTCTTTTCTGCCTCCCCCGCCATCCCATCAGTTGCCAATTTCTCCAAGTGGTGCCTCTAGGATGCCACTTGCATCCATACCCATCTTTCTTCCTCATTGGCACCCATCATGGACTCTTGCTTGGTCTGGTGCAGTAGCCTCCTCAGTGATTCCCTTGCCTCTGGTTTTCCTGGCTGTAATCCATTCTCCACAAAGGGTGGAATTCTTCCAAAGCATAGGTTGGATGATGTCATTCACCGGCTTACACCTTCAACAGCATCCCAGTGTGCTCATAATTAATGGCTGCTCCTGAACTTGGTATTCAGTCTTGGTATGCCAAGACCCCAGCCTGCCGGCTCATTTGTGTCTCCTCATCCCCTACTGAATCACTTCAATAGTGTTGTCTGGCCAAGCTGTTCAAGGCTCATTAAGGACAGGACCAGGTCTTCCTTCTTTTGCCTGAAACAGTGCCTTGCCCCTGGCAGGTCTTCAATGAACATTTGTTGAATTGAATTAGACTAAAATGGCCAGGGATTATACCAATTCCTTCTGCACAGTGTAGACAACTGCTAATGGAACCTGTTTTCTGTAGAGCACTTCTTGTGTTCCCAGAACTATGCGAGTACTTTATGTGCATTATCTCATTAAATCATCACAATCTCACTGTAACTCTATGAGGTAGCTGATATTATCCCCATTTTACAAATGAAGACACTGATTCAGGAAGATTAGATTATTTTCCTGAGGTTCTGAAGGTAGAAACACATCTAAGACTTGGAGCAATATCTGGTTGCCTCTAGACCACTGTACTATCTACCCTGCCTCTAAGAGCCATGACTTTGCTAGATTATGCAGGAGTTATGGACTTGTCTAATAGTAAAGGTAAAAGAATTGGTTTTAATGAGAATCTACTCTTCTAGGTACTATTCTGAGTGCCTGACAAGCATTCTCATGTAGACCCAGCAATAACTCATTATTTTACAGATAGAGAAAATGATGATCATGATGCTTGGGTTACTTCTTAGGTTCACTCAGCTCACATCTGGCAGAGGGTGGTCAACTTTTCCAAGTTTTAACTTATTTATTTATTTATTTTGAGACAGAGTCTCATTCTGTTGCCCACGCTGGAGTACGGTGACACAATCTCAGCTTATTGCAACCTCCGCCTCCCAGGTTCAAGCGATTCTTGTGCCTCAGCCTCCCGTGTAGCTGGGATTACAGGTGCCTGCCACCACGCCCAGCTAATTTTGTTTTTGTATTTTTAGTAGAGGCTGGGTTTCACCATGTTGGCCAGGCCTGTCTTGAACTCCTGACCTCAAGTGATCTGCCAGCCTCGGCCTCCCAAAGTGTTGTGATTACAGATGTGAGCCACCACGCCTGGCTCAACTTTTAACTTTAGAACTGATATAAACATGCCTATTTTTTTGGGACTGACTGTAGCATACCCATTCAAAGTCCAGGCTTTGGAATCAGACAGACGTGGGCTGAACTCAGGGTTTCACCCCTTGCTTGTTGTGTGAATGAGACATTTCACTGCTTTCAGCCTCAATTCCCTCATCTGTAAAGTGGAAGGTGTAAGGTCGCCTATCTGATAGGTTTGCCATGGGGATATGAAGCACACTTAGTGTTGGTGCCATGAGTAGAATGAGTGTTCATTTCATATTTGTTAATGTTATTTAGGTCCGAGGATGGGTATGGGGTGCTTTGGACTCTCTTTTTCTCCCTGCTTCCGCCTTATAAAGACATCTTGCTGGTTTCTGCCCATTGAGAGAATCCAGCTCCACGTGGGGGGCCTGACAGATGTCCTAATATCTCCATCTAATTTTTTACTCTGAATGGAGTCTGTGATGTATCACTTCAACCTGCACTTTCTATAAAATGCTCTCCAGGCTTCTGGTAGGATCCAGTGCCAGTGGGAAGTGTGCATGTTCCCAGCCTAGATGTCACATGCTCCCACCCACCCTGGAAGCACTTGGGTATCCCCTGGATGGGTAAGTCTGTGTGTCATTGTGCCATTCCTGTCTCAGAACCAATGCTGGGCATCTCTACTTGCAGGTGCTGGAAAGCTTTTTCATGCCAGCATACATGCAGCACACTTCTCATTTTGGATTCCTTTATCCCACGGTGACCTTTAAACTGGCTGCCTGGGGGCACAGAAGTACTAGCACACCATTCACTTATTTATTCATTCATTCATTCATTCATTCATTCACTCAACAAATATATTGTTCTAGTCCTTAAGGCACAACTCTGAGCAAGACAGGTAAGGTCTTTACTCTCAAGAAGCTAGCATTTGGTGGGGAGAAACAAAGGAGAAATAACTACTGTGCACATGTGAGGCAATTGCAGATGGTGGTCTGCAGAATTGGGATTGAGACTGCCTGGGGGTGGCCACTTTAGACTGGGTCCGCAAGGAAAGGTTCTCTGAGCTGAGCATGAGTATTTGTTCAAGAAGGCTGAGTTGCATCCCAAGGTGACACAGCTTTTAAGCCCACACTGAGCAGCTCTGAGGTCCTAGGGGCTGTTCGAGAACCTGGGATATAGCACTGACTATGAGACAAAAATCCCTGTCTTCATGGAGCTTACATGATGGGGGCAGATTCACATTCATTCATTTGTTCATTAATTCATTAATTCATTCAGCTATTTGAGAGCCTACTATGTGCCAAGCACTTTCTAGGCACTGGAGAAGTAACAGTGAATGCAAAGGAGCAAGCATCCCTGCCCACACAGAGTGCATTCTTCCAGAATATCAATAAGGAGTCGGTTAGCAAAAATAAGTGGGAAGAGTATTCCAGAGAGAGGAAAAAAGGGCAAAGGCCCTGAGGCTGCCACTAACCTATGGGTGCTCAATGAACAGAAGGCATGTTTGGGTAGGGGGTACTTAAGGATACACAAGGAACATGGTCTGAGCTGAGGTCATCAGGGCCTTTAGGTATGGACTTTGCTCTAAATTGCACTGAGTAGGAAGCTTTTGCAGGATTTTGAATAGGGTCATGGAATATCTGGGTCTTATTTCACAAAGTGTGCCTCTGACCATTGTGTGGAGGGTGGATAGTGAGGGACAAGAGTTGGATCCAGGGAGGTAAGTGTGGTTATTGCAGTCATCCAGGTGAGAGGCAATGAAATTAACCTGCAAAGTGAGGCACTGGCTTAGAGGTGGGAACTGAATTAAAAATCATGGGACTAGCTATTCTTTTATTAATAGCATGATTTTTGATAAATGATTCTGGAGCTACATATTAATCATTTCAAAGCAAGTGCTCTAATTTAACTAGAGACCACTGCTGGTTGTGTGTGTGAGTGCATATGTGTGTATGTATATGAGTATGTGTGGTGTGTGTCAGTATGTATATGTGTGTATGGTATATATATAAATATATATATTGTGTGTGGTGGGGGAGGGGGGGTGCCCCAAAGCTAGACAGACTCTGACTGTCTTTAGGGGAATAGTGTTTTTGATATTTCCAGGTGTTCCTGATGGGCACCATTGTTATTTTATTTTATTTTTATTTTATTTTTGAGACGGAGTCTCACTCTGTCGCCAGGCTGGAGTGCAGTGGCGCTATCTCGGCTCAAGACAACCTCCGCCTCCCAGGTTCAAGCAATTCTCCTGCCTCAGCCTCCCGAGTAGCTAGGACTACAGGTGCGTGCCACCACACCCGGCCACCATTGTGTATTTTAAAGTGTGCTTATAAAATTAGTTCAGAGGCCAGATGTGGTGGCCCACGCCTGTAATCCAAGCACTTTGGGAGGCCGAGGCGGGTGGATCATGAGGTTGGGAGACCGAGACCATCCTTGCCAACGGGGTGGTGAAACCCCATCTCTACTAAAAATACAAAAAAATTAGCTGGGTACAGTGGCGCGTGCCTGTAGTCCCAACTACTCCGGAGGACAAGGCAGGAGAATTGCTTGAACCTGGGAGGTAGAGGTTGCAGTGAGCCGAGATCGCACCACTGCACTCCAGCCTGGTGACAGAACAAGACTCCATCTCTAAATAAATAAATAAAACAAGTTCACAAATTTCGGAATGCTCAATCTTAAAAGCCAGTATATTTTTGGAAACGGAATGCTGATGAGTTTTTTATTTTTTGCAGCATATTACATCTTGCAGTTGCATGTATTTTTAGTGCTGTTGGCCAGCACTAAAGGTGGGGCCCTCAGCTGAGCTAATTTTGAGTCCCCTCATTTTGGCTTCAAGTATACTCATTCTTGGTTTTCCCAAGAATATCTGGGATTTGTGATCTGTGTTATCTGTGGTTTGGTGTCGTATTTTGCAGGCATAGGGTCCTATTCCTAAGGGAATAAATGGATGGCTTGATGCTTAAGCACGAACTTAATCATCGCAGTAGTGATTAAAGAGTATTCAACATGTACACTTGCTTGTAGGAAGGAGTACACATTGTATTCTCTTTTGATATGCAATATTTTATTCATAGCCCTATTAAGTAATTTTTTTTAACAAAGTTATATGGATTATTTACAGGTACATCACGGGAAAACTGCATTTTATAATTTTCACTGAAATGTTGAGGTTACATGTAAAGCAATTTTTATGTCATATCTGATACATTTTAAGAAAACATGTCTTCCTGTTACAGCGGTAATGACCATGCCTGCTCTTTCTTCTGTGTCATATGCCATTATCCCTATTAATACTCTTTGGGCTTCTATAATTATAAAGCAGATGTGTATATCAGGGAGAGATGTTGATTTCAGAGTAAGTTTTTCTAGAAAATAGAAGCTGGAAAAAAAAGGAAAACCCAAACTTGGCTTCGTGCTCGAAGAGACAGCACTGCTGTGTGTGGGCGGGTGGCTGCGTGCACCCGCTGCTCAGAAGTGCCTTTTCTCTCCATGGGGATAACTGGCTGTGTATCCGAGATGTGGCCAGGAGTAGGCAAGCAACGTGTGGGCAGGCTGCATGTTCTTTTATTAGCATCTTCATTGTACTGCATCTCGTCGAGCCCAGAGCATGAACTGGCCTGGGTTTCTAATATCTACCCTGCTTCCCACCTAATTACTCCCCTGAACCCTAAAGTGAGGGAGGGAGAGTTGCTCTTGTGGGGTGAGCTTTCCCTGGGGTGGCTGTGAACCAACCTGGCATGTGGATGTTCTTGGGTATCCAGAGCTGTCCTGGACTCAGGCTTGGAGTCAGCTTCTTAGCACTGAATGCAGCCAGTCATGGATGGAGGTCACTGTATCTCACATGTTCCGCTCTCCCTTTCCTCCATGACCTTGCCCCTCTGAGCCTCTGTAGCACTTTTCTTGAGTGTGTCCAAGGCCATCTAGCTAAGAAGTAGCAGAAATGGGATTTGAAGCCATGACTGTTTGGTGATAGAGCCTCAGCTTTGAACTGGGGTTCTACTGCCTGGCACCCCTGCACAAATCATGGTAACGTGGTAGGAGAACATAGAGGTATAGGGCAAGCCCCTCCTTAATGCCATGAATAATACCCATCTTATAGGATTGTGGGGAGGACTCAGTGAAGTAACCCATGAAGCACTAAACACGTGCCTGACACGTGCTCAATAAATGAGCACTTGTCCTGATGACAAAGGTCGTGGCATTAATTCTCTCTCCTAGATTGTTACTTCCTTGAGGACAGGAATTGTGGCTTCCTTAATGGCCACTGCAGCAGAGTTTCTCAAGTTGGCACTATTGACATTTTGGGCTGGATAATTCTTGTTGTGGGAGCTGTCCTGTGGATTGTAGGATGTTGAGCAGCATCTTTGGCCTCTACCCACTACATATTAATAGCACCCCTAGTCATGAAAATAAAATGTCTAGACATTGCCAAACTGCCCCTGTTGAGAACCACTGGTCTGCAGGTATCTCTCATGGGGATCACAGGGCTTTTATATTCTCTTCTCTGTCTCTCTCTCTCCCTCTCTGGGTGTCTCTCTCTCTCACACACACGCTTAGAGAAGGTGGTTAAAAAAAATTTTGTTGAAGTTTGAGAATTTTGAGAACAAAGGAAAAATTTTGGAAGGCATTTTAATGAACAGATAGACTCTGTCCCATTCCATGGTCAACAGAATTTCATAATTAGATAGTTTGTTTACTGCAACTCTGCACCCCATTGCCCATCATTTTAGAGTTCCAACCAGTTAGAGGATTTTTCTTGCAAACTTTCCTTAAAGCAGTGATAGTATCAGCTCTTTAAATAATACTATGCTTGATGAAGTGGTACTTTTCGGGATAATTTGAGACCAGCCGACTTGCTGCTTGAAGAGGACAGGGCTATATTTGGTAATAATATATATGTGATAATATGTATGTAATATTATTATAATGTAATATACAATAATATTTGGTGTAACTGGTGACTCTGAGGCCAGTCTTTGATCGAACCTCTCAAGCTATGATTTACATTATGGTCAATGTTAGCATAATGCAATTATCAGCAATCACTTGCTGTTGCTTTGAAAGTCAGAAGGATGGCTAATAAAAATCTTAGAAAAAGAAAACAGGCCGGGTGCAGTGGCTCACCCCTGTAATCCCAGCACTTTGGGAGGCTGAGGCGGGCAGATCATGAGGTCAGGAGATTGAGACCATCCTGGCCAACATGGTGAAACCCCATCTGTACTAGAATACAAAAAAAAAAAAAAAATTTGCTGGGCGTGGTGGCGTGCGCCTGTAGTCCCAGCTACTCGGGAGCTGAGTCAGGGGAATCGCTTGAACCCGGGAGGTGGAGGTTGCAGTGAGCCGAGATTGTGCCACTGCACTCCAGCCTGGTGACGGAGTGAGACTCCGTCTCAAACAAAACAAAACAAAACAAAAAACAAAAAAAGAAAATCTTAGAAAAAGAAAATAAATTGTAATATTTCAGAATATTTGTTGGGGAGGATATGTGTGCTCAAGAAATACATACTGAGAACTTACCATTGATGCTAGAGATTGAATTTCCCCATGTCTACATGAAAAATGAATAGAATATAAACATTTTAAATTGAGCCATGTCTATCTGTATTATATTTCTTTTATAGAAATTCATGGAAATGGTATATTTTAACTGAATTATTAACACTGGGGACAATAGGCTTTAATCATTATCTAATACCTGTACGTTGTTTTGAAATTCATAGCCCACCACCATTAATTTCAAAATTGGGTTCTTACTCAAAGAGTGATGAAAAGGCACCAGTACCAAATGGTCTGGCCAAAATGCTACATGGAACTAAATGCTGGGGATGGTCATACAATGAGTTTTAAGTGGCTAGACCCTAAATCAGAAGCACTTTCTTCTAATTAGCACCATGGTTCTTAATCCTTTCTGTACATTACAATCACTCAGCAGCTTAATACAAATGTTGCTTCCCGGGGCCACACTCCACATCTTTCTGACTCTCTGATTTAATTGGTCTGAATGGGGCCTATACATCAGGTGTTTTTTAAAAGGTCTCCAAGTGATTCTAATGTGTACTTGCATTGAGGACCAGGGAAGGTGTAGGAAGCCTGATAACCTTTACTCTCCAGCCTCATCCTCCAATCCCATGATTGTTTATGGGATTGTTGCTACACACCCAGCTTAGTCATAGCATTCTTACTCTAGCTTTTTTTTAGATGCAATTTTTATTTATTCTTAAAGAAAAAGATTTCTTTAGCACCTTTATTCTAAAGAGCTCTTAATTGCTGTGCTTAGAACTTCTAAACAGTGAGCATTTGTCAAACATAGAATAGCAGAATGAAGGGGTTGGACCTCGGGTGAGGAGGGCTGTCGCATGGTCTCTTTCGAGTGCCGGCGGGTGGGGGCTGCACATCTCCTCGCTTCTGGGCCCATTGATAAGTGACCTAAAAGTGCCTTTCGTTTTTTTTGGTGGGGGGTGAAAAAGCAATCTGTTTTGTACCCACAGCGGTGCACTTTAAACAGGAAGCCCTACTGGGGCCAGCCTTCTATGTGTCATTAAGTTTTTCACGCCACATCCTACCTATCATCATGCACCCATGTCATCGTTCTTTTAAAGGGTGCCAGTTTTTTGCTTAAGCACAAGGAGCTGTGACCTGTGTTGTCATCCCTGATGCATGTCATGCATGTGACTTCATGACATGTGGGTGACTTTTGATCTCTGAAGGACCAGGGACCCAGTCTGTGGATCACCACTCTCTCCGTGGGTGGTTTGGGTCTTGTTCTCTAGCCCACCCAGCCAGGTGCAATTAGGAATAAAGGAAATAGCAAAGGAATTTTGCTCAAGGCCATGCCAAGCATTTCATCTTATATGAAAAGGAAAAGAGAGAGAGTGTGTGTGTGTTGGCTAGATTTAGGTAGAAAACAGGCTGGTGAGAAGCGTAGAACTTGGTTAAAATTTCTAGCCAAAAGTAAGATTTTTAAAAAGATTTATTTCTGGATCCAATCCCTGTTGCCCATTTCTATGAATAATCACCATTTGTTTTAATGTGAATAATAGCACACAGCAAATTCAGCCCCCTGAGTTTTACCATTTTAAGCAATTGCTTTAGGCCCGTGAGGCATGTACTATTTATGAAGTTGCATGGGTAGTAATGGAAAACACAACAATGACAGTAGTAACAGGTGACATTTGTCGAACACTTGCAGTGTGCCAGGCACTGTGCTGACAGCATTACATGCATTATTTCATTTAATCCTTCCAAGAACTCTTTGAAGTAGGTTGGTAATTATGGCCATTTTACAATTGAGGAAACTGAGGTTCGGAGATGTCAAATAACTAGTCAGTGGTGGGGTCAGATTTTTCTTTTTTTTTTAAATTTATTTGCTTTTTTTTTTTTTTTTTTTGAGACGGAGTCTCACTCTGTTGCCCAGGCTGGAGTGCTGTGGTGCCATCTTGGCTCACTGCAAGCTCCGCCTCCCGGGTTCATGCCATTCTCCTGCCTCAGCCTCCGGAGTAGCTGGGACTACAGGCGCCCACCACCAGGCCTGGCTAATTTTTTGTATTTTTAGTAGAGACGAGGTTTCACCGTGTTAGCCAGGATGGTCTGGATCTCCTGACCTCGTGATCCGCTTGCCTCGGCCCCCCAAAGTGCTGAGATTACAGGCATCAGCCACCGCGCCCGGCCTATTTGTTTTTTTTTTTAAGAGACAAGGTCTTGCTGTGTTACCCAGACTGGAGTGCAGTGGTACAATCGTAGCTCACTGTAGCCTTGAACTCCTGGGCTCGAGCGATCCTCCCACCCCAGCCTCCCACGTAGCTGGGACTAGAGGCATGAGCCACTATGCCCGACTCATTTTTAAACATTTTTTATAGAGACGGCTGGGTGTGGTACCTGTAATCCCAGCACTTTGGGAGACTGAGGCGGGCGGATTGCTTGAGCCCAGGAATTTGAGACCAGCCTGGGCAACATGGAGAAACCCCGTGTCTACAAAAAATACAAAAATCAGCTGGGTGTGGTGGTGCGTGCCTGTAGTTCCAGTTACTGGGGAGGCTGAGGTAAGAGAATCACTTGAGTCTGGGAAGTCGAGGCTGCAGTGACCTGGGACCACCGCACTCCAGCCTGGGCATCGGAGTGAGACTGTCTTTCAAAAAATAATTTATTTATTTATTTTAAAAATAGAGACAGGGTATTGCTGTGTTGCCCAGGCCCGTCTTGAACTTCTGGCCTCAAGTGATCCTTCTGCCTCGGCCTCCCAAAGTGTTGAGATTATAGGCATGTGCCACTGTGCCCAGCCTGAGATTTTGAACAGAGGAGCATGATGCTGGGCGTTGACTCATTTGGCTGTGAGTGTGGAAAGCTGTCACTGGAGTACAGCAAGTCAGCACTATCAAGCCAGCCCTTGTCATTGCCAGGAGCTGCGGGGAGAGAGGTGTTTTGCATTGCTGCAGGGAACTGACCTCTTTTAGTCAGGGAAGTAGTTTGGGCAGTAGAAAGCAGAACTTGCACCTGCTGGTAAGATCTGAGTGGTCACTGACAACCAGCTCTGCAACCCTGTTACCAGGGCAACAAAGATGGGCCCAGGGGTAATGGTGGGCTCTGCCACATCTCTCTGTGCATAAGAACCTTTGGCCACTTGCTCTGGCCTTGTCTTTCACCAATCCCAGTGTTCATATCCAGTGTACCAACCACTGAGGGCAGCTGTCCTGGAATCTCTCTCTCATCTCTGCCCATAATTAACTGCTTCTGGGCACAGTGCATGAGTTACATAGATGAGTGTGGGTAAGTTTGCCCTTTCTGTGGGGGGAGCATCCTTTTGGTCCACTCTCAGGAGGGCATCCTATGTTATTTTTGTGATATTTTCCTAAGAGTTGTATAAGCAAGTGCATCAAGCCAACTTGTCTACCCCAGCTCCCTCTTGAGACCAGCAGAAACTATTTATCAACTGGCAGTTTACGTAACCTCTCTGGGCCTCAATTTCCTCATATAAAATGAGGATAATAAATCGTATCTGCTCATAGAGTTGCTGTGGGGAGTAAAGAGTTCAAATGTATCTGTCAGTGAAGGAAAAAAGAAAAAAAAACAAAAACAAAGAGTTCAAATATATCTAGCGTTCAAACAGAACCAGGTATGCAGCCAGTGCCCAATAGGTGTATGAGTTTCCTATGGCCAATGTAACAAATGACCACAAACTTAGTGGCTTAAAACAACACACATTTATTATTTTACAGTTCTGGAGGTCAGAAGTCTAAGATGATGCCAGGCTTGGTGGCTCAAGCCTGTAATCCCAGCACTTTGGGAGGCTGAGGTGGCAGGATCACTTGAGGTCAGGAGTTCCAGACTAGCCTAGCCAACATGGTGAAACCCCATCTCTACTAAAAATACAAAAATTAGTCAGGCACGGTCACGAGCACCTGTAATCCCAACTACTCAGGAGGCTGAGGCAGGAGAATTGCTTGAACCCAGGAGGTGGAGGTTGCAGTGAGCCGAGGTTGCAGTGAGCCGAGGTTGCACCACTGCACTCCAGCCTGGGCAACAGAACGCGACCCTGTTTCCAAGAAAAAAAAAAAAGTCCGGGATGAGTTTTACTGGGCTGAGATCAGTGTAGACAAGGCTGCACTCTCTCTGGAGGCTCTAGGGCAGAATCTGTTTCCTTGTCTTTTCCAGCTTCTAGAGGTTGCCTGCATTCCTTGGCTTGTGGCCCCTTCCTCCGTGTTCAAAGCCATTGGTGTAACATCTTCAGGTCTCTGTGACTCCGATCCTTGCTTCCATCTTATAAGGATCCTTGTGATTTCATTGTACCCATCCAGATATCCCAGGAGAATCTTTCCATCCCAAGATCCATAACTTAAATCCCATCTGCAAAGTCCCTTTTGCCATGTGTGGTAATATATTCACAGCTTGCAGAGATCAGGACATGGGCATCTTTGGGAAACGGGAAGGGGGCATTATTTGACCTAACATCAAGAGCATGAGATGTTTTTGTAAAATGAAACAAATGTTGCAGCTTCCTAATGCAGCTTCTTAGGCCCACCTGCAGGCCCCCTTGACGTTGGTTTTTCTCTACCTAGGTCTGTTGTGTCGGGTCTGGACTCCCCTGCCAAGACTAGCTCCATGGAAAAGAAACTTCTCATCAAAAGCAAAGAGCTACAAGACTCTCAGGACAAGTGTCACAAGGTATTTATTTCCGCAGCCGGCCTCCTTCCTTGCTCCAGGATCCTCCCGTCCGTATATGCCAAGGGATCCGCCCGGGGCCGCTGCTGGCTCTGAGCCGCCTGATCCGTAGAGAGTGAGGCGCTCCTGCCTTCGCTGAAGTCGCGCCTCCAGCAGCTCAGAGGGAGATGAATTCGGGCCTTGCTGTTGCTGTAAATCCTTTAAATCTAAACCAGAGGAGGCCCTGGATTTAAACAGTCCGTTTCTCAGCATGACCCAGCCAGATGTCTGCTTCTTCCGGCAGGTGGCCTGGGTCCTCACCTGTGGCTGAGATACATCCCATCTGCTTTGAGTGATGCGAAGTCTCTCTTCCTAGTCTTTTAAAACTCCTGCTTATGTCACTGCGGCCACTGTGTTGATTACGCTCAACGTCTCTTAACATTCACTGTTCCTGCCCAGAGGCAACGCTCTGGAAACTAATAAGTCACTGCTTGCCTGGGACTCCTAAGAGTGCAGACGAATAAATATCTCCTTGCCCTGTCCTGGATTTGTCCTCTAGATCTTTGCAAGGAGATGGGGGGGGATCAAGATGGATTTGGGATAAAATTAAAGTGACGTCTGCAAAAACAAAACAAAAACAAAAGCAAACAGGTGAAAAATGATGATTGTGGCTTCCTTGCTAACTGGGTTAGAGAAGTGATCAAGTGTGAACCGGGACTTGAATGAGAGGAGTGACTTAGCATTTGGTGACTGTCCTTAACGAAGAACTGTGCGCTCCTGGGCGAAGAAACAATGGTATTTCCATCCCAACTTAACTTTTGGCGAATTAGCCTTAGCCCAGACCACCAGGTGGTTTCGGAGGCTACTTGAGATGTGATTGCTCCTAATGAACCTCCACGGGCCTTTTTAACCTGTCGATGTGTTTATTTCAGATGGAGCAGGAAATGACCCGGTTACATCGGAGAGTGTCAGAGGTGGAGGCTGTGCTTAGTCAGAAGGAGGTGGAGCTGAAGGCCTCTGAGACTCAGAGATCCCTCCTGGAGCAGGACCTTGCTACCTACATCACAGAATGCAGTGTGAGCCTTCCCTGAAGCCCCCTTCCCTTGGAGGTGGCACTTCCTGTTGTGTGTGTCTCATCCTGTTTCATGATGGCTCCATGAGGCACATCACAGCCAATGGCAGAGAGTAGAGAGAGGGAGAGCACAAAAGCAAGATCTGTGTTTTGCAGAGTAGTGAGAGCCAGGCGTAAGGTCCCCAAGAAATGAGATTGGACTCATTTCCAGCAGAAAGTGCAGGTAGACGGCTGGTACCATGGAGTCTGGAGATGGGAGTAATCCATCTTTGCCGCAAGTTGCAAAAGATCTTAACATCTCCCATCCCAGCCTCTGTGGTCTGCGTTGTGTCTGACATGAGCAGCCTTGAGAACCAGACTCCCAACTATGTACAAGAAAACTTACTTTCAATCTTCCTGACATCAAATTTTCCATTGGCCAGAACCAGTGTAGTGACAAGAAAATAGCCTTGAAAACCCAGACCCTCTGTCATTATTTACCATGTGACTTTCATTTTTTCTTTCCTTCACAAGAGTAGACTGTCTTCTTCTCCATTGTCTTGTTAAATTTTTCATTCAGGTGTTTTTTAATGTGCCCAATTAAACAGTCTCAAGAAGTTGAATCACACATTTCTAAAGTTTTTTTCACAAGGGAGAGGAAATCTATAGAACGTGGCTGATTAAGAATAACTGCTATGTTTCCATTCCAGACTTGGCTGCCTTTCAGTGGTGGGTGAAGTTATTCAGCTATGTATTTCAGATATAGATTTCAGTGCCATTGAAGCATTAAGGGATTCTTATGGATGAAAGGTGTCCAGGAAAAATAAGCCAGGAGGTAGAAATAGACCACTTGGAGTCTTAAATGACAACTGGGCAGAGGATATGAAGTCATTGCTACTTTGAAAGAGGCATATGTACTTTAGGGCCCACAAATAACTGTAGAAAACACTTTGTAGCTATCCACATGGTGGCTGTAATAGCTACTGGGTCTTAATAGGTTTTAGTCCTGAACATGCAAGTAAGTATCTCCTAGGACAGGTAGATGGTGGCAGGAGACAGGCTGATGCAGTTTCCGGCTGGATCCCTAAGGTCACCAGGTTGAGATGATGTTTCTTGAACCAAGGGGTTTTACAGGATGGAAACCGGAGTCGGCAACCAACTGGAAGTTGTGAACTGTGGTCCGTCACTCGAAACTGTCCTGGTGTCTGCGAAGCAGCTTGCAGCTCTCTTAATGAGTCTTTTCAAACAAAGCAGGATCCACAGGGCATCCCTATTAAAATTTTTGCTTTCTGCAGAGCTTAAAGCGAAGTTTGGAGCAAGCACGGATGGAGGTGTCCCAGGAGGATGACAAAGCACTGCAGCTTCTCCATGATATCAGAGAGCAGAGCCGGAAGCTCCAAGAAATCAAAGAGCAGGTAGGCCTGCTTGCCTGGGAGCACAGCAGCATCTCGGCTTGCTTGGACCTCTAATTTCAGGAGAGGCGTGTTTGAGAGAGAAATAGGAAGAAAGGGAGAGAGAGAAAGGGTGGGGGCAGAGTGGAAGAGAGACAGGTATGTAGGTCATTCAGAAACTTCAGATTTCTCATAATTTATATACATCATAGAATGCTTGTTCCAGCTCCTTTTGAAGCTGATACCCCATAATGTCTGCTTTTAAAAATAAAGATGTAGGTTTAGAGCAAGAGTGGGCAGACTTCAGCCTGTGGGGCAAAGCTGGTCCAACACCTATTTTCTATGGCCCACAAGCTAAGAATGGGGTTACGTTTTTAAACAGTTGGAAAAAAAATCAAAAGTAAAACAATATTTCATGACATTTGAAATTTATATGAAATTCAAATTTCAGTCTCCATAAATAAAGTGTTTTTTTTTTGGAACACAGCCATGCTTGGTAATTTGCATATCGGCCCTGGCTGCTTTCAGGCTACAGAGTCAGAGGTGAGTGGTTGTTACAGAGACCATGTGGCCTGCAAAGCTGAAACTACTTACTATCTGGCTTCTTACAGCAAAAGTTTGCCAATCCCTGCTTTAGATGGTTAAAAACAATTAAATGTTTTAATAGCTTCTCAGATGCACTTTTAAGTTTTTGAGTGAAGCCAGGCTAATTCATAGTTTTACTTACATAAAGAAATATTCTAGAAGAGAAATTTGAACCATTCTGGTCAAGGTCAAGTCAGGATTAACACTGCCTATCTGAGTGCAGAAGGCTGTCCCCTGTGTTTTCAGAAAGGAGAATCGAGACCTTTAAAAAGCCCACTCTTTTTTTTCTTTCTAAACGGGTTTTCTTTCTAAATGGCTCATTTTTGTATTGCCTCATTGTTTCCTTTTTAGCATGGATTTTTGTGTCTTTTGAAAAACTGTAAATAGAGACTTTAATGAAGAGATGGCAATGAGCAATTGGAGAGCTGAACTATCAGCTGCCAGGCAACTCTCATTCACTTCAGAAAATCTAATGGAAACACTGATAGAAATGAACATTTCTGTCTCTGGGTAGCACAAACTTAGCCATCTGGCTGGAGCTAATGCAAGAAACTTCTGCAAATAACTCTATCCATTAATTACTCTTTAAAAAAAGAATTACTGTCTTTGGAGTTTTGTTGGCATATTTATCATCTGAATATTTTAAAGTTGTGATCAGTTAATATTCTGTTGCTTGATAAAAACATTATAAATAAACGTGCATAGGACGGAAACCCTGTAAAGGATCATCAGATCTCTGAATAATGCAGTCTTAGAGGTTTTGAAGGCTGCACATTGGCTTTGAGAAATCTGCTTTGACAGTTGACTCATGCTCCTTTTATCAACATAGTTTTTCATCCTAAAAGTTTCAAGAGGTAGGAATCATTTTCTCCCATTAGTTCAACATACCTGGAAATTTACTTTTGGTGACATCCTGGGGAAATGAAAGCTGTGTTTGGCCACCAGAGGGAGCAGCTGGTGTCCATAGATTCCTTAGAAACGGAATTATCAGGACGTTTTGAAAAGGTGTATGTTGGTGGCCGAGTTCAAAGACACGTCTTTTATGATTCATACCACAGTTGGCATGCATGTGGAGTCTTAGATTTAATGACTGCTAAAAGTTCCATTGTGGGGAAGAAACGTGGTTTCAGATTTGATTTTTCATCGGAACAAGGATTTATTTTATGACTTTTGGTAAGTTTTGTGAGAGCAGGATGTTTGCAGACTGGGAGAAAGCTTTTAATGCTTGCAGCAAACTTTCAGTATTTAGTTTGTGGCATATTGATTTTTTCTAGACTTGGGATTTATTCCCTGATCTTTCTCTTAAAAATCTAACTTTCTATATCGCTCTTTATTTTTTTGAGATGGAGTCTCGCTCTGTCACCCAGGCTGGAGTGCAGTGGTGCAGTTTCGGCTCACTGCAGCCTCCACCTCCTGGGTTCAAGTGATTCTCCTGCCTCAGCCTCCTGAGTAGCTGGGACTACAGGTGCACGCCGCCACACCCAGCTAATTTTTGTGTTTTTAGTAGAGATGGGGTTTCACCATGTTTGTCAGGCTGGTCTCGAACTCCTGACCTCCTGATCTGCCCGCCTTGGCCTCCCAAAGTGCTGAGATTACAGGCATGAGCCACTGCACCTGGCCGGCTCTTCATTTTTTTAAAAAATATTTTACTTCCACCTAGCTACCCCCTCTAGAATATTTAGATTTGGTTTAAAAGAAAAACACCTCAAAGACTCATGTGAAATTTGATTCCTAGATCATTACTAGCAATTTCAGCTTCTTCCTTGCTCCCCTACTCAGGAAAGGAGACAAAAGTGTGGGTAACACAAAAGTCACTTGTGTTCCATGGTTTCTGAGTGAATTGCATCATACCTGATCCTTCCTCCCCACAAAATTCTGAAGCTCCATTCAGAAGACTTGCGTTAGGTGGGCCTTGAAACCTGTCTGCAGTTCCCCATCCTGACCTGACTCACACCTACCAGTCTTTCATTCCATCCTGAGATACCACAGCTCTCTCTCAGCTGATCTTGCAAACAGACCTGATGATCACCTCTCAGGTTTTTCCTGAAGCAGGGATTTGGTTAGCTGCTAGATTTATAGGATTTCCTTGAAGTATCCTGCACAATATCAAAGGATCCACAAATGAGTTAGAATTTTCTTTTGATGCTTGTAGGAGACTGGGTGCCCCGAGAGCTTGGAGAGCTGACAGAGTGGTTGCCTGATTCCTGCCTTCCTCCCTCTTATGTGCTGACAGCTCAGGGAAGAGAGATGTTGGGGGGAAGGAACAGACACTCTGTCCTTGCTCTTGACAAAACACAAAAATTACATTCCCTTCTCGCCGACATAAATTCAAGAAAGAAAAGTGAGCTTGAGGACAAAAGATGCTCAAGATTTGGTGTCCATGCCTGTAGCCAGGACTGGCTTTCCCATTAGCTCTAGCAGGCACGGTATCTAGGGACCACTTTACTTTTAGGGTCTCACAAAATGTTTTAATTTTTTCATCAGAAGAAAAAAGTTGGGCTTAGGTCAAAGACACTGTTTTCATAGATGATGTTAATATTTTTGTATTTATAGGAGCACAACTGTAAAATGTAATTTTTAATTTTAATTTTTATGGAGGAAGGCAAGACAGGCTCAGTGCTCACAGTTATGAAAGCCATAATATGGCTCTGCTTGAGGGGGTCCAGAAAAACCGATATTCCATTTCACATACAGCTCATGTTCTGGCCTGTGAATTAATTAATTAATTAATTAATTTGAGATAGAGTCTTGCTCTGTCACCCAGGCTGGAGGGCAGTGGTGTAATCTCAGCTCACTGCAACCTCTGCCTCCCAGGTTCAAGCAGTTCTCCTGTCTCAGCCTTCCAAGTAGCTGGGATTACAGGTGCTCACCACCATGTCTGGCTAATTTTTGTATATTTTGTAGAGATGGGGTTTCACTATGTTGGCCAGGCTGGTCTTGAACTCCTAACCTCAAGTGATCCGCCACCTCGGGCTCCCAAAGTGCTGGGATTACAGGCGTGAACCACCATGCCCGGCCTGCCCTGTGAGTTTAGATAATTGTGAGCAGGTTATAAAGATCTTTGGTTATATAATCCAGCATTGCCTGCTTAGTATGCATGACCCAGGAAACCTGTGTGCCCCATGATTCTGAGGATTGACCTTCAATAACAGTATGCTTTTGGGTGGGAGAGAGTGAAATGAGACCCGTGTTCCATTTTGGGCTGTTTTTTCCTTTCTCCTTTACAGATAATAGAGGGAGAGGTGTGCTTGCATGGAAACCATCCAATTTTCATAAGAGCAGCACATCCCCTTTAATATGCTCTGGGGGGGGGGCGTCACCTGCTACAATGGGATAAAAGGTTTCCTTTATACCCTGTTATTCAAAAATTGCAATTTATCAGTTAAAAGAATATCCTTGCTCAGTCGATTATTTCTTGGGAGAAATATTCAAATATTCCTCACCAATTATTTCTTGGGAGAGTGGATCTCAGAGATGTTACTGAATATTGTGATTTTTAAAGACATTCTTGATTCAATTCCTTGTTCATTTCGTTTTGTATCTCTCTCGTCCTCACCCCACAAGTCACCTTGGATTACATAAATGCTCATTCATAATCCTTATACTTAGCCTTGATTTTTGCTAACACAGAATATTTTTATACTTTGTCCAAAAGTTTTCAAAATCACTGGCCATTTCTTTTGGTGAGCCCAGTTCTGAGAAACTTCAATGTAAATGTTTTGATTTTAGAAATGCATTTTGGAAAAGGTTGGGCTGTTTGGATCACTTAAAGGGTTTGCTCAAGGGAACAGGAAGGTTCTTTCCTTGGAATTTTTCTCACAAGTTATTTTGACCGAAGCCAGTGTTTTGTGACTCTTCCAGATTTCAGGGTGACTTGCATTGCAGGAGTGATGTTACGGTCATCATTCAGTTTTGAGCCCAGAAAAATTAATGGTGAGAAACTGACATGATGAGTTTCACCTTCCAGAATTCTTTCCACTGAGATTTTCAATTACCCTCTTGTGCTGTCTGAAAGGTTAATTTTAAAACTAGTACCATATCCAATTTGTGTTAGGAGCACATGACTTCTAAAGGACAAGTCTATATAAATGATTACCCTTGGCGGAAAACTACATGTAAGCAGTTTATCCTTGTTGTTTAAAGAACATCCCTTTTGGCTCTCCTGTGTTAGGCCTTAAGGTTCTGTGCATTTCGTATGGTGTGATTTGCATGTGTGTTCCCGGTGGTTTTGCTAATGACATATGCTCTACATTAAAAGTGTTTTTTTTTGTTTTTTTTTGTTTTTTTGAGACGGAGTCTTGCTCTGTCACCCAGGCTGGAGTGCAGTGGCGCGATCTCGGCTCACTGCAACCTCCGCCTCCCGGGTCCAAGCGATTCTTCTGCCTCAGCCTCCTGACTAGCTGGGATTACAGGCGTCCACCACCACACCTGGCTAATTTTTGTGTTTTTAGTAGAGACGGGATTTCACCATGTTGGCCATGCTGGTCTCGAATTCCTGACCTTGTGATCCGCCTGCCTCAGCCTCCCAAAGTTCTGGGATTACAGGCATGAGCCACAACACCCGGCCAAAACAGTTTTAAGGTTTAATATTTTTTTCTCCCTCATCTTCACCCTACACTTCTCACCTTTGCCTACTTGGTGCCTCATTCTGGGTCCATCTTTCTACTCCCCTCGTCTCTAGGTCTGTAGGTTGTTTTTTTTTGAGACGGAGTCTTGCCCTGTCACCCAGGCTGGAGTGCAGTGGCGCGATCTCGGCTCACTGCAACCTCTGCCTCCTGGGTTCAAGCGATTCTCCTGCCTCAGCCTCCCAAGTAGCTGGGACTATAGGCCCGCACCACCACACCCAGCTAATTTTTGTATTTTTAGCAGAGACAGTGTTTCACCATGTTGGCCAGGATGGTCTTGAACTCCTGACGTCAGGTGATCCACCTGCCTTGGCCTCCCAAAGTGCTGGGATTACAGGCGTGAGCCACTGCACCTGGCCAGGTCTTTTCTTTGCCAGTCTCTCTTCACTGTGCATCTTCCCTGTGTGGTTAATACTCTTCCATCCTCACTGCCTGTCTATTCTTTTCGGAGTTCGAAAGTTCTCTTTTATTTCATTGCCTGCTCTTTAGGAGTACCAGGCTCAAGTGGAAGAAATGAGGTTGATGATGAATCAGTTGGAAGAGGATCTTGTCTCAGCAAGAAGACGGAGTGATCTCTACGAATCTGAGCTGAGAGAGTCTCGGCTTGCTGCTGAAGAATTCAAGCGGAAAGCGACAGAATGTCAGCATAAACTGTTGAAGGTAGTCAGCCACCCTCCAGGAGGGTGCTTTTTGGGTAAAATTGTACATGATCTTAGCAAGAAAAAGGAGAACCTAGTTTAATGAGAAACAACCTAGTTTGAGAAATAGTAGGATACCTTGGAAAACTCTTGGTCTTTATTTACAGAAGATAACATTATTCTTATTTACTATTATTATCTTGGTCACAGAGACCAAGAAAGTAGTCTACACGACTTTTTTAGGTTGTTGAGATTTCCCAATATGTTGTGTCTTTTTAATTACAGGCTAAGGATCAAGGGAAGCCTGAAGTGGGAGAATATGCGAAACTGGAGAAGGTATACTTTCCATGATTGGTTTTGCTATTAATATTTTGGGTAGATAACTTTTTTCATGTTATTATCAGTGGCCCATCATTGATGAAGAGTATTCTTCATCAATGAATAGAGACCTCTCTTCGAGGCTTATTTTGATAGTCCACCTTTGGGTGACCACATATGACTTTATGGCTCTAAAAGAGGTAAAAGACAGCTCATTTTTGTCACACCTGCCCACAGCAACAAACCCAGACACTTAGTAAAAAGTATAGGAAAATTGTTATTGTTTTAAAGGACTGAGCGACTTTCTCTTTTTGCCATTTGTATGTTGCTGGTCCTACATGCATCATCAACATGGAGCTTTGCACTGGGACAAAGTCTTCCCTGAGAGGCCACTGTTCTTCCTCTCCCTTAATAGGTTCTGGAAACCCAAAGAAAAAGACCCCATAGAAACCTCAAGAGAATAGGACTGCAATAAATGTAGCAAGATGTTAATGCTGATTTGCCTTTTGCTTTATTTCCTGGGATTTTAATTATAGATCAATGCTGAGCAGCAGCTCAAAATTCAGGAGCTCCAAGAGAAACTGGAGAAGGTAAGCCCAAGGTGATTTTTCAGGAACTTACCCCCCACCACCTCCTTTCCAAACATCTTTGCCTTGTCCCAGAGCACGAAAGATGAAAGAAACAGAATTAGTCACCCAGCGCTGAGGAAAATGAAGGGGGAGTGAGCGATTACCTGAAAATATCAGAGTTCTGAATATAGTTTTTCCTTTTGAGACATGTCAGCAGTGTTTATTTTTAAAAACCAAGCTGTGTGAGACTCTCAAGTAAAAGTTCTAATTATACTACGACAGAACCCAAGAGGCCTGCATCTCTCGCCTCAGGGGGCCTGGCACCTCATTTATGCACATTTGTAAGAGAAGTAGTTCCCCACCCAAACTGCTTTCTGCCAGCAGGAGGCCTGCCCTGCAGAAGGCTGGAGGAGCCATGGGGTTGTCACGTGATTGGGAAGGGGCGTGGATTTGGTTTATAGCATCCTGCAAAGTTTGTGCTAATGGCCCTTTTATTTCATTGTTTAATTATTTAATTAAAAAAAATTTTTTTTTGAGATGGAGTCTTGCTCTGTTGTCCAGGCTGGAGTGCAGTGGTGTGATCTTGGCTCACTGCAACCTCCGCCTCCTGGGTTGAAGCGATTCTCTTGCCTCAGCCCCCTGAATAGCTGGGATTACAGGCATGTGCCACCACGCCTGGCTAATTTTTGTATTTTTAATAGACACGGGGTTTCACCATGTTGGTCAGGCTGGTCTCGAACTCCTGACCTCAGGTGATCTGCATGCCTAGGCCTCCCAAAGTGCTGGGATTACAGGCATGAGCCACTGCGCCTGGCCAACTTATTTAACTTTTTTGAGACAGGGTCTCACTCTGTCACCCAGGCTGGAGTGCAGGGCATGATCATGGCTCACTGCAGCCTTGACTTCACACGCTCAGGTGATCCTCCCACCTCCGCCTCCTGGGTAGCTGGGACTACAGGTGTGCACCACTACACCCAGCTGATTTTCTGTATTTTCTGTAGAGATAGGATTTTGCCATGTTGCCCAGGCTGGTCTCAAACACCTGGACTCAAGTGAACCACCTGCCATTGCTTCCCAAGATGCTGGGATTACAGGCATGAGCCACTGTACCTGACCATTTTATCTTGTTTTTAAAATTTTTATTAATTTTTTCCCTAGCTTCATTAAGGTATAATTGGCAAATAATAATTGCATGTACTTATAGTATGCAATGTGATGTATACACACACACACACACACACACACACATATACATTGTGAAATGATTAAGTCAAGCCAGCTAACAGATCTATCACCTCACATTCTTCTTATATTTTTTGTGGTGAGAACATTTAAGAGCAATTTTCAAGCCCTTTCTTTAGTTGAACACTGGAAATGCTTAATGGAAGGGCCAGAATGAATGTGGTTGTGGGACGTACCTTTGGCATTGAGAATGTTTGTGAATGTGTTTGCTGGCTTGGTTTAATAGAGTTCCTCCTCCTCCTCCTTCTTCTTTTTTAAAATTGTGGTAAAAAAAAAAACCACATAACATTAAATTACCATCTTAACCATTTTTAAGTGTACAGTTCAGTTGTGCTAAGTTTATTCCCATTACTGGGCAATGAATCTCTGGAACGTTTTTGTCTTGTTACACTGAAACTCTATAACCACCAAATACGAATTCCTCTCATCCCCCTACCTTTCTACTTTCTGTTTCTATGATTTTGACTACTTTATATACCTCATAAACTGGAATCATACAGTGTTTGTCCTTTTGTGACTGGCTTCTTTCATTTAGCGTAATGTCCTAAAGTTGCATTCATGTTGCATGTATCAGAATTTCCTTCCTTCTTAAGGTGGAATCATATTCCTTTTTATAGACATACTGCATATTGCTTATCCACTATTTGCTCCCTGCTTCCTTATTCTTGAGCTCTCTAATGAAAGCTCTCATGGCCCTCTTTAGCCAAAAGCTTGTGAGAGGACACGTGTCTCCATCTAGAACTCTGCTCTCCAATCAAAGTGTGAGGGAGCCACAAATATTACTTACAGATGTAATTTAAAATTTTCTAGTAGCCACATTTAAAAACAGCAAACACAGGCCGGGCATGGTGGCTCACGCCTGTAATCCCAGCACTTTGGGAGGCTGAGGCGAACTCCTGAGGTCAGGAGTTCGAGACCAGCCTGACCAACATGGTGAAACCCTGTCTTTACTAAAAATACAAAATTAGCTGGATGTGGTGGCGCATGCCTGTAATCCTAGCTACTCGGGAGGCTGAGGCAGGAGAATCACTTGAACCTCCGGAGGTGGAGGTTGCAGTGAGCTGAGATTGCGCCATTGCACTCCAGCCTGGGCAAGAAGAGCAAAACTCCGTCTCAAAAAAAAAGCAAAACAGGTGAAGTCATTTGAATGATATGTTTGTTTTAACCCAGTATATCTCAATATTTCCCATAGGAAAATTAACAAATGAGATAATTAAAATAAGGAGAAAATTA
Organism: Homo sapiens; assembly: GCF_000001405.40. Taxonomy (NCBI): domain Eukaryota; kingdom Metazoa; phylum Chordata; class Mammalia; order Primates; family Hominidae; genus Homo; species Homo sapiens. Next base: position 119,773,331 of record NC_000012.12, on the reverse strand, counting down.
ATGCTTAGAGGCAAATACATTGATACCTGGGTAGATCAATCCATTTAGATCTTTCTATTTCCATTCATTACGTTGCATCGAATCGAAGATGCTAATGATGGTCAGATACACCATTATCTTATATACCCCAAGAAAGAAAAATGCATCAATTTTAATTGTGGGGTGGATTTCAAATTCAGTGATGTTAAAAAAAGTGCACCTTAGAATAATGAAATATAGAATTAAATGATTGTGTATTTGTTTTGACAAATGGTAAATTCAGTATTACCTGCTTTTTAAATTTAGGACACTGTCACTATCTTTTTTTTTTTTTTTTTAGATTATACTTTAAGTTCTGGGATACATGTGCAGAACATACTGTCACCATCTTTTTATATGAATAAATTTGCCCACCTATCTCCTTTTCCTTCTCTCTTCCTAGGCTGTAAAAGCCAGCACGGAGGCCACCGAGCTGCTGCAGAATATCCGCCAGGCAAAGGAGCGAGCCGAGAGGGAGCTGGAGAAGCTGCAGAACCGAGAGGATTCTTCTGAAGGCATCAGAAAGAAGCTGGTGGAAGCTGAGGTGAGCAGGGAACCTCCAGCCCAGGCCCCAGCGGCCTCGGCCTTTGGCTGTGCCCAAGGAAAGAAACTGCCAGACCATCACTTGCTTATGTTTGACCAAAGCTGCTTTCCCTTCTGAAGATCCCTTTGAAACCTGAGAGGCTGGGAATCATTTCCCCCCAGGGGAAAGAAAGATTTGTCATAGCAGCTTCAAGTAGAAAGATGTCTTCATAGAAGTTTTTTCTTTCTGTTTATTTTCCTCTGACCTACCCACTAATCTGGGAGAATTTTGATTTTTATAGGTAAACCGAAGCTCCATCACTGGTTTTTTCTTTCTCTTCCCTCTGTTTTTTCCTTGCCTTTCCCCTCCACGATATTAATAGCATATTAATTTTCAAGGCTTCACCTATTACCTGCGCGTCAATGACTCTCAGATCTATATTTTTGGGCCTCTTGTCTACTTCAAATTCTTTGTTGTTGTTGTTGTTGAAATCATTTGTATAATTTTACCAGAACCACATGAGTGCCTTTTCGTAAAAAACTTAAAACAGTACAGAAGAATATAGGATAAAAAGCGATTCTTCTCCTTTACTCGTATCTGCCTCCTCTGCCCCTTGGTGTTTGTCCCACAGAAGGGGCGTGCCGTAGTTGATTTCACCCTCCTCCTATTGCTGGGTCTTTTGCTTTTTCCTGTCACATTCTTGGTGTGAACCTCCTGGTACATGTCTCTTTTGGGCCATCCTCACCCACATTCATCTGCATTTCCCCCAGCTCCCCTAAATTCCAACTGAGTGCCTGAATGGTGCATCAGATTTAGAATGAGCTCAGTCTCTTCCCTGGCAAGCTGGTTTCCCTTCTCACTTTCCTCATGCCAGGCAGGGCCACCATCATTCATCTCGTCATTCCAGGCTTGAAACTTTGGTGTCATTTCGTTTTCTCTGGACCCCGCTATTCAGTGAGTCCCTCCATCCTATAAATGCAGCCATACGTCTCCTGTTCATCTCCTGCTTCCCATTTCTGTAGCCCTCCTTGTAGTCCAAGCCCTTTCCTCTTGGCTGAGAAAATCTAATAATTTCTTGGCCATCTGCCTCCAGCTTCTCCTTCCTTCCAGCTAGTTCACACAGTGAAAGATTCATGGACCTCAAGGACCAGATTTCTCAGAATTCCCTGCCCCATCCCAAACCTTTCAGGGGTTCCATAATGCTCAGGTGCACCCCTGAGCCTGGTACCTGAAACCCTCAACCTTTGACCTTTCTGCTTTTCACCTGCCCTTCCCCTTAACATGTGCTGTGCTGTAGCCATTCCAGGCTTCTCTTGGGGCCCAGACTGGCTCTTGACTACTGCTGTGTTTCTGCTAGTGTGTCTCCTTTTGTCTGAAACATCTTCCCCCTCCTCTCCTGTCCTTCCTCCTGCAAAACACCATATACCACCCCCCTCCAGAGCTCACGCCTCTCTGATGTCTCTGCTCAACTGTCCAATTAAAAGTCCTCTTTCCTGCCTGCAACCTCCTGCAGCACTTTGTACCTCTTTGCTTTATGGTTCTTCCTCCTCTTAACCTATATTATGATTATTTGTGTTTATCTTATCTCCTCCAAGGGCAGGAATGATGCCATCTTCCTCTGTATTTTCCGTGATGCCTAGGTGGCACTTTGCAGATAGTAGGTGCTTGGTAAATATTTGAATGAATGAATGCACTCTTGTAACCTACACAACTGAGTACCTAGATTATAGAATCTTATTTTCTCTGCTGTTGCTTCGGGTGCCTGAGACTTTTCTTCCTGACTCGAGTGTATGCTTCTTGAGGGCTCTTTCCCTCGGTGCAGGTGTTATGCCCATAGCGGTTACTCCATTAAAACTCTCTGATTGATTCATGATCTACAGGAACGCCGCCATTCTCTGGAGAACAAGGTAAAGAGACTAGAGACCATGGAGCGTAGAGAAAACAGACTGAAGGATGACATCCAGACAAAATCCCAACAGATCCAGCAGATGGCTGATAAAATTCTGGTGAGCAGGAATGAAAGTCGCAAAGTTAAAAGATAACAGGTTAGAGTTTGCAAAGGGAAGGGGGTAAGAAGAAGAATTAACCGCCACAATAAGGGAGGTATCTCCAAGTAGATGAATTGAGTGAGGTGGTTTCAGCATATGCCACATCGTAGAGTAGTATGAATAACCAAATAACGGACATTTCAGCACTGGTAACAGATCCGTAAATATCGTTTTTTGCTCTGTTTGCTACAGCCTGGCTTTTTTTTTTTTTTTAGTGGAACGTGCATCTATCATTTTCAATACATTTTTAAAGGCGTGTTGACATACTTCTATCAGCAGAGCTTTGGATAGCTGTCAACTTCGCATTGCCAATTTAAAAAGCTGTAGGGGTTTAGACCTTTAAGACCGAAATTCAGATTCTTGCTTTTAGAGAAGAAAGCAATTAGTCATACAGAATTGTTTTGCTAGGAGTAGTATTTGTCATAGATCCATGTTCACCCACTCACTTTCTCTGCTACAGTTGGTTATTATTATTATTATTTTTTCAATTTCCTTAGATATAGCAGGTCTTTTTTTAGGGTCTGTAGTCATCCTGATTCTGTCTCAGGCTCTGATCACCAAATTAACTTGATCAAGGAAGGTTCGGGTGGTATTTGCAGATGTGTTGACGTTTTGCCCCTGCCAGGGTGGAAGACAGCACCTTTGAAGGGCTCTCCTTGGACCTCAGTCCCACAGCCAGAAATTTGACATCATGTTTGAGACTCAAGGATGACTTGGAGTCCATTCCTATCCCACCTGGGAGAGAGTCTCTGAAGTCATTGGTCATTCCTCTCCACCCTAAGGAGGCAAGGTCGTGAGCAGGGCACTTCATCTCTCTCTCTTCACATCACTTCTGGGAAATGAGTCACCAGCAACTATTGGAATTCCATAGTGGCCAACTTATAGGTCTATACTTAATACCAAATCAAACTGTTTACAACTTTACATTTCTGTTTGTGTGTATTTATAAATATATGGATGTTCTCGAATCAACAGGTAAAAGAAAAATGGGTTAAATTGTTTTGCTAAGACACCCAGTCTTTGTATATATGTCTGCACACAAAGACAAATGTGACTGTTAGTCTACCCTTTCTGTTCTCTTGTTCCGTCATCAAAGTTTCTCTTGGCTATTGTCAAGTGTTTGAATTTTATCATGAGTATAAAATTAGATCCCACTGAGATCCCACCGCTGCTGTCCCTTGCTTGGTATAAACGGAGTGGTTAACTCTCTTGTGGTTGCAAAGTGTTTCTCTGTTTAATGGTGATGTGTTCATTCATTCATTCAACAAATATTTAATGAGCTTCTACTATGTGCCAGGCACTGTTCTAGGAGCTGGAAATTTAGCAGCAAACAACAGTATTTGCATAACAGGACTGAAGAGTTGATCCAATATATCTAGAAAATACCTGTTTAAAAAATGACAACAACAACAAAAAATGCCAAACTACCAAGGAGTCAGATTTTTAGAATATCTGCTCTTCCTAAGGTTCACTTACAATTAAAATGGAGGAGTAGAGAGTTCTGCATTCTTGGATTATGTGTTATAAACTCCCATTCACAAATAGACCAGAAATTTGGTCTTAAAGTTGTCAGTCTCAGATACCTGAGTTTTTTGATCTAATCTTAGATTCTGATTTCCATTCCTGTGCTATCTTATGAAGACCGAAACTGGAAAAAAAAAAAAAAAGGATGATTATCAAATGATTTCTAACATAAAGGAAAAATAAGCGGATTTCTTCGTCCGAGTGTATCTTGCCACCCGCCGGAGTACCTTTGTGGTTGTGACTTCATTTATTAGAAGGTGCCTTTTGCTCAAGAACCCTGTGCTTAGGCTGCAAAGTATCTAGGAGGTGGGCAAAGAGTGGTCCTTAGTACCATTATGTAATGATGATGCCTGAACATACATCGCCAAATGTCATTGGCTTTAAAATATTTGCTATTCTGATAAGAACTTTCAAAACAGATAATGGTACAGTCAGTACAGTAGAGTCCTTGGCCTTAGTAAAAGAAGTTACTGCAAGAGATCGTTTAGCCAAGTACATATAGAACCTTTTAAAATATGTTTTTATTAATCCTGTTTATTTTCAACTCTTCAAGATCACATCTATTGAATTGCAGTAGATCTTGTGCACCTGGTCTTAAGATTGAACTTTAATTGCCCTCAGAGCAAAGCCAATGCTTGGAGACTTTAGAATATCAAAAGCTTAATCACTAACATTTTAAGTGTGTGTGAATCTCAAAGTACTTTTTCACCTCCATTTTATGAACATATCCTATATAATTTCCTCATTCTTCAAAACCCTCATAATTGCTTCCACTTCAAAGAAAAATTTCATAATAGTATAAAGAGTTGAAAACTTGGAGTAATGACTTGATATTAGTAATTAACTGATGGGTCCAGATTCATAAGAATTAATATAGATGCAGCTGTGCATTTACAGAATGTTTTAGTGAATTGAATGCTGCCTTTTGTAAGGTCAGTTTATAAAACATTGGCAAATGAACTGCAATTTTCAAGTGAATTACAGTTTTGTTTAAAAGCTAGAAACTTGGTCAGGCATGGTGGCTCGTGCCTGTAATCCCAGCACTTTGGGAGGCTGAGGCGGGTGGATCACCTGAGGTCAGGAGTTTGAAACCAGCCTGACCGACATGGTGAAACCTCGCCTCTACTAAAAATACAAAAATTAGCCGGGCATGGTGGCGCATGCCTATAATCCCAGCTACTTGGGAGACTGAGACATGAGAATTGCTTGAACCTGGGAGGTGAAAGTTGCAGTGAGCCAAGATCGCGCCAGTGCACTCTAGCCTGGGCAACAAGAGTGAAAATCCGTCTAAAAAAAAAAAAAAAAAGCTGGAAACTTAACAATAAAAGAATTAAGAGAACATTAAATGTAGGCTATTTATATTACTCCAGATTCTCTTCTAATCTTTAATATGTCTGTACATTTTTATGTCATTATTATCAGTGTATTATATGTTTGTCTTTGTCCCCATTTGCATTGTATCATATGAACATTATATCACATGCACATCTACAGATAGTCACATATGCCACTTACCAGTCAGTTAAAATCATCATTCAAAACTTGAAGTGCTTGGATCATAACATTAGTTTTCCTTTTTAGCTAGGGTTCTTGAGCAATAATTCTGTTAATGAGGAAAATACAAAGTATTTTTAAAAATCATAATCATATATTAAAATGACTTTTCTCATTTAAGGCTCAAGATAGTGGTCAGGGCTTTGTCATGTACTAAACTTTCCAGTGTTGCCTTGTTACTCTTATTTCTCTATGCAAAGATGAAGAGCTGCCTTTGTTCGACCTGTCATACTGACGTATTTGTGGTCTCAGGCCTTACAGCCCACCAGCTATGTGTGTATGTGTGTGCGAATACTTGGACTTGGAAAACCCAGGGCCAAGGCGTGGTGGTTTCCTTCCCAAGAGCCTTAGGCTAGTAATGGAGGACCAGATGACCGTTACCTGTGGTACCTGTACCAAAGTCATGTTTCCTGTGAATGTCTAACGTGCATTGGCGGTGTCCTGCCCTCTGCACACCTGACTGTCTTTTCTTTTGTGTCTAGGAGCTCGAAGAGAAACATCGGGAGGCCCAAGTCTCAGCCCAGCACCTAGAAGTGCACCTGAAACAGAAAGAGCAGCACTATGAGGAAAAGATTAAAGTAAAGACATTTTCTGATCTTCCCTGGCCTTGCTCCTATAGTACCATGTAGCTCCCATCTCTTCCTGGGCCCTTGTGGCCATTTCTTGCTGGACCAAAGTACTGTTTGGGGTGAATAATGTCCTTATTCCATGGTGAGAGATTTCAGGGTGTTACTTATGTGAAGGATTGGAAATCTGAAGTTCCAAAAAAAAAACCTTTTTTTTTTTTTAAATGTGGTCATCATTTATCTCAATTTCATCTTTAAACTGATTTTTTAAACTCATTGTCATTTAATCCATGATCATTTCTATAATCCTTTTTCTTTTTTAATTTTTGTGGGTACATAGTAGGTGTATATATTTATGGGGTACATGAGATGTTTTGATACAGACATGCAATATGAAATAAGCACATCATAGAGAATGGGGTGTCCATCCCCTCAAACATTTATCCTTTGAGTTACAAATAATCTAATTACATTCTTTAAGTTATTTTAAAATACACAATTAAGTTACTATTGACTGTAGTCATCCTACTGTACTCTCAAATACTAGGTCTTGTTCATTCTATTTTTTTGCAGCCATTAACCATCCCTACCTTCCCTACAACCCCTTCTACGCTTCCCAACCTCTGTTAACCATCCTTCTATACTCTATGTCCATGAGTTTAATTAAGTTGATTTTTAGATCCCACAAATAAGTGAGAATATGTGATGTTTGTCCTTCTGTGCCTGGCTGATTTCAGTTAATATGATGATCTCCAATTCCATCCATGTTGTTGCAAATGACTGGATCCCATTCCATTTTATGGTTGAATAGTACTCCATTGTTGTATCTGTACCACATTTTCTTTCTTTTTTTTTTCCCTTCAACTTTTAAGTTCTGGGGTACATGTGCAGGATGTGCAGGTTTGTTACATAGGTAAACGACGTGTGCCATGGTGATTGGCTGCACAGATCAACCAATCACCTAGGTCTTAAGCCCAGCATGCATTAGCTATTCTTGCTGTCTTCCTGATGCTCTCCCCACCCCACCCCCGCTGACAGGGTTTGTGTTGTTCCCTGCCATGTGTCCGTATACCACATTTTCTTTATCCATTCATCCGCTGATGGACACTTGGGTCATTTCCAAATCTTAGCTATTGTAAATAGTACTGCAGCAAACATGGGAGTGCAGATATCTCTTTGATATACTGATTTCCTTTTCTTTCCTTTCCAGCAGTGGGATTGCTGGATCATGTGACAGCTCGATTTTTCTTTGGCTTTTTCTTTACAATTTTACTTTGCCTTTAATTTTTCTGAGGCTTACTGTATTGTGTCTAAATGTGGATTTCTTGGCTAGGTGTGGTGGCTCATGCATATAATCCTAGCACTTTGGGAGGCCGAGATGGGTGAATCACTTGAGTCTAGGAATTCAAGACTAGCCTAGGCAACTTGACGAGACCCCTGGCTCTACAAAAAATACAAAAATTAGCTGGGTGTGGTGGCACGCACCTGTTGTCTCAGCTACTCAGGAGGCTGGGATGGGAGAATTGCTTGAACCTGGGAGGCGGAGGTTGCAGTGAGCCGAGATTGCACCACTTCACTCCAGCCTGGGTGACAGAGAGAGACCCTGTCTCAAAAAAAAAAAAAAAAAAAGTCTGTTTCTTTTTACTTATCTTATTCTGCTTAAGATTTACTGGGCTAAATATATATATATGTTATATAATATATATTATAATATATATTATATTATATATAATATATATATATTTAGAGACATGGTCTTGCTCAGCACAGTAGGCTCAAGTGATCTTCCCTCCTCAGCCACCCAAGTAGCTGGGACTATAGGCACATGACACCATACCTGGCTATTTAAAAAATGTTTTTTGTAGAGATGGGGTCTCCCGGGCTTTTGAGTAGATTCATATCTTTTTATTTATTCTAGAAAGTTAGTGGTCATTATATCTCAAATATTGTCTCTTCCCCCTTCTCTCTTTTCCTTTTAAGAATTTGATTGGGGCTGGGTGCGGTGGTTCACGCCTGTAATCCCAGCACTTGGGTGGCAGAGGCGGGTGGATCACCTGAGGTCAGGAGTTCAAGACCAGCCTGGCCAACATGGTGAAACCCCGCCTCTACTAAAAATACAAAAAAATTAGCCAGGCGTGGTGGCGTGCACCTGTAGTCCCAGCTACTTGGGAGGCTGAGACACGAGAATCTCTTGAACCCAGTGAGCAGAGGTTGCAGTGAGCCAAGATTTCACCACTGCACTCCAGCCTAGGTGACAGAGTGAGACTCTGTCTCAAAAAAGAAAAAAATAAAAAAGAATTTGATTGGGCATCAGTTAGATCAGCTCCAATTTAGCCTTTTTAAATATTTTCTATTTCTTTGTTTCTTTGTGCTACATTTTGGGTAGTTTCTTCTGACATATTTCCCAATTTGCAAATTCTTTCTTAGCTGTGTCTAATCTGCTGTTCCATTGAGGTTTTTTCTTTTCTTTCTTTCTTTTTTTTTTTTTTTTGAGACAGGATCTCACTCTGTCACCCAGGCTGGAGTGCACTGGTGCAAGTCATAGCTCATTGCAACCTGGGCTTAAGCAATCCTCCTACCTCAGCCTCCTGAGTAGCTGGGACTATAGGTGCATGCCACCACGCCTGGGTAATTTTTAAATTTTCTGTTGAGTTTTAATTTCGGTTGTTATATTTTTTACTTCTAGACATTCTATTTGGGTCATTCCCAAGTTTGCTAGATTATTTAAGACAATCATCTTCTGTTCTGTGCATTCATTTTCAAGCCTAACTTTTCTTTCTTTAAATGTACTGAGCATAGTTATTTTATCATCTGTACCTGACAACTCCACTATGTGAAGTATTTGAAGGTCTGCTTCTGCTCTGTTGTTTCTCTTGGTTCTTTGTCATGGTGACTGTTTTATTTTCCTTGGAGAATTATTAATGGAAATTCTTTGAGGCCTTGGATGAAATGTGTGCCCACCTTGGTGGGTGGTCGGGGGCTTTCATTTCTGCCTTTTCTTGACCACTGAGGCTATAAAAACTGAAACTTAAGTTAATTTGTTTCAGTAAAATATCTCAGGTTAAACCCTTCTTACCTCTCCCTGCTTCTGTTTTACTTAGTTTTTGGCAATTTCTTACTCTCTTGCCAACTTGTAGGTGCTTTTGGGAAAATGTTTTTTATATTTTATCTAGCATTTTAAATCATTTTCAAGAGAAGGGCTGGCCTGACATGTAGCCCACTATGCTATTAGAAATGGCTGCCGCTCTATCAATTTCCTTTAAAATCACATCCCATTTTCATGATGATTTGGATCAAGCCTTTAATTCATTCTTATGTTCTTGAGAATCAGATGCTGTTTATTATATCTTGAATATTGTCGCTTCCCTTTTCCAACCAGACATTGAAGGGGGATTTCAATTTTTGTGATGATCTTGTTATTGATTTGGTTGGTATTCTCAAAGAATTGAGTGGTCCTTTCTTGGAGAATCTAACACGTACATGCTCACACAGCATCATCACCATCACCACCCTGGCATCTTTTACCGCTGGCGTTATTTTTGGTTGTTTTTCAGTAAAAGAAATATAGGAGGCCAGGCACAGTGGTTCACATCTGTAATTTCAGCACTTTGTGGGGCTAAGGTGGGCAGATCGCTTGAGTCCAGGGATTCGAGACCAGTCTGTGTAACAAAGTGAGACGCCCTTCTCATCTTGTCTACAAAAAATACAAAAATTAGCCAGGCAGGTGGCACACATCTGTAGTCCCAGCTGCTTGGGAGCCTGAGGTGGGAGGATCGCTTGTGATCAGGAGGTTGAGGCTGCAGTGAGCCACCTTTGCATGATGAAAGTAACCTTTTGTGAAACATATTCTATGATTTGGTGATATATTGATGTTCCTACCAAAAGCCATATTCTATCTTAAATTGATTTAGATGTCTTTAGTGGAATCTCTTATTTCAAATAAACATTTTGCTCCCCTTCTTCCCCATATATCTTGTTTATCTTTCTGCCAGTTGAACCCTATGAAAGCTAAGAGAGATCCGTATGTTCTTTTATTTATCTGTTTATTGTTTTGAGACAGGTTCTTGCTCCATCACCCAGGGTAGAATGTGGTAGTGTGATCATAGCTCAATGAGGCTTCGAACTCCTGGGCTCAAGCAATCCTCCCATCTTATCCTCCTGAGTAGCTGGGATTACAGGTGTACAACACCATGCCCAGCTAATTACTATTTTTTATACTTTTTGTGGAAATGGGGTCTTGCTATGTTGCCCAGGCTGGTCTCAAACTTCTGTCCCCAAGCGATCTCCACCCGTGTCAGCCTCCCAAAGTGCTGGGGTTAGAGGCATGAGCCACCATGCCTGGCCTAGTGCATACGTTCTTGATAGAGGCTTATCCCTTCTAGCTCATACTTACCTCTTATTGGTATCCTTCTTGACCAAAGTTGAGGTCTTATTTTGAGCAGAGGCATCCTGAAAATGTATTTCATTGCTTTAGCACCTCATAAAATATAAAGGGCATATGTGGTCTAGATATTATGTGGTCTCTGCTAACTTCTAGATGGAAAGAAATTTGTTTTATAGATCCCAAGGAATGTCAGGGAAAGATCTGTCTTTCTTCCCTACTGGAATCTTTATGAAACCATTTCTTTTTAGCCTGTTCTGCTTTGTGTTTCCTGTTCCAGCCTCTGTCAGGCCATTTTAGTAATAATTATGATCATACCCTCGATTCTACCCTGTTCTTGCTCATAATTTTAGAATCATGCTCAGACATCCAAGAGAGTGGGCCATTTCTCATCCTTTTGAGCTTCTTCCTTTCTCTCATGACCCTGTTCCCACCTTTTGGTCTTCTCTTCCAACTTCCATTCTATTTTTTTTCATCAGTCAGTTCTAGTTTAAAGACCTCTTTGAAATCTGTTCTTTCCTTTCTTTCTCCTGTGGACTCCCTCCCCGCTGACTGGCTCTTTTTAGGGACGTCGTCCCCATGAGCTGTGACAGTCCTTTCACAATAGACATTGTTGGAAAGGCAGATTTTAGCCCTCTCTGTGACCCCAGCTCTTTCAGCTTTATTCCCAGGATCCTGTTGTCCTCCTTGATGTTGTTGGTGTTCTTTGGAAAAGTCGAATGGAGCCTCTGTGGTGAGGAACGTAGGGTTGTGGTCAAAGGCTTGGGCATGTTCTGATGTCGTCTTCTTTTTTCCTTCCTTTTTGCTTGTTGTTTTGGCAACTCGTAGGGCTGTGTGTGCCCCAAAGAACATTAGATCAAGTTGGCGATTGGTGATACCATTACTGTTTTATGTTTCCTCTTGGGAACAGTAGGTGCTTACAGTGGCATTCTGAGCACTGAGAACACATGATCTCTCTTCCCCTGGGAAAGGTTTCTTTTCCCAGTGACTTTTTTTTCTCCCCCTAGTTGGATCAGAGGAAAGAACCAGGGAAAGAGGCATTTTTTTCTTTCTTTTATGTTGTCTTTTTAATCTGTTGACCATCCACCTACGTTATTGGTGGCCAAAAGCCTCTTGTCCCTGGTTGTTTCTGAGCATCATCCTTGGTCACATAGACTTCCCCTGTCTTCGGCTTCTCTCCCTCTTGCACACAGCCCAGGAGTATCTAGAATTAATCTGTATAAATTAGGAGTGAGGAATATTCTGAAAACTACGGGTGCACTGGCGAAGAAAAAGTTGTCCCCAGGTAATATCTGCAGATTATAAGAAATTTATTCTCTAGGTCTGGATCTAGAGCAATCTTGTTTCCTCCTCCCTTCTCATTCTGGAGTCTGCCTCATTTTGAATATATCTCTCTGGTCTTTGGGCTGCTGATTTTAAAATAAGTTCTTGGTTCAAGTCAACCTGTTACTTGCCATTGGATGGTAATATTTGACTTTTCAATCTTATCCTGATTGATAAGCGGACTCCCAGTTTTTGCCTTCTCTTTGCCCCAGAATTTGGAGACCTCGGGCCTCTCCCCTGCTTTTCTCCTCTTTCCTAGATTTTCTCAAGTGTCCCCGTTTAGTCTTCCCTCCTCAGCTTGGCTCCTGAGAACATTTGCTGCTGCTTTTGTTTTTGTAGGTGTTGGACAATCAGATAAAGAAAGACCTGGCTGACAAGGAGACACTGGAGAACATGATGCAGAGACACGAGGAGGAGGCCCATGAGAAGGGCAAAATTCTCAGCGAACAGAAGGCGGTAGGTAGAAGGAGTTGCCAAGCCAGTGTTCAAAGGAGGGTTTTTGAAATATGCCAAGAATCACCCCTGATAAGACTCTATTTCACCTGGTGAAATTCCTTCTGTTGAATCCTGTGGAGTTGTTGGTAATAGGAGGCTTTCTCTGAAACTGTTTCCTTTCCTAAAAGCAACTGAGGTGGTGGCTCTGGATGGCCAGTTTTGTGTTTTTCAAGAACTCATGCTGTTCTGCTGTCTGCTAAAATACTGTCCTTCTAAATGCCCCTGACAAAATGTCCAGTGGCTCTTGGTCTTCCTGCTCTTTTTTTTTTTTTTGAGGTGGGGTTTTGCTCTGAAGCCCAGGCTGCAATGTGGTGGTGCAATCATGGCTCACTGCAGCCTCCAACTCCTGGGCTCAAGTGATCCTTCCACCTCAGCCTCCCAAGTAACTGAGACTACAGGTGCATGCCCCCATGCTTACCTAATTTTTAAGTTTTCTGTAGAGACGAGATCTTGCTATGTTGCCCAGGCTGGTCTCAAACTTCTGGCCTCAAGCAATCCTCCCATCTTGGTCTCTCAAAGTGCTGGGATTACAGGCCACCACTCCTGGCCCTACACTTCTCTTCTTTTTACTTGCCTGTTTGTCTCTTTTCTAATCCACATAGGCAGTTGTTTCAGAAACTTGTTGCCCCTAAGGTTTACCTGTGGTGCTTATTTATCTGCACTCCACCAAGACTTACCATATCAGAATCTCTCTCTTTTTTTTTTTTTTTTTTGAGATGGAATCTCACTCTGTCACCCAGGCTGGAGTTTAGTGGCATGATTTCAGCTCACTGCAACCTCCGCCTCCCAGGTTCAAGTAATTTTCCTGCCTCAGCCTCCCGAGTAGCTGGAATTAAAGGCATGTGCCACCGTGCCCGGCTAATTTTTGTATTTTTAGTAGAGACAGGGTTTCACTATGTTGGCCAGGCCAGTCTCAAACTCTTGACCTCAAGTGATCTGCCCACCTCGGCCTCCCAAAGTGCTGGGATTACAGGTACGAGCCACCGCGCCCGACCCCACATCAGGATCTCTGAGGGGAGATCCTGGGAAATTAAATTTTTAGTTAGTACCCCCACACCCCAATTCTTATGATTTTTTAAGTTGGGGAAACTTTGCTGTAGAGAAGCTGTCCCCAACCTTTTTAGCACCAGGGACCGGTTTTGTGGAAGACAATTTTTCCACAGGGGTGGGGGGATGGTTTTGAGATAAAACCGTACCACCTCAGACTATCAGGCATTAAGGCATTAGATTTTTTTGTTGTTTTGTTTTGTTTTTGAGACGGAGTCTTGCTCTGTCACACAGGCTGGAGTGCAGTGGCGCAATATCGGCTCACTGCAACCTCTACCTCCCGAGTTCAAGTGACTCTCCTGCCTCAGCCTCCCGAGTAGCTGGGATTATAGTCATGTGCCACTGCACCTGGCTAATTTTTGTATTTTTAGTAAAGACAGCATTTCTCCATGTTGGCCAGGCTGGTCTGGAATTCCTGACCTCAGGTGACCCACCTGCCTTGGCCTCCCAAAGTGTTGGGATTACAGGCTAAGCCGCCGCGCCCGGCTGGCGGCATTCGATTCTCATTAGGAGCACGCAACCTCGATCCCTCGCTTGCGCAGGTCATGATTGGGTTCACACTCTGAGGAGAATCTAATGCCACTGATCCCACAGGAGGTAGAGCTCAGGCAGTAATGCTCGCTCGCTGGCCGCTCACCTCCTGCTGTGCGGCCTGGTTCATAACAGGTGGCAGACCGGTAATGGGGTACTGCTCTGTGGCCCTGGGGTTGGAGACCCCTGCTGTGGAGTCTAGAGCAATGGTGGCTGGGTGAGAAGGAATCACTCAGAAAATGACAACCCTCGAGGAGGTGGTGATAAATGCGAATGTGCAGATTTGAGTTAAGAGACTTGCAGGCCCAGGTCACATGTAGATGAGATGGGGTTTAACAAGGCCTGATTACTCCCAGGATGTTAGGTTCTTGAATAGGTCCTTATGTCTGTTTTAAATGCAAGCCACTTAGCCAGTGTGGGGAGATTTCATCACTGAAAAAACAACCAAGTACCATCCATTTGAGTGGTACCATCTGTGATCCTCAGAGTACAGACTAGTTGAGTGCCTTGTTACCTCTAGCCAAATTGCCGTCATTTCAGATGAAACTTTTACCCTGGCCCGCACTGCCCCTGTTACTCCTGTTCTGGTGTGTGAAGTTTCATAGGTGCCCTGTGTTTCAGATGATCAATGCTATGGATTCCAAGATCAGATCCCTGGAACAGAGGATTGTGGAACTGTCTGAAGCCAATAAACTTGCAGCAAATAGCAGTCTTTTTACCCAAAGGAACATGTAAGTATTCAAATTCTAACTGCCCTACATTATTACACTTTGGTCTCCTCTCCTGTGGCATAAACTCCCTTCTTCTGTTTGATGGAGCTGGAGTGGATTGAATGACTTCTGTAGCTCAGCCCAGCCCTCAGATACTTACGTCATCTTGCCCTGTCTTAAGTGGTCTCACTCTGCCACTTTTGAGTCGGGTTTTCTTAAATGCCTTCAATTACCATCACATTACAGAGTGTTTTGCTCTCTCTAATGAGGCTATTTATAATTTGCTTGTGGAAAGCTGCAGTTCTTGTTCCCTAGACTTGCATCCTGTAATTAGTAAGAGGTGAAATTGTGTGTGCCCAGTTGGGCCATCCATTTAGTTGTCACTAGGTTAGACCCTATGGAAGGAAGTTTGGGGTTCAGCAAGGGCTGTGTTCCAGGAGCACTTTGAGCTGAATCTTTTCCCCCAGAGAATTAGAATCTCCAGGATTTTTTTCCCCCTTAGGTTTCTCTCTTCAGAGATCTCCCAAAACAGTCCCATCTTAATCTAAACCAGCTTAGTAGGCTGTGTTTTGGGTCTTTGAGTCGTTCTAGGTTTTGATACTTCTAAGCAGTTTGCTGGAGAGGTGAGGGAGATCTGCAGAGAACTAGAAGGAATACCATTCTTTCTCCTTAGTCCTTTTTCTCCAGGGCCTGCCTTCATGAGTTACTGGGGTGCCCTTGTACATTAATCTAAGGAGGCCCCCTTCTGTCCCTACACAGACTCACAGAAGAAATAAACAGGCCTGTCAAAGGAGTGAAATGTTAGTATCTCTTGCATCCTCCTGGACCTTACTTAATCCCATATGTGAGGGACTGACACTGAGTGGTGATGAGTAAATGGTCCCCACGTTCGTCATGCCGGGATCATGCTTATGAGGCCAGATCAGGAGACAGCTAACCCAGGAATGGCCCTAGTCCACTTAGTGAGGAGACATGTCTAACTCCGTGTCCGTCTACCTCCCGTGGAAACGGGCTCAACCCTAATGAGACTGTGATTTTGTTTGGATCCTCCCACCACCCCCACCAGGAAGGCCCAAGAAGAGATGATTTCTGAACTCAGGCAACAGAAATTTTACCTGGAGACACAGGCTGGGAAGTTGGAGGCCCAGAACCGAAAACTGGAGGAGCAGCTGGAGAAGATCAGCCACCAAGACCACAGTGACAAGAATCGGCTGCTGGAACTGGAGACAAGATTGCGGGAGGTGAGAGCGAGGAGTCATCTCCTGGGAGGATTTGCTGGGCGATTCGGGCTCTGAACAAGTCAGCTTTCGAGCACAAATCAATATCTATACAAGAGACATTGTGCTTGGTGGTTAAGGGGGCAGACTTGAGGCAGGAGAAAAGGGTCTGGAGGCAAGGAACCTAAGGCCAATTCATGCTGAATCAAGGAAAAACACCAAGGTTTATGGCAGGGAATCTGAGGCCCTTGTGCTAACCTCTTTTTTTTTTTTTTTTAAGAGAGTCTTGCTCTGTTGTCCAGGCTGGAGTGCAGTGGTGCGATCTTGGTTCACTGCAGCCTCCGCCTCCTGGGTTCAAGTGATTCTCGTGCCTCAGCTTCTCGAGTAGCTGGGACTACAGGCGCCTGGCACCACACCCAGCCAATTTTTGTAGAGACAGGGTTTTGCCATGTTGACCAGACTGGTCTTGAACTTCTGACCTCAAGTGATCCACCCGCCTCAGCTTCCCAAAGTGCTGGGGTTACAGGCGTGAGCCACCATGCCTGGCCAATTTGTGCTAGCTTTCTAAAAGAGAAAACACCAGGTTCTGTGGGCAGGGAACCTAAAGCCCATTCCTGCTGACTTCCCAGAGCTGGATCGAAAGGAAAACACGTGGGGCTGGAGGCAGGGAACCTGAGGCCAATTAACACAAACTTCCTAAAGCTGAACCAAAAGGAAAATCCTCATCTTCCCACGCCCCAGTAGTGAAAGATGGAACAGGCTACTCTCCCTGCAATGCTCCAAAAGATGGAAGACTACTCTCCCTGCAACCCCCTCCCCCCACCTTCCACCATTGCTCAGATGGAAAGGAAGAGCACCTTGGATGGGCCGCGGGCCAAGGAGGGACTATCCCTTCATCTGCATAGGGCACCAGTTCGCCTCAGCCTGTAATTAGCCACAGACCGAATCCTTTATTCAGATAAGGAGTAACCAATAGGAACCCCAAAAGGAGTACTTAAAACCCAGAAAACTTTGTAACTGGGCCCTTGAGCCACTTGCTGGGGCCACTCCCACCCTGTGGAGTGCGTTCTTGCTTTAATAGATCCCTGCTTTCGCTGCTTCGTTCCTGTGTTTCGTTCCTTTGTTACTTTGTGCGTTTTGTCCAATTCTTTGTTCAAAATAGACAACTTAGACCCCAGGCCCTCCTTCTGGTAACAGACTGGGCCATGGGGATCTGGGTTAGAATTCCACCTCCACTCCTTACTGGTTTTATGACCTCTTACTAGTTTTGCAAGCTGCCTCATCTCTCTGCTGGGCTTCAGTTTCTTCATCTGTAAAATGTCAGTGATAATGTATCTCCTTTATAGGGTCCTGTGGGGAGCGTGTCAATTTGTGCATCTGTCAAATGGGAGCAGAGCAATTCCTCCTTTATCAAGATGTAATGACAGCCCCGTGACCTAGTCAGAGCTTAGCCATGGTGGCCCAGTGCTGGTGGCAGAGGTCTGTCTCATAATGACGGTGGGAGATTAAAAGACAAAACCAAATTTAGGTGTGATTGATGAAAGGTAGCTCTCTTCAAAAACATAAGGAGGCTGGGAAGAGTGGCCAGGTTTTGGGGAGGAAAATACAACAAATTGGGTTGTAGACATGTTGAGGTTGATTGAAGCCATAAGGTTACATTTATGTAGTCACTGTATATTTGTCAGATGTCTGCTGTGTGCCAATTTGTAGCCTGGGTCTACAGTGGCGACAAGACAGACCTGTTCCTGACACGAGGGCTTTTAGCCTAGCAGCAGGGTTCGCTGGCACCAGCAGAGACACAACTGGAGTTCAGGATAGTGGTTGTTGGAAGCTGAACACCCAGGCTGGGAGGGAAGATACAATGTCTCATGTAAAATAGTTGCTCAAATATTTGTGATGGAATTCTTCAAAAAGCAGATGATCTTTCTTAAGGAAGGTCCTGTTAAGCAGACAGCGGTCTGAGGTCTAAGCCTTGGGTAGTACTCATGTTTATGCATGTCTTTATTTGTCTTGGAGTATTAAAATGAAGTCAGTTCTCCAAGGGACAGTAACAATGTGTTATCTCATGTTTTTTAGGGGTTGTCAAGGTGTGAACTCCTCCATTAGGTTCACCTGGAGTGTCTGGTTTTATTTTCATTTTTTCTAGCAATGGGGTCTTGCTATGTTGCCCAGGCTGGTCTTGAGCTCCTGGCTTTATTTATTTATTTATTTTTCTTTTATTATTTCTTAGGTCAGGATTTCTCAGAAGGAGGACGTCTGGCTTTAAGCAGTCCTCCCTCCGTGGCCTCCAAAGTGCTAGGATTACAGGCATGAGCCTTAAGCCTTAGGCGATGGTTTAACTTTTATCATCCAGGCTATACTTTCACTCTTCTGTAAGTTTAACAGCAAGATCACGGGAGACTCGCCCTTAAGTTTGAGTCTAAACAATCCAGATGGACTTCTCTAGCTTGGGGGCCTTGACTGGCTGTCTCTTGCCTTCCCTTTGCACAAATGTTCCTCTTAGGAGCCTGCCCTGCTGCTGTAGCTCATCTGGGCTATTAAAGTGTCCCAGGGAAGCTGTTGTTTTTCACTTGAATCAGTAGAGCCAGCCCCTCAAGGATGGTAAGAGAAACTTCAAACGTTTCACGAGAGGTTCAGGCTCTATATTCTCCCTGGGAGTTTTGCAGTTTAGCTCTAAATATAACCAGATCAGTCCCTCTTCTTTTGGCCACATGCTGCTACTGAGATTGAGGGCAGAGGCCTCCACCTGGAGTTTGATCCGCCTTAAAGGACCTGGGCCTTCCCCCAACTTTGTGTGTGCAGCGTTAGCTCTTCTCTAGCCAGGTGTGTGGAGTCACAAAGATGCAGGCTCCCGGGTTCTTCCTTCATTGTATAGCATCCAGCTCCCGCTCCTCCCCTTGAGTCACTGTCACCTGCCTCTCTTGGTTTTGCCAAATGGCATCGGAAGCATTTTCAGGCTTGCTAGTAGAGGTCCACTCTGCTGTGACTGATGGTGTTTTAGTAAGACAGAAGGGTACAGTGTTTACCCTGTACATGGTCAAGTGCAATGGTCAGGACACGTAGGGATGTTGCAGGAATACAGCAACATGTTACATGGACTCTTGAGCCAGACTTTCTGGGTTTGAATGCCAGTCCTGCCTTTTAAAAAGATTTTTATAGCTGTGTGACATTTGCTCAGTTACCTAATCTCTCAGTGCCACAGTTTGCTTATCTGTAAAATGGAGGTAATAGTAGTACCTCCCTTAGTGAGTTGTTCTGAAAATGAAATGAGTTAATTCAGGGCCCAGTGTGTTGTGAGGACCGTATTTGCTGCTGTGACATCGTCGTCATCACCATCATCACTAGAGAGAGATAATAGCCATGGCTTCAGCTGTCACTGATTTGTTAAGGCCTCCTGGATCCAGGTTGCCAATCCAGACCTTTCTTTTGAGTTTCTGACCCATTGTCTTACTAGTAGACTACTTATTAGTAGACGTTAGACATCTCCACTTGGATGTCTCCCGCAGGGCTCAAGTTCAACATGTTAAGACTGAATTTCTTATCTTTTGCCTCAGACTGGCCCTTTCTCTCCTATTCTGTCATAGCAATGGTCTATTTGTGTAATTCACCCGTCCAGAAATGTGGGAGTCATCTTTTTTTCTTTTCTTTTTTTTTTTTTGAGGCAGAGTCTCGCTCTGTCACCCAGGCTGGAGTACAATGGCGCAATCTTGGCCCACTGCAACCTCTGCCTGCCAGGTTCAAGTGATTCTCCTGCCTCAGCCTCCTGAGTAGCTGGTACTACAGGTGTGTGCCACCACACCCAGCTAATTTTTTGTTATTTTTAGTAGAGATGGGGTTTCACCATGCTGGCCAGGCTGGTCTCGAACTCCTGACCTCGTGATCTGCCCACCTCGGCCTCCCAAAGTGCTGGGATTACAGGTGTGAGCCATTGCACCCGGCTGGGAGTCATCTTTGACTCCCTTATGTCCTTTGTTCTCTGCCCCACATCAAATTCACCACTAAATCCTGTTGGTTTTGCAGGTTACATCTTTTGCAAGTGTTTCTTCTCTTCACCCCTATGGGCTTCGGGATGTGGGTGCCACCTTTTCTAGGGAGGAGCCTTCTCCGACCCTCTGAAGCTGGGTTGGAGGTCTCCTTTTTATCCCCATGGCTTTCAGGGCATAGCTCATCGCAGTGTGTTCTTCTTGGCAGTCCCCTTAGACAGCAGGCTCTCTGAGGGCAGCAAGCATCTCTGAGTTGCTTGACATTGATCTTTAGGACCACACTGTCCATGTTTGTCAGGTCAATAGATGTGTCGTGGTCTCCCTCACCCCCATACCTTTGGATGTCTTGCTTCCCCTGCCTGGAATTTTCTTTCACCTCTTACCTGCTTGTTTGACTCCTGCATATTCTTCAACAGAATTTAACAGATCCAGAGTTAGCTCCTCTACCCACCTGCGGTATTCCTGCAACATCCCTACATGTCCTGACCGTTGCACTTGACCATGATATATGGTCATGGTTGGTTTTCATTTTTCTCCCCACTTGAAGGCAGAGACTGTCTTTCATCTCCATATTCCATTTTCCACAGAAATTGCTGAGTAAATTTTTGTTAAATGAATGATGAAAGATTGAATAGATAGGTGGATGGATGAGCAGATGGAGGGAAGAATGATTAACTTCTAATGTGACATTAAAGCAGATTACCTAATGAGGACACATCAGAGAAAGCGTGTTTAAAATAAATAGAATTCAGTCTGTTGTTTCATTTACAATCGAATTGAAAAGATGTCCTTGTTACTAATATGTTGTTATTTATATCTGCTTAGCTTTAAATGTTTTTCTAATAAGAGTAATCATCATCATTTTCATTAGTGATTCTTGCTGTGTGGCTTTTCCTTTTAAAGTCTTCCCAGGCATTTGAATATATGTAAGTAAGGGGTGGTTAGGAGATATAGCCCTTACCTGTTCTTACTCCTGTTGAATTCAGAGATGCATGGAACTCAGGCCCATTTTGTTGCATTTTCCTCTCCTCTATCGAGTGCCGAGAAGGTGGTTCCAAGACCAGGTTTCAGCTGCAGGTTGAGTAGCAGGTCATGTCTTCACTTTCTCTTTTGTTCAGACCAAGCAAGGGTTTATCTCTCTTTCTCTCTCTCTCTCTGTCTCAGGTCAGTCTAGAGCACGAGGAGCAGAAACTGGAGCTCAAGCGCCAGCTCACAGAGCTACAGCTCTCCCTGCAGGAGCGCGAGTCACAGTTGACAGCCCTGCAGGCTGCACGGGCGGCCCTGGAGAGCCAGCTTCGCCAGGCGAAGACAGAGCTGGAAGAGACCACAGCAGAAGCTGAAGAGGAGATCCAGGCACTCACGGTAGGTCTGGGGAGCAACATCTTCAGGTTGCTAAAGGCCTCAGCTAGGATGAGTGTGGAACTGGCACTGAGTATACTGGCTCACCCTTAGAAATTCCAGGAGGGAAAACATGATCCACAAAGATATTCAGTGGCCAGGAAATTGGCTTACATAGGCTGCTGCTTCATTGGAACTAGTAGATGAGCTTGGTTGGTTATATTCAAACTTTTCTTAGTATCTTGAATAGTTCCTCCTTTACTTATATATTTTCCTTCTTTTGAAAAAATCATCATTATATTTTAAAGTTTGGTTTCAGTTTGTTTAAAAGTTTGTTTACCTTGGCTTTCTACTTTAGTTTTCAATAATCATTTAAAATAATAATAATAATCTTATAGTAGTTTTTCTACCATATTTTTACTTTTTGTTTTAGTTAACCTTACTCATGTTACTTTTTTTTTTTTTCAAGCTGTAGATTCTGCTTCCTGTCTTTTGTATGCATCTGGTATGAACTGGATGGGAAAAATTCTACTGAATGAAAGATTCTTTCTCTAAAAGGGACCTGGCTTCCTTGTTCTTTCTGAGAGACTAGTTTACTTAGCTGGAGAGTATTCTCAGGAGGTAGAACTTGGAGCGGGGGTGTTACTGGATTGAAACCTTAGTTCTTTTTAGAAGTCTGAAATGGATTTTTTTGTGGGGCCATTTTCCCCACATTTGATCATTCCCACAGAGACTGACCCAGAATAACAAAACTCACAAAAATCTGATATGTGAAATGCCAACTTAACTTGAAGGGGGAAATGCAACTGCCAAGTTGACTAGGGTACTCTGGGTGGCCAATCTTCACATTTTCTTTTTCCCATTCAGGGAAGTATACTTAGAAAATCCCGTTAATCTTGGAAGGATCCCCGGAGGACCTAGACTGTGAGCATAGAAGGCCAAATGAATTTTAATGGCTGGTGTCAGCCAAGCTCATACATTTCTCATAGTATCATACTGTACCCGCCAAGCAGACAGGCACACACCTGCCTGCTGGTCAGGGTGCCCTCTCCTGTGGGCCAGTCACAATACAGCTGATTGGGTTTAGTGTTTTTTTAATAAGCCACCTAAATAGGTACCTTATTCATTCTGACTCAACTTAGATGCTGTCCCCATTTCCGTCAGTGAACATCTCTAAACCTCTCTTTGATTGGGGTTACTTCCGTGGAATGAATGGCCATGTACATTCATTGCTTACACTTTACCTCGATGTAATGCACGTGTACATCTCTATATCTCTATCTATCTATCTATCTATCTATCTATCTATCTATCTATCTATCTATATCTATATATATTTAACGTAGTTTCATTCTTAGAAGTTATTGCCCATTGTTGGGTTTGGGGATCCCAGTATCTGAACCAAACTGGGAATGTGATCTGACAGTGCCAGGGTCTGTATAGGACCAGTCCAAGGTTTAGTGGCTTCCAGTATGTTTGTGCATCCTAGATTTTCTAGGACTTACACCAAGTTCAGATATTGACTGCACATTTAGGTTCCATAGTCTCTATGAGAACACTCATTAAATGATGCCACATCATGCCCCCAAAATTTGCTTTGGCAAAAAATAACCACAGTATGTCTTTGTGTATACTGTCTTGTTTCACAGTGGACTGAAAACCACTTGGAAAGATGCAACACAGTAAAACAGAACAAAATAAGAAACAAAAGGCAAAGAGAAAATAAGTCTGTAGAAGAAAAAATGGAGCTAGGAATGAAGTTGATATATAAGAGTTCATGCCAAGAAGGCTTATAGACTTGCTGGAGTTGGGAGTTGGGTGGGTGGAGAGAGACAGATAACATTTCTTAGCTTTTAAAGGGAGGCACCTAAATTTCAACCACTATTATATTTAACGCAATGTATATTAATATTTTCCTCCTGTACCTATACCCAACCTCTGAAAGAAAAAGAGACATCAGCAATTTAATCCATATTTAATAAGCCCTTGCTATGGGCCCAATGCTGTGTCTTTAGCTTTTTCTCCCCAGGGGATTGGTCTGTAATTCCTCAAATCCGTTTATTTCAGAGCAGCCGAGAAGGACACATTTATCTTGCTGCTCTGTTGGAATTGGGAAGGAGGGGTGACTGTGTATCTTATCCTGGCCCTGTTTGGAAGGAAGAGGGCATAAAATAGAGCACGTGTCACTGCTCTTTATCTATGGGGAAATTAGTCCTTTAAATCCTTTCTTGCTGCTGGTTGGAATGTGCTGTGTCTGATGGCTGCTGGAAGCTGAGCACAGCAGCAAGTCACGACTTAATTTAGTTAGATGAGATCACTGCCTCAAAGCATCTTCTTAAAAAAAAAAATAAGGAAACAAACCTCCCTTGGTTTAGAAACTAGGGCTCTGTTGCTTTTGCAGATGAAGATGCTGTGGAAAAAACAGGGCTTCTTCAAATGATGGCAGAAGTGCCTTCCTCCAACAGCTGTTTGCAAACCCATCATACGGAAATCCAAACTCCATTTCCATTTGCTTCCATTCAGTTTCAAGGCTGTGGGCTTTTCCTTCCCCCTTCTCTTGATTATGTTCCATAAACCTGGTTATGGACAGCATGTGTTTGTTGCCTGAATGGGTTAGTTGAATTTGTTCTGAAAAACGTCTTTTCCAAGAAAAAGCGAAAATGGTCCCAAAATGCCATACTTTCCAACTTTCTCATTGTTTGAGACCTGAGTGGAGACCCTGCACAAGCATCAGTCAAATGAAATCAGCTGGATCTATAATGATCGCCTAGGAGATTTGTGAGTTTCACAGCAGGCTGTTTTGTCAATAAAAGGGAATAGTCAAATGTGCTATGATTGTTTAATTGTAAGAGGCAGTCATCTCCTAGCCTGTGAAAGGGAGCAGTTACCTTGTTTGGCCTCCATCCCTGGGCCAAATGAGATGGAGCACAGTTAAATTAAAGCTCTCGACTGAAGGGTCTTGGCGGTGCAGCTGGGAGGCCTTTGTTGCCGTTTCTAATGCTTGCCTCTTCTCCACTTTCACTTCACCCATCCTGTCAAATTTAAACAGAAACATGCTTTTAAGATACTTCCGTACTTATTGCTGGAAAAGAGACATTTCAGCCTGAACTTGATATTTAAGACTCCATCTCAAGGGAGATAATTTGAGTCTGCACACCTTATAGCACACGATGTGTGATGTGGTATAAGCATCACTCTGAAGAGGACCACCAGGCAAGAGGCGTGCTGTGTGCTCTGTGTGCACCGGCCAGGCCTCATGAACACATTTTGTGTTTTCACTCCTCTGTTCTTTTACCGATTCTGTCAAGTGACTAATGTTGAATAATCAAGAGTTGAAAGCTAGAGACACTAATGAAAGGAATCCTTCTCCCTGCATAGCGTGATGATGGGATCCCAAAGTCATCCTCTTTGATTTGTTAAAATCATGAGTCAGTGCACGTTCTCATTCTCGTACATAAATATCAAGCCCTCTGTTTAATTAATTAGTAAGCCATCGGCATGATAGCCAAGATGTGAAATCGGGGCATGTAAGGTGACATTCTTGCCTGGTGCCTGCCTTCACCCTGAAAGGGGGTGGGTGCACAGAAGCCTAACCGTTCTAGAATCCTGACCATGGATCCCAGAAGGTGGTCAGACATCTACACGCTTGTTTCCTTTCTTCAGTTCTGCAGATATTTTGCTCCCTCAAGGCTACATTGTAGTTTACTTTTCTTTCTTCTTCTTGTAACTTTCCTGAAAATTAAGGCATAAATACTTCCAAAAGAAAGTATCTCTCTGGTCTTAGGGGCAGACTGGCTGCAACCTGTCCGTCCACATTTTTGCCACCCAACTCCTAGGTTAGTGGTTCCCAAAGTGGATCTGTGGACTCCTGGGTTTCCCAAGATCAGATGGTTTTTTTTCCTTTTTTTTGAGACAGGGTCTCACTCTGTCACCCAGGCTGGAGTGCAGTGGTGCAATGTCAGCACACTGCAGCCTTGACTCCCAGGCTCAAGAGTGATACTCCCACCTCAGCCTCCCAAGTAGCTGGGACTATAGGTGCTCGCCACCCACCTGGTTAACTTTTGTATTTTTTTGTAAAGAAGAGGTTTCACCGTGTTTCCCAGGCTGGTCTTGAACTCCTGGGCTCAAGCAATTCGCCTGCCTTGGTCTCTCAAAGTGCTGGGATTACAGACATGAGCCATTATGCCTGCCTGTCAGACTGTTTTCATAACAATACTAAGATGTCATTTAACACTTTTCACTGTGTTAATATTTGCACTGATGGTGCAAAAGCAATGTTAGTGTTATTTTAAAAGAAATAAAAAATAAATATTTGAAAAATATCTGTCTTAATTTTTTTGTTTGTTTGTTTTTTTGAGACGGAGTCTCACTCTCTTGCCAGGCTGGAGTGCAGTGGCGTGATCTCGGCTCACTGCAACTTCCACCTCCTGGGTTCAGGCGATTCTCCTGCCTCAGCCTCCCGAGTAGCTGGGACTACAGGTGCTCGCCCACCACGCCCAGTTAATTTTTGTATTTTTAGTGAGTCACGGGTTTCACCATGTTGGCCAGGATGGTCTCGATCTCTTGACCTTGTGATCCACCCGCCTCTGCCTCCCAAAGTGCTGGGATTACAGGCTTGAGCCACTGCGCCAGGCCTAATTTTTTTTTTTTTTTGAGATGGAGTCTCCCTCTGTTGCCCAGGCTGGAGTGCAATGGCACGATCTTGGCTCACTGCAACCTCCACCTCCTGGGTTCAAGCGATTTTCCTACCTCAGCCTCCTGAGTAGCTGGGATTACAGGCATGCGCCACCACTCCCAGCTAATTTTTAAATTTTTAGTAGAGAAGGGGTTTCACCGTGTTGGTCAGGCTGGTCTCGAACTCCTG
Source organism: Homo sapiens (assembly GCF_000001405.40). Lineage (NCBI taxonomy): Eukaryota > Metazoa > Chordata > Mammalia > Primates > Hominidae > Homo > Homo sapiens. The sequence goes on along the minus strand of NC_000012.12, from coordinate 119,747,209 downwards.
ACCTTGTGATCCACCTGCTTCAGCCTCCCAAAGTGCTGGAATTACAGGTGTGAGCCACTGTGCCTGGCCATCTCAGTCTTAATTTCTAATGTTGCAAGTGTAGGTGGATACTACATAAACAAGAGCTCTTTGGGGTCCTCAGTAATTTTTAAGAGTGTAGATATTTATTCTCTGTAGCACCTAATATCTAATTAACACTCACACATTTCATTGAGAGCATCCAAAGCTTGTCTTATGCGTTTTGCTGTCTTTATGTATATATTCTATTGCATGAGCTTTTGCCTTTTTGTGTATTTGTTTTATAACTTATTTCAAAAAACATAAAGCATATGACTTACCATTTTCTTACTGTGACTAGTTCAGTAGTTAAGTGCTTACAGTAGGTCTAGCAACCACAACAGGGTCAGTTCTACATTTTGTGTTTATATTTCATAAACAGTAATAAATCAAAAGCCATAATGACTGTGGTTCATTATGTTAACTTTCAGAGAGGATTGCTTGACATGATCCAAAGTCCCCATAATGGTTAATTTTAATGGAAATGGATCAGTATTAATGACTGAAATTTCAGACTCCAGTGGGAGAGTTAAATGAGTTTTTAATGGTGCTGTGTTATTTGAAACTTTGCTGTTAATAAGAAAGTGGAATAGGGCTTCTGTCCCTGTGGATAAGCCAGTGAGCTTTTTTATGGTCACCACTTATGCTTTGAAGGAGCTAACTCCACTCTCAGCTTCCTGTTTCTGTTTTTGAGAGATTTCACACCAAATAGTCATTTAGAGCAGAGACTGGCAAATTACAGGCCAAATTTTAGTCTGTCACTGTTTTCTGTAAATAAAGTTTTATTAGAACACATTAGAAACAAACATGTCTGTTTGTTTACATATCGTTTGTGGCTGCTTTTGCTTTAGAAGGGTAGAGTTAAGTAGTTCTAACCAAGACTGGATACTCTGGAAATTTTAAGGAAATTTCCTTATCTGGCATTTTAAGGAAAAAATTTGCCGATTCCTGACCAAGAGTCTGTTAACATAAGGGCCTTATTCTTTCTCTAGGAAGAATCCTTGCCTTTGGTTTTTGGTGATCATGGAAGACACTAAAGGGGGTTGTGTGGTCCTTGGGTCTAGGCTGCTGCTTGGTCACAGATGAGATTTTGACATAGTGCAGATAGCCACAGTCTTACTTTGGGTAAGCAGTATTCTTATCTTAACAAAGGAATAAATCTCTCATTATTGCTGGGCAAAAAGCAGGTAGATTTTTAGAAAAAAAATTAAGATCTGTTAAATTAGTCCATAGAATATAGGCTAGTTATTTAGGAAGTCAATTCTAAACAATAACTTTTTATTTATAAATCTGTCTGTGATTCTGTCTATGCAACTATCTATTTTTGGTATTTTATGTATTTTTTTATTGGTATATCACAGTCGTACATATTTTTGAGATACATGTGACATTTTGATACATGCCTACAATGTGTAATGATCAAATCAGGGTAATTGGGATATCCATCACCTCAAACATTTATCTTTTCTTTGTGTTGGGAACGTTATAATTCTCTTCTGGCTATTTTCAGCAACTAATCTATTTTTGGTTTGTTTTGTTTTACCATCTCTCCAGGGCTCTTCATTCATTTGTGTAGATCCAAATTTCTGGTTGCCATTTTCCATCTGTCGGAAGGACTTTCTTTAACATTTCTTATAGCACAGGTTTGCTGGTGTCAAATTCCTTCAACTTTTGTATGTTTGAAAAAGTTTTTATATTACCTTCATTTTTTAAGAGGTATTTTTGCTGGGTATAGAATTCTATGTGGACAGGTGTTTTTTTTTTTTTTTTTTTTTTTTGCTTGTTTCTTCTGTTTTTTATTTCAGCACTTTGAAGATATTGCTTTACTGTGTTCTAGCTTTTCATGCCCACTCCTTCTCCCCATCTTGGTGAGAAATCTGTCTTTCTCATTTTTGTTTCTCTTAATGTAACATGTATTTTTCTCTGGCTGTTTTTTTTTTTTTTAAGATTTTCTTTTTATTATTGGACTTAAACAGTTTCATTATAGTGTGCTTTAGGTTAATTTTCTTCACATTTCTTATGCTTGGTACTTACTTGTTGAATATTTTGCATCTGTGGGTTTATGGCTTTCATCAACTTTGGAAAATTTGTGGCCATTATTTCTTGAAATATTTTTTCTGTCTCCTGTACTCCTTCTGGGTCTCTAATTGCATGTATGTTAGGCTACTTGAAGTTGTCCACAACTCCCTGATGCTCTGCATTTTTTGAAAATGCCTTTTTCTTTTCTCATTGTGTTTCATTTTGGTTTCTACTTCTTGTCTTCTACTTCTTTGTTTCTACTTGTCTTCAAGTTCACTAATCTTTTCTTCTAAAGTATCTAATCTGCCATTATAAACTGACAATAGTATTTATGGAAAAATAGACATATTAGAAAAAACATCACAGCTCTAAAATTTTTGACTCAGTTATCTTATAGACTTTTTTTTTTTTTTTTTTTTGAGGCGGAGTCTCGCCCTGTTGCCCAGGCTGGAGTGTGGTGGCGTGATCTCAGCTCACTGCAAGCTCTGCCTTCCGGTTCACACCATTCTCCTGCCTCAGCCTCCAGAGTAGCTGTGACTACAGGCACCTGCCACCACACCCAGCTAATTTTTTGTATTTTTTAGTAGAGACCATCCTGTTAGCCAGGATGGTCTTAATCTCCTCACCTCATGATCTGCCCGCCTCGGCTTCCCAAAGTGCTGGGATTACAGGCATGAGCCACTGCGCCTGGCCTCCTATAGACCTTCTTATGGAGACTTTTTTTTTTTTTATAATTAAATAGAAGGATCACTCTTACATCTGCCCTAAACTGGGTTCTGGGTTCTTATTTGGGTTTTCATACATAAGCAGATGGGACCATATCCACTTTGTCTATCAAGTGAAAAGTCTGTTAGGGCGTCTTTGACTCCTCTTTCCTCTTGGCCACACATCTATCAGTAAGTCCTTTTCCTTATGTTTTCAAAGGAGATCTCAGTTTCATCCACTTTCTCTGTTTGGTTTGTTTGTTTGTTTGTTTTTGCCACCATCCTTCTCCAAGCCACTATCATCTCTCGCTTGAATGACAGTAACAGTACCTTCATTGGTTTCCCTGCTACGTTCTACCTTTGTTCTATTTTGATCCTCTTCTCCCTGTAACATCTACCGTGATCTTAAAACAACAGTAAAATCCGTCACTTTCTTTCTTAAAATTTTCCATTGGTTTTCAATTAATTGAATTTTGAATGAAACCTAAATTCTTTACTGGACCTTCAAGATTCTTGGTCTCTGCCTTGGTCCCTGTCATCATCTTGGGCTACTTTTTTTTCTTCTTTGCTGTGCTTTTTCAAAAGTTGACCACAACCCACAGAATACATTTTACTTGCAATCCAATAGAAGGGAGTATATATACTGTATTTCACTGTTTCTAAGGCATCTGAAATCAAGGTGCATATTACAGTCATATACAGACATAAACATGTCATAGTTTAACAGCACTTTTTCTTTCTTAATGTTACATAAAATTAGGTTTTACCATGGAAAGTACCTTAAATTTGATTAGTTATAGTATCTAAAGCAGAAGTTTCCTATAACAGACCTCATGTTTACTCCTCAAGGCACATTCTGATGTTTTCAATTCTATCTTTTTTATTCTACTTCACTGGATACAACAAAACAAAAAACCCCACTTGTCATGCTTGCTATTGGGTCACAGCTTGCAGTTTGAAAAACTCTGCTCTAGCCACTCAGTTTTTTTGGTTGTTGTTGTTCATCAAATGCACCAGACCCTTTCCTGCCTCAGGGTCTTTGCAAATGCTGCTCCCTCTGCCGTCTCCTGTCCATTGCATGGCTGGCTCCTCATCATCCTATAGGTTTCAGCTTACATGCCACCTCCTCAGAGAAGCCCTCCTTGACCATCCCATCTAAGTAAGTTTCTACCTACCTTTCTTATTCCTTTTTTTTTTTTAAACTGGTCCCTATTTGTTTTCTTTATAACATTTGTCCCAATCTCTAATCACGCACTTATTCATTTCCGATCTTCCGTCACCAGAATGAAGGCATGGGTCATGGATGCCTATATCCTTCCACAGTGTCAAGCATATAGTATGCACTAAAAAAGTCCTTGTCAACTGAAAAAATGCTGCTGGTTTAAGGCAGCTTTTTCCTGGAGAAAGCCTATATATATTTATTTCAAGGCCGATGTAGAGTTTTCTGAATGTCCGCAGCTTTTAATGAAAAAACAACACACACACAAAGTCCCTTTGTCTTGGCTATTGTCCTGTGTGTGCGTTTCTGTGTGTATGTGTGTGTGTGTGTGTGTGTGTGTGTGTCAGGGAGTAGGCTGGGGAGGAGTCAGTTGGAGGGAAGAGGGAAAATACTCATCTTTTCAGAATGGGAATAGGACAAATGAAGGAGAGTAAAACTTCATCCTTTATTGCTTTTTTTCCCTTTTCTCCTAATAGCCTGTAGGTGTTAATATAAATGTTAAAAATATTTGTACAGGGTGTGCATGTATGGTCTAAAGAATTAATTGTTATTAACACAGCATTGTGTATTCCTGTAACTTATTTCTGGTGTTGGGGATGATTTGATTAATTAGTTCTTAGAAAAACAGATGCTGGTGCCGCATTCTCGGCTTTCCAGGCAAATTGCTATTCTCTATATTTGACCCGTAGCATGTAGAATTGTATTCTACCCTATGAAAAATTTATAATCAACTTCTTACCTTTTAGGCACATAGAGATGAAATCCAGCGCAAATTTGATGCTCTTCGTAACAGCTGTACTGTGAGTATTAATTACCCAAAGACGATTAAAATAACATGAAACTAAAACAGAGGAGGAAAAGGGGACGTCTCTTTAAAATATTGGTGACTGAGTTTTGATACGAACTTGCAGCTTGAAGAAGATAATGCAATCAACCTTATTTGGAGTTTTTGAGCCCTAGATAACCTGTTTTTGGGGGTTCTTCCAGTTTTCAAAAACTGAAACCATTCTTCATGTTTTGGGGAAGAGGATAGTTGGAAGGGTCAAAATAATTCTATTAGTGGAACAACTAATAGGTTTCAGCAGCCGCAACAAAAATCCCAAGGCAGTTCCACCTCCTGTCCCAATGTAGAAGGTTCCATGGCTAGCCCAGGTCAGAGACTCCCCTGTCACCAGGGCAGTTGTATCTGTGAGACTTGTCCAGATTGCTGCCCCTGCGGAGGAAAGACCAGTGAGCTCTCCTGGAGACCTAGAAATTGTAACTTTCTACCAGGCAAAATTTGGCTTCCCAACATGCAAATTCAAAATCTAGGACTCTTTGGGAGATGTTATTTATATTGAGAGAAGTAAATTCTATGAGTGGATAAGCATCTTCCATAGGTTATATAATAGAGTAGGGTCAGTGGGAATTCAGTCTATTTTTGATGAGAGTGAAGAACTGAAATAGGCCCCTTTCAGAAGATGGGGATGTTCTCCTTATTCATGTGCCCTCTCTTTTCTTTGGCCTTTTTGTCACTTTATTACCTTCTTAGTCCTCAGTGATCTTGTCCTTGTTTGTATTATTTGCATTTGTGAATTTCCAGAGACACCTCCCAGCCTCCACACACATACATATTTTATTTTCTTGTTATGAGCCCTTTCTTTCCTCTTTAGCTACTGTAAATGAAATATTAAGTCCTAATGGTATTTTTTTCTTAATTTAGATATAAAATGTATCTAGTAAAGCACATAATAATGTAGTAATTTTAAGTATACAGCTCAATAAAATTTTTACACAGATAGACAACTGGGTAACCCCAATGTAGATCAAGATACAGAACTTTCTTAGTCCCTGAAGGCTCCCTCATGTCCCCTTCCCATCATCATCCTTCACCCAAAGGGTAACCACTATGCTGACCTCTGATAACCATAGTTTAGTCTTACCTGTTCTTGAATGTCATATAAATGGAATCACAGAGGATGTGCTCTCTGGGGCTTAGCTTTTTTTTTCGCTTAAATGTTTTGTGAGGTTCCTCCATGTTGCTGTACCTATCAATAATTTGTTCTTTTTTTTTTTTATCACTGTGTGGTGTTTCTGGTGTATGAATAGAACTATAGTTTGTTTATCCATTCTCCTTGTTGGTAGACATTTGGATTGTTTCCATAATGGATCAAGCTGTTAGGAAACCCCGTTACACAAGGCCTTTGGTGGCTGTGAGCACTTACGTCTGGTGAACATATCCCCAAGAATTACTAGGTCATGAGATTTGCCTCTGTTTGACTTTAGTAGGGAACTGACAGACCAGTTTTTTGGTCTGTATTTCCTGATGTGGTGGTGGATCGGGATGGGCCTGCCTTAAAATGTCTGTGGATTTCCTCCATCCCTCCTCCCTTCCTTGAGGAGTTGGGGGGTGACATTCTGGTAGTTTTCTGCCCTAGGATTTTAGTTTCTTGTTGTCTTCGTTTCTTATTTTACACAAGAATTATTTGCTTATATTACATACATGCGCGTGAATGATCACTGAATAAAATGTAGATCATTTTATGACTGGAATTTTTTATATTACTATTTTTTCCTTATATAAGCTTGGATTTTAAAAAATGTGTGCATTAGTAATCCTGTTCCATTCATCTGGAGTTCTTTTTTCCTTTTTCAGTCTTTTGGCATAAGAACTTTCTAAAAAACTTTTTTTTACAGTTTTATTGAGGTATAATTGGTGTACTATAATCTGATGCGTTTTAAAATGTGTGTGTAACTGTGAAACAGCAAAACAATCAAAATAATGAATTTTGTTATTATTTTGGATAATAAGGTTATCCAAATTTTATCCTTGAGCGATAAAAACAAAATATTTATTGTATTCATGACCCTCAAAAGTTTCCTTATACCCCTTTGTAATTCATCTTGTCCCCCATTTTAAAAACTGGAAGTTTAGTTTTAGTGGAATACACTAGTATGTAGAATGCATTTGGTTACTTTCTCATGTAACTCTAATGCTCTCCAAATTTGCATTTCTGGAACGGTGACTTCTAATCTTTGCTTCATTTACCTCTGTGTTCTGTGGCGAAGCCTATGGGGGCCTTCCCAAGTGTGTGTGTGTGAACCTGAGAGAGATGCCCTTCACCCACATTTCAGCCAGAGGAGCTGGGTAACTTAGTAGTCTAAGTCATGGGCTCTGGAATCAGATAGAGTTCAGATTATAAATTGGCCTCTTAGTAACCTACGTGTATTATCCTACTAAGCCTCTGTTTCTTTGTCTGTAAAATGGAGATAACATTGTATACCCTCAGTTCCAATCAGTACGCTCATTGATTGTAGGATGCATAATTTATTTAATAACTGCTCTTTGGGGGCTGGGTGAGGGAAGAGAGAGAGCTGCTGGTTCCAGTATACCACGTATCCACATTTCAGAAACAATACAACTTATGGAACACTGAGTCATGGGATTTGGTAGTAGTACCTCCCTCATAAGGTTGCTGCGAGAATTAAATGAGATACGTGCAAACTGCTTGCACAGGGCCTGATCCATAGAAAGTACTAAACAACATTGGTTACTACTATTATTTTATTCTCCTGGGCTTATAATATAATCTTTTGTTTGGAAAATGGCTCTGCTGCTACTTTAAAAAGTTTGAATACCACTACTTTAGAACAACATTTGGCCACAATAGTAGGTCTCAATTATACTTTTGCAAGTTCAAGACCGCTTTAAAGACACTTCAGAGGAGTGTGTTGGAGGTTCCTTTCTTTCTTGGCATTGCCCAAGATTGTCTCCGCTAGGAAATGTCATCTTTGTCATTTAAAAATGAGTTATTATGGGAGTTCCCACAACTCCCATAATAACTCAATTGATAGGAGCTCTCTTCAGCTTTCAAAAAGCTCATGCACAGTAAGATTTTCAAGCTCAGACCATTTCTATATTTTGAAGACATTTAAAAAGGATTTGATTCAATCTGGCACCTAAAACCCTACCTAAGTCTGTTTTAGAGGGGAGTTGGTGGGCAAACATATGACACAGTTTTAATTATGAATCAATCTGTCAGCTATAAGATTAAAAATAAATAATATGCAAATAGCTGCCTTCAGAAGAGAACCAGGCATTAAAATAGGATTTCAGTCCTGTGTCTGTTTAGCCTGATGCTCATTATCTGACTGGTTTCTTCACCCCTAACATGCCATTGGACTTTTACCTGGTAATTTTCCTCTCCTGGTCTTCCAGTTAGGTGTGAGAGGTTCACATCTTCTTCTCAGAACCATGATAGCACTGAAAAACAACAGATAAGCCCAAACAGAGCTGTTTTTTTTTCTTTTTGACACTGAGAGTAGATCTTTTTTTTTTTTTTTTCTGGAGATTGAGTTTCTCTCTTATTGCCCAGGCTGGGGTGCAATGGCGTGATCTTGGCTCACCACAACCTCCGCCTCCCAGGTTCAAGTGATTCTCCTGCCTCAGCCTCCTGGGTAGCTGGGATTATAGGCATGTGCCACCATGCCCAGCTAATTTTGTATTTTTAGTAGAGACGGGATTTCTCCATGTTGGTCAGGCTGGTCTTGAACTCTCAACATCAGGTGATCCACCCGCCTCAGCCTCCCAAAGTGCTGGGATTACAGGTGTGAGCCACCACGTCCAGCTTAGATCTTTTTTTTTAATATCTTCTGTCTTAGAACTGTACCAAGACCTCTCATCTGTAAAAACAGCATATAAGAAAGCTCTGCTGGCGCCTGCGTTGTGAAGATATTTTGCTCATCTTTTTTTGCTGCTAAGATGGAATCAGCCTTTCAGTTTCTCTTTTTTACTCTCTATCTTTGGGGTTAAAAGGTTAACAGACTCATAGTAAACAAATCATTTGTCCTTGGTGGGTAGAGAATATACCCAGGACCAGAAAGTAGACCTAACAATTTTCCTTGCACATTCCCTGGATCAAAATCAAGAGGGGTTGTCCTGAATGGTCAATATATCTTACCTCCATCATTTCAGTTTTCAAAGATCTGAATAAAAAAGTGAATAAACACTTCTATCCCTATTTTAGACAGGCAGTATGGTTCAGGGGGCAAGAATGTAGATTCTTGAGTTTTAGTGTTGGGTTCAAATTCTGGCTTTGTTATTTACTAGCAGTGACCTTGGGCAAGTTACCTAGCATCTCTGTTTCCCCAATTTCCCCATCTATAAAATAGAAATAAAATAATACCTACTTCAAAGGACAGTAGTGAACATTGCCTGTTGTTATGCCTTTTTTAAAAAATCCACGAAGACCATTAATTTACTGCCTATGTCATAAGTCAGTTTAATATCTGTAAACTCAGTAACGTATGTGTGTGTGTGTGGGTGTGTCCAACGTTTAATATCATGACTCCAGCAACTTGAAACAAGGTCACAAGCTAAATGTGTTATGGCTTGGGTAGATAGAATATGTGTATAAAAAGTCCAAATCAATTAAAATGCCTTCAATCTCGGCATGGGTACTTTACAAAAACATGTAACACTTCTCTTGTCAAATGGGCAAAATAGAGATGATGACCAAATATAGAACCAGCAATCACAAACCGGAAATATAATTAGAGGCGTGAGAACCCTTGAAAACTGGATGACAACAGGGAAATAGAAAGACCCTTCTTATTCCAATGGGCCCATCTCAATTGAGTGATACAAAATTGCCCTTTTTCAAGTGTTTCTTCTTTAGCATTTTATAATATAACTTTGGGAGAAAACGAAGAGGTGGCAGAAATGGGCTACCATCACAAATGATAAATTGCATTTTTTTCGTGAATCAAAGAAAGCAGGTACCCAAAGTCTTAAGTACATCCTTGAATGGCAAGTAAATTATTTTGGCAATGATGTATTTTCATGTGAGTAGACTTTCTATAGTCTAGTCTATTTATTCCCCAAGAGGCTTTTTTTTTTTTTTTTTTTTTTTTTTTTTTTTTTTTGAGATGGAATCTTGCTCTGTCACCCAGGCTGGAGTGCAGTGGCGCAATTGTGGCTCACTGCAAGCTCCGCCTCCCGGGTTCATGCCATTCTCCTGCCTCAGCCTCCCGAGTAGCTGGGACTACAGGTGCCCGCCACCACGCCTGGTTAATTTTTTGTATTTTTAGTAGAGACGGGGTTTCACCGTGTTAGCCGGGATGGTCTTGATCTCCTGACCTCATGTTTACATGATGCATTAAGGTCAAATAACATGCAAGAAAATTAAAATAATTAAAAAGGTAAAAGCAGATGAGTAAATATAGTGTTCACTCCCATGTCACAGATGAAGAAACCAACCCAGCAAAGGTCAGATGGCTTATTGGGGGTTCCAGAATCCATTTTATATCTTCCAAGCCAGCTTGCCTGTCTTATTTTTCTTTGGGAAAGAGGTAGGGGGAGGAATTAGTAGTTAAATGGAGACATTATGAAAAACATCTTAAGGAATGGGTTTACTACGTACAGGAAGGAGACCAGTTGAACTACTGGGCATTGTTTATTCATTGTTTCTGGTTTTAGGAGATTTAACATGCCACAGAAAGGGAAAGGCAGGGACCCTGCAAGTCATAAGTGTCTGTTAGGAATGGCAAACGTACAGATTTTCCTTATTTGTCTTCCTTGATAAAGAATGTATCTGAGCTAAGAACCTGACCAGATAACTTTTATTCCCCCTCTTGTAGCTGACAGTGTACTTCAAAATCGTACATAGGAATTAATGTGGCTTTTGACATTAAAAAGCAAATTACTAGACCATTAGACCATACACTAAAAGGTTATCAGCTCAGTTAACAAAATGAAAAGTTGTATCTCCTCTGAGTACATTTGTGGACAAGTGTACTTAATTGATGTTCTTTAATTTCATGTGCCTGGGAAGATTTTTTTTTAAATTGATAATCAAAGAGGGTTAAAATAGGGAATTAGTCATGAAAGCAATGGCAACATTTCATAAACGAAATCGACTCTAGGTTTGAAAATTGGAAACAATTAATAACTGTAGGCTTAACGGCATTTCCTTTTAATTTCCTTCTTTTTGTTACGTAAAATTTAATTTACTGCCTGTGTGCCTCAGTCCAACTATTATTAGAAAATTGCCCTTAAACTTCCAAGGTATTATACATAAAAGCTCTCTGCAAGCCATAATACTAAATCTCAGCAAAGAGAATAGGAAAGCTAAATGTTCTGAAATTGAAGTCATTCTGCTACTGAGCAGGAGAGTAATTTAGCAAACCCCGATTAAATCTCTCTCAATAAAATAACAATTTCATATACATGGCTTCCCATTGTCTGATAGCCAACTGTATAGTAAAATCCATTAAAGTCATGCCATAGTACAGTGTATTGTATTTTCAGGGTTTTTCTGAGTTTCCCTGAAGTTTTTTTCCTTTGTTGTATGAAATTAAATTTATTGCTTGTGATATTATCGAAATAACTCCTGGCGTCTTTCCCTGTCAGTCTTCCTTGATAAGAACTTCATTTTGCTTTCTAAGACTATGGCCATCTCCAATAATAAGGTCCTAGTGATAGTGTCATGGGCATTTTTAGCTTAATTAGTGGATGGTGATACCAGTCTATTCTTAATTTGCATTTTCTTTCCACATTATATTATTTCCGTCAATTTGATCTCATTCGAAGTCATCCGTTTCATGCAGTGATTACTTTTGATTGCTTTTGCCATATTTTTTAGATGTGTCCTGAGTTAGAGAGAAACTGAGTCTTTTTCTTCCACTGCTCGTGTTTAGAGTTAAGTGGCTGGGCATAGGAGCTTGGACATGGCTCTCACGGTCAGGTGGGCAAACTCATGAGCGGCACGTTGATTGCCAGTGTCACGTGGGTTCAGAAATCCATAGCCCTAGAAGCAATTTCTTATTTGAAATGAATGTGCTTGGCGTGTAACTGGATTCCTTTCCTCTTTTAGGTAATCACAGACCTGGAGGAGCAGCTAAACCAGCTGACCGAGGACAACGCTGAACTCAACAACCAAAACTTCTACTTGTCCAAACAACTCGATGAGGCTTCTGGCGCCAACGACGAGATTGTACAACTGCGAAGTGAAGTGGACCATCTCCGCCGGGAGATCACGGAACGAGAGATGCAGCTTACCAGCCAGAAGCAAGTAAGGAGGGTTAACAAGGTCGTGAGATCCCTGGAGGACTTTTAGAAGGATTTTAGGAGTGCTTGGTGCGTTCTCCCAAGGGTTCCAACACTGAACCTCATACAGTAATTGGGCTCTTTTTAAAATCATGTCTTTTTTCCAAGCCTTTAGGGTTTTAAAAATGTATTTTAAAAGTGTGTAGTTCTTATTAATTTTGATTTTAAAAAATAGGGCCAGTGTGGCAGCTCTTCCCTGTCATCCCAGTACTTTGGGAGGCCGAGGCAGAAGGATCACTTGAGCCCAGGAGTTCAGGATCAGTCTGGGCAATATAGTGAGACCCCATCTCTTAAAAAAAATAAAAATAAAAAAGATAAAAATTAGCTGGGCTTGGTGGTGCATGCCAGTAGTTCCAGCTTTTCAGGATGCTGAGGCGGGAGGAACGCTTGAACCCAGGAGGTCGAGGCTGCAGTGAACTGTGATCATGCCACTGTACTCCAGCCTGGGTGACAGAGCTGGACCCTGTCTCGAAAAAATAAAGATAGATAAAAACAAAATCAAATGCTTTGGGGGATCAATGTAAATGGCTTGATTTTAAGCTTGGTCACTTCCCCTGGCTTTGCTTTGGATCCTGCCTCTAAGGTGGCTGCAGAACTGGCCCTTCATCCATTCTTGCCTGGTCCCCTTGGGCTGCAGAAGCAAAAGACAAACCGCATTTCAAACTGTAGTTAGAAACTTGTGCTTTTCTGAAACTGACCCGACCAAAGTAATCTCCAGGAAATCCTTGTTTAAAGACAAGGCACAAATCAGTGCTACTGATTTGCAGACGATGGAGGCTCTGAAGACCACGTGCACCATGCTGGAGGAACAGGTCATGGATTTGGAGGCCCTAAACGATGAGCTGCTAGAAAAAGAGCGGCAGTGGGAGGCCTGGAGGAGCGTCCTGGGTGATGAGAAATCCCAGTTTGAGTGTCGGGTTCGAGAGCTGCAGAGAATGCTGGACACCGAGAAACAGAGCAGGTGGGGCTTTGTGTTTGTGGAAAGCTCATGACAGGTGACCGCAGGAGGATCGGCCTGAGAGTTGTGGACAGGGTGATCAGCTATTCCCGCCGAGACTGAGAAGTTTCCTGGGTCACAAGCCTCCTGGTGCTAAAAACCAGGAGACTCTTGGGCAAACCAGGATAGGGTGGTCACCCTAGTTGTAAACGTAGATAGTGTGAGTTGGATTCTGTGGCTATGACTGGTATCTGTTTTCCCCATGCAGAGGCCTGGGCATCAGGGCAAATACCTCTGTTTTCTGTGCAGAAAACTCTCATGAGGTTTCTTGTCAGAGTGACCATAGCAAGGCCATAGCAAAACCATTACCATTTTAATCCTGGTCTTCCCTCCACCCCAGGGTTCCTCAACCTTGGCACTATTGACATGTCAGGCTGGGTCATTCTTTGTTATGGGGGCTGTCCTGTGCATTGTAGGACGGGACAGCATCCCTAGTCTCTACTCACTAGATGCCACCAACAACCCCCTTCCCACGTTGTGACAACAAATATGTCTCTAGACATTGCCCCCAATATCCCCTGTGTCTCCATTGTCCCCAGTTGAGAACCACTGCTGTACAAGAATAGTTTAGTGGGTTTTTTTTGTTTTTTTTTTTTTTGTGACAGAGTCTCTGTCACCCAGGCTGGAGTGCAGTGGCACCATCGCAGTTCACTGCAACCTCCACCTCCAGGGTGGGAGGAATTCTCCTTCTTCAGCCTCCCAAGTAGCTGGGAATACAGGTGTGCACCACTATGCCCGGCTAATTTTTTTTTTGTATTTTTGTAGAGACGGGGTTTCACCGTGTTGGCCAGGCTGGTCTCAAACTCCTGACCTCAAGTGATCCACCTGCCTTGGTCTCCCAGAGTGCTGGGATTACAAGCGTGAGCCACCACACCTGGCTGGTTTTTTTTTTTTTCTCCTTTCTTAGTAGGAAATGATAATAATCAGTTCAGGCAGTATCGTTCCTCTGCTTTCTCACTTTTGTTTCCACAGTTCCCCAGTATAGATTTCCCTTCCTGTGGGGCCACAGTGGCACAATTGCATACTCCATAGTTCTAAGGGTTGCTGGTCACATTAAAGATGTCATAGACTGGAAGAGTTGTTATGACAGTTTTACACAGCTCATGGCAGAAAAGTGTTTTCTTTCTGACAAAATTGGTACGTTGTGACATTTCACAGATGGAAAGAAATGGTCTAGAAGGACGGGTGCCGCTTTCCAGTTTGTACAAAGGCATGATATGGGCTAGTGTGTGCCCCGTGACTTCCTGTCTGCACAGCTGAATCGGATCCATTTTTCATCAACTTGCTCATGTCACCTTCCTCTGAAACTTACCTTCCTGTGATTCTCTGAACTCCTTAAGCAAGATTAGCTATCCATAGAAATATCGATCAATGAATTAGTCTGTATTACACTCACTTGGGTATCTATCTCTCACTTTTGCTTGGCCATAGTAGGCTTAACTAAATATGTCAGATGGATTACGCAAAGTTCAGTTGAGCTCCAAAAGTTTGGAGGTAAAAGATGAAAACCCTTACATTTCAAAAGAAATGGTAGAAATAGTTCCTTTTTGTAGATCCTCCCAGCTTCCCCACTCAGGGTATTTGTTGATGTGAGGGACTGCTGTTTAAGTCTCCTATTCCAGCTTCCTTCTGAATCCTTAGACTCCCCCATCCTCATTGTAAGTTCTGGTTGTTTTCCCACAGACCCCTTCCCTCCCACCCTCAAGTCCAGCTCCTATCCTAGCTGTTTTTAGGGACCTACAGAGATCATTTTTGGGGTAGGATCTGGCTTCAGCATCAAGAAATACACGACCATACATGGAAGGTATAATTATGAACTGTTCTCAGGAAGACTAGCATTAGTCTGCTTTCATTTCATGTCTGCTTTCAGGGCAATTGTGGAAGATCGTGCCTTTCTTTTCCTTTTTTTTCTTTTTTCTGTTTTGGTATTATATGGGATACTGAGATGAGTAAAATATAATTGTTAATCTTTGTCCTCAAGAGCCTAAGAGTCTACTGGAGGAGATATGGATTCAGATATTTAGGAGAGATGGGGAGGCCGAAGTGGGTGGATCACTTGAGGTCAGGAGTTTGAGACCAGCCTGGCCAACATGGCGAAATCCTGTCTTTACAAAAAATACAAAAATTAGCCGGGTTTGGTGGCACGTGCCTGTAGTCCAAGCTACTTGGGAGGCTGAGGCAGGAGAATCGCTTGAATCTTGGAGGTGGAGGTTGCAGTGAACTGAGATCACGCCACTGAACTCCAGCCTGGGCGACAGAGTGGGACTCCATCTCAAAAAAAAAAAAGTATATATATATATATATATATATATATTTAGGAGAGAAATACAGTTATGCTTTTGTTACAGAACAAGGTGAGGTTGCTCCTGAGAAGAGAAAGTGGGAATAGTTTTATGGAGATCATAGCATTTGAATTTATCCTTGAAGGCTGAGTAAGATTTGAGTTTGCAGAGTAGCAAAGGAGGGAATGGCCAGTGGAGGAGATTGTATAAGCCAAAGTGTGGAAGTAGGAAGCATGATACCTAAATGGGGAAAGGGAAGTGATTTTTTTTTCCTATTTTGCTTCTGGTTTTTCTATTCTTTAGCATTATTTATGGAGACACTCATCAGATTCAAGTTTCACTTTTGTTTTTTCTTTTTTTTTTTTTTTTTGAGAATGGAGTCTTGCTTTGTTGCCCAGGCTGGAGTGCAGTGGTGCCATCTCGGCTCACTGCAACTCTGCCTCCCGAGTTCAAGCAATTCTCCTGCCTCAGCCTCCTGAGTAGCTAGGATTACAGGCATGCGCCACTATGCCTGGCTAATTTTTTGTATCTTTTGTAGAGACGGGGTTTCACCATGTTGGCCAGGCTGGTCTCGAACTCTTGACCTCAGGTGATCTGCCCACCTCAGCCTCCCGAAGTGTTGGGATTACAGGCGTGAGCCACTGCACCCAGCCTCAAGTTTCAGTTTCTTGATGAGTACCCAAAAACATTTAACTTTGTTTTTGTTTTTGTTTTGTTTTGAGACCGAGTCTTGCTCTATCACCCAGGCTGGAGTGCGGTGGTGTGATCTCGGCTCACTGCAACTTCCACCTCCTGGGTTCAAGTGATTCTCCTGCCTCAGCCTCCCGAGTAGCTGGGTTTAGGGGCGCACGCCACCACACCCAGCTAATTTTGTATTTTTAGTAAAGATGGGATTTCACCACGTTGGCCAGGCTGGTCTTGAACTCCTGACCTCAGGTAATCCACCCACCTTGGCCTCCCAAACTGCTGGGATTACAGGCATGAGCCACCGTGCCTGGCCTGTTTTGTTTTTCCTTACCCAAGCCTAACATGGGTCAAATCTTTGCTTTGTAAGCTGTTGGAAAGGAAGACAGTTTGGAACTAAGAGTCAAGGTTGGGCATCTTTCTGGCCTGCAGCCTGTTTAGTTGCTCGTCAGGATTAGAGACGGACCAGCCTTCTTTCCGCAGGTCAGCTGTTGGGGGGCTACCAAAAGCTGACCTGTGTCTTTCTGGCAGGGCGAGAGCCGATCAGCGGATCACCGAGTCTCGCCAGGTGGTGGAGCTGGCAGTGAAGGAGCACAAGGCTGAGATTCTCGCTCTGCAGCAGGCTCTCAAAGAGCAGAAGCTGAAGGCCGAGAGCCTCTCTGACAAGGTCAGCGCCCACCCCTTCTGCTTTTTAGGAAAACATTTTCGTTTCCTTCTTTTAAAGGCACGCTTGATAAAAATTCAAATGCAATCCATGGCAAACATATTTCATAAACATATGTTCATGCACTCCAAAAATGTCCCATGGTTTTGCCTTACCATGGGACATTTTTGGTTGGCAGTAGCGTGGGTGGGTGCGGTGGGTACCCAGTGATCACAGTCGGCCAGTGACTTTTTAAAATCTGTGTGTCTAGGCCCTTGAAGTTCGAATTTTGATCTGGGTGTTCTACTCTCTGGTTGTCTGGCATCTTATTTCCAGAAGGCTTTATGGATTGAATGCTGTGCATCTTTGGGAAGTTCTTGGTGGCAGTGACTAATGCTCATCCAATTGCTGCAGTAATAGGCAGCTCAGCTTCTCCGTGTTCCAAGTTCAGGGTCGTGATAGGGTCTGATGACGCATGCTGGTTCTCAGTATTTCACATCGGAAATACACGTGTTCCATCCATGTGCCTCTCCATATTACATTTATAGTCATAAACAATGTTTTGGAGATTTTAGCTAATAATCTTGAGAGAGATACAGAATAGGCGCTTCAGCGTTACAGATCACCAAAGTGAAGATCAGAGGACTTTTATGTATGAACACACAGATGCATACATAGACACTCTTTTTCATGCACATACACACACAAAATAAAATAACGATCTGATTTTATATTTTCTATAACTTTGTTATTTCATGATAGAAAAATAATTATTTGGGTCATTGTGGAAAATATAGAAACCACAGAAAAGTAAAAGAAATAATGGCTGGTCACCCATCGCTGTTGTTTTATTGGTGTATTTATTTGCAGTCTCTGTGCTTATGTTTATGCATACACACATATACATAGACATACGTATGTATTTTTATAAATTAGATTTTCATTATATATACAGCTTTACCTGTTTTTATTAAAAATCATTTAACTTCAGGTTTTTTCTGAGTTGAATATTTTTTGAATATGTGATTCTAAAAAAAATAAATTGCATGGAAGTACCTACTTGAATCATTATACTTGTATTGGAAATTTGAACTTCCAGTATTTTACCATATAAATAACAATATGATAAACATGAATCTTTATGGACATCCATGATTATTTTCTTACCGGATACTTATATTAATAGAAGCAGAATTATTAGGTTTAAGGCCAGAGCTCTCTAGTCAGGAATGCTCCTGAGTTCCCTGAAACTGGGTTACCATTTTTTTTAAGCATGAGGAAACTAGATTTATTAGAGCTATGTGAGGCCTTTTATGTTTAATGTGAAAAATATTTTTTTCTAGTTGACTGTTCTTAAAATGTTAAGCAGCAAAGTCCTTCATATCTTTTAAAGCTCCAGACTTTGCAATACCTTATTGTCTTGATCTTCTCCTAATTGGGTTGAATTTCTTTCCCAAGCCTTTCTTATCAAACTTATAAGCTGACAGAGCAGTCATTATTTGCATACATGTCTAGTTATGGGCCTTTCTGACTTGACGTAAGATCCTTGAGAGCTTGGTTATCCTTTCATCCTAAAAGCTATAATGCAGGTAGTAAGCATTCAGCGTATGATTATTTAATTAAATTCAGCCAAAGCATGTCAGATAAATAAGTCCTTGAGCAGTTATCCTCCTAGAACTTGTCACAGCCATATTTAAGAGCCATCCCTTAGAAATAATTTCCATCCTCATATAATAACCTATGGAAGACTCACCAGTGACAGGGACTTCTGTATTTAGAAAAAAGCAACCTTTACGTTCTGACCTTTAGAACTCAATATTCTTTCTCCGTGAAGGTTCGTGGACATTCATAAACGTTGTCAGCATCTAACATTCCTAAGTGTGGCATTATGCCAATCTTTCCAAATGTCTAGCTCAATGACCTGGAGAAGAAGCATGCTATGCTTGAAATGAATGCCCGAAGCTTACAGCAGAAGCTGGAGACTGAACGAGAGCTCAAACAGAGGCTTCTGGAAGAGGTGAGTGTGAAATACCTGGGAGAAGGGCCAAGTGGATTTTTTTTTTCTTTTAATAGGCTTCTTTTTTTTGGAGCAGCTTTAGGTTCACAGCAAAATTGAGCAGAAAGCACAGAGAGTTCCCACATACTCCCTGTCTCCTCCTCCCACAGTGTCCCCAGCTATCAACACCCTGTACCAGAGTGTCCATTTGTTACAATCAATGGGCCTGCACTGACACATCGTCATCACCCCAAATGCATAGTTTAAATTAGGTTTGCTATTGGTGTTGTATGTTCTATGGGTTTTGACAAATGTGTAATGACAGTTATCCACCTTTACTGTATCATACAGGATAGTTTCACTGCCCTAAAAACCCTCTGTACTCTGCCTGTTCATCCCTCCCCACCCTCAACTCCTGGCAGCCACTGATCTTTTTGCTGTCTCCATAGTTTTCCCTTTTCCAGAATGTTGCATATCTGGAATCACACAGGATGTAGCCTTTCAGATCAGCTGCTTTCACTTAGTCATATGCATCCAGGTTTCCTCCATGTCTTTTCATAGCTGGTAGCTCATTTCTCTCTGGAGTCTTTTTTTTTTTTTGGTCTTGCTCTGTTGCCCAGGCTAGAATGCAGTGGAGCAATCACTACTCACTGCAGCCTTGACTTCCTGGGTTCAGGTCATCCTCCCACCTCAGCCTCCTAAGTAGCTGGGACTACAGGTATATGCCTCCATGCTCGACTAATTTTTGTATTGTTTTGTAGAGATGGGGTTTCCCCATGTTGCTCAGGCTGGCTGGTTTCAAACCCTTGGGCTCAAGTGATCTACCTGTCTTGGCCTCCCAAAGTGTTGGGGTTACAGGCATGAGTCCCCGTGCCCTGCCTGGACTTGTAAACAAATTTCTTTAAAAGATTTTTTTATTTCAATAGCTTTAGGGGTACAAGTGTTTTTTTGGTGACATGGGTGAATTGTGTGGTGGTGAAGTCTGGGCTTTTCGTGTACCTGTCACGCAAATAGTGTATATCGTACCCGATAGGTAATTTTTCATCCCTCACTCCCCTCCTCGCCTTCCCCCTTCTGAATCCACAGTGTCTATTATACCACTTGTATGCCTTCATACTCATAGCTTAGCTCCCACTTGTAAGTGAGAATGTGCAGTAGTTAGCTTTCCGTTCTAGGTGGAATTTTGAAATTGACAATTTGTCAGATCCAAATTAGATATTTTGAAATTAGAATTTTCAAGTAAGAGTATGGGGGTCATGTAATACTTGTCTTAAGGTATTTAACACATTAAAAGACTATGTCATGAAGGCCAGAGGGTCTCTGTCATTTTTATCCTTCTATGTGATGCTTAATGGAGTGTCAAGCACATAGTAAGTGTGTGCCAAATAGAAGTTTATTAAATACATGGGTGAATGAATATTGAGTTAAATTGTTCTTTAGAGCTAATATCCAAAGTATATTAAGTTTCATGCCGATAGGACATCCATGCAAATTAGCTTCCTGCACAGGGCAGAATTTTATCAGATTATTCTGAGTACCAAATTTCATGAAGGTTTTTGAACATTGGGTAATTTAGTTAAAAATAATGTGTGCCCTGCTTTTGAAGCATAATAGACAAGCTCAGACTGATCTTCTAAACCCATCCCTTACGTGATGGCTGGTACCTTTTCACAGAACTCTGAGAACGGCTATTTAAATTGATGACTACCTCCCACTCCCCAACCAGAGCCCTGTGTGTTGAATCACTGATGATTCCGCTTTGTTCTTTAGGATTGACCTGCAAGGACAAATGCACTTTATAATGAAAAATTGGACTCCAAAGAGTATTCTGTTTAACCCTTAGTGAGCCTGACAGTTTAATTAACCAGAATGCCCTGTTCTGGCTGATGAGGTTTTGTCACGTGATACCCATAGCTCCTGAGGCACTTTGCTGATAGAAATAATATTGTTATGCTGTTAAGTTTGAAAAGTATAGTGACATTTTTGCGGGTGAGTATAAAATATTTTATTGAATGATACTTTAAAAAATATGGGTGGCTGAGGCGTGAGGATTGCTTGAGGCCAAGAGTTTGAGACCAGTATAGGCAACATAGTGAGACCCCATCTCTACAAAAAAAAAAAAAAAAAAAAAAAAAAATTAGCCAAGTGTGGTGGTGTGCAGTTCTAGTCCCAGCTACTCAGGAGGCTGAGGTGGGAGGATCACTTGAGCGCAGGTGTTTGAGGCTGCATTGAGCTCTGATGGTACCACTGCACTGTAGCCTGGGTGACAGAGTGAGAGCCTGTCTCAAAATAAAAATTAAAAATTAAAATGAAAAATATGGGTGGGAGTTTGAGAAAGTTCTAGAAATGGATGGTGGTGGTGGTTACACAATAACATGAGTGTACTTAATGCCACTGAACTATACACTTAAAAAATGGTTAAAATGGTAAATTTTATGTCGTGTATTTTGCCTCTGTAAACAATTTAAAAAATAAAATTAATACTAAACACACACACACACACACACACACGTATATTTGGTGAACACACATAGGAATTCACCCCGTGGCCTTAAGAACAACACTACAGTGGAAATGTTAAATGTACCTCGTGGTCAAATAGAGAATTAGGGTCTTTTATCTGCAGTGAATAGACAGTGTTCCCACTTAGGCACATCCTGCAAACAGAAAGAACAGAAATAATCAATGCTCTTGCCTGTCCTATTTTCCTTCTGAGAGGGCGAGTTGGCCCTGACAGCCCAGTACTTTGGTCCAAGGTTATGTGGTGAGTCAGTGACGACTCTAGGAATAGAGTGCCGGGATCCCAATTCAGTTCCCTCCTTCTCACTTCTAACCTACATGAGAACATTTCCAGTTTCCCAGGATGTTCCTCACAGAAAGATTTTTGAGCACAGACTTCTGGCTGACATTGAGCCGGAGGCAGATTTCAGTGACAGTTGAAACCATTCTGGAACAAAGAATGCTCTTTATTGTCCACATTGTGATTGGGCCTCCTGGTTGGTGTGTGCTGTATAAGCATATGTGCCCAAGGCTTCCACCTAAGTATCCTCTTCGTAGGTGCGGAGACTTTTATTTTTTATTTTTATTTTTATTTTTTGAGACAGAGTCTTGCTCTCTCGCCCAGGCTGGAGTGCAGTGGCGTGATCTTGGCTCACTGCAACCTCCACCTCCGAGGGTCAAGCAATTCTCCTGCCTCAGCCTCCCGAGTAGCTGAGATTACAGGTATACACCAGCACTCCCGGCTAAATTTTTTTGTATTTTTAGTAGAGACAAGGTTTCACGATGTTGGCCCAGCTTGTCTCCAACTCCTGGCCTCAAATGATCCGCCCACCTCAGCCTCCCAATGTGCTAGGATTATAGCATGAGCTACCATGCCTGGCCTATAAGGAGACTTTTAAATGGAGCCAGAATCAAAGTCTCAGAATTGAAAGAATTTTTATATCATCCAGTCTGAATTTCCAGCACTATTCCCTTTATCCTTGCTCCTGACAAACTTTACTAATGGATCTTTCACATTTTTCCTCCTGGGCCCAAAATGGCTTCAGAAGCTTTCTCAACATGACACTTTTTTTTTTTTTTTTTTTTTTTTTTTGAGATGGAGTCTCGCTCTGTCGCCCAGACTGGAGTGCAGTGATCTCGGCTCACTGCAAGCTCTGCCTCCCGGGTTCACGCCATTCTGCCTCAGCCTCCCGAGTAGCTGGGACTACAGGTGCCTGCTATCACGCCCGGCTAATTTTTTGTATTTTTAGTAGAGACAGGGTTTCACCACGTTGGCCAGGATGGTCTCGATCTCTTGACCTCGTGATCCACCCACCTTGGCCTCCCAAAGTGCTGGGATTCCAGGCGTGAGCCACTGCACCTGGCCAACATGACACTTTATAGCCACTATCTGTTCATTGGAAGTAATATCAGTGATCAAAGTCCATTTGCTAGTCCTGGTCAAATTCATCTCTCATCCAAGGTAGAAGATCCCTTCCCCAACGCTCCTCATAGGTAGGCCCCGTTGAACCTTGGCCTAAATACTTACAATGACTTTGGACATCCCAACCCATTTTTCAGCAACTCTCATTCTTAGAACATTCTTATTTTGAACTAAAAACCTTCCACTTTTACCTATTGGTTCTATTACATTAAAACACATGAAATTAGAAAGTAGTCTGATATCTCCAACCAAAATGGGAGATTAATACTGATTAATAGATTACTTGATTAATAATTAAAATAACTAATGTTTAATTAGCACTTACCATGTGACTGACTCTCTGAGTACATGAATTAACTCTTACAGTCCTTGCAATGTTCCTGGGAGATAACTAGTTTTATTATCTCTGTGACAGTCAACTAGATATCCAAATAGCTCTCCCACTCCAAATTGCCTTCTCTTTTATTTTTTCAAGTATTTTTGTAGAGACGGCGTCTCCCTATGTTGCCCTCAAACTCCTGGGCTCAAGCGATCCTCCTGCCTTGGCCTCCCAAAGTGCTAGGATTATAAGAGTGAGCCACTGCACCCGGCCACCTTCTCTTTTTTAAGTGAAACATTTTAGATCCCCTCAAGCTTTGGATGTTCTTTTCTGGTAGATTTGTCTTTCCACAGAGAGTTTCTACAAGTCCATGTGGTCTGAATAGCACTGAATACATTGGGATCTTTCCGTCTCCATACTGGGCTCTAAACCTCTGCCAATTACCTGTGCTCTTTGGGTAGTTTTGATCACATCATTGACACCACTGGTCTGTTAAATCACTACCTGCCCTTCCACAAGTTTGCTTTTTCTTAAAAACATCTTTATGTTCTAGATTTATTCCATTGACAATTTAAAAAATACCGCCCTACTGAAGTTTTTCTTGTTGGTCTTGATCCATTCTTCCAGCCCACGGGGGTTGTTTCATGCTCTTGTTCTATCATCCAGGCCCTTTCTTTTTCCTCCCAGTTTCCTGTCTTTTTCCTTACAGTTTCCTCGTGAAATTGTTGGACAGGTCTAAACACACAGCTAAGATCCCCCTTTCAGCCTAACACTGGCCCATGAATATACCTCTGTTTGCTTCTTTCTGGGAAGCAGGTAAATGCTTCTGAAAAACATTTCATAGAGTACAAATGCCCCGCTTACTTTTTTTTTTTTTTTTTTTTAATGTATAGGGAATAACCAGCCTATTTCTTGGAAAGCTAATGGACAGTTGATGCGTTTATTCTAGAAAAATATTTTGGGCTCGGCTGTCACCAAACAGATTCTCGTCCCCAGCACTTGTTTCTCTGGTTTCTGCCTAGTAATTAATGTTGTCCTAAAATAGTGGGAAGAAACTAAAGAGGGTAATTTGCAGAAGAAATCACTCATGCTGCGGAGGAGGGTATCTTAGCTGTTTCTTTCCTTTTTTCCTGTATTTTAGGGGGCTCTGTGGTTTGATTGAGAAATTCCAGATTACGCACACGGGCCAAATGATTTTTTTTTTAAATTTTCGTTTTTATTTTTTTAGAGACAGGGTCTTGCTCTGTCGCCCAGGCTGGAATGCAGTGGCATAATCATAGCTCATTGCCACTTCGAACTCATGGGCTCAAGCGATCCTCCCACCTCAGCCTCCCAGAGTCCTGGGATTTCAGGTGTGAGCCACTGTGCCTGGCCCCAGGTGATCTTTAGTTGGTAGCTCTTCCTTTGTGGCAGTACTGTTAGGGAAAGGCAGACGGGAGGATGAGAGGGAGCACCTTAACTGAATGGAGGGAAGAAAGAAGGACAAAGGAGATGGAGAGGATAAACATTCAATAAGCACCTACTGTATACTGGGCACTTTGTTCAATATGTCATCCAATGAGGCAAGCTAGTATACCCACTTTCAGATGAAGAAACTGAGGCTCTGAGAGGTGATAAATACAGATTTTAACAGGTATCAGTGATATGATAAGTGTAAAAGTCAGGATTTAAACCAGGGTCTGTAAGAATCCAGCATCCAGGTCTTTCTACTGCAACACGATGCCTTAGGGAATCAGCTACATGTTAAGAGGAAGGGCAGGTGAGGAATATAAATGGAAAGAAAAACAGAGGTAGAGAGAAGCAAAGAGACAGAGAGGGCCAGGAAATGCTGAGATTATCAGTGGCTCTGGGCCTGCTGGGATGGAGGAGTTTGGGGGCTGCCATAGGCCTTTTGGAATCTCCAGTGATGATGTTTATTGCTTTGAGTAGCTCTCTGTCCCTAAGTCTGCAGAGGACCCAGGCTACCAGGGAAGAGATTATTTGGGCCACACTAAGTGTAGTTAAGCTATAATCCAGGGTTTGGATAAAATCAAGCACTGTCTCATCAGGATGCCTGCTCTCTCCTGCTTTTTTAGAAACGGATGCATTTTAGGAAAAAGAACCACAAAACCAGCGTCTTTATAGCCTGTCCTATTTTCTGGTTAACTTCCATTATAAAAATTGGAGCGAGATTTGCAGCACAAAACTATTTTCAATATACTTAATTGAATTTCTTTTCTGGGTTTTACCAACACTCTGTACTATAACTGGGATCTTCTTCTTTTCCCCCAACGTTGTAGAAATATGTCTCATGATTGTGGTTATTCATGTACTTGTTGGGGTCTCTTACCCTAATGGGACCTTTATTAAGTAAGGGATGATATGATTTCTCTTTGTGTATCCCACACTGCCTGCATGGAGTAATTTCTCATAGCAACAATTAAGATCTTGAAAACAGAAAATAAAGACATTGGAACTTAGTTGTCATGGCACTGAGTCGAACTGCCTTAGATGTCAACTCAGATGGCTCATGCCATCCAAAATATCCTCACCTTAATGTACCAAAATATCCTCAATTGGAACTCTGTCTGGGAAGGCCATCCCTGCAGCCTGGACTTCCTGTGACGGTAGGGATCCTCGGACTTGTTGGCCAGCAGAGGTTTCTGTGCAAATTCATTTTAACTGTGCTTGCATCCTTTTGGAATAGATGACAATTGGTAATTCTGAATTGAGATGATTTCAAAAGCTGTACTTCTGGTGCCATGCCTGAAATTAGTTTGAAATAGGAACAGCAGGGGAACAAATTGTATTGTGTGCAGTATCAAGCATTTCCCTGGCCCTTCTCCCCACTAGCAAGCCAAATTACAGCAGCAGATGGACCTGCAGAAAAATCACATTTTCCGTCTGACTCAAGGACTGCAAGAAGCTCTAGATCGGGCTGATCTACTGAAGACAGAAAGAAGTGACTTGGAGTATCAGCTGGAAAACATTCAGGTGAGGACTGGCAGAGGGAATCTGCTTAAAAATGGTC
This sequence comes from Homo sapiens, assembly GCF_000001405.40. Lineage (NCBI taxonomy): Eukaryota > Metazoa > Chordata > Mammalia > Primates > Hominidae > Homo > Homo sapiens. The sequence goes on along the minus strand of NC_000012.12, from coordinate 119,721,271 downwards.
TGCACGGCTGGGCGCAGTGGCTCATGCCTGTAATCCCAGCACTTCGGGAGGCTGAGGAGGGCAGATTACTTGAGGTCAGGAGTTCGAGACCAGCCTGGCCAACATGGTGAAACCCCATCTCTACTAAAAATACAAAAATTAGCCTGGCGTGGTGGCGGGTGCCTGTAGTCCCAGCTACTCGGGAGACTGAGGAAGGAGAATGGCTTGAACCCGGGAGGTGGAGGTTGCAGTGGGCTGAGATCACACCACTGCACTCCAGCCCGGGCAACAGAGCAAGACTTTGTCTCAAGAAAATAAATAAATAAATAAGTCTGCAGAGGCAAAGCATGATTGTACAGTCATCTGGTAAAATGGTCAGTATCTTTGTGCTGCATATTGTGTGTATTTTCCCCAAGATTTTATTTTCAAAGATTGCAAACATTCAGAGAAGTTGGAAGATTTCTATAGTGACCATGACCTACAAGGAACCTGTTGCTATTTTTACTTTTTCACATATTTATCTATAAATATATCTTTTTTCTCTTTTGCAGTAAAACTGGACTAAATACATACTGACTCAGTACTGTTTGTGTTGGATTTTCATATATTAGTGTCCTAACAACTTCACTTTTTAGTTTCTTAAAGTACCAACTTTAAAAGTATACTTCTGTCTGGATTTGAGGTTAGTTTGTTTTCTTGAATTTTAGGTTCTCTATTCTCATGAAAAGGTGAAAATGGAAGGCACTATTTCTCAACAAACCAAACTCATTGATTTTCTGCAAGCCAAAATGGACCAACCTGCTAAAAAGAAAAAGGTGAGTCAAAGTGTTTGAAAAGTGGGAATTGTCAGTTTCACTCATCATTCATGGCTCAGTGGACACCACTGTGATATATGATCATAGGAACATAGAAGAAAACAAAGTATACTTTTTTTGTTGTTTTATTTTGGGTTGAAAAATAGATTTTGAGATAATTATAATAGGTCTTACTGAAAGATATCAGTGATCAAGTCTAACAAACTACTTTTTGTTTATGACCATTCAAATCATAGTATCTTTGTTAAAGAAGTAATCCCTCCCCAGCCCACACACATAGCAGTTGGGGCAGAGGGATGTATGCAGAGAGAAAGATTTATACCAAGTCATGCATACATGACTCTAGAGGGAGTTAGCAAGTCACAAGTATGGGGCTTCAGCAGTTCAGGTCTCTCGTACCACACTCCAGAAAGGACTTTAACAGTGATCTAGTCCAGTCCTTTTGATCGGCTCACAAAGAGACTAGAACTCAGGGAGCTGGGGTGACCTGCCTGAAGTGTCTGACTGGACACTTCTCCCCTCTGCCAAGTACTGAACAACCCTTTTAGATTGCAGGAGACAAATTACAAACTAGGGGCAGGGTTATACATAGTGCACATGAGAAGATTGTTTTTCATAAGCCTGATCTATACATGCTTTCCCAAACCACTAAAGCCTTCATACTAGGTTTGGCCAGGTGTTCTCAGTTCCAGAAAAGTCTTGAAGAAGCTTGCAGTTTCCTTCCAAATGCAGAAGCATACCATAGCAGCAGTGGCAGTGGTTTTGCAGGAGAGGCCTTGATGACTTGGAATACCTAGGAGGAAGGAGTGGAGGGCTGAAGTTGACAGTTGTCTCAATATTTCCGGTGCCATCTTCGCTGTAAGGGCATGAGCACAACATTCAGAGGCCGCCTCCCACTAGACGTTGGCTGCACGGGAAGGATTTTCTTGCATGCTGCGTGACTGTATATGGTTGTTATGCTTATGATATTTAATCTTTTTTATTTTAGCAGTGAACTGTTACCTGGTTATGTCACTTGATTTAGTTAGGGTGTTTCCATTTGTTATTTTTTTTAGTTACCTTTTTTTTAAGTTGCATTATTCTGTTTTCCTTTTTTTTCCATGTATAGTAAATATTTTCATTTGCATTTTTTTTTGAGTAAGCCCCTTGTTTTGACCTCATTTTAGCATTCCTTTTAAAATTTTGCTTCCTTTTACAAAACACTCATCTCTGTGTCTTGTAACTGAGCATCATGAGACATATTCCAAGGCAAGAGTGACCTCTGAACCATCTCTCCTGACTCCATACTCCATACTCTCCTGATTCCATTTTTTGAATGGGAAAGACTCAGGACATGACTCTCCTGTCTTGGCAATGCTAGAGGAAGAGGTGGTGGCCATTCAAGCATCTTTAATCCTCTTGGTGAAAACTTCCGCACCCCTATTTTTTTCAGCCGGCTGGAACGGGCTGTGGCTCAGCCTACCCTTCCCCCCCTTCACATGCCATTTTTACTAAATACACTTACAGTGAGTATGCTCCTGGCTTTTGTGGTTTGCTCCTCCCGAGTCAGATTTCCTTTAGCTAGTTTCAAGTGCCAGTTTCCAGGAGTTAGGAGATATCTCTGTTTCCATTGCTAGGGTTTATTTAGTCGACGGAAAGAGGACCCTGCTTTACCCACACAGGTTCCTCTGCAGTACAATGAGCTGAAGCTGGCCCTGGAGAAGGAGAAAGCTCGCTGTGCAGAGCTAGAGGAAGCCCTTCAGAAGACCCGCATCGAGCTCCGGTCCGCCCGGGAGGAAGGTAGGGGCTCACTCTCTCCAAAATGCTCAAGGATGTGGAAAAGGCAGAGGATTGATCTCAGTGAGATCAGCCAAGACTAACTAGCTCAGTGTCTTCGTTTATGGCCCATACGCTTTCAGACCAGACATCCCATGTCTGAAAAACGTATGGCCCCTGTGCATTGCCAAGTTGATGTGACGCATATTCTTTTGGTCTTGGGTCCTTGAAAGATAGCCCAGGGACATTCGGCTTAGTTTGGTCCTCTAGGCGACCCAGCTAACCAAAAGGCATTGTCCTGGTCTCTCTGCAGCTGCCCACCGCAAAGCAACGGACCACCCACACCCATCCACGCCAGCCACCGCGAGGCAGCAGATCGCCATGTCCGCCATCGTGCGGTCGCCAGAGCACCAGCCCAGTGCCATGAGCCTGCTGGCCCCGCCATCCAGCCGCAGAAAGGAGTCTTCAACTCCAGAGGGTACGTTGGAGTTGTATGGAAATTTCTTTTAGTCGACTAAGACATGTGGGCATATGGTAAAAATTACAAGTAATACTAGGGGTTAAAGATTAAAAAGTCAGTCTTGGCCAGGCACGGTGGCTCACACCTGTAACCCCAGCACTTTGGGAGGCCGAGGTGGGCGGATCACCTGAAGTTGGGAGCTCAAGACCAGCCTGACCAACATGGAGAAACCCCGTCTCTACTAAAAATGCAAAATTAGCTGGGCATGGTAGTGTATGCCTGTAATCCTAGCTACTCGGGAGGCTGAGGCAGGAGAATTGCTTGAATCCGGGAGGCGGAGGTTGCGGTAGCCGAGATTGCGCCATTGCACTCCAGCCTGGGCAACAAGAGGGAAACTCCATCTCAAAAAAAAAAAAAAAAAAAAGAAAGAAGTCAGTCTCCTGGCTCCCCATCCTCAGTGTTGGTTCATATATGTGACCACATGTCTATACCATTCATGTATCTTACATTGTGTGATTATATTTAAAGAATATGAGAAAATAGGCTGGGCATGGTGGCTCACGCCAGTAATCCCAGCACTTTGGGATGCTGAGGCAGGCGGATCACCTGAGGTCAGGAGTTTGAGACCAGCCTGGCCAACATGGTGAAACCTCGTTTCTACTAAAAATACAAAAATTAGCTGGGTGTGGTAGCATTCTCCTGAAGTCCCAGCTACTTGGGAGGCTAAGGCAGTAGAATCATTTGAACCCAGGAGGTGGAGGTTGCAGTGAGCCGAGATCACCCCACTGCACTCCAGCCTGGGTGATAAAGTGAGATTCCATCTCAAAAAAAAAAAAAAAAAAAGAAAAGAAAAGAAAAAAGAATATGAAAAAATAAGCACATCTCTCTCTCAGGCCTTTTTTCTTTTATAAATATTATAGTGGTGGCTCACGCCTGTAATCCCAGCACTTTGGGAGGCTGAGGTGGGCGGATCACCTGAGGTTGGGAGTTCGAGACTAGCCTGACCAACATGGAGAAACCCTGTCTCTACTAAAAATACAAAATTAGCCGGGTGTGGTGGTGCATGCCTGTAATCCCAGTTACCTGGGAGGCTGAGGCAGGAGAACTGTTTGAACCTGGGAGGCAGAGGTTGCAGTGAGCCAAGATAAAGCCATTGCATTCCAGTCTGGGCAACAAGACTGAAACTCTGTCTCAAAAACAAAAACAAGAAAACGTAAGCTTATCTTTCAGGCCTTTTTTCTCTTATAAATATCATAGCACACTACAGTATACACTGCAAGACACCTTCGTTTCATTAAAGTGCTATCTTAGAGGTTTCACATTAGTACATAAGGACCTACCCCATTCTTTCAGAGAACCACACAGTATTCCGTGGTGTGAGCATGCAATTCACCTGTTAAGCCAGGCTCCTGTTGATGGCCATTTAGGTTGTTTCCAATCCCCTGTTACTGTAAACACCTTGCAGAGGACATCCTGTGCCTCTGTGGGTGTTGTGCCTGGAGAAATTCCTGGGAAATGAATCACTGGGTTAAAGGTCATGTACATTTTGAGTGCTGGTAGTTTGTGCCAATGTTTATTTCTACCAACAGTGTGAGGAGTTTTCTTGCTGGTCTCAAATGTACTCCATTTACCTAGAGATTAAAAGGACTTAAGAAAAGGCCAAGGAAGCTGTTTGGAATGTCTTAGGAACACTAGGGTAGAGCTGTGGTTTAGCAATCATGGCATTGCAATCAAACCTGTTTTGGTTGTAAACCAGATGGTGTTTTCTTGTTGCTGTTGTTTTTCTTTAGCCTGAAGTCATTTTCTTCCTCCTGTGTTTATATAACTCCTTGAATCAAAGAGCTTTACTTTTTTTTTTTTTTTTTTTTTTTTTTTTTTTTTTTTGAGACAGAGTCTCGCTCTGTCGCCCAGGCTTGGAGAGCAGTGGTGTGATCTTGGCTCACTGCAACCTCTGCCTCCCAGGCTCAAGCGATTCTCATGCCTCAGCTTCCTGAGTAGCTGGGATTATAGGCATGCGCCACCATGCCTGGCTAATATTTTTATTTTTAGTAGAGATAGGGTTTCACCATGTTGGCCAGGCTGGTCTTGAACTCCTGACCTCAAGCGATCCACTTGCCTTGGCCTCCCAGAGTGCTGGCATTACAGGTTTGAGCCACTGTGCCCAGCCCAAGAGCTTTACTTTTAAACTCATTAAAATGGTGATGACAAGATAGAGGAAAGCATTGCTTCTGGCTGTGGTGTCCACTGAAATGTCCCTGAATAGTGATAGTACTACAGTATATTGCTCCTTTGTGTATACTGCACCACACAGTTTCAAAGTGCATTCCTGTTATTTATTCCTTGCACCTTTCCAAGAAAGGAAGGGGGGTGATGTTGTAAGGAGAGCCTACCGTATAGTCAGTCAATCTCCTACCAGTAACATGTTCTTAAAGCCTGATTCCTAATCACTGGATAATGGAGATTTTAAGTTGAGTCTTATAAATCTAGATGCATCTGTTAGTGTTAATACTTTCAAAATCTGTAACTAACCTGTTCTAATGGTTTTAACAGTTTCATTCAGATGTAATTTGCATACCGTACAGTTCGCTCATTAAAAATGTACAATTCAGTCTTTTTCAGTAAGTTTACAGGGTTGTGTAACCCTCATCACATTCTAATTTTTGAACAATTTTGACACCCCCCCACCCAAAAAATACTCCATACACATTATCAGTCCCCCGCCATTCTCCTTCCACTAATGTTCTTCTTAGCAACCACCAATCTACTTTCTGTCTCTGTCGATCTGCTCTCTTAGACATTTCATAAAGATGAATCATACTGCATGCGGCCTTTGTGTCTGGCTTCTTTCATGGAATGTAATGTTTTCAAGGTTCACCCATGTTGTAGCATGTATCAGAACTTCATTCCTTTCATGGCTGAATAATACTCCATTGTGTAGATGGCACATCTGATTATCCATTAATCCATTTTCATTAGTCCATTTTCACACTGCTGATAAAGACATGCCCAAGACTGGGTAATTTATAAAGAAAAAGAGGTGTAATAGACTCACAGTTCCATGTGGCTGGGGAGGCCTCACAATCATGGTGGAAGGCAAAAGGCATGTCTCATGTGGCGGTGACAAAAGAGAATAAGAACCAAGCGAGAGGGGTTTCCCCTTATAAAACTATCAGATCTTATTCACTACCACAAGAACAGTATGGGGGAAACCACCCGCATGATTCAGTTATCTCCCACCAAGTCCCTCCCAACACATGGGAATTATGGCAGCTGCAATTCAAGATGAGATTTGGGTGGGGACACAGCCAAACCATATCACCATTGGTGGACATTTGTGTTGTTTTCACTTTGTAGTTGTCATAAATTATGCTGCTGTGAACATTTATGTACAGATTTTTGTGGGTACATATGTTTTCAGTCCCCTTGGATATATAGCCAGGAGCGGAATTGCTGGGTTCTGGGGTAACTATGTTTAACCTTTTACAGAACTACCAGACTGAGTTCCAAAGTGGCTGCACCATTTTTACATTCTCACCAGGAATGTGTGAGGGTTCCAGTTTCTCCACATCCTCATCAACACTTATCTTCCTTTTTTTAGACTGTAGACATCCTAGTGGTTGTGAAGTGGTGTCTGCTTGGGGTTTTGATTCACATCTCTCTAACGACTGATAATGTTGAGCATCTTTTCATTTGCTCGTTGGCCATTTATCCTCTTCGGGGAGGTGTCTATTTAAATTCTTGGCCCATTTTAAAATTGGGTTGTCCTTTTATTATTGAGTTGTAAGAGTTCTTTATGTATTCTAGATATGAGTCCCTTATCAGAGATTTGATTTGCAAGTATTTTTTCCCTTTCTGTGGGTTGTCTTTTCACTTTCCTGATGGGATCATTTGCAGTACTCTAATGATTTTTTAAAACATTTTCCTCCAGAATTTAGTCGGCGTCTTAAGGAACGCATGCACCACAATATTCCTCACCGATTCAACGTAGGACTGAACATGCGAGCCACAAAGTGTGCTGTGTGTCTGGATACCGTGCACTTTGGACGCCAGGCATCCAAATGTCTCGGTAAGATCAGTAGTTGTGCATCTGTGCTGGGCACCTGTGCATCTCCAGCTTAAAAAGTCTATCAGGTGGAGGTGATTTTTTTCTAACTCATCATATAGTGCATTCATTTTCGAGCTTCTTACTTCAGTAGGAGGATGCTATTTTTCCCCTGTTGAAGCTGTGAGTTTATATATGTCTGCAGCTCATGACTCCAGCCTGCTGCTCAGAGTGCCTTAGGCTTTGCTAATTTCCAGCCCCTTTTTGTCAGGCTGGTCTCTCCCTACCTTTCCGCTGACTCCAACTGAAACATGCAAACGTGTTCTTTACACACCTGTTTGTGGGCGGTCTGGATTGAAGCCTGGAAAACTGGGTCAAGAGCACTTGGCACTTTTGTTTTCCCTTTCTGCAGGGGCCTGGCACCAGGGGAAGCTCAGGAGACTACCTGCAAGCCAGGGCCAGACTCTCTGGGCCCGGCTGGGGTAGAGAAGCCCAGGCGTTGGCTGGCAGAGGAAGGGAAGGGTCCAGGGTCAGCTGAGCATGCCCTCAGGTTGCTCACTGTTCTTCCCTAGAATGTCAGGTGATGTGTCACCCCAAGTGCTCCACGTGCTTGCCAGCCACCTGCGGCTTGCCTGCTGAATATGCCACACACTTCACCGAGGCCTTCTGCCGTGACAAAATGAACTCCCCAGGTCTCCAGACCAAGGAGCCCAGCAGCAGCTTGCACCTGGAAGGGTGGATGAAGGTGCCCAGGTACCATGTCAGGGTGGCTTGGGCTGGAGCAGGTGCTGGCACAAGCCACTCTGTCCCTGATGTTTTCTAGGGAAGTGTCTTTTCTAGGAACTCTGCCACCCCCTCATCCTATCCTCCAGCCGGATGTTTCTTCTGAGTTCAGACATTTTTCTTTTCCATCTTTCTTTCCCCAGGAATAACAAACGAGGACAGCAAGGCTGGGACAGGAAGTACATTGTCCTGGAGGGATCAAAAGTCCTCATTTATGACAATGAAGCCAGAGAAGGTAAATTAATAATTCAGGGGGAAGGTCATTGCACGTGGCTAACCCAGGTCTCCCCAGTGCTGGCGCGAAGGCTTTGTTTTTTGGACTGCCTTGCAAGCCTTCTACGCTTTTCCATTTTTGAAACTTACAAACCAAATGACTTCTCTAAAGGTTATTGGTGCGATACTCACATCTATAGGTCTCCCCCCTGAAGAACCCGCAGGGCGCTGCCCTGAAGATTCCACCTGCTAATACACCTTCCGAGAACTTCTGCCTCAGTCAACTAACCCATAAATCCGCATCGTCATCAGAAATTTGACTGTGCTACTCATCTGACACACTTTATTTTTTTTTATCTTCCCTCTCTGCCTTCTCTGCACACCTCTGTCCCTTCCTTGTTCTCGTGCGCCTCTCTTTACACACGTACCCTGTCTCTCTCTCCCTTGCTGTCTCTCTCGCTCTCTCTTCTCCCCTTGTTCTTGTTCCTGTTCTTTTGTTTTTCTTTCTGCCCTTCCTCTTTGCACCAAGCTGGACAGAGGCCGGTGGAAGAATTTGAGCTGTGCCTTCCCGACGGGGATGTATCTATTCATGGTGCCGTTGGTGCTTCCGAACTCGCAAATACAGCCAAAGCAGGTGAGGAGGAGCCGGAGGAGCCCCGCCCTGGAGGTGGGCCGGGCTTGGCCAATCAGCAGGGACAGAAGGGGTGGTACAGGGAAGATTGGCTCTGCAAAGGAGGCCCATCTTCCTCCGCTCCCCGCCTTGGCGGTAACTGGGATTTGCGTGGTTTGGTGGGCATCTTTGATCTCTCAGGCCCGTCCCTCCCAGTGGGAACGGGGGAAATCCACACCCAATCCTGTGCTCTCTGAAATCTCCTAGATGTCCCATACATACTGAAGATGGAATCTCACCCGCACACCACCTGCTGGCCCGGGAGAACCCTCTACTTGCTAGCTCCCAGCTTCCCTGACAAACAGCGCTGGGTCACCGCCTTAGAATCAGTTGTCGCAGGTGGGAGAGTTTCTAGGGAAAAAGCAGAAGCTGATGCTGTGAGTATGAAAGCGGGCCCTGGAGGTTGTCTTTGTAAAGGGGGCTGACTTGGTAACTGGTGTTAACGACGAGAATCCCATTGGCCATTTTGATTCCCCTCAGGCTCTCTCTCTGAGGGCTGATGGCTCTAGACTGTGTCATGGCCAGGAGTCTGGTGGTGATGAAGGCACAAGCACCAAGGTAGCTTGTGTGGCATCATGATCCATTTAGAATGTGGGAATCAGGGATGCGGTGGCTCATGCCTGTGGTCCCAGTGACCCAGGAGGCCAAGGCAGGAGGATCACTTGAGCCCAGGAGTTTGAAACCAGACTGGGCAAGATAGCAAGATCCCATCTCTTAAAAAAAGAGAAAGAAAGAAAGTTAGCCAGGTGTGGTGACATGCACCTGTAGTTCCAGCTAGTAGGGAGGCTGAGGCCGGCGGATTGCCCAGGAGTTTGAGGCTGCAGTGAGCTACGATTGTGCCACTGTACTCCAGCCTGGGCAACAGAGCGAGGCATGGACTGTAAAAGCAAAGGAAAAAGAATGGGGGAATCGGCATCAGTAGCCTACTCTGGTGGCATTGTAGACCTTGGTTGTGGTGATGCAGCAGCAAATGTACTTATAAGGAAATCCTCTCTCCTGTTTACTCAAATGAGTTTGTCTGGTTTGAAGGCTTGAGTTAGAAGCACTTTGGCCACGAAGCAGCACAATAGGCTGCCGGCAGCTGTGTCCCCTCCAGGAAGGCTTTTCATAAGCATCTCAGTTGTTTTTGCAGTATTTGCTCTTCCGTAGGCAGGTTTGGAGTCCTACTTATCCTTAAGCTGTTAGAAACGTAGGTGTGCTGTGATTGGCATCACCCCACCTAAAATGTTCCAGGATACAAACAGTGCTCATTGCTCATTGACGTTTGCTCCAGCGAAGACCAAACAGCTCTTTTCAGACTCTTCACTCCTAATAAACACTTTATGTGTTAGCAATTGGCAGATTCTTAACCACAAGCCTCCTGAAAAGGGCTTTACTCAGTGGTTAGACCTGTTTGGATGACTTGTTGGTCGTTTCACACGTGAGCTTTTACTGAAATCCTTGTTAATATGTGTACAATAGGCCCGCGACTGTGTTTCTTACGAGCTTCTGCCTGCCTGGGTTCAGGTAAAGAGATGCAGAGGCGTGCTGGCTCGCTGCTAACACGGCGCCTTTGCACTTCTGCTGCAGCCTTATGGGGGAAGGAGTCTTTCATGTGTCTTATTAACCCTGCGCAGGTGAAATCTCCTTAGCTTCAGCTTATTTCTTATTACAGAATAGCTTTCCATGTCTACTACCCTCCCTTATTTCTGCATCCCAGCCAAATTATAACTCAGATGCTAATTAACAGCTGCCCCAGAGATACCAATAGCACTCGCATTTTGCATTTGGAGCTCAGATCAAAATACGGGCTGAGCTAAGAGCATATGTGCGTTTCTGAGCATTTCCAGGAATAACTTGGCCTTAACCTTCTCTTGGTTTCTCTGGATGGTTTGGTCATAAACAGATCAGCCTCACGATGTCTTCTGTTTTTCTTTTCTTTCACCTATGAAAAGAAACTGCTTGGAAACTCCCTGCTGAAACTGGAAGGTGATGACCGTCTAGACATGAACTGCACGCTGCCCTTCAGTGACCAGGTAATGCTTGCATGGGCACGGCCAGCTGGTGTCTGGTTACAGCCACACCCCATCAAGAAAGAAAGGGCTGTGGAGGCCTTGTTGCTCTTACTAGAGATTGTTCTGGTGACGTGACCGTGCTTATGTTCTGCCTTCGGACTTCTGCCCTTGCAGGTGGTGTTGGTGGGCACCGAGGAAGGGCTCTACGCCCTGAATGTCTTGAAAAACTCCCTAACCCATGTCCCAGGAATTGGAGCAGTCTTCCAAATTTATATTATCAAGGACCTGGAGAAGCTACTCATGATAGCAGGTGTGAGGCCAAGGACATGGTGTTTTTTCTTTACTTTCAAGGGAGCCAATATGTTGAAGCCACGTTTCATGCTCGTAAAACACAAAATAGTAGAGAGGAGCCGTTGTAGCTCTTATCTCTGTGTCCCCATAGATGCCCAAGCCTCAGCTAATGGACCCCCTCTGTCCAGATTCAGTTCCCTTCCAGTATCCAGTTTAGCACAGTCTGACATTCCCAAAGAACATCCCACTGTTAGGCCAAGTGAAGAGTGCTAAGCCTCGAAGACTATCTAAAGCCAAACCCTTTGTCCTGATTGCAACGAAACCACCGTGGGCCCTGACCTTCTGAGAGCTTGCTTGCTCTGTTAACTCTGTGATCTCTCTCAAGTCACCATTTGCTAATATTTTGTCATAATTTTTTTCTCTGTCTTCTTAACACACACACACACACACACACACACACACACACACACACACACACACACTCTCTCTCTCTCTCTCTCTCTCTCTTTCCTGAACCATTTGAGAGTTAGTTGCAGGTATGACGCCAAGTTCTTCAGTATATCAACCTAAGGATTGAAGACATTCTGTCACATAACCAGGGTACAGTTTATTTCTCTCTGTCTGTGTTAGTGACATTATTTTTAAAGGGGAAAAGAGTAATATATCGATTCAGTGTTCAAAACAACAACAGTTAGGTCTTGTTTCAGGCATGGCTGGATCCGGGGACTGACATACTATGGACAAGAACTGGCCTTTCTTAATCTCAGCTCTTTTTCCTCCGTCTCTTCCTCTCTTCCTTATTTTATTCTTTAGAGCAGTTTTAGATTCACAGCAAAATTGAAAGGTACAGAGAGTTCCCATATACCCCCGTTCTCATATATGCATAGCCTCCCCCACTACCAACATCCCCCACCAGAGTGATACGTTCGTTAGAGTCAGTGAACCTACATTGACACATTGACAGTGACACATCATTGTCACCCCAAGTCTACAGTTTACATTATAGAGTTCTTTCTTGGTGGTATACATTCTATGGGTTTTGAAAAACATATAATGACATGTATCCACACATAGAGTATCATATAGAATAGTTTCACATACTATAATTTCTGCATTTAGGAAATTTACCCTTACTATAATACAAGTATCCGCTATGCTGCCCATAATTGGATTTTACCTGTGGCTTCTATAATGTCCCAGAATTTGCATTGCATTTAATCATGTCTCTCTAGTCTCCTTTAATCTGAACGGTTCCTCAGCCTTTTGTCTCTCCTGACATCCACATATTTGGATAGTCCAAGTCTGTTTTTTCATAGAATGCCTCCTCATTCCTCCCTCACACATTCGTTCTTTACTTTGCTGGGGAGCATGTTTGAAAGTACAGTTCACATTCTCCAATTTTATGTCTGCAGAATTCCACCCTCCTCAGAATCTTGACTAAAAGGCCAAATGTTATTGTCTTAGATTTAAATCATGGACTTGGGCCGGGCGTGGTGGCTCACGCCTGTAATCTCAGCACTTTGGGAGGCTGAGGCGGGCAGATCACAAGGTCAGGAGTTTGAGACCAGCCTGACCAACATGGCGAAACCCCATCTCTACTAAAAATACAAAAAAAAATTAGCCAGGCGTGGTAGCATGCACCTGTAATCCCAGCTACTCAGGAGGCTGAGGCAGGAGAATTGCTTGAACCCAGGAGGCAGAGGTTTTAGTGAGCCGAGATTGTACCATTGCACTCCAGTGTGGGCAACAGAGCAAGACTCTGTCTCAAAAATTTAAAAAAAAAAAATAAATAAATCATGGACCTAAAATGTGTTTATATGGATTTGTGGAAAACTCAGATCATCTGTGTGGCCTCTTGTGACTTTTACTTGTGACTAGAACTAGAACCACCATCCCGTACCTTTACTTAACGGCTTCACACTGACGAGAGGTTGTTCCTTTTCCTGTTCAGGAGAAGAGCGGGCACTGTGTCTTGTGGACGTGAAGAAAGTGAAACAGTCCCTGGCCCAGTCCCACCTGCCTGCCCAGCCCGACATCTCACCCAACATTTTTGAAGCTGTCAAGGGCTGCCACTTGTTTGGGGCAGGCAAGGTAAGCTCCCCTCAGAGTCCTAGCTGGTGGAATGTTCTGGAAATTGACACTACCTCTCTTCCCACAGAGCTCGTTGATTTGACCTTCAAGATAGTGTCAACTTAAATAACAAACAGAGAGGGGCTCTCTTGAAAGAAAAGAGATTGATTTGGGAACAGGGCTTTGCAATGGGAATACACGTGCCATTGTAAACTATGTGGGTATCTAGGGAGATAAAGGAAGACAGAGGTTTGTAAGTGAGGATTCCATAGTCTTTTTGAAATAATTATCCTTGGCTTCAAAGATTAATAACAAGACTGACGCTTGTCTAAGGTTGGACAGATAGTCACTGGGCGGATGTCCTTGCAGAAGTATTTTTTGTGTAAGATTGCAATGGCCTGGCCGGGCGCGGTGGCTCATGCCTGTAATCCCAGCACTTTGGGAGGCCGAGGCAGGTGGATCACGAGGTCAAGAGATCAAGACCATCCTGGCCAACATGGTGAAACCCTGTCTCTACTAAAAATACAAAAATTAGCTGGGCACGGTGGCGGGCGCCTGTAATCCCAGCTACTCGGGAGGCTGAGGGAGGAAAATGACTTGAACCCAGGAGGCGGAGGTTGCAGTGAGCCGAGATTGCGCCACCGCACTCCAGCCTGGTGACAGGGAAAAAAAAAACAGATTGCAATGGCCTTTGTGGTTTTCGTCGAGTCTCTTTTTTATCAGGCACACAAGTGTGAGAATCCTCTCTTCATGGCCTCCTCCTGCTCTAATGTCAGCGTTTTGTTAACATTGGCAGCTCCATTTTGATTCTGACAACTTTCACAATTGTACATCCTCAAACTAGGTTAAATTTCTGTTGCCTCCTTTAGGCACGTGAAATAATTTGTGTAGCCATGAAATTTGTACAGGTTTTGAATCTAAAATAAATGTCTGAGAGCAAAATGGGAATAAAATTAACAAAACTAGAAGGATGATCCATAATTTAAAAATAAGTGTGTTTGCATGTGCGTGTGTATGTCTGCTGTGTCTGTGAGAGAGAGATGAACCTTAAAAAAAATCTAATGTGGATCTCCATGTCTGAACTAGATGAAAGTATGTTTCATTACTAGAAATTTAAAAATTCGAATTTATGACATTTACATAACAAAGTTCATGAGAACTCAAGTTAATTCATTTGTAGCTTCTGGCATATTGAAAAGTGGCACATAAAATACCTTTGTTTGCTTCTTTAGTCAAAAAGTCAAAAAATAACAGATGCTGGTGAGGTCGTGGAGAAAAAGGAACACTTATACACTGTTGGTGGGAGTATAAATTAGTTCAACCATTGTGGAAGACAGTGTGGGGATCCTCAAAGACCTAAAAATGGAAATACCATTCAACCCAGCAATCCCATTACTGGGTATATACCCAAAGGAATATAAATCATTCTATTATAAAGTCACATGCATGTGTATGTTCATTGCAGCCTACTCATAATAGCAAAGACATGGAATCCACCTAAATGCCCATCAATGGTAGACTGGATAAAGAAAATGTGGTACATATACACCATGGAATATTATGCAGCTCTAAAAAAGAATGAGATCATGTCCTTTGCAGGAACATGGATGGAGCTGTAGGCCATTATCCTAAGCAAACTAATGCAGGAACAGAAAAACAAATACCACATGTTTTCACTTATAAGTGGGAGCTGAATGATGAGAACACATGGACACATAGAGGGGAACACACACACTGGGGCCCGTCAGAGGGTGGAGGGTGGGAGGAGGGAGGGGATCGGGAAAAATAACTAATGGATACTAGGCTTAATACGCAGGTGATGAAATAACCTGTACAACAAACCCCCATGACATGAGTTTATTGATACAACAAACCTGCACATGTGCCTGTGAACTTAAAAGTTAAAGTAGAAAATAATAAAAAAGAGTGTTTGCGGGTATATATACATGTACATGTATAACTTTAATTAAGTCTGAATCAGGTGTTTATAGACCCCCTGAGGCTACTGGCGTTCTGCTGTTGAAAACCATCGCATTTTGACCCTCAGAAGAGAGCACACTGCACATTTGTTCATTCAGCCGCTCAATCAACATTTTTTTTTTTTTTTTTTGACACAGAGTCTTGCTCTGTCACCCAGGCTGGAGCACAGCGGCACGATCTTGGCTCACTGTAGCCTCTGCCTCCCGGCTTTAAGCGATTCTCCCTCTTCAGCCTCCCAAGTAGCTGGGACTACAGGCACGCACCATCACAGCAGGCCAATTTTTGTATTTTTAGTAGAGACAGGGTTTGACCATGTTGGCCAGGCTAGTCTCGAACTCCTGGCCTCAAGTGATCCACCCACCTTGGCCTCCCAAAGTGCTGGGATTACAGGCATGAGCCACTGCACCTGGCCAAAATTTTTTTTTTTTTTTTTTTTTTTTTTTTTTTTGAGACAGAGTCTCACTCTGTCACCCAGGCTGGAATGCAGTGGTGTGATCTTGGCTCACTGCAGCCTCTGCCTCCCAGGTTCAAGTGATTCTTCTGCCTCAGCCTCCTGAGTAACTGGGATTACAGGCATGCCCACCATGCCCAGCTAATAAAAATTAGTTTTTTAAATTAGAAATTATTTTCATTCTAATATCTGAACTGTTCAAAAAATGTATGGAACATATATGTAAATCATAAAGCCTAATAATGTCGTAAGCATCCACACACTCACTACCCAGTCCAAGAAATAGAACATTGCTAACAATTTCCCTTTTCTTGTGTGTTCCTCCCTTATCCCGGCCCATCTTCATTCTCCCACTGTACCAGCTGCTGACCTTCGTGCCAGGACTAATTTGAGCAGTAAGCCTCATTTGGTGAATGATAAACATCTGGTTGTAGCAGGAGACGTTAAAAGGGTTTCAGCTGTTCTAGAAAAAGAGCGTTTTGATGTAGAACTCTGCACGTGTATGAGTTCTTAGCTAAGAACTTTTCCTTTTGGATTGAAATTTTCTCTAAATGTGGGCCGGGTGTGGTGGTTCACACTTGTAATCCCAGCACTTTGGGAGGCCGAGGCAGGCGGATCACTTGAGGCCAGGAGTTCGAGACCAGCCTGGCCAACATGGCAAAACCCCATCTGTACTTAAAATACAAAAATTGGCCAGGCATGGTGGTGCGCACCTGTGGTCCCAGCTACTTGGGAGGCTGAGGTGGGAGAATGGCTTGAAGCCGGGAGGTGGAGGCTGCAGTGAGCCGAGATCATGCCACTGCACTCCAGCCTGGGCGACAGAGTGAGACTCCGTCTCAGAAGAAAAGAAATTTTCTCTAAATTCGTTTAGCAGTCTCTACCACCTTTCCTCTCCCTTCCCTCATTCTGTCTTCTCCCTCCTCACAAGGGAAGTTTGTCAAAAGATTCTGTCTCCAGCAGAAGGCACATGTGTGGGAAAGGTGTGTGGTGTCAGGTGCCTCCCTGAGGCCTTCTCTGGATCCCAGGTAAAGCCTTGGTTCTCGACCAGGGGTAATTCTGCCTTACCAGGGGACATTTGGTAATGGCTGGAGACATTTTTGATTGTCACACATTGAAGTGCTGCAGGCATCTAGTGGGTCAAGGCCAGGGATACTGCTCATATCCTGCGATGCCCAGGACAGCCCTCCCCCCACCACACAGAATGATCTGGTCTGAATCATCAATGGCGCTGAGCCTGAGAGCTTTTCCTAGTTTTGCCCCACAGCCGGTATCACACTGGTGACAGTCTTTTTCTTTTCTTGGTTGCTTTTCAGATTGAGAACGGGCTCTGCATCTGTGCAGCCATGCCCAGCAAAGTCGTCATTCTCCGCTACAACGAAAACCTCAGCAAATACTGCATCCGGAAAGTAAGTCCTGGGCCTTGCCTTGGTTGAACGTGGGAAAGCCAGTCCTGCTCTCTCAGCGAGCCAGTGTGGAAAGTGCACTGTCCTGGGACACAGCCTGTACTGGGTTCCTTCTACCCTGCGGGCCTTTAGCCTGGGGTGACCTCTGTCGTCAGCGAGATCCTTCCTTTGTGGAGGATTCCCCAGGGCCACTAGTAGCTGCGGTTTCCCTCCTGCTTTTCTTCTCACATTTGCGAACTGCCTCCCCATCCAGCCCAGTGAGTTCAGCCTTTTGTTAGAACAGAAAGTTGACTGATAGGAAAAACCAGTGGAAAAAAAAAAGGGGGGGCTCTTTCTAAGATCCTAGCAGTCCCAGGTAGCACTTATCAGAATCTTTCTCAAATTCTAGAGGTGTCTATTAATATAACCTTCTGCAATAACCAGTGCTAGCAGTATTTTGATATGTAATTAGGGAGCTCCTTCTTTTCGGAGCAGAGTGAGCTGTGATGATGACTGCAATATGGACGAGATGTGTGTTAGATCCTTAAATCTGCCTGGCTTCTGGAGAATGCTGTCTGATGTCCCTACCTCGGAGTGTCCCACTCCTCCTAAGCCTGATATATTTCTGGTGCTTTCATGATTAGTCTCAAAAATGAAATGAGGCTGGGCATGTTGGCTCAGGCCTATAATCCCAGCACTTTGGGAGGCCGAGGAGGGTGGATCACTTGAGGTCAGGAGTTTGAGACCAGCCTGGCCAACATGGTGAAACCCTGTCTCTACTAAAAATACAAAAATTAGCCGGGCATGGTGGCGGGTGCTTGTTATCTCAGCTACGTGGGAGGCAGAGGCAGGAGAATTGCATAAACGTGGGAGGTGGAAGTTGCAGTGAACCGAGATTGCACTACCGCATTCCAGCCTGGGCAACAGAGCAAGACTCCATCTCAAAAAAAAAAAAAAAAAAAAAAGTGAAATGAAGGGTGAATAATATATAAGGGTCATTACCTGTTAGAGAAACTGTTCCATTCTGGGCAGGGTGGTGTTAGTTTAGTTGGTGTGTTCATTGGGTGCCCACCCTGTAAGGGACTGAACTGGCTGTTTTACAAGCACCTTTCACCACAGTTCTGAAAAGCAGAGACAGTTATTCCCAATTTTCAGGTAAGACAACTGAGGCTGGCAGAAAATCCTCAGTTACAAAGTTGAGGCCAGAACTGAAGTTTGATTTTTTTTCCTAGCATTTCACTATATCGTGCTTCCTCAAAGTTTTCCCATACTTAGTAGGTGACCAAGAAATATTCAGTGATGATGATAATGCTCACTAGAATTTGAACTGTTAGCTTCAGGAAAATTCTCAGAAATCATTGCTTCTTTATGATTCCCGGCCACACATTTTGAATAGGTGTGCCTGGTTTTTTGATGACATTAGGATTGGCCTAAAAACAACTAAAAATAATCAGGAAGCAGGTAATTAAGATGACAATAATGATGATCATGATGATGACTGCATAGGTAATATAGGTTCAAACTAGAAACTTAGAAGCTAGCAAAAAGAAGGAAACCAAAACCATTGCTGCTGACCACCACTGTTAATAGTTGTTGTATTTTTCCTGTATTTTTTTTTCCTGTGATAAGAATGTTGTATTGTTCAAGATCTGTCTCTTCATTGGAATGCTGTTTCTTTCTTTTCTTTCTTTTTTTTTTTGAGACAGAGTTTTGCTCTTGTCGCCCAGGCTGTAGTGCAATGGCACTATCTCAGCCCACTGCAACCTCTGCCTCCCGGGTTTGAGCGATTCTCCTGCCTCAGCCTCCTGAGTAACTGGGATCACAGGTGCACACCACCACACCTGGCTAATTTTTTGTATTTTTAGTAGAGACGGGGTTTCACCATGTTGGCTACACTGGTCTCGAACTCCTGACCTCAGGTGATCCACCTGCCTCAGCCTCCCAAAGTGCTGGGATTACAGATGTAAGCTACTGCGCCCAGCCTGGAATGGTGTTTCTGACCCCACCTTTTTTTGGCTGCAGTTTGACCTTGTTTTCTTAGTTTTGGGTTGCATGGAACAATAGGAAGAGAAAACAAATGGATCACTGTTCATCCTGAGAGGCATGAAAGGTGAATGGGGCGTGTGCAGTGGCTCAAGCTTGTAATTCTAATGCTTTGGGAGGCTGAGGTGGGAGGATTGCTTGAGCCCAGCAGTTTGAGGCTGCAGTGAGCTATGATCACACCACTGCACTCTAACCTAGGTGACAGAGCGAGATCTTGTCTCCAAAAAAAAAAAAAGATGAATGGCTCTCTATGACAACGTGAACAAGCTTGGTGACAATGTTCTCCAGGGCTTGGCTAGATGCTGTAGGCAGAAGCAGAACAGCTGTGGACCTTGGCTGCCCTGTGTTACCTCTCACATCCTTCTCTTCTGCTCTCATGTCTCAGGAGATAGAGACCTCAGAGCCCTGCAGCTGTATCCACTTCACCAATTACAGTATCCTCATTGGAACCAATAAATTCTACGAAATCGACATGAAGCAGTACACGCTCGAGGGTAGGACCCACCTCCACTTTCGCACCCACCCATGGCTCAGGCCGCGCTGAGACTCAGAACTCACTCCTGAAGCCCCGCTTCTCGCCTGCCTTTACAGAATTCCTGGATAAGAATGACCATTCCTTGGCACCTGCTGTGTTTGCCGCCTCTTCCAACAGCTTCCCTGTCTCAATCGTGCAGGTGAACAGCGCAGGGCAGCGAGAGGAGTACTTGCTGTGTTTCCACGGTGAGTCGTGGCTGCGCCCACTGCCCTTTTGGGTCCTCATGGACACTAGGGACCCATGAGGGGTTGGAGGAGGGTACATGGAGCTCTGGGGCAGGATAGGTTTGACTAGGGGTACAGAGAATGTCCTTCCAGCACCACCAAGTCCCCTTGGGGATGCTCCTCTCCATCACCAGATACTAGCGTGGTCTAACTTTATCACATTCTCTCCAAAGAGCAGGCAGTTTTTTCCTCATCCATCCCTTGCCTTTCTTTCTCTCCCTTTCCTTTCTCTTACTCTGTCCTCATTTCGTCCTCCCCTCCCTTCCCCTCCCTTTCCATCCTTCTATCTGTCCTTTTCTTTGTTGCATTCTTTCTTTTCTTTCTTTCTTGGGTCCTCCCCTCCCCCTCCCCATCCCCTCCCTCCCCTCCCCCTCCCCATCCCCTCCCTCCCCTCCCCCTTCCCTTCTTTCCTGAGTCTTTCCGTCTTTCCCTGTCTGTCCTCCTTCCTCCGGATCGCTTCATTCCCCTCTCTCTCTGTCTCTTTCTCTTTCCCTCTCCTCCTCTTATTCCTTTCCTTCTTTTCACTTGAGTTCTCTTTCTTTAATAAAATTTAATAAATTAAAATAAATTAAATTTAAAAAGTCCCTCATTTTTAATAAAGCTGAGAGCTGGCTCAGCAGAGGGCCTCTGGTTTTCACAGTCAGTCCCATCTGGCCAGGGGTCCCTGGGCTCTGCTCCTCATTCTTCCATCACCATGTGTGTCGCTGATGCCCCTGCTCTTGGCTGTGCTAATGCCCACGTGCTCTTGACACCTTGCAGAATTTGGAGTGTTCGTGGATTCTTACGGAAGACGTAGCCGCACAGACGATCTCAAGTGGAGTCGCTTACCTTTGGCCTTTGGTACGTGAGGCTCAGTGTGGGGGCTTCTCTTTTGCCAGCAGCTGGTGTCCTGGAAAAGAATTGCATCCGGGTGCGGTGGCTCACGCCTGTAATCCCAACACTTTGGGAGGCCGAGGCGGGTGGATCATGAGGTCAGGAGTTTGAGCCCAGCCTGACCAACATGGCGAAACCCCATTTCTACTAAAAATACAAAAATTAGCCAGGCATGGTGGCATGTGCCTGTAGTCCCAGCTACTCAGGAAGCTGAGGCAGGAGAATTGCTTGAACCCAGGAGGCGGAGGTTGCAGTGAGCTGAGATCACACCACTGCACTCCAGCCTGGGTGACAAAGCGAGACTCTGTCTCAAAAAAACAACAAAAAAAACCGCAATTGCAAGTGGAAATTTTTTTCTTTTTTGGCCTAAGCACTGTGCATGTGAATTCCATTAGATACCAAGTGCCATGTGTAACAGTCACCCGGAGAACTGTTCATGGAAAGATTCTGAGGCTCGATGAAGAGCTGCCTACGCCAGATTCACCAGCCCACAGTCCCAGCCCTGGGAAATATTTGCTAGGCTCTCATGATAGAAAGGAGCCCAATTCCTGTAGATTTATTTCAGTCATTTCCAAAGGCTGCAGAGTGTCCCATGGCATAGCTGAACACCTGTTCACTTAACCAGTTCTAATTAGGCAAAGCAGTAAGGCCATGCCCGTTTTGTTTGTAAGTGTAAACAACACTACGATGAACATCCTTGTACTAATCTTTTTGCACTTGTTAGATAGCACCCCCTGATTATAAGCTCCTAAAAGTGGAACTGTTGGATCAAAGACTAAACACACATACACATACAAGTATGTACATACGTATCTGTGTGAATGTTCTGAAATGCCGTCGTGGCCCAGATACCCTTCGAGGCTATTTTGTTTCTCTCTTGCTGCATAACAAGCCATCTGAAAGCTTAGTGACTTCAAACAACAGCTTATTATTGGCCCCAACTCCGTGGCTTGACTGGACAGTTCTGCTTCATGTGGTATCAGCAGGGCCACTGGGACAACTAGAAAGCCCAAGACAGGCTCACAAACATGGCACGCAATGAGTGCTGGCCATAATGTGGGCGCTTAGCTGCGGCTGGTGGCTGGAGGCCTTGTTGCTTTCCACGCTGGCTTCTTCCAAGAATATAGAAGCGGAAGCTGGCAAGCGTGCTCACTTCCACCACGCTCTACTGGTTAGAGCAGACCGCAGAGTCAGCCCAGATTCAAGGCCAGGGAACTGCACCGGGGCACGCATACCAGAGCCCATGACTTTAAAAGTCTAATACCAAGTCTTGCCACAAGGAATAATAGTGCTTTTTCCCTTTAAGGCAGAAAATATTTCCAGTCCTGTGTGCTCTAGTTTCAGTGACACTGTCATGCAGAGATAGAGTATTAAGAAGACCAGCAATGTCTAAATAGCTGTGAACCCAGTCTTTTTTTTAAAATAGAACCCAGTCTTTTTTTTTTTTTTTTTTTTGAGTCGGATTTTCACTCTTGTTGCCCAGGCTGTAGGGCAATGGCACAATCTCAGCTCACTGCAACCTCTACCTCCCGGGTTCAAGTGATTCTCCTGCCTCAGCCTCCCAAGTAGCTGGGATTACAGGCGCCTGTCACCATACCCGGCTAATTTTTTCTATGTTTAGTAGAGACAGGGTTTCACCATGTTGGCCAGGCTGGTCTTGAACTCCTGATCTCAGGTGATCCACCCGCCTCGGCCTCCCAAAGTGCTGGGATTACAGGCATGAGCCACCGCGCCCAGCCCGAACCTAGTCTTTTTAAAAATTGAATTCTTTGAAGATGTTTACAATCAGTTTTAAAAGGTATACAATGAAAAGTCTCACCCAGAGAGTCCATCTCCCAAATTCTCCATCGCTATTCCTCCAAAGAAAAAAAAGCTCATATGAGTTTCTTGTCCTTCCAGTACTTTATGCAAATACTAGCACATAAAATATATATATTCTTTTTTCCAGCTTTTTAAAAATCAGTAAGGCAGAATACTTCCCACATGATTCTGAACCTTGCTTTTTGCACTGAGCAGTGTACCTTGGGCATTCTTTCATATCTGTACAAAGAGAGCCTTTTCATGCATGTTTACAGCTGCACAGAATTCCATAGATGTATTATAATTTTTTTTTTTTTTTTTTGAGACAGAGTCTCCCTCTGTTGCCCAGGTCGGAGTGCAGTGGTGCCATCTCAGCTCACTGCAACCTCTGCCTCTTGGGTTCAAGTGATTCTCCCGCCTCAGCCTCCTGAGTAGCTGGGATTACAGGTGTACACCACCATGCCTGGCTAATTTTTGTATTTTTAGTAGAGATGGGGTTTCACCATGTAGGCCAGGCTGGTCTCGAACTCCTGACTTCAGGTGATCCACCTGCCTTGGCCTCCCAAAGTGCTGGGATTACAGGCGTGAGCCACCACGCCCAGCCAGATGTATTATAATGTATTTAGCCAATCCCTACACTGTACACTTGAGTTGTTTTCCATCTTCTGCTGTAACAAACCACACGGCAGTGAATATCCTCGAACATGCATGACTGTTCTGGCGCATAGATATGTATTTGTTGGGTGAGTTGCTTTACACAGGATTGCTGGGTCAAAGAATGCATTGCAGTCAGATTTTGATTTTCCCTCTTTTCACCATTCTTTGGCCCACACTGTGCCTGCATGGTGATCACACAGCCTACAGAGAACCCTATCTGTTTGTGACCCACTTCAACTCACTCGAAGTAATTGAGATCCAGGCACGCTCCTCAGCAGGGTAAGCATTGTCCTCCCATGCGTGGAAAACTTCAGCTATTGGGGTAGGTGTTGGGGCCGGCCGCATGTTCCTTCCTAACTTGCCTAGCAATGGAGGTAGCCTGCAATGAAGGTAACTGGAACTCTGGGACTCTGCAGGACCCCTGCCCGAGCGTACCTGGACATCCCGAACCCGCGCTACCTGGGCCCTGCCATTTCCTCAGGAGCGATTTACTTGGCGTCCTCATACCAGGATAAATTAAGGGTCATTTGCTGCAAGGGAAACCTCGTGAAGGAGTCCGGCACTGAACACCACCGGGGCCCGTCCACCTCCCGCAGGTAACCAGCTTCTCCTCTTCCTCAGTACCAGGGGCAACGTGCTTTTCTGCAAGGCAGAAGGAAGTGATACTAAACCAGTAGAATGTTTCCCAATCTTCACTTTGTTCTTAAGCTCAAACCATTCATTTGTTTGCGATCTGCGGCACTGAAATAACACAGACCATTATGAGCATCAGGAGAATTAGAAAATACCACCTTGCAAAAGTCAGAGGGGAGAGGTCTGATCTTTCTCTCCTGGGTATTTTCATTGGCTTGGTGAGAAATGGAGCACAAATTAGGCATTTATTGCTTTAGCAGGTATTCTGCGGTGCTAGTTGTTGGGCTTGTGGGGGAGGGAGAATGGTGAATAAAGCAGATGTAGCCCCTCCCTGATGGCACTCACAGCCCAGTGGGAGAGATGCTGGCAATCAGAGATTAAGGCATGGAAGGATGAGGCCCTGGTGGGGTGGTTGAAAGCCTGGACGTGGAGGTGAGGGAGGATTTCCCATCAGATACGAGGTGGGGGCAGGGAGACCAGTGAGGGGTGCTCAGGCAGGAGGGAAGGCAAGCCATGCCTGGAGGTCCAGAGATGTGAGGTCGTGAGAGCAGGTCAGGGACTCCTGGCCAGCCTCGTGCCTTCCCTGGAATGCGAGACCTCCTGAACAGGATTGGACTCAAACAGCCATTGATAAAGAAGCAGTTAAATAAATTAAAGTACAGCCCTGGGAAGGAATGTTGTGCAGGCATCTGGGGAAAAGAATGAAGAACTCACACTGACATGGAGCAATCGCCAAGACACATCAAGGTACAGGAGAGTATGCAGATATGCTGCCACTTGTATTAAAAAGGAGGGGAGGTGGTGCGGTGGCTCACACCTGTAATCCCAGCACTTTGGGAGGTGAGGGCTGGCAGATCACTTGAGCCCAGGAGTTCAAGACCAGCCTGGGCAATGTGGTAAAACCCTATCTCTACAAAAAATACAAAAATTAGCCAGGTGTGGTGGTGTGTGCCTGTAATCCCGGCTACTCTGGAGGCTGAGGTGGCGGGGACTGCTTGAGCCCTTGAGGCGGAGGTTGCCGTGAGCTGAGATCACACCACTGTACTCCAGCCTGGGCACAGAGTGAGACCCTATCTCAAAATCAAAAAAGGATGGGAAGGGCACTTCCAGAATTTCAGAGTAAGGACCTCTGATAACCTGTTTCTCCATAAAGGCAACGGGACCACTGGCAATTATCAAAATCAACTTTTCAGAGCTCTGGAAATTAACCCTAGCCCTCTGAGTGGTCTCTGTCAAGGCAGAGTCAAACCAAAAGAGTCAGGAGCACATGGGTATTTGGCACCTCTGCTTTTCCAGCAAGTTCCTGGGATCAAAACCACATTGAACAAGCATGTTCCAAAAAAAGGCCTCTTCTTAAAAGGCATTCTTTTTAAATTTTACTTCTTTTTGAATTGATAATCTAACCACAGGGCACAGAATTCAAAGGATAAGAAAGGTGTACAGTACAGAGCCTCTCTTCTGGGTCTCTCTTGCCTCCTAACTCTCCTCACTCCCTCTCCCCAGGTCCCCACCTGGGAAGGAACCAATTTTTTGAAGTTTTTGTGTTTCCGTTTAGGGATCCTTTATGCCAATACAGCCAGCCCTCTCTGTCTATAGGTTATGCCTCTGTAGATTCAATAAACCATGGATTGAAAATATTTGAAAAAATAATTGTGTTTGTACTGCACATGTTCAAGCTTTTACAAATTGTCATTATTCCCTAAACAATATAGTATAACAGCTATTTACAGAGCATTTACATTGTATTAGGTGTTATAAGTAATCTAGAGATGATTTAAAGTGTACAACAGGATGTGTGTAGGTTATATGCAAATACACTCCCCCTACTTTTTTTTTGGGACAGGGTCTCTGTCATCTAAGCTGGAATGCAGTGGTACCAGCTCACTGCAGCCTCGACCTCTGGGCTCAGGTGATCCTCCTACCTCAGCCTGATGAGCAGCTGGGATTACAGGTGTGTGCCACCACACCCAGCTAATTTTTGTATTTTTTGTAGAGATGGAGTTTTACCATGTTGCCCAGGCTGGTCTCAAACTCCTGGGCTCAAGTGATCTGCCCGCCTTGGCCTCCCAAAGTGCTAGGTTTATAGGCTTGAAGCACTGTGTCTGGTCCTACACCATTTAATATAAGAGATGTGAACATCCATAGATTTTGGTACCCACAGGAAGTCCTGGAAGCAGTCCCCCAGGCCACCAAGGGACAACTGTACAACCAAATGTACAGTCAGATCCACTGCCCTGAGAATGGGTCTTTTCCACGGAGCGTCGCTAGGCAGGTCAGATAGCAACAGTTTTCTGGGGATGGGGCTTTTTGGGGAGCTTCAATCCTGATCTGCTCCCTCTAGTGGCTACTAGACTGCTGGTTTTCACAGCTACTGTGGTTCCAAGGACATTGGTTTCAACTCTTCCACAGATCTGGGGAGAGGGGAGTGGGTATGGGGCAAGTTGAATGTCACAAAACATTCGGTTCTTGCTGAGATTCCTTTGTTTTTCTTGCATAAACACTCTTTGAATTGTTGCAGGCCTTTTTTGCAACATGCTTGTTCAGTGTGGTTTTGATCCCAGGAACTTGCTGGAAAAGCAGAGGTGCCAAATACCCACGTGCTCCTGACTCTTTTGGTTTGACCCTGCCTCGAGAGTGGCCGCGCAAAGGGCTAGGGTTAATTTCTAGAGCTCTGAAAAGTTGATTTTGACAACTGCCAGTGATCTTGTTGCTTTTATGGAGAAACAGGTTGTGAGAGGTCCTTAGTCTGGCATTCTGGAAGTGCCCTTCCCCTCCTTGTTTATTTATTTTTTATTTTTATTTATTTATTTTTTTTCGAGGTAGGGTCTCACTCTGTGCCCAGGCTGGAGCACAGTGGCGTGATCTCGGCTCACTGCAACCTCCGCCTCCTGGGCTCAAGAGAGCCCCCGACTTCAGCCTCCCCCCGAGTAGCTGGGACTACAGGCGCCCGCCACCACACCTGGCTAATTTTTGTATTTTTTGTAGAGACAGGGTTTTACCACATTGCCCAGGCTGGTCTTGAACTCCTGGGCTCAAGCAATTTGCCTGCCCTGGCCCCCCAAAGTGCTGGGATTACAGGTGTGAGCCACTACACGCAACCACCCCTCCTTTTTAATACAAGTGGCAGCATATTCTGCATACTCT
The DNA here is from genome assembly GCF_000001405.40 of Homo sapiens. NCBI lineage: Eukaryota > Metazoa > Chordata > Mammalia > Primates > Hominidae > Homo > Homo sapiens. The sequence continues at coordinate 119,694,477 of NC_000012.12, read as the reverse complement.
CCTGTACCTTGATGTGTCTTGGCGATTGCTCCGTGTCAGTGTGAGAAGTAGTTATTCATTCATTTCTCCCCAGATGCCTGCACAACCTTCCTTATCAGGGCTGTACCTTAATTGGTTTAACTGCTTCTTCATTAATGGCTGTTCGAGTTGTCTCCAATCTGTTGCTGCAATAAATGACTTTCTCCTTACGTCATTTTACATGCTGAGGAATCTATCTGTAGGATAAATTCCTAGAAAAGTGTGGGTGAATGGGTGATGGCTGATGTGGATTTGTAAATCTGATGGACAGTGTGGAGTTTTCTGCCCTGAAGGCTTCTCCCATTTGCCATCCCACCAGCTGCGTGTGGAAGTGGGACTGGCCTCGTCTTGACACAGTGCTAGGAGCTAGATCCAGCTCGAGGTGTAGGAAGTTTGAAACCTTGGCCTGCAAAGAAGGTCTGAGATTATTTAACCCCGGGAATAAATGACCTAAGATAATCTTCTGGATTATTATAAGGTGTGTCTACCTTCTAAATAGTTATGTGGACTCCATACCATGTGCCCGACATAATGTCTATGGCTGGGGATACAGAGATGTAGAAAGCATGTTCTTATATTCCAGGAGCCCATAATTTGGTGGAAGAACCACAACTAATATTACAAAATACCAAGATCTTGGGCAAGACTGTCCTAATGAATAATCTCTCTTTTGTTGATGTATAGGAGTTAATTAATCTGAAATGTTTGGTTAGTGTGGTTTTAACCTGAGGAACTTGCTGAAAAACCAGAAGTGCCAATAATTAAATGCTCCTAACTCTTGGCTTGGCCCTGCTTCAAGAGTGACTGCTCAGTGCACCACAGTCCTCCCCTGAAAATGTCTAGATCTTTTTTAAGTAGTTCCCAAGTCATGCCAGAAACACATTGAAATATTGTAATTAGATTTTTTTCCTCCGTTGCCTCACTGGATAGGTGGCCAGGCACCTTGCTTTTGAGATTATATAGTCTCTCAAAGGAGTTGCTTACTGTGCGATCAAAACAGTTCCAGTTCCTGAGAACGAGGGGCAGAAAAGTGTTTGCTTTCCTGTGGCATGTCTGGAAAATCAGTAGTTGGTTATCTCTTGGCTTATAGAATGATCTTTTGGTCGCTGACTTCTTTGGGCAGTTGAGAATGTAGAAGGTTGGCTTTCTGGGTCTGATTCACTGCAGGCTTCGTTGCCCTGGTCTGTTTAGCAGAGCAGGAAACGTAACTCCTTGCCAAAAAACCATAAAATTGATGTGGTAGATTATGGGTCATTAATGGATAAGGAGATGGAAGACTGCCCACTTGGCTTGGAATGACGGGTGTGTTCCTTCCTCCCGTTAATCTCAGCTGACGTCCTGAATGGCCTTCCCTTGAGCAATCCTTCTTCCCCTGGCCAGTGAGCACCCTCTCATTTGTTTTATGATAGTTTCTTGTGGACACATCTTATCATTTCTTTTCCATTACAAGTAGGCTTAATGTAGTTCTCCTACTCGGAATTTATTTTTTTGTTTGTCTTCCAGATTTCAAAGCCATATGGCTAGAGATGAATATAAACCTTGATTTCAAGATGTTGAAATCTGAGTTATCTTAAATCTTACTGCTGCAGAGACAGGGGTTCTGGCCTTCTGAGCATTCGTTGTCTGAATCTCCAAACGTTACAGTTGCATGGGAAAGCAAGAGCATGGCATGAAACTATTCACTATGAACTGAGCCCTTATGAAATTATCTCTGCACACCAACTTCTCTGTTATATTGTAGAGGAGGAATTGGCAAACTTTTTCTGCACAGGTTTAGATGGTAAATATTTTCGGCTTTGTGAGCCATATGGTCTCTGTCTCAGCTGCTCAACCCTGTTGTGGTCATGCGGAAGCAGCTGTAAGACAATGCATAACCAGATGGGCATGGCTTCATTCCAATAAAACTGTATTTATAAAAACAAGCATCTTCCGGATTTGGCCCTCAAGCCTGTTCTAGAGTCTCTCCTTCCACAATAAACACTGTCTTTGCTGTCGCTTCTCAATTATGGACGTTGACAGAAGAGGTTCTGATACAGTTAGACCAATAATTGAAGAAAGAAATGAACAAGTTGATAAAATTATAGCCTCTTCCAATGAGAAGGATTTAAATATCAAGGATTAAGATAGTCCTTTGGGAAAACACTTTTCTTGTTTTAATTTTTAGTTTTAGTTTTTTAGAAGCGGGGTCTTGCCATATTGCCCGGGCTGGTCTTGAACTCCTGGGCTCAAGCAATTCTCCTTCCTTAGCCTTCCTAATAGCTAGGACTACAGGCATGCATCACTGTGCCCGGCTTTTTCAAATATTTTTGAAGAGCCTTCTTTAGGATCCACTGCAAAAGTCCAATGTGTCCAACGTTGGTGTCAGAGCATGTTAGCAGCAATTTTGTTGAGACAATTAGCACAAAACAAATCATTCTGTGATTCATGCTTGGTTCATTTTTGGAATCAGCATGTAATTGCATTGTAATTTAAATACTAAAAATATCTAGCATAAAATAAGTTTATATTCCAAGATAAAGCCTCAATCAAACAAAATATGTTTTCAAGTAATATTCACTGTAATTTTTTTCCTCCATTTTAAGTAGGGCCTTTTCCAAGCACAAATTATGCTGAGATAATAGGGACCCTAGTACTTTTAGAGCTGATCAAGGGTGGGAAAGAATTGACTCAGAAGGCCACATTTCAGTTCTCTCTGTGTTTGTAGGTCTTACTACATCTTCAGAGAGGGAGTTTGGCCCCTGGGTCTGCTGAAATCTTCATTTGAAATATCCAGGCCAGGAGTGGGTGGAGGATTGGGTTGGGTTGTACAAAAAGGCCGCAGTGTTTTCAACTGCTTGGTTACTAATTATCAACCTTTGAGGCCTGGGACGTTTTCTGAGCCCGCTTTACTTTGTCTGCCCTGCTCAGTTTCCTGACTCTATCAGGCCTGATCCCTACACCTCTCGGTCGTCTTATTGTCATGACTGAGAACCATCCACCTTCTGAGCATCTGCATTTGCATCAGGTGTCAGAGACTCTTGGAAAGCCACATGGGGGCAGAGGTGACCAAACACGAGGCCCAGGAGTGGGACAGACATGGCAGTTAACAGTGATCAGTACAGGGTTTCTCCAAACTGCTTCCTTGCACTGAGGGCCTTTGTGGGTCCCTGACTTCTGGGTCTTAGTAGGCTGACCTCCTAGTTGATGACTTCCTTCTGTGCCTTCTAGGCTCTGGGAAATAGTAGGTCAGTAGGATATTATATGGGGCTTATGACATCAAACTGGTCTTTTTTTTTTTTTTTTTTTTTTGAGACGGAGTCTTGCTCTGTCACTTAGGCTGGAGTGCAGTGGTCCGATCTTGGCTCACTGCAACCTCCGCCTCCCCAGTTCAAGCAATTCTCCTGCCTCAGCCTCCTGAGTAGCTGGGACTACAGGCACACGCCAACACGCCCGGCTAATTTTTGTATTTTTAGTAGAGACGGGGTTTCACCATGTTGGCCAGGCTGGCCTCGATCTCCTGACCTCGTGATCTACCTGCCTCGGCCTCCCAAAGTGCTGGGATTACAGGTGTGCGCCACTGCGCCTGGCCTATCAAACTGGTCTTTATTGGAATCCCAGCTCTACCACTCATTAGCTCAGGCAAGTCACCTAACTCCTGTCTGTCCCCATTTTCTTGCCTGTACAGTGAGGGTCATGCTTGTTCATAGCTCAGGAGCTGCTGTGATGATTTAATGAGATAATGAGAGATGGCAGATGAAGAACTTAGCACAGGCCTGGCACACAGTAGGTGCTCAGTAAATGAAAGCCTGCACTGAGGAAGGTGGGTTGTCTTTTGTTGCCATCTTTGCTCTCTTCCCTGTCTTTGCTACCAAAATCAAATGCAGGCAAAGTCCAAAGAACTCCAGGTCTAATCTCTTGATAATCAGTGGTGAGGCTGGGTCAAGGAGGGGGTTGCTCAGGTAAGAAGGAAAATGCCCCTCTGGGGTTGTGGCCTCGCAGCTCCCTACGTTCCTCTTGTGTCGCCAGCAGCCCCAACAAGCGAGGCCCACCCACGTACAACGAGCACATCACCAAGCGCGTGGCCTCCAGCCCAGCGCCGCCCGAAGGCCCCAGCCACCCGCGAGAGCCAAGCACACCCCACCGCTACCGCGAGGGGCGGACCGAGCTGCGCAGGGACAAGTCTCCTGGCCGCCCCCTGGAGCGAGAGAAGTCCCCCGGCCGGATGCTCAGCACGCGGAGAGAGCGGTCCCCCGGGAGGCTGTTTGAAGACAGCAGCAGGGGCCGGCTGCCTGCGGGAGCCGTGAGGACCCCGCTGTCCCAGGTGAACAAGGTGAGGCAGCATTCCGAGGCCTGTGTGTCTGTTGCGGAGGCCAGGAGTGACTTGGGGAACTGAGGCCCCCACGGGGCCACTGTTGTTTAAAAAAGGAACTCCATGACTGTAATTCAGACTTTGCGAGACACAGGAATTTAGGAAGAAAATGTACCTTAAGAAATAGCTTCCTGGCCGGGCGTGGTGGCTCACGCCTGCAATCCCAGCACTTTGGGAGGCCGAGGCGGGTGGATCACGAGGTCAGGAAATCGAGACCATCCTGGCTAATGTGGTGAAACCCCGTCTCTACGAAAAAAATACAAAAAATTAGCCGGGTGTGGTGGCTGGTGCCTGTAGTCCCAGCTACTTGGGAGGCTGAGGCGGGAGAATGGCGTGAACCCGGAGGGCGGAGCTTGCAGTGAGCCGAGATCGCGCCACTGCACTCCAGCCTGGGTGACAGAGCGAGACTCTGTCTTAAAAAAAAAAAAAAAAAAAAAAAAAAAAAGAGCTTCCTAAGCAAATGGATAACGTGTGTGTAATTGAAAAGGAAAATATGTATGCATGTAACTCAAAATATAATAGCTACCAAAAAATGTTTTCCCTTCTCCAGAGGCAAGTGGTAGCAGTTTCTAGAGATATTCTGTGCGTACCAGCAAATATATATGTGTGCTCTCCTTTTGAAACCCAAATGATAGCATCCTATATGAAATGTTGCATGCTTTTTTCAAACATAGATATAGATTCACACACATACACACATATGCTTTTCTTTTTTTTTTTTTCTTTTGAGAGACAGCGTCTTGCTCTGTTACCCCAGGCTGGAGTGCAGTGGCGTGATTATAGCTCACGGCAGCCTCAAACTCCTGGGCTCAAGTGATCCTCTCACTTCAGCCTCCTGAGTAGCTGGGAATATGGGCTGTAGCTACCATGTCTGGCTAACTTTTTCCCCCACTTTTTGTTTGTTTGTTTGTTTGTTTGTTTTGTTTTGTTTTAGAGACAGGGTCTTACTATGTTGCCCAGGCTGGAGTGCAGTGGTGTGATCATAGCTCACCACGGCCTTGAACTTCTGGGCTCAAGTGATCCTCCAGCCTCAGCCTCCTGAATAGCTGCGACTACAGGCTCAAGCCACCATCTGTCTGATTCCCACCCCCACCCCCGGCCCTTTTTATTTTTTTTAGAGACATAATGTCGCTATGTTGCCCAGGCTGGTCTTGAACTCCTGGGCTCAAGCAATCCTCCCACCTTGGCCTCCCAAAATGCTGGGATTACAGGCGTGAGTCACCACGCTCAGCCCACACATGTGTATATATAAATTGTTTTTCTGGAAGGCTACACAGAAAGTGTTCACAGTGGTTGCCTTCCAGAAGAACTTTGAACTTTTGGAAATGTTTAAATCATGTGCATGAATGATCTGTGTAATTTTAGGTTTGCGATCGAGGAGAGGGATGGGTGTGGAAGACCAGGGGCTCCCCCAGGCAGGGCATGGCTCAAGTGCTTGGTGCCTCCTTAGCAGGCTAAGCAGGTCAAGGAGCCACCTTTCTGCCATTTGGGGCTGATTTTCTGGGTGGCATTCTCCTTCTGATGCCACCTGCAGTTCACCTGCTGGTAAAGAAAGAAGGAAACACCATCCATATGGCTTCTTATCCCTCCCAATTGACCGATGAAACTGTGTATGTGCATGTGTGTGTATCACATGCTTACAGCATCGCAGGTACACACACGGCTTTGGGATTTTCCAGTGAGTTTCACTCCCTGGCTTCCCCAGGCTCTGGAGCGGGTGCTGCCCTGCCAAGCACTCACTGCTAGCTGCTGAAGGGGATAGCCCAGGGGCTGCAGATTCCCATTTGCATCATGCAAGGTGAGCACAGCAACTTCTGGCCTCGGATGGCTAACACTCCTCCTTATTTCACTCCTAGGTCTGGGACCAGTCTTCAGTATAAATCTCAGCCAGAAAAACCAACTCCTCATCTTGATCTGCAGGAAAACACCAAACACACTATGGAACTCTGCTGATGGGGACCCAAGCGCCCACGTGCTCAGCCACCCTCTGGCTCAGCGGGGCCCAGACCCACCTCGGCACGGACACCCCTGTCTCCAGGAGGGGCAGGTGGCTGAGGCTCTTCGGAGCTGTCAGCGCCCGGTGCCTGCCCTGGGCACCTCCCTGCAGTCATCTCTTTGCACTTTGTTACTCTTTCAAAGCATTCACAAACTTTTGTACCTAGCTCTAGCCTGTACCAGTTAGTTCATCAAAGGAAACCAACCGGGATGCTAACTACAACATGGTTAGAATCCTAATTAGCTACTTTAAGATCCTAGGATTGGTTGGTTTTTCTTTTTTTTTTCTCTTTGTTTCTTTCCTTTTTTTTTTTTTTTTTTTAAGACAACAGAATTCTTAATAGATTTGAATAGCGACGTATTTCCTGTTGTAGTCATTTTTAGCTCGACCACATCATCAGGTCTTTGCCACCGAGGCATAGTGTAGAACAGTCCCGGTCAGTTGGCCAACCTCCCGCAGCCAAGTAGGTTCATCCTTGTTCCTGTTCATTCTCATAGATGGCCCTGCTTTCCCCAGGGTGACATCGTAGCCAAATGTTTACTGTTTTCATTGCCTTTTATGGCCTTGACGACTTCCCCTCCCACCAGCTGAGAATGTATGGAGGTCATCGGGGCCTCAGCTCGGAGGCAGTGACTTGGGGCCAAGGGACCTCGAGACGCTTTCCTTCCCCACCCCCCAGCGTCATCTCCCCAGCCTGCTGTTCCCGCTTTCCATATAGCTTTGGCCAGGAAAGCATGCAATAGACTTGCTCGGAGCCCAGCACTCCTGGGTCTCGGGGTCGGGGAGGGGACGGGGGCACCCACTTCCTTGTCTGTGACGGCGTGTTGTTCCCCACTCTGGGATGGGGAAGAGGCCCGTCGGGAGTTCTGCATGGCAGTTCACTGCATGTGCTGCCCCCTTGGGTTGCTCTGCCAATGTATTAATACCATCCCATAGCTCCTGCCAAATCGAGACCCTCTGACGACTTGCCGACTAACTGGCCACCACAAGCTGCAGTCTGTAGCACTGAACAAACAAAAAACAAAACGCTCAAGCCTTACGACCAGAGAAGGATTTCAGCAAACCACCACCTCCCACTCAGTGTCCCCTCCAAACTTCACACTTCCCTGCCTGCAGAGGATGACTCTGTTCACACCCAATCCAGCGCGGTTCTACCCCACGAAACTGTGACTTTCCAAATGAGCCTTTCCCTAGGGCTAGACCTAAGACCAGGAAGTTTGAGAAAGCAGCCGCAGCTCAACTCTTCCAGCTCCGCCAGGGTTGGGAAGTCCTTAGGTGCAGTGCGGCTCCCACTGGGTCTGCGGACCCTCCTATTAGAGTACGAAATTCCTGGCAACTGGTACAGAACCAACCTAGAGGCTTTGCAGTTGGCAAGCTAACTCGCGGCCTTATTTCTGCCTTTAATCTCCCACAAGGCATCTGTTGCTTTGGGTCCTCCACGACTCTTAGGCCCGCCTCAACAACCCAGGCACCTCCTAGGTAGGCTCAAAGGTAGACCCGTTTCCACCGCAGCAGGTGAACATGACCGTGTTTTCAACTGTGTCCACAGTTCAGATCCCTTTCCAGATTGCAACCTGGCCTGCATCCCAGCTCCTTCCTGCTCGTGTCTTAACCTAAGTGCTTTCTTGTTTGAAACGCCTACAAACCTCCATGTGGTAGCTCCTTTGGCAAATGTCCTGCTGTGGCGTTTTATGTGTTGCTTGGAGTCTGTGGGGTCGTACTCCCTCCCCTCCCGTCCCCAGGGCAGATTTGATTGAATGTTTGCTGAAGTTTTGTCTCTTGGTCCACAGTATTTGGAAAGGTCACTGAAAATGGGTCTTTCAGTCTTGGCATTTCATTTAGGATCTCCATGAGAAATGGGCTTCTTGAGCCCTGAAAATGTATATTGTGTGTCTCATCTGTGAACTGCTTTCTGCTATATAGAACTAGCTCAAAAGACTGTACATATTTACAAGAAACTTTATATTCGTAAAAAAAAAAAGAGGAAATTGAATTGGTTTCTACTTTTTTATTGTAAAAGGTGCATTTTTCAACACTTACTTTTGGTTTCAATGGTGGTAGTTGTGGACAGCCATCTTCACTGGAGGGTGGGGAGCTCCGTGTGACCACCAAGATGCCAGCAGGATATACCGTAACACGAAATTGCTGTCAAAAGCTTATTAGCATCAATCAAGATTCTAGGTCTCCAAAAGTACAGGCTTTTTCTTCATTACCTTTTTTATTCAGAACGAGGAAGAGAACACAAGGAATGATTCAAGATCCACCTTGAGAGGAATGAACTTTGTTGTTGAACAATTAGTGAAATAAAGCAATGATCTAAACTAATGTGTGCTTTAGTGCAATGACCTCTTCTTTTTTTGAGAGACTGTGAAAGAAAAACTATCACCAGCGTGTCAGTGTAGGTGTATTATCATGGATGGGACCTTCTTTACGTTGTGGGGAGGGTTTTCCTCTGGAGTGGGATAGAGGAAGCCACGTGGTGGTTAGGGCACACTGCTATCCTGGAATTAAGCGATTGGTGACATTCTCTGCCAAGAGTTTGACTGTGGAAATTTGGTCAATACTTCCAGTGAACCATGAACTGGCTATTAAGGTCATTTTATAGGACTGCAGAGCTGGAAAGCTCTTCAAGCAGTCACACAGGACATTTGGAAAGGATTACTGAAGAATGGATTACCCAGTTCTATAATCAGCTAACCAGGAACAGGTCAGCTCAAGATATCTTTCATCTATTAAAAGGCCAACTACAATTTAATAATGTAGATTTCTTTGTAGAGAAGAATTCAAATCAAAGGTAATTAAAAATGAAAATACTTCCATTTTTAAGTAGAGGAACTTTTACAGTCTGCAAGATAAATTTTTTCTCATTCTTTAGTTTGTTAGTATAAACTTGCTCGATCCAGACAAACGGGTTTTGGCAAATGGTGATGTTTTTGTTTTCATGGTTCCTGTGGGTTGTAGTCTTTGAATTTTTATTTTCTAATGAAGTCGTCTGACCACGGTCAAAATTGGACTCGCAGAGTCGTATCTGTCTTTGTTGCTTGTGATGGGAACCACAGATGCAATTCTGTTCTTTTCGATGTTACTGTTGGGCATGAAAATCTGCCACAAGGTCGTAGTTGTAAGAATGAAAATAATTCAGAAGATGAAGTGGTGAAATGTGAACCTTTCTTTCCTTGTAGCATTAGAAAAACATCTGTTAAATATCAACCAAGCATTTCAGTGATTGTCTAGAGGATTGTGGGAGGTCACAGAAAACTTCCAAAGCTAAGTCAACATAGTTTGGTTTCAAAAGGAAGTGCCAAGGAAGAGTGTTTGAACCCTAAGGAATAGCCCGAAAGAAACAACCAACCAATTCCACAGCCACACCGTAAAATGAGGCCTAACTCTTCATGCTGGCCACTCCTGTTTCATAAGCACAAAATTAGATGTCATGTTTTCTGCGCTTACAACTTAATTGTCACCGGACTAAAGAGGTTGATTGCATAGCAAATTCCATAACCATGGAACTTTAGGATTTGGAGGGTTAGGCCAAAAGAGAATTTGCTTAATAGGACTGTCTTCAGAATTGGACCTCTTGAATGTGATTTGCTATAGAAAGCATTCGTGGGGGCCAGCTCAGATTCCATTCTCAGAATACAGTGGTTACACTGGCTTGTTCCACTGGTTCTAAGCCATGGGGAGATTTTGCTTCCCTCCTCCCAGAGGACATTTGACAATGTCTGGAGACATTTTTGGTTGTCACAACTCGGGAGTACTACTGGTATCCAATGGGTGGAGGTCAGAGATGCTGCTCAACATCCTACAAGGCAAAGGACAGCCCCCCACTGTAAAGCATTATCTGGCCCAAAGCCTCAATAGTGCCAAGGTTGAGAAACCGTGGTCTGTTCTAGTTTTAGTCCCATGTCTTCCTTGGCAATTTAAATACTGCTAATGATGTCTAAAGCATGTAGACCGTGGCTCTAGGCCTACAGTGTTAAATGAGAAAAATAGTTTCTTATTTGCCCACTCAAATGCTGAAGCTGTTTCCTGAAGCTGGGGAGGGTGGGGGTAGTGGAAATAGAGTCCAGTGTTGATCACTTTGTTTTCCCTTGAGTCTGTTAATGATGAACGGAACTCTATTTGCCCTAGAGAGATTGTTAGAGGTAGATGAAAGAACCTTGAAAATGACTTTATTACTCTGCATAAGTCAGGCTGTCTTTCAGAGAGCCACAAAAAAGGAAACAAAAAATCGACCAAGGGTATACACATCTTGGCCTGTTCTCACTGGCCACTGAGTATTTCAGATGGGATGGGTGAATTCTTTTAGGGGGAGGTAGCAGTAAGAGCTGGCATCCTCATCTGGGGAAAGGCTCTTTAGTTGTATGAAAGACAAGACGACAATGTAGTTGTGGGAGCCCACCCTGAGGGCAGAGCCTGGTGGCTCGTTCTAGAGCCAGTGGCTGGGGTCCCAGAGACGGGGCTCCGGCTGCTGCTCCAGCTTTTGGGATCTTCTCCAAATGTCTGACTCACTATAGTGACGATGACTCTTAGGAGGATCCTGTGGATGTTTTTACAATTAATAGGGATGACTGGGGTTTTAGAAGAAATGTATACGTATCTACAACTTCCATGTTTTCTCCTGAAGACAATTATAGTTGGCATACCAGGGCAGAAGGCTCTAGTTTGTTTCTCCACTAATTTGCTGGCCAAGATGAGTGCTGAAGCTTTTATTCCTCAGAAACTTTATGATTTGATGAGTGGTCCATGTCTTGGGTCTTCATCAATTCATTCAAACCATTTGTAAACATTGGTGGATGTCTTAGCCCATTTAGTGCTGCTTTAACAAAATACCTGAGAATGGGTAATTTATAAAGAACAAAAATTCATTCTCTCACAGTTCTGGAGGCTGGGAAGTCCAAGATTAAGGCATGGGCAGGTTTGCTTGTCTAGTGAGGGCTACTCTCTGCTTCCCAGATGGCGCCTTGTGCTTGGGTCCTCTGCAGGGGAGAAAAGCTGTGTGTCCTCACATGGCAGAAGGTGCCAGGGCACATGAGCTGAATGCTGCCTGAAGCCTCTTTGATAAGAACCTCAATTTCATTCATGAGAGGAGGGGCTCTCATGACCTAATCTCTTCTTAAAGGCCCTACCTCTTAATACTATCACATTGGGGACATTTGAATTTTGAAGGTGACACAATAGCAGAGGAGGATCAGATATGGGAAGTAAATGCTTGAAAGTGAAACTGTGCTCATACAAAAGGAACTGAATTAAAATGAAATTTTGTTCTTTCCTAGACTGGCTCGTTCAGTCTCTGACCTCAGCCACAGATCGTATCATGATGTTCCAGGTTTTTTCTCTCAGTCTTTTAGGAGCCTTGGAGATTTCCTAATTGAGCTAGCTGAGGTGCAGGCACAATTTTCTTGTCTGGCCTTTTGACTTCCTGTTTGTGGCCTTAGCCCTGCAATACTGATTTACATTTTAGTAATTTTTTAGGCTTTAATTTGGCTCTATAAATTCATCTGTATATCAGCTTCTAGAGGGAAAAATGTATCTTCATTGAAAAGCAATTTGAGTTAAGCTTTAACTAAGTCCTCACCCATAAAGGAAATGCTAATGAAGAAAGGATTACTTGGTCATAGGACACGATTTGACATATGGCTTTGCCCCTGTGATTTGGGCAAAACAAGGTCTCCTTTTCCACCTTTGTAAAATCACCATTAACCTTTAGCTTCTTGGGTATGGAGGCTTTCACTTGGTGGGCAGGCTTTCCGACTATAATGTGCTTTTTAAAGAAAATGAAATCCTTTGAATACGCACAGAGATGTGTTGTCTCTGACCATGTCCTCTTGTTTTGTGTCTCCTCCATCATCTCAGCAGTGACCTCACCTGGAAGTCCCCTGTGGCCCCAGGGCTTGGAGAACTCATGGGGTGACTGGCTCCAGTAAACCAGTCTTATTTTACATAGCATTTTCAGCTTGGGTTTTCTGCACCAGTGGGTAGAGCTCATTAGCATGCTTTTCTGCTAAATTTAAAATGTTTCCTGATACCTGAGAAGGCTTAAAGGAACACCCATAACCTTCCACCTTTTTGGAGGAGGGACACGGCCTCTTTTAGTGGATGAAAACAGCTCTGACTCCACAACGTCCTGCTCTCTCACACGCCAGGGTCACGATCCCAGGCTGTCCCACCGGGCTTGTTTAGGAGCAAAAGGAAACAAACCCTCTGGCCTGGGGACACCAACAACTGGCCGAAGCCAGGAGCCTCTGCTGTTACCCCTCTTCAGCTTCCCCTTGTGACTTGAGCTGTTCAGAGGGGCTCAGTTTTAGGGGTCCCTTAAGGTTCCAAACTGTGTGAATGGGTGTGAGTCACAGGACTGGTTCTCAGGCCTGGGCAGCTGGAGTAGCCCTGTCCGCTCAGAGCCACAAGAACGGTACTGAAACGCAACTCTCGAAGAGTTCCAGTCTCTTCTCCAAGGGACTGAATAAAATCAGAGCTCCTCCAGGCACATGTCCAATTATTTTTACAAAGTTTTATTGAAACTTGTCCATCAAGGTGACAGTAATTCACTGTTTTGAAAAGTCACAAAAAAGGGTACCCCCAAACTCAGGTATACCAAGTAAATACTGGAACCCAGGGAGCTCACTCCTCCCTCTCCCACCAGGAGCAAAGGGCATAACGGGAGCTTCCGCTGACTCACAGCAACCTGGGCTAGTGGGTACATCTGTGGCGACTCCCGGGAAACTGAGCTGCGTATAAAGAAGTCTGCTTTGGTCCAAAGGACATCTTCCTGACCCAGACTCAGAAGGCTGCTGTCAAGTTCTACATTCCTTTCAGAATAAGCAACAGCAACTGCTGCAGTCTTGCTAACTAGGGGCAGAGGTCCTGAGCAAGGTGCCACGGGACCTTGTAAAATCACGCTGTGTGATTTTATAGGGAAGAGGGCAGAGTGCCTCTCAAGTTTTCACGGTTAACACTGTCACCTATTATGACTGGAATAAAAAGCTGGACAACCTGCCAGCTAACTGGTCAGTCCTGAGGATCATCCAGCTGAATGGAGAAATCCGGCAGCAGGTTGAAAAGTCTGTTCTGAGAACAGATTATTGCTGAGCAGAGTTCATGTGACTTCTAGACGTGGTGACTTAAAAAATGGCCTTAAGGCTGCAGAGCCAGCCACCTCTGCTTACAAAAAGAGTACTTAGTGCACATGACTGTAAGAAACAATTGTAAAACCTCATCTAGAAATCAGAAAGCTTCTAATTTCTATAGAAATGACACCTCCCTGGAGCCGAGAGACAATCTGTTGTTGATTTTGAAGGACAGGCAAGACCAACACTGTATTTAGTTCCATAGCCAGGCCTCAACAGGGACAAGTGGCTGGCCTTAAAAACACACAGATGACTGGAAATGATGTGTGGCCTCAGTCCCTGTTTCCCAGAATTTTACTGGCAAAGGAGTTAGCATTCATTTTTGGCTTAAGAAAAATCGAGAATGTAGGTTTAGAACTGCACCCAGCCTCATGCACCGCGGGGCCAGGGCTGCAGATCCTCTGCCACCCCTCCCTCTTTTCTTGGACTTGATGAGTCCCCGAGGCTCAAAGCCATGGGGGTGCTAGGAGGACTGTCACAGACCGAGGCGCTGCAGGAGCTGCTCTGCCTGGACAAACCTTCAAGCAGGACCAGGGCAGGTATGAAATGTCTTCTGAAGAGTGTGAAATGAGCAATGTACAGTCCATTCCCTCTTGGGGAAAGCATGCACGTGTGGAGCCTGGTGGTGTGCTGTCTCCTGGGCCACCATCCGCCCCCAGCTCTTCATATGGGCTTGTATAACAAGGTGGTGACGTACTTCTTCTTGTACCGGTGGGTTGCGCTGAGCACCATCACTCCATCCTAAGGAACAAGGTGGAAATGATCAAAGGCTGGACTAAGGGGCTCAAGCCTCAGAGGACATGAGAATCATTAAGGGCTTCATAAAACCACAAATTCCCGGGCCAGCTTCAGAACCTGAGCCTGATGGCCTGTGCCAGACCCTGGAAGCTGCCCTTTAAGTCAGTCCCGCCAGGTCATTCCACTGCTGGGGGTCCTCAGAGCACACACTGGGCAACACAGCTCTCATGGGGACAGACATGTCATTACCTTGATAGACAGCGCGTATAGGTGGTTCAGCATGACGTGATTGGGCTCAGGAAGCAAAGCTGGATCACACTGTGAGGGAACAAAGGCAGCGGTGAGCATTTGGGATTTGGAAACCAAGATTCTCCCCTTTACTTCCCAGTGCCAGATATCAAAGGACAGGAGGCAGCGCTCAGGCCGACCTCTCTTCCCAAATCAGGCAGCGCAAGGGCTTGTCCAAGACGACAGGTGAGATGAAGGTCACGCCTTCTGACCTGAAGGGAGCTCCCTGCATGCCTGCTGGAGGCATCGGTGTGTGTCTCTGGCCAGGCATTTACCCCGGCCTCTTTCAAGTGTGGGCCACGGCCCTGTCCTCTTATGGAGGGTGGGGCAGGAAGAAAGCAGCTATTAACAGCACTTTCAGAGAACACAGGAAGAGACCATCTGCACTAAACGCTCCTGAGCAATGGATTCAAAACTTGTATCTGTAAGACTCAATGAACCTGAAGAATGAAACGGATACCTGGGCAAGACACCACTACTCTGGAAAATCTGCCACCGGGCTGGCACTCAGAGCTGCCCGCCGCACCTTCCTATGTTTTAAGAGAAGCCAGAAATCGGGATTTATTTTTTCATTGTATACCCCCAACTGTTATAAATGCAATTCAAATGGAAAAAAGTGTAGAACAACTGCTGTAGGCTTAGGATCCCAGAGGCTGGGCCAATCATTGTGTCAACAAATACTCAGCAAGCTCCCGCTGGGAGGCCATTCAGGGTGGCTGCTGAGAGCACCAACTACCAAGGATCTGGCACCAGCCAAGCCTGATGTGACTGCTGGCTCAGCCAGTTGCTGTGTGAGCCTAAGAGGGGTTTTTAAAAAATTAATCAATTTCAAAGATTGACAGATAAAATTATGTATATTTACCATGTACAATATGTTGTTTTGAAATATGGACACATTGTGGAATGGCTAAATCAAGCTCATCAACACACGCAGAACATGCTTACCATGTTTTTGTGGTGAGAACACTTAAAAGCTACTTTTAGTGCACTGCTGATGGGCATGTAAATTAGTACAACCATTATGGAAAATGGCATGAAGGTTCCTAAAAAGTTATAACTAAAATTACCACATGGTCTAGCAATCCCACTACAGGGTAGATACTCCAAGGAAATGAAATCAGCATGTCGAGATATCTGTACTCCCACGTTCACTGCAGCTCTATTCATAATAGCCAAGACGTGGAATCAACGTAGGTGTCCACAATGGATGAATGGATAAAGAAATGAGGTACTGATACACAATGCAGTGCTGCTGAGCCTTACAAAAGGAATCTTGTCATCTGTGACAGCATGGATAAACCTGGAGGACATTAAGTGAAATGAGCCAGGCACAGAAAGACAAATCCCATGTGATGTCACTTATGTGGAATCCAAGAAAGTCGAACTCACAGAAGTAGAGAGTAGAGTGGTGGTTGCCAGCGGCTAGGAGTGGTGGGGGTAGGGAGATGCTGGTCAAAGAATACAACATTTCAGTTAGACAGGAGGAATACGTTCAAGAGATCCACTGTACAACACGGTGACTATTAGTAACAATGTATTCTTGAAAATCTCTAAGACAGTAGATTTTAAGTGTTCTCCCTACTGCTCTGTGCCTCAGTTTCCCCATCCCTAAAATGGGGGTAATAATTGCACCTACTTCACATGGTTGTTGTGAGGCTTGAATAAGAATACACGAAAAGCACTTAAGATTAGTTTGGGGCAAAATAAATGTTAACCCTTTAGTAGTGACAACTGTAACCACAGTTTACATTAGAGCTTAGTGCTACCTTGGACAGAGGGGTCCTGACATTCTCATATTCCCAGCCCCCTGGGCCACTCTCAGCTTGTCTATTCCCAGCAGCAGTCTCCATCAGAGAAGATGGCTAGTGATGCCTCCCTTTTCTAGAAAAAACAAAACCTGGCCAGGCACGGTGGTTCACGCCTGTAATCCCGGCACTTTGGGAGGCCGAGGCGGGTGGATCACGAGGCTAGGAGATCGAGACCATCTTGGCTAACATGGTGAAACCCCATCTTTACTAAAAATACAAAAAATTTGCCGGGCGTGGTGGCGGGGGCCTGTAGTCCCAGCTACTCGGGAGGCTGAGGCAGGAGAATGGCGTGAACTCGGGAGGCGGAGCTTGCAGTGAGCCAAGATGGCACCACAGCACTCCAGCCTGGGCAACAGAGCAAGACTCCGTCTCAAAAAAAAAAAAAAAAAAAAACAAACCTCACTAGCTTAGGAGGGCACTGAAAGTCATCTTACCCACCAACCTTTGTAAAGTTAGAGCTAAGGGAAGCAGTGTCAACTAAGTGCTTCTAAGGCAGAAGCTACATGTCCTTGAAACTCTTCACCTGTGACCTATTTGAGACTGTTGCCAACTCAGTGCTGGAAAGATGGTGGGCCCTGCCAGCTGAGGCGTGCTGTCCTTACCACTGGCCTCTTCTGGGCCTATACCAGGATGGCTACCCAGCTGCAGGGGCACTCCCAGCACAGGAGGTGACCTGAGAAAGGCAAGCCCTGTTGGGTACCCTGTAGGGTAACAAGCACTGAGACCCTGTCCTGGCAGCCCGGCAGGGACCACTGTAGGGACACCTGCATGTGTACACGTGCATTCCTCGTCTCAGCACACATGCCCTCCACTTCAGGGTGGAGTGTTCAGTAGCAGCATGGTTACTTTAAGCACCTCGTAAACAATGCCTCTTAAGAGGTAGCTTGGACCAAGCTGAATTCCTGGATTCCCAAGAATTACGGCTGTGCCATGCATCCCAGAGCTAGGCGGACTGGGCAGGCAATCCAGGTTAGATGGAACAGAAAACAGAATCACAACAGAACTGGCTGTTCTTCAAGATCCAGGAGGACACACACTTCTTTTCTGCATGTAATAATTTCCCGGAGGAGAAATGTGTGTTACCTAGATATCCCAAATTTTGATCCAGGAGTACTGATATTTCTAAAAGCAATTGAATGATTAAAACTAGATTCTAAAATGTGGGGGCCAGAGCATGTAGCTTACTAAGAAGAGATGGTGATACAGTTTGTCATGAAATGTAAATTGAACAGGGCTTAGACTGAGGCAGGCGTGAAGGACAAGGAAGAGTAGTGCAGAAAGGCTTTGCAAGACGAGGCAGCGGTGTCCACACTGGGAACCTCTTGTTATCAGCCCATCCCCACAGCAGAGGTGAACGGCACAGTTCACACTAGGGGGTGACACTGAGCTTGCTCACCAGCTGCTTTGCAAGAGGTGGACACAGGAAAGAAAGCAACTGAACATGACCCACGGCGGATGGTCCGGGCAGATGCCCACATACTTACGGAAATCCCCGTGTCCTTGTTCAGGATGACCTGGAGGAGATGTGGGGGGAGAATAGGGGGTGCCCGAAAGCGCTCTTCGGGTTTGCAGACGTAGGGCTCCTGATGGTAGGGTCCTGGGGGAGAACTGGACAGCTCTGTTGGGAGATGGTAACAGGACTTTACTTTGAAAATCAGGCATTCTAGGAGCAGCCTTACTTATGTTGTCATCATCTCATTTTCCTTGTCTCTTGTTCCCTCAATGCAGATTTACATTCTCTTGAAGGATGCACTGGTTCCAAGAGTGCAGAATAGAGGAGAGGAGAAAACCCTTTTGGAATCTGGGTGACTAGCATACAACTCAGTAGTCAACTCAGATGCCCTGGTGGAAGACACGGCCCAGCCAGTGAGTCTGCGTCAGATCACAAGGAGGCTATTCTCGATAACTTAATCCCACACGCACGGCAGAATAAGACTTCCTTCTCCCTTCAGGCTGGGCTGGCAAAACCACAAAGAAGCTGGAGGCTAAGTGAGGATTGAGTAGCTAAGTCCAAGTTATGGGCACCCCCGGCCGCAATGCAACAGAAGATGAGGCAGTCTGTTTACACAGAGGCCGTGGAGAAAACAGGCTAAACGAGGCACATTTCAAAATGGGGGGGAAAATTGAAAGCCCAATATCTAAAGGCTCTTTAACTCCATTACACTCAAGTTCCTTCCAAACTCTTGCTTGAGTATCTGGATTATTCAGATACACTGAGAAGCTGCTACAAGAGCAGGATTTCATAATGCTAGAACACTGGATAGTGACGTTTGGCCAGCCAGAAGGTACCAAGCCATCATCCAAAGAACGCGTGGGATGGTTCTGGTCGCCAGATCCTGGGACTGGTCCAGGGAAAATCTGCTATGCCCCAGCTCTGCCAATTCCCTCAATGTCATTTTTCAGGGGACAAGCCCCGTTTATGTGACCCAACCATATCACAGCAAGAAACTGAGAAAAGCATGAAGTGCAGAAAACTGAGCCATAAGGAGTAAATAACATTTTGAGGAAGTAAGTGTCGAAACAGAAGTCTGTAGAGAACGTGGAATTAGCTTCGTATCAGTGAGGGGTCCGTTTCCTTTCCCTAGGTGGAAATTTGACTAAAAAGCTTGTAAGTGGCTTAAAATTACATGTATCAGTAAGTTATATATTTTGGAGGATATTTGGGCACACTTCCTCCATTCCCTGATTCTCAACTATCTGCAAAAAAACTAGATGATATCTCTAAAAGACTAATTACCCAGATAAAAGCACAGATTTCGGATTTCCAAGTCCTGCTCAACAAACTGTCAACCACAGTGAGCCCATTGTGATCATTTTACCACTGTGATTTCTGAACTGGTAACAAGAAATCCTGGTGGCAGAACTTCCAGGCCTAACTAGACAATGATGAAGAACTCTCCTGTCAACGAACGGAATCTGTTTTCTTAGGGCGCCAGATATTCTGCCAGGGCATCTTTCCACTGCCTCCCTCAGAGTCCAGGAATTGTTAAGCCCCCGCCTCCAAGAAGGGGAACACTTTAGATCGCAACCCTCTTCCCCCGAACTGTATGAATCATGTTCCAGGTAGTTTCTTCCTGTGGGGCTTGGAGGGAAAGCAATTTATTGAAACCTCGATGCCTGAAAGGCTCTTACAAGATGGAGAAGTTTTACTGGGTCTGTATTTCTGTACCAAATAGCTTCCCATCAAGGAGAGTTGGGCTGTGCAGGCTGTTTCCCGTGGGGAGCCGCATCCTCCCCAAAGGGATTCTGACAAGGTGCTAATGTACCACATAAGTGACTGCTAAGGTCACTGAGGTGTCCATTTACACCTGTCAGGCTGAAATTCTTCAGGCACCACAAGTGGGATGAGACACAGGCTTCCCCAGTGCTGGGCTGTCACTGACTCAGTGCCACCCTCCAGGGCCTCTTCAGCCCTGCCCTTGGCACGAGATCAAGCTATGGTTCCATTTCTGCTGTCTGCGTTCTGTGGCCAAGCAGACCTACTGAATACCTGAGATGACCAGGGAAATGACTTGTAGCTCCCTTAGGGCTAAATTTCAACAACCTGACAGGAATTAAGTTCTGTGGCCTTTAAGTGGGGGCTATAAATGCCTATCTGACTGGGCAGCTTCAGCTCAAGAGAGGCAAGAGAAACAAGAGTATGTCTAGACTGTACAGCCCCCACCTGCACGCATGTGGTATAAAATAACTGTGTTCATACCAGACACATCGGAGCACTTTTGGGAATCCACCATTAAAGCATCAAATACTTCAAAGTCAGTTTTCTTCACTTGAATGATGTTGTTAACTGTGCCAAGCTGGCTGGTTACTATGGGCTGGGAAGAGACAGATAGGCAGAAATCATAACGTGGAAGGTCTGCGGAGTTATTCTTCAGAGGACTTGGAATTCCTGGCTGGAAGGCCTCATCTCCTGGCTAGCCACCCTGCTCATCTTGGTCAAGTATGCCAACTGTCTGACAGGTAGTGCTGCTACTCAGCTCTGCCACACACGGGGACTTTTACTAGCTGGGCAAAGGGACCTAGCGGCAATCTCTTGGGAAGGTGATTTGTTTGGAATGTGCGGGCACCCAGAGGACCAGAGGTGGGAGGAAGAGTACCTCGGAAGGGTCGTGCGTCCACTGACCATCCACAAAGAACTTGTACTGATGCTCTCCTTCCGGCAGATCCAGGATGGCTACAAAGTTATTGTGGCTGCAAGGAAAAAGGAAGCAGAGGACTTCCGTGGGGTGGGCTGCCCCCCGAGCTTACTTGCCAAACCAGCTACAGAACAAAACGTTTCCACATAAAACCAAGAGTTCAGCTGCAGGAGAACAAACATTTTTAGCCCATTTAGACAATTCAGCATAATGACCTCAATCTGAAAAGGCTATAAGGAAGCAGCAGTGCGACACAGTTTCCTGAAAACTCACCTTACTCAAATACCAGGAAACCACATCCCTAATGTTAAAAGGTCAACAGTCAGGCATTTGTGCGTCTCAAGCTCGCAAGGCTCCTGGATGCCAAGGAGGATGACAACACAAGATAAACAGAAGCTGCCTCGTTTTACCCTTTGTCACTTTGCCTTGGGCAGGAGAAGGGATCAATTGAATAGGAAGCTCAAATGTTCTCTAAAGAAACTTGCCTAATGACTGAAAAACCAAACTCCGGAAGAGCCCCTTCACTGGGTTGTTTTGTCCCCTGGCTTGAACTGACCTGTGACTGCTGTGCTGAGTGGCTCCCTCCTTCTCCAATGGAAACGCTGGAAAGCAGGCAGCCCCTGACAATAGGCCTGACACTTTCTCCCTCATTTTATCAAGAATACTCACTAAAGGTGTTCTCTCACTGACAACTTAAGACAGAAGTCCATGCTGGGGTTCCTGATAAAATGTCTTACTATAATCCTTGCTAATGACACCTACATAGCATGTATTTTTCTTTTCTTTTTGGAGACAAAGTCTTGCTCTGTTGCCCAGGCTGGAGTGCAGTGGTGCAACCACTGCTCACTACAGCACTGACCTCTCAGGCTCAAACAATCCTCCCATCTCAGCCTCCCGAGTAGCTGGGGATACAGGTGTGCACCACCATGTCCAGCTAATTTTTAATTTTTTTGTAGAGATGGGGGTCTCACTATGTTGCCCAGGCTGGTCTTGAACTCCTAGCCTCAAGCAATCCTCCTGCCTCAGCCCCCAAAAGTGCTGAGATCATAGGCATGAGCCCCCATGCCCAGCCAACATGTACTTTTCAAACAAAGTATTACGCAGAGTCAAAGTTAGATGAAACCTCAGAGATGATCTGGTCCAATATTCCCTCTTTACAGAAACGAACGCTGAGGCTCAGGTTAACTAACGTTAGGTGACTGACAGCATGGCCAATGTGGGCTCAAATGTGGGTTTCTAAGATTCCAGCCCAGTGCTCCCTTACTGCATTAAGACAGATTTTTGTGTTTCTGTGGAAAAGTCCTGACCGAACAGATAGCTGAGGATCTGAAGTGAAAGATGTCTGTGACACAGAAATATTCTCTTTCTTCTGTACTCTAAACCTAGAGACCACCAAGGTTTAACATTTGAACCTTAAGACTTATTAAGCAAAATTATTTTTCCACTAGGCATCCATTTTATAGAAACATCCATTTTCTGTTCTCTCTCAGAGATGTTTTAGAAAGAAGAGAATTTATGTTAAGACAAATATGTGAACACTCCCCAGGCAATTACCTTCTGGTGAGGGGAAGTTTACTCCAGTTGTTGAAGGACCCAGATAAGTAAACTTCCTTTCCGCCCCCCGTCCATCGAAACACCGTTGGCCGAGCCTGGGCGGGAGCTTTATCATTCACTTCCAGATCATGCTGCCAGGCCAGGAATTCCTCCTTCTCTGGTGCCTAGAAGCAGAGCAGTTTACTCAGAAAGCCATAAGCGAGCTCCCTACAACAGACAATATTGACAATTCATTCTAAAGACGCAGCTGTTACTATCTTGGTTCATGGTTAGGATCGGAAACTTACTAGTGGTGCCTCAGTTTCCTTGCCTGCAAAATAGAAATATATTTTTTAAGGTTGTGAAGACTGAGACAGTCCATGTAAGTGCTCTATATAGTGTCTGACACAGTGAGTGCTAATTATTAGCTATTGTTGTCATTAAAGAAGTTGACATCAAAATTCTAGAAGAAGCTATGAAACACACTTGGAAGGGGCTACTACGAATCCAAGACTAGCTTAATGTCATGTTCCTCCCTTAATCAAGCAAGATTTGAAGTACAGTCATGTGCATGATGTCTTAGTCAACGACGGACTGTGTATATGGTAGTCCCATAAGATTATACCATATTTTTATTGTTATCTTTTCTATGTTTAGATACATTTAAGTACACAAATCCTTAAATATACTTGTGGAATAAGTGTCTACAGTATTCAGTAGAATAACATGCTGTACAGGTTTATAGTCCATAAGCAACAGGTTACACCATATAGACTAGGTGATACGGTTTGGCTCTGCGTCCCCACCCAAATCTCACCTTGAATTGTAATCCCCATAATCCCCACGTGTCAAGGGCAGGACCAGGTGGAGGTATCGATCATGGGGGCGGTTTCCCCATGCTGTTCTCTGACAGTGAGTGAGTCTCATGAGATCTGATGGTTTTATAAGCATCTGGCATTTCCCCTGCTTGCTCTCATTCTCTTCTGCCGTCCTGTGAAGAGGTGCCTTTTACCATGATTGTAAGTTTCCTAAGGCCTCCCCAGCCATGCGGAACTGAGTCAATTAAACCTCTTTTCTTTATAAATTACCCAGTCTCGGGTATTTCTACATAGTAGCATGAGAACAGACTAGGTTTGTGTAAGTACACTCTATGATGTTCACACAATGATAAAATCACCTAATGATGTATTTCTCAGAATATGTCCCTGTCATTAAGTGATGTATGACTGTACATGAAAATTTAAGAGGAACAATTCTAGAGCTGTCAACTTGAAAATAGGCAAATCCAGATTTTGAGGAAGGGAAAAACTACTCACAAAGTTCTGTCTAGGGACTGGGGAATAAAGCAAGACAAAGACTGAACCCTCATTAGGATAAATGATAACCTCCAGTGTGGTAAGCTCCGTATAACTGAGGTATTCCAGAATAAGAAATAAACTCATCCAAATCTATCTGGATGACATATGTAGTCATGCACCTTTTAGATTTTTTCCCAGTCAGAAGCCAAAGACTTAAAAAGAGCAGAAGGTTCAGGCTGGAAAAGACTCTTCAGGGAGTTAAGCAGGCTTCTAGCACCTTCATCTCAAATACCGACCTCAGCTTATCCAAATGATGCCTGTATTCTTTGAATTCTAACAAGATCTACATATTAAATAACAGACTGGAATCACTTCACACTAAGGATAACTAATTATGACCAAAATAGCACCCTAGTGTAGTTAAAAGAATTCACGACTTTTTTGGTATCTGGGGATTTCAGTAACTTCTAATGAAGTGAGAATGGACGCTGCTTGAAATCATTCCCCATAGATGATGTGTGTGCTCAACATTTCCTGGAGGAGTTTTGGAATAGTAACAGAACAAATACTTCTGAAGAAAGTAGTTTTGATTCCTTTGGTGTCTTAAATAGCCTTCTTGGGACCAGGGACCAAAATTACCTCCTGGGGAAAGGACGTCAAGTCATTAGAGAAACATGATTCTAAAGTTCACTTTGCACACAGCTCTTCAAGAATGCAACAAATTCAGAGAGCAAGTTCAAACCACAGGTTGTAGGGCCACATAAAAGCAGCCTCTTTGTAGTCAGGCTCAAAACTAAGATCCAAAAGAAGGTGTGAGATGTGATCACCTCGCTCAACATGAGGACAAACACAGATGGAATGAGCTGCCAAGCAATTAAATGGATGATGATTAACATGAAATTGGATACTAACAGGGTATGTTGGGCAGAGGGCAGCTTTATCTTTCCTAAACCTACTTTGTTCCTTGAAACAATTAGTTCCTTTTGGACATAACACATAAATACCAGCTGCCAGAATCACTAAGTGTCCTTGGACTGAGCCCTGCGGCTGGAAATATCCACCATATGAAGGTGGTTAACAGGAGTGTGGTTGAAGCAGGAGTTAAGTCACCTGAGTTTTTGAATTTAAACAGGCTGCAGCAGGAAGAAAAATGTTTGCACTGGCCTGCTTAAGCACGATTAAGTCATATTTAAACAACACTAGAGAGAAGTTCAGTAGCTGCTGGCTGCCTCCTTCAGACAGACCCTCACCGCCCACTGACCTCTAGAAGCTGAAAGACTTTTCTATGTACGCTTTAAAAAAAAGCAGGGTGAGGCCGGGAGTGGTGGCTCATGCCTGTAATCGCAGCACTTTGGGCGGCCCAGGCGGGCGGATCACTTGAGGTCAGGAGTTCAAGACCAACCTGGGCAACATGGCGAAACCCCACCTCTACCAAAAATACACAAAATTAGCCAGGCATGGTGGCACACGCCTGTAGTCCCAGCTACTCGGGAGGCTGAGGCAGGATGGTTTGAGTCCGGGAGACGAAGGTTGCAGTGCCCCGAGATTGTGCTACTGCCCTCCAGCCTGGGCAACAGAGTGAGACTCCATCTCAAAGAAGGAAAAAAAAAAAATAAGTAGGGTGGGTTCAGTGGCTCACGCCTGTAATCCCAGCACTTTGGGAGGCCGAGGCAGGCGGATCTCCTGAGGTCAGGAGATGGAGACCATCCTGGCTAACACGGTGAAACCCCGTCTCTACTAAAAATATAAAAAATTAGCCGGGCGTGGTGGCGGGTGCCTGTCGTCCCAGCTACTCGGGAGGCTGAGGCAGGAGAATGGCGTGAACCTAGGAGGCGGAGCTTGCAGTGAGCCGAGATCGCGCCACTGCACTCCAGCCTGGGCGACAGAGCGAGACTCGGTCTCAAAAAAAAAAAAAAGTAGGCTGAACCGGCCAGCACCGTAGCTCACGCCTGCGATCCCAGCACTTTGGGAGGCCAAGGCATAAAGATTGCTTGAACCCGGGAGTTCGAGACCAGCCTGGAGAACATTGTGAGACCACCGTCTTTTTTATTTTTATTTATATTTTTTTTTTGAGACGAAGTCTAGCTCTGTCGCCCAGGCTGGAGTGCAGTGGCGCGACCTCGGCTCACTGCAAGCTGCGCCTCCCGGGTTCACGCCATTCTCCTGCCTCAGCCTCCCGAGTAGCTGGGACCACAGGCGCCCGCCACCACGCCCGGCTAATTAGTGAGACCACCGTCTTTTAAAAAATAAGTAGGGTGAATCAAAAGTGTTGGGCAGAACTAAACACCTCTGGCAACTGCCGTCAGCTGTTCCGCTCTACTTTCAGCTTGTATATGTACCTGGTTTGCCTCCAAAATGGATAAATTCCCAAACTAACTTTTACAAAAGCTCCAGTTTGTGTAAAGGTGAGGGAATTTGTCTCAAAGCAGTGCAATTAATTACACCTAAGAGAAAAGCAGAAGCTGGGGCTCAATTACTGTTAGCTCGACTCTGAATTAATTAAGAATTTGAAACTCTGTCCCAGAGCTGCTTTCTCCTTAATGATGTTAAACCAAGTGAGCACCTCCTCCCTCAGGGTGACTTTCTCATATTGGTAATTAGACACAGGTTCTTGGACCGCTAAGAGAACTCTTACAGGACCATCTGGCTTTTAAGTGCACCGGGTAATGTACCACCTCCCTCTCCGTTCTGGTGTTTTTCGAAAGGATGTGACGGGAATCTAGTGGAGGGTTCCTCTCCTCAACATTAGTCAAGGGGAATCGGGTTCCTCCACACCGCTCGCACCTTGATTTCCTCGGAGTGGAAGAGGTCGGCGTCTTCGGGGCTGTCCATCAGGATCTTGGGCCTGTCCCCGTCCTTGGTGCCCCCCGAGCTGTCCCTCCGGGGCGTCTTATGGCCACCATGCCGCTCCAGCGCGGCGCGCTCACTGCTGGTATTGCCCATGATGGGGGTCTGCGGGGACACAGGGAAGGCGGACGGCGCCTCACTGCAGGAAAGGGACCCTGAGCAAGGGACTCCCGGAACCGCGGGTCCCAAGGAGCCTGCGGAAGGAGTCGGAGCACCAGGACACCACGCCCCTCGGGCCGGGAGCCGGTTCCGGCTGAGTCGGCAGGGTTGCCGAGCTCTCGCAATCGCGCTTTACCTGCCCAGGCAAGCCGCGGCAAGAACGCAAGGGGCGCGAAGATAAACCGACACTTTCCCAACCGCTTCACCACCCCTCAGCGACTTCCGCTTCCGGCGACTCCGTAAGTCGGCCCGGCCTAGGGCGTGGAGGTGGCGGCGGCCAGCTAAACGCGCGAGGCTATCTCGATTCCATTTCCGCTTCCGGTCTTGAGCGGTGCGGTAACAGGTGCCCCGGGCCGTCTCTGCAGGCCTCGGAGCGCGCAGTCGCAGTCAGCAGCCGGCCGCCCAGGGCCAGGCCCAGGACGAGGCGCTGCCGAGGGCCGGCAGGGGGCACCCCAGCGCGCGGGCAATCTGAGCCGTTCATGCGCTGGGCTGAATAATGCCATTTAGCTATCTTTGCTCACTTATAGTTGATTCTACACTCTGCAGCCAGAGGGATCTTTCTAAAATGCAAATCTGATTCAGAAACTCCACTTCTTAAAGCCCTTTTAATGCACGTGTTCTCACGCTTTACAGTGCATTAGGTTAACCTGGAGCGCTTGTTAAATGCATCCCCCACTGCAGACCTGCAGAATCATGATTTCTACAGATTAGGGTCGGGGGTGCAGGCAGTCTTGCAGGTATTTGAAAAAATGGCAGACCATAAGATCTCTGGAAATTTCTTATGTCTAGTAGGTTGGGGGTTGTAAAATGCTGGAGTTATTCGTGTATTTTTATTGAGTGTGCAATCTTTTGATAGGTAATTTTGCAAGATATCTTGTAATCACTTCGGAAACATCCTTCTGCATAAGATGCATTAGCGTTTGTCATTTACTCTGGTCAGTGCTTCAACAAGAAGTGCATACAAATACGGTAGTAAAATATTCTCATCTTCTCATTGTCAGTCATTGTCATATTTTGTGGGTTTTTTGGTGTGTGAATATCTCAAAATACTTTGCATTTGCCGGGTCAGGTCATGCATTTCACCCACTGAACATTTATTTAGTACCTAAAAAAGTACCAGACATTGTGCTAAGGAAATGAGGAACACAAGATGACTAAGATAAGGTTTCCTGGGGGGAATTCAGCAGTATGCATCAAAATTTAAAAATGCACCTTCATTTTGACACACAATTTTACTCCTAGGAAACTTGTGCAGAAATACACACATGAAAATTATTTACAAGCATTATCTACAAAATATTTACATGCAAAAATATATTCTAAGATGCACTTGTCACCCCCCATGCCCCCATATATTTTAATTTCTGAAACTGGATGCTTTTTACAATAATGGAATCTTACACTTGGTGAAATAAGGAAATGAAAAACTACAAAATCCTAAAAGTTGTTCAGTAGGAGAATGGCAAAATGAATGGAATACATTCATTTTGTAGAATACCAAGCAACTTTTAAAAAGGGAGAAACCATTTTTAGGTCACTATGGGGAAGTGTCTATGATATTGCAAGGTCCGGAAGCAAGTGAGAGAACAAGTTCAAGGGCAGGAGCTCTGAATTCAGCCTGGCCATGTTCAGATTCTGGCTTTACCATTTAGTAACTGTCACCTTAGTCTCTTCTTTTGTGAAATGGGAACAAAAATAACACCTACTTCATAGGCTTGTTTTGTGAATTAATTGGGAACGTGCATAAAAATGCTGAGCATAGCACTTGACTCTTAGTAAACACTCAATAACTGTTAACACTTTTATTAGCACTATTAGGCTAGCAAATGGAAAGTTCTGGAAGGGTATACAACACATTGTTAATAGTGGTCTTCTGTGGGGAGAGGAGGGAGATTGCAAATAGGAGCAGACAGAAAAGGGACTTTCACTTTTCATTTATATAGTTCTGTATTTGAAAAGTTTTCTATTGTGAGGATGTACTACTTTTTAATTTAAAAAAATAAGATATGGTTCCAGCCCCAAAGGAATTAATACAGTACAGGCTGGCACCGACCCACAGAAAAGCAATAATATAGCTAGGTAAGGGATCCTGTGGGAGCCCAGAAGGGACTTAAGCCAGGCCAGGAAAAGGGATGGGAGCCAGGAAAAGGGATGGGAGCCAGGAGGGTCTTCCTGAAGCTGATGACTGAGAATTTGAATGTATTCAGTATAATCAGAAATGTTGAATGTGCTTGCTGAATTAAATAAGCTAAGATACTGTGGATGACCCAGGATATCTTCTTTGAGCTGCTTTTCTAATAGTGGCCCTGACTTGGTTACATGAGACAGTGGGGTGTTGAGTTTTGAAATCTCTCCCAAACAGCCGGAGAGATAAGAAAGAACACATGAGCTGTGGATTCTTTATCTGAGCTATGCAGATGCTTTGATGCATGAAGAAAGTTTTAAGACATCTGCACTAGCTTGAATAAGATAACAGTGAAAGCATGGGTGGCCCTTGATGTCAAATACAATCAACAATATCCTGAGGATGCCACCAACTGCTGATTGGAAACTCTTACCACATTGTATCAAGATTTCATGACAAAGAAACTAACATTGGTATCTATCAGCTATTGACCCCATATTGAAAATCATGGGTAGGGTAGACTCGCCAATTACAAGTGTCTACTTGGGTCCCAGCTGTGTCTCTCTTGGGTCATTTTGTGTTACTTATCTGTGTAACAATGGTTTGTGACTTTCCTAAGCATCAGAGCGTCTCATCTTTCTCTGATTCTCTGCTGATATGGATGTCAGACCATTCCATCTTGGGGGCTGGAGGTGTGCCAGGAAGTATAACTGTTAGCACATTGCTGTGTAAAAGGCATCATCTACTCACTGCTGTCTGTCTGGCACCAGGGCAAAGACAAATGATAAATACCCTAGATTCTCCCCCAAACAAACCAGGGCAATTTTAACACAGCCACAGCTAGGAGTACCCCTCCCCCACCCCCGCAACCCTGGCTTCAAATTCACTCCAGCTCCAAGCACAAAAAGAAGTAGGTTTTCAAGTCCTTAAAAGTCACCCAGAGTGAGATAAAATCTCATTTATCCTTAAATTTATGATTAAAAGGGTTAAGGATAATGTTTTGGGGCCTCCTCCATAGGATGGATTAGAATCAGTATAGCACTTCTGAACTGACCAACCCATTTGTTTTATATAAGGAAGAGTCTAAGTCCCAGAGATCGAACAGTTTTGCCTGAGGTCACTCAGATGATCATAGGTCATACTGAGACTGAATTCTGGATCACCTGGCCACTCCCCACTACATCATGGTCATGGCACCTCATCAAAAAGACCTTTGGTTCCCCAGCTGGCCTGTCTACAAACATTTGTACTGTTCTGAAGAACCCTCCCCATCTAAGAACAGCCAGGGCTCTGATCACAAATAACTCAATGGCAATATTGAGTGCCAATTATGAGCCAGGCACTGTTGTAACTCTTGGTTACAACAGTGAACAAAACCAAGTTCTTGCCCTCCAGAGGAAAGAGTCCACACACATATGCACATGTGGTGAGAACAGGCAGTGTTCTCACTAAACATCGGTAGCTGGAGGAAGAAATTTCACATTTGGACTATGCTGTAGACTAAATTGTATCCCCCCAAAATTCATACATTTGCACTCCCACTCCCAATTTTATAATGTTTGGAGGTGGGGCCTTCAAGGGGTAATTAGGGTTAGATGAGCTCATGAGAGTGGGGCCCCCATGATGAGATCAGGGTACTTATGGGAAGAAGAGACGCTGGAGAGCTTGCTCGCATGCTGTCTATTCACGCCCATGCTCAATGGAAAGGCCATGTGATGACAAAGCAAGAAGGCGGCCATCTGCAACTCAGGGAAAGAGCCCTCACCACACATCAACCATCCTGGCACCCTGATTGTATTAGGCCATTCTTGTATTGCTATAAAGAAATATTTGAGGTTGAGTAAGTTATAAAGAAAAGAGGTTTACTTGGCTTATGGTTCTGTAGGCTGTACAGCAAGCATGGCTCTGGGTATCTGCTTGCTTCTGGTGAGGCCTCAGGAAGCCAAGGGGGAGCCGATGTATTGATGTATCACATGGCAAGAGTGGGAGTAAGAAAAAAAGTGGGAGGAGGTGCCGCACGCTTTTAAACAACCAGATCTTGTGAGGGCAGCACCAAGACGATGGTGCTACACTATTCATGAGAAGTCCACCTCCATGATGCAGTCACCTCCCACCATGTTGGAGGCCTCACCTCCAACATGGGATTACATTTCAGTGTAAGATTTAGGGGGAAAAGTATCCAAATTATATCACTGATATTAGACTTCCAGCTTTCGGACCTGGGAGAAGTAAATCTCTGTTGTTTAAGCCACCCAGTTGATGATTTGTTATAGCAGTCTGAGCTGACTAAGACAGACTCAAATGTGTGTGGGCTGCTAGGATAGAATTACAAGCTTACTTTTAGGGCTTAACCAGATTTCCACCAGGCCTTCTGAATTTTGCCTAGCCAATGTAAGTAACACTGCCAATGTTTGAGAAACTTGTCCATCTTTTCTTGCTAGACATTCTTGTGTTCTCTTTGCACTGAGATGTGAATATTGTGACAGAGAGTCATCAACATAGAATTAAAAGAAGTTCATTCTACAGCATTTGGTCTACAACCTTAATTGGCAAATAGCCTCATTTTGTGACTTTTAGGTTGTCTGAGAAAATTCTGTTTCTTGACCTGGGTTGGTAATTATTAACATGTTTGCCTTGTAGTAACTTACTAAGCCATACATTTCTTTTGTGTAGTTTCCTGTATCTTTATTTTATTTTCAATAAAGTTTTTTTTAAATAAATAGCTTCACTCACAGGGTAAGCTGAAACCTAGAAGGGAGAAGTGCCCAGTTCAAGGTAACACAATGTTCTTAATAAAGTTCACCTCAAGTCTATCCTCTTTTTTTTTTTTTTTGAGATGGAGTTTCACTCTTTTCACTCAGGCTGGAGTGCAGTGGTGCAATGTCGGCTCACTGCAACCTCCGTCTCCCGGGTTCAAGCGATTCTTCTGCCTCAGCCTCCCAAGTAGCTGGGACCACAGGCGCACCCCACCACGCCTGGCTACTTTTTGTATTTTTAGTAGAGACGGGGTTTCACCATGTTGGCCAGGCTGGTCTCAAACTCCTGACCTCAGGTGATCCACCCTCCTCGGCCTCCCAAAGTGCTGGGATTACAGGTGTGAGCCACTGCACCTGGCATCTCTATCCTCTTTTAAGAGCTTTGAAGGAATGGAGGAGAAAAGGATGTACACTTTCTACCCCTTTTCTAGAGGACAAGTGACAAACTAAAGCAGTATCCAGGCAAAGATCCAACGGAGGTGAAAACAATGAGAGGAAGTCTGTCTCTGTCTCATCTCTTTAAAATGTAAGCTCCCAGGGATTTGAATATCAAAGTTTCATAATCACTTTAACATATGCTGTTGGGACCATCATACCCCATCTGCATGTGCCCTTCTGCGCATGCCCCAAACTTCCTAACTGTGAGCAGGTGCAACTCTGAGGGCCTTCTGGAGAAAGCTTTGTCGACACAAGTGGGAACCCAAGGGGACCAGAGAAGACACCCTGAGAGAAGCCCTCAGCCAACCACAGAGGAGCCAGTTCCCTTGCCCCTTGGATGTGCTAACTCTAATGAAGCAGCGTCATTTTTCTGGGGTAACACCCGAGGTTCGATGTCTCATGCTAAGGAAATTGAAGACATGGCCATGCAAGGAGTGGGTTTAAGAGTGGAAAGTTAAATAGATGAAAGAAGGAAGAGAGCTTCCTCATGCAGAAGAAGGGGTCCTGAGTGGGTTTCCCTGGTTTGGGGCAAGGTGTGGTTGGTTTTAGGGATGAGCGTGAGGAGATGGTATATGATTTACATGGGGTGTAGTGGATTGGTTGGACCAGATGTGCCATTTTCATAGCCCGTGAAGAGGCTGGTCATCCCACTCTAATCTTTTATTATGCAAATGGAATTTTAAAAAACCTGGCTGGTGCCATGTTATCTGCACACGTGGCAACAAAGAAAAGGGAAGAGGGAACCTCCATGTTGAATATACCTGGTTTCCAGCTATCTGTTTTCTATTGGCACAGCTGCTGGTATTTACCTATGCAAGCCTCTAGCTTGCTTATCTATGCTTGCAGCTTGATTTTTCAGGCTGCTTTTTGTTAAAAAAAGAAATGATTTGGAGACTGCGTTTTTATTAAAAGAAAAACCTTACTGAGGACTCTCTTACCCTCACTAACTGTCTAAATAATTTCTTTTTAGCTCTCGTATAACTAAGATATATTCCCTACCGTGTCTCAGAGGTCCCCAGTGGAAATGCACCCTAGATGTCCACAGCAGTAATTGGATCAAGGAATTCATTGATTATCTTCCTTTCCTTTTCTTTATCTCTTTTTAGGAGCACCTTCCAAATAAATACTCAGAAACACCTCCCAAGACACACTAATTGCATGAAAATCCTAGTTCAACCACATAGGTTACAGATGAGGAGGGACAATAGCTTGCTGAATTATAGAAAAAGTTAGTGGTCATAGATCATAATTTGGATCTTATGTCTTGGTTTCTGGTCCAGGGTACTGTGAGATTATCATTCTTCTTGATATGATGAACCATGGAGACTTTTAAAAAACAGGGATCGGCAGCATTATCATAATAGACAGAAGGTGGAAAGAATCCAAATGTCCACCAAGAGATGAGTTTGTAGGCTGGCACAGTGGCTCATACCTGTAATCCTAGCACTTTGGGAGGCCGAGGTGGGTAGATCAACTTGGGGCCAGGAGTTCGAGACCGGCCTGGCTAACATGGTGAAACTCCATCTGTACTAAAAATACAAAAAATTAGCTGGTTGTAGTGGCGCACACCTGTAATCCCAGTTTATTGGGAGGCTGAGGCATGAGACTTGCTTCAGCCTGGGAGGCGAAGGTTGCAGTGAGCTGAGATTGTGCCACTGCACCCCAGCCTGGGCGACAGAGAAAGACTCTGTAACAACAATAACAAAATGAATTATAAACAAATTGTGGTATGTTCATACAGTGGAATATTCTTCTATCACAAAAAGGAATAAAGTACTGTTACATGTTACAATGTGGATGACCTCAAAAATATTAACATTATGCTAAGTGAAATAAGCCAGACACAAAAGGTCATATATTATATGATTCCATTTATATGAAATATACAGAATAGATATATCCATGTCAATAGAAAGCAGACTGGTGGTGACCACGGGCTTGGCGGAAGAGGGAATGAGGGCTTTCTTTTGGAATGATGAAAATGTTTTAAGACTTGGCATAGATGGTGGTTCCACAACATTGTCAATGTACTAAATGCCTATGAATTGTTCACTTAAAAATGTCTACTTTAAAATTAACATTTATGTTGTATGAATTTTACCTCAAAGAAAATAGGGTTAGTCCTAGAACAAATGGTAGAGGTGTACAGTTTATCTTTTTTCCAATTTATTTTCTGCAACTGTCTTACAAAATAAACCTCTCCGCACCCTGTCCTTCCCTGTAAGTGTCTCATGACTCATGTCATCTAGCCCATCAGAACCTAACTAGTTCATGGCACTTGTTCTAGTTAATATTGATTTTTTCAGAGGCCTTCAGTTTTCTAATTGCATTAATTCATTTCTTTATCAATAACTTTTTCATGGCAAAAACTCCTATCCACCGGGCACTGTGGTAGACACTGGGGAGAGAATTGTGGGCAAAATCAAACCCAGGCTCTGTCCTGAGTGTTTACGATCTAGTAGGGAAGAGAGAAATTAATCGAACAATCATCCAACAGTCTTCTGTGACAAACGCTAAGAAGGAGAAGTGTGACCTAGTGAGAAGGATGTGACCAAGTCCTGAGGTCAGAGGAGGCTTGCTGAAGGAAGTGACAATCAAGTTGAGATTTGGAGATTGTAGGTGTTAAAGTGAAAGTTGTTTATCAATCCTTATTATGCACTCGGCATTGTGTTTGATGTATGAACTCATGTAATGCCACCAACAGTCCTTTGAGGGATCTACTATTATTACCACTTGCATTTTTCAGGAGAAAATGAGGCTCAGAGAGATGAAGTGACTTATTCGAGGTCACACAACTAGAAAGTCATGAAACCAGCATTCAAATGCAGGCAACCAGACAGATGTCAACATTTTAGCCACCACGGACAGATCATTGAGTGAGGGATGAAATCATTTTGGGTGGGCCAATGGATTGGGCTGATCTAGATTATAAGTATAAAGCTGGAATGGTCATTCAGAGAGGGAGAACAAACTAGGTGTTCAATTGTTTTAATATCTATTAAATTTTCTAGGCTAGATGCAGTGGCTCTCAGCAGCTTGGGAGGCCGAGGCGGGAGGATAGCTTGAGTCCGGGAGTTTAAGACCAGCCTGAGCAAGCTGTCGAGACCCCATCTTTATTATATTTTAAAAAATAAAAATTAAAAAAATAAAAAATTTTCTAACTACGAATCCATGTTTGTTTTTTCTTTTCTTTTTTTTCAAAAGAGCATCAATTTCCCAACCATGTTTCTTATTGTTACAAAACTCAATAAAAATCTGAAAGTTGGAAGCCATGACTTGCTGGGTGTAACGTACTAATCAAGAAGGTGGAATCAATTATTAAATAGTCAATAGGGTTAACAGCAATGAGTGATCATGGCAGGCAATGCCCCTAGCATCCCCTAGGTGGCAATAAAGAGCAACAAAGATTATTCCTATGGCCTTTCAAAAAATTAAATGTATGTATTTTAAAGTATGGATGAACATGGTTAAAAACTTCAAGCAGTATGGGAGGGGGTACAGAATCAAAAACAAAAGTCTCCCTTACACCTTCTCCTACATCATTAATTCCTTTCCCCTCAAATAACTTGTTGAGAGTTTCTTGTATACTTTTTGGGGGTATATTTTGTTACAATTATTATAATTATAATTTCCTATAATTATAACTATAGAAAAAGTACTTACATCGCTCTTCTTTAAAAATGCAAGCAATTAGTACTTTTTTTCCTTAGCATATCTTTCCATATCAGCATATACAGCTCCACCTCATTTTAAAATTTTAATTAAAAAAATTTTTAAGTAAAAAAAAAATTTCTTAAAAGAGACAGGGTCTTGCTATGCTGCCAGGCTGGAGTGCAGAGGCTAGTCACAGGTGCAATCATGGCTCACTGCAGCCTCAAAGTCCTGGGCTCAAGTGATCCTCCTGCCTCAGCCTCCTGAGTAGCTGGGACTACAGTTGTGTGTCACCATGTCCCGCCACCTCAGTTTTGTAATGACTGCAGATTTCATAACAAGAAGAGGTCTATGTATAGAGTGCTTACTGTACACCTGCCACTGTCCTAAGCACTTTCCTTGCTTTAAGCCATGTACTTCTTATAAAGCTTTAAGAGGTGCATTTTGTTATTATCCCCACTTTACATAAGAAAAAACTAAGGCACAAGTGGAGAAGTAACTTGTCCAATGGCACAAAGCTAGTAAGTGGTGAAGCCAGGATTTAGATACAGGAAATTTAATTCTTGAGTCTATGCTCTTAGCCACCATGCAAAACTACTGCTGCACAGATGTACTATATTGCAGTGGTCCCCAGTGTTTTCGGCACCAGGGACAGGTTTCGTGAAAGACAATTTTTCCATGGACTAGGGTTGGGGGGATGGTTTTGGGATGATTCAAGCACATTATATTTATTGCGTACTTTTCTATTATTATTGCATTGTAATATATAATGAAATAATTACACAGCTCCCCATTATGTAGAAACAGCGGGAGCCCTGAGCTTGTTTTCCTGCAGCTAGATGCTTCCATCTAGGGGTGATGGGAGACAGTGACAGATTATCAGGCATTAGATTCTCATAAGGAGCATGCAACCTAGATCCCTCGCATACGCAGTTCACAATACAGTTTGTGCTCCTGTGAGAATCTAATGCCACCACTGATCTGACAGGAGGCAGAGCTCAGGCAGTAATGTGAGCGATGGGGAGCAGCTGTAAATACAGATGAAGCCTTACTTGCTCACCTACTGCTCACCTCCTGCTGTGCGGCCTGGTTCCTAACGTACCATGGTACTGGTCCGTGGCCTGGCGGTTGGGGACTGCTGCCTTAAGGTACTGAATCTATCATTTCCTTAATGTATTTTTTAAAATGTTGTAGGATATACTGTTCTAGAATGTACCTGGGACTTTGGGTTTATTCATGTATGGTAAGGCCAATGGATCGGAAGACCATTGCCATTAAAAATATAGTTTTATTGCTCACAGTTCCTGATATGCTTTGGCTGTGTCCCCACACAAATCTCATCTTGAAGTGTAGGTCCCATAATTCCCACGTGTCGTGGGAGGAATTTGGCGGGGGCGGTCATTGAATCATGGAGCCGATTACCTCTATGCTCTTCTCCTGATAGTGAGTGAGTTCTTATGAGATCTGATGGTTTTATAAGGGGCTTTTCCCCCTTTGCTTGGCACTTCTCTCTCCTGCCTCCTTGTGAAGAAGGATTTGTTTGCTTCTCCTTCTGCCATGATTGTGTTTCCTGGGGCTTCCCAGCCATGGGGAACTGTGAGTCAATTAAACCCCTTTTCTTTATAAATTACCTAGTATCAGGTATTTCTTCACAGCAGTGTGAGAACAGTCTAATACAGTTCCCAAGGGGCAGGAGCCCGCCATGCCATGCAGAACCACAGGAGAGAACTTTGAGGTTGGTCACAGCCAGAGAGGATGAGAAGAAAGCCTAGGAAAAAGCCTTTATTGTGGTTTTTGCCAGGAGGAATGGGCGAGGCAAGGTAAGCAGCTGAACAGGCTTAGGATTGGATAGTCTGAATAATTCAGGCCAGCTGTGGGCTATAGGTGTCGTACCTAACTGTCTGACACCCAACCCTGGGATGATTAGGGCTTAGGATTGGATAGTTTGAATAATTCAGGCCAGCTGTGGGCTATAGGGGGTTGGGGGGGGTAGTCTCTAAATGTCTGACACCTGACCCTGGGATGATTAGGGCTTAGGATTGGATAGTTTGAATAATTCAGGCCAGCTGTGGGCTATAGGGGTAGTCTCTAAATGTCTGATACCTGACCCTGGGATGATTAGGGCTTAGGATTGGATAGTTTGAATAATTCAGGCCAGCTGTGGGCTATAGGGGTAGTCTCTAACTGTCTGATACCTGACCCTGGGATGATTAGGGCAGGGGAAACTTGCCTCTCGGAGTGGAAAAGCCAGAGAGAGGAGGTGGTTCAGAGTATGGGCTCTGAATTGGTTGGACTGCATATTGCAGGAAGGTCATCTGCTATCTCTTGGAATGAGCTAACCCTGGGACAAACAGTCTCTTTCAGGTTGGTAAGTCCCCAAGATGTCAAGCCTCATAAGATATAGAAAATGAAAAATGCGATTAATACATATACATAGCATAAACTTTATTATTTTATCCATGTTAAAGTGTACAGTTCAGTGACATTAAGTACATTTACATTGTTTTGCAGCCATCATCACCATCCATCCACAGTTTTTTCATTTTGCAAAACTGATACTTTATGCCCATTAAACAGTAACTCCTCATTCCATCTTACCCTTGACCCCAGCAAGCACCATTTTACTTTCTGTCTGTATAAATTTTGCTGCTGCAAGTATCTCAGATGTATGGAATCAAACAGTATTTGTGCTTCTGTAACTGGCTTATTTCACTTAGCATAATGTCTTTGAGTTTCATCTATGCTGTAGCATGTATCAGAATTTCCTTCCTTTTTAAGGCTGAATCATATTTTGTATGTATACACCACAGCTTGTTTATCCATTCATCTATTGATGGACAGTTGGGTTGCTTCTACCTTTTGGCTATTGTGAATAATGCTTCTAAGAAAACAGGTGTACAAATATTTCTTCATGTCCCTTTGAGTTGTTTTGGGTATACAGAAATGGAATTGCCAGATCCTATGGTAATTCTATTTTTAATTTTTGGGGAATTGCCATACTGTTTTTCATAGCCGCTGTACCATTTCCCACTAACAGTACACAAGAGTTCCAGTTTCTCCACATCCTCCTATATTTTCTTCAGAAATTATATCATTTTAGGTTTTACATTTAGCTCTATGATCTATTTTGAATCAATTTTTATGTATGGTGTGAACTATGGGTTGAAGTTCATCTGTGGGCACATGGATGTCCAATTATTCCAGCATCATTTGTTGAAAACACTATTCTTTCTCCATTGGATGACCTTTGCACCTTTGCCAAAAATCAATTTACAGCCAGGTGCCGTGGCTTATGCCTGTAATCCCAGCACTTTGGGAGGTCGAGGTGGGAGGATTGCTTGAGCCAAGGAGTTTGAGACCAGCCCTGAGCAACATAGTGAGACCCCATCTCTACAAAAAGTAAAAAAATTAGCTGGACATGGTGGCATGCACCTGTGGCCCCAGCTACTTGTGGGGCTGAGGCAGGAGGATCATGTGAGCCCAGGTGGTTGAGGCTTCAGTGAGCCATGATCGCATTGCACTCTAGCTGGGAGACAGAGAGACACCCTGTCTCAAAAAAAAAAAAAAAAATCAATTGGCTTAGTCTAGTGGTGGCTCACACTTGTTGTCCCAGCTACCTTAGAGGCTGAGGTGGGAGCATCACTTGAGGCCAGGAGTTCAGACCAGCCTGGGCAACATAGGGAGGCTCTGTCTCAAAACAAACAAACAAACAAACAACCAAAAAACAATCTATTGACTTAATCTAGTGGTGGCTCATACTTGTTATCCCAGCTACCTGAGAGGCTGAGGTGGGAGGATCACTTGAGGCCAGGAGTTCAGACCAGCCTGGGCAACACAGGGAGACTGTCTCAAAACAAAACAAAACAGGCCTGGCGCGGTGGCTCACCTGTAATCCCAGCACTTTGGGAGGCCGAGGCGGGTGGATCATGAGGTCAGGAGATCGAGACCATCCTGGCTAACAAGGTGAAACCCCGTCTCTACTAAAAATACAAAAAATTAGCCGGGCGCGGTGGCGGGCGCCTGTAGTCCCAGCTACTCGGGAGGCTGAGGCAGGAGAATGGCGTGAACCCGGGAAGCGGAGCTTGCAGTGAGCCATTGCGCCACTGCAGTCCGCAGTCCAGCCTGGGCGACAGAGCGAGACTCCGTCTCAAAAAAACAACAACAACAAAAAAACAAAAAAACAAACAAAACAAAACAAAAACAATTAACCATATATGTGTGGGTCTATTTGTGAAGTTTCTATTTTGTTCCATTGATCTATGTGTCTGTCTTATCAATACCACACTGTCTTTTTTTTTTTTTTTTTTTTTTTTTTTGAGACAGCGTCTCGCTTTGTCACCCATGCTGGAGTGCAGTGCATGATCATAGTTCACTGTAACCTTGAACTCCTGGGCTCAAGCCTCCTAAGTGGCTAAGACTATATTCATGTACCACTATGTCTGGCTAATTAAAGAAAATTGTAGAGATGGAGTCTTGCTATGTTGTCTAGGCTGGTCTTAAACTCCTGGCCTCATATAATCCTCCCACCTCAGCCTCCTAAAGCTTACAGGTGTGAGCCACTGTGCCCAGCTTCACACTGTCTCAATTACTGTAATTTTATGGCAAGTCTTCACATCAGGCAATGTAACTTCTCCAACTTTGCTTTTCTTTGTCAATATTGTTTCAGCAATTCCAGTTCTTTTGCCTTTCTATATAAATTTTAGACCCCACTTGTCAGTTTCTACAAAAAGTCTTGCTGAGATTTTGATTAGACCATAGATTTATGGTCTTTAATATTTATTCACAAATTTAATATTCCTACTACTTTTCATTTTTTTTCCTTTAAATACTAATTCCCATCTGGTTTCATTTCCCTGTAGGCCAAAGGACTTCCTTTAGCATTTCTTGTAATGCAGATCTGCTGGCAACAAAGTCTCTAAGTTTTTAACTAAAAATATCTTTATTTTGCTTTCATTGTTGAAGAATATTTTCACTAGAGCTTGACACCTTTTTTCTTTCAGCATTTTAAAGTTGTCATTCTACTCTATTCTGTATTTAATTGTTTCTGATGAGAATCAAGTCTTGATGCCAAGACCTGAAAAAAAAGAGAAGTCAATTATCATTTTTACCTTTGTTTCCATGTACGTGATGTATCATTTTTCCCTCTGGCTGCCTTTTAGATTTTTTCTTTTTCCAGTAATTTGCCTAGGTGTGTTTTCCTTTGCATTTATCCTGATTGGGTTTTTGTTTTTTTTTTTTTTAGCTTCTTGGATATGTAGGTTGATATTTTTAATACCATTTGGAAACATTTAAATCAATTTTTCTTAAGCAAACTTTTTAAATGCTCCATTCTTTCTCTCCTTTTATTTTTAGGACTCTAATTACATATATGGTAGAATGCTTGATACTTCTCTGCAAATCACTGAAGCTCTGCTTATTTTTTTCTTTAAATCTTTTTTCTTGCTGCTGCTTCAGTTTGGATAATTTTTATTTACCTGTCTTCAAGATCATTGCTCCTTTCTTCTGTATGCTTAATCCCATACAAATAATTTATTTCAGGATTTGTTTTCTTAGTTCTAGGATTTTCAGGGGTTTTTAAAAAATTTTTTAATTTTTTTTTACATTGCATAGCTTCATGAAACTCATCACCTCTTCACCTATTAATCTATTCCTCTAGATTCTTTAACATATGTATTGGAGTTATTGTAAAATATTTGCCTACTTATTTCAACATCTGCATTGTCTTTGGGTCTGTTTCTATTAACTATTTTTTCTCTTGACTATCACAGTTTCCTGCTCCTTCACATGTTTAGTGATTAATTTTTTTTTTTTTTTTTTTTTGAGGTGGCGTCTCGCTCTGTCACCCAGGCTGGAGTGCAATGGTGTGATCTCGGCTCACTGCAACCTCTGCCTCCCAGGTTCACACCATTCTCCTGCCTCAGCCTCCCAAGCAGCTGGGAGTACAGATGCCCACCACCTTGCCTGGTTAATTTTTTGTATTTTTGATAGAGACGGGGTTTCTCCGTGTTAGCCAGATGGTCTCCATCTCCTGACCTCGTGATCCATCCACCTCGGCCTCCCAAAGTGCTGGGATTATAGGTGTGAGCCACTGTGCCCGGCCCAGTGATTTTAAAATTTTATACTGCACATTGTGGATAATATAGCAGAGGCTCTGGATTCTATTATCTTTCTCAGAAAATTGTTGAGTTTTGTTTTAACTGGTAGTGAAATTACTAGTGACTCGTTCTTATGTTACGAAGGTATGGTTTGGGACTTCTTTTGGGTGGATCCATTTTGGTTTTGTGCCTTCTACATACTAGTTCTTGGATGTGGTCTTTCTGACTAATTTGTGACCCCTCTGGGTTTCAACAGAAAGACTGAGGAGTTTAAGTTTCTCTAATTTGGTAGAACTTGAGCTCCAAACTCTGCCTCCCCAGCACTGATCAATGCAGTTCTTTGCATTCTCCTCCAGCTTTTTGGTTTGGTTTTGTTTTCTGTCGGGCTTCACAAATACAGTTTGAGTCAGCCAAGGATTTGAGGGGAGTTTATATTCAGATTTTTT
The DNA here is from genome assembly GCF_000001405.40 of Homo sapiens. NCBI lineage: Eukaryota > Metazoa > Chordata > Mammalia > Primates > Hominidae > Homo > Homo sapiens. Next base: position 119,652,670 of record NC_000012.12, on the reverse strand, counting down.
AGGTCCCTTTTCTGTGGCTCTATCATTTCTGGGATTTCTCTCATCAAATTTCAGCCACCATGGGGGCCCCAAACTCTAACCTGTGATTCTGCTGCCTAATAAGACTATTGCTTTTGGCTTGAGCTCTGTTCTCTGTGTGCTATGCAGACTGGGTGACCCTTCAGAGGAAAAGCCGGGTAAATGTGGATGATTCCCATTTTATGAGGATTCTTACTGACCCTCCAGTTTTTAGTTGTTCTCAGGTGTCTTTAATTTGTAAAAATGTTTTGTTCAGAGTTTGTAGCTGTACTAGGCAATGGAATTTGCCCAATATAAGTTACTCCTCCACTACTAAAATCCAGAAATCTAATTAGTCTCTATTGATGGACATTTTTGCTTCTCATTTTAAACTTTCACACATAACACTGCCTTGGTATATCCATACAATGTGACTGATTCACATATCCTAGCTCACATATCATAGTTTTCTGAGTAAAATAGTGGGAATAATTTCTAATATGGAATCACTAGGTCCAAGGGTACATACCTTTACACTTTTGCTAGAAATTGCCAAATTTCTCTCCAAAAGTGTTGCAGCAATGATGTTTGTGATATCTGTTTCTCACATCCTCCTCAACACTAAGCATTATTAATTTTTAAATTTTTTTGGTAGTCTGATTAATAAAAGTTGTATGCCATTGGTTTCCTATGCTTTTGTTGATTTATGAGTGAGGTGGACTAACTTTTCATTATTAGTCATTCTACTTATACTTTACTTGGGTACAGAAATTTTCATTTATTAGAATAAAAATTTCTAAGAGCTACTGTTTACTGAGCAATTCTTTTTTTTTTTTTTTTTTTTTTTTGAGACGGAGTCTCACTCTGTCGCCAGGCTGGACTGCAGTGGAATGATCTCGGCTCACTGCAACCTCCGACTCCCTGGTTCAGGTGATTTTCCTGCCTCAGCCTCCCGAGTAGCTGGGATTACAGGCATGTGCCACCACATCCAGCTAATTTTTTTTTTTTTTTGTATATTTAGTAGAGACGGGGTTTCACCATGTTGGCCAGGATGGTCTTGACCGCCTAACCTCATGATCCACCCACCTCTGCCTCCCAAAGTGCTGGGATTATAGGTGTGAGCCACTGCACCTGGCCTACTGAGCAATTCTTAAGGCAGGTCCTGACTGGACAATCCTACCCTTCTTGCTGCAGTTTTTTTCGGAATGGTCACATAACCCAGACTGGAGCACTGGGTTCAGGAATGGTTGTATGACCTAACTGTTACAGTAAGAATACAGTGGGGCTTTTGTCTGAAGGTTTAGGGTAGAGAGGCCTTCCTTCTCTCAGGACATTGATGAGGAAGTTTGTAGCCTGAAGAGCTACTCCCATGAGAGAAACCAGTTTGAGGTCAAAGAATACACAAAGGTGGACAAAGCTGAGAAAATCAAAGGGAAACAGAGCCATAGCCTATTAAATTTGTGATGTGCAGAATCAAACCAACCTTGAAGTTTGTCTTCTATCTGAAATTTTCCATTGTGAGAACTGGTAACTGCCCTTATTAAAGCCAGTTGGATTTTCTGTTGCTTACAACCCAAAGCATCCTAAATCGTATACTCGGATGGACTCATATCCTTCAACAGTAGAAATGTAGCTGTTTTTTCTTTCCTGTGTATATTAATTATTGTGCATAGAAAATATATCTTAGACATTGAAGTGAGACCTCAGAGCTTCTTAAATATCGAATAAGCAGGCCGGGAGCAGTGGCTTGTGCCTGTAATCCCAGCACTTTAGGAGGTCAAAGTGGGGAGATCACTTGAGTTCAGGAGTTCAAGACCAGCCTGGCCAACATGGCAAAACCCGATGGCTACTAAAAATACAAAAATTAGCTGGGTGTGGTGGCTCATGCCTGTAATCCCAGCTACTGGGGAGGCTGAGGCAGGAGAATCACTTGAATCTGGGGGGTGAAGGTTGCAGTGAGCTGAGATTGTGCCACTGCACCCCAGCCTGGGCAACAGAGCGAGACTCCGTCTCAAAAACAACAACAACAACAACAACAACAACAAAATCAAATAAGCAATCCCAAAAGGAATGTGTTATAATTAATGCAAATCGGCCGTAAAAGTTCATCTCACAGAAATTTATGTCAAGTTTGCAACGAATTAGGGACAATGGGTAATAGGCTATTAGGTCATTGCACGCTGTTATGCGTAGAAAGTAGTTCTGTTATTTTTGCTTAGTTATGAACTAAACTCTGAGAGTTAGTTTATCATTTATGGGAGTTAATTGAGTGTAATGATTAAGATCATGGATTTTAAAATCAAATGGCCCAACATTCAGCAGTTGTGCCTCAGACAAATTATTTAACTCTTCCATGACTCAGTTTCCTCAGATGCAAAGAGAAGTTAATGGTATTTATATCTAGGGTTGTTAATAATGATCAAATGAGAGATCATGTCAAAGGTTTAGCAGAATGTCTGGCAAATAGCAAGCCATAATGTTTGTTATTATAGTTACCCACTTTTTTTTTTTTTTTTGAGATGGAGTCTTGCTCTATTGCCCAGGCTGGAGTGCAGTGGCGCCATCTCTGCTCACTGCAAACTCCGCCTCCCGGGTTCACGCCATTCTCCTGCCTCAGCCTCCTGAGTAGCTGGGAGTACAGGCGCCCGCCACCGCGCCCGGCTAATTTTTTGTATTTTTAGTAGAGACGGGGTTTCAACGTGTTAGCCAGGGTGGTCTTGATCTCCTTACCTCGTGATCCGCTCACCTCGGCCTCCCAAAGTGCTGGGATTACAGGCGTGAGCCAACGCGCCCGGCCCTTTTTTTTTTTTTTTTTTTTTAATAGTTAAACAACTACCGTGGGACAGAAGAGCTAAGTTTAGAATTGTAGAATATAGAGACTGAAGAACAAGCCCCGCTGAGCCAGTGTTGGCATTTGATGATCTTATCCACCTTGAATTTCTAAGGAACAGAGGTGTGACTAATTGAATCTACATCATTTTTGAAAAGTTCCATATCAGAAATAAGTCTTAGAGTGAGATAGCCCAAAAATTACCATCAGAGATCAGCCAAAAATCTGGTTCCAAAGCAACAGTTGCTCAGTTTTTGTTTTACTGAAAGTTTATTACTCTAGAACATCTTGCTTCTTTGCTTCATCAAAGCTGTGTGATTTTCTTCCAGTTTGTTTCTGGATCCTACACTAACTCAGAGAGTATAAAAAGCAAAGAAATACGATATTTGTCAAATTGTTAGGGAACACTCTAAATTGTCTTTCTCCATTTTTTCCACTAGGGGGCATCCCAGGCACAAAGGAGGCTGGGGTTCATTTGGGTCTCTATCTTTTCTTTTTCTCTTCTTTTCTCTTCTCCTTTTCTTTTTCTTTTCTTCTGTTTTTTTGAGACAGAGTTTTGCTCTTGTGGCCCAGGCTGGAGTGCAGTGGCACAATCTCGGCTCACTGCAACCTCCGCCACCTGGGTTCAGGAGATTCTCCTGCCTCAGCTTCCCGAGTAGCTGAGATTACAAGCATGCACCACCACTCTCGGCTAATTTTTGTATTTTTAGTAGACATTGGGTTTCACCATGTTGGCCAGGCTGTTCTCGAAGTTCTGACCTCAGGTGATCCTCCTACCTCGGCCTCCCAAAGTGCTGGGATTACAGGCATGAGCCACCGCGCCCAGCCGGGTCTCTATCTTCTTGAAATTATTTTTTGGTATAAGTCGATTTTCATTTCTTCCTTTTTCTAAACCATCACGATAAGGAATATGTGAGAAAGTTTTGAGACAGGATTTACAGCCAATACCTTGGTTAGCTTCATCTTGCTTTAAAATTCAAGTTTAAATCTTGTCAGATAACAATGTAAAAATAAAGCTATGATGATGGAGGAAGCTTTGACTCAGTTTTCTTCTTCCATTTCTCTCTACCTCATTAATTAATTAATTAATTCATTCATTCATTAAATAACTATTGGAAACTTATGTGCCAGGTACCAAGCTAGGGACCAGGAAGACAGAGGTGAACAAGATGAACATGGTCCCTGCCCTCATGGGGGCTCATGATCTGCTGGGAAAGACAGATATTAAATGGTAATTGTGCAAACTGCATCTAACTACCATTGTGATATGACCTTGAGTGAAACCACGGGGAAGTGTGAGCATGCAAAAGGGAGACCCTCATGTTCTTGAAACGTTGGCATATCAGAGAAGGCACCTCTGAACAAGAGGCACTTAATCTGAGATAAAGGAGTGGACATTAGCCAGGAGGAAGGGCACATGGGGAAAAGAACCTTTCACTCATTCAGCAAATAGCTATAGAGTATCTGCCATGGGCCAAGCCCTAGTCTAGATGCTGGGGACACATCAGTGAACAGAACAGACAAGGTCTCTGCCCTCACAAGGTCAACATCCTAGGGGGAGGAGATAGATAATAAAGAAGATAATAAATAAGTAAACAGTTAAATAAAAATATTGTTAGTGGTGGCAAACCCCATGGAGGAAGTAAAACAGGGTGGTGTAATAGCAAGTGATGAGGGGTGGGGTGGTTGCCTTAGAGATGGGGGTTAGGTTGATCCTCTCTGAGAAACTGTGACCTAGGGCATGGGGAAGAAAGGACCAGCTATGTGAAAATCTGGAGAATGGTGTTATGAATGGAGGAAACAGCACACATAAGGCCTTGAGACCAGAATGATCTTGTCATGTTTGGGGCCAGTGTGTGGCTGCAGCTGAGTAGAGTGGGGGCGAGGTAGAAGATGAGATCTGAGAGGCAGCCAAGGGTCTGATCATGTAGGGCTTTGCGGGGTATCATTAAAAGTTTGGATTTTAAAACACCGCATGTTCTCACTCATAAGTGGGAGTTGAACAATGAGAACACATGGACACAGGGAGGGGAACATAACACACTGGGGCCTGTCGGGGGGGTGGGGGGCAAAGGGAGGGAGAGCATTAGGATAAATGCTTAATGCATGCAGGGCTTAAAACCTAGATAATAGGTTGATAGGTGCAGCAAACCACCATGGCACACATATACCTACGTAACAAACCTCCACGTTCTGCACATGTATCCCAGAACTTGAAGTTAAAAAATAAAAAAAAGTTTGGATTTTAGTCCAGAAGAGTAGATGCTCCAGAATGAGCAGTCCTTTTGACACTGAAGAAGAGAACAGACTCGCTGGCACTAGAGCCCATATCTAGGGGACCATCAACTTGTTAATGTCCCTTGGTCTTTTACTCCGAAGACAAAAAAAATGAAGAATAAACAAAGTTGTGGAAAAGGTACTGATTTCACCTATCAAGGATGAAAGGGCAAAATTACAAGAACGGATTCCTGATCACTGGTCAACAAGGGCAAATGCTTGTCTTAACTACAAAAGAGACACCAACTCAACTAAAAAGCCTGCTTGTCGAGGCAAAGTAGCATTTTGTGATTGGGGGTTAAAGACTGACCTTCCAGCTTTTAGTAATAAAGACCTTTTTAAGGACACACAAAAAAAGTTTGGATTTTAAAGGCTGGGTATGGTGGCTTACACCTACAATCCCAGCACTTTCGGAGGCAGAGGTGGGAGGATTGCTTGAGGCCAGAAGTTTGAGACTAGCCTGGGCCACATAGCAAGACTCCCATCTCTTCCAAAAAAAAAGAAAGTTTGAGTTTTAATTCCGTGGGTGGTCACTGGGTGTGTGGGTTGGGTTTCAGCAGAGGAATGATGTGATTAAGTCTAGGTTGTGAGATAACCCTGGCTGCTGTGTGTGTTTTTTAAGCGAATGGATGTCAAAGCAAGATGTAGTAGACAGAATAATGCTCGCCAAAAGATATCCCCATACAAACACCTGGAACTTGTGAATATGTTGGGTTACATGGTAAAGAGGAATTAAGGGAGCAGATGGAATTAAGGTTGCTAATCAGCTGACCTTAAAATAAGGAGATTTTTCTGGATCATCCAGGTGGACCCAAAGTAATGACAAGGGTCCCTAAATGGGGAAGAGAGAGGAAAAGGAGTCAGAACAAAAGAGATGCAGTGTGAAAAAGGCATCTTAAGGGGAGGAGGTAGATAATAAAGAAGATAATAAATAAGTAAATGGTGACTTTGCTGCCGTTGAAGATGGAAGGAGGCCCTGAGTCAAGGCATGTGGATAGCTTCTAGAAGGTGGAAAAGGCAAGAAAAGGGATTCTCTCTACGAACTTCCAGAAAGGAATCCAACCCTGCCGCCATCTTGATTTTGGTCCAGCAAGACCCGTTTTAGACTTCTGACCTCCAGAACTGCAAGATAATAAATTTGGGTTGTTTTAACTCATTAAGTTTGTAATGGTTGTTATACCAGAGAGCCCTGTAAGAAAGCTACTGTAGGACTGGTGCCGTGGCTCATGCCTTTAATCTTGGCACTTTGGGAAGCCGAGGTGGGCGGATCACTTGAGGCCAGGAGTTCGAGACCAGCCCGGCCAACATGGCAAAACTCCGTCTCTACTAAAAATACAAAAAATTAGCTGGGCATGGTGGTGCTAGCCTGTAGTCCCAGCTACTCGGGAGGCTGAGGCAGAAGAATTGCTTGAACCTGGGAGGCGGAGGTTGCAGTGAGCCAAGATCATGCCACTGTACTCAAGCCTGGGCAACAGAGCAAGACTCCATCTCAAAAAAAAAAAAAAGCTACTGTAATTGTTTAGATGAGCTTTGGTAATGGCTCAAGAAATATTTATTTACCTTCCCTTCTAGGCGTGCTTTAGGTCCTCTTTCTTGGGGGTGATCAGGCCATTTCTATATAGGCAGAATTTGGCCTTTTATGAGTTCCTCCCAATACTTTCACTCCAACTAGTACAACTAGTACAACTAGTCCCCATGCATGGGATTCCACGTGACCTGGGGGAGTAAACACTTGGTCACAGTTCCAGGAGCAGACAGCTTGGGTGCATCAGTGAACCAGTGTGGGTGCAAACTGGGAAATTCTACACTGGGACAGGAAGAGAGATGAACGCCGTGACCGGGTCATTGCAGGTCTGACTGGCTGCTCACCCGAGGTTTGGAACAGGTACTCGAGATGAAACTCTCTGATGCCTCATGCAGGCAATGCACAGAGGCAACTTCATACTTCCCTCTCCTGACCCCTGATAAATAGATGTCTACTGGAATGAATGAATGAATGTATTGGAAAGGGAATTCCTTCTTTCTGTGGCTTCTCCAGCAAGTGTAGGTGATGCCTGAGTCATCTTTATGCCTGCCTCTCTTTGTGCTTGTCCAAACCAGAATTCAAAGTGTTTTGGTGCAGGGACATATTTTTATAGGGCAATTCCCCAGACTTAAATATTCAATATTCGTGAGTATTTTTTAAGAATTGGTTGTAACCCATGAGTATGAACGTTATCTTACAAGATTTTTTTTTTTTTTTTTTTGGTAATTGGTGGCCCAGAACTGTCTCTTATATTTAGAAGCCTGAATCTAGGGTTACGTATCAAGATATGTGCATCATGCTGTTTTGCTGAATGCAGCTGTCCTGCTGTAGGCCAAAGGTAATTTGCTGATCCAGGAGCTGAGGCCAGCGATTTTATATCTGCATCTGTTTCTGCCCATAACTTGTGGGCAGAGACAGGGCAACTTCAAGAGCTGTAGCCCTATTGGCCTCAGCACTGCGAAGAATGGTAGGACAGGGACTGTCTTCCTTCCCTTTAGTACAGCCAGTGTGTTCTCCTGCAAAGTGATGGCACAATACTTTGTTTATGCCTCTGTCTGGGCACTCTCATGTTTCCTTCTCATTGTTTGTGTGTGTCTGTTCCCCCCACTAGACTACTGCCACCTTCTCAGGGGTCTCTCTTAAACATTCTGGAATTTCCACCAGCCCAGTTTCTGTGGTTGAGCAGGTGCTCTATAAATACTGGTCAGAGAAGGAGCTGGATGAAAGTGACAACACCACGGGGAAATTGAAAAGCTATGAGGAGGCTGGGTGTGGTGGCTCACACCTGTAATCCCAGCACTTTGGGAGGCCGAGGTGGGTGGATCACCTGAGGTCAGGAGTTCGAGACCAGCCTGGCCAACATGGTGAAACCCAGTCTCTACTAAAAATACAAAAAATTAGCCAGGTGTGGTGGTGCACACCTGTAATCCCAGCTACTCAGGAAGCTGAAGCAGGAGAATCGCTTGAACCCGGGAGGTGGAGGTTGCAGTGAGCAGAGATCGTGCCATTGCACTCCAGCCTGGGCAATGAGTGAAACTCCATCTCAAAAAAAAAAAAAAAAAAGAAAAGAAAAAGAAAAGCCATTAGATTACTTTGCCCTGCATATGGAAGGTATAGTAAGAAGCAGCATGCTTAATATGGACGCTGTTTTTTTTGTTTGTTTGTTTTTGTTTTTTTGCCTAGCAAATCTCTCTCCTTCTTCTGGTAAGAGTACTTTGGTTTTCCTTTGGGGAACCATCCTTCCCGCACCCTCAATCTATAAGGTTTGAGTGGAGCTGACCTCACATTCAGTTCCAGTGATTGAATCCTGACTTCAAGCCTGGCCAATGAGGGCACCACACACCCCTGGCCACAGCATCCATTTATGTTGGTACAGTGGCCACACCTGTTTGTTAATGACTGGTATCCATTTTGATAGGTCGGTTTCTGGTTTGTATCAGTTGTTCATTATATTGAATTGAACCATTTTTCCCCCCTGGAGCTATTAGGGAAGAAACACTGTCTTTCCACAGGCTGGTAGGAAAAAGTCCAAAGCTGTTGGCAGTCGTATTGTCCCTATTAAACTAAAATGAACTCAGCAAGTTGGGGCTGAGACCTGGAAAGGGACACGTTCCCAAAAACCCTGCGCACCAGGATCCAGCTGCCTCTGAAGCTATCCCTGGAAGTTTCCGTCTTGTGAGGGTAAACTCTACTTTTTCTGCTCTATTTAGCCAGTTTTTGTAACTGGCTGATGAAGGAGTCTCTTGGTTGATAATACACCTTTTTTTTTTTTTTGATACGGAATCTCACTCTGTCGCCCAGGCTGGAGTGCAGTGGCATGATCTCGGCTCACTGCAACCTCCGCCTCCCGGATTCAAGCGATTCTCCTGCCTCAGCCTCCCGAGTAGCTGGGACTACAGGCGCCCGCCACCACGCCCGGCTAATTTTTTGTATTTTTAGTAGAGACTGGGTTTCACTGTGTTAGCCAGGATGGTCTCGCTAGCCTGACTTTATGATCCACCTGCCTCGGCCTCCCGAAGTGCTGGGATTACAGGCGTGAGCCACCGCGCCCGGCCACCAATCTCTTTTTAAACTGTGCTTTTGCGAGTGGAGCAGGGGCAGTCTTAGCTTTGGAGGAAGCTCTGGACAAGCCCATCATCCCAACAAAAACCATTTTGTCCTTCTTAGAGCTTAGGACCTGGGGGACGCCCAACAAAAATCAGTGGCCCTCTTGACCCCAAGGAGCACATTTAATGACAAGATTTTTCTTATTTTATTTTTTTACTTTAATAGGACCAACATTTTCAGTGCCTCATAGAGGGACATTTCTGGCCATAAATTAGTTCAGAGTGATGCCTCTCTAGCGCCACCTCTGGCCTCTCTGGGCTCTTCCCTGGGGACTGATGCTGGACTAGATGAGCTTATTTTGGTTACGGAAATCTCTGGAAGGTGGGGAACCCCAAGAAAACACAATTCACACACTGTGGTACACAGGCTTACTTAAAACCATTTTTATTCTGCCTCTGAGCAACACTTTTCATTTGATTTGGGTAAAAGACCAGGGACCCAAACACGCACAAACAAAAAACAGGATGTCAGAAACAGAAATCAGGGTCCAATCTATTGGAATGATGCTAGAATCTCTGTGTGCTGAGATTTCGTGTCCCTGATTCAACGTCCTCCTGGGACAAGTGCTGGCTCATCACAACATCCGGGTAAAATGACAGGTTGAATCTGATGTTCATCAGAATTTTTTTTTTTTTTGCTAGGGTTCAGTATATGAAAAAATGCTGAAATTTGTATTGGTATAGTACTTAGAATTCTCCCCGCCAATGGTTAGTCACAACTATTACAACAATTAATTCTCATAACAGCACTGTGAGGTAAGTAGGCAGGCATTCTTATCCCCATTTTGCAGGTGAAGGAATTTTAGGCACAGAGAGGCTATGAAACTTGCCTAAAATCAGCTTGCATAGCTAGTTAGTGGCCAATAAAAACCCTGCAAAAACAAAAGGGCGTTGGAACTAGGTATTGACTCTCAGCCTCTTATTCATTCAATTAGAATAATCTGCCTTTCTTTTTTCTTTTTCTTTCGTTTTCTTTTCTTTTTTTTTTGAGATGGAGTCTTGCTCTGTCACCCCGGGCTGGAGTGTAGTGGCACAGTCTCAGCTCACGGCAACCTCCGCCTTCTGGATTCAAGTGATTCTCCTGCCTCAGCCTCTCTATTAGCTGGGATTACAGGCATGCACCACCACGCCTGGCTAATTTTTGTATTTTTAGTAGAGATGGAGTTTCACCATGTTGGTCAGGCTGGTCTCAAACTCCTGACCTTAAGTGATCTCAGCCTCTCAAATTGCTGGGATTACAGGCGTGAGCCACCACGCCCGGCCAGCATAATCTGCCTTTCTTTTGCTTCATTATCACCATCTTTCTGACATTAATTCTTTGAAGTGACTTTTGCCACATATACTTATCTGGTGTGTTAATTACTTGATATTTTCTTGAGTTCTCTTGTTTTTCTTAATTTATTTGAACAGAAACAATATGTCACATCCCCCACTGTGGGAAGCTGTAAATGGAAGGTAATAAATAAAATAAATACCATGACACAAAACAATATCATTAAATTCTATCTAGACAGAAGACTCTGAGGCCTGCTCTTTCTTTGCTAAAAAGGGAAAAGAGCCATAGTGTCTGAAAGGTGTAAAGGACCTGCTAGCACTAAACAGAGACTTTTTCCTTGCTGTAATCAGGATGAAAAAAGAATAGAAAAGGGGAAACATTCTTTGTGATTTGGTATTACTTAATGTTGTTCCTAGAAACTACTTAAAAATTATCTTGTGTACCACCAGTGGCACACCCCTTGTGCTCTGTGAGACACTGGGTTACTGCGTTCTGGCAGGCAGAATAATGGCATCATTAAACCAGTACATTCACATCTAAAGGGTTTACATTTGACAGAAAAGAAACACAATGGGTGGCATTTCCAGGTGGCATCCAGGAAAATCAAAGATCTTGCCTGAGACTTGCTAGAGATAGGAGAGAGAGTGAGAAATTGAAAAAAAAAAAGCACATTCTATAAATACAGCCAGTTTATTCCCAAAACTGGGATACAGGAAGTGCTCATGTACCTAGAATTGGCCACTAAGTCCATTCTCAGAGCCTGTTTGAGTGAAGAGTGAGGTTTTGGTCAAGTTGACCAACGTGGATGCAAGCAAGGGAGGGGGCCTATTTGGAAATATAAGCATCAAGACAAAAGGCCAGAAAAGCCCCTTCTTTGAGTGTTTGATGACCAGATGGGTGAACTCTGGGCATGGGAGTGCTGACTCCCAGAGGAGGAGTTACTGAAGGTTATAAGAATAAAAGGAAAAGCAAATCCACAACTTGAACTCTACTAGACAATTTTAAACATGCTGCAAATGTTTGTGCTCAACATTGTAAATACCAGCACCTGCTGCTCTTCCTAGAAACCTCCATCTCCCCCTATATGGAGACCCCCTGGATCCCCTCAGTGAAAAGTTATGTGATTTCCTGAGGCTCGCCTCTGGAGGACAGGAGTGGACACAACGGGATTCGCTAAACTGAGACAGTGAGACTTCATTTTTCTTTTTTCTGTTTTCTTTTCATTTTTACAAATCAATGACTTTGGCTGATCCGGCTGTGCAGCTTGGATTGCCTAAATTTTGGACTTTTTTTTTTTTTTTTTCTTGTTCATTTGCCAGGGACCTGCCTCTGGAGAGTCCTGGAGGAAAAGATCTCACAGTCTGAAGTCAAGGATCCATTCCTTAGAAACTCCTTTGGGGTGTGTGTGGATGAGGTCCATCCTCCACGCTCACAGCCCACTGACCGCTGGTTCCTCAGGCACTGTGTGGTACAGACAGAGAGAGAGAGAGAAAGACCGTGGGCTGAGCTTCTGTGGTTGGCTTTCCCAGCTCGATGCCTTCCTTATTTGATGATGATGACTCTGGTTAAACACATGTTGAAATGTACCAGCCTGCGTGCACACTTTTGACTCTAAGCAGGGGCTTCCTTTTGAGAAACATATTCTATTTGTAAAACTTATTTTATCTTACATGTGGTACGTGCAAAAAAACAAAAGCAAAAACAGGCCAGGCATGGTGGCTCACGCCTGTAATCCCAGCACTTTGGGAGGCTGAGGCGGGTGGATCACGAGGTCAGGAGATAGAGACCATCCTGGCTAACATGGTGAAACTGCATCTCTACTAAAAATACAAAAAAAATTAGCCGGGCGTGGTGGCGGGTGCCTGTAGTCCCAGCTACTTGGGAGGCTGAGGCAGGAGAATGGCGTGAACCCGGGAGGCGGAGCTTGCAGTGAGCCGAGATTGTGCCACTGCACTCCAGCCTGGGCGACTGAGCAAGACTCCATCTCAAAAAACAAAACAAAACAACAACAACAAACAAAATGCGGATATGGAAAAATGCCTCTTGAGCATTTCCGAACCTCACTCTCCTCCCCAAGGATTAGTATAGTAGTGCTGTTAGCAGTTTGGTGTAAGTTCTCCAGGCGTTTTTCTCTGCATTGAAACTGATCAATAAGCATGTAGAAATTATATACTCATCATGTGTATGCGTTTACACAATGTGATCGTGCTGCAATTTCTTTTTTTGTTTTACTCATTCATTTATTCAATGCTTATTTACATGCTGGGCACTGCTTTAGGTGCTGATGATAGTAATAATACCCAACAGTTACCTAGTGAGTACAGAGTGCCAGGCCCTGTAGTTTGTGCCATTTAACCCTCACAGCCCTATGAGATAGGCACTGTTATTATCCCCATTTTATGTATGAGAAAACAGAGGCACAGACTGCTTAAAAGATATACCCAAGGGCACACAGCTACTTAGAGGAAGCACCTGGACTGGAACTCCAGCAGTCTAACTTGTAAATAGGTCCTCTTTTTCTTTTTTTCTTTTTTTTTTGAGATGGAGTCTCGCTCTGTTGCCCAGGCTGGAGTGCAGTGGCATGATCTCGGCTCACTGCAACCTCCACCTCCTGGGTTCATGCCATTCTCCTGCCTCAGCCTCCCAAGTAGCTGGGACTACAGGCGCCTGCCACCATGCCCAGCTAATTTTTTTTTTTCTATTTTTAGTAGAGACGGGGTTTCACCATGTTAGCCAGGATGGTATCGATCTCCTGACCTTGTGATCCACCCGCCTCAGCCTCCCAAAGTGCTGGGATTACAGGTGTGAGTCACCACACCTGGCCATAAATAGGCACTCTTAAGGGCCATGCTCTATTATTATGGGCAATAACAGAAATGAAAATGTCCCTGGAGTTCTCATGCCAGTAGGGGGGAAACAGACATAGATATATAATTTGTCAGGGAGTAGTAAGGAAGAGAAGTAAAACTGGCTAAAGGGATAGTCTCTTTGCTAATGTAATATATGAACAAGTACCAGAAGGAGAAATGGGAACCAGCTGTTTGGCTTTTAGAAGGAAGAGAATTCCAGGCAGAGGGAACGGCAAGTGCAGAGGCCCTGAGGCAGGAATATGCTTGCATTGCTCAGAGAGGACTCTGATGTGGCTGAAGTGGAGGGAGTGAAAGGGAGAGAGAGGGGAGATGAGGATGTGGGATGGGAGATGAGGATGGGGAGGTGGCAGCCAGATCATGCAGGGCTTGTAAAGTCATAGTAAGAAGGATGTCTCCACCTGTATACTTAAAAAAAAATAGAGACGGGATCTCAGTATATCGCCCAGGCTGGTCTTGAACTCCTGGGCTCAAGTGATCCTCCCACCTCGGCCTCCCAAAGTGCTGGGATTACAGGTATGAACCAGGGCACCTGGCCCTGTCTTCATGTTTAAACTGCAGTGTGGCGTCCCATCATATGAATACATCACTCCTAATTTAACCTGCCTACTGATGGACATTTAGGTTGTTTCAAGGTTTCTCCTATTGCAAACAAAGCTGCAATGAACATCGTTGCACGTCTGTGGTTCCCAACCCTGGCTGCACATTAGAGTTACCTGGAGAGCCCTACAGTCTACCAATTCCTGGCCCTGTTACTGGAGATTCTAATTTAATTGGTCCAGGGTGGGCCCTGGGCATTGTTTTTAAAAATTTTTTTGTTTTAATTTTTTGAGACAGGGTCTTGCTCTGTCACCCAGGCTGGAGTACAGTGGCACAATTATAGCGGACTGCACCCTCGACCTCTTGGGCTCAAGCTGGCCTCACACCTGAGCCTCCCAAGTAGCTGGGACTACAGGTGCATGCCACCAAGCCCAGATATATTTTTTTAAATTTTTAGTAGAGATGAGATCTTGCTATGTTTCCCAGGCTGGCCTCCAGCTCCTGAGCTCTAGTGATCCTCCTGTTTCTGCCTCCCAAAGTGCTGGGATTTCAGGCATGAACTACAGTGCCCAGCGGCATTGGCATATGTTTAAAGCTCCCCAGGTGATTCTAACACGTAGCTAGGGTGAAGCATTACTGTGTTACATGCATTTCTGTGCACCTGTCTCTAAGGTGGATACTGAGCAGTGGAATTGCTGGGTTGGTGGGTGCCTGGATTTTATATTAGATACATCCAAACTGACTTTCCAAAAGACTGTCCCAATTTTCTCTTTCACCACCAGTATAGTGTCAAATTTTTCACATCCTGGTCAACCTTGATATTACCCATCTTTTTAATTGTTGCAATCTGCCAGACAAAAATATGTAGGATTTTTGTTGTTATTGCTTTAATTTGTGCTTTCTTGATTACTAGTGAGGTTGAACATCTTTTTAATGTTCATTCTGATTTCTTCATCAATGCGCTGCTAGCTTATATCCTTTTCCAAGCAAAAATTCTTCCATTGTTGCTGGCAACTTAGGTCTGATTTGTCTCTACCTGAACTTATCTGAACCAACAGAGAAAGACCCTTCTAACCTTCTAGAAATAGGTAATGATTCCCATTTTTCATTATGGAATCACAAAAATTCTCTGATCAAAACAATTCCCAGAAAGCCTTTCCCCAGCCAAAAATATAGAAAAGAAGAGGGATTTGCTTTTAAGCTTTTGCAAAAAGGTCAAGTTCCACCTTGATATGTATGTCTCCTTCCAATTCTGATGCAATTGAAGGATATTTTGAGACCAGGAAAGGATTCATTTCAATTTGCTTATGAGAGAGACGCTTTCCCAGTACAGAATGGGTCAAGGTCTTCTAACTCTGTGCCTGCTAATGAGACACAGTCATGGGACCCTAACCCCTGTTTAGAGGTAAGTTTTTCCTTAATGAAAACCTTGGAGCACAAAGGCTGTTGTTGTTAAGAATGGCAAGCAAGCATTTTTAACACACAGGTGTGTACCTGGCTGTTTACACCTCAACAAGACCACTCAGAGATGTACCTTCAGGGGAGTTACATTGTATGTGCATTTAACATGTGGCAGATCAACTATTTATGTTCCTCAAAAACAAAAAAAGCAACTGTTTAAATAGAGCTGGAGTTTCTGACTGCCGCCCCGCTCAATGATCATGAGCACGGATGGGGATGTCACATCTATTCCTTCTATGTGAGCCCAGAGTGTGGTTCCAGTGTTGAAACAGATGCCATGAACCCTAAACCCAGCCACATACTTCAGTGGGCTCTCAACCCAAGGAACAGTCACCTGTTCCAACACTGGAAACATTCACTGGCTATGCTGGGCTGATCAAGATACCATGTGTGAGTCTCCAGTAGGGCGCCCTCCTTGGATACTTCCAAGATTAAGTTTGATTATACTCAAAGCTCACCTTGTGCCCTGACATGAGAACCTTACTCCTGAGTAACATGAAGCTCCACTGTATTAGCAGGGTCATCCGGGAATGTCATATTTGTCACAGAGGACATTTGTCTCATACCCAAATGTTGTCCTGGTCAACTCTTTCTGCTGCTAAGGACGTTCCGCTGAATTCCACAGAGCATCAGATAAGTGACCATGAGCCTAATCTCAATGAGAGATGAAAAGAGCTGGGTGTGGTGGCTCAACCCTGTAATCCCAGCTAACTCAGGAGGCTGAGGTGGGAGGATCACTTGAGGCTGGGAGTTCAAGACCAGCCGGGGCAACATAATGAGACCCCTGTCTCAAAAACCAAAAACAAAAGGGAGGGAGGAAGAGAAAATTTGGGAGGTGTGTAAACTTTCCAGGGAAGCAGCAATAACTGAAGCTTCTACCAGGTACCTTAGGTGTGATGTTGTGCTATAATAACAATAAGAAATATTTGATCCCTGCATCTGGTTCTTGACACAGAGCTCCTAACACCCTTGTAGACTGGGTACTAGGAGAATCTTTTGTTTTGATGTTTTGTCTTTGACTCCAGTTTCTGACACAGAGCTCCCCAGTTTCTTGGAATTTCCTGGGTGATGGGACTATATTTGTTCTAATGAGGCAACTCTTGGTGGGCTCCTGGATAGCCTCAGGTTGGGAGTGGGTTGCCAGGGGAACCAGCCATGTAATTAGAAGGTTGGAACTTCCAGTCCCACCCCCTGGACTCCAGGGAGGACAAATGGCCTGAAGGTTGATTTTGAGTTGGGCACCAATGGCCAGTGATGTAATTGGTCATGCCTATGTAATGAAGCCCCCATGCAAACCCAAAAGGACAGGGTTGGGAGAGGTTTTAGATTGCTGAATGTGTGGTGGGACCTGGAAGGTGGCACACATGGAAACACCACGCCCCTTCCTCTATACCTTGCCCTATGCATCTCTTCCATCTGACTGTTCATCTGTATCCTTTGTAATATCCTTTGTAATAAATGGGTAAACATAAGTAAGTGTTGCCTTGAGTTCTGTGAGCCACTTTAGCGCATTAATAGAAACTGAGAAGAGGGTGGTGAAAATCTCCAACTAAGAGCCAGCCAGTCAGAAGCGCAGGTCACAACCTGGGGCTTGCAATTAGCATCTGAAATGGGAGGCAGTCTTGGGGGACCAAACCATTAACCTGTGGGATCTGACTCTAACTCCCAGTAGATGGTGTCATAATCGGGCTAAATTACAGAATACCTAGTTGGTAGTCACTGGACAATTGCTTGGTGTGTGGGGGAAACAAAACACACCTGCTCACAGCTGTGTGTTGTGTTGAGTGTATAAGAGAAGAAAAACTGTTTATCTTTTATCTTAGGGATGCAAAAAGTCTTGTTTGTTGGCACATGTCCACACAGGCAAGAATGTTCTTCATTAAATGCAAGCCCTAGGATAGTAGTTCTGCAACTTTAGAATATTTAGAATTATTTTTTGGGGAAGGTGGCTTGTCATATTTCCAGGCTACTCAGGAAATGGGGTCCAGGAACTTGCATTTTTATAAACATCCCAGATGAATCTGTCGTAGGTGGCTCTGAGATTTGTGCTTTGAGAAACATCACTAGAATAACCTAACCTTGCTTGAGTCCTCAAGGTATTAGCAGGAAGCAAAAGCCTGCAAATAGGTTGGTTTTGACTAGGGGTTTGAATTACTAGGATTGATAAATGGACAGCTACTATATTTAAACCTTTCACCTGTGTGATTTATTTCTTCACTTTCCCTAGCAGCTTGAGGGCGGAGAGTTTTCTGACTTTGAAAGACTGCAAGTTCATGATTCTGTCTGGACAAGAACAATTCCCTGCTGTCAATGCACGATTCTATCCAAAATGGTTTAATATTTCAGTTGAATAATTCCCAGCTCTTAGGAATTTGATGTCATGAAACCCCGTGTTTCATTGCCCCAGCCACCATGTGGCTTACATAGATATCCTGTAAAATAGGACGAATGAGAGCTTTTTATGAGTTTGGGTAAAGACTATCATGATCTGAGACTACGCCAAGGAAGTAAACTACCCGGGATTTCAACCATTTGAGATTTCAATCTGTTCTCTAACACATTGGTTACAGCTTTCTTAATAAGGATAAAGAATGATTTTTTTAAAGACAGGGAATTTACAATTTTTAAAAGGCAGTAATTTACTTCAGACAGGTTTTGTTTTTGTTTTTGTTTTTTTTTGAGACAGGGTCTCACTCTGTTGCTTAGGCTGCAGTGCAGTGGTGTGATCACAGCTCACTGCAGCCTCAATCTCCTGGGCTCAAAAGATCCTCCTGCTTCCGCCTCCCAAATAGCTAGGATGACAGGTATGCGCCACCAAACCCAGCTAATTTAAAATAAATATTTTTTGGAGCAACAGGGTCTTGCTATGTTGCCCAGGCTGGTCCTAAACTCCTGGCCTCAAGAGATCCTCCCACCTCAGCCCAAGGTATTGGATTACAGGTGTGAGCCACCACACCCAGCCCCGAGACAGCATTTTGGAATGAATACTTTCAGAAAACTCACAGATTCATGGGTTTTGGGCTCATCTTCAGGCTTCGACTCCTCTAATGTCAGATTTTCCAGCCCCTCTGTGGAAATAGATTGTTACAAAGGAGGCTCCCTGTGGGTAGACCTGCTAGGTGGCAACTTCATTCCCCTCCCTAGCATTGGGTTAGACAGCAGATTAGGATGATGAGTTTGCTGTAAATGAAAACCGACCAGTCCATGAATGGCCACCATTCGCACGTTCTTCCTTGTGGACTTTGGTGGCAGGATATTTGCCAAGGTTTGGCAAAGACCCTTCTGCCCGCCACCTGCATCTGAATCCTCAGGTTGGGAGCAGGGGCAGCTGAAAGATGCAGATGTTCTTGAACCCCACTTCTGATTTAGCAGGTTGGAATCTTTGGAGGTGAGGCTCGGATGCTAACTTTTTTAAAACCTCTCCAGGTAACTCTTATGGAGTCTAAAGCTTGGGTACTTTTGCCTTAAAAGTTTCATATTGCCATTTAGTTACTCCTGTAAATGAGGGCTGGGAGATTTAATTTCAAAGGATTACTGAGAAATTGGCCATGTTACCTGGAAGAGAGAATTGATTTCATTCTCTAACAGCTAGTTCTTTTCTGCCTCTTTCCTTCTTTCTCTCTGTCTCTCTCTCTCTTGCCCCTACATGCATATGACAAAGCCTTTAAATTTGGGTCTCTTTTAAAATTTATTTATTTAGTTTTTGAGACAGGGTCTCACTCTGTCATGTAGGCTAGAGTGCGATGGCATGACCACAGCTCACTGCAGCCTTGAATTCCTGGACTCAAGTGATCCTCCCATCTCAGCCTTCCAAATAGCTGGGAATACAGGTGTGTGCCACCATGCCCAGCTAATTAAAAAAAATTTTTTTTTTTTAGAGATGGGGTCTAGCTATGTTGCCCAGGCTGGTCAAGGAACTCCTGGCCTCAAGAGATCCTTCCATCTTTGCCTCCCAAAGTGCTAGGATTATAGGCATCAGCCACTGTGCCTGGCCTGTTTTCTTTAATAACAGAGGGAAAGGCATCTAGAAGGAATTTGACCTTACAGATGGGGAAATAATTCAATTCTCATTTTATAGTTAGGGAAATTGAGGCACAGAGAGTTTAATAATTTGCCCAGATAGCCTGTGTGGTAGAAGTAGGATCTGAATCCTGATAAAGCTGGTATTAAATCATAGGCTCTAACCTTTGTGAACAGTGCCTTTTAGGAAGAAGGATCAAAGAGGCAACTCCTTCTCATACCTTTTATTCCTAACAAAGCTTCAATCACAAGCAGAGACATCAACACTTCATCCCCAGATAAAAACACTTATATTAAGGCTGGAGAAAGTCTAACATATGAATGCTTCTAGATCCCTTCCAACACTTCTTGGATGGAGTTGCCATGAGCAAACTGATCTTTGAAAGCAAACTGTCCACTAGAGACTGCAAAGTAGATAGTGTCTAGGCTGCAAATATTGTTTTTGTGTTTTAGTAATGTGAATTGCTAACCATGCGTTTTAGTAATGTGAATTGGTTGTCAACATCTAAAAATTTGGAGATTTTACATAAAATCCCAGATTTCCAACATCTCTTGAAAAATGAGCCCCATGAGGCCTGCATACTAAGTGGTTACAATTGGAGCAGAGTGGTGGCTGCTTCCTTTAAACTGTGCTTTTGAAATTACCATGGTCCCCACCACTTCCTATTGTCCTATAACCAGGCTACCTCATGTATGTCCTTCCCCTGACCCCTGTACTCCTTTGATTTTGTGAACCTTAGCCCTGACTCATCACACATTTCTGTAGGATGAAACCTCACCATACCATTCCCCCGTAAATCAATCCTGGAGTTAGCCACAAAGCAAGTACCACTTACTGGCCTTTGTTACTGGGTGTACTAGCAGGAACATATTGACTTAGCGGCAGTGCAGAGTTTGGCTAAGAACACAGCCTGAAGAGCGACACTATCCTGGTTTTAAATCCTACCTTTTCCACTAACTAGCTGTGAGGCTTTGGGCAAGTCACTTTACCTCTCTGAGTCTCGGTTTCCTCATCTACAAAATAGGGATAATAATACCTATCTACCTCTTTGGGTTGCTGTGAAGACTCAATGAGGATTAATTAATGTTAAGAGCTTAGAACAGTACCTGGCATATGTCAAGGTCTATGTTAGTGTCAGCTGCTATTATTATAACCCACTTAGCTCAAACACTAATCTAGGCAGTATGCATTTTCCCAAGTTCCCAGGAGTCAAGCCAAGGCTTGGTCTCATTCCCTTAGAACATTGTCCTTTGTTTGGCTCATAAATATAAAGCCTTGAATTCTATTTAATGGCATCTTGAATTCTGAGGTCCTTTCCCAGTAACATTGATAATATTAGTAATAATGGGATTAATAAATGGTTTACATTTTTGTGCACCCACTAAAGAACAGAGACACCAACCTACACATTCTGTGGGTCATCCAGTTAACCTTTACAATAGCTTTATGAAATGGGTACTACTATTATTCTCATTTTACAGGTGAGGAAACTGAGGTTCAGGAATGTTAAACAATTGGCTGAAGGTCTCACAGTGAATAAGTGGTGACTGGGACCTGGGTCCAGGCAGTCTGGTGCCAAAACTGCACCATTAAACCCACACTCTGTGGCTCCCCTGCTCACAAGTTCACAAGCACCTTACACCTTCTCTTAAGAATATAGTCAGGTTCATTCACGTGTATTCTCCAACCATCTTCCTCTTCATGGGCCAACATCAAATTTGCCATCCTGCAGGCAAGAAACCTTGAGTTTCCTTTCATGTTTGAGTGTCCTTTTCTCTTTTATTTGGCCAAAGCCATTTAATTTTCTTTTGTGACACTTCTGTTTTGACATCTTCCCCTCTACCCAGCTGCCACTGGTTGTTCCTGGGTCTGCCTTCTCTGATAGGAAGTGGATCTACCATGACATCTGCTACTGTCTTGGTTGCCAAGGTTGGGTTGGCTGATCTGGAATGTCAAAAGAGGTCTCCTTCCTCCCTCACCCATCTGGGTGAGCCTCCTTTGTCAACCAAGAGAAAGAGGTTGACCTTCTCAGTTTGATGGGTGTAGGACTTTGGTCAAGGGTATAGGAGTAGCCATGCTGCTGTGGCAGAAAAGTGAAAGAATTTCTCAGCATTCTTATCTGTCTTACCAGAAATTACACAGCAAGACAGAGATGGATCTGGACTTGTCATTTCTGGGTCTGAGTTGCCTATCACATGACCTTGCTGTCTGTCAAACCTCTGACGGAAAGTGTTATTGAGTCTAGCAGATGGAGCCCATCTGAGCTGGTTAGAGAAATCAGAATAAATTTGTCCCAGTCCAGAGGGACAACACATCAGCAGCATCCATCTCTTCATGAGATGAGAGCTCCTTGTCAATACCAAAAATATGTAGTGACCTTTCTGCCCTTAAACTAAAACAGTTATGCTAGTTTGATGCAAGTAGGAGTTTATTTAGCAGATGATGTGCTAGGGCAGAGCAAATAGCAATCCTAAATATCCCATTTATTCTCCCACATTTCCTACCCTCTTACAGTTAGGTGGGATTACGTGACTGATTTCAGTCAATGTAAGCCTAAGCGACATTTGTCGCTAGGCAGTAAAAAGCCCATGTGGGATTCTCCAGTCTTCCTCTCCCCCGCCTTTGCCTGAGGACACCTCATGTTCTAGATCTGAAGTTGGCAAACTACAGCCCACAGACAGATGCCTGTTGTTGTAAATAAAGTTTTATTGGAACACAGCCACGCCTGTTCATTTCTATATTGTCTATGGCTGCTTTTGTGCTAAAATGGCAGAGCTAAGTAGCTGTGCCAGAGACCATGATCGGGACCATATGGCCTGCAAGGCTTAAAAGATTTACTATCTGGCCCTTTACAGACAAAGTTTGTTGACTTCTGTCCTAGATAGAGCAGCTACAAGATGGTGCAGCTTTGTATAGCGTGGGACCCTGCATGACTGTGTGGAGGAGAGACCTTCCACTGACCTATATGATCCATGTAATGGATCCATATTGTTGACCTGATCCAAAGAAGCATCCAAACCTTCTTTTTTTATAAATCACTCAGTCTGAGGTATTTCTTTATAGCAATGCAGAATGGACTAACACACTACTTTTGTGCTACAAAGACTGAGTTGAGTAGTTGGGACTATGTCCCTCTGTCCAGAGGATGTAGGGCCTGTAAGGCCAGAAATATTAACTATTTGGTCATTTACCAAAGGAGTTCACCCACTCCCGCACTAGAAGATCCACACTGTTGATATGTCCCTCTGGACTGGGACAAATTTATTCTGAGAAGAAAACATGAAAACCCTTTGGCTTGGGGTTGTTACTGGAGCATAACCTAATCTACCCTAACAGATTCCAACGGGCGTTCGAGAAAGGGCGTTTGACATGGGGAGGGATTCAAAAAGCCTACTTACTTCCTTGTGAAGTGAACTGCACAAGAAATGCCGATGATGAGAAGGCCAATGATGATGGAGGCGATGGCTACCCACTTAGCATTCCGCCCAAGCCGCCTGGCTCCTTCGTAGTCTCCATCGTTGTAGCTGTTCAGAGACTGGGGGACAGAAGGGAAGAGCTGGTGATGACAGATAACCCACAGGGAAAGGGATGGAGGTCCTCAGGCTGTCCTGATGAAAAGGTTCCAAGAGCTCTCTGGTGACTTTGCTCATCTCACTGACAGCCTGCTAAGCAAACAACACAGTCATCCCCTCCTCCAGGAATCCTTCCCTAAACTCTAAGGATGAGTTAACTGCCCCCTCTGTATTTCCTGATGACTTTTGTCTTAGCATTTACGTAACAAGATTTTGTCTCTCCCACCAGCATGTAAGTGCAACGTGGGCAGGGGTCATCGTCTGTCTTTTATCTTTTCTTTTTTTTTTTGAGACAGAGTCTCACTCTGTCACCCAGGCTGAAGTGCAGTGGCACAACCTTGGCTCATGGCAACCTCCGCCTCCCGGGTTCAAGCAATTCTCCTGCCTCAGCCTCCCAAGTAGCTGGGATTACAGGTGCCCGCCACCACGCCTGGCTAATTTTTGTATTTTTAGTAGAGACAGGGTTTTACCACATTGGCCAGGCTGGTCTCAAACTCCTGACCTCAAGTAATCCATCCACCTTGGTCTCCCAGAGTGCTGGGATTACAGGCATGAGCCACCACGCCCGGCCTTCTGTCTTGTTCGGCATACCAGTGTCCAGTGCAATACTTGCCATGTAGAAGATGCTGGATAAGTATTTGTAGCATAAAAACACAAATGAGTATGTCTGTCTTGTTCACTAGAATGGGATTTGCAAATCATGGCCCATGGGCCAAATCCAGCCTGCTGCCTGTTTTTGTAAATAAAGCTTATTTGGAACATAGTCACACTCATTTGTTTACTACTGTCTGTGGCTATTTGATATAGTTTTGTTGTAGGGCAGGTGAGCCCCAGAACTGGGGCCTAGCCTGGGAAGTTTTTTGACCTCTCTCAGGAAAGAATTTAAGAGTGAGCTGGTGGGCCGGGCGTGGTGGCTCATGCCTGTAATCCCAGCACTTTGGGAGGATGAGATGGGCAGATCACGAGGTCAGGAGATCAAGACCATCCTGGCTAACACAGTGAAACCCCGTCTCTACTAAAAATAAAAAAAAATTAGCCGGGCGTGGTGGCGGGCGCCTATAGTCCCAGCTACTTGGGAGGCTGAGGCAAGAGAATGGCGTGAATCTGGGAGGCGGAGCTTGCAGTGAGCCAAGATCGTGCCACTGCACTCCAGCCTGGGCGACTGAGCAAGACTCCATCTCAAAAAAAAAAAAAAAAAAAAAAAAAGAGTGAGCTGGTGGTAGAAGAAAGCAGCTTTAGGCCGGGCGTGCTGGCTCACGCCTGTAATCCCAGCACTTTGGGAGGTCGAGGCAGGTGGATCACCTGAGGTCAGGAGTTCAAGACCATCCTGGCCAACATGGTAAAACTCTGTCTCTACTGAAAATACAAAAAATTAGCCGGGTGTGATGGCAGGCACCTGTAATCCCAGCTACTCGGGAAGCTGAGGCAGGAGAATTGCTTGAACCTGGGAGGCAGAGGTTGCAGTGAGCTGAGATTTTTGCCATTGCACTCCAGCCTGGGCAACAAGAGTGAAACTCCGTCTCAAAAATAAAAATAAAAAAAATAAAATATAAAAGCAGCTTGATTGAGGCAGCAGCATTAGAGCCCTGGTTGAGTTACAGCTCCATGACTGCTCCTGCAGAGCAAGGCTACCCCATAGGTAGCGTGTTGAGAGCAGCAGCTCAGGGCAGTGCTGCAGTCAGATTTATACTCACTTTTAACTATATGTAAATTAAGGGGCAGGTTGTTAAGAAATTTTTAGATAAGGGGTAGTAACTTCTGGGTCGTGGCCCTGAAAAGGGGTGACAACTTCCGAGTCATTGCCCTGGAAAGGGGTGGTAGCTTCTGGGTGTTGCCATAGCAATGGTAAACTGTCATGGCACTGGTGAGCATGTCTTATGGAGAGGAGCTTTGAGTGCCTTTTCCCTGTTTCAGCCGGTCTTCAATCTGGTCTGGAGTCAAGTCCCGCCTCCTACCTCAGTTTGGATGTTTGTTCCCTCCAAATCTCATGTGTAAACGTGATCCCCAATGTTGGAGGTGGGGCCTGGTGGGAGATGTTGTGGTCAGGGGGCAGACCCTCATTAATGGCTTGGTGCCCTCCCTGCAGTAATGAGTTCTCACTCTGTTAGTTCATGTGTGAGCTGGTTGTTTAAAAGAGCCTGGCATCGTTCTCTTGCTCTCTCTCTCTGTCTTGCCACATGACACAATTGTTTTCCCCTTGCTTTCCACAATGAGTAAAGGCTTCCTGAGTCCTCACCGGAAGAAGATACTGGCGCCATGTTTGTTTAGCCTGCAGAACCATGCACCAAACAAACCTCCTTTCTTTATAAATCATTCAGTGTTAGGTATTTCTTTATAGCAGTGCAAAATGGACTGACACACTACTTTTGTGCTACAAAGACAGAGTTGAGTAGTTGGGACTTTGCCTCTCTGTCCAGAGAATGTAGGGCCTGCAAGGCCAAAAATATTTACTATTTGGTCATTTACCAAAGAAGTTCGCCCACTCCTGCACTAGAAGGTCAATCCATGAGGTCAGGGACCTTGGCTGAATTTTTCATCTCCATGCCCAAGCCACGGCTGTCATTCCCAGCTGTTAAAATGTTGAAATACTCTGTACTCACTGATAAATAGCAGCTACTCTGAAGCTTGTCCGCCTTCCCCAATATCCCAGCCATCCCACTTGCTCCTCTGCCTTTTCCCCGGTTTCCCCATGATCCAGCAACTTAAGGGTTATTGGGCTCAGCAGAGCATCTTCTCTGATTCTGTGCTCATGCCAAACTTGTTAAATATTTAAATATCATCCTTGTTTCTAGTACTTAGAGTGGTGTCTGGCACATTGTTGGAGCTCAAGAAATATGTTATTGACTGAATGAGTGCATGAATATTTCTGTTTCCCCACAGAATGTGAAGTTTTTGAGGGCATCTTTGAGGTCTGCAGGACATAGTACACTGCCAGGCAAAGAAGAGGTATTCAGAGACTGCTTGCTGCTGAAATGAAGGCCAGATACTGTTCTTCTCCCTTTAATAATAAGAGAATCTTGACCAAATGACATCATGTGCCTTCTGATAAAATACCCTAGCAAGGACATTTTACCTGTGTAGTTTTCTTTTCTTTTCTTTTTTCTCTTCTCTTCTCTTCTCTTCTCTTCTCTTCTCTTCTCTTCTCTTCTCTTCTCTTCTCCCTTCTCCCTTCTCCCTTCTCCTCCTCCTCCTCCTCCTCCTCCTTTTTCTTCTTTTTTTTTTTTTTCCGGAGACGGAGTCTTGCTTTGTTTCCCAGGCTGGAGTGCAGTGACGTGATCTCAGCTCACTGCAACCTCTGCCTCCTGGGTTCAAGCCATTCTCCCGCCTCAGCCTCCTGAGTAGCTGAGACTAAAGGTGCCTGCCACCACGCGTGGCAAATTTTTGTATTTTTAGCAGAGAGAGTTTCACCATGTTGGCCAGGCTGGTCTCGAACTTCCAGCCTCAAGCAATCCACTTGCCTCGGCCTCTCAGAGTGTTGGGATTACAGGCATGAGCCACTGCACCTGGCCCTATGTAGTTTTCTCAATATACCTAGCTTTTTTTAATTAAGAGGGAATAATAGGGTAAATTCTATTTGAGCAACTTTCTGCAAGACAAATGGCTTGAAATTATTTTTAAAAAGTCAATGTCGTGAAAGACATGCACACCCACCCACCCAAACACATCAGGAGACTCTCCTAGATTAAAGAAAACTAGATGAACCTAACAATTATATGCAATGTATGATCCTTGATCGTGTCTAGGATTAATAAATAAGTAGCAATTACAGATATCTTCGGGATAATTGGGGAAATTCGAGTGTAGAGTAAATGTTAGATAATAATAATGTTAAATTTCTTGAGTGTGATATTTGTATTTTAGTTACACAAGAGAATTTTTTTTTCTACAGAAGATACAGGCTGCATTATCTAGAACTGATATTATTGCAACCTGTACCTAAATTTTCAGCAAAATAAGAATAAAAATGGCAAAAAATGTTAACTATTGATGCAGTTTGGTGATTATATAGGTCATTGTGTTATTTGCTCACTTATATTTGAGGCCTGCAATTTTTCAAAATAAAAAGAACACACAGTTTTGAAAAATAAGCTCTCTTTATCATCCCATGGCTGAGAGTCACCCAACAGTTGTGCTGTAGCCCAAAGAAGACTGGAAATATTTATTTAAAAGTTATGTATGCGCACACCTGTAGTCTAAGTTTCTCAGGAGGCTGAGGTGGCAGGATCACCTGAGCCCACGAGTTTGAGGCTGCAGTGAGCTATGATCGTGCCACTGCACTCCAGCCTGGATGACAGAGTGAGACCTTGTATCAAAGGAAAAAAAAAAAAAAAGAAGAAGTTATGTACAGAAGGACTCCGTCAGTGCTGTGAAATTACAGATTTCACTGAGAACCTCTTCCTTGATTCTGAAATCACAGCACTTCAGTAATAATTGCTCCTCTTCCTGGACTATTAAGGGGGATTAGACATATGCAGACAATTACAAGCCAGAGAAATACCCAGTATACCACAGAGCTTTCTGCTTCCGGAACCTTCCATTAATTCTTGGATCTGGGCCACCTTAGTCAGCAACAGGTGGGAAGACTCAACAATGAAGAGGAATTGCTTTTAGGCCTCTTGTGTGAATGAGAGAGCGAGAACTAAAAACAATGTTAGGGACTTCCAGCAAGGTGAGTTCCTGAATTCTAAGTCACGAATTCTGGAGTTCTCCAGCTTGGGTGTTCATTAGAACCACCTGGGTAGTAAAAAAAAAATACAGAGAACCAGGCTCTATCATGGAGAGATTCTGATTTAACTGATGTGGGGACCAGGTGGCACATGTTTTTTGTGTGTGATTTTTTTGTTGTGGTAAAATATGCCTACAATTTAATCTTTTAATCATTTTTAAGTATACTGTTTAGTGGCATTATGTACATTCGCATTGCTGTGCAACCATGACCCACCATCTATCTCTGGAATTTTCATCTTCCCCAATGGAAACTCCATACCTGTAAAATACTCACTCCCATTCATCCTCTCCCCAGCCCCTGACAACCACAATTCCTTCTGACTCTATAAATTTGACTATTCTGGGTACCTCATGCAAGTGAAATTATGCAGTATTTGTTTTTTGGGGGGACTGGATTCTTTTACTTAGACATAATAATGTCTTCAAAGTTCATCCATGTTATAGTATGTGTCAGAATTTTTTCCCCTTTTAAGGATGAACAATACTCCATTGTAGGGATATATATAATATTCCACTGTAAGGATACACTGCATTTTGTTTATCCCTTCAGCTGTTGATAGATGGCTGAGTTGCTCTTGCATTATTATTATCATTAAAATTTTTTTTTTTTTGAGATGAGGTCTCATTCTGTCACCCAGGTTGGAGCGGAGTGGCACAATCTTGGCTCACTGCAGCCTCGACCTCCTGGGCTCAAGTAATCCTTCCACTTCAGCCTCCTGAGTAGCTGGGACTACAGGTGCATACCACCACACCCAGCTAATTTTTGTTTTTTTTTTAATTTTTGGTAGAGATGGGGTTTTGCCATGTTGCCCAGGCTGGTTTCAAACTCCTGACCTCAAGCAATCCACCTGCCAGAGCCTCCCAAAGTGCTGGGATTACAGGCATGAGCCACCTTACCCAGCCTATTATTATAATTTTTAAGCTTCACAGGATTGAAAACTTCTGGTCTATGTAACTATCCTTAATGTCCTTCAAGGTCAAGATGCCCACCGTCGTTAAATTTATTCCAAGGAAGTATGTAATAGACCATGGGCTTGAAATTCAGAGATCTGAGTTCAAATTCCATGTCTTATCATCTGCAAGAGCTAAGGCAAGTTTTCAACTTTCCTAAGCCTTAGTGCCCTCATCTGTAAATCGGGGGCAATAGTAATAGCGCCCACTTCACATTGAATTAATGTGTGTCAAGTGGTTGGTATTGGCTCCGCACATAGTGTGTGCTCAATAAATGTTAGCTTTTGCTGTGAATTGCCACTTCCTGCCTTGCTCTTATTCTAAATCTGCAATCTTTGGGGTGTACCAGAATCTTCTCTACCCTTGCTGGATCTTTGGGGAGAGTAATCCTTCCACCTCAGCCTCCTGAGTAGCTGGGACTACAGGTGCATACCACCACAACCAGCTAATTTTTTTTTTTTTTTTTGTATTTTTGGTAGAGATGGGGTTTTGCCATGTTGTCCAGGCTGGTGTCAAACTCCTGACCTCAAGCAGTCCACCTGCCTCAGCCTCCCAAACTGCTGAGAAGCTGTTTTAGAGGCTTTACAATCAAAATCACTGCATAGAATATTAGAACCCTAAATTCTGAGCTCATAATCCAGTTTAGAATTATATAAATTCAGACCTTCCCAAACCGACCTATTGTGCTGCCTTGGAAAACACAGTTCTGAGATGATAGCTATGATGATGCATTCATGTTGCTGTAACCATAGGAAAAATAATGAAGTCCCCTCTCTTTTCTAAATGGCAACTCCTGGCTGTTTGGATGAAAAAACAGTTTCGTGTTCTCAGTAGCAGTGACCAAAAAAGTGGGAAGAACAGCCAATCTGTCACGTAGAAGGGTACATCTATCACCTGTGCATTGCCCATGAGCACAGGTGAAATGAGAGTCCCTGGCCATTTGAGTTGTTTGATACAAGGCAGAGAGGCTGTGCTTGGTGACCTGGCTGAAGGGGATTTGGGTGCAAGCCACAGGTGAATCCTGCCCCACGTTCATCACCTGCTGCCACTCTGGCATCTTGTATGTGACCCTCCTTCTTTCCAGGGACATGTAAGGGAGACCTTGAGTGAATCTGGGAATGGGGCTGCTGTTGGCTTGAAAAACAGATGAAAAGCCTCTTTCAGTATTAAGTGTGGAAGCTCCTCTCCCCACAAATCCTTTTCTGAATCCATTTTCTCCCCTGGTACTTGGGAAAAGGGCTGCCCACGGGTAGATCTGCTGGGTAAAAGTAAGAAGATGAGGGGAGGGACGAGAGTGAGAGATTCCAGCTCTGAGATTTCATTGTGAAGGATTTCCATGGCTGGGGGGGTCTCGGGCTTAAGGGTAGAGAACTAACAGTGAAGCAGAAAGAATTCTTTCCCTGCTTCCCCAACATGTCACTGTAATTCTTTTCCTCTTTTAATTGGAATTTTATACTGAGGTTCTCCTGGCAGATGTGACAGACTGAAGCGGTGGAAATGGATTTTAGAGAAAATGCATGGTTTATAAATCTTTTTCTGAAGAGCTTAGAATGTAAACTATTCCATCTGGTGTGGAAGAACTAGGAAGAAACAGGGCAGCTTTAGATACTCAAAATTTATATGATCTTATTTGTTCTTTTAAAAATTACTAATGCAATTTGTGAACATGTAAAACATTTGGATGCTATAGAAGCACATGCAGTCAATAGTAAATCTCTTTCCCTAATCTTACTTCTCAGAGATAACCCTTATTAGCAGTTTGGTGCATCTGATTCTAGATTTTTTCCCCGCATGAATAATATGAAAAGAAAACTGACACTTTCTCCTGCTTCCATTATGACTAAGCACATCATGTATCATAGTCAGGAGAGAGAAACAGCAATTTTCACCCTGAGGTAAACCAAGAATAACAGAGTCAGTCTGTCTAGTCCTGATCCCTCAAATATTAAAACCTTGAGTACTTCCCATAAATTTTGGCAAAGACAACTTCATCACTACCTTTTGCAACTATGATGTCTAAACACGGGTTACTTCCTTTGTGGATATTGTAATATACTCAGAAAGATACTGTTTGTTTTCCAGGAACAGATTAATATAAAACAACTCAGTGACCTTGGCAACTTTGCATCTGTTTTCTTTTAAATACTTGTGTTTTGCTTTGGCTAGCTGGTCTTTTTGAAGGTGGATTCTCTTGTATTTCTTTTGAAGTAAAATCTTTTCTTCTCTAAATGTTTTGGCCTTAAGTCTTTCTTTGACAAAATAACAATGATAACAGATAGTATTTATGAGGCATTTAGTATATGCCAGACACTGTGTTAAATGTTTTTCAAGGATTATTGTATTGGTCCTCACAACACTATGAGCTAGGTGCTTTGTGGTTTCCATTTTACAGATGGGAAAACTGAGGCACAAAGAAGTCAAAGCAATTTGTCCATAGTCACGTGGCTAGTTTGGTACAGTAATTGTACACACACACAGGCACAGACACACAGAAGTTTGTGTTTTTTTTTTCTCTCTTTGTTCTAAGCATATGAATAGGCCAGGTGCAGTGGCTCATACCTGTAATCCCAGCACTTTGGGAGGCTGAGGCAGGAGGATCGCTTGAGTCCAGGAGTTCAAGACCAGCCTGGGCAACATAGCAAGACCCTTGTCTCTACAAAAAATTTTAAAAATTAGCTGGATGCCAGGTGCAGTGATTCATGCCTGTAATCCCAACACTTTGGGAGGCCAAGGCAGGGGATCACGTGAGTCCAGGAGTTCAAGACCAACCTGGGCAAGATAGGGAGACCCTGTATCTACAAAAAATTAGCTGGCGTGGTGGCACATGCTTGTAGTCCCAGCTACTTGGGGATGCTGAGGTGGGAGGATTGCTTGAGTCCCAGTGTTCAAGGCTGCAGTGAGCTATGATTGTGCCACTGCACTCCAGCCTGAGTGATAGAGAAAGACCCTGTTTCAGAAAAAAAAAAAAAAAAAAAGCCAGGTATGGTGGCATGTACCTGTAGTCCCAGCTACTCAGGAGGCTGAGGCGAGAGGATTGCTTGAGCGCAGGAGTTTGAGGTTACAGTGAGCTATGGTTGAACCACTGCACTGTAGCCTGGGTGACAGAGCAAGACCCTGTATCTGAAAAAATAAAAAATATAAAAATACAAACAGTATCATACTACATGTGTTCTGCAATTTGCTTTTTTTTCCACTTAATATGGGGTGGGCAACTTCCCAAGCTAGTGTGTCCAAGTCTATCTTATTCTTGTTTCCTTTCCCCCTTCGTGATTAAAATAATGAGTTATATTGATAGACTTCCTGATGTTACATCATCCTTGTATTCTTGGGGAAAGTCTTGATTTGTTATGGTGCAATCTTTCCTTTGTAACTTTTTATTTTCAAATAGCTTCAAACTTATAGAAACATTGTGAGTTCTATAAACATTGTGAGTATGGTTCTCTTATTCTTTTTAAGGCTTCCTAGTAGTTCATTTAAGTGGTCATGCCTCACCTATAACTATAGACATTTAGTTATTTAAAATTTGTTGAGATTGCATAATATGCTGCAGTGGACATTCTAATTCATACATTTTTGCATACGTTTGAGCCTCTGCTTTTGGTGAATTTCTAGGAATGGAATTGTTGTGTCAAAGGGTATATGGATTTACATTTGGAGAGATAGAGCCAAATTGCCCTGCAGAAAGGTTATCCAAATCTATGCTCCCACTAATTCTTTTAAGTGCTCTTTCCCTGACATCATTGCCAATACTGTATATTATCAATCTATTGTTTCCCCATTCTGATGGGTGAAGAAGAATCTCAAGATAAGATTCCATTAATTAATGGTGAGGTTGAGCCATCTTTTCACACTTCAGATCTTAGCTCCAGTGTTATCTTCTCACAGAGGACTTTTCACCTCCAGCTTATCTAAAACTGGCCAGCTCTCCCTCATGACCCACACAGTGCCTGGAACATAGAAGGAGAGCAATAAGTATGTGTTGAATTAACAAATGTATGTATAAATGAATATTTATTGATCCTACGTATTTCTTCTTGATGAGTTTTGTACCCATACCCTTTGTCTAGTTTTCTGTCGGTTTGTGTTTTCTTACTGAGCTGTGGGAAACTTTTACATATTATGAACCAGCACTGTGCAACAGAAATATAATGGGAGACACACAGGTGATTTTAAATTTTCTAGTAACCACATCAAAAAAGTAAAAATAAGTAGGTGAAATTAACTTCAATAATATATATTCAATCCAACATGTCCAAAATATTATTCAAAGCTGTCTTCAAAAAATATTTTAAAATACTATTATTATAGTGATATTATATTAATATAACTCCTGAGTGAATAGATTTCTACCAGTGTCAGTGTGTTTTTTTTTTTTTCTTGAGACAGGATCTCGCTCTGTCACCCAGGCTGGAGTGCAATGGCATGATCTTGGCTCACTGCAACCTCAACTTCCCTGGCTGAAGTGATCTTCCCACCTCAGCCTCCCAAGTATCTGGGACTACAGGTGAGTGCTACCACTACCAGGTAATTTTTGTATTTTTTGTAGAGATGAGGTTGTGCCATGTTGCCCAGGCTGGTCTTGAACTTCAGAGCTCAAATTATCTGCCTGCCTCGGCCTCCGAAACTGTTGGTATTATAGACATGAGCCACCATGCCTAGCCTACTCTTTTTTCATATGTGTATGCTTCTATGGAATTTTGTCCCATTGTATTCGTCCATTCTTATGCTGCTAATAAAGACATACTTGAGACTGGGCAATTTATAAAGGAAAGAGGTTTAACTGACTCACAGTTCAGCATGGCTGGGGAGGCCTCAGGAAACTTACAATTGTGGTGGAAAGGGAAGCAAACATGTCCTTCTTCACATGGCAGCAGGAGAGGGAAGAATGAGTGCTGAGTGAAGGAGGAAGCCCCTTATAAAACCATCGGATCTTGTGAGAACTTACTCACTATCACATGAATAGCATGGGGGAAACTGGCCACATGATTCAGCTACTTCCTACCAGGTCCCTCCCATGACATGTGGGGATTATGAGAACTACAATTAAAGATGAGATTTGGGTGAGGACACTGCCAAACCATATCATTGCACTCC
The DNA here is from genome assembly GCF_000001405.40 of Homo sapiens. NCBI lineage: Eukaryota > Metazoa > Chordata > Mammalia > Primates > Hominidae > Homo > Homo sapiens. The sequence continues at coordinate 119,618,925 of NC_000012.12, read as the reverse complement.
TGGCCCCTCTCAAATCTCATGTCCTCACATTTCAAGACAAAATCATGCCTTTCCAACAGTCCCCCTAAGTCTCAGCTCATTCCAGCATTAATCCAAAAGTCCAAGTCCAAGTTCTCATCTGAGACAAGACAAATCCCTTCCGCCTATGACCTTGCAAAACCAAAAGCAAGTTAGTCACTTCCTAGATACAATGGGGGTACAGGCATTGGGCAAATACATCTGTTCCACAAGGGAGAAATTGGCCAAAACAAAGTGGCTACAGGCCCCATGCAAGTCCAAAATCCAATAGAGCAGTCATTAAACATTAAATTTCCAAAATGATCCCCTTTGACTCCATGTCTCACATCCAGGTCACACTGATGTAAGAGGTGTGTTCCCATGGCCTTGGACAACTCCACCCCTGTGGCTTTGCAGGGTACAGCCCCCTTCCCTAGCTGCTTTCACAGGCTGGCATTGAGTGCCTGTGGCTTTTCCAGGTGCATGGTGCAGGCTGTTGATGGATCTACCATTCTGGGTTCTGGAGGACAGTGGCCCTCTTCTCACAGCTCCACTAGGCAGTGCCCCAGTGGGGACCTTGTGTGGAGGCTACTACTGCATATTTCCCTTCCATACTTCCCTAGCAGAGGTTTTCCATGAGGGCTCTGCCCCTGCAGCAAATTTCTGCCTGGACATCCAGGCATTTCCATACATCCTCTGAAATCTAGGTGGAGGTTCCCAAACCTCAGTTATTGTCTTCTGCACACCCTCAGGACTAACACCACATGGAAGCTGCCAAGACTTGGGACTTGCACCCTCTGAGGCAATGGTCCAAGCTGTACCTTGGCTCCTTTTAGCCACAGTTGGGGCTGAAACAGCTGGGATGCAGGGCACCATGTCCAGAGGCTGCACACAGCAGGGGGTCCCTGGGCCTGGCCCATGAAACAATTTTCCCTCCTAGGCCTCCAGGCCTGTGATGGGAGGGGCTGCCTTCAAAGTCTCTAACATGCCATGGAGACATTTTTCCCATTGTCTTGGTGATTAACATTTGATTTCTGCAGCTGGCTTGAATTTCTCCCCAGAAAATGGGGTTTCTTTCTTTCTTTTTGTTTTTTTGAGATGGAGTTTCTTTCTTGTTGCCCAGGTTGGAGTGCAATGGCGTGATCTTGGTTCACTGCAACCTCCACCTCCCAGATTCAAGCAGTTCTCTTGCCTCAGCCTCCCGAGTAGCTGGGATTACAGGCATGCACCACCATGCCTGGCTAATTTTGTATTTTTAGTAGAGACAGGGTTTCTCTATTTTGGTCAGGCTGGTCTCGAACTCCTAACCTCAGGTAATCTGCCCACCTTGGCCTCTCAGAGTGCTGGGATTAGAGGCATGAGCCACCGTGCCCGGCTGGGGTTTTCTTTTCTATCACATCATCGGGCTGCAAATTTTTCAAACTTTTATGATCTGCTTCCTCTTTAGTGCTTTGCCATGTAGAAATTTCTTCTGCCAGATCCCCTAAATCATTTGTCTCAAGTTCAATGTTCCATAGATCTCTGGGGCAGGGGCAAAATGTCGCCAGTCTGTTTGCATAGCAAGAGTGACCTTTACTCTAGTTCCCAAAAAGTCCCTCATCTCCATCTGAGACCACCTTAGCCTGGACTTCATTGTCCATATTACTATCAGCATTTTGGTCAAAGCCATTCAACAAGTCTCTAAGAAGTTCTAAACTTTCCTACATCTTCCTGTCTTCTGAGGCCTCCAAGTCTCTAGGAAGTTCCAAACTTTCCCACATTTTCTTGTCTTCTTCTGAGCCCTCCAAACTGTTCCAATCTCTGTCTGTTACCCAGTTCCAAAGTTGCTTCCACATTTTCTGGTATCTTTATAGCAGCTCCCCACTCTCTGTGGTACCAATTTACTGTAATTGTCTGTTCTCACGCTGTTAATAAAGACATACCTGAGACCGGGTAATTTATAAAGGAAAGAGGTTTAATTGACTCACAGTTCCACAGGGCTGGGGAGGCCTCAGGAAACTTATAATCATGGCAGAAGGAGAAGTAAACATGTCCTTCTTCACATGGTGGCAAGAGAGAAAAGAATGAGTGCTGAGCGAAGGGGGAAGCCCCTTACAGAACCATCAGATCTTGTGAGAACTCACCCACTATCACAAGAACAGCATGGGAGAAACTGGCCCCATGATTCAATTACCTCCCACTGGGTTCCTCCCATGACACATGGGGATTATGGGAGCTACAATTCAAGATTGAGATTTGGGTGGGGACAGAGCCAAACAATATCACCCATGTACATTTTAATAACCATGACTACAATCAGGAAACAGAAATGCTCCATCACCACAGAGAAATTCTCCCTGTGACTCCTTGTAAGTCGCACCTTTCCTCCACGTCCATTGTCTGTTCACTTATATTTGTGGTGTTTGGACATTGTTGAGTTCTTTTCTAAGCTATAGCACTCATAATTTCATAAGCCAACCACCCGTATTTGAGGGTGCTAAGCAGCCAGTTGCTGTCTCTCTTCATCCTGCAAAGTATTTTAAAATGAAGGGACTTCAGTTTCTTTCTGGTTTTAATTTTCCTCTGTTATCCAAATGGATCTTATAGAACAAGAGCATAGTCTAATGTTCTAAGAATTCATGACACTTCACTCTTAGGATATAGAACACATGGGTTCTCATCACGTATTTCATAAGGCATGCAGGAGTCTCCTGCAGTGACTCTTCTCTTTGCTCTGGGCCTAGGCTCATGTTGGCAAAACGGAATAACAGTGTTCAGGTCTTGACCAGATGCCTTGAACCAGTGAAGGCCACACTTTGATAGAAGAGTGAGCAAGGTCCTCTCTCCTGTAGTAAATGCTAATGATCTCATGGTCACTGCAGCTGGTTATTTCAAACTTATTTATACACCCCTTCCCTGGATGGACACATGACACCTAAATACCCACGGGGGGAAAGCTGGGCAGAAGTCAGAAGTGACGGTGACCATTTCTATGCTGAACCTCAAAAAGGTTGCTGTGGGGGACGGCAAGACAGTCATGAGGCTGTGCCAGGCAACTCCTGGCATCCACACCTCAAAGAAAAAGAGTCCAGAGTAACCCCATAAATTTTGATAACTGGCACTGAATACCGGTAGGTCTAATGTTCTGAGAGTTCATAACACTTCACACCAGACGGCAAAGCTACTCCACTGCCCTAAGCCAGGAAAATGTGGAAAGTACTTTGTCCTTTCCTTCTGGTCTTCAGATCAGAACTCTTGCTACATCCCACATGATACCCTGGATGAGACAGCAGTACCTATGGGATTGCTGCCAGTGAAGACCGGAGATGAAACTCTCCAAAGTTATATTTTTATATCTCCCTGTATTCATGGTTCCCAGTTCTAGCTGCAACTTAGAATTACCTGGGGTGGGAAGCTTAAAAAATTCCTATACCCAAGTTCCTTCCCAAACCAACTGAATCAGGCTCTCTGGGGGTGGGACCCCAGCATCAGAATTTTTTTTTGAAAGTTTTTCAGGTTATCCTGAGTGCAGCTAGACTTGAGAACCACTGTCCTAGATAGACAGCCATTCATTAATTCATTTATTTGAAAACTACTTCTTGAGTATCACCTGTGTGGCTGGCACTGCTCCCTGCCCTCATGAGGCTTACTTTCTGGTGGAGATAAAAAATAAGTAAACATGCAAATAAATAAGATGAATACAGAATATTATTAAGGCAAAGAAAGTGGGGTGGAGGAGGCAGTTTTTTTTTTTTTTTTTTTTTTTTTTTTTTTTTAGCAGAAAGCGGGTAGACTGAGACCTGAGGGTTTGAGAAGAAGCCAGGCCTGCAGAGAGCAGTGGGGAGAGGATGCCTGGCAGGGAGGATGGCAATTATAAAGGTCTGGAGGGGGGAAAGAACTTTTTTATTGAAGGTTCCCCCCAAAATGCAGTGTGGCTGAGCTGTAGGAGTGAAAGAGAGAGGAGAGGGTACAAGAAAGGAAAGAAAAGAGAGGAGAGAGGAGAGAGATGAGATAAGGCCAAAGGGGAAGCCAGGAGCTATATTAGTCATAATAATGAATCATCATATTAAAATTATAGTTAATATTTATTGAATATTCTGTGCCAGGCCCTGGACTAACCACTATATGTACATCATATAATTGATTCCTTACAATAACCCCCATGGGGATAGAAGTAATCTTATCCCCTATTTTACAGATGAGAAAACTGAGACTCAGAGAGTGGGACACCAACAGTCAAACAGTGTTTCTGTGTTCAAAAGCAACTTTCTAAGGGGACTACAAATGTAACCAAAAGTTAGTGCATCCATCCACAAAGCCCTTAGGATAATTATTTTATTATGCCCCAAAGAAATTAAGAGCAAGATTTGATGTACTATTTGATGCACAGCACCAGGTAGATGACTTTACTTAAATTTAATAAAAATTTGGTTACTGATAGAGAACATAGGGCAAGTATATCTAAGCTGTGCTACTAATTTTACTGTCAAAAATTCATTTTCTTTGTTCTTGCCTCTCTCTCTCTCTCTCTCTCTCTCGTTGAGATGGAGTCTCTCTCTCTCTCACCCAGCCTGGAGTGCAGTGGTGCAATCTCGGCTCACTGAAGCCTCCGCTTCCCACGTTCAAGCGATTCTCCCACCTCAGCCTGCCAAGTAGCTGGGATTACAGATGCACGCCACCATACCCAGCAAATTTTTGTATTTTTATTAGAGATGGGCTTTCACATGTTGGCCAGGCTGGTCTTGAACTCCTGACCTCAGGTGATCCACCTGCCTCAGCCTCCCAAAGTACTCCCTGCTGGGATTACTGGTGGGTAGATGGGATTCGAACATTGTGCTTCCTCAGCTCTAAAGTCTTCCATGGCTCCCTATTTCCCTGGGAGAAACTCACATTCTTCATTCTGCCCTTCCCAACCCTGCAGGAGTGGCCCCTGCAGGCTCTCCTATCTCGTTTGGAGCCTTTTCCCTTGCTCACTGTCTCCCCGTTTCCTGCCCCCGTCTGTGTCCAGGTCATCTCCTCTCTACTTGTGGCCCTCTTCTCTTTCTGTCTCGTGTGGCCAGCATCTGCTCATTCTGGTCTTGGCTGACCTGTTGGCACCTTCAGGGCAGCCTTCTCAGGCCTCCTCATCTCTTCATTTTTTATTTTTTGAGACAAGGTTTTACTCTGTTGCCCAGTGGTGCAATCATAGCTCAGTGCAGCCTCAAACTCTTGGGCTTAAGCAATTCTCCAGCCTCAGCCTCCAGAGTAGCTGGGACCACAGGTGCATGCCACCATGCCCGACTAATTTTTTCATTTTCTGGTAGAGACAGGGTCTTGCTATGTTGCCCAGGCTGGTCTCAGACTCTTGTGCTCAAGTGTTCATCCTGCCTCAGCCTCCGAAAGTGCTGGGATTACAGGCATGAGCCACTGTACTCAGCCAGGTCCCGACATCTTAAGTAGGTCCTGTGACCATAGTCAGTGGGTTCTGACTCAGCTCCTGATTTATTTCCTTTGTGCTCTTGACGCGAGTCACAGTCATTTGATTCAGCGGCCTGTTGACTTTTGAGTGTTTGTTCTGCCACCTGACTGTGAGCTCCGTGAAGGCACAGACCATATCTCAATGTATTCATTGCTCCGGTGCCTAATGGAGGGTCTGACACCTAGCATTCCCTTAATATATATTTCTAATAAAAAAGAAAAAATTCATACAGCTAGGTTTTCATTTTCCAACCTGTAGCCCTTTTTTTTTTTTTTTTTGGAACAGGCTTCTTGGGAATTTGCCCAAATATCTAGCCATTTGGACAGTTGATGATTACTGGTATGTAAAAAGAATGCTTGGTTGACCAAACAATTGGGGGGCTAGGGGAGGCATAGCATTAGGAGAAATACCTAATGTAAATGATGAGTTGATGGGTGCAGCAAACCAACATGGCACATGTATACCTACATAACAAGCCTGCACGTTGTGCACATGTACCCTAGAACTTAAAGTATAATAATAAAAAAACAAAAACAAAAAAAACCTTAGTTTTCCTCTTTTTTTTATTTTTATTTTTTTGACAGGGTCTCATTACATCACCTGGAATGCAGTGGTGAGATCATGGCTCACTGCAGCCTTGACCTCCTGTACTCTAGTGATCCTCCCACCTCAGTCTCCTAAGTAGCTGGGACTACAGGCGCACACCACCACGCCTGGCTAATTTTTTTTTTTTTTTTTTTTGAGACGGAGTCTTGGTCTGTCGCCCAGGCTGGAGTGCAGTGGCGTGATCTTGGCTCACTGCAACCTCCGCCTCCCGGTTCATGCCATTCTCCCGCCTCAGCCTCCCAAGTAGCTGGGACTACAGGTGCCCGCCACCACGCCCGGCTAATTTTGTTTCTGTATTTTTAGTAGAGATGGGGTTTCACCGTGTTAGCCAGGATGGTCTTGATCTCCTGACCTCGTGATCCGCCTGCCTCAGCCTCCCAAAGTCCTGGGATTATAGGCATGAACCACTTCGCCCAGCCAATTTTTTGTATTTTTTGAAGACGGGGTTTTGCCGTGTTGCCCAGGCTGGTCTGGAACTCCTGAGCTCAAGCAATCCACCTGCCTTGGCCTCCCAAAGTGCTGGGATTACAGGTGTGAGTCACTGCACCTGGCCTCCTCATTTGTAAAATGGGGATAAGAATATCTATGCACAGGGCTGGGCGCAGTGGCTCACGCCTGTAATCCCAGCACTTTGGGAGTGCGAGGTGGGGGAATCACAGGGTCAGGAGATTAAGACTATCCTGGCTAACAAGGTGAAACCTCATCTCTACTAAAAATGCAAAAAATTAGCCGGGCATGGTGCCACGTGCCTGTAGTCCCAGCTACTCAGGAGGCTGACGCAGGAGAGTCACTTGAACCCGGGAGGCGGAGGTTGCAGTGAGCTGAGACCACACCACTGCACTCCAGCCTGGGTGACAGAGCGAGACTCTGTCTCAGAAAAAAAAAAAAGAATATCTATGCACAGGTTGGTTGTGAGGCTTACGTGAGATGATGGCGGTAAAGTGGCCCAACACTATCTCACTTAATTTTGAAAACTGAAAGAGAGGTTGGCATTAATATTCCTATTGTATAGGTGGGAAAACCTAGGCTCAGAGAAGCTAGGATAAGAGCAGAGCTGGGATTCAGACTTAGGAGTTGAGTTCAGAGCCTAGCCCAACATGATGTTTGCCTTTGAATCTGTACCCCCTCCCAGTGTTCATGTTGGGAGCCAAAGGAGAAGATACAAGCAAAAATGGAAAGCAGTTTTGTGAAAAACTCTGGGATACATAAACAGACCTCTCAAAAAAGGTTCACAAAGCAGTGAAAGAAGCAAGGGCCAGAAAACCCACAAAAAGGAGAGAAAATATTTGCAATTCACATATCTGATGAAGTATTTGTATCTAGAATATATATATATATATATCTTAAACTCAACAATAAAAAGACAAACAACCCAGTTAAAGAGGGGCAAAGTCTCTGAATGGACATTTCTTTGAAGAAAATATACAAATTGCCAGTAAGCACAGGAAATGCTCAACATCATTAGTCAATGGGGAAATGCAAATCAAAACCTCAAAAATATACCACTTTGCATCTACTGGGATAGCCACAGTAAAAAAGATAATAACATGTGTTATTGAGGATATAGAGAAACTGGAACCCTTGTACAGGGCTGGTGGGATTGCAAAATTGTGTGGGTGCTTTGGAAATGGTCTAGCAGTTCCTCAACAAGTTAAACATATTGTTATCATACCACCCAACAATTCCACTCCTAGCTCTACACCAAAGAAAATTGAAAACATAAGTTCATACAGAAAAGTTGTGCATGAATATTCATAGCAGCATATTTTTAAGAGCCAAAAATGGAATCAATCCAATGTCCATCAATGAATGAATAGAAAAACACAATATAGAATATCCATACAACAGAATATTATTCAGCCTTAAAAAGAAGGAAGTACTGATTAATGCTACAACATGGATGAACCCTGAAAACAGGATGCTAAGTGAAAGAGGACATATATGAAAGATCACATATTGTATGATTTCATTTATAAGAAATATCCAGAATAGGTAAATCCGTAGAGATAGACAGTAGAATAGAGATTGCCAGGGGTTGTGGGGATGAGTAGTGACTGCAAATGGGTTGTATTAATCCATTTTCACGCTGCTATAAAGAAATACCTGAGACGGGTTAATTTATAAGAAAAGAGGTGTAATTGACTCACAGCTCCACATGGCTGGGGAAGCCTCAGGAAACTTACAATCATGGTGGAAAGCACCTCTTTACAGGACAGCAGGAGAGAGAATGAGTGCCAAGTGAATTGGGGAAGAGTCCCTTATAAAACCATCATAATGTCGTGAGAACTCACTATCATGAGAACAGCATGGGGGAAACCACCCCCATGATTCAATTACCTCCCACCAGGTCCCTCCCATGACAGGTGGGGCTTATGGAAACTGCAATTCAAGATGAGATTTGCATGAGGACACAGCTAAACCACAACATTCCATCCATGGCCCCTCCCAAATCTCATGTCCTCACATTTCAAGACACAAAAATCATGCCCTTCCAACAGTCACCCAAAGTCTTAACTCATCCAGCATTAACCTCAAAGTCCAGATCCAAAGTCTCATTGAAGACAAGGCAAGTCCCTTCTGCCTATGAGCCTGTAAAATCAAAAGCAAGTAAGTCACTTCCTAGATACAATAGGAGTACAGGCATTGGGTAAATACACCCATTCTAAATGGGAGAAATTGACCAAAACAAAGGATGCAAGTCCAAAATCCAATAGGGCAGTCATTAAACCTTAACGTTTCAAAATAATCTCCTTTGACTCTATGTCTCACATCCAGGTAATGCTGATACAAGAGGTGGGCTCCCATAGCCTTGGGCAGCTCTGCCTCTGTGGCTTTGCAGGGTATAGTCCCCACCCTGGTTGCTTCCATGGCTGGTGTTGAGTGTCTGTGGGTTGCACCAAGTGCATGGTGCAAGCTATTGATGGATCTACCATTCTGGGGTCTAGAGGATGGTGGCCCTCTTCTCATAGCTCCACTAGGCAGTGCCCCCATGGGGACTCTGTGGGGGGCTCTGACCCCACATTTCCCTTCCACACTGCCCTAGCAGAGGTTCTTCATGAGGACTTCACTCCTGCAGCAAACCTCTGCCTGGACATCCAGGCATTTCCATACATCCTCTGAAATCTAGGCAGAGGTTCCCAAACCTCAATTCTTGACTTCTGTGCACCCTCAGACCCAGCACGATGTGGGAGCCCCCAAGGCTTGAGGCTTGCATCCTCTGAAGCAATGGCCCAAGCTATACTTTGTCCCCTTTTGGTCATGGCTGGAGCTGAAGCAGCTTGGATGCAGGGCATCACGTCTGAGGCTGCACACAGCAGGGGGCCCTGGGCCCATAAAACCATTTTTCCCTCCTAAGCCTCCAGGCCTGTGATAAGAGGGGCTGCCTTGAAGGTCTCTGATATGCCCTGGAGACATTTTGCCCATTGTCTTGGTGATTAACATTTGGCTCCTGGTTACTTATGCAAATTTTTGTAGCCGGCTTGAATTTCTCCCCAGAAAATAGCTTTCTCTTTTCTATGCATTGCTGGGCTGCAAATTTTCCAAACTTTTATGCTCTACTTCCTTCTGAATGCTTTATTGCTTAGAAATTTCTTCTGCCAGATACCCTAAATCATCTCTCTCAAGTTCAAAGTTCCACAGATCTCTAGGGCAGAGGTAAAATGCATCCAGTCTCTTTGCATAGCAAGAGTGACCTTTACTCCAGTTCCCAAAAAGTTCCTTATCTCCATCTGAGACCACCTCAGCCTGGACCATATTGTTCATATCACTATCAGCATTTTGGTCATTCAGCAAGTCTCTAGGAAGTTCCAAACTTTCCCACATTTTCCTGTCTTCTTCTGAGACCTCCAAACTGTTCCAACCTCTGCCTGTTATCCATTTCCAAAGTTGCTTCCACATTTTTGCGTATCCTTATAGCAGCGCCCCACTCCCTCAGTACCAGTTTACTCTATTAATTCATTCTCATGCTGCTATGAAGAAATACCCAAGAAAGGCGGGCATTTATCTCCAGGGCTGCCATAGTGCTTGGCATATAGCAGGTATTCAAACATTTTTGAGTGAATAAATGAATAAATGAATGTAGGAGAACATCCCTCCCTGATTTCTACCCTTGAAGGATGGCAGTAGAAAGTTTCCCACATGCTGTGGAAACTTCTCTGGGGACCAAGCACCCTGTTGCACACTCAAGTGACGCTTCTTCATGTTGACTTTAAGCTCTTCCCCCTCATCTGAATTCCCTCTCCCAGCTTTGCTCTTTAAATATAAGAGTCAACTGCCACCCCAACCAGCTTCTTAACCATGGCGGCAGGGGCTAGAGATTGCCATCATTGGAAGAGAAGGCTGGAGGCCCAGGCTTTCTCTGTCTTTGGCCTTGCAGATTTCTATTTGCCACTCCCTCAGCCTCCTTCATTTTCCTTCTCATTGAAAGTGAGCCTTGGACTTTGCTATAATCAAACATGAATGTGGACAAGAAATCTGGGGGGGATGTTTGAAGTGATGGAGACATTGTCGCTGCTGTCTGCCATTTCCTCCTTTTGGTAGATACTTTCTACAGAATAGTGAGTAAAGGGAATCTTTTCAAGGGAAAAGATCATGGGCCACATGTCTTTCAAAAACATGAAGAATTTATCTCAGGAGCATCAGGTGCCCTCTCTCTGGCTGGGAGATAGATCCAAAAAGTGGGCTTATATTAGAGTGAGCTTCTACTTGGGTAGAGAAAGAGCTACTTCTTACCATTGCAGGCTAAAAAACCCCACTGGAATTGGAACAAAACAAAAACAACAGCAAAACTTGTGTTAACTCTCCAAGCATTAACTTTGGGGCAGGAGCTGTGCTAAGCTGTAGTTTCTCTGTCCTCAATGATCTTCAAGACTAGAATAAAATATCAGAATAAAAGCGTTTTTCTTAAGTTAACTAGAGAGCTGACCATTTCAGGTCTGGAATGATATATGATTTAGAGCAAGAATCACCTTTTGGGGTGGATAAGAATGCATCTAATTACTAGTTGGGCATGGTGGCTCACGCCTGTAATCCCTGCGCTTTGAGAGGCCGAGGTGGGAGAATCTCCTGAGCTCAGGAGTTTGGAGACCAGCAAGAAATACAAAGATTAGTCGGGTGTGGTGATGCATGCCTGTAGTCTCAGCTACTTGGGGGCCTGAGGATGGGGCAGGAGGGTCGCTTGGGCCCGGGAGGTGGGGGCTGCAGTGAACCATTTTTGCACCACTGCACTTGAGCCTGGGAGCCAGGGTGACAAAGCGAGACTCTGTCTCAAAAAAAAAAAAAAATTGCATCTAATTACTAACCTTGTTCTCCTTGTTGAATTCCTTTTTATCTTTAGAAAAATGCTCATTTCAGACTAGAAATGAGGTCTACATACTTTTTATGGAAACTCTGGAAAATATTAAAACTTTTGATAGGAATATTTGAAATGATAATAGGCAAGATTTGTCAAGAACTTTGCATATATTATCCCATTTAATTCAGACAACAATCCCTTGGAGGTAGGTGATATTGTAGAAATACCGCGCGCTAACCGATTGCGCCACTGGAGCTCTGAGGTAGGTGATATTGTTTCCAATTTACAGATGAGGAAATAGAGACTCAGAGAGGTTAAATAATTCAATGAATGTCACCTAACAATAAACAGTAGTGCCAAGATTAAAACCCTGGTGGGTCTGATGATAGAGTTTGTGCTCTACATATTATAACTCTTTATACTGTAACTGTCCAGAATCCTGCTACTTAGAGGAAATCATTGTAGACAGTTTGAAATACTTTCCAGCCTTTTCTTCCCCCATGCACGTTCATGCTTTTAAGGGTCAATGAATGGGTATATGGCTACTTTTAATTGATAAAGAATGAAGGATCTCTTTGCACAGACAATTTTGTATTTTGTCCTGTTTTTCCACTTGGCCCTTCACCCAAGCTTTCCCTGTATCATAAAAATTCTTCAAAAGCACTATCCTAACTGTGCTGTAACACTCTATGTTATAAATAGATGGATTATTATTTGGTTTGCCAATCTCCTATTTTGCAATCAATATTTATGTCTCTTTTACATTTACGGCAACAATAATGAATATTAAGCAGTTACTCTGTGCTAGGCACCATGCTTTATGTTTAGGAACTCATTTTATAATTTATGTCATGACTAATGCTGGATGAACATCTAATATGTAAATACTATACTCCATTTAGCTCATGGTTTTTCATTTTAATCTCTTGGTGAGGCTTTCTTTGTATAAACCTTGTGTGTTTCCTAAATTTTTTCGGGAACTTTACATTTTGTTTGCTATTGCTAATGCCAATATTCTGATCTGTTGAGTTCAGTCAATACTGAAATCCTAATTTTAGAACAAATTTTTTTTAGAACATGTTTTTTTCTTCAAACAACGTCTTCTAATTCTTCAAATTTTAGAACATGTCTTTTTTTTAGAACATGTTTTTTATTCTTCAAACCACATCTTCTCTCTTTCAAAACCATCCTCATCATCTTCATTCCTTTATGTCTAGCACATATTTGGTTAGTGAGAAGTGAGTTTTCTCCCTTCTCTGTCTCTGTCTCTGTCTCTGTTTCTTTCTTTCCCAGTGTCCCCTCCTTATACTCCCCTCCATCTGTAGACTTACATAAATTTCTGAACATAGTCTGATACTTTTTTCCACGTGCAAGAAACTCTTTTTAAGTAGATCAATATTGTTTTAAATTCCAAACTCCTAGATAGCAGGCTCCTATCAAAATAGCTTGATGTATGTGGGCACTTAGTAAATATTTTTAGGAATAACATCTGAATTTTTAGACGACTTTGGGATTTCTAGTTTAGATTTTGCTTGCTCCTGTTTCTACACCTAAAAGTCGTGCTGGGCATTCTGAGACTGGGCTTCCAGACTACAAGGTGCATTTCCTCTTCAGCACCGTTAATTCATTCATGCTCGTCTCTCTTCTTCTTGGGCTTTTGGGCTTTTTCTCTCCATAAATATTTTCAGGACAAGTGAGAATTGTCCTTTTGGCTGTCTATGGTTAGAGCCAAAAGCTAGGGAGGAATTCTGCCAGGCTTGATTGAGAGTATTGTATGATGCTTCTTATATTGATGGGGGTAAATCTGTTAAAAGAGAAAGCTTCCAGAACAATCAAAGCTGTTTCCTATCAAAGGGTAAGGCAGGGCCAGATGTTGTGGCTCACGCCTCTAATCCCAGCACTTCGGGAGGCTGAGGGGGGTAGATCCCTTGAGCACAGGAGTTCAAGACCAGCCTGGGCAACATGGTGAACCATCTATACAATAAATACAAAAAAGTTTAGCTGGGCATGGTGGTGCGTGCCTATAGTTCCAGCTGCCTGGGAGGCTGAACTGGGAGGATCGACTTAGCCTGGGGAGGTCAAGGCTGCAGTGACCTGTGGTTGTACCACTGCACTCCAGCCTGTGCAACAGAGTGAGGCCCTGTCTCAAAAAAAAAAAAAAAAAAAAAAAAAAAAAAAAAAAAGGAAAGGCATAGCTGTCTGATTATAATGCTTCATGGGGGTAAGGACTGTCATGGTTGATTTTGTTGGAGAGGCTTACCACATTTCTGAGCCTCAGTTTTCTTAAGGATAAATAAGGAGGAGAGCTTTCTTATGTCCCTTGCTGGGATTTTTGCAAGGAACAAGTGAAATTGTGTCAATATGAAATGCTTTAAAAAGTAAAGACAAATGTATAAATGTTATAATAACAATAGTAATAGAAACACTAAACTACTATAAAAATTACCCACAGCAAAGAACAAATAAAGTTATCAAAAGAGGGAGTAAAATAGAGAAAGTCTCCTTTAGTTGGGGGAATAGAAGATATGATACAAAGGGTAAAGGAAACAGAAAGACAAGTTTCTGAATTTCACCCGTGGCAAAAAAAAAAAAAAGATAGTGAGGGAAGAAGGAAATTAGCAAAAGTTTGGCTACGGAGACTCATTAAAAACACCTAACTTAGCCAGGCATGGTGTCTCATGCCTGTAATCCCAGCACTTTGGAGGCTAAGGCAGGAAGATCACTTAAGGCCAGGAGTTTGAGACGAGCTTGGGCAACACAGGGAGACCCTGTTTCTAAAAAATAATTAAAAAATTAGCCAGGCATAGTGGCTCATGTCTGTAATTCCAGCACTTTGGAGACTGAAGTGTGAGTATCGCTTGAGCCAGAGATTGAGGCTGGAGTGAGCCATGATTGCACCATTGCACTCCAGTCTGGGTGACAGAGTAAGACCCTGTCTCAAAAACAAAAACAAAACAAAAAACAACAAAAACCAACCAAACCAAAAAAACATGCAAGTTGGAAGAAAGGGGGAGAGGTGGGTCTACAATGCAAGAATGTTAAGGATGGAGTACCATGCAATCTTCCCATATCAATAGCAGCTGTACTCATTAAAGTGAGAATCAAAGTATTATTAAGAACAGTATTTCCCAAAATGTGTGCTGTGGCATATTAGCCTTACGATCCAAGAATCCAGGAAAATGCTTAGTAAATGCCCCATACTATATTATTCCATTAAAGAGCCATAATGCACAGGGGTTTGCCAAAGGCTCCGAAAAGCTCCAAAGGAAAGAAAAGACTTAACTTTTGCTCAACTCAGCATTTGGTTTCTCAATTTAATCCTCTCCTGCACCTGTACCTTTTTTGGTAAAATTTGTTATCACCACACACAACTAGTTTTCTGAGAAGCACCATGTTGGAAAGTCTGGCTTAATTCTTGAACTTGAAGACCTGGACATTCTCAGGTATGTTCAGGCTCACATTTTTGGATGAGGGGCTTTGAGCTGAAGAGTGTCCTGCCCTGAACTAACGAGCTGAGAATAAAGACAAATTTCTAAACGTGGACCAACTGGTCTGCAGTGTGAGCATATTGGTGAGCTCTGGACCAGCCAGGAAAATTATCCTTGTGAACCAAGACTTGGCCAACCTCTCAGTGACCCTTGGCATTTGCCTGAGTCTCCTGGATATTTTCCAAAAAAGGTTTTGGCAGGAATGCAGAACACAGTTGGGGAAGGGAAGCAAACCCTCAGAGATAAAGGTAGGAGCAGACTTTGGCCTATGTAGTCATTCATTCATTAATTCATTTATTCATTCATCAAATGTTTGTTACATGTGGACTTCATGCTTGACATTGTGCTAGGTGCTGGGGCTAACAGTGTAATCTTAAGGGCCTCACATACACAAATCAGTGCAAGGAAGTAAAGATGATCCAAGAGGAAATCTGTTTAGAGTAAAGAGGGCACAACCTTGAGTGAAAGAGAGGAGGCAATCAAAAAAGGCTTCATGGAGGAGGTGATTTTCTAGCTGAGCCTTGAAAGAGGAGTGGAGTCTGCATTTTAACAAGATCCTTAGGTGATTAAAGTTCTAGGATGTGAGTCCTACCTGGGCTCACCTTGATGATTATTTGAAGGTATTCTTCAAAGTCATCATTGACATTCACACATAAGCCAGAAATAGTTTTCTTACTATTTAATGACAAGCTCTACCTCAACCACAGCCTTTTTGGCCAACTCATTTAATAGCTGCTGTCTTGTTATCTTATCTGCCACTCATCTGGGCGGATAATGACTTAGGAGGGGAGGTTCTATCTGGATTTCTTTCTTTTTACTTTTTTTGTTTGTTTTGAGACAGGGTCTCGTTCTGTTGCCCAGGCTAGAGTGCAGTGGCGTGATCTCGGCTCCCTGCAACCTCTGCCTCCTGGGCTCAAGTGATTTTCCTGCCTCTGCCTTTTGGGTAGCTTGGATTACAGGCACTCACTGCTGTGCCCAGCTGATTTTTTATTTTTATTTTTATTTTTATTTTTGTAGGGACGGGGTTTTATCATGTTACCCAGGTTTGTCTCGAGCTTCTGCACTCAGGTGGTCCACCCGCCTCAGCCTCCTGAAGTGCTGGGATTACAGGCATGAGCTTCCGTGCCTGGCCCTCTTTTTACTTTTTATTATGGAAAGCTTTAAATGTATACACAGTTTGACAGGGTAATATAATAAAATCCCCATGTTCCCATAACCCAGCTTCCACTGTCATGCATTAGTGGCCAATCTTGTTTTATCTCTATCCCCACATATTATGTTACAACAAACCCAGCCATTACAGCATGTCATCAGTAAATTTAAATGGCTCTTAAAATGTATTTTTTAAAATTAGGAGCACACAGATTTACATCTTGAAATAGACATAGTCTGTACTGCTAATGATCTGAAAGGACTCTAAAAACAGTTTAAATTCTAGGTTCCTAAATACCAAATGTCAGTGGCCACCAAGTGGCAAAACTTATGCAAGTAACTGATGAGGCAGGGCTGCTGGGGAAATGTGCATATTTGCAAAATCTATGGGTATCTGGAATGCGGCCTTCCCATGATGACACACTTCAGACAGGGTCTTCATCATCTGGAACCATCTGAATGCTCTTCAGAGCTTCAAGCAAGAAATTCAAAAGAAATAATTCACAGGGGTCTGTAATTTTAATACGCCATTTCTCAGGTGACAATCTCAGCTGTGGAAAGAGCCAGAGAACATTGGGAGAAGTGACAGGGAGAGATCCAATGAATCAGCATTTGGTGCTCCAACTAGTGGGCAGCGTCAAGCTCTCTGGATCAGTTGCCTGCACCAAGACCTGTTATTTCCAAGTTCACAGACACACATGATCTTCTCCCTACACCTAGCTGAAGTCCACTTGAAGCAGTTTTGACGTGTGAGCAGTCAAAACTATGTTTCAAGCTCTGGTGGAGCTCGGGTCAGATGGAAAAAACACGTGGTTTGTTTTGCTTTTCATCCTGTGAGTATTTACTGACCACTGACCTTATCATCCACAGCAGGTATGGTCAGACTTGGGGCATGGCTGTGGCTTACAGTGCCAGCCCACAACCAGATAATGGGTTGTGATAAAGCCTTCAGGCCAACCATCCATTATCAACTGCATCTTCTGTGGGGGTGAGAGACTGGTTGCCTTGTTTTCAGGAGCATTTCTCTGTCTCTTTTCTATGTTGAATCCCTTTTCCGGATCCTGTGTCCTTTTCTTGACTTACTCCCTTCTTTTTGGGAGGCACATTCGCCCATGACTTTCTGAGAAAAGATGTATGCCAGGCAACTTATTTGAGATCTTAAATGTCTGGAAATGTCTTTATTTTTCTCTCTCCCTTGAACGATTATTTAGATGTGTCTAGAATTGAAGTTGCAAATAATTTTCTTTCAGGATTTTTGAAGTCATCTTTTCACTATTTTTTTTTTTTTTTTTTTTGAGGCGGAATCTCGCTCTGTCGCCCAGGCTGGAGTGCAGTGGCGCGATCTCGGCTCACTGCAAGCTCCGGCTCTCAGGTTCACGCCATTCTCCTGCCTTAGCCTCCCGAGTAGCTGGGACTACAGGCGCCCGCCACCACGCCTGGCTAATTTTTTTTGCATTTTTAGTAGAGACAGGGTTTCACCGTGTTAGCCAGGATGGTCTCAGTCTCCTGACCTCGTGATCCGCCCGCCTCGGCCTCCCAAAGTGCTGGGATTACAGGCTTGAGCCACCGCACCTGGCCTTCACTATTGTTTAGCCTTCAGCATTCCTGATCAGAATTCTGAAGCCATTGTTAGTCCATATGTGGATTAATAATGTTTCCTTTCTTTCAAAGTTTACAGAATTGGAGAGAAATTTTACCCTTGAACCTCTGAAATTTCACCAAGATGTGCCTTGGTATGTCTTGCTTCATTCACTTTATTGAGTACTGGGGGATTCTTTTAATCTGGAAATTCATGCGTTCAGTTCTGGGAATTTTTTCTATATTGCTTATTTGATAATCTCCTCTCTTTAATTCTCTTTGTCCTTTCCTTTTTGTGGAACTTTCCTTTTAGATGTTAGATTTCTGGGAATGAGTATCAAATTTTATTATATATATTCTTGACTATTTTTATCTTTTTTGGAGAATATTTTCCTCCTTTATTTTTTATTGTGGTAAAATATACACAACATAAAATTGACCATTTTAACTATTTTTAAGTATACAGTTCAATGGCATTAAATACATTCACACTGTTGTACAACCATCACCACCATCCATTCCCAGAACTTTTCTATCTTCAGAATTGAAACTCCATACCCATTAAACAGTAACTCCCCATTTCCCTCTCCCCATAGTCTCTGGCAACCACCATTCTACTTTCTGTCTCAAGAATTAGACCACTCTAGGTATTTCATATAAGTGGAATCATATAATATTTGTCCTTTTGTGACTGGCTTCTTGTATTTAGCCTAGTATTTTCAAGGTTCATCCAGGTTGTAGCCCATGTCAGAATTTCCTTCCTTTTAAAGACTGAATAATATTCAATTTCATGTATATAACACATTTTGTTTACCTATTCATCCATCGATGGACACTTGGGTGACTTCCATATTTTCCATCTTTTTGATTTTTACATTACTTCTTCAGCCTCCAGCCTCCCTCAACATTAACTTGCAATCTTTCTCTATTTTTATTTTATTTTTTCAGCTCCAGCTCAAAGGAGCTTCTGCTGTTTTTTTTTTTTTTAATCTACCCACATATTTTTTAATTCCCAAGAGCTCTGTTTTGCTTCTCTGGCTGTTTTATTTTTTTCAGCCGGTTCTTGTCTTGTGGACAGAATATAGTTTCTTATTCTCTGGGGATGCTACTCACCTATTCTTGAAGTTTTCTTCTACATCTTGTATTATTTGTTACCTTATACTTCATTTTTTTTTTTTTTTTGTAAACTGCAGGTCTTTTATTTCAGAAGAGTTTTTCATATGTCTGATAATCTTTAGTTGACTCATCATATTTGAAAGTGAGACACTGAAAAGCTGCTTGGAAGTTTTTTGCATGAGGATGGAGCTTGTTAATGGGTGGGTGGATTGCATCCTCTCTCTGGAGGACTCCTAAAGATTTTTTCTTTTGGACTGGTCACATCCTTGGAGAGAAATTCTCCGATTTCTGTCCAGGAAACCAAGTTGGGGAAGGAGCTTCCTTGTTCAACATTGCAGCTTTCCATTAATCTCGTTTTCAGCTTGGCACCTAAACCCTTCTCTCAGCTGTGCCTGGTGTCCACAGTCATTCTGTTTAATCTTACCAGAGAGAAAATCTCTAATCTTCTGTCTGAGTTGGTGAGGAAGTGGGGGCCTGGCTGTGTGGGGTGGTAGGTGATCTCTGGCAGTTCCACGACTTCATAAACAGACTTTCAAAGATTTTCCCTACCCTTTATTCCTAACATCAAAGGCAGTATCTTCAGCTGGTACCTCCAATTTCTGAGCTTTCCTAGAGTTTTGCAGAGAAAATTGACTTTCTTCTTGTTGGCTACTATTTGTGCAGGATTTAGATTTCAGTGTCATCTACTACGTAAAATTAGTTGATGCCCAGCCAGCTATTTTCCATCGTCTAAGATTTTGTCACCATCTCATTTCTTCTTCTGTTTTCCTAATTTGTTCTTGAGTGTTTATATCCTTTTAAATTCATTTACTACGATTTTTTTTAAAATTCTGGGCACATAGTAAGTGTATACATTTACGGGGTACATGAGATGTTTTGATACAGGCATGCAATGTGAAATAAGCACATCATGGAGAATGGGGTATCCATCCTCTCAAGAATTTATCCTTTACGTTACAGACAATGCAATTACACTCTTTAAGTTATTTAAAAATTACAATTAAGTTATTATTGACTACAGTCACCCTATTGTGCTACCAAATAGCACTTACTATCATTTTAAGTGGTCTTAGAAGGGGTGGGAGCAAAACAGGTATGTTCAATATTTCACGATTAATCGAAAGTCCTCTTTGCTTATTTGTATGTGTTTCAGTTTGGCATTAATATTTACCTTTATGCTGCAACAAATTTTTATTCCAGTGACATGTCTACTACTGATCATTGTTTTATTCTTATCAAATTTGCTAGTCTCAGTAAAAACAGAAAAACTGGGAAAGATAATGGCTTGTATCTCTAGAACAGACACGTCTTCCATCATCTACATCACCATCATCAACATCAATACTTATTGAATTCTAGCTGTATTCTAAGCAGTGACCTGAAAACTTTTAACTTTTATTATCTAATCTCCACAATTGCACTTGGGTAAATACTATCACAACCCCCATTTACAAGGTGGAAAGACCAAGCTTCAGAAAGATCGAGGCACTTGCATAAAATCATAAGCACATCAAAGAAAAGGATTTGAACCTTAATGGTTGGTCTCTAGACAGGTTCTCTAGACAGGTATGTAAGACATCTCAGGCAATGGTGTGCTTGAGAATCTCGACTAGGGGTTGCACCATTCCCCTTGAAGGCATTTAGAAATGTGGGAGCTATCTGTGGTGGTCTCAATGATTTTGGGGTGCTACTGGTATTTGGTGGAAAGACTCAAAGTACTACTGTCCTGCCATGCCATGAATTGTCCCCCAATAAAGGGCAAATCCCCACACACCTATTGGTAGGTGTGAGACAGATGTGCTAATGAAAAGCTTATAAGCCATCCAGTCAAAAGTCATTGGTTATTGTGTATCCATAATTAGAGTGACCAGTTGGTTCAGTTTTGCAAATGATTACATCATGATGTCATCAAGAATTGAGGGTGGGCACAAACTCGTCTTCTGAGTCAGGTAGCAAATTCCAGCTACAAAACCAATAGACAGTGAACTAACCCTAAATTTGCCAACACTCTTGCAACTTGCCTAGAGCCCCACTTCTTTGAGATCCAGGAGGGCAGAGACCTTGCTGATCTTATTTGCCACTTGATAGAGATAAAGGAATAGCTGGAATAGAGCCTGGCACATAATAGATGCTCAATAAGTACATGTTGAATAACAAATAAATATTCTTTCTCCAGGGTCGAGGGCCACATTAGGAAATTATAGGGTTCTTTCACATGGAATAAACAGATAGCCAGGGATGGGTGAGATCATGTTGAATGAGGCCTGAAAGCCAGCTTGTGCTCCTCACCAAGCTATGTGCCCTGGTGGAGGGCTGTGTCTGCATGGAGAAAATGTGCCATATTCAAATTCACACAACGATGCAATATGAGCTACCAGGAACCCAGTCTAGGGGGAAATTCTTGAGACATGCGTCCCTCAAATTGAGGTTAAGTATGCTTTCAATAAACAGACTTTCAATATATAGAGGAAGAAACACTTCTGTGTCCCTGACAATGCTTGACCCATCAACATCCAATACCACATGACATGTTGGACTAGAGCTTGTCTGTAGTGTGCCACCTCCTAACCCCCAGGACCCCAGGACTCCCCTGGTTCTACATGGGGTGGTAGAAAGAACACAGAAATCCACCACTCGAAGAACACTCTTCTTGAATGTGTATTTTTCCAAAGTAGTTTTCTTTGCCAGCACCTACTCTAATTTGGTGATTTTATAGAAAGCTTCTCAGGCTTGGTGTAATAAATATTTAAGCATTGATTGTTTTGAGATTGTTGGCTCTTTTTTTTTTTACCATTCTGGAAACTAATTATTTTGAGCCTTGTCAGTATGTTCCACACATCCATGTTTATATCAATTTGCATCATCCTACAGTGCTTCTTCATTGGGATGGTCTTGGTATTGGGAATGTGCCCATTCTTCACTGGGGGACAGCCCCTAGCATGGCAGACATTAGTACTTCGGCTTTTTCCACCAAATGCCAGTAACACCCCAAATCATTGAGGGCACCACAAATCATAAATTACAGAGAAGTGAGAGTTGAAAATTGCCAGGACTGAACATCACAAGAGACCCTAGGGGAAGCAAACGCCTGGCAGAATTGGTCTCCCACCTTTCTACTGCACATCCTTCCTCTTCCTCTTTGTCCTTTGTCCTTTGGAGTCCTTGTGATGAAACTGATCAAGTCCAGAGCTGCACTATATATCAATGGGAAAAGACTTCCAGTGCAACAGGAAGGGTGTAGGACACACTGTTTAGAATTTCTGTTTGTTTTTATATGTAACATGATATCTCCAGGTTCCAAATCTATACATCTGTCTGACAATTATTGCATGTACCTAGCATAGTGCTAAGAACTAGAATGCTTTGTTTTGTTTCATCCTTACAACAGTTTTGCTCAACTTAAAACAGCTTTCACATTCCCATTTTATAGATGAAGAAACCAAGGCTTTAAAAAGGTACAAAACTTGGCCGGGCGCAGTGGCTCACCCATGTAATCCCAGCACTCTGGGAGGCTGAGGCGGGCAGATCACTTGAGGTCAGGAGTTTGAGATCAGCCTGGGCAACATGGTCAAACCCTGTCTCTACTAAAAATACAAAAATTAGTCGGGCGTGGTGGCCGGCGTCTGTAGTCCCAGCTGGTTGGGGTGGCTGGGGTGGAAGGATCGCTTGAACCCGGGAGGTGGAGGTTGCAGTGAGCCGAGATTGTGCCACTGCACTCCAGCCTGGGTGACAGAGCAAGACTCCGTCTCAAAAAAAAAAAAAAAAAAAAAAGATACAAACTTGTCCATAGTAAACTGTCTCCAGTGGGGGAGGGAATGGGGAAGAGGGGATTAGAAAAGGAAGTTTCAATTCAAAGCATGTGCAAACCTCATCTCCCAGGGCATACCAAGCAGCATCATTAATATCTGACCTGTCACTACCATCTGGAGTGCCAGCTCATTTCAGACCAATGAGGGAAAAAGCCTTTGCAGGCAGTTTTCTAAGTGGCACTGGGAAAGGAGTGAATTGGCTGCTTCATTAATAAAGCAGGATAGAATGTGGGCACCAGTGCCAGCCAGACAGTCTGCTGCTGCCTGGAGAATTTGGCTGCAGCATTGTTTCCAGACTCTCGGCAAAAAAAGTCAAGACCGGATATATGGGGAGAGGAAGGAAGGGAGGAAATTGGCTGGTTGGTCGGAAGGAACCGGATGCGACGGCTTCCGGGCCTCCAGGATGGGAAAAAAAGGTTAATGATTCATCCACACCATTCATTCATGCATGCATTCATTTCATGATACTTATTAAGCATCTACCACGTGCCACATTTTCTTCTAGATGCTGAAGATACAGGAACCAACAAATATTCCTGCCCTTATGGAGCTTATATTCTAATGAGAGGGACACAGACTGTAAACATACAAATAATTAAAATACTATATCAGATGGAGAGAAGTAATTTGGTCAAAAGGTAGCAGGGAAGGAAGAACAGAGCTTGCGCGGGGTGGGTGGATGGGGGTCCTGATTTTAAACAGTAATCACAGAAGGCCTCATGAAGTGACATTTGAGTAAAGATTTTGTAAAGATACCGTGCTGGTCACTGTTCTAAGCACTTTACAATTATTTATGTCATGAATGCTCCCAACAACCCCAAGAAACATGGCTATGATTATTCTGGTTTTACAAAGAGACTGAGGTTCAGAGATGCAGTGACTTCAGAGATCACACAGCTAGAAAGTGGGAGAATTGGGATTTGAATACAGACTTGTCTGAACTTCAGCGGCTGCACGCTTTCATATCGGTGCAGACGCTGTCCACAAACCGGGTTTGGGAAAGGGCAAGTTACGGGTGCAAATGGAGCCTTGCAGGTGCCCACGAATCGAATATGGTGCCACCACCCGTGGGCAAGTGTGGGCGGACTTGATGGGGGACGGGTGGCTAGCGATTTTCACAGCGCTGAATCAGGGCTCTGCGTCTGTGGCCGGGGAGTTCCGTGGCCCAGCTGCAGGCGAGGTGAGCCGGTGGGGGAGGGAGCGCAACTGCAAGGGTTGTCCCGGGACAGTGCCGGTACGAACCTCACCCCGCCGCCACCCCCGGGCCAGCTGCTGCAGTCAATAAGGCGAGGGCCTAGCAGGCGCTCGTCGCCCTCCTGGTGGGGTTCGCTCGGGTGTTCCTACCAGGGTTGAAGAGGGCTAGGGAGCTGAGCTCCGGAAGGGCGGACTAGAGGCCCCAGCGGCCACTCCTAGAGAGGCGGGCAGCTCGGGAGGTCTGAGCGCAGAGGGCGGGCGGAGCCGCACGTTGCGTGGAATCCCCTAGTTCATTCCCGGGAGAGCCCCGGGCGCAGGACAGAGCGGTGGAGGGGCGCCTGGGAGCTCTGGGGGACACCAAGAGAAGAGAGGTTAGGGCCAGTGCGCAGCAAACGGGGAGGAACTACGACGCGCTGGGTAGAAAGAGTAAGAGAGGCGCACCCACTTTGCTGGTGAGGGGGGCACACGGGGAGCCTAAGAAAGGCCTAAAGAGGTAGTGGGTGTGAGCCAGCCTCGGGCGCGTTAAAAAGGGGGCGCCGGAGGGAGGCAAGGAGAGGAAGTTGGGTGTAGGAAGAAGCGAGAGGAAACTGTTGCCTGGACAGAGCGTGCCGTGCCAAAGCGCGGAAACGGGATCAAGGAGGGGGCATCAGGAATCGCCTGGGGACCCCCCGGAGAGTGGCGGAAGCGGTGCCCTTGGGCGCAGCAAAGAGAGAAGGGAGCACAGGCTGAGATAGAGACAGTCCTGGGCGCTGGAGAGCAGGAGCCCCCGGAGCGGCAGGGAAAGGAACGTAGAGCCTGCATGCTCGGGGTATGAGCTTACTGCGCTCGCTAGGGTGGCGCGCACTGGGGCTCTAGAAAAGAGGGTTGAGAAGCCCCGGGCAAGTGCCTAGGAAGGTCAGAGGAGTCAGCAAAGTCCACGGAAGAACTTCCCCGGGTTGGAGAGGAAACGCACCCTGGGAGCTGGAAAGAAGAGGAAAGCTAGCCTGGGGGAAGCTTGATCAGGGCTCTGAGTACCACGAGGAGTGCAGAGGAGGTGCTGATGATTGCGGGGAGAGCTCTGAGAGCCCGAGAAAGGTGAGGAGGAGGTGCGAGGACAAAGAACACCTAGCGCGGGCCGGGCCGTGAGGAAGGGAGCCGCAGAGAGCGCGCGGACTCCCCTGCAGGGGCTCAAAGCCGCCCGGGTCTCTCCTCCCAGGCTGCCTCTGGCCGTGATTCACTCACCATGATGGAAAAGACCAAAGCCACGATGTTGATGGGGTACGCAGGGCAAAAACACGAGACGATGGTGAGCCACAGGTAGTTCTTGGGCATGGGCACGTCCTCCTCGGTCTTGTCATCTTCAGTGTTGGCCTCGGGACTGCTGTCCAAAGCCCTCTTGAAGTCCGGGCTAGGGGCGTACTGAGACATGGGCGAGGCCGGCGGCGCCGGGAGGGCGGAGGAGCGCACGGTCTGTGTGGTCTGGGGCTCTGGCCGCCGGCTTGTGGCGAGGCTCTGAAAAGCCAGCGGCTCGGGGCTCAAGGGAGACGTGACCTCACCCCTTCTGCGTCCTCTGCCAGCACCCGCCCGGGCTCAGGGACCCTGGCCAAGAGCCTCCCCACAAGGAGGAAGGGAGGGAGAAAAGGAGTGAGGGGAGGCGGGGAGGACAGCGGGAGCGTCAGCCTGAGGAACAGGGAACAGGCAGATGAAGG
Source organism: Homo sapiens (assembly GCF_000001405.40). Classification (NCBI taxonomy): domain Eukaryota; kingdom Metazoa; phylum Chordata; class Mammalia; order Primates; family Hominidae; genus Homo; species Homo sapiens. The sequence goes on along the minus strand of NC_000012.12, from coordinate 119,593,567 downwards.
CACCCCACTCCCTGAGATCGTCGGAGGGACGCACAGACTCACACTGAGAAGTCTGGAATAAAAGGAGGCTCAGGGAAGGAGGACGCAAAGGCCCATTAAGTTCCAAATTGGCCAGCCCGTGGGCTGAAGATGACCAGCTCATTTTTAAAAGCCACTTAATTCTAATACATTTAGATGGGACAGGACCAACCCTATCCAGTTGGCAACAGACTCACTACTTCCTCTTGACTTCAACGTTTTACCTTAACTGTCTGGTGCCTGGGCATTTGATTTGTCTCCTGTGCCTCAGACCTTGAACACTGAGCCCCAGGAATTTCTCCTCCCCCCGACCCCCTCCCCCAGGTGGGGTGGGAACCAGGTGCCCAGCTTTGGCCTCAAAGCTTTCCACATTCTACTTGGGGCTCAAGAGACTGGAGTCCAGTATAGTCAGTCAGTGGGCACTGCCCGGTCCATGCCCGTCCAGGTGCCCTCCCCAGTGTGGAAACAAGGAATTCTTCTTTCCACTTTTCCACCTGCAGGACCCCTGGGGAGAAATGCAGGTAGATCAGGCTGGCCTAGGCAACCTAGATGGATGAGTGGGCTGGGAAGAAGAACAAGGTATCCACTTTGGGGACTAGTGTGAGAAAAGCAATTGTATCAGTGTCTAAGCTATTCATGAGAGGGCCGTATGGACCAGAACTGAAGCTTGAATCCAGACAGAACTAGGAAATTGTCACTTCAGGAAAGCCCCTTCATCTTGCTAAGCCCCTATTTCTCCATCTGAAAAAGGGGAAATAATAGTCCCTGCCTCATAAAGTCGTAGTGACTCTTCTATGAGATGGTACATTATCCAGGTCAATCCATGTGCTCAATAAATATTAGCTATTATTAGCATACTATTTCTCCTTATATTCTGAAACATATAGTGCATTATACAGTATCCTAAACTTGATATCCCTTGCTAATATTTCACCAAAAATCCAGGTATTCTGAGCTGCAGGACCACAAAGAAATGAAAATAATTTGATCATGCAGTGTCAAAAGCAATTGCTCACATCATCATACTTGAAACTATTAATCATCTTCTTGGCTTTCTCAGAATATAAGCTGATTGCCTGGGAGATTCTCACTTATCTCATGAGCCATACTTATTTTGTTATCTGCCTCCCTCATTGGACTGCACACTCCCCGAGAGAAGGGGTCATCTGGCTCATCTTTGTGTCAGCATCTGGCACAGTTCCTGGTACAAGGGAGGTGCTTAGTATAGCTTGCTGGGTGAACACACAAAGATGAAATAGTACATTCTCCGCCATGCCTTCTTTCTCATTTTGATGGATTAATAAAATGGGAGTAACTAAAAGATTAGATTCATCTACTGAATTCTCAACCAAGTCTTTGCATTGGCTGTTCCCTCTGCCTCGGCTGTTTTTCCCTGGCTGTCACATGGCTCCTCCTTCTTTTTTTTTTTACTTTGAGTTGGAGTCTCACTCTGTCACCCAGGCTGGAGTGCAGTGGTGTGATCTCGGCTCACTGCAACCTCCACCTCCTGGGTTCAAGCAATTCTCTGCCTCAGCCTCCCGAGTAGCTGGGATTACAGGTGTCTGCCACCACGCCCAGCTAATTTTTGTATTTTTAGTAGACACAGGGTTTCACCATCTTGGCCAGGCTGGTCTTGAACTCCTGACCTCATGATCCACCCGCTTTGGCCTCCCAAAGTGCTGGGAGGCTCCTCCTTCTTATTCCTCAGGTGACAGGTCAAGTCACTTCCTCAAAGAGAGGTCTTCTTGTAGATTATCTAGTGTAGGTCTCCATCCTTATTTTATTCTTGCCAGTTTATTATTTTTTGTGTGTGTAGCGTGTCACAATTGTAATTTATTTCTTTACTTGTTCACTGTTTGTTCTATCTCTAGACTATAGCCTGTCCAACCTGTTCAGAACTATATTTCCAGCACTTAAGAATTGTCCTGGTGCATAGTAGGAATGCAAGAAATGTTTCTTGAATGAATTGACCAAAATTACCTGGATGTATTGAAAAAAATGATTTTCAGGTTTTGATCAAGACCTACTTGGATTAGAATTTCTCAGGTAGCACCCCAGAAATCTGTACTTTTTTTTTTTTTTTTTTTGAGATGGAGTCTCACTCTGTCACCCAGGCTGGAGTGCAGTGGTGCGATCTCGGCTCACTGCAAGCTCTGCCTCCCAGGTTCATGCCATTCTCCTGCCTCAGTCTCCCGAGTAGCTGGGACTACAGGCACCCACCACCACGCCTGGCTAATTTTTTTGTATTTTTAGTAGAGACGGGGTTTCACCGTGTTAGCCAGGATGGTCTCCATCACCTGCCCCTGTGATCTGCCTGCCTCGGCCTCCCAAAGTGCTGGGATTATAGGCATGAGCCATCACGCCTGGCCAGAAATCTGTACTTTTAATGCCTGAGAAAACTGTATTTTTAGAATACTCCCTGGTGATTCTGATGCAACTGAGCAATTTCTCAGATCCCAGTTCTGTCTCTAATTCTTAGGACACAGTCCAGGATCTTTAGCTTGGAAATCCTCTCAGGTGTCCCAAACTCAATGTGTCAAAGAGGAACTCATTGTCTTCCCTAAGAACTTGCTTCTCAAGGCTTGGTCTTTGGTCAATGAACACTGCTCACTTTTCCAATCTCTTCTGCCAAGTATCTCCTTTCTTATTTATTTATTTATTTACTATTTATTTTTTAGAGACAGCCTTGCTCTGTCACCCAGGCTGGAGTGCAGTTGTGCAATCATAGCTCTCTGCAACGTCGAGCTCCTGGCCTCAAGCGATCCTCCCGCCTCAGCCTCCCAAAGTGCTGGGATTACAGGCATGCACCACCATGCCCAGAATTCTCTCCTTTCTTACTGCACTTCAATTACATAGACATTTTTCCCCGTTTCTCTAACATACCTAACCTTTTCCCACCCCAAAGTCTCTGTACCTACTGTTCTTTCCTCCTGGAATGCTTCCTCTCCTCTCTAACTATTGGTTCCTTCTCATCTTCCAGGACCCACTAACTCACATGTTACCGCCTGACAGAGGCCTTCCCTGACCATCATATCTAAAGTGGACCCCATCCTCTTATTCTCCATCCCATTACCTTGTTTATTTTCTATGTCAGACATGGTCTTTTTTATTTATTTGTCTTCTTATTTACTGTCTTTCCCACTAGAAAGGAAGCTCCACAAGGGCAGATATTTTTTTCCATTTTGTTTGCTGTGTTATCCCAAACACCCAGAACTGTGCCTGGCCATTAGCAGGTGCTCAACAGATAATTCATTGAATGAATAAATTGTGAATTTAGTCCTCCAAGTTAGGTACTTGGCAGCATTCTTCTTCTCTTTCCTTCAGCCTCTCCATGAATTATTCATCAAACTATTGATTCATTCTCAAATGTGACTCTTCATTCCATGTCTTCTTTTTCCCATCCTCCTGGGCTTCCAATTCTGGCTCTTATTCACAATGAAAAAGTGCTCTCTGAACCATATTTGTGATCTGAGCCTAATTTATTTTAAAAATATTTGTATTTTTATTTTTCCCCCTTCTTTTCACAGGTGTTGATGAGGCTAGTTAATTTCGTTGGTGCCAGTAGCCCAAGGTTTGGGTACCAAATGAAATTTTGCTTTTCAAAGTTTTGAACTATATTGTTCACTGTAACCCACTAGTGTCATCTAGGGAAAGCCAAAAGAAGGGATTGTTGACTCATTGTGGACTGTTTCTTCTGCCAGGAAAACAACTGCTTAACATGAGCCGAGCACTCTAGAATCGCCAAACATTGACCGAGCACCACTGTTGCACTAAGTGCATTCCCTGTGTGTATCATCTCATTTAATTCCTACAGCAAATTTTCTGAGGGAGGTGATGAGGTTTTCTTTTTCCCAAATGAGGAAACCTAGGAACAGATAGGTAAAGGGACTTGTGTAAAGTCTTCTGGCTAAGAGGAGGTGCCAGAATTTGAACTCGGTCTGAGATATTTGTTCAGCTGGCAGGTCCAGGCCAGAAAGTTAAATGGATATCTCTGAAGTTCATTGGAGTTATTATGCTCTGCTCAGGGAAGATGGATTAATAGCTTGTTGACTGGTCTAAGATGTAGCAGTGAAATTGCCATCACTTGAAACTTTTCAAATTAAATTGAAAAGAAAGTGCCTACACCAGAAAATGTAATGTATATGGTGCTGATTCTTGAGGGATGCATTAGATCACTCAGTGGGGGTTTCCAGCTCTAATTTCCTGAGCTTCACTAATTTTCTCTTGAGAGGTCAGTTTATTGTTCTTGGATGAACCCTACTGGCTGATTGCTTAATAATGTGGCAATACCTACCCTCTTTCAAATGAGACAGAAGAGAAAGCAACTTTCTAATAGCCAGCCTAGGAGAGGGGAAAGGCTTACTGTAGCTTTCTGGATTCTAGTGTAGCAACTTGCCTTTTTGATCTTTGAAACAAGTTTATTTCCAAATGTAAAAGTAATACGTATTCATTTAAGAAAATTGAGAAAATGAAGAAAAACATAAACAGAAGGAGGTGTCATCCAAGTAACCACTACAAACAGAAGGAACTATTTCCTTCTGGTCTTCTTTGTATATGTATATATCATTTTCCACTAAAATGGAATTATATACAGTTTTGTTTCCTCTTTTTCTCACGCAACATTATATGATGGTTAACATCCTTTGCAGATATTTTCATGGTCTGAGTAATTTCCCATTGATTAAATGAATTATTATTTATGTCACCATGCCCTGATCACTAAGTATTGCAGTTATTTTTAGTGTTTATACAGTTATTTTAAAAATTGCTGTGATGAATCTCTTTTGTATCTGAGTGTCTGCATTCGTGATCTTTTCTTTGTGAATTGTGATCTTACAGGGTAGATATCAGTCTTTGAAAGAGCAGAGAAACAATTCAGATTGGCTGGTTGAGAAGTTGTATCGTAAGATATGTATGAAAGGTAAAATTAAAATTTAGGCCAAGGAAACAACCATAGATTCAATAGACTACAGACATGAGATGCTTCATAAGAGATGAAATGAGATGGATTCAAAGAACAACTTCCCAATGCCAAATGGATCCCCGAATTTATAACATTCAATGGCAATGGATTGGTGTTGAATCTATGAATGTGTGCTGGAAATCTGTGCATTTGATCTTAGCTATGTCTGGGATTCCAAAATAAAAGTGGGCTGGGGTGGAGGGGCAGGGGGTGGGGGAGGGAGGAGAGAGAGAGAGAGAGAGAGATTCTGCTGATCTGTGAGAATATAAGAGAGAGAGTCCAGATCTTTAGGAAATGGTAAGAGGTTGCAAGTATTTGCTGCCAAATTTTGCATTAGTCTCAAGTGCCAGCCGTTAGTAGTCATAAAGCCATAAAGTAACTGCTGTGGTCTCAGGGGTTTGCTACAAAATAACAGTGTCTTTTTGGCTAATATTATTAGAAAACCATTTACCTTTCCACTTTCCAACAACTTTGGTCCTCTCACAAAAAAAAAAAAAAAAAAAGAAAAAAGGGAAAAACAGAGGAGAGGAAGTATAGGGGGAAACAGATTTGGTTTCCTTCCTTCCTTCCTTCCTTCCTTCTTTCCTTTCTTTTTTTTTTTTTTTTTTTTTTGAGTCAGAGTTGCCCAGGCTGGAGTGCAGTGGTGTGATCTCAGCTCATTGCAGCCTCCTCCTCCTGGGTTCAAGTGATTCTCCTGCCTCAGCCTCCTGAGCATCTGGGATTACAGGCGCCTGCCACCATGCCCGGCTAATTTCTGTATTTTCAGTAGAGATGGGGTTCCACCATGTTGGCCAGGCTGGTCTTGAACTCCTGACTTCAGGTGATCCACCTGCCTTGGCCTACCAAAGTGTTGTGATTACAGGCATGAGCCACCACACCTGGTCTCGTTAATTTCTTAAGCCATACCTTTTAATGAAACTACTTCTGGACAGAGGACCATATTAAATAAAACTCAGCCTCTCAGGCTTAAAATGCAATTCTTTCCCTATTTGTCCTTCATTGTACCAGATACTAAGAAAGCGTCCACCTGTCACTCTTCTTGCTGAATTGATGATACAAAATGCTGTGTATTGGACCATACTCTGTAGCTCATGGATGAGCTGCTTATAATAATTAGCAAATATAGAAGTGGTAATGGAAATCAGAGGGAAACCACCCATACTCTAATATACTAGCATTGACATTCCTCATACTCTCTTCTAGTCCTTGGATCCAGGTGCAATTTTCATACACTTGCAATAAAAGTACATACACAATTTGGTATCTTGATTTTTTAAAAACTTAATGCTGTATACTAAACCCTTTGCAAATTGTGATTCTCTTTTTGATTGCTTTAAAACTTGATGATAATCATTTTTGATCGCTTTAAAAATTGTATGATAATTTAATTGTTTTCCTTTTGTTGGATACTTTTGGGGAATTTGTCATCTTTTGTATGAAAAATAAGAAAGCATGGCTGGGCACGGTGGCTCATGCCTGTAATCCCAGCACTTTGGGAGGCTGAGGTGGGAGGATTGCTTGAGCCCAGGAGTTTGCGACCAGCCTGAGCAACATGGCAAAACCCCGTTTCTACAGAAAATACCAACAAAATTAACTGGGCTTGGTGGTGTGTTCCTGTAGTCCTAGCTAGTCAGGAGGCTAAGGTGGGAGAATTGATTGTGTCCAGGAGGTTGAGGCTGCAGTGAGCCATTTTTGTGCCATTGCACTCCAGCCTGGGTGACAGAGTGAGACCCTGACACACACACACACACACACACACACACACACACACACACACACACACACAGAGCAGGAATTTTAGAGAGGCTTCTAAGCCCTATTTCCTTTCTCTCTTCCCTCACCACCTACCCAGGAAAGTACTGTGGCATCATCAGATGAAATGGAGACACTCAAAGCAAGTCTGTCTATGCTGGGAGGATTGGGGAGAGGTCTCATGAAGCAGAATTATTTCCAAAGACTCTGAACTCCAAACCACTTAGGGCTTGAAGGACTGAAAGTTGGGCAGGGAATTGCAACCAGAGTGATGGATGGTGGAGGCACTGAGAGTGGTAGATGAGCAGAGTTGGTCTGGAGAGGGTGCTAGGAAGACTGGGAGTAGACGAGAACTGCACTTTGGTGTGGCCTCGAGAGGGAGAACAGAGTTCTATTTGGAGCACACTATCTGGTGCACCTTACTTAAGGAGAACAGATATTCTGGATTTTTTGTCAGCCTGTATCATACTTTATTAGTTACATGTTATTTTATTTGAGGCCGGGCGCAGTGGCTCACGCCTGTAATCCCAGCACTTTGGGAGGCCGAGGCGAGTGGATCACGATGTCAGGAGTTTGAGACCAGCCTGGCCAATATGGTCTCTACTAAAAACTACAAAAATTAGCCAGGCGTGGTGGCACATGCCTGTAGTCCCAGCTACTCAGGAGGCTGAGGCAGGAGAATTGCTGGAACCCGGGAGGAAGACGTTGCAGTAAGCCAAGATCGTGCCACTGCACTCCAGCCTGGGTGACAGAGCAAGACTCCATCTCAAAAAAAAAAAAAAATGTATTTGGCTACCCTGTGTCAGGCAGTATTTGGGTTGGGTGCCAGAGATAGCGTGATAAGCAAGAAAGCCATGATTCCTACCCTTATGGACAAATAAGATAATTTGTGATGAAGGAAATAAAATAGGATAATGGCCAGGCGTGGTGGTTCATGCCTGTAATCCCAGCACTTTGGGAGGCCGAGGCAGGCAGATCACGAGGTCAGGAGTTCGAGACCAGCCTGACCAACATGGTGAAACTCTGTCTTTACTAAAAATACAAAAATTAGCCAGGCATGGTGGCGTGTGCCTGTAGTCCCAGCTACTCGGGAGGCTGAGGCAGAAGAATTGCTGGAACCCGGGAGGCAGAGGTTGCAGTGAGCCAAGATCACTGGAGTGCCATTGCACTCCAGCCTGGGTGACAGAGCAAAACTCCATCTCAAAAAAAAAAAAAAAGGGATAATGTGATAGTGACTTGGGATGCCCAGGCAAGGGATGCTAGGCAAATTCTGTTTAACCTGAGGGCTATGCTCCACCTTTCTCTACCTTGTCCTCTGCCCCAGAAGACCATCATGAATATTCTACATCAAGGACCAGTAAATGATGGCCTGCTGCCTGTTTTTGTAAATAAAGTTTTATTGGAACACAGCCACACTCATTTATTTATGTATGGTCTACGCTACGATGGCAGAATTGAGTAGTTATGACAGAGACTGCATGACTTGAAAAGCTGAAAATACTTACTAGAAAACATTTGTCAACCCCAATTCTACATCAACAAGCTTTCTTGCCTTCTAGTGTTGGATGGGTTTGGCCAACACAGAGTCCTCGAGAATGGAGAAGAATGGAGGGAGGGTGGAGAGTGATGTCAGGGTGCTTTCCTCCTTGGCCCCCTCCTTTCTGAGTTGCCTTGAGCTGGGTGAATCACTGGGTTGACGGCCACACGTCCTCTAAGGGCAGCTGTCTTCATAGAGCTCTCCTTTCGTATTCCGGAATGCTCCTGCCCTCTTCGCTTCAGGCCTAACAGGGGTAACAGCCCCTCTCTTGCTCCTGGGGTGCTTCACTATTCCTTATGGTTCCCCATGCTTTTGTAAATAGTCCTTCCTCTAACGTTCGTATTGTGAATGTGCCGACTGAATCCTGCTGGGTGCAGGACTGCTTGAGAATGCCTCCTTGGGGAGGTAATGTTTGAGCAGAGATCTGGTGACTAAGGAGAAGCCAGACATTTGAAGAGCTGAGGAAATAGCATTCCAGGCAATGGGAATGGGATGTGCAAAGGTTCTGGGGTGGAAAAGAACTCAGAGTACTTAAGAAACAGAAAGAAAGCCATCGAGGGTAGGAGATAAGATAGAAGAGGTAAGTACAACCAGGCCATGTAGGGCCTTTCCAGCACCAGTAAAGAGCCTGGATTTTATTCTAAGAACAGGAAACATGGAAACATTTTATTTTAATTTGTTTATTAAAAAACTTTTTTTAGAGTCTCACTATGTTGCTCAGGCTGGTCTTGAGCTCTTGGCTTCAAGCAATCCTCCCAAATTAGCCTCCCAAGTAGCTGCGATTACAGGCATGTGCCATTGCACCTGCCCTTGAAGCATTTTAAACCAGATTTGGATGTGAGCCGATTAATGTTCTTTTTTGCTAATCAGTTGCATTAATCAATTGCCAGATATAGAGTAATTAAAACCGACCTCAGGAAATTTATGGGAAGGAAGCTTTATTTCATCAGCTCCTAGAAGAGTTAGACTACTAGGCACTGGGACAGGCAGGAATGAGACAGGGCAGATGTGGGGACCTCACCATAAAAGTTCGTCTCTTCTCATCTGGCTCCCAATCACTAATCTGTATCTATGGATCAAACTCCAAACTCAAGTCTAGTGTCCCTTGGATTCCAATCAATTGGTAGTCAGCATGTGAAGTGAAGGGATCATCTATTCCTTGATTTGTTCACAAATGCTGTGTGAATGCATGCCTTGTACTAGGTGCTGGGGATGCATATGATGATGAACTAAACAAACCTTGCTCATGCTCTTTGTGGAGCTTATATTCTAGGGGTAAGTGAGTCCCTCCCTCAAAAAAAAAAAAGCAAACAAAAATTAAGTTATTTCAAGATGTACAAACAAGTAATTTCAAAATGCTCCTCAAGGATGGGGTTTTTATCTGGTCACAGTTGTATGTCCTAAGACTGAACAGTGCCTGGCACATAGTAGGTGTTCAACTAAGATTAGTGGACTGACAGCCTGAGACAGATGACAGTAGCAAGGTACTTAGATAGAATGGTAAGGGAAGACCTCACTAAGATGTTAACATTTAACCAGAGATCTGTGGCATGAAAAGAAGAAGGCATGTGAAAAGTAGGGTTTTAAGCCTGTTAGGAGGAATAGAATGACCAGAGGTTTTGAAGTGAGAACGTGCTTAACGATGCATAAGACATGCACATATATCTTAGGGAAAGCGGAATTGATGTCAACTAGACATATCCCCTCCAATAAGGTGTAATTCCACAGGCATTTCTGGAAGTGGCTGTGGCATCCTTTAATTCAGAACCTCAAGTGGACTAACTGTAAAGTGAGTTGCCTTGTGAATGACTAAATTGCAGTTGCCCTAAAAATGGGGCTTTCACAATGGATTTTAGTGCTTCAGAGTTGAAGAAGGTGGAACGTTTTTTCTTCCCACACTCACTCTTACGGTTTCTGAAATATTTCAGAGCAAAAGCACCTAATCTTGGAGTCATATGAAGTCGAGGAGCCCTTTTGGGCTGGATCTCTGCTATCCTGTAACCACAGGGAAGAGCGTAGTCTTTCATCCTTTCTGGCTGGCTTTGCTCTTTGGTTCCCTGAAGCCTCACCTTTCTGCCCTCTCTCTTTGCCTCTAATTTCTTACACCATCTTCCACTGGTCAAAATGATGATGGGCACTTTCCATAAAGCATCAACTTTCCTCTCAGAGCTTGTGCCTTATACACCTGTCAACTGCTTCTCTAAATATGACACACAAATCTCTTTACCCCCTAATTGTTCTCTGACATTATTTGTGCATTGTCAAGGTTTACAACATGTAAATTTTGTTTTCTATGATATAGAGAATGTAATTCTTTTGGGCTTTGTCCAAAGGTGGTATCACCAATGGATAGTTTCAATAGTGTTACCTAAGTATGATTTACTGCAGAATCAAGTAGCATGATTAAATTTATAGAGAAGGACCTAATCCTATTTCATTACAGTTGAGTCTTTTAGAGGAGAATATAATTAATAAAAATTGGGAGGAAGGATCATTGGGAGGGCAGAAGTGTATTAGTTCATTTTCATGCTGCTGATAAAGACATACCTGAGACTGGCTGATTTATAAAGAAAAACAGGTTTAATGGACTCACAGTTCCATGTGGCTGGAGAGGCCTCACAATCATGGTGGAAGGCGAAAGCCACATCTTACATGGTGACATGCAAGACAGAATGAGAGCCAAGTAAGAGGGGAAACCCCTTATAAAGCCATCAGATCTCGTGAGACTTATTCACTACCACAAGAACATTATGGGGGAAACTGCCCCCATGATTCAGTTAACTCCCACCAGGTCCCTCCCATACAGATGGGAATTATGGGAGCTACAATTCAAGATGAGATTTGGGTGGGGACACAGCCAAACCATATCAAGAGGATACAGCATATTGTAACCATATAGCTATTGTTATTTCTATTATATGCCATTCAATTTCATCAAGTTAATCTAGATTATTTGTAAATATATAATTTATCTATTTTGTTTTTAGAGTTCTCTAACATTGTGATCTAATTTAGACCATTTTTTTCATGCCCACTGCATACGTGTCATCCTGAGACTTGATTTTATTGCACTCCTGTCTTAATTTCTATAGCTTTACTAAAAGCCTTGATATTTGCTAGGACAAATCCAACCTCATGCTTGCTTTCTTCGTATCCTTTTCGCTATTCTTGGCCCTTTGTTCTTCTTTGTGACATGCATTTTTTTTTAATCTCAGGTGCAAAGGGCTAGTTAATGGTATTCCTCACTTCATTTTACATACTGTCATTGGTCCATTCAAGGCTCTGGCCTTGTTTTTTGCTTGATTCTTTTTATCCCCTCCATACCCCAATCTCAGGCACCCACTTAAATGTCTTTGGTGTATGTATCTGGTTACATGTGTATCACAATACATTATTTTATGTGTATATGTGCTTAAATGATACAAAAAATGTTTTGTAACAGAGACCATTGTTTCTTACCTTTTAAAAGCAATATGATTTTCAGATGTATTTTTGCTGCTATATGTACATCTAGTTAATTCCTTTTAACAGTTGCATAGTATTTCAAAGCACGCATCTATTACAACTTGCTGTTACATTTCTTCAGTAATGGACATCTAGTGGTCTTTAGCTCCCTATAGCACAAACACTGTTGCAATTCACATTCTTATAAATGCCACGTTAGAGTTCTGTGTGAGAGTTTCTATAGAGTACATATGTTCAGGGGCAGGGTTGCTAAGTCCTAGGGTATACACAGATTTTCTTTCACTAACTATTGATGGATTGTTTTCTAGAATGACTGTACTTGTTTACATGCCCATCAGAATGCATGGAGATTCCTGTTATTAGCTTGCTTTCCAGCTTTTGCCAGTCTTATGGGAGTAAATCAGTATCTAATTGTTTTAATTTGCATTTCTTTGATTACTAGTGAGATTGAACATTTATTCATTTACTTTTCAGCCATTCAGATTTCCCTATATGTAAATTCTCTGTCAATATATTCTTCTGAATTTTTCTATTTCTATTGGGGCTTTCTTCTTTTCTTGTTGATTTTGTTTCTTTTATTTTCTAGATGTTAATTTCTTGTTTTTTTTAATTTTTTTTGTTATACTTTAAGTTCTGGGTTACATGTGCAGAATGTGCAGTTTTTTATATGTTGCAAATACCTTCTTTCAGGCTATCATTTATCTGTTAACTATGTGATATTTCTTTAAACAGGGAACCTTAATTTTGATGTACCACCAGTTTTCCACCTATGGTATAGGTTTTAAATTTTATTTAATAAGTCATTCTTCATTTAGAAGTCACAAAAATATTCTCTGACAATTGCTTCTATTAGATTTCTGGTTTCACATTTTACATTTACATCCTCAAGGAATTTGGAGCTCATCTTTGTAAAGGTGTGAGTCAGGGATCCACTTTCAGTTTTGTTCAAACAATGAGTTATTAGGTTGGAACAAAAGTAATTGCAGTTTCGCATTACTTTCAATGGCAAAAACCACAATTACTTTTGAACCAACCTAATAGTTTCCTCCAAACCATCCATGATTATACATGGCTCTAGTAGCCACTTCCCACACCACTACTGCATGTTTTTTTTATTGCTATGCATTTGTATGATGTATTAATATCTGATAGGGTGAACCCTACTTTTCTTCTTCAACTTTTAAGTTTAGGGGTACATGTGCAGGATGTGCAGGTTTGTTACATAGGTAAACATCTGTCACAGTGGTTTGCTGCACAGATCAACCCATGACCCAGGTATTAAGCCCAGTGTATATTAGCTGTTCTTCCTGATGCTCTCCCTCCCCCCACCCCAAAACCCCCACCCTCCCACCCCCACCTCTAGGCCCCAGTGTGTGTTGTTCCCCATTGCTTTTATTTAAAAAACTAGCATAGACAATTCATATTGTCTTTAAATAAGTTTCGTGAAGCACAAACGTGTATTCCATGGATGGAAAAAAAATGGAAAAGTTATTAAGTCTTCCCAAATTTGTCTGTATGTATTCAAGGCTTCATCTATGTATTTCAATAATGTTTCATAATTTTCTTCATAATTATAGTCATTATAGTTTTTCTTGCTGTTTAAGTGGGATTTTTTTTTTCTATTACATTTTCTAACTGGTAGTTCTTAGAATGTAGAAATTATACTGATATTTGTATGTTGATATTCTGGATACGCTTATTGGTTCTAACAGTTTGTCTATAGATTCTCTTACATTTTCTGTATAGCTAATCATATTGGTTGAAGAAGCTTCTTTTCCTATTCTTAAACATCATTTATTCTTCTTAATTATAATTTTTATAATGTTAAGCAAATATTATTTTCTTGTTACTGACTTTAATGAGGATGCTTCTAAAGTTTCACCAGTAAATCTATTTGTGATAGATTTTTAAAGAAAATGTTAATTTACTTTTTAATTGAAGTTTTGTTATAATTTTAAAATATAGCTTTACATGAATATCATTCACATTTGGCCAGAATAGACATAAGTAAACCTAGGTGATTCAGAGTGAGGTCTTATAATCAGTTGTTGTAGTTGTTTTGGCTTTTTAAAAATCATATTAAGAAAGTTTCCATTAGCTTATTAATGTAAAAATTATTTATAACTGTTGGATTTTGTTATCTTTTCTGCATGAGTTGAGAATTATTCTATTATTTGGTAATTATTTTTATCACTTCTATTTTCTGTTCCTCTTTTTCTGGGTCTCTTATTAAATAAATTTTGAATCTGCTGGATTGTCTTTTGTGTCTCTTAGTGTTTATATTTTGCATGTCTTTTCCCCTTAGGTTCTTGACAATTTTCCAGGCTGTGCACCAAATTAAAAATTTAGGTAGTATGACTTTTAATTTTTTAGAGGGCCTTCCTATTTTCTGATAATGTCTTTTCTGTAGACCTTATAATTGTCAACACTAATTATTATTTTAAAATGAATATCTTGGCCGGGCGCAGTGGCTCACGTCTATAATCCCAGCACTTTGGGAGGCTGAGGCAGGCTGATCACGAGGTCAGGAGGTCGAGACAATTCTGGCTAACACGGTGAAACCCCGTCTCTACTAAAAATAATAAAAAATTAGCCAGACATGGTGGCGGGCGCCTGTAGTCCCAGCTACTCGGGAGGCTGAGGCGGGAGGATGCCATGAACCTGGGAGGTGGAGCTTGCAGTGAGCTGAGATCACACCACTGCACTCCAGCCTGGGCAACAGAATGACAGAATGAGACTCCATCTCAAAAACAAAAACAAAAACAAAAACAAAAAGAATATCTTCTTGGTTTTCTCTGAAGACACTACTAACTATAATTAAAAAAAATTTTCTTGGCTGGGTGTGGTGGCTCATGCCTGTAATCCTAGCACTTTGGGAGGGTGAGGTGAGATGATCACTTGATCCCAGGAGTTTAAGACCAGCTTGGGCAACATAGTGAGACCCTGTCTCTACAAAAAAATTAAAAATTAGCTGGGCATGGTGGTGCAGCTGTAGTCCCAGCTACTTGGGAGGCTGAGATGGGAGGATCAGTTGAGCCCAGGAGGTCGAGGCTATCATGAGCCATGATTGAGCCACTGTACTCCATCCTGGGCAGCAAGATGAGACCCTGTCTCAAAGAAAAACATTATTTTTTTTCTTTTATAGCTTCTCTTTTTTTGGTTGAAGTTCAGTTGTGTTATTTGTTCATCTTAGTTCACAAATGTCTGAGGATCCTTGGTTGTCCATTCATATTCATAGTGGAATTCATTGATTAATACTAGCAGCTATTGTGGATTTTCTCCACATTGTATAATAGTGTTTCCAGTATGACTTTTCCTTTGAATGGGGGGCCATTATCTTGTATAACCTTCACAGTAGCTACATTAGTTATCTATTGCTGCATAACCAATTATCCCCAAACTTAGCAGCTTGAAACAACAAATATGTATCATCTCACATGTAGGTAATATCTCATAGTTTCTGTGAGTCAGAAATCTGGGCACAGCTTAGATCGATATCTCTGACTCAGGATCTCTCGCAAGGCTGGAGCTGCAGCCATTGCAAAGCTTGATTGGGTGGTGTGGGTGGCAGATCCACATCCAAGCTTACTCACATAGCTGTGGTTGGCCTCATGTTCTTGGTGACTTTTGGCTGGAGACTTTAATTCCTTGCTATGTGGGCCTCTATAAGGGTACTCACAGCATGGCAGCTTGTTTTTGGAGAACCAGAGCAGACAGAGAGAGAGGAGTGAAAGAGAGAGAGAGAGAGATTCTTTCGCAACCTAATTTCAGAAGTGGCATCCCATCATTATTGCTGTATTCTATTGGTTACAAGCAAATCAGTAAGTGCTAAGTCCAGCACACCCTCAAGGGGACTCAAGGGAAGGGGATTATGCAAGGGCATGAATGTCTGAAGGTGGGGATCACTGGGGCCATCTCAGTGGCTGTTCTATTACTAACTCCCAATGAGAAACTGGGGCTTACCAAGGTTAAATCACTTGCCTAATATCCAACAGCCAATGAATGGTGGAGCTGAGTCTTGGACCCAAATGGATCTGTTCCAAAGTTTGCCCACTCAATCTCCATACCGTGATTTTCCAAAGGGTAGATGCATCCCACTGATGGAATGTAAGACCATTTAAGGTGGTACAGAAAGTCTCAAGTTGGTGCAAATATACCCTTAGCCTTCTAACCTTCATTCATCTCCTTTTGATCAAGAGGGGGCTGGCCTGAGTCTCAAAGTCTTGGGGGACAATGTTACCTAGCTAGAATTTAATAACATGGATGTCTATTAATTGTGTTTACTTCCAGTTTTGTGAAGTAGAAGTGGCTTTAAACTAATGGCAGTGACATAAAATTTTCTCTTAAAATACAGTTTAAAAACACAAAATAGTTAAAGTAAAACCTTAACTAACAGAGATGGCACTCAGATATGGAAAACATAGTGAAGGTGATCTATAGATTACTCAAGTTTGCAAAAGACTACCTAAATTATAATGCGTCTATCCCGAAAAGAACCTTGTAGATAGTAATTCTTTTTGGCTCAATTTTATTTTTCCCCTTCATTTTATAAATGTGTAAAATGAAATCAAGAAAGGGTAAGTGACTTCCTTATGGGTACACAACTTCCATGATCACAGCCCAATTCCATGACTCACTATTACTTCTATTATTTAGCAGGTTGAAGCAATTTCTTTTTACTCTCCCTACTCCCAACCCACTATTTCCCATTCACTTTCCCTCACACCCCACGATTTCCCATTCACTTTCCTCTAAATCAGGGTTTCTCCACCTCAAGACTGTTGACATTTGGGGGCAGGAGAATTATTTATTGTGGGGGCCTGTCTTGTGCCTTGTAGGAGGCTGAGTGGCATTCCTGGCCTCTACCCACTTCATGTCAGTAGCACCCCCATCCTCAGTTGAGACAACCAAATATGTCTCCAGACATTGCCCAATGTCCCCTAAGGGGCAAAATCACCCTTGTTGGGCATCACTGCTCTAAAGCAGCATTTTGTATTTCTGCAAGCTCTCAGGTGCCACTGGTCTGTGGACCACACTTTTAATAACTACTTTAAACTATACAACCTAAAAAGGTAACTGTTCCTGCCTTCCCTCCCCACTCCCCCATTGTTTGGAGACGGTGTATATCACAGTTGTAATGCAAAATAACACTCTGGTGCAATATTTGCTATGAATTAAATTAGGTTTCCTACGTGGAAGATGGGGATTCTAGCATTAAACTTTCAGAAGCAAATTGTTCCCGAAGGGTAGGGAACACACATAATCTAGTTTTATTTCCTATACTTGGTAAATTAGAAACCAACTGGACAAATTAAGAGGAAATGCTTATCAAAAACAATCATTTTGTTATTTGTGTTATTTGGGAAAAAAGATGACCCTAACCTACATATTTAGCAAGTGTGGTTTGGGAACAGTTTGAAGAATGAGCATGCTTGAAGTGAATGATTCCTGAATGTGTTGTGCCGATCACGCAGAGGCTGGGATGAGCTCAGACTCTTGCTCGGCAGCAGAATGGACCATTTTTAATTGCTTAAGAGAGCTTCCTGGGAGCGCTGCACATTAGCCAGGGATGGGAGGCAGATCCGTGTATAAGCAGGAGGGGTTGTAATGTCATCCTAAATGTCTTCAATTATACATGAAGGAGTGGGCTTTCTATCACAATCCAGCAAGAAAGCTCTTCTTGGGCTCCTAGGGAATTTTTGTGCATTAAGAATTAAAACTTTCCTGCATCTTTTTGGCCAAGGAAGGTTCGACATGATTTTGCTAAGGGATGATTCTTTCTCTTGTTCTTTTGTGAAAGATTGAAAGTGGGTTTTTAAAAGAGCCACAGATCCCAATATTTAACCCATTCTCCCTCTCATTTCTTTCTATCATAGTCAACTACCTCCTTCTCCAGCCTCCCTTTTCACATCTCTGTTCTTTCTGTCTCTTTGATCTTTTTGCACAGTGAATCTGATGAGGGACAACAAGTATGTTTCTTTATGACTCGCACTCTGAGGTGCTGGGTTGGTTGGTTTGTGTTCCTTACAAAAACCAAAACAAAACATCAGTTTCAGGAAATAGGATGTGAAATTGTTTATAAGAATTTTCAATCTTATGGCCTTGGATGACTTCCGTTTCTTTTTAGGCAGCCCAAGTTTGAGAACAGCAGAGTTCAGGCAACAAAGAAAGAAGTTTCCAATATTAAGGCTAAAATTGGGATGTGATGAATTCCGGTCTCTGAAAGTTTTTCTGAAGATGTTGTGTAGGCTAGGGAGGTCGGGTTAGATGGGCCAGTGCTCTTCCTGGCTGCTCACCAAAGTCACCAGGGGGAGCTTTTCAAAAGGGGAAGATGTATTTTTAGCCTGGGTTCTAATCCTAGGATCTTTGTTTATTAAAATCCTCCCTTGAGATTCAGATGGAGCCAACCTGGGTCTGGTCCCAAATGGCTTTTAGGAACAGTATCAGCAGAATTGTAAGTTACCTTAGAAAGGCCTGAGGACTCTCTGGGATCCTCCATGATTTTAGAAACTAACTTAGGCCAAAGGTCACCTACTCATGTCTGGGATAATGGTAGCCAAAAATGGCAGGGCACATGCCTGGATAAGTCAAATCCCCGTCCCCTGGCTTCTCATTTGGGTGACCTCGGACAAGTCAGTCTGTGAGAGCCTCAGTTTTCTTGCCTATAAAATGGGGACAATAATGCCAACTCTAATGCAGTTGTTGTGATGATTAAAGGAGACAGTGCATGTAAATTGCTTATCACAGTGCCTGGCACGTGATAAGCACTCAGTAAGTCTTAGTTGTTGGAGGCTTTAAAAGGACAAAGTGACTTTTATCAAGAGGATTTGAGGTGGCATGAGGTAAGCCAGAGCCATCGGGATGCTTCAAATTAGAGGGTGGAAACTTGAGAATAGTTGCTATCAAAACCTGAACTCATGAAAAGAATAATGGAGAAGGTGTTATGTGTTTACAAGAATGAACGCCCTTTCCTAATTCCCAAACATTTGGGAGAATTCAGCTTAAACCATGAGACAGAAAATATTATTCTGGACACTTAGTGAACTTTCGATATTGGGAGACATACTGGTCTTTTTTTTTTTTTTTTTCCTTCTGTTCCTCTAAATACCCTTGTTGCCACCACAGGGCCTTTGCATATGCTCTTTCCGCCATCTGGAATACCATCCTTCTGATCTTTATGTGGTTGGCTCCTTTTTGATATTCAGGCCTCAGCTCCCATGTTGCCTGCTCAGCTAAGCCTCCTGTTAGCACATGAGCTAATGTGGCCACTAAGTCACTATCACATCATCTCCCTCCCAGGCACTTAATATTGTTTGAAATAATCTTTTCCAACTATTATCCTCCTCATCATCAACAATCATCATCATCATCATCATCACCATCATCATCATCATCATCATCACTGCTATTATTTACCCAGCATCCGTCTTCCTCACTAATATGTAAGCCTCACAAAGCAGAAACCTTCCTTTACTATTGTATCCCAGGAATTAGAACAGTGCCTGGCATGTAGTAAACACCCACTTAATATCAAGCAAATGAATGAGAGAATGAATAAAGTGACATATAAATGTCAAAGACATCATTGTTTATTAAGAAATCAGGGTGTCTAAAGACAAGCAGTCTTAGGACTTGAAGGAACCATTCAGATGATTAACCTCAAAGCATTCTTTTTTATAGGTAATGGCATTTTTTTTTTTTGAGGTGGAGTCTTGCTCTGTCTCCCAGGCTGGAGTGCAGTGGTGCAATCTCGGCTCACTGCAAGTTCCGCCTCCCGGGTTCATGCCATTCCCCTGCCTCAGCCTCCTGAGTAGCTGGGACTACAGGCGCCCACCACCACGCCCGGCTGATTTTTTGTATTTTTAGTAGAGACGGGGTTTCACCGTGTTAGCCAGGATGGTCTCGATCCCCTGACCTCGTGATCCACCTGCCTCGGCCTCCCAAAGTGCTGGGATTACAGGTGTGAGCCACCATGCCCGGCCTATAGGTAATGGCATTTTTAGAGATTGGGGCCGGGCTTAGTATTCTGGTGTCCAGATTTGGGCAAGTATGCATAGGAAGACAAGGGAACTACGTATTTGAAATTAGGACTCTGGCCACAGTGGTTGTATTGACATGGAAAAATTGAGAATAAATGGCCATAGGTTTTGGACTAGATAAACTCTCTACAACATATCCCGACAATGAAAGCCTTCCTTAGGGTGGTGGCTGTCTGTGCTTAAATGCCTTCTCTGACATTTAGGGATCAGTAAGGGTTAGTTTCAAAAGGTGACTGAATTTGACTGGGGGAGGCTCCTTGGCACTTGGAGAATTGACCTCAATGTTTAGTGCTAGAAGATTGAAGATATCAGAGCACTAGCAATAAGTAGATTGTATTGGCACTTAGCTTGGCTCCCTGGTGTCCCACTGGGAATGGCCATACCCTACACTTTGCTTCACTGGTTTAATGGGAGGAGTTCAGGACAATAAAAAAAGCCCACATATCCTCATCTCAGGCATCTGGGATTCACATCTCCTTTCACAAAAGACATGTTATAATGGAGGCTTCAACCATTCACTCATTCATTCATTCATTCATTCATTCATTTATTTAGCATATAGTCATCTAATGCCTACGTTATGGGCTGAACTGTGTCTCCCCAGAATTTATATGTAGGAGTCCTAGTCTCTGTATCCCAGAATGTGACTGTATTTGGAGATAGGGCCCTTAAATAGGGAATTACATTCAAATGAGGTTAGTGGGATGGGCCCTAATCTATTGCTATGCTAGAACTTAAGTCTGCCATTTTATTATTTGTTGTGTTTGCTTCCTCTTCTTTTCCCTTCCTTCCTTCCTTCTTTCCTTCCTTCCTTCTTTCCTTCCTTCCTTCTTTCCTCCTCTCCTCTCCTCTCCTTCCTTTTCCTTTCCTTCCCAGTCTTGCTCTTGTTCCCCAGGCTGGAGTGCGATGGCGCGATTTTGGCTCACTGCAACCTCTGCCTTCCAGGTTCAAGAAATTCTCCTGCCTCAGCCTCTCGAGTAGCTGGGACAGGCGCCTGCCACCATGCCCGGCTAATTTTTGTATTTTTAGTAGAGACGGGGTTTTACCATGTTGGCCAGGCTGGTCTAGAACTCCTGGCCTCAGGTGATCCACCCACCTCAGCCTCCCAAAGTGCTGGGATTACAGGCGTGAGCCATCGCGCCCAGCCTCCTCTGTTTTTCTTTACTTGCCTTCCTATAGGTTACTTGAATACTTTTTGAGATTCCATTTTGATTTATTTCTAGTATTTTTCAATATCTCTCTGTATAGTTTTTGTAGTGGTTTCTCTGGGTAGTGATGTACACGTATTATTAATATATAAATATTTATTATATATGCATATCTGCACACACATACATGCATATATTATAAATTACATATATATTTATTATAAATTTCCTGATATAAAGGACATGTAACATTCAACTTGCAAATAATTAAAAATACACAATATTTTAGTAGTAAATTTCAAATACCCAGTTCTCACAGAATTCTTATTGATTTTTGTCAAATTCTTTTATCTTTAGCCAACCTAGGGTTGCGTTGATGAATGAGTGTAGTTTTGACATGAATGTTAGTTGATATTTTTGTTTAGGTTAATGAGAAAGGCAAAAATGAAACAATGAAGACATGGGAATTTCACTTATTTGTCAATGATATGAGCAACTTTTTTGCTAAGTTGGATAATAGTTTCAATACTGGAAGAGTATTTCTTCTTTTTTGTTATTCATAATGTGATGACTCCTTTTAAGTTTAATCTACGTGGTTAATATTTTATGTATCACTTTTAAAAGTCTAGATCTGGGTTGGCAAATTACAGCTGTGGGTCAAATCTGCCTGCCATATGCCTGCACCCATTTGTTTACATATTGTTTTTGGCTGCTTTTGTACTGCAGTGGTAGAGTTGTATACTTGTGACAGAGACTATGTGGCTTAAAAAACTGCAAATATGTATTGTCTGGCCCTTTACAGAAACAATTTGCTGGTCCCTGGCTTAGACAATCAACAAAACAGTTAATCAAGGTTTATTTGTAATGTTACCAATTTCTGTGGTGTAAATATTCTCACCAACCTGAGGTCACTAAGTGTGATGTTGGAAAGAGATGTATAGTTAGCACACCATTATATAGTGTTTCTACCATATATATGCTATAGAAAGAAATAACCTCGAAGCATCAATAATAATAAAATATTGTAAAATAATTGGAAAACATTGAATTTTTATTATCTTTGTTTTATTTATTTATTTATTTATTTTTGAGTGGGAGTCTCACTCTGTTGCCCAGGCTGGAGTGCAGTGGCACAATCTTAGCTCACTGCAAACTCTGCCTCCCAGGCTCAAGTGATCCTCCCACCTCCGCTTCCTGAGTAGCTGGGATTACAGGTATGCGTCACCACACTTGGTTAATTTTTGTATTTTTAGTAGAGACAGAGTTTCACCATGTCAGCCAGGCTGGTCTAGAACTCAAGCGATCCACCCACGTTCGCCTCCCAAGGTGGTGGGATTACAGGCAGGAGCCATAGTGCCTGGTCATCATCTTTGTTTTAAATATAATTTATTTAATTGTAAGTTCATATAATCATTTTAAATAATGGCTGCATTTAACAGGTGGTTCACAGAATTAATGTAAATTTAACAACTGGCTCCTCAGAAGTTGATATGAGCCAGCTCTGGCACATCACTGGGTTCAGTCTTCATGAGGTTTGTCTTATTTCTGGTTTGCCCTCACTTTTGGCGTCTTATTTCTGGTTTGCCCTCACTTTTGGCGTATAGCCCTTTTCAGTGAAAGGGACAGCCCTTTCATTGAAATTCAAGTGAAAGCCTGGGTGTGCTTTCCTGTTATATGGTTTGGCTCTGTGTCCCCACCCAAATCCCATCTCGAACTGTAATCCTCACGTGTGGAGGAGGGGAAGTGATTGGATCACGGGGCAGTTTCCCCCATACTGTTCTTGTGATAGTGAGGAAATTCTCACAAGATCTGATGGTTTTAAAAGCAGCAGTTTTTCCTGTGCTCTCACTTCTCTCTCCTGCTGCCACGTAAGATGTGCCTTTGCTTCTCCTTTACCTTCTACCGTGATTGTAAGTTTCCTGAGGCCTCCCCAGCCACTCGGAACTGTGAATCAATTAAATCTCTTTCCTTTATAAATTACCCGGTCTCGGGTAGTTCTTTATAGCAGTGTGAAAACAGACTAATGCAACCTGTGACCTTTCTCCTTGTTAGATCCTGAGCTCTTATTTTGCTTCTCCAGTACTGTTGTGATGGTGGAAAGCTTTGCTAAACAGCTCAACCTCTTATATCCACTTTCTTCTCAGTTTCTTAGCTTGGTGCTATTGACAAATTGGCAGAAGATGGCATAGAATGTCAGACTAACCTCGGCGGGCTCAGAGAACTTTAACCTCTTAAGCCCTGGCTGCTTTGATATCTTTGCAATGCCTTCAGATAGATTTTTTGGGCATTTATTAATCTTTTCAAATTGCTTTTGCCAGGAACATTCTGATACAGGCTAGTTCATCAGAACCAGAAGTGAAGTCCCCTGTTTATGACGTTGTAAGTAGAAGTTTTTATATTGCCAAATATATCTGAGCATAGAACTCAGTTTTCCTTTATGATAACTCGTTTAGAAATCCTTTATTAAACTCAAGGTCATTCATATTTTCTTCAAAAATTTAGACTTTTATTTTCACATTTAAGTCTTTTTTTTTTTTTTTTTTTTTGAGACGGAGTCTCATCATCCAGGCTGGAGTGCAGTAGTGTGATCTCAGCTCACTACATCCTCCGCCTCATGAGTTCAAGTGATTCTCCTGCCTCAGTCTCCTGAGTAGCTGGGATTACAGGTGCACACCACCAAGCCCAGCTAATTGTTGTATTTTTAGTAGAGATGGGGTTTGGCCATGTTGGCCAGGCTGGTCTTGAACTCCTGACCTCAAGTGATCCACCTGCCTCGGTCTCTCAAAATGCTGGGATTACAGGTGTGAGCCACCATGCCCGGTCTCACATTTAAGTCTTTAATCCATTTGGAGCTGTATTTTTTAATAGTGTGAAGTAGAAATCAAATTAAAAAAAATTTTTTTACAGATAGCTTATTGTCCTAGTGGTGTTTATAGAGTAGGGGTATACTTTTCCTAGTGACCTGTGATATTTCTTTTGTCGTATGTCTAGTACTGTGTCTGCACTCTCTACTCTGTTTAATTAAACTATTTTTAATATTTTTGCACCAATAAAGTACTATCTTAATTGCTATAGTTTTCTAAGGTAAGTCTTGATTTCTTTTTCTTTTCCAAAAAATGTCGTGGCTGTCTTTGGCTTTTTTCTCTTTTGGAATTAGCTTTTCAAGTTTCACAAAAAACTTTATTAGAATTTCATTTGAAATTGCCTGAATATTTATATAATCAATTTGGGGAGAAATGTCTTTCTTGATATAAATATGTCTTTAATGTCTTTCAAGGGAGTTGTATAGTTGTATAATTTTCCACTTGAGGCTCTGCTTATTTTTAAAATATCTGTATTTCTGGCTACCAGTTTATTTTGCCATCATCATTGAGTATTTTATTTTATTATTTATTATTTTTTAAGAAGGAGTCTCGCTCTGTCACCCAGGCTGGAGTGCAGTGGCATGATCTCGGCTCACTGCAACCTCTGCCTCCTGGGTTCAAGCCCAGCTAATTTTTGTATTTTTAGTAGAGATGCAGTTTCACCGTGTTGGCCAGGCTGGTCTCGAACTCCTGACCTCAAGTGATCCGCCCGTCTTGGCCTCCCAAAGTACTGGGATTACAGGCGTGAGACACTGTGCCTGGCCTGTTGAGTATTTTAAATGTTATATTTCTGTTTGTTGTTGATGCAGATAAATACAGTTAAATTTTATATCACTATTATATTCAATTACCTTGCTAAATTGCCTAATTTATTCTAATAATTTATAGAGTCTTTGCAGTTTCTATGTGAATAATCACATTCATTGCAAATAATTCATTTTGTTGCCATATTTTAATCATTCTACCTTGGTTTAATTCATCTCGTATTATTGCATTGGCTGGGGTATCCAGTACAATTTTGAATGGAAGAAGTGAGAATGAGCACCCTTCTTTTGTTCCCTCCTCTAAAGGGAATACTTCTAAATTTTACCTGCAATTATGATTTCTGTTACAGGTTTTAGGTAGACACGTTTATCAAGTTAACTATTTTTTTTCTCCTATTCCTAGTTTGCTAAGTGTGCTCTGTTTTTTAAAACAAATTACAAATGAATGTTGAATTCTATCCAATGCCTTTTCTTCATCCATTGACAAGATCATATAGTTTTTTTCCTTTGATCTGAAAATGTGACAATTTACATTAAAGGATTTTTAAAGGTTAAGCTAATCTTACGTTCATGGTATAAGCCAAATTGGCCATGAAGGATTTTATTATATGATATAGTTTACGATACGATATATGAATGATATATTTCATGAACATATAGCTAGGTTTTGCTTTCCGATATTTAGGATTTTTGCACATATATTTATTTGCAAGATTATCCTGTAACTTTCCTTTTTCATTTTCTGTCTGGTTTTGGTATCGGAATTATATTAGATTAACGGGTACATTTCCTCTCAGGAATTCTTCGGAAGCACTTGTATAAAATTGGAATTATCTGTTTCTTGAAAATTTGCTGTAAGTTTTTACAATTCTATCTAGATCTTTTTCTTTCCTTTGAGGAAATATTTTAAATTACTGACAAATTTTCTTCGTTTTAGAACTATTCTTGTTTTCTGTTTCTTTCTGAGCCAGTTTTGTAAAATATATAATTTTCCATATATAATTTTCCATGTAGTCTAAACTGTCAAATTTATTGTCATGAAGTTTTTCATAGTATTTCATTATCTTTTAAAATCTCTCTTTTACGTATTTTTAGACATATTCTCCATTTGTGCTTTTTCTCTCTCTTTACTAGATCAATCTCACCAGAGACCTGCATCTGTTATTATTTTTTCTTGAAGAACCAACATTTCATTTTTTAAAAAATCATTTATTTATTTATATATAATATATATTATATTATATATATTATATATTATAATTTATATATATTATATATTATATATAATTTATATATATTATATATAATACATATATTATAATATATATTATATATTTTATATATATATATAATATATATATTTTTGAGATGGAGTTTTTGCTCTTGTCGCCCAGGCTGGAGTACAATGGCATGATCTTGGCTCACCGCAACCTCCACCTCCAAGGGTTCAAGCGATTCTCCTGACTCAGGCTCCCGAGTAGCTAGGATTACAGGTGTGTGCCACCATGCCCGGCCAATGTTTTGTATTTTTAGTAGAGATGGGGTTTTACCAGGTGGGCCAGGTTGGTCTTGAACTCCTGATCTCAGGTGATCCACCTGCCTTGGCCTCCCAAAGTGCTGGGATTACAGGCATGAGCTGCTGCAACCGGCCTATTAATTTATATTCTTTTTACTATTACTATTGCCTTCCTTCTTTCTTTGAGCTTACTTTGTTATATTTATAACTTCCTAACCTGGATACTTAGTTCACTAATTTTTAGCCTTTATTTTTAATATAAAAATTTAAGAATATACATTTTTTGAAGTACTTCACTAGATGCATCCCATAAACTTTAATTTATAGCATTTTCATTATTTTCAATTGTAAGTATTTGTACATTTTCATTATGATTTTTCTTGGATTCATGTTATATAGAAGCATGTTCTTCTTTTTAAAATTGAGAAGCACATTCTCTAAGGTCAACATTTTTTGTTTTCTTTTTGTTATCGACTCCATTACATTCTGATCAGAGATCATAATCTATATGACATTGATTCTTTGAAAGTTGTTGAAACACTTTACTGCCTGAAATGTGGTCACTTTTTGTAACTGTTTCATATGTAATTGAGAAGAATGTGTGTTCTCTAATTGTTGGGTACTGGGTTCTGTATATATCTATTAAATCAGATTTTTAAATTGTGTTGTTCAAAGACTCAGTTACTGCAAGATATGTGTTGAAATCTTCCATTTTGAACACCTGGATCCTGCTATGGCTGAAACATCTATCTTTGGATTTCTTTTTTTTCATTTGAGCCAATGAATTTTTGTTTTTTTGCTTGAGTGGGCTTGGATTGGGTTTTGTTTCACAAACCTAAATAGCTGTCGGTGGACAGTTCGGTTGCTTCCACCTTTTGGCTGTTGTGAATAATGCTATGAAAATAGGTATACAAGTCTCTTTTTGAGGCCGTGCTTTCAACTCTCTTTTTAATGTTTTGAAGAACTGCCATACTGTTTTCTGTAACAGCTACACTATTTTACATTCTCACCAATGGTACACAAGGGTTCCAGTTTCTCCCTATCATCACTAATATTTGTTATTTTCAATTTCTTTTGACTATAGCCATCCTCATGGGTGTGAGGTGATATCTCATGTGGTCAACAGGTTTTTATCATGCGTCTGGCACTGTGCTAAGTGGATTACAGCACAGCAAACACACTTACAGAACTTGAAGCCGTGTGGGTATAAAATATACACACATACCGAATTACAGTTTTGCAAATTGCTCTAAGGGAGAACTTCTCCAAGGGAGAAGTTACAGGGAATGGGGTCGAGGGCGTGACTTACTCCTAGAGGAGGGGCATCTCTTAAAGAGATACGTGGTAGGCTGGGCTTGGTTGCTCATGCCTGTAATCTCAGCACTTTGGGAGGCTGAGGCGGGTGGATCATCTGAGGCTGGGAGTTCGAGACCAGCGTGGCCAACATGGAGAAACGCCATCTCTACTAAAAATACAAAATCAGCCATGCATGGTGGTGCGTGCCTATAATCCCAGCTACTCAGGAAGGTTGAGGCAGGAGAATCGCCTGAACCTGGGAGGCGGAGGTTGCAGTGAGCTGAGATCGTGACACTGCACTCCAGCCTGGGCAATAAGAGCGAAACTCGGTCTCAAAAAAAAAAAAAAAAAAAAGACATGGTAGCTCGCTCCCATGCATCCTCCTGGGATGGAGAACTTTTCATGCTGTTTCCTTAATAGGCTTCTGGGGCGGTGACCTTTTAGCTGCTGAGTTTTCAGAGGCCCACAGGTCCTTTCTTAGCGCACAGTAGCCTTCGGGACTGGGGCTTGCCAAACACCTTCAGAAGTCCCCAAAGAGCTCTTACTCTGGCAAACAGTTTGCCATCAATAAACAGGGCAGTGCTTCCTGCCCAGATGCCTGTTAAACTTGCCTCTCTGCCACAGTGAGTCACTCTTAGCAAAGGTTGCCTTGTTGGGCAGGATGGTCTGGTGACCCAAGGCCACTTGGTTTTCTGTGATCCCTTTTGCCAATTTGTGACCAGAAGTTAGATGGTCACTGGGGCAAGGGGAACTGGTGGTAAATGGAGTCACCAGAGGTGGCAGGATGGTTGCTATGTTTGGGTGCATTTTCCGTTAATTCTGTCTAAATAGGTTTTTAAAAACATATATGTATTTATTTATTTTTATTTTTTTGAGACAGAGTCTCACTCTGTCTCCAAGGCTGGAGGGCAGTGGTGCAATCTCAGCTCACTGGAACCTCCACCTTCTGGGTTCAAGCTATTCTCCTACCTCAGCCTCCTGAGTAGCTGGGATTACAGGTACGCACCACCACGCCTGGCTAATTTTTTTTTTTTTGGAGACAGAGTCTCGCTCTGTCGCCCAAGCTTGAGTGCAGTGGCACAATCTTGGCTCACTGCAAGCTCCGCCTCCCGGGTTCACGCCATTCTCCTGCCTCAGCCTCCCAAGTAGCTGGGACTACAGGCGCCCACCACCACGCCCGGCTAATTTTTTGTATTTTTTAGTAGAGACGGGGTTTCACCGTGTTAGCCAGGATGGTCTCGATCTCCTGACCTCGTGATCCACCCGCCTCGGCCTCCCAAAGTGCTGGGATTACAGGTGTGAGCCACCGCGCCCGGCCTAATTTTTGTATTTTTAGTAGAGACTGGGTTTCACCATGTTGGCCAGGCTGGTCTCCAACTCTGGACCTCAGGTGATCTGCCTGCCTCAGCCTCCCAAAGTGCTGGGGTTACAGGTGTGAGCCACCGTGCCCAGCCACTAAATAGTTTTTAAAATATATATAGAGAGAGTGGCAAGATTGGACCCAATGATCCTTTCTTGCTTGGCATTTGGAGAGCTTGAGAGGAGGTGCCCAGGGCAGTCATTTTGACATTTTCTTTGAAGAGACAGGATGACACCACCCAGTTATGCTAAATTCTTGGAAAATTAGTGCAATACCCCTCTCTTCTTTCTCACTCAAGAAAGTTGAGAAGAAAGCCAATTTATAGGCTGGGTGCAGTGGCTCATGCTTGTAATCTCAGTGCTTTGGAAGGCTGAGGTGGGAGGATTGCTCGAGGCCAGGAGTTCAAGACCAGCCTGGGCAACATAGTCAGACCTCATCTCTACAAAAAATTTAAAGAAATCAGCTGGGTATGGTGGCATCTGCCAGTAGCCCCAGCTACTTAGGAGGCTGAGGTGGGAGGATCGCTTGAGCCCAGGAGTTCAGGGTTATAATGAGCTCTAATTGTGCCATTGCACTCCAGCCTGAGTGACAGAGCTCTAAAAAAAATTCCAAATTATAAGTGTAATATCATTATAGCAAAGCATACTTGGCATAGCACCTGGCACTTAGACCTGTGCTCAAGACCATAAGCTATTTTTATTTATTGTTATTATTATTATTATTATTTTTGAGATAGAGTCTTGCTCTGTTGCCCAGGCTGGAGTGCAGTGGTGTGATCTCGGCTCACTGCAATCTCTGCCTCCCTGGTTCAAGTGATTCTCTGCCTCAGCCTCCCAAGTAGCTGGGATTACAGGCACCCGTCACCACGCCCAGCTAATTTTTGTATTTTTAGTAGAGACGGGGTTTCGCCATGTTGGCCAGGCTGGTCTCGAACTCCTGACCTTAGGTGATCCACCCACCTCAGCCTCATAAAGTGCTAGGATTACAGGTGTGAATCACTGCGCCCGGCTTATTTTTAATTAATTATTATTATGTATGTCTTAGGCCTAACCTTCAACCAGGAGTAGCCAAACCACACCCCATGGTCCACATCCATCCTGCCACCTGTTTTTGTATGACCTGAGAACTAAGAATAATTTTTGCATTTTTAAGTAGCTAAAAAAGAGAATAATAGTCTCTGACATGTGAAAATTGTATGAAATTCAAATTGCAGTATCCTTAAATAAAGCTTAATGGGAACACAGCATTGCCTGTTTGTTTATGCATTGTCTGTGACTGCTTTCACACCACCATGGCCGAGTTCAGCAGAGACCATACGACTCACAAAGTCTCAAATATTTATTTTCTGTTCCTTTACAGAAAAAGTTTGCCAAAACTCTTACTAGACTGTCACATCCATTGGAATCCACAAGTACGTACTTGTTGAATATTTATCTGTGAGGTTCAAGACCATGTCCATCTTGCTCACCATTGTCTTTCTCTCTCTTTTTTTTTTTTTTTGAGACGGAGTTTTGCTCTTTCGCCCAGGCTGGAGTGCAGTGGGTGATCTCGGCTCACTGCAACCTCTGCCTTCCGGTTTCAAGCAATTCTCCTGTCTCAGCCTCCCCAGTAGCTGGGATTACAGGCGTCCACCAACACGCCCGGCTAATTTTTGTATTTTTAATAGAGATGGGGTTTCACCATGTTGGCCAGGCTGGTCTTGAACTCCTGACCTTGTGATCCACTCTCCTTGGCCTCCCAAAGTGCTGGGATTACAGGCATTGAGCCACTGCGCCCAGCCTCACCATTGTCTTTCTATTTCTGAATACAGAATTGATCTCAGTCGTTTCTGTGGAGTTCATTGTTACCCAGATGTCTTGGGATTTTCCAGCTTTCATGGGTCATCTTCCATTACAGTTGTTATATAATTGAGCTCTGTTTTGCGTTGATCCAAAAGAATTGCAGTTTTATACCAGGTAGTGCTCCCTGGGCATTTCTGGGGGTCCTTGAGGAATGCTTTCATGTTCCCACATCTGTTTTAAGAGTATTCCTCTGGGAGCCTCCTCCTAAGTTCTCTGCTAGACATCTTTCATTGCCCTAATTAGCCCCATTTCTTTTACTGGAGATCTGGAGGTGAGAGCAGAAAAACATCATAGGAAAGCCTGGACCCTAAATCCCGGACTTCACATATTTTAGAGCTCATGCATCGTGCTCATGAGCACCCCAACTGGTGAACCTTTTTCTCCTGCCATGGTGTCGTGGGCTCATCCTGTTTCCCATGTCGTTGGAGTCTTTGACTATCTCTCCTCCAAATCCCAACTTCCACTTTGTTCCAGAGAGAGAGAAGGAGAAGCCTTTCCTCTCCATCACACAAAGTATTCTTTAGAGAGATGCATTTCTTCCCTCCATGACCTTTTCAGAAGAGGAGATTGCAGCCAGGTGTGGCGGATCACACCTGTAATCCCAGCATTTTGGGAGGCTGAGGTAGGCCAATTGCTTCAGGTCAGGAGTTCCAGACCAGGCTGGCCAACGTGGTGAAACCCCATCTACTAAAAATACAAAAATTTAGCCAGGCATGATGTTGAGCACCTATAATCCTAGCTACTCAGGAGGCTGAGACACGAGAATCACTTGAGCCAGGAGGTGGAGGTTGCAGTGAGCTGACATTGCGCCACTGTACTTCAGCCTGGGCGACAGAGCGAGACTCCATCTCAAAAAAAAAAAAAAAAAAAAAGAGGAGATTGTTTACCCTTTGCTTAACTGAAATGCCTCCAGGAGTCCAAGAGTGTTCTCCCAAAACAAAACAGAAATTTTCCTTCCTCTTCTCTTCAGAACCACTGTGATGAACTCAATCTCTGTCTGATGAGTAGCTGAAAAAAATGCTGGTGGCTTTAAAATACCTGTTTGTCCCCCACTTTGAGCCTACAAGATAGTAGAAAATATCAAAATTCAGTTTCACAGCACAAATGAATAAATGAATGAACCTCCTCTATCTATATATATATGTATATGGTAAATACAATGTTCTGTATTTAAATTGTAAATACATTTTATATAGCACATATATGTAGTATATAAATACATGTACTTTTCTCTATATAGCATATCATACAGTAAAATATTATAGGGTCAGTCACGGTGGCTCATGCCTGCAATCCCAGTGCTTTGGGAGGCCAAGGCAGGAGGATCGCTTGAGGCCTGAAGTTCAAGACCAGCCTGGGCAACATAGGTAGACCCTGTCTCTACAAAGCATTTTAAAAAGTTAGCCAGGTGTGGTGGTGTACACCTGTGGTCCTAGTTGCTTGGGAGACTGAGGCAAGAGGATTGCTTGAGCCCAGGAGTTGGAGGCTGCAGTGAGCTATGATTGTGCCACTGTACTCCAGCCTGAATGACAGAGCGAGACTCTTTCTCAAAAAATAAATAAATAAAATAATATATTAAATTACCTAAAAACATTGATACTTTATTATTAGTGGCTCATGTCTTTCTTCATAGGGATTCAGACCCAGCCTTGGTTAATCTCTGGTTAAGAAACGCTGGGCCTAACAGCCAGGTGCTGATGCCTGAAATTATGAGATGAATTTCTGATTGGGCTTCTTGGCTTCACTCGTACTTTTCCATGCCCACAGCCTGGTATCCTCCTCCAATGTTAGCCAGCTCTGGTGTTTAAAAATGAACTCCAAAGTCCCCAGGACTGGGTGCAAGGGAGGTGAGAAGAGAGGATGGGACAAGCATGGGCATTGATCGATGACCTCCTCTTCCTGGAAGAGTCTTCCAAGTATCTGCCCTACCGGTAGCAGGTTATTCTAGGCTCCTAAGTCTGTGGGGGTGCAATGGTGTTAATAACATCCTGTGCTGAGTGGGCACAGGTGGAGGAAGTGGATACCCAGGAAGCTGGAGGAAGGGAAGAGAGGCAGTGAGTGGGTTCACAGGCTGAGAAAAGCACTTTGATGTGCTAGTGGGGTCTGGTGTTAGAATCTGGCTTTGAGGTTCTTTTAGGGGTAACAGCTGTGATCAAAGAACCAGTGCCATTGTGATGGTGGTGAGAATAATGCCTGTTTATGTCTCTTCTTTTTGCTACTTTTTTTATGACGAAAGTCATAGATTCCTTTTTTACATTTAAAAAATATATGTAAGAGAATAAAAATGGATCCCATCACTAAAAGATTTCATCAAAAAATATCCATGGAGCTTCACCTGTGGCTAGATTCCAGGTTCTGGGAATAGAGAGAGAACAAAACAGACACCCTCCCTCCTTCCTGGAATTTATGAACAGATGAACAAATGAATAAGATATTTTCAGATAGTGATAAAGGCAAGGAAGAAAATAAAAGAGAACATACAAGTATCTTGGTGGGAGGTTAGTTTAGCAAGAGGTGATCATTGTTCACATTTGCGTGTGTGGTGTTCAAGGTCTTTTTTACCTTTAGTGTCTGTCCTTCTCTTTGCATTCTGATCTAATTATGCATCATCTATCTAAAAATGGGATCATGATGTACACGCTGTGTTGTAACCTTACTTTTTTCATTTACTTGGAAACATCTGTTTCATTTATTCATCGGCATCATTATTTTTACAGATGCAGAGCAATTCATCACATAGGCTATACCATGCTTACATAACCAGCCCTTTATGATTGCACATAGGTTGCTTCCATTGTGTTGAAAAGATGATGTGTCTGGAAACTGTCCCTTTCCTTACATTGCCACTACCACCTC
Organism: Homo sapiens; assembly: GCF_000001405.40. Classification (NCBI taxonomy): domain Eukaryota; kingdom Metazoa; phylum Chordata; class Mammalia; order Primates; family Hominidae; genus Homo; species Homo sapiens. The sequence continues at coordinate 119,560,148 of NC_000012.12, read as the reverse complement.
CCTGGCTCAAGCTTGGGAGGTGGCAGGTCCCTTGCTTGGACCATTGAAGTAGCCTCTTAACTAGTCCTCTGGCTTCATTTTATACTCCTCTGCCAAGATTTTATATTTCTGGTCATGCCACTCTTTGGCTTCCAAACTATCATTGGCTCCCTACTGCCTACACAATGAAACCTAAACATCTTGGATTTATGATGGTTGGTTGTGCACTCGTAAAACTGGATGGCTTGAATAAGCATGTGAAAAGATGCTAAATACCCTTAGTCATTACAAAAAATGCAAATCGAAACCACAACTAGATACTACTTCACCTTTATTAGAATGGCTGTTAAAAGCAACAATAACAACAATGGAATATAATAAGTGTTGGCAAGGATGCAGAGAAATTGAAACCCTTGTACATTGCTGGTGGGAATGTAAAATGCTGCAGCCGCTACAGAAAACAATACGATGGTTCCTCAAAAAGCTAAAGAGAATTACTATACAGCCCAGCAATTTCACTTCTAGGTAGATAACCAAAAGAATTGAAAACAAGGACTTGAACAGATACTTGCTCATCAGTGTTCACTGCAGCATTAGTCACAATAGCTAAAATGTGGAAACAAACCAAATGTCCATCCACCAATGAAACGATAAAGGGAATGTGGAATATTCATATGATGGGATATTATTTAGGTGTACAAAGGAATGAAGATACAGTACATCCCTCAGCATGGATGAAACTTGAAGGCATTATGCTAAATGATATAAGCCAAACACAAAGTGATCAATGTTGTATAATTCCACTTACAGTAAATACATAGATTAGGTAAATTTAAGGAGACAGAAAGTAGATTAGAGATTACCATGTTCCTGGGAATGGGGAGGTATTGCTTAATGGGTACAGAGTTTCTGCAAGGGTGATGGAAGAGTTTTGGAAGATGGAAGAGTTTCAAGATAGTGATGATAGTTGTACAGCAATATGAATGTAATTAATGCCATTGAATTGTCAACTTAAAAATGATTAAAATGGCAAATTTTATGTATATTTTAGTACAATTAAAAAAAAAACCTGGATGATATGTCCATCCCTGCCTCCATGCCTTTGCTCACATGGCTTTGCTCTTGCTGGGGAACACTTTTCTTACATTTTTGTCTATTGAAATCTCATTCTGTTTTCAAGGCCGATCTCAAATAGGACCTCCTTCCTTGATGACTTTTCTAACTTATTGTCTCCCTATGTGTTCTCAAACCCATGTGATCTTCCATTTGTTTGAGCTCTCAGACTATGTTCTATGTCCCTTTTGGGCTGTTTCTTTGCCTTCATCACTTACTATGCTGTAAGTTCTTTGAGTAGAGGGACCTTGCCTTATTCATCTTTGCATTATTCATCCAACAAATATTTACTGAGACCATACTATGTGGTAGCCTGGAATATAATGCCAGTACACTGTAAAAAGTCAATTAATGTTCAGTTGAGTTGGCATGCCATATGTGGTCTGGACCTCGAATTTTTGGAGGACTTTCAGAGTGTGTAACCTTAAGGAGGAGTCAGTTTTCCTCCCTACTTAATAGTCTTGTTGGCACTCATTCTTGGAAGTAGTGGACTATCATAGGTAGTTTTCTCTTTCTTCTGGGAACATATATCATTCTTCTTTTTGGGAAATCATTTTCTTTCTTCTTCCCTGACTCCAACCCATGTGATTTGAGTGAACTGCCATGTTTTCACATGATCTTGCTCTCTTGGTTGCTGTTGATTGGTTCAAGGTGAACACCTGACCCAAGATGGACCAATCAGAGCTTTGCCCTAGGATTTTTGAAACCAGAACAGAGAGGAGAGCCTGGGGAGTTGAGAAGCCACATTGCCACGTGTGTTAGAAGCTGGCATGCAGCAGGATGTGGCTGATGCACAGAGGGAAGAAGAGAGGAGCAGAGAGAAAAAAAACCCTGGTTCCAGTTGCATCAAAGATCCATCTGTATCTTTATCCCTTTCAGAGCTTGATGTTTCAACACTTCATTGTATTCCTCAAGGCAACAAATTCCCCTTTAGTCTAAGTTAGTTTGAGTTTAGACTCTGTCACTTGCAACCAAATTGCTGCACCTCTCTGAGCCTCAGTTTCCTCATTATAAAGTATTGATAATGACCCCTTCCTCATATTTTAAAAATTTGATGCATATAAAATGCTTATGATGGTTCCTGGCACATAACACACACCCAATAAATGTTAACAATGATTACTATTGGAATTAGCATTCATAGAGCCTGGAGACGATGTGAATGAGAACATAAGTCTATCAAATAAGAATAGAGATGGCTCTGATTTTTCTTTAGGCTCTATCCAAGACAGAAGGGCCATTTTTTTTTTCATGACTTTAGTACCTCTTTGCTTAATGTCCTTGTAAGGCCCAGACATGCCTCCTTCATTGATGACAAGGAGTTCTCACCACCGTTAGCCAGTTCTCATTAAGGTGTTTCCACTATGGGGGTCTGAGACACAGATGGGCTTGTTCCATACTCTGAAAGGAGCCTCACTTCACTACATTCCCCTTTGGCTCCAGCTGATAGACACTCAGTACACAGTTCCAAGACTTAATGGCATTCTGCTTGTATGTTGCCAAACACTAAAACCTTGTTGTTGGAGTTAAGTGTTTTGGGAAATGGTCTGTAATATTTCACCAACCGAGACTTCAAAAAGTTGGAATTGCTGAATGAGCTGCCAGATCTGAACTTGATCTCCAATTGGCCCACCTGTGCTCACTGGAGAGGACGTGTTGAAACCTTTCCTGTGAGCTCTGTGAATTCATTTAAGAAATATTCCGTCCCTGCAGTGGCATTTAGTGGCACATAGTAGACTCTCAATTGTGGATTTTAAATATATTATGCATTTTAAAGACACTAAAAATATAATAACTTCAAATACTTAAATCATGGTTACACTGTGTCAGACACTCTTTCAAGCATCTACATATACTAATACAGTGGTTCATGAACTCTCCTGCACATTAGAATCACGTGGGTAATTTAAAATAGTCCCTATGCTTAGGCCACACCCTACACCAATGAAATCAGGCTCCCCTAATTTGAGTTTTAAACACTCCCCAGGTGACTCACATATGTAGTCAACTGTGAGAATCAGGGAATGAACTCATTTAATCTTCATAACACCTTATAAAACAGGTGCTGCTACTACTCATGTTGCATAAGTGAGGAAACTCAGGCACAAGAGACAGATTAAGTAAGTGACTTGCCCAAGGTCACACAGCTGACAGATGTCAGAGCCAAGTGTTGAACCAGGCTGTATGGTCCCAGAATTCATGCCTTTAATCACCAAAACCTGTAACCAGAGGCCCGCATATTCTTTTTATTTGAAAAAATTTATCTTAAAAGTATTTGTTTACACACACACACACACACACCACATGTGTTTACGTTATACAGATTAATTGTATAATGAAAATCTGTGGCCCCGTCAACCAAAGAACTAGGGCATTGCCAATAAGGCATACACCTGATGCTCTTTCCCAGTCCAGGGCCCCAGGTCCCCTCCACAGAGGTCATTGTTATCCTGAGTTTGGGAGTGTATCACTGCTTTGCATATATAAAGTCATACCTACACAGCATGTGTTTTACTCTTGCTTATTCTTGTTTTATAAAAATGAGATCATGCTATTATATGTAGTCTTCTGGTTTTAATTTTTTTCCTACTATTTCCCAAATTTTTTTTTTTAATTTTTATTTTAGGTTCAGGGGTACATGTGCAGGTTTGTTGTACATTAATAGGTAAACTTGTGTCTCGGGGGTTTGTGGTACAGGTTATTTCATCACCCAGGTATTAAGTACCCAATAGTTATTTTTTCTGCTCCTCTCCCTCCTCCCACCCTCCATCCTCAGGTAGGCTCCAGTGTCTGTGGTTCTCTTCTTTGTGTCTACGAGTTCTCGTCATTCAGCTCCCACTTATCAGTGAGAACATGCAGTATTTGGTTTTCTGTTTCTGTGTTAGTTTGCCAAGGATAATGGGCCTCCAGCTCCATCTATGTTCCTGCAAAAGACATAATCTCATTCTTTTTTATGACTGCATAGTATGCTGTGGTGTATATGTACCACATTTTCTTTATCCAATCTGTCATTGAGAAGTTTGCGTATTCTTATTCTTATTCTCTGTCCCCATCCCACTGTCTGGTTCAAACTCCCATGCTCTCATAATGTCTCCTGGACATTTCGAAGTCTCCTCATTGGTCTTCTTTCTTGAGTCTCAGGCTCTCTAACTCAGCTCTGTCCAATGGAATTATAATGCAAGCCACATATGTAATTTTAAATTTTCCACTGGCCACATTAAACAAGTAAAAAGCAGGATAAATTAATTTTAATACCATATTTTATTTAACCCAATATATTCCAAATATCCTTTTGACACATAATCAATATTAAACAATATTAACGAGATAGTCTACATTCCTTTTTTCATACTCAGTGTTCAAAGTCCCGTGTGTATTTTATACTTATAGTTGTTGAAAAATCACAAAATCCATGCATTTAGATAAAGAGACTTTATTTTTTTAAAAAGGGTTACAGTCTACAAGGTGGCCATCCCACAGGCTGGGAACCATACTTCTGGCCAAAGTCATTAGCAGGCATTTTGAAGGAGGTGGGGTTGGTTTTTTTTTTTTTTTTTTTTTTTTTTTTGAGATGGAGTCTCGCTTTGTTGCCCAGGCTGAAGTGCAGTGGCGTGATCTCGGCTCACTGCAAGCTTCACCTCCCGGGTTCATGCCATTCTCCTGCCTCAGCCTCCCTAATAGCTGGGACTACAGGTGCCCGCCACCACGCCTGGCTAATTTTTGTATTTTTAGTAGAGACGGGGTTTCACCTTGTTGGCCAGGATAGCCTCGATCTCCTGACCTCATGATCTGCCCACCTTGGCCTCCCAAAGTGCTGGGATTACAGGCGTGAGCCACTGGGCCTGGCCAGGAGGAGGAGGGGTTGGACAGGAATTTTAGCTCACTGGGGTGGCCAAGTATGCGTATTCAACAGGTTACGAGAGGAGTTATGAATATTTATGAAGGTAGTTATGACACGTGTATTGAACAAATATGCATGTGACATGTGACATATCACCCCACCTTGGGGTGGGGCTTGATATTTAAATGTATTATAATTAGATCCTATATGTCAAAAGGTCTTTTTAGAACGAAGGCACTCATGTGCACAGCCTCTGTAAACTGGCCAGAATCAGTCCATGGTCAGTGGTCTTTTTTATTAGGAGAAAGTTATTGAAATCAATTTCTTGCCTAATCAAAGCTGTAGTTATGGCTGGTGGAAAGGGAACGGTGCGGGGGAGGATCAGTTAGTCAGTGTCTGGTGGTTGGTTCGTTGCAGTTGTTTTAACACTGCTTATCTCAAGGCCAGCACTTGTTTAGCTGCTAGAGAAAAAGAAAAACCTTGTGGCAGTTAGAATATAGTTTATTCTTTAAGTGAAGGAGTGTGTGACTTAACCCTTTCCTGGCATGGCCTTAGGCCCTGTTTATAACTTGGTATCTTATTACTACGAAGAGTTCATTTTGTCGGTCTTGTGATCTCTATTTTAACATTAACGCTGGTCAGTTGTCTGTAAACTACACAAAAGAGGGGGTATAACGAGGTGTGTTGGACCTCCGGTTCTTGTCATTGTCGTGAACTCAGTTTTTAAGGTTTTTCTGGGGGTCTCTTTGGCCAAGAGGGGGTCTGTTCTGTCAGTGGGGCAGGGGGCTTAAGATTTTATTTTTAGTTACATAGCACATCTCAATTTGGAATGGCCATGTGTCCAGTGGTCAGTAGCCACACGTGGCTAATGACCCTCATATTAGATGGTGCAGCTCTAACCCATTCTCCACCCTGCAGACAGACCAAACTTTCTAAAATGGAAATGTCACCAGTTTTCTCAACAATTTAGAACATATTCCTGGCTTCCTATTACTCTCAAGACAAATTCCTCAAGGTTCTTTGTGATTTATTTCCAACTCACCCTTTTAGGTTATTTTTCTGTAACTTCACATAGGGACCTTCCAGCCCTATCAAACTTCATTTTTCTCCCCGAATACGTAATTGTTTTTCAGGTCACTGTGACTTTGCACAGGCGGTTTTCTCCACCTGAAAGGTCGTTCCTGTTCTCTTGTTCTTTCCACTTCTTCACCTACAACACTCCTCTTCCCCCCAGATGCCTTCTCGTTTATTTAAAAAATCTTTGAGGATTCATCTGGGATGGATTAGTCCAACCCTCCTGTGCATTCATATGGAACCTTGAATACAGCTTTTATCATATTTGTCGGTAGCTGCCTATGTGCTCACATCTCTCACAAGGCCAAGTGCTTCACCAGAGCAAGGATCATGGCTTGTCTCCCTTTCTGCTCCCAGTACCTTTCTCTCTCAGTGCCTGTCAAATATTCGGCACATAATATTAGACCCCATTCCTTCCATTCATTCGTATTACTTGCCTGGTCTTGGTTGAAATGTAGATTTGGGACCCTCATAATCTAGCTCTCTGATTTTACAGATGGGGAAACTGAAGCCCTAGAGGAAAAGAAGACTAAATGTATTACCATCTGACCCACTTCCTGGCCAGCCTGTTCACCTGTCTGCTGTTCTTCATTGGTGAGTTTTCTGCAAAGGTAAAATGGCATTAAATTGAAGATGAGAGGAGGAGGCCAGTTGGCCTGCTTTATGCAATCAGTGGTTCATGAAATCATGCAGTGTAAACAAAATGTTTGTAAATGAGACCGCATTTCAGATGCCCTAGAGTTGCTAGACCTGTAATGCAATCCTCTTACAAGTGCTGGAATAATGAGAAAAGGGTGTTAAATTTATTGTCTTTGTAAATTTGTATCCCTTTCCTCCTCTATTGGAACTGCCTTACAAGTGAGATCCAGCTGCTGTTTTAGCAAACTTGGATGGCGATGTTTCTGTGTCACCCCAAGTAAAAATGGTTTGGGGTGGGTGATCTGTTTCTTTGATCCCTTGAAACCTCAGCTCTCTTTTTTTATCATGGGGTCAGGGTGGGGAGAAAGAGAGAGATTTAGAATGTGCTTAGAACAGCCAGTTTGTGGGGTGAACTAAAGAACATTGCAGAGCATTATTTCATGCTCCTTGATTTAGGCACTTGGCCATTTGACTCCCATTAACCTGGAAATTGCATGTTTAAAAAAACCTCTATGTAAAGTTAAGTTTTTTATGCACAAGTTAGGTGCACTGTTTCTCTTGGCAAACTCGCTTTTGTTGGGAGAGAAGCTAGAGAACCAAGGAGGAGATAGAGGAGGGGTTAATTAGGATATCAGTTGCCTGGGGTCATTTAATGCAAGGGAAGATAACTAATCTTTCAGTATCTGAGAGCATCACTGGGGTACAGAGAGAGGCATGCCAATTCATAGGTACCCTTGATGCTCTAGAATTAATAATAGGAGATTTAAAGAAGAGGCATTGGAAGCTTATCAGAAGTAACACGGGATGAGAAGACAAGAATGCCACTATTATCCCTTTCATATTGTGGAATGCCCAACTTCTCCTGGGTTTCTTAGCTTGCCTGATGCCAGACACGTGGTCTCTTTCTCAGTATAGACTGAATGAGGGTGCCAGGGTCAATCCACACCCAAACTACTCGTAAAACTTCAAATAGACTTTTGCTAAGATAGCTATAAATATAAGTTCTAATATTTTTTTCTGCTCCCTAATGGATCATCTTGTGCAGCCCTTCCACTTTGAAGACCATTGAGCTAGGAAATATACTTACCCAGCGCCTCTTTTCACAGTGGTAGAGACATGAGGGTTGGCTCTGATAACAGTCCCCACCTTGCATTTGTTTCATGCTCTTTTAAATCCAAATTGGCACTTTCACACCTGCTGCAAAACGGAGTGATAAAACATCTGTGTTCTTAGTCTTTCCGTTTTCTGTTGATTGATGTTGTGAATTTAACTCAGGATTTCGTCTTAGCATTACCTGCATGATATATCCCATAGCAGTGCCTTTCTCTACGACCTCACTCGCCCTCTTAGAGGAAGAGGTGTCTAGAATTTGACTATGCTTATATACAGATCTCTTTTCTTTCTCCTGCTGCATTAATTGGGAATCAGTTTGTTGCAAGTGAAGGAAATCAAATTAAATCTGGCTTCCGAAGAAAGAGAAGCTGTTAGCCACCATAACCAAAAGTTCAAAGATCTGGCTAGAGAGCCAGGGGCCCGAATGATGCGACCAATATTTGATCTCTCTTTTGCTGCATTTCTTGGCTTTGTTTTCCTCCCTTTGTTGGCAATTTCTCTCTGTGTGTTGGTTCCCAGAAGCTGTAGGCTTGTTTTATCCTTAGTGTTAACAGTTCCAGAAAAAAGAGGGCTTCTTGTTCTCTCTTCCAGTTCCAACATAAGTTCGGGAATTGAGCTTTATTGGATTACTTTGGGTGTCCATCCTGAGCCATTTGCTATGATTAGGGAAATGTCATGCTTGCATTATCCAGGTCTTGGTCACATGCCCACACCTGGCACTGGATTGAAGCACTGCTCAATCCACAATGAATGAGAGTCAGGAGGAAGGGGTTGCTGCCTAAAGAAGAGGGAGTGGGTAGACACAAGCTACACATGTGTTCCACCTTTGAGTGAGGACTTTCCTTGACAGAGGCTCAACCACAGGGTTGGAACAATACAGTCCTTTGCCTGAATTACAGCTTTCATTTTGCTATGCAATTGTGACGCCAACTATCCGGAGGTAGGTCAAAACTTTCAGATTAAGGGTACACAAGAATGTCTTCAATTAAGACACCATTCATAGTGGTCCCAGGCCACCTATACTTTTGACCAGCTGGCTACAATTTGAGGGTTCCCACTAGCCCCTCTGGTCCATTAATTCACTATCATATATATCATACTTTGTTGAGTTCTTATCTGTTTATAAGACAGAACAACCCACAGAACTCAACAAAATATGATATAGATGATTACAATTTTATTATAAAGGATATAAATCAAAATGATCCAAATGAAGAGTGACACAGAGTGAAGTCTGGGAGGGTCCAAGATGTGGCATTTCCATGTCTTCAGGATATCGATATATGATTATCGAATAGGGAAACTCACTGGAATGTCGGATGTTCAGAATTTTTATTAGGGCTTCATCATGTAGACATGCTTGGTTGAATCAATGGCCATGTGATTGAACCCCACCTCCAACCCTCCTTCTGTCCCCAGAGCATAGGAAGATGAAAGGATATAACGTGGTTCAAAACCCCAACCCTCTAATCACATTGTTGGTCTTTCTGGCATGACCAGCTTCCAGCCAAAAACTATCTAGGGACCCACTGTGGATCACCTCATTAGCATAAACTCAGGGGTGATCTGTGGGGCCCACTATGAATAACAAAGAAACTCTTCTCACTCAGGAACTTCTAAGGGTTTAGAGGCTCCCTCCCAGAAACTGGGGATAAAGACCAAACCAATTCCTTATGATACACCACTCCTCTATGCTGGATCCCAAACTCTTCCCAGGCCTGGAAACTAACACCGTCCAATATTCACTGTCTCCTCTGCTGCCACCACTTCTGGACCCAACACCAACTCTGGCTGAGGCTTTCAGCCTCTTCCTCCCTCAGCCCATCAGAGATCTCCTTTGGGGTCTCCTCCTGAACCCTACTGTCCCCTATTCCAAGCCCTTCTTTCTTTTCCTCCCAAAGCTAGTGACTTTGGAAGAGTCCACCCCTCTGTGTCTCAGTTTCTTCATTGGTAAATGTAGGATGTGGATTGGTTTCAACTCAGCTGTTACTTCTTCCAGTAAGCCTTCTCTAGAGGACACTTTTGTTTTTTTATGAGTAGCTTCTCAGTCCTTTTCCTTTTCTTGGGGAACTTTCACTCTATGAGATTAATATTTCTCCTATTATGAAAGTCAAACAATCCAGATACTTGCTTTCTCAGCTTTTTTTGTCAACTAGGATATGATCATGTGACTTAGGCTTTGCGATCGGATTTTTATGTTTTCAGAGGCAGTAATGTAAAGACTCAGAGTTAAATTAGCCAGAATCAGATTCTATTGCTTGCATATAAAGACTTTGGCTGATGTACCTTTTTTGACTTGCCAGACTCCGGTGGTGGCTTTCTGTGTGCTCCATCTTTCTCTGCCATTGTTGTCATAGCTGAGTTGTATTGAGTCTTTACTGTAAGCTGGATGCTTTACACAGCCTATTTCACTGAATTTTTTTTTTTTTGAGATGGAGTCTCACTCTGTCAAACAGGCTGGAGTGCAGTGGCGTGATCTCGGCTCACTACAACCTCTGTCTCCCGGGTTCAAGCGATTCTTCTGCCTCAGCCTCCAGAGTAGCTGGGATAACAGGTGCCTGCCACCACTCCTGGCTAATTTTTATATTTTTAGTAGAGAGGAGTTTCCCCATGTTGGCCAGGCTGGTGGTCTCGAACTCCTGACCTCAAGTGATCTGCCCACCTTGGCCTCCCATAGTGTTGGGATTACAGGCGTGAGCCACCAAGACTGGCCCAGGCTATCTCATTGACTCTTTAGTGGTGTTCTCATTTTACAGATGAGATATATAGAAGTGAAGATACCTCTCAAGGTCATACAGCCAATGACAACACAACTAGGATCTGAACTTTCTCAGTCTGACACCTGAACATTCTGTTTTAACCATCACAGTATAACACCACTATTTAACCTTTGGAGGACACAGGCTCTCTTTATACCTCTGGCGTCTCTCAAATAGCCTGGAGCATGGTAGGTGCTCAATGATATGCAAGCTCAGGTTGATGACAAGGTCTCACCTGGCGCAAACATTCTATGAGTTTCCTACCTCCACCTGTCAAACTGCAGCCCTTCTTCTTTCAGTCCCCTTCTCCCACTTGTTACCTCCAGGACTTACCATCTAATCAATATACACTATTCTTCACCTCCTTCCCACCCCTGTTCCCGTGAACACCTTAAAATGATTGTTGAAAATCTTCCCCCGTCACCAGTTTTTCATTTTCACCCCTGTTCCTAGATTATTTTGACTTTGGGGATGAAGATGTCTCTGCCTTGTGAAGGGCTTTGTACTGTGTCATATGTTCTCTGCCTTACCCCCAGCTCCTTAGTGACCCCTGAGTTTCACATCTTTGGGAAGGTTTTAGCAGAGTTAATGTTGCCATTTGCAAGGCACACTGCAGCCTTTTTGTGGAGTTCCAAGTATAACAAATCTGGGTTCTCTTTGGCATGATGACATCTTGCTTGAAAGAGTCAAAGGCTTTCTCTGAGATTTGCAGACGAGGGAGCTATCATTCAAACAGCTATCAAAAGAGCAGATGTTAGTTAAGGGCGAGGCGTGAGAATGATATTGTTATTGGTTTATGCAACTGAGTATTTTCAGCTTCAAGTAGCAGAAAACCCAGACTCAGCTGCTTTGGGCAATGAAGGTTGTATCAACTCACTTCAAAATGTTCCAGCCAAGGTGATTCTCTTGAATCTGCCCCTTGTTGGCAGCAAGGTGCCTGCACAATTTAGTGAAGACACGATAAGTTCCGGGAAAGGACTGTTTTCCTCTGTGCTCTGTGTTTTTTTTTTTTTTTTTTTTTTGAGATAGAGTCTTGTTCTGTCACCCACGCTGAAGTGCAATGGCGTGATCTCGGCTCACTGCAACCTCCGCCTCCCGGGTTCAAGTGATTCTCCTGCCTCAGCCTCCTGAGTAGCTGGGATTACAGGTGCCCACCACACCCAGCTAATTTTTGTATTTTTAGTAGCGATGGGGTTTCACCAGGTTGGCTGGGCTGGTCTCGAACTTCTGACCTCAGGTGATCCACCTGCCTTGGCCTCCCTAAGTGCTGGGATTAAGTGATTGCATGAGCCATTGTGCCCGGCCTCCTCTGTGTTTGTTTTAAGAAGAAACAAACCTTTCTCAGGAGCTTCCCCTTGCAAACCTGGGGTAACATGACCACCTATAAATTAACCCTAGCATGGGGAATGGAATTGCCAATATAGATTTAGACCAATCAAAATTTATCCTGATTCACATGGGAAGGGGTAGACACTTGAACAAAATCAGGACTCCTAGCAAAAGAAGAATGGGAAATGGCTGTTGAATAGCATCCGTGGTGATAGATATAATCCCAAAAGGCAAGCGGGAGAGACTTTTCATCAGAACATTAAAAGTGAATTGGGACAAAGGATGGGGGTATTTCTGGCTTAAGTCATGTGATGGAAGGGACTAGCTCTGTGATGTGTAATAGAAAACCTGCCCCAAGCTCTGAAAGTAGACTTTTTACTTTTAAAAGTCTAAGGTCAAAGGAATGCCTCAGCTCTATTCTCGCCAACCTGTTGGGTCATTGAGGGAACTGTTTGTGCTGGCCTTAGGACACTGAGCTGTGAGCTTATTTTTTATACTATCAGGCTCCACCTTTGCCAGGATGGGCAGTCTCACATCTAAGCCAGCCTCCTGGACATCTTTATTTCCTAGAAGGCAGTGGGGATCTGAGGAATCCTGATGAGTCTAACCCTGATGATGGCTTCTTTTAGTTTCTCTCAGTCATCCGTCCGTCCATCCATCCATCCATCCATCCATCTATCCATCCATGCACTCAAGTATTCATCCATTTATCCACTCAACTGTTCATCCATCCATGCATCCATCCATCCATGCATCCATCCATCCATCCATCCATCCATGCATCCATGCATCCATGCATCCATCCATCCATCCATCCATCCATCCATCCATCCATCCATCCATTCAGTTGATGCCAGAAATGTTATGAGAAATTCTGGGAATACAATAACAAATAAAGCAGATGTAGTCCTTGCCCTCATGAAGGCTAAATCTAGTTGGGAAGACAGATAATAAGTAAACAAACATAAAAAAATTCAGAGCTATTTTGAGACTAGGCCAGAAAGGAATTTGTGCCCTCTCCACTTTTCACTAGTGTGGTTCCTTTGCCCCAGGGTAGTGTGGTGGAGAAAGCTACAGAGTTAAATAGCCAGACCCAAATCTCAAATTACTTGGTGTGTCATGTCTTCAAAATGTGGGTGAGATTTGCTTTGCACATCTCAGAGGATTGCTTTGAAGATCACATGGTGCTAATGGATGTGAACACCCTTCAAAAATGTAAATGGTTTCTAAATTTTATTATCACTAAAGCTCGAGCTCTGATTCCCCCCAAAAGATGACCAATTTGAACCCCAAGACAAGATCCTTTAAGTAGAGAGGCAGTGTAATGTGGTTAAAGCAATATTGCAAAATTTCAAGACGACCACGATTTGAACTCTTGATTAATTGCTTGAAGGCGTGTGACTTGGGCAAGCCACTTCACCTCCTTTAGCTTCAATTTTCTGTCATCTGTAAATGTGAATAAGCATAATAATGCTAGCTTCACAGGATAATTACAAGGAATCAACCAGCAAATGCATATGAATTACATAGTGCCTAGCATAAGGCACTTAGAAAATTTTCATGTTTATTAAATTCTTACTCTACATTATCTTTATCTGACTTCCCCTGGCTACCTCCAGATCCCAAAACAGGGAAGGACACTCAACCTCAGCCATGCAGGTGAAGCTCAGGGACTGAAATGAGCAGTATTGGGTAAAGAGGAAGTGATGCAGGTGTTGTTTTAACATTAGCTTGGGCTTTTATTTTGATATCATTCTTTACAATTGGTCATAGCTTTTGGTCCAGTTCCTCCCTTACCTGCAAACCTTTAAATGAAATGCCAAGGCAGGGTGGTGACAAGAGTCTGGGTATTGGTTTTAATGCACTGGTGTGAACCTTCAGCCTCTTTCCTCCTTCATATAAAGTAGGAAGATAGGAAGTGAAATGACCACCAACATAGCAAATTAATGCAGAAGTTTGTATACGAAGCTCACTATGTCTGTTAAAAAGAAAAAAGGTTACCTACCCCAATTATGTAGCTTTGGGCAGGTTTCCCAACTTTCCTCCACAACACCAGTTTCCTCCACAACAAAGTGGGGGTCAGAGTGATATCTACCTCATGAAACTGTGGTGAGGATAAACTATAATTGAATGCGAAGCACTTAGAACAATGCGTGGTATACAGTAAGCACGCAATGAATGCTTCATTTTAGTTAATTAATTAAAAATGTTTTGCTTATACATGTGAAGAATATCCCTGGAAAGTAATACAAGTTACTGGATACAGTGTGAGTGCCTCTGTAAACCGGAATGGGGGTCTGAGAGTTGGAGGGGGAGGAATACTCACTACTTAGTGGAGATCCTTTTGCACTGTTAAGATTTTTACCCCATGCATACATTCCTTTTCCACAAAAATGACAAAAACTATTCTGAGTAGTGCCAACCCCCCGTTCATCTACATATTTACCATATTACGTTCACCAGTCCTCCCTGTCTCTGTTTTTTGGGGAAGACTAGAACATTCCTCTTCACTCTTAAATTTATCCTCAAGCGGGATCAGCAAACGATGACTGACGGCCCCAATCTGGTCTATGGTCTCTTTTTGTGTGACCTCTAATTTACAGTTAAAAGTTTAAAGGTGTAAAAAAACAGTTTTCACACCTTTAAAGGACTATATAAATAAAAAGAACATGCAACAGATATTTAATATCCAGTCCTTTACAGAAAAAAGCTTCTCTAGCGCACATATAGTTTAAAAAGCTCTCATGTTAACCACTTAGATGGCTTGGTCAGAGCTGTGGGACAGTGACTTCTGGGGACCCAACACCTAGTAGGTGTTCAATTAAGATTATGATGGAGAGGCTAACAAGCAAAAAAATTTCTTCCTGTGGCTCTTCTTAGAACCTGGAAGCTGGGAGGGGATGTGTTGCCTTGTCCTGGTCCCCAGTCTATTTTAGTAGTAAAAGGTCTTCCTTTGTTTGAGTAAACACTCTTTGTCTAAGCAGAAGAGGTCTTGTTGCTGCTGTTTAATACTTGCATTTTTTTTTGGCAGGAAAGTGACATTCTGCTGGAGGGCAGGGTGGGAGAGTAATACTGACAAAGGCCACTAGATGGAGCTACAGCTATGAGAAACAGGCTCAGAAACTGCCAAGCGGGAGGGCGGAGTGAGTCTTGCAATTTCAGATTGCCCCTGACTGGGACAGACAGACTTCAATTTAGACTTGGCTCTCCCACTTACCTGCTATGTGACTATTGGACAATCTTAAGTCTCGATATCCTTCTTTGCAAAATGGGGATTATAATAATGCCCACCTCAGAGGGATGCTGTGAGCATCGAATAAGATAATACTGGAGAAGGCACTCTGGAAACAGTGGAATACAGTACAAATGTGAGCTAATACAATTCATGAAAGCCTCCTCATTAGATGAGCTCAATTCCAAAAGCGCAATAACTCTCGTGACCTCCTTGTTTCATAGCAGAGGGGGCTGGAGGTCGGAGGGTAGGGATGGGGAGGGGGTTCATAGTCAGCTGGACATGCGTACAAAACATTTCTCAGAGTCTCTATTCCATCATCTGCAAAACAGGAGGATATAAGAGCCCTTCTTTGCAGGCTTGTGAAGATGGAATGAGATCATATATGCCAAGCATTTTGCATGAGGTCTGGAACTAAGCAGCCCTTCAGTAAATGTTATTTAAAATTTTTTTTTAATTTCTTTTGAGACAGAGTCTCACGCTGTCACCCAGGCTGGAGTGCAATGCCATGATTTTGGCTCACTGTAACCTCTACCTCCCGGGTTCAAGTGATTCTCCTGCCTCAGCCTCCTGAGTACCTGAGATTACAGGCATGCACCACCACACCTGGCTAATTTTTGTATTTTTAATAGAGACTGGGTTTCACCATGTTGGTCACGCTGGTCTTGAACTCCTGACATCAGGTGATCCGCCCACCTTGGCCTCCCAAAATGCTGGGATCACAAGCTTGAGCCACTGCGTCCAGTCAGTAAATGTTATTTTCTGAGTAGGCTTCTTGATGCTTTTCGTTATTCTGTCCTCAAGACCCCTCTCTCCTCTCCTCTTCTTGCCTCTCTTCCCATTTCTTCCTTTGACCGTCTTGACCTGTGGGATGTTGCTGCTATGTTTCCGTCTCCAGTGCAACCTCCTTTCCTGAGTTATGCATCCCCCCACCTGACTGTCCCTCAGGCATCTCCAACTCAATATGCTTAAAACATAACTCCTCACCTTCTCATTATGAATTTCTTTTCTTCCTGTTCTCCTGGTACATTTAAGGCATCACCTTCCACTCGTGATTCCTGATATTCCTGCCCTCCCACCCCTTACTTATAATCCATCACACCAAGTTCTGTTGATTCTTCTGTTTAGATATCTTTCCAATGAATGTCTTCACCCCTTCTCCACCACCGCTGTTCTCCCCACAATCATTGCCATAGCCTCATCTTAGCTCCTTGTTCCTTGTGAGTGCCATTTTTCTCCCTTGAAAGCAAATGCAATTATTCCCTTCCTCAAAATCCTTCCATGGATTCCTATTTCCAGGCAGATAAAGCCCAAACTTCCTAACATGGCTTATAAGGCATCTGAAAGATCTGGCTTCTACTTCCCTCCCCAACCCCCCTCCTCCCTTTCTCTGTCTTGCACTCCCAATTCGAAATATGGCCCAGCTGGACTTACGTTTAGGTCCTCAAATGACAAATTAAGCTTTTTTTCCTCTCGGCCTTTGCACATGCTGTTCCTTCTGCCTGGAACATTCTTTCTTCCCTCCTTATCTGCCTACCCATCTCTCTCTGGCTAACTCTAGCTCAACTTACAGGTATCAATCACCTCTTCTCAAAAGCCTTTCCTGACGTCTCAGGTATGAGTTAGTCCTCCCCTCCCTCATGTCCACTGGGACCTTTTTGTGCTTGCTTTAATTTGGCACCATTGCACTGATTATCTTGTGTAATTAAATGTCAGCTGTGATGGTCACCTGACATTTGAGATATACATCAATTTGGCTGGGTTCCTGTCCCATGTCTAGTGAGAAGCCAAATGTCCGTTTAAGATTTCTATAAACCTAGAGAGCTCATGTAATAGTAGTCTCTCTAACTTTGACTTCCTGTTCCTACTGTACTCTTTCATTTTTGAGACAGGATCTCGCTCTGTTGCTCAGGCTGGGGTACAGTGGCATGATCATGGCTCACTGCAGTCTTGACCTCCTGGGCTCAAGGGATCCTCCTGCCTCAGCCTTCCGAGTAGCTGGGACTACAGATGGTGCCACCAGCTTTTTTTTTTTTTTTTTTTTTTTTTTTTTTTTTTTGAGACGGAGTTTAATTTTGTCGCCCAAGCCGGAGTACAGTGGTGCGATCTTGGCTCACTGCAACCTCAGCCTCCGGGTTCAAGCGATTCTCCTGCCTCAGCCTCCTGAGTAGCTGAGACTACGGGGGCGTGCCACCATGCCTGGCTATTTATTTATATTTTTAGTAGAGACAGGGTTTCACCATATTGGCCAGGCTGGTCTCGAACTCCACCAGCTAATTTTAAGAACAATTATATTCTGTAGAAATGGGGTCTCACTATGTTGCCCAGGCTGGTGTTGAATTCCTGGCCTCAAAGGATTCTTTCACCTTGGCCTCCCAAAACACTGGCATTACAGGCCTGAGCCACCTTGCCAGGCCCTGAACTCTTTATTGTGTTGAGGGTCTGAGTACCTCAAGCTCTTTTTTTTGCCCCCAAGCAGCCCAGATGTAGAACACAGCGCCTTTTCTTTATTTCTTCAAAACATGGCTCACAGAAGACAGTTGGGTATGTAACAGAAACTACTAAAGGTCCAGAGGGATGAAGAGGGTTGGTTTGCATTGTAGTTCTTAGGGATCCACCAGCCAGCCCTGCCCTGTTTTATCCCCCTGATTGGTTTTCTCCTGAAGTCCCTTCTCACGCTCCTGTTACTCAGCTCCCTTTTCCTCCTCTACCTCCTTTGTCCTTTTTCTTCTTCTTTATTGGCAGCTCCCTCTTACTTCTCTGCTCCTCCCTCACTCGAATTCCTATTTAATACAGAGACCTGTAGGGTCTCTTAATTTTGTAGTTTCTCTGTGGAGTGTATCTTACCTTTGCACCCCAAATAGCTTTTCAAGGTTTACTGTTAAACATAGGGTATCTCTGTGGAGGGACATGGGATGTTACATAATGCCTCTGACCTCCCTGTCGCATTTTATTGACTTCTCTGTTTTTATGTGAACTCCATGATCTCATCTTGGACCATGTGTCAAAAAAGAAGAAATTTTAAAAAATGGCAAACTCCATGAGAACAGAGACCTTGTCTGCCTTGTTCATTGCTGTATCCTTAACACCTAGAACTTGGTTGGTGCATATTGGGCTCTTAATAAATATTCATTAAATGAATAAATGACTGAATAGGTGAATGGATGAGTGTAAGATTGCTTAGACTAAAGAATAATTCAAATTTAACTCTCCTTCCTACTTTTAGATTGCCAGAGGGAGAGATTCAAGCCTAGTCTACATAAATGCTCTGATAATCCAGGCACAAGAGCAAATCAAGTCCAGTTGTCCAATTTTTAATTCAGTGTGGCCATCACTAAGGGAGTTAAAATGCCTACAGTTCCTATAACTTAGTGAGAATGTAGGTGAGCATAAGACCAATATGAGAGAAGAGGTTATGAGAGTCTACACACATTTTGAGATGACAGGAAGATAAGCTTCTTTCTATAACTAAGACCCACAGAAAATATACGAGGATTCAAGGCTAAAATTTTTTTGCATACCATTGCCTTGTTGGGGAATGTGCCATCTGTCCATTCATCCATCCATCATTCATCCATCCATCTATCCATCCATCCATCCATCCATCCACCATCCATTCATTCATCCATCCATCCATTCATCCAACCATGCAACCATCCAACCATGCAACTATGCAAACCATCCATCCATCCATCCATCCATCCATCCATCCATACATACATCTACCCACCCACCCATCCACCCATCTGCCCATCCGTCCACCCACCCACCCACCCAACCATCCATCCAAAGCAATATATATATAATATTGATAAATATGCTGTAGCTTAATCGGTGTGAAATTAAGTTAATATCAGTGCCTACTTAACCAAGTTATCATGAGATTGAAATAACATTATCTAGGTAAAGCACTCAGCACTGGATCTATTGCATAATAGAAACTCAATAAATAGTAACTATTGTTATTAGGATCTAAATACCACACCTGAATTCCATGGCCCCAGCTCTTTCCCAGACAGACATCAAACATTCAGTTCAATTTTATTCTCCAGTACTTGAGGAAGGTAAATAGGGTGAAGGAATCTGAAGAGGAAGTAGGTAGAGTCAGGCTGGATCATTGAAGAACAGAGACTGGTAGGTTGGGTCTGGGGTGTGGAATTGAGGGGAGGGCCACCGGGGCCATCCCCCTCTAAAAATGTTGCTGGAAGTCAGTCTCCAGATGACCCTACTGTAAAGGGTCATCCATAAAGAGCATCCATGAGGGTAGTCAGGAGGCAGGAACACAGGCAGGATACAGGAACATGATATAGGCAAACACTCCTCCACTGAGACAGCTGGTCAACCCAGGCCCAGCCTACCTCAGGGCGCTGTAGGGCCCAATGGGTATGTTGATCCGGCTCTGCAGCCAGCTGATGTAATCCTCTTGAGGCATATGGATGATGTGTTCTCGCACAAACTGTGAGGCAGACATAGTGGCAATCTCAGAATTTGCTCTGAAAAGTAGACTCCACCTTCTCTCCCTCCCCTCAAGATCCTGGAAGATTTGTGACTGAGACTGGTGGCCCCAGGAATACCATTTGGGCATTCATAATCTTGGAGCATCAGATTGGGGTGGTCCTTTGGTGAAGAGGACCCCTTTCCAGCTTCCTGGCTCAGCAGGCTAATGTTAAGCCCCTTCTTGTTGCTATCGATGCAAGGAAATTTGGGGAGGACAGGAAGTCCCAGCTATCTGCATTTTTCTTTCTTTTCTACTCCTTAATATCTTTTCAAACAGTCATTTGTTGTTAAACGTTTTTGGTTTGTAAATCCGTTTCAGAATTGATGACAGCTATGGGCTTAATTTCCTGGAAAGGGTTTAAGACACACAAAAGGAAGAGTTTCATGTAGACCCCCACATCCAGATTATTAGAAATTCTGTGATGTTGGGTGGCTAGCAAGACGGCTGAATAGGAACAGCTCCAGTCTGCAGCTCCCAGTGAGATCAACACAGAAGGTGGGTGATTTCTGCATTTCCAGCTGAGGTACCTGGCTCATCTCATTGGGACTGGTTAGACAGTGGGTGCAGCACAGAGGGCAAGCTGAAGCAGGGTGGGGTGTTGCCTCACCCAGGAAGCACAAGGGGTCAGATAATTCTCTCCCCTAGCCAAGGGAAGCTGTGAGGGACTGTGCTGTGAGGAACAGTGCATTCTGGCCCAGATACTACGCTTTTCCCATGGTCTCCACAACCCGCAGACCAGGAGATTCCCTTGGGTGCCTACACAACCAGGACCCTGGGTTTTAAGCACAAAACTGGGTGGCCATTTGGGCAGACACCAAGCTAGCTGCAGGAGTTTTTTTCTTATACCCCTGTGGCACCTGGAATGCCAGTGAGAGACAACTGCCACTCCCCTGGAAAGGGGGCTGAAGCCAGGGAGCCAAGTGGTCTAGCTCACTGGATCCCACTTCCACGGAGCCCAGCAAGCTAAGATCCACTGGCTTGAAATTCCTGCCGCCAGCACAGCAGTCTGAAGTCGACGTGGGTTGTTGGAGTTTGGTGGGGGGAGGGACGTCCGCCATTATGGAGGTTTGGGTAGGCAGTTTTCCCCTCACAGTGTAAACAAAGCCACCAGAAAGTTCAAACTGGGCAGAGCCCACAGCAAAGCCACTGTAGCCAAACTGCCTCTCTAGATTCCTCCTTTCTGGGCAGGGCATCTCTGAAAGAAAGGCAGCAGCCCCAGTCAGGGACTTATAGATAAAACTCCCATCTCCCTGGGACAGAGCACCTGGGAGAAGGGGCGGTTGTGGGTGCAGCTTCAGCAGACTTAAACATTCCTGCCTGCCGGCTCTGAAGAGAGCAGTGGATCTCCCAGCACAGCGCTCAAGCTCTGCTAAAGGACAGACTGCCTCAAGTGGGTCCCTGACCGCCATGTCTCCTGACTGGGAGACACCTCCCAGGAGGGGTTGACAGACACCTCATATGGGAGAGCTCTGGCTGGCATCAGGCTGGTGCCCCTCTGAGATGAAGCTTCCAGAGGAAGGAACAGGCAGCAATCTTTGCTGTTCTGCAGCCTCCACTGGTGATACCCAGGAAAACAGGGTCTGGAGTGGACCTCCAGCAAACTCCAGCAGACCTGAAGCAGAGGGGGCTGACTGTTAGAAGGAAAACTAACAAACAGAAAGGAATAGCATCAACATCAACAAAAAGCACATCCACACAAAAACCCCATGTGATGGTCACCAACATCAGAGACCAAAAGTAGATAAATCCATGAAGATGAGGAAAAACCAGCACAAAAAGGCTGAAAATTCCCAAAACCAGAACGCTTCTTCTCCTCCAAAGGATCACAGTTCCTCACCAGCAAGGGAACAAAACTGGGCAGAGAATGAGTTTGACAAATTGACAGAAGTAGGCTTCAGAAGATGGATGATAACAAACTCCTCTGAGCTAAAGGAGCATGTTCTAACCCAATGCAAGGAAGCCAAGAACCTCTAAAAAAGGTTAGAGGAATTGCTAACTAGAATAACCAGTTTAGGAGTCTGTTCCAAGATGGCCGAATAGGAACAGCTCCAGTCTGCAGCTCCCAGCATGATCGATGCAGAAGACAGGTGATTTCTGCATTTCCAACTGAGGTACCTGGTTCATCTCATTGGGACTGGTTGGAAAGTGGGTGCAGCCCATGGAGGGCAAGCCGAAACAGGGCAGGGTATCGCCTCACCCAGGAAGTGCAAGGGGTTGGGGGTTTTCCCTTTCCTAGCCAAGGGAAGCCGGGACAGACTGTACCTGGAAAATCAGGACACTTCTGCCCAAATACTGTGCTTTTCCAATGGTCTTAGGAAATGGCACACCAGGAAATTATATGCGCCTGGCTCGGCAGGTCCCATGCCCATGGAGCATTGCTCACTGCTAGTGCAGCAGTCTGAGATCAACCTGTGAGGCAGCAGCCTGGCAGGGGGAGGGGCATCCGCCATTGCTGAGGCTTGAGTAGGTAAACAAAGTGGCCGTGGAAGCTCGAACTGGGTGGAGTCCACCACAGCTCAGCAAGGCCTGTTGCCTCTGTAGATTCCACCTCTGGGGGCAGGGCATAGCTGAACAAAAGGCAGCAGATACTTCTGCAGACTTAAACGTCCCTGTCTGACAGCTCTGAAGAGAGTACTGGTTCTCCCAGCATGATGTTTGAGCTCTGAGAACAGACAGACTGCCTCCTCAAGTGGGTCCCTGACCCCCATGTAGCTTCACTGGGAGACACCTCCCAGTAGGGGCCAACTGACACCTCATACAGGCGGGCGCCCCTTTGGGACGAAGCTTCCAGAGGAAGGATCTAGCAGCAATATTTGCTGTTCTACAGCCTCCGCTGGTGATACCCAGGCAAACAGGGTCTGGAGTGGACCTCCAGCAAACTCCAACAGACCTGCAGCTGAGAGACCTGACTGTGAGACGGAAAACTAACAAACAGAAAGGAATAGCATCAACATCAACAAAAAGGACATCCACACCAAAACCCCATCTGTAGGTCACCACCAACAAAGACCAAAGGTAGATAAAACCACAAAGGTGGGGAGAAACCAGAGCAGAAAAGCTGAAAATTCTAAAAACTGGAGCACCTCTTCTCCTCCAAAGGATCGCAACTCCTTGCCAGCAATGGAACAAAGCGGGATGGAGAATGACTTTGACGAGCTGACAGAAGTAGGCTTCAGAAGGTCGGTAATAACAAACTTCTCCAAGCTAAAGGAGGATGTTTGAACCCATTGCAAGGAAGCTAAAAACCTTGAAAAAAGATTAGACGAATGGCGAACTAGAATAAACAGTGAAGAGAAGACCTTAAATGACCTGATGGAGCTGAAAACCAAGGCACAAGAACTACGTGAAGAATTCACAAGCTTCAGTAGCCGATTCAATCTAGTGGAAGAAAGGGTATCAGTGGTTGAAGATCAAATTAATGAAATAAAGTGAGAAGAGAAGTTTAGAGAAAAGAGTAAAAAGAAATGAACAAAGCCTCCAAGACATATGGGACTATGTGAAAAGACCAAAACTATGTTTGATTGGTGTACCTGAAAGTGATGGGGAGAATGGAACCAAGTTGGAAAATATTCTGCAGGATATTATCCAGGAGAACTTCCCCAACCGAGCAAGGCAGGCCAACATTCAAATTCACAAAATACAGAGAACACCACAAAGATACTCCTTGAGAAGAGCAAGCCCAAGACACATAATTGTCAGATTTACCAAGGTTGAAATGAAGGAAAAAATGTTAAGGGCAGTCAGAAAGTTCAGGTTACCCACAAAGGAAGCCCATCAGACTAACAGTGGATCTCTCAGCAGAAACTCTACAAGCCAGAAGAGAGTAAGGGCCAATATTCAGCATTCTTAAAGAAAAGGATTTTCAACCCAGAATTTCATATCCAGCCAAACTAAGCTTCATAAGTGAAGGAGAAATAAAATCCTTTACAGACAAGCAAATGGTGAGAGATTTTTGTCACCACCAGGCCTGCCTTACAACAGTGCCTGAAGGAAGCACTAAACATAAAAAGGAACAACCGGTACCAGCCACTGCAAAAACATGCCAAATTGTAAAGACCATCGATGCTAGGAAGAAACTGCATCAGCTAATGGGCAAAATAACCAGCTAACATCATAATGACGGGATCAAATTCACACATAGCAATATTAACCTTAAACGTAAATGGGCTAAATACCCCAATTAAAAGACACAGACTGGCAAATTGGATGAAGAGTCAAGATCCATCACTATGCTGTATTCAGTAGACCCATCTCACGTGCAGAGACACACATAGGCTCAAAATAAAGGGATGGAGGAAGATGTACCAAGCAAATGGAAAGCAAAAAATGGAGGGGTTGCAATTCTAGTCTCTGATAAAACAGACTTCAAATCAACAAAGATCAAAAGAGACAAAGAAGGCCATTACATAATGGTAAAGGGATCAATTCAACAGGAAGAGCTAACTATCCTAAATATAGATGCACCAAATACAGGAGCACCCAGATTCAAAAAGCAAGGCCTTAGAGACCTACAAAGAGACTTAGACTCCTACACAATAATAATGGGAGACTTTAACACCCCACTGTCAATATTAGACAGATCAAGGAGACAGAAGTTTAACAAGGATATCCAGGACTTGAACTCAGCTCTGCACCAAGCAGACCTAATAGACATCTACAGAACTCTCCACCCCAAATCAACAGAATAGACATTCTTCTTAGCACCACATCGCACTTATTCCAAAACTGACCACATAGTTGGAAGGAAAGCACTCCTCAGCAAATGTAAAAGAGCAGAAATTATAACAAACTGTCTCTCAGACCACAGTGCAATCAAATTAGAATTCAGGATTAAGAAACTCACTCAAAACTGCACAACTACATGGAAACTGAACATCCTGCTCCTGAATGACTACTGGGTACATAACGAAATGAAGGCAGAAATAAAGATGTTCTTTGAAACCAATGAAAACAAAGACACAAGGTGCCTGAATCTCTGGGACACACTTAAAGCAGTGTGTAGAGGGAAAATTTATAGCACTAAATGCCCACAAGAGAAGGCAAGAAAGATCTAAAATCAACACCCTAACATCACAATGAAAAGAACTAGACAAGCAAGAGCAAACAAATTCAAAACTAGCAGAAGACAAGAAATAACTAAGATTAGAGCAGAACTGAAGGAGATAGAGACACAAAAAACCCTTCAAATAATCAATGAATCCAGGAGCTGGTTTTTTGAAAAGATCAACAAAATTGATAGACTGCTAGCAAGAGTAACAAAGAAGAAAAGAGAGAAGAATCAAATAGACGCAATAAAAAATGATAAAGGGAATATCACCACTGATCCCACAGAAATACAAACTACCATCAGAGAATACCATAAACACCTCTGCGCAAATAAACTAGAAGATCTAGAAAAAATGGATAAATTCCTGGACACATACACCCTGTCAAGACTAAACCAGGAAGAAATTGAATCTGAATAGACTGATAACAGGCTCTGAAATTGAGGCAGTAATTAATAGCCTACCAAGAAAAAAAGTCCAGGACCATACGGATTCACAGCCAAATTCTACCAGAGGTACAAAGAGGAGCTGGTACCATTCCTTCTGAAACTATTCCAGTCAATAGAAAAAGAGGGAATCCTCCCCAACTCATTTTATGAGGCCAACATCATCCTGATACCAAAGCCTGACAGAGACAAAACAAAAAAAGAGAATTTTTAGACCAATATCCCTGATGAACATCGATGTGAAAGTCCTCAATAAAATACTGGCAAACCGAGTCCAGCAGCAAATCAAAAAGCTTATCCACCACGATCAAGTCAGCTTCATCCCTGGGATGCAAGGCTGGTTCAACATATGCAAATCAATAAACGTAATCCATCACATAAACAGAACCATCGACAAAAACCACATGATTATCTCAATAGATGCAGAAAAGGCCTTTGACAAAATTCAACAGCCCTTCATGCTAAAAACTCTCAATAAACTATGTATTGATGGAATGTATCTCAAAATAATGAGAGCTATTTATGACAAACCCACAGCCAATATCATACTGAATGGGCAAAAACGGGAAGCATTCCTTTTGAAAACTGGCACAAGACAGGGATGCCGTCTCTCACCACTCCTATTCAACATAGTGTTGGAAGTTCTGGCCAGGTCAATCAGGCAAGAGAAAGAAATAAAGGGTATTCACTTAGGAAAAGAGGAAGTCAAAATGTCCCTATTTGCAGATGACATGATTGTATATTTAGAAAACCCCATTGTCTCAGCCCAAAATCTCCTTAAGCTGATAAGCAACTTCAGCAAAGTCTCAAGATACAAAATCAATGTGGAAAAATCACAAGCATTCCTATATACCAATAACAGACAGAGAGCCAAATCATGGGTGAACTCCCATTCACAATTGCTACAAAGAGAATAAAATACCTAGGAAACCAACTTACAAGGGATGTGAAGGACCTCTTCAAGGAGAACTACAAACCACTGCTCAACGAAATAAAAGAGGACACAAACAAATGGAAAAATATTCCATGCTCATGGATAGGAAGAATCAATATTGTGAAAATGGCCGTACTCCCCAAGGTAATTTATAGATTCAATGCTATCCCCATCAAGCTACCAATGACTTTCTTCACAAAATTGGAAAAAACTACTTTAAAATTCATATGGAACCAAAAAAGAGCCCGTATTGTCAAGTCAATCCTAAGCAAAAAGAACAAAGCTGGAGGCATCACACTACCTGACTTCAAACTATACTACAAGGCTACAGTAACCAAAACTGCATGGTACTGGTACCAAAACAGACTTATAGACCAATGGAACAGAACAGAGGCCTCAGAAAAAACACCACACATCTACAACCATCTGATCTTTGACAAACCTGACAAAAACAAGCAATGGGGAAAGGATTCCCTGTTTAATAAATGGTGATGGGAAAACTGGCTAGTCTTATGTAGAAAGCTGAAACTGGATCCCTTCCTTACAACTTATACAAAAATTAATTCAAGATGGATTAAAGACTTAAACGTTAGACCTAAAACCATAAAAACCCTAGAAGAAAACCTAGGCAGTACCATTCAGGACATAGGCATGGGCAAAGACTTCATGACTAAAACACCAAAAGCAATGGCAACAAAAGGCAAAATAGACAAATGGGATCTGATTAAACTAAAGAGCTTCTGCACAGCAAAAGAAACTATCATCATAGTGAACAGGCAACCTACAGAATGGGAGAAAATTTTTGCAATCTACCCATCTGACAAAGGGCTAATATCTAGAATCTACAAGGAACTTAAACAAATTTAGAAGAAAAAAATAAACAACGCCATCAAAAAGTAGGTGAAGGATATGAATAGACACTTCTCAAAAGAAGACATTTATGCAGCCAACAAACAAATGAAAAAAGGCTCATCATCACTGGTCATTAGATAATTGCAAATCAAAACCACAATGAGATACCATCTCATGCCAGTTAGAATGACGATCATTAAAAAGTCAGGAAACAATAAATGCTGGAGAGGATGTGGAGAAATAGGAATGCTTTTACACTATTGATGGGAGTGTAAATTAGTTCAACCATTTTGGAAGACAGAGTGGTGATTCCTCAAGGATCTAGAGCCAGAAATACCATTTGATCCAGCAATCCCATTACTGGATGTATACCCAAAGGATTATAAATCTTTCTACTATAAAGACACATGTACACATATGTTTACTGCAGCACTATTCACAATAGCAAAGACTTGGAACCAACCCAAATGCCCATCAATGATAGACTGGATAAAGAAAATGTTGCACATATACACCATAGAATACTATGCAGCCATAAAAAAGGATGAGTTCATGTCCTTTGCAGGGACATAGATGAAGCTGGAAATCATCATTCTCAGCAAATTAACACAGGAACAGAAAACCAAACACATGTTCTCACTCATAAGTGGGAGTTGAACAATGAGAACACATGGACACAGGAAGGGAAACATCACAAGCTGGGGCCTGTCAGGGGATGGGGGTCTAGGGGAGGGATAGCATTAGGAGAAATACCTAATGTAGATGATGGGTTGATGGGTGCAGAAAACCACCATGACACATGTATACCTATGTAACAAACCTTCACGTTACGCACATGTATCCCAGAACTTAAAGTATAATGATAATAATAATAATAATAATAATAATAATAATAATAGTTCTGTGATGTTCTCACTAGGAAAAGAGCTTGCTAAATTTTATTAGTCAGGGCTGTGAACTCACCTCATATAAAAGAGGAGCCCCTAGTACTCCCTCTTCTTACCCATGCAGGGACTAGCTTTTCAAAGTCCTCCATAACTTCAAGTGGAAGTTGGACCCCATAACTGGTAAATAGAAGGTGGAAGTTGCCCTAGAGTTAGTTTTGGCCAAACCTGCTAGAATCTTTCCTGAAGGAGCCTCACGGGTCATGGGGAGTAGAGTCTTGGCATTTGAATTTGTCTACAAGGTCATCCCCCTCCTTCCACTCCTAACCTTGCCCTCATTAACACACCCAGGTCATTCTGTGGAAGGGCCCTCCTGGTATGAAAATGTCAAACGCTCCATAGCCTGTCAAGGCCTGGGAATTTGACCTTTTGAGTCACTTCTTTACCAGGAGGGAGGCGTTGAAGGCCCTGTTAAAATGCACATATGCCGTCTGATAAAATTAAAGAAGTGACTTCATTAACCTCTGCTAACACCTTACTGTGGAGTCCTTGTATTGCTGATGCATTTTGACAAACACCAGGAACTTCTTCTGGTGATGGTGGTGAATGACAATGGAAAACTGTTTAGTGGCTCCTAAATTTTTATCTTGACCTTCAAAGGTTTGCACAGACTGACCTCTCCAATCCCCTGGGAACTATGCACTCCTTGCCTGCTTCCTTCCATACTCACTGAGTGCCAGTGAGTTCTTCCAACAAGTCAAGTCGTGTGCTGCTTTGGGATCTTTGCACACACTGTCTTCTCTTCTTGATCTGCTCTTTCCCTTTCTCTTCATGGTGCCGTCTTCTCATGATTCTGGTCTTGCCTTAAAAGTCACCTTCCCAGTTGCCTGAGTTAAGGTAGATCCCTTCTAACTTACATACGGGGCTTCTCAAACTGTATTGTGCATACAAGACACCTGGAATCCCATTAAAATATAAACTTGGAGTTGGCAGATTGACTTGAAACCTGCAATTCTGCGTTTCTAACAAGCACCCAGGTGAGGTCCATGCTGCTGGTCCATGGAGTACACTTTTAGTAGCAAGATAAAGGACTCCTTATTACTGCCCATTTTTTATGCCACCCCAAAGCCTCTGAGTTTCCAGGGGGTACCATTTATATAGAATATAATGTCCCTTGCAGTTGGAGTTGGGCAACCAGGTAATGGGACAATCCCTCTACTATTAGAATATGAGCTCCATAAAGGCAGGGGACTTTGTGTCCCCAGCACTTAAACAGTGCCTGAATGTTGAGAGGTGATTGAATGAGGACACCTGAAACACTGTGGAGGGGAAGGAGGTGGTGTTTACCTCAATAGCCACAGCGATGTCAGGGGAGCACAGTTCCCAAATCCTCAGATCCTGCAGCACCTTCAGGAGGACATGGGGTCGAATCCGCAAGTCCAGGTTTTCTCCAAACTTCTGCAGTTTCACCAGGATCTTTTTGGCGGGGCGGAAGTTCTTTAGATCCTCTGGCAGTTTGGACAACAGATCAAAGTACCTTCAATTCCAAAAGGAGAGGACAAGTTAGGAAGCTGCTGGAAGATCTGAGCACCTCTGGCCATCCATCTCCACTTTCTCTTTCTGCTCTCTGTGATGTCTCCAGGGCAGCAGTATTCTTTATCTAGGGACCTTTCCTCTGTGACCCACAGATCAGGCCTGTCTTTACTTTTAGGGGTAGAAAAAGATGGAGAATGACTTGCATTTCATTAAAAAATAAAACAAAGGTGTGATTTCAAGGGATGTATTTGTAATTTTTCTATCAGACAATGTGAAATGTTAGAAGAAAGGAATGGACTTTGGGATCTGAAACTTCTCTTCTGAGGGTTAATCAGGTCGGAGTTGATGTACACACATCTTTGGGATGTCTACTAGGATGCTGGAGGCTCTCACACACGACGGTGTGTGTGTGTATTTTCTATCTCTTTGATTAATGAGCAAGGTTGGGTCAAAGCTTTGTGTATTTCAGTGTTATGTGAATGTGAGAGTAGTTTTGGAATCCATCCTTGAAGAACCTACTTGATCTAATCTACCTTAGGTCTAACCTAAGGAGATGGTTCAGATGTGATCAGGTTTAAGGCTGGTAGATCTCTTAAAAAAAAAAAAACTCCCTCACCCCTTGCTATATATGTGCCCATTGTGGAAAATTTTGAAGATGTAACTGATCATCCATTATATGTTTTGGGCTTCTCATACTGCTTTATATTCTAGGATATATATTTATTATATTGATTCCTGTCTCCTTGTTTAGAATAAAGTCCCGTTGAGGAGAAGAGGAAACTTGTCTGAGTTATTCAGTATTCAGACTGCTAGAATACTGCCTAACTCATAGTAGGTGCTCAATAACTATCATTTGAAAAACTGAATGAGTAATTGGATGAATGAACAACTACAACTCAACATCATCCTTACGACGCTGTGGTTTGTTTGACTTGATTTTAATGTTACTATGGAGGGCAATTACTTCCCCCATAATAATGACAGAAATTCCACCATTAGATTTGTGGGCTGAATCTCACTGTGGGAGGACCAGCATTAATTTCCTTCTGTAATACCTTTATGTGAGTTAGTTCATAACAACCTTTCCTCCTCCCCCCAAATTCCCTCCCACAGAGGGAAGAGGGTTTGCAGAAGACCCTTTTCTCCCTTTCGTAAGAGGGTCCCTCTTAAAAGACTCATGTATCTTCAGGGCCAGACATTGCTTGTGAGAAAGTGATGTTCTGGGATGTGAGGATGTGTAGAAGTTCCAACAACTCTGCAAAGACTCCAGGGACCTGCTTGTAAGTTCCTGTTTCACATTATAAAACTCATGGAAGGGATTCTGGGTACATTTTTTACTTTCTCATCTTACTCTTAAATCTTAGTGTATTCACCCTGCTAGGATGGGGTTCGGGACACCACAGTTCAGTAGATTCCAATTCTGTATTGCAAATGAGCACACAGACTGAGGTTAGACAGGAGTTCGAATCCTAAATTCACCAGTTAACTGATGGTGTGACCTTTGACAAGTGAATTTACCCCTCTGAGTCTCTGTTTCCTTGTTTGTGAAATGGGGGTTAATATGTATCTTTCAGGATTATTTTGTTGGGGGGGATAAAATGGACAATTTATGAAAATTGCTTATGTAGTGACTGCCATCCAGTAATCACTCAATTCATGTTGCTTTTTTTGTTGTTACTTATCATCACCCTTATGCTGTGGCACAGTGTTTCTAGGATATGACTGCCTGGTTTTGCACTTTTTAGGGATTACGTTACTTGGGGGGATGCAGTGATCACCCCCATAGACCTCAGAATCTGTAGAAATTTTCAGGTTGATATGCCTCATCTGCCTGTCCCACAGGGCCTGGCAAGGTTGTCCTTATTTGCAAGTCTGAATCAAACAGCAGGTAAATATGGAGAACGCAATGGGTTGGATTATCTGTGATTTCAGAAACCAGGAGTTTTGGGCCTGATTGTGCTCTGGATTTAGTGTTTCTGGGGGGTGGGGGATCCTGTTGATGGCCAATGACAGTTTTGGAGTAATGCCTCTCTATGCCTTGAAGGACAGTGGAATCAATAGTGATCTTGTAATAACAACACCCTGTTCTCTTCCAGGGACCATCTTATCTGGTTCTTAGGATATTTACCAGTGGTCTGCAATTTCTTCTGCATCTCCTTTTACTACAGATATGTGATGTCTCATTTTTGCTATGTCCTTTTGAAAATTTGAGACAAGGACAAAAGCACGGAACTTCTGGATACCTCTCTCTTCTTGGCGCCTACAAGGTTGTATGAGAAAGAGAGAGAAGAATGAGATCCCCTCCTCCTGTAACCATCTTAGCTGCCCTTTGAGATCTGACTTAAACACCTTTTCCTTCATGAGGCTTTTCTTAACCCTGTCAGCTAATCTTTAACTTAGGCTCTGGCTTTTGCCACAAGAGGATACAGCTCTCTCCAAGGTCCTGAAGCACTACTTAAGCACAGTTAAATCTAGTCACTTTTTATTAGCTTTCATTCTCTTCCTACTTCTGATTGTATTTACATAGCTTTTCAGTCTCTAAGATGGGGAATAATAATGATTCCTATTTTCCAGAGGTGAGGATTAAATGATATAATGTGTGTAAACTGTTGAGATTCATGCCAGACACACAGTAGGTGTTAACTTGTGCTGGTTCCTCTCTTCCCCACTCCCCTTATCATCTTGTGCCTATGTTCTGTCTCTCCAATGAGACTTTATATTATAAATATCACCATGTCACCCCACTGCCTACAGCTTTCAATAGCTTTTCAGTTTACTCAGAATAAATTCTTCTCTAAGGCTCTAAATTATTCAGCCCCCACATTTTCCAGCTTTATCCTCATCCTTTCCATCCCTTCTCTTCCAGAATTTTATCCTTTGGGTCATGATCAAAGTCTCTGAGATGCCGGGCGCAGTGGATCATGCCTGTAATCCCAGCACTTTGGGAGGGTGGATCATGAGGTCAGGAGATCGACACCATCCTGGCTAACATGGTGAAACCCCGTCTCTACTAAAAAAATACAAAAAAAAATTAGCCGGGCGTGGTGGCGGGCGCCTGTAGTCCCAGCTACTCGGGAGACTGAGGCGGGAGAATGGCGTGAACCCAGGAGGCGGAGCTTGCAGTGAGCCGAGATTGCGCCACTGCACTCTAGCCTGGGCGACAGAGCGAGACTCCATCTCAATAAAAAAAAAAAAAAAAAAAAAAAAAGAAAGAAAGAAAGAAAGAAAAAACAAAGTCTCTGAGATAAAGCTCAACCTCCACAGCTGGGCTATCACAGCCTTTTATAATCTGGCTTCTCTAGCTCTCTGATCACCTTGCAAACACTGTATGCCCCAGCCACACCTGACTACTGGCAGTTCCCTGGCTCTCTGTGCCCCTCTGACTTCTGGGACCTATCTGTTGCTTTTCCTTGAAACTCCCTTCCACCCTACTTTTCCAGCATGACTTTTTAAAAATTTGTTTTAGATTTGGGGCTACATGTGAAGATTTGTTACATAGATAAACATGTGTCACGGGGGTTTGTTGTACATATTACTACATCACCCAGGTATTAAGCTCTGTACCCAATAGTTATTTTTTTGCTCCTCCCCCTCCTCCCACCATCCCCCCTCAAGGTAGACTCCAGTGTCTGTTGTTTCCTTCTTTGTGTTCATAAATTCTTATCATTTAGCTTCCACTTACAAGTGAGAACATGTGGTATTTGGTTTTCTGTTCCTGTGTTAGTTTGCTAGGATCATAGCCTTCAGCTCCATCTATGTTCCCCAAAAATACATGATCTCATTCTTTTTTATGGCTGCATAATATTCCATGGTATGAATGTACCACAATTTTTTATCCAGTCTGTCATTGATGGGCATTTAGATTGATTCTGTGTCCTTTCTATTGTGAATAGTGCTGCAGTGGACATTCACATGCATGTGTCTTTATGGTAGGATGATTTATATTCCTTTGGGTAGTATATACCCAGTAATGGGATTGCTGGATTAAATGGAAGTTCTGCTTTTAGCTCTTTAAGGAATAGCCATATTGCTTTCCACAATGGTTGAACTAATTTACACTCCCACCAACAGTGTATAAGGATTCCTTTTTCTCCATGACCTCACCAGCATCTGTTATTTTTTGACTTTTTAATAATAGTCATTCTGACTGGAGTGAGATGGTATCTCATTGTGGTTTTGATTTGCATTTCTCTAATGATCAGTGATGTTGAGCTTTTTAAAATATGCTTCTTGGCCACAATGTATGCCTTCTTTTAAGAAAGTGTCTGTTCATGTCCTTTGCCCACTTTTCAATGGGTTGTTTTTCTCTTGTAAATTTCTTTAAGTTCCTTATAGATGCTGGATATTAGACCTTTGTCAGATGCATAGTTTGCAAATATTTTCTCCCATTCTGTGGGGTGTCAGTTTACTCGGTTGATAGCATCTTTTGCTGGGCGGAAGCTCTTAAGTTCAATTAGATCCCATTTGTCAATTTTTGCTTTTGTTGCAATTGCTTTTGGTGTCTTTGTCATAAAATCTTTGCCCATTCCTAGGTCCAGGATGGTATTGCCTAGGTTGTCTTCCAGGGATTTTATAGTTTTGGGTTTTACATTTAAGTCTTTAATCCATCTTGAGTTGATTTTTATTTATGGTGTAAGGGAGGGGTCTAGCTTCAATCTTCTGCATATGGCTAGCCAGTTATCCCAGCACCATTTATTGAATAGAGAGTTTTTTCCCCATTGCTTGTTTTGTCACCTTTGTCAAAGATCAGATGGCCATACATGTGCAGCCTTACTCTGGGCTCTCTGTTCTGTTCTATCAGTCTATGTGCCTGTTTTTGTACCAGTATCATGCTGTTTTGGTCACTGTCACCTTGTAGTATAGTTTGAGGTCAGGTGATGTGATTCCTCCAGTTTTGTTCTTTTTGCTTAAGATTGCCTTGGTTATTCAGGCTCTTTTTTGGTTCCATATAATTTTTAAAATATTTTTTTCTAGTTCTGTGAAGAATATCTTTTTGGTAGTTTGATAGGAATATAATTGAATCTATAAATTGCTTTGGGCAGTATAGCCATTTTAGTGATATTGATTCTTCCTACTCATGAGCATGGGATGTTTTTCCATTTGTTTGTGTCTTTGATTTCTTTGAGCAGTGTTTTGTAATTCTCATTGTAGAGATCTTTCACTTCCCTAGGTATTTTTGTGTGTATTTGTATTAGCTGATAGCAGTCTTTCCTTTCTATATTTAGTGCTCCTTTCAAGATTTCTTGGAAGGCAAGTTTGGTGGTGATTAAGTCCCTCAACATTTGCTTATCTGAAAAGGATCTTATTTCTTTTTCACATAGGAAGCTTAGTTTGTCTGGATATGAAATTCTTTGTTGAAGATTTTTTTCTTTAAGAATGTTGAATATAGCCCCCCAGTCTCTTCTGGCTTACAGGGTTTCAGCTGAGAGGTCTGCTGTTAGCCACATGGGGATCCCTTTTTTGGTGACCTGCCCTTTCTCTCTAGCTGCCTTTAACATTCTTCATTATGACCTTGGAAAACCTGATGATTATGTGTCTTGGGGATGATCTTCTTGTATAGAATCTTGCAGGAGTTGTCTGTATTTCCTGAATTTGACTATTGGCTTCTCTAGCAAGGTTGAAGAAGTTTTCATGGATGACATCCTGAAATATATTTTCCAAGTTGTTCAGCATGACTCTTTGGGTTTGAATTCTAGCTTTACTACTTAGCCATTGGAGAACCTTTGACAAGAGGCATCTCTGAGCTCACTTTTATCATCTACAAAATAAGTTAATGATAGCACCTACCTCATAGGATTGTTGTGAGCATTAAATGATACATAAATACAAAGCTCTTACATCCATGACTGGTACATAGTAAGTGCCCTGGAAATATCATCTATGTTTATTAAACTGAAAATATTGTTTCCAGCTGTGTGTGGTGGCTCATGCTTGCAAACCCAGCATTTTGGGAGGCCAAGGTGAGAGGACTGCTTGAGGCCAGGAGTTTGACACCAGCCTGGAAAATATAGCAAGACCCTATCTGTAAAAATACCCCAAAAACCAAAAACCAAAAAACTTATCACTCGAGGCTGCAGTAAGGTATGATCATGCCACTGAACTCCAGCCTGGGTAACAGAGCAAAACCCTGTCTCAAAAAAAAAAAAAAAAAAAGAAAAGAAAAGAAAAGAAACTGCTGTTTCCTCCAAGGAAACCTTTCTGAGGGCTGTCCTGGGCCAGGTGGGGCATCCCTTTTGTGTTCAGGCTGCTTCCTCCCACAACATCCAGACCCCTGTGTGCTACTTTCCTGTTTACCTTTCCATCTTCCCTACTGGACTGTTAGCTCCCAGAAGGAAAGGGCAAGGATTAGTCTTCTCCAACCCTAGCCCCAGAGCATTCAGCCCATTAGTGCTGTGAAAATGAGAGTGCAACGGGCTATGATGCAAACTTTGTTGTATAGATGCATTCATCGGGATGGATGGTCTCTGGAGTCAAGGAGTAAGCTAGAAAGGGCAGAAGTTATTGGGTTATCAGAACAGGGAAGAAAAACTTTCAGTGGCTTTCTGGTGCTCTTAAGATCAAATCCCGCATCATAACTCTGGCATTTGTGGCTTGCGTGATGCAGCCCTCATCTACCACTTGTCCATCCTCTTCAAATTCTCCATGTCCCTTCTGGACTTGGGACTTTGCATGCACTTTTCCTTCTACCTGGAATGTCATTCCACCTTCTCATCACACTGCTGGCTCTTCCTCATCCTTCAGGACTCATCTAAAAGTCACCTCCTCAGAGAGGTCTTCCCAGATTTCCCCATCTAGATTAGGTACCTATGCTCTCTATCTCTGTCTCATAGCACCCTGTTCTCTTACTGTAGGACAATGATTAGAATTTGTACCTATATATTTATGGATGCAGTTATTTTGTTTCTGCCCATATTTTCCAGAAGACTGTGAGCTCCCTGAGGACAGAGAACAAGTTCTTCTTGTTTGTGATATAGCCCCAGCACCTGGCACCTGGCAGGCATATAGTAGGTACCCAGTGAATGCTGTTTGAATGAATGGATATATATGTGCGCTTACTTCATGAGGATTTCCATCTTGTCCTGCAGGCAGAAGCCAGCCTCCTGGGCTACGCTGTAAAACTTGGCCCTCATGGTGTTACACACCCCACTCTTGTAGTGGATGTTGATGTCACAATTAGTGCGGCTGTGGACACAGATAAGAAGGGCTTGGGGAATGGAGCCCAGGGATGTCCCCTAGTAACCTGGGTCCCACTCTGGCCCCCCTTAGCCCCAAGGTGCTCTGCATGGGGGACTCCCTGTAGCCACCTGGGTTCTCTGCCCTCACCTGGAGCCTCCCTAAGCATCTCCCTGGATGTAGAAAGGACAGATCTTCCCAATAGCATCAGGATGGTCGTTCAGACCCTATTAAATGAGCCCACAGTGAGACAACTGGTCACTGGAGCCCAGCAAATGTTAAGGACGGGAGATGGAATTTGGAGCTGGGAGATTCAGGCTCAAAGTCCAGCTTCACCACTTCTTAGCTGTGTGGCCTCAGGCAAGACATTTCACGTGGCCAGGTTTCAGCCTGCTCCTTTGTAAGATGGGTTAGTCCTCCTGCCTCATAGGATTGGTTTTGAGGAACAAGCAAGGTAATGAAGACAGAATGCTTTTCATGGTGCCTGGCACAGCGGAGGAGTTTCTTGCCATTGTCTGCATTGCTGCTCAGCTTCTTGACTATGAGTCCCTAAACCTGGGGGATCCCTTGTCCTTCAGCATCATCTACGGCTTTAGGGAGTCTGGTCTGCATTGGGTCATTTCTACACCCCTGGGAAGATAGAGGGTGTGGTCACCATATTCCCTCTTGCGTGGTTCCTTCCATTGCCCTCCTGGCTTACTTTTTAGACTTCTTCTGGACTGGTTGGATGTGGCTTTCTGCACTTGTACTGCTGGATCTCTCACTGAAACACAAAAGGATGGTTTCAAGTTGCTCAGAGTCTGCTTTTCAAGAAAAGGGTGCCCCCAGTGCTCCATGGCACCTGCTAGCTTCCAGGATTCAGGCATGGGAGGTGGTTCTAATCAAGGCACCAGTCACAGAACTCTATGAATTTCTTCCCACCTCTTGGCCTTTCCTCATGCCATATCCCTGCCTGGAGGGTCCTCTTTGTTTCTTTTCTACCTATTTAAATCCTACCCTGCCTTACGGTCCACAGCAAGTCCTGTATATCTGAACTCTCCTGTGTCTAACTTTGACCTTCCGCCTCTGCATATTGTCGGGATTACGTCTTTTCTGGATCTCAGTTTCATTTGTGTAAAACTGTTCTCTTTGTCTGGAGGGTGAATTGACTTAGGACCTTTCCACACTCCTCTCCATGCCCAACACTTAACACTGGACCAGGTGCAGTTTAGTGAAGCCCAACACCCATTTTACCCCTTGTCAGTCTGTGAGCAAGCAGCTCCCTTCTGGATGGTCAGTTTCCTCATCTGTGACCCATCAACTCATCATGCCATCCAACCATTTCTAGGTGTGGATGACTGAATCCTCGTATGGATACCCCCTCCTGTGACTCTGCCTGGGCAAGCTTCCTAGAGGGGGATGAAGAGCCCCTACCCCTGCCCACCACCCCCTTCATGCCTTTCTCCAGGATCCTTGTTTAGGGACTTGGGCTTTCAGCACCATTGTCTAGCACCTTCTCTCTGACTCTGTTTCCCCTTCTTTCTTCCAAATGCTTGGAAAACTGTCTGACCACTTTATCTGTGGCTCTGAGGGAGGGAGTGGTAAGACCGTTTTCCTTTTTAATATGATGTGTGGGTAACCCTTTGCTTCTAGCCCTGTGGCATTTGGGACTTCTTTAGGCAGGCAGGCCTGGCCATTTTCCAGACCCCTCCCCATAGAAAAGGTCCTGCCTTTGCTGGTTTCCCCAGAAGCTCACAGGACTAGACCTGGAGGTCTTAGGCCTAGTAGGCAAATCCTCATCCTACTTGGGTAAGAAGCAGGCCCCCATTAACAATATCCAGATAGCCTTGATTTTGGATTCCAACCAGCTGCCCTAATCCCTGCAGATGAATCCTTTGGGGGAGCATGGTGGCCCTGACCTTCCTCCTGTAGATGGCTCTCTTCTTTTCAAGAGCTTTGACAGTGATTCAGGGAGGAGGTGGGAGGTAAAGAAAGTGGTGTTATTAGGGAGTGATAAGCAAGAGACAGAAATAAGCAACAAAAAACCCGTCTGCCTGTCTCACTCTGTGCCCCCCACCTGGCCCTCTTTGAGTTTCAGCTGCACTGGTCTTTGCTTGGAGCCCCTGAGCCTAAGCTTCCTCCTGCCGCAGGACCTTTGCACACACTATTCCCCCTGCTTGGAACAGCATTCCCACCTTTTCCAACTCATAGCCTAGTCAATTCTCCTTTGTCCTGAAGTTCTCAGCTTAAACATCAGACTCAGTGTTGGTTAGCACCCAACACCCCTACTTCTTTTTCAGAACACTTCACAGTCATGATGTTATGGCTAGCTGTAGGATTATCTGAGAAATGCTTGACTCTCCCATTAGATCAGCAATTCTTGAGCATGGGTAGAATTCAAGGGGTCCATGAATGCAGATGGGAAAAAAGTTGCATCTTTAGTTGAACTAACTTTCAACCAAAATGGAAATTGCAGGTATTTGCCTATCACATTACAATTGTGAGAGATAATTTGAAAAATCATTTATACTCAACACTAATCCAAAATTACAGGAGTTAAGTCTTGTTATATAACGCATTGTGAAAGACACGCATAGATTACCATATTCCAAATTTGATTGTAATATAGCAATCTAGATTACTACGAATTTCTTAGTGATCTTTTATACTGTATAGTACGCATTTAAAAGCATTTTTCTTAAAGGAGTCCATAGATTTTCTCAGACTACCAAGGAGTCTATGGCACATAAAAGTTTATAACCCCAGCCCAGACACAGAGATCCATGAGGGCAGGCTGTGTTTGTTTGTGTTTGTTTCATTTGCTAATGAATTCCCCAAACCTAGCGCAGTTACTGGCACAGATGGGGAATCTAAGAATATTCTCTAAGTGGGCTGGGCTCATGCCTGTAATTCCAGTATTTAGAAGGCCAAGGGAGGTGGATCACTTGAGGTCAGGAGTTTGAGACCAGCCTGGCCAATGTGGTGAAACCCTGTCTCTACTAAAAATACAAAAATTAGCAGGGCATGGTGGTGCATGCCTGTAATCCCAGCTGCTTGGGAGGCTGAGGCAGGAGAATCACTTGAACCCAAGAGATGGAGGTTGCAGTCAGCCGAGATCACACCACTGCACTCCAGCCTGGGTGACAGAGTGAGAGTCCATCTCAAAAAAAAAAAAAAAAAGAATATTCTCTAAATGAACAAATAAATTGGGGTAAGATCTCCACCTCCTCCATTATAAATTACCCAAGTAGAGAGAAAGAGACATAGTCTTGTACCGCGTCCTCCCCACCTCACTTCTCCATGACTAGAAGATTTTAACTTGATGGTATATAATTGTTGGGGAGAAATACCTGAATTCCCACGCCCGGCCCTGCAGTAAAGGGGCTTGTTTCTAGTGAGGTCATAAGAAGGAAAAAGTTCCCTCTTTCCTGTCCCACTTTCCATGGTCTGGGGAGGAGCATCCCTGCAGTGGCCCCTGTAAGTGTGGGCTGCCTTCGGAGGCACCTGCTGCAGGCTCCAGGCTTTCCTACCTTGATTTGAGAGTGGTCTGCATTTCCTTATAAGCAGAATTACTCTTGTTTTGTTTCAGCACTGACAAGATGCTGCAAGGCAAAATGAGTCCTTTAACAAGGCGCTGAATTCATGAAGATTTTGTGCAGTAACTACATGTGGGAGGAGGGGGAATTCTCTTTCTAGAGCAAGAATCTTCAGACTCTACTGAGCACAGCACTCACCTGGAGAGTTTGCTATGAATACAGATTCCTCGGCCACATTTCCTGGGACTTGAATACATTAGGCCTGGAGGGGGGCCCCAGAAGCTGCATTTAGATCACACACACAGGTATACACACACACACACACACACACTCTCTCTCTCTCTCTCCTAAAATTCCCCACCATACAGCAAAATACTGTGACATAATGCCCACCTGAAGTGCTTGTTTAAAAAATATAGCTACTGGCCAGGCGTCATGGTTCACACCTGTGATCCCAGCACTTTGGGAGGGCAAGGCAAGCGGATCACTTGAGGTCAGGAGTTCCAGACCAGCCTGGCCAACATTGCAAAACCCTGTCTCTACTAAAAATATAAAAATTAGCCGAGTGTGGTGGTGCATGTCTGTAATCCCACCTACTCGGGAGGCTGAGGTGGAAGAATCGCTTGAACCAGGGAGGCAGAGGTTGCAGTGATCCGAGATCGCACCACTGCACTCCAGCCTGGGTAACAGAGCATGACTCTGTCAAAAAAAAAAAAAAATATATATATATATATACACACACACACACGCGCACACACACACACACACACACACACACACACACATATATATCACTACCTCTGGATATTCTGATTCAGTGGATTCTGGGATGAGGAGGCGTAGAAATTTGTATTTTTCACAAGTATCCTAACTGCTTCTGATCATCAGGGACACTGCTACCAGATTTTAAGAAAAGCTGTATTTTCAGATGGCTAGGGGGCAGCCCGGCCTTGAGGCTGGGGGCTGGATGTGCTGGCTTGTAGGGATTTCTGCAGGCCCCTCAGTTCGATGTCAGCCTTGATGGGAGCAGATTTGGGATCTAAAGTGAGAAAGGAATCCAGCTTCTAAAGTGAGGGGCAAAAGAGAATCTGCAGCTTTTCCAGCTTTTCCTAACCGTCTCTCTGTAGCTCTGCGTTGAAGCTTTAATGTCTGCTGCCTTAGCAAAAGATTAGGGAGATTTTTTTCCCAGAGGAATTAATGAGGAAGGGAAACTTCAACACATTCTTGCTCTGTAACCATGGTTATTTTATCATTAAATTGAAAGCAGAGGCCATGTGATGGTCTCATGAGAGCCAGGGTCTAGAGTGGTTTTGTCTTTGAAGACCTTATGGAAGTCACTGCTTGTTGCTCTTTGACATATATGGGATGGGGTGATGGTAATGGTGAATGTACCTGTCTCAGCAGGAGAAGATTCCATGGGGCAACATGTGTGAGATAAAAGTAACAACCGTCCCCACCACCATCCCCACCACCAACCTCACTGCCATTTATTGAATACTTACTCTATGCCAGGCACATGCTAATATGTTAAATAAATGCATTATCTGATTAAGTGCTTAAAATGTTTCATTGAACTAGATGTTATTTCCATAACATTAGTAATATTTTACAGGGATAATATTATCTTATTCTCACTACAACCCTTTGGGATTGGCTGCTAATGAGCCTCATTTTACAGAATGAGAATCAGACTCAGAGAGGTGAAGCAACTTGCCCAACATAACCCGGCAATTAGTCATGGCCATGGAGCCTGACCTTAGTTTGTCTGGTTCCAAAGCCAAGCTTTGATGCGACACAATCTCATTTTACAGATGAGAAAACAGAGGTTTAGAGAAAGGCTAGATGACTTGTCCAAGGGCAATAGGTTTTGGATCCACATCAGTCTGACTCCAAAGCCAGTGCTTGTGCTGTGGGTTCTTACAAAGGAAGGAGCCTCATTGAGCTGATGCTTCATTATTATTGTCTGTCTCTAATGCTTATAAATCAGGCACAGCAGTGGGGGCCTTATGGGTCAGCATTGTCTCTGAGTGCCTCCAAGTGCCACCTTCCAGAGCAGCCCCAATGAGAGTTGAGGCAGCAGCCAGCGAATTCATCATTCACAAGCAGAGGCGAGGTGTGATGCATGTGAAAGTGCGCAGTGAACTGTAATTGTGGTAATAACAATAACCAATAAGTCATAGTTGGCATCCCAGTGGGCTGAAGGTGATGATGAACCTCTTCTAGTGCCTCATTTATTTTCAGGAAGGAATTTGCTTACTCAAAGGAATCCACACCTGGGAAGGGAGCTCTGGCTCTAGGCTGTGTGCTCTCTGGGGCTTTTAGAGGTCAGAAGTCTGTGGACGAGGCTTCCCACCAGAAAGCGGATGTCTTAGGTTCAAGTCTGATAGTACCTCCTTATGAGCTAATCATATCGGTTGCTGGCTTGAAACTTCAAAGGATTCCCGCTGCTCTTAGAATAAAAACCAGAATCCTTGAGTTTCATCCCTTTTTGGCTGCATTTCAGTTCCCTGAAGGTGTTGTGGTCCCTTTTGACCACGTTTGCACATGTGCTGCCTATAATACTCTCTTCCCCACCTCCCTACCCGCCCATGCCAGCCTCATCAGGCTGGCTCATTTACATGCTTTATCCAAATCTCAGCTTAAAGCTTCTTCCTTGGAGGAAACTTCTCTGATCCCCATCCCCAACCCAGACTAGGTCAAATGCCATTATTATTTGTTCTCACAGTTTCAAGCTTTCCTTTAATGGACACTTCTCACAATAATAATGAGTACACAGCCCATACATGTTCATAAATATTCACTCAAAGGAGGAATGAATAACCAGAAGATTCCTGAGAAGCAGTGTGGCAGAATGGCAAAGAGAATGGTTTTTGGAATTAGAAATGTCTGGATTTGCCAGGTATGGTGATTCACATCTGTAATCCCAGCATTTTGGGAGGCCGAGGTGGGAGGATCACTTAAGCCATGAGTTTGAGGCCAGCCTGGGCAGTATAGCGAGACCCTGTCTCTACAAAATAATAATAAAAAAAAAATTAGCCAGATGTGGTGGTGTGTGCCTGTAGTCCCAGCTACGTGGGAGGCTGAGTTGGGAGGATCACTTGAGTCCAGGAGTTGGAGGCTGCAGTGAGCTATGATTGTGCCACTGCACTTCAGCTTGGGCAACAGAGCGAGACCCTGTCTCAGAGACAAAAATAAATTGGTAAGAAAGGTCTAGATTAGAGTCATGGCCTTATCATTCACTAGCTGAGTGACCTTGAACTAGTCACATAGGCTCTCTGAGCCTCATTTCTTGATTTGTAAAATAAAGATAATAGTACCTACCTTGTAGGATTATTGTAAGAACTCAGAGAGGTGATACACATAAACAACACAGCTCAGTGCCTGTCACAGAGAAAATGCTCAACAGTTGGCAACTACTACTGTTAATGTGATTGCTATTATTCTAAGCTTTATTTGCCCCAGGAGTCAAGAGCACATACCTGGGTGCTTTTCTTTGCATCCCATTTTCTATTGTGACTGTCCTCCGGGCATCTTCCCGAACCATCTCCAGGAGCTTCTGCAGATCTGATGAGAATATGAGAGGTCACCCTTGACCAGAAGCCACCCCTGAGACAGGATTGTGCAGAACAGGGTGCAGCCCCCCAAACTGGGGTCACCTCTGCTCCTGAGGGTTGGAGATCTGGAGAGAGATTCCACTGGGGTCCAGAAGAGGTGGCTGATAGTGTTGGGCATGTTGCAAATCTGACCATGCCACGCCCCTGCTTAAAACCCATCAGTGGTTCTGTGTTACGTTTGGCTAATGCCTGTAATGCCAGTACTTTGAGAGGTCAAGGCAGGTGGATCACTTGAGGCCAGGAGTTTGAAACCAGCCTGGCCAACATGGTG
Organism: Homo sapiens; assembly: GCF_000001405.40. NCBI lineage: Eukaryota > Metazoa > Chordata > Mammalia > Primates > Hominidae > Homo > Homo sapiens. The sequence goes on along the minus strand of NC_000012.12, from coordinate 119,516,301 downwards.
AAACCCTACCTCTACAAAAAATACAAAAATCAGCTGGGCGTGGTGGTGGATGTCTGTAATTTCAGCTTCTCAGGGGGCTGAGGCATGAAAATTGCTTGAACCTGAGAGGCAGAGGTTGCAGCGAGCCGAGATCATGCCACTGCACTCCAGCCTGGGTGATACAGTTAGACTCTGAATCAAAATAATAACAATAATAATAAAATAAAAAATAAAACATAAATAAATTCTTTCAACACAGCCTGTGAGGCCTGCCAGGATCCAGCTTCTCTTTTTATCCCCCATTTCATCTCCCTTCCCTTCCCCACCTTAAACTCTACTGCAGCCAGAGAGAACTGTTTCCAAAGCTGAGAATAAATCATCTTGCTCAGGAAACCTTCTCTGATCTCCATAGGCCTGAAGTTTTAAACCAGCAATCCACAGGCTGAATTCAGCTTACAAATGTGTTTTATTTGATTCCATGTGGATGCCAATCTTTTAACACTGGAAGATTTCACATGAAAATCCAGACCTCCAGCTTCCCTAGAAAGGAGTCTGAGATGGGACTACACTGCCCCCATTCCTGCTGCATGCTGGACGTGCCTTTAGATAGGCGACTGCTCTCTAGCTCCCCACAGCTCCCACCACCCCTCCTTGCCTTGGCCTAGCTTTTATTTTCATATTTAATATTGATTTTGGCTGGGTGCAGTGGCTCACACCTATAATCTCAGCACTTTGGGAGGCCGGGGTGGGAGGATTGCTTGAGTTCAGGAGTTCGAGGCCAGCCTGGGCAACATGGAGAAACCACCATTTCTACTAAAACAAAAATATAAAAAGATTAGCTAGGCATGGTGGGGTAAACTTGTATTCCCAGCTACTCAGGAGGCTGAGGTGGGAGAATCACCTGAGCCTGGGAAGTCAAGGCTGCAGTGAGCCGAGATCACACCACTGCTCTCCAGCCTGGACGACAGAGTGAGACTCTTGTCTCAGAAAAAAAGAATATTGTTGATTTTTGTATAGTATGGAAATATTTATTCATACCTGACTGTTATGGGTTGAATTGTGTGACCCTCTCTGCTAAGATATGCTGAAGTCCTAATCACCAGGACCTCAGTCGATGACCTTATTTGGAAATAGGGTCACTGCAGATGTAATGACCATTGTGTCATTTAACAATGGGGACCCATCTTGAGAAATGCATCATTAGGCGATTTTGTCATTGTGTGAACATTATAGAGTGCACTCCCACAAACCTAGATGGCATAGCTTACTATACACCTGGGCATAGCTTACTATACACCTGGTATATACAGCTTATTTTTCCCAGGCCACAAACCTGTACAGCATGTTACTGTACTGAATACTGAAGGCAATTATAACACAATGTTAAGTATTTGTGTATCTAGGGATAACAGAAAAGGTACAGCCAAAATAGAGTATGAGATAAAAAATAGTACACCTATATAGGGTACTTATCATAAATGGAGCTTCCAGGACTGAAAATTGCTCTAGGTGAGTCAGTGAGTGAGTGGTGAGTGAATTCGAAGGCCTAGGACATTACTGTGGACTTTATAAACACTGTACACTTAGGCTGCAGTAAATTTACTAAAAATATTTTTCTTTCTTCAATAATAAATTAAACTTAGCTTACTGTACTTTTTTACTTTATAAGCTTTACATTTTTTAAATTTCTTGACTCTTTTGTAATAACACTTAGCATAAAACAAACACATTGTATATCTGTAAAAAATGTTTTCTTTTTTAATATCCTTGTTCTATAAGCATTTTTCTATTTTTTAAAATTTTTTACTTTTAAAACATTTTTGTTAAAAACTAAGGGCAGATGCGGTGGCTCATGCCTGTAATCCCAGCACTTTGGGAGGCTGAGGTGGGTGGATCACCTGATGATGGGAGTTCAAGATCAAGCCTGGCTAACATGGTGAAATCCTGTCTCTACTAAAAATACAAAAAAAAAAAAAAAAATAGCCAGATGTGGTGGCAGGTGCCTGTAATCCCAGCTGCTTGGGAGGCTGAGGCAGGAAAATCACCTAAACCTGGGAGGTGGAGGTTGCAGTAAACCGAGACTGCGCCACTGCACTCCAGCCTGGGCAACATGAGCGAAACTTTGTCTCAGGAAAAAAAAAAAGAAAAAAGAAAAGGAAACTAAGCCACAAACACACGCATTAGCCTAGGCCTACACAGGGTCAGGATTATCAATATTGCTGTCTTTCACCTCTACATCTTGTCCCCTGTAAGGTCTTCAGAGGCAGTAACAAGTAACACACATGGAGCTGTCATCTCCCATGATAACAATGCCTTCTTCTGGCATATCTCCTGAAGGATCTACCTAGGGCTGTTTCACAATTCACTTTCTTTTTATAAATAGAAGGAATACACTCTAAAATTACAATAGAAAATAAAGTGTAGTACTTATATAAACCAGTACCATAGTCATTTGATCGTTATCAAGTACAGTACTGTGTACTGTATATAATTGTGTTATACTTTTATATGCAGTATAAAATGCAGTAGGTTTATTGACACCAGCATCATTACAGACCTGTGAGTAACATAGTGTGCTATGATATCATGATGGCTAAGATATATTAGGCAATAGGAATTTTTCAGCTTCACTCTAATCTTATGGGACCACTGTCGTATATGTGGTCCATTGTTGACTGAAACATTGTTATGTGACACGTGATTGTAGTTAAGTCAAGGTGACATCATATTGGGGTATGATGAACCCTCTATCCAATGACTAGTGTCCTTATAAGTAGGAAAGAGAGATATATAGGGAAAAGGTGGCTATGTGATGACACGGGCTCTAGATTCAAGTGATGCATTTATGAACCAAGGAATGCCAAGGATTGCCAGCACCCACCAGAAAAGGAGAGAACTATTCTCTCCTATGGATTTCGGAAGATGCATGGCCCTATGGACATGTTGGTTTGGATGTTTAGTATCCAGAACTGTGAGACAATAAGTTTCTGTTGTCAGAAATTTTACAGCAGCTGTAGGAAACGCACACACTGACACTCCAAAAAGTTGGAAAATGAAATAGAGATGGAGTAAGTTACGTGCCTCAAGAAAAGTGGGAGAGTGGAAGTGAATGGTCCTGTCTTATGTGGATATATATTTGCAAATCCCTGGATATCTCAATTCTTCCCACTCCCTAACGTGGAATCTGCTTTGATACAAAACCACGAGCTTTGGGACCGCTTTTTCCTAATGTTTGTAGCTGTCCACGGTGCTGAAACATCACAGTGTGAGGTTGTCCCTTGATGACTGTGACTACACCAGAATTTCTCCCCAGATTTATGAACAAGAATTGGGAAGAAGGGACTTGGAGTGAGAAGAGGAGAAAATACACAGACAGAGAGCCATTGGAGATCAGAGATATGTCAAGAAATAAAAGAGAGGAGACTTTTGAGATGGTTTTTAAATAATCCCAGGAACTAAGAAGAAAACTATGACAGCCAACTACTGGAACGTGAGCAACCAAAGGGAGAGCCTTAAACACATATTCTTAGTGGTGCAACCTGATTGCATCTCAAAATGAACAAATATGCTAGATGGCTGTCTCCACTGGATAAAATAATTTTTGATTTTTATTTTCTGTCTTTGTGGGAAATATTGGTGGCTTGCACCATCTCAGAACAGAGAGCAGTGTGGCCGATGTTGGTTTCATGCACTTTTGATAGATCTATCACATTTTCCTCCCTCCTCTGGGGTTCTGGAAGAATGCTATCTTCCCATCTCCATCCATTGCACCTGGTAGGGTGCCCACCTGTGGACTCCTGCAGCACACTGTCCTTCTGACCCCCATCACAGCATTGATTTCATGTGATAGCCAGTTTCTGTTCACTTGCAGGTCTTCTCCTCAGGCTGTGAGTTCCTTGATGTCAGGGGCCACATTTTATTTGTCTTTTTATTGATAGCACCTGGCAGCATGCTTAGCACATGGGGTCTCAGTCAATAGTTGCTAAACGTAAAAGTGAACAACTAGGGAGGAAATAGAAGGAAGGATTTGGGACTATGAGTTAGATTTGGATATCGATGAACGATGACAATACCAGTGCAGACACCTCATTCCTTAGTGGGTACCTGCAGTTGGCTCAAGCTCAGGCGTCAAAAGCCATACCTGGAAGGGAAGCGTGAAGCCCAGTGCTTCCCAAGACCATTTGTGTGTTGTGTACATCCACCTTTGCATATTAATGCAATTACTGGGTGCTAGGGAAAGAATGCCTTCCTTAGTGACTTTGGAGCCATCTAGGCTGTGATAAATGTCAGCATTAAGCCATTTTCTACTCCAGCTCTCAATTTGTGGGCATGATTCCATTTAACCTGAACTTGACCTTTATTTTTGTCTTGTCATGCCAACCTTCCCTAGAGCCACAGATCCTAGAATCTCTGGAGTGTGTCCAGAAGCCTATTAGCAAGGGAGCTGTGATTGGTTCTCCAAGTTTCTTCCCTTCTCTTTAGAACCAAGCAGCAACATCTGACTGCTCTACCACTCCTACCCCCAACTCATAAGCAAACAAGCCTAAGGTTGGGTGGATATGGATATCAGCAAATGACCACAGCGACCTGGCACATCAAGCAGTCCTTCTAGAGCACCAAATGTCAAATTATATCCCCAGAGAAAAAAATCCTGACTTCCTTTCTCCATCTTCCATGCCCAGCCTGTCTAAGAATCTCACCCTTGAATGCCTAAATCCATTTCTTCTTTTTGGGGAGGGGGAATAGAGGAAGTCTTTTTGTTGTACGGGGCTGGTTTGAAGGGAAACATGAGATGGCATAGGACTCATGTTTTTGAGTTATTATTTAAGTGAGTTTCTCCTCTAATAGTTCCAAGACTCAGAGCTTCAAGACCAGCAGGAGGAGTAGCCTGGGCTTTTGTTTCTTGGGAATCTCCCTGCCATTGATTTGGGGAGGGGATCATTCCCCATAGAGGCTGCAACCTGCTGTCTCCAGTGATTTGCATCAACAAAGACTTCATTATGCAGAAACCTTGGAAATTAGACCTTGGTCAAATAGTATGTCTCTTAGAATAGGACTCCTGAATTCAGAATCAATTTGAGGAGGTTTTAGAAGGCAAGAGAGGCTGGGAAATTAATCTACTTTTGTCAAGGCTGTGACAAATTGGATGGAGGTTAAGGTATAAATGGAGGAAAAGGTTTGGGAGGCTAAAGTAGCAAACTTTTCCTCCCAGAGGAAATTCATTTTTTTTCAGTCATTTTTGTGTTCCTACTGTGTGCTAGGATGAAGGTAAATAAGATGTTACTGTTGCACACTTGTGGGGAGCTCACATTCCTTTTCCCCTTCTTTCTTAGTAATTGAACTGTGATTCTTTCTATGCATACAAGGGGAAGCATTTGCTAGCTCATTTTTTCAACATCCTTTGCAGCTGGGCATAGCCCTGTGACTAAGTTCTGGGCAATGAGATTTTAGTAGAAGTGTGGTATGGGGCTCCTGAGAGGATTGCTTAAACTCAGCTGGGAGTGGGCACTTTCGTACTTTGCTTACTTCCTTTTTCTTCCATCCTAGAATGTGAGTGTGACGGCTGGAGTTCTGGCAGCCATAGTGGATTATGAAGTGATGTTAAGGATGACACAGAAGAAAGTGGGGGAAGTAGGATTCCTGATGATCTATGGAAGCCACCTTACCAGCCCTGGACTGATCTTCTTTAATCTGTACAAAAAATAAGCTTTTATCTTTTTTTAAGCCACTGCTTTTTAGGTCTCTGTACTGAGCCATGAGAAGGGCCTACTGGATACAGTGAGATGCATTTTAAGTTAAAATTAATAATTCAATAAAAGCAAATACCAACTACTAAGAGACAAGAGAAGAGGAAACCTGGGTGAATCAGAGAAGGCTTCACAGAGGAGGGAACATTTGAACTGGGTCTTGAAGGTTCAGCAGGAGTCCACCAGACTGAAGGGTCAAGCATGAACAGGCATTTCAAGTAGAGAGAGTCATACAAGAGTGTGCATTGTTTAAAAAGAAGAAAGTGTTTTGATGAGGTTGGAGTGCCCCACCTAAGGTGTGAACTAGCAAGAGCTGACCTGGGCAGCCTGGGGCAAGATCAGAGGTAACGTATTAGAGAAAAGGCAGAGTCATTGAAAGATGTTGAGCTAGAGAGAACTATATCAGATTTTTCATTTAGAAAGTCCCTTCTGACTCAACATGGAGAAAAGTAAGTGGGTAAAGGCAGGACAAGAAGCAGGGAAACTAGTTAGGAGGCTGTTGTTGTTTTCTAGGTGAGAAGTGAAGAGATTCTAGACCAGAAGTCCAAAACTCAGGTGGCCTTCAGGGGCCAGGTACCAAAAATGAGTGACACAAGTTGATGTAAAAAAAAATCAATTTGCTCTCTTGGTCCATCGTTTATTTTTTATTTTTTCCTGAAGACTTGGGTAAAGCAGAGCAATCAAGTCTGACTTGAGGGCCAGATTTCCTGGGTTCAAATTATGTCTTCATCACTCACTAGCTTTGTGACTTAGGGCAAATAACTTAACCTCTCTGTGCCCCAATGTTCTCATCAGCAGAATAGGCATGAAGAAGTTCTTGTGAGGATTAAATGAATTAATGTACATACAAAGGAGCTGATACAAAAATACTTTTAAGTGTTAGTTATAGTTTTATCATCACCATCATCATCATCATCATCATCATCATCATTCTAAAGAAAAAAATAGGGCAAATGTGATAGTAAATGGTCACACACTCAGCCAACCAGAGCAATTAGTGGGGCAATAGGGAGTGATGAAGACTGTGGAAAACTGGAGAACACAAACCCTACTTAAAGGGACCAAGCTCCAGTTGATTGTTGTCATTCAGGGTTGCAGGCCCACTGTTACCACAAGGAGTAATTTATTTTATCTTTAGAGATGGGGTCTGGCTATGTCAGCCAGGCTAATCTCGAACTCCTGGCCTCAAGTGGTCCTCCTGTCTTGACCTCTCAAAGTGCCAGGATTACGAGTGTGAGCTGCCATATCTGGCCAAGAGTGTTTTGTTTGTAAAAAGTCAGATGTTTTAGGTAAAACATCTTAATCTTTAAAAGTCACAGCTACTTTTCAAAAAAACACAAATTTTTGTGTATGCTAAACAAAACATAAGTGTGAGGATCTCCGTATGTGCCCCTAGTTTTCTATCTTCAAGACAAAAGCAATAGGTGTGAAGAGGGTAGGGTTTGAGGGAGTTTTAGGAGACAGCACTGATCAGAGCAGGTGAGTGATTGGATGTGAGAGGAAGGTGGCCACTGGGGACATGCCTGCAGTGTTGCAGGTGCCTAGAGAGATGCTCCATTTACCCCTCCCCTCATTGCAAAGTCTCCTTCCTCTGCTACTCCCTTCTGCCACCAGCGCCAGTGTTCAGTTTGCCCCAGGAGAACCATGGGCAAGCTCTGGGACTGGGGTGGGGCCTTGAAGCTGGGCTATCGCTCTACTCTTCTTATTTAAGAGCAAAGCTTTTAGAGTTGAAAAAAAAAATGAAGACATGGATATAACACCAATAACCACAAGAACACCTTGGAAAAGTAGATCAGGTCTAGTCCCTCCTGTACTGAAAACTTTCCAGATACTTCCTCTTGCACCTGGAATAATTCTGAAGTCTTACTTGCTCCACAAAGGCCCTGCGTGCTCTGGCCCCTGCCTCCCTCCTCAGCTTCAGGTCTTCAGGTCTCAGTTCAAACATCAGACCTGAGAGAGGCTCCCTTGATCACCCTTGCTAATTTAGCTCCATGCCCACCAACGGTCTCTCTCTATCCCAGCATTCTGTTTTGTTCTCTTCCCAGCTCATACTATATGCAACTGCCTTGCTAGTTACAACTTCCTTTTTTTTTTTTGAGACAGAGTCTTGCTTTGTTGCCAGGCTGGAGTGCAGTGGTGTGATTTCAGCTCACTACAACCTCTGCCTCCAGGGTTCAAGCGATTCTCCTGCCTCAGCCTCCTGAGTAGCTGGGACTACAGGCACATGCCACCATGCCCAGCTAATTTTTGTATTTTTAGTAGAGATGGGATTTCACCCCGTTGGCCAGGATGGTCTTGATCTCTTGACCTTTTGATAAGCCCACCTCAGACTCCCAAAGTGCTGGGATTACAGGCGTGAGCTACCATGCCATGCCATAACTTTCTTCTTTATTACTTTATTTTTATAGACATGGTCTCACTCTGTTGCCCAGGCTGGAGTGCAGTGGCACAACCATAATTCACTGCAATCTTGAAATCCTGGACTCAAGTGATCCCCCGACCTCAGCCTCCCAAGTAGCTAGGACTACAGGCATGTGCCACCATGCCTGGCTAATTTTTAAAATTTTCCATGTAGAGATGGGGTCTCACTATTTTGCCCAGACTGGTCTCAAATTCCTGGACTCAAGCCATCCTCCTGCCTTGGCCTCCCAAAATATTGGAATGACAGACATGAGCCACTGTACCCAGCCTAGGGATTTCTTATTTATCATTTGTCTCTTCTAAAATTTAAGTTTGGGAAGGGCAGGTACTCAAGTAACTCAGTTTTCGGTGCACAGTAGGTGCTCAAAAAGTATGTGTTAAATGAAAGAAGAATCAAGAAATCCGTAAGTGGCCAGGAAGCTGAGGTGGGAGGGTTGTTTGAGCCCAGGAGTTTGAGGCTGCAGTGAGCCATGATTATGCCACTGCATTCCAGCCTGGGCAACAGAGTGAGACCCTGTTTCTAGAAAAAAAAAAAAAAAATATATATATATATATATATATATGTATATATATGTGTATATATACATATATATATATATATATGTATATATATGTGTATATATATGTGTATATATATGTATATATATGTGTGTATATATGTATATATGTGTATATATGTATATATATGTATGTGTATATATGTATATATATGTGTATATATATACACGTATATATATATAAGAATCGCATATCTGCTGATGGTCTATCTTAGTTTCTTCCCATCTCAGATACTACTTCTTCTGTTCAGAAAACAGCTTTTCGGGGCTTGGGACCTTTCCCAGCCCCCTGTTGACAGGCAGGGGCGGTGGGGATTTTTCCTGTTGGCAGTCATTACTCTGAACCCTGACCACCCAGTGGACTTTTGCACTTCTGCTCACTTCCATCTTTGAACATCAGGGCCCCACACAGATTCTTGGTCTGCCTTGACCTCCTTTTTCGCCTCCTTGAATCTATGCGACACACAATCCTTGTCACTCAGCCCAGCCTCGGCTGCCACAGGCATTCCAGATGGTGTGAGAGAGAACACTGGCCGCCAGTGTTGTCTCAGTTCTGTCGCTGGACACCACTGAGGGGACACAGCAGATGGGGAGGAAGCAGGAAGATGTCCCGTGCATCAGAGTCAAGAATTTTGTGGTAGGCCACTCCTCCTTCATGTCCCTGTCTTACCCTCTCTTCTTTCTACCTTCTCCATCTTTCTGTATGAATCCTTCTGGATCCTTCTCTTGCTTTTCCTATCTCCTTTTACTATACAAGCTCAAGCCAGAAAGTTCTGAAAATGAATGTTTTATGTGACTTATGGAATCCAGTCATGATTCTATCTAGTAGAGATCCACAGCACCCCACTCAAAATATTGTGCAAAATTGTGTATATGTGTGTGTTTGAATTTTTTTCTTGTGTGAGGGCTCATAGCTTTCAATGAATTTTCCTATTTTCCTTCCCTTCCCCATTCCCCCTTCCCTTCTTCTCTTCTTTTCTCTTTTTGAGACAGGGTCTTGCACCATTGCCCAGGCTGCAGTGAAGAAGCAAATCACAGCTCACGTCAGCCCCTACGTCCTAGGCTCAAGCGATCCTCCCACCTCAGCCTCCTGAGTAGTTGGAACCACAGGCACACACCACCATGCATGGCTAATTTTTTTTTTTTTTTTTTTTTTTTTGAGAGATGAGGTTTCACCACGTTGCCCAAGCTGATCTCAAACTCCTGAACTCAAGCGATCTGCCCACCTCCATCTCCCTAAGTTCTGGGATTACAGACATGAGCCACCATGCCTGGCCTAATTGGATATTTTTAAGGGACTTGTCTCCCTCATATTTTGAGCCACTGAAAAGACTTTTTCAGGGTGAAGATCACAGAGTGGTACAACTTCCATCTATAAAATGTTCAGAAAAGACAAATCAGTAGAGACAGAAAGCAAGTTTGTGGTTGCCTGGGGGCTCTGGGTAAGAAGGGCAGAAGGTTTTCTTTCAGGTGGTTGGAAATGTTCTGAAATTAGATTGTGGTGATGGTTACACAACTCCAAGTTTACTAAAAATCACTGAATTGCACATTTAAAATAAGCGAATTTTATGGTATGTAAATTATATCTCAATAATAAAGCTGTTTAAAAAAGTAGACACCGAATTTCAAAGACAGTATAAAAGAGGATATAAAATATCTCATTAATAATTTTTACATTGGTTACACATTGAAATGATAATGTTCTGTATAAACTGGGCTAAATTTAAAAAAATGCTTTTTTTTGAGATGGAGTCTTCCTCTGTGGCCCAGGCTGGAGTGCAGTGGCATGATCTCAGCTCACTGCAACCTCGCCTCCCAGGTTAAAGTGATTCTCCTGCCTCAGCCTTCCAAGTAGCTTGGACTACAGATGTGTGCCATCACGCCCAGCTGATTTTTGCATTTGCAGTAGAGACAGGGTTTCACCATGTTGGCCAGGCTGGTCTCAAACTCCTGACCTCAAATGATCTGCCTGCCTCAGCTTCCCAAAGTGCTGGGATTACAGGCATGAGCCACAGTGCCCAGCCTAAATAAAAATATTTTTAAAATTAGAAAAGGGCAGTTGGTGACCACAGGCTGTCTCTGTAGGAGAAATGGCTTGGGGCAACCCAAGTTATGGAGTATATTTCTGATCTCCACTGGGGAAAACAAAGAGGTCCAAGGAAATTGAACAAGGATGCGGGATCCCATGTCACCTTTAAATGAGTGGAGGTGGACTTGAGGCAGGAGGGTTTCTTGATGTCTGGCTTAAAGGCAAAGGGTCAGGGTAGATGAGTCAGATCTCAGGTAGGACTTACTCATATACAGAGGTTCTTCATCTGGCTTGGTTGAAGATGACTCATTGTCCTCAATGTCCTTGCTGCTGGTCACCTGGGTGTTCACACTTGGGGGCTCATCCGAGCCAGGGTTCACAGAGATCATGCTGCTCTGGGGAGAGGACCCCCCACTGGCCCGACTCAGACTGAGTGTGGAGCCTCGCCGGCTTGGTTTGCGGTTGGTGACTCGCATTGTGGGAATTTTGAATTTCTTGGTCTAAAGGAAAGAGAAGAAAGAGAGGTTTCAGGAAGGAGGGGGAAAAAGATGGAAGAAAGAAAGAAAGGAGGGAAGGAGGAAGGTGGGGAGGGACAGCAGACAAAAGCAAAGCCTGGGTCTGACTGTGAATTCCTTCTGGCTCTTTCCAAACACCATGAGATATATTCTGGATCTGGAGTGACCTTTTGTCACAAATCGAGATAATGTTAAAATGTGTATTATTTAAAGCAAATGTGGTGGAGTATATTCTATTGAACGAGCTCATGGTTGCCCAAGAAGTCACCATAGGAAGCCAAACGTGTTTTCCATGATGATGTCAAGGCCCAGAACAGGTTTTGACTTTTCTTTTGTAATAACTATTGGAGTTGATTTTCAAACTGTGTATGAGGATGGGTCTAATTTTTTAACCACATCTTGGTTTTGGCTCCAAATTCCATGTGTACACTTCCTAGTCCCCCAGTTGACACCTGGGCCTCAAAGAATAATTTGTAATCATGGAGGTTTTCTAAAGAACACAGAATAGGGAAATTGTAGGCCTGACATTTAGGATGTGAGTGGGAGGAAGCAGATTTGTCTGGTGCAGTGGCATTCTTGGGGGAGGAGCCACGGTTGTAGTGGGCTAGGAGAATTGGATGATAAGTTCTGGAAGGAATTGAGAGGTAGGTAGGGAAAGTCCTGTGGATTTTTAGAAGGAAAGGAGTAAGAAAGAGTACACACAGACTGTCTGTGTGTGTGTCTGTGTGTACCTTCCTGTGAGATTGGTGTCACTTCAGAATGCACTGTTTGGGGTTATGTCCTCGTATAACTCATGATCCAAGTTTCAGCGAGGCTTCCTAACCTCCTCAAGGTCACAGCAAGAAAATAGCAGAACCAGAATTCAGACCTAAGTTAGGTTAATGCCAAAGCTCATTACTATGCCTGGCTTCAAAATACTTCAAAAGTTTTTTTTCAGTGACATCGAAAATGCCCTTTATCCCATGCTAATGATTCTTTATGACATCTAAAATGCCAGGTTTACAAGGGGGAAGAATAGGCCCTCAGATGCCCCAGAGAAAGAGCTCAACACAGAGTGGGCTATAGTTTATATTCACTTAATAGAAATAATTTTATCTGAGCACATTTACAATGAAAGCTCTTGATGGATAGACTGGTGTTTTCTTTAGATGAAATTCGTAGTGTTTGACACCCTGGGAAAGGTGATAGGGAGAAGAGACAGCATTGAAGACCACACCAACATTTAATACACATTGCGCAGGGTGGAGAGAATTGTATTCAGCAGAATTCATTTCAGGGAGTCCACTGTATGTGATCAGAAGCAATATTTTGAATGGCTACCTTGTAGGGCACTGACTATGGGTGGAACCTTCTTGCACTAGAAGAGGGGAGGGATTTCTTGGTTGCACAGGAGAGGGAGAAGGTTGGGGAAGAGGAGGGAGAGGCTGTGGGCCTTAACATATGATCTCTCCCTGTGCCTGCCTCATCTCTCTCAAATCTTCAGTGAAATTCTGTACAAACGACAGAATGCTTCAGAATATGATAGACTGGAGAAATGGAATTTGAACTGGATTTAACCAGATCTTCAAGAGGCCATGCAAGTTACAAAATGACTGATCAAGAAATGCCAAGCACCCAAAGCAGGCATGTCCTCTCCTTTGATAAATTAGGAGCTTGGTACAATGATCCTGTTGTCCTGACACTGCAACTGGTCAAGAGCTTGCAAAACTGACAGAAGGCCCCTCTACTCTTTGTCATTCTGGGGAGAGATGATATCAGAGCTCAGGGATGAAACATGTAGAAGTTGCCTCTTTCCATTTTATCTAGAACAATATGAATTCCTGACTCTAGGAACCAGGCTCTTCAGATCAACGTAATTTTTTTATTTTTATTTTTATTTGACAGGGTCTGACTCTGTTGCCCAGGCTGGAGTGCAGTGGCACAGTCTTGGCTCACTGCAACCTCTGCCTCCCAGGTTTGAGCTATTCTCCTGCCTCGGCCTCCCAAGTAGCTGGTATTACAGGTGCCCACCACCATGCCTGGCCAATTTGTTGTTGTTGTTATTTTTGGTAGAGATGGGGTTTCACCATGTTGCCCAGGCTGGTCTTGAACTCCTGAGCTCAAGCAATCTGCCCGCCTTGGTCTCCCAAAGTGCTGGGATCATAGGTGTAAACCACTGTGCCTAGTAAAATCAATGTAATTTTTGAAGGGTGGACAGATGGTGGCATGAGGCAGCTTGGAATCTTGCAGTGAGCACTGGAGTCAGAGTCAGGGTACCTCAGGGGGGCCTTGAATATGTCACTCTGCCCTGCCTCAGTTTCCTCATTTATAAAACCTAGGGGATAGCCTGGGACAATTTCAGAAGAGCCTTCCATATCCAGGGGTGTCTTCCTTGAGCTAGGATTTCATCTTATGCTCCCAAAGTTGCCATTAATTAAAATTTAATTAACCATCCTAGCCAGGAAATCCAAAGTGAAGGGCTGACACTTGTGATTAATTGAAACTGGCAGAAAAATAAAATGTAGGGGGAAGATGTGACAGGCACTGGCTTGCCTTTTATTGAACTGAACCTCTCTGAATTGACTTAAATCCCTAAATGCTGCTTCTCTATTTTTTATATTTCACTCAGCAGTTGTGTTAACCAGTTGCTATGTTCCATCTCAGTAGGGACTGATTTTTGGCAACGGAGGAAAAGAATTTGCTGAAAGGTTCCTTACACTTTCTGTGAAGTAGGGGTTGCAGACTGGTGGCCCATGGGGAGACATGTTTAGCTACCCAGGATTTTACAAATTGGGAGACTTTTATATAAAAATGTAAGTTTTTTGTTTCTTTTGAAAATGATAAGCTCTGGGCTCCCATTCTCACAAGGCAAAATGAGCTAAAGCTGCACAGAGGTTCTTCCCTTTAGCTGTGCAGGAGTGCTCCAGTTTGCCACAGACTCCACCACTCCCTACTGTATCACACTCAGCCTGATCTTTTCTTTTATTAATAACACAATTTGCCTGGCCCCTATGAACACTGCCTAGACATACAGAAGAGTATCAGGGGAAAAGAAGAGTATTGTGGGAGCTGGTTGGATTCCCTCCTTCAAAGTCCTCATTTTATAGGTAGACAAACTGAGGCCCAGAACAGGGGAAAGGATTTGTCTGAGGTCACACAGTGAACTGAGTCAGCATGGCTGAGCCAGGTCTCCTGCAGCCTAATTGAGTGCTCCCCCATGCCCAGAGTGGAACGTGCTGCAGCCCAGGATTTGACCCACAAACTTGAATTCAGTTTTGCAAGAGTTCAAGCACAGCTATTCATTCTCCCCCTCCCCTCCTCCAATTTTAGTGGTGAATATCCCTGAAGGACTTTTTTTAAAGGTTTGTAGCTCCTGCTGCTTTTTCTGTGCATTTCTGAAGACGGATGCACACTGTATCTCCATAGCAACTTTCTGCCATAAAAACCAAGGCTCGTCTTAAATCTAGGAGCACCCTGATGAAAGAGTAAGAAAATGGTGAAATTCTTCATGAGGGGCAACTATAATCATGGGGTCAGGAAGACCAGGCATTGGATGTTTATATGTTTAATAAACCTATTGATGTTTATATGTTTAATAAACTATGTTTAATAAACAGACCCAGAATTAACTTCTGGCTCTGCCAGTACCCAGCTGGGTAACCTTACGTAAGTTACTTAACCTCTCTGAGCCCCCAAATACCTCCTCTCTCACCTGGGGGTAAGAATAGTGCCCCATAGGGTTATTAAGAGGGCATAACTGGATAATATTCCTACAGAAGCTTCCTTAGCACAGAACCTAGCCCATTTACAATTATGTTGAACAGTGGCCTCTAAAATTTACATAACCACAGTAATGCTAAGCATTCTCACATTTTCAAAGTGTGTTTGCCTTATATTTATTTCCTGGGATTCTTCACTAAAGTTGTGAGGTAGGCAGGAAAGGGCATTATATCCATTTCATAGGTTAGGGGACAGGTTCAGCAAACGCTCTAGTTGTGTGCTCTATTACCTTTACCTATCTCAATATTACCTTTTGCCATTATTATTATTATGATTATTAGGCTTGTTTATTGAGTAGATGAGTTTGGGAGGTCCTGGGTTAGGAATACTTTTGGGTAAAAAGAATCTGTATCTTGGTGTCCTCTTAATAACTGCACCTTCTAGTTTGTAGAAAATCTTTGTTGAATCACTCACTTTGTCTTTTCTTTTTCTTAGAGACAGGATCTCACTCTCTTGCCCAGGTGGGAGGCTGGAGTGCAGTGGTGGGATCATAGCTCACTGCAGCCTCCAATTCCTGGGCTTAAATGATCCTCTCACTTCAGCCTCCCTAATACCTGGGACTACAGGTGCACACCACTATGCCCAGCTAATTTTTAAATTTTTTGTGAAGACGGGGTCTTGCTATGTTGCCCAGGCTCGTCTCAAACTCCTGGGCTCAAGCGATCCTCCTGCCTTGGCCTCCCAATCCTTTGGGATTACAAGCATGAGCTAGTGTGCCTGGCTTTTATTTTCTGACTGGGTTAAAGCGGGGTGGGGGTGGGGGGCGGTGAGGGAGGAAGCGAGGGAGGGAGGGAGAAGGAGAAAGAAATGACTGTTATTGATTTAGAAGATAGAGTGAGGTGAGTCCATTTCCTTCTGGTGACATCTTGTTAAGCAGCTGCTTAGCACCCCCTCCTGTCCCCATTATGTAGTGTCCAGCCAAATGTCATTTCTCCTATAATCCCTAGATAACTGTTTTAATTAAAATTTACAAAAACCATCCAACAGCCTGTGGCTCTGACTTCCCTTCACTCCGAGAACCAACTAGGAAAAAAAAATTCCCATCAGAGAAAAGACTGGCAAAAATACTCCTCAACACAAGCTGGGACCTAGGAGCCAAAGGGTTGAGTCGCGTGTTGTTGGTTACCTTTGGCGCTGTGATGAAATGCTCCCATTTCTGTCCCATGGACTTGTCCTTATTGATTTTTTTAATGGTGCTCTTGCTTCCACCCGGGTCCCTGAGTGAGAAACAGCTTAATGAGTTTTCCGTTTCCAGAGTCTTGGTTTATTACAAGTTCTTTTAAGAAATGCAATAAATAGAGGAGGAATGGTGGCTGGGCTCTGTTAGGATTTCCTCCCCCACTCCTCTACTTGTGAAGAAATGGGGGGGATAGTTCTCCATAGCTGGCTCTTTTGAGTGAAATCGAGGTTTGGAGAGACTTTTGCTTACTGGGTGGAGGAGGGAGGTGGTATATATTTGCATGTTTTTTGCATCTATTTGTATTTTAGACTCGGTCCTCTCCTAGAATCCTGGGCAGGTCTGCGATTACTCCTGAGGGGTGAATTGAAAAGCATGTTCATTTCTAAATCTTTGCTTTTTCTGTTGCCCAAGGGGTCCACCATCAGGGACATTTCTGAGAGACACACAGAGAATATTACTGGGTGGGATTGAGGGTGGGGCTGATGGGGGTGGATTGCACAATGAAAATCACTGATTGGAGGTTGACTGGGCATAAGTTCTCTACGACACTGTGTGCAACACCTTTCTGTGCCTTCTGTCTGTATCATCTCAATCACTATAACCTTGTGATGTAGTCATTGTCATCCCATTTTCAGATGAGAAAACAAACTAAGGGAGTTTAAGTCACTTACTTACAGTGAAACGAATGAAGCTAAAGCTTCAGGGCTCCTCACTAGTGTGGGTCCCTCTTCCAGGATCCTGTACCTAATTTTGTATTGTAATTTTGTATTTTTTTTTCTTAAAATGCCCTCTCCCCAGTTAAATAAGCTTCAGGCTCCACAAAACCTGGATCCTCCTGTCATGGGTTGGGAATTTTCTGGATAGGAGACTGAAGCCCAGTAGGTTCTGTTGGTGACACACCCATAATTCCTTGTATGAAATCTGTGGGACCAGATTTGTTGCCAAATTAATAATTTTGGCATTTTGGAAAGGAAACATGCTGCATATACTGTATGTTAACATAATCCCTCTGAGGGGGCTAAAGGGACAGCATCCTGTAACCAAATACATGAATATTTCTGCAATGAAACACATGGATATTTACACTAGGTGGGAGAAATAAAGACCAGAAGTAGCTTCAAGTCCAATTTTGCTGCCAACTTCGATTGGTTCCTGTCAGATTTTGCTGCCAAATGAGTTATGAAAAAACTGAGTTTTCAGAGCTTGTGGATTTTGGACTTGTGGCTATGGGGAAGTGGGTCTCTACTGATAAGAAAGCAGGGAGTCTCAACGTGTGATCTCTCAACTACCTTTACATATCGATTGATCGACTGATTGGTCTATCAATCTCTCTGTCCATATATATCTTTTCATCCATTCATCCATCCACCTATCTGTTTCTTTATTCCCTTTTTCTTTGCAGAAAGAATTTTATATCACAAGGATCCTTTTAATTATTTGTCTAGCTCTCGCCTAGCAGAGAGCAGGAACTTGAAATAAGAAGACGAACCGGGCTCATGCCTGTAATCCCAGCACTTTGGGAGGCCAAGGCAGGCAGATCAACTGAGATGAGAAGTTCGAGACCAGCCTGGCCAACATGGTGAAACTCTGTCTCTACTAAAAATACAAAAAAAATTTAGCCAGGTGTGGTGGCGCACACCTGTAATCCCAGCTGCTCTGGAGGCTGAGGCAGCAGAATCGCTTGAACCTGGGAGGCGGAGGTTGCAGTGAGCCGAGATCGCACCATTGCACTCCAGCCTGGGGGACAAGAGTGAAACTCCGTCTCAAAAAAAGAAAAAAAAAAGAGGATGAACAGAACTGCTTTGGTTTAGGGAGACAATGACAGGGGTCTAGGCTTGTTAGGGGCTGCTGAGTGCTGGTGGTTGTGGGTAGAAGGGAGGTGCTCAGATATAGAAGGCAAAAGGTGATCAAGATAAACCTAACTTAAGGCTGACTTCTCATGGCATGGAGATCTGAGTAGCAGAATCAAAGGCTTTTCCCAGTCCAAATAAGGAGTTGGGGGTGTCCTCTCTTCACCAGTGGGACTTTGCTGAAGATCTACCAGCGAACAGCCACCACACAAGAAATGCACACAGACCCAAAGTGGAAGTCGGGCTGGTGAGGTGGGGTGAGAATGTGCCTCTAAGCTTTTTGTAAGACTTTATGTTTGATTACACAATAAAAAGCCCTCTGAATAATTAACAGTGAAG
Source organism: Homo sapiens (assembly GCF_000001405.40). Taxonomy (NCBI): domain Eukaryota; kingdom Metazoa; phylum Chordata; class Mammalia; order Primates; family Hominidae; genus Homo; species Homo sapiens. The sequence continues at coordinate 119,497,925 of NC_000012.12, read as the reverse complement.
CTCATTTAAGTTGGTTCTGCCTGCCTCTCCCCCGAGTAATCAAATTAGGGGATATTTAAAATCCAGCCAGAAGAAGGAGCAATCCTTCAGTCCTATAAACAATATTTAAACTAGCAGTGCTTTTGAAGTCTGATTTAAGGTTCACCCACTGGAAGCTTTAGTGTTTTTTTTTTTTCACTTTGGAGCATTTCTTTCAAGACCACAGGGCTTTTCGCATTTCCCTTTGCTAACGCAGCCCCTGCTGAGCCTCCAGCCTTCTTCTCGAAGTTCAAAAGCAACCCCCTTTCCCCTTTTAAAATTAAATCTGGTCCCAGCAAAGCTTTCAAAATCTTAACTATTCAGGTCCAATCGGGAAGATGGAAGTTTTCCACTAATGCTGACTTCCAAGATGACCTGAAATCTATTGCGACTTCAAGCAGCAGGCTAAATGAGTTCAAAATGCAGCAAGATTCCCACAGACCTTAAAAAGCTCGGAGCCCTTGCTCTTGCAAACCCATTGATAAAGAAAAGGCCTGGTTAGCTGGAATCGGTCTTTCTGATGTTTCATTTTCAGTAGCAAATAACCCAAAAAGGAAGATCAATAGGGGAAGGAAGAAAAAAATAAAACCACCTAAGCTGCATCATCCATTGCATACCTTGTGGAGGAGGGCAGAGAGGGTTGGTGGTCCTTCCCCCTGGCCTGGTGGGGTAAGCATTAGTGCCATCGACCAAATAGTTCCAGGCCTTCTCTGCTCTCTGAAGGCAAGTGTAGCACTGTGACTTGCTTTGTTCAAAAATACATGAGTGAAAGTGACATGTGGGACTTCGGGTAGATGATTTAATAGCTAGTCCTGAAGTCATCGGATTCCTTTTTCTGCCTCGTTGATGGTGGAAGCTTCTATCAGCATGAGTCCCTGAGTAACTACAGAGTAGAGCCTCCCTGTTGGATTTGAAAGGTGAGCCAAGGAACAAGCTTTTTTTGCCTTAAACTGCTGAGATTTGGGGGTTGTTCATTATGGCAGCCTAACTTACTTAGCTCACCCATTTAATATCCTTGTGATTTACTGTCTGTGTGACCTCGGGCAAGTCTCCGAGTATCAAGGCCAGGAAAGTGTTATCTTAGTGGTTAAGAGTGAATTTAACAATAGGTTGGACCAGCTGTTCGAGTCCTCTGTCTTCCCCACTGCTTCCTACATGTGTGACTTGGTGTAAGTAATTTAGTCTCTCTGAACCTCACTGTCCTCATCTGTAAAATGGGGGAATAATAGCAGCTATGACAAAGGATTGCCGTGAAGATGAAAAGAAATGGGGCTTATTAAGGGCTTCATGGGTGCTGTGTACAGAGAGCTGAATACAGTTCAGCTATTAACAACAATAACCTTCTCTTTTCAACAGAGATTTACTGTGGCTTAGAGGAGGAGCTGATGGTAGACAACAGGGTACTAGGGCAGATCCTTGGGGGAGATGTAGCTATAACTTTCAGACCGTAATTTTCCCCTGCTGAAGCTTCCTAGGGGATCCTATTTGCCAGAAATCAAGGGAATAGGGCGCTGAGCACTGTCAAATCTCTTTTAACTATATCCGCCAAGCACATTTTGTTCCAGGCTGTCACTTGAAGATGTCTATCCACAGTGGCAATTCAGAGCAATTTTCTCAAATACTTCGTGCTCTCTTTCTGAACTCCCATCTGGGGTAAAACATCTGCTTCCCAGGGTGGAAAGCTGTAGGCTAGGTTAGGACGTGCTCATATGTCCATGACGGAGGGGAAGAGCTGCTGATTCTGCAGCAGGGCGGGGGCAGAGGTCAAAGCTCTGGGGACTTCCTGGACCAGGTGGTTCCATCCTACCTCCTGAGTGATGATCTGATCCTCCTGCCACATTCTCCCACTCCACAGAGATGTCCACTGGAGTACCACAGTGGAGGAGCCATGCAATTAAATCAGTGCAAAGAGGAGAGCAGGGGAAATCAGAGATTTCACTCATATGTCACTGTCTGAGTGAGTCTTTCCTTGATGACCCAATTTAAAACTCCCCTGCCCATCACTAGCACATCACCCATCAATTTCTTCATGACACATTGCTATCTCAAAGTATCTTGATTATTGCATGTTTATCATCTGTTGCTTCCCTCACCCCCTGTAGAATGGAAGCTCCTGAGAGCTGGGGTGTTGTCTGTTTTCTTCACGGCAGTATTCCCACTAGTGCCTGGAAAAGCCAGGCTTGAGGAAAGTGAGATTTTCTTGGTTGTGGGGGGAGGAGTACCACAAGATAAGGGAAAACTAATTTAAATATAAACAATTTAAATTTTAAAAATGCTATTATGAGTGCTGCTCAGAACGATTGCGACAGTATTTCATGGAAGCAAAAACTTGGAAAAGACGTAAAGGTCTTGGAATATTGGTTAAATATGTTTCAGTACATTCGTATGCTGATAAACGCCACAGCAGAGGTTCAGATCTGGAGAGATGCTCCTTATATACTAAGGCAAACAGCAAAAATTTAGTTTCAAAACAGTATGTGCAAAATGGCACTTGAAATTATTTTATAAAAGAAAATTGCAGTTTATATGTGATAACATCTCGGTAAGTCGAGTCCCTTTTGTATCCTGGGGCCTCCCAGAAAGTACCACATTGTAATAAGATCTTCTTTTCTTCGAGGCGGGGCATCAGATTATTCTCTAAGTTGATTAAAGACTTTGGGATTTACCTACAGAGAAACAACCATTTGGGGGTGAAGCACCCATACTTTGCAGCAAGGTTACCTGGGTTCGAATCCTGCCTTACCTTTTGCTAGCTGTGCAACTTTGAGCAAATTAATTTTCTATGCCTCAGTTTCCTTATTGGTAAGTTGGAATGAGGCTTAAATGAGGTAATACACCCAGAGCAGTGCTTGACATAGAAAGCACTCAAGTGCCAGCCATTTTCATCATAAAACAGTAGATGGATTTTGATGTTTGTGTCATATTTGAGACGGAGATTTGCTTTTGTTGCCCAGGCTGGAGTGCAATGGCATGATCTCGGCTCACCGCAACTTCCACCTCCCAGGTTCAAGCAATTCTCTTGCCTCAGCCTTCCCAAGTAGCTGGGATTATAGGCATGTGCCACCAAGCCTGGCTAATTTTGTATTTTTAGTAGAGATGGGGTTTCTCCGTGTGGGTCAGGCTGGTCTCGAACTCCTGTCCTCAGGTGATCTGCCCACCTCGGCCTCCCAAAGTGCTGGGATTACAGGCATGAGCCACCACGCCTGGCTGATGTTTGTGTCATATTTGAAACCTCAAAGTGTGGTTGGTTGCCTTTTACTCATATGTGTATTTCTAAAGGAAGGGTGGATTTTTTGTGCCTGGACAGCCCAGCCCTTGAATGTCTGGTGTCTCTTAAGAGTAAGGATTACAAGAGTCAGGATTATAAGAATCAGGATTGTAAGCGTAGGGATTACACCCACTTGGTCTCCCCACTAAACAGTGGGCCCAGTGGTGTCTCTCTGGACAGCCTGAAGCAATAAGACGTAGACAACTGTACTGCCCCTGTGGCACCAGGGGAAAGCACAGGACTCTGGGGACTCGAGCCTGTTGGAACAACTCCTTTGAGGTGTGTGCTGTACCTGCTGGAAGGTTAGTAGGTAACTCTTCACTCCCTTCTTTGGCCAGGGGTCTGGCCTGTTTCTTCTCCACTGTAACTAGGGAAGATGGCCACAGGGGTAGGGGAGGCAGCATTAGAGCTTGTCAAATTTCCCCACAGCTGATGTCTGTGACTCTGTAAAAGTCTACTCATTTCTAGGTAGGTCTTCGGTTGGTTCTTGGAAATTTGGTCTCTAATAAGAATAAAATCAATACAGGTTCACAACCACTTAACCAATTCCAAAATCCAAAGAGTCTTTAAACCAAAACAATTTAAATGGCTTATTTGGTAGCAAAGCATGACAGAAACTGATGGGAGGCTGTTAGTGGCCTTTTTTTGACCTTTGTTATGCACTTAAGATAAATATTCACTTATTTGTTTTCTGCAGAAATATTGTGTTTGATGACAGGCCCCTCTGGGAGTGTGATGTTCTATATGGCACATGTATCATATTTCCTTTTTAAAATGCAAAAACAAAACAAAACAAAACAAAAAAAACCCTCAGAATTCTGAAATGCAGTTGGCCCTAAGGGTTTGAATAAATACTTATGGGCATTCATGAAAAAATCAGATCCTACTTTGCCTAAAAAGAGGCTTATATCTCTTGGAGAAACGTAATTGGCACATTCATTATTGAAGGGTTGGTTTCAATTTCTACTGTGGACCCGATCATCTTGTCAATTGAAATAAACTCTCTTGTTAGCAGTGGAATTAACAAGGATGCTGAGAAATGATAGTGATAATGTGTTTAAATTGCCACATGATGAAATTGGGAAGTTGAGGAGTTTTTTTTTTTCTCAATAAAGCAGAGACTCAGATGCAACTCATAATGACACCCTAAAATCTGTCATCTGTCCATTCACCCAAACATCCACCAATCCATCCAAATATGAGATCATCCTGCAACTAACAAAGATTGTTCTTCTGCTTGCAGCACAGTAACTGCCGGTTAGTGAAATTTTGCTGCCTGTAGAAAGCCCTCATTGAGGTATCGAACCACTCCGACTTTCTTCCTATAAAATCCATAAGGGGGAGGGATTGGGTCTACAGCTGTCATTATGCCTAACTGAAATGGAGCCTCTGGGATCTACAGGTCCCCAAGGATGGATATCTCCTTTTGGAAAATGCACGGTGGGTGTCAGGGCTCAGGGTTTAAGTGTCAAAATGCTTTAGTAACAGGAGATACTGGTTGCTTGATGATGGAGACTCAGAAAAGCACAGTCAGGAGAACTGGAGATTAGGTATTACCTTCTTGGGCTCATTACCTGGGTTGTTTATCTTTGCAACTAGGTTTTGGGCAACCTTCTGTAGCCTTTTTTCCCTGTTTGCATACTTGTCTGTTCACCCAGTGAACATAGGTCTCACCTGTTGGTAAAATTCTGCTCAGAAGTTCCTTTCTTTCCTAGCCTTCAGTCTCAATGGTACTGATAATCGTACACCTAACTTCTCTTTAAAATAGGGATTTTTACATTTTATAGCTGTTATTTAATGAACATTCATTGTGTTCCCAGATATTAGGCTAAATCCTCTATGGACTTGATTTTGCTTAATTCTTACAATAACTTCTGAGGCAGGAACACATTTAACCAATGAAGAAACAGAGGGCCAGAGATGTCAAGTGACTTGCCCAAGGTCACACAGCTATTAAGTGGCAGAGCTTTGACTCATCTGGGTTCATCTGATGCTAAACCCTTTGCTCTTAATCACTCTAATCCCTCTGGGTTTAAAAAAATGCACTTGAAGATTTGGGGAAATTCACACTGCTGCATAAGGGTGAAACGTCATAAATAGGGATTAAGTGTTGAAGAGAAGAGCTCTTTCTGCTTTCTTATAACTGAAAAGGTGTTTTCTTATACTTTATAGAGAACTTAAACTGCCCCCCAGATTCATAATTTTTAAAAATGAATCCCGAACAGTGGTGTGCTGGAGCTGGCTCATAGTGGCTCATAAGAACGGATTCTGTACCTCTCTTCCCAACTCCAAGTTCGGTGATACCATGTTGGTAAGATTGAAATCAGCCACGGTGGGAGTATTTACACCGTGGAAATTGGCATTGTCACAAATCATTGTTCTTCACCTCCTAGAGAACTGGTTGTTAAAACATTTACCAGCATTGTCATTGACCCTAAACTAAAATGCCCACCAGGAAGAAATAGTCAGCTAGAAAAAACAACCCCAACAAATACCGTGACTTCCTATGTTAATCTTCCTGGACTGCATTTTTTACCTCAGGTGGCTAGGTCTGGTTCAGGTTCTGATTTTATAGAGCTGGGCATCCTCGGAGCGCTGATAGAATTCTGCCACTACAAGTCATGGTAGAACATCTGCTACTCTCAATGTGACCACTACGTCTTTTTACTGCAGTTAACAATTTTTGGTCACGTTCTGAGCACATTTCTAAAACCAACCAAAGGAAAGAAACATGGCCCTTTTTCTCTTCTCAATCCAAATTCCACATGATGTTCTTTTCTCAGTTTTGGAGAATGGGTGCCCACATGTAGGAGGAAAATGTTGCTGTTGGTGGTTTGTTTAGGGAGATGAAATGCTGTCAGGAGCCCTCTGGCTCAGAGGCCTTTTTCTTAGAATGTAAGCAATCAAGTAAGGAAAAAAAAAAAAAAGATATTGCTTTTACCTAGTGATTCTCCTTCCCGGAATCCAGCTAACAGAAACACTTGTAACTGGGCATAAAAGATATGTGTAAGGGGCCGGGCACAGTGGCTCATGCCTGTAATCCCAGCACTTTGGGAGGCTGAGGTGGGCAGATCACGAGGTCAGGAGATCGAGACCATCCTGGCTAACATGGTGAAACCCTGTCTCCACTAAAAATACAAAAAATTAGCCGGGCGTGGTGGCGGGCACCTGTAGTCCCAGCTGCTCAGGAGGCTGAGGCAGGAGAATGGCGTGAACCCAGGAGGCGGAGGTTGCAGTGAGCCGAGATCGCGCCATTGTACTCCAGCCTGGGCGACAGAGCGAGACTCCATCTCAAAAACAAAAACAAAAACAAACAAACAAACAAAAAGAGATGTGTAAGGATATTCCACACAGTACTACTTGAAATGTCAAAAATTGGGAAATGACCTCAGTGTCTGTTAATAAAGAAATGGTGTATATTCCATCCATATGATAGAATATTCTGCTGCCATTGAAAGAATGTGTAAACCTGTGTATACCATCATGGAAAGATGCCTATTGGTTATTGTAAAGGGGAAAATCATGTAGAGAACAATATGCAGATATGATCCTATTTCTGTTAAAAAATGTGACTGTTTATGTTTATAAAAGGAAGGCATTAGAAAGATTTGGAAGGACATATCATAGACTTTTAAAAGGAGTTTTCTTTAAGAAGGGGATTTCAGGGAGGGAATAAAGGCTTTCATACTTTATATACTTATACATTTTTTGAAAGATTTCCATAAGCATAAATTGTATTCACTTATTACTTGAGCAGTTTTATTTTAGAGAAAAATAAATAGCCTGTAATCCCAGCTACTTGGGATGCTGAGGCAGGAGGATTGCTTGAGGGCATGAGCTAGACACCAGCCTGGGCAACATAGCAAGACACCATCTCTAAAAAACTTAAAAAACAATTAGCCAGGTATGATGGCAGGTGTGGTGGCATTCACCTGTAGTACTAGCTACCTGGGAGGCTGAGGCAGGAGGATTGTTTGAGCCCAGGAGTTCGAGGCTGTGGTGAGCCATGATTGTGACACTGTACTCTAGCCTGGGCAACAGAGCAAGACCCTCATCTCTTTAAAAAAAAAAAGAAGAAGAAGGCATGAAAAATGTTTTAAGGCTGTGGTTTTCAAGGAAATTCTGGAAGCCACAAAGACATTTTGGAAATAACTAGGGTGCCGTGATGGGGATAGAAGTAAGTTGGAGGGGTCCCAGGTCTCCCAGGCTCCCAAACCTCTTGCTTCATGAAGAACTTCCATTTAGAAAAGTCTGTTTTACATTACAGAGGTTTCTATTTAAAAAAAAATGAGGTCTGCTGCTTAAAAAAATAAAGTCTGTCAACCACTTGTATCAAAAGAGACTGTAGTTTTAAAATTATCCCAACCAAAAACACTGAATTGATTGGAGTTACTGATCTATCAATGGATGCATGATATTGCTGGTTGCATTTGAGGTTAGTTTCTCTGGGTCCTGGTGTAAGAGATGACTTGGGGGTGGAGGAGATCTAGGGGATGGGTAATAAATGTCTTCAAGAGGAAGAAGTTAATTAAGACTTAACGTTTGGCCGGGCGCGGTGGCTCACGCCTGTAATCCCAATACTTTGGGAGGCCGAGGCAGGCGGATCATGAGGTCAAGAGATTGAGACCATCCTGGCCAACATGGTGAAACCCCGTCTCTACGAAAAATACAAAAATTAGCTGGGCATGGTGGTGCATGTCTGTAGTCCCAGCTACTCGGGAGGCTGAGGCAGGAGAATCGCTTGAACCCGGGAGATGGAGGTTGCAGTGAGCCGAGATTGCGTCACCGTACTCTGGCCTGGTGACAGAGCAAGACTCTGTCTAAAAAAAAAAAAGACTCAGGTTTTGGGAAGAGGAAGACTGGATCCACCTGGGAGGCAGGACTATGGGAGGGCATGGGTTAGCACGGGGGGTGGGGAACTATTTTATTTAACTCAGCCTCTGATTTTCACAGTGAAAAACTGATTCTTCAAGTCAGGGTTCTTTACTTTTGTTTGTCCTCTTCTTGCAAACAACCTGACCCTTCTTAAAGAACCAATGCCTTTACATGCCTGTCTGTTCTTTGTTCTGCCCTGTGTGTACAATGCTGTTCCTGCAACAGTGGCGTCCAAGCTTTTATGTGAGCTCTCTCCTCTGGTGCGGACACCTAACGCTTCTCTTGACCTAGACAACATGTTCTGGAGCTTCTGCCTGTACAAACCCAGCTGCTCCAGGGAACTGAATACCAAATATTCCCTTGGGTCCAAGTGGAGAAGTAGCCACCAATGTATATTAAGCAACAAAAAGACCAAAGCAAAACAAAACACAACCTTGAAAGAAAGGATAAAAACAAAAACAAAAAGAAAAGAAAGATTAAAAGGGAGGGAAAGGAGGAGGAAAAGGAAGAAGAATAAAGAATAGTGTAGGGAGACGCAGTCCAAGAAGAGAGTTGGAGAGCAGTCAAGCTGTGGATCCAGTGATGTGCTTCCATAGCTTGCCAATTTCTGTGGTGTAAATACTCCCATGTGGCTGGCTGATTTCAAGCTACCCATGTGATGTCACTGAATGTGGAGTTGGGAAGAGATGTGGGAAGGAGATGCACACAACCGGCTCCCACGAATCTGCATAAGCTGTCTCTAGTTCTCCCCTGTTCAGATCCCACAGAGCACATAGAAGAGGAACTGAAACAGCCCACCTACCAAAAACAGCAAAGGGAGTGGAAGAACATACAGGAATCTCTTCCCCACTGCCCAGCCTACTGCTAGTCTAAGACAAGTTGAAGGGCTGAGGCATACTTTGGGTTCCAGCAGGTGATCACAGGCTTCATGGTGTGGTGGGTGTGGTCAATAGTCAGGGCCTCCAGAAGCCAGTGGAGAGCACAGAGCTGGCGGAAGAGGGGCTCGCTGCAAAGACAGAGAGAGGGAACACAGTGGGATCCTGTTAGAACAACTTTCTTCGCAAAAATAGCCACAGAAATAGTAGTGGTACTTGCTCCCAGTGAGGGAGCAGGCACCATGCTCCAGGCATGCGCAAGTATTTTGCATGTATCATCTCATTTGGCCTTTGCAATGGGCCCATGAGATATTCTGTAGCCCATTTTACAGATGAGGAATCAGAGGCTCACAGGACTTTAGGAAGTTGTGCCAGGTCACCAGGCCAGTAGGTGATAGAGCCCATTTGAAATGAGATTATCCAATGCCAGTTACTGAGAATTTGTATATATAGCAGGGAGAGAAACAAGAAGGGGTCCCCCAGCTGGAAGTCTTGACTCAGGCAAATGAGAGGCTTCAAGGAAATCAGCATCCTATGTATGTCCAATTGTTAATCTGATAAAAGTACAATAAATAAACTAAGAGTGTGTAAAAAGTCTGGAAACTCAGGGAAACTAGTGTATTAATTGTTCTTCTCCCCCCAGATTAAAAATGGGATGCATTGCTTTACATTTATGAGTCCTTTGCCTGAAAATGTAGCTGGGTTTTGAAGAAAAACACAAAGAGCATATTACTTGAAAATATTCACTAAAACACTGTTTAAAAATATGTCTCAGGCTGGGAATGATGGCGCATTTGTGTAATCCCAGCACTTTGAGAGGCTGAGGCGGGTGGGTTGCTTGATCTCAGGAGTTTGAGACTAGCCTACAAAAAATACAAAAATGAGCTGGGTGTGGTGGCATGCACCTGTGATCCCTGCTACTTGGGAGGCTGGGGTAAGAGGATCGCTTGAGCCAGGGAGGTCAAGGCTGTAGTGAGCCAAGGTCACACCACTGCATGCCAGTCTGGGTGACAGAGTGAGACTGTCTTAAACAACAAAACCACATATGTCTCACCTACATTTTCTGATTTTTTGGACACTTTGTATTAAACACCTACAAGGAGGCAGGTATTGATGGGGGCACTTTATACACATTATTTAATTCTTCCTACAACCTGCTGGAGTATGAATTATTATGCACATTTTAGAGAAGGGGAAACTGAGGCTCAGAGAGGTGCCATCACTTTGCTTAAGGTCACAGAGCCTGTTGGTGACTGAGATGGTTCTCAGTATCTCATTTAAAGCTCACAACGAGGCCAGGCACGGTGGCTCACTCTTGTAATCCCAGCACTTTGGGAAGCTGAGGCAGGCGGATTACTAGGTCAGGAGTTCAAGACCAGCCTGGCCAACATGGTGAAACCCCCATCTCTATTAAAAATACAAAAATTAGCTGTGCACGGTGGCAGGCCCCTGTAATCCCAGCTACTCGGGAGGCTAAGGCAGGAGAATTGCTTGAGCCTGAGAGGCGGAGGTGGCAGTGAGCCGAGATCATGCCACTGCACTCCAGCCTGGGTGACAGAGCAAGACTTCATCTCGGAAAAAAAAAAAAAAAAGCTCACAACAATCCTTTAGGTAATATACCGCTCCCACCTCCTCTTTACAATGGGGGATGGGAGGCTCAGAGAGGGGCAATGAGTGACTTGAGGTCACACTGCTAGGATTAGTGAGAATTTGAACCAGTGTCAATTTAACTCCATGTCTGTGCTCTCACGGGCCTGGGCTCTGAGGAGGTGCTGATGAAGCTGATGCAGTGGTCACCCCAAGAGCGAGGTCAGGAGAGGGTTAACCTGCTGCCTGCCTTTTTCCTGGAAACAAGGTGGAGTCCTGGCCAGCCACCCCCCTCCCCGCAAGATTTCTCCTCTTAACACTAATGGGCCAGATGCCTCCATTAAGAACCTGTGTAATTGCTCTTCTCTGAAACTGCATCCTGCCCTCATCAACACTCCCCAGGGTTCCTAGGCCTGGTGTTTTCAGGGTCAGGAAGGTATCTCTACTCTCTGTTTCCAGGAAGGCACCACTTCAGAAGGTGATACCCAATCCCTGGGCTCAAGTGTGGAGCTGGCCCAGGGTTATCCCGGCTAATCCTTGAGAGGCATGCATTTGCTTAGCTTGAAGGGGAACAGCCCTGCCCTACCCCATCCCCTCACCTCTGTGTACTAGGGTGGCTGTATCCACCAGGTCTTTGGAAAACTACCATGAGAAACTCTCTTTCCTTTCTTCCCTGGAGTCTTTTCCTTCTACAGATTATCTACTAAGCGCCTACTATTCCTTTACTTCTAATTTAAAGGACTTGTAAGCCCACAGCTTTTTCAATTTTTTTTATTAAATAAAACATTTGTTTAAGAGACAGGCTCTCATTCTGTCACCAGGCTGCAGCCTCCAACTCCTGGGCTTAAGTGATCCTCCTGCCTCAGTTTCCAGAGTAGCTGGGACTACAGACATGCATCACCATGCCCAGCTAATTTTTATTTTTTTTTGTAGAGATGGGGACTTCCTACGTTGCCTAGGCTAGCGTCAAACTCCTGGCCTCCAGCGGTCCTCCTGCCTTGGCCTCCCAAAGCTCTGGGATTATAGGTATGAGCTATTGCACCTGACCCCTTTTCAGTTATTGTCTCTTTCTTCTCCCATAACACCTTCTTGGGCCCTACAGGTGACAGCATTTTGGTAGGTCTGGGTACATAGGCCATGTCCAGCATTTAGCAATAGCAGCAGCTAGCTGTGCCACATGCCTGGCACTGGGCCATGAGCACCTCACTATACCCTCCCCATAACCCTAGGAGGTTGTGAGAGGCCGGGGGAGAGGCCTATGGGTTCTTCTGTTTTGCAGCTTGGAGCCCCTGCAGGCCTGGGCTTTGGGATATGTGGGGTGGGGAGGGAAATGAACAAAGGAAGTGAATTGGTGAGATGGGGTCTGCTTGGTCACAAGGTGGTGGAGGGGAAGCGGGGCATGTGAGCATCAGATTCATTTCTGCAGATGACAACAACGGATGCAAACCTGACCCTCTCCCTCTCTTGCTTAAAATCTTCAAACTTCCTAAATAATTTGTAATTGGCTGAATTGTGGACATACCAGATTCATTTGTTGAAATTCGAACCTCTGTACCTCAGCGTGTGACTGTGTTAGGAGATGGGACCTTTAAAGAGTGGATTCACTTATAAATGAAGCCATTAGGGTGGTCCCTAATCTAATCTGACTGGTGTCCTTATAAGAGGAGGAGATTTGGACGCCTAAAGAGACGCCAGGGCTGCGAGCACTGAGAAAAAGACCATATGAGGACACAGAGAAGACAGGGAGAGAGCGATCCTCCAACCTCGAGAGGGTTGGGAGAAACCAACGCTGACAGCACCTTGATCTTGGGCTTTCAGCCTCCAGAACCATGAGGAAATACGTTTCTGTTCTTTAAGCCACCCAGTCTAGTAGTTTACTATGGCAGCCCCAGCAAACTAATCCACTGACACACATGAGGCCCCGTCCGCCTCTCCAGCCTGGAGTTGTCCTGTCTGTTCCTTGTGCTACCACCTGCAGCCTGGCAAAAATCCACTCAGTCACTCAAGCTCACCATGCTTGCTCTTTGCACCATCCATGTTAAACTTCTAGCTTTGCCATCTACTGGCCCTGTGGCCTTGGCCAAATTACTTAACTTCTTTGAGCCTCAGTTTTCTTATCTGTAAAATGGTGGTAATTGCAGTACCTCTCTTAAAAGGCGAGAGTGAGGGTGAGGTGATGTGCTTAGCACTGTTCCCTGCTCCTGATACATATTCCTGCTCCTCTTCCTTCTTGACTCTCAGTGATTGGGCTTCAGCTCTCATCTCCATCCGGAAGCCTTCCTTGATTGCTCTGGGTCTGGGCTGGGCTCACTCTAAGGAGGTTCTAAAGCATCCCCATCCCTACAATATGTCCTCCCTGTCCTCACCTTTGGGTTCCTGCTCTGCTGTAACTACCTGATTACTTGACTTTCCAGACCGTGAGCCTACAACCTACAGAGTCCTGTCCACCACAGGGTGCTCTGTGCTCTGCACAGAGTCAGCTCAATAGATTTTTCAGTTACTGATGGAAAATGGTGGGAATGAATTGGTTCAGATCTGATATTTTTCTGAACTGATAACTTGAGCACAATTCTTTTTTTTTATTTTTTTTGAGACAGGGTCTCACTCTGTTGCCCAGGATGGAGTGCGGTGGCGTGATTTTGGCACACTGCAGCCTCTGCCTCCTGGGCACAAGCGATCCTCCTACTTCAGTCTTCTGAGTGGCTGGGACTACAGGCATGTGACACCTGCCCAGACAGTTTTTGTATTTTGTAGAGATGGGGTTTTGCCATGTTGCCCAGGCTGGTCTCAAACTCCTGGGCTCAAGCGATCCGCCTGCCTCAGTTTCCCAAAGTGCTGGGATTACAGACGTGAGCCACTGCACCTGTACTTGAGCACAATTCTTATACACAGAACCATTGAGATAATAAAGAGTAGTAACAAAAACAACAACAACAGAACAACGAAGTAATACTAATGGTAAATATTTCCCATAAGAGTCCTTACTCTATGCCAGACCACTGTTCTAAGTGCCCAATATCCATTAACTAAGTTCATTCTTATAAAATCCTGTGAAGAAGGTACTATTATTATCCCCGTTTTGCAGATGAGGAAACTGAGGCATAAAGGGCCTCAGTGACTTATCCAAGGTCACAAAAGACAGCAAATGGCAGAGTTGGAATGTGAGCCCAGGCAGTCTGGCTTCTGAATTCGTGCTCTTAATGAAAATGTGGATGTTGTCTCTTGTTACAGGGTAGAGACTCCCTTTTCATCAGAATAGGGTTTCATCTGATAGATCTGGTCCTTTTTCTCTGTTTATAAAAAGTGCCCTAAACCTGATGATTGCTCTTCTAATCTGCAGTGAAACAAATTAAAAAAAAAAAAAAGTCCCCAGAAGCATGCTTGATAGAAATCGGTCTTTTCTCATAATGATCATGTGTCAGGTCATAGCATAGTATCTTGGATTTTATCAAATTAGAAGAGAGAACATTTATTTTTTTAAATGCAGGGAATAAGAGGTGAAAATGCTGAACAGGGTTACACAAAGCCTGCTTCTGAAGTCCCTGAGCTCAGAACTCCGGGCGAGTGCCAGCAGTCAGCACACCTGAATAGCTCACTCTATTAAAACTACTGTACCAACCAGAATCCTAGTGGGCATAAACATCTCTGAGAAGAAAGCATTTTTTTTTCTTTTACAAGAGAAATTGGAAAATGCATTCAAAGCCATTCCAAGCACCCCGTGCTGATTGCCAAGGGCAAATCTCGACACAGGTTGCAGGCATTGCCCTTGCTGCCCAATCACTCATTAAAGGCTGTGGGGCACAGCCCAGTCATCTAGGAGGGAAAAACGAGGGGCTGCTTCTCATTCCTAGAGACCACTCCCTTCCCTTTTTAAAGATAAAGGTCAGTCTCTTGTTACATGATTGAATTGATCCCTACACAGTCGATTTGGAATTATCAGCCACTTTTGGGATCGATCACACAGGGACTGAAGGGACTGACCAGGCTCTGATCCGCATTGGCTGATGTGACAACTGAAAATTCAGGAATTATCAGGCAGGGCCAGCCCTGGTGCCTTTTGGTAGACTGATGACAACAATGCCATCCCTCTCTGCTTTGCACACTTTGGGATGTGACTTTGCTGCTTCCCCCCAACAAGAAGGGAAGTCTTTCCCCATACTTCTTGTATCTAGGCTGGCCTGGTGACTTGCTTTGGCCAGTGGAATGTGGTGAGAGGGTAACTGTGTTCATTCTGAGCCTAGTTCACAGATGGAAAATGCAATAATCATCACCAGCACCATCATCATCACTGTCATTGCCCTCAAGGGGCTTTGGGTACTTAGGATCTTGTTCTTGGAACCCTTTCTGCTTGCCATGTGAACAAGTCTGAGTTTGCTTGCTGGGTATTGAGAGACATTCAGCATCTCACCCATGTCACCCTGGCCACCAACCAACTAACCAAGACTTATGAATGAGACCATTCGAGATCAGCCAACCTCCAGCTCACCCATCAGCTGGGTGTACACACATAAGCACATCCAGCCAAGATCAGCCGAGCCAACCTGACCAGCAGAACCACCCTGCTGACATGTAGACTTAGGAGCAATACTAAATCGTTGTTTTAAGCCACTCCATGTCGAGGTGATCTGTAATACAGCCATAGCTTACTAATAAAGTCATCAAATGCAGCCAGAGCCTTTGAACAGCTGAGGATAAGAAAAGGCAGCCTTCAGTGCTGGACAGGGACTACAGCAAACTACAGCCTGTGGGCCTGCCACTTTGGTTTTGTAAATAAAACTTTATTGGAACATAGCCACATCCATTGTTGTAGTTTTCATGCTGCAACAGCAAAGTTAAGTGGTTGCAAGGAATACCACCTGGTCAGCAAAGCCTAAAATTTTTACTGTCTGGCCCTTTAAAGAAAAGTTTGCTGACCCCTGGTCCAATACAAATATGAACCACATCCACTGTGATAATAATAATAATAATAATAGTAATAGCCTATGTAACAAACCTGGTGTAAAGATCTGACTTAGCTGTCAGGAGATCAAGATTCCTGTTGTGAATTTGCAATTGCAAAAATGTGGAACCAACCCAAATGGCCATCAATCAATGAGTGGATAAAGAAGCTGTGGCATATATATATGTGTGTGTGTGTGTGTGTATGTGTGTGTGTGTGTATATATATGTGTATATATATGTATATATATGTGTGTATATATGTGTATATATATATATATGGATGAGTAGTATTCCATCATATATATACACACATATATATACATATATATACACACATATATACATATATATATACTATATATACATATATATATACATATATATACTATATATATATGATGGAATACTGCTCATCCATATAAAGGAGTGAATTTATGGTATTTGCAGCAATTTGGATGAGGTTGAAGACTATTATTCTAAGTGAAGTAACTCAGGAATGGAAAACCAAACATACTGTGTTCTCACTCATAAGTAGAGCTAAGGTATGATGATGCAAAGGCATAAGAATGACACAGTGGACTTTGGGGACTCAAGGGAAAGGGGTGGGAAGGAGGTGAGGGATAAAAGACTACAAATTGGCTGCAGTGTATATGGCCCAGGTGATGGGTGCACCAAAATCTCACAAATCACCACTAAAGAAATGATGTAACCAAACACCACCTGTTCCCCAAAAACCTATGGAAATAAAAAAATTAAAAAAAAAGATTCCTGTTGTGAGACTTTTGGCAGGTTCTTCCCCCTTTCTGGGCTTTAGTTTTCCCATCTGACATTGACAGAAGATGGGTAAGAAACTCTCTTCATAGCTGATTTAAGTAAGCCTCAATGGCTCAGACCAAATAAATTGTGGATTGGGCTCAGGAATATGCATTCTCAGAAACATTTCCTCCCTGCTCTCCCCCACCCCCAGACGATTCAGATGCAAGTGAAAGCCCACTGGTTCTATTCCAATTGGTTTCAGAAGTCTTGTCCATGGGAGAGATGGGCAGAAGTGCAAGTGTACTGAAGAGACATCATGAGAAATTGCAAGGCCTATTTTTGCAAGGAGATGCTTTAAGAACATCAAGCTTAGGCTGCCAGCTGGAATATTATAATCATAATACCAATCAAAGAGAGGTAGGGGGACAGTGGGATGGGATGGAGTGGGATAGGGCTCATTAATGACTGAAATATTAGGGAGGGATAAGGATGTGTCCAACACAATGTGATGATGATGATGGTGATGATGATGATGGTGATGATGATGATGGTGGTGAGGATGATGGTGATGATGATGATGGTGGTGAGGACGATGGTGATGATGATGATGCTGGTGATGATGATGGTGATAATGATGGTGATGGTGATGATGGTGATGATGGTGGTGATGATGATGGTGATGATGATGGTGATGGTGAGGATGGTGGTGATGATGGTGGTGATGATGATGGTGATGGTGATGATGACAGTGATGATGGTGGTGAGGATGATGGTGGTGATGATGGTGGTGAGGATGATGGTGACGATGGTGGTGATGATGATGGTGATGATGATGGTGATGATGATGATGGTGAGGATGATGGTGATGATGATGGTGGTGATGATGGTGGTGGTGAGGATGATGGTGATGATAATGGTGGTGAGGATGATGGTGATGATGATGATGCTGGTGATGATGATGGTGATAATGATGGTGATGGTGATGATGATGATGATGGTGATGGTGATGATGGTGATGAGGATGATGGTGATGATGATGATGGTGTTGGTGATGGTTTTTGCATCTTCCATTCATGAACTAAGTACTCTTATTAGTGATTTTCTTTTGTTTGCCATCTTATCCTATGATTTCACTCTTGTATTCTTTTACTCTTCAAGTATAGGAAACTTGGCTTGCCAAATATATTATGAGCTCCTTAAAGACAAGGCTTTGGGATATATGTTCTATGTAGTGTGTGGTGATGAAAGCTTGGGCTTTGCAGTCAGACCGACCTGACTCAGCAACACACTGACCTCTGTGACCCTGAATAGGTGAGTTTATGTCTCTGAGCTTCTGCTTTCCCATCTGCAGAGAGGGGATAATGATACACCTACACAACAGGGAGGCTGAGAGGACTGAGTGAGATAATGCTACAGAGTGATGAGGAGTGGCCATTATCACTGTGAACACTGTAGAAGCCTAATAAATATTTGACAAATGAGCAGACAGAGAAGTCTGGAATCATTGTATCACAGCTCTAAATGAATCCATTGCCCTAAAGCAGTGGTTCTCAATGTGGAGTGTGTGTGTGTGTGTGTGTGTGTGTGTGTGTGTGTGTGTGTGTGTGTGTATGATGTACGGTGGGGGCTCATGCACTTTTGCTCCCAGGGGACATTTGGTAATGTCTGGAGACATTTTTGGTTGTCAACACTGGTATCTAGTGGGTAGAGGCCATGGATGCGGCTAAACATCCTACAATACACAGGACAGCCTTTCACAACAAAGAATTAATTATTTCTCTCAAAATGTCAGCGGTGTCAAGGCTGAAAAACCCTGCCCTAAAGTCAGAAGCTTGTATCCCTGTGCCTGAAATCTTCCAGCTGAAAAGTGCTAACTGGTGAAAAAGAAAAAGTTGGGCTTGAGATTTGGAATAGACACAAGGGGAACAAGACATCAAGACTTTAGAAAGCAAGAGTGTTCTTTGGAAGGTTGATTAGTTCCTGTTGCACCACACAATGATGAGTTCATGCCTCAGGTCAGAAAACTGGATGGGCTTCTCTGGGAAACAGCTCCTTGAGTCTTGGGGAAAACATGCCCCTGAGCACAGGCTGAGATGTTCTCGCACACACTCGATGAGGGCTGTAGACAGATTTTATCAGGCTTTGCAAACTATTTGACATTAGAGCGTCTGGCTTGGCAAGAAATGAAATGACTCAGTCCCAGCTGATTTGCCACTTAGCTGTAAACCACTGTGTCTACTTTCTGTTATTTTTATATGCCAAATAGCTTTGCCAGCTCCAGGCTCCATGTCCCTTTCAAGAGGACAAAGGAACAGCTACTGACATGACAGCTCGTTGAGTCATTTCAGTTCGGCTTCAATTTATAAGCTAGCAAAGCAAATGAGCTGGAGGTGAGACTACTTACACGTGAGCCTCGGTTAGCGAGGGAGAAATGATGCAGCTGTGGATGGGAGTGAATGGGCGACGTGTGACTCTAGCTCCCAGTGTCTTCAACTTCTCATCATCATATGTGCTGAAGGACAAGCAGACAGAGAAACAATGTGAACAATGAGCAGTAGCTTTGAACACCTTCTTCTCTTGCCACGGTCTATTCGGCAGATATGACTGGACACTTACTATGTATCAGGCAAATAATTTCTGCTGGAGGGATGAGGGTTTCAGATGCAGTTCCTTAACAAAGCATATAAAAGTCCCTGCCCTCGGTCGGGTGCCGTGGCTCATGCCTGTAATCCCAGCACTTTGGGAGGCCGAGGCGGGTGGATCACAAGGTCAGGAGATCAAGACCATCCTGGCTAACACGGTGAAACCCTGTCTCTACTAAAAATACAAAAACAGCTGGGCGTGGTGGCAAGTGCCTGTAGTCCCAGCTACTCGGGAGGCTGAGGCAGGAGAATCTCTTGAACCCGGGAGGCAGAGGTTGCAGTGAGCTGAGATCGTGCCATTGCACTCCAGCCTGGGTGACAGAGTGAGACTCCGTCTCAAAAAAAAAAAAAAAAAAAAAAGTCCCTGCCTTATGGAGTATATAATCTCTAGAAGAGCCAAGAGAATAAACAAGATAAATCATGCGGCATACTAGTATATTATACTAGGGTTGGAAATGTTTGCTTCAAGGGCCAGACAAGGTATATTTTCAGCTGTGTTCTGGAAACAGCAATTTAATACCATATTTAGGTGTTTTTTCTTTCACCATTACAGCAGAGCAAATCATTTCCGTTATAGAAAATAGGATTTTTTTTGGGGGGGGGTGGTTGTTGTCATGCTTGAGTCATATGATATATATAGTTTGTTTGTTTGAGACAGAATCTCACTGTCACCCAGGCTGGAGTGCAGTGGCGTGATCTTGGCTCACTGCAACCTCTGCCTCCTAGGTTCAAGCAATTCTCGTGCCTCAGCCTCCCGAGTAGCTGGGATTACAGGCATGTGCCACCATGCCTGGCTACTTTTTTGTATTTTAAGTAGAGATGGGGTTTTGCTATGTTGGCCAGGCTGGTCTTGAACTCCTGTCCTCAAGTGATCCACCTGCCTTGGCCTCCCAAAGTGCTGGGATTACAGGCGTGAGACATTGCACCTGGCTGTGGGGTATATATTTTTCTGTCCATGGCCAAATTCAGCCCACAGATATATTTTAATTAATCCACTCTCTTTTTCTCTCTCTTTCTCTCTCTCTCTCCTCTCTCTCTCTGTGAGTGTGTGTGTGTGTGCGTGTGTGCAATTGAATCAATTGTCTGTATTTTAAAATTGGGAGATGTCACATAAAAATGAAAAAACTTTGGCCTTCAAAAAATTGAAAGCTCTGGCCACTCGGGACCTGTGTTTCTACACAAGAATGATGGGCCACAGACTGCTTTGAATGAGGTGTGTGCTTCTTCAGTTACCCCAAACACAAGCATCCCTGTTCTCACTCTCTGCCTTTCTTTCTAATTCATGCCATCTGCCTGTTACCTGAAGGCCTTTTAGTTTCTGAGCTGCAGTGTAAGTACTTTCATTGATTGGATCATTGACAGGTTCCCTGATTCATTCATTTCTACCAATAATTATTGAACCTCTTCTCTGAGCTGGGGGCTGCCAATACAGCAATGTATGAAACAGATGCAGCCTCTCCTCTTCCGAAGCTGAGTCTAGTGGGGGAGATGGGTACAACCAAACACACAGTTGTGATAAGTGTTCCAATAGAAAGTGCTTTAATAGCCTAGAATAGTAAATTTGACTGAAATGGAAACCAGGGAATACTGTACTTCCTTGAGGAAGTTGTGGAAATTTCAAAACATGTCCCCCAAATTCTTTGAAACTTCTCCAATCGAGAGGTAGGTCTATGTTCATTTGGCTCTGTGACCAGCTGACCTAACAGAATATGTCAGAAGTCATGTGATTCCGGGCACCAGGAACTGGCAACCTCTCCTTCCTGTGTCCTGGGATGCTCACTCAGCATTCAGCTGCCATGCTGTGGGGAAGCTGGCAGCCTGTGAGGAGGCCCACAGGGAAAGGAACCAAGCTCACGAACTGACAGCCAAATACAACTTGCCACCAATGTGAGTGAGCTGTCTTGGAAATGGGTCCTGTGAGCTGCCCCTCTGAGCCTTACTCAAATTGCAGATTTATGAGAGAAAGAAGTTCTGATTATCTTGAGTTAATAAGTTTTAGAGTGGGTGTTCATGGCAATAGTAACTGTAGCAGAAGTAAATATTGAGCTGAAATCTGAAGGTTGAATGGAAATTAACTGGGTAAATGGAGGAGGGAAAGACCTTCCAGCCAGAGGGAACAGCATGTGTAAAGACTCTGTAGAGGAGGCCATGTCATGAGTAAGAAAGTAGGAGAGTGTGGCTGGGTAGAGGGAGTAAAAGGAGGCTATGAGCTGGGGCTGGAGAGGCAAGCCACAGGCTAGACCATCCAGGGCCTTGGAACCCCTGCTGAGACTTTTGTGTTTACCCTGTGAGGAATGGCAACCATGGAGGGTGTTAGGCTGTGTGCAATTTATATTTTGAAAAGATCACTTAGCTTGGGGCTTAGTGTGGGGAATGGGATGGAGGGGGCCAGTGGAGATGATGCTGGGACACACGTTAGGGGTTTACCTTCCTCCTGGGAATTTGAGGATAATTCTGGAATCACAGAGTTAACAAAAATTAGGACCAGAATCTATGTCCTCCAATGTTCACTTCCACTGACTCTTTATTCAATCCTAGAGCTGAGAAAACCACAGCAAATACCTTGCTGTGACCTTTTCTTACTGGCTCAACCATGCTTCCAGTGGTTTAGGATATGTGGAAATTAACCCAGCTTTTACATCCCTAATCTCTGGTTTTATGTCTTCTCTCAACCACAATAATAAAACAAATTTTACCCGTCACTTTTTTTTCCACCTTTTCAGCTGAATCTGCAGCTGAAAAATGAGGTCACTGAGCACAGTGGGAAAGACTGCTTGCAGGCAGAAATCTTTGGGGATGTGCTTGATTTTTTTTTCCCTGCATAGTTTGTCAGACTTAAAATTTTTGTCTAAAAGAATGTATTCTATGGTCTTAGATCCAGAGAGGAGAAAATAATTCCTTTCGCTTTTATGATGCACAAGATCAAATACTTTGTTTAAAAAGTATTTATAAATGAAACTTGTATTTTTTATACTTTTGTGATTGGAATTTTATCTATAGAAGCATTGCTGTTAGATGTGAGATGCTTTTCAGCTTTCATGGAAATTAAGATTTTTAGCCATACATTTAAGGATTTTAGGTAACTGAGGCTCAGAGAGCTCAAACTCACTTTATTGCGTCATAATAGGAACAATTACTGAGCATGTCTTATACGTAGACTCTAGGCTAAGTATCATTTCATTTAATCCTCATAATAAGCTTGGGAGTTTGGTACCATTTATTTATGTACGTGAAGAAAAGGAGACTCAGAGAGGTACAGGGATTTGTTCAAAGTGAAACAGTTGTATGGGGGAAGTCCTAACGGGTTCCAAGGCTTGTGTACTTCACCACTACTACCCTGTCTGGGTGTAGACAATCTCCTAATGCTGTTTTATAACACCCTCCCACCCGCGCATTTGATGGCTACATTGCTGTAATGACTTCCAGTTTTATTTTAATAACCAGCCTTGTATAACTCATAGAACCTACCAGATAAGACATAACCAGACCAAAGTCTACAAGAGGAGCGATCTCATGCATATTTAAACTTATTAAACTTTAAATAAATCATTTCTCACACACTGAAACATGGATTGGAGAGGGGAGAATTGCGTTCTACGACCATGGATGAGAAACTCCATCCAAACAAGTGGAACAAGACACCCAAGCCATTTAAACAGGTACAGGAGTGTCTTTCATAGACACCATCTTTCCCCAGTGCTTTTTGGGTTTGCCTGTCAATCTGAGCATAGCTCCTGAAAAAAGAGCCATGAGTTCATGCCTTCTCTTTATTCCAGGGAAAGGCTGCCAGTCTGTCACTAGGAGTATCAGAATCTATGGGTGCCATTGAGTTTGGTCAGGTAGGCACAATTTGTGCTGATCCCAGGGTCTACACCAATGAGGAGTCAAAGAAGAGACCCTTTCCACAATATTCTGGGATCCCAACAGCCATGATTCTGGGGGAGGTGACTGGAAATATACCAGCTCCATGAGGTCTTGCAGTCTGGGTTCTCATCCATCACCTGGAACCCTGGGCTTTAAAGAGGTCCTGTTCTCCTCTGACTCAATACCCCAGGCCTCATAGACAAGAACCCTTGTTCTACTTGAAAAAATTGTATATATTTTTCTTTTTTTTCCTTAAAGAGAGATGGAGTCTCTCTATGTTGCCCAAGCTGGTCTTGAACTCCTGGGCTCAAGTGATCTTCCTGCCTCAGCCTCCCTAAGTGCTGGGATTACAGGTGTGAGCCACCACGCCTGGCCTGAAGAAAAATTTATTAAGGTGAAAGTCACAGAACATAAAATTAACTGTTTTAAAGAGTAGAATGTAGTGGTATTTAGTACATTGCACCATGTTGTACAACCATAACCTCTTGGTACAAAACATTTTCATCACTCCCAAAAGGGGACTCCAGACCCATGTGGTCACTTCCCATTTCCCCTGCCCCCAGCATCTGGCAACCAACAATCTGCTCTCTGTTTAGGATGAACTTCAAATGCACTATAAGTGAAAGAAGCCAGACACAGAAGAGTCACATAATATATGATTCCATTGACAGGACCCTTGTTTATAAGAAGCACATATTCACATTCTGTAAATTAACATTCTCAAGAACAGAATTTGGGAAATGGTGCAGAGGAAAGTGGGTATCTGTCGTGGCTTCCATTTCATTTTTGGCAAATGACCTGGCAGTTTGGATTCCTGAAGGCAGCCTTAGCCTAACGGCTCTCAACTGTGGCTTCACACTGGATTCGCTTAGGGGAACTTAAAAAAATTCTATGAATATCCAAGCCAACACCTATTCCTTTTTATATTATGGCCGTTCTTTGCAGGAGTAAGGTGGTATTGCGTTGTGGTTTTGATTTGCATTTCCCTGATAATTAGCGATGTTGAGCACTTTTTTTCGGGAATGTAAACTAGTACAACCACTGTGGAAAACAGTATGGAGTTTCCTTAAAGAACTAAAAGTAGAACTACCATTTGATCCAGCAATCCCACTACTCAGTATCTACTCAGAGGAAAAGAAGTCATTGTCTGAAAAAGACACTTGCACATGCATGTTTATAGCAGCACAATTCACAATTGCAAAAATATAGAACTAGTCCAAATGCCCATCAATCAATGAGTGGATAAAGAAAAGGTGGTATGTATATACATATATATATACACCATGGAATACTGCTCAGCCATAAAAAGAAACAAAATAATGGCATTTTCAGCAATCTGGATGGAGTTGGAGACCATTATTCTAAGTAAAGTAACTCAGGAATGGAAAACCAAACATCGTATATTCTCATTCATAAGTGGGAGCTAAGCTATGAGGATGCAAAGGCAAAAGAATGATATAATGGACTCTGGGGACTCCTGGGGGAAGGGTGGGAGGAGGGTGAGGGATAAAAGACTGCACATTGGGTACAGTGCACACTGCTTGGGTGATGGGTGCACCATAATCTCAGAAATCACCACTGGAGAACTTATTCATGTAACCAAACACCACCTGTTCCCCAAAAACTATTGAAATAAAAAAAAATTAATCTATGAACAGCTAATGTATATTAGAGAGCCTAATGTAACTGACCTGGACAGTGGTGTTTTTAAAAACTTGCCAGATGATTCTAATATGTAGCTAGGGTTGCAACAGCTGCGCTCACAGGAGAGTGGCTACAGCTGCAGGCCATTTTTCTACCCTGCATTTCCTCCCTGGCTGCCTTGGCACTTCCTTTCCATCCTTGGTTTGTGCCTCATTCAGTCTGCACAAGCTCAAAGTATCCCAGGATTTTGTCCACGCCAAATGGTGCAGTCGATGGATTTTGGTGCCACTAAGTTTGGGACTCAGAGCTGCTTTCTAACTACTGACCTTGGGGGAGATTAGTTAACTTCTAAGCCTCATTTCTCCATCTCTAAAATGGGGCCAATGATAGCACCTATCTCAGGAATGTTTTGAAATTTAGCCGAATAGGTGTGCATTAAGCACACAGTAAACATCATCATCTGTTTTTATTGTTATTTTGGTTATTACTATTATTATATGCATGGGCATTTCATAATGGACCAGTCTATTGATAGTCCTTTTCCAACCAGGGGAAAGTCCTTTACAAAAAAAGGAGGCCGGGCGTGGTGGCTCACACTTGTAATCCCAGCACTTTGGGAAGCTCAGGCGGGCAGACCACAAGGTCAGCAGTTCGAGACCAGCCTGGCCAACACAGTGAAACCCCGTCTCTATTAAAAATACAAAAAAATTAGCCAGGCGTGGTGGTGGGCACCTGTAATCCCAGCTACTTGGGAGGCTGAGGCAGGAGAATCGCTTGAACCTGGGAGGCAGAGGTTGCAGTGAGCCAAGATCACGCCGCTGCACTCCAGCCTGGGCAACAGAGCGAGATTCCATATCAAAAAAAAAAAAAAAAAAAAAAGGAGGCATTTTTTATGCACCTGGTTTCTGTGGACAATGAGCCAGGCCCTGGGGCTGCCACTGAAGGTATGGAACAGAGATACTGATGTGGACTAAAACTAGCATATAAACACGTATTATGGGGACCTGGAGTGCAAATGGGTGCAGGAGGTGGTTGGACTGAAATCCAGGAAGTATTCGGAGAGAGCAGCATTTAAGCTGGGTGGTTAGTGATAAGTGGAAGATGTTCCAGCGAATACCAGAAAGCGAGGCTATCAAGGTTGGTTGGACCACACTAAAGAAGGTGTTAGATGCCAGGCTGAGAAGGGGCACGTGCTCTGAGATAGCTGCCCTCGCTTGACCTTACCAGGCAGGGTTCACTCTCAATGGTCATTCCCAAAACCTTCAGTGCCACAGCTACTGCATCCACTTACCTCAATAAGGTGTCCCCATAGTGGATTTCTGAGATCTTTTCGGCTGGCTGGAATTTATTTCTTTCCTCCTCTTTCAGTTTCTGAAGTTGTTGTTGCTTCTTTTTCTTTGCAGTCTCTTCCCTCAGAATAGCAAAATATCCACGGCCTATCTTCACAGACTGGATCAAAAAGCTGGAGACATGCAGGGAGGAAGAGGGAGAGAGGGAGGAAGGTGGGAGGGTGGAGAGAGAGAAGGAAAGAGAAGGAGAGAAAGAAAGAGAGAGAGGAAAGAGAAAAGAGAGATAAAGAGGGATAGAGAGAAAGAAACAGGTAGAAATAGAGAAAGAGAGTGAGAGAGGGAGAGGGAAGGAAGGAAAGAGAGAGAGAGAGAGGGAGGGAGGAGAGGGAGACACAAATTTAAAAAAAAGATGAGTTGACTCTTATTGTCTTGGGACCAATAATCTCTGAGCGTGCCCTCGTGCCTGCAGGGCAGGAGCCTTCCCACCTGTAGATTTCCAGACTCAGCCAGACCTGAGTTTGAATTCTGGATCCACCTTGTACTAAAGACCTTGGCCAAGTCCTTGAATCTCTCTGAGCCTCATTTCCTTCATCATCCCATCACTCAACAAATGTTTATGGAGTGCCCACTTACAGCACCAGGCAGTCTGCTAGGTGCTGTGGAATGAACATAACAATTCACAGCCTGCAGGATCAGATACCATCATGCATGGGAAGGGGTCAGCAGTGAAGTGCTTGGCACAGAAGATGGGCTCTTCCATGAAAATCAATGGCATAGCAGGCACTAAAGGGCCTAGGCTCCTGGCTAAGGCTGCCCTCTCTTTGATTTGCCTAAATGCTCACATCTGTCAGCATGACTGCTACAGAAGTTCAAGTACTAATGTGTGGGTTCTTGCTGTGTCAAATAACATATGTTGGGACCTCATAATTCTTTTCATGCCAACTCAACCACTATTTCCTAATCAGATGTCTTGATGCTGGCTTGATGTGAAGACATTCTCAGTCGTGATGGGCTACACACCTCCCTGCGCTTTGCCAGTCTTCACCTTGGGGTTGGAGTTAGCAGCCCTGTGGTGGAGAAGGAGTGATGCAGAGGTGTCTACATGTTTCTTTCTGTCTGCCCACTTTGTTCCTAGATGTAAATGTTGGTTCTCAAATTCAGTTTTATTTGTTCTCCAAATTCCTAATAAGCAACCATCAATTTTATTTGTTCTCCAAATTCCTAGTAAGCAAGCAATGTGTGTTGGGTATTGTACTGACTGTTGGGGATACAGTGATGAACAAGACATTGGGTCCCTCAGGGTTCATGGTTCAGTAGGAGAGAGGGAGAGAGAGATACATGATGTCAATAATAGCACAGGGTAATGGGAGAGGCAGGACTCTGGGCTTTGGGGAAGGGGGCACCTAATTGAGACTAGGGGGAGGCTGAAGACCTCTTCCTGGAGAAAGTAGGATTTTCTTTCCCTGTTTGAAGGTGGCCTCTTCCTCTCCTCTCATGTCTCTCTTGTGCTCGGTTTTGCATGGGAATATTCCCAGCCAGCTGCCATGGCCAGACTCATATGATTAGTTGACCCCTGCTTATTTGCTAAGACGAGCTAAGGTGTTATGAAGGTCATTTCATTTCATCGGGGGACTCTTACAAATGTCCATTGGGAATATGCTGGGAGGCGGGAGGTCGGGATTTTCCAGCATTTTTCAAATCACATCACATGGGTGGCAGCTAAGTGATAACATTTCATTCATTCATTCCTCTGGCTGACCTTGGCTGAGAACCTGCTATTCCAGGGACCAGTTCAGGGGACTGGGGCTGCACAAAGCAATAAGATAAAACATTTACCCCCCAAGGAGTTCACAGTGTCATGGAGGAAGAACACCCACAAACAGATACTCTCAACCTAATGTACCAAAGGGCTATAGGAACCTAGAGAAATCTTGGAAGGCTTTCTGGAGGAGGTAGTATTTAGGCTAAGTAGGAATTCACCAGTAGAACAAAGTGGGACATGGCATACCAGTGGATGGAATATCAGGTGTAAATGCAAAAAGGTGAGTCTGATGATGGCCTCTTTAGGGAACTATAACTATCTTTAAAACACTGGAGCACAGAAGAGTGGCTAGAGCTAAAGCTGACAATGCAGGCAGGAAACATGGCGCAGGGCCTTGGGTTCTTAAGTGAGCCTGGATTTGGGAATTGCTTGGACTGTACGTAAAAATGCTTCAGGAATCTGCAAATGTCTGAGTTTTCATTAACAGCTATTAAAGCTATTAACAACACCCACAACACAAAACATTCTGTTATATGCTAGATCAATTCATTTTGTACATTTCTATTGCATCGGCCTGTGTTCACTAATTCTGAAAGGCCCATTTTTTCGCATCTCAACTTCCTTGACGTGAAACTGCATCTTACAATCATTGGCCATTCACAATCACTGCCAGCTACGTGGCAGTTGCTTTGCAGTTGTTGTGGCCTCTATAGGTTTAAATTTGGTTGTTACTCCTGGTAGCCTGACTGCACAATTGCCCCCGCTGGGCAATAAATCACTGGACCAGGAGTTTGAAGTCTGAAAAGTCTTTTTCTTTGACATATTCTTATAAAATCAAGGAAGTAGGCTTGGTGTGGTTGTTCATGCCTATAATCTCAGCACTTTGGGAGGCCGGGGCGGGTGGATCACTTGAGGTCAGGAGTTTGAGACCAGCCTGGCCAACATGATGAAACCCCATTTCTACTGAAAATACAAAAATTAGCCAGGGTGGTGGCGGGTGCCTCTAATCCCAGCTACTCGGGAGGCTGAGGGAGAATCACTGGAACCCGGGAGGCGGAGTTTGCAAGGAGGCGGAGGTTGCAGTTAGCTGAGATCACGCCACTGCACTCCAGCCTGAGTGACAGAGTGAGACTCCATCTCAAAAAATTTTTTGAAAAGCAAGAAAGTGCCATTATAAAAACTTTCAGACTTGGGTCTGCAGCTGGGAAGAAATCTTGGAGACAACAGAGGAGCATCCTCTTAAGAAATGTTCCACAGGACATTGTTGACTCTGAGTGGAAGAGTGATTCTGAAGAGTTGGGCTTTGAATGTGAAGAAGTTTGAGGAATACCTTAACCAATGTATTTTACCTGTGTTTTCCTTTTGGTTTGAACAGAATATATAGATATAAATGGAATATTAAAAAATTATTTAAGTAGGTAAAAAAGGAGCTTTTCTTAAAAATTAGGAAATAATATATATATTTTTTAATTTTTAAAAAAATTTTAATTTTTGTAGAGATGGGGGTCTCACTGTGTTGCCCAAGCTGGTCTCACATTCCTGGCCTCAAGTGATCCTCTTGCCTCAGCCTCCCAAAATGCTGGGATTACAAGCATGAGCCACTGCACCTGGCCTAAAATATTTTTACAAAATAAAAATTCTAAGTGATAAGAAAGAACCATCTTATTTTAATTGACAGTGTTTTTATTTTGTTATGTTAAATTTTTTAAATAAAATTCTTTTCATTGTTTAGTTTTTCTTTTTAGTGGCATATCTTAGATTTGATGGTGGTTTAGACTCAATAAAATGCTGTATTTTTGCTCTTTATGAATGTGCTCCTGGAAGATTACCACTGAATGTTTTCTAAATTTAAATCCTGCTTCTCAGCTCATGTAAAATTTTTTGGATGTTTATGCCACATGTCATATATCCATCCCAGACAGTCAGTTGCAGGCAAGGATCAGTCATATCTGCTCAGCTCATGTTCTTGTCATTGCAAAATAATCTCTCAGTTTTCTTATGTATAAAATTGTGCAAAAGCAAATGAGTGGGTAACCTGTTATCACTTAGTAATGCCATATTGTCAGTTATAGGTGCTTTTGCCTGGCTTTTTTTTAAAAAATTTTTATTTTTTAAGACAGCGTCTTGCTCTATCGCCCAGGCTGGAGTGTAGTGGTGCGATCTCGGCTCACTGCAACCCCCACCTCTTGGGTTCAAGCAATTCTCCTGCCTCAGCCTCCTGCGTAGCTGGGATTACAGGCATGTGCCACCATGCCCGGCTAATTTATTTATTTATTTATTTTATTTTTATTTTTAGTAGAGACGAGGTTTCACTATATTGGCCAGGCTGGTCTTGAACTCCTGATCTTATGACCCACCCACCTCGGCCTCCCAAAGTGCTGGGATTACAGGCATGAGCCACCGTGCCTGGCTGCCTGGCTTTTATATTTAAGTTTAGGAATGTGAGCAGTGAATATGAGGTGGAATTCATGTTTGAAACAAAAATATGCTTCCATTTTGCTTTCAAGCTTCTGAATTGGTGAGAGTCCTGAAGCTGCAAGGGAACTTGATAAAAAGAAAACCGTTAGCGTTTGCAACCTCTTAACTTCACACATGAGGATTTTTCTCTGTGTAGCACAAACAAAGCAAATGCAGAAATAACCTGGGAGGTGAGACTGATGTGACAGCAACTGCTTTTCATTGTCATGCCACTTTACAGAGATGGGGTGGACTCTGTTTCAGTCTGCTTTGGCTGCTGTTACAAAAATACCATAGACTGGGTGGCTTAAACAACAGAAACTTCTTTCTCACAGTTCTGGAGGCTGGAAGCCCAAGATCAGGGTGCCAGCATGGTTGGGTTCTGGTGAGGTCCCTCTTCCAGGTTGGAGACTGCCATTTTCTCACTGAAGCCTCACATGGAGGGAAGAGAGCTAGAGAGCTCTCCAGAGTCTCTTTTATAGGGGCACTAATCGCATTCACAAAGGTGGAGGCTAATCACCTCCCAAAGGCCTCAACTCCTAATATCATATTGGGAGGTGGGTAAGGATTTCAACATATGAATTTGGTGGGGGGACACAAACATTCAATCTGTAACAGACCCTTCACTGAAAATTTGTTCAGAAGTCAAGACTGATACTGATGCAGGGCAGGCATGCCCAAAATTGGGGCTTAGCCTAGGAGGGTGCTTGGCTTCACCCAGGAAAGAATCAAGGGTGAGCTGGTGGTAGAAGAAAACAGCTTTATTGAAGAGGCGGTGTTACTGCTCCATGACTGCACCTGCAGAGCAGGGCCACCCCACAGGCAGTGTGCTGAGAGCAGCAGCTCAGGGCAGTTTTGCAGTCATATTTATACCCACTTTTAATTACATGTAGAATAAGCGGTAGTTTATGCAGAAATTTCTAGGGAAAAGGTGGTAACTTTTGGGTCATTGTGTCATTGCCATAGAAAGGGGCAGTAACTCCCAGAGTGTTGCCATGGCAATGGTAAACTGATGGACATATCTTATGGAAAGGTGCTTCTTCCCTGTCCCTGTTTTAGCTAGTTCTCACTTTGGTCTGGTGTCCAAGGCCCACCTCTGGTGTTAAGTCCCACCTCCTACCTCAACACAATGCACACACCAAGAGAATATGAAATGGGTTATTACTCACATAACTAGATTTTCTGGGGAGAGCAGGGAAGTCTCCCAAGCAGGTCTTCAAACTGCCTGAAAGAGCAGGAAGGGACCAGTGGCTTGGGGTTTTATGGTGGTTAGGGGGTGAGGTAGTGGTTCCACATTTGGAGATGATTTGAACTTCCCACCAGCATCAAAGGAGGGTGCACCTGGGCTTTCTTATCAACTTGCCCAGATATAGGGCAGAAGGGAATGGTGTGGTGGGTGAGGATGGAGTGTTGGAGCTTGAAATCCATCAGTAGTCAAATATCAAGAATGGAGTCAGATTCTTTATTACACGGATTAATCCCAATTTCCAATTTGTGTGTTTGCCTAAATAACTGCACCATTATCAACCGTTCAATGAAAATGTTCAACAAATATTTGGTGAATGCTTATTACGTACAAAGCACTATGTGTTGAGGATGCAGCAGTAAACAAAATAGCTGTAGAGTTCTGGCCCTTATGAAGCTCGTATTCCAGAGGGTGGAGACAGATTCAAAACTAAGAAGTAAATGGTACCCAAAGTGCCAACTGCTATGGAGGAACAGAGCAGGCAAGTGGGACGAGATGCCAGGGATGAGGGGTGTCAGTGCATTTAGAAAAAGATGGTCAGTGAAACCCTCACTCAGAAGGTGATGTTTGCAGAAAGATGTGAAGGAGGTAAGGGAGTAAACCATGCAGATACTTGTTGGGGGAAGAGTATTCCAGTAGCAGGAACAACATGTGCAAAGGCTCTGAGCAAGTACGATTTTAAACTAAGAAAAGTTTCGTTTCCATTGAATAAAATGTTATATGACATCATATAATACGATGTGTGCTACCAAAATGTTGGCTTTGCACGTTTTAGAAATTGGTGTTGTTGATGGAAATAAAACCAAACTCTGTAAAATATTCCAAAGAGGTTTATGCCAGTATGAGTGGCCATGGTCTGGAGAAAACACAAGCCCAAGGAGCCTTGAGTAAGTGGCCCAGAGGCAGTCAGAATGCAGCTCTGTTTTATACATTTTTTTTTTTTTGAGATGAAGTCTCACTCTGTCACTGAGGCTGGAGTGCAGTGGCACCGTGTCAGCTCACACTAACCTCCATCTCCTGGGTTCAAGCAATTCTCCTGCCTCAGCCTCCTGAGTAGCTGGGATTACAGGTGCCCACCATCACGCCTGGCTAGTTTTTATATTTTTAGTAGAGACGGGGTTTCACCATGTTATCAAGGCTGGTCTTGAACTTCTGACCTGAGGTGATCCACCTGCCTCGGCCTCCCAGAGTGCTGGGATTACAGGTGTGAACCACCTCGCCCGGTCTGCTTTATACATTTTAGAGAAGTAGAAGTTACAGTCAAAGTCATAAATCAATACATAGAGGCTTTACATTGGTTTCACCCAAAAAAAGGTGGGATACCTGGAAGCTGAGGCTTATAGGTCATAGGTGGGTTCAGAGATTTATTTTTTTATTTTTATTTTTTTGAGATGGAGTCTCACTCTGTCACCCAGGCTGGAGTGCAGTGGTGCGATCTCGGCTCACTGCAACCTCCGCCTCCCGGGTTCCACGCCATTCTCCCGCCTCAGCCTCCTGACTAGCTGGGACTACAGGCGCCCGCCACCAGGCCTGGCTAATTGTTTTTGTATTTTTAGTAGAGACGGGGTTTCACCATGTTAGCCAGGATGGTCTCGATCTCCTGACCTCGTGATCCACCCGCCTCGGCCTCCCAAAGTGCTGGGATTACAGGCATGAGCCACCGCGCCTGGCCCAGAGATTTATTTAATTCGTAATTGGTTAAAGGAGCAAGAACTTTATTCAAACACTTGGAATCAGCAGAAAGGAAAGTTGAAGTTCCTGGGGGTTGGACTTCAATGTATGAATTTGGGGAGGACACAATTGAATCCATAACACACACATTTCAGGATCCAGTAGGCTGCAGTTTCTGCACATCATCATGTAATATTTTGCCAGAGTTGGGTTGCAAGAGCAAGACATAATACATTGGATCGGAGTGACCTGTAGTTCTGCATGACTTAATCCTTGTCCAGTGTAGCTTTAGGTCCTGTTTATAATTTGGTATCTTACTGTCAGTCAGTTTCATCAGTCTTCTGATCTCTATTTTAACATTAATGGTGGGCAGCTCTTGTGGCTAATTTCCAAAAGGGACGGAGTACAATGAGGTGTGTCTGACCTCCCATCTTGTCATGGCCAAGAAGTCAGTTTTTAAGGTTTTTCGGGGGTTCCCTTGGCCAAGAGAGGGTCTATTCAGCTGGTTGGAGGGGGCTTAGGATTTTATTTTTAGTTTACAGTGTTCTACTTAAGACTTTTGTTTGACAGAAAGGTTCTTCTCTGGAAAAAGAAGAAAGGAAAGATGGAAGGGAGGGAGGGAGGAAGAGGAAAGGGGAGGGAAGGAAGGAGGAAGGAAGGGAAAATGGGAGGGAGGGAAGAAAAAAGGAAGAAGGAAGGAAAGAGGAAGTAAGGAAGAGTGGGGGGGGGGTTGCTCTTGCAACCCAACTCTGGCAAAATATTACGTGATGATGTGCAGAAACTGCAACCTACTGGATCCTGAAATGTGTGTGCTATGGATTCAGTTGTGTCCTCCCCAAATTCATACATTGAAGTCCAACCCCCAGGAACTTCAGCTTTCCTTTCTGCTGATTCCAAGTGTTTGAATAAAGTTCTTGCTCCTTTAACCAATTACGAATTAAATAAATCTCTGGGCCAGGCGCAGAGGAAGGAAGGGAAAATGGGAGGGAGGGAAGAAAAAAGGAAGAAGGAAGGAAAGAGGAAGTAAGGAAGGGAGAGAGGAAAAAAGAAAGGAAGAGAGGAAAGAAGGAAGGGTGGGCTGTGTGTCCTAAGCTGGAAAGGTAGGGAGAACCAGGTAACAGTGATGGTCTGGGCACCTGCCTCTCGACTCCTTTACTCCAGGGTCCTACTCCAGGAGGCCATAGACTTTACCATTTGAATTAAGAAGCTCATTTCTAATAACTCAGTCTAACATCTTCATGTGCAGGGCCATAAGAACAGAGCTGTAGAGGTCCCTCTCTGCCACTGGACTTCAATGAGACTTCTCAAGTGTTTCCAGTGTACACTTGAGATGCTGCAAAGCATTCACATAAGAGCCCTTTTTAAGGTGAACTCGGCACTGTTGGGATTTCGCGTCTGCGGTAGACCTTAGTGCTTCTTACCAGCAGTTTTGTGCCTCACTCTCCTGATCTTTCCATTCTTGGGCACGTGTGTTAATGTATTTGTCCTCACAATGACTCTGTGTTTTAGGTGCTATTATTATCACTTCCATTTGAAGATAAGGAAACTGTGGTCAGGAAAGACAAGGTCACAGAGCTGGAAAGAAGCAGAGCTGAGGTCTGAACCCAAGTGGTGAGTTCACTGTAGAGCTCAGCTGTGCACTGCGCTGGTTGGTAGATGGTCAGGATGTTTCTGGATGTGGCTGGTCACTCTGTCCTTTCGGAAGTCCCACCAGCATGGGCCTTGATCTTGAAGTTTCCATGAGCCACTGGGTCAAGGACTAACTTGGGTGGTTTATCACTGACTGGTAGGTGCCAGGGATTTGCTGTTGTCCAGATTCTCTCATGGATTGGAAGGCTGTCAGAGTGACCTGTTGGATCCTGAGACAGACTGTGGTCTGTAGGGGCAGAGAACAGAACAGGCACTGAGGCTAGGCGTGGCAGCTCATGCTTGTAATCCCAGCACTTTGGGAGGCCAAGGCGGGTGGATCACTTGAGGTCAGGAGTTCGAGACCAGCCTGGCCAACATGGCGAAACCCTGTCTCTACGAAAAATACAAATATTAGCTGGGCGTGGTGGCAAGCGCCTGTAGTACCAGCTACTCAGGAGGCTGAGGCACAAGAATCACTTGAACCTGGGAGGCGGAGGTTGTAGAGAGCTGACATCGCATCACTGCACTACAGCCTGGGCGAGAGAGCAAGACTCTGTCTCAAAAATAAATAAATAAATAAATAAATAAATAAATAAATAAATAAATAAATGAAGTTAGTTGGGCATGGTAGCATATGCCAATGGTCCCAGCTACTTGAAAGGCTGAGGCAGGAGGATCACTTAAGCCAGGAGTTTGAGGATGCAGTAAGCTATGACCATGCCATTGCATTCCAGCATGGGTGACAGTGAAATCCTGTCTCTAAAAAAATTCTCAGTCTTTACCTCTGCATCTCGGTCATTTACCTTTTTGTAGTAATTAACAAGTTGGTAAGAGATTTTTTTCAACTTATTCATGCTCTCATTCTAAAAAGAATTAGAAACAAGAAAATTTTTTTTAAAGTGAGACAGGCAGAAGGCAGAAAAAAACAAGAAAACCAAAATCAGGTAAGACAGGTAACAAAACCCATGCCACATAATCTGGTGCATAAATTTGGCCCTGAGCATCCTAGTGGCTGAGGCAAAGAGGTAAACACAATCCTAATGTGATTCCTAATGGCTGAAGATTTTTAAAAAGCTGTTTAGGAGATGCTGGGCTGTTCCTGGTGCTGCAAATAGGAAGAGACTTCTTTCAAGGAGCTGTACAGGGAGCATACGGTAAAAAGCCAAGTCTGTAGCAAACCCCTAGATACAAATAGAGTGATAAATGCTTGTCTTATCAATTAACTCCACAGAAAGAGACAGGGCAGTCACTGTTGGACAATTTGAGAAACCTAGCAAGCAAATCTTCTGGTGGAATTTCAGCCCCTCTTCAGGCAAGGCAGTCAGATGTCCAGCTGCCAGATCTTCTGGAAAGGCCTGAGTGACAGATGAATGTGGTTAGGGGGAGGGTCTGGGCCTTCATGTCAGACACACCAGTCTATTCTGGGAACTTCAGGCTGCAGGATGTTCATTCAACGAGCTTGGGAAGTGCTCCCTTGATACCGCGGAGGCCCATTTAAAAACGCTTAATATTTTAGCAAATTCTCATTTAATTCCGTGTGTTCCCTACATTTTCTTCATCATTATTGCTGATTACCAGGCTATTTGTGTGAAGGGAGCTATTTGCAGGGAAGAGCAGTTTTCGCCTTTAAATCCACTCACCTGGGGCCTCCTGCTCACTGCTTTGTGCGATGTAAAACTCCCCTGGCTAACATCACAAGAGGAACGATGGGGAGTAAAATAATTAACTGCATCAGGCAAGAGGAGGAAAAAGCAGATTATAAAATGGAAAGTTTTCTCTATGCAATACAATTTCTTCTCAACCAGTGCATGGGAGAGGGTGGGTTGTTATTATTAAGGAACGTATGTTCTCTGTATGGGAGTCTGTGTGTGAGCTGATGAGAGGATGCTTACTGCAGCAATAGGAGTATTCTCAGCAGGGCTTGGCCAAGACAGACCAAAGGGACAGAAGGAAGGAAGCCTAGGTTTCATTTCTAAGCACCTTTGGACTTGAGGAGCAGTATGGGCGATGGGAAGGTGTTAGAGGGGATTGCCTCTGGCTGGACTCTACTTTTTCATTCCCTTAGGGTGGTTTTAAACCTCTCTGAATCACAACCCCTTCATCTTCAAATGGGGAAAATATTAGTTCCTCCCTCAAAGGGCTATTGGGAGGATTAAATGAGACAGTAAAGATAATGAGTTTACTGTAGTACCTAGTACATAGGGCTCCATAATGGGAAGCGGTTGTTATCGTCAGCTTGCTTAACAGTCCTGAGAAGTTGGAGTGATTTACAGATGAGAAAACAGAGAAAAGGTTAGGTAAATGATGGTCATAACAGCTGGAATGTGGCCAAGCAGAGATCGGAAGACAGTAGGGTTGATTCCAGAATTTCTCTCTCTCTATTTGCATGCTCCAAGCATAGGTATGTTCAGTAGAAAGCTTTAAGGCTTTGAGTTTATGTACCTCTGGGCTGTTTGTTTTGCAGATTTCATTTCTAGGTCTGTAGAATAGGAACAAATGGCTTACCTTTTCCCCCTTTAGACCATGTTTTTACCCAATCCAAAGCACCATCTGTGGCAGATTAGGTCATTATTGAGCAAATACTCTCTTCCTCTCCCATCCCCTACATTCAGGGTTGGGATGTATTTTCTCAGTGTCCAGAATTTGGACTTGGACATGTGTCTCCTTTGGTCGATGGGATATTAGCAGATATGAATTGAATGAACACATAAAATGAGCTTTCTCAGCTGGGTCCGTGTGAACAAAATCCACAACGGACCCAGAAGAGTGAGAAGACATTGAACAGACCTTTCTGAACCCAGCAATTCTAGCCTAGCTCAGCGAAGGCTGGAGCAAGAAAGAAATATGTGTTGAAAATCATTGAGTTTGGGGGCAGCTTGTTACACAGCATCATGATGAAAATAGCTGACTGGTGCATCATCCATTGTAAAATGCACCATTATTTTATGAACCACAAAGAAGAAAACACAAAAACACATGTCAATTAAATTAAGACATGATTGTACATTGCATTCCAAGTTCAGAGATGATAAAATGTGCAAAAAATGTGCTTCTTAGACATGATAAAATATAGTATTAAGAAAGAAGTTGCCTCAGACCTAAGAAAGATGGCCTGGAGTAGGACCTGGAGCATGATGTAATTAACAGCTCCTTCTGAGAAGTATCTAGCAATTGTGATAAAATATCTGAGCAATTTTCTGATATTCTCTGTGAGATTAAGAGTCTTTTCTGCAGCATTGGATTTACCCGTGGTGCTGGCCCGACAGACTTACAACAAGACTATTAACTATTAACTATTAACTAACCACTCCTACTTCAGGTGATGCTATCTAGTTCCTTACAAATCAAAGTGTGGTCCAGCAGCATCAGCATCACGTGAGAGCTTGTTGTGTAATTGCCCCATGGGTTCATCTTACCCACTGCACAGATAAAGCCACTTTACTGAGATAGCATTATTGCAATAGAGAAAAAGTTGTATAAATGCAGTCAGCTAAGTGGAAGGACAGCACAGTGATTTATTATAGTCAAATCAGCCTCCCTGAAAATTCAGAGTCTAGGATTTCTTAATGATAGCTTGGTGGGCAGGGGCTTAAGAATGGGGAATGCTAATTGGTTGGGTCCAAGATGAAACCACAGGGAGTTGAAGCTTATCTTCTTGCACTGAGTCAGTTCCTGGTTGGGGGGCACAAGACCAGATGAACCAGTTTACTGGTCTGGGTAGTGCAAGCAGGGCCATCAGAATGCAGGGTCTGTAAAATACCTTGAACACCTGTCTTAGGTTTTACAATAGAGTTGTTATCTATAGGAGCAATGGGGGTGGTCAGGAATCTTGTGGCCTCTGGCTGTATGACTCCAGAGCCATAATTTCTAATCTTGTGGCTAATTTGCTAGTTTTCCAAATCATCTTTGTTTGAAACTAAATTCCTACTATGGTTACCTAGATCCATCCCCAGGAATGAACAAGGGCATCTTGGAGGTTAGAAGCAAGATGGAATCAGTTAGGTCAAATTTCTTTTATTGTCATAATTTTCCTATGTCAGATTTTTCTCACTGTCATAATTTTTGCAAAGGCAGTTTGGGTTAGAATTGCAGAATCTTGGGCCCCACCCCAGACCTCTTGAATCTGAATCTGCATTTTAACAGGATCCTCGGGTAATTCATGTACACATTGAAGTTTGAGATGCACTTGTCTGGATACCTTTTCCCCACTATTGAAAGGAACTCTTTCCAGAAAAAAAATCTTCCAGTTGGCTTTACTAGAAGGCTAGTCCCCTTCCTGCAAGTCTGAACTAAAACTCTGCCACATGCTAGCAATCAGTTAATCTCAGAAGTTCTCTAAGAATCTCTTGGCCGGGTGTGGTGGTTCACGCCTGTAATCCACTTTGGTTCACTTTGGGCGGCCGACGGAGGTGGATTACCTGAGGTCAGGAATTCGAGACCAGACTGACCAACATGGTGAAACTCTGTCTCTACTAAAAATACAAAAAATTAGCTGGGCATGGTGGTGGGTGCCTTTAATTCCAGCTACTCGGGGGGCTGAGGCAAGAGAATCGCTTGAACCCAGGAGGTGGAGGTTACTGTGAGCCGAGATCATGCCATTGCACTCTAGCCTGGGTGACAGAGTGAGATTCTGTCTCAAAAACAAAAACAAAAACAAAAACAAAAACAAAACAAATCTCTCTATTGGACATTCTTATCTTGAGGGCACTCTGCCTGAATACATCTCCCATGACCTGAATCGGCCTCCCTCCCAAGGGCCCTAAAGAAAACTAGGATTGAACATCACCCAAAACAGACCTTCCCAGCCCTCTTCTCAGGAACCTCACAAGAAATTGCAGAGTATTGAAGATTTGGGAGGCAGTGAGTGAAACTCATGTTCAACCTTTCTATTATGGGGGGCATGGGATTAACTACCACAAATCACTGTGTTAAAAACTAAGAGCCCAGATGTACTTAAAAAAAAATAAAAATAAAAATAAACTTTTAATGGTATTATGGCTCTACATCCAGCTGGTTTTCACTTACATTTTCCAGCTCTACCTACAAGAAATATGGGGCTATAAAGCCAGGAGTGCTTTGACGGGAAAGGCAGAATGACATTAAGATGAACAAACACTCATGGCAATCTGATTTCAGGGATGTCCTGCTCTTGCAGAAGGGAATTGCCTACATGGGAAATTTTCACTTAACAAATTTTACTGTTTTCAAATAATAGCAAATAAATCAGTTTATTCCCAATTGGTTGAGGCTGGAGGCTTGGGGAGCCCACTTCATCTGGCTGGCTCAGGCCTTGCTCTGTCAGCCCACCCAGACATATTGATTTCGGAGGAAGAGAGGGCAAAAATGATGGAATGAAGGGATCTGAAACACCATCCTTAAGTTCTTGAATTTTCAGGCAACCCATAGAGGCAAATTAATAACGCAGCCCCAGTTCAAAAGCACCAAGCAAATATTTTGCATTTAAATTCCTGCATTAGAATGCCCTGTTTATACAATAACTTAATAAATCTAGCCTGGCTGCCAAATTGACAAGAAGGTGAGAATCATTCATTAAAATGCAAATGCAATTGAGATGAAATTTGGAATACATTTATTACAGTAATTGAACTTCAGTCAACTGTAGTCACAACACAGATTTTGAACTGCCTTTCAGACAAAAGGATGTGTTGTATTATTCTCCCC
Organism: Homo sapiens; assembly: GCF_000001405.40. Taxonomy (NCBI): domain Eukaryota; kingdom Metazoa; phylum Chordata; class Mammalia; order Primates; family Hominidae; genus Homo; species Homo sapiens. The sequence goes on along the minus strand of NC_000012.12, from coordinate 119,457,719 downwards.
CCCGCCAACCACCAAGTTAATATCTTTGTCAGCATGCAAATTAAAGCTATTTCCTGAGTGCTAATGATTTGCAATGGAGGATTTCACTCTTCTTTATAGGACAAGATTGCCAGAGATAAAGGTCAACTACGTACACAAAAGATTGCTCTGGTAGCATATTGTGTATACAGCAAATTGATTGCAAACATATTCTGAGTGCTTATTGCAACCACATTCTTATTAAATCACATCCAAACATCTCCTTGCTATCCCTGGGTCATTTGCTAATTGTAATGCCCAACAATGGGAAATTTGCTGAGTCAGGATTTCACCTCTCAGATCAAGTTTCAGATGGATTTCTCTCCTTTCTGAATGACTCAGCCCAAAGAGAAAGACCCGTTAATGGGTTCTTTTTGATCATAAATTGGATGGAAGAAAGATGCTACTGGAACTTTTATAAGGGCTCAGAAAATTTGACTCTCAGTGGAGGAGAAGTCCCTTTAGTTGCTTCAGTTTTATTCTCTCTGGCACTTTTGCAAAATTCTTGGGTCTGAGCAAAGTGCACACATGCACCTAGAAGACTTCCGTTTGAGCTGGAAGAACCTAAGGTGTTTCTTTGGCTAAGGGTAAGTGTGCTGTTTAGAAATCACTCTAGGGTGGCAAAAACAAGTTTGTTCCAAATGTAGAACAGAAAGATTGCTTGTGTCAGAGGTGTATAAACCAGAGCAACTCCATCTTGAATGGGGCTAGGTAAAATGATGCTGAGACCTACTGGGCTGCATTCCCAGACAGTTAAAGCATTCTAAGTCACTGGATGAGATAGGAGGTAGGCACAAAATACAGATCATAAAGACCTTGCGGATAAAACAGGTTGCAGTAAAGAAGCCAGCTAAATCTCACCAAAACCAAGATGGCGACAAGAGTGACCTCTGGTCGTCCTCACTGCTACACTCCTGTCAGCGCCATGACAGTTTACCAATGCCATGGCAATGTCAGGAAGTTACCCTACATGGTCTAAAAAGGGGAGGCATCAATAATCCACCCCTTGTTTAGCATATCATCAGGAAATAACCATAAAAATGGGCAACCATTAGCCCTTGGGGCTTTACTTTTATTCCTTTACTTTATTAATAAACTTGCTTTCACTTTATGCTATGGACTTGCCCTGAATTCTTTCTTGTGCAAGATCCAAGAACCTTCTCTTGGGGTCTGGATTGGGACCCCTTTCATGTAACATCTTTCTAGTGACCATGAAGGGACTGTAGTGCAGAAACCCCCAGGAAGTGTTGGGGTCCTGTAACACTTGTGTCTTTTGACCCCTTTCATATCCAGTTAATTGATCATGAAGTGATGTCAACTCTATTTTCTGAATATTAGTTGACTCTCTTCCTTAACCTAGCCAGAAACCATCATTTACTTTAGGTAGTTTCCCACCAGGTCTTTTCCTTCCTATTGGCCACCTGGCTGCCCCAGGGCTTTTTTGAAAAGGCAAATCTCATCATTCCTATCTTAATGCTCAAAATCCTCTAATGGCTTCCTACTGTTCTCAGGGTGAAGTCCTGAGTCCTTCCTTCTCCTCCTAGCAATGTCCTCTAAGATCTGGGATTTATCTCTAACCATTCACCCTGCCATTCCTTTGCATCTCTCTACCCCCTTGAAATTGCACATGCTTGCTTGCTTTCTTTCTTTCTTTCTTTCTTTCTTTCTTTCTTTCTTTCTTTCTTTCTTTCTTTCTTTCTCTTTCTCTCTCTCTTTCTCTCTCCCTCCCTCCCTCCCCTCCCTCCTTCCTTCCTTTCTCTCTCTTTCTCTTTCTTTCTTTCCTCCTTCCTTCCTCCCTCCTTCTTTCTTTCCTTTCTTTTCCTTCCTTCCTTCCCTCCCTTTTCTTTTCTTCCTTCCTTCCTTCTTCTTCTCCTTCCTCCTCCTTTTCTTCTTCTTCTGTTTTTCTTCTTCTTTTTCTTTCTTTCACTCTTTCTTTCTTTTCTTTTCTTTCTTTCCTTCTTTCTTTCTTTTTCAGAGACAGAGTCTTGCTCTGTTGTCCATACTGGAGTGCAGTGGTGCCATCATAGCTCACTGCAGCCTCAAACTCCTGAGCTCAAGTGATCCTCCTTCCTTGGCCTCCCAAAAATTTAGGATTATAAGCATGAACCACTGTGACCCGCCTGCACATGCTTTTCTTTCTCTCTGCAGCATCTTCTCCATTGTCTTCACTTGGCTTGATTTCTATTTGTCCTTCAAGGTTTGGGTAAAACTATCAACTGTTGGTCATTCAATACCTCTTCCCTTCTCTCCTCTCAGTTCCAGGCTAGGTCAAGTGCACCCACAGCTCCTTGTACCTATGTACTTCCTATTATTACACTCAGCACACTACATGGTGATTGCTGATTGACTTGTCTGCCTTTCTTACTGTCTGTGGGCTCCTTGAAGTAAGACTCTGGCATGTAGAAGGCTATCAGCACTTGGTTTTCCTTCCCTACTTCTCTCTATTGCTCCCAATGACAGAAAGTGCCAGTTGCCTACCAAGTATCAACTTGCCTAGCTTCTTTAGTAATAGACCACATTATCGTGGGCATCAATATGCCTAGATTAACAACCAGCAAAGCAAAGCAAAATCAAACAACAACCACCACAAACAAAAACTATATTTCCCAGCTGCCTTTCCCGATAGGCTAGGCCAATGAGGTACAAGTGGAAGTCATTTAAAGAGGCTTCTGGGAAAATTCTTTAAAGGAAATTGGCAAGCTGGGTAACATATGCCCGTTAGCCCCTTTTTCAGTTCCTTTCTGTTGCCTGAAGCTGCTCCAGCAGCCATTTTCTGAGCATGAGGAATTCTGGCAGATGGAAGCAAATACGGAGGATGGTGGATAAAACCTAGAAGGAACCCAGGTACTGGATGACCAGGAAGCTGCCATACCAGTACTAGATCACCTTCATCCAAATGTAAACCCTTTTTATGTGAGGGAGGTAATTCTTTATTTTGTTTAAGCCATAGTGATTTCAGGGCTCTGCTACCATGCAGCAGAATACAGTTCCAAGAGACAATATCTCTTTCTCTGCCTCTTTCTTTTTTCTTGACCAAACTATCACAATTCACACATTTAAAATGCTATTGTCCTTGGCTAAATCAATGGCCATGGACCAGAAAAGGATATTGGGAGAGGCTGGTTTAGATAATTGGGTAGTAACAAGGAAACTTAGAAACATGAAACTCTGTCAAGAGAATTTGGCCTGGGAGAGTCTCCACTGAGCGTGTCCAGGGCAGCTGGTAAATAGGCAACAGGTGAGTCTGAGCCTGTAAGAAATGAGGGCTGGGACAGGAGGGGGTGGTGGCACTTAGAGAGAAACAGGAGGTTTCTCTCTATAGTGATGGCTTGAGTGAGGCACTGAGCTAAGCACTTTATATGCATTATCTCATCAAACTTTCACAACATCCTATGAAGTAAGTACTATTATCCCCATTTTGCTGATGAGGAAACTAAGGCTCAAAGAAGTCAAATAGTCTGACCATAGGGTTAGTAAGAGGTGGCACTGGAATTTAAACACAGGCAGGCTAATTCCAAAGTATTACATGAGAAAAATACACTGGTTTTGGAAATGGTCTGTTCTAGGTTTAACTGGCCATGATTTCCTTATCACTCAATGTCTGTGAGTCATCTTACCTCGTTGAGATGTCCTTTCCTCACCTTTAAAATTTGGATACATTAATAGCCATCCTGGGACATTGTTGAAAATCATATATGAGAGGCAATTAGTATGGTGCCTAGCACACTGGAGCTGTTCGATACATGGTAACATTATCATTTTTTTCTTCTTATTTTTCATCATCATCATCATCATCATCATCACAATCATCAAATTATCATCGACTTCTCTTCCTCCTTCTTCCCCTTTCCCTTCTCCTCCTCCTCCTCTTCCTCTTCCTTCTCCTCCTGCTCCTCTTCCCTTCCCTCTCCTCTTTCTCATTCTTCTTTCTTCTTCTTCTTCATTGTAGTCATCACCATGAATGCCTTCTGGTACAACTTTCTTGCTTTGCACATGACCAGGATGGTGGTTTGGCTGTAAGCCCCACAGAGTTCTGGGAAGTGGCACTTAGTTCAAGTGGTGAGCCTAGGAGGTTCTCTTCTCTGGGGGTGATGGGAAGAACAGTCTAATTAGATTACAATTATTTGGGGATTTAGTAAATTGCCTTATGAAGTAATTCACAAAGGTCTGTGAGTCCACTGTGCCAGTGGTGGTAGGAAAAATGCTTGGTTATCATGTAAGTAATGAAATGTATTAAGCTAAGGGGCCCAGGAATTAACCTCTGCTTTGCTGGATAGGAAATGACATGCAGAAGCCTTCTAATTATTTTAAATGGTTTTCTTTTCTTAATTCTTCTTTGATTTAATCTCTATCTCAGATCTTCATTAAAGAAAATGACGATGGAAGAAAAGGAGGAGGAGGGAAGAGGGGAGGATAAAGAAATGGAAAGAAGAATCTGAAGATCCCATATCACAGCCTGTGAACACACAGGATGTTTCACAGGAAGACAGTGCTGATAACAGTAAATTACAATCAAATCTAAGGGTTTAGGCCAAAGTGGGATATACATTAATGTCAGTTAAAAAGCCAAGTTCTGGCTGGGTATGGTGGCTCACGCCTGTAATCCCAAAACTTTGGGAGGCTGAGGTGGGCAGATTGCCTGAGATCAGGAGTTCGAGACCAGTCTGGCCAACATGGTGAAACCCCGTCTCTACTAAAAATACAAAATAAAATTAGCTGGGCATGGTGGTGCGTGCCTGTAATCCCAGCTACTCTGGAGGTTGAGGCAGGGGAATTGCTTGAACCAGGGAGGTGGAGGTGGCAGTGAGCCGAGATCACGTCACTGGACTCCAGCCTGCGTGACAGAGTGAGGGTCCATCTAAAACAAACAAACAAACAAAAAAAAAACAAGCCAAATTCTAACTCTAACTCTACCAAAAAATTGCTGTGGGATTTAGACAGATTCATGAACCACTCTGTTCTGTTATCTAGGAATGAATAACTATTACTACTACCATCTCCACCATCACCACCACTATCGCCATTTCCACCACCATCATCACAACTAGAATATGACTCATTACCGTGTGCCAGTAACTGTGAGAAAGCTTTTGCAGCTACTGATTTCTTTAACTTCTGAAAACAATCCTTCAAGGCAACCCTCAGTAGTGTTGCTAGCCTCATTTCATTGTGTGGAAACTGAAATGCTAAGAGGTTCAGTGATTTGATCAATGCAAAGGTACCCAGTCTGGGTGGAGCAGAGTCTGGACTGGTTCTCGGGCCTAAGCCTGTCTCGCTCAGCCATTCTTCAAGATAATATTGTCTTATCTGAGTAGTTGTGAAAGACAAAAAATCAGAAAATAGATGCAAAAGCAGTTTGGAAGGTCTTAAAACATGCCATGCAAAGAGAAAGTACAATTCTAAATTGGATATTCAAAACTGCTTTATAAAGAGGGAGGACTGGTTCTTTTCACCTAATCACATTATTGCTAATTGTCAGGGCCACAATTAGAAAAGCAAGCCCTCTCATCAGTGTAGGATACGCCCATAGATGAGTAGGTGATGAGTGAAATTAAGATGCAAAAAAGCTATATCTCTATGCAAAGTAGCTTCAGAGTTTTGGCTAAACGAATCTCTAGAAATTACATTCCTTGGAGGCAGACACCATATTATACTCATTCTTCCACCCCTCTCCTCATCCCTTTGGCGCATTGTGGGGACCTAATGCTATTTTTGATCAAATGGCTAGTTGATTCAGTGAAGAAGAAAAGATGATGTTGGTAATTTGATCTCTTGGTGAGGGCCAGTTCTATTCTTATCTATCTCTAAACTTAGGGACCAACATCTTCAGGCAACATTTCTCATGATTCACAAATGTACTCTCAGTAAGTATTTATCTAATCTAAATCTCTTCACTGCTTGCCAATCCCATTTCCATGTGTTCTGCCTAATTTTGAATGCAATTCATTTAATTCCTTCCTTCCTGATATCTTTATTGGACACTGACTGTGTAAAAGGTGCTGTGCCATGCTGAGGAAAGATACAAAAATTGAGAGGATTTGGACTTTGCCGCCAAAGAATCTACATTCTAGATGGCATTTGAGGGCCGGAGACTTCCACTCCTGATGTCCATGGCTTGGCATTAGGGATTATTTTTCTGACCTGAATCAGAAGCTAGACTGAGAATTTTGGAGTGAAAAGACCCTTGGGGAAAGCCCCAAGCCCCCATTTTGCAGATGGGGAAACTGAGGCCCAGAGAGGCGACATATCACATGACAAATTACAGGCAGACCTAGGACAATAATGGTGCAGGGGTTGGGGTGGGGCTGGGTGGGGGTCTCTGGATTCCTAGTGCAAGGCACTTTGTTCTAAACCCCCTATCACCCTACACACCTCTTAAGGAACTGAACAGCTAAACAGATATGTTTAGCTGGGGCTTTGGAATTCAAAACTCTTGGCAATGTAATGGCCAAAATGATTTTGCTCTTCCACCTTGCACCAATTATCTCCCTAAAGGTGCAGATGTACATCTTGTGGAAAAATGCATCCCTGTTTTAAGTCCTTCAGTGGTTCCCCTCCCTTCACGTTGGCTGGACCTTGCTTTGTTTCAGGACTCTGCCCACCATGGGGCTGAGTAACAAAAGTTTTCAATTCAGTTTGCCTTGTTCGAAAATCAAGCTGTCATCATCTCTCCCCTGCACAAGGGCCACTCCCTCTTAATTGGTCTCCCTGCCTCAGACCTCTTTCTCCCAATGATGCTTCCCTATATAGTACACACCCTTTCCAGACTCTGCAGTCCAGGCTGCAGGGCTCTGTGAGAGCTGGATTTGTCTTATCTCTCTCTCTCTCTCTCTTTTTTTTTTTTTGAGATGGAGTCTTGCTCTGTCGCCAGGCTGGAGTGCAGTCGCGTGAACTCAGCTCACCGCAACCTCCGCCTCCTGGGTTCAAGTGATTCTCCTGCTTCAGCCTCCCAAGTAGCTGGGACTACAGGCACGCACCACCAAAGCCTAGCTAATTTTTGTATTTTTAGTAGAGGTGGGGTTTCACCATGTTGCCCAAGATGGTCTCCATCTCTTGACCTTGTGATCCGCCCACCTCGGCCTCCCAAAGTGCTGGGATTACAGGCGTGAGCCACTGCGCCCGGCCTCTCATGTCTTTAACCTCTTGATGCTCTAGCAATACCAGATATTCTGCTGCACAGCCATGCACTTCTTCATCTCAGTACCTTTGCTTGTCCTGCCTAGAATGCTCTGCTCTTCTCCACCTGGCAAACTTCTACTCATCCTTTATTTTAAAAATTTTTAAAAAATTTTAATGGATTTAGGGGGTAGAAGTATCATTTTGTTACATGGGTGTATTGCATATATATCAATGAAGTCTGTGCTTTTAATGTAGCCATCACTGAATAATGCACATTGTACCCAGTAATTTCTCATCCCTAGCCCTCCTCCCACCCTCCCACCCTTCCTGGTCTCCAATGCCCATTATTCTGCTCTCTATGTACATGTGTGCACATTGTTTAGCTTAATGTAAATAAGAACACGCAATAATTCACTTTCTGTTTCTGAGTTATTTCACTTAAGATAATGGCCTCCAGTTCCATTCATGTTGCTGCAAAAGACATGATTCCATTCTTTTTTATGGCTAAGTAGTATACCACATTTTCTTGGTCCAATCATCTGTTGATGGACACTAGGTTGATTCCTTGACTTTGTTATGGGGAATAGTGCTGCAATAAACATATGAGTGAAGGTATCTTTTTAAAATAATGATTTATTTTTCTTTGGGTGTATACCCAGTAGTGGGATTGCTGGATTGAATGGTAGATCTATTTTTAGTTCTTCCCAACTCATCCTTTAGAACTTGATTAGGTATGAGCCTTACCTGCCCGCCCCCGCCACCAGAAGTTACTTCTGCTTTTCCTGGGCTAGGTTAGACACCCCTGGTCTCTCCCATGAACCTGCTGATTGACCTGTCTGGCCATGCACTCTCCCTTCCCACACCCACCACTAGACTGAGCTCCTTAAATGCAGGGCAATTTCTCAGTCTTTCCTGCGTCCTCAGAACCTGGCACAGTGACTAGCACATAGAGACTACTTAAAGAATATCTATTGCACGAGTAACTAAACCATTTGAAATTCTTGAATTTAATGCTAATTAAATACACGCCTTTTTTTTGGCATGTAATAATGGCACCTTCTTACACTGATGTGGTGCATTCGCATTTTCTTTGGATGGAGCAGGTTATAGGACTATATGTGCAGAAGCTGAATGATCCAAACAGGATAGAGATAAATGGATGCCTTTGAAATATATATATTTTTTTCCAGCTAGGAACTAGAATATAGCTGTGTTCTGGAAGAAGTGATCAAATGAAACAAGCTCCCTACATGCCTCTCAGGAAAGTTATTTCTTTCATTTGTAATGCAGTCTCTGACCTACCTTATGCCACATGACTAGGAGTGGTGTTTAAACCCCCCAAAGGGAAGGCAGATCTGGCATTTAATATCAAGTTACACAAGTGTGCACATGTTGTGCTTTGATTGACGGTAGAATCTCATGGACTTGGCAAGCTTTTGTGACCTGTTCACATATACATACACATACACATAGACCCTCAGGCCACACAGCATCCTGCCTGCCCCCCAAAAAGTCACCCCATACCTTGGAAACACAGTGACAGCAACCTAAAATGGTCAATGGATTAGAGGATGCTGACCAGGCTGCAATCCCCACCGCCTGACTTCTATGTGGTTAAAAGGTGCCTTGGCTCAGGGCTTCTGTTTAATTAATGTGAGTCAGCGTTTGTGTAACGCTGTGTAAGAGGACTGCATTTCTTCTGGAAGAAGAGGGATAAAAACCTGCCAAGTGTCAACAAACAGTTCTATATGCATCCCAATTAGGGTGATTTCTGGAAGGCAGCAGAAGCCCACCACAGCTCTGGTTTCTAGGCAACTGCTATTAAGAGTTCTGAAGCTCACTGGAAAGAGAATATTGCCAAGTCTGCCTTGCTAAGGAACCTAATGCGCCTCTTCCAGACCCCCTCCCCTCCCCACCGCCATTCTTGTCTATTTACCCCATCATATTTAGAAGCAAATTATGTCTTAGAGGGGTGTAGAAGAAGCTAAATATCTTCGAGGGCAAAAGCCCTGGGGAAAGCTCAGGCTTGGAAAATCATGCTCTTGATAGTTACTGTTTCTAGCTCACTCTCTGTGTGTCAGGCAGGTCTCTGAAGCCTCACATGGGTTACATCATGTAATTCCTACAAGAGCCCTACAGGTAGACACTATCATTTCAAAGATGGAGAAACTGAGGCTCACGGATTGAAGCCACTTGCCCAAAGTCACACTATGAGAAGGTGGCAATGCCAGGATTTGGATTTCGGTCTGTCTGAATCCTGGAGTCATCGCCTCTTTAAAATAAATTTGTTTATATTTAAGATATACCACTTGACGATTTCATATGTGTATACCTTGTGACATTATCTCCACAATCAAGATAATTAATATATCCATCAGCTGTCATTGTTACCTTTTTTTTTTTTGGTGATAAGACAACATAGGATCTACCTGCTAAGCAAATGTCAAGTATACAGTAAAGTATTGTTACTATAGGCATCATGCTGTACATTAGAGCTCCAGAACTTATTTATCTTGCATAAGTGAAAATGTGTACCCTTGACAAACATGTCCCCATTCCACTCCATCCCTCCCCCACCCCACCCCGGCAACCATTCTTATACTCTCTGCCTCGATGAGTTTGCCTGTTTGCCTCTATTAGACTCAGTAGCCACTTTCTTTTCTTTCTTTTTTTCTTTTGAGACAGAGTTTCACTTGTTGCCCATGCTGGAGTGCAATGGCGCGATCTCAGCTCACTGCAACCTCCACCTCCCGGGTTCAGGCGATTCTCAGGAGCCAGTTTCTTAGCCACTGTGACTTCCTGCCACCTGTCAGCACCCAGGCAGCTACCCTACATGAGAAAACAGAAGCAAAGTATTGTGCATAGCAGTTGTTCAGCAGTCAGTTTTCAGTTCTGAGATAAACCGGTTCAATATGTTTTTTTCGAGAATGCAAGCTCCACCCTGCCATCCCTGTTATTACCTATTGTGCTTAATGACTAAATGGAATGGGAGGGATTGCTCTTATGGACCTGCCATTGTGGATATAGAAAAATGCATTAGCAGGGAGAGAGGCTTTTTCCAGGGCACACCAACAATTTCCAAATTACCCCCTGGTTTATAATTTCAGGACAAACAACAGACAATGGAATAAGGCACAAGACCACCAGCCTGTGATGGTTCGATCGGTGTTCTTCTGCCTGATTGATGGCAGGGACTGCTCGCTGGAGACCCACAACTCCTTAGGAATTCACAATGGCTCCTTCACTAAGCATCAGTACAAGGGGAAGTGGGAGGGGTCTGAGGCGCAATGCAGTTGCAAGGAGGTGTTGTCAAAGCTTCCCTTTTGAGTTTACAACTTGAGTCTTGCCTGTCACCGTGCAAAGAGGGCTTTTGATTGCCTCCTGGACATGGGGTGGTTACCTGACACTCGTCCTCACTGCGATATATTCAGAGGGATCCCAGCAGATGTAAAACCTCTTTCCAGGACCACGGGCCAGCTCTCTTCCTTTCTTCCAGAGTTTGCTGAGCTGTGTCAGTATGAAAGCTATTCCCTTAACTGCCTGATCCCCAGGATTAAGCTATCGCCTCTCGTCTTCTTCTCACATTTGAGATGACCTTACCTCAATCCTAGCCCAGTGCCTGACTCACAGCAGGAGCTTAGTAGAAGGCACCCAGCCTTCCAGGTCCTTGCCTGTAATCATGTGCAGATTGCTTTCTCCGTCTGGGATATCTCCACCAACTCCCTGTGACTTTTTAAAAATCTGATTATTGCCTATTATCTTTTCTAGACCAAAAATATCCAAAGGGTACAAATTAAAAAAAAACAAAAACAAAAAACTTACAGGGGCCATGCAAGTAAAAGGTAAATGAACCCAAACACACACATCCACACAGGCACACACAGCTTTTAAAGCTATATCCAGTGAACCATCGTAGACACTCTGACTCATAATTTGGCCTGTGATTCATTCTCTCTGTCTCCCGTCCTCCCTCTCCCTCTCCCTTTTTTTCTTCCTGTATCCTTCCTCCCACATCCTTCTGTAACCTCCCCATCCCAGCTCTTTAAGCTTTTATTTTTATCTTTGTATAGCTACCAATAAAGGGCTGTTCAGTTGTACGGCCCCAGGGGCATCATTGACATTGTACTCTACAAATTGTGGCGACATTCACCCTTGAGCATATATTGTGAATGATGCCCCCTGGAATTGTGCAAAAGGGCAGTCTTGCCCTGAACATATACTGCTCCCATCTCCACCCAATCCTTGTGCTTGTGTAATAGTAGACCTTCAGGAAAGGTTCATGAGATTTAGGAATTGCTCTTCAGTTAATGTGCATTTTGAGCTGTCTCAGAGCAAGGATAGAGATTCAGATTCCTGTTTTAACTAGTTGTTTAGATATGGCTTTATTTAATGGACTCCTATGTAAGCTTTTTTTTTGAGACTGTCTTGCAAAACAATGCTCTATTTGGTTTCTTTAACTTTGCACCCATATTCTGTCAGGAAACACTATTTATTTATTATTTTTAAATTTTTCCATAAGTTATTAGGGTACAGGTCGTGTTTGGTTACATGAGTAAGTTCTTTAGTGGTGATCTGTGAGATTTTGGTGCATCCATCACCTAAGCAGTATACACTGCACCATATTTGTAGTCTTTTGTCCCTCACCCCCCGTCCCCATCCCTCCAAGTCCCCAAAGTCCATTGTATCGTTCTTATGCCTTTGCGTCCTCATAGCTTAGCTTGAGAACACACGATATTTGGTTTTCCATTCCTGAGTTACTCCACTTCGAAGAATAGTCCCAAATCTCATCCAGGTTGCTGCAGATGCCATTAATTCATTCCTTTTTATGGCTGAGTAGTATTCCAGGAAACACTCTTTCGAAGCTAATCCAACCCTGAATAATTTCTAAAGCTTAACACATAGTCATAGATGCTGAAGGGTCAGGCCATTCACTTTTAAAAAATGGGACACTGCAGGCACGATGACATCAGAATTTCCTGACCCCCAAACTCTGTCTGCCTCAGATGCAACCTAAGGGAACTTGTTGAAGAATTGTTCTCAACACTTTGCAGCCTGCTTGATTTGGTTGTCCTGCATTTTTTTTTTTTTTTTAGCTCAGGGCAGAAAAATGCTTCTCAGAGCATTCCTTTTTTTTTTTTTTTTTTTTTTTGAGATGGAGTCTCGCTCTGTCACTCAGGCTGGAGTGCAGTGGTGTGATCCCGGCTCACTGCGACCTCTGCATCCCGGGTTCAAGCGATTCTCCCACCTCAGCCTCCCGAGTAGCTGGGACTACAGGCATGTGCCACCATACCCGGCTAATTTTTGTATTTTTAGTAGAGACGGGGTTTCACCATGTTGACCAGGCTGGTCTCAAACTCCTGGACTCAAGTGATCCACCCACCTCGGCCTCCCAAATTGCTGGGATTAAAGGCGTGAGCCACCGCGCCTGGCCTCAGGGCATTCTTATTGACTTTGTTCTCATTTTCATGGGAAATTTAGGGAAGATAAAGTTCGGGTATATTTTTAAGGGATCTTTCTATTCCAGTTGTATGGTAAAGTGCAGCTGTGGTGAGGTTGAGGGTATTTTCACTTTGGGGAAACATTGCCTTCCACATCACTGTTCATCTATTAAAATGCTTTATGTACTATATCTGGGCACCTAATAGAAAAAAAAAAGCCATTTTGCTCTTCCTGTAAGTTTTTCAGCAAGAAAGGGCCAGAAAATCACTTTGGTTAGACATTAGAGCAACTTCCCTTAGATCGAGCAGGGATAAGGTATCCCATAGCTCCTAAAGGTAGCCTCCCTTGTCCAGGTAGCCTGGTTGTCCGGGGGAAGGTATTTAATCAAACGCTCTGGGTTCTGAGAGCGATGATGGTGTGGATCAGCGAGATGTCAGAGAAGAGTGGCCAGCGTGGTCTCTAAGACCTTGGAGGACCTGTTTTTGTACAGCGCCACCTTGTGGCCATGAGAAGCAATGGCAGTGGAGGACACAGCGCCAACTTTCTGTGGGATAACAAACTTCAGCTTATTAGACAATTCAAGGGAAAGATGAGGCTCCTAGAGGGAGACTCTAGACTTCCCATGAATAATTCACGTAATGGCCTATGGCTAACTGGAAAAATAAAAGAAGCGAGACTTGAATTTGTAGCTCAGTTCATGTTACAAAAGAAATGGCCCTTATGATGTTCTTATTCACTTTTCTCCCAGTGACGAGACTATGAGAAAGGAAAGGAATTAACTCTTATCTAGCCTTTTCTTTTCCCATTGATTCAAGCCATTGGCTCTACTTCTAATAAATAGTAATAAGAAGAACTCTGATGATGACAAGAGCCAACACGTACTGTGACAACTCTATTCTAAACGCTTTCATTGTGTTACCTAACGTTATCCTGAAAACGATGTCTGAAAAGTATCTAGCTGTTTGTCTTTCAAGGCAAACAACAAACTATAGAACCTTAAGTTTCTTAGCTGTATGCTTTCTGGCATCTGATTTTCCCATCAGACAGGAATGAGACAACTTTGGGTCCCTGCACAGATAATAAGAAAATCTCACCTGCAGAGTGGACAGAGTCCTGATGGCATAGTTAAGCAGCTGGAATTGAGCCTTCAGAGATATTGGTGTATGTGTGTGTGTATGTGTGCCTGTGTGTAACACTTATGTCATCTGTGTGCCAGGTATGTGCATGTTAACTCATTTAATTCACAACCCTGTGAGGCAGACTTTATTATTGTCCCCATTTCATAGATGAGGGCAGTGAGACTCAGAGAGATTAGGTAACTCATCCATACTCAAAAAGCTAGTAGGTGGTAGAGCCAGGATTCATGCTGGCTCCAAAAGCCATGTTTTGTTCTATTGCCTGTGAATACATTAAATCAGGTAGGTGATTGGGAAGCTGGTTTTAAAGACAGTTTTTGTTTTCATACACTTTGGAATAGAGCCGTGAGGAAATTAATACCTGTTGAAATATATTTGTAAGCAATAATTTGGAAACAATGGGGTTTAAACTGCCTGCTGTTTTATTATTATTATTATCATGACTTTGAACTCTTGTAGGTTGCGGGTTGGAAAAGTGACAGACACGTCCCTTTCCCCACAGTGGGCTGCAAGGCCATTTCCCGTCTAGCATCCCAGTTGTTACTCCTGAGAACTATACAGGTGTTCTGAGGTTAGCTTGGTGAGCTTGTGAGATTTCTGGCTTTTTAATATAACTTTATTTTATTTTACTTTTAAGCAAAATCATGACTGCAAAATATCAGTTAATATGACAGAGAAGACCCAGACAAAGAAGTATTCAAAGGCTACAGTCTTTTCAGGAAAAATAGAAGTTTCCATCTGTATTGAAAAAGGCAAATAGATTGGAGACATTGGCAATTAGCTCAATGGAGTAAAAGCCATCAGAACAATCATTAATGAAGTTGCTGGTATTAAAGAAAAGGCTGAGCCTAGGATGTTACTGAGTAGGACAAAGACTTTAAATAAAGAATCCTACAGGTAGAAAGTGATATTCCTGATGCACGTTGGCACTGTCTGTGTGGCTCAGCTGGGCATTGCCAGTAAATTTAGGGGGAGAGTTACTTTCATGAACACTGTCTCTTTTCATTTTGCTTTCCATAAACTGCTTACTTGCTGCTGATGACTACGCTAAAGTCAGAAGAGCAAAAAGTCACGTCTGAAGTACTTTCAGCCTCTTTACACCGTATTTCTGGCTTTTCTTTCATTTCTTATGAGAAAAGTTTATTTTGTTTCAGGCATTTATGAAGTTGTCAGCAATGGAAGCACCGTGTAAATTTAGACAACTTCAGTTAAGTATTGAGAGTCTTAAAGCTGCATGCTTAAAAATTTAAACTGGTTAGGTAAATAATGCTACATTCTTACAATGAAATAGAATGCATCCATGCAAAGATAGTTATTATGTTTGTGTGGATATTGGATAGTAAAGACTTTTTTCAGATATAATAATGTTATTTTCGTTATGGTTTTAAACAGTCCTTATCTTCTCTAAATAGTTGTTTAAAATATTTACAGATAAAATGATATAATGCTTCAAAATAATGAGAGAGAGGATAATGCATAAATGAAATCAGATTGGCTATGATATGATTATTGATCTGAGCAATGGGTGCATAGGAGTTTGTTATATTATTCTTTTTCATAGAGACGTGGTTTCGCCATGTTGCCCAGGCTGGTCTCGAACTTCTGGGCTCAAGGCGATCCACCCCCTCTCTGCCTCCCAAAGTGCTGGGATTACAGGCATGAGCCACCGCACCTGGCCCATTTGTTATATTATTGTCTGCCTTTGTAGATATTTGAACATTTTTATACTAAAGAGTTGAAAGAAATGAAGTCACATATAGCTGTACATTTATTGAGGCTGTGAAAGATGCTCATAATCTTTTGCTAAATAAAAAAGCAAGTAGTCTATACGGAATGTTTTTTTTCTGTAAAAAATACACGTGGATCCATGAATGCATAGAAAATTGTTGCAAGTTGAGCTGCCAAAATAGGGGCTATTCCTGCCTGGGGTAATTATGGATAGTTTTATTACTTATGTATACATATTAATTGATATTTTCTAGCTTTTCTAGATTGTATTATTTGTGCGTTTTAAACTTTAAAAAAAATGGGCTTGGAAAACTGGCAGTATCTTCTAAAGCTGAGCATATGCAAACTCTATGAGCCAATTATTTCACTTTTAGGTATCTTCTGAAAAGAAGTATGTACATATGTTCAGCAAAAAAAAAGTATAAGAGTGTTCATAGCAGCTTTATTCATAATGGCTTTAAAGTGGAAATGACCCAAATGTCCATCAATGCTAGAGTGGATAAGTTGTGCTATCCTCACGCAATAAATACTACGCAGATACTGAGAGAGAACAGACTCCAAGTAATAGAGACAATATGGATAAATCTCAGAAAGACAATATTGAGTGAAAGAAACCAGGTACAATAAGAGTGCTAACTGAATAGTTCCATTGATTTAAAGCTCAAGACAAGAGGAACAAATCTAAATGTTAGAAGTCAGGAGAGTGATTTTCTTTGGGGTGTTAGAGACTGGAAGGGGACATGAGGAGGTTGCCTGGGAGGCCTTGGTAATGTTCCTTCTTCTGATGCTGATGAGGGTTACATGGGTGTGTTTGTTTCATGAAAATGTATTGGGCTGGATGCTGAATGATTTGTGTGCTTTCCTGCATTATGTTATATTTCAATTAAAAGTTCAAAAAAATTATAGAGCTTATTGCGTGTAGTGTCCACTCTAAGTGGTGAACTGGTGCTTTACCGTGCAAGCCTGTGGTTACATCCATTAGTGTAATGGCTTGTTCAACAATCCCAACAGGAAGAGATTTAAAATTAAATAAATATGGAAATCCCAGATGAACAGCTGCATTTGCACAGCTTCCGCTTATGAACATCCTGACTCCCCCCGCCCTGTATCATGTTTGCTTCAGCTGTCCCTAAAACATGGACCTCCAAGTTTCAGAATATGGGGTATCTGGTGAATACACTGGACCTGGTGCTGAGCTCTGCCTGCAGCCCCACAGCTGGGGTCAGGGAGAAATTAATGAGATCATGATCATATTGTAAAATAGTTGCAGCCACTCAGGGAACGTGAATGATGTAATACACACAGCCACCATTTACCAAGCACTTACCGTGTGTCAGACATTGTTCCAAGTGCTTTGCATGTATTAGCTTATTTAATCCTCATCACAGCCTTGGGAGAGAGAGTGCTTTGCATTCTCCACTTTGGAGATCAGAGAAATTAGGCAGCTTTTTCATCGCTGTGTCTCAGTGTGGTACACCTCTAAAGGGCAATCCAGCTTCAGAGCTGCCCTTGGGATTGGCCAAGGTCTCTTTGTGGCTCCATCACAGTTTACCTTCTCCTTCTGCCCCACTCTGTATTCCCACTCCCTCACAGGTGTCGATCCTGAGACTACTTCCCGGTAAACCCCTGCACACAAACTTCCATCTCAGATGCCGTTTCCCTGGGAACCCATCCTACAACACATACTAAATGTCAATGGATTTTATATTCAGATTTTATTTTATTTTACATTTATTTGTTTATTTATTTTGAGATGGAGTCTCACTCTGTCACCCAGGCTGGAGTGCAGTGGCGCGATCTCAGCTCACTGCAAGCTCCACTTCCCGGGTTAACGCCATTCTCCTGCCTCAGCCTCCCAAGTAGCTGGGACTACAGGTGCCCGCCACCATGCCCCGCTAATTTTTTGTATTTTTAGTAGAGACTGGGTTTCGCCGTGTTAGGCAGGATGGTCTTGATCTCCTGACCTCACAATCCGCCCGCCTCGGCCTCCCAAAGTGCTGGGATTACAGACGTGAGCCACCGTGCCCGGTCGGATTTTATTTTTTATTTTAATTTTATTTTCAGTTCTGGGTTACATGTGCAGAACGTGCAGGTTTGTTACATAGGTATACATGTGCCATGGTGGTTTGCTGCACCTATCAACCTGTCATCTAGGTTTTAAGTCCTGCATGCGTTAGGTATTTGTCCTAATGCTCTCCATCCCCGGCCCCCCACCCCCCGACAGGCCCCAGTGTGTGGTGTTCCACTCCCTGTGTCCATGTGTTCTCATTGTTCAACTCCCTCTTACGAGTGAGAACATGCGGTGTTTGGCTTTCAATTCCTGTGTTTGCTGAGAATGATGGCTTCCAGCTTCTTCCATGTCCCTGTAGTTATTTTTCCCTCATTGGGAGAATCATCCAAGGTGTCTAGTCGGCTATATGGCCAGAAATGGAGGTCATGCCTTAATGACTAGGAAATGCTGGACTACCTATATTTAAGTAGGCTTCTTTGCTATTGGACTTTACTGAGCTTGAAAATATCACTGTGCACTAAGAGTCTCTGGGATGGGGGTGCAGTTCACAGCATTTCTTAAACATCTGTGACTACAGAACACTTTTCTTCATGGTGCATTTTGTAGGACAGGTGACCTGCTCAGTATACACTGGGAAACTTCTTTGAGCAAGATGACCTGTTTGCTTATGGAGCTAAAATCTAATTGGTCTCTTTAAATCATTGGCTCTCTCTGTTCATGACTTGGGAGAACAGAGGTCAGCATTGTTGCAACAATATTGAAAATGATAAAAGAGGGACAATTGCCATTCGCTGTCAGCATTTTATCTCCTGAAATTTCCTTTCTGACTGTAGCTGATCTGGACTCTCCCACTGGTAAATTAAGGATGTAAATGAATCAAATTCTGACCTGGGTACTCCCTTCTCCCCTCCAGGTCTAGGGGAGTTACATATAGTGTGGAGTCTACTTTGGATAACACACACACTCTGTCTCTCACATGTGTGTGTGTATGCATGCACGTGCACACACACACAAGTTTGATCAACAGAATAAATTCACCTAAGGACCCATGTAGCTAAGTGTTTCCTAGGGCAATGCAGGGACTGAGCTAACTCTTTTTTTTTTTTTTTTTTTTTTTTGCCCAGAAAAGGGATGTATATACTGTTTGTACTCTACAGAGTAAGATCTCATCCTGCATCTTCAATGATGAGGAGCATGTATTCTCATGGTCCAGGACCATGGAAGCCTGGAGAGCAGAAGATGCTGGAGTGATGTCCTCTAGTTAATTAAAGATAGGTGGGGCTACTGGGCTCTGAATTCCTTGGCCTCATCTCTGTTCTCCAGGCATTGTAGGATCTAAGAAAGGGAAGCAGAACGGGGGTTTTTATGTACATTATCTCATTCTGTCCTTATTCAGACACAAAAATCCCTGTAGGAAGGCACAGTCCCATCCCAAGAGGAGAAACTAAGGCTCAGAGAGGTGAAATGACCAGCCCAAGGTCACCCAGCTGACAGGAGTCTGGTTGAGTCTCTCTGTCTGCATAGCTCATGTTCTTTGTTGCCACCCATGAATATTTTCAGATACTTTCAAGACAGCTAGCATAAAAAAGACAGTGACTTCCTTTTATTGGTCTAGTCATATATTCCTCATCCATATTGTTCTCAAAAATCCCAACAGTAGTGTGGAATAGATCTTGTTATCTCTCTCTCCCATAACATAGATAAAGTAACTGAGGTCTAGAGAAGTGAATTCATTTGTGTACAGCCACCCAGCTAATAACTGGAAGAGTTAGGATTTGAACCCACAGCTGACTCCAATGCCAGAAGACTTTTGACTATGCTCTGTGAGCCTGCCAAGCCTGGCTATAAAACTGAGCACATTGCTTGTCATCTGGAAAAGAATTTTGGAAAACAAAGTTTTGTGCAAAGCCCTGTGTAACAAAAGGTTCAGAAGTTCAAAATATTTTTGATGGTTAAATTTGAAAGCATGGTCTTCTAGTTAAATTCTCTTTTACTGGGGTCTCCAAGGCAGACTTTGACACAAGGAAAGGAATAAAAAAGATATTTACCCTCAGGAGAGAGTAGTGTAAGAAAGGCAGAGAAAAAAAACTCACCCTAAAACTATGGTTAACTACAGGTGTCAAAGATACATGAAGATACCAGAAACAGAGAAAAATAGGTAGGGCCTCTGGGTCACATCCAAGATGATAAAACCGCAATTAACTTGAGACAGGTCCCTCCAACCCATAGCAGCAACCTACCCATGGGGTGTGCAGTTGTGTTTACCAGTTCTGGGCTAAGAACATGAGGTCAAGTGTTTGTCCTTATGGGACAAACTAGTGACTCGTTAATGGCCACTTGCTGTCTGCAGGGTGTGAGGAAGATGTGACTCAAGAGGACTAAGGTCTTCTTTGAATGATTCACAAGATACATTTCAGAAGCCTTAACCATGCCTGCTTCCAAGATATTGAACAACTTATAAATCCATGATCTTAAACAATCCTGGGGCTTTGAGGCAAGGTCTCAAGTCTAGGGGAGGGAATGGTGGGAAGAACCAGGGTTGAACTTCTAAATGAAGTTCTGGGCTACTGGCTATGGATGTGCGCATCCTGAGTGTTGAACGATGAGATGCAGAAGCGACTGAGAGCGGTCAGTAAATGCCTGAGATCAACAATAATTTTTCCAACTACTTAAATTCACTTAAAAGCAGCCTCATTCATAAAGGGATTTGGGTGAGGTCTGTTCCTCCTGCTGGTCCCTCATACTCCAAGCCTCAATTTGAGTTAATAAGATGCCACTATAGATATCAAAGTTTCCTTTTGAGATTTCTAATTTGGAGATGACAAAGAAATTAAATCCCATGTAACCATTCTACTCCATGGTGGTAGCTGCCTGGAATGCTAGGCTGAGAAGGTTTTTAGAAAATCTGGGTTCGAATAAAAGAGTGCTGTGATCCATTAGCGATGTCTGCCCTGGGCACAGGAGAGAGAAGTGGGGTACATGTGCCACATGACTGTCATCGAACTTGCATTGTTTCAATGCAATTATTAGTTTTTTCCCTTCTTATTTCAAAAAAAGTTAGGAGAAGCTCACCCTACCTGCCAGCCAAGACACAAACCATATCTCAAAGTGACCATGATTAACACTATTAAACACTATTAATGCAAAAAGAAGCCCAAGAAATAGGGCTGGTGGGATGATAAAAGTGCCACATGTCTTCTTGATTTCTCTGCACTTTATGAACAAGGAAATCATTTTTGTTGGGCTCCTTGGTTGGCAAACTAGCCTACTGGAGAGGTGATTATTTTAAGAGTACATAATGGAGTCATAAGGGATATGAAAGGTCTCATGGAAATCCAAGATCAGAAATTCACAGAGAGAAGAACTGGAGATTTTCTATAGAAGATAGCTTCAGGGACCTGAGTAATGCAGTTAAAAGTATTGGTATCACTCGGCCGGGCACAGTGGCTCATGCCTGTAATCCCAGCACTCTGGGAGGCCGAGGCAGGTAGATCACCTGAGGTCAGGAGTTCAAGACCAGCCTGGCCATGGTGAAACCCTATCTCTACTAAAAATACAAAAAATTAGCTGGGCAAGGTGGTGCACACCTGTAATCCCAGCTACTCGGGAGGCTGAGGCAGGAGAATCGCTTGAACCCGGGAGGCGGAGGTTGCAGTGAGCCGAGATCGTGCCATTGCACTCCAGCCTGGGCAACAGGAGAGAAACTCTGTCTCAAAAAAAAAAAAAAGTATTGGCATCACTCAAGGGGACTCGCTTGCTTCTCTTTGCTTGCTGTGTTCTCTAATTTCCTAGTTGGCTTCTTCTCCATCTTTCCTTAATTTAAAGCATCTGCTCACCTATAGTCATTGTTCCCTGGAACCTCTGGCTCCAAACAGCTCACCATGGACCCTCTGGCATCCCTTTCTCTTAGTGTTTCAACCTCTGTGCCCACTGCTGTCTGCTTAAATGATGTGCTTTCCACTTTACATTCCCAAGAGTGAGACTCTGATTTGTACAGATTATCTAATGATGCTAGCTCATGTCTCCAAGGCCAGTGCAGAATTAGCTGTATGATTGTGGTAGACTGAAAAAATGGACCCAAATCTCCATCATTTGTAGTGTGAATTTGCAGCTGTTCCCGCTGAGAAGTAGAATCTATTTTTCCACCTTTAACTTGGTCTGGATTTGTGACTTGCTTTGGCCACAAGAATATGGCAGAAGTGACATTTTGCCAGTTCCTAACTTAAAGCTCAAAAGATCTCACATACTTTCATTCTTTCTTAGGACTACAAGTCCTAGCTGACCTATTTGAGAGCAAGAGACCATGTTGTTCTGCCCAAGACTATCCTAGACCTGCCTAGAGCCAGCTGACCTCCAAACATATGAGAGAATCCAGCCAAGATCAGCAAAACCACCTCCCTGATCCTCAGCTGATTACAGGTGCACAAGGGAGCCCATCTGAGGCTGGAGAACCTCCCAGTGGAACCATAGCCTCATAATCACTAATAAATGCTCATTGTTTTAAGTTACTGAGTTTTGGGGGTAGTTTGTTATGCAGCAACAGCTGACCGATACAATGACTTTGAGTAGATCTCTGAACTTCTCTGAATCTTAATTTTCTCATTTGAGGAATTAATCAACAAGACTTTTCCTGCCTGCCTCGGGGAAGATTGTAAGATGCTATGTAAATATAAACTTCAGAATATTTACTTAGTGCCCACTCTGTGCCAAGCACTGAGCTAGACCCTGGGGATTTGCAAGACAGGTTAATTCTTTTGTAGGGCAACATTACTACCTCCTCCTTCCAGCCATAGACCAGTCATCGATAAGTCAAAGTGGACACTCCTGTTTGAATGGCAGTGGAAAAGGCAGAAGTTATCAGGCTCACCTGGAAGGCCTAAAGCAATGGGCTAGCTATCTTATCTCTTGATTAACCCACAGTTTAATTTATAAGCCCCCTCACTTATTCACTTTCCCTACTAAGCTAATAAGCCTTCCCCCTTATTTCAACTGATAAATTCTAGAGATGGACAAGATAATTAATTCATCCCATCAATAAACACTTTCTTGGGACCATGACAGTGGACATGACATGGTGCCTACTGTGAGATCGCTCACATGCTAGTGTGAGAGATGGAAACAGGTCATTGTAGAATGTGGATGCACAATGCAGCCTTTTCCTTAGGCTCCCACATCCAATCCATTAGCCAGTCCTGTGGCTCTACCTCCAAAGGAATCCTGAATCCATCCACTTCTCCCCAGTTCACTGCTGTTTCCCTCATTGAAGCCATTGTCATCTTTCACCATAGCCTCTATGCAGTGGATGTGATGCTCTTTTAAAAAATCAGATTATATCCATCTCTTGCTCAGAATGCTCCTGTGGTTCTTGTGGCACTTAGATTCAAACCCATACTTTTCATCGCAGCCTACAAGGCAGCGTGTGGGCTGAGCCAGCTCTTACCCAACTCTTCAATTTTATCTCTTGTCTCTCTTATCCTCTCTCACTCTGCTCTGGCCACCCAGCTCACCTCAGTTCTTCCAGCATTTCCAGCTTGTTCTGACTTTGGTACCCATTCATTTATTGTTCTCTGAAATACACCACCTTTCACCCTGCTATGTCTTTATTGGGATGGTTCTTTCTCACTATTCAGGTATTGGGCCCAGGGTTCCCTTTATAAACAACTCTTGTCTGATGGCTGTAGCTAAAGCAGCAGCTTCTTCAACACCACTATTTATACATCACCTGGTTTTAGATCCCCACCTTCAAATTCTGCTTATTTACTTGTTAATTTGATTGTTGTTTTTACCTCATTATAATGCAAGTCGTCATCTCTTATTCATCAAAGACAGGAGTCTTGTCTGTTTTGTTCATCTCCAATATATACAGCAATGCCTGGTGTACACCTGGTGATATCTCATACTCAATAAACATTTGTCAAAAAAAAATGAATGAGTACAGAGGGCTAAAGAAGTACCAAGAAGAAGTGCCTAACCCCCCTGCCAAAAAAAAAGAATAGCTTCTTTCTCTGCCCCAAATTCCACCTTTGTTATTTCTAATTACTTTGCTTCAGCTGTCTACCAAACACAGCTGGAAAGCAAAGTCTCAGACCCCTTAAACACGTGCATCACCTGGACCCTGCTGGGGGTAGGGGAGAGTGGATAATTCATCATTGTTTATTTGCAATTGCCTGGACCTAACTAAACTTTGCCAATCACGGCTTCATGTTCAACATTGCAGTTGTTTTCACTGCAGAGATGTTTATTTTCCTTAAAACATTCACAATAAAAAGCGCTGGCACCTTTGCAGGAAGGTACGTCATCGCACTTCAAGAGTCAGCCAAGAACTGGGCACATGCAAAGAGACCCTGATTGTCAACTTCCGCTAGAAATTCACCAAGTTTGTGCCTAGGGTGCTGCTTAGTGCCACTGAACATCTGACGGAACAGGCGAGGAGGAAAGCAGTTAGAATCTTATTCTTTTTAGCATCAGGTTAAATTGGCCATGAAACCAGGGACGGTGCCATTGAATTACAAGAGGGCTAAAATATTAAACAAAAATCCAAGAGACAGTAAAATAGTTTGGCTCAAGGTGAGCTAGTCTCCAACAGGAGGGGAAACAAAGTTAAGAAACAATGGATGGAAAAGTCAACATCATCTTTGTTAACAATTCGCCTCATTTAATACTGGGATATGGGGTCAGGGAGTTTGTGCCACTTGGAGAGATGACTTCCCTTGGAAAACATGGTGTTTCCTTCTGAAGGGGAATCCTGATTCCTTCCTTAATGTTGGTGGGATCCAGAAGTGTGGCCAGATGGAACATCTCATTGTCGTTTCTTTCTTGCTTGCTTGTGGCTTCTCTGTTTGGCCTTTTCCCCATTCTCCTTTGTGTCCGGCAGTGGGAGAGGCTAAGGGTGTCCGAGCAGAACGTTAAATCTCAGCTTTAACATTTAATGCGTCTGTTGGGAGTGACAGACTCAGCTGACCAACTGAAGAGTGGCAGAACAACTGTTGCCTGTATCACCTTTTATTAATAATTAATCCCCTCTATTCTACTGGGTCTGTGGGAAGTGGAACCTTTGTCGTTCTTGGGGCACGTCCCCCGTGGTGTGCTGGTGAATGTTTAACAACTCTCTGTCGGGGGAACTGAGCCCTGATTTGTAGTGTTTGCTGATTTCCACGGTGCAAATATTGTCACCGTGGTGCAGATATTCCCACCAGTTGCTTTCGAGCTACCAAAGTGGTGACGTCAGTGAACACAGAGCTGGGAAGAGATTTGTTGTAGCACTCCTTATATACTATTTCCACCACATAGATACTACAACCATTGATAGCCTCTAGGGCATAGAGATTAGCAAACTGTATAAAACAATTAGGAAGGTATGAGTTCTAAGTATTTATTACCTGTGCTTTAATAGAATTTATTTAATTGTACTTAATTGTAAATTCATGTAATTAATTTCTAATAATAGCTGTGTTTAACGATCGGTTTGCAATTATAGATATACATTTATATAATTAATCTTTAACAATAGCTGTGTTTAATAATTGGTTCAATAATTTTCCACTGAAAATTTAGCAGTGGGCTCTAGTTACAAGCTGGCAAGCCACTGCTTTGTCGCCCTCCTTAGGCTGAGTCAAGTCTAGGTCAAGGCATCTATTGGCGTCTATCTCATCAACAGCCATTTGTCTACAGTGTACAGATTCTTGTGGAGACCCTCATTCCTCAGGCTCTAGAGATTCTGACATGTCTTTGCATCTGGGGCTCTTAGTTGGCCTCATCTACCTGAAGGCTGATAATACTCAGCTAGTAAGAACTAACATGGTCATGATGGTTGGGTATGGCCAGTGTCTGTTATGACTGATTGATGCCCATGAAATTCTGTATTTGGAACCTCTCTTCTGATCCAACGTCCCTGCTGCACCATTCCTTGTGAAGCCTGGAACATCTCTGGGCAAAGCTGTGGAACAGAGTGCAATTCCCTTTTGGGAGGCTCATCCCTCGCCATGCCATCTTCTTTCTCAGCTGCCTGCCACAGTTGCTGTCCCTACTCAGATGGCTCTTGGCTTCTTGATCCTACATGTCACCAGTCCCTGGGGCTCCAAGGTTCCCAAGGCATCAGCCTCAAAAGCCCTCTAACTTGGGTTCAAACACTGTAGATGAAACTGTCATTGCAAAATTGTAACAGACAATGAAAGATATCTGACTTTTAACGAACTCCATCTTGCTTCTAACCTCCAAGCTGTCATTGTTCATTCCTGGGCGTAAGCTGAACTAACTTTGGAGGAACTTAGTTTATGGTTTAAAAACAAAGGGCCGGGCATGGTGGCTTACACCTGTAATCCCAGCACTTTGGGAGGCCGAGGCGGGCAGATCACCAGGTCAGGAGATCGAGATCATCCTGGCTAACGTGGTGAAACTCCGTCTCTACTAAAAATACAAAAAAATTAGCCAGGCGTGGTGGTGGGCTCCTGTAGTCCCAGCTACTCAGGAGGCTGAGGCAGGAGAATGGCGTGAACCCGGGAGGCGGAGGTTGCAGTGAGCTGAGACTGTGCCACTGCACGCCAGCCTGGGCAACAGAGCGAGACTCTGTCTCAAAACAAAAAACAAACAAACAAACAAACACAAACACAGAAAAACAAAAAACAATGACGATAACAGCCCTCTCTCAAAACAAACCTCCTTTTTGCCTGGGGACTAGATTGTCTTTGTAGGACTAAAAAACTAGCCAGAAGATTAGAAATTATGGTTTAGGAGTCATGCAGCTGGAGACTGCAAGATTCTGACCCTCCCTAAACCGCTTCTAAGATCAGTGCTTGAGATATTTTGCGGACCCTGTACTTGATGGATCAGCTGGCACCATGCAGACAGATAAACTGGCTCATCTAATCTTGTGGTCCCCACCCAAGAACTGACTCAGCACAAGAGAATAGCTTCAGTTCCCTGTGATTTCATCTCTGACCCAGCCAATCAGCACTCCTGACTCACTGGCCTTCCTCCACCCTCCAAATTATCCTTAAAAACTCTGACTCCCTTATGCTCGGGGATACTGATTTCAGTTATAATAAAACTTTAATCTCTCACACAGCCGGCTCTGCGTGAATTACTCTTTCTCTATTGCAATTCCCCTGTCTTGATAAATTGGCTCTGTCTAGGCAGCAGGCAAGGTGAACCCACTGGGCAGTTACAAATTCGGGTAAGGTGAATCCACTGGGCAGTTACAGAGAGGCCAGTATGTCTGAAACTAACAGAGGATCCTTGTGGCTCTAGGCCCTCAATTTGGAGATCCAAGTTCAAATGCTGCCTTTGAGCTCAGCTCTGCAAAGGAATATGAGACTGAGCCCTGCTGGCCTCTTTGAGCTGGATCATTCTCTGCAAGAACATCCCAGCATTGACTCTTATGTATTGTCTCTTACGTATTAGTCTGCTGGAGCCGCCCTAACAGAATACCACACCCTGAGCAGCTTAAACAACAGACATATATTTTCTCACAGTTCTAGAGGCTGGAAGCTGAAGGTGCAGGTGCCAGCAGGGTCGGTTTCTCCTGAGGTCTCTCTCCTAGGCTTGCAGATGGCTGAGTTCCTGCTATGTCCTCATGTGACTCATGTGACTTTTTTTTTTTTTTGGAGACAGAGTCTTGCTGTGTTGCCCAGGCTGGAGTGCAGTGGCATGATCTCGGCTCAAAGCAAGTTCCGCCTCCTGGGTTCACACTATTCTCCTGCCTCAGCCTCCCGAGTAGCTGGGACTACAGGCGCCCACCACCATGCCCGGCTAATTTTTTTATATTTTTAGTAGAGACAGGGTTGTACCATGTTAGCCAGGATGGTCTCGATTTCCTGACCTTGTGATCCGCCTGCCTTGGCCTCCCAAAGTGCTGGGATTACAGGCTTGAGCCACCACACCCAGTCTCATGTGACCTTTTCTCTGTGTGCTTATGCCTGATGTCGCTTCCTCTTTCACCAATCACATTGGATTAAGGCTCCACCCTTTGACTTCTTTTAGCCTTACTTGTTTCTTTAACGGTTGTATCTCCAAAAAAATTACATTGGGGCTTAGGGTTTCAACATATTAATATGTGTGTGTGTGTGTATGTGTGTGTGTGTGTGTGTGTGTGTGTGTATGTGTGGCAGGGGCACAATTTAGTCCATGACAATTACTGGGCACTTGAAATGTTACTGGTGCAAATTGACACGTGTTCTAAGTATGAAATACATCCCAGATCTTTCATCATTCATTATTTTTCATCCCTTCATTACTTTTCATCATGTATGAAAAAACATAATGAAAAGCATCTCATCAATACATTTTTAATACTGATTACATGTTGAATGATAATATTTTGGAGGTACTGAGTTAAAAATATTATTAGAATTACTTTCACCTGTTTCTATTTACTTTTTCTAGTGTGGCTACTCAGAAGCTTAAAATTACACACAAGGCTCAAATTATATTTCACTAGACAGTGTCTAGAGACCCTCCAATAGCTGACACAGCCACCCCCTGCAGTCAGTGGGGCACTCTCTTCACCTCTCCCCTAGGCCCTTTAACTCCTTTCCCTTCCTCTACCTTCCAGGAGTCCTCCTGGGCTCAGTCATCAGTTCCATGAAGTTGTGCTGCTGGATGGGGCAGGGTGGAGATTCCGGTAGTGGTGGAGAAGGGTGGCTTTCAGAAGATGGAGGTGAAGGGAGAGGGTGTCTCACTTTGCCTCTCACTGCATCTGGCTCAGAGTGGGAGATGTCTAAGATCAATAGAACTTCCCCGCTACCTAGATTACCCCTCTCAGCACACATCTTACGTGTTTTGTGCTAAAAGAGTCTTCATCTCTTACTCTGTCTTGAGTTGCTTTACCAAAAGTCTCATTTTAGGATCCTACCTTGGGATGTTCCAGGTCTCAGGAAACAGTTAAGGGGTAAGGGAAAAAAATTCCATCTCACTAGACAGAGATGGCTGAAACATGGTCCTGGGCCTCAGTCATCAGGGAGGAAAGGAATAGGGAGTGAGGAGAGGAAAGATAGGAACAGCCCTGTATTCAAGGCCATATGAGGGACACTTTATCTGCTTTATTTCCCTCGGTTCTTCTAACAACCTCCTATTATTCTCATTTTACAGATAGGGAAAAAGAGTCCCAGAGAGTTTAAATAACTCCTCCAGCATCCCAGCTAGCAGGTAACAGGACCAGAATTTGAGAACGACTCTGACTCCACGGTATCATCACGTGTGTCTGGAGTAAAAAAGGGAAGGTTTTCTGGAGCATGGGGACACTCTCTTGAGTTGGATTCAGGTCCAGGAAGAAAAGCAGAGGGAATTCTAGGCGGCTGGAGGCTGGCATGGCATGGGTACTCCCTGGAAAGTCCAGCTGAGAAAGCGATCCTGCCCTCTGCTCCTCCCAGGGTTACCCTCCTGTAAGTCTTCTGCTTAGTGTTCAGAATTGGGGGATGCTGGGACTGGGCAAGGACTTGTAGGCAACACCCCATAGCCTGCTCATGCCTGTTGGGTTGTCTATGGATCATTCCCTGCTGGGCTCACTCACCGGCTTCGTATAAGGTCCTTTTTGAGGTTTATTATTTCCTTGTCCATATACTTGATGCTCTTCATTGGCTTGTCTGGGACCTGATGAGAAGACAAGGGGTTAAAATAAAAGGAGTGTTAATACAATGCTTCCAAATGGAGATAGGCACAGGAGGCTCATGGGTTTCTCTGAGATGTATGGCTAGGTTTAAGGAGTCCTGGGCAGCACAGAGTCTACCTTGACACCAAAGAGGGGGCTGCTGTGTGATACAGTGGACATGGTAAGGGTTTTGGAGACAGATGGACCTGAGCCCTGACCCTGGTTCTGTCTGGTGACCAGCTGTGTGACCTTGAACAAATTACTCAACCTCTCTGAAGAATTTGGGCCTCAATTTCTTCAGTAGAATGGGGAATCACTCCTACTCTGTTCTGAGGATTAAATTAATTGCTAAATTCCTCACTGATAGCAAGCATTAGATAAATGGAAGCTACTACTATAAGCATTACACTTTAGAGCAAAAAATTAGGCATTAAAAATAATTATTATTGGTGGTTTTAGCAGTTGATTTGGAGAGCTGAATCTTGTCAATGTAAAGATGCAAATGTACTTCCCCTCTCTTCCTGCTCCCATAGCGGAGGTTTATGAATGAATTATCCAGATAATTGTTCGTGGGTTTTTCTTTCTCCCTATTAATTTGCCTTGTCTATACCTAGGGGAAATCTCACATTACTCAGAAGTTGATACATGCTCAATATAAAGAAGAGAGATAAATTAACTATATTATATTTTTATTTATTTTTTTTAGAGACAGGATCACACTGTCACTGAGGCTGGAGTGCAGCTCACTGCAGCCTCGAGCTCCTCGGCCCAAGTGATCCTCTTGCTTCAGTCTCCCAAGTAAGGTTAGGATTACAGGTTCAAGCCATCATACTTGGCAAATTATATTTTAGTATAAAAGTCATTTTTCTCAACCTGCAGTTTGGAGAAACAATAATCAGAATATTACCTAGATTATCTTGTCTTGAAATTTTCCTGCACCTTAGGATTTTTTTTAAATAAAAAAATACTTAGAAATTATGGGAAAATGGGTGCTCTCAGATAAATCTGGTAAATACTTTGTGCTGGCATTTCAGAAGGGCAATTCTCAATGCATACCAGATGCTTTAGAAATGAGCATGTCCTTAGATCCAACAACTCTGCTGTCAAGAATCCTAAGGAAATATCCTTTCATGGACATAGAGATTCATCAACAAAACTGTTCACCAGCATGCTGCTTGTAATAGCAAACTATTGGAAAACAACTTTACATCTCACAATAGAAGACAGGTTAAATAATTATGGTGTATCTACACAATGGAATACAATGCAGCAATTAAGTATAACGGCAACATAATGTAAGTATGTTTATTGATATATAAAGATGTTTGATTTTTTTGAGTCAAAAGACATGTTACAAAGTAATATTTATAGCATGATTCTATTTTGGTTTTTGAAAAATGATCTGTGTGGATATACACATATCAAAGATATGAAATGACATAGCTCCAAAATGCAGTGATTTTCTCTGGGGGTGAGATTATGGCAGGTTTTATTTCTTTTTCTTAGCTGATGTGCATTTCCTATAACTTTGCAATAAATATTAATTAGTTACATAATGAAAGAGAAAAGATTTAAAAAGTAAACAGCAAAGTGAAATTTGACAAAGGCTGGTTGGTAGTATTGTACTGAGAGTGTTTTTTGAAGGCAGGGTGAGAACAGGTTGGCTGCTCACTAACAGAAATCCCAATATTGATGTGTGGGAGGAGGCAAAGTGTTTTCTCTGCAGTCACCATCAATGAAATTGGGCTATGGTGCCTACTGCTCTGAGGCTTTGAAGTGTAAAGTGAAAGTTGAAAAGCATTGTTGTTTCAAAGTTGAATGATGCTTGTGGAAGAGTTGGGTGGGAGGCAGAGTGGGAGATGAAGTGGAGGAAGGAACTGCTTCTGGCCTGCTTGATTCCATTTTTCTCCTGGGTTGGCCAATACATGTTCCCATGTAAGGCAGCACAGATGAAGGGTGAAGAGTCTATGGCAATTCTACAAAGTATTTGTAACTGCAGCTATTACTTGCCCACTTGACAAAGTGGGGCCAGGCGCAGTGGCTCATGTCCGTAATCCTAGGATTTTGGGAGGTTGAGGCGGGAGGATGGCTTGAGCTCAGGAATTTGAGACCAGACAGGGCAACATGACAAAACCCTGTCTCTACAAAAAATACAAAAAAATTAGCCAAGCATGTGTGGTGCATGCCTGTAATCCCAGCTGCTCAGGAAGCTGAGGTAGGAGGATCGCTTGAGCCCAAGAGGTCAAGGCTGCTGTCACCTGAGATCGCGCCACTGCAGTGCAGCCTGGTGACAGAGCGAGACCCTCTCTCAAAAAAACAAAACAAAACAAAAATAAATAAAAATAAAAGAAAAAAGAAAAGAAAGCAAAACATAAAGGATGCAAAACAAAACAAAACATATGGATGGCTTTGAATCAGGCCAATTGGATAGGAAACAATGAAATAATTTAAAAACTGTCTCTTTGGCTATTCTTAGTAATGAATTACAGGTACTTTATCTTGCTCATTTCAGTATACCAGGGGGCCTCAACCCCTTGGCTGGAAATTGATGGCAGACCCATCAGTGTTCATCTTGAGGGATGGGTGAAGCGGGTGGAGAGACCACCCTCTGATGAGGCATGTAAGGAACTCTAGGAGTACTTTCCCATGCTTTTGCATAATGAACATTCGTTTGTCTCACACATACAACATCTGTTCACCCTCCCTGTTGATACCAGTTAGTTCCCTGGTTAGGCCCTTTGCCTTTCCTTCACTCAGCACTTGCATCTTGGGAGATGCTCATGGTTACCAGCAGCAGGGGAGGCCCTGAATGACTGAAGCCAAACAGCACAAACCATCCCCTGTCAAAGTGGTTAGTTTATGGATGGTCATGTGACCCAGTTTGGGCAAATGAGATGCAAGCATTTTCTAGGGGCTTCTGAGAAGCACAGGCAGAGATGTTCTCTTTCCTTACTGACTAGAAATGGGGAAGCAGAGAGCCCCTGCGAGTTGCTTGCAGCCATTTCGTGCCCATGAGGGTAGCCAGCCTTGGGCAAAGATGATATGGAGGAAAGGCAGAGAAGAGAGTCAGAGAAAAACTCGTTCCACGGTGCCTTGTTGAACTGATCAAGCTTCACTGGAATCTTGACTTTTCATGAACATTTCCTTTATTATTTATAACAGCTTAAATTAGGTTTTCTGTTACCTGCAGCCACAAAATTCTATCTGAAATACATCCCTCTCTTGGGAGTGGCAAAACAGCTAAGAGACTGAGACTTCTTTTAACTAGTTCTTTTTCTTTTCCCAACACTGCTTTTGAGGTATCAAGATCAGATGACCCCCATTCTGGTGTATTTTATAGTGAAAGCAATGAGATTGGCCATGTTGAGATCAAATATTTGAAAACAAGGTTGCCTGTCTTTCTAATCCCACTTATTTTGGAGAACCTCATTATATATTTCCTGCAGGCCCAAAGTAACTTTCCAAAAAGATGCTGTGAACTAAGCATATTTATAAATGAAGGAAAAATAAGCACATCAGAAATTTTCCTGCCAGATAATTTGAAAACACATGATTGAAACCCTGTTTTATGCCACGGTCATGTCTGTACCACTCTCCTAAACATCCTAAATTTTACCTTCTTCATGAAACAACTATGATAATGTCCAACATTCAAGCATTTTTTTTTTCAAATGTCACCTAATGATAGCTGCCTGTGCACCAGGAATTCACATCATTGTGTAAGAGTGGATTTGTATTGACTGGGATTGGTACTGAATTGCGTCCTCAACTTGACACCGACTTTAGCAGCATGAGATGCACGCACCCCCAAGCCTCACAACTATGTCAGCATTTCAATGGATTCTCAGGAAACCATTTCTGTCAAAGTATAATTTTATAATTATAAAGGTAGGTTTATGATTATAACTTTATAATTATAGTTTTGTTTAATTAAAATTATAATAAGCCAGCAGAAATAACTAGTTCTCAGGACATTTACAAACATCATTTGATATTAAGTGAAAAATAATAAGTTAAATTAAAAGTTAATAAGTTAAATAAGTTAAATAGTAGATTAAAAAGTTTATAAAACATTCAAAAATCACTCTCTCTACAACCTTTCTAGAGGGCAATTTAGACATATGTGTGACAAGCTTTAGAAATACATATCCTCTTGCCCCAGCCAAGGAAATTATGTCGCCAGGATGAAGAGATTTATCCCCGAGGATGTTTATCACAGCAGTGTGAATAATAGTGAAAAATACCTAAATGTCCCACCATAGGCATTGTGGGGATAAATCATGGTCTATCCAGACAGTGGTATGTGATGCATTTGAGTCTTGGTGCTACCACTTAGTGCTGCTATGGCTGTTTATTCACTAATGTGGAAAGGTGGTAATGGAATGTAATTTCAGATGAAAATGCATGCTACAAAACGTAAAGATAGTAGATCATAGAGAAGCTCTAAGATTTATGCTTATAAAATCTATAGACATTTCCAGAAATGTATGTGATCTGATACAAATTAGGTTTTAAAATATTGACATATGACAAGGCATATATGTACTAATATAACAAGCTGGAAGTAAATACAATAAATTGTTAATAGAGATGTTATCTCAGGGCATTTGAATTATAGGCAATTAAACGATAATTTTTTGTTTTGGTTATCTTTTTTCCTAATTTTTCTACAATTCACATAGATTAATTTTAATAAAATAATAGCGTTTTTCATGTTTGTAAAGCAATTTTGACTAATTCTCTCAAGGCAGGCAAAGTAGAAATGTTTAATGCCAATTTAAATTGAGTCATCTAAGAGTCTGGAATGATGTAAGCTAATAGTTTATTTTAACATACTGGATCAGGCAGGGTCTAGGCAGGAAATCAGAACTCATGACAGGTAGTTCAACAAAGGGAATTTAATACAGGGGAGTGGTTACAAAGGTGCTGGAAGAGCTCAAAAGTCACATAAGGAATGATGAGGCAAGCTAGAGATTAGCAAAAGGAAACCTCTACCATCTCCAGGGCTGGAGGAATTAAGGGAAGAAGAGGTGGCCTTCAGAAGCCCTGGAATAGGGCCACTTGGCATAAGCTAGACTCATGGAGGAGATGTAGTTTTAGCTAGAGGTGCCACCATAAGCCGAATGAGAGAAGGGATGAAATGCCCTGGCTTCTGCTTAACTCTCACCCTTCAGTTCCTGATGGTGCCTGCTATTGGCTGAACCTACTTGGAAGCCAGCTGCAAGGGCCCCTGGGAAATGTAGTTTGCAAGGATCAGCCCCCGGTGGGAGCAGGAAATGGAAATGAGAGTGAAAGCAAGTAATTATGGGTACACCTTATGCAAATGTCTTGGCCCCAGGCCACTTTGGGACTATAAAGCAGGTCCTCCCCTTAAGTTAATCAAGGATCCCTTTACAGATGATAACTTTGGATACTCCTTTTGATCTTATGCCTGAGGTTCCCAGAGTTTTCCATGGCTAAAATGCATATCCAGAATTGTGGTCATGCGCCTCGCCCCCCCAAAAATTGTCATAAATCACGATTCTAGGGTATTCAGAACCCTCCTACTTCTCCAAATTTCTCCAGATCTTTGTAGATCAACTCCCTTCCCATCAAAACTTACCTGCTCTACTTCCCATACTGTTAGGTCTTTATACTCCTTGCTGACACTCATTCATGTGTCTCCCTACCCCGGTAACATATTTGTAATACAACCTCATATTTAATATTTTAATCTGGTTTTGACATTAATGAACATTGTGTTATGTTGTGTTGGTGCAAAAGTAATTGCAGTTTTTGCCATTGAAATTCACTTGCCATTGAATGAATGCCGAAAATTCATTTGCCATTAAAATGGCAAAAACCGTAATTAGTTTTGCACCAACCTAATAGAAAATCAGGAAAAGATAAAAAAAATTAGGAGAAAATAAAAACCAAGCAAAACCCCATCACCATCTGATACGGTTTGGATCTGTGTCTCCACCCAAATCTCATGTTGAAATGTAATTCCTAATGCTGGAGGTGGGTCCTTGTGGGAGGTGATTGGATCATGGGGGTGGTTTCTCATGGGTTAACACCATGCCCCCTTGGTGCTGTCCTTTCAATAGTGATTTCTTGTGAGATCTGGTTGTTTAAAAGTTTGTGGCACCTCCCCCATCTCCCTCTTGGTCCTGCTCCTGCCATGTAAGACGCCTGCTCACACTTTGCCTTCTGCCATGAGTAAAAGCTCCCTGAGGCCTCCCCAGGACCAGATGCCAGCATCATGCTTCCTGTGCAGCCTGCGAAACTGTGAGCCAATTAAACCTCTTTTCTGTATAAATTACCCAGTCTCAGGTATTTCTTTGGAGCAGTGTGAGAATGGACTAATACACCGTCTCTGCAGATATCCTTTGTTTGGTGCTCTGTGATGACTCCCAACCTGGTTGCATAAAAGCCATCTTGGGGACAGTTGATTTTGATTTTCTGTCTTTGCTTCCCTTGGATGTGCCATTGGCTTCAGAGCTTTCAGTGTTTCCATTGCTCTGCAGAGCACCGGTGATGACTCCGTTCTTTGTTTCCTAGAAAACAAAGTCAAGTCTCTGCCCTGCCCACCTTTCCTACAGCATGTGTGAACAGCATCCTTTCTCTTATCGACCCAATGAGTTTTTGAGAGCAAGATCGTCAGAAACACCATGTGATGTCGTGTAATGTACCAGGTTAAAAGGTGGTAAATGGAGGTGGGGTTCTGGGAGGGATGGAGCACGCATGGACTAACAGTGGACTCTTAGATGGGGATGGTTTTCTTGGCAGATATACTCACATTTAATATTCATGTGCTGGGGCTGTTTAAATAGTAGCATCGGGAAGTGGTGTGGTTTAACCTGACAGCTGAGAAGTGAAGTGTGGCAAGAATGGATGGAAAGACGTTTGCTGTCAGAAAGACCTAGGTTTGAGTCCTGGCCCTGTCACTCAGGAGTTCAGTGACCTTGAGTGAGGTAACTTTACTCCCCAGTCTCAGTTTCCCCATCTGTGAAATGGAACTAATGCCAGTCCTACCAGAACTAATGCCAATCCCCATCTGTGAAATGGGACTAATGCCAATCTCCTATGTGCTCTGCACTGTCCCAAGTGCATTCTTATATGAAATAGATGAGTCCATTGAGTCCTTGCCATATTATTATTCCCATTCTATAGGACAGCAAATAGAGGCTTAAAAAGGTGAAACTGACTTGCTATTAAGTGGCAAAGCCTGGATTTGAACTCATGGTCAAGTGACATTGACGACTGTGTTCTTATTCACTACTCCATTCTGCACCCCCATCCCACTTTGCCCTATTTTGCATAGTGGGAACTACCTGAGGGGTAGCGGTTGCTAGCTATTGATTTACAGATACTACCTCCAAAACTCTTCCACTGAATTTTGTTAGATTTCATCATAAAGAATTTAATATGGCAGAAAATCAGAATGATTTGTTGGAGGTCATGGCCGGAAAGCCAATTTTCTAAATATCTGTTGTTCTCTGTGTTTTATGAAAGAATGTTCTGAACTCATCTTTGTTATTCCTTAAAACATGATCTACTTCCTAGAATAAGATGAAGATGGAAGTGAATTCCTGTTAAATGTGCCCGGGCTGATACAGACATCAGGGAAACAGCTGGGATGCTCCGTCGAGGGGTGAGCGGGGAAGGGAGGCTGAAAAGACAGCACTGAGAAGCGAGCTTGCTGATTAACAAATTTCAGACTCATTATGGAGAAGCTGTAAAGAACAGAGTAGGCGGGATCATGGCAGGAGTACACACATGAACCCGGAGACCTTAGCTTGCACACGGATGTTTAAGTTTTTGGTGGTTTTAATATTTTATTTTTTATTTTTGTGGGTACATAATAAGTGCATATATTTACGGAATACATGAGTTGTTTTGATACAGGCATGTAATGTGAAATAAGCACATCATGGAGAATGGGGCATCTATCCCCTCAAGCATTTATCCTTTGAGTTACAAACAATCCAATTATACTCTTAGTCATTTAAAAAGTGAGTTATTATTGACTATAGTCAACCTGTTGTGCTATCAAATAGCAGGTCTTATTCATTCTTTCTATTTTTTTGGTACCCGTTAGCCATTCCCACCTTCTGCCCCCCATCCCCCACTATCCTTCCCAGCCTCTAATAACCATCCTTCTACTACCTATGTCCATTAGTTCAATTGTTTTGATTTGTAGATCCCACAAATAAGTGAGAACATGTGATGTTTGTCTTTCTGTGTCTGGCTTGTTTCACTTAACACACTTAACATAATGATCTCCAGTTCCATCCATGTTGTTGCAAATAACTGGATCTCACTCTTTTTTTTGTAGCTGAATAATACTCCATTTTGGTGGTTTTATGGTGTTGATAGGCAGTTCCTTTTGGGGAGAGTGAGGTATTTTTTTTGTCATAAGAATGTAAGATGTGTACCTACCCACATAGAGATACCCAGAATTAGTGACCTCATCCACACACAGATCCTTCAAACTGAAATAGGAAATATACTATAGAATTACTTAACAGGCCGGGCATGGTGGCTTATACCTGTAATCTCAGCACTTTGGGAGGCCGAGGCGGGTGGATCACGAGGTCAGGAGTTCGAGACCATCCCGGCTAACACGGTGAAACCCTATCTCTACTAAAAATACAAAAAATTACCCAGGTGTG
Organism: Homo sapiens; assembly: GCF_000001405.40. Classification (NCBI taxonomy): domain Eukaryota; kingdom Metazoa; phylum Chordata; class Mammalia; order Primates; family Hominidae; genus Homo; species Homo sapiens. The sequence goes on along the minus strand of NC_000012.12, from coordinate 119,420,030 downwards.
GTGGTGGGTGCCTGTAGTCCCAGCTACTCGGGAGGCTGAGGCAGGAGAATGGCGTGAACCCAGGAGGCGGAGGTTGCAGTGAGCCGAGATCGTGCCACTGCACTCCAGCCTGGGGCGACAGAGCGAGACTCTGTCTCCAAAAAAAAAAAAAAAAAAAAAAAGAATTATTTAACATCTCTCCTTGTTGAAGACAGGTTGCATCTTTTATAGGAAATTTTGATTGTCAGGGAGAGGTGGTAGAAGGAGAGACTGTCATCTGGGGAGACGAGCAAGTCCTCTACTGAGAACTTAGGGGAGACAAAGCAGCAGGAGTCCTCTGGGAAGAAGAGGAGAAGGAACAATGATCCCTGGGAAGGAAGCTTCTGATACTCAGCACATGGTACAGGGCCTGGCTCTGCATTCTTTCTGTCATTGCTGAATGAATGAGAAGATGAATGCATCACAGTCTCAAGGTTTAACCCCACAGGTTAATGATTCGTTACAAAGGAAACGAGATACCCATATAACGGTGAGGTCTGGCGGACACCACTTTAACCATCATGGCTATGCTTAGCATCACCAATGACAGGACAAACTCTTATCAGGTGAACCTGAAGTGATGCACTGGGAAGGGCACAGCATCGCCTACATGGTTACATCACCTACATACATGTCCTGCCCCAGAGGTCCAATCTGAATCTAATCATGAGAAAGCAATCAGAAAAATAAAAAGTGAAGGTCATTTTACAAAATAGGTGATCTGGACTCTTAAAAGATGTCAATGTCTGTGTCTGTTGGGGCCTCTGGGAAGCAGACACGGAGAAAGGACTACAAAATGCTCATTGCGGGTAAGCCCATGAAAGAGAAAAGGAGGAGGAAGTGGGATTTGGCAGGGGAGCCCTAGACCATGATGCAGATCTGACAGAGTCCAGCCAATGCAACAGGGAGATCCAGAGCAAAGATTGCTTGATTGAGCCCAAGCACAAGGCAGAAATGGCCAGTGCCCACTGATGGGGAATTTCTGGGGAAGCTTCTGACTTCCGCTGCATGAAAGCTGCTGTGGATGCTGGCGGTGTCAACAGCTGGAGAGTCTCAGCTACCTGTGCCGCCTGCTGGCAAGTTCTTTCTTGGAGAGAAGTCCAAGGGATACACCTCTTTGTATTCTAACAATGTCATAAAAGAGGAAGAAGGCAGAAGATCTGTTTCTCTAGGACACCAAGGGGACACAACAACTAAATGAAATGCATGGTCCCTTGATTGAATGCTGGACTGGAGACAAGGCTATAAAGGGCATGACTGGGATAACTAGGGACATCTGCACATGAACTTTATGTTAGATAACAGCATTGGGGCTCACGCCTGTAATCCCAGCACTTTGGGAGGTTGAGGTGGGTGGATCACCTGAGGTCAGGAGTTGGAGACCAGCCTGACCAACATGGTGAAATCCTGTCTCTATTGAAAATACAAAAATTAGCTGGGCGTGGTGGCGTGCACCTGTAGTCCCAGCTACTCAGGAGGCTGAGGCAGGAGAATCACTTGACCCCAGGAGGCAGAGGCTGCAGTGAACTGAGATTGCGCCACTGCACTCCAGCCTGGGGAACAGAGTGAGACCCCATCTCAAAAAAAAAAAAAAAAAAAAAAAAAAAAAAAAAAAAAAAAAAAAAAGAAAGAAAGAAAAGGAAAAAGAAAGAAAAAGATAATAGCACTGGGTTAATGTGAAATTTCTGTGTTAACTGTATTGTGACTATGAAGGAGAATGTCCTTCGGTAATACATGCTGAAGTGTTTAGGTGTGAAGTGTCTGTAACTGACTTTCAAGAGGCTCAGCTTAAAAAATTGTAAATATACACACATATTATATATATAGTACATACATACATATATACACACATGTATGCATACATACATACATATGAAAAATATGGAAACATGTTAAAAACATGACAAAAAGATAACATTGTGAATTTAAGTTAAGGGTATTTGACTGCCTGTTGTACTATTTTTGCAAACTTTCTGTAGGTTTGGAATCTTCTACAATCTTTTACAAGTTAGGGAAAAAATATGAAGTGACTGAAACCCCAGTTTCAGGTTTTCCTTTGCTGCAGTTAATTTGCTTGGGTCTTCCGTAAATGTCAGTGAAGCAGGACTGCCTTATGGAAGCCGTGCTTTGGGAATAAAGGAAGGGTCTGGGCTTCTTGCTGACATTCAGGGTGGGAGCTTGGATGAAGTTGGGAAACAAAGGTAGGACCCATGCCCCTGAGGCTGGAGAAATTGTGGCCCAGCAGAACCTACAAGTCACCACCTGTCATAGTTTTTTGGTTGATTTGTTTGTTTTGGCTAAGTGTTGAGGCCCTGGCTATGTCAGTACCTCTTCTTGAGGACTTAATTAAGGTCACACCTTAACCACTTCCTTTACTGGGCTCTCTGGGGCCACTATGCACCTGCTCAGGACCAGGTACTAGTTAAATAACTAGGGGGACAGAGCCTGATTGTATCTAATAGAGCAGAAGTAACTCCATAAAAGGAAATTGGGTGCTCTGGGAAGGAGGATTGTATGCCTGCCTGTCAGCCAAAAGCCAATAAAAGAGATAAAGTAAGAGAAAAAGGAAAAAGGGGGGTAGAAAGAAAAATCTTGCTGATGTATTCCAAAAAGTAAAGATAAACCATTTCCTCCTCCAGGCAACATCCCAGGCTGGTTAACAAGATCTCTCTTCCTCAGGATGACTGAAGTTTGGGACCAAATCGCTATTTGTTGTGGGGGATTTTCTTGTACATCATACAATGTAGCATCTCTCCTGCAAGTTACAACAATAAAAATGTCTCCAGACATTGCCAAGTGTCCTCTGGGAAGCAGAATCACCCTCAATTGAGAACACTACTGAGTTAAACTTTGATGAGGGGAGGGGTGGGAATGTTCTTTTTTTCTTTTTTTTAGACAGAGTTTCGCTCTTGTTGCCCAGGCTGGAGTGCAATGGCGCGATCTTGGCTCACTGCAACTTCTGCCTCCAGGTTTAAGCAATTCTCCTGCCTCAGCCTCCCAAGTAGCTAGGATTACAGGCATGTGCCACCATGCCCGAATAATTTTGTATTTTTTTGTATAGATGGGGTTTCACCATGTTGGTCAGGCTGGTCTCAAACTCCTGGCCTCAGGTGATCTGCCCATCTCAGCCTCCCAAAGTGCTGGGATTACAGGCATGAGCCACGTCGACCGGCCGGGAATCTCTTTATAAAGACTCCATTCTAAATCCTGGCCCAACCCTTGATTTGTGGGGAAATTTTTGAAAAAACTCAGGGCACCTGAAAGAAAAAGATAACCAGCAAAATAAGCATTCTATTTAATGCCATGCAATTTATCTGTTCTTCAGTCCTGCTTCAGGCTGGAGCCCTCTTCCCACCTATAGAGTTGTTTTGAAGTAAAAAAAAATCTATTGAGCTGTGTGAGGAAAGCTGTAATCAGCAGGGATTTTTTTCCCCTTCCTAAAGATTCCAATTTTTCTGTGTAAGTTCTATTTGTTCTTTGTGTAAGGGCCTCAGTAATAAAGAACTTCATTTTCTACCCTTGATGGCCATTTTGAATGTAGCTGGATATTCCTCACTGGAGTGTGTTCATGAATGAGACCTCCCTGTTTGTCCCACAGCAGACACTGCCTTATTATTATTATCATTATTATTTGAGACAGAGTCTTGCTCTTGTTTCCCAGGCTGGAGTGCAATGGTGTGATCTCGGCTCACTGTAACCTCTGCCTCCTGGGTTCAAGCAATTCTCCTGCCTCAGCCTCCTGAGTAGCTGGGATTACAGGCATGCAACACCTCGCCCGGCTAATTTGTATTTTTAGTAGAGATGGGTTTCTCCATGTTGGTCAGGCTGGTCTCGAACTCCTGACCTCAGGTGATCCGCCTGCCTTGGCCTCCTAGAATGCTGGGATTACAGGCGTGAACCACTACGCCTCGCCAACACTGCCTTATTTAATCCTCATGCCAACCCTATAAGGAATCCTTATTCCTGTTTTCCTGGAAAGGAAACCCAGTATCTGAGAGGTTAAGTCAATTATTCAAGGTCACAGAGACAGGAAGTGGGAGAGCTCAGTACCCTCCAATCCTTGATACCCTCCCCTCCCCTTATCTAATCCAGGGATCAGCAAACTACAGCCTGCAGCTGGCTTTTGTATATTACAGTTTTATTGGGCACAGTCACACCCATGTGCTTATTACTGTCTGTGGATGTTTTCCTGTTATAACAGCGAAGTTTAGTAGTTATTTCAGAGGCTGCACAGCCTAGAATGTTACCATCTGGCCCTTTCCAGAAAAAGTTTACTAAGCCCTGAGCTAATTTACCAAGTTGTTGACTTTGCTTCCTAGAGAGCTCTCCAGTCTTTTCCCTCCATTGTCTTCCCACCAGTGTCATTCCCACGCTGCTGCAAGCCACCTGGACAACAGACACAGCCTCCGATGACCTCTCTCCTCCATTCTTGTTTTCCTTGTCCATTGTCCACATAGCTGACCCTTCCAAAATGCACACCCAATCCCATGACTCCATTGCCTAAAATTTTCCTTATTGTTTTTAGACTAAAGTCCAAAATCCTTGATGGGAACTACACAGCTCTGTGATCTAGCTCCTGCCTTCAGTGTGATCTTGCATTGCTCCACTGTCCTGATCTCTATGGTCTAGCCAGTGAGCCTCCCTTAAGTGTCTTGCTCATTCTGATCACAGGGTCTTTGCACCTGCTGCCCTTTTTTCCTAGGATGCTTTTGTGCTATCAGTTCACTTTCAATTTGTTAGCTGTGGTTTATCCTTTAACTCTTTGCTGTGATGCATTCCTTGGTCTCTGTAAGCCTGGCAGGCTGTCATATAAGGATGCACAGGTTGGACGCTGCACAACTCTGGAGAGATACACTATTTGCATTTTAGTCTAAGTGAATGGAATCTCCCTTTAATCAGTGAGTGGAAAAAAAGGTGAGGCTAAGTCACCGAAACTGACAAATTATTGAAGAATTGCTACACATCAGCACTGTGCTAAGCATTTTGCATTATCAATCTCATTTACTTCTTCCAACAAACCAATGAGATGGTTATTAAAAAATAACTGTCCCTTTTACAGAAGGAGAAATGGAAGAATAGATGAAGTTGTTCAAGGTTACACAATTGGTCAGTGGTCAGAACCAGGATGAGAACCCTGGTCTTCCTGCATTTAAAACTAGGTTTCAGGCCAGGTGTGGTGGCTCATGCCTGTAATCCCAGAACTTTGGGAGGGCAAGATGGATCAGTTGAGGCCAGGCGTTTGAGACCAGCCTGGGCAACATAGTGAGACCTCTCTCTCTACAAAAAACAAAACAATTAGCTGGACATGGTGGCATGCACCTGTAGCCCTTGCTACTCAGGAGGCTGAGGCAGGAGGATCACTTAAGCTCGAGAGTTTGAGGTTGTGGTGAGCTATGATTGCACCATTGCACTCCAGCCTGGGCAACAGAGTAAAACTCTGTCTCTAAAAACAAAACAAAATGAAATAAAAACAAAAACCAAAACAAGACAAAAAACTTGAGTCCTCAGCCATTAAGCCTCCCTGAAAATTCAGTCTTCCCATCCTTTGAACTGGAAGGAAAGACATTATTCCACTATTTTCTTTCTTAAATCCTTCCTGTTTTTAAAGAAGGGTTTGCTGAGAAGGAAGGTGAGTATGAAGAGGGTTGAGGGAGACACACAGTGAGGATGGCTCCAGCTAATAAAGACAAGAGTGGCCGGGCGTGGTGGCTCACACCTGTAATCCCAGCACTTTGGGAGGTTGCGGCAGGCAGATCTCTTGAGGTCAGGAGTTAGAGACCGGCTTGGCCAACACGGTGAAATCCCCTCTCTTCTACAAAGAAAAGAAGTAGCTGGGTGTGGTGGTGCGTGCCTGTAATCCCAGCTACTTGGGAGGCTGAGGGAGAAGAATCGCTTGAACCCAGGAGGCAGGGGTTGTGGTTAGCCAAGATCGCACCACTGCACTCCAGCCTGGGTGACAGAGTGAGATACCATCTAAAAAAAAGCAAACCAGAGTGATAGACAGTGCAGGGTTAGGAGGGGGCCTGGGAGAAGAGGTGAGGGAGGGGGAACTGACATCCAGAAAAGAACCCACAAGCAGCTAAAGGACTGTATTATTGTTTTTTCCTGTGTGAGGTGCAATGTAACCTTCTCCCTCTCTTCTGTGAACCCTTCAGTAAAATCCCCATTACGCACTGGCACATATGGAGTGGGGACTGCTCTCTGAGGGGCTTGAGGAGCCAGGCCCCAAGGTGGGCTGGGGGAGCAGAGGTGGACAAGGGACGGATTCAGGAGAAAAGAATGTGGAGTCGGAATCCCCTCTCCATGCACCACACCTGCGTGACCCGAAGAAAGTCATCTCTTGTGTACCTCCGGGCTCCCACCTGGCACTGCCTAATCTTCATGCAGGGGCCATGAGGATGCTGAGAGGCCCACTTGGTACACAGGGCTTTGTGAACCAAAACAAGCCAAGGAAATGTCACTATTACTCTCACTATACCAGGAGTACCTGTAGTTTATACACATTGAATCAATTATGAGCTATGAATGAAAAATATAACTTGTGTGAGATCACGAAAATGTTCCCCCCGCGATGCCTTAAGGGCCGAGCAAGACTGTCAGTGACCCGATGGTCAGCAAAAGTAGCGATGCAGCGATATAACAGTAGGTGGCGCTAGATGCCATAGCTTTCAATCAAGTCCTGGTTTCTTTTAATCTCTTTCTCTGCCTCCCTCTTCTCTCACTTGATTGAAATGGAAATTGGCTGCCAGCATCAATGAGCCCCCAGCAGCCCTGAGACTGAGCTGGCATGCCAACAGCCAATGTGTTATCCACCCAGTTAAAAAAATTAATCAAATGCATTAATCTCATAAGCTCTTTTGAAAGACTAGGTATGAGGGGCCAGCAGTCCAGCTGTCAGACCCTGGGAGCTAATGGGAATCTGTACGATGGGCTAGCGGCTGCTGTTCAAAGTCCTGGAGGAGCTTCAGGAAACAGGAGCCCCGGGATGTGACAACCACTCTATTCTGTATCGTGAACCTTGCAAATGGCGTGTCTGGAAATGCGGGAGGCTTGAGATGGCAAATGGGCTCCAATCTGAGCGCTAGCTTCAATCTACCCACGAGTAGTCATTCTGTCTGGAGTGTCCTCCAGTCCAGTCTTATCAGAAGAAGTATCTGTGATTGATTAGCAATGTCTGCCACAGACCCAGTAAGGAACAGCAGCATCAATGTGCCCCATTACCATTCCTGCATGGGGGGGTGGGGGGGGGTGGGGGGCTTTACCTGTCTTTTCTCATTAAATATTCACAGCCACTCCAAAAGTTGATAGCATGATTATCTCTATTTTCTGATTAAGAGAACCGAGACCCAGAGAAGTTAAATAACTTGCCAGAGGTCACCCAGCGAGTGAGTGAGGGCTAGAACCAGAAGTTTAAACGTATCCTGTTGGCTGCAGGGCTCTGTTTATTGCATATTACACCACAGTTTACTTCCTTTCTTGGAAATGAAAAAATTTATTTGGCAATTCATCCTGGATAAATGAAACAAAGAGTGACCTAAGAAAGTATCCTTTCATATTGCCAATGTCCTGATAAGAAGGATGTGTGTTGGTGGTTAAGCCCCCAAGTGGCTTCCATCCGTTTTCTCTCTCCCTGGAAGAAGATAAAGTTGACATCTCTGCAACAATCAAGTGAACCCCCTGAAGGTCCAAAGAAACACAGCCTCCCATTGGCTAATAACTTTTAACCTCATTTTTTTTTTTTAATGTGAAGAGCAGAAGCAGAGCTGAGCTTAAGCCACTGGTGAAAGAGAAAAGAGCCAAGATTCAGGAGAGCTGCTTGGGGCTGGATGAAGCTTGACTCTTGGGCTGAGCTTTAGTGTGACACCAGAGATGCTGGGATATGAATTCTACAATGCTGTCCCCTGGATGCCATTCGATGGAAATTTACATGGATTACCTTTTGAGGCTCAGTGAGGGGCAAGAGCAGCTCACATATTTCTTAAATATCTATTAGGAGTTAGAAAATATCTGAGGATGTGGTGCTGAACAAGGGGCCATCCTTTCCTCAGGGATCTGGTGGTCTAGTAGGAGACACTTAACTACAATGTAGGAAAGTGCAGGCATCAAACCGTGTGGGGGCTGGAAGGGTTGTTGGCAGCGATTCAGACTGTGCTGAACACAAAACTTGGGGGAAAGGGTGTATCGGGGCTCAGAACATGATACCCCAAAACATGGTGCCTTGGCATGCTAAGTATTTTGGATGGAAAGAGATGGGAACAGGCTCAGAAACAAGGTCTCTCTGACTTTCTTTCCACCTCTCCTCTTTCTCTCCCGAGAAGGTCATAGAAACTGGAATTTCTCACCCCCAAGGTGAGAACCAGCTCTGTCTGGTTCCTTCTGTCTGAAACACCTATAGGGCAGAAAAAGTAAAACCTTTTACCTCACCCATCACAAGGGTCTTGGATGACATCACCATAACAAAAGACATATTAATGAGAGAAAAGCATAACAATTTTTTTCTTTTTTTGAGATGGAGTCTCGCTCTGTTGCCCAGGCTGGAGTCCAGTGGTGTGATCTCGGCTCACTGCAGCCTCCGCCTCCCGGGTTCAGAACATGAACGAGGCTTTTCACCCCCAAGCTGGCTCACAGAAACTAGAATTTCGCTCTCCCAAAGCAAGCCATAAAACCTAGAAAGGCTACTGTCTGGCCTCCTCCCTTCCATCCTGATGGTTCTATGTGACATGTTTCTGGTCCCATACCTGGGGGAAAAATGTCTTACAGAGACACAGAAAAGAATCTGAACAAACATGCCTTCCTAAGCACACCTCCCCTTAGGTTTACTACCTTTAGATAACACCCCTTTTTGTCCAATCACGTTTCTCTACAACTATCCACTCTTCTCATCAGACTTAGCATAAAAACACAGTTTTCCCTTGGTCTTTGGGTCTCCATTTCTGAAGGCTCCCATGTTATGTAAAACTTCGGTTAAAAAAATAAATGTGGCCGGGCGCAGTGGCTCATGCCAGTAATCCCAGCACTTTGGGAGGCTGAGGTGTGGGGATCACTTGAGGCCAGCCTAGCCAACATGGCAAAACCCTGTCTCTACTAAAAAAAAATACAAAAATTAGCTGAGTGTAGTGGTGCGTGCCTGTAGTCCCAGCTACTCAGAAGGCTGAGGCAGGAGAATTGCTTGAGCTGGGGAGGCAGAGGCTGCAGTGAGCTGAGATCGCGCCACCGCACTGCAGCCCGAGTGACAGAGCGAGACTCTGTCTCAAAAAAAATTGTTATGCTTTTCTTTCATTAATACGTCTTTTGTTATGGGGATATCATCCAAGAACTGTGATGGGTGAGGTAAAGGGTTTTACTTTTTCTGCCCTATAGGTGTTTCAGACAGAAGGAACCAGAAGGAGCTGGAATGGTTGGAATGCAGAGTATGGGATGTGTGTGTGTGCCTGTGTGTGTGTGTGTATTGGGGTGTGGTGATGAAGGTTTTCCTGATGTCACGAGGCAGGAGAGAACATTCCTGAAGCTGGTAATGCTGTTGAGAAGCCATTTCGGCAAAATCAGCTTAGGGGTGAGGGCCCAGTGAAGGACTGAAGATGGAGCACTGAGTTTTCTGTCATTTCATTTTTTATTACTTTAGTTTTTTTAAAGCAAGTAGTATTTTCAAATGGTTTAAAAAAATGTATCAAAAGGTACATCACTTTTTAAAATGTATTACTTCCACCTTGTCCTCAAACCATTCATTTCCCTCCCTGGAAATGAATAGTGTTATCAAGTTCTTGTGTATCCTTCCAGAGAGATTTGGAAACCACACACACACACACACACAGACACACACACACACACACTCTTTCCAACACTAGCATCTACCTTTCACACAAATACACATGGTAGCACTGTTTGTGTCCTGATTTCCCCTGACATAACAATGTATCTTGGAGAGCGTCAGGGTATTGAGTATCGTGGGACTATAAGGAGGCTGGAGCAGGTTGATGCCAAACTCTTGAGTCTTTGGAGCTGAATCTGGGAACAAGAGTGGTGGCTAAGAGGCTGTCATTAATGCATGGATTGGAGCTCTGAGAAGAGGATGGAATTGGAAGTTAAGGTAAGGAGTGTTGAATTAACTGTCAGAGAGGGAGGTGGGAAAAGAGGGCAGAGAGAGAGAAAGAGTGAGAAGGAGACACACAGAGAGAGGCAGACAGACAGAGACAGAGAGGGGGGCCTTGGAGGGAGGAGGGGAGAAGAGGATACTAAGATTATGAAGATTAGAAGGCCAAAGACTGACACACGGGGAAACTGTCAAGGAACACAGAGGACCAAGAAGATACGGAAAAGCCTGCCTGTTTCTGTAAATAAAGTTTTATTAGAACACAGAAAATGGATATTGAGTGAAATCCCAGTCTTCTATGTTTGCAAAATCTCAAATCATTTATCTTTTTGCATTTCTTAATTGTTTGTTGGTGTGAGGGCTGGAGTACATTTTGGGGACAATAAAGATGTCATTCATTAAGGTCTTGCTGCTGCCTAGTAGCTGCAATACCTCCTCTTCCTCATTGCAAGGGAGACCTTCAGTAGATAACCAGGCAACTTCCCAAGGTGTTACAGAAGTTCTTTTTGGCTGTCACAACTTGCTGGGGGTTGGGGGGTGGTGCATCTAGTAAGTAGATGCCCATGATGCTGCTAAACATCCTACAATATACAGGACAGTCCTTCTTCCCCCACAAAGCCGTATCAGCTCCAAACTTTCAAGAGTGCTGAGGTTGAGCAACACTGTTGCTAAGACAAGAGCTGTGTTTTTATTTTGCCTGGAGATCCCGGGGCACCCAGCACCCAGGTTGGCGATGATCAGGATCTAGGTTTTGCTTTCCCCTACACCGGAGTCTGTGGTAGGCAGCCTCTTAAGATATCCCCCATGATACCCACCTCCTGGTACTCACACTCTTGTATAATCTCCTCCCCTGGAGGTTGGGCTGAACCTAGTAACTCACTTCTAATGACTAGAACATGGCAAAAGTGATGCAATGTCCCTTCTGAGATGAGGTTACAGGATAAACATGGCTTCTGTCTTGGGCACCTGCTCTTGATCTGGGGAAAACCAGCTTCCAAGTTGTGAGCTTCTCTTTGGGAGAGGTCCACATAGCAAGAAACTTATTAGGTTGGTGCCAATGTCATTGCGGTTATTGCTATTACTCTTTGTTTTTTTTTTGAGACGGAGTCTCGCTCTGTCACCCAGGCTGGAGTGCAGTGGCCTGATCTCGGCTCACTGCAAGCTCTGCCTCCAGGTTCACACCATTCTCCTGCCTCAGCCTCCCAAGTAGCTGGGACTACAGGCGCCCGCCACCACGCCTGGCTAATTTTTTGTATTTTTTTTAGTAGAGACAGGGTTTCACCGTGTTAGCCAGGATGGTTTCGATCTCCTGACCTCGTGATCCACCCACCTCGGCCTCCCAAAGTGCTGAGATTACAGGTGTGAGCCACTGCGCCCAGCCCTTGCTATTACTTTTAAATGGCAGAAACCACAACTACGTTTGCACCAGCCTAATACATCTCTAGCCTACAGCCAGAAAGCACCTGATACCAGCCAATAGCCAAGTGTATGAGCTCAGGAGTGAGCCGTCTCCCTGTTGAGTCTTGAAATAACTGTAGGCCCAGCTGCCATCTTCAGTGTGGCCTCAGGAGATCCTGAAGCAGAGGCTCCCAGCTAAGCCATGCCTAGATTCCCGACCCACAGAGATTGTGAGATAATCAATGTTTGTTGCCTTAAGCTGCTAAGGTTTAGAGTAATTTGTCACATAGAAATATGTAACTGAAATACAGCTATACAGGAATAAACTCTCCACAAGAAACAGTTGATGATTTGGGTTACATAAACTCATTTACTTTCTCTTTAGGGGCTAGTCACAAAATTAATAGCTCTTCTTTGACTATAACAGTCTCCCCTATTGGCAAGAAAAATGTGTTGGTCTGTTTCAGGGTGTGAGCCATTAGCTGGCTCCCATATGCATTTAAAAAAAACCTTTTTATTTCTAATAAAATAAAGCAGAGAAAACCTTTTTATTTTTAATTTAATTTAATTTTTTGTCCACGGCCTGGGCATGACTTGGTTGTAAACAAGATCATTCCATAACTGAACTACCACAGGAGACAGTAGATTGTAGTATTGAAAAGCACAGACTTAATCAGACAGACTTGGTTTTAAATCCCAGCTCTGCCATTTGCTAACTGTTTGGGCAAGAGCCATAAGAAATACACCTTCTGGAGTGCCCATTTTATGGGTTAAAAAAAAGCCACTACCAAGGCATGGAGGGGCAGAGTGACTGCATATAACTACAGGGTCAGGAAATGAACCCAGTGGTGATCATTAAGTGAAGAAACTACTGGGTCGTTTCCAAGGTAAGCAAGTAGAACAACAATCTCGGGCTTTCTTAATTGGTACATATGCATGCATGTGTGCTTGGATAGATACAACATATTTTTAGTAATTAATTAATTTATTTTTGAGACAGGGTCTTGCTCTGTCACCCAGACTGGAGTGCAGTGGCATGATCATAGCTCGCTGCAGTCTCGAACTCTCGGGCTCAAGTGATCCTCCTTCCTGAGGCTCCCAAGTAGCTGGGACCACAGGCACGTGCCACCATGCCTGGCTAATTAAATTTCTTTTTCTTTTCTTTTCTTTTCTTTTTTTTTGTAGAGGTGAGTTGTCACTATGTTGCCGAGGCTGATGTTGAACTCCTAGCCTCAAGTAATTGTCCCGCCTTGGCCTCCCAAAGTGCTGGGATTATAGGTGTGAGCCACAGTGCCTGGCCAGATACATCATCTTATAATTTTAATTTTCCTACTGCACTTGGCCACCTGGCTTCTAGTGTTATGCTCCATTTACGTACACACACCCCACCTGGATGGGACATTCATGCCAAGGGCAGTCAGAATATACCCCCCTATGGCCCTGGATGTCCCCTCGGTGTTCTCTGCTGACCCCACTGGCATTGTGGTGACTGTTCTGGCACCTCTCATGACAAGAAGATATTTGTCCTTAGCTGTCCCTAAAGTGGTATTTCCAGCCAGCGTGTTATGAACATTGAATGCTGTAAAGACTCACTGCTGATGAAGGAACTTTACAAACATGAAACCAAAATGCAGCCGTGATGCCTGTCACCATGTCTCAGTCCCTGGAGGAAGTAGAGAAACCCTAGTGTATTGCATCCTCTGGTGCTCTGGCTTCAGCCTGAGGATCAGTGGGGGTATGTAGGTAAGTGGGTGGGGCTGGAGCACCAAGACTTGGCTTATATTCATGAAGTAAAAAGAAAACCAAGCAGCTCCAATTTAAAACCTTTTTTTTTTTTTGCTATATTCAGCTTACCTTTTTATTATGTTTTGTATTCATATTTTAAACATATTCAAAACCACTGATTTAAGCAGCTATTCCTCTTACATTGTAAATGCTGTTTTCTCTCTCCTCCTCTGGATTCTAGCATTGCAATGTATGCGAGGAGTATGACCTTGTCACATTGTGTTTTTGGTTTCAGGCACAATGCCAAACAAAGAGTGGCTTCTTGGCAGTTATTTGTTCAGTGAGTGGATGAAGGGATGAAAATAAAACTTCAATATGTGTTGATTTTTCAACTTTTAGACAACTCAGAGACAAAGCCTGGGAAACTGAATTATGGGTATGGAATGTGAATGCTATTGATCTTGACAATGTAAAAATAGTAATAAAGACGCAAGGGGAGCTGATGAGACCCTCATCTCTTCCACAAAGTAAGGAGTCAAAGACGCTGTCTAGGGTGAATGAGGCAAGAAGACCCCAACTCTCTCTCTCTCTCTCTATATATATATATCTATATATATATATATTTTTTGAGACAGAGTTTCCCTCTTGTTGCCCAGGCTGGAGTGCAATGGCACGATCTCTGCTCACCACAATCTCTGCCTCCCGGGTTCAAGCGATTCTCCTGCCTCAGCCTCCTGAATAGCTGGGATTACAGGCATGTGCCACCACTCCCAGCTAATTTTGTATTTTTAGTAAGGGCGGAGTTTCTCTATGTTGGTCAGGCTGGTCTCGAACTCCTGATCTCTGGGGATCCGCCTGCCTTGGCCTCCCAAAGTGCTGGGATTACAGGCGTGAGCCACCACACCCAGCCTCATCTATATTTTTTAATTACAGAATTAACCACTAGGGGAGCTGAAGGTAAGGCTACTTTTGGAGGGTGGGAGTTAGGGGTGGGGAGTGGTGTGGGGATGCGGTAACTAGATCCTCATCTTTCACAGCAGAAAATTATTCAAGTTTTAAATGCATAAACTAAGAAATACACGTAAAACTTATATAATTTAGAGGCACGGGTCATTGGAGGAAGTAGCAAAAAGTGTTAGACACGGCTGCCCTGAGGGATGGCATCAAGGATGAGAAGAGGGCAGGGAAGAGGGACTCCTGCTTTACAGCAGAAGATTTTTGATGATATTTGTTTTTGGTTTTTTTTAAATCTGAGAATGTTTTACATTAATTTTCTAAAAACTAACAGAGTTTGAGAGCCCTAGTTGGAGTTAAAATACAGAGCCCGACTTTGTTACCGTGAAAATCAACAAGCACAACAAGCCTTGTAATATCCATGCTCATTTCAGAGTCAAGACAAAATTAATTTGGAAAAGAAAATACAGCCGGGGAACAGAGTTAGCAACCTCAGGAAATTCAAGGAAATGTAATTGAGTAAGAATTATCTCCTTAATTACTTATGACCAAATCAATAACAACGCTGGATGAGAAACCGCAGTTGCCACCAATGAGGATCAAGTCGCTGAGAAACCAATTGGGGTTCAGGCTTGTTTGAAAAGCAAAACACCTTCCTCTTGGTTGTTAGCAAACACGGTTCCTGGGGGTGTGCACGGAGACAGGAGAAGGCTGCAGTTTGCAGCCTGGGGTGGAGAAATGAGCTGAACTTGCTTATTATTTTCAAACGTGAAAGCCTGAATAGAGGAGCTCCTTTCTCCAAAGAGGAGCAAGCATGGATGCCCTTGATGATGTCAAATGCTCATTTTCATGCTTTCCTGGGGTTAATCAGAGACCCAAGCAGGTTCATCATGCAAATTAGAAGGAGGTGAGCCAAGTGCCTCAAAGGTAGGTGAGGGAGCATTTTTGTTTGCAGATCACAAGCTTTTTGTGGGAACTGCAAAGATTTCTTTCAAACCATCTCCATGTGCCTTTGGGGAGGGAGTGGTGAGGATCTTTGTCTCTAAGGGGCCCTGCTGGGCACGACCCTCTAGATCTGTCATGGTTTTGGAGCTGGGTTAAGATCTTATCTAGAGCTGAGATTCAAGAGTGCCCTATCTGCCTAACCTCTGACAGACCTACCTGTCCTCATCCCTGTTGGGGTCTTTGGCAACTAACCAGGACCTTCTCAAGTCCATCTCACACTTGGTGCCTTGCTCCTTGCTCTTCTGACCTGTGGACTTGTCAATAAATCATCCTCACTGTCCAGATATTTCTCCATTCAAAAAGGTCTTCCTGAGCCCCTCTGGGGGTCCCAGCTCAGAGCTAGGAAACACACACCCACCCCCAAACTCCCTCTCAGGGTCTCATTGATGGCAGGGTGGTGGGGGGGAGGTAGGCAGATAATTAAGCAGTTATGATATCATATGATGTAGCTGTGGTGGGAGTGAGGGAGCTGGAGGTGTGAGCACACAACTGACCCAGCAAGGGTGGAGGACAGTCAGAAGGATAAACAAAATGACTTTTTATTTTTTTTGGAGACAGAATCTCACTCTGTCAACCAGGCTGGAGTGCAGTGGCGTGATCTTGGCTCACTGCAATCTCAGCCTCCCGGGTTCAAGTGATTCTCCTGCCTCAGCCTCCCAAGTAGCTGAGATTACAGGCATATGCAACCATGCCCAGCTAACTTTTTTGTATTTTTAGTAGAGACAGAGTTTCGCCATGTTGGCCAGGCTGTTCTCGAACTCCTGACCTCAAGTGATCTGCCCACCTCGGCCTCCAAAAGTGCTGGGATTCTAGGCATGAGCCACTGTGCCCGGCCTAAAGGAAATGACTTCTGAGTACAGTTCTAAAGGATGAGGAATGATTAGTATGTGAGGTGATGGATATGTTAATTAGCTTGATTCAATCATCCCACAATGTATACATACATCAAAACATCACGTTGTATGCCATAAATATATACAATTTTTCATTTTTCAATTGAAAAAATAAATAAAAGAAGAGGAAGGAGGAAGATGTGCCAGGCAGAGGGGACAGCATTTGCAAAGATCGGGATGGAGGTGAGTGAGAACTTGATAGTGAAGGTGGCTCAGTCCAGCTGGAGCATAGCAATAGGGTTGGTGGAGGGGAGGGGTGAGGAACAAGGGAGCGGTAGAAAGGGCCAGTCATGATCGTGACAGCAGCTGGGATCTGGGATTTTATGCAGAGGGCACAGGGGGAAGATGGGGCTGAGGGGTTTGAGTGTGGCTGCTGGGACTCTCCCCAGGCCACTGTGATTGGGAGTGGGACACCAATTTGTAGCTGGGTGATTAAAGCCCAATGTTATGCTCTTGGACTGCAAGCCCAGGAAATCTGCAACTTGGTGATTAAAGCTCGACGTTATGCTCCTAGACTCCAAGCCCAGGAAATCTGCAGACTGGCAGCTAGACGGTACTAGTTTCCTCCCAGGCATAGATGCTCCAGTCAACTCCCCATGGGAGCCTTCCTCTCTCACCTTCCATCCATGTGGCTTCGGAGGTGAACACGGGATGCAGGCCCAGCCAATCAAAATATTCCACCTCCCTGGCTGCAGGGAGGATCTTATTTTTTCATGAGTCTGAGACCCAAAGAAAAACCAAGGTATTTAGTCTCAGGACATTTGCTGCTGCTCTTGGGAAAGAGAAGATCTCTTTCTGCTGGGGTTGCTCCCATGGAAGAATGTGAGCCTAGAGCTCTTGGCGACTATCTTGGCCATCAACTTGGTAAAGCCTGCCTGAGAATGAAGGCAACACAGAAGAAAGAAGAGTATGTATCTGGAGATAATGTTCGAACACTTGGAACTCATTATTCCTAAAGCTAGGTTTATTTGTGGACTTTTTGTTAATCTTAGATAATTAGTTTTCTCTTTTGCGTAGGCCACATTGAATTGGGGTTTTCTATCATTTGCAACTAGCAGGATCTTGATTTGACCACAATTTTGTTAGCATATTGCAAATATTTTTGTCAAGACAACCCCAAACTACACCCCTGGAGAGTTACACTAGTTCTCTGTGGCTAAACCAAAATCCATGGGAGATCTTTCATTTAAAAATTATCAGAGATCATCAGCGTTGAGAGATTACCCAACACAACACCTCCATCACATGACAGACACACTAAAAACAGCTGCCATTTACCTACTAAGTGTCTAAGTGCATACTATGTGCTACCCACTTAGTTTTACACATATTATTTCCATTTACCCTTGCAATATATTTTGTGGGATAGGACTGCTATTATCTCCATTTTACAGATGAGAAAACAGGTCCAGAGAGGTTAATTTCCAGTTACATGACAGAGTAAGGAACAGAGGTGGGGTTCAAACACAAACTGCACTTTGGCTCCAAAGCTTGTACTCTCTCTGCTTCACCAACAGATGTGCAATCTAAGACTCAGAGAAGCTGGAGAATTTTCCTAACGTCACACAGCAAAGGAATGGAAGACTCAGGACAAGAATACACGATCCTCTCCTTCCAACATGTCACCCAGCAGGTGCAATAAGTCAAAGGGCAGGGTATGGGATTTGGAGTCATACAGACCTGAGTTCACCAGCCAGGGTCTTTGGCAGATAAGATTACTCTTTGAGCCTCAGTTTCCTTGTGTGCAAGGTGAGAATAATCACAAAGCCTACTTCATAGGCTTGTGATGGAGAATCAACACAACATCACATGCAGGCCCAGCCAATCAGAATATTCCACCTCCCTGGCTGCAGGGAGATCTTATTTTTTCATGAGTCTGAGGAAGGAACATGAGGCTGCACCTCCAGTGATGGACGTGATGTGTGTATAAAGTTCTTAGGACAGAGCCAGGTTTATGGGGGCTCTCAATAAATGTTAATTGTGAATGTAATTGTTACAATTAATAAGCTGTGCTGTTAATGAAGGTATAAAATGCAGGTGATCTGCCACATGACCACAGGCTAGTTGCTGAATTACAGCGGCCATTGGTCCCACTGGTAAAATAGGGTTATTATCTGCCTTTTGCTCATGACACCAGGGCGTTACAAGAATTAATTAGCAGCTTTACAATGTACTGTGCACTTTGATGCTCTATAAACAGAGAAATGTGATGGTTGAATATTTGTATGATATCCATTATTGAGGATATCTTGAATTGGTTTACTGATGTTAAAATAAATTCAACCTTCCAAAAGTGGATAAATCTATCTGAGTCAAACAAAAGAAGACTGGGTTTTAATTATCTGCCAACACCTTAGAAACCTACAACAACTGGACATCTGGACATCCATAGGCTGAGCTCAATGCCCTTGTCTTGAACGTAGAAAGAGATGCTGAGATTGTCGGGCTGTCTCTTCCTCTAGATCTGAGCTCCTTCGGGGCCAAGATTGCGTCTTGTCTTGCAGTAGATCCCCAGCCTTGAGTACAGGATTTGATACGCAGCAAGTGCTGGATAAATGCTTGATGAATGAAAGGATGGATGGATGGACAGATGGATGGACAGTTGGATGGATGAATGGGATCCTGAACCTCTTGGTGATAGGAGATTAGATGGGTCTGGTCTCAAATGCTTGTGCCAAAGTAGATGGGGAGTCACATCAGGTATTGGAAGAGAAAACCTCTCAGGCAGTGTGGTAAATTGGAAGGACACTTGACATCACACGGACCTGGGTAACCAGCTCTGTGACCATGGGCCTTGGACCAAGCCCCTCTTTCTTCATCTGAGAATGTTGATAATGTCTTTGAGCTGAAAGTAACAGGAAACTCCACTCACTGTTGCTTACACATAAGGAAATTTATTACTCCATGTAAGAAGAAGTACAGAGTAGGATTTGGGATTTCAGGGTTGACTTTGAAGGTCTGTCATGTCACTGAGCTCTGCACAGAGTGAATTGCCCACAGAATCAGCCTCATCTTTAGACATCTTCCCCTCATGGTTGTAAAGTGGCTTCTGACAGCAACCAGGGTCAAGGCTTCTTTCCTGCACCCATTGGCCCAAATGGGCTCTCCGGGATGGCCATCATTCGAACCAGTTGTTGGCGAAGCAAATAAGATAGCTATGACTGGCCAAATCCAGTGCTGCTCAAGCCGTGGTCCATGAACCAATGCCAGCAGCATCATTTGGGAGCTTATTACGCCTGCAAATTCATGGACTACATTCTGACCAGGTGAACCAGAACCTCTGGTGTGGACCAAGGAATCTCCACTTTCAGGCATTCCTATGGCTGTTAAAGTCTGAGAACCACTGGATTAAACCCAACTGGGAGGCGAGGGACAACTACAAAATACAGGTGATAATGCCAACTTTAGAGGGTTGCTAAGAAAACAAATAATATCACATATGTGAAAGACTATCACACAGTAGGTGCTTAATACATGTTGGTTTCCTTCATTTCTTTCCCTTTTTAGCGATATTGAAATATTTACTCGTCTCCATCAATTATCTTCCTCCACCCAGTGCTAAATATCCTCATGCTGCTCTGACCTATGGAAACCAACCGGGCCGGGCGCAGTGGCTCACGCCTGTAATCCCGGCACTTTGGGAGGCCAAGGCGGGTGGATCACGAGGTCAGGAGATCGAGACCATCCTGGCTAATACGGTGAAACCCCGTCTTTACTAAAAATACAAAAAATTAGCCGGGCGTGGTGGCTGGCGCCTGTAGTCCCAGCTACTCGGGAGGCTGAGGCAGGAGAATGGTGTGAACCCCGGAGGCGGAGGTTGCAGTGAGCTGAGATCGCGCCACTGCACTCCAGCCTGGGCGACAGAGTGAGACTCCGTCTCAAAAAAAAAAAAAAAAAAAAGGAAACCAACCTGTAGGCTAATTTATACTAAGGTGGGAGTGACACATAGCATCACTAGCTTAGTAGCATTTTCACCTTGAAATAGCAGAGCATGGAGTGCACGATACTTAATCTAAAAAGCTGCTTGGCAAGTGGTGTAATATTAGGCATGTAGCAAGTTTTGGTGTGTAGGGGTATGTTTTAGTGTGGACTATGCTGCTCCATCCTCAGATCATACCCCGTAGGTAATTTCCTACTCTGGCCACACTGAAGGGACTAGTTGGCTAAGCTGGATGCCCAGTGGCAGCCACATGAACACAGGGTGCGATGTGGGAGGGCTGAGGTTAGCCAGGCTGATGGCATCACATACATCCTTCCCTTCCCCCCTGTCTTCAGAGCCCTGTTGGGGACTGTTAGGGAGAACGTAGCCCCTCTTGAGGCTTTGATCTTTGGCTCTGCAAGTTCCAGATTCCCTTTGAAGTATAATTATAATTAAAAGGAAAATCCCAAGCAGACACCAGATGAGGTCTGCACCCGACACGCACTGTTGGCAGAGTTTCCTAAGTCAACAGCTGGCTCCGCATGTCAGGCTCAAAGGAAAAAAAGAAATTGGCCACTCATTTGAAGGAACTTTATTCTGAATGAGCTGGAACTGTAAAGGTCCCTTAATCCCTGGAGAATAGAACAGATGGGAGGGCAAGGGAAACCTTGGCAGTGAGAAGATGATTAATTAAGTTGGATCCCAGGTCCCTCTTTCAACAGGAGGATGCCCATCTGGGTCCTGGGTGCATCTCCTTTTGAGCACCCCATGAACTAAGAGGGTGACCCCAGTCTGTCATCCAGGCTTCCAGAGCTGGTTCTTTATCCTAAGCTAGGGACACAAAGACTTCTTCCTTAGGATCAAGATAAACTGGGGCCTCTTGAATTGATGAAATATTCATACCCCACTGCCCTTCATCCTATATTTTTTTTCTCCATAGTTTTTGTTTGAGAAACTTCCTTTGGCATTGCATGGCCCTATATTGCAGGTCACTGTCATCACTGTGTGACTCTGGGCAAGTTAGAACCTCCCCATGCATCAATTTCCTCATCTGTAAAAAGGAGACATTCATAATATTGCCTTTCTTTTTAGAGATATGAGAATTACAGCTAATAAATTCTAGGTACCTCACATAGTACCTGGCATTTAGTGTGTGCTTAATAAATGTTGTCTGTTAAGACAATTCTGGGCTCTGCCAATAAACTCCTTAGCTCTTGAAGGCCTAAACTAAACCTTACTACAAAGAGTCAGTACGCATTAAACAATCTTAAGACTATAAAGGGATCCTCAAGACAGATTATCTAATTGTAAAATGCTAGTTTCACCACTTAATAGTGTGTCCATGACCACTTTTATCAGTGAAAAGGAAAAGTGAGCAATTTGATTTTTTTAAAGGAATGGAGTTTTGCTCTGCTGCCCAGGATAGAGAGCAGTGGTGCTGAGAGGTGACAAAGGTGCTAGCAGCCCTCACTCTTGGCGCCTCCTCGGCCTTGGTGCCTACTCTGGCCGCGCTTGAGGAGCCCTTCAGCCTGAGCTGCACTGTGGGAGCCCCTCTCAGGGCTGGCCGAGGCTGGAGCTGGTTCCCTCTGCTTGCGGGGAGGCGTGCAGGGAGAGGCACGGGTGGGAACCGAGTCTGCGTGCCATGCTCCCAGGCCAGCACGAGTTCCGGGTGGGCGTAAGCTCGGAGGGCCACGCACTAGGAGCGGCTGGCCGGTGCCGGTGCCTGGCAGTGATGCGCTTAGCATCTGGGCCAGGAGCTGCAGAGGTTGCGCCGGGTCCCCCAGCACTGCCGGCCTGCCCGCACCGCACTCAAATTCTTGCCAGGCCTCAGCCACCTCCCCACAGGGCAGGGCTCGGACCTGCAGCCCGCCATGCCTGAGCCCCCCGCCTTCCTCCTCCCCTCTGCCACCCCTTCCTCCCCCCACACCGCCCCCTTCCTCCCCCCGCGGCCCCTTCCTCTCCCCCCACCCCCTTCCTCCCCCCCCGCTGCCCCTTCCTCCCTCCCGCCGCCCCCTTCCTCCCATCCCCCCACACCGCCCCTTCCTCCCACTCCCCACGCCACCCCCTTCCTCCCCCTCCCACACAGCCCCCTTCCTTCCTCCCCGCCCCCTTCCTTCCCCACCCTGCCCCCTTCCTCCCCCACCCCCTTCCTCCCTGCCCCACTTTCTGCCCTCCCTCCCCCCCCCCCCCTCCCCCTCCCCCCCTCCCCCCTCCCTCCCCCCTTCCCCACCCTGCCCCACCCAGCCTCCCTGACGGGCGCTGCCCCCTGCTCCGTGGTACCCGGTCCCATTGACCGCCCAAGGGCTGAGGAGTGCAGGCAGCGGGGTGGGACTGGCCGGCAACTCCACCCCTGCCCCACTTGCAAGATCCACCAGGCGAAGCCAGCTGGGCTCCTGAGTTGAGTGGGGACTTGGAGAACTTTTATGTCTAGCTGGAAGATTGTATATGCAACAATCAGCACTCTGTGTCTAGCTCGGGGTTCATGGATGCACCAATCAGCTCTCTGTATCTAGCTAATCTGGTGAGGACTTGGAGAACTTTTATGTCTAGCTAGAGGATTGCAAATGCACCAATCAGCACTCTGTGTCTAACTCAGGGATTGTAAACGCACCAATCAGCACTCTATCAAAATGGACCAATCAGCTCTCTGTAAAACGGACCAATCAGCTCTCTGTAAAATGGGCCAATCAGCAGGGTGTGGGTAGGGCCAGATAAGGGAATAAAAGCAGGCTGCTGGAGCCAGTAGAGGCAACCGGCTCAGGTCCCTTTTCAGATCATGGAAGTGTTGTTTTTTCGCTGTTGGCAATAACTCTTGCTGCTGCTCACTCTTTGGGTTTGCAACACCTTTATGAGCTGTAATGCTCACCATGAAGGTCTGCAGCTTCACTCCTGAAGCCAGCGAGAGCATGAACTCACAGGGAGAAATGAACAACTCTGGAGGGGAGGAACGAACAACTCCAGATGCCCTGCCTTTAAGAGCTGTAAAATGCACTGTGAAGGTCTGCAGCTTCACTCCTGAAGCCAGCGAGACCACGAACCCACTAGAAAGAAGAAACTCTGGACACATCTGAACATCTGAAGGAACAAACTCTGGACACACCATCTTTAAGAAATGTAACACCCACTGCGAGGGTCCGTGACTTCATTCTTGAAGTCAGCGAGACCAAGAACCTACCAATTCTGGATGCAGTGTTATCACAGCTCACTGCAGCCTGGAGCTGCTGGGCTCAAGTGATCCTCCTGCCTCAGCATCTTGAGTAGCTAGGACCACAGGCACACACCAGACACTTGTCTAATTATTTAAATTTTTTTGTAGAGACTGGGTCTTGCTATATTGTCTAGGCTGGTCTTGAACTCTTGACCTCAAGTGATCCTCCTGCCTTGGCCTCTCAAAGTGCTGGGATTACAGGTATTGGCTCCTGTGTCTGGCCCAATTTGATCTTTGAGGTCTCTTCCAATGGGACTCACTGTGTCATTATGACCCCCTTCTTTCTGGGAAAGGGCCCACACCAAAGCCCTTGTTGTGATAGTGGGTCCCTGTTCCACTGCTGCATCCATGACCCATTCCTCCTCTTTTGGGATGGCTTTCTGGCTGGTCTCCTAGGTTCCCACTGCCACTCTCACCTCTATACAATCTGGAGTGGGTTGAATAGTGTCCTTCTGAAACTCACATCCACCCAGAATGGGACCTTATATGTTACCTTTGCAGATGTAATTAGTCAAGATAAAGTCATACTAACTTAGGCCCTAAGTCCAATGGCTGGTGTCTTTATAAGAAAAGGAGAGGATAAGGCCAGGTTTGGTGGCTCACGCTTGTAGTCCCAGCATTTTAGGAGGCTGAGGCGGGGGAATCACTTGAGGTCAGGAGTTCGACACCAGCCTGGCCAACATGGTGAGACTCAGTCTCTACTAAAAATACAAAAATTAGCCAGGCGAGGTGGTGGGCGCCTGTAATCCCAGCTACTTGGGAGGCTGAGGGAGAGGAATCGCTTGAACCCGGGAGGCAGAGGTTGCAGTGAGTTGAGATCAAGCCACTGCACTTCAGCCTGGGCAACAGAGCGAGACTCCATCTAAAAAAAAAAGAAAGAAAAGGATGCATGATGGAGGAGAATGCCATGTGAAGATGGAAGTGGAGACTGGAGTGATGAGGCTACAAGCCAACAAACACCAAGGATTGCAGGAGCCACCAGAAGCTGGGAGAGAGACATGGAACATGAGAGCTTCCAGAAGAAACTAACCCTGCTGACATCTTGGTTTTGGACTTCTCACCTCCTGAGCTGGGAGAGAATAAATGTCTGCTGTTTTGAGCCACCCATTTGTGATCATTGGTTATGGCAGCCCTAAAAACTAATGTACCATCTTTCTATAGAGTGAAACTCATTACCGTGCTGATATGGTTTGGGTCTTTGTCCCTGCCCAAATTTCATGTCAAATTGTAATCCTCAATGTTGTTGGGTCCTAGTGGGAGGTGATTGGTTCATGAGGGTGGATTTCCCCTCTGGTGCCGTTCTCATGATAGTGAGTTACCACAAGATCTGGTCTTTTAAAAGTGTGTGGCACTTCCACTCTTTCTCTCTCTTCCCCATTTGGTAAGACGGGTCTGCTTCCCCTTTGCCTTCTGCCATGGTTATAAGTTTCCTGAGGCCTCCCCAGAAGCCAGCATCATGCTTCCTGTACAGCCTGTGGAACTGTGAGCCAGGTAAACCACCTTTCTTTGTAAATTACCCAGTCTCAGGTATTTCTTTATAGTGGTGCAATAATGCACTAATACACATGCTCTTGCTCAAGACCCTTCAGTGGCTTCCATGGATCACAAAGGAAAGCCTCAATTCTTCAGGGTGTTCTATAGAGTCATTCATGACTTTTCATCTGTTGGTTGCACCTCTGCCCAGATACACTCTTTTCTGCAGCCACTCTGAGTACTTCTGAAACACGCTGAACTCCTGGAAACACATTATACCTTCTGTAGGCAATGCTGTTTCTCTCTTCTCTCACTTGGAAAACTACTCATCCTTCAAGACCCAACTTAAGTATCCTCACCATTATGAAGCCTTCGTAAGCACCCCCTTCTTCAATTCTCCCTCCACTGGCTGAGTTAGTCATGCTTCTCTGTGTTTCCAGAGCATATTGATCAAGTCTCTTTTCTTGGAACACTGAGCTCATGCACTAAAGTTACTTGTTTTATGCATCTGCCCCTATTCAGGTAGGGATCTGATCCTGAGATCAGAGCTGACCTTGTAAGGGATCAGTGAGTGTTTGTTGCTTGACTAAATGAAAGTTGGAGGAAAGTGACGTTATTTAACAGGAGATGCAACAGCTGGAAGGTGGCAAGGACAAAAAAGGACATGAAGGACAAAGATATTCAATTTTCCCATTCAGTCTTGGGGAGACCAGTTGCCCATATGGTCGTGCATGCCATGCCTTGGTCACCCATGAGAATTACTGTTTTCTGTGCATCCATGGGGGTATTCATTCTGGGAGTAACTAGAAAGTGCAACTGTGCTTTTAGGGGATGCCTGGGGGGCAGTGAGAGGTCTCCTTGGGCTTTGCCAGAGGCACGGAGTATGTCCTTGCCTGGACTACCACATGGTGGGTGGACGCTAAGCATGTAGATCTCTTGAAGCATGAAATTACCCCGTTTCCTTTGTAACAGGCAGAAGGAACTAGGGAAAATGCTTTTAAGAAGAAAAAGGAGAGACGTTGGGGAGACAAGAGACAATAATGCGGATTTTAGTATCAGACAGACATAGGTTTCAAATCCTCAAGCTTCTGCTTCCCAGTGGAGTGACCTTGGACAAGTCCTTTATCTTCTCTGAGCCTCTGTGTTCTCATTTCTACCATGGTGAAGGTGCTTATAACAATACTTGCTTTGCGGTACAGTTGTAACAATTAAACTTAGTGAACACAGAATGCCTGGCATGTAGCAAGCTATTGGTAAATGGAATCTGTCATTTTTTATCTAGCATGATGATTATTAGTTCCACAAATATTTTCTGGGGGCCTATTAAGGGCCTGTCATAGTTCCAGCATCTTGAGACTCTAAAATGCTTAAGCTCAAGATGATCAGGGCTGTTAAACACTGTTTTACAACACCAAACATGGCGTGTGTACGTGCTCACTTCCTGAAGGTGCTGGTTAAAGTCTGATGGCTTCATTGTAGCCCTGTTGCACCAGAAGAGGTCATCTGACCTTGTGTCATTTATTAAATGAATCCTTATTTCCTTGCTCTATCCCTTCACTGAAAACGTCACACAAAAGCAGGAAGCTCCAGACTGATATTTCTTTCCTCTTGAAGCCTGTCCAGGTGTGGGCACGAGTTGCCACTTTGAAGGCTCTTTTCTAAACCACTGGGAGAAAATTTCATTTGCAAAGCTTTCCCTGTGTCTTGCTCTCCAAGGGCGAGTTGATTAAGCATGTTTGTCTGCATTTATTCCATGTACATTTCAAAAGTTGTTTACTGCAGCTACATTTTAAAAATATAAACATGCTCCCTGTTTAATGCAGGTACAAATCTCCAGGATGTGCATTTTTGAGCCTAGGGCGTAGGTGGAGATGCAGACAAAATAAATACAATTCGGGAGCAGCGAAAGCAAAACAAGGAATCATTTGTGAAAGAGAGAATGACTGCAGGAAGTATAAAATCAGAAATACGCTTTGGAACTCTTGGATGCTATTGTGAAATGCATTTTCCCCCTCCTCCCTTTCCAAGGAAAACTTAAACCATATTTCCTGCACGATGAAATCTTTGAAATGGCCCAAATCTCATTTTAACAAAAACACACGATTGAGTTTGTCTAATTAGAGATTTAATGAGCCGTAAAATGTATGGTGAGTACCTGGCAACCCTCAGAATTCTTTCTTTTTTGTGACAGGATCTTGCTCTGTCACCCAGGCTGGAGTGCAGTGGTGCAATTACAACTCACTGCAGCCTCAATCTCATGGGCTCAAGTGATTCTGTCACCTCAGCCTGCTAAGTAACTGGGACCATAGGCGTGTGCCACCATGACTGTCTGATATTTTTAATTTTTTGTATTTTTGTAGTGATGGATTCTTGCCGTGTTGCCCAGGGTGGTCTCAAACTCCTTGTCTCAAGCAGTCCTCCTGCTTTGGCTTCCCAAAGTGCTGGGATTACAGGTGTAAGCCACTGCACCTGGCCACAAAACTGTTATATAGTACTTGCACCTCACAAACACGAGACCCAGGGTCAGGATGTTCAACCTGGTTTCGTTTAGGAGGCAAAGTCCTCTGTTCTCCAGAAAGAGGTTTTGTACAAACATGTGGTTCATACATTGCCATGGCTGAGCATCAACTAGCATGGCTGACTGCAGCCTATGGCATTCCCTGATTGATTGATTCATTCATCCCGTAAATATTTATTGAGCACCACTTTGTGCTAGGCCTTATGCTGTGGTGTTTGGTATTGGGGATAACCATGATCATAACAGTCATTTTATTGAGTGCTTATTATGCACCCTGCGTTGGGTAAGAACTTGGCATGGCATCTCTCATTTGATCTCCACCACAACTCTACTAGGTAAATGTTACTATTATTATCACCATTTTACAGATGAGAAAACCAGCCAGGACTAATTCAGCCATAATTCCAAACTCTCAGGAAGAAACTTATTGGCCTAGCTTGGGTTAAGTGTCCACTTCTCCTCACAGCAGAGGTGAAGAGAGTGGAGCTGTGTCACTTAGTTCAAAGCTGGCTACAGTCCAACAGGAGGCAGTTCTCAGAGAAACAGGGTCTCTGTGAGTAGCTGCCTTCTTCCATGTCTGCTGGGCTGCAGAGGGTGGATTTTGGGGAAGATGAAGTGATGGATATCCTAGACCAGTGATATCCTAGGTCTTGGGACCACTACACTGGGAGGTTTCACAGCATCTCCTACATCTGAACTCCACAGGACACCCCTTTCTCTAGAATAAATCACCCTTTCTTGATCTCTGAAAGGGTTTATGTTACTTATGATTGAGGGGGGCCTGAGTTAGCTGGTCTTGTAATCACAGATTGCTGAATACTTCCAGAGCCCTCTCCTGGGTTTTGGCTCCTGACCTCTGCAATATTGCACACCCAATTGCACAGTGGAGCAAAGCAATAGAATGAACAGCTGTCTCGAGCACTCAGACGTGCCACACAACTCACTGGTATGCTGCGGGACCCCACTGCAGAAAGCTTCCAGAAGGTGGCCACTTCAGACCAAGCATTTTTGCAGGGCTCAGAAGGAAGAAAAAGATACTGGACCTTTGCTAATCCTAATACAGAAAAGCCCTGTCAACCTACACAACAAAATTCTTTTAGCTTTCTCTAGGAGTACCAACAACAACAGTAATAACAGCGCTAACGATAGCTCTCATTTGCTAGGTGCCAGACACCGCAGCATCACATGACATGCACATTACTCTGCAGCATGCACATTACATGCACTTTTCTGTTTGACATTCACAACAACCCTTTCCGGTAGAGGTTATTATTGCTGTCATTGTGCAGAGGCAGAAACTGAGGCCCAAGAGGGCCAAGTAACTTGCCCAAAGGCACATGGCTATGAGGTATGGGTGGTGACTCTCCAATCCAGATCAGTCTGAGGCTAGAGCTCAAGTTCTAACATTATATCCATGCCTAAGACATTAAGGTATTGTCTGGTACTTCAGCAATTTGATGATTATTGTTGAAGTCCTCAGGATCTGCAGCTCAGAATGTCCTCTATAAGTCCTGAAAGCACCCAGACGTGGATGGCATTTTAAGAAAAGACACACACACACATACACATAGACACATACTTGGAAAAAGAAGTCACACTGGCATGAATGGTGACAGTAGGTGCTGCTGGTCCTACTGTGGCTTAGAGGAGCTCAGAATAGCCACAGAGACGTGTGGGTAACAGTCCATTTTCTGATGCTTCTTGAATTTGGTTCATCTCAGCATCCTCAAATCCTCCCCTCACATTTTATAAAAAGTAAAGTCATGCAGAACTGGGTGCTTCATTGAGGAATGTGGTTAAGACCTAACCTAAAATGAGAAATGGCATCACACAAAATCCTGAATGTGTACTGAGGTCTGACTAGGTGGCCTGAGGTTAAACAGCAGGAAATTAAGCCAAGTGGCATGGCTGCCCCGCCTGGAAGCACTGCTGCTTTTTAGAACTTTTGTAAAAATAAATGTCAATGAGGGCAAAAGGAATGAGCTCTTTAAAAATAAATGCACCTGCCACTGTTCTTGCTTAAGATCATCTAACTCCTTGCTACTCAAAGTGTGGCTCGGGAACTAGAAGCATCTGTGTCACCTGGGGGCTTGTCAGAAAAGCAAGTCTCAGCCCTACTCCGAGCTGCTGAATTCAAATCTGCATTTCCACAAGGATCTCCAAGTGATTCCTTGCAGATTAGAATTTGAAAAGCAGAGAGCTTCCTCTGGTCATCAAAGAACTCATCTTGGCATCATTATACTGAAAGAATGACCACTCTCTGAGGGGTCCATCCACATTCATTCATTTGTCCATTCATTCATTCATTCACCCATTCACTGATTCATCTATTTAAAAAATATATTGATTATCCACTAAATGTCAGGCACTGGGGCTGTGACTGTAAACAGGAGAGATGTGATGTATAGAATGGTGGGAGAGAAAGACATTAAACAAACATTTATTTAGTTATTATAGTAAGTACCAGGATAAATTTAGTAAGCACAACAAACAGTGTTTTAGGGCCCTGATCTGCTTACTGACAGGGAGCACCTGCAGGGAGGATTAGGGAAGGTGTCTTTGGGAAGTAGTATCTAAACAGACCCAAAGAAGGACAAAAGTGTGTTTATTAAGGGAATGTTCTGGGCGGCAGGAATGGCTTGTGCAAATGCCTGGAGGTGGGAAGATGTGAGGTATATTGAAGCCTTGTCTTTTACGATTTGAGAATGGCATTATGGTAGCATTACATGTAATAGTGAGATGTTAGGAGCCCTTCCTCCCTTAGGAGAGAGATTTGATGACCTATTTATTTTATGTATGAAAATATGCATCATTACAGACTAAACAGACATATTTCCCTCTGGAGAAAGTCTACTTCTTTCATGTGGCCACACACTGACCAGGAGTCAGGGTGTCTTCCTGATGCAGAGAAGAGAAAGTCATCTTTGTCTTCCATTTGCATTTTCCATTTAGTTTTCAATTCATCAGCCACTAATGGTAATGTGTGCAAAGCCACTACCCAAATGAATGGCAAGCTTGCTCTGTGTATGTGTGTGTGTGTGCATGCCTGTGTGTTGGTGGTGATTTGTGGAAGTGATGGGAGGTGGGTAGGGGGGCTAACCCTAAAGATGCCTTGGGTCTGGGGCTCAGGGGCTCAGACTTACCATGATCGACAATCCCCTGCCATTTCCCACTCTACTTGCTTCTTTTCTAAGCCTGTCTAGTATGTTACAGCTTTGTGAGCACAAGTAGTGTATTTGGGAGGTGATCCTGGGAAACCCCCATAGGAGAGTGGGACAAGGAGAGGAAGGTATGTTAATGAGCAAGCAGGTGACCACCGTGGGCAACTTGGGGCTCAACCCTGCTGGCACCACAGGGGAATAATATAGAGTTGGAGTCAGCAAACTTGTCTAGAAAGGGCCACACCATAAATACTAGGCTTTTGGGGGTATACAGTCTCTTGTACAACTCTGCCCTTGTAGTATGAAGGCAACCATAGACCATATGTAAAGAAATGGGCGTGGCTGTGTTCCAGTATAACTTTATTTATAAAAACAAGTGGTCAGCCAGATTTGGCTGGTGAACTGTAGTTTGTTGACTCTTGATATAGAAGATGTCTCAGAATTGTTGCATCTGAAGGCAAGGCAACTGAGGTACTTATGTGTTATCATTTGTCTGCCATTGGTAAAGGGATGCTCCTTAAGGCATTGCCTTTCTTGTCCCTTCTGAACTGCCCCAGACCACAGACAGAGAGCCACAGGTGCTACTGTGGGAAGCCATGAATGTGCATGAGCATGGGAAGAGCCAAGAAAGGGGACTATTTTATAATGAGTGAAGTAAGACTCAGAGAGGGCAAATGATGGTATGAGATCACAAGAAAGGTAGTGGTCATGATCAAAACAGAGCTGATCCCTATGCTGTTTGTACATGGTGATACTCTAAAAGTAGGAAATTTTGTGCAGTGTTTTCCAGTTGCATTTTAACATCTGTCTAGGAACTTTTGTTCTGAAGCACACCATTTAGAAAGCATGTCACCATAACCTATTCCACGAAATGGATTTTCTTCTGCTCCCCAAACTGTTATAGAAGCACTTGAGAATCAAAGTAAGAACAAAGATACATAATTTAAGTGTTTATTCTTAAGAACCTTTTAAAATGTCTTGATTATATGTGTTTCCAAGATGTACATATAGAAACTTTGCAAATCAATGAAAAGAGAGCAAACTACCTAGTAGAAAATAGGGCAAATAATACAAATAAGGTAATTCTCCAAAGAGAAAATATAAATAAACAATGAATATATAGATGATCCTCAATCTTGACAATCAGGTAGGTACAAGAAAACAACAACATGTCCTCTTTGCCCATCACACTGGCAGAAACTTAAATGCCTTATTAAAGGGTGGATGAAGATGCGAAGTAACTGGTACTTGGATATTCAAGTAGGCTGTGATTTGGTACAAATTTTCTGGAGGTTTATTTGATTAATAAAATCTGTTTCCTCTCACTTTCTTCCTCCAAGAACAAGAGAAGGAATCACAATTGGTCCATGACAGTCACGGTCATCTCATTCCTCTTGCCAGTGGCAGGTGTATGTGTGAGTTTGCAGCTCAATCCTGGCCAAGGGGATCCAAGGACTGCTGAAGAGGCATGTCTGCACATGTCACCTAGAACATCTCCAGCCATCATGTGATCTCTGGGGGAGGCATTCCCAACTCTCTGAGAGAAGCAGACCAGAAAGATGGAAAGAAAGCACCTGGCTCCAGGATGATGACATTGAGCCGATGAATTAACCACCTTTGTGCTGCTCTAACCTTCAGAGTTCACCTTAACATGAGAAAATAAAACCCTTATTGCTTAGCCACTGGGATCTTCTTTTATTTGCAGCCAAAAGTATCTTAACTGATATAATTATCTCTCCCATATAGAAATGGGGCCTTATGTGTCCAAATAGGCAATGTACAAGTATTTTATTATAGCATTGCATGTAATCGTGAGACATTAAGAGTAACCTGAAATGTGCGTCAGAGGGGACCTAGGGAAATAAACTGTGATTCAGTAACACTATGGAATTTGAGGCAGCCGTTAAAAGCAATTAGGTAAATTTTTATGTGCTGATCCCAACATCTCCAAGATCTCTAAGACATTTAAGTTTTAAGAAGTTGTGAAATAAATACATATGGTATAATCCCATTTATGAAAAACAAAATAATCCTTAAAATAAAATGTGTAAAGATTCATATATATATACATTCATACCTATAGAAAAAGGGGGTGGGAGGAATCACATCATATACATAAAAGCATTTACCTCTGGAGCTGGGAGATGGGCAGGGGGTGAGAATTAAGAGAAACTTGTGCTTTTTTATGTATGGCATTTGTCCTTTTAGCAACACAAATGAGTGAATTTAGGGCTTTGTCATAAAAAGATAATGTTTGGAAAATAGCCCACATGCTCATTGTAGAAAAATCTAGCAAATACTAGAATGCACAGATGTAAGTTTTGTTCAAACCGTGCAAGACAGAGGTTTTTTTTGTTGTTGTTGTTGTTTAGAAAAACACAATATTTCAGGTTTCCTGGGGGCAAAGAGGAACTTCTCTTCAGATCCTCAAATGATTTTCATGTGTGTGGCACAATTACTCGGGCAGAGTTCAGTGTTTTTAATCAAAAGCTACTTGTCAAGTAGGCAATGTCACTTTGCCTAGCCTGCGTAAACAAAGCTTTGTGAGGACTGGGTTTGGAAAGTGGAAGAGCTGAAACATTTTAATTGGAGAGTGTGTGTGTGTGTGTGTGTGTGTGTGTGTGTGTGTGTGTGAGAGAGACAGAGGGGGAGGGAGGGAGAGAGAGAGAGAGAGTTGAGGGGGAAGAGGGGAGGAGGATGGAGTACTCTGTGTGATGTACACAATTCTGGAGAATTCTCCATAGAAATATCCACCCTGTGTTTTCCAGCACCGGCTCTGCTCCTAATCACTTGGAACCATAAGAATTTGACCTTCCAAAGGAGAGAGGCTTCCTCGCAATGCTCGGTTGGTAATGACTGAGTTGTAGGCACGGACTGTTTCGTAATTGCCTTCCAGTTGTCTCCTACATTTTTCTGAGTTGGGTACCATTAGTCTTAAGGCTCCTGTCATGTGGCCATTAAATCATTGTTTTCTCTGACAGTGTCATTTCTGCAAAACCCTGGAGAGAAAATACTACACATTTTCCAAGGCTGGAATGCTGCCACCTGGTCATTATGCCCAGCAGCCCTCAGACGGCTACTCCTAAAGATGTGCACCTTTGGTGCGACCGCACCATGGCTCCCCAGACTAAACAGCTCACTGTTACTGGTTGCTTTTTTTTTTTTTTCTTAGAGTGGAATTACCCTGGTCAGCAAGCACCCTCTAGCACTAATTTAGGAGACTGAGTCTGACAAATGGGTGTAAAGAAAAGAAGAATGGCAGGAAAAATATTGGTTTTCAGAAATCAAAAATGATGCTTCTCTAAGGGTATCACTTATTTTTCCCTCCACCCCTGCAACCTACCCAGGGCAAGAGCAGAAGAAAAATTTTTCCAATAGGGTCTAATTGTTGTCTGAAATAAATGAGAACAGGGAGGTTTGAGGACTGCTGAACATGGACAGATGAGGTGGGAGGAATGGTCTTCATGAGTGATTTCCAACAGCCGAGCTGCAAGGCTGAATAAAGAGGATGCCAGTGAGTCCTTAACAAAACAACAAAAAACCAAGGCTTGCCGCCTTCAGGGATCATAATTTATTCATTCAACAAATAAATGGTTGAATGGTTAGTGGTTGTTCTGTGCTGGAAATTCTTCTAGGAGCTGGGGACACAGCAATGAACCAAGCAACATCTCTATATCTTAACTGGGCTCTGAGTAGGAAAGAGATGGTGCACTCAAACTGGGAATTGGAGGAGGAGTTGAATAAAGGGACTATTTGCACAGACTGTTTGCATAGATCCCCCTACAAGGGATGGTGCAGTCCCCTGGGGCTAGCAACAGCAGGGAGCTGTTACCACCCTGAAGGGGCACGGAGGGGGAGCAGCGACTGGCAGTGAAGAGGTTAGTGGTAGGGAGAGGCCGTGTGACAGGAGCCAGGACCAGAGAATCACAAACAACCAAGTCCATGTAGCAAAAATGAGACTGGGAACAGAGACTCCAACCTTTCTATCTCCCTGCCCTTTTGTATTAGTCTGTTTTCAGGCTATTTATAAAGACATACCTGAAACTAGGTAATTTATTTTTTAAAAAAGAGGTTTAATGGACTCATAGTTCCACATGGCTGGGCCTCACAATCATGATGGAAGGCAAAAGGCACGTCTTACGTGGCAGCAGGCAAGAAAGAATGCGAGCCAAGTGAAAGGGGGAAACCCTTTATAAAACCATCAGATCTCGTGAGACTTATTCACTATCACAATAACAGTACGGGGGAAACTGCCCCCATGATTCAATTATCTTCCATCAAGTCCCTCCCACCACATACGGGAATTATGGGAGCTACAATTCAAGATGAGATGTGGGTGGGGACACAGCCAAACCATATCACCTTTGATCTCCCAGCAGTGCTTTCTATTGGCTGAATCCAACTGGAGGCTGGAGAGCAAGGGAGGTCATTAAGTTGTCATTCTCCTGGGGCACAGAGCAGGGAGGAGAAGGGTGGCAAGTGGTTCTGGAGAGGCAAATGGTATATTTCCAGCACAGTCCTTGTCCTCAAGGAGTCAATATTCTACCTATGGGACACAGACCATAAACAAGTAAGCCCATAGCTCTATAACACAATGTTGCCAGGACTTCATTAATCTAAGCAGCACCTCTGTAAAAATTAGAAAAAGCCACCCTCTCTCCAAATGAATGCAGCCCCGTGCCAGGGCACATGGTTTCGCCAGTGAAGCAAGGGCTGGATATCAGCCCCCCCACTCAATGTTTGGTCAGGAGCTTGTGCAGAACTCAACCCACAAAACACAATATCCTTCATGGCCAAGCGGTCAAGGTGTCATAAAGAAAATTGAGAATCCACGACTTGGAATGAGCTGGTGACAGGTGATGCCCAGAAATAGCTTTTCTAGGGCATTAGGCTTGGTCATACCAGTGACATGGTGACATGCTGCAAACACAGGGTCATTAAGGGGCCCTAAGGATGTCCAACAAGTTGCTCTCCCAGGACCAGCCCCTTGCAGCTCTCTGCAGACTTCACAGGTAGGCAGAAGCCAGGATGGGTCCCTTGTAAAGTTAGCCACCAGTGGGAGCGGCCCGGAGCTCGCAGGGAATGGCAGGTCTGTCTTCTCCCAGCTCCGGCTCCCTGAACTGTGATGAGCAATTTGTCTTTCAGCCTTGATCTGCTGTCAGTGGGGCTGACACTGACTCCAAGTATTAATTTCTTCTTGAGCTGTCTTACATTGCAGTCGACAGAGGGATGGAAAATGAAGTAGATTTGCCAGATACAGAAACTCATCACCCAGCTGCCTTTATTAGTGGTGAAGCTGCAGGGAGGAAGAAGGCCTGAGCTGTGCTCCTCTTCTTTTCTTAAGAAGCAGATGCCAAACCCCTAATGAAGCATCTTTCATTTTGCAGCCCTGTGCTTTGACACCTTTCTGCCTTCACTCTCCCTTGGCTGCACAATATCTTAGCTCTGTCTCTCTCTCTCTCTTTTTTTTTTTGAGATGGAGTCTTGCTCTGTCCCCTAGGCTGGAGTGTAGTGGCACGATGTCAGCTCACTGCAAGCTCCACCTCCTGGGTCACAACCATTCTCCTGCCTCAGCCTCCCAAGTAGTTGGAACTATAGGCGCCCGCCACCACGCCCGGCTAATTTTTTGTATTTTTAATAGAGATGGGGTTTCACCGTGTTAGCCAGGATGGTCTCAATCTCCTGACCTCGTGATCCGCCCGCCTCGGCCTCTCAAAGTGCTGGGATTACAGGCGTGAGCCACCGCGCCCGGCCTAGGTCTGTCTCTTTAAAGTGGCTAGGCAGAGATATTACAAAGAAACCCATGGACACCCCAAGTCTTTTCATCAGCTTATAACACGCTCACCCATCTCATGAACATGCCCTCTTGAAGGTCTCTTGTGTTGTCTAGATTGCGTTTTATTCAGGTATCTGTGGTGGGCAGAAAGAAACAGGTTCATTCAGCTCAAGTTTTTAAAAATGTAGGAAATCTCATGGTATCCAGTGACAGGACAGCTCAGCTACTTGCTGTGTCTCTTGAGCTCTCAAAAGGCATGAATGCTCAGATATGCTATTTTCTGCACACTCGTTTCTTTATTCTTTCTCTATCCTGGCTCCTTCTGCTCTCGCACACAGCCCATCATAGCTGTCGCGGCCCTAGAGTTTATGGGGCCCTCATCTCCATACTCTGTGGCTATCTGGATCCGTCTTTCAGTGTCTAAAGTCCAAGTTCCAGATAAGGAAATCTGATTGGTTCAGCTTGTATCAGGTGTTTCCCTTTGGTCCAATCATCTGTAGCCTGGAGGGTGGGACCATGTGGTCGGTATAGCTTCCTGTCTCTGAAATAGGAAATATGGGTGGGGCGAGAAGACTTCTCTAGAACATCCAGAAAGAGATGCTATAGAAGCAAAAGCAGATCTGGATAATATATTTTTAATTTTATTTTTGTAGAGATAGAATCTCACTGTTGCCCAGGTTGGTCTTGAACTCCTGGGCTCAAGTAATTCTCCCGCCTTGGCTTCCCAAAGTGCTGGGATTATAGGTGTGGGCCACTGATCCCAGCCCAGATCTGGATTTAAATCTCTATTCATCCAATCACTTCCAGACTTTTGATCAATTATTTAATTTCTTTAATTAATTTAATTTCCAGTGCAGTGGCCACCCAGGGTTATGCCTGCAAGACCAGCTTCAAGAACATGGCTAACAGGCAAGCACAAAGAGGTTCCGCCATCAGTAGATCTCCAATTACCCTGGGTCTGCTGCATTTTCAGCACCTCATCTCTTTGGGAGCAAAGGAGAGAAGTAAAGCTTTGTATTCACATTGAGTGTATTGGGATGGGTGGGTGGTGAGATAGTCACAGCTTGGTGGCCCGGCATGTTTGGGGAAACATGAAACATAATCACATCACTATTGTGTAGAATGCGTCCATGGCCTCCCCTCACAGTTAGGCTCAAGGTCAAAATTCCTCATAACAGACTTCAAAGACTTCATGAATCAGCCTAAGTGTGTATCTCCATCCTCATCTCCCAGTGTGCCCCATTACACTCTGCTTATTCATTCATTCATTCATTCATTCATTCCCACTGTTCTGAATGCCTGTGATGGGCCAGCCCAGTAGTACAGGCCATACTGGGCCTCCTTGAGCTCCTGCTGTCTCATGACTCAGGGCCTTCACAGATGCTCTTCCCCCTGTTACGAATACTTTTCCCTCCACCCCTTCATCAGTTAGGTGCTCCCACAGAACTTTTGTACCCTGTTCCCCTTCTGTGTCAGGACTTATTGGGATGAAGACAGAGGGCAGAAATGGTGCTCATCGTGCTTCCCTGTACCCACAGTGACCAGTGCGCTGGCTGTCACACAGCCGAGCATCAGGCCAAGTCTGCTGAATGGATTAATGTCAAAAAAAGGCCTGGAAGACATATCTCTGCCTCATGGTAAAACGCTAAAGACTGCTGTGAAGCTCATTTGCAGGTTTTGAGAAAATTTTAATTACTGAACATTGACAAGGGAAAGAGTTTTTGTGGCTAAAAGTTTCGTGGCTAAAGCACATGAAAATCAGCTTCATGTTTGTGGAAGGAGAAGAGAGGTATGCATTTGCCTGGATGGGGTCAAGTAGGGTTTCTCCCTGGCTCTGCCCCTGCCCCGCCTTATCTCTCTCTCTCAAGCACTAACGATAAAGATAGGAAGGTCATGAGAAGGTGTCAGATGCCTGCAAAGAGCCAGCCTGCTTTGTGCTCACTTACTGCACATTCTTCTGACTTTAGAAAACAAGAATTTTCCTTAAAGGGTCTCTGGTTGTAGCACAGGCACCTCCCCATGTCACCTGCTTCAACTTTCCATTGTAGATCTTAGGGTCTGAGATAAGAAATCCTTCTCATAAGTTTGGAGCACTGAGACTTTGGGGCCACAGATCTAAGAGTCCAGACTCCACTGCTTGCTGGCCAGGAGACCTTGAGTGACTTCGACTCTCTGAGCTCCAGCTTCCTCGTCCTTAGAATGGGGTGGCAATAGCAGGTGCCACTGGGGTTGTCATGAGGTGTAAGTGAGAGGATGCATGGGAAGCTGTCAGTTTGGTGCCTGGTGCACAGGAAGGCCACAGTAGGGAGCAGTGATTACTACCACTGAGTCTGAGTATCAGGATATCACACTGAGGATCTGGTTTTCCAAAGGACAAAGATAGGGAGCTAGAGACAGTAATTCCAGAGATTTAAGGCACAGAAACAAATTATCCTGCCACGTTTGCTTGGCAACCACAGACTCCAATTCCTCTTGTATAGGGAGAACAGCTTCAATTGGAGAAATGTTGACACACCAAGGACAGAATTCGACTTTAAAGGTCATCATGGCTCAGTTCATCATAAAGACCCTAAGCCCATGACAATTAATGGAGATATTGAGCCAAAGGCAAACCAAGAATAGAAACTGGAGACCTTGCAGACTGAGTAGTTTTGGCCCAATAAGAGAATATTGTAGGAAATACACTTAATTTAAATATGGTGCTGGTCATGGGGAGGAAGAAACAAAAGTCCCTGTTAATTCAAATGAAGTGTTTCACTGATTACCGTAACAGAAGTGCCTTACCGAGTGGTGACCTCCCTGTCACTGGGCATATTCAGGCAAAGTCTGCCTGATCTAGGGTACGTCTGTGTTCCAGACGTGTTGGTCATTCACAAACCACCTTCAGGATATTTGCCATCTCTCTACACTAATTTTATTATAATTTACTTAATATTTGTCTCTAATTGAGCTCATTTTAGAAACGTGATAAAAAGTAAACTTACTACTATCACTGTAAGAAGAAAGCCATTCCTGCATGTCACAAATAGAAAGTAACTATAAAAGTAAATACAATAAAAACAAAAGAAGCTATTCAATTACAGCTAGGCACTAATCTTCACAAGGCTCTGAGCCTGAGGCCTGCCCTTTCTGTTAAAAGGAAGAGCAACAAGTCCTTAGAGAGGTGTTAAAAATTGAATAGCACTAAATTGAGACTTTCTCCTTTGCATAATAAAAAAGGACAAAAGAGAATTTAAAAACAAGTACCTTTTCTGCTATGCGATTTCATGTTAATGTCTATGTAACACTGAAAAATCATTTCACCATCTGCTGTTAGTAACTGCCCCATCCTCAGAGAAACTCCTGGGAGAAGAATTCTAGCACCAAATCTGGGGTTGGGTAAGAGAAGACCTAAAATCCCTTCCAACTCTGAGATATTACGACGTCAGGTTCTCACTATACTTTCTTGATATTCATTTCCCACCAAACGCTGGCAAATGCTTAACAATCTGCTCTCCAGGGGAGAAGGAAAGGCCCTGATTTACAGTGTTTGCCAATTCCCATGGTGTAAATATTCCCATCATGGCTGATTTTACTCTACCAATATGAGATCACCAAATTCCGACCAAGAGTTGGAAGGAGATGAATACAATAGGTTCAGTATGAGCTGCTTCTAGCACACATGACTGTTCCCACCCAACTGTGGTTGTCCTCTTAAGAATGTAAAACAAAACTGCTTCCAAGGGATTTATATCTAATACTGAAAAATCTTGAAAAAGCCTCTGAGACACTTGGCCATCTCTTAGAGAATGTGTGTGTGAGGGATGAACTAGAAGACTTCTTGCAGTCCCGCTCCACAATCTGATTCCATTTGTGCCCATTTCAGAGATAGAGGCATTGAGATACTTTCTTGCCTGCACCCCCACACAAACACTTTAGTAACCACTGAGTTGGGCTTGACCTTCAATTGTCCACTGTACACATCTGTATGTATATGCACATCTATATTTAATTAACATCTGCATTTCGCCTGCTGGGTATTCTCAATGGTAGCTTTGCTTTATATCCAAGCAGGGTGTTGAGGCTTCTGCTTACTTAACTTTTAAGTCATGGCCAAAGGGCTACCCTACCTCCAGTAGCTTCCCTGAATCAGTTCAAACCAGTCATCGCCTTTCCATATTTAGCATCTCCCACACATCAGTTACCATCTGCAGGTGAATTACTGTGTATGACTATGGCAATTAAATCTTCATCTGATCTGTTTGCACATTTCACCATACATACTTTCAAGAAAGCCCTGGGTCTAAGTAACATTGCATTGAGACCCATTATGTGCCAGGCATTATATGATTATTAGAGTGTCTATTTCAGAGTTGCTATGAGGATTAGATAAGAAGCTTACCCACCTCTGCCATGCCATGG
This sequence comes from Homo sapiens, assembly GCF_000001405.40. Lineage (NCBI taxonomy): Eukaryota > Metazoa > Chordata > Mammalia > Primates > Hominidae > Homo > Homo sapiens. Next base: position 119,379,491 of record NC_000012.12, on the reverse strand, counting down.
CATGCTTCCTTTTTGTTCCTGTAACCCAACAAAGTGCAGAACAGTGTTGTGGACCTCGTGGGTACCCAATCAACTTCATGGATGGCAGTAAGGCTGCCCATGGCTCCAGATGCAAGCCCTGGCTTCAGTCCAGTCTAGCCCTTTCAACATCTCCTGGGTGTCCAGGCCACAAAACATTTGAGTGTCCTCCACCTGGAAAATGATGTTCTATATATCATCACTTAAGCTTAATTGTGAGTGGTTTGGAGGACACCCCACATGGGGTGATTTTATACACGGTTATTATGTTGGCATATGTGTTTCATGATCTGTGGCCTTCCGCAGCAACAACTATTTTTAGCTTCCTAGCAAAGGTCTGGCATGAGCTCCTAGTGTTTTCTTTTTTTCTTCTCCTCTTCAATGCTGGAATTGGCCTCTGCCTGGTAAAACCAAGCCAGGCCGAGCTGGGGGCTTCCAGAATGAGTGGAGAACTACTGAATAAAGCTGTCGTCTGATGACCTTGCCCTCTTGTCCCAGACCCACCAGAATGTGTTGGCCCTGGGCTGAGCATTGATTGTTATCAACATCTTAGATGGGTGGCTTACCCACCATGTACAGAGGGAAGATTCGTCTATGGGTCTGGCTCTCTGCACATATCCAACAGGCTCACTGCCTGCTGTCTTGACAAGCCTGTGTCAATCTTGGCCTGTGCATAGGGCTTTGCTTGTGATACTATATAGGCTTGTGCCTTGAGGATCTTCGCAAAAACAAAAACAAAAACAATTTCACCAATCCACTTACAACTGTTGGAGGGACAGCAAATTTCAGCTGTGTCTGGGGAGGCAGGCACCATGTTTGTTAAGAGCATGGACAGACCTGGGTTCCAATCCTATCCCTGATGCTTATTAGCTCTATGACCAGTTACCTAATTTTCTTGAGCCTCAGTCTGTGGACCTGCAAAAATGGAACCAATTACACTGGCCCTCATGATGTTGCTGTAAAGATTAATTGAGGTTCTTGGTTTAGTGCTGATACAGGAGCTAGAAAGAAATTATTTAGGCAGATAGTGAGGGTAAGAGAGTCCTTGGTAAGGTTTCCCTTTTAATAAAAGGCAGCCCCCAAATCATTTCCTTTCTAACAAAGAGAAGCCTGTAAAATCAAGCTGCAGACATAGAAAGGCAAGCTAGAAGCTTGCACGGGTGAATGCCAGCAGCTGTGTCAATAGGAAAAGGCTACCTGAGGGCCAGGCATGTTCAACATGGTGGCTCCATCTTCCCTTTTCTTTGTCAACCACGTGTACAGTAAGGAACAGACAACACGGCACCCGCCAGGTAGAGAACCGATCTGCTAGTAAGAGATTAGGGTGGGATGGCCAGCTTCTTTGCATACTATGCAAACGTCATACCTGGTCCGACTGATCTCTCGGGCTCTATGTGAATCAGACACCGCCTCCTCAAGCTTTTCTATAAAACCCCGTGCATTTCACCATGGAGCTGGAAGTCCCACTTGGGAGCTCCTCTCTCTCTGCAAGAAAGAGAGCTATTCTCTTTTCTCTTTCTTTCGCCTATGAAACCTCTGCTCTTAAACTCATTTCTTGTGTGTCTGCGTCCTCGATTTCCCTGGCGTGAGACAGCAAACCTCGAGTATTTACCCCAGACAACGATGCCACGTCTGTGCCTGGCATACCGCAAGCACTTCCTTATGCTCCTTGGCAAAGGGTTTAAGAGCCTGTGTTCACACAGCGGTTAAATTTGGTGTAGAAAAAAATGTGTAGAGGTAAAATGAAAAGACTTTGAAACCAAATTTTCCTGGATTTGATTCCAAATTTTTTCATTTGCTAGTTGTGCGTAGAAGTGGGAATATGGAAGGACTCACACTAAATAGTTAATAACTGTTTTGTAACTATTTTGTTAGTTATTAACTATTTAGTTAGTTTAGTTAATAACTATATAGTGACCAGTTGTTACTTCTGGAGTAAAACTGGTTTGGGATGATGGTGAATGATACTTTTAACCTTATTTATAATATTGTAACTGTTTACAGAGTTAATGTAGTGATGTTATTACTTGTGCATGTAAACACTGAGAATAAAAAGAAAACAGAACTGATTATTTGAATTTACCAGATTTTTGTGGTTACAGAGACAAGGCTTTACAACAATTGGAAGATATTTCTTATTTTACTTCTCCGTCTCTTGAGACTTGGGTTGGAATTTTTTCTTTCTTTCTTTTTCTTTTTTTTTTTTTTTTTTTTTTTTTGAGATGGAGTGTTGCTCTGTCGCCCAGACAGGAGTGCAGTTGCACGATCTCAGCTTGCTGCAACCTCCGCCTCCCAAGCTCAAGCGATTCCCATACTTCAGCCTCCCAAGTAGCTGGGATTACAGGCACGTGCCACCACACCCAGCTAATTTTTGTATTTTTAGTAGAGATGGGATTTCACCATGTTGGCCAGGCTGGTCTCGAACTCCTGGCCTCAAGTAATCTGCCCACCTTGGCCTCCCAAAGTGCTGGGTTTACAGGTGTGAGCCACTGTGTCTGGCCTGAGTTGGAATATTGAGGGCTTAGTCTCCATCCACATTGTCTAGTGGAAGCTTGCAAATACTATCCAGCCCAGAGAAAGACAAGGCCTTTCTCTAGCCCTAAATCCCTGCAGCTACAGAACATCCCCCAATATTCCAAAATGGGTAAATGACCCCAGCCCCAACTACTTATACCATTGCCTATAAAGTAGCCACTCTGTTGGAAATATATAGGGGCACACTGTTTAAAGGATATAGGAGCCTAAGGGAGGTTTGGGAATGAACCAGACGAAGCCAGCATCCTGAGATTACCACTGTGTACTTAGGACCATCCCCTGAGTTTTATTTTATTTTATTTTATTTTTTTGAGACAAAGTCTTACTCTGTTGCCCAGCCTGGAGTGCTGTGACTCAATTCTGGCTCACTGCAAGCTTCATTTCCTAGGTTCAAGCGATCCTCCCACCTCAGCTTCCCAAGTAGCTGGGACTACAGGTGCGTGCCACCATGCCTGACAAATTTTTGTATTTTTTGTAGAGACGGGGTTTCACCATGTTTCCCAGGCTGGTTTCAAACTCCTGGACTCAAGCGATCTGCCCGCCTCAGCTTCCCAAAGTGCTGCGATTACAGGCATGAGCCACTGCCCTCGGCCCTGTTTCTTCATTCTGGTTAATTGGAGACCTGCAGGTATTCCTGGAAAGATAGGACAGGAGGGATCAAAGTGATCAAGGATGAGCCTTGTAGTGTAAGGCAGTTTTTGGCAAACCCCAATCTTCAGCTCAGAGAGGGTTGCCTCTGCTGTTCCAATTGAGTGGGCTAAGCTTCACTGGGGTATTAGCAAGTGCGTTTTTCTGAAGGTGGCCATGCTTTCTTTGTTATTAATGAAATACAAGAAGAAAACGTGTCCAACACACAAATCCAGATGGGCGTGGGTGTGTGGGCTCTCTTCCAACAGCCACATTTCTTGGTATAATGTGACCTTTCTGTCTGATTACCACTCTGCTCTTTTCACCAGAGGAAAGTCAGGAGAGGAGGTCTTTTAAAGAGACAACGGGCAAGTTGATTAGGTGGCTCCACGTTTGTCAGACTTTATACTAAGAGCTTCAAGGGAGGGGCTGGTTGTTGCAGGAAGAAGCTGAGGACTTGATTCATTTCGAAAACTGTCCCCAGGGCCTTCTGGCTCACCCACTTCCCCACATTGCATCCTGCATGCATCAGAAACACATGAAATTTTCATGACATCCAAGCCACTTCCCTCCACGGCTCTATTTCTGTTCATTCTGCTGAAAACTGTCTTTGTCATATACAGGGAGCAGTTTAGGTGGACGAAGGACTCTGGTCTCTCAGTCCCTGACTCCACACCCCATTATTTTGATTGATTAAGTAAAACACAGCCATCAGTGAGCTATTCATAGAGAGACAGTTGGGGGGAGGGGCTCATGGACACATTTTATTTGTATGGGGACATTCTCTGATGGGTCAGTAGGTAGGGTGGAGGGATGTGGCCCAGCAAAGACAGCTCAGGGGGATCTTTCAAGTCCAGTGCGGAGAAAGCAATGGTGTACTAGCTGGTGAGGGTGATTGCATGAGAGCTGATTGTATGCATCTGCTTCCCAATTCTTTGTTCAGTGATCGATAGCTTGAAATTGGCCACAGTGGGAATATTTACACCATGGAAACTGGCAAACAAACATTGCAAATTAGGGTTTTTTGCTTGCTTGTTTGTTTTTTCCAGAAAGCTGGTTGTTAAACATTTACCAGCACATCAATGGGGCAAAAGTTTCTGTCCATATGGATACATTCTTAAGACACGTTGTCCCTAAACCCCACTGTCAGAGGCGCTGGAAACAGAGCAACTCTATTTTGAATAGGGACTGGGTAAAATGAGGCTGAGACCAACTGGGCTGCATTCCCAGGAGGCTAGGCATTCCTAGTCACAGAAAGATAGGCGGTTGGCAGGACTGGTATCACAAGATATGGGTCACAAAGACCCTGCCGATAATACAGTATGCGGTAAGGAAGCCAGCCAAAACCCACCAAAACCAAGATGGCAATGACAGTAACCTCTAGTCGTCCTCACTGCTCATAATTTTAATGCATTATGCTAAAAGACACTCCCACCAGCGCCAGGACAGTTTACAAATGCCAAGGCAACAACCAGAAATGACCCTTATATGGTCTAAAAGGAGGAGGAACCCTCAGTTCTGGGAATTGCCTGCCCCTTTCCCAGAAAACTCATGAAAAACCCACCCCTTGTTTAGCATATAATCAAGAACTAACTATAAATACACTCAGTTAAGCAGCCCATGCCACTGCTCTGCCTATGGAGTAGCCATTCTTTTGTTTCTTTACTTCTCTAATAAACTTGGTTTCACTTTACTCTATGGACTTGCCCCGTATTCTTTCTTATGTGCGGTCCAAGAATCCTCTCTTGGGGTCTCGATCAAGACCCCTTTCCAGGAACACCACCACCCCTCTATAGCATCTCTCATCATACCCTTTCCCGTCCAGATTGCAACTATCTATGTATTTGTCTTTATTATTTCTATAAGGTTTCCTTTCCTAGCTTCATACTTACTACCTCTGAAGTTGAGCAAGTCAGTTAACTTCTCTGTGCTTTAGTTTTCTCATCTTTAAAAAGGAGGAGAGTAATAGCATTGACCCTTATAGGTAATTTCTTCATGGCTGCCATGGATGAGTGGTGTAATACATTATATTTAATATTTTAATCTATTTAATCCTCACAATAACCCAGTGACAAAGGTATTATTATCCATCTAAGGACGAGAAGGCCCTCAGATCTTAAGTCTCTAGATGAAAGTCTAACAGCCATTAAGTGGCAGAGCTGGGATTAGAACCCAGAGCTTTTGGAATTTCAAAGTCTGTGTACCTAACCAGCACAGAAAACTGCCTCTTCAGCATAGGTTTTCTCCCTCTGGCAAGTTGGCTTCCTACTACTCAGCCCCTGGGCAAGAGCTGGTGTTCTGTCAGGAGCAGAAAAAAAAAAAAAGATAAAGTTCTCTTCATTTCCTTCAAAGAAACCTTTCTTGCCTCAAAGAGAGAGTGAGAAAGGAATTGGCTCAAGTTCATTTGAAATTCCAGGTTCATTATCCATGTACTTAAAGCCTGTCTAGATAACAAATGAAACGTGAAAAATGTAGTCAATCATCCACATGTTTGGTCTCTGCCATGTCAGAAGTGGTGTATTTTAGAAACATCTGGATGGCTAGAAAAGAGGCTAAGCCAAGCTTCCATTAATGAGAACTTGTGGAAATGAAGGGGGACGCCCCCCATCTCATTTTACAGATAAGGGAACTGAGACCCCCCCCCACCCCACCCCGGAGAGAAAGTATCTTGCCTAAGTTTGCACAGATTTTTGGTGGCAAAACTAAAGCATAAACTTTCACCAGTGCAGTTTCAAGTCCACCACGCTGCTCCTCTTTGCTGAAATTGCTCACCACGGTGACAGACATGGTCCTACACTCAGAGGCATGTAGTAAGTGGTTTGGCAGCAAGCTTCTATTGACAGTGCCTCAATTGTGATAAGCAGGGTTGGACTGATGAAAACCCCTATTTGCAAATGAGGAAACTGAGGCTCAGAGAGGTTAAGTAACTGGCTCAGAGTCACATAGCTGCCGGTGGGGTTTAGAGTGATTGGAGCCAGCTTTTCTTTAGGTCAATCAGTGTTCTCTTAAGCACCACCAAAAGAATCACAGATTATTTATTGAGTAAATGCTATGTGCTAGGCATTTTATGACTGTAAGGGAATTGGAGTTATATTCTGAGCTCCCCATTTAGCATCAGGAAGTTGAAGTTGCTCCAGGGTTAGATCCAGGTCAGTCAGCTTGACTGCATTTCAGTACTTTGTAAAGGAGACGCCACCCACTCTGCAGCTTAAACCTGACATTGCCCCCTCCTCCTGATTCCACGTTTTCCAAAATTCAAACTTTCACTTACAATCATCATAATCTATTGTGGTACTCATGCACTGCCACTTTTACTATTAATATTTTTCTTTACAGTAACGTTAAACAAAAAACCTTAAGTATCTACTTTAGTTCTCTCCTAAGCAATAATATCCACGACATTATGCTTTTGAAACGCCTTGTTAGAGTTTTCCTAATGCACTATTGAAATGAACACATCATAAACAAGGAAGAGTGAAAGTGACTGTCCATTTAAAATTACGCTGCATGTCACCATGGCGTGTGTAGCAACCTCTAAGGCCCAGGCATTGTGGCTTGTTTAGTGGGTTATGCAACCATCTCTAGGGCCCAGGTGTTGTGTGAAATCTATGTCATGCCTGCTGATAAGGCGGGGGGACTCAAGCACCGAGATATCTCTCTGAGTGGGGATTCGTAGGTGGAGGCTGAACACTGAAGCATTTTCCAGAAGCAGCTTTGGACTATGGCACTGCCTGACTTCCATAATGTGGGGGATTTTTATGTGTCAATCAAATCTCTGAGATTTTGCCCAGTGATTGTCTCTGTCTTGATTTATGTTACCCTGGGACCCTGGAAGCCACGCTATGGGAGGGTGGTTCCTAGTTACTAGGGTTCTATACATCAGCTCTAAACCTCACAGTCTCTTGAAAGATTGACATTATGCCCCAGTTTTGCAGATGAGAGCTCAGAGAGGCAAAGTGGCACAGCCATTAAGTAGAGAAGCCTAGCTTCAAGCCCAGGCTAGCCTAACTCTTAAAGATCATGCTTACCTGCCATTCTTATTTTTTATTTTTGAGACACAGTCTTGCTCTGTCACCCAGGCTGGAGTGCGGTGGTGTGATCTCAGCTCACTGCAAACTCTGCCTCCTGGGCTTAAGCAATTCTCCTGCCTCAGCCTCCCGAGTAGCTGGGAATTCAGGCACGATCCACCATACCCGGCTAATTTTTTTGTATTTTTAGTAGAGATGGGGTTTCACCATGTTGGGCCAGCTGGTCTCAAACTCCTGACATCAAGTGATCCACCCGCCTTGGCCTCCCAAAGTGCTGGGATTACAGGGGTGAGCCACTGCGTCCGGCCTAAGATCATGCTTACCTGCCATTCTAACCTCTGTCCTAGTGCCACCTCCCACCTGGGATCACCAGATTGAGAGAGTCCTTAGGTGGCATCATCACAGAGACTCAGCACAAGCCCCTTTTAATAATGGATGTAGGCTCTAGTGGATGGGCTCTTCCCAGAGCCAGGGAGGGGAATTCCTGGCCAGGCTCTGCAGGAAGAATTCCAAGCTGGTTTGTTTCTTGAAGCCCGGAGAAAAGCCTATTCCTAAAGAAATGAACAACTCTGGGGTTAGGAAACACAGCTGCCTGGAGAACTGGATGGATGCTGTGGTTTGTTTTAGAAAATTGAAACAGCAACTTGGGAGCGCTTCTGAGATCCCACCAATGGGAAAACCTCAGGCTCAGAAAAGAGAAGTGTCTTGACCAAGATTTGATGGCTTTTAAGCGGTAGACATGGGATTCTAACCCAGCTCTGACTATAAGGGTAGTTGTTTTTTTCTGACACAAAGCAGACCGAGTCATTCATTCACTCATTCATTTCATTCATTCACTCATTCATTCCACAACTATTTATTGAGCCACTGCTCTATCCAGGCCTTGGGAATAGGTTGGGAACTATGAGATTTGGGCTCTGGAGAAAAATCCCTGAAGTTTTCTGGCTTTAAGCCCTTCCTCCCCTCTCTCCTATTGAACATGGGTACCACTTGGGGTGGGGGCAGTGTCTTGCATTTTTTATTAATTATCTCAAGTATCTATTTTGCTGATGGAGACACAATGTCATGATCTGATCTTGTTCTCCTATAGAAGGAATCAAGTCCCCAGTGATGGTGGTTTAATGAAGAAACACAAGGCTGTCTCAAGAAATGGAATCAGGTAGAGAGAACCAACCCATCCAATCGCTGAGGCATTAGGGTCCAGGGCCCAGGGTGATTAAAAAGCTACTATTTTATTTTATTTTTTAAAATAGAGACAGTGTCTCACTTTGTCACCCAGGCTGGAGTGCAGTGCTATGGTCATGGCTCACTGCAGCCTCAACCTCCTGGGCTCAAAGGATCCTCTCACCTCAGCCTCTTAAGTGCCTGGGACTACAGGGGTGTGCCACTATACCTGGCTAAGTTTTTTGAAAATATTTTGTAGAGATGGGGTCTCACTATGTTGCCCAGGCTGGTCTCAAACTCCTGGGCTCAAGTGATCATCCTGCCTCAGCTTCCCAAAGTGTTGAGATTACAGGCATGAGCCACTATGCCTGCCTCATATTCTAAACCAAACTGTTGAAGAGTAAGTGTTTTTGATGAATGCCCCCACCAGTTCCAGGCTTAAATTATTACTGAACTTCTGCATTTCAGCCTTCAAGGCCTAGGTTGTTGGTGAGATGTCAGAGCTGTTCCTGAGATGAGCAGGGAGGAGTGGACTGCTCCATCCACGTGACCCCTTCACATAGACTTCAGGCCCTCAAGTACAGTTTTAAAGAGCTGTGTTGAAAATAACCTTCTCTCATCCATCCATACCTGTGATGTGTGTTTGGGATTGTTGCCTTGCAAATGAGGTATAAGGTGTCACCTTTGCGAGGCACTTCTTTTCTCAACTCGACATGATATTCTGGATCTATTCCCAAGCCTAAGTGAGCACGGCAATTCATTATCATGACAACTTAAGCCATAGTCCCGGATGTGGAATGCACCACGGGGCGCACTGTCTGCCTGACATTTGGCAACTTTGCCAAGAACTTAACAATAGTGCATGATTATATTTGATATGCTTTCCTTAATTCATTATGGATTCTGTGGGTTGGAGAGAAATGGAACTTTAAAATGGATTGTGTTGTTTGGAATTGTCTAAGTGCAGGGTTGGGCTTATGGGACTGAATCAGGCGTTGGACAGGTTCAGGCATGTTGGAACACGTTAAGTGACCACCTTTCCTGAAGCGGCCTCAAAGCTGGTCTGGCCTGGTCTCTTCTTGTGTTTGATAGGGAGGTATACGTCCTTATCCCCAAGCTGAATTTACTCATTTGTATTTCCTGCCTGGGTCTTGAAGACATTTACATTTGAAATCCCTGATTTTAGGTGGTGGATTGAAAGGCAAAATTCTGAATAATTGAGGCACTTACTGATGCCCTTGGCAAGCCTCTGAACCCCCATTTCACCACATTCATTCATTCAACAACCATTTACTGGCACCTGCTCCATGCCAGGCCCCGTGCTAGGTACTGGGAGGCAGCAGGCAATAGTAATTAACAAACACAACATACGGGATGCTGCTTCAACACATTAACCTCCTAACAACCCCACGAGCTAATTACATCCTCCTAACATCCTCCCAACAGCTCCACGAGCTAAGTATTATTATTTTCTCCATTTGTAGATGGAGACTGTGGGGCTCAGAGAGGCAAAGTAACTTGCCTATGGCTGCACAGCTAGTGAGCAAGTCCATATTCTTAACCACTATGCATCAGTGTTTCTCTGGCAAGATGATTTCCAGGGAGCTTACATTAGCTTTCAAGGATTCAGTGGGCTTTAAAGTTCTGCAGCCCTCTGAATCTCTGGCACTCTGCAGATTTAAGAAATTTAATGCAATACAAGTGTTTTTTCTAACCCAATAAAACTAGAAAGCTTCCCCCATCCCCCAGGAATGCTGTTTGTCAGCTCTCCACTTGCAGTGTTCACCCTTTTCTGGGCTGAAAGGGGAGACTTCCTTGGAGATGAGCTTGGTGCTTTGTGCCTTGTAAATCTTTTTAAAACCTACATTGCGAGCGTCTTTCTCTCCAAATATGGCTACTTCTCAGGCCTGGATTTAGCATTCATTCCTCCAGCACAGGAAAGGAAGGCCTCGTATAAGGTCATGCTTGTGTTATTTTCTTCTCTTGTACCAACCTGCCTGCCTGCTTTTACCTCCTGTATCCCTAGTTCTGCAGCCTTGAGTTCTACCAGCTGAGACCTCACTGTGTGGTTGGATATTGAGACTCTTATCTTTCCACAATTCTTCCTCTGTCACCAAAGAGAATAGGCATTGTCTGTCCCCACCCATTCCTCTTTCTTCATCCTCTCTAGACGTTAGTTCAGAAAAACAAGAGGAAAGGGGAAAAAGAACTACGAAACGATCAGGTTATCACCAGCATAGAAAGAGAAATAATTAGCACCAATTAAATTTGGGGTATTACAGATAAAGTGGCGACTAAGTGGAGGTTGGCCTGAACCGAAGCACAGAGATGCAACCGGGCCACGTTAATTACGAGCAGGGATTGTCATGGAAACCCAAGGTGGGCACATTCATGAACCTGTGTTAATTACATGGAAATAGCTGCACTGCAAAATGGTGCTGAGGGCAAAAGGGCATGTATTTGAAAGTTGAGGCCACTGGTACAACCTTTAGAAGCTGCTGATGACAAACCCAATTTCAGATGGTTTCCCCCATGGTTGCAAATTCTCAGCTCAGAAGTCGGAAGGCGTAATTCTTTATTGTGAGGCCGAGAGTACCGCCCTGTGTTCCCCTGACCACTCCAGTCCCTCTCCAGCAAGCTCCTTGGACTTTCACATGATCCAGCCACAAAAGAGTTAATGGCGGGTCCGGTGTCCTAGCCATACTGATTGCTAAACATTTTAATATCATTTACTATCATTCTCAGCTAATATTTATTAGACAAGAAAAATGAGGTTTGGGCCAGTAGCTCAAGGTTGTACAGCTATAAAATGGCAGCTCTATGGCTTGAACCCAGGAATTCTTTCATCAGAGCCGTCTTCTTCTTTTCTATCTTCTCCTCCCCCTCCTCCTCCTCCTCTTCCTCCCCCTCCTCCTCCTGCCCTTCCCCCTCCTTTTTCTCCTCCTCCCCTTCCTCCTCCTCCTTCTTTTCTTCTCCTCTCTTCTTCCTTCTTCCTTCTTTCCTTCTCCTCCTCCCCCTTCCCTCCTCCTCCCCCTCCTCCTTCTTCTTGTTCTTCTTTTTTTCTTCAGAAAAACAGATTTATTGACATATAATTCACACACAATACAATTCACCCATTTAAAGTGTACAGTTCAAAAGTTTTTAAGAGACTCACAGATATGTGCAACCATCACCATGATCAATTCTGGAAACTTTTCATCAGCTCAAAAAAAAAAAACCCCTTTATATATTACCCCATTATCCTCCCAGGCTTCTGAGCCCCTGGAAACCCCAAATTTACCTTCTGTCTCTATAGATTTCCCTGGTTTGTACTTTCATAAAAATGGATCATGTCATATGCATCCTTTTGTGACCAGCTTCTTTCATTTTGCATAACGTTTTCAAGGTTCTTCCATGTTGCAGGTTGCATTAGTATTTCATTCCTTCTCATGACTGAATAATATTCCACTGTATGGATAGGCTATATCTTGTTTATCTGTTTGTCACTTCACGGACTTTTGGGCAGAGCTGTCATGTTGACCTCTACATTGTACTAAGCTTTCCCAAGGTCACAGCTAAGGGCAAACCTGGGACTCAGACCTCCATAACTCAGGCACACAAACACTAAAATAGATATCTTATTCTATACTTTTAAATAAATATGTGAAGATCCCATAATATTTCAAATGCAGAGTTTGGGGGACTTGGAGGATATAGGCGGTGGAATTATCATGTAGGGAAGGAAAGCTATGAGTGACTTTGAAGGAACAAGAAAAGGAGACTCGAGGGCTTTTTCTGGAGAGGGTTTAACTTACTTCAGAGGGTAGGACTATAGCCCTCCATGACCTTGCACAAGTCCTCTTAATCTCTCTGTGCTTCAGTTTCTTTGGCTGTAAAATGCAGGAAATAATCATACCTACTTTTTAGGATTGTTTGAAGGCTGAGTTAATCTGTGGAAAAGTGGTTAGAATTGTGTCTGGCACATAGCAAGTATGATACGTGTTTTCAGGCCAGGTGCGGTGGCTCACGCCTGTAATCCCAGCACTTTGGGAGGCCGGGGTGGGTGGATCACTTGAGGTCAGGAGTTTGAGACCAGCCTGGCCAACATGGTGAAACCTCGTCTGTATTAAAAATACAAAAATTAGCCAGGCATGGTGGCGGGTGCCTGTAATCCCAGCTACTCGGGAGGGTGAGGCAGGAGAATCGCTTGAACCTGGGAGGCAGAAGTTGCAGTGAGCCGAGACTGTGCCACTGCTCTCCAGCCTGGGCAACAGAGCGAGATTCTGTCACAACAACAACAACAAACCCTAAGGGTTTTCTGTTCCTTCTGTTCTTACTTAGGAGGTATCCTCTGGCTCGTCTTGATCCCACGGGTACATGGGGTGGGTCCCTGAAGGCTGTACTCATTCTAAGAGACCCTCACTATCTCACTGCCCTTGCCCTGGATCTCAGTTTTCTCATCCATTAAATCAGGAGAACAGGCACATGCCATCTAAGCATGTTAAGACTCTCTCTTGCTACTTGATTTTCTCATGAAGCCCCACACCCCCACCCAGGGCACAGTTTTCTGTGTGTGTGTCAAAGTGGGGTTTCTTAGGCCCTCCAGTCAGAGAGTCAGCCATCCTGTGCCCTATCCCATCTCCACCTTGCTCCTCCTTCAGGAGAAGTGTGGATTCAGGAGAGAGCAAAGGTTCAAATCAAGGGCTTTGGTGGAAAGCAGAAGAGTCTCCTAAACATGAGTTTTGAAGACAGACAGAGCTGGGCTCAAATCCTGCTATGACCGTTAATACCGTCACCTGGGACATGTTATCTCGTCTCCTTGACTCTGATTCCTCATTCATAAAATGGAGCTTAGTATATTTAGTATACTTCTCACAGGTGTTCTGAGGATTAATTGGAATATTTTTAAGAAATGTCTATCACAACATCTACGTCACTGTGTAGATCTTCAGTGACGTACTAACTGGAGTTTTCTTATCTCTAAAACGGTGATAAACCATCTACCCTGTGGTTGTTTGAGGGTGAAATGAGGGAGTTCATGTGAAGCATCTTAGCACAGTGTGTGTATGTGTGTATATCTATCTGTCTATTTATATAGTTAGGTCTAGATATATCTCAATACATCTTTATTCTTATTATTACTGTGAGGCCAGGACTCCAGGTGGGAAGCCTGGATGTTTTCAACATTGTAATCTTGGCCCCATTGCCCTTTTACTTATTAAGCAGATCATGGTCCCCACAATTTGTGAGTTTACTGGAGAGAAACTGTCCTGATCTCCATAGGCTGTTAGGCACCTGCCTGTGTGTCTCCTATCAAAGAGAGCTTCCGCTGGTATTCTAATCACATTCCTCTGTTAATACCACATATTTCTATGTAAAAGGAAACAAATTACATGCAGACAACAGCAAATATGAAAGCTTGCAGCAACACTTTCATTGTTCAGGCAGCGTTCTTTGCTCACTGCTTCTGAGAATATAAAGTTAATTGGCAGTTCTATTTATCTTGCTTTGGTTAACTGATAGATCCCTTTGCCCTTTAGTCAGTAAACACCTCTTGGTATTTCTCTGATCTTGCTTTCTTTTAGCCCTTGCCTCTGACCGCAAAACAAAACAAAACACACACACACACACAAAAGTTGACATTTGTATAATGTGACAATTTCCAGGTAGACTGCATAGGATTTAATAAATTTGTCAGTCATCAGTGTCTTTATTTTTAATTTAAACAATGAACTAAATACAAACGAGGAAACACAGACAATATGCTAAAGGATTTCCTTTCCTTGGATATTTATTCATTCAATAAATAGAACTTTTTTTTAGTGTTCATTACTGCCAGGAACATGTTGATCCTTCTTGAATCTGTCCCTTTTGTTCCATCTCCTTTGCAATCAGTCTAACCAGGGCTCGTCTCAGGACAGGGAGGAAGCATGAGTTTTGAGGCCAGATAGAGCTGGGTTCGAATCCTGCTATGACCACTAATGCTGTCACCTGGGACACGTTATCTCATTTCCTTGAATCTGATTCATCGTTCATAAAATGGAGCTTAGTATACTTCTCACAGGTGTTCTGAGGATTAAATGGAACAATATTTTTAAGAAGTGTCTATCACAACATCTGCCTCACTGTGTAGATGCTCGGTGATGTACTAATTTCCAACTGCCTTCCATGTCCACTGAGTTTTCTATACACCTCAGAGCCTGTCTCCATCTTCACATCATTCACTCCCAGTCATCCTTGGCTCTCATCTCAAATGCTTTTTCAGGGAGCTTTTCCTGAATCCCTGGACAAAACAAGGTCTTCCTGCTGTTTGCTCCTGTGACAGCCTGTGCTTGCCTTTCTGCAACACTCATCATGCTTGCGGTTGTCCAAAGGGAGATCGCCCCGTGGATCTCCTCTGTGCTCTGTTCCCAGCGGAGTCTGTGCTCTGTTACCAGTGTGGGCATCAATTATAAGATGCACCGGCAAATTACTTTTATCTTCTCAGACTTTTAAAAGAAAAACTGGAACTGACCCAACTGTGCATCAACAGGTGAATGGATAAACTCTGTTATATTCATATTCAGTAATAAAAGAGAGCAGGCCACTGATATGTCCAACAACATGATGAGTCTCAAAAACATGTTGGATGAAAGAAGCTAGACACAGAAGAGCATATACTATGTGATTCAATTTATAGGAAATTAGAAAACAGAAAAAAAGAAATTAACTTATAGTGATAGAGTATAGATGAGGAGTTGCCTGGGTTTTAGGGTAGGAGGAGGGGATTGACTTCAAATGGGTATGAGAGGTCTTTTGGGGACTATAAAAATGCTCTATATCTTGATTAGGATGGTGGTTACGTGGGTGCATACAATCGTCAAATCTCATTGAACTGTAGACTTAAAATGTGTGCATTTGGTTATATGTAAATTACACCTCAAAAAGTTGATTAAAAATAAATGAGTATATCAAAGTCAAAACAAAGAAGGAAGGAAGGAGAGAAGAAGGAAGGGAAGCAAATATCCTAGCTCGAAACCGCCCCAAATTAAAGCTTGTTTTCAATTTCTGAGTAGGTTGTGGCAGTTAGTGAAAGCCTATTGTTTTCATTGCAACAGCAAGATTACAAGGATCGTATTTTCGAAGGCACTGGAGAGCCATGGAAGCAAAAGAAGAACTAAAATTTCAGAGAGTGAAGAGTGCTGCTTAGAAATTATGAAAGACATAAAACAACAGAATGACATATTTAAAGTGCTAAAAAATGAAAATCCCAAACCCCAAACAACCAACCAAACACCAAAACCCAAGAATCTGCTCACCTACAATTCTGTCTCCAATAAAAGTATTTTTCAAAAATGGTAGCAAAATAAAGGTATTTTCGCACCTACAAAAGCTCAGGAAATTCCTCACCACCAGCAGGTCTGCACTACAAGAAATACTAAAGCAGCTCTCCAGGCTGCAGGAAGTCAATCCCAGATGGAAACAAGTACCCACAGAATAGAACAAAGAGACCAGATGGAGCAAATGTATGAATGCCTGGATAGAATACTGACTGTTTAAAGCAATATTAATAGCTGTGTCTTGTGGCTTTCTAATACATATAGAAAAAAAGCTCCAACTATAATAAAAAGAATGGATAAATTTGACTTTGTTAAATTTAAGAATTTCTGCTTATGGAAGGCACCATTAAAGGAATAAAAAGGCACTTCGTGAATACACACACACACACACACACACAGAGGACTCATACCTAGACTATATAAAGAACTCTTACAAGTCAATAATAGAGGACAAAATTTTGCAAAGACAGCAGACTCAAACAGGCATTCACAAAAGAGGAATCCAAATGATCCGTAACAACATGAAAAGTTGTTCAATATCATTACTCATCAGGAAAATTCAGGTTAAAAGCACGATGAGGTATCACTACACACTCACCAGAGAGGCTAAAATAAGAAAGACTAAATTTTGATGAGGATATGGAGCAACTGGAGCTCTCATACATGGCTGACACCTTAGAATGCTGGAATCCTGCCAATTTCTTTCTTTTTTATTTTTATTTTTGAGAGGGAGACTGGCTGTCTCGCCCAGGCTGGGGTGCAGCGGTGCAGTCTCAGCTCACTGCAACCTCTGCCTTCTGCATTCAAGCGATTCTCCTGCCCCAGCCTCCCGAGTAGCTGGGATTACAGGCATGTGCCACCACACCCGCTAATTTTTATATTTTTAGTAGAGATGGGGTTTTGCCATGTTGGCCAAGCTGGTCTCGAACTCCTGGCCTCAAGTGATCTGCCCACCTAGGCCTCCCAAAGTGCTGGGATTATAGGCCTGAGCCACCTTGTGGGCCAGTTTCTGATTAAACTAAAAATATTCCTATTCTATGACCCAGCTAAGAAAATCTAGTGTATATGTTCACCCAAAAGACATGTAAAAGAATGTCCAAGAAGATTTACTCATAATAGTCCTAAATAGGAAACACTCCATATGTCTATCAATGAGAGGGTAAAGAAATAAATTATGGTATATTCATACAAGAAAATACTATTTACCAATGAAAAATAATAAACTACTGATACGTGCAACACTGTGGATTAAATCACCCAGATATAATGGTGAGCAAAAGAAGCCAGAGGTAAAAGAGAATATATACCCTATGATTTCATTACATGAAGATCAAGAATGGACACAACTCAATATTGTAAGTTAGAATACTGGTTACATCTGTGGTGGGTGTAGTATTTATTTATTTATTTATTGCAGGGAGAAGTGGGTGCAGTATTGATAGGAAGAGATGAGAGAATCTTCTGGAATGTTTTATATATTTATTAAGGTCATGGTTAACAGGTATATAGATATGTAAAATTTAATTGAGCTGTAACTTAAGTTTTAAACATTTTATGGCATGTAATTTACACCTCAAATTTAAAAGGGGCTGAGTCTCCCCTAAGCCCCTTCTCATGCATCCTAGAATCAACCTCCAAGTCTTAAATAAAAACAAATTATAAATACATACAAGTAGGTAAGTAGATAGATATAGACACAGCTATAGATATAAGATAGATGTTTAAATAAAAATGGGATTAGAATTCTGGCCACAATACATATGTGTTTGTCCAGGACAATCTTAATTTATATGTATTTTTCCAGGATAACTGATGATGCACCTCATTTTACTCTGAAAAGTGTCCAAGTTGGGCAATAAATTATATGGCCATACTCATTATACTGTACATACAATGATCACTCCCCTCATTAAACTATGCACAATGGCCATCTTTCCATGTCTATATGTACGGACTTAACCTTGTTCATTTTAGTGGCTGCATAATATTCCACAGTATGCATGGACATGACTTATTATTTGATTCTCTTATTGGTGCACATTTTGGGCTGTTGCCAGTTTTTTGAAAATATGATTAATGCTGATGGAATAGACACTAACTGTTTTTGTCTTGTCAACAGTTGGGCTGCCTTCTTTTGATCAAAGCACCTGGATTTTCATCTTGGGACTTATCCCTTCTCCATCCTCAGTACATGTTGCTCAAATGTGGGTAACCCTGGTCTCTGGGCTCCAAGTGAATAACTCAGGGGTGATTCTTTTGCGACCCTTGATGTTTCTTTACAGAAAGAGAAGCTTATTTTTTTTTCCCTGCTGTTCCTAAGCCAGAAGAATTTAAACCTGGAGCTGCTGGTGGCCATTTTGACACTCAATAAAGAGCTCTTGCCTGAGAATGAAACCATCACAAATGGAAATAGAGACAATGAATATAGGCAGATTCTTGATGACTTTGTCTAAACTCTTGGATCTAGCTATGCCTGAAACCTTAGAGTTTCTGTAATGTGAACCTCTGATTCCAATATTTTTTGCTTGTGTAAATTTGAGAGGGTTTTGTTACTTGCAACTAAAAGATTTTTGATAAAATAGACCTGTGATAGACTTGAGCTCTCCCTCTCCCTCTCCCTCTCGTCTCCCTCTCCCTCTCCCTCTCCCTCTCCCCATGGTCTCCCTCTCCCCATGGTCTCCCTCTCCCTCTCTTTCCACGGTCTCCCTCTCATGCCAAGCCGAAGCTGGACTATACTGCTGCCATCTCGGCTCACTGCAACCTCCCTGCCTGATTCTCCTGCCTCAGCCTGCGGAGTGCCTGCAATTGCAGGCGCACGCCGCCACGCCTGACTGGTTTTCGTATTTTTTTGGTGGAGACGGGGTTTCGTTGTGTTGGCCGGGCTGGTCTCCAGCTCCTAACCGCGAGTGATCCGCCAGCCTCGGCCTCCCGAGGTGCCGGGATTGCAGACAGAGTCTGGTTCACTCAGTGCTCAATGGCGCCCAGGCTGGAGTGCAGTGGCATGATCTCGGCTCGCTACAACCTCCACCTCCCAGCCGCCTGCCTTGGCCTCCCAAAGTGCCGAGATTGCAGCCTCTGCCCGGCTGCCATCCCATCTGGGAAGTGAGGAGCGCCTCTTCCCGGCCGCCATCACATCTAGGAAGTGAGGAGTGTCTCTGCCCCGCCGCCCATCGTCTGGGATGTGGGGAACGCCTCTGCCCCGCCGCCCTGTTTGGGATGTGAGGAGTGCCTCTGCCCGGCCGCCACCCCGTCTGGGAGGTGAGGAGCGTCTCCGCCCGGCCGCCCCGTCTGAGAAGTGAGGAGACCCTCCGCCCGGCAGCCGCCCCATCTGAGAAGTGAGGAGCCTCTCCGCCCGGCAGCCACCCCGTCTGGGAAGTGAGGAGCGTCTCCGCCCGGCAGCCACCCTGTCCGGGAGGGAGGTGGGGGGGTCAGCCCCCCGCCCGGCCAGCCGCCCCGTCCGGGAGGGAGGTGGGGGCGTCAGCCCCCCGCCTGGCCAGCCGCCCAGTCCGGGAGGGAGGTGGGGGGGTCAGCCCCCTGCCCGGCCAGCCGCCCCGTCCGGGAGGTGAGGGGCGCCTCTGCCCGGCCGCCCCTACTGGGAAGTGAGGAGCCCCTCTGCCCAGCCAGCCGCCCTGTCCGGGAGGGAGGTGGGGGGGGGTCAGCCCCCCGCCCGGCCAGCCGCCCCGTCCGGGAGGTGAGGGGTGCCTCTGCCCGGCCGCCCCTACTGGGAAGTGAGGAGCCCCTCTGCCCGGCCACCACCCCGTCTGGGAGGTGTGCCCAACAGCTCATTGAGAACGGGCCAGGATGACAATGGCGGCTTTGTGGAATAGAAAGGGGGGAAAGGTGGGGAAAAGATTGAGAAATGGGATGGTTGCCGTGTCTGTGTAGAAAGAAGTAGACATGGGAGACTTTTCATTTTGTTCTGTACTAAGAGAAATTCTTCTGCCTTGGGATCCTGTTGATCTGTGACCTTACCCCCAACCCTGTGCTCTCTGAAACATGTGCTGTGTCCACTCAGAGTTAAATGGATTAAGGGCGGTGCAAGACGTGCTTTGTTAAACAGATGCTTGAAGGCAGCATGCTCATTAAGAGTCATCACCACTCCCTAATCTCAAGTACCCAGGGACACAAACGCTGCGGAAGGCCGCAGGGTCCTCTGCCTAGGAAAACCAGAGACCTTTGTTCACTTGTTTATCTGCTGACCTTCCCTCCACTATTGTCCTATGACCGTGCCAAATCCCCCTCTGTGAGAAACACCCAAGAATGATCAATAAAAAAAAAAAAAAAAGACCTGTGATAAGCATCTATCTATATATTTAAAAATATATGTATAAGTACTCAATATTCTCAATATTTATTCTTGAGGACAGTACTTATTAGGAATATTTCCATGCAATCAACACCTAAAAGTGAAATGACTACATAAAGGGTCTTGGTGTATTTAAAACCATGTTCCAAGAATGTACAGATTTTCACTCTCACCTACACCAGTGCTTGTTTCCCCACATCTGGAAGTAGATCTGAGATGTGTATAACAACGGAAAAATGAACAAGAGACTTGAACTGGCATTTCATGAAAGAATATATCCAAATGGCCAATAAACCTAAAAAAACATGCTCAACCTCATTAGGCATTAAGGAAATGCAGATTAAAGCATTTCCACAATATGATACTACTAAGCACCCACCAGAATAGCTGACATTAAAAACACTCACAATACCAAGATTGTTGAGGATGTGGAGCAACTGGAAATTTCCTTCACTGCTGGTGGTAGTATAAATTGAACCACCCCTATGGATAACTGTTTGGCAGCATATAAAGCTTATAAGGCTGAACATATGCATTTCCTCTGGCCAGCAATTCCACTCATGGGAAATCTACATTTATTCACCAAAAGGCATTGTACAAAAAACATTCATAGCATTTTGTAATAGCTCCACTCCCATCTTCTCCCTGAAACACAACCCAAAAGTCCTTCAAGAAGTAAACAGATAAATAAATTGTGGTACATTCATATTGTAGAATACTATATAGCAATGATAATGAACAAATGACAGTTATGCACAAAAATATAAGTGAATCCCATAAACATAACATTGTGAAATGAATCCAGATCCAAAAGAGTATACCCCATATTATTCATTTATATGATATTCAAGAAACAGGCAAAAATAATTGATGGTGATAGAGGTCAGGATGGTGGTTACCATTGGGGAGAAGGAGGACCATGTCTGGGAGGATGTTTGAGGGGGTTTTTTGGGTTCTGGTTGTCTTAGTCTGTTTTGTGCTGCTATAACAGACTACTTGAGACTGGGTAATTTATAATGAACAGAAATGTATTGGCTCAAAATGGAGACTGGGAAGTCCAAGATTGAGGGGCTGGCGTGGCATCTTGTGGGAACCTTCTTGCTGTGTCATCCCATGGTGGAAGGTGGAAGGGCAAGAGAGGGGTGAGAAAGGACAAAACTCACCCTTTTATAATAGCAATAATCCCATCCATGAGGGTGGAGGCTTTCTGGTCTAATCACCTTATAGGGAACTAGAGGTCATTATAGCAAGTGAAATAAGCCAGCCACAGGAAGACAAATATTGCATGTAATCACCTGACATGGTTTGGATCTGTGTCCCACCCAAATCTCATGTTGAATTGTAATCCCCAGTGTTGGAGGTGGGGCCTGGTGGGAGGTGATTGGATTGTGGAGGTGGATCCTCCATGAATGGTCTAGCACCATCCCCCTTGGTACTGTCCTCATGATAGTGAGTGCTCATGAGATCTGGTTGTTTAAAAGTGTGTAGCTCGCCTTGCCCCCCACTTTCTTTTGTTCTTGCTCCTGCTGTGTAAGACATGCCTGCTTCCTCTTCACCTTTAGCCATGATTGTAAGTTTCCTGAGGTCTCCCCAGAAGCTGAGCAGATGCCAGCATAATGCTTCCTGCACAGCTTGCAGAACCATGAGCAAATTAAACCACTTTCCTTTGTAAATTATTCAGTCTCAGGTATTTCTTTATAGCAATGTGAGAAAGGACTAATATATCTCTCATACATATTTGGGATCTAAAAAAGCTGATCTCAGCCAGGCACGGTGGCTCACCCCTGTAATCCCAGCACTTTGGGAGGCCGAAGTGGGTGGATCACCTGAGGTCGGGAGTTTGAGACCAGCCTGACCAACATAGAGAAAAACTGTATCTACTAAAAATACAAAATTAGCCAGGTGTGGTGGCACATGCCTGTAATCCCAGCTACTTGGGAGGCTGAGGCAGGAGAATCGCTTAAACTTGAGAGGCGGAGGTTGCGGTGAGCCAATATCATGCTATTGCACTCCAGCCTGGGCAACAAGAGTGAAACTCCATCTCAAAAAAAAAAAAAGCTGATCTCATGAAGTAGAGAATAGAATGATAGCAGAGCCTGGGAAAGATATGGGTGTGGGTGTTGGGAATGGAGAGAGGTTGGTGAATGGGTATAAACATATAGTTAGATGGAAGAAATAAGTTCTAATGTTGGATAGCAGAGTAGTGTAATAATAGTTATCAACAATGTATTGTACATTTAAAAATAGCTTGAAGTGAGGACTTGAAATGTTCTCAAAACAGAAATGATAAATGGTCCTAGTGACAGGTATCCTAAGTACCCTCACTTGATCATTACACATACTATGCATATAACAAAATATCACCTGTACCCATCAACATATTTACAAATATTACATTTCAATAAAAAAGGCCCCCATCTCTTAATGGTGCTACAATGGCAATTAAATTTCAACATGAGTTTTGGAGAGGACAAAGGTTGAAACAACAGCACTGGTAATGGTCTGTATCTTGATTTTGGTGAAGAGGTTGCATGGATCTTTTCACTGTGTAAAAACTTATAAAACTATGTACTTATATTTGTGTGCTTTTCTCTATGTATGTTATACTTTAATAAAATTGTTTTTTAAAGCATTTGGGTGAGAATAAAATAATTTAGAAAAATTCTACTAGTGGAAAAGAACTTCAGAACACAGAGAGAAATGCAAGACATTGCAAAATTGGTCCTGATGCAAGATACTGCAATGATGAAAGGCCAATTTTTCAGGCCTTTGTTGCAAACCTGAAGTGAAACATCTGATATATTTCTCATTTGCATTGCTAGGAATTTTATCTTTGGACAAACACAGGAATAAAGTGAAAAATGGACCAAGAGCCAATAAAGGAAGAAAACTGGATGGAAACTTTGGGGAAAGTTCACCACAGTGCCTGTATCTGGGGACTGATACTGTATTGGGAAGGAGATAATTCTGGTCATATTCTGCACTAGATTTTGGAAGGAAATGGTCTGAACAATCTCATAAAAGATTGACATGAGTTCTTTGCTAAAGTCTCTAGAAAGAAATATGGCATTAGATGGGTGAGGAACTCTAGAAAATGAAATAAATATGAGTGAATGAATGAATATGAATATAAATGAAATGAATGAAATAAAATGAAATGAAATGGATAACTATGTATCATTCTAATAACAAAGCAAAAGGTGCAGTACCTAGGGAAACTTGATTTCCATAGAACACCTCATCTCAGATATTCAAAGAGATTTCACTGAAGATGGCTGGTTCCAGGAGTAAATGGCCCTCTAGAATATTCTGGAATTATCCAGAAAATCTAAAGTTAAGAATGAGTGGAAACTTAAAAAGAACAATACATTTTAAATAGAGTTTGTACTGTTTAGAGCAAGTAGCTGTACAAGGAGATAATAGGTCCACTATTTGCGGAAGATGTTGCATTAATTTGTTCAACAAATATTTATTATGTTTTTTTCCATGGGGCTTAACTGGTACTGAGGTAGGAGGCAGGACTTGACTGAGGAGGTGGGACTTGGACACTGGAGTAAATTGAGGACTAGCTAAAACAGGGACAAGGTGGAAGCAGTTTTTTCTGAGCCACATCCACCAGCATGCCATGTCAGCTTACCACTGCCATGGCAACAACTGGAAGTTACCCTTTCCATGGCAACAACCCGACAACCTGGAAATTACCACCCTTTTTCTAGAAAATTCCACATATTCTGCCCCTTAATTTGCATATAATTAAAAATGGGTATAAATATGACTGCAGAACTGCCTCTGAGCTGCTACTCGTGGCACACTGCCTATGGGGCAGCCCTGCTCTGCAAGGAGCATCAGTTCTGCTGCTGCTGTACACTGCCACTTCAATAAAAATTGTTGTCTAACATTACCAGCTTGACCTTGAATTCTTCCCTGGGCAAAGCCAAGAACCCTCCCGGGCTAAGCCCCAATTTTGAGGCTCGTCTGCCCTGCGTCAGTACATAGTAGGTGTGCTGCAAATGGGTTTTGAATAAATGAATGAATTCAAAGATCATTAATGGCTGTTCCTGCTCTGATGAATCTGCTGCTGGTGGTGACACAGACGTATCAGCAGTTGCATGATGAAGGCTCTGACTGTGGAACCGCACAGAGTTAGGGAGGAAGAAAACAAGGAGAGAGTTAGAGAAAGCTTCTTAAAGGGAGGAACTTCCTAATCTGTCTGGTTTTAATGAGCTCTGAGTATGTGCCTGAACCCAGGCCAACAATTTTACCAACAAATAGGAAGACAATGTAGAAGATCAGACCACCTATTAGTACTGTGCCCACCTCAGGCCAGCCCTCTCTCAGGGAGACCAAGTCACCCTGGTTACCCAAGTTTCAAGACTTTTAAAAGTAGGCACTGTCTTTATCTCCATTTTGTGGATAAGGAAACTGAGGCTTGGCATGAGAGGTGATTTGTTCAAGGGTCAAACAGGAAGAAAATAGCAGAGCCATGGCTCATACTGTGCCTGATAGCCAAAAACATTACATATCCTCCCATTTTGGATAGGAAGCTGGTTAGATGCCCTGCAAGGTTACTCTATGATTCTGTGGCTCTAGATGATGAGGCCCCATCTTCAGAACTGGGAGAATCTATTGGTTTGGATTGTTCTGCCTCTTTAACCCAAGAAGAGATTTCTTTGGCTTTGTCTCTGTTAGCCTGAATTCTACTGCTACTAGAACATAAAGACAGTGTCTGAGTGCTCTGTGACCCTGGTTGGAGCAGCAGCAAAGGCTGAGAGCCAGCCTTTGCAAAATGAAGAAATTATTTGTAAAAACATTTTGTGGTCTACATTAATGAGCAGTAACTTGATATCAAGTTCTTTATGCAAACAAACTCACATCCATTTGCCTGGAGCCCCGTGCACTGTGCTGTAGCTGGAAAGAAAGTCTCCCCGTTTCTTTGCTAAAGCAGAAAGGTGAACCTTCAGAAAATGGCGATTTATGCTGAAAAACCCTGACAGACCCTTAACTGAAACTGTATGAATTGTGGTCCTGTCATTTACAGCTGGAGACACCCGATGATTTTCTGCTTTTGGTTTAAAACATTACCTAAGCCACTCTGTTATCAATCTTATCTAATGATCTATTTACCTAAAGTACACAATTACAGACAGACACCCATTACAATCCAGGCAGACGAAAGCACATTAACGAAACAAGGAGTCTGTGGGATTGGATTGCCTAGCAATTGGTCTGAAAGTCTGCTTTCCTTGATGTCCAAATGAACAGGCTGTCTAGGGTTTTTCTGTTCACTTTTTAAACAGATAAAATTGTTACAATTATTTAAAAAGCTAAAAGGAAGCATAGGAAGAACTAAGAAATATTGTTAGGTGTCATGATGGAGGGTAGACAGAGAAAGAGAGAGAGAGAAATGGAGAAGAAAGGAAAGAGGTAGGAGAGAGACGAGAGAGAGAGAGAAAGAGAGAGAGCA
The DNA here is from genome assembly GCF_000001405.40 of Homo sapiens. Lineage (NCBI taxonomy): Eukaryota > Metazoa > Chordata > Mammalia > Primates > Hominidae > Homo > Homo sapiens. Next base: position 119,354,051 of record NC_000012.12, on the reverse strand, counting down.
AGCAGGGAGAGAGCAGATAGCTAGAAAGAGGGTGAGAGAGAGTGAGAAAGACAGAGGAGAGAGAGCAAGAGAGCAGGGACAGAGAGAGCAGATAGCCAGGAAGAGGGTGAGCACCACACCCAGCTAATTTTTTGTATTTTTGATAGAGACGGGGTTTCACCATGTTGGCCAGGCTGGTCTCAAACTCTGGACCTCAGGCGATCCACTCGCCTTGGCATACCAAAGTGCTGGGATTACAGGCGTAAGCCACTGCGCCCAGCCACACCCCTTTTTCTCACCCTCTGGGTGTGGTGGTGGGCACCTGTAATCCCAGCTACTTGGGAGGCTGAGGCAGGAGAATTGCTTGAACCCTGGAGGCAGAGGTTGCAGTAAGCTGAGATCACACCTCTGCACTCCAGCCTGGGCAACAAGAGTGAAACTCCATCTCAAAAAAAAAAAAAAAAAAAAAAAAAAGAAGAAGAAGAAGAAGAAGGAGAGAGGGGAGAGAGAAGGAGAGAAACATAGAGAGACAAAGAATGAGAGACAGAGAGAGAGAAATACAGACAGAGAGACAGAGAGACAGAGACAGAGACGGAGAGAGATGGACAGAGAGTGAGAGAGAGAGAGAGATTTTGAGAGATTTGTTTAATGCACAGTTTCCAAACCTTTGGTGAAATAAAAACTGCTTTCTGGAGAGTGACATTATTTGATTTCCTTTGGATCTGTGTTGGCTACTTAGGGGCCATCTGACCTCTGATCAACATCCCCAGCCATTTCATGAAGTTCCCTATCATGGATTAAGGTCCTTTAAGTGCTGAAAGAGGCTATCTTCCTTCACAGGCAGACAAGGAACAGTGGAATCTGGCTTCCTTTCAAGTCAATTTGCAGGAGGACCATGTTCTTATATAAAAAAAAAAGGAGAAAAGGGACACTTTGTTTTGTGAGTGACCCTGAGACAGCTGCATCTGAGGTGAACAGTGTCATAACCCCCTCACCCCCACTCCACCCTCTCAAATGCTCCTGTAACTTCTGAGCTTAAGAGTCTTTGGTAGCAAGGAGGGCTCATAAAAGCTGTATGAGCATCATCTGGAAGTGAATTTATTTATTTTTTTTTAATTTTAATTTTAATTATTGAGACAGAGTCTCACTCTGTTACCCAGGCTGGAGTACAGTGGCACAATCTTGGCTCACTATAACCTCCGCCTCCCTGGTCCAAGTGATTCTCCTGCTTCAGCCTCCCAAGTAGCTTGGATCACAGGTACCTACCACCACCACATCCGGCTAATTTTTATGTTTTTAGTAGAGACGGGGTTTCACCATGTTGGCCAGGCTGGTCTCGAATTCCTGACCTTCAGTGATCCACCTGTTTCGGCCTCCCAAAGTGCTGGGATTACAGGCATGAGCCACCATGTCTGACTGGGAAGTGAAATTTGAGAAACTTGAGAATGAAGCCAAGACTCCATCCCAGCAATTATTAGCAGCTCTGGTCATGTTGCAGAGGGAAATATTGAGACTTTTGGGCCAGACTGGGCTGGTTTTCAGGGTTAGCTTCTCCATCCATTAGCAGTGCAACATCTTATAAACATATTTAAATTCTGAGCCTTTGTTTTCTTATCTGTAAAAAAGAGGTGATAACACCTTCCTCACAAAGTTGTCCTCAGGTTTCAAAACACTGTTTGTAAATCACCTGGCACACAGTGAACCCTTAGTAAATGGTAGGATAACAGGATAGACTAACAGGCAGGATAGTGATATGGTTTGGACCCATGTCCCCATTCAAATCTCAGGTTGAACTGTAATCCCCAGTGTTGGAGGTGGGGTCTGGTAGAAGGCGACTGGATCATGTGGGTGGATTTCCCCCTTGCTGTTCTCACAATAGTGAATGAATTCTCATGATCTCTAGTTGTTTTGAAAGTGTGTAGCTCTTTCCCCCTTCACTTTCTCTCTCTCCTACTGGCCATGTGAAGATGTGCTTGCTTCCCCTTTGCCCTTTTGCCATGATTGTAAGTTTCCTGAGGCCTCCCCAACTGTGCTTCCTGAGAGTCAATTAAACCTCTTTTCCTCATAAATTAATCTCAGGTAGTTCTTTATAGCAGTGTGAGAACTGACTAATACAGAAAATTGATACTGGGAGTGAGGCATTGCTATAAAGATACCTGAAAATGTGGAGATGACTTTGGAACTAGGTAATAGGCAGAGTTTGGAACAGTTTGGAGGGCTCAGAACAAGACAGAAAGATGAGGGAAAGTTTGGAACTTCCTAGAGACTTGCCAAATGGTTGTGACCAAAATGCTGATAGTAATATGGACAATGAAGTCCAGGCTGAGGTGGTCTCAGATGGAAACAAGGAACTTACTGGGAACTGGAGTAAAGGTCACTCTTGCTATGCTTTAGCAAAGAGTGGTTCTTTCATGAATGGTTTAGCACTAACCTCTTGGTTCTGTTCTTACAATAAAGTTGTTACAAGATCTGGTTGTTTAAAAGTCTGTAGCATCTCCCCTTCTCTCTCTGGGTCCTGCTCCTGCCATGTAAGGCTCTCACTCCTGCTTTGCCTTCCACTATGAGTAAAAGCTTCCTGAGGCTTCTCCAGAAGTAGATGCTGCCATGTTTCCTGTGCAGCCTGCAGAGCCATGAGCCAATTAAACCTCTTGTCTGTATAGGTTACCCAGACTCAGGTATTTTTTTATAGCAATGTGAGAATGGACTAATACAGATGGTATGGACTGAGGGCTCAAGATAGGCATCAGACACCAAGTGAAAGTGAGAAAGACCACCCTGAAGGCATCTTCAAGGTAGCTATGGGAGAATGGATCTCTCAATTCTTACCCACTTTGAGAATACAAAACTAGAGAGTGGAAAGGGAGAGAGGCACTTACGAAGCAATTTCATCAACAGCTTCTGTGATGCTTTGAATCCTGACCCCAAAGGGAAGAGGATGCTTTATCCTTCACCTCAAAATGAATGAGGGAGAGGCCACCATTGGGATTGCTCAAGAGCTGAAGATGAGATCCCTGCAGCTGGGGACTGGTGGGCTGGTCTCTGACACCCTCCTGGAAAATCCAGAGAACAGACGCAGGCTGGGAAGTGCTTCTGGGGCAAGGAAGGTAGAGAGATGGAGAATAGCTGCTGCGTCAGGAAGTGGTGCTTGTCTTCAGTGGTATGTCAGGGGTGTGTGAAACCTGGGGATCAGATGTGACACCAAAGGCAGAAACAGCAACCTGGGATCCTGCCCATAATGACTCCCACCAGTATGCAGGACACCCCAATATCATGAGTCTGAATGGGGTGGACTTCTGAAAAACTAGGATCTGAGGGGAGTGCACAGCTGGTAGAAAATATGTTGAGAGCGGGAACCAGAGCATTGTAGTAGAGAACTTTGAAAAAATTACCTTCAGCCAACAAAATTACCTTCAGAATGAGCCAATTTTAGGCATCTGCTGGACCCAGAGAGAATAGAACCATTTTATGGCAGTGCTGATAAGAGCTTTCCCATGTCTCCTATTTTCTTTTCCAGCCAATACAGTTAGAAAGCAAAGGAGAGGCTGGGCATGGTGGCTCACATCTGTAATCCCAGCACTTTGGGAGGCCGAGGCAGGCAGATCACTTGAGGTAAGGAGTTTGAGACCAGCCTGGCCAACATGGAAAAACCCTGTCTCTACTAAAAATACAGCATGGTGAAACTGTGTGTCTACTAAAAATACAAAAAAATTAGCTGGGTGTTGTGGTATGCGCCTATAATCCCAGCTACTTGGGAGGCTGAGGCGAAAGAAATGCTTGAACCCAGGAGGCGGTGGTTGCAGTGAGCCGAGATCATGCTACTGCACTCCAGCCTGGGTGACAGAGCGAGACTCTGTCTCAAAAAATAAATAAATAAATAAATAAATAAATAAATAAATAAATAATAAAGCAAAGAAGAGCTGGGGATCTCCCTGGTTCAAGATAGGGGCACACCCCACATCTCCCTCCTGGGTGGCCTGCCTGAAACCATCCTTAATAGGGAGGAGAACAGGACCACTCTTCTCCTTGAGGGAAGGTTGAAATGTTGCTTAGTATCTTATGTCAATGCTTTTGGTTTTTGAATTGTGGCTGTGTTTTGTGACTTAAAGAGACTACTAGAGTGGCTGTCACCCAAGGGTGAGCAGAAAAGGCACTGGGTACACCATTTTTATGCAGGCTCCAGAGAAGAGCTTCCTGCACTGAAAATATCTGAAGGGAGTAATGAGAGGCAAAGATAAAGTTGGGTTGATTAGATAATCCCAGGCTTCATTCAATGAACAGGGTATATTCGTGATTACTGACATTACAAAAGACGGGATGGAGACTTCACAGGGTTCTTGGAGGGGATGGAGTGGATTGAGAGTCCTGTGGAATGTCTGTCCGTTGTCAACTTCAGGGACTACTGGGGTGAACAGGGTGTCCTTGAAACACGCCCTGGGCCAGGCGCAGTGGCTCACGCCTATAATCCAAGCACTTTGGGAGGCTGAGATGGGCAGATCATCTGAGGTCAGGAGTTTGAGACCAGCCTGGCCAACATGGTGAAACCCTGTCCCTACTAAAAATACAAAAAAATTAGGTGGTACACACCTGTAATCCCAGTTATTCAGGAGGCTGAGACATGAGAATTGCTTGAATCTGGGAGGCAGAGGTTGCAGTGAGCCCAGATTGTGCCACTGCACTCTAGCCTGGGCAACAGAGAGAGACTCTGTCTCAGAAGAAAAAAAAAAAAAAAAAAAAAGGAACACGCCCTGGACCTTGGCCTTGGTGGGTGAAGAGAAGCCAGAAGTGAACAGTTATAAGATGCAGTCAATGTTTTTTCTATCCCCCAAAGCTTCTCAAAGTGGGTGGTTTTCCTTCCTTCTGCTCTTCTTTTGAGAGTGGGGGCATATTTTCTCTCAACCCACCCACCCCCAGTAAAAAGTCAAGTTTACCTTGTTGAGAAATACAGCATAATGGTTAAAAATGATGGATGGTCCACTAACCAGCAGCTGTATGACCCTTGTTGACAGGCTTCCTCATCTGTAAAATGGAATTAATAATGCCTGCCTCTTAGCACTGTAGACTGCATGGAATTGCATAACTCACATAAGGGGTTTGCATGGCACAAGGCACACAATTAAGTACTCAGCCAATAACATGAGTTACTTCTATTATCATGATCATGGCTATATAATGTACCATTTACTTATTCTTAAAACATTGACATAATTTTTAACCTCATGGAGAATACAAAAATATACCTCCAGGACGACCTTGAGAGAATGATGATTTATCAGGAGGAGATTTCTTTTCTCAATACTATGCCATCTTTTTCTGGACAAAAGAGCCTGGCATTACATATACCAGAACATGGAGATGGCTGGGATGCACATAAAACATCAAGAGCATTGAAAAATGTCAATCACAAATCAACCTTAGCTATTATTTTGGACTCAGTCCTTATGAACATTATCTTGAATCTTCACGAGATTCTATTACAGGTGAGAGCTTTCAGCATCAGAGAAGTGAAATGGGTAGTGTAAGGTCACAGAGCAGGCAAACAGCATCAGAATTGGGACTCAAAACCTAGAATGAGCCCGTGACCCAGATGCTAACTCAATCAGCTCTGGCTAGAGTTTGTTTAGTGAAGGAGACTCAAATGTGCTTTTACTGAGGCAATTTAAATCCTGAACCATAGAACACAAGGAACAGGGGACTGGGAAGGCTGTTTGTTGGTTGGGGCAGGAAGTGAAAAGGTGAGGAGGCTAGTTAGGGTTAAAGAAGCATCCAAACTGCTTACTCTGGTTCTAAAAGACCCTGCAGAATGCTCTCACCATTCTCACATTCTCTATGAGAATGCCATATTCACGGTGTCTCAAATTCTTTGGTATCTGCCAATAAGCATTGCTTCCTGAGTTTTGAGGAGCCTCTTTTAAAAGGTCTAAAAATATCAAAGAAGCAGTTTGATTAGCAGAGGATGGGATCAGCTAATGAGCAATAGCAACACAGGCGACAGTCATGTGCTAATTGCCTTTTGGGCATTTTCTTCAAGGGCTCTTAGAAGTGAAACATTTTAGTCATGTTATCCTTTTGGCTGCCTTTTCCTGAATGCATAAAAATGATCAGCATAAGAATCGTCATCTCTGGAAATGTCAGTATTTAAATATTTTAATTCTTGATATTTGGGAGCCATTGGCTTCGATTTTGAAGGAGAATATTAAGAGATAACATTTTGTGAGCACTGACTACGTGCCTGGGGCTGTCCCTGATCCTCTCAACAACCCGATGAGGCAGGAACTGTTATTATTTTTGCATGGAGGAGAGGAAAACTGAGGCACAGAGAGTAACTTGCCCAAGTTTACATAGTAAGTATTAGAATGGTATTCATATATATGGAGCACCCAGCATGTACTGGGAATATAGTAATAAAACATTTGTAGGCCTTGTCCAAATGGAATTTCTAGTTGCCTAAGGAATGTGTTGCCTCACTATGTGGAGCTACCCTTGGTCCTGAGAATAGAGACGAGAATATTGAACATTTTGCCAGTATCAGCCCCTGTGCTAGGCTCTAGGATAGAATCATGAGCAACGCATGGTGTCACCTTCCTCAAGGAGCTACAAGTCCAGTGGTGAGATCAGAAAAATAAACAGGCAATTATGATACAGAATTTTTTTTGGAGAAAATAAAAATTTCAGTGGGTCAGAGCTTGGATTCAGAGTGAATCCATTTAACTTGATATTTACTCAAAGTATTCAACCCAATTAAGCTGTTTACGATTATCAACATTTCAGCCACACACACCCCAGAGCCTCATCTCTCATTAGTTGGGCCTGTCTTCCTCTCCATTTTTTCTAGCAGGTTTTGGCAGTATATTGATCCAGTATCAAAATATGTCTTTTTTAGAAATGTGACTCTAATTAGAAATGGCTTATACATCTTCATTGAAATGAACATTATTTAGAAAGATGAGTCTAGGCCGGGCACGTGGCTTATGACTGTAATCCCAGCACTTTGAGAGGCTGAGGTGGGTGGATCACGAGGTCAGGAGTTTGAGACCAGCTTGACCAAGATGGTGAAACCCCATCTCTATTAAAAATACAAAAGTTAGCCAGGCATGGTGGGGCACGCCTGTAACCCCAGCTACTCAGGAGGCTGAGGCAGGAGAATCGCTTGAACCCAGGAGGCAGAGGCTGCAGTGAGCCCAGATCACGCCATTGCTCTCCAGCCTCGGTGACAGAGCAAGACTCTGTCTCAAAAAAAAAAGAAAGAAAGAAAGAAAGAAAGAAAGAAAGAAAGAAAGAAAGAAAGAAAGAAAGAAAGAGAAAGATGAGTCTAAGCCACATGCAGGTTTTTTCTCCCTCTTCTTCTCATCCTTAGCTGTGTTTTTTTCTGGCAGAAACCTGCTAGCATATTTTAGCAAAAGCTCAAGAAAATGCAAATATCCTTGTCTGTGGTCACGGGCACAGTCACATTCTTGTTTGCATTGCCTACAGCTAAAATTGGCACTTTCCCCTTTCTTCCAGAGGCTTTTTAAACATATTCTTTAAAAATTGCACCAATAGTTGCCCCTTTTAGAGAGATACTTGCCCCTTCTTACTGCAACCTACCAGGCTCATCTTAAGAGCACAGGCTTTCTGTAGTTACTTGGTTCTGGATTCAAATCCTAACTCCATCACCTGCTTCTCTGGTGTCTCTGGACAGGTTGCAAAACTTCTTCAAGCCTCAGTTTCCTCATCTCTACAAGTAGAGGTTAGATGTCATGATAGCACCTGCCACACTGGATTGAAGAGTTCATTTTAATAATATAGGCAAAGAAATTGGTGCAAAATAGATGCTCAGTAAGTGGTAGCCATTTTTTTTTCAAGTGCCATCAAGGGAGCCTAGCAATTTCCAGGTTAAGATTCCCTGTTTCTTCAGATGAAGACAAAGAAATCAAAGAGGTTAAGTGATTTGTCCAAAGTCATACAGCCAGGCCAGGTACAGTGGCTCACACCTGTAATCCCAGCACTTTGGGAGGCCGAGGTGGGTAGATCTCTTGAGCCCAGGAGTTCGGGATCAGCCCGGGCAATATGGCAAAACTCCATCTCTACTAAAAAAAAAAAAAAAAAAAAAATCAGCTGGGTATGGCGGCATGTGCTTGTAAACCCAGCTATTTGGGAGGCTGAGAAAAGAATCCCTTGAACCCGGGAGGTGGAGATTGAATTGAGCTGAGATCGCGCCACTGCACTCCAGCCAGGGTGACAGAGTGAGACTGTCTCAAAACAAACAAACAAAAAAAAACAAAAAACAAACAAACAAAAACAAAAGTCATACAGCCAGATAGTGAGAGAGCTGGGAACCAGGCCTCTTAATTCCAGGTAAGGGCTATGCCTGCTCCACCACCATTCAAATTTCTGGAAAGATATTGCCGTGAAAAACCATAAGGATTTGGCTGTTTGAGGGGAGGTCTTGAGAGGCAGCTCCGTTTCTATGTCCCATCTAAACTGACTGTTTGAGGAGAGGTCTTGAGAGGTACCTCCCTTTCTATGTCCCATCTAAACTGCAGGCCCCATTTGCTGTCTCTCTCTTATTTATTTATTTATTTATTTATTTTTGAGATGGAGTCTCACTCTGTCACCAAGGCTGGAGTGCAGTGGCATGATCTGGGCTCACTGCAACCTCCGCCTCCCGGGTTCAAGTGATTCTCCTGCCTCAGCCTCCTGAGTAGCTGGGATTATAGGCACATGCCACCACACCTGGCTAATTTTGGTATTTTTAGTAAAGACGGGATTTCACCATGTTGATCAGGCTGGTCTCGAAATCCTGACCTCATGATCCGCCTGCTTTGGCTTCCCAAAGTGCTGGGATTACGGGCATGAGCCACCGTGCCCAGCCTCCTTTTTCTGTCTTAAGCAGGGTTGGTTTGGCTTTAATGTTATACTTATGAGACAAGAGAGCACTAGAAAGAGCTTACTCATCTAAGTCTTAATTGTACGTCTGATGTGGCAGGTCCTGTGGGATACCAAAGTGGTGGCAACAAAAAAGCCACCATGTTTCTTGCTCTGGAGGAGCTTACAGTTTCCTAGGGAAGATAGTATTACAAAGGGGAATTTTATGGTGCAAAAGAAGCGTGTGACCTGGATGGGGAGGTGGTGGCCAGGGAAGGCTTGTCAAAAGAAGTGATATTAAAGCTGACATTGAAGGAAGTAGGAGAGATTGTGTGTGTGTGTGTGTGTGTGTGTGTGTGTGTGTGTGTGTGTGAGAGAGAGAGAGAGAGAGAAAGAGAGAGAGAGAGAGAGAATGTTCTAAGAGGAGGAAGAAGATATAAGGCAGAAATTCCAAAACTAGTGTGGCTCCTTAGTGGTGACCAAGTGAAGAAAGATGAGGCTGAAGAACCTGCCATGGGCCAGATCATGCAGAGACTTTTAAACTTCATTAAAGATATTCGTCTTCATTTTCAGGACAATAGAGGGTCATTGAATTGTTTTAACAAGGGGAATGACAGTATCACACTTGCATTGAAAGATAATGGGTCAGATGGAAGGTAAAAAGTACAGTAATGGGGCCAATGGGGTGGTCCAGGCAAGAAATAATGGTGCTATGGACCAGGTAGTAACCTTGGGGAAGGAGGCAGCATCCACTGAACACCCACCCTGTGGTAGTTAATTGGACATACGGGGTGATGAAGAGGCAGAGGTCATAGATGAAGCTTGGGTTTCTACTTGAACAACTGGGTACATGACGGCATCATTTATTTAGACGGGGAAGGTTTTACCATCAGATAGGCATTCAACTGGGGAAGGGTAGTCAAGACTTTAGTATCCTTCTGCTGGTGATTCTCAACTGTGGATGGTCTTGCCCCCTGAGGACATTTGGCAATACTGAGATGTTTTTCGTTGTCACCATGGGGAGGCTGCAACTGTCATCTAATAGGGAGAGGTCAGGAATGCTGCTTCACACCCTGCAATGCAAGGGACAGCCTATCTGGCCTCAAATGTTCAATAGTGCCAAATTTGAGAAACTCTGCTGAAACGTAAAGCCTGGAGAGAAGTAACACACTAGATATTTCCAATTATTTAAAGCTTTAGTGGGAGTTCATGGGGCAAAGTCCTCCCTAATTTGACAACCCTTTGGGACAGAAACTTGGGTAACTTTGGGTATGGAGAAGGAGAGTATGAAAAGAGTGATCTGCTGGAGCTCTGTGAGGCAGCATTTTTTCAGACAGGATACCAAGAAAGAAGTTGTTTTTTGCAGGAGAATGGTAATACGCCCCCTCCCTTCCTCCCTGATGTATTAGAAAATGAGTTCTAGGTTTGGCTCAGTGTCTAGTACCACCCAAGTCTATATCCAGCCAACGTTCAAGATTCAGATGGCTTCACTGCACCTGTCTTTCCATGATAGAACTTGTTTCTACCTCAAGCTTATATATACATATATATATATATATATATATATAGTTTGCCTTTCTTTTGGTACTTGTTATTCACTATCTTGATTCATAGTTATTTATAAATGTTCTTTCCAACAGCACTGTGGGTTCCTTGGGAGAAGACCACAAGTCTGCTGCATTTTAGCGCCCTCAAAACATCTGTCACATGGTAGGTGCTCAATATATACCTCAAAAGATGACCCTGATCATGTACCAGGCTGCAATGAGGGATAGTCTCTCTCTGTTCTGCCCCTGATCTACAGCCACTATGAAACCCCTGACAATGCTGAACCTATCCCAGAATCTGTCCCAGTTGTATAATCTCCCCGCTTAGTGAAATCCAGAAACCCCGAGGCATTTCCAAGCTTGCAAGCCGATTGCCAGACGCGGCTAATTTTCAAGTTATTAAATAAAACTACCGATTGCATAAATTCCAATTTAGGCAGAAATACATTAGATCAAAATTGAGCCCCGCAAGAAATTTTCTCAGCAGAGTTTGAAAACAGGAATTTAGAAGGGAAAATGCCACCATCTCATGATAGAAGGTATCCCATTATGATGATTATGATTTTGAATTTAGCTGTCAGAAATATCTCTGAGAAAAAATATGTTGGTTTATTCAGTCCAAGAAAGGTTTAATTGGCTTCTGTCAGATTTTTTGTAAGTGCTATTTGCCACTGAACCCCATATGAATTTTTGCAGCTTTTGAATTTAACAGCTGATGGCTGTGGGGATGTTGAAAGGAAGTCAAGAATAAGTTTCTTTCCACAGTTGTGCAAAGGCTTATCTAACCAGAATTTCCTTAAGCCTCACCAAACAGTGAAACAGATGGGGGTCACAGGAATAAAGATGGCACACATTCCATTTGTTTAGATCCATGCTTGTGTTATTCTCCCTACATTTTTCAGAGTGTCCAGAGTGTCTCATTTGATTTTCTTTATTCACTTCTGTGTCCCCACCACCTATAACCATGCTTGGCCTATCCTTGGAACTCAATACATGTTAGTTGAGTGAATAAATGTTCCCACTGGGGGAACTCTACTTTTTCCCTCACCCCCACAGCTCTTTGATGGGTACTACTATGGACAAGTGCCCTTGAGATTCCTAAGCAGTTGTTGTGTAGGGTAGGGGATAGGGATGACTCCTTTTTTGGGTTACCCTCTGTCAATGCATGGCTTGGGATCCCTATTATTTGAATTTTTGTGAAATCATTTGTGCAAGTCACTGCTGAATAGTCAATCCAGTACTCATCTTCAATATCACCATCGCTTCCTTGCTCCTGCTTTCTATACTCATGTTAGATGCATACTTTCCCAGCCATTCTTACTGCTAGAAAAGAGAGGTGACACTGTTCTGGAAAATTAGAAATAGAGAAAATAGGTCAGGAAGGTTCTTGGAAAGCTTCTGTTTCCCTCATAAAAGGGACAAACATAGCTTTTCCTCTCTGCTTTTTCCTCTTTCTGCTGGAATATGGATGTGGGACAGCCATTTTGTGACCTGGGACAGCCATTTTGTGACCATGAGGGAAAGGGCCTTGGGCCTTGCCAGCCTGATGCTAGTGAGCTCTCGAGCCAATGCCAACAGCTATCCACCTCCAGACTTCTCACATGAGAAAAATAAATTCCTATTTGTTTACTTCGCTGCTTTTCAGTTTTTCTCTTACTTGCAGCCAAAAACAACCCTAATTTATATATGGTGTTTTCCTTTTATTTTTCCTCACTACCCTTTGGCTCTCTATGGGATTAAAAGATGAATAATGGGACTGAGCTGAGAGGTAAATCCAAGGAACTCAAACCATGCTCAGGAGCACCCCCTTCTCTACAACTAACACATTGCATCTCTCATGCAAATATATTCTCATACCAACTCTAAAAATATCTTTGGACCTGCTTCTTCCCTTCTACCCTTAAGCTGAGGCCTGGCCTCATTAATGATGGACCTCACTATGTGACTTTACAGTTAATACTCAGTTTCCTCTAGACTTCATCTCTGGGTTGGCCATATCTTCAAAACAGTCATGGTAGCACTCATGTCCAATCAGAGAAGGGAGAGGAGCACAAGTAACAATAATGACCATGTCACCACTTAGTGGAGGCTAACTGGGTATCGTGCTCAGTATTTCACATGCATTATTTTATTTAATCCTTCCAAAACATCTATGCCATAGATCTTATTGTTCTTCAACCCCATTTACCAGAAACTCACACTAGAGTGTCAAAAAGAGGATTTGAACCCACCTTTGCCTGACTTCAAAGGCAGAGCTTCTAACTAATTACAAAGCTTATTATCCCATCAACAAGACTCTTGGATCATTTCTTCACTCCTCTCCCACCCTCCCCTCCCCCTGCAGAGCAGCTGCCTCCTTGCAGATGGGACAAATAGCCTGCTTCATTTTGTCCAGCATGAAGAGTGCCGATCGCTCTTCTCGTGTCAGGAGGTAATGAACACACTCCTTCCCTGCATCCTGATTTATCATGGAAAAGAGCCGACTGTCACATGCCCATGCAATTAGACACAGCAAGATTCGCTAAGGCAAGCATTGCCTGTCCAAAGCATTAGGCCATAAAGATAACAAAACAAAACAAAAAACCAAACAAACCACCTAAACAAAAAACATGAATTCTGCAATTTATCTCATGCAGTAGCAATGGAGCTAGAAGAACCTCTTGGAGAGAGAAAAGAGTCCCTTCTCCCTCATTTCTCTTTTCCTGGCTTAAGTCATGAGTGATATAAAAATGGAACAGCCAGCTGAGATTCTTTAGAATTGAATCTCAAGTGGTTGTTAGATATTTTGTTTTATTTTTTTCAGGGTAATCAGTGATTCCATGCAGGGGGCGTGGTCTCAGTGATTAGAGGCCAGAGAGATCACTGAGCGCTGACGTCACCTTTAACAAAAACCAATGACTCACTACAGCCCGCCATTTATCTCTTCAGGTCACAATTTCTTCTATTTGGACAAGGAGGAAAATCGTTTTATGTTTGCCATGGAAACGTATTGTGCTGGGAGTCCAGGTTTCTCTTGTTGGGGAAAATGTTTCTCAAATATGTTGGTTCTCCTTTTCCGACTCCAGGCAGCCCAGCTGGGTATATGCTGGATTGGGCTTCTAAGGCTGTCTCTGGAGACATCCATCCTCATCACTTGGTGGTGGGGGGCAGGGGGTGGGGCGGCAGGAAGGATGGAGACCGTCAGGCCCAGGTCTTTTCCATACCTGGGTTTGCCCCCTTCTTCAGGCACCTGCCAACTTACCTCTCAGCAGAGAACTAGACCCTGGGGATCTTCAAGCCCCAGTCTACCTAGGTACTAAAGCTTATTAACAATACCTCTATTATGGAGTTGTTGAAAGGATTAAACAACGCCGTAATGGTGGCTACCATTTAATGGTATTTACTGTATGCCAGGCTCTGTTCTAACAGCATTACCCACATTAAGTCATCTAATTCCCACAACACCCCTTTGATGGGGAAGCATTTTTACATGTATTTCATCTATCCTAAGATGCACCTTTTCTTTCTGCATTTTAATACCTCTGAAACTGAGACATATAATTGAAACAGGTGATAGTTTAATTTGTTAAGTTTTCTTTTTTAGCAGCACAAGAAAATGGTGATGCATCTGGAAATGGAAGGCTTCTTGGATTAGATAAAACGTGATAACGCTTGTTTCACAGAGCAGCAAACTGAGGCACAGAGAGGAATTGAGTAACCCAAGATCACACAACCTAGTAAGTGGCAGTGTTGGGGTTCGAACCCACAGAGTTTGCCGAAGAATCTACTCTTTTATTGGTTGGTTGATTTACTGAGACAGGATCTCGCTCTGACACCCCAGCTGGAGCACAGAGTTTGCGAAGAATCTGCTCTTTTATTGGTTGGTTGATTTATTGAGACAGGATCTCGCTCTGTCACCCCGGCTGGAGTATAGTGGCACAATCACAGTTCACTGCAGCCTTGACCTCCTGGGCTCAAGCAAGCCTCCTGCCTCAGCCTCCCAAGAAGCTGTGACCATAGGCATATGCCACCACACCTGGCTAGTTCTTTTGTTTTGTTTTGTTCTGTTTTTACTTTTTGTGGAGATGGGGTCTCACTTTAGTGCCCAGGCTTGTCTCAAACTCCTGGGCTCAAGTGATCCTCCTGCCTCGGCCCCCCCCAAAGTGTTCAGATTATAGGCATGAGCCACTGCGCCTGGCAGAATCTGCTCCTTTAATCACTAAAAGCTAGGATATGAGCAAGTCACCCAGAATGGTTCCTGGAAGTTTTAGGATCTGCCCAAATTAGGGATGCTGCTTTTCTCTCTGGGTTTTTAATGACAACGAGGTGGAAAGTTCAGACACTAAGAGACAGAGCTTGTATAAAGGATTGCAAACCTTTACAGTTTTTGCCAAATGCTACTTTTGAGTTTTCATTCTAGAACATAAAGGGGGATGTTCTAAGCACCTCTCTTTTTCAGCCTTTTCCAAGGCAGAAATCGTGGGTCCGTGGTAATCCTATACACAATCTGCTTCTCCCCTCCCCCATGTCTGATCCCATTAGACTTCGTCTGCTTCCTTAGGAAACAAAGGGAAAAGGGACTCCCTAAGCAGATTAGGGAACCCAACATAAGGGCAAGCTAGACGGTTTCTTTAACAAAAGACTTTCAAACAGAGGATTTGCATATGTTATTTATATTCCCTCAGTTAAAAAAAACAAAAACAAAAACCATGAAGAGCCTGTACAAGGCAGTTGCCAGTGGAACATTCGTTAGGATATAGCAATGTCCAACCCTGTGAGAAAGGAAAATGGCCAGTTCAGAGGGCTTCGAGACCCTTTTGAGGTTTTTTCCAACAGTCATTCATTATACTAGTATGCAGGGGACTCTTAATATTACCACGCAGCCAGTGTGGCTATACCTTCCCCCGGGAGAGGCCACTCCTCATATTCCTCCTCATTAGACACTTACCGGGCCGCCTGGCATTTTGTGATTCTACTTTTAGGTGTCGTTCCCTTTCCTCCTCCAAACAAACCTGGAAGCTATTTGAAGCCAATGATTGTGTCTTACACCTTATTTTTGTAGCCCCTGTGGTGCTGGGCACATTGAACAGAACAACCATTTATCACAGCTTGACTAGAATGGTGAGATGGAGAGGACTTGTGCTCAGAGCCAGACAGATATGAATTCAAATCCCAGTTCTGTTCCTTGCCCGTTGGGTGCCCTTGGGTAAGGGACCTGTCCTCTCTGAGCCTCAGTGTTGCCATCTCATGAAGAGGTAACAGTTCATAGCTTGAAGGATTGTAGAAGGTTCTGAAAATATCACACTTAAGAGTTTTTTGAGTTCAATACGTGGCACATGATGCATGCATACTCAATACATGCCAACTATCGTCATGATCATGATCATGACTGCAGTTATTATTCATTTGATTTACCCCAGACATCAATCCTGATCTCTACATATTTCCTTGTGGCTTGTCACTTTCTATTGACGCTAGATTAGGTTAATTAATGCTTTACTATAACTCTAAAACCTTGAAATTCCTAAGGGCATGATCTTTTGAATGTGAGCTAGGAACCCCTGGGGTCTTCATTATTTCCTAGAAAGTAGAGAGGGGTGCGAAGGATTTCAATGAGGCTTTCGGGCCGGAAGTCTTGGTCTATCCAACAGTTTCCTGGAAGCCTTCTTCCCATTGCTTGACATCCCTGAGTCCCACTACCCTCCTCCCAAGAAAGAGATGATCATTTCATCTTCTACATCTTCCTCCACTCTCTACATCTCTCTATGGTAGGATGAAAAACTCTATTACATTTATTTGAGTACATGGCTTGTTTCTTCCCAAAATCCAACATGGAGACACACACACACACACACACACACACACACACACACACACAAATACACACACACACATGCGTGAATCTAAATTAGCTGTCCCTTTTCTTTGCTCCCACAACACCCTCTGATACTTCCTCAACACATCATTAATCAACCTGCATTATAACGTTTCTTATCTCTTTTACTCCCCATCCCAAGCATACACACTATAGATTGTAAGATTCTTGAAGGCGAGTCTCATTTTTAACTAGAGCAAGTGTTTAGCACCTAACAGCAGTGCAATAAATGTTTACTAAATAAATGAAATAACAATAGAACTAAAACCTAAAGTGTGCTTACTATATGTCAGGAACTGTGCTCGTAGCTTTTGGCGTACGTTAACTCATTTAATGCTCACAGCAATCCCATGAGGAAGCTCTATGACATTCCCGTTTTGCAGATGGCAGCACTGAAGCGGAGCAGCTCTGCAGCTTGCCCAAGACCACAGGGCTGCGAAGAGGCAGATCCAAACCCAGGGTGATTCTGTCTGCTGCTCCCGCTCTGATGTTCACCCTCGCTATTGAAGTGTTCATTTCCCTCTTCATTCTTTCCCTCATTCATTCTCCCACCGCTATGCTGGGAAGTTCAGTCCCAGAGCGGGCTGCTCTGGATTGAACATCCTTCTGTGTGGTATTTTGAGATGAAAGGAGATGGAAAAAGGCTGTATCTTGCAGAGTGGTCTTGCTAAGAGGGCTGAGTAATGAGGAGTGCACAGAGATGGGTTAAGCCTTAGAGAAGAGCAGCTTGGGAACATTTTGGACCACATGGAGAGCCCTTGTGAGTTTTAAGCTCTCCTTCACAGACTGACCACCTGCCAGGCCCTCCTTCCTGGGGCATGACTGTGAGCCACAACTGTGCCTTGTGGATGCACTAGAGTGGACCAGCATTGCTGACCTTGGCCAGTCCATGCAAAGTGGGGTTTGAGGATACAATAACAAATGCACACTTACAGTTGTGCTCGTCCAGTTATGATCATTTAAAAAACAGGAACCATTAACTCCAGTCATTCAGTACGTATCGATTTTTCTTTGTTTTTCAAATCAACAACACTGTTTCATGTCCCATAAACACATTATCCAGCGTTAACATCACAGTGGACAATTTTCATAGCTTATTCGATTTAGTCCTCACACTGCTTCTGCCTAGTTGATGTTCCTGTTCTAAATTCATAGACACAAGGAAATAAAGCCTCAGAGAGGCTAAGCAATTCACCTGTCTAAAGTCACACAGCTGGTGCGTGGCAAACCTAGCCTTTGAACACCAAAAGTTGACCCTCTGCAGCCTCTCCATAGAGAGAGGGGATATGCCTGTTTCTGGAGACCAGCAGATCTCTGAGAGTAAGTCCTGCAGACGGCAAACCTACAATTCATCTTAATTTTTTTCTGATGTTCTACAGTGTCATTGCTGATTTATTCCATCATTTTGGAATTACTGGCTAATAGGATGGCCCAGCTCACTGATCTGGTTCGCGTTTTCACTCTTTAAGAGAAACCAGCCATTGATAGCAACGGGAATGTGTCTCGACAATTTAATCACACCATGACTCTCCTCTCTCTCCCTCTCCCTTGTTGGTTTCGAGGCTAATTCCTTTTTTTGTATTATTATACTTTAAGTTTTAGGGTACATGTGCACATTGTGCAGGTTAGTTACATATGTATACATGTGCCATGCTGGTGTGCTGCACCCACTAACTCGTCATCTAGCATCAGGTATATCTCCCAAAGCTATCCCTCCCCCCTCCCCCCACCCCACAACAGTCCCCAGAGTGTGATGTTCCCCTTCCTGTGTCCATGTGATCTCATTGTTCAATTCCCACCTATGAGTGAGAATATGCGGTGTTTGGTTTTTTGTTCTTGCGATAGTTTACTGAGAATGATGATTTCCAATTTCATCCATGTCCCTACAAAGGACATGAAAACCATAAAAACCCTAGAAGAAAACCTAGGCAATACCATTCAGGACATAGGCATGGGCAAGGACTTCACGTCTAAAACACCAAAAGCAATGGCAACAAAAGACAAAATTGACAAAAGGGATCTAATTAAACTAAAGAGCTTCTGTACAGCAAAAGAAAGTACCATCAGAGTGAACAGGCAACCTACAAAATGGGAGAAAATTTTCGCAACATACTTATCTGACAAAAAGCTAATATCCAGAATCTACAATGAACTTAAACAAATTTACAAGAAAAAAACAAACAACCCCATCAAAAAGTGGGCAAAGGACATGAACAGACACTTCTCAAAAGAAGACATTTATGCAGCCAAAAAACACATGAAAAAATGCTCATCATCACTGGCCATCAGAGAAATGCAAATCAAAACCACAATGAGATACCATCTCACACCAGTTAGAATGGCAATCATTAAAAAGTCAGGAAACAACAGGTGCTGGAGAGGATGTGGAGAAATAGGAACACTTTTACACTGTTGGTGGGACTGTAAACTAGTTCAACCATTGTGGAAGTCAGTGTGGCGATTCCTCAGGGATCTAGAACTAGAAATACCATTTGACCCAGCTAATTCCTATTTCACTTGTTCTCGAAAACATGATTGGTTTCAGCAGAGGGGAGACTTACCTGCCTTAGGTTCTCCGAGGCATAAAAGGGCCGGACAGCCCCCGAGTTGGGGGAACTCTGAAGCTTCTTGGTGGCTGGAACCTTGGTCATCTTAAAAATCCTTCAGGTTTTAGCCTGTGCCCCCAAGACAAGGATTTTTCCAGAATCTTCTACTTCAGTAGTTACTGGTATGAGAAGTTTCGGCAACTTCTCCCTGATCCCCAAGTCCCAATTACACGAACTCCAAAGCGGTTTCCTTCTGAAGAGTAATGAGAAAGCACCTGGGTCTCCCACAGACGGGATAAGGAAGTCCGGGTAGGGCAGAATCAGGCAAGCCTGGACTTATTTACTTTTTGAAAGGTTATAAACTTCTGTAAGCTTCCTCCTCTTCGGAAGGGATATCTTTCTCTTCTATAAGCAAAATAAAATATGAACTAAAAAATAAATAAAATTCCAGTGACAAAGTGTGAGAGGGGTCCCATGGAGGGGCTCCCAGATCGCCATCCTCCGAGAGCGGCCGAGAACTAAGGCGGCCCCAACGAGGGGTTTATCGCACTGCGGGGAAAGTAGGCAACTGCTAACCCTTGGGCCGGGTGGGGGTGGGGGGAACCCAGTTGCTTGGCAACGGGACGCCGAGGAGGGCTTCCTCATTGGCTGGAATTCGTGGGGGCGGGGTCATGGGGGTCGTGAACTCTCCCAGGTTGCTGGGACGCCGGCTCAGAGCAGCCGGCTGCCACCGGAGCTGCATTCTCTAAACAAATTGGTTTCTGTTTTTAGGCCTGAGGACCATACCCTTTCTCTCTGCCTGACTACAAGCGAATCCTTCTTTTCAAACTCTGCTCTGTACTGCTGCTAACCCACTAGTAATTTTTTGTGCCTTGGGGTGGGTGGCCTGTAGTCCTGCAATTCTTAACCTGAGATGCCTATTTCTCCCGTTTTTCCACCTGACAAACTCCTGCTCATCCTTCAAAGCCCTTCATTTCATAAAATGAAATATTGTTATTCCATTTATTTAGCAAAGATTTATTGACTCTGCTAAAATAAAATATAATAAAGTAAAAATGAAATTAAAAAAAATGAGACCTTCAGGACTTCACGATCTATAGTGTGTATGTTTGGGATGGGGAGCAAAAGATAAGAAACATTGTTATAAGGCAGGATGATTTATGATGTGCTGGGAAAGTATCATAGGGTATTGTGGGAGCAAAGAAAAGGGACAGCTGTATATAGATATAGATATATGCACACACATACATATACACATATATGAATATACATATGTAGACATGTATATATGTGTGTATATACGTATTTGTGTGTGTGGGCATGTATGCATATGACATTTATTGAGTGCTTAGGATGTGCTAGACACTGTTCTAAGTGTCACATACTGACTCAATCCATACAGCACCTCTTTAAAGAAGGTGTTTTATTACCCCATTGTACAGCCTAAGCAACTGAAGCACAGAGACATTAAATGACAAGTTTAAAGTCACGCATGTGCTGCAGCTGAAATTCAAAGCCAGAACTGTTTGAGTCTAAAGAGCAAGCTTTTAACCACTTAGATGCCTAACTTTGCTGAGTTTGGCTTCTATGTCTTTAAAATGGGGATACTATCTTTGCCACAGGTTGTTAAGAATTGAAGTGGATGATGCATATGAAGGCTGAGCCCATGGGGAGTCCTAGCTAAGTGGTACTATTATTATTCCCTGACATCACTTCCCGAGGAAGAATCAGGCATTCTCACTGTGCTGGGTTCATTTCACAGCAGATGTTAGTACTAACTGATATTTATTGATCACTTGCTCTGTGCTAGGTACTGTACTAAGCACTTCGCATACATTAATTCATTTAATCCTTCCAATAACCCTACGGGGTAGGTTCCCAGCCTGCAGCAGATTTATTTCGTATGTTTGGATTTGAATGCCTTATCCTTGGCATTGTTTCACACTGGATCGATCTGATTCCTGTTTTATCCAACAACCTTGAGCTGCTGGGGATTATGATATCATTATGGCTGCATCTTCTCTCTTTCTTTCTTTCTTTTTCTTTTTCTTTTTTTTTGAGGCAGAGTCTTGCTGTGTTGCCCAGGCTGGAGTGCAGTGGCGTGATCTCGGCTCACTGCAACCTCCGCCTCCCGGGTTCAAGCGATTCTCCTGCATCAGCCTTCTGAGTAGCTGGGATTACAGGGGCATGCCACCAGGCAGGCCAGGCTAATTTTTGTATTTTTAGTAGAGACGGGGTTTCACCATGTTGGCCAGGCTGGTCTCAAACTCCTGAACTCAAGTTATCTGCTGGGATTACAGGTGTGAGCCATGGCGCCCAGCTCATCTTCTCTTTAGAAGGCATCTACTGCAAGATGACACTCTACAGAATGCAAAATACCTAGCCAAGTAACTCTAGATGCTGGTGCCTGAAAGTCATTATTTTCTCACCATTGCCTAAAGACTGACCCTGACCTTCCCTTTCACAGGAAGTTTTGGTTCTCCGGCTTCTTTTGTGGGCAGCATTAAGCAATCGGCAGACACTTTCAGAATGAAGCAGATAAAGGGAATCATGTTTGGGAGATAGGGCTGGGGATGAGGGGATGAGGGGATGAGAAAACAAGGCAGGATGGGAAATGTTCAGCCCTGAGCAGAACAGACAAAAGCTGTCTTCATATGATTTTGTAGAACAGGCTTGGCAAAGAGGAACTCAACTAGTTCTGTATTAGCTCAAAGAATAGGAGGAGGTTTGGGCTCAATAGGAAGAAATGTGTACACAGCAGAACATAATTTTAAAAGGTGTGACCTCTGGAATCCAACTGAATTAGCCACTGAGCAGCTTCAATGATAATTCTCATAGGACTGTGATGAAAACCAAATGGGATAACTCATGCAAAGCACAATGCCTAGCACGGAGGAAGTGCTCAATAAATATTAGCCCTTATTTCCTTTGTTGTTTTTATAATACTCACCTGTCAGAGCCATGTAAGAACTGGAAATAGGAAGGGCTCTAGAACTGAAAAGACATGCGTTCAATTCCTGGCTCTGCCATTTGTTACCAATAAGACCTGGGTCAAGTTCACTTCTCCAAGCCTCAATTTTTCACGTGTATAAAACTCATGTGTAGTGAATGGTTATGCCAATTTTATACCTGCTACCAGGATGATGAAGCAAAATAACGAATTTCCCTTCTCTGTCTAGGAAGGGGTATATTCTTTAGAGAGGGAACAAACTACCCAGCACTAGAGGTGTTCAACTAAATGCCATATGGCTTCTTGGATTTTTGATCACTTGGGGGTGTCAGACTACATGATATTTAAGGCTCTTTCCAAACCGATATTGAGAGACTATATGGAGTACTAGTTGAGCTGGTGTCTAAATCCCAACTCAGCCATTTACCAGCTGTGTGACTTTAACTAAGTAACTTATCTGCTCAAAGCTTTGGTTTTCTCATTACAGAGTGAAGATAATAGTACATTCGTGAAAATGGTATCATGTACATAAAATATTTAGTACAGTTGGCACATAATACATGCTCAATAAATGCTAGCTGTTGTTTTTTTTAATCGTATGAACAGAAGTATTTTCTAGAACGATTTAGTGCTTTGGGGGGCCAACTAGAGTTAGTAAGAAAAGCTCTTTGGTCTTATGGCATCTCCCAATCTAGCTCTAGCTGGGTGGAGAAGAATCTCTCTCTCTCTCTCTCTCACACACACACACACACACACACACACACACACACACACACACCGAAACAGTATATAAGGTGTTAATTGGGATCCTCCAAGAAGATGCCAGAATAAGATTACATGTGCTAGGGATTTATAGAGGAAAATGGTTGTGAAGGATAAAGGGGAAGGAAGAAGGAGTATATAAGGAGAGTCTGTTGAAAAGGAGAAGGAAGAAAGGATTGGGTAGGAAAAGCCATGCACTGAGACACAGCTCTGAGAAAGTCTCAGCCAGGCTGACAGGGAGACCCTGAGCCAAAGTTGCCCAATGGATGAATCTCCCATTGCACAGGAAAGTCCTGGTTCTAGGACCCCTATTCTGCTCAGTGATTATCTAGGAACAGCTGGGTGTAGGATGTACACAGTAGATTCAAAATGCAGCATCTGTCAGTCAACTATGCTCCCTGCAGTTTTCTCTTGGTGAGGCATCATCTCAGCTGCAGACCTCCATGGCCCTACCAGGTCATCTCTTAAGCTGCACAGATTCACTTTAGAATGCATGCCCAAGGAACAGTCCCTCCCTCCTGGCTCCTGTGGATATCCTTTCCTGACAGAAAACTTAGAAAAGGGAAATTAGTGGGACCAACTATAGCCTCCATCATTGCAACTGGCATTGGGGGCTGAAATTGGTGTTTGTTCTTTTCCTTCTTCACTATACATTCTAAATTCCCCCTCACGCTTAGCTCTTCCCTCTCTAGGTCTAGGCTTAGGTAGTGGAGTGACCAAAATCTTTATTCCTGAGAATTCTGAGCCTTTAAGTAAATCTGCTCTCCTCACTGTCTCAGGGTTGCTGCATGTATCCATTCCTAGTTAAAACTGATCAAGAGAGTACTTATTAGGAGGCACCCAAGTGGATCACTCAGTTTCCATATATGTTCCTTCCTGCCCCTATCTGTATAATCACTGATCAGGGTCAATTGTCCTTGCTAAAATTGTGACTCCTCTTCTCACCTGCTGGTTCCTGGGCACAAAGTGTCTGGTGGCAGCTATAGCTAAGAGTTAATACAATCCGTGCTGTGTCCCCTGGCAAGAGTGTACCCACTTTGGGAACCTGGACCTCTCACCCTACATAGCCCAGAGTTGCAGAAATGGAAAGAACGCACTCCCTCAGTGCCTCATTGGGCATGAGGGCAGTGGGAACCACTCCTGGTTCCACTTATTGGCTCCTGAATCTCTGGGGTTCCCAGATCTTCGTTCCCATTGGGAACACAAAGTTGTATAGAAGTCTGATTTGATGCATGTGCTTCAAACTATAGGATAGCCCATTCTTGCTTCAATAGACTGATCTAGAACTCTGTGACACCAGCTGCTTCTGGGTGGGGTGATATGTGATACTGCTGGATCCCATGACCACTGTGAAGGTGGTTTCTAGTTCCTAGAGTTTCCATGGGCATAGAGGGGCAGTGATGGTGGCAGACATTGTCAGAACCCGGCCCATTGTCCCTTGACATTAATAGTTCCTAAGGACAGCTCCTTGCTGCCATTTTGCCTGAGACATTCCTCTCTGGCTACAGCAGAAGTTCCCAACCGTTTGTGGCTCTTGGTACCCTTTACTTCCCAGTAATTTTTTTCATGCCACCTCCAAGCTAAAAGAAACATGTTGAGAATCCCATTTATGAAGTCCTTAGGCCTGCACAACTTAGTATTTACATCCTAATCACGTGAAAACTAACACATATAAATGGAAAGAAAATAGTATTTGTATTTGATTCTTCCACTTTTAGTATATGTGCTGCTGAAGTGAGCACAGTATTTGCTTCTTAAATAGCTGCCATTGCTTACCAGTGGGTCATGTGCCTCTGGTGGCCACAGTGCAGCTTCTCGAACCTTGGAATCAGTTTGGATACCATCACCTTCATTTTCTGTAGGACGTTAATTTTTGTGCAGTTCTCACTTTTTATCACAGCAACTGCCCCAAATCCAGCTTTTTCAAAGATATTTCATGAAAGGAATGTCGTGGAATCTACTGTTGAAACTGAGTGCACTAGTCAGCTCAGGCTGCAGTAACAAAGCACTGCAGACTGGGAGGCTTAAACAATGGACATTTATTTTCTCACAGTTTTGTGGCAGAAGTTTGGGATCAAGGTATCAGCAGGCTTGGTTCCTTCTCAGGCCTCTCTCCTTGGCTTGCAGACGGCAGCCCTCTCCCTGCGTCTTCACATGGTCTTTCCTCCGCACCCTTCTGTGTCCAGATCTCCCCTTCTTCTAAGGACCCCAGTCCTGATCAAGAGAGTACTTACTAGGAAGCACCCAAGTGGATCACTCAGGTTCCATATGTGTTCCTTCCTGCTCCTATCTGTGTAACTGCTGATCAGGGTCAATTGTCCTTGCCAAAATTGTGACTCCTCTTCTCACCTGCTGGTTCCTGGACACAAGGAGTTCAAAGTGTCTGGTGGCAGCTGTAGCTAAGAGTTAATACAATCCATGCTGTGTGCCCTGGCAAGAGTGTACCCACTTTGGGAACCTGGACCTCTCACCCTGCAGAGCCCAGATGAGGGCCCACCTCATGACCTCGTTTTAATGTCAAGACATCTGTAAAGACCCTGTCTCCAAATAAGGCCACCTTCTGAGGTATTAGGGGTTAGAACTTCAACACGTAAATCTTAGAGGGGCACAGTGTAGCCTTCAAAATTGAACTATGTGTCACTAGTAGTTCATATGGCATTCAATAGATGTTGCCGTGTTTCCCTTAAAAATTAAAAATACATGTAGCCTCTTCTGTGAATTTGCTGTGGCACTCTGGGGCACTTTGGTACACCGTTTGGGAACCACAGGGCTATAGGAATGCATTCTGCCTTTTTTTTTTTTTTTTTTTTTAGATGGAGTCTTGCTGTGTCAACCAAGCTGGAGTGCAGTGGCACCATCTTGGCTCACTGCAACCTCCACCTCCCAGGTTCAAGTGATTCTCCTGCCTCAGCCTCCCAAGTAGCTGGGATTTCAGGCACATGCCACCATGCCCGGCTAATTTTTTGTATTTTTAGTAGAGAAGGGGTTTCACCGTGTTAGCCAGGATGGTCTCGATCTCCTGACCTTGTGATCCACCTGCCTTGGCCTCCCAAAGTGCTGGGATTACAGGCATGAGCCACAGCACCCGGTCCATTCTGCCTTTAAGCAGAGCAGGCTAGAAGTGCAAGAAGTTAACACCCATGGGGATAGCCATAAAGCAACGACTAATGGGAATTAGTGGATAAATACTCTGCCTCCTCAACCCTTGGGTAGGACAAGTCTGGAGTATGGTCTACACTGCCCCCAGTGGTACCCTGCAGGACTGACTTATAGGAAACACCACTGCCTACGGTCACTGCCTGCTCCACCCAAACAACCCACACTGGCTTTTTTCCTTTTCCTGTCTCATTTTCCCACTCCCCTTCTGGTACTTCCTGGATAGCCTCCCAATAAACTACTTATATCCAAGCTATTTCCCTGGGTCTGCTCCTGGGGAACCAACTTAGGTTAGTGTTGACTGAAATAATCTGGGGAGGTCAGACTCGAATCAGGCTCTGACACTGAGTCATAGCGCGTTGTCAGGACACCTGAATTTTTTCCTCTCCCTCATCTCATTACATGGGGTTCCTATCTCCTTTGATCACCTCGTCCCATAATCTCCTTCTTACCATTGCTCTCAAGTTTATCATAAAGAGTTTCTTGATATTCTCCACCTCCCTTAAACACGGAGAGGCCAACATGTTTTCAGATACGTAAATACATCCCCCAACGGTGAAATATTTGACAACCGAGATATGAAGTGATTGTTTAATGCTTAATTCCTGACTGATTTATGCAAAATATTAACTGAAGGACGTGAAGCGACAGGCATTCTCTCCTCCCGATTTGCCAAAAAGAAAAGTATCTGAAGGGATTAAAAATAGACATATCAAGCAGAAGAAAAATTTTGGAATGTGTCAGACGCCAGCTGGGGCAGCTGAAGAGAAAGCTTGAAATCTGGTAAACACTTGAATTTCAGTCAGTAATACATATGTTTGGCATTAAAAACCTATTGAAAAAGTCATCATTTTTGGAATATCTTTAATATGCTTTTTTTGTGTGTTGCATCTAGCACCCAGAAAACTCCTTCTGGGTATTTTTACTGAAATGTCAGCACTGGATTTACAAATTATGGGGCCCAGGGCAAGAGTACAACTTGGGGCTCCCTTGACACCTGGTAGCTGGCAATCTATTGAAGAATTGTTTCCAGGTTGAAATACCACTGGATAATGTGTATTTGTACCACCTTGTGGATTCCTGTCCTTTGTTAGATTAAAGAATTACCGCATGCTACAGGGCCCTTGTGGGGTCTCTGGCCCCACATCCCATTCCTACTCTATCCTCCAAACCACAGCCCCAGGCGAGAGGTGAATTTGGATCTTTGAGACTGAAGAGAAGAAAATGTAATGTTAACCTGCTTCTACTCTCCTTTCTTTTTAACTTTGGTATGTCCGGTGTATTAGTCAGTTTTCACACTGCTATAAATAAATACCTGAGACTGGGTAACTTATATTAAAAATAAGAAGAAGTTTGTTTAATTGCCTCACAGTTCTGCAGGCTGTACGGGAAGCTTGGCAGCATTTGCTTCTGGGGAGGCCTCAGGAAGCTTTTACTCATGGTGGAAGGCAAAGTGGGAGTGGGTGTCTTACATGGTGGGAGCAGGACCAAGGTGGGGGGTGATGCCACACAACTTTAAACAACCAGGTCTCATGAGAACTCACTATTGCGATGCGATGACAACACCAAGAAGGGATGGTGTTAAACCATGAAAAACCTCCCCCATGATCCAATCACCTCCCACCAGGCCCTACCTCCAACAGTGGGGATTCTAATTCGACATGAGATGTGGGTGGGGACACAGATCCAAACCATATCACCTGGCCTAGTAGCAGAGGAAGAAGTGTAGCCCCAGGACTATTCTTAGTGAATATGGAGTCCTACTGGAGTCCTAGGATGGGATCCAAGCTACCTCCATGAGTGATGTTTTCCATTTGTATATGTTTCATGCCACAGTGTCCTGGGAGGTAGGCCAGATTGGATTTATGAAACTATTAATCCCATTTCACAAATGTAGACATTGAAGCAAGCTCTGGCATGTAGTAATTTGTTAGTGGTGGAGGTTGTCCAAGAACCTGTTTTTTCAATTCCAAACTTAGTGATTTATTTCAGCACTCTGTCACACTGTCTTAATGTTCTTTTACTTAAAGGTAAGTGTGTATTTGTGTGTGTGTGTGTGTCTTGTTCAGCAGAACAACCTGAGGTTACTTCTGCAAGTAACCAAGAAACAAAGACAATTGGGATTTCCAAGCTGTCTGGAAGATGGTCTTCTACAGCTTTCTGGAGGAAGTCTTGACTTCAACATCCAAATAAGACACCTCAAGCCCCAGTCCCAGGTAGGAAGGCACCTCCCTCCAAGTATTCCCATGAATTTCCAAGTAGCTCACAATTTCTTGTTCAGTATACCCTCCAGCCAGTTTCCTAACTGCATAGGTAGAATGATATCACCCTGAAAAAGACATGTTTGAGTCTTCAGCCCCAGGATCTGTGCATGTGACCTTATTTGGAAATAGGATTTTGGCAGATGATCCAGTTAAGATGACGTTATCCTGGATTAAGATGGCCCCCAGCCCAATGACTTATGTCTTTATAAGGAAAGGGAAATTTAGATATAGAGACAGAAGACACACAAGGAGAATGACAAGGAGAATGCCAAGTGATGATGGAGGCAGAGATTGGAGTGATACATCTACAAGCCAACAAACAAACAAATAAAACAACACTAACAAAAAACAGTAACAGGCTGGGCACAGTGGCTCACACCTGTAATTCCAGAACTTTGGGAGGCCAAGGTGAGCAGATCACTTGAGGTCAGGAGTTTGAGACCAGCTTGACCAACATGGTGAAACCCCATCTCTACTAAAAATACAAAAATTAGCTGGGCGTGGTGGTGTGTGCCTGTAGTCCCAGCTACTCAGTAGAGTGAGGTGTGAGTAATCGTCTGAAACTGGGAGGCAGAGATTGCAGTGAGCTGAGAGTGCGCCACTGCACTCCAACCTGGGTGACAGAGCTAGATTCTGTCTCAAAAAATAAAAATAAATAATAAACAAACGAACAAAAAACAGTAACAAAACCCCACCAAAGATTGCCAAGAAATACCAAAAGCAAGGAAGAGGCAAAGGAATCCTTCCCTAGAGCCTTCAGAGAGAGAGAGAGTATGGCCCTGCTGATGTCTTGATTTTGGATTTCTAGTTTCAGAACCGAGACAAGAAATACTGTTGTTTTAATCCACATCGTTTGTGCCAATTTGTTGCAACAGCTCCAAGAAACTAATACACCACCCCTCTTGGCTGCAGCTTCATTTCCCTGTCCACCCCAATTTATTTATGCCCTCAAAATGCTATTTTCCAAAGGCGGTGTACAGTAGGACTTTAGTGGAGGTTTGGGATAACAGAGGAAAACTGCAGCACAGCTCTGCAGAGTCAGTAACTTAAAATTAGATATTAGGCATCACTGGATTTTCAATGACATAAAAATAAAGTTCCTGGGGGAGTCTAACACACAGTTAGGGGTAAGCACCTTTGTCAAACATGCTGTTTGTAACCTGCTTTTTCACATAATAAGATAAAAACACCTTCCATTTCTATAGATGTATTTTACATTTGGCTCTTAAATGGATGCTTGCTAGAATGGAGTTCCAGTTTATGACTGTCCGACAGCTTGTTCAACTGGCTTCTTATTACTGGACAGGAAATGGTGTGTTTTTATCCTGACTCTACAACTGGGCAGTATCTTGAAGGTATGGTGATATTTTGTTGGTTTTGGAGCCTTGAGCTAGACTTTAGCTCAATGTCTACACCTGTGGACATTGTGGGTGCCTAGTGCCAGCACATAGGCAAGACCTCATGTAGTTGTCATTGACCACTTTTGCTCTTCAGAATCTACACTTCCACTGGGGAACTGATCCCATTCTACTCCTATCCTGGGATTCTTGTGAGGTTCTACCTAAGCCCATAAACTAGAAAACCCTATTTCCTCCTGACTACAGTGACTGGATCAGGAGTAAGAATGTCACCCAAATTGGGTCTATCAGAATTGTCTTCCAGAGTATTTTTTTGTCAGACATTCGAGGAAAGGGGACTTCCTTTCAGGTCATGGAACTAGAAAGATATACTCTGCCTGAGGGCATTCTGTGTGTGTGCCACAAAGAGAAGCCTTTCTGTTAGAGAGAAAGCAGATTGAAGAGAGAGACTGAATTCTAATGAAATGTGTTTGTGTGCCTGAATCCAGGTGGCCTTGAGGCTAGTGCTATCCTCAAATTCTATTTATGTGAGTCCATGAACGCCATTTTGTTATTGTTGCAGCTGTGGTTGGTTTTACTGTCCTCCTTCAATTGATTTGAGTTGAAATTTTTGTCATCTGCATTGGAAAGAGTTGACTAGCTTAACTCTTTTCTACCCAGTTTCCTGCCCCAGACTCGGAAAATCCTATTTGGGATTTTAAAATAGACTCTCACATAAGAGGTAGGCCACTTTGACTGTAGAATCAAGAGAGCTAGACTTGAGGGTGTGCGTGCATTAGGCTGAAAGGCACTATGGGTGTGGGGAGGAAAAGCCTGGGATTTAAGCCAAACAGAATTGAGTTCAAATTCTGCTTTTTCATCACATACGTTGTCCCTGTTACCTTGGGTAAATTTCTTAACTTATACAAGCTTCAATCTCTCCATTATGAAGACTAAAAATTAAAATTTCCACCAAACTTGTAGGGCCACTGGGGGGTTAAATGACATAATTATCTATCTATCTGTCTGTATACCTGTCTCTATCATCTACATATATTAGATATAAAACATATATTAAAACATAGATTACGTATAAAATATGTTAATACATGTATTAGGTATAAAACATAACATAAAATAGGTACAAATAAATTGTAGCTATCATTATTAGTTTCCGAGTCCTTTGTCCTCCGGAAGTGCCTCCCTTCCTCCTTCCCTCCCTTCCTTCTTTCCTTCCAGTTGGAATCCACCGATGGGCTCTACTCTAAGAATGAAGGTGAACAGGGAATAGACCAGCCTTTGCAAAGACTAAAACTCAACTTTAATTCAACTCAATCCCTGACTAAATTAAGGTGATCCTCTCTTCCATAATTGACTGTCAGAAATCAAAATTATTCCTTTATGGAAGGTGATAATACTATTCAGATCTTCAAAATAAATATATACATTTTTTCATGCACATTGTCTGGCAGTCAGTAAAAAATTACCAGTATGCTAGGAGATATGCCCAGATAACAGAAAATCAAGAGCAATAAGAAACAATAGAAACAAACCCCCAAAGATCCAGGTATTAGAGTTATCAGACACAGACTTTAAAATAACTGGGACTAACATATTCAAGAAAATAGATATTTCTATGTCATCAAGTTCATTAATCTTTCCCTGTTTAATATTTATCAATCCCATTCAGTGTATTTTTATCTCAGATGCTGTAGTTTTCTCTCTAGAGGTGCAATTTGAGTCTTCTTTTTAACTTGCATGACTCTACTTAACATGTTCAATCTTTCTTCTAGCTACTTAATAGTTTTAATGTACTCGTCTATTAACAGCTGTCATTTCAGAGTCAGTTTTCATTGTTTGACTTTTATATTATTATGGATTATATTTTCCTAATTTTTTTGTATGCCTGGTAATTTTTTATCATATGCCAGACATTGAAACTTTTACCTTGTTAGGTGCTGGATATTTTTGTATGCTTATGAGCTTTATTCTGGGACATAGTTAAGTTTGATCCTTTCAAGTCTTGTTTTTAAGCCCTTTCAGGCAGATTTAATTTAGGACTCATCTTGCCCCGTTATTGAGACAAGCCTTTATGATGCCTCTTAAGTTGTGAGCTTTTCCAGTCTGGAGAGCTGGAACAGACACTCCTCCTGGCCCTACATGAGATCTGGATATTGCTTTCTGTAATCTCTTTGGATGGCTCTTCTGTGGCCGCCGTTAATTTGCTCACACGCATGCGCTGGTCAGTACTTAGCTGGAGACTCAAGAGGAACCTTCTGAGGATTGCCTTTTGCTGTGCAACCCTATCCTCTTTAGTACTTTTTCCTGCGACTTCTAGAGGTCTTGGCCTCCCTGAACTGCCAGCTTCATCTCCTCAGCCCAGAGACTGTTGTTCTCTCTTCCTGCGCTGCAGTCTGGAAACCCTCCAGCCTGTAAACCAGAGAAACTGCAGGGCTCGCTGCACTTGTTTTTTTTCTGTCTCTCAGAGATTACTGTCCTTCACTGGCTGATGTCCAATGCTCTAAAAACTTTTTTTTTTTTTTTTTTTTGAGACAGAGTCTCAACTTATTGCCCAGGCTTAAGTTCAGTGGTGCAATCTTGGCTCACTGCAACCTCTGCCTCCCAGGTCCAAGCGATTCTCCTGCCTCAGCCTCCTGGGTAGCTGGGATTACAGGTGTCTGCCACCACACCCAGCTAATTTTTGTATTTTCAGTAGAGATGGGGTTTCACCATGTTGATCAGACTGGTCTCAAACTCTTGACCTCAGGTGATCCACCTGCCACAGCCTCCCAAAGTGCTGGGATTACAAGCATGAGCCACCAAGCCTGGCTAAAAACTCTTATTTAATATAAATATTGTTTGATTTTTTTAGTATTTTGGGTAGAAGGGTACATTCAATCTCTATTACTCCATCCAGGCCAGAAAGTCTATAATTATATAGTGTACTAACTAAAGTTAAGTACTCAGTAGATAGATGTAACATTATATTAAACCAAGAAGAAAAGAGAATAGATATGACCTTTGGGAAAGGGGGTGATGGTAACTGAGAGGGGGACCCTGGGAGTGTCTGTGCTGCTGATAATGTTCTGTCTCTTGCTTGGGGTGGTGATTCTATGAGCGTGTTCATTTTGTGAACATTAAATGTTGTAGATTCTGATTTGTGTACTTTTCTGTACATATGTATGTGACCCTTTAATAATTAAGTTTATTTTAAAATACATTAAAGCTATAAAAATAAAAAAAATGGCAACATTTGTTATTGAGGGCAAATCTTAAGATTTATACCAGGATCCAGTATCCCATGGGCTTTGGATTCCGGTCTGCTTGAATCAAATGCTCGGTTTAAATCCTGCATCTACATTTACTACATATATAATCTTGAGCCTTTTCATTGCCTTGCTGAACCTCAGTTCCCTCTTCTCATAAATGGATATAATGGTATTACCTATCCCACAGCCTGGATGTGAGGGCCAAATGAGCTATTTTATGTAAAAATACGCCTGGCACTTAGTAGGTTGTGAAAAAGTACTCCTTCCAACTTGAAATATCCATTAATAGAGAACTGGTTAAATAAATTATGTTATAGTCCTACAACAGAATACCACTCAGTTGTTAAAATTATCATGAAGTCATGCTCTGTGTATGGTTGTGAGATGATCTAGATGTCAATCAGGGCACCAGAAGGAGACATGATGTAGTCATAAAGAAATAATTGAAGAGAGTTTAAGTGATGGGTTACTTACAAAGGTGTAGGCAGAATGAACAGATTGGGCAGTATTTCAAGGCTGGCAACAGTGGGAAGCTGTTACCACCCCTAGACCTGAAGGGACAAAGGAAAGGAAGAGTTAGCAGAATGAGAAGCTGTAGAATAAGCTGCCAACAGAAGCAGGAGACTTCTGAAGAGGAAAGCAGCCATCCATGACCACCGGGCAGGGAGGGAGAAGAAATCCACAACCCAGGCTCACTTTTCTCCTGACTTCTTGTCTATTGTGAGTTCCTTCCCTTGCCAATGGGCCTCCAATCATCAAAGCCCAACTAGATGCCACAGGGCAAGGGATTCCAGTGACAAAGTCCATACAGGTCAGCCTCCAGAAACACAGAGCAAGGTGAAGAAAAGTGGGAGCGGATTGGGCAGAAGTTGTGCAAATAGGTATGCAAAAAGTATTCAGCACAATCTGCAAGATATATTAAGTTTTTCTTAAAAGAGGATATAAATAGGCCAGGTGCGGTGGCTCATGCCTGTAATCCCAGCACTTTAGGAGGTCAAGGCTTGTGGATCACCTGAGGTCAGGAGTTTGAGACGAGCCTGGCCAACATGGTGAAATCCTGTCTCCATTAAAAATACAAAAATTAGCCAGGCATGGTGGCGGGCACCTATAATCCCAGCTACTTGGGAGGCTGAGGTAGGAGAATGGCTGGAACTCAGGGGGCATAGGTTGCAGTGACCCGAGATCACACCACTGCACTCCAGCCTGGGCAAAAGAGTGAAACTCTGTCTCAAAAAAAAAAAAAGATATAAATAAAGTATATCATACATTAGCATTAGAGAGAGAGATTTCGAAGGATAGAAGGATACACAAGAAATTGTACCAGTGGTTACCTTAAAGTGGGGAACAGTCGCACTGAGGAAGGATGAGGAATGAGAGGGTATTGTCGGTCAGGGCGCCATCAGGACACAAATGGCAGACTTATATTAAGATGATATGAGGAGGGATCATTTACAAAGGGGCCATTTACACAAGTATGGGTGCAGTGGAACACAGGAGACAATGAAGTAACCCAGGGATAGAATCAGTGAAGCTGTGGCCATTCCTAATCCTCATGGGACAAGGAGAGGGAGTGGTTACCAGCACCATGCAGGAGAAAGATCACGTGAGGGCTCCTGGAGAGAAGCAGTAATCTCTAGTTGAAGGATTCAGCTGGTCTGAGGCAACCCTGCAGGAAGAATGCCAGAGAAATAAATGCCCAGGACACATCCTGATCCTTTCCTCTAATCTCCTGCCAGTGCCTCCTATTGACTCAACCCACATAGAAGCCAGGGGGCATGTGAGCCTGGTTGGTGCCATAGAGGTAGAAAGTAGATTTGGGAGCAAGCGGAAAATGTCTAGCATAGAATGTAACTTACTTTAAACTAGTTGCCTTTCATACTGTTTGATTTTTTTTTCTAACCCACATGTGTGCATTATTTTAAAAATACTCAAAAATAAATGTCAGTTCTATTCATTTTGCACACAGAAGCAAAGAGAGACGTGTTATCCTCAGAGATGAAGAGGTAAGAACAAATGACTTAGTCCAGGCACAAAGCTTGGGCACAACCGTTTCTTCCCCAGAGGGCTGAGTGTTCTAGGTGAGGCTGCTGTATTGATCACCAAGACAAGGTTGGAATGTTCACATTTGTGTGTTTCTGTCCCAAATGCATCTCTTTTCTTTGATACTTTTCTTCCTGCTCTTCTGAAAACGTGACAGGCAAGAATTTAGTTTACGACTATTGGTTTCTTTTTATCTCTCTCCCTTCTTTCTCTCTCCCTCCCATTTTTTCCTTCTAATTTATTTTTATAACTTACGATTTTGAACTCACAATTGGATGAACTATTGGGGTGGCAACACTTTCACTTTAACCTTGTTTCAGGCATCATTGTTGAGATAATCTGGATGGGGTGGTGCATTTTTCAATTTCCTGACAATATCTTCCTTGGAGTGCCTCTCTCTGCCCCCTCTTTTGGTTCGTCCTCTGTCGCTGTCTGGATTCTGCTCAAGGACAGTCTCAGAGGCACACCACTATTTCCAGCCTAGCTGTCGCCAGACTTGGGGCACTTGGGTAGAAACTGTCTTTCTCTGAGCTTCAGTGACACTTCTTTCTCAATAAATTATGCTCTTTCAAACAGATGTTGAGGAATATGACATTTGGAATATATAATAGTACATTGTCACATATACCTTCACCAGATAGTAGCTAAAAGGAGAAAAGGAACTCACTGATGTGGAAAATCAATGCAAAGGATTTGCATATCCTCCTACTCCACCCTCCCCACCCACCTCCACCCAGCTCCACCCAGCCTTTCTTTCCCTTCACTGTGTTTTCTGAATTTTCCTTTTTTTTTCTTTTCTTTCTTTTTTTTTGAGATGAAGTCTCACTCTGCCACCCAGGTGGGAGTGCAATGGTGTGATCTCGGCTCACTGCAACCTCCTCCTCCTCCTGGTTCAAGTGATTCTCCTGCCTCAGTCTCCCCAATAGCTGGGATTACAGGCACCCACCATCATGCCCAGCTAATTTTTTGTATTTTTGTGGAGACGGGGTTTTGCCATGTTGGCCAGGCTGGTCTTGAACTCCTGACTTCAGATGATCCTCCCACCTTCGCCTCGCAAAGTATTGGGATTACAGGTGTGAGCCACTGCACCCAGCCTGTTTTCTGAATTTTCAAGATTTGTTTGCAAACCTCTTTCTCCTACTGAAGAATCTTGGAATTAAAACAAAACAAAACACACTTTTCCCCCTGTTACTTTTACAATAACACTTGTTTATCATGAGAAATGCAGAAAATACAAACAGTTAACAAAAGAGAAAAATACAAAAATAAAAACATCTAGAAATTGGCACTGTTAATATTTGTGTATATTTCTTTCAGATGCTCTTCTTAGATGGTTTTTAGAAGTGTAGTCATGCGTTGCAAATGATGTTTCATCCATAATAAACCATATATTCCACAGTGGTCTCTAAGATTAGAATGAAGCTGAAAAATTCCTATCACCTAGTGATGTCATAGTCATCAAATGTTTCAGCACAAGGCATTGCTCACGTTTGTGGTGATGTCGGTGTAAACAATATCATTGCCATTCATATAAAAGTATAGTACATACAACTATGTACAGTACATAATACTTGATAATGGTAATAAATGACTATGTTACTGGTTTATATGTTTACTATAATATATTTTATTATAAAAAAAAGTTACCTGTAAAACAGCCTCAGGCAGGTCTTTCAGGAGGTATCCAGAAGAAGGCATTGTCATCATAGGAGATGACAGCTCCCTGCATGTCATTGCCCCTGAAGACCTCCTAATGGGATGGGATGTGGAGGTGGGAGACAGTGATGTTGAGGAGCCTGACCCCGTGTAGGCCTAGCCTAATGTGTGTGTTTGTGTCTTAGTTTTTAACGAAAAAGGTTTAAAAAGTAGGCCCGGTGCAGTGGCTCACGCCTGCAATCCCAGCACTTTGGGAGGCCAAGGCGGATGGATCACGAGGTCAGGAGATCAAGACCTTCCTGGCTAACACGGTGAAACCCTGTCTCTACTAAAAATAAAAAAAATTAGCCGGTCGTGGTGGCATACACCTGTAATCTCAGCTACTCGGGAGACTGAGGCAGGAGAATAGCTTGAACTCAGGAGGCAGAAGTTGCAGTGAGCCGAGATCACGCCATTGCACTCCAGCCTGAGCGACAGAGCGAGACTCCATCTCAAAAAAAAAAAAAAAAAAAGGTTTAAAAAGTAAAAATCAAAATTTTTAAGCTTAAAAAAGCTTACAGAATAAGGATATAAAGAAAGTAAATATTTTTGTATAGTGAAATAGGTTGTACAGAGGTGAAAGTTATTTAAGTTAAATGTTATTAC
Organism: Homo sapiens; assembly: GCF_000001405.40. Taxonomy (NCBI): domain Eukaryota; kingdom Metazoa; phylum Chordata; class Mammalia; order Primates; family Hominidae; genus Homo; species Homo sapiens. The sequence goes on along the minus strand of NC_000012.12, from coordinate 119,317,202 downwards.
AAGAGTGAAAAAATTAATAGCTTATAAAGTTAAAAAGTTATGATAAGCTAAACCTAATTTATTATTGAAGAAAAAATAAGCACACAGTGTTTATAAAGTTTTAGTAGCGTACACGAGTGTCCTAGTCCTTCACATTCACTCACCACTCACTGACTCACCCAGAGCAACTCTAGTCCCGCAAGTTCCATGCATGGTAAGTATCCTATGCAGGTGTACCGTTTTTATGTTTTATACCATATTTTCTATGTGTAGATACACAAATACTTACCATTGTACTCCAATTGCCTATAGTATCCAGTACAATAACATGCTGTATGCAGGTTTGTAGCCCAGAAGTAATGGGCTGGGCTATATATCCTGTATGGAGTGGCCTATGCGTTTGGGCTTATGTCAGTATACTCTATGATGTTCACACAATGATTAAATTATGTAAGGACACATTTCCCAGAATGCGTTCCTGTCATTAAACAATACGTGACTAAATACTTATCTTTCAAAATGAAAACAAGCTTTAAATGTTTTTTGACTGTAGAAGTAAAATATGTCTTTAAAAAAATCAGATTGGCAAGGTGCAGTGGCTCACGACTGTAATCCCAGCACTTTGGGAGGCTGAGGCAAGTGGATCCTGAGCTCACAAGTTTGAGACCATCCTGGGCAACATGGCAAAACCCCGCCATCTTTACAAAAAAAAAAAAAAATTAGATAACCCCAAAAATATTCATACGAAAAGGAAAAATACCATAATTCCCCTCCTCCTGAAGGCATAATAATTTAGCTTTTTGTTATATATAATTCCGTATTTTTTCAGGTATTTCTATATCTAATGTATAGCTTAGCCTTTCTGGTTTTTTTTTTTTTAAACAAAGCTTGCATCACATTAAGTATATTACTCTTTAACTTAATGACATCTTTCCCTCAGTGAGTGCTGATTTACCCCATTGGCTTTCAAAATTGTTGTACACACTGTGAGAAATACATTTGAAACTATGATCCAGTACAGTGTATGTACAGTGCATATATATTTATAACCAAAATAAAAGTTTCACGAACCAATTCTCACTTCCATTATGTATGATATACTCTGTTATTTTCTATTTTATTCTCTTTCATTAAAAAAAAAAATGCTGGTTATGACCCAGTAAATTGATTTCAAGACCCATTAATGGATTGTGACTTGCATTTTGGAAAACATTCTCCTATGTCACAATTTTAATGGCTTTATTATATTTTGAACTCCAGAGTTTTGAAGTTGTATGGAGTCATAGAGGAGGTCTTGCCCAGGCCTCTTCATTTTATATGCAGAGAAGTGAAAATTTAACTTTAGCAATAGCTGGTATGGGAATTCCCTGCAGGGAGGGAATTTTCTTTGTTTAGGGAAATATATTCATAAATGCTTATCGAAAGGGGTGCTGCTGAGGAGGGAGTAATTGAACTAAGCTATATAAGGAATAAACAGGAATTTGGAATAGACAGCATTGAGCCAAGTAGCACAGGGGGAGGGCAGAACCTGAGTTAACAAAACAAAGGGCTTTAGAAACAAGAATATGTAATATTGAATTTATATTATTTGCTGTGCTGTAAATGTATCTGTCCACTGAATTTTCAGTAATTTTCAGTAAGGTTTAACATTTAGTGAGGTCTCTTTCAGGAGCAAGTGATAGAAAAACAACTCAAATTGGATTAAGAACAATTTGATTAAGATTAAGTTAGGAATGTTTGTTTGCTTGTGAAATTGAGTACAACAGGGATGGCTGGATCCAGGGCCCTAATTAATGGCATAGAAACTTAGCGTCCCTCGTCACAGCACTATTCACAATAGCAAAGATAAGGAATCAACCCAGGTGTCCATCAGTGGTGGACTGGATAAAGAAAATGTGGTACATATACACCACAGGATACTATACAGCCATGAAAAAGAACAAAATCATGTCATTTGCAGCAACATGGATGCAGCTGGAGGCCACGATCCAAAGCAAATTAACACAGCAACAGAAAGCCAAATATCTCATGTTCTCACATATAAGTGGGAGCCAAATGTTGGGTACACATGGACATAAAGATGGCAACAATAGACATTGGGGACTATTAGGTGGGGGAAGGAGGAAGAGGGGCAAGGATTGAAAAACTAGCTATTGGGTACTATGCTCAGTACCTGGGGATGGGATCAATGGTACCCCAAACCTCAGTATCATGCAATATACCCACGTGACAAACCTGCACGTGTCCCTGAATATAAAAGTTAAAATTATTTAAAAATAAATAAATAAACAAAATACACACACAAAAAAGAAACTTTATGTCGCTTTATATAGCTTCTTTTTTTTTTTTTTTTGAGACAGTTTTAACTCTGTTGCCCAGGCTGGAGTGCAGTGGTGCGATCTCGGCTCACTGCAACCTCTGCCTCCTGTGTAACTGCGATTACAGGCACATGCCACCACGTCCAGCTAATTTTTGTATTTTTAGTAGAGACAGGGTTTCGCCATGTTGGCCAGGCTGGTCGCCAACGCCCGACCTCAGTTGATCCGCACGGCTTGGCCTCTCAAAGTGCTAGGATTATAGATGTGAGCCACCATGTCCAGCCACTTTATATATCTTCTATTTTGACTTCGCTTTGTATTGATTCCCAATACATAGTTTCTTTCCAGAAAGACCAGAAGTAATTGTCATTTGATTGCCTAGGATCACATGACCATCTTTGAGCCAATCGTTGTGGCCAGGGGGATGGAATGCTCTGATTGGCCAGGAGTGTATCATGTGTTCACCTTTGGAATTAACCATGGGGTCACCTCCACCTCCACTTGGGTTGAAGTGGACAAGGAAGGAGTGGTTACTGGAAAAGTGGGTTCACATAAGGAGACTCAGTGGTGGGCAGCACGCACAGTATGTGACCACAACATGCCCATTCACAGATACCTTATGCGAGTGGTTAGCTTGGTGGAGATTAAGAAAGAAACTGGATTCCTCCTCTGCCTTCCCTAGTGCAGAATCGGACCCCACGGGTGAGACAGAAAGATGATCCCTAAATAGAAGTAAGACCAAAAGAAGAGCTGTAAAGCTGGGAGTTCACAGAATTCTTGCCGAAGGTGCCAGATTTTCTATGATTTATACGAAGTGGATCTATCCATTTTATCTAGATCTTAAGGGAAAGAGGATCCCTGTGGCTATCTGGGCTGCATAAATGGGTGAACCGAGGCCTAAAGAGGTTCTGAGCTCTGCCTACAGTCACACAGCTAATTATTATTAGAGCCAGGACTGAACACCATGTCTTGCCCAGGTCTCAGCAGTTTTCTCTGCCTGGCTCTGGTAGCATTCCCTTTCTTCTGCAGCTTCTATGAAACCTGGAAACATCCGGTCTTCTTTCCCTGAACTTGCCCTTGCAAGCCCTTCGTCCTATCCATGGGGCTGCCTGGGAGTTCTGCATGGAGCCAGAAGGAGGAGCTTACATGGGCATGGAGGGGTCAGACTCCAGCCTCTTTAGGAGACTAGAATCTCAGGTGTCTGGAAGAGAAGCCCAGGATGCAGCAAGAGAAGAAAACCCAAGGGCGAGAACAGCAGAACAAGAAGAAACAATTGATAGAGAATAAACAGCTAAGAGAAGGGATGGTTATTTGTTGCTGAGTTCCTACTTACCAGGCTTTTGCATATTTTATTTAATCTTTACAAAAATTTTAGTTTCAGGGAACACAAAGTAGCTCAGTGAGGGGAAAGAAAGGGAGTTGGAGGTGAAAGTGGGGATTGGCAGAGGCCGTGCTGTGAAGGGCCTTGAATCTAGCTGAATGAGTGAGTGAATGAACAAATGAACGGAGCTAACACCTTGTGAAAGTTGTCAGAATCAACAGGGAGTCACTAGTGTTAAGAAAATCCTGACAAATAGAGCCCAGGAAGGCCATGAAGAGAGAGTTCTCAAGTGTGTATGCCTGATAACAAAAACCATCACAAAAGACTATAAAAACCACAACCTCACACAAAAGCCACTGCAACCTTACACGAAAATATATTTTGAAAGGACATCTGCTCAGCCATTACCTGTCCAACCTTGGACTTTGTAGCCAAAGACAATTATTTCTTTTTTCTCTTTCTTTCCTTTCCTTTCTTTGCTTTTTTGTTTTCTTTTCTTTTCTCTTTTCTTTTTCTTTTCTCTTTCTTTCTTTCTTTCTCTCTCTCCTTCTTTCTTTCTCTCTCTCTCCCCTCCCTCCCTCCCTCCTTCCTTCCTTCCTTCCCTCCTTCCTTCCCTCCTTCCCTCCTCTCTCTCTCTCTCTCTGTTTCCTTTTTTTTGACAAGGTCTCACTCTGTTACCCAGGTTGGAGTGCAGTGACACAATCACAGCTCACTGTAGCTTCAACCTCCTTAGCTTAAGTGATCCTCCCACCTAGGCCTCCCAGAATGCTGGGATTATAGGCATAAACCACCACACTGGCCAAGGATAATTATTTCTAAACAGTTATGTGATCCTCTTCATTTTTTTTCCTTTAAAAAGCTTTTCTCTTCTTTTACCTCCCTGAATATGCACATAGTTTACTATGATATATGTATTCCCTTTACTGTGCTATATTCCCAAGTAAACATCTTTTCTTTTAGAGAGCTTCTTTCTGTTTTTTTAGTTTGACAACTTGTATTCAGTTGCTCAGGCTGCTGCAACAAGATACCACTAACTAGGTAGCTTAAACAACAGAAATGTATTGTCTTACAGTTCTAGAGGCCAGAAATCCAAGATTAAGGTGTTGGCAGGGCTGGTTTCTTTTGAGGGCTGAGAGGGAAGGATTTGTTCCAAGCCTTTCTCCTTGCATCTGGGGATTTGCTGGCGATCTCTGGTGTACCTTGACTTGTAAAAGCATAAACCCAATCTCTGCCTTCTCTTTTTATGGTGTCTTTCCGGTGGGCATGTCTCTTTAAATTTCCCCTTTTTAGAAGGACACCGTCATATTGATTGAGGTCCCCACTCCACTCTAGTGCGACCTCACCTTAACTATTTAATCTGTGACCACCCTATTTCCAAAATAGCTCACGTTCTGAGTTACTGTGGGTTAAGACTTTAACATACGGATTTTGAGAGAGGACACAATTCAACCCATAACAACACCTAAGTGAAATCTTGAGAAAAGCTGAGTTAAGCAAAATTCAACAGATTTCTTTACTTCAGGGCCTCTGTGGCAGTTTTACCATGTGGCTACAAATCTGTTACACTCTTCCGATTGAGAGATGGGGTCTCTGTCCCCTCCCTTGAATCTGGGACTGATAGAATATGGTGGAAATGAGGCTATGTGACTTTTAAGGCAGGGTCCTAAAAGGCCATTCCACTTCTGCCTTGTTTGCTGGAACATTGAGCTGTCATATGAGAGATTTGAATACCAAGAAGCCATCCCCCTGAGAGGCACAGTAAAGTCTCTAGGCTGCAGTCCCAGCTAAGCCCAGCCTTTCAGCTATGCTGCCAAAGTGCCAGACGGGTGAGTTACAAAGCTACCTAGCTGAGCCAGGTGCGGTGGCTCACGCCTGTAATTCCATCACTTTGGGAGGCCAAGGTGGGAGGATCACTTGAGGTCAGCAGTTCGAGACCAGCCTGGCCAACATGGTGAAACCTTGTCTCTACTAAAAACACAAAAATTAGCCGGGCATGGTAGTGGTGCCTGTAATCCCAGCTACTCAGGAGGCTGAGGCAGAAGAATCGCTTGAACCCGGGAGGCGGAGGTTGCAGTGAGCAGAGATGGTATTATGCACTCTAGCCTGGGTGAAAAGAAAAAAACAAAAAGCTACCTAGCCAAGCATGGTGGCTCATGCCTATAATCACAGCACTTTGGGAGACTGAGGTGGGAGGATCGCTTGAGCTCAGGAGTTTGAGACCAACCTGAACAACATGGCGAAACTCTGTCTCTACAAAAAATACAAAAATTAGCCAGGCAACGTGGTGTGTGTCTGTAATCCCAGCTACTCTGGAGGCTGAGGTGGGAGGATCACTGGAGCCCATGGAGGTTGAGGCTGCAGTGAGCTGTGATCACTCCGTTGCACTCCAGCCTGGGCAACAGAGTGAGACCCTGCCTCAAAAAATAAATAAGTAATAAATAAATAAAAATAAAAAATTAACAAGTTATAATACCAGCGACTTGAACCCTTCAGTCCAGCCTTTCTAGACCCAGCCATTTGAGGCTTCCCAGTTGAAATTCCAGATATCCTAGAGCAAAGGCAAGAGGTCCCCACAGTGCCTTCCTTGACTCCTGAGTCATAGAATTAATGAACATCATAAAATGATGTTTTAAGCCACTAAGTTAAGGCTGTCAATTTATCAGGGTTCGCCAGACAAGCAGACCAATAGAATATCATCCATATCTGTATCTATATCTATATAGATTATAGATCTATATATATAGATCTATAGATCTATACATAATTTGATATAGGTCTATAGATATCAATCTATGTATAATTTGATATAGAGCTATATCAAATTTCGTCTATATATAGAATCTCTACAGGATTTACATATTCAATAGAATATATGTATCTCCTATTGTTCTCTTTCTTTGGAGAATCCCTTCCACCCCACCATATAGAAAGATTTATTTTAAGGAACTGGCTCACACAATTCTGGAGGCTGGCAGTAGCTCCAGTCTGAAGGCAGACTGCAGGCAGAATTCCGTCTTCTTCCGGAGAGGTCAGTCTTTTTCCTCTGTAGGCCTTCAACTGATTGGATAAGGCCCACTCACATTATGGGAATAATCTACTTTACTCAAAGTCTATGGATTTAAGTGTTAACCTCATCTAAAAAGATACCTGAGAGCAACATCTAGACTAATGTTTGACCAAATATCTGAGCACCATGGTCTAGCCAAGTTGACATGAAATTAACCCTTGCAGGCTGGTTGGTTATGCAGTAGCAGGTAACCAAGATAGCTTCTCACAGCTGCTGTGTGTGTCGTGACTTTCCAAGTGGCTAGTAATATGCCTCATTTTCCAATTCTATTTGGAATTGAAATGAGGAGAAAGGGAGGTGGGAGATCCTCATCTCCTTTTCTCCCCATCCCCTGCTTTTTTAATACGGAGACCTTTTGGGTTTGGTGTTCTGCAGAACACCTCTTAAGAAGCTCGGGCCCAGGGTTGGAGTCACACACAACCAAGTCTAACTCGTGACGGTACCAACTCCTAGCTATGTGACCTGGGGCTATTTATGTAGACTCTCTGAGCCTCAATATCCGCATGTATATCGTGAAGTAATCATACTGGGCTCAGTGATGTTGCAAGGTACAACTTAACTGAGCCATGGAGAGGACTCAGTCCAGTACCCGGGCAAATGGTTTTTATTCTTATTTTATTTATTTATTTATTTTTATTATTTACCAGTAGACCTCAAATTTTACCCATCTGTGCTGCTGCTCTCTCTCTTTTTTTTGCGGGGGGGACAAGGTCTGGCTCTGTTGCCCAGGCTGGAGTGCAGTGGCTCACTGCAACCTCTGCCTCCTGGGCTCAAGCCATCCTCCCACCTCAGCCTCCCTAATAGCTGGGACTATAGGCGTTCACCACCACACCTGACTAATTTTCACATTTTTTGAAGAGATGGGGTTTCACCATGTTGCCCAAGCTGGTCTCAAACTCCTGAGCTCAAGCGATTCTCCTGCCTTCGCCTTCCATAATGCTGGGATTACAGGCGTGAGCCACGGGGCGCCTGGCCTGCTCTCTCTTTTAAGACCTTAATTGTGATGTTCAGCCTCCCATCCCACTTGATTTCCAGAAGATTCTCTCCATTCCCCTTTCCCTTTCTTCCTTTCCTTTTGCTTTTTTTGTTTTGTTCTGGTTTTCGTTTTTTTCTCCTTTTCACTTTCCTTTGTACGACCAGGTTTCCCTCGCTGGGGAGCACGGGCATGCTCCGCAGATCCATCTTGCCTGTCACTGTAGCCAGCTGCGCTCTCTGGACCGCTGCCTCACATTTCCCACGAGGCGCGGCTCTCTCCGCGCTTCAGCTCCCCTCCTTCTGCCTCCAGCTGCTGCTGCTCCACCAGGTGCACCTTCCCCTCCCCTCTGACCCAGAACAGACCCTCTCCTCATTGTCTACAGCACCAGCAAAGAACAGGCCGCAGCTTTTATGCTGAGTCTACTGAAAGTTCCAGGATGATAGAAGGGAAGGAGGCATGAAGTGTTGCTCCCAACTACTCCTGCAGGCAATGTGCTCAGAGCCCAGGGCCCTCACTGGACACACACGTTCACAGAGCATGGGCCTGGGTGGTCAGGGCAACGAATTTCTTGGAACCCATGCCCACCGCGGCCCAGTCGAAGGTCTGCCTCTCCACAGCCTCATTGTCTGACCTCATTCCAGAATGCTGGCAGTGGAAATTTCCACTCCCTTCGGGAAAAATCTGGCCCTATTGTCAGGGGTTATGCTGCCCTGGGGCCCTTTGTATTAGTCAGGGTTTTTCAGAGAAACAGAAGATATGCAGTCTCAATCTCTCTCTCTCTCTATATATATATATGTGTGTGTGTGTGTGTTTGTATTTCCATATGTAGATTTATAATAAGGAATTGGCTTACGTGATTATGAAGCCGAGAAGTCCAGACTCAGAAAGACTGATGGTATAATCCCATAGTTCCAGTCTGAGTCCAAAGGCCTGAGTACCAGGAGAACTGATGGTGTAAGTTCCAGTCTACATCCCAGTTTGAAGGCAGAAGAAAACTGATGTCCCAGCTTAGAGACAATCAGGGAGGGGGAGAGAGAGAGAGAGAGAGAGAGAGAGAGAGAGAGAGAGAGAGAGAGAATTCTTTCTTTCTCAGCCTTTTCTTTTTTAAAAAACTTTATTTTTATTTATTTATTTATTTGAGATGGGGTCTCACTTTGTTGCCCAGGTGGAGTGCAGTGACACAATCATGGCTCACTGCAGCCTCTACATCCCCGGCTCAAGTGATCCTCCTGCCTCAGCTTACCACATAGCTGGGACTACAGGTGCACATCACCATGCTTGGCTGATTTTAAAATTTTTTTATAGAGACAAGTTCTCTTTATGATGCCCACATTGATGTCAAATTTCTGAGGTCAAGTTATCCTCCCACCTCGGCCTTCCAAAGTTTTGGGATTACAGGTGTGAGCCACCACACTGGGCCTCAGCCTTTTATTCTATTCAGGCCTTCAGTGGATTAGAGAAAGCCCACCCACACTGGGGAGGGCTTTCTTACTCAGTCTGCTGATTCAAATGTTAAGCTCATTCAGAAACACTCTCACAGACACACCCAGCAATAATGTTCAACCAAATATCTGGGCACCCTGTGGCCCAGTTAAACTGACACAGGAAATTAACCATCACAGCCTCATCTGTAATCTGAGCCCGGCTTCCCATCACTGGCACATGGCTCACTCCTTCTCTTTTTTTTTTTAGAGTCACCCCCACTTTCTTTTCCTCCAAGAGTCATTTTCTGACTCCCTCGCCCTTGCTAAAAAATGTCATCTCCAAAGTGCTCATTCCCATGTAACTGCCACCACCTGACCCTGCTGTTTTCTTTTTTGTTTGTTTGAGATGGAGAGTCTCACTCTGTCACCCAGGCTGGAGTGCAGTGGTGCCATCTCAGCTCACTGCAACCTCCGCCTCCTGGGTTCAAGCGATTCTCCTGCCTCAGCCTCCTGAGTAGCTGGGAATACAGGACCCTGCCACCACGCCTGGCTAATTTTTTTTTGTATTTTTAGTAGAGAAGGGGTTTCACCGTGTTGGCCAGGCTGGTCTCAAACTCCTCACCTCAAGTGATCCACCCCCTTGGGCCTCCCAAAGTGCTGGGATTATAGGCATGAGCCACCATGCCTGGCCCCCAACCCTGCTATTTTCTTCATGACACTTAGTACAATCTGGAATGTTCTTGCTTATTTTTCCTGTTTATCATCTGTGTTTCCAACTAAAATATAAGTTCTGTGAGGACAGTGGTCTTGTCTATTTTGTTCTTTACTGTGTCTTCTCATGCCTCAGTGATGGCACAAAGTGGGTTTCAATAAACATTTTTTTTTTGTCAGCTTGGGCAACATGGCAAAACCCTGTCTCTAAAAAAAATACAAAAATTAGTTGGGCATGGTGGCACACTCCTGTAGTCCCAGCTACTCAGGAGGCTGAGGCAGGAGTATCACCTGAGCCTGGGAGTTTGAGGCTGCAGTGAGCAATGATCACACCACTGTGCTCCAGACTGGGTAACAGAGCAAGACCCTGTCTCAGATAAATAAATAAATAAATAAATACATTTTTTTATGAATGAATGAATGAACATGGATTCTTATCGTTCAATTTCGTAGCTTCATGTGAACTTGCCATTTAACTTCCTCCTCTCCCTAATCCAACAGACTTCAGCAAAGTGCACAGACATGTCTTGGATGAATGGATTCTTTTTCTGGGTGGCAGTTACGGGAAAGGGCTGAATGTCATATGCAAATCAATGGTGATTAACAGAGAAAACCCATATGGAAACAGGAGCCTGTAACCAGGAGGGACCACGGTGGCATAACCCCCCAGGGATTTACAGGAATCCCGGTAGAGCTTTGGAATCTCCCAGGGCATGGAGTGAGGCTTGAGCCAGGCTCTCAAGGAACCTGAACACTTCACCTCACTTCTTCCTCAAAGGATGCCGTATTACTTTGGGCTGCTTGGGTAACAAAATACCACGACTGGATAGCGTACGCAACAGAAACTTACTGTCTCACAATTCTGGAGGCTTGAGGTCCAAGATCAAGGTGTTGGTAGGGTTGGTTCCTTCTGAGAGCTGTCAGAGAATAACCTGTTTCAGGCTCGTCTACTTGGCTTGTAGAAGGCCATCGTCATGTTTACATGACATTTTCGCCGTATGCATATCTGTGTTCAAATACCCCCTTCTTAAACAGACACCAGTCATATTGGATTAGGACCTATTCTAATGACCTTATTTTAACTTGATTATCTTTTTTTTTTTTTTTTTTTATTGAAACAGAGTCTCATTCTGCTGCCCAGGCTGGAGTGCAGTGGCACAATCTTGGATCACTGCAACCTATACCTCCCAGGTTCAAGTGATCCTCCTGCCTCAGCCTCCCAAATACCTGGGATTACAGGCATGTGCCACCACGCCCAGCTAATTTTTGTGTTTTGAGTAGAGATGGAGTTTTGCCATGTTGGCCAGGCTGGTCTCGAACTCCTGAGTTCAAGAAGTCTGCCTGCCTCAGCCTCCCAAAGTGCTGAGATAATAGGTGTGAGCCACTGCACCAGGACTTAACTTGATTCTCTCTTTAAAGACCTAAGGGTCACTGTATTTGTCAGAGTTCTTCAGAGAGACAGAACCAATAGGATGGATGGATGGATAGATAGACAGATAGATGAGAGGGAATTTATTAGGGGAATTGGCTCACACAATTATGGAGACTGAGAGGTCTCACGACAAGCTGTCTGCAAGCTGGAGACCCTGGGATTCTGGTAGCATGGCTCAGTCCAAGTCTGAAGGCCTCAGAACCAGGGAAGCCAATTATGTGACTCACAGTCTGAGGTCAAAGGCTTGAGAACCTGAGATCCGAGGGGAGAGGTGCTGGTTTAAGTCCTGGAGTCCAAAGGCTGGGGAACTTAGAGTTGCCCAAAGACAGGAGAAAAGGAGTGGATCTAAGTCCAGCAGACAGATAGACATATTTGCCTTTCTCTGGTTTTGTTCTCTCTGGGCCCCTAGCAGATTGGATGGTGCCTGCCCACACTGAGGATGGCTTTTCCCCATCTAGTTCACACTGACTCACATGCTAATTTCCTCTGGAAATATCTCCACAGACATACCCCAAAATAATGCTTCACCAGGTTTCTAGTTATTCCTTAATGCAGCCAAGTTGACCTCTGTGGTGTTAATATGTACTGGTTTTCGTCCATGGTTCCTGGCTCATAACTCCCACAGCCCTTGTTACAGGCTGTTTTAAGAATGGTGTGTGTCGGCCTCGTGGGTAGCCTCGTGGGTGGGCCTCTGACTTTCTCCTGCCCTCTTTTCACTCTAATGTTCCCCCACCTTTCTGACTGTGGATCTTAAGACCCTCCCATTAGAGGGTCCCACCCTATATCCTAGGGGAAGGAATGGTGATATCATGAAGCTTCCAGAAAACCCAAGAGGGACAGGGTTTGGGGAGCTTCCAGATAGTTGAACATGTGAAAAGAAAATATCTTGGGCCCCCCCAAAACCACTAAGCTAAAGGGAAAAGTCAAGCTGGGAACTGCTTACAGCAAACCTGCCTCTCGTTCTATTCAAAGTCACCCTTCTGCTCACTGAAATAAATATATATCTGATGGCCTCCTTTGGAGAGGCTCATCAGAAACCTAAAAGAATGCAACCATTTGTCTCTTATCTACCTATGATCTGAAAGCCCCCTTCCCACTTCGAGTTGTTCCACCTTTCCAGAAGGAAGCAATGTTCATCTTACAACATATGTTGATTGATGTTTCATGTCTCCCTAAAATGTATAAACCAAACTGTGCTCTGACCACCTTGGACACATGTTGTCAGGACCTCCTGAGGCTGTGTCACAGGCGCGAGTCCTCAACCTTGGCAAAATAAACTTTCTAAATTAACTGACACCTGTCTGAAAGTTTCGGGGTTCACAAACACATGGAGGCTCCCAGAGGGTGGTGCCCAGAGGGCACGAAAGCTCTGCACCACTACCCCTACCTCGCCCTATACAGCTCTTCATCTGAATCCTTTGCAATATCCTTTATAATAAATTGGTAAATGCAAGTAGGTGTTTCCCTGAGTTTTGTGAGCCACGCCAGCAGACTAATCAAATCCAAAGTGGGGGTTGAAGCCCGTCTGCCAGAAGTTCCAAACTTGCAACTGGTGTGTGTGTGTAGAAAGGCAGTCTTGGGGACTGAGCCCTCAACCTTTGGGATATGATACTATCTCCAGGTAGATGGTGTCAGAACTGAATTAGAGGACACCCAGCTGGTGTCCGCTGCTTGGTATGTGGGGAAACCGCCCCCCACATTTGGTCACAGAAGCCTTCTGTGTTGATGATGGTTGTAGTGTGAGAGTAGAGGAAAAACGCAGTTTGAGGAGAGTTTTCCCCTACACATCACCTAAAATTAACCATCACAGTCACATTTTGAAGTACTGTGGGTTACGATGTCAAGCTATACATTTAGGGGGAGAAAACAATTTAACCCCTAACAGATGCTAAAATGGCCACTTCCAAGCTGCTCCAGGAAGAGTGTGGGGTGTCCTGTAACCCCTAACCCAGAGGAATACTATCATGGATAGATAAAAGCAAAGTATTTCGTTGCCTTTATCTGCTCAGCATCCGTCTCCCTTTTCCTGGGTACACACCCTGACTTTTCTTTGAGGACTCACCCCATGATGCCCTTAGCCCATATGGTTCAGATAGAATTGGTCCCACCGCAGATACAAGATAGGGTATGCTTGCTGGGCACGGTGGCTCACGCCTGTAATCCCAGCACTTTGGGAGGCCTAGGGGGCAGATCACTTGAGGTCAGGAGATCCAGACCAATCTGGCCAACTTGGTGAGACTCTGTCTTTACTAAAAATACAAAAACATTAGCCGGGCTGATGGTGCAGGCACATTTAATCGCAGCTACTCGGGAGACTGAGATGGGAGGATCACTTGAACCCTGGAGGTGGAGGTTGCAGTGAGCCATGATCCTGCCACTGCACTCCTGCCTGGGCAACAGAGCGGGACTCCATCTCAAAAAAAAAAAAAAAAAAAAAAAAAAAAAAAAAATTGGGCATATGACCCAGGTCTAGCCAATCAGCATATTTCATCCTCCAGCCACAGTGATTGGTTCCCTCTGGGCACGTGACCAAAGCTGAGCCAATGAGACTTAATTCTAGGAGCTGATAGGTTGGAAGCTTAGGAGGGCTGGGTACCATTTTTCCCATGAGAAAGAAGCCAATGACCTAGAGGCAAACAGGTGAGAGATGTAGAGAGAGACTGAGCCCACTGGCATGGTGATAGCCCCTGAATTGAGCTGTGCCTGAAGGTAACTTTAATGGTGGACTTTTCAGTTACAATACAGTCCCTTTTTGGTTTAATGCCATTTCGATGTGGGGTTAAGTGATTTGTAACCCAAAGTGTTCTAATCAATGTAATTATGCCTCCTCCTCCCTCCTGTTTGTGTACCTCAGTCATTCCAGGAAGCCGCCAGTAGGAAAACTTCACCAAGGAAAAGAGAATTTCTTTCAGCCTTCCTGCATTGTCTCAAAAGAGCCCGGTTTAAAGCCCCAGTGGAGATGCCTGTAATTGGCCAATGAGAGCCAGCGGCCGGGTTGGGGATGCGTGCCAATAACTAATTCAAGCAGGCAAAACTCTCGGGGTTTTATAATTATGTGAAAAGACCTAAGATTTCTGTAAGCCAGGGGTCAGCAAATTAAAATTCTCCCAGGAGCTAAGGGCTTCTGAATGCCTGTTTCTGATAATCTTGTTTATGTCCTGGGGTAAATAAATCTGTCTTTTGTTCTGTGTTATTCAACTCTCAGCACTGTTTGTAATTAAAGGGGTGGAGGGTGGAGAAATGAGTGAGTTCTTTAATGGGCTCTGTTCTGGGTCACATGGAGTAAGAAAGAAAAGGCCCTCGTGAGCAGGGGTTGGGGTGGCCTGCTCTGCCCTGGGAAATGGTGATAAAACACTGGGCAGCTGTTGATCAAGTGCCAAAGGGGAGGAAATCCATCATCATTAGCGTAATCAATGAGCACAGGCTGAGCCCCCACTGCCTTGTGCTAGGGTTCCCCTGAGATATGGAAAGAAGCAGATGGAATGTCTGGTTTCAGAAGTTACCTCATGTCAAGAATCTCCAGGCAGAAGGGTCACTCACCCTCTCCTTTCCGTCACCTGCGACTCTGGGGGTTGAGGAGAGGACAAAATAGAGCAAACAGAATCCTTCCAGATGGTCAGATGATCCTGGCTTATAACAGGGTAGGATAGAATTAGGTTAATGAACACAGAACACAAATAATAACAATAACAGATACCACAGCTAACACATGTTGAGCCAGGCACTGTGTTAAGTGCAATATATACATGATTTCTTCCTTTCTTTCTTTCCTTCTTTCTTTCTTTCTTTCTTTCTTTCTTTCTTTCTTTCTTTCTTTCTTTCTTTCTTTCTTTCTTTCATCTTTCTTTCCTTCTTCTTTCTTTCTTTCTTTCTTTCTTTCTTTCTTTCTTTCTTTCTTTCTTTCTTTCTTTCTTCTTTTTTTCTTTTTTCTTTTTTTTGACAGGGTCTCACTCTGTTGCCTAGGCTGGAGTACAGTGGCAAGATCTCGGCTCCCTGCAACCTTCGCCTCCCGGGTTCAAGCTATTCTCCTGCCTCAGCCTTCTGAGTAGCTGGGACTACAGGCACATGTTACCATGCCCAGCTAATTTTTGTATTTTTAGTAGAGACAGGTTTTCACCATGTTGGCCAGGCTGGTCTCGAACTCATGGCCTCAAATGATCCACCCACCTTGGCCTCCCAAAGTGCTGGGGTTATGGGTGTGAGCCACCGCGCCTGGCCTATACATGATTTCTTTTAATACTCTCAAGAATTGCTTGTTACAGGCACAGTAGCCTGAATTTTATGGATGAAGAAATGGAGACCCGTTTCTTTATGGATGAAGAAATTGAGAGAAGTTAAGCAACTTTCCAGAGGCTCCCCCCAGCGGGTAAGTGATGAAGCCGGCCCTCATATCCAAGTTCCTGATTACAAAACTGCACTTCTGCCAACTGCATCGTGCCGCCTGCGTTGTGCCTCCTGCAGCTTTCCTCTGCCCTTTGTAGCTTTTCTACTCTTCCACCTAGTCTTGTCTCGCTGAGTCTCAGGGTTTTGTTTTTTTTTTTTTAATCTGTAAAATGGGGATAACAACACTTTTTTTGTAGCAGGGTGCTTGGATGCTAACAACAGAAATAGACTTTGGTGAATGTAAGCAAAAATAGAATGTAGAAATGAGCCATCAAGGCATGAAAAGAGGTGGAGGAAACTTAATGGAATGCACATTGCTAAGAGGAAGAAGCCAACTGAAAAGGCCACACATGGTATGATTTCAGTGATGTGACATTTTGCAAAAGGCAAAATGATGGGGACAGTAAAAGGATTAGGGGTTGCCAGGTGTTAGGGCAGAGGAAGGGATGAGTAGGTGGGATTTTCAGGGCAGCAAAACGACTCTGCATGAGACTGTACTGGTGGGCACATATTATTACGGACTTTGGGTGATGATGTGTCAATGTAGGTTCGTCATTTGTAACAAATGGACCACTCTGTGTGGGATGTTGACAGTGGGGGAGGATGTTGGGGGAAGGGGATATATGGGAAATCTGTATCTTCCTCTCAATTTTGTTGTGAATTTAAAAGTCTATTTTTTAGAAATGAAATATATTGAAAGGATCATGGGGAGCTCACGGATTTCTAGCCTCTTTTGCTCTTGTGGAGGGAGACAGGTCCAGCTCCTACCAAGAACTGCCCAGTGGGGGATTTTCCTCCTACAGAGGAAGGGTGTTCAGATGCTGAGTACCCAAAAATATCCCCCCAACCCCATCCCAGTAAGGTTTTGTGGTGATGGATGTTTTCAGCACCAGACATGACACACAGTAAAAGCCCAGTAAATGGTAATTATTCTTATTCTTATTAATAATAATATCCAGGAAGAGGCTGCTCAGCCTGTCTCCATGCCTGTGGTATAAATTCTAGGCCACTCTTCCTGTGGGATGATTTAGACTTCCTTTATGAACAGAGACACAAACTAAGCCAACATACCCTCAGGACAGAAGGATACTGGCATGTCTGCAGATTGGTCACTAAAGCGTGTCCTAAATTGCAAAGAAATCAAAACAGATTGCATCTAATTTCTCACTGTTCCAAGCAAGAAATTACCTTTTTAAGAGGAACACCATGACTTTCAAGCTGTTTGTAAACACAGTTTGTTTTTGTTTTTTTTTTTGGAGTGTTCCGTCTTGGGCTTGGGTTGGCTTTCTTAAGTGGATTGTTTGTTTCTATGGGGTTAACTGGGTTTTCAGAGAGAAGAGGCACAAGAATCCACTTCTCTCACTTCTTCTTCAAGCTGTTAGGAGCCTGGTGGGTCCCATTTCTCTTACAGGTTGTTGAGTGGGTTATGATAGGCAAAACATAGGCTTTGGAGCCACACAGACCTGGGTTCGAATCCTGACTCTACTGTTTGCTGCTGTACAGTAGTTCCCCCTTATTTGCGGTTTTACTTTTCCCAGTTTCAGTTACCTGTGGTCTGCTGCTGTCTGAACAGAGATGAGTACGGTACAGTGAGATATTTAGAAGAGAGATAGATCACATTCACATAACTTATTGCAGTACATTGTTATAATTGTTCTATTTTATTATTAGTTACTGTACCTAATTTATAAATTAAACTTTATCATAGGTTTGCATTATAGGAAAAAATATATATGTATGTAGGGTTCAGTATTATCCATGGTTTCAGGCATCTACTGGGGATTCAGAATAAGGAGAGACTCCTGTAAAGCCTTGGGTGATTCACTTGGCCTCTGTGAGCTCTGTTTTCTCATCTTAAAAATGGGATAATCATTATTTACTTCCTAGGGACTGCAGTGTCTTTCAGTAGCTGTTGCTTTTTCCTTGGGCTAATGCTAGCCTGCATGACACCATGTTATGAATTAGAACAATTCTAGCAGATGTACCTGGGGCCAGTGTTTATGGCTTGCTCTGTAAGCAGGGCACAGGCAGGATTTTTATCCCTTCGTTATCCACACAGCTGGTGGTGCCCTTGTGCAGCATGCAACCTGCACAACTGTTCATAGTGGCCCTGATTTTTAACTGACTGTTAAGCTTTCTAAACCTTTCTTTTATTGGTAGACACAGACCCCTTGGCCAAAAAAGATGGGAATATAGCTGAATTCTGACCAAATTATGTGACAATAAACAGTGATTGGTCCAAAGAATGGCCATATGACCCAAACAGTCCAATCAGAGTTTTCACCTGGGACTGATAAACACATGTTGGGAAAAGTTAGCACTCCATGCACTGGGAAAACAGCAACCATGTTCCTCTTCATATGGGAGAGGCCTGTTTGTAGTATGAGTGTCTTAATCTGTTTTGTGTTGCTATAACAATACCACAGACCAGGTAATTTATAAAGAAAAGAAATGTATTTCTTACAGTTCTGGAGGCTGAGAAGTCCAAAGTAGTGGGGCCTATATCTGGCAAGGGCCTTTGTGCTGTGTCATCCCATGAAAGAAGGGTAATTAAGTGCAAGAGCAAGAGGGACTGGAACTTGATATAATAAAGCCACTCGGCCGGGCACGGTGGCTCACGCCTGTAATCACAGCACTTTGGGAGGCCGAGGCGGGCAGATCACGAAGTCAAGAGATCGAGACCATCCTGGCCAACATGGTGAAACCCTGTCTGTACTAAAAATACAAAAATTAGCTGGGCGTGGTGGTGCTCGCCTGTAGTCCCACTACTTGGGAGACTGAGGCAGGAGAATCACTTGAACCTGGGAGGTGGAGTTTGCAGTGACCTGAGATTGCGCCATTGCACTCCAGCCTGGCGATAGAGTGAGACTCTGTCACAAGAAAGAAAAACAAAAACAAACAAACCAAAAAAACAAAGCCACTCTTGAAATAACAACCTTAATCCATTCATGAGGTCAGAGCCCTCATGACCCAATTGCCTCTTATTAGGCCCCACCTCCCAACATTGTTGCATTTGAGATCAAGTTTCTAACACATGAACTTTGGGGGACACCTTCAAACCATAGCAAAGATGAAATGAGAGATCAACACGCAAATACAAACAGAGATAAGATAAAGAGAGGTCGTTTCTGGAACCCGTCACTGTTGTCAGTCCTAAAGCTCTTCCTGTGATTTTAAGCTCTAACTCAGTTCTCCTCTCAGTTACATGAGCCCAAACACACCCTTTTTGCTTCAGCTAGTGTGAGTTGGCCGTCTGATACTTGTAACCAAAACTGTCCTGATAACTGAGGAGTTGCTATAAGATGTGTTAGGTGTGGAAAATCCTTTGCTCAAAGTGGCACTCCAATACAAAAAAAGTAACTGGGCCTGGTGGCAGGTGCCTGTAATCCAGGCTACTTGGGAGGCTGAGGCAGGAGAATCACTTGAACCCAGGAGGCAGAGGTTGCAGTGAGCAGAGATCATACCACTGCACTCCAGCCTGGAATGACACAGCAAGACTCCATCTCAAAAAAAAAAAAAAATTAAAAAAGAAATCAATGTGTCACTCCACAAATAATAGCTGTATTATTGCCACACTGTACCACGTGGGAGTCCTACCAGTTTGCTTCTTTGGAGTGAAAGGAGGACGTGTTTTATTAGATTTGGGATATCAGATATGCCAATAGCCCTTGATTTCATGCCATGGCAGACATCAGTAATCCATTAGCAGAAAACATTAATTCATAAAGGCTATGGTGTATGGTGTTTTTTTTGTTTTTTGTTTTTTTTGAGACAGTCTTGCTCTGTGACCCAGGCTGGAGTGCAGTGGGGCAATCTCGGCTCACTGCAACCTTTGCCTCCCGATTCAAGCAATTCTCCTGCCTCAGCCTCCCGAGTAGCTGGGATTACAGGCACCCGCCACCACGCCTGGCTGATTTTTGTATTTTTAGTAAAGACAGGATTTCACCATGTTGGCCAGGCTGGTCTTGAACTCCTGACCTTAAGTGATCCACCCGCCTTGGCCTCCCAAAGTGCTGGGATTACAGGCGAGCCACCGTGCCTGGCAGGTGTTTTTAAATTCTTGCCATTTGATTGTTTTTGCTCTACCTGGGAATGGTCTCAGGGTCCTTCCTGCTAAGTGCTACAGGCAGTTGCTACTAATCATTTGGAAATGAAATAGGAGATGAAACCAGACATTTTGATTTTTGGCAATTTTTGACAAAATCCATTGCAGTCTATTTTTTAAGCCTCTAACTCATGGAAGCATGCCTACAGAGGTAAGACAATGTTGCTTTAAATTAATGCCAGAAGATAAGGTACTCAGAATAGCACCACAGCAGCCTAAATGGCTAATGAAGTTTGGCAGAAGGTTTTTATGAGCATATGTAGAGCATCTGGGTCAAACAGCAAGCAAATTCCCAAAGACACAAGAAAAGATTAGCTGGACTCCACCATCGTATCTGGAATGAAGCTCACTTCCTTGTAATCTTTTGGGGCTGGGGAGAGGGTCTTTGTGAGTATTCCATCCAGAGGAACACTTTTTGGTGGAATAGAAAAAGAAGAAAATAAATTTGAACTAAAAAGAAAGTGTAAAAAATTTCAAAAGTAACACAAAAATGAAGAATGAACACAAAGCTTTAAAAAAGCCTTCCTAATTAATTAGGTTTTCCCATTTTCATTTCCCAGAGGTAATCTATAGTGGGATGTGTGTCTTTCAAGATCTCGGTGCCACAAATAGTACATGCTCAACATAGAAAAATCAGAAAATTCAGATAAGCAAAAGGAAAGATAAAGTTCCACAGCTCAGAGATAACCAGGGAGAACATGCTGATGTATTTCCTTTCTGCTGTGTGTGTGTCTGTATGTGTGCATGTGTGTGTGTGTATGTTTTCAGAAGAAATATTTATTCAATGCCTGTCGTCATGTGACCAGCCTTCTGGGAAAAGAAGGTGAGCAAAATCCAACCTTGGCTGCCAGGTCTCACTGTCTGGTTGTTGCAAACAGTTGTGGCCTTTTCTTCACCATTCCAGGGTCTGCTTGGCTTTGTTTTTCCAATGGAACAGTGAGGATGGTGTAGGAGACTCCTAAGAGGGATGGATCATCTCCAGTGTGCACATTTTCTGTGCACGAAGTCCTGTGTAAAGTGCTCACAAGAACTCTAGGATATAGTTCCTATTGTACAGATGAGGAGACTGAGGCTCCGGGAGGTGAAGTCACTTGCCCAAGGTCACCTAGCTCATAAGGGGCAGGGCTACCATGCTGGTTTTCCTGCCATAGCCCTCTTAGGAGTAGGCCAACCCGTGTCCATAGAGAAGTGGGGTGAGCTCACAGTTGCAGGACGGTGGGAGGGATGGCATAGCACAGGGGTTCAGAAAAAGCCTTCAGAGTTTGATAAATCTGGATTTGAATCTTGACTCTGCCACTTCCAAGTCCCGAACCTCGTTTAGCTCATCTGTGAAATGGGGGATCATTAACCTATTTACCTCATAGAGTGAGGGTTAAATGGGCTCATGTGTGTGAAATGCCTATAAGAGCTCAGGACACGGTAAATTGCTCAGTAAGTGTTACTGGCTGTTGTCACCATGACTGTTTCTGGAAAACCATGATTTAGAGAGACTTATATCTTCCTGGTGGGATTAGGTGACACCTGCTCCCCCCAGGGACTGTGGCTCTGTTTCTGTTTCTGATTGACTTAGGCACGGGTTGCTGGCACCATTATTCCTGGAACTTTGGAAAAAAAGCAAAAGTTGCTCCATAACCCCACAGGCTTCTCTTGTAGCTGTGACAACGGAACTGGGGAGGAGGTGGGACTACAGGGAAAATTTCCCTGAGGAACATTCTAGGTGGGTCTGACCCTCTTGCTTCCTAGCATGCTAAGCACCTTCTGAATTCCAAAACTCTCCTGCGTTCTGGCTTTGTGCTCTGTTCACCCCTTTACCCTTTGTCTGAAATTCTTTTCCTCTCTTCTCTCTGCTTACCTGATTGGAACCCTTCTAGTGCCTGGCACAGAGCCTAACACTCAGTCGGTGATGGTTGAAGATTGAATTAATGATGGAAACATTAAAGGCCTGGCAGATAGAGTGAGCTGGGGAATGTCGAGGAAGGCACTTCTCTGGGTCTCAGTTACCATCTCTGTATAAAAAGCATAATAATAATACCAACCTCTTGGGTTATTGGGAGGATTAAATATATACTCTATGTAAGGCACCTAGCACAGTGCTCAGTAAGTGATATCTGCAATGGCTGTTCCCGCTCACCTCTCCTTTTTCCTTTTTTGGGGACCTTCCACACCAGAAATCCAGTTTTCCATGTGTGGTCACTTGATGGAGTCAGACAAGAGAAAGATACTCTTTTCGGTTCTGATTTCCTGCCCCGGTCCTGGTGCCTAGGGCATGATATTTAGACACCTCCACTTGCAGCTTCTTCACCTTCGCAGTCCTGTCTTGCTTCCTTTCAGCCTTGTCTCTAACCATGGCCAGTCACAAACCCTGCGACGGGTCCCTCCATTCCCCCTAAAACACTCTCCTCTCTCCTATGTCTTCTGTAGCTTATAGAGTTCCAAAACGGTTAAACAGTAAGAACACAGCAGGACCCCGTAGCTACGCTGGGTGGGGCATTTGATCAGAATTCATGAAAAGTGTCCTAGAGTTGGTTCCTTTTGCTCAGCAGAGCAAATCTGATCAAGCTCAGCCTGGACATAATGTTGGCCAGCAGCCGGGAAGGACAGACCCACTGATTTCCTCCCCTGGTACAGTGGGGATGGATGAAAGTGGCTATGTAAGTAAGCTGAGTTCTCTGGCCACCCATCCATCTTCAGAGCATTCCTATGTGTGAGGATAGTGTTTTTAGATCACTTTACAGATCCATTCTACAGGTTAGGCAACTGAATCTCAGATAAATTACTGAGTAGAAAACTGATTTGGAGGAAACTGGCATGAAACAAAAGGGGCGGCTATTCTCTTTGACGTTTTGGAAATATGTGAAAATGCTACACTTGCCCCATTGGGAACTGGGATGCCAAATTTGATTTCAGGTATAAAGCTCACATGTCACGCAAGATTACCTTTCTCAGGACCCACTGGGGGCAGAACTAGAGCATGAGGAGACAGCAGAAAGGACAAGAAAGGAATCTTCTTATCCGATAATGAAAAAGTATTTTCAGCTCTGACTATGTTTACAGACTGTGTAACTAAGGATTTGTGCCAAAATTCGGAGGTGTCTTCAGTATATAAATGATCTGGCAATGTTTGCAGTAAATTCTGTAAGAGAACCAGAGCCGTCTGAACATAACTGAGGAATTGAGAGGATGTCAAAGGAAAATAATGATGATGATGATGATGGTGATAATTACTATTTTTCCGGGGGCCAGTTATCATAATCAGCATATTTAATTTAAATGTAGTTCTGCTTCTCCAAAACTTGAAGGTAGATATTTTTATTTCCATGTTTCAGATGAGGAAATTGAACTTCAGAGAGGTGAAGCGACCTGCCTGAGGTCACACAGCTAGTAAGCAACAGAGCTGCAATTCAAACCCTAATTTGTATGAGCTTAAAGCCCACTCACCTTCTGTTGTATTACCCAGGCCTTGGGTTAGGTCCTAGGGATTCAAAGATGAGTCGAGACACAGTCCCTGCTCTCAAGGAGCTCTGTGTTTTACAGAAAAAGGAGCTAGCTCAAGAGTTTCCTGTTGAAATGTGAATCAGGTATAAATAAAACAGCTCATCTCCATTACCCTTCGGTAAAGAAAGAAACCAGTGAAAGCATGGGTTGTGTGTGGATATCCCTTCGTCTTAGTTCTGATTTTATTTTTTTGGCATCTGCATGAGGCGTTCCAGGGCACTTTCCCTAAACCCCAAAGAAACAGAAGTTCTACCTGTGTCTGTACTGTGCCTGGGACCTGAGCTCTGGGTGAGCAATCCTCTTTGCATTATGATGCTGGTGCAGGCAGCAGACAGTCTTGACTCCCACCCCAACTTCCCTCCCCAACCCACCCTGATGTTTAGCTTCAGAAAGACAAATTAGCAAATCTCCCTCTCGAATTGCTGTCCAACGGGGACAAGAAAGATGCTCTCCCAGGAGCCAGCATCATGATCACAACATACGCAGTTTTCCTGTGGCTGATGACCCAGCAGTGGTGGTGTGGAGGGGCCCCTCATGCTCCACTCTGGTATGTAGACCTTGCTCTCAGCCACTCATTTCCTTCTCCTGAACTGTCCAGCTCAGGGCTGATAATCAAGTGCAACCCCCTTGGCATTTAGCTCTGAAAATCTGGTTTAACCTTCACCTGCACAACAGCTCATAATAACAAGAGCAACCACTTATTGAGTGTCTTTTGGAGGCTTTCCATATGCAATGCTTATTGTACACTTTCTCTAAATAGCCTGTATATTGAAAGAGCAGGGCTGTGGGATACAATCATAAAGCTACTTTTGTTGCCCCCTCCCCTATTGTTGTGTAATCTCAGGACCGGTCCTCTCTGCCTCTGAATGAATGTCAGCCAGGCCCCTTTGCTACAAATTTGTTATGTGTAGGTAATAAAAATGTCATTGGCATCTGTGGCCCCCCAAAACACTTTAGTTCAGTGATTAATGTGTCCAGTCCAGTGGAGGGTCACGCCTCTGACTTCATTTTCTCAGACTTGCTGCAGGCAGAAGCTGCAGTGGGAAATGGGAACCATCAGCTTCGTGAGTTTTCTCTAAAAGAGTGGTAATTTTGCCCTCCAATCTCTTCCTCAGCCAGGCTGCCCTTGACCCTTTAAGGTTGGTGAGGGCACAGTGGGAAGAGACAAGGGGTAGAAAAAGGTCTCACTTAACTGGGACTGCTGCTGTGAGCTGGGTCCTACAGGATGCCACTCTCTCATGGGGAGTTCGTGTGAACTTTGAAACTCTGTCTCCATTGGCTTTGAAACACAAGATCTTTGTAGGGATTAGAAAAAAGGAATCAGACACAGCCTCATGTATGCTCAGCTTGGCAAATGGATGCTGTCTTGTGCAAGTTAGAAAAAGCCTTTCCCAGTCGGGCGCTGTGGCTCACGCCTGTAATCCCAGCACTTTGGGAGGCCGAGGCAGGCAGATCACGAGGTCAGGAGATCGAGACCATCCTGGCTAACACGGTGAAACTCCGTCTCTACTAAAAATACAAAAAATTAGCTGGGCGTGGTGGCGGGCGCCTGCAGTCCCAGCTACTTGGGAGGCTGAGGCAGGAGAATGGCGTGAACCCGGGAGGCGGAGCTTGCAGTGAGCCGAGATCGCGCCATTGCTCTCCAGCCTGGGCGACAGAGCGAGACTGCGTCTCAAAAAAAAAAAAAAAAAAGAAAGAAAAAAGAAAAAGCCTTTCTCTTTCTCTAGGTTTCTGCAAGCCCGCGTGGG
Organism: Homo sapiens; assembly: GCF_000001405.40. Classification (NCBI taxonomy): domain Eukaryota; kingdom Metazoa; phylum Chordata; class Mammalia; order Primates; family Hominidae; genus Homo; species Homo sapiens. Next base: position 119,292,243 of record NC_000012.12, on the reverse strand, counting down.
TATGTACATCCTAAGAGCAGAACATGGCTGAATGTCTGCAACACTCTTGAGTGAGAGCTTTTGTTCAGTGCACTGAGGACACGTTCATCTTTAGGGACCCTATATGCACATCTCTTACCTGTAGTTCTCCGGCACTGGAGCTGCACAAGCTTCACATTCCAACTGTCCAGTCATGCATGACATCCCCTCTGGCCTTGGTCCTTCATGGCCCACCTTCACAGAGGCTCATCATACCTGAGAAGATCAGGCAAAACATCTTTCAAATATCCCTAGGTCAGCTTGTTTGTGCATGCTCTCTCTCTATCCCCTGCCCCCCACAGAAAACACTGGCCTTTGGTGGAAGTGCAGTTGCTTGCCAAATTGAAGCCCTCTTCAGCTATCCCTGGGCCCCTTAGATTTCTCAGGTATGATTCAGACTCCAGTCCACAGGGTTCCCCAATCATTAGGGGACAGAAATCAAGCTCTCCAAGGCCTGTCTGCAAAGCCCCTTTCATTAGGCTTCAGGTGGGAGGAGTGCACCCCTTCTCTTCCCTGAGAGATGACAGTTGGCCTTTCTGCACTGATATGGTGAATGCTGACGGGGCACTGACCACTTCTACTGCTGGTATTAGAATGGGACACATTGTCTCAGTTTGGACTGAGTCCTGTAAGACAGCCATCCCCAGACTTTTTGGCACCGGGGGCTGGTTTCGTGGAAGACAATTTTTCCACAGACGGGGTCAGGGGATGATTTCAGGATGATTCAAGCACATTACTTTTATCGTGCACTTTATTGCTATTATTACATTTTAATATATAATGAAATTATTATATGACTCACCATAATGCAGAGTCCGTGGGAGCCCTGAGTTTGTTTTCCTACAACTAGACAGTCTGATCTGGGGGTGATGGGAGATGGTGACAGATCATCCGGCACTAGATTCTCATAAGGAGCATGCAACCTAGATCCCTCGCATGTGCAGTTCACAATAGGGTTTGTGCTTCTATGAGAATCTAATGCTGCGGCTGATCTGACAGGAGGTGGAGCTCAGGCAGTAATGAGAGGGATGCAGAGCAGCTGTAAATACAGATGAAGCTTTGCTCGCTCTCCCCCTGCCCACTTCCTGCTGTGTGGCCCTGTTCCTAACAGGCCATGGACCATTACCAGACTGTGGCCTAGGGCTTGGGGACCCCGCTGTAAGAAAGCCAAGAACAAAACAGTAAATGCCAACTCACCCAGTGCTCCAAAGTGAGGTCCAATACTCTCAACATAACCAGCTAACGAGGTGGCCAGAACTTGTTTCATGTCCCTTTAGCCTTTCCTCTAATTTGAGGGCATAAGAGGGTTCCTGTTGAAGTGTGGAGAGGGGAAGAAATTGGAAGGGAGATTTTTTAGATAGAATTGATGGAGTTCTGTGACATGTTCTCTCCCAAAACTGGCAGTAGAAGTGGTCAGTGCCCCATCAGAATTTATCATAGCAACCCTGAAAGGCCAAATGCCATCTCTCAGTATTGTCATCTCTGTGCTTGGGGGCTTTCTCTGAAGATGAGGAAGACCAGTCTGCCCATTCCCAAGGAGACCAGAAGTGCCAGGGAATTAACATCCTCTGGGAGAAGCCATCAGCCAATGACTGATGGGAGTTGGTATATAAAGCTCCGAGATCCCTCACTGCTGAGTTGGAAGCACATTGAGGCATGTATTCTGCATGGTTTCCCAGAGTTCCTAGGAAGTTATTTTTGATGCCCACCAAAATGGTAGTTGGCTTGATTTTACAAATCTTTTACAGGTTTTTTTCCTTTTCCCTGACTCTTTTCCCCCATGATATGGTTTGGCTGTCTGTCCCCACCCAGATCTCATCTTGAAGTGTACTCTCGTAACTCCCATGTGTTGTGGGAGGGACCCGGTGGGAGAGCATTGAATCACGGGGACAATTTCCCCCATACTGTTCTCATGTTTGGGAATAAATCTCATGAGATCTGATGGTTTTATAAGGGGTTTCCGCTTTTGGTTCTGCCTCATTTTCTCTTTTTGCCACCATGTAAGAAGTGCCTTTTGCCTTCCATGATTGTGAGGCCTCCCCAGCCACGTGGAACTATGAGTCCATTAAACCTATTTTTCTTCCTAGTCTCAGGTATGTCTTTATCAGCAGTGTGAAAACAGACTAATACATCCCACTCTCCTCCGAAATAAAGTACTCATACTCAAATCCTGATCTCAGGATCCCTGATATGGTCTGGCTGTGTCCCCACCCAAATCTCATCTTGAATTGTAGTTCCCATAATCCCCACGTGTCATGGGAGGGAACTGGTGGGAAGTAATTGCGTCATGGGGTGGTTACCCTCATACTGTTCTCATGACAGTGAGTGAGTTGTCACAAGATCTGATGGTTTTATAAGGGGCTTCCCCCTTTGCACGACACTCACCTCTCTTACCTGCCACCATGTAAGAGATGCCTGTTTCACCTTCTGCCATGATTGTAAGTTCCCTGAGGCCTTTCCAGCCATGAGGGACTGTGAGTCAATTAAATCTCTTTCCTTTATAAATTACCCAGTCTTGGGTATTTCTTCATAGCAGTGTGAGAATGGATGAATACAATCCCTTTCTGGTGGAACTCAAACCAAGACAAAGCCCTGTTATTCAGATAATACCTTTATTCCTAGCGCATTTCTAATCCTTTCCTAACTTTGCAAGATGGGTTTCTTTTTTTCTCCAATGAGGAAGCAGAAGATCCATATGACTCTGAAAATATGCTCTTTTCCTCACACCATTCTGCTCCCTAGCAGTTGTAAGCCATTCCCTCCAGCCAGCAGAATACAATTCTTTAATTGGCCACCCATAGCCTCTGTTTAATCTAGCACTTTCTTGATGTTCAGAAGCTTGGTTCTGAATCATTTACTCAATGCTATTCCTCACTGTCTGCTGCATCCTGCCTTTAATACCCCCAACATCTAGTTTCTGTTAGCCCTCTGGATGCAACGCTGGATGCTGTCTCCCTGGCCCTTGACTTTGACTCACCATCCAGCTCCATTGCCCTAGACTTGTCTTGAGAAATACTCTTCCTAGTTGGACTGAGTTCCAGGACTCCTGGTCTTGATACTATCCACTATGGATGATGTTCTGGTTGGTTCATATCATGGCTGTCCCTCTATGTGCTAACAATTCCTATTCTCAGCTGGAGCAAAATGAACTTTTATCCATTACTTAAAATTTGAAAGCACGTCCAGGAAGTTGGGCATACTAGCTGAGCAAGCCGAGTGCCTATCAGAAGAACTTGGACACCACTGCTGGGAATTGGCTAAGTGGGAAGATTTTAATTGTTCCCAGGCTTGTCGCATCCACGTAATTTTCTCTAACGAGCACACACAAAGCAACAAGGAGAGGTGCGGGATTGGATGGCAATTCAATGCCTCATAATGCCAGATGAATTGCAGCGCCTGCTCCACAGTATTGCATTTGCCGATGTCTGGGAGACAGTCTCCATGGATGCTAATTCAATTATGCTGAAACATAGAAGGAAATTGTCAGCCAAATTGCTGCCACGCTGCCGAGCTGTACCTCGCTCTTGCCCCCCGTGCTGTTTCCTGCTGATTCAGCAGCACATGGCAGCTCGTCTAGTCTGGGAATGACCAGGGGCTGTGTTCCACTTGGTATGGTTCTTCAGGCAGACTTCCCATCTTAGACCTCCAAATAGAGAAATGATTCCTTATTAAACTTTTCCTTCCCTTCTTTCACTCTGGCAACACCTCTTGTTACTTATTCATCATCAACAATAAAAATATATGATAAGCTTAAGAGAACTATATTGTTCAACTAGTAAATCTTGATCAAGCATCAGTTAAAGACTGAGAACACAGCAGGGAACAAAAATGGGCATAAATCCATTACTTTAGGAGTTTATGGTCCTGTCTCACTTTCCAAGGATGGAAGATTATTGGGTCAGTTTGAAGGCTTTCTTTGCTTTCTAGAATCTGGATAATGGATAAATGTGAAAACTCAAAAGAGATAGAAAGGCTCAGTAGATTCATAGGAGAAATTGCTGCATGGGAAGAGAAGACTAGGGAACACAAGCCAGGGGGCATGGCTAGGTTTGAAGATTTTAGGGAGTTCATAAAAGAGAAGAGAAGAATGTAGTGGAGCGTTTTGTGGGGAACACAATGAGAAGAAGGAAGTGCATTTTAAGCTTTGCTCTGTTGTGTGAATGGAATGCCTCTGTGCTCTGTGATATTTTTTAAGAGACTTCAGTAATTGCAGTTTTGTGGTATTTTTTTTCTTTTTTTTCTTTTTTTTATTTTTTTAGATGGAGTCTCACTCTGTTGTCCAGGCTGGAGTGCAGTGGCGTGATGTCTGCTCACTGCATCCTCCACCTCCCGAGTTCAAGCGATTCTCCTACCTCAGCCTCCTGAGTAGCTGGGATTACAGGCGCGCACCACCATGGCCAGCTAATTTTTATATTTTTAGTAGAGATGGGGTTTCACCATGTTGGTCAGGCTGGTCTTGAACTCCTGGTCTCGTGATCCACCCACCTCAGCCTCCCAAAGTGCTGGGATTACAGGCATGAGCCACCGTGCCCTGCTGTAATTGCAGTTTTAAACTTGCTTAAAAAAAAAAATCAGTCAAAAAATATTTATTGAATGCCTACTATGTTCCAGGTACAAGATAGATGCAATTTTTTCCTTATCTGGCATGTCGTTCCAAGTGAAAGAGGACTGAATACATGATAGGTACACATATGAGAAGGATGGAACTTCATCCAGGAAGGCAGAGAAGCCTTCGCTGAGCAAATGAGATTTCTGTTGAACTCTGAAGGATTAGGAGTTTGTCAGGCAAAGAGACGCGGGTGGGGAGTATGGACAGTTTCAGACGCAGATAATGGCTTTTGAGAGGGATTCATGGAATGAAAGAATCCAGTTTATTGGCCAAAGCTGTCCTATCAAAAGTAACAATGCTGCGAACTTCTCCACCAGACTCTTCTCAATATCTAGTTTCTAGTTTCAGTGAAATTGAATATTCTCAGGTGAGTTCCTGTAATGTGGGCCTGAATCTGTCTTGCTCCCAACCTCTGCAGCTGATTCTACCCCTGCCACTATTGCCAAGAAAACAAGTTGAGATAAAGCTGATGGTAGATGGGGCAGCGGGCGGAAATTGTTTTTCAGACTGACTGGCTGGCTGCCATAATGGACGTTTCTTTAAATAAGGTTCTGTGCTATGGTGGCTTCAAGGCTTTATATTTATTAGGCACCTATTGTGTACCCAGTTCTGTGTCAAGTCCCAGGAAACAAAAATGAATAGAAGATGTGGTTTGGTTCTTGCTAACTTCTGTCACAACTGTAAAAAAGGCTTTCACAGTGTCTTAATGTCCTAAGACTATGACAGTGTTACTTGGTAGGTGACTTCCAGAGCCCCTTGGAGAGGTCAGACAGACCTGAGTTGGAATACAGGTTCTACCTAATAATAGCTGTATGACTTTAGGCGAGTTAATTCGCCTATGTTTAAGTTTTTCATCTGTTAAAATGAGGATTATAACACCCAACCAAAGGACTGTAGTGAGGCTTAGAGATAGCCTGTGTGTCACTCACCTGGTGAATAAGCGGGACTCTGTTGAGTGTGAGAAGGCACCCTCACTGTTTTCTCCACTGTCCATTGGCAAGGCTTTGATGAGTTGAAGCTTCCTCTGCCCGTGGGTAAAATTTTCAGCATCCCCCATCACTTTGCTGGTGATTCCTGGATAATAAAATGTCCTGAAGTCATTTTTCTCACAGAATAGTTCTGTGTCAGTAATTAAAATGCCTGCTCTTAAGTAATGGTTAAAACTCCAAGTTTCATTTAAAGTTAAAGCTTCTTTCAGACAAACCAACTGTTTTTTTTTAAAAGACATTTCTGAAATAATTGGAGAAATTTGAACAGTAACTGAATAGTAGATGAAATTAAGGTATTCTTAATTGAGTAATGGTACATAAGATATGTGGATATTTACACTGAATTACTAAAGATGAAGTAAGGTGGTGTCTGAGATTTGCTTTTCAATAACTAGTGGTTTGGGGGTAAAGGGTTGGGGTATTAGTGAAACAAGAATGATCATGTTTATTTTATTATTTTTTTGTTATCCTATCTCCTACTTTTATAAGTGCTTGAAAACTTATACAATAAAAGTTTGAAAAAGATTTTAAAGCATCTTTCCTAAACAACCTTATATAATTGGCATGTTGTATAGCACATAAGTCTAGTGGGTATTGTTTATATAATATACATTGTCAATCTATGTATTTATTATAACAGTTCTTTGGCCGATGGCAGTGGTCTGTTGCTTTAATAAAATCAGCATATTTATTATATTGGTAGATGAACTTCTGTGATAACCCCCTAATTATCTTCTCCTCCTGGTATTCACATCCTGTGTAATCACACCCCCTTGGGGCCGGGCCTAGTGACTTTGTTCGGATGAATAGAATACAGTAAAAATGATGGAATGTCACTTCCAATATTAGATTATAAAAGACTGTCTTTTGTCTGGCACTACCTCTCTCCAGCTTTTCTCTCTTGCTTATTCTGAAGAAACTAGCTGCCTTGTTGTGAGTTACTCTGTGGAGAGACCCACATATTAAGGAACTGAGAGCATGACCACTGGCCAACAGCCCTGGAGTGATTGAATGTTTCCAAAAACCACACTCATGAGCTTGGAAGAGGATCATTCCCCGTTCAAACCTTCAGCTGAGACTGCAGCCCTGCCAATACCTTGATTGCAACCTGGTGAGAGATCCTGAGCCTGTGGACTCCGCTCAGCTGTGCCTGGATTCCTGACCCACAGAAACTGTCAGATAATAGCTGTTTTAAACTACCAAGTTTTGGGGAAATTTGTTATGCAGTAATAGACAACAAATAGATTATATAATGACAAACTTCAGATAAATGGAGGTACAGTTCTTGGAGGGGGCACTTTTTTTTCTAGTTCAAACAAAGAAGTAGTATCAGTGTGGGTTAGCAATAGCCCTGGTCACCCCTCTCTCAGCTCAGATGTTGGGGAAGGGGTTTGTGGTTGGCTTCCCTAGGTCCTCACCTTTTCTCTGATTGCTAGCCAAAGGCCCAAGGGAGCAGAGGGAGGAGAGGTGAGGGCAGATAAGGGCTCTCTTGACCAGTAGTGTCACAGTTTGGCATTGGTGCTCTCTGCCTGGCAGGTATTTAAACTTCCTTCAGGTTTGGCAAGTGATCAAAGCTGAGTCAATTCTTTGAGGTGTATTGTGGATTCTTTGAGGTCCCTGTTAGTGGCGTCCACGCTGCACAGTCCCCCAATTGTTCACCTGAGAACTGTGTTCAGGTGGGGATTCTTCAGTTCCCTTCTTGTGGTGCCTCTTTCCCAGATCCCATGCCAGGTGGTAGCTGTGAGTACCTCTTTCTACTCCTTTCAGGTGGGATGCTTCTAAGACACCTCCATTCCAGTTTCTGCACATCTGCTTGACTCATGGGAAGCTCATGCATCCTTGGCACCTGGATCAGGGTAAGTCCTGCTTCTAGTGCTATCCTCAATCCTCATCCTGAGATCTTGATAGACTCCAGCCATGGTCTGACTAATCTATACATTTTTCAGGTCTCAATCAGATGCCAGTCTCCCCAGACTTCAGGGAATTCACAGCAAACTAGAGATATTTCCTGTAAGTTCCTCTCACCAGGCAAGGCTGTGGTCAGGAGTCATTGCCTCTCTCCTCTTCCAAGGGGACTGAGACTAACTTCATACTGGACTACTTTCTCCAGAAAAATCCTCTCCCCAGTTTCCAACTTCAGCCTTTTCAGAGATGGCCGTTGGACCAAGAGTCAGAAAACTATTTCCATTTAGACCCTTTGCAAGGTTGGAAATGTCAGGTATTTGAACATTTCATTTTGTTTTTGGCCCATGGAGCCTCAACTGAAACCAATACCCAAATATTCCATTTTAGCATCCTGTTATATGCATACAGTTGCTGTTCAGTCCATGGTGCTTTGTAACTTTTACGTTGTTGTGGGAGATTTACTGCACTGATGGACCTCATCAATGGTATCCACACTCTTTGCCATGGCTTGTTAGCCCCTCTCATCAAGGGTTGAAGTCTATTTCCCAATCCTTGGATTTGGGCTAGTCTTGTGATTGCTTTGACCAACAGAATGTGGCAGAAGGAACATTATACCTTTTCTGAGCCTGGGAACAAGAGACCCTGAATGATTTTGGCCTGTCTCTTGGAGTTCTCCTGCTGTCCTGTGAATAAACCTGTGGGCGGAATGACAGACTATGTGAATAAGAGCAGAATCAGCTCAGTTGTCCCAGATGTGTGAGAAAGCCCCACCAAGATTAGCAGAGCCACCTAGCCTCACCACAGAAATATATGCAAACCCCACCAACCTCAGCTCAGGTGATCAGAACTGCCCAGCTGACCCACTGACTTGTGAGTGAAAATAATCGATGGTTACCGTACGCGCTGAGGCTTTGTGGTTGTTTGTTATGCAGCATTATGGTAACCAATACATTGTACCGGGTAGCTAATGAGGGAGTGTTTTTTGAGCAGAGGACCCTCTCAAATATCAGGGGACAAAGCTGACTGCTGGCTTGGCCTTGTCATCCATGCACATCCCTTCCAGAGGAAGACTGTTTTTCTTTTCCTTAGGCACCCTCAGCTTCAGCCTGGATAGATTCCTCCTGGGCTTGTCAAAACTTTCCAGAATGCAGTACAGCAAACAGGGATTCCTCTGGCAGCTTGTTAGGATAATTGAAATGTGGGTGGAAGCTCATTAAGCTCCCCTTTGTCAACATTCTTCCTTCCAGGCCTGGAGAAGCTGTGAGTTCTGTCACATCCCATTAGCACTGTGTCTGGGTGGTTTCCACACCTTTCCAAGCAAATCAAACACACGGGGTCCACATTCAGGGGAGAAATAAATTTATTCCCATGGAGAGGGGTGTGCTTACGGAAATGTAAAGACATGTGCACATCAGGCTGGGGTGGATGATGAGAAAGAGAATGAGAAGATCTAAGAATGCTTTGGAAGTATAATATATACAGTAGCTTGCTGCTCTATGTATTAAAAATCTAGCATTTGAAGTCTGTTCTGAACATCCTCAAGTTCCCTTCTATTCCTATCTCAGCGGGCCCCCTACAAAACGCTATCTTTATGGAAAAGATTTTGGAGTCAAAAAGACTTTTGTTCAAATCCCAACTGGGCCATAGAAATAATACTAATAATAACGTTAACTTGTATTGAGCATGTTTTGTTTGCCAGGCTCTGTGCTGTGAGTTTTATATAGAAAAAAATCTCATTTAATCCTAGACAGGAAGCTCCCTAAGATCAGGGGTGATGCTTGTTTTTTTTTTGTTTTTAATTTTTGAGACAAGGTTTTGTTCTGTTGCCCAGACTGGATTGCAGTAGTGCGATCATGGCTCACTGCAGCCTTGACCTCCCAGGCTCAAGCCATCCTCCTGTGTCAGCCTCTCGAGTAGCTGAAATTAGAGGTGTGTGCCACCACACCTGGCTACTTTTTAAATTTTATTTATTTATTTATTTATTTTTGCAACGGAATTTCGCTCTTGTTGCCCTGGCTGGAGTGCAATGGGGTGATTTCGGCTCACCGCAACGTCTGCCTCCTGGGTGCGAGCGATTCTTCTGCCTCAGGCTCCCAAGTAGCTGGGATTACAGGCATGCGCCACCACGTCCCGCTAATTTTGTATTTTTAGTACAGATGGGGTTTCTCCACGTTGGTCAGGTTGGTCTCAAACTCCCTACCTCAGGTGATCCACCCTCCTCGGCCTCCCAAATTGCTGAGATTACAGGTGTGAGCCACCACGCCCAGCCACCTGGCTAATTTTTCATATTTTATGGAGATGGGGCTTCACTATGTTGTCCAGGCTGGTCTCAAACTCCTGGGCTCAAGTGATCCTCCCACTTTGGCTTCCCAAAGTGCTGGGATTACAGGGATGAGCCACCATGTCTGGCCGTGATGCCCATTTTGGTTTCCAGTGTAGATCCAGTATACAGCACAATTTTTTGCATTAGATATTCAATAAATGTTTAGTGAACAAATGAATGAATGACAGTCCTGTGAGGTGGAGCTAACTACTCTTCAAGATACAGAAACAGAGGTTCTGTAACTGACCTACGTTTCCACAGCTAGTGAGTGGCAGGAGGCGCTTTAAGCCAAAAACTCTGTTTTCAGATGCCATTATTTCATTTAGTTCTCGGAGTGTCTCTAGGATTCCTGGAAAATGGGAATACTAACAATACCTATCTCACAGGGCTATTGTGACAATCACATAAGTCAGGGAAGTAAACATATAAGAGATTACCTGGCACACAATAACAGCACACATGCTGGCTTTGTTTATCTTATGGTTGTGTCTTTGTTTCCTAATAAAGTGTCGAGGGGGTAGGTGGAGGGGGAGAGTAGTGAAAAGGGGACCAGGGGAGGCCTCATGGTGCATGGAACCAAAACAAGTTCAAATCTTGACTCTGCCACGTAATTGTTGCACCACCTGTTTAAAGCCATGTACAATTAACGTTGTCATATTTACCACGTAATATTCTTCTATCATGGGGCTGTGGCTTCCGGATCATGTGGGCATGGGAACGAAACCAGCTTCTCATTAAATGCTTTTCTATCAGCAAACACCATGTGCTTGTGCAAATCAATCAACAACAATTGGTTTAACAATTTTAATAACACAAAACCTACCTCATAGGATTGTTTTCAAGACACAGTTAATGCTCAATGAAGCGTAGCACTTGGTAAGTGCTTAATAATAATAGCTAATAATTAGAGCTTACTGAGCAGATGCCATGGGCCCGCGCTTTCCGCATAATATCTCATCTGGTGTTCTTATCAACCCTATGAGGCAGATACTGTTAATTGCTCCATTTTACAGTTGAGGAAACCGAGGCACAGAGGTTAAGCAACTTGTCTAAGGTCAAACATCTAGTAGAAAAGGCGAATTTCACATAAGACTGAACACATTCTCTAGAGGAGGAGAGGAAGGGCAGAACATAAGGACACTTGGATTCAGCTGAAACAAAACCCCTGTCCTTTATAAACCCAATTTTGGGTGATTTCCAGCTTGAGGGGTATGTGGCATTTCCTGATATGTATAAGAAGCTACTTCTGCAGCCCATGGGTTACAAGGTCACTTTTAAATGGGTTGTTTTGATGACCTTCAGTGCAGAGGAAATGGTACTTCTATAACATTGTCTTTAAAGGGGCATTGTGTTTTAGCAACTACAGGAAGAAAATTACCTGAGGATAATTATTGAAAATAATTGTGCTCTGATGGACTAAATCTGGGATTGGCTAGTCGTCACATTAGTCAACCCTGTTCTGTTGGTTTTAACTGGCTGAAATTCCTTTAGAAGGATTTCAGCAAAGATCAACATGTTTGATTAGCAATGTCTGCTGTGGGTGAGGGAAGGATGACAGAGGCATATGTGACATGAATTATTGACCCTGCCTTATTTATATGCTGTGAAGAGTTACTCTGGGAGGGCAATCACACTTCCCTTTGTCAAAGTTTTTGGGGTGCACCTCATGGGTGTCTCTATAAATCACGCACAATTACACATTTGAACAAAGAAGTGTTGCTGTGTCATTTGTCACTGAACCTCTACTGTGTGACCAGGCCTTTCTCCAGATTCTCCAGTAATTACCCAGGAGAAGAAACAAAGGCTCAGAGAGGTGAACTAATTTGCTTAAAGCTGCACAGCACCTAGTGCAATGTCTGACATCTAGTAGGCAACTAATAAGTTATGTGTTAATTGATCAGATAGTAAGTGACCTACTGTGATTCCAGCCTAGGTTTTAAGCTTTGAGATGAATGCCTATTCTATGGCTCAGTTGCTGCCTCTGGAGAGGGCCTCATTCTGTGCTAGGTGCTCTGCTGCATACAGAAATAAGTGGTGATCCGAATGCTCAAGGAATCTACAATCTTATTTCCTCCCTCTACTCTTTATCAACCCTCAGAGAAGATTCCAAATCTTCTGGAAAGACAAAGAAAGGGTCACTGCATTTTATTTGGTTACAAAGCACTAAATGGAAAATTGCCTTTATGTTTTGAATCGCTGGCACCATCAGATTCATTATGAATACAACTGCATCTTTTTGGGGTAACAGCCATTTTTATGTTGCTGATATAGAAAAAGGAAATACGGCCCAGACAGCAGTCTGACGAAGGGCTCGGTAGCAGTCCTGAGGCTCATGGCGCCTAGAGAAAGCCACCGAGTCTCTCTGGACTTGTTTCCTCCTTAAGAAATTATATTCGAGCTGTGTCTTGGTAACCACAGCAGGGGACAGTTAAGGAAACCTCATAAAAAGTCTCAAGGCAAACCTAAAGTTCTGTGCAAAAACAAAATAATGAGAATACTGCATGAGAAATTTGCTTTGTGTTAGCAATAAGTCCCTTCTGTTTGTTCAGCCCTTAAAGCCCTCTCAAATCTAGTGTCTCATGTGATCATCACAATAAACCTGGAGGCTGGTGAGCTGGTAGTAGCAGGGTCTCAGGGAAGTGAAGTGACTTGCCAAAAATCACACAGGCTAAAGAGGAGCAGAGCCAGACCGCCCGGTACAGATCTAGCTGGGTCCCAGTTGCATCATTGCATGACTGTGCTGAGGAAAAAGAAGGTTAGAAGCCTCTCCTAACAAAGAAAATGTTTGTTGAATGAATGCAAGTGACTGGGTAAGATGGTGAGTGAATAAACTCCTGTAATCCTTTCCAGGAGTGATTTTACTGAGAGTGTCAAGAGCCTTAAAAATGTAAATTTTTTCTGATCTCACTCTTTCCCCTTCTTAAGAATTTATCCCAAGGAAATAATCAGATAAGATGTAAAGATGTGGTATCTAGGCATTCATATTATTATTTATGAAAGCCAAAAGAATTGTATATAATTTAAATATCCAGCAGTAGGACACTGGTTTAAATAAATGAATAGATAAATAAATAAATTATGACATTCCTGCATTCTGGGCATTAAAACAGTATCTTTGATGAATACAAAGAAAAATGTGCTTAGCTACAGGGGTGTTTATTGCAGCTTTCTTTACAAGAGCAAAAAGAATATAAACGTAAATATCCAACAACAAAGGTTTGGATTTGTAAACACACCAGAATACTATAGAGTTTCTTTTTATTTTTTTTGGGGGGGGGGATGGATTTTCCCTCTTGTGGCCCAGGCTGGAGTGCAATGGCACGATCTTGGCTCACTGTAACCTCCACCTCCCGGGTTCAAGAGATTCTCCTGCCTCAGCCTCCCAAGTAGCTGGGATTACAGGCATGTGCCACCATACCTGGCTAATTTTTTTGTATTTAGTAGAGACGGGGTTTTGCCATGTTGGCCAGGATGGTCTCGAACTCCTGACTTCAAATGATCCGCCCACCTCAGCCTCCCAAAGTGCTGGGATTACAGGTGTGAGCCACCGTGCCCAGCCAGAATTTCTTAAAGCAATGATGTAGCTGCATATTTATACACAGGAAAAAATTCACAATGCAAATTAAGTGGGTGAAGTAAGGAAGAGAATATGTGTAACATGGTATCTCTCACTCAGTATATCTGCAAGGGTATATTGGAAAATGTTAACAGGGATTATCTTTGGATGATAGGGGTATATTTTTAAACAATGATAATTAGAATAATTCTTATTATAGGTGTTACTATTCATTGTGCTCTATGAGCTCTGTATGTGTCTGTGCTAGGCTCACAGACCTGCACCCATTCTGAACACAGTGCAGCTCCATGAGGCAGGTATTACTGCATGATTAGGACTTCAAGCATGGGGTTGACCTGGAAAGAATGATGGAGGAAACAGGAAGGTGCATAACTTTGATAAATACCCACTCTGTGCCAGACACTTAATGGACATCATCACACTGAATCTTGCACTAATTATTCAGAAAAAAAAAATACCTCTCATTCATATGTGTGAAAATTGGAGCTCAGAGAGGTTGAACAACTTGCTCAAGGCCACCCAGCTTGCAAGTGGGACCTGTCTGATTCCAAAATGCACATACTCTCCACCTTGCTCTATTGCCAGGAGTGTCTACTTCTCATAAGCAACGAGGCCATGTCCAAACCCACCGACAAGCAAAGATTGCAGTAGTTTTGAGGGGCTTTTAATCATCTAGTCCAGCCTAACCTTACAGTGAAGTTGGAGGCAGAGTCCAGGACCTTCTTAGCCTTGCTCCAAGCTCTGCTTCTGTCCTGTGGGATAGTAGTGATCCCCATCCCTGCCTCTGACTTTGGAAATAGATACATGGAAGTCATACCAACTTTACATAGCTGTGAAACTGACTCTAGACCTCCATTTTGCAAGTCGCTTCCCCTCTTGATGTCTCAGTTTCCTTGCTCACAAAGTGGAGTTAATAGTAACACCCACCTTTATGGGGTTTTCAATGTTTATAAATAATATTTGCAAAACACTTGGCACAGAGTAGGCACTTAACATATAAAGAGAATTTCTTCTGCTTTGTTTACTCATCCTGAAAATACAGGAGTAATAACATGAAGGGAATATATACTCTTAGTGAAGCAAGTGACACAGGCTAGGCCAATATGCATGCATTTTGGAGCCCCAAGGAAAAGCGCTTCAGGTTTTCTTTGTCAAATTAAAATCAGTTCCATCTTAAAATTCCCCTCTGCAAACATTTGGAAAGATGGTATTTAATTGATCATAACATCCTCAGACTCTCAGGCAGGCTCTTTCCTCCTCTTGCTCATCACCACTGATTACTCAAGGTATTTTTATGTAAACAGAAAATGGCTCCTGCATAATTAGACCCATCCACCTCCACACTCGCTGCTCTTTCTTTGCTTCTAGCCTCTTGGAGCCGCCCAGTCACCTCTGAGGCTAATCAGCTGAAGGTCTATGCATCTGCTGAGCTCTGAAGGTTCCAAGAGGGCTGTAGAGGGGCCATAGACAATGACTGCAGAGGCTGTCATCTGGGGCTGTAAAGGCTGCTGAGAAAAACACATAGCCCTGCAACTCCGATTTTTCCCTCTTGGTTCCCTCCAGTACATCCCCCTGTTCCCAGTGTCCTGTGCTACCTGTTGCACACATCAGGGAGACATTCTTTTTCCAAACTTAGCAGCCTTGTCTCCCATCCCTGACTTTCTCTTAGCTAACTCCAGACAAGAAAGGGTTAATCTTAAAATAACCAAATCTCTGTATATGGATGACATCTATGTAATGTGTGCCTTCCATGGTAGCTTCCTGGGTATATGCAGGACTGGAATTCTTCGTTTCCATCTTGTTCTTCCTGCACACCCTCCACCCCCTGACCCTGATAGACCACATCATAGGTCTCAATGACATCACTGAAGGCAGGGAGTGTATCGTATCATATTGTCTTCTCATCCCCCATGTTTGGCATAGTTCTGAGAGTTAGTTGGTGCTCTGTTTGGGAACTTCAGGTTCAGCTGAGAAGGCATGGGAATGCTGAGAAATAAGTCCACAGAGGTAAGTAAAGTTAGAGCGTTGAAAGGTTTGGACTTTATCTTGCAGGCACTGAGGAGTTTTAAGGGTGAAATAATCAGATTTGTGTTTCAGGAAGCTCACTTTGGCTGCCAAGTGGAGAGCAGACAAAGGGGAACAGGAAGACTATTAGAAGGCTGTTAAAATAATTCCAGAGACCTGCAGCCTAAACTAGGGGGTGGGAGCTTTCCTTCATCCCCCCAATGTTTTTGCAGCCACATGTGCCTACTCCAGGCAGATGCCGTTGGGAGGTGCAGTTGGTACTCAACCTGCACTCCCTAGGCCTCAGTTGTCTGCCGCAGTTCTTGGATGCTCTGATGACTTCCAGTAGGCTGTGATGCTTTCCAGTATCTCTCAGCCTGAGGGTGTCCATGGGCCATGGTAGTGTGCTTGATACCTCTCAGAGCAGGTAGAAAGCACCGGAGGAGTGACACTTCATGAGTGTTCCTCAACCCGTGAGGACAAATACCCCAGCTTCCTTGATCCTTGGAGGGACAATTCTGAAGCATATTCTACATTATCTACTAGAAGTATCGTGAAGGATTAAACCCCAACAGTCCATGGAGAGTGACCAGCTCATTAAGATATCCTGGATTGCCATCTTCCCTTCTCTGTCTGACTTCCCCACTTCTTCACAATGCTTCCTGGGATCACTCCCAAAAAAACTCTTTGAACCCAAATCCTTGTCTCAGAGTCTGTTTTTAAAGGAACCCGAACTATGACATTAGCATTTTACTATAATTTCGTATTACATGGATAAATGGATAAATACACAAACGTTGTCCGGGTGTGGTGGCTCAAGCCTGTAATCCCAGCACTTTGGGAGGCCGAGGCAGGCGGATCACGAGGTCAGGAGATCGAGACCATCCTGGCTAACACAGGTGAAACCCTGTCTCTACTAAAAATACAAAAAAATTAGTCCCAGCTACTCGAGAGGCTGAGGCAGGAGAATGGCGTGAACCTGGGAGGCAGAGCTTGCAGTGAGCCGAGATCGTGCCACGGCACTCCAGCCTGGGTGACAGAGTGAGACTCTGTCTCAAAAAAAGAAAAAAAAAAATACACATTTTCATTCATTCATTCATTGATGCTATCCCTTTTACTTGACTTTTTAACATCAACGATTCCTTTAAGAATGGCACATTTGCTTTCTGGGGCACTAAGTCCCGCTCAAACTTGTTCAGGCACAGCATTTAGTCAGTGCATGGACCCCAAATATTAAAATGAGGCATGGAAATGCACCTGGTTTTAAATATCCAAAGTCAAGGTGCAAGGGGTTATGAGAAAATGGAATGCCCACTTCAGCAGGTGCCACATATTGGCTCTGCTCAGTAATATTAAGACAGGACCCAGCAGTGGGCAAATGTAAGGGACCCATTGAAGGTGCTATCACTTAAGCTTCCTTCACCTGGGAGAGTGTACATGAATTGTCTAAAAAGAGTAAACTTTATGGCTGGTGGAGAGTTCATATTATTTCTTTTTTTCTTAGAAAATATTCTGGTCTTAAAAAAAAAAGTGATCTCAAATTACCTCAACTGTAGTGGCAAAGGACTGCTCTGTATTTAAAGTTTATTGTGAAAATTTGGAGGGCTGGGATAGGAAGCTGCCAGCCATGAGTAAGCGTATGGTTTTTCACCAGGGGTGACTTTGCTTCCAGGGGACACTTGACAATGTCTAGAGAAATTTCTGGTTGTTACAACTTGTGTGTGGGGGGTGTGTTACTGGCATCTCATGAGTAGAGGCCAGGGATGCTGCTCAACATCTACAGAGCAGCTAGATTATCTCGTCTCAAAGGTCAATCGTGTTGAGATTGAGAAACCCTGCTTTAGAGGAATCACTTATCCTAGCTTCTATTTTTTCCCCTAGGCTTGGGGAGGGAAGGACTTGAATCATGGGGCATATCTAGGGATTCCAGCATGGGGCAGTAGAGGATGGTATAAATCCCTGTGCCTGCCTTTGCCTGGGGGTAAAGTGGTAGTGGTGAAACAGGAAAAATTCCCTTATCCCCCTCTCGGGGTGTGCGATGGGGGTGTGGCTCTCTTCTTCAGTGCCCCACAGCTTAAACCCCTAGAGGGAGCATGCAGATGAGCAGGTCGTGGGGAGCGCGGGCTCCGACCCCACAGCAGCATCTAGGGTTGAATGTTTATAGCTCCCGAAGCCCCAGTGGGCGTGTGGTACAGTGTGCTCTTTCAGCGTAGCTGTCCACAGGCAGCTTGTGTTAATCAGCTCAATTAGACCCTCTGCCTTATCACAGGGACAGAGGGCTTTCTTTACCCTAGGTTCTTGCCCCAGTGTCCTGGAAGAATCAGATCACACTTGGGCTTGGATGATGGGTGCAAGGTTTTATTGGGTGAAGGTAGCTCTCAGCAGATGAATGGAGAGCCAGCAGCGGGTGGTGTGGAAAGGTGATCTTCCCCTGGAGTCAGAATGCTCAGCAACTGGACTCCCCTCCAACCGCCCCCAACTGAATTCTGCATTGTCCTACCGTAGATGGCCTGCCGGCGTCTACTGGTGTCTGCTGGTGTGTGCTTCTGCCAGTGTGTTCCTCTCAACCTCCAGCTGTTTGTGTCTGTGTCTGCTAGGGTCTTGGGGTTTTTATAGTTACAGGATGGGGCATTTGGCAGGTTAGAGTGGTCTTAGAAAATGCACCATTTGGGCACGAAAACAGGAGTGGCTGTCCTCACCTAGGTCCGTGGGCACAGGCCCAAGGGTGAATCCTTTGCCAGGGACCCTGCCCTTCTTTACCCAGCACTTCCCTGCCCCAACTCCCATATCAGTGGTGGGAACACGGGGCCATTGGCATTGCTAAGGGCCTTATTTCAAATTGGTCTCAACAATGGGATGGTTTAAAAGCAACTAAAGCTTACTTAAAAAGGAAACTTGATATCATTACCATAAATAAGAAAAACCCAGAGTCACTTGCCTTAATTAGAAGGTAATCACAAAATAAATCCAATGAAAGTAATAAAATATTATTGAATACGGGGGAGTTGAGCAGGCTGGAAATCAGGAAGCCTTAGGAGAGTCCCATTATCTCTCCAGGCTTCGATTTGCTCAGCTATCAAATGAGATTTGGTTAAAATAGTGTTTCTCAAAGACTGGTAAGGGCAGTACATTTTGTGCAAAGGAGGTAATATATAGCTGTGTGCAGAGGCAGCATTAAGTAACAGTGAAATACTTGGTGAGAAATTGATCCCTTTTTTCAATGTTCTTTTAGTCCCTCCAAACGTAACAAGGAGAAAGTCTCAGTTGGGGTGCTAACATGTCTTTAACACCTTTTGGACCCTTGCTAATTTCCCTTTTGGCAAAAGACACAGCAGTCCACAGGGTCAGGGCATTTGTCAGGTCACCATTCTCAGTATTTAGTAACATTCTATAATTTCATTGTACTTATTTTATGATTGCCTTCTATTCATGTAAAGTGGTACTAGTTTTCCATTTTAGTGGTATTATAGAAATTTTGTCTTGAAATACATCTATGTAAGTTCTGTAAGTGAATCAATTTAATAATATTAAATAAAAATGAACAGGTAGTATGTAAAAATGGTAAAGATTATGACATTAGCAGATACCATAATGCAAGGCAGTCAGGTTGTCCTTCTTCCAGGGATAACCTTAAAATCACTGTATTTGTTTTTTTACTTGCAAAGTTAATAATTTGCAAATAAATTGCAAATATCTATGCTTTAAATATTACCTTAAAATTACACAGGACTCTCTTAAAGTGAGCCAGTTGACATGTCTAAATGCTTCCAGCTCTATTAACCACTCATCCCTCCTCTGACTCATTTTACAGTATCTTTTGTGAGAAGCACTATATCTACACCTAACTCAGTACTTGATACAAAGTAGGCACTTAATAGGTGCTTGTTGAAGAAATATATGCAGCCAAGTAATAAAAAAGGAAGTTTTCAGTTGCTGTTGACAGAAAATCCAACTCAGACTGGCTTGACAACAACAAAAAGACAGAGAAATGTTCAGAGGTAAGGGGGGTTGTAGCATGGGTCCAGAGGTGTATGATATGATCTTGGCTGTGACTTCATTTCTCTAGTCTTCTCAGATCTGCCATTCTTTGTGTCCTTGTCCTCTGGGGGAGATTTGCATTACGGTAGAAAAAATAGCTGCTGAGATCTCATTCTCAGACACCACAAATCCAGAGGAAGAGAGCATCTTGTCTCCAATATTCCAAGGAATTGTTTTGAGATTCACTCCAATTGGACCATTTTGGGTCACATGTCAACCCCAGAACCAATCACTGAGGCCAGAGGGATGAAATCCATTGATTGGTTTCTCCTGGGTTACATGTCCCATGCCTGCATCCAGGGATGGTACCATCTTCCCCAGAGTAACATGAGTTCTCAGATGGGAATTGAGAGCTGTTAGGAAGGTTAAGTTGGGAGGGGAGGGAATAGATGCTAGAAAGCATGAACACGTGATGGATGCCCCCTCCATCCATGAATGACAGCTGACATTGATAGAGCCCATGCTGGTTCATGAACCATTTGTTATTTTCCAGGATGAGATGAAAAGAGTAATTGAGGGTAAGCATTTAGAAACTTTGTGAGAAGTTCAATATTTGTACAGCATCCAAGTGTGTGATGAGTGGACTCATCTTGTTGAACAGGGTTTAGACCACAAGCGTTGGCTTATGAAGCATGGGAAAAAATTAGTCTTTCATAATAGATTATTTGAGAAGTGCAGGTGTAGAAGCTGTGTCTTGCAGCTTGTCCACTGTTAGAAGATTGGTTTCCATGTTCAGCTGGAATGGGGATAAGGTGTGTCTGGTTGAAAGGAGAGCTGAAAATAGTAATAATAGCTACATTGGTGAGAAATTGATCATTTCAATTACAAATGGAAATCACCATAGCCCGTCATCCAGTCTCTCTGCACAAAGATTAAAAGTGAAGGCTTTGGAATAAGAGAGACTCAGGTTCAAACCTTACTTCCAACATTTTCTAGCTGTGCCATAAAGTACTAGGATAAAGTACTAGGAGTGTTGGAGCCTCAGTTTTCTCCTCTGTAAAATGGAACTAACACTCAGGTTGCTGTACAGACTAGTGCCTGATTAGTGGTCACTCTTTCATAGGAACTTTCTTGAGCTGTAGATAGAGGTAAGGGGGATGATATCACTCCTGTTTTGTGATTAAAGAATCGAAGAACTGAGAGGCTGTTTGTTCCTAATAATCTATTTTCCATTCACTTTTTTTTTTTTTGAGACAGGGTCTCGCTCTGTCACCCAAGGTTGGAGTGCAATGGTATGATCAGGGCTTACTGCAGCCTTGGCCTCCCAGGCTCAGGTGATCCTCCCACCTCAGCCTCCCAATTAGCTGGGATCACAGGTGTCCGCCATCATGCGTGGCTAATTTTTTAATTTTTTGTAGAGATGGGGTTTCACCATGTTGCCCAGGCTGCTCTCAAACCCCTGAGCTCAAGCAATCCACCCTCCTCGGCCTCCCAAAGTGTTGGAACTACAGGCGTGAACCACTGTGCCCTGCCTCCACTCACTTTTATCTTAGGCTTTTGTGATTGGGATGTAGATAGAAAGTCTGAACTAAATTCCTTAGATTTATGCATGACTACTGGGTTCATTGAGAAATTTGGGTGTGAATTGGCCTGATGTCAAGATATTATGAGCATCCTGATTTATCTGGAGATGCTTCCAAACACTAACAGGTGATTATTACAGATCGCAAGATGCCAAGTAACCATAAGAAGAAGAAAACATATAAGGATTGAGAATGACTAGGGGTGAAGTCAACATTTGTAGGCCTCTTGTCTCTTCTGATAATGCCTTGGTTTACTACTTATTATGGAATGTGGGTTGCTATCATGACAAAAGAGGTAACGGGGATTGTGCAAAGTGAGCTTGTAGATTAAGCTTCACAAAACTTGGTTTAAGTTTCTTCCTGGGAGTTTAGCTTGAAACATCTCATTGACAGTTGTCCTGATAGCAGAGATTTTCCTGAGGGCTATAGAGATTTTAAAAGTTTTTGCTACCAGGATTGCCCTTTGTCCTTAATATCCATACCTGGTGAGAATAGGTCCCGATTCTTCTGAAACTGATTATTATTTTCTTGGGACTAATATTTCAAAGAACATTCCATGGTCAGGCCTGAAATCACTGCAGGGAGCATTATAGAGAAAGACTAAGAGCTACTCCTGGAACCAGGGGTTATATGGTTTGTCTGTGTCCACCCCAAATCTCATCTTGAATTCCCATGTGTTGTGGGAGGGACCCAGTGGGAGATAATTGAATCACGGGGGCACATCTTTCCCATGCTGTTCTTGTGACAGTGAATAAGTCTCATGAGATCTGGTGGTTTTCTAAAGGGGAGTTTCCCTGCACATGCTCTCTTTTTTTGCCTCCTGCCATCCATGTAAGACGTGACTTGCTTCTCCTTGCTTTCCACCATGATTGTGAGGCCTCCCCAACCATGTGGAACTGTAAGTCCATTAAACCTCTTTCTTTTGTAAATTGCCCAGTCTCGGGTATGTCTTTATCAGCAGCGTGAAAATGGACCAATACAAGGAGTAACTGAAGAATAAAAGTCACCACAGTCTTGTGTTCCAACCAGAGATATTCCTCTCATATGCAAAGGCAAGAGGTCAAAAAGGGCTTTCTTTTTCTTTTCTTTTCTTTTTTTTTTTGAGACAGGGTCTCACTCTGTTGCCCAGGCTGGACTGCAGTGGCATGATAATGGCTCACTGCAGCCTTGACCCCCTGGTCTCAGGTGATCCTCCCACCTTGGCCTCCTGAAGTGCTGGGATTACAGGCATGAGCACCATGGCTGGCCAAAATGGGCTTCCTTTTTGATGGAGTGATCTGCTGTCAGAGGTTTACTTTAAAATACTCTCAAGAGTGGGATACTGACAAAGCAAGCTTGGCCAAATGTGATGGGTACATGAGATTATCTATGCTTTTTTGTGTTTGAGATTTTCATGAATACAAAGTTAGAAAATAGGCTACAGAGTTTCAATTTTCCACTGTATAAACAACACAGCATTAAATATCAGTCGTTCAGTAAATAATTATGGAGAATCAACTATATACTCTTTGGTGCTGACCTTTGGGTGACCCACCAAAGAAGATGGGACAGATTCCTATCTAGTCACCCTTAATGAAGAGATCCATTGGTTGAAGTATCCTGCTTGTAGGTAAAACATTCCAATTAGCTTTCTAGTTTTTAAATCTATTCATATGTCTGGACATATTAGGACTGGACAAGACTTAAGTAAATTGTAACATGAAAATACAGATACCAAAGTTAACAAACAGAAATGAGAAACTTGGAGAAAGCAGAGATGACATAGGAACAGAAAATAAAGTAAAATAGAAACAAAAGAAATACTTAATATCCTTGTAGAGTTAAGAGAAGATATTACATCCATGAAATAAGAAAAGAATATCACCAAAAGGGATAATGAGAGTTAAGAATGAGTTACTGAAATAATTTAAAAGAACACGAGTGTTTGTTTTACTATAAATAATTCAGGTTACATATTTGTTCTGTGCACTTTTCTATATGTATGTTTACAACCTACAATGATTAAAGGTAGAATAAAATGAATTATACTGCTAAAAAAATCAATAGAAATGTTGTAAAGTTGAAGAAATCTCCCATAAAGTAGAACAAAAAATGAAGAGCTGGAAAATAAAAGGGAAGAGGTAAGAAAATTAGAGACTTGGTCTGAGATTCAAAACAGGAGTAAGTGAGTCATAGAGTTAGAAAACAGAAAAAAAAAAGTGGAGAGAATGAGATAATCAAAGTACAAGAGAATATCCAAGAACTACAGCATATGAGACTACAGATTAGGAGGGTCTATTGAGTAATCTGTATCCTAAAGGGGAAAAAATATCCACACAAAGGCACAACATTATGATATTTTTAAAACAGAGGGGATAAAAGGAAAATCTTAAAAGTGACTAGAGGCCAGGCATGGTGGCACACGCCTATAATCTCAGCACTTTGGGAGGCTGAAGCAAGAGGATTGCATGAGGCCAGGAGTATGGGACCAGCCTGGGCAGCATAGTGAGACCCCCATCTCTATAAAAAATTAAAAATTAGCCAGTTGTGGTGGCACGCACCTGTAGTCCCAGTTACTCAGGAGGCTGAGGCAGAGGATTGCTTGAGCCCAGGAAGTTGAGGCTGTAGTGAGTCATTATCATGTCACTGCACTTCAGCCTGGGTGACAGAATGAGACCCTGTCTCAAAAAGAAACAAAAAAAAAGGTGACCAGAAATGAAATTTTAAAATAGCATAGGTCACATATATTGTGTGTTAGTCTATTCTCACACTGCTATAAAGAATTACCTCAGACTGGGTAATTTGTGAAGAAAAGAGGTTTAATTGACTCACAGTTCCACAGGCTGTACAGGAAGCGTGATTGGAGAGGCCTCAGGAACTTACAATCATGGCAAACGGGCAAAGGGGAAGCAAGCACATGTTCACATGGCCAGCAGGAGAGAGAGAAAGTGAAGGGGAGAAGTGCTACACACTTTCAAAACAACCAGATCTCATGATAACTCATTCACTATTGTGAGAACAGCAAGGGGGAAATCTGCCCACATGATCCAATCACCTCCCACCAGGTCCTTCCCCCAACATTGGGGATTACAATTCAACATGAGATTTGGGTGGGAAGACAGAGCCAAATCATATCATTCCACCCCTGGCCCCTCCCAAATCAATCTCCTGCCCTTCTCATATTTTAAAACACAGTCCTGCTTTCCCAACAGTCCCCTGAAGTCTTAACTCATTTCAGCATTAGGTCAAATGTCCTAGTCCAAAGTCTCATCTGAGACAAGGCAAGTCCCTTCTACCTATGAGCCTATAAAATCAAAAACAAGTTAGTTACTTTCAAGATACAATAGAGGTACAGGGATTGAGTGAATACTCCTGTTCCAAAGGGAGTAGTTGGCCAAAACCAAGCAGCTACAGGCCCCATGCAAGTCCAAAAAACAGCAGGGCTGTCATTAAGCCTTAAGGCTCTGAAATCATCTCCTTTGACTTTGTGTCTCACATCCAGGGCATGCTGATGCAAGGGGTGGACTCCCAAGGCCCTGGGCAGCTCTGCCCTGTGGCTCTGCAGGGTGCAACCCCCATGGCTGCTTTCATGGGCTGGCATTGAGTACCTGTGGTTTTAACAGGTACACAGTGCAAGCTGTTGGTGAATCTACCATTCCGGGGTCTGAAGGATGGTGACCCTCTTTCCACAGCTCCACTAGACAGTACCCCAGTAAGGACTCTGTGTGGGTGCTCCAACCCCACATTTCCCCACTGCACTGCCCTAGTAGATGTTCTCCATGAAGGCTCTGCCCCTGCAGCAGACTTCTGCCTGAACATCCAGGCATTTCTATACATCCTCTGAAATCTAGGCAGTCTCCCAAGCCTCAACTCTTGCCTTCTGTGCACCTGCAGGCCCAACACCACATGAAAGCTGCCAAGACTTGGGGCTTGCACCCTCTGAAGCAATGGCCTGAGCTGTACCTTGGCTCCTTTTAGCCACAGCTGGAGCTGGAGCAGCTGGGATGCAGAGCATCCTGACCTGAGGTGGCACAGAGCAGAGGGGCCCTGAGCCCAGCCCACAAAACTATTTTTCCTTCCTAGGCCTCCAGGCCTGTGACGGGAGGGGCTGCCATGTAGGTTTCTGAAAGGCCTTGTTGGCATTTTCCCCATTGTCTTGGCTATTAACATTTGGCTTCTCTTTACTTATGCAAATTTATGCAGCCTTGAACTCCTCCCCAGAAAATGGTTTTTTCTTTTCCACCACATGGTCAGGCTGCAAATTTGCCAAACTTTTATGTTCTTCTTCCCATTTAAATATAAGTTCCAATTTCAGACCATCTCTTTGTGAACACATATGAGCATATGCTATTAGAAGCAGCAAGCACATGGCCAGCAGGAGAGAGGGGAAGTGAAGGGGGGAAGAGCTACACACTTTCAAAACAACCAGATCTCATGAGAACTCACTATCATGAGAACAGCAAGGGGGAAATCTGCCCCCATGATCACTTCCCATCAGGTCCTGCCCCCAATATTGGTGATTATAATTCAACATGAGACTTGGGTGGGGACACAAAGCCAAACCATATCACCTTGGTATGTGAGAATAAAAATTTTACTGGCATCAGTAATATTCAAAGATTGAAGTAAATGCATCAATGCTTTCAGTATTCATAGTAAATGTTATTTTCAATGTTCAATTATATATCTAGGGAAACTGTCTGTTGAGTTCAAGGATGGAAGAAGGATATTTTAAGATCTGCAAAGTATCCAATATTTCCTAAGTACCTTTCTCAAAATGTTGCTAAAGGAAGTGTTCCAGGAAAACAAGTGGGAAATCCAAAAAAGTGACAGGATATTTGGATAGGAGATCCAGGAGAGAAGTGAAAGCCTCAGGACAATTACAAAGGAAAATCCGAAGACAATAGTCATGCTTCAGGCCTTAAATGAAACCAATTCATTTTGAAGCAGGAGAATGGAGAGTCCAGGAAAAGAGAAGGAGAGCAAGAGGAACAAGGGACACTGAGGAGAAGGAGGAAGAGGAGGAGAAAGGAAAAAAGAAAAGGAAAGAAGAAGAATGAGGAAAGAAAGACAAAGAGGTAGGGAGGATGTGAGAAAGGGAGGAAGAGAGAAGGGGATGGGGCAGGGTGAAGAGAAAGGAAGGAAGGATGGCAAGAAGGGAGGGAGGAAAGTAGGAGCTGGTAGATTTTATGATGCTTTTGAGCAGGTGGAAAAATAGTATTGAGATTTTTGCATTGTAGATTTTAGGAGTAACTAATAATAAGTACATAGTAAATAAAAGCAAGAGGAAATTATTATTATTGTTTTAGATTCAGGGAGTACATGTGCAGGTTTGTTACATGAGTATATAATGCAATGCTAAAGTTTGGGCTTCTAATGATCCCAGCATCCACATAGTGAACATAGTGCCCAGTAGGTAGTATTTTTGGCCCTTGCCTCCCTCTCTGCCTCCCCACTTTTGGCATCCCCAGGGTTTATTGTTCCCACCTTTATGTCTGTGTGTACCCAATGCGTAGCTCCCATTTTTAAGTGAGAACTTGTGGCATCTAGTTTTCTGTTCTTCTGTGAATTTGCTTAGGACAATGGCCTCCAGCTGTACCCATACTGCTGCAAACGACATGATTTCATTCTTTTTTTTATGGCTGCATAGTATTCCATGGTGTATGTGTGCCACATTTTCTTTATTCAATCTATCATTGATGGGCACCTGGATTGATTCCATGTCTTTGCTATTGTGAATAGTGCCATGATAAACATGTGGGTACAAGTGTCTTTTTGGTAGAATAGTTTATTTTCCTTTGGGTATATACTCAGTAATGGGATTGCTGGGTTGAATGGTAATTCTATTTTTAGCCCTTTGAGAACTCTCCAACTGCTTTCCACAGTGGTCGAACTAATTTGCATTCTCACCAACAGGTATAAGCCTTCTCTTTTCTCTGCAACCTCATCAACATCTGTTATTTTTTTAGTTTTTGATGCTAGCCATTCTGACTGGCATGAGATGGTATCTCGTTGTGGTTTTGAGGCAATTATTATCACTAGAAAAAACAAACAAACAAAAGACAAGAAAAGACATGTAATCATAGTACAATACTTACCTAAGGAATTAACATTATTTACTTGATTCTTATAATAACACTATTTATTAGTTTAAACAAAAATTGAGATATTATGAGGAAGAATTTGGGGTGGGGGAGAGAAAGAGAGAGAGAGTTAGATTATGTGAGTGAGGGGTCATGATGTAAAATAATTAAAATTTTTCTTCCATAGAAAAATAGAAAATATAATAGATGATGCTTACAGTTGATAACTCAATAAATAGTAGTATCAGTGTGTTACTTAAAATGTGGAAATGAATACCAGAAAAGGCAGCCTAAAATACTGAATGTGGTTGCCTCTGTGGAGCAAGATTAGGGGCTGATGTTGCATATGGACATACATGAGATTGCTGAAATTTTGTTATACTTTTTTTTTTCTTTGAGATGGAGTCATGCTCGGTCACCAGGCTGGAGTGCAGTGGCGCAATCTCAGCTCACTGCAACCTCCGCCTCCCAGGTTCAAGCGATTCTCCTGCCTCAGCCTCCTGAGTAGCTGGGACTACAGGCGTGCACCACCACATCCAGCTAATTTTTGTATTTTCAGTAGAGACGGGGTTTCACCATATTGGCCAGGATGGTCTCGATCTCTTGACCTCATGTTCTGCCCACCTCGGCCTCCCAAAGCACTGAGATTACAGGCGTGAGCCACCGCACCCAGGCTGTTATAAGTTTTATAACAAAATTGCAATCAGTCTAGACAAAAGCCTGCCCCATTACTCCTTTCTTCCCTCCCTCCTACCTTTTCTCCCCACTTCCCAGAGGAACTTGATTAATCCATTAGGTTTCACCTCTCTTTAACTTCCTGATTAGTTACATTTATAAACTCCATTTGTTTTTGCTTTCTCATCAAGCCAAACCAACACCCCCAGAAAAAAAATACATGTACATAGCTTCCTACTATGCACATGTATTAGTCTTGTTAAAATAAAATTATTTAAAAGTTTAAATATCCTACATCACAGACTACAGGGAGAAAATGGAAGCAAGGAAATATCTTGAGTATTTCACTTTGCCGATAAAAACATATGATCCCTTAGCTTCAGCTTTTACTTTTTTGTTGTACTTTGTAGCTTTGTTACTCAACTAGGAGATGGAAATTACAGAATTTATTAATCTGCTTCATTAACAGGCTTGGTATTTTGCCACTTTGGCCAAATTTGGGATCCTGCCATCACTGAGTTTTCTCTCTTTCTGTTAAAGCTTCTTTTCCGTTCGCAAAGATACCTGCAATGTGAAAAGGGGGAGTTGAAATTCTAGTCATGTTTCTCCTCGGTTCGGTCTGATTTTCAGAAATTGCAGTAAATCAGTGTCACTGAAAATTGGCCTTTTTTTTTTTTTCCCTGGGGGTGTTGGTTTGGCTTGATGAGAAAGCAAAAACAAATGGAGTTTATAAATGTAACTAATCAGGAAGTTAAATAGAGGTGAAACCTAATGGATTAATCAAGTTCCTCTGGGAAGTGGGGAGAAAAGGTGGGAGGGAGGAAAGAAAGGAGTAATGGGGCAGGCTTTTGTCTAGACTGATTGAATAAGCCCTTCCGTGGAGTCAGCTCTGAGCGTCTGGGTTTTTTTTGTTCCCTCTCTCTTCTTGTCTATCCTTTCTTGTGAGGGCATGGAGAGCCACCCAAAAGTAGCAGCCTGCTGTGCTGAGTGGAGAGAAGGTACCAGTTGCTAGAAGACGTTGGCTTTGATTTCTACTCTGCCTCTTACTATAGTTGTGTAACCTTAGAGAAATGCCTTTACTCTTTGAGCTGATGTCATGCCCATCTATAAAACTGGGGTGAAGATTCCAATTTTCCAACATTCTAAAGCTTTTAAAGGCCAACAGAGATCATATTGCAGAATGCAGAGCTGGAGGTGGAGATGGAGAGGGAAGATTGGCCAGCACCTGCAAAGGCCTTGAAGTGAGATGGGCAAAGGTGATAGTGAGTTTAGATGAAACGGGTAATCTGGGGTCAAAATAATGAAAATCAGTGTAGTTCACGTTAGGGATTTTCATCTTTATCTTGAGAGCTGTAAGAACACCTTGAACTATTTTAAAAATGGCAAAGAGGCTTGAGATCATCAGGTTTGTGTTTTGAGATCATTCTTGTGAAGAAAAGTTCCAGGGTTCCATGTGTCCTTTGTATCTTGGTGGCTCTCACATCTTTAGCTCTGGCTCACACCTTTATTTCAAGTTTCATACATGTTTATTCAACTGTCTATAGGACAACTCTCACGAATGTTTCCTAAGCACTCAAACCCAGCATGTATCAAACTGAACTCTTGATCTTCCTCCCCAATCCTGACTCTCCTCCACTGTCCTCTCCACACTGTATTTATTTTAAATGGAAACTGTAGCAGAAACTGCTAGTTGCGTCTTCCTTCTTCTTAGTAATAGAATCTTGGGCAATATGCCTAGCAAAACACTATGTTTCTACATTTCCCAGACTGTCCCACAGCTGGAAGTGACTGAGTTCTAGCTGATGAGATGTAAGTGGAAGCTTTGCTTCCAGGAAAGCTCTTTAAAGGAGCTCCATTTTGCACTTCCACTTATTCTCTTTCTTATACCCTGAAACATAGGTGTGATGGCTGGAACTCCTGCAGCCACCTTGGACCCTGAGGATAGAACAAATGTGGCAGAGTAGTTAATAGATAGAACCAAGTATTGAAGAGCTTCTAAACAGGCTTGGACTATCTACCGTCAGATGACTTTCACCTGAGGAAAAACAAATTCTTCTTGCTGTTTAAGTCATTATAATTGGATTTATTGTTCCTCACAGATGAAACGAATCCTAAGTGATAGGATTCTGGAAATTCTCCCCTAAATCTACTCTTATACAAAGTTCTGCATTCTGGCTATCTCTTCAGTACATCTCCTTCTTTTATTCTTGTCTGAGTCACATCATCTTTTGCTGGGGTGATTGTAACAACCTCCTTACTGTCCCTCAGCTTTCAAGCCCCTCCCCACCAATGCCCATGCTCAAAGAATTTCTACCTTTTAGGTAAAAAGACATTCTAGAACTCAATTATGACTCTGCTACTTCTAGGGGAATCGTGGAATTATGGGCACTGAAAATGTAGAGCTTACAGGGCCCTTAAAGTTCATTTAATTTTGAATTTCTTACTTGTTGGTTTGGCTTGATTAAAAAAAAAAGCAAATGGAGTTTTCCATGGGCCTCTTGTGATTGTATATAAATTATTCAATATATAAAATACGGAAGGCTGTGCACAGTGGCTCACACATGTAAGCCTAGCACTTTGAGAGGCTGAGGTGGGAGGATCGCTTGAAGTCAAGAGTTCGAGACCAGCCTGGCCAATATGGCGAAATCCCGTCTCTACTAAAAATGCAAAAATTAGCTGGGAGTGGTGGTGGGTGCCTGTAATCCCAGGTCCTCAGGAAGCTGAGGCAGGAGAATCGCTTGAACCCAGGAGGCGGAGATTGCAGTGAGCTGAGATTGTGGCACTGCACTCTAGCCTGGTCCACAGAGCGAGACTCTGTCCCAGAAATATATATCTATATCTGTAGATATAGATTATATAGAGAAATGGACCTCTCTGGAGAAGATGCAGAGTTTTCAGCAGATTCTCATAGGCATTCAACAAAAATTAAGAATCTGGCAAGTCTATCCTCCTCATTTTATAGATGGGGAAACTGAGGCACACAGCAGTTAAGTGACGTGTCCAAGGTCACAAAGAGACTCAGTGGCAGAGCTGGAACACAGACTAGTGCTCTCTTCTCCACAAAAGTGCGGCCAACTGACAGTCAAGGCAGATGCTGAGACCTCATATTTCTCTCGAGGACTGAGTGTCTGTTTTCACTCAGCCTACTCTGGTTGGACTCACACTGATGAGCACTGGAATGTAATTAGTACCAGTGAATACCAAAAGCCTTAAGAGAGTTATTAATTATATACATTTCTGTTTACAGGAGAATAATACTGTTAGCTTCATTAAGCACCATTATCAGTGCATGATCTAATAGTTTCAACATAATGAAACTGGTACATTTCAGAGGAATGGAAGGAAATATTACACATCTGTAAATTGGATTATTCTGAGCTAGGAAGTCTTTGAGGTGGTGATAATAATTGTTCTGATAATCCTCACATCTAATTGGTACTGTGATTTACAGTTTACATATCTGTGAAGGTTGAATCAACTCCATCTTGGATGCTAATCTGCCATGTTAGCTTCTGATTAACCCGTTTTGGGAAAGCCTCTGAGATTTCCAGTTTATCTGTTGTTCGTCGTGTAAGAGGACTGTACTTCCTGCAAATCCTGCCCTCAGGGCAATTTCCTACCTATTCTCTGTGAAACATGTATGCCTCTCCCCTAGAGTATATAATCTCTGGGTCTGGAGGCTATTGGTGCCGCAGGGATCCACCATCTTGTCTTTCCACCACCCAAGACACAGGCATGGTTTCTGTTCCTAAGCCCCTATTAAATATTTCTTCCTAAGAAACTGGATTTGTCAGCCTCTTTCTTCAGCTTCTCAGCTTCCTCAGACTTTGGGGTAGGTTTGCATAGGCCTGCCCAAGGCAAAACAGTATTATTTTCACATACCTTATTATCTTATTTTATTCTTCCAGAAGTTCGGAGAGGACAGAGAAAACAGTGTACTAGTTAGGAATATTTTGGTTGCAAGCAACAGAAAAATCCAACTTAAAATACTAAGGAAAAAAGAAATGGGGAGAGGGGTCAATGAGAAGATTGTTGGCTCACATAACTGAATTGCCCTGTAATATTCTGATTCAGGAATGGTTTGATCGAGGAGTTCATGCTACCATTAAGGCTCTGGCTTTGTTCCTGGATGATTCTTTCAGCTGCCTTGTTGGCTTCCTCTTCAGGTTGACTCTTCCATAGTACAATATTTCTGGCCTCCTATTCTCATAGCCTCACATCACACTGCACAAAAAGCAGACAGATGCTTCTGGTAGGTCTTTTGGAAGATGGAGCACTTGTCTGTCCCAGAAACCTCAGAAAACCTTTTCACATGTCACATTAGTGTGAACTAGGTCAGATGCCCATCCTTCAACCAAACTACAGTGAACAAGGGATAGTAGGCACTTATTGGCTTAAGCCAATCCAGACCTACTCTAGAGCTGGGGGTGAGATCAATCTCGGTGAAAACAACAGAGCTGAAGATGGTGAGTAGTTACCTATGGAACCTACATCAAATCCTTAATTAATGTAGTTTCCTACGGAAAACGTTAAGTGCGTGGTAGGAAGGGGGGATATGATCTGGGGGAACAACCCAGTATTCCATCACACGGTGGTTCAGAAAGGTTAAGAGACATGTCAAAGTCACACAAATTATGACTGGTGGGATGAAAATAGAAAATTTTTGTCTCAAATCTTCTACCATAAACATGAGCCTTCCTTAGAAAACTGAAGGATTTTCCCACCATCCTCATACTTATCTACCATCTCTGTTCTTAGAAAAGCACCGGAAAACCCCTGGTATCATTCTGAGCCAGGAAATTCCTGTCCACGCCTGCTGAAGACACAGAGCCCAAACTCCAGATAATAGAGGAAGTGAGACTTGTTGACATTGTCCTTCATGCATAGAAATTCCCTCCAAGGCCGGGCATCGTGGCTCACACTTGTAATCCCAGCACTTTGGGAGGCCAAGGTGGGCAGATCCCTTGAGCTCAAGAGTTCAGGACCACCCTGGCCAACATGACAAAATCCTGTCTCTACAAAAATTAGCCAGGTGCAGTGGTGTGTGCCTGTAGTCCCAGCTACTTGGGAGGCTGACGTGGGAGAATCACTTGAGTTTGGGAGGCAGAGGTTGCAGTGAGCTGAGATTGCGCCCACTGCAGCCTGCCTGGGCTGTGGGAGTGAAAACCTGTCTCAAAAAAAAAAAAAAAAAAAAAAAAGAAAGAAAGAAAGAAAGAAAGAAATTCCTCTAATGTTGTCACAGGAAGTAGCTTGACAGAAGCAAGTCTCAGTTATTTTTTCACAGATCCACACCCTTCCAAGTCAAGTTGAGATTTAAAGTAGGCAAGTCCATTCCTCACATCACAAATCAAATCACCATGACGATGACCTCCCCAATCATGCTGCTTTCCCCAAGATTCCAATTCACTTTAATAAGAATCATCTCCTACCACGATGCCTGGAACTGGCCAACAGTACCTCTAGCTACCATGTCCTGAGTTCCTCTGAGCTATGGGCCGTGTACCAAAGTTCTTCCAACAATTTAAGCCAGGAATTGCCCCACTGTTTCCGAGGTGATGAGAGCCTCTGAGAGGTGAGATTCCACATCCCAAGTTGCACAGCTGGGGAGAGACAGTGTCAGGACAGTATCGCCTGTGCTGAGGTCTAGCTCCCCAGCTAGACTGAAGCTTTATGAGGATTTTATTCATTTCAAGTCTGGATCTCCTGGGGCAACCAGATTGTGCCCTTGATGTGCGATTGTTGTCAAAACAAGAGCAATCATTTATTGAGAACTTACCAGGTGTGAAGCCTTGTGCTAAAAGGATTTTATGTGCTTCGGGTGATTTAATTATTTTTCCCAGCCACCCCATGAGGTAGGTAATATGAGTATCTCTATTTTATGAATGAGGACACTGACTCAGAAAACTACAGTCGCTCCTCCAAAAATCACTCAAGTGGCAAATGTTGCAGGTGGGATTTCAGTCCATGTCTGTGATTCTCACCTGCCATACTGCTAAGCTAACCAGTTGCCCCATGCAAGAAGAACACACCTCGGTCGCATGTGGAAGCATGGGGAAGACAGTAGGTTGCATCATTCTCTGCTGCCTGGATTTGACAGCAGAACTCCCTTTCCTGTCGCCCGTCACTCATATCCAGGAATGAAAGCCTTGATTGAAAGGCTTGTCCAACAATACAGCTTTAACAGGGCCATCTGCTCAGGACACAGTAAGTAGTGACAGGAAACATCTGCTTTGGAAATGCCGGTGCTTCTGTTGATTGAAATGTACACACAGGAAAGCCGTCTTCCAGTCCGGGGGAAATTCTGAGCTGAAGAGATTGTGGTATTATTGACCACATCAAGAAGAGCTGGAAATGGGAGAACTCTTGGGTGGCAGAGGAGCAGATCCCAGGCCAGCAGGGGTCCTCTTGGTAATAATAACAATTGCTGATAAATATTGTTTCATGAAGAAGCTTGGAAGGACCTCTGGGGTGTTGTTTCAAATGGGTAATTGAATTCCCCGCTGGGAGGGAACAAGGATGGCTTGGTTCACCCCACTTTGGGGAGTGGTCTTGATGTAAATTTAATGTGGAAATGCCAAACCCACAAGGCATTTTTGTTTTCGGTTTTTTTTTTTTTTTTTTTTTTCACAGAGTCTTGCTCTGTTGCCCAGGCTGGAGTATAGTGGCTCGATCTTGGCTCACTGTAACCTCTGCTTCCTGTGCTCAAGTGATTCTGCCTCAGCCTCCTGAGTAGCTGGGATTACAGGTGCGCACCACCATGCCTGGCTAATTTTTGTATTTTTAGTATAGACAAGGTTTCACCATGTTGGCCAGGCTGGTCTTGAACTCCTGGTCTCAAGTGATCTACCTACCTTGGCCTCCCAAAGTGCTGGGATGACAGGCATGAGCCATGGCGCCCAGGCCCACAGGACATTTTCATTTGTGTGTGTGCATGCAGATGTGCAGATGTATGTGTTCATATCAGAAAGACTGCTCATTTAACGTACGAATTTATCACACGATTCCCTGAAGCCCTGATTTCCACCCCGGGTAGTTCAAATAGAATTTGGGTTACAACATCCATTTAGGTTGATTTATCTATAAGCTTTCCATAATATACATACCGGGTGAACTTAGGCCTTCTTCCCTCCCCTTCTCCCTCCTTTTCTTTCTTTTCCTGTATCTTTTCTTTTCTTTCCTCCTTTCTTCCATTCTATTATTAAATAAACTTTAGTTGTGCTACAATGCTGGGTACCAGGTACACAAAGATAGATAAGAAACAGTCTGGAGGCGAGCTGGCATCTACAACAGTGGTTTTCAAATAGGAGTGATTTCCTTTTACCCCTAAGGGGACACTAGGCAATGTCTGGAGACATGTTTGGTTGTCACAAGAGGAGTAGGTGCTGCTGGCATTTAGTGGGTGGAGGTCAGTGAATTAGTCTGTTCTCACACTGCTAATAAAGACATACCTGGGACTGGGTAATTTATAAAGGGAATAAGTTTAATTAACTCACAGTTCCACATGGCTGGGGAAGCCTCACAATCATGGTAGATGGCGAAGAGGAAGCAAGACACGTCTTACATGGTGGCAGACAAGAGAGCATGTGCAGGGGAACTGCCCTTTGTAAAACCATCAGATCTTGTGAGATTATCACAAGAACAGCACAGGAAAGACAGGCCGTCCCTATGATTCAATTACCTCCCACTGGGTCCCTCCCACAACACGTGGGAATTATGGGAGCCACAATTCAAGATGAGATTTGGGTGGGGACACAGCCAAACCATATCAGTCAGGGATGCTTCTCAGCATCCTGCAGTGTCCAGGACAGTCCCACCACTCGCTACGAAGAGTTATCTGGCCTACAATGCCAGTAAATGTTGAGGATGAGAAATCTGATCTTGAATATGGTAGAAAGAATTGGACTTAACTGGATTCAGTCCTGGCTGTCTGTGTCTCAGGCAGAAGACCTCGAGTAAGTCCCCCAATCTTTCTGAGTCTCAGTTTTTCATCTGTGAGAAGGGACAAAGAATGATTACTGTTTTGTAATGATGGAAAGAAGTTTGGGCATAAATCATGCCATTTAGTACCTGGTGGATATTCAAGAAACAGTAGCCATTGGGCTTATCTAAGCCCAGGCTTCTAGGGTCTAAAAGCTACCACTGGGTTCTCCTGTAGATAAATTCCAAATAAATTCCTCTTATTCTAAGAGGAAGCCCGAAGATAATCTCATACCCTCTTCCCTTCCTGGCATCATCACAACCTGTAGCTATAGATTTATTTGTGCATTTAATGAATGCCTCTCTCCCTGATCTACCATAGACCATAAGGTCTTTGAGGGCAGGGGCTATGTCTTCTGTTGTCCCTTCCTATATTCCCAGCACCCAGCACAGTGCCTAGCCATAGTATCAGCTCTAGATAATTGAAGCCAGACTGCCTGAGTTGAAATCTTAGCTTCTTTCACTCACTAGCTGGGTGACCTCAGGCAAGTTACTCCAATTTTCTGTGTCTCATTTTCTTCATCGACAAAGTGGGGAATATTATGTACTGCAAAAGGTTGTGGTGCGAGCCAAATAAGCTACTATATGTCTGGAGTCTGGCACCTAGTATGTGCTTATAAGGGTTAGCTATTATTATTGGCGTTATTCCTTTATTATTTTTACTTTAATTACTGAATGCTGCTCTGCTGCAGGATGCCAGCACAAGGGGATGGGCCTGTCTTTGCCTTTGGGGAGAGTCATTTCTGCGAATTATTTGGAGAAAGATCCGAGTTTGCAGAGAAGCTGGCAACTCATCTAAGCAGAAAAGTAGAAATCAAAGTGATTTCTTGGAGGAGACTCATGGGGGCCTCCTGGGTCACCAAACAGCCGTCTCTCTCACCTGGAAGAAATAGGAATTGATTTGAAGCTTGTCCCATCTGAAAAGGTCTGTCGGGAGCCAGAACCAGCACATGTTGTCAAGGATGCTTTTGGTCTTTGGTCCGGAGAGGAAGTGATTCATGATGATTTGCTCTTCCAGGGAGTCAGGGAGACCCAGTGGAGATGCAGGCTGGGGTCCCAGGGGACTGCTGGGTTAGATTGTTTCCCTGAGCAGCAGGAAGGGAGGAGAATCAAGGAGCCGGTAGGAGCTGATGAATGAGGATAGGAGACCCAGGGAAAGCCAAAGTGGGGAGTCAGTGGGGTTGGGAATAAAGTGCAAGGAATGAGAGAGGATCAGAGAGAGGTTTATTTCTTCATTTTATATTTTTATTATTTTTGAGACAGACCCTCGCTCTGTCACCCAGGGTGGAGTGCAGTGGTGCGATCTCAGCTCACTGCAACATCCGCCTCCCAGGCTCAAGTGATTCTCCTGCCTCAGCCTCCCAAGTAGCTGGGATTACAGGTGTGCACCACTATGCCCAGCTAATTTTTGTATTTTGGATAGAGCTGGGGTTTCACCATGTTGGCCAGGCTGGTCTTGAACTCCTGGCCTCAAGTGATCCACCTGCCTTGGCCTCCCAAAGTGCTGGGGTTACAGGTGTGAACCACTGTGCCCTGCCTCTGACACAGAGAGGTTTAGAGCTAAGAAGATCAAAAGCAACAACAACAATAGCAACCATAATGACAGCTACCACCAATAGAGCTCTGCTGTGGAAGACGTATTTGTGTCCTCCCCAAATCCATATGTTGAAATCCTAACCCCCAAGGTGATGTTATTAGCAGGCAGAACTTTTGAGAGGTGATTAGGTTATGAGAGAAGGACCTTCATGAATGGGATTAGTGCCCTTATAAAAGATGCCCAAGAGAGGTCCCTTGCCCCCTTCTGCCATGTGAGGACCCAGCAAGAAGATGGCTGTCCATCTATGAACCAGAAGTAGGCCCTCACCTGACACCGAATCTACCAATGCCCTGATTTGGACTTTCCAGCCTCCAAAACTGTGAGCCTGAACAGACTAAGAAAAGTGCCTACTATGTGCCAGATACTTTATACACCAAAGCCCATTTAGTGCTCATTGTGACCCTCTGAGGCAGCATGACACATGCATGTCAGGCCTCATCAACCTGTGGATGCTTTAAGAAAAAAAAGGTCGTGGCGGGCTTCGGTGGCTCACGCCTGTAATCCCAGCACTTTGGGAGGCTGAGGTGGGCCAGTCATGTGGGCCCAGGAGTTTAAGACCACCCTGGCCAGCATGGCAAAACCTCATCTCTACAAAAAAATACAAAAATTAGCCAGGTGTGGTGGCGCATGCCTGTGGGCCCAGCTACTTGGGAAGATAAAGTGGGAGTATCACTTGAGGCTAAGAGGTTGAGGCCCTGATTGCAGCATTGCACTCCAGCCTGGGCAACAGAGTGAGACTTTGTCTCAAAAAAAAATAAATGAGTACAAAATAAAAAAGGGTCGGGCCGGGCGCGGTGGCTCATGCCTGTAATCCCAGCACTTTGGGAGTCTGAGGAGGGTGGATCACAAGGTCAAGAGATTGAGACCATCCTGGCCAACATGGTGAAACTCTGTCTCCACAAAAAAAAAAAAAAAAAAAAAAAAACAAACAAAAATTATCTGGGCGTGGTGGCACATGCCTGTAGTCCCAGCTACTCGGGAGGCTGAGGCAGGAGAATCGCTTGAATCAGGGAGGCGGAGGTTGCAGTGAGCCAAGATTGTGCCATTGCACCCCAGCCTGGGCAGCAAGAGCGAAACTCTGTCTAAATAAATAAATAAATAAATAAATAAATTTATAAATAAATAAGAAAGGGTCACACTGCCTATATTCATTAATTCAGTCATTCGACAAATATTTTTTGAATGGAACATCTGACATCTGGCAGGCACTATTCTAGGCACTGGGGATGTAGCAGGAAAGGAGACAGACCACGAGTCCGTGTTCCCTGCCTTCATGGAACTGACATGCTAGTGGGCTGTGGGTAGGACAACAGCAAATTAACACTAT
This sequence comes from Homo sapiens, assembly GCF_000001405.40. Taxonomy (NCBI): domain Eukaryota; kingdom Metazoa; phylum Chordata; class Mammalia; order Primates; family Hominidae; genus Homo; species Homo sapiens. The sequence continues at coordinate 119,253,619 of NC_000012.12, read as the reverse complement.
GTCTGGGATATCAGACGGGGAGGAGTGCTATGTGGAAACCAAAGCACGGAATGGGGACGGCGAGTGCAGGGTAGAGTGAGGTTGCAACTTTGAGAAATACGGTCAAGAAAAGTCTCCCTGGGTTGGGTGTGGTGGCTCATGCCTGTAATCCCAGCTCTTAGGGAAGCAGAGGCTGGAGGACAGCTTGAGCCCAGGAGTTCAAGACCAACTTGCGCAATATGGCAAGACCCTGTTCTCCGCAAAAGAGGGGGGGAGAAAAAAAGAAAAGTCTCCCTGAAGAGGTAACATTTGAGTGAAGATCTGAAAAAGGCAGAAAGTAAGCCATCTGCATGTTTTGGAGAAAAGTTTAATTGCAAGCGAGAGCAGCTAGTGCCAAGGCCCTGGGGCAGGAGCGTGTCTGCTATGTTTGGGGAAACAAGGAGGCTGGTGTGCAGCAGCAGAGGGAATGAGGCAGGAGAGTAATTGGAGGTGGGACAGAGAGGCAGGAGGGTAATTGGAGGTGAGATGGAGAAGGTCCAGGGTGCTGGGTCCTGTGGGCCTATGGCCATTGTAAGGAGTCAGCTTTGATTCTGAATGTGGATTCACTGTAGAATCTTGAGCAGGGAAGTGATGTGATCTGACTTCGGTTTTAATAATCTCTGTGGCTGCTGTGTTGAAAACAGTTTGTGAGGGGCAAGGGAGATGTTAGGAAGCTCCTGCAAGGATCCAGGTGAGAGACGATGGCAGCTCAGACCAGGTAGTAAGAGTGGGGCTGGTGAGAAGTAGTGGATTCTGTATCCAGGGTGGGTTGGCCTGAGTCCCAACCTGATTATGCAGGAAGGAAAGCTCCCATCCTGCCCCATCCATGTTCCCTCCAGCTCTCACCCATGCCCAGAAGCCTGAAGGGCAGGTGCATTCACTCACAGCATCCGGCTGTCCTGTTCTCCTCTTCTGGATCCATGTCTTCAACCAGTGAAGTCACTTGGAGTGATGACACTGTCACCACTGAGCTCACTGTGATAACAGCAATGTCCATGCCAGGAAGCTACCTCCTGGTGCTTCAAAGCTTCTGGTCTTGGGGCTGCCAGGATGGCACTATGCCCATGCATGGTGAGAAGAAAGTCTACTCCTTCTGTGGACCATACTTTGCACCTGGGCCCCAAGTCTATCCTGCTTGTGCCCCACACAGCTCAAAGACTTTCATGAGCATTTCCATCAGCTTCTGATCCTCACTCCCTCTTGCCATAGGAGCTCACTCCAACCTCAGTTTCCTTGGGGAACCAGACCCCTGGCCATCTTCTTCCTCCTCCATATTAAACCTTATCCTGCTTCCCAGGCTGTAAAACGAAAAATGTCCAGAGACAGCCCTGAGTGTGTGCGTGCGTATGTGAGAGTGTGTGTGCACGAGCGTGTGTGAGTGTATGTGTGTGTGACGCTGAAGGAAGCAGGTGTGAGGGTGTGAAGGGAACCAGCTTAGGTTGGTGTTATCACCCCAATTTTCCTGGTGAATCAATGGAAACTCCGAAAGGTTAAGTGATTTGTCCAAGGCCATCTCTTTTGCATTAAAATCCCCTAGTAGTCTCTTTTCTTCTACAATGTGAAGACCCCAGGCCCTTTCCACCTTTTTTAAAATACAAAATGATTTGATAGTGAAACAAAAATTTCAAAATTGGAATATTTGTATTTAAAATCTTGGATCTACAGTGGCTGTATCTGTAGTAGCCAATCAAGCAGTCATTCAACAAACATTTATTGAGTGACTAATAGATATCAGGCCAAGAAGCTCAAGTAAGCATAAGCAGGTAAGTCCTATTTCACTTTGGCTATTTGGAGAGAATTCTAGACTACTCCTTAAGAGGAAGGAACAGGACCAGAAATGGGACTTAATCCTCGCCTCATTGGTGTGAATGGTAGAATGATAGCAGGAAGGCACTGTTGCAAGGTCAGGCAAAGTGGGTTCAAATCTCATGTTCACCAGTGACAACCTGGGTGACCCCTAGAACCTCAGGTCCCTTTAGCACTGGACAGATGCGGCCAGGGTTTGACACAGGGTAAACACTTGACAGATGATCGCTACCATTGCTGGGCGGGCAATGGAGCTTGAATACAGACAGAAACAAATGGGAAAATTCTGCCCTGTGTCCTTTTTGCCTGCAGTGTCAGTTTTGGGAGAGAAAAGAAACTTGTAAGTATCTGGATAAGAAATGGCCGTTGGTCCCCAAAGAGTTAACAGAGTTCCTCAAATCACCTGCTTCCTTCAGCTTGCCAAAGTTTCTCCAATTGTAGAAAGGCAAAACCTTTCATGTTTGCCAAAGACTTGCAATTTCATTTTTCCATGGCTTCCAACAAGGGCAAAACCTGCTCTTCACCCTCAATGCCTATGGATGATGAAGTCTAACACTGTAGATAGTTTTCTGGGTGATTAGATAGATCACGTTTTCCAAAATAAGGAATTAAGATCCATGGTACGGGTAGGGAGAGGAAGGTGTTGGTGGGTATGTTAGATGAGAGGGTAAAATAATATTTGAAATCCTGGGAAACTGGGGAGGAATATTTGGTCACCAGCCTTTTGTCCACTTATTAGATTGCCTGGAAATTTGGAGATCTTGGTCTGTTATCTCAGTAGACTGTAAGCTCTATTGAAGGTGAGGATCATGCCTCGGAAACTTTTCCCCATAGGACATTGGAAATAGTAAGAAGCTTTATACAGGGGGCAGATTGCTGTTAATACTAACAGCTAATGTTTATTGAGTACTTGCCCTATCCGAGGAACCACAATAAGTGTTTCATAATTACCTTAGTAAATTCTCAAAAGAAAAAAAAACAACTATCAATAGACAACTGTGCTATTATTATCTATCTATTCTTTTAAGATTTTTATTACCATTTTACAGAAGATAAAATTGAGGCTCAAAGACATTGAATAATAAGCCCAAAATCACAGAGCTCATTTTTTCTTCTTTAAGACAGGATCTTGCTCTGTTGCCCAGGCTGGAGTGCAGTGGCGCGATCTTGGCTAACAGAGCCTAGATCTCCTGGGCTCATGTAGTCTTCCCTCCTTGGCCTCCCAAGTAGCTGGGACTACAGGCATGCACCACTATGCCTGGCTAATTAAAAAAATTTTTTTTTTGTAGTGACGGGGTCTTCCTACATTTCTCAGGCTGGTCTTGAACTCCTGGGCTCCAGCGTTCCTTAGTCCTCAGCCTCCGAAAGTGCTAGGATTACAGGCATGAGCCACTGCACCCAGCCTCACAGAGCTCCTAAATTATAAGAGTGGGGATTTGAACCCAGGTATGTATGATTTCATTCTGCTACACTGACCTCAGAATCAATTAGGTTTGGGTCAAAACTTCAGCCTTTTCTAACTAGCTGTGTGACCTTGAGCAAGTCACTTACACTTTCTGAGCCGTAGTCATCTCATCTTTGAAACAAGAATAAGAAGAAAATTCTCATAGAGTTGTTGAGAGATTGAAAAAGAATTATAAAAAGTGCCTGGCATTGTGTGGGCAACTCCAAAATATGAGATCCCTTCTAACTCTTAATAAAAGTTTATTGAAAGAGTAAAAAATTTCTCTCCCTCTCAGCCTGCAGCGGGTTAACTTAGAACCTCAGGGTGTCAGCATTTCTCTCATCTTGGCACTAATTATGTACAGAAATCATTTTGCCTCTGACACATATAATGAAAACGATTGTACAGAAATGGAATTTATCATGCTATGTGTTACGAGAGGCTTTTTTAAAAGACTACCTCAATTTCCCCCACTTTTCTTTTATTCCCCCCTCTTCTTGCCAGATAATCAAATACAAAAGTTATATTAACCTCCAAACCACTTCAATTAAAATGCTCATCCAAAATTTGAAAACAATTAAAAAACCCATTATCTCAGATTTAACGTTCTCTGATTTTGTGTCTATTTTCTGCCGCAGCATAAATGGCAGGTAACATTATCACAGTAGGTGCCTTCTAGAAAGCAATGTCTCATTCTCTGCCCGTCGGTCCCGCGGCTGCTCTCTCGGCACCGGCCTTATTAAAAATCCACACACCCTGGTGTACTTTTGTCATGTCCAAATGCACTGAAATAATTGATTGTTTTAATGAGCTCTCCATCTGTCTCATTTTCTTCTGTCTTTCTCTACTCAGTAACTGGTTTTAGTGAGAGAAAAGAACAGACTCCACTCTTGGGAGGTCACAGTTTGAAAGAGGGGAGGATCTCTGGCTTGGATCTGCTGCCCAGGGGTTCTGCATTCCCTGGTGAAATTAGAAATGATTTCCCCAGGCTGGGCATGGTGGCTCATGCCTGTAATACCAGCATTTTGGGAAGCCAAGGCAGATGGATCATTTGAGGTCAGGAGTTCGAGACCAGCCTGGCCAACATGGTGAAAACCCATCTCTACTGAAAATACAAAAATTAGCCGTGAGTGGTGGCACGCCCCTGTAGTACCAGCTACTCAGGAGGCTGAGGCAGGAGAATCGCTTGAACCCAGGAGGCGGAGGTTGCAGTGAGCTGAGATCATGCCACTGCACTCCAGCCTGGGCAACAGAGTGAGACTCCATCTCAAAAAAAAAAAAAAAGAAAGAAAAAAGAAATGATTTTCCCAAAGAAGAGCATGCAGGGAAAAGTGTTAGGTGCTGTGGTGGCTGCAAGGAGCACAGGTCCCTCAACTTAGCCCAAGAGAAAGAAAACTCTCTAGTCACTCCTTGAGATAGAAGGAGGACACCTAGCCACTTCAGTTTGGGTCAACAAACGGGTATTGAGTGCCTACTGTATACCAGACATATAGCAGACAGTAGAAATGTGGTCTCCAACGTCTGGCAGAATCAGTAAAAAAACTCCTTGGGTCAGATGCATTCATATGCTACTGGTAGGAATATAAATTTTTTACAGCTTTCCTGGAGCGTAATTGAACAATATGTATAAGAGATTTAAGAGATGTGCATGCCCATTGACCCAACAATTGGCCTTCTAATAATTTATGATAAGGGGATAATCACTTATGTGTGCAAAGATTTAGCTGCAGCTGTGTTCATTGCAACATTATTTACAAAAGCAAAGAAAAAATCTTTGAAAAACCTAATTGTTCAATGACAAGGAATTATATAAATTCGTGATGACATATCGTTAGGATGGCATACTAGAAAATCATTTAAAAGAATATTAGAAGAGAATATTTATTGACATGGGGAACAGTTAATTACACATTTTTTTTTTTTTTGAGGTGGAGTCTCGCCCTGTTGCCCAGGCTGGAGTGCAGTGGCATGATCTCGGCTCACTGCAACTTCCGTCTCCTGGGTTCAAGCGATTCTCCTGCCTCAGTCTTAGCGAGTAGCTAGGATTACAGGTGCCTGCCACCATGCCCAGCTAATTTTTGTATTTTCAGTGGAGGCGAGGTTTCACCATGTTGGTCAGGCTGGTCTTGAACTCCCAACTTCAAGTGATCCTACCACCTTGGCCTCCTAAAGTGGTGGGAAATGATACATTGTTAAGTTACAGTAAACAAATAAAATGTCTAATAAATAGTATGATCTAAATTTTCTGGAAAAAAAAATGTCTGCAATTGTGTGGAAAAAAGACGGGAAGGAAATGCACTATTCTGGGAAGATGAGAATTTGTGTTACATTTAGATTCTTCTCTGGGGTTCTTCTGATTTTTTTTTCCCAGTGATAATGTGTTACTTGTTATTTTCAAAACAGAAAAAGCTGTTTTGAAAAGAGATAGCTGTGAACAGGAGCCAGAAATGAAATGGAAACTGTTGGGAATTAAGCAGGCTTGGGGACTAGCTGGGCTCTAGCCTGGCTTATTTCCTCTGTGGGTTCATTCTACTCTCTCTACTTACTGGGTGTGTTAGGCCATTCTTGTGTTGCTATAAAGGAATGCCTGAATCTGAGTAACTTATAAAGAAAAGAGGTTTAATTGGCTCACAGTTCTGCAGGCTGTACATACAGGAAGCATGGTTGGCATCTGCTCAGCTTTTGGATGACCTCAGGAAGCTTACAATCATGGCAGAAGGTGAAGGGGGAGCTGATGTATCACGTGGTGAGAGCAGGAGCAAGAGAACAAGGGGAGGTGCCACACACTTTTAAACAACCGGATCTCACAAGAACTCACTCACTATTGCAAAGAAGGCACCAAGCGGATGGTGTTAAAAGTCCACCCCCATGATCCACTCACCCCGCACCAGGCCACACCTCCAACATTGGGGATTACCTTTCAATCTGAGATTTGGGGGCACAAACATCCAAACCCTTTCATTGCTTACCCATGGTTCTGCTGCCTCTAAACCTCTGCCTGCTTCTGGTCTATCAGAGCCTCTCCAGCCAGAAGTCAACCTCATGACTTTGCTACTTCAGTGCCAAAGTATGACTATTTTGGTCTCCGGGTATATTTAGTTCTCTGGATATACTATACATAGTCCAAATTTCCAGAAGAGAGAGACTCCTCTCTTCTTTACCAGGCCAAGGCCTATGTCATTGACTGGATCAGACCTGATCTGGTGGCTCATATCTAATCAGGTGTGGTCCAATCAGCAGTGGGCCAGAGTCAAGGGTTACTGGGCTCATATCTTAACCAGGGCATGGAGGTGGGGCATTTCCCTTTAGGATGCTGTGTGGTTGGACGGTCCCAGTGATAGACATCTTCAGCACAACAGTCCAATCAAATAATTTAAATAATGCAGGGCCCAAATATCTGCATGGAAACCAGATCCCAAGTCTTTGTTCTCAGCTTTGATCAACTAAATTAAGCCACTGTTGATTCTTACTGATTTTGGCGCTGACATCACAGCTCACACAATTTTGGGGGACAGGGTATTAGGCCTATCCAACTGAAATAGATAATGAATCTAAGCTTTATTAGGGTTATAGATGCAGACAAGGCAAAATCAAAGTTAGATCATTGTCAAAAGGGTTGGATCTGTATAGCATAGCATGTTACTGATAATAACAGCTATCATTTTTCATACAATAGTATATAATTTACTACCTGCCAGGCACTGAGCTTCACAGGTATCATTCTAGTGACTCCTCAAACAATCTCGTTGTCAGTAAGGTACGGTTATAATTAATTCCCATCTCATAGATAACGAAACTGAAGATCAGGGAATTTAAGTAACTTTTTCCCAGGTCACACATGACTAGGAGGTCACTGGGTTAGAATTCAAACCCAAGCCTTTTGTAATTCCAGATTCTGTGGGCTTTACCACCTCTCAATACCACCCAAATACTTTCTGTCCAAACCCCTTATTTTGGAATAATTAAAAAGAATTACCATCACTTCTGGCCATTCTCTGGCATTTTATCTAGAGCAGGATAAGACTCTGGCTCAGTCTTTCCCAGGCCAGACAGGTCATGTGACTATAATAATTGGAATGTTTTTGCTAGCAACAATGGGAATCCCAACACAAACTGGGAATGTGTTAGTTCAACAATTGAACAAACTTCTGCTTCTCATGAGAAGGGAGTAGCAGGAATGAGATTTTTTTTCCTCCTGCTTAAAACAACCAAAAAATAGATACAATGTATGATGCAATGGTTTTTAAACTTTGGATCTTAGGAAACAGAGGACAGTTAACCTTGAAAGACAGGAAACAAAGTGAGCCCTGGGTTTGCTCCAGCATACTGCTTTGAGAGACTTTCCACGCTGCAGCCTAGGAGGATTCGAGGAGACTCCCTAAATTAAGGAGACAGAAGTGAAAGTTTGGGGAGGCCAAGGTGTCTGGAGGAACCAGATTGGAATAGTGGAGAGAAGAGAGTTGCATAGAGGGAGAAAGCCAAAGATTGGCCAGAGAGTATCCTTGGATTTTCAAGACAGGAGGGATCAGCCTGCACATTTGAGGAAATGACCCAAGTTTGGGGAAAGAATTATCAGAAAGGATTAGAAATAACAGTGTTGGCATTTACACAGGACCAAGAACAGTGTCTGTTCCCATTTGCCAGACTGGAAAACCTCATGGATCTCAGGGCATTGAATAGACTACAGACGGGTCTTACTCATTGGTGGGGAATAATTAACTAAACACTAAACAAATCTTAAAGGGGATTCCCACAGTTAACAATATACTTAATGGCTAAAACTGGATACTATCTCCTAAGATCAGAATAAGACAAGGATATACTACCACGTCTTCTATTTAACAATATGCTGGAGGTCCTCACTGGTGAAATAAGGCAAGACAAAGAAACAAAAGGCATCCAGATTGGAAAGTAAAACTATCTTTATTTGAAGACAGCATGATTATTTATGTAGAAAATCCTATGTAATCTACATAAAACTACCATATCTAATTAATGAGTTTAGCAAATTTGCAGGACACAAGATCAATATACAAAAATCAATTTTATTTCTATACACTAGCAACAAACAATTGGAAATTGAAATTTAAAATACCCTTTACAACAAATTCAATACTTAGGGATAAATCTGACCAAAAAAGGTGAAAGAACTATACATTGAAAGCTACAAAACATTTAAAGAAAAAATTAAAAAAGACTTAAATAAATGAAGAAATATATCATGTTAATAGGTGAGAAGCCTCAATTTTGATAAGATGTCTGTTCTCCCCAAATTGATCTATGCAATCCCAATCAAAATCCCAGTTGGCTTTATTTTTGGTAGAAATTGTCAAACTGATTCTAAAATTCATATGAAATGCAAAATATCTACAATGGCCACAACAACTTTGATAAAGAAGAATCAAGTTCAAGACTCTTACAGTTTAGTAACCAAATAGTATTGCATTGGCAAAAAAAAAAAAAAAAAAAAAAAGACCAACATATTCATCACCGATGGGACAGAATAGAGAGTCCAGAAATACACAAATGCATATATAAAAAATTGAGTCTTGACAAAGGTGTAAAGATAATTCAGTGGTAAAAGGAAGTCCTCTCATCAAATGGTGCTGGAAGAATTAGATATCTAGATGCCAAAAACACCACCCCAAAAAACAAAACAGCACTTGGATCCATAACTTGTATGAAATGCAAATTTAACTCAAAATGGATCATAGATCTAAATGCAAAACTTAAAACTATAAAATTCCTAGAATAGTAATTCTTAATGGGGGCAATTTGACACCCCCTACCCCACAACCCAGGAAATACGTGGCAATGTCTAGAGATATTTGTGGTTGTCATAAGTGGAGGGGGCATGCTATAGGTGTCTAGTGGGTAGAGGCCAGAGGCACTCTCAAACATTTTATAATGTGTATAAAGACCCCCACAGCAAAGAATTATCTAAAATAATGTGTCAAGAGTACCAAGGTTGAGAAACTCTATTCTAGAAAAAAATATAGAAGAAAACTTTTGTGATCTTGGTATAGGCAAACATTTCTTAGATCTGACACCAAAAGTACAATCTATAAAAGAACAAATTGACAAATTCAACTTTATTAAAATTAAAACTTTTTGCTCTTCAAACACATTGTGAAGAACATGAAAAGACAAGCCAAGGGCTGGAAGACAATATTTGCAAATCATACATCTGACAAAGGATCTGCATCTAGAATATGTAAAGAGCTCTCAAAACTCAATAAGAAGTAAATAAATAACCCAGTTAAAAACTGGGCAAAATATTTGAACAGATAATTCATCAGAGAAGCTATAAAGATGACAAATAAGCACATCAAAATGTGCTCGCTCTCCTTAGTCATTCGGAAAATGCAAACTAAAACAACAATGAGATACCACTACACACCTATTTTAGAATGGCTAAAATTAAAAGGACTTACCATATTGAGTGTTGGCAAGGATGTGGAAGAACTGAAACTCTTTTTTCTTTTTTTGAGACAGCCTCACTCTGTTGCCCATGCTGGAGTGCAATGGCATGATCACAGCTCACTGGAGCCTCAACGTCCCAGGCTCAAGCCATCCTCCCACTTCAGCCTCCTGAGTAGCTGGAACTAGAGGCATGCACCACTGCACCAGGCTAATTTCTTTTTTTTTAATTTTTAGTAAAGATGAAGTTTCACCATGTTTCCCAGGCCACTCTTGAATTTCTGGGCTCATGTAATCTGCCTGCCTTGGCCTCCCAAAGTGCTGGGATTACAGGCAGGAGCCACTGCGCCCGGCTGGGAGAAATGACACTCTTACATCCTGCTGGTAGAAATGTAATATTGTAGAACTATTTTGGAAACCAGTTTGACATTTCTTTAAAAAAGTAAACTAGGCCGGGTGCAGTGGTTCATGCCTGTAATCCCAGCACTTTGGGAGGCCAAGGCGGGCAGATCGCCTGAGGTCAGGAGTTTGAGACCAGCCTGGCCAACATGGTGAAACACTGCCTCTACTAAAAATACATAAATTAGCCGGGTATGGTGGCACGCACCTGTAATCCCAGCTACTTGGGAGGCTGAGGCAGGAGAATAGCTTGAACCTCAGAGGCAGAGGTTTCAGTGAGCCGAGATTGCGCCATTGCACTCCAGCCTGGGCAACAGAGCAAGATTCTGTCTCAAAAAAAAAAAAATGTAAACTATATCTGCCATCAGATTCATCTTGTCCGCTCCTAGGTATATACCAAGGAGAAATAAAAGCATGTGTTCCTGTAAAGACTTACACACAATGCTTATAGCAGCCTTGTTTGTAATAGCCCCAAACTGGAAACAATCCAAATATCCATCAACAGGTGAATGGATAAACAAACTGATATATCCATCTGATGGAATACTACTTAACAATAGAAATGAATGAACTGTTGATACACATAACATGGATGCATCTCAAAATAATTATGCTGAATGAGAGAAGTCAGACAAAAAAGGTATATACTGTATGATTCCATTGATATGAAATTCTAGAAATGAAAACATCCACAGTGACAGAAATCAGATTGCCCAAGGCAGGGGTTGAGAGAGAAGGAGTAAAAGAGGCAGGAGGAAACTCAGAAGGTGATGGATATGTTCTTTATCTTGATTGTAGAGATGGTTTTACTGGTGTATACATATGTCAAAACATCAAGTTGCAGACTTTAAGTCTGTGCTGTTTGTTGCATATTATACCTCAATAAAGCTCTTAAATTTTTTTTAAATGAAAAGTTGGAATACACAGATTTTTCAAAGTTAAAGTGTCACGAGAGTAATCCTGGCTTCAAGCATGTCTGAGGAAAAAGAGTTCAAATGATATGTTGATGTGCAACTTCTCTTTCTCCAATTGTGGAGCTCTCCTCCTGTGATCAATGGTGCTGCCTCGACTCCTGAATTTCTTTTTCTTTTCTTTTCTTTTCTTTCTTTCTTTCTTTTTTTTTTTTTTTTTTTTTGAGACGGAGTCTCCCTCTGGAGTGCAGTGGCAGATCTCGACTCACTGCAACCTCCGCTTCCCGGGTTCAAGCGATTCTCTTGCCTCAGCCTCTGGAGTAGCTGGGACTACAGGTGCCCGCCACCATGCCCGGCTAATTTTTAAATTTTTAGTACAGGGGTGTTCACCATATTAGCCAGGCTGGTTTCAAACTCCTGACCTCAAGTGATCCGCCTGCCTCGGCCTCCCAAAGTGCTGGGATTACAGGCGTGAGCTGCCCTCCCCGCCGACTCCTGAATTTCATCCTTCCAAGTTCAAATCCAGAGAAAAGATAGGAGCATCTTTTCCCCAATGCATCTCTTAAAACTCTGAATTCCCTCTGATTGGATCAGCTTAGGTTATGTGTCTGTGAATGCACCAATGGCTGCACCTAGGGCACTGTGATGCTCTGATTGGCTCAGGCCTGGGTATGAGGACTGAGAGCAGGAAAGGAGCAGATTCCTAAACAAAAATCAAGAAGGGTACTGGATACTGTCCCAACTGTGAACATGCACTTCTCAGATCTCTGCTGCAGGGAGCATGATGGATCTAGGGCTTCAGCTGCTGTGCTCTGAAATCCATCATTGCATTTATGCAACGGCCACACGTCCCCCCGGGGCTGCTTCCAGCCGGTGGCTGAGTGCAACAGGAATACTAAGGCAGTCCCATTCTGGAGAGACACGACTCCCCTGACAGGTGACTTTGGCTCAAGGACTCCCTACTGGCCTTGCTGAACAACCTTGCATTGCAGTCCAAGATGCCTCTACCCACTCTTCCTTCTCGCTGTCTACCCCTCACTTGGGATTAGAACTGCATTGGGTGGTGAATGTCCCAGCTCCCCTCTCCCCCTGGCTCCCTTCCCATTTTCCCTCACAGGCATTTTCCCCTAATAAACTTCTTGCATGTGTAACCTCATTTGGGCATCTGCCTCTTGGAAGACCCAAATTAACACAAATACTGGAAAGGCAACTAGCAAATCGCTAACTCTCATCAAAAGTTTTAGGGTTTTCCAAATAAGTTCTTACCCCATATCTTATTTGACTCGTGGTTTTGGTTAGAGGAACTTCGGGGGATGAAAGCCTTGAAGTTGATATAATAATATTGACTTATTGGTTAATAACCCTACCTTTTGTTTGCCAAGCACGCAATGACTTACAAAGCACTTTGAGGTACATAACTTCAGCTGGTCTTCACAAAAACTCAGTGAAGCAGGTGGAGATATTTTTCAATGTTAGTCATAAAGAGACTGAGATTCAGAGAGGTTAAAATAAATTCTTTAAAATCCCCAGATTCGTGTCACTGCTGTGCCTAAAATTTTTTCAGTGGCTTTCCATTTCCTTCAAGATAAAGACCAAACCATTAACGTAACAGGAAAGAGACCCATGGTTTGGCCCTGGAAATACTGAGCTACGTTCAACATTCTGATAAGGCCACGCGCTATTTGGCCTCAAAGACTTTGCATATGCTTTTCCCACTTCCTGAAACACCCTTTCCATACTCTCTTTTGGACATCAACCACTCCTTCTGCTCTCCTCCTATAAGAAGCTATTCTTTAAGATTGAGTCACGTGCTTCTTTGGGCCCCAAGCCCCCATTCTTACCCATTTCATAGCACATTGCAAGCTGTATTGCAATTTATGCCGTAACTGCTTGTCCTCACAACAACCCGTGAAGTAAGAAAGATTCTCATCAGTTTCCAGATGAGGAAACAGAATTAGGAAAGTGGAGTGTATTAGTCAGAATGCTCCACAGAAACATAACTAATTGAGAGAAAAGATTTATTAATTTATTACAAAGAAGTGGCTCCCATGATTATGGAGGTGAAGAAGTCCCAAGATCTTGGCAAGCTGGAGACCCAAGAGAGCGGAAGCATAGTTCCAGTCTGAGTCCAAATGTCTGAGAACCAGGAGGGCTGATGGAGTAAGCTCCAGTCTGGAAGCCAGCATGCTTGAGATGCAAGAAGAGCCTATGTTTCAGTTGAAGTTCAAAGCCAGAAAAGATGGATAGCCCAGCTCAAGCAGTCATGGAGGAGACGTTCCCTCTTACTCAGCTTTTTTGTTCTATTCAGGTCCTCAATTTTTGGATTGGGTTGGATTGGATTGGTCCAATTGATTGGATGAGACTTACCCATATTAGAGAGTGTACTCTACTCAATCTACCGATGAAAATGTTAACCTCAGGCAGGGTGCAGTGGCTCACGCCTGTAATCCTAGCACTTTGGGAGGCCAAGGTGGGCAGATTGCCTGATTTCAGGAGTTTGAGACTAGCCTGGGCAACATGGTGAAACCCTGTCTCTACTAAAATACAAAAATTAGCCGGGCATGGTGGCACATGCCTGTAATCCCAGCTACTCGGGAGGCTGAGGCATGGGACTTGCTTGAACCCAGGAGGCAGAGGTTGCAGTGAGCCGAGATCACGACACTACACTCCAGCCTGAGTGACCGAGCAAGAGTCCATCTCAAAAAATAAAATAAAAATAAATAAATAAGTAAAATGTTAATCTTATCCAGAAATAATCTTCACAGGTCCATTAAGAATAATATTAGGCCAAATGTCTGGGTACCCCATGGACCAGTCAAGTTGACACACAAAATTACCCATCACATGGATTAACTACTCAAGATTGCATGACAGCATTTGCAGGTAGGCTAGAGAATAAACTCTGTCTCTGAAGCCCATTTTACACAGCCATGTCACCATCTTTATGGACAGGGCAGCTATGGGGGTGGTGGCACCTGCATATGCATCAGGAGTTTCTGTACTTCTTGAGGACATTTGATGTGTCAGGCTCTATGTTTGGCATTTTATTTGCATCCCTATGACTCTATATTGTCATAATCTCCAGGCATATGAACATTTGTTGAGTGCAGAAATCCCCATTTGCTAGAGAGGATAACCCCCTTATTATGGATTATTACGAATTTATTATTATGGATTTGAATCCAGAACTGTCTGACTCCACAGCCAGGACTCCTTACATAGCATTGCCCTTCTCAAAAAGGACAGTTTTGTTGTCCCAACCTCTTTATCACTCTCCAGAAACATGCCTTCCTGGAGCTTGACTCTAGTCCTCTAGGGGGCTGTGGGCTGGGCAGGACCTGGGAGCAGGCTGAGAAATCTAGAATCTCAGCTCCCCAAGGAGCACTCCTGGCAAGGAGGCATCGTCCCCTTGCCAGAGCAGACTTGCCCAGCTTAGCAAGCTCTCCAGGACGCTGCTGAGCAGACCCTGGGTTCAGGAGCCCAGCCAAGCACCTTGTAGGTCTGCTGGCCTCTGATCTAGCTGCTTCTACTGCAGTGTCTCCAGATGTACAGGGGTTTGCTGGGCCTGCGGTTCTAAGTAGTAGCTTCGTTGAGGGGATTTGTGTTTCTTCTCTTCCTTTCTCTTTTAAATCTTAGCAGCATCTGCTCCTCCATCCGTGGCAGGTTCCCAGTGTCTCAGACAGACGTCAATATTGACAGAAGAGGCCCCTGGGCCCAGCAGGGTATGCTGTTTCAGAAGAGTAGCTGAACAAGTTCATTAGGGGGACTTCTCGGCACCCTTTGGCAGCCCCAATTACTTGGTTCTGAGCAACATGAATATTGATCAGTGGGATGAGGGGGCTCATCTGGGTTAGGATGTTTTTCTTTTTCAGAGGAAGTATAGAGGAGGGTTTTAAGGTCACAGGTTCTGGAGTCAGAAAGGTCTGGCTTCCCATTCTGCCTCTGCCCTTGGCTACCTATGTGACCTTGGGAAAGGGTAATCACCATGCTGAACCTCAGTTTCCTTATCTGTAAAATGGACATCATGATACTATGTACTACAAAAGCTTGCTGTTGAGAATCACACAACTTAATGCATTTAGCACAGGGTCAGGCACACAGCAAGTGCTCAGTAAATGCACCAGTCCCTATTGTCTCGTCAGGAAATGGCCACATCCAGAGGAACTGGTCTCTTTCCTAAGACTGAGGAAGCCTTTCCCAAAAAGCTCCCGGCAGAGTTGGGTGACGTGTTCACTCCTAAGCCAATCAATGGCTAGGGGACTAGAACTGTTACTGTCCTGTGTCCGTGTTTCATTAGCCAGAATTAGGTCATGTGACCAGCTCCTGGTTAGCATTAAATCAAAGATTATCAAGCATGAGAAGAAGCAGGAAAACATGACTCCTAAGGAGGAGTAAAATCAACCCATTGAAACCAGCCTAGAACAGACACAGATGTTAGAAGTAACTGACAAGGACATTAAAACAGTTATTCTAACCGTATTCCATAGGTTTAAAAAAATGTTCTGTAGAACTATAGAAAACATAAAAAATACCCAATTGAACTTCTAGAGATGAAGACTACAATGTGTGAGATGAAAACTACACAGAAGTGTATTAACAGCAGATTAGATATTCCAAAGAAAAAATGAGTAAATTCAAAGACTTAGTAATAGAAACTATCCAAAGTGTAACACACAAAGAAAACATATTTTTTAAATGAACAGAGCATCAATGAGATGTGGGACAAATTCAAGCAGTCTATTAATAATGTATGTGTAATTGAAGTCACCAAGGGAGAGGAGACAGACGTGGGATCAAAAAAATATTTAGCTGGGTACAGGGGTTCATGCCTGTAATCTCAGCACTTTGGGAGGCCAAGGCAGGAGGATGGCTTGAGACCAGGGGTTTGAGACCAGCAGTTTGAGACCAGCCTGGGTGACATAGCAAGACGAGACCTCATCTCTACAAAAACATTTTTTTTTTTAAATTAGACAGGTGTGGTGGCACACGCCTGTAGTGTCAGCTACTCAGGATGCTGAGGTGGGAGGATCACTTGAGCCCAGGAGGTTGAGACTGCAGTGAGCTATGACTGCACTACTGTACTCCAGCCTGGTGACAGAGCAAGACCCAAGATCCTGTTAAAAAAAAAAAAAATTAAAGAAAGAATGGCTAGAATGGCTGAAAATTCCCATATTAGATAAAAATCTTTGGCATCAGGTAGAGCCTGGTTTAAGCCCTGGCTATGCCATTTACCACCTCTGTGAACTTGGGGACATTACTCACCTGCTCTGGTCTTTATTGGTAAATCAGGGAAAACAACACTAACATCATAGGATTACTGTGAGGAGATGCTACTTATAAAGCACTTGGCACAGTGTCTGGTGCATGGTGAGCCCCGATACAGGTCTACTGTTATTTTTATTAGAGTCTTTTCCAGCTTTGGCCTTCTGTGGTTTGCAGAGATTCTAATGTTCACCCTTTGGTTTGTTAAATAATCACTAACCTTTGTCGAGTGCTTATAGTACCCCGGATTCTGTGCTAATTCTTTATTTGTATTAACTTATTAAGTCCTTAAACCAACCCTTTGAAGAATGTATAACATTTTATACCTCTCCTTATTTTATAGATGAGAAAACTGAGGCACATAGGGTTAAGTAGATTGTCCAAGGTCACTGCTGATAACTGCAGCACTGGGATTTGAAGCACTGAACTCTGCTGACTCCTGAGAAGGTATCTGATTATATCTAGTTCAGTCTCATTGTTTTATAGCTCATGAAACTGAGGCCAAGAGAGACTGAGGGTTTTGCGGAGAGATTACACAGCAGGTCAGTGGCAGAGCCAGGGCTAGAACCTGATGCCGAGCTCTTTTCATTCTCCTACAGCATACCTCTAACAGCTGAGATTTCCAAGGCTTTTTGGCCAATGTGTTTGTCAACATCTGCAACAAATTTCCAGAACTCAGGCCAGAGCCCTGGGCAAAGCCTCCTTTTTTGTCTCCTCTTTTTATCTCCCAGTGCAGGTGAGCAGCTTGCTTCAGTCCTGTTCTCTCCAGCCAGCTCCTAAGAACTCTGATGGAATTATTCATGCAAACATCTTACTCCCAGGGCCATTGGAATTCAAAGGAGCTGCTGGCAACAGACAATGCTTAACCCAAAGGGGTGAATTTCTAGTGGCAGGATTTGCTACATTTGTACTGGAAATGTTTCCTGGTGGCAGTGGAATCTCACTGGCACCCCTAAAGCACACTAACCATTTTTTCCTCTTGCATTATTCATTCGTTTATTTGATCAACTTGCTGAACCGGGGACCTTGCTTGATGATAGCAATACAAAAGTAAAAATGGGTAAGGCATTGTCCCTGCCCTTGGGGAAGACATAGAAGTGAATGGATGACTACAGTTGCTGTGATAAGTGTTATGACACAGGCATGGAATAGAATGCATATCTCACTACCTGGGCCCATCAGGGCAGGCTTCCTGGAGGAGGTGACATGAGTTGAGTTTTGAAAGACTAATACCATGTCACCTCTTTCCACTAGAAGGTGAGCTCCATGAGAGTAGAGGGTTTGTGTGTTTCATTTACCGCTGGATTCCCAGTTGTCAGAACAATGCCAAGCATTGTAGGTGCTCAATAAATATTTACTGAATGAATGCATAGAAAAAAAAGATCCAGGAAGGGGTTCCAGGCAGAAGGAACAGCATATGCAAAGGCACAGAGGAGCAAAAGGACACGGCACATTTGAGAACTGTGGCTTTAGCATAGGGTACATCGTGGGTGATAAATGAGCCAAGGCTGAGGATAAGAACATGAAAGTCCTTCCTTGAGCCATAGGCTTAGTTTGGACATGGCTCCAATAGCAATGGGAAATTATACACAGGTTTCAAGCAGAGTCATGGCATGAGTAGCTTTGTGCTTTAAGAAGATTATCCTGTCTGTTACGTGGACGAGAAAATAGGGGTGAACGAGAGACGAGGGGCTGTGTGCCTACAGCATCAGTTCAACTAGTTTGTACAAGGACCCCTAGCAAGAAAGCCAGGCTTGACTGAGGGGGCACAGGGTGGGGTGGCTATGGAGGCTTGAGGGAAATCTGTCCCCTGATTCATCTTCCCTGGCCTCCTGCTGGCAGGCATGTGGTCATGCAGAAAGCCCATTACCATCTCACCAGGAGAAGCTTTCCCTTGTTAAAATTCTGGGCCGTGGTGTCTTGTATTAAAGCTGATATTAAGCCATAAAATGTAATATGTTATGACACCATAAAATGCAACGTAATTGCTATAAAACCATAAAATGTAATGTAACAGGCGCAACGTCCATTATGCAGCATCACAGTCTAAAACAGTTAGCTTCCACTCTGCGTTTAGACAAACAAACAATTCCTATTCATTGCTACCTCTGGAGAAAGGTATAGGAAAATCATCCTGGATGAGCATGAATTGTAACACAAACAGCCAGGGAGGACGCAGTGTGGTGTGGAGGAACCGCCCTCGGCTTTGTAGTTAGATAGAACCCATGCTCCAATTCTGATGCAATGATGTCTAGATCGGGTTCCCAAACAACAGAGCCAAAGACAAGGATTCAGACTAGATTGCTCCTGAAATCCCATTAGTCTAACTCCTCCTTCTGCCTGAACATATTTCTCTCACCTTCTCCTGGAAGGTAAGAACTGGTGGGCTCTTATGCCTCCACATCAGTGAGACATTAGCCCAGGGTGTCTCCTGAGAAGGGATGTGAACTTGTGGGTGACTGTGAGCAAGGCGTGCAGGTGTGACCTGTTAGCAGCCTCCATTTGCAGTGGCTAGGTGACAGGTGCACTTGCTAAGGGGGTGAGGGTGAGAAAGGGGTGGCACCAAGAGCATCTGCAACAAATGACTTAAAGCTGTGTCACTGTAGCCAAAGGACTTTCCCCTCTAAGCCTGAATGTTCTCATTATAAATGCAGCTAACGCTACCTATGTTTATATAAATTAAATGAGATCAAAATCTACAGAAAACACTTGAATATACAGATATTCTCTTATAAATGTATTCACACACAGCATTGCACACATACTCAATGTATTAAAAAATGACAGAATATATATATATATATATATATATATATATATATATATATATATGCTATAGGAAACACCAGTGCATATGTTTACAGAATTAAACTTGCATATAGAAATGAAGATGCATATAAATGTGCATATAGAAATGATGTTGGGCATATGATAAAGCTGTACTAACCAAATAATATAACTGGAGGCAGAGAAAGAGGCCGGGACTCCCCTGGCTTGTCATGCTAACAGCATGGCTGAGTGGTGGGCTCAGTCATATTGAATTTTCTCCATCCAGAAGCCAAGCTACAGTAAAGGCAGCATGTGGTGAGTCGCAAGCACTTGTGAGCAGTGCCAGAGACAATGTGCAGGTGTGTAGTGAGGGACCAATGTCATCTGCTACAGGGAGAAGATAGGGACACTGAGTGAGCGAGAGAGAGAGCTGAGCAAGAGAGCACCAAGATGGTGATGGGGAACTGAAGAGTCTAGAATAAAGGTCTCACGCCTTTTAGAGAGCTGGGGAACAAGCTAAACAAAGGAGAGTAGCCACTCCCATCTCCCTACCCTGGGGAGACTGTACACGTGGAAATGCATGGCTTAAACTTAAGGAAAAAGACCATTGCATATTTTAATTTGGATTCAGAACATGTGCGCAACTAACTCAAGGGAAGACATTTCGATCAAATACTGTATATCCCTCTTTTTGGACTCTTAATAGTATAATATGATGATGCCGGTTTTGTCACTTAGGATTATATTCTGCTGCAAGTTACAGAGACACAGAAATATGGGCTAGCACAAGTAGTTTATTCTTTTCCACGACAAAGAAGCCAGAGGTAGAACAGTTCAAACTCAAAGTTCTAGAGGGGACAGAAAGGAATGTAAATGAAGGGACTGGGTGGGGTGGGAAGCAGAGGGCACAAGTCCCATGAAAAGGGTACATCAGTTCTCCATCTTTACACAGTTGATGCCATGGAGAAAGTCAGCTCCATGTTGCTTGAGCTATTGATTTTTTTTGAGACAGAGTCTTGCTCTGTCACTGAGGCTGGCGTCCAGTGGTGCAATCATGACTCACTGCAACCTCCACCTGCCGGTCTCAAGCTATTCTCCCACCTCACCCCCTGAGTAGCTCATACTACAGGCGTGTGCCACCCCACCCAGTTAATTTTTGTATCTTTTGTAGAGACAGGGTCTCACCATATTGCCCAAGTTTCTCTCAAACTCCTGGACTCAAGTGATCCACCCACCTCAGCCTCCCAAAGTGCTGGAACTACGGGTGTGAGCCACCGCACCTGGCCCAATTTTGTAAAGAAAAGTTTAAAACCTGGATTTTGTATGTGAAATTTGACTTCTAAATGTTACAACTAATTCAAAAATTTAAAAGCCCTCTGGACCAAGGGTAACCTATAAGTAGGACATATTTGATCCAGGGCTGCCAATATGAGATCCACTGCCAGTTCTTGTGACAGCTGATCTCATAAGAACTATAGAAATGCCTAGGTGTGCACACATGCGCATAGATCACTAGGCGAGTACATCAATGTTGTGGTTGAGTGTAGGGCATTCTTATGGGGCTATTTCCAAGTGGTGGGTGCATTCTCAATTCTGGGAATTCAACAGTGAACAATCATGTTAATTTGCGAGTTGAGTTGAAATCCTGTCCTCTGGGAGGTTTTAGGCTGTTTATCAGGTCAAAGAAGCAGAACCAGTATGAGTGATATAAGGGGTTTATGATAGGGCTGGGCCTTACGTGACTGTGCCGGTTGGTGGTGCTGCTTATGTAAGCATTGGATGCTGAACCTACATTCAGCAGGGCTGTGCCTTGGTAAGTGATTACGGACATGAAATGGGAGAGAGCAAGAACAACATGGAACCCATGAGGATGAGCTGGAACACACCAAGGAAAACTGGAAGCTGCCTTTGTCCCTCCCTGGGAACTGTCAGTCTCTCAGTGCCTCCAGACTTCTAATCTGAGTGATGCCGTGAGCTTTGGAAGGACCATGGAGCTGCACCCAAATCTGGCACAGACGTTAGAAAAAGTAAAAGAGGAGATCGGCAGGAGGTGGAGGAGCCCCAGCCCTGCCTGCTGTCTGCAATCTCCCAACAAGATGAGCCATCAAATCCATGACAATGAGTGTGAGATGCAGCAGAGCCTCAGCTCACATTGACCCCTGGAGCATAAACACAACTGCTGCTTCACACCCACTTTCCAAGGCTCACCCAAGTTGGTTGGCCCACTTTAACACAGAACACTGCAGGAAAGGGAATTTGGGGAAATGCTTTCAATTTAACTAAGATGACACAATGCAAGGCCACTGTGGCCAGGGAAGACACAGTGAACTAGGGAGTGGCAGTACAGTTGGTGGGAGTTCCAAACGGGGAAGGGAGGCACTGGTGGGTGCTTACCCAGCAGGAACAGTTACCATCTAGGGGCTCAGGCCAGAAGAAGTGATGGCCATGCTGAGTGGTGAAGGGGGGCTTCGTCAGGTGAGGTGAGTGTGGAAGGAGGAAAGAAAATAGTGTGTGGAAGTGACAGGGCAGGGAGGGGAGAGGAAGAAGGGGGAGGAAGAGGAAGAAGAAGGAGTACAAGGAGGAAGATGAGGAGGATGGAGAGGAGGGAAAGGGATAGAGAGGAGGAAGAAGAAGAAAGAAGGAGGAAGAAGGAGGAGGAGAATGAGAAGAAGAAGGAAGATGACAAGGAGAAGGAGGGGGAGGAGGGAGGAGGAAGGAGGGAGAGGCAGGTGAGATAAAGGAACGGAGCTAACGGAGTCGAAGAAAAATGCAAAGACAGTGTCAGAGGGAGGGACAGAGTGATTGGAGAGAAGTAAGGAATTTAAGAAGAGCCTATGTTTAGAAGACAGAATGGTGTGAGATGGGCTAGAGAAATAAGCAGGGAACAATGAAATATGAACACATGCCCACAGAGAACGAGATCAACGCCCTGACATTAACATATATAGACAATCCAGACTTGTATGCACTTAACAATTCATCGAGTCAACACACAATATGCATACACATCTATCCATACAGGGACACAAGAAACCACATATAATTAATTCCTCACTGATTCTCCCTGACTCCCTCCACACCCCAGGGAGGCAGCAGAAGGGGCTAATTCTGATCAGATCACCTGAGCAGGGCCTTGGAGGACATTCTCCAAGATCCCATGAAGCTTTGTCCCCATGCACTTCCTTGGTGGTGTGAACACTCAGCCGGCCACAGCTATCCCATGAGTAAGTAGCCCTATTAGATGTCTCATCTTGTTCAGGGGAGAAATATGACCACTTCTGTCATGAGGGCAAAGCCTGACTGTGCCACACCTGGGCTTGGCTTCTTAGGTCCTCCAGAGGAGACCTTGTTTCTGATGCATTTTACAAGCCGCTTCATAGTGTTACTAATGAATAGGACAGACCATAAAAGCAGGGAGGAAATGAGCCAGCATAACGTTCCCACTGTGAATTTTGGTGAGAAACCCAAAGAATCAACCAGTGGAAAGGACACAGAGCCGCGGTCTTGGGAAGTGTTGTTGAAGGCTGGGGTTTGAAGGCAGAAAAGAACAGAATGGACAACTAGGGACCTTCCAGCATGACTCAGCTGTCTGTGTGTCTGCGTGTGCCTGAGTGTGTGTCTATAAGAAGGAACCATGTGGATGCATATATAGGGGTGCCTGTCATATAAATATCTGGGTCTGAGTAAATGGGAGAAAGCATCATCTAAAACCCCAGGAGCAAACGCTAAGATTTGGTCAGGTTAGAGGAAAATATGTTTCCCCTCCTTCTCCACTTCTACTTCTTGAGAGTATTTTTAGGGGAGGAGGAAGTGCTGAAAAGCTTACTGTAAAGCAAATGAGAGGAAAACTGTTGATAACAAAGTTTCTGCTATTAGGTGGCACAAATGTAATTGAGGTTTTTGCCATTACTTTCAATAATTATTCGTGTCAAGATGTTCACCTGGGTTAGGTGCACCACCAAATCTTTTGAGTAATGCAAAGGAAGTTCCTGGAGTTTGTCTGTGATAGAGATTCACAAAATATTCATTTGCTTAATAAAATGAAAGAAAATTTTGCGGATGTCCCCAGGCCCTGGGAAGTTGGAGAAATACATGTATCAGAGAAGTAAAAGACTGTCTGAAAAATTCCCTGCAGGGTTTGGTTAAGGAGCTTTAAGGATAGAGGCGATGAGTATTACATTGTAGGTTGTTTCCTATTCTACACTGTGCTGTAATTCACTTCTGATGTTGCTAAACCTTCCGTAAAATTCTGTGTATTAGTTGAGGTAAAGGTTAAGCTGCTGTAACAAAGAATGCCAAAATACAGTGGATTACAGAAGACAGATATTTATTTCTCATTCATGAGATGGTCCTGAGGTGAACAGCCTAGGAGTATATTAGACTTTGCTCCACACCTTCACACAGGGACGCAGCTTCCTTCAGTTGTTCTCATCGGCATGATTCAGCTGCATCCAGGCACATTCCTGTGCCTTTGTATAAACGAGCAGGGGGCAAAAGAACACGACCCACCATTTTTTTCAAGCAAGTGAGGCAGTGTTGCACACGTCTCTTTTGTTTATATTTCATTGGTTAGAACTTAGTCACATGATTCGACCTTGCCCCAGGGGAGGCTGGGAAATGTAGTCCCCTGTTGAGCAGCAACGGTTCACTTACGGCTATGGAAGAGAGAATGGAATTTGTTGGAAAACTGGTGGTTTTTATTGTGGTCTTGGACCTAGTCTCTCACGTGGATTATTGTAATAATCTGTCAATTGTACCCTTGCTCTAATCCAGCAATGCCCAAACTTTTGGCTTCCCTGAGCCACATTGGAAGAAGAGGAATTGTCTTGGGCCACACATTATAAAATATACTAACGCTAGCTGATGAGCAAAAAAAAAAAAAAAAGAAAGAAAAAGAAATCCAAAGAAAATCTCATAATGTTTTAAGGAAGTTTATGAATTTGTGTTGGGCTGCATTCAAAGCTGTCCTGGGCTGCATGTAGCCCACGGGCTGCGGGTTGGACAAACTTGCAGTCTAATCAGTGTATTTTGAAAACAATACTGCTGCTAAAATGTGATTCTCTCCTCAGAACTCCCCAGTGGCCTCTGGTGTTCTCTTGGAGTAAAAGCCAATGTCTTTGGAACTGCTTATCAAGCCCCACATGACCCCACCCACCACCCAGTTCTAATCTCATCCCCTCCCACTCACCTCCTTGCTCATTCCCTCCAGCCACACTGTCTTGTTTGCCTTCTTCAAACATGTCAGGCAACTACCTACCTCAGGGCTTTTGCACTGTTGAACCTTCTTCCTGAAGCACTCTTTCTCAGTTAGCCATTATTTCCTCACCTCCTTCAAGTCTTTATTCAAATGCCACCTTCTCATCCAGGCCTTCTCTGACCCCAACCATTTAAAAAGGCAACTCCAACCCCTGATACTCTCTGACTTCCTTCCCCTGGTTTTTCTCCATAGTACATATTACCAACATATATACATATACATAGGTATACATGTTTATATATGTATACATGTTTATACATGTATATAATTTTGATGTAATAATTAGTAGTCAATAAAATACATCAGATATTCAACCCTTTATTATAATATAGACTTTGTGTTAGATGATTTTGCCCCACTATAGGCTAAGTAAATGTTCTGAGCACGTTAAATTTAGGCTAGGCTAAGCTAGGATGTTCAGTAAGTTAGGTGTATTTATGCGGGGTTTTTTTTGTTTTTGTTTTTGTTTGTTTTGAGATGGAGTCTCCCTTTTGTTGCCCAGGCTGCAGTGCAGTGGCGCGATCTCAACTCACTGCAACCTCCGCCTCCCGGGGTCAAGCGATTCTCCTGCCTCAGCCCCCCAAGTAGCTGGGATTACAGGCACCCGTCACCACGCCTGGCTAATTTTTGTATTTTTAGTAGAGATGGGGTTTCACCATGTTGGCCAGGCTGGTCTCGAATTCCTGACCTCAGGTGATCTGCCAGCCTTGGCCTCCCAAAGTGCTGGGATTACAGGTGTGAGCCACCGTGCCCAACCTATTTATGCGTTTTTGACTTACAATATTTTCAACTTATGATGGATTTATTGTAAATCAAGGAGCATCTGTGTATATGTATGTGTGCCTGGGTGTGTGTGTGTGTGTGTGTGTGTATATGACTTATTGTCCTTCTCCTCCATTAGAGGGTAAGCTTCATGAGAGCAGGGGTTTCTGTTGGATCCGTGTGCATGCACATGCGTACACGTGTATGGGACATATATGTGTATGTACACAAACTGTTAATCTCCTAATGGCAGTAGTCTGTCATATATAATTATATATCAAGCAAAGATTATAATGAAGCACACAGGAGAAAGTTATGGAATTTTATCTCTGAAGTTTGTTTTTTTAGCATGGTAATGTATTACATTTAATTAATAAAACATCAAATGTATGACTCAAGAACATAAATACTACGGAGATAGAGGTAAATCAGCCATCCAGCAGTTGGTAGTAAAAGGCAAAGGAGAGTATGGAGTTATTATGCCCTGGATAAGTGCTACAATAGAGATAACTAGAAGAGAAGATGGCAACACTGATATATCCGGTAGATAATTGGAAACTGGAGGTGAGAGTCAGTGGCTAGAGATAAATATGTGGGAGTCATTGGGTTATAGGTGATATTTTGAGGAAATAAGAATGAGTAAACTCTGTGATGAATACCCAGTAAATACTGAATCTTGTGTTAGCTGACTGCACATGCCTGGTATTTCAGACACTAGATTATCTGTGATTATAAAAAGAAGTTTCTCCCCCAGCAAACCCATATATGCAAATATTGTAGATGTGTATTTTATTTTTAATTTATGCTTTCTTAGTTTTTTGTGCATTAATAAGTATTAAGAGATAAGAGATAGTGCTAATGACAAACTCTGTCCTTGGCCCAAAAAGGGATGCAGAATGAATAAACAGACCCAAATCTCTGGGGCTCACTTTTTGGTAGAGGAAGACAGGCAATAAAATACATGAAAAAATAGTAAATAAGATCATTTCAGAAGGTGATACATGCTATGTGGACATTATCTTGGCATGAGTCATTGATGAATGATGTTGGGGGAGGGGGACTTCTTTAGATGGAGTTTTCAGGAACAGCCTCTCGGAAGAGGTTGCATTTGAGTGGAGACTTGAGTACACGAAGGAGCCAGCTGTGCAAAGTGCTGGGAACATAGTATTTCAGGTGGAGGAAATAGCAGGTGCAAAGTCCCCGAGGCATCAATGGGATTGGGGTATTCAAGGAACTGAAAGAAAAGCAGGAAGTCTCAAACACAGAGAGCAGCAGTGACTGTAGTAGAGATGAGGGTGAGAAGAAGGCAGGCACCAGGTCATTGAGAGCTTCCCTGTTCCCTTCAGTAGCCATTAATCATGTGTGGCCATCGAGCACTTAAAATGCATCGAGTCCCAGCTGGGCATGGTGGCTCACGCCTGTAATCCCAGCACTTTGGGAGGCCGAGGTGGGCAGATCACCTGAGGTCAGGAGTTGGAGAGCAGCCTGACAAACATGGAGAAACCCCATTTCTACTAAAAATACAAAATTAGCCGGGTGTGGTGGCGCGCACCTGTAATCCCAGCTACTCGGGAGGCTGAGGCAGGAGAATTGCTTGAATCCGGGAGGCAGAGGTTGCAGTGAGCTGAGATCACACCACTGCACTCTAGCTTGGGTGACAGAATGAGACACTGTCTCAAAAAAAAAAAAAATGCATGGAGTCCCAATTGAGACGTGCTGTAATTGTAAATATGCACCAGATTGCAGAGACCTAGAATGAAAAATAAAGAATGTAAAATATTCATATTTTATATTGAACACACTTTAAAATGATAATATGTTTGATTTTGGGGTTAAACAAAATATATATTTATATATATAATTATTATTTATATATTAAATAAAACATTATTGAAGTTAATTTCATCTGATTTTTTTTTTTTACTTTCTAAATGTGCTACCTACCTATGTGTATTGCTATTAGGCAGCCTTGACCTGGAGCCCTACAATCCTCATGAGCAGTCTGAATTTTATTCCAAGTGCAGTAGGAAGCCATCAGATGATTTTAAATGGAGAAGTAAGACACTTGGATCTGTGCCTAAAAGAATCACTCTGCTGTTGAGTTCCTGAGAAGCAGACTCTGAGATAGAGATCATTTTGTGGGAAGCTTATTGGGAGGTGCTCTTGGGATCCACACCTGTAGAAGGTAAGTGAAAGAAGCAGCATTGAGCAGAAGGAAGTCAGGCTGTGATGCATTGCAAGGAAGGGCTCAGCCAATGCCACGGGGAGCTTGGAGCCTGGGATGGCCCTTCAGAGTTACCCCAAATTGAGCAAGGAGGCTGGGCCTTTCTGCTTCTGCAATGACCAGTCTCTATACAACCTGTCTTGGAAAGAGAATGTGACCTTGGAAAGGGCAGCTTGGGAAATGAGTTATTCATGCTTGAAGGAAGATTTGGTCAATGCATCCATCATCCACTACTGGTGTCATTCTACGAATTAAGGAAGGAGGGGCTCAGAGTGGAAGCAGAGGGACAAGTTAGAAAGATCTAGCAAGGGATGACCCTCAAGGTGGGGGGACCTTAGTGGGCAAAGGTGCAGAGGTGGGATTACACAAGTAATCGTGAGAGAATATGGAGAGCCAGGCGTCACTGGAGGGAGATGAGTGCAAATGAGGGATTAGGGGTTTTGCTGTTAGTTGGAGACAAGGTGCCCTACTCAGGGAATGGAAGCCTCTTTGCTCCCCACACTTCAGGACTGGCTCTTTAAGATCCAAAGGAGAAGCCAACCAAATGAAAGCATTCTTGGCAACCAGGTATTCCTGACCAGTCCCCGGCTCTCTGACAAGCTGTGTCACAATATTGATCCAGTGATTAAATTTCATGCTGAACTGACTCAAGTCCTAAATAATGTCCCTGTTAGAGAGCTACTGTCTGAGAGGCTGACTCCACATGCCTGGTGGTTCATTAGTGCCTCAAGAGGCAGACGAGAGCCAAGGAAGTGAAAGGAGGTCGTGGTTTCTGCACTTTGTGTCCTGCAAGAGGGGCTCTTGTTTGGGTAACAAAAAAGGCACTGGATTGAGGCTTCAAAAACTGAGCTTCCAGACATGAGTAGCAAGTCACTTTGTGACTATGCGCAAGGTATTTCCTTTCTGAGCCTTTGCCACCCCAAACACAAGCCAGTTTGGCAGGGAGGAGGGGTGGACTCGATGGTCCTTGAAGATTCACAACAGCTGCTCTTTATGGAGGGCTTCTGATGTGCTAAGCACTCTACATGAATTATCTCCTTTAATTCCTACCAGAATCCTTTGAGGTGAGCATTATTATGCCCATTTTATAATTGAGGAAACTAAGCCTCAGAGAGGTTAAGTAACTTGCTCCAGGTAACACAGCTACTAAACGTTGGAAGCATTTAAATGCCAGCAGTGGAGCCTACAGTATTTCAGATTTCTTATATTTATTAACCGTACAACTTGGGGGAAGATTATTTATCCATAGTCATATACAGTTAGATCTGCAACTCCAGCAGAGTCAGTCTGACTCCCAGCCTCTCTCCTAACCTCTGGCTGTCTTGATCTTGGGCTGGAATCGAGTGTGAGGCTCTGTAGAATTGACTTTGGCATTATCTCAAGGGAACCAGAGTTTGGGGCAGGCATAGGGGAATGAGACTTGATCCTGACAAGACTGCAACAGCTTTATTGACAAATCTCATCCTGACAAAAAGCCAGATCTCATCCTGCCTCAGGGGCCTTTCAGCCTCCACTCCTTGCATTCTCTGCAGCAGAGACAGCCAGTCCTGGGGCTCAAACATGCAGCCAAGGCAAACGCCATCTCCTCCTTCCCAGCACAGCGAGGTATGGTGGGCAGCAGAGGGGCATCCCTGAGCACCTTCTCACCTGCTGTGGGAAATAAAACAAACATAAGAAGCCAAGTGGTTGCATATGAACCTGGCTGGGGTTCCAGTGTTGGTCAGGGTGCAGGAAGAAGGGCACTGGTGCTTTATGTGGGTGGTGGAAATCCATACCTCTGTGCAGGAAAATTTGTGTATTTTTACTGAGTCTCTTAAAAATGTGCATGCCTTGTTGAGGATGCTCTCACTTAATTAAATAGGAATATATTTGCCTGGAAACAAGACTAGAAGTTTCACCACTAAATAGTGATTGTTTCTGTGCAGTGGTTTTTAAAAGATATATATTTTTTAATTCCTATTTATATGATGTATATATTTGTATTTAATGAATAGACCATTTTTGAGCAGTTTTAGGTTTATGAAAAACTTGAGCAGCAAATGCAGAGCTCCCACTCCCCATCCCAAACCCCCCCACGCAGTTTCCCCACGCATTAACGTGGTACATTTATTACAATGGATGAATCAACATTGGGACATTATTATCAACTAAAGCCTGTAGTTTACATTTGGATTCACTCTCAGAGTTATACATTCTATGGGTTTGGACAAATGTATAAGGATGTGTATCCCCCATTATAGCATCATACAAAGTAGTTTCATTGCCCTAAAAATCCTAGTCATGAATTATTTGCCTACACCAGTGTCCAGAAGAGTTTTTCTGATGTTATCTTCCAGAGCTTTTATAGTTTCAGGTCTTAGATTTAAGTCTTTGATACACCATGGAATACTACTTAGCCATATAGAGGAAAAAGAATGTCTTTTGTAGCAACTTAGATGGAGCTGGAGACCATTATCCTAAGTGAAGTAACACAGGAATAGAAAATCAAACACCACATGTTCTCACTTATAAGTGGGAGCTAAGCTATGAGGATGCAAAGCCATACAGAATGATATAATGGACCTTGGGGACTCAGGGCAGGGAGAGGAGGGTGAGGGATAAAAGACCACCTATTGGGTACAGTGCACACCGTTTGGGTGTTGGGTGGACTAAAATCTCAGAAATTGCCACTGAAGAACTCGCCATGTAACCAAAAACCACCTGTACCCTCAAAAACTATTGAAATAAAATAAAACAAGAAAAAACATCCTCTGCTCTCTACTTATTCAGCCCTTTCTCCCTGCAACCCCGATCATCTTATTGTCCCCAAAGTTTTGTCTTTTCCAGAATGTCATGTATTATAATTAGAATCATGTAACCTTTTCAGATTGACTCCTTTCTCTTAGCAATATAGATTTAAGGTTCCTGCATGTCTTTTTATGGCTCAATAACTCATTTCTTTTTAGCCCTGAATAATATTCCATTGTCTGGATGTACCACAACTTACTTACCCGTTCACCTGTTAAAGGACATCTTAATTGCTTCTAACTTTTGGCAGTTATATACTGTCTCTCACTAAGTTTTCCTCCAGAATTAAAACAGATGGCTGTTCCTTGGGTTTGTGTTTAGGGATCGTGTTGAGTTATATCTATTGTGTGCTCTCTCTCTCTCTCTGTGTCTCTCATCTGTCTATCTAAATATTTATATGTAGGCTGGGCATGGCGGCTCACACCTGTAATACCAGCACTTTGGGAGACCGAGGTGGGAGGATAGCCTAAGCCTAGGAGTTCAAGACCAGCCTGGGAAACATAACGAGACCTTCTCTCAACTTAAAAAAGTAAAAATTAGCTTGGCGTGGTGGCACGTGCCTGGAGTCCCAGTTACTCGGGAGGCTGAGGCAGGAGGATTGCTTGAGCCCAGGAGTTTGAGGCTGCAGTAAGCCGTGATTGTACCACTGCATCTCAGTCTGGGTGACAGAGTGAGACCTTGTCTCTAAAAAAAATGAAAATAAATAAATAGTTATATGTAACTGTATCTTTAAATTCTAGAACCACTCTCTATGTGGCCGAGATGCCCTCTCTTTGCAAGTGGGAAATGGCATCAGCTGAGAGTTGGACAGACGTATTTGTCCTATCTCATGCCTGTCATGGGACACACATTTACCAAGTGGAAGAAGGAAGCATAATTGCCCACATATTTGTACTGAAATTCCTCCTTTTTTTATCTTAACTTTTTGAAGCTTCCCTAATGACATTTCATCAATTTTAATATGCACACTTTTTCTAATTTTCACATCCCTGAAATTGAGATGTATTTTACAATTTGCTATCAGCCAGCCAGCAGGCATGATATAGTTTCATTCCCTGCGCCTAAGCAAACTTGGTCCTAGCTGCTCACATTGTCATCACTTCAACTGAGTTATGCACATTACAAGTACTTCACATGTTGATTTTAATTGCCACTTAAAATGTCTTCAAAAAGATTACACTGATATGGTGTGGCACTGGAATGGAAAGCGTGTGTATATACAGAAAGGTCCCCAAACAGAGCAGTGGTGTGGAAACTTGATATTAGTGAATCACATTCTTGTGTTTGGGGGAATGACTCCAGTTTCATATTTTCCTGCAAAGCAACAATCAAATCTGTGCTGAACCCCTAAAAAGGAAGAAACCACAGTAGATGAAGCTATGGTACATTATGTCACTGAAATATGTGCGAAAGGGTTTCTTTTTATACACCAAGCCAGGCAACTAGAGGCAATCCCTTAGAATAGATGAACAGAATTTCAAAGGAGGAATGCTGTGATCAATCAATGTGTGGCATTGGACTATAAGGCGTTGGGTCATAGTTTAATTGAAAGAGCTTTTAATTTTCTTTCTTAATTTTACATAAAATAATAGTATATCTTAAAGTTGATGATGTTTTACATTTAGTGAGACAGTTGAACTCAAGTTAGTTAAATATATGTGATGCAACTCCAATTTAATGATCAATTAACTCTCATAGTATAATGTTGATGTGTCATTGATATGGTTTGGCTGTGTCCTCACCCAAATCTCATCTTGAATTGTAGCTCCCATAATCCCCACGTGTCGTGGGAGGGACCCAGTGGGAGGTAATTGAATCATGGGGGCAGGTTTTCGTGATAGTGAATAAGTCTCATGAGATCTGATGGTTTTATAAAGGGCAGTTCCCCTGCACATGCTCTCTTGCCTGCCACCATGTAAGACATGCCTTTGCTCCTCCTTTGTCTTCCACCATGATTGTGAGGCCTCCCCAGCCACATGGAACTGTGAGTCCATTAAACCTCCTTTCCTTTATAAATTACCCAGTCTCGGGTATGTCTTTATTAGCATCGCGATAACAGACTACTGCAGTTATTATGTTTTTAAAAACTTCTGACTTTTCAGAGATGTTTCCCAACAATGAAAAAGGAAAGGGTGAAAGGAAAACTCTCCAGTGTGATATATATATGTGTATATATATATTTTTTATGGGCATGCAAAAATACAGTACCAGCAAAACTATGTATATCTATTTATTTGGAAATACTACTTCTAGGAATTTATCTTAAGAAAGAAAGCATGAATGAGTACAGATATTTAGCTGCCAGGATGCTTATCTCAGCTTGGTTTATAAGAATGAAAACTTAGAAACAATCTAAAGGTGCATCAATAGGACTGTTCTTAAATAAATTATAAGACATCCATACAACAGAATTTAATAGTAGGCAGCCATTAAACATTAACTCAATCCATATTTATTAGCAAGGAAAGACACTCGTGATATGTACTAATAAAGAGGAGGAAATACACCAAGTTTGATACCATTTCTGTAAAATAATATTAAAAACAATACTCTCTATATGTTGGTGCATGTGAAAGTTGATGGGAAAAAAGCAATGAAAATGTAATAGTCATAGCCTTCTCTGAAAGGAGGGAATGTGAATGATTTTCATTTTCTTCTGGGTTTTCGGGTTTTCTGGTTTTCCTGTAACAAAATGTCTTATGTAGTTAAAAATAATAGAATTAAGGAATGGAAAAAAGGAATTGATATAGATCCTGTCAGAAAAAATGAGAAAAAGATGGCAGTATAGGCTTCCTCTGTGGTATTTCTTCAGATGTCCACAGCCTCCTACTCCAGTAACGATTTTGTCTGTGGAAAAAAAATAATAATCCTAATCACACTACTAATAAAAACCTTGTGCTGGCAAATATTTTTAGTACAATAAACTGAGACAGCAGTAAGCCTCTGGTGTCTGTGTTTGTGTGGGAAGTCGGGGAAGGTTTTGGCAAGTTTGTAAATATTAGCTGCTTGGGTGAATCGTTCTTTTGCCTTTACTGTCTCTCCCCTTTAGGAGTGAGGAGGCTTTTGTTTTCACCGCTAGCAGTTTCTCTCTCAGTGGGGTGTGGATAGTAGAATTCAGAGCAGGGAGGTGGGGGTAACTGGAAATGACCCTGACTGAGTGTTTGTGTCCCACCAAAATTCAACTGCTAATGTGGCTGTATTTGGAGATGGGACCTCTAAGGAAGTAATTAAGATTAGATGAAGTCATGAGCATGAGGCCCTGATCCAATGGGATTAGTAGGCTTATAAGAAGAGAATCTCTCTCTCTCTATCTCTCTCTCTCTCCCTCTGAGAGCAAGAAGGTGGCTGTCTGCAAGCCAGGAAGGGAGCCCTCACCAGAAGCTGAATTTACCAGTACCTCAATCTTGGACTTTCAGCTCCAGAAATGTGAGAAAATAAATTTCAGTTGTGTTTAAACCAAACCATTGGAGTATTTTGTTACGGCAGCCAGAGCTGACTAATACAGACTCCCTCCATAATGAGGGGCTCTGAGCTTCCCACCTGCTACACAACAATGAGAAGCCTCCCTTATGTGTTTTCTGACCTGAGGAAGGGAATCAGATGGACCTGGGTTGAAATCCTACCTCTGTTGCTGCCTGGCTGTGTGATCTTGGAAAGCCCCTTCACATCTCTGAGCCTCAGTTTTCTCATCTTTTCAGTAGTGGTAACAGTTGCCTATTTCCCTCCTCAGGACATGGTAAGAATTAAATGAAGTAATGCATCTGCACGCAACCTGACTGATCATTCCCCCGCTTAAAAATCTCTTTGGATGAGGCCACATTACAAAGATGAAAGAATGCCTGCAAAGGGCCTGGTGCACAGTGGGGGCTCACCATAGATCAGTTTTCTCATTTCTAAGGATTCATTTATTCATTTGTTGCGGGAAGTCAGGGACCCCGAACGGAGGGACTGGCTGAAGCCATGGCAGAAGAACATAAATTGTGAAGATTTCATGGACATTTATTAGTTCCCCAAATTAATACTTTTATAATTTCTTACACCTGTCTTTACTACAATCTCTGAACATAAATTATAAAGATTTAATGGACACTCATCACTTCCCCAATCAATACTCTTGTGATTTCCTATGCCTGTCTTTACTTTAATCTCTTAATCCCATCATCTTCACAAGCTGAGGATGACCCTGTGATAATTGCATTAACTGCACAAATTGTTTAAGCAATATGAAATCTGGGCACCTTGAAAAAAGAACAGGATAACAGCAATGTTCAGGCAACAAGGGAGATAACCTTAAAATCTGGCTGCCTGTGGGCCGGGCAGAACAGAGCCATATTTCTCTTCTTTCAAAAGCAAATAGGAGAAATATTGCTGAATTCTTTTTCTCAGCAAGGAACATGCCTGAGAAAGAGAACATGTCCGTAAGGGGAGGCCTCTGAAATGGCTGCTTTGGGGGCGGCTGTCTTTTACGGCTTAATAAGGGATGAAATAAGCCCCGGTCTCCCGTAGTGCTTCCAGGCTTATTAGAACAAGGAAATTCCCGCCTAATAAATTTTGGTCAGACCGGTTGTCTGCTCTCAAACCCTGTCTCTGGATAAGATGTTATCAATGACAATGCATGCCCGAAACTTCATTAGCAATTTTAATTTTGCCTGGGTCCTGTGGTCCTGTGATCTCACCCTGCCTCCAATTGCCTTGTGATATTTTATTACCTTGTGAAGCATGTGATCTCTGTGACCCACACCCTATTCATACACTCCCTCCCCTTTTGAAAATCACTAACAAAAACTTGCTGGTTTTGCTGCTTGGGGGGCATCACAGAACCTGCTGACATGTGATGTCTCCTCCGGACACCCAGCTTTAAAATTTCTGTCTTCTGTACTCTTTCCCTTTATTTCTCAGACCAGCTGACACTTAGGGAAAGTAGAAAAGAACCTACGTGAAATATCGGGGGTGAATTTCCCCCGATATTCATTCATTTATTCATTACTCATCAAATAATTGTCTTTTAGTGCCTCAATTTTCTCATCTGTCACATGGGGGCACTAAAATATATTTGATTGAACCACAGGAAATTGTTAATATTGGACTGTTTTAACCTACAGAAAATGGCAGTTTCATAGAGTGTGACCTAATACCACCTGGGTATTGTGATAATGATTAAAAGAGTTAAGCTTTATGAGTTCAGATCTATAAAATGTTTAGCACGTGGTGACAGTGCAAAAAAAAAAAAAAAACATGAACCCAAATGATGGCTTTAATAATGATGATGGCAATGATGCTGCTGCCGATGACGCTTATTGTATACAAGTTCTGAGCTATTCCCCACAAGTATGATGGGGACAGAGTGCCATTTTATTCTTCAAGAAACTTACAGTCTAAAGGGCCAGGTGTAGTGGATTGTGCCTGTTAATCCCAGCACTTTGGGAGGCCGAGGAGGGCAGACCACTTGAGGTTGGGAGTTCGAGACCAGCCTGGCCAACATGTGAAACCCTTTTTCTACAAAAAATACAAAAATTAGCCTGGCATTGTGGTGCACGCCTATAATTCCAGCTACTCAGGAGGCTGAGGCACAAGAATTGCTTGAACCCAGGAGGTGGAGATTGCAGTAAGCTGAGACTGTGCCACTGCACCCCAGCCTGGGCAACAGAGAGAGACTCTGTCTAAGAAAAAAAAAAAGAAAAGAAAAGAAAAGAAAGAAAGAAAAAAAGAAACTTACAGTCTGGTAAGGGAGGGAAGTAGGTGTGGATGATCCAGTGACAGGTGCATTGATGGTTATGCAGTCTGTCTTGGGAGCCCCGGGTATAAGAGGAGATAGCTAGAAGAAGCAGAGTGCTAAAGGTAGGAGCATTGGCCACCTGAAGAAAACTGAGGACAGGCCACAATGTTACAGGCAGAAAGAAGCACATGTATGAACAGCTGCAAGACAGAGCATCAGATGTCTCCTAGGTAACCCATGTCTGTTGTGGCTGTCTCTCTCTGAGGTGCTGTTCTCACCTGGCTCAAAGACAGAGGTCATCATTCCTGAATCACAGTCCAAGATGTTTGAACCCTCAACCCCTGTGTGCCCCTCTGAGCCCCACCTTGATTCCTTGCCCGAATCTCCCTCTCAGTTCCAAGCGCATTCCTGCAAATGTGATTGAGAATTCTTTGCTAACACTCCTTGCCTGTGGTGTCATCTTGTTCCTGCCACCCTACTTCTAAGCTCACACCAGCCTGTCTTCCTCTTGCCTCATAAGGACTATCATCGGGTTTGTGTGTCTATATCACTCAATGAACAAGTATGTTCATGTATTCCCTACCAGAAACTGTGTCTTTTCCTCCATTATACCCCCAGCAACTTGCAAAGTGCCTGGCACATAGGAACTACTCCTTAAATGTCTGTTGCAGTATGAATAAGTGAATGAAGATGAATGAGCAACATATATTGAGGGCCTGGCATGTAACAACCCCAGACTCTTGGACCTATTGAAATAATCTAATCTAGTAATTCTCAAACGTATTGATCTCTGGACACTTTAGACTCTTAAAAATTACTGAAGACCCCAAATAATGTGTTTGTATAGATATAGCTATCATTATTTACTACTTTAGAAATTAAAACTGACACATTTTTAAAATATTTATGTATAAATCCATTTAAAAACAATAGGCAACCCATGTGATGTTAACAAAAATATCATATTTTTATGAAAAATAACTATATTTTCCAAAAAACCGAGAAGAAGTACATTGTTTTATATTTTTGCAAATCTCTCAGATGTTCAACATTCAATGATGACTGGATTCTCATTGCTGCTCCTGCCTTCATTCTATTGTGATATCACTGGTCATGTTGACTAAGCGAAATTTTTCTCTCTACTCATGAGAGTATGAGAGTGAAAAAGGCAAATAACACCTTAGTAGTGTTACAAAAAATAGTTTTGATCTCGTGGACCCCCTGAAAGTGTAGTGGGAGCCCTCTGGAAGCCTCTAATCTCTCTTTGAGAAGGATGGATCTAGTCTGCCTTTACCATTTTAAATTTTACAGAGAAGGAAACCAAAGACTAGAGATATGAAGGGATTTCCCTAAAACTAGAAGCAAATTTCTCAGATTACAACAATAACGACAATGAGAGCTATCATGCATTGAGCTCTTACTATGTGCCAGGCACTGTGCTCAGCACTTTAAGGGCTGATCTCATGAAATCCTTGATGCAATTCTCTAGAGTTGGAACTATTTTCACCTTGGTTTACAGAAGAAACTAAAGCCCAGAGAGGTTATGTCAGTTACCTAAGATCACACAGCCAGTCAGCAGCAGAAATAGGATTCAAACTCAGAGTTACGTATTTGAGTTTTGGCTCTTAGTCCATGATCCACATTCCTGCAGCATAAATACATACTTGAGGGCTGGGTGCGGTGGCTCACGCCTGTAATCCCGGCACTTTGGGAGGCTGAGATGGGCGGATCATTTGAGGTCAGGAGTTCGAGACTAACTTGGTCAACATGGTGAAACCCCATCTCTACTAAAAACACAAAAAGTTAGCTGGGCATGGTGGCGGGCGCTTGTAATCCCAGCTACTCAGAAGGCTGAGTTAAGGAGAATGGCTTGAACCCGGGAGGCAGAGGTTGCAGTAAGCCGAGATAGCACCACTGCATTCCAGCCTGGGCAACAGAGTGACATTCCGTCTCAAAAAGAAAAAATGCATACTTGTATGTGGAAGCTAATAAAGAGGACAGGGTCCTCTTAAAATGTGGGTGGCCTTCAGTGCCCAGAGAGAGTAGGGGTGCTCCAGAGAGTTGGAGTAGAGCTGGAGGGTTAGGGCTTTGGCCGAAGTTGAGCACAAAGGAAGTTGGAGGTGAATCTTTGTGGACCTCCCCGCAGACCTCACAGGGGGCACTCTGTTTGTCTGCCCCAGCAGTTCACAGTCAATTTGGCCAATTTATCAAAAATCAACTCCATGATCAGTAGTTCCCTAAAATAATCAAGATGCTTGAAATCAATCGATCCAATCGGTCAAATTTGCCAGTTTTCCAAAACTGTATTTTAAGGAAAACTCTTATCAAATATAATTACTGAAGACGAACATCCTGCTCTTGAACATAGTCAATGACTACATTCTCATAATATGCTCTTTTAATCAGTTCAATGGTAATTCTCAGTGAATTTATGCTTCTTGAATACTCTTATCCAAAAATGTAGCCAGGATATTTTAATTATATTCAAGACTCTGTTTAAGATATTCAATAATCTATTCTTCATTAGCAGATAGTCATAAGAAAGCTAAACAGCCCCCATGATATTTAGTGTTAGACAAATTAAGCTTAAAATGCTGCTGAGAAGGATATGTTCTCTGAATATGTTCAAGACTAATATATTAAGCAGACCATATTAATATTCATTGGATATATTCAGGAAGGCTAGTCTTCAAGAACATTTTTGGCAAATTCAGAAATTGGTAGACTGGTGGTCTGTCTGGCTTTCGGCCAGTCTGAGGACAGGCATCCTGCAATCACCGTGGGAGTCATGAGATGACAACCCTATTCAAAGGCTATGAGTTGCATTAGAAGCCTCGGAGAGTAAGAAAGCACTGTTGTGTCCCCAAACACCATTTTGACCCTTTGGGCACCTTCATGAGAGGAAACAAAAAAGCAGAAGAGAAAAGAGAGAGAGGGGTTCATGTTGCCTGCCATTCACTGCCATGTCCCAAAGACACTGTGAGCATTATCTCCCTTAGTCAACCCGAGGAGTTGGTAATGAAAATTACCCCTTTACTAATGACGATGCTGAGGTTTGGATAGGTGAAGTGACTTGCCTAAGATCCTCTAGTTAGTTGAGGGCAGAGTGGGGATTTGCACTTAGGCAGGGTTGGAAATTGCACTCAGGCAGGGTAACGATTTGGACTCTGACAGAGTGGAGATGTGAACTCAGGCAGAGTGGAGATTTGCATTCAGGCAGAGTAAACATTTGAACTCAGGCAGAGTGGAGAGTTGAACTCAGGCAGAGTGGAGATTTGAACTCAGGCGAGTGGAGATTTCAACCCAGGCAGAGTGTAGATTTGAACTCAGGCTGAGTGGAGATTTGAACTCAGGCAGAGTGGAGATTTGTGCTAAGGCCGAGTGGAGATTTGGACTCAGATAGAGTGGGGATTTGCATTCAGGTAGAGTAAATATTTGAACTCAGGCAGAGTGGGGATTTGAACTCAGGCAGAGTGGGGATTTGCACTCAGGCAGAGTGGGGATTTGAACTCAGGCAGGGTAGAGATTTGCACTCAGGCAGAGTAGAGATTTGAACTCAGGCAGAGTAGAGATTTGAACTCTGGCAGAGTGGAGATTTGTGCTAAGGCCAAGTGGGGATTTGAACTCAGGTAGAGTGGGATTTGCTTTCAGATAGAGTAGATATTTGAACTCAGGCAGAGTGGGGATTTGAACTCAGGCAGAGTAGAGATTGGAACTCAGGTAGAGTAGAGATTTGAACTCTGGCAGAGTGGTGATTTGAACTCAGGTAGAGTGGGATTTACTTTCAGGTAGAGTAGATATTTGAACTCAGGGAGAGTGGAGATTTGAACTCAGGCAGAGTGAGGATTTGAACTCTGGCATATGAACTTCACCGAATCAATGAAAAAAGAAATGAAAGGTGAGGTGGTGCCCTGTTAGTGGGAACTGAATGGATGAGGGCTGGATGTGAAGGAGCCTGGGGAGTTCTAAGGGGCTTGACAGGATTTCCTTTTGGACATTAGAGGAACCAGGCGATGCAGTGGGAGGCAATTTTGAGTCAAAAGCACAGGCCCCTTTCTTTTTTCTGTGTAGAAACAAACACAATAGAAATCCTGATGACCTACCTGCCTGTTTACTTGTTCCCTCATCACGTGTTTGCTTAAGCTTAGATCCAGTTGTATTATGTTCCCTGAAACATAAAATAAATAAATAAAAATAAGCACGAAGAACTGTGGAAGAACAAGGCTGGCCACTGGTGTAGATGTTCGCACCGTTTCCCTGCAGCAGCTTTATACAGGTTCCAAGGTATTTATTTCATTCTTTCTTTTGAGAAAAAAAACAACCTTTTATTTTGTTGTTTATTATTCAATTAAGACACACCCCACATGTACCTTGCTGATAAATTAGAAAATTATAGATAAGCTAAACTAATAAAATAAAAATCACCAATACATCTGCTCTCCCTTACTCCAAAAAAAAAATCATTGTTAGTATTGGGTATATTTCTTTCCAGCACTTTAATTCTTATGCAATTTTTAAATGGTATCCTATTGTACCTGCTATTTTGTAAGCTGATCCTTTCAATGTATTGTGATGATATAAATAAAGACAATTTCACAACTTGGTTTTTACAACTGCAGATTTCTGATGGTTGGTTATTTATTTCTTGTTTTCAAAGAGGTGAGAGGTGGAGAAGTGTTTTGTGGCTGACTGGGCCATTGGCTATAGGGCCAGGGGTCTTTCCACAGGATGTGGGAGGGCTTGGAATAAGTTGGAAACTTCTGATGGAAAACATTTTGGGACTTCAAAATAACACCCCTCTATCGGCCAAGTGCCCTCCTTTGTCAAATGGGTCATTTTAAGAATTGAATGAAAGAAGTATGCTAAGGCCTAGACAGCATCTCCTTCTTCTCCTCCTTCACTCCATTTATCTAACACATGTCTCCATAGATACCAGGGGTGTTCTGCCAACCCCTCCCAAAGATAATAGATTTTTGATAGCTTTACTTCCCAAGACAATAATTTTTGGGCAGGGCACAGCAGAACTTGGTGGAACATTGTGACCAGGTTCCTCCGAATGGCAAGAACTTGGTTCCTAAGTTTCTGAGCTTCAACTTTCTTTATCTCCCCAAGAGCTGGGCTTTTCAGTTCCAGTTCCTTCTCTCCCACCTCCCACTGGTCTCCTTTCACTATCCTCTGTTGTCTCCTTTTGGGAGTCTAATCAGAGAGAGGAGGCTTGGAGTGGTGGTGGTTACTGCTGCTGGTGATAGTGGGAACTTAGGGAAGTTCTTGGAAGTTAAGCTCTGACCTGGAGCTGGACCACCTCTCTTAGATATCACTCAGTGTTTGGGAATCATTGTAAAGAATAGACAACCTCAAAGGAGTCATTTTCCTATGCAGCAGAGACTCAACATTTTAGCCAGTTAGGGAGATAATGTATATTTTTTAAAATCACAATGCCTGGCACATAGTAAGCACTCAATACACGCTACTTATGATGACGATGATGGTTATTATTATTTTAAAAGGCATAGAAAGCATCAGTCCCCTGAATCAGGGGGACTGTGGGAAGTTTAAGATGAACACAGTTCTGGAAGGAGATGCTCTTCCCACTCCCGCCACCCATGCCGCGGAACCAGCCTCGGGCGGAGTGCATGCTGAGGAGTATTTTCATAGCCCCTCACAGCCTGAAGACATCCAGCGTGTCGCCAAGCAGATAAATGCACTCATGATCTCCTGCTGAAATTGGCACGTCCAGTGTAGAGCTTCGATGATTTATTTACCAGTGACAGTTCTGCTCTGGGGTGGAAGTGCCCTGGTTTGCTGAGTGGTTCATTCATTTATCTTGGTTGACAACGCAGGCCCGTGGGATCCCCATCTCAGCTCCCACCCATGCCTTCTCCTTTTGCATCCTGCTGCTAGCACTGAGGGCACAGGCGTGAGGGTTGGTGTTGTGTTTACCTTCCCGCCTACAGAAGCACCATCTGGGGTCTGCTTTGGGTGGGGAGGTCCTTGGGTGTGGTCATGGAGGTGGGGGCCATACATAGCATTAGAGAAACCATATTCCTATGATCATCCCTTTTTAAGATGCCATCGGAGTCAGATTGCTATGGGCTCAGATGCTGTCTCTGCTATTTATTAGCTGTGTAGCCTCAAGTCAGTGGCCTGACCTCTCTGAGCCTCAGGTTCTCCATCACCTGTTACGAGGGAATAATAATAATACCTATTCCCTGCTTTCTTGTGAGGGGAGATATGGAAAGCACCTGGCACCTAGAAAAGTGAGCCTGACATATGTACGAAGCTCTTAATAAAAGGTGGTTATTGTTCATAGCTTCATTCTTATTATTCTCCTGGGTCCAGCACTGTTCCCTGGTGAAGAAGGAGTTTGCTCTCAGGCTTATGAAATAACAGAGCTGGACTCAACTTACAGAAAAAGCCCTAGGCCAGGCACGGTGGCTCACGCCTGTAATCCCAGCACTTTGGGAGGCCGAGGCAGACGGGTCACGAGGTCAGGAGATCGAGATCATCCTGGCTAACCCGGTGAAAACCCTTCTCTACTTACTAAAAATACAAAAAATTAGCCGGGCGTGGTGGCGGGCACCTGTAGTCCCAGCTACTCAGGAGGCTGAGGCAGGAGAATGGCGTGAACCCGGGAGGCGGAGCTTGCAGTGAGCTGAGATCTTGCGACTGGACTCCAGCCTGGGTGACAGAGCGAGACTGCATCTCAAAAAAAAAAAAAAAGAAAGAAAAGAAAACAAAGAAAAAGCCCGGAAGCTGTGTTGAAGCTCAGACTCCCCCACACTTACACACTGTGATGTCAGGACAAGTTAATTCACCTTTCTGAGCCTCAGTCTCCTCATCTGTAAAATGGCAATAATGAAATGAGATACATTATGGAAAGTATCTGACATCAAGAGTACTCAGTGAAGATCAGTTTTCCGCCACCCTCTCTTACTTGCATAATACCTTATGATGTATGAAGGGTGGTAACAATCGTTATCTAACATGATTCCCACCCTAACACCCACTGCTCCAGGGACAGATTGTAATCCCTAATTCACAGATACAGGGGCCCAGAGAAGTGCAGCAACTCGTCCCAACTTATATTTATTAACTCAACAAATATTTCTACCGAGTGCCTCCTGGATATTAGCCATTGTCTTCAGTGCTTCAGACACATTGATGAATGGAACAGGTGAAAAATCCCTGCCCTTGTAGAACTTACATTCTAGAAGTGGAGGGAGATAATAAACAATGGAAGTCATGAATAGATAAATTACAGAATATGTCAGAAAGTGGCAAGTGGTGTGGAAAAAAAAACAGATCTGATAAGGGAGATCGGGAATGATAAACAAAGGGGAACAGCTACAGTTTCAAATGGGGTGTTCAGGCTGAGCCTCACTGAGATTATATTTGAGCAAATATTTGATGGAAATGAGGGGCTCAGCCATGCAGATGTCTTGAGGAAGAGCACATGCAGGATGTTCAAAGGCCCTGGGGTGGTGGTGTGCCAGGGGCATTCATGGAGCAGCAAGGAGTGGAGTGGGGATGGGGAGAGGGGAAAGTGATGAGGCTGAAGGGGCACAAAGGGAACAGGGTGTACATGCAAGTTTGTGTGCATGTGTGCGTGCGTGCATGTGTGTGTGTGCCTGTGTATGTGTAGGCATGTCTGTGTGTATGTGTGTAGGGAGAATCCTTTAGGGCTTTGTAGTCATGATAAGGACTATGGATTTTGCTGAATAGAGGAGCCTTAAGAGGCTTTGATCTGAGTCATATTTGAACTGAGTAATATTTTACCGAGGTCAATCCAGCTTTAGTGTTCAAACTGACTGCAGGGTATACATCAACAGATACGTGTATGCACAGCATGTCATATCCATACAATGTCATATCCATACAATGTGGAATATTACTCAGTCATAAAAAGAAATGATGTTTCAATATATGCTATAACATGGAAGAACCTTGAAAACATTAAGCTAAGTGAAAGAAGCCTGACACAAAAGAACAAATATGGTATGATTTTACTGATATGAAATGTCTAGAGCAGGCAAATTTAGAGACAGAAAGTAGATTAGAAGTTCCCAGGGGCTGGGTGCAGAGAGAAATGAGGAAGTTGTTGCTTAATGCTTACAGAGATTTTTTTTTTGGACGATGAAAAGTTTGGAACATAGTGGTGGTGGTTGCACAGCATTTTGAATGTACTTAATGCCACGGAGTTGTTCGTTTGTGAAAATTATTTAAATGGTATATTGCATGTTACATATTTTACTACAATAAAAATTTTAAAAAAAATTGACCAGGCATGGTGGCTCATGCCTGTAATCCCAGCACTGTGGGAAGCCGAGGAGGGCAGATCACTTGAGGCCGGGAGTTCAAGACCAGCTTGACCAACATGGCAAAACCCCATCTCTACTAAAAATACAAAAAAATTATCTGGGTGCAGTGGCACATGTCTGTAGTCCCTGCTACTCAGGAGGTTGAGACATGAGAATCGCTTGAGCCTGCGAGGCAGAGGCTGCAGTGAGTTGAGACCGCACCACTGCCCTTCAGCCTGGGTGACAGAGCGAGACTCTGTCTCAGAAAAAAAAAATTGACTGTAGGGACAAGTGTGGAAACAACCTTTGCTGTAACATAGGCTTGGATCAAGGTGGAGGCAG
This sequence comes from Homo sapiens, assembly GCF_000001405.40. Lineage (NCBI taxonomy): Eukaryota > Metazoa > Chordata > Mammalia > Primates > Hominidae > Homo > Homo sapiens. The sequence continues at coordinate 119,209,205 of NC_000012.12, read as the reverse complement.
GGGAGGTGGTGAGAAGTGTTTGGACACTGGATACATTTGGCAGCGAAGGATTTCCTGATGAATTGTATGCAGAGTTAGTAATTCTTGGGGCAAGACACAAAACGTGGGTCTCTTGAACCCTCCCCTGTACCCCAGGATGCACAATGAGTGTTTTGTGATGACTGCAGGTCACGAGCCTCCCCATGTTTCCAGCCTCTGTTGTCCTTGCCAGGACTGGGTTTTGGATTCCTCTGGCTCATCAGGGGCACATGGTGCTAATTCCACAGAGGGGGCATTCTGGGCTGGAGCCCTTGAACGTCAGCCACGGTCCTGGGCTTGCACCAATCCTGCCTGGGCAGCTCCTCTGTTTGTTGCATCACTCTGGTTGCCTGGGAGATGAATTCCCAGGTCATGAGCCCGGATTAGGGCTGGGTGGAGCAAGATGGAGCAGATGAGCTCATGAACAACACTGTTGCTGTTTGCACTGTGGACCTTAGTAACCTGCCAGAGAGAGACGGGCTTAGATCTTGCTCCTCCTGCATTCGGGCACCATGGACAGAGGAGGTCCTGGAGGGACCAGCATGGGTTTTAGGCTCAGTCATCTCTAGGTTCAAACCCCAGCTCTACTTTCTAATTCCTGTGTGACCCTAAGCAGATGGCTTTCCTTTTCTGATCCTCCGTTTCCTTAAATTGAGATGATACCATCCATCCACCTCCTCGACTTGTTGTAAGGGTTAAGTAATAAATGGATGACTGGATTTTGTAAAGTGACAATTGCTGGACAACAGAACTCATATGGCAGAGGACAGTATTGGCAGATACAGATCAGAGAGTATGGACAGCAGCTTGGTGACAGCTGACAAGGAGAGAAGTCTAGAAGAGCTCTGGGGTTTCTGCAGGGAAGGTGTTTGTGCTGAGTACTAACTTGGGGGAAGGAAGGGAAGGGAGCAGTTTGCAGGGAGAGATAGTGGATTCTCCTTTGGAGATGTGCAGTTTGAGAATCCTGTGAGTGGTGATGTCTAGGAGCCACCTGAAGCCTCAGAGAGCTGATCTGGAAGGGACTTGGGTGTGTTAGCTTAGAGAAGGCTGTGGAATGTGTGGGATACTCCCAGGAAAATGCACAGGGGCCTTAGGAGGGGACTCCAGCACAACTGCATTTATGGGACTCTTCTAGGAAAAGAACTCTGCAAAGGAGAATGGGGGTTGGGGGAAGAGGGGGAGAGGTGAAAGGACTTGGCCAGGGTCACAGAAGGAGTTAGTAGTTTGGCTGGTTTAGAACTCAGGTGTCACCTTACAGGTAGCATGGGAGATGCTATGCTGCCCAGCCTGACATCTCTCTCTCTCTCTCTCATTCCCTCTCTCCTAGTGTACTTACTATAGCTTAGCAGCTGGTATTCTTTGTTTTTAAGTGAAAGAAACAGACTTTACGTAATTTGGGGAGAAAGGGATGTGGGATAGTTCATTTAATCGAAAAGAAATGTTGAACACTATTTAGATGTCAGGAAGGACAGAATGGGGCCACTCTGGGGATCTGGAGCAAGGAAAATGGACATCTCAGGACACTGTCTCTGGAATGAATCAGCTTCAACTATTTCCCATCCTCAAGTCTCTCTGCATGAGGTTCAAATTCCCAGGAGAGAGGCTCTGCTTGGCTTAGCTTGGGCCATGTGCCCACCCCTAGTGAAGGAAGGTTGACGTCCTTTGATGGACGTTCCCAGTGAATCTGCACAAAGTGGTAAGAAAGATGTCCCAAAGAGGTATTGAGGGACTATGACCAGAGTAAAGACACATAAATGCTGCCAGGCAGAAGCCACAGGTGTCTACCCACCCCCACTCCACCCCAGGCCTGTACAGGGCTCTCTGGAGCCTTCAAAACTGGGTTAGAGGGCATTCCCTGGAGGAAGTAAGACCTGAACATAGAAGAATGTGATTGGCCAACCTGATTAATTCATCACTACCCACTTATACCTGGCAGGATCCCCAAGGAATGCAACAGAAGGTGGAACAGGGTAGCTTTAATGAGAGGGAAAAGAGAGGAAAAAAAGGCCTTAGCCATTTAGACTAATTAGAGATGAGGGAGGGGTGGGGGAAGGTAGGTCTGTGCTGCCAAAGTGCTTTTTATTTGCCAGCAATTGCTCTAAGTATTTTACATATCTTAATTCATTTATTCCTTTCCGCAACTCTACAAGGTACTCCATCATCACTCCTATGCCAAGGAGCCTGAGGCACAAAGAAGTTAAGAAATCTGCTCAGGGTCACCCAGCTAATAAATGATAGCACAGAATTCAAACCAGGGCCGTCTTGCTCTGGAGTGTGTATGGATAACCTCACACGGCTACACCAATGCCATGTTCTAGGACAGGAAATAAAATTTGCATCAGGTGATATATTAAATCAAAGATTTCCTTATGAGAATCTCTCAGACCTAACAGCTGGGTTTACTTTTCTTGTTTGAAATGCAATCCATTCTCTATGAAGAATATTTGAAAAACACAGAAAAGCACTGCTCCTAGTTCGGGCTGTTATAATAAAGCACCACAGACTGGGTGGTTTATAAACAGTAGAAATTTATTCCTCACTGTTCTGGAGGCTGGAAGCCCACGGCCAGGCTGCCAGCATGGTCGGGTGGTGGTGAGGGCCCTCTTCAGGTTGCACACTGCCAGCTTCTTGTTGTGCCCTCACATGGGAGAAAGAGGATGAGAGTGCTCTCTGGGGCCCCCTTTATAAAGGCGCTAATCCCATTCATGAGGGCTGCATTCTTATGGCCTAATCACCTCCCAAAGACCCAACTCCTAAAACGATCACATTGGGAGTTAGGATTTCAACATGTGATTTTTGGTGGGATACAAAACACACAGTCCATAACAAGCACAAAGGAAAGAGTAATGTGAACACTCAACTTCTTTACAGAAATAGTGGATTTTAAAACAAAATAGAAAGCAAAATTGTATTTATTTTAAGTTTTAAAATTTTTTTAGAAATGGAGTCTCATTTTGTCGTCTAGGCTGGAGTGCAGTGGCATGATCTCGGCTCACTGCAACCTCTGTCTCCTGAGTTCAAGTGATTCTCCTGCCTCAGCCTCCCGAGTAGCTGGGATTACAGGCGACTGCCACCACGCCTGGCTAATTACTATTATTATTATTATTATTATTATTATTATTATTATTATTTTGACACAGAGTCTCACTCTGTCACCCAGGCCGGAATGCAGTGTCATGATCTCGGCTAAGTACAACCTCTGCCACCCAGATTCAAGGGATTCTCCTGCCTCAGCCTCCCGAGTAGCTGGGATTATAGGCACCCACCACTGCGCCCCATTAATTTTTGTATTTTTAGCAGAGACAGGGTTTCACCATCTTGGCCAGGCTGGTCTTAAACTCCTGACCTCGTGATCCACCTGCCTCGACCTCCCAAAGTGCTGGGATTACAGGCGTGAGCCACCGCGCCTGGCTAATTTTTGTGTTTTTAGTAGAGATGAGGTTTCACCATGTGTGCCAGGCTGGTCTTGAACTCCTGACCTTAAGTGATTTGCCCGCCTCGGCCTCCCAAAGTGCTGGAATTACAGGCATCAGCCACCGTGCTCGGCCAAGAAATAGTGGTATTTTAAAACAAAATAGAAACGCAAAGTTAAATTTATTTATTTTAAATGGAATATCATACATACTGATTATTTGAGGCTGGCTCTTCCCATGTTATTTCTGTGACAATAAATCATCTTCAGGAGCATGATATTTAGTGGTTGCATACTGTTTCAGCCGTTTGTCCAACTGATGCCCTGCAATTGAACCACTTCTGACTTCCACTTATTCATGCATATAAAAGCAGCAGACAGGGCAGTCCGCATCCCCCAGCTCCCTTTTACTGTTTCTGTATATGCCTCCCCTGGCCTCAGGGTGCTTTTGTTTCCATGAGTTTGCACCTGTGACTCTTCTGTGGAGGACTTCCCTGGGGCTACTAGAGCCATTTTAGGCACAGGGTCAAAGGACGTGATGTTTATGTCCTGACTGGGAGTTCACAGCCGCACTTCCACCCCAGGGAGATACTAGACAATGGGTGTTGGGTGCAGAAGCATTAAAGCCCAGCTCTCTTGCCTTAGGTTGGAACAAATTCACATTCACTCTAGGGTTTCTTTATAGTGGTGCTGTCCAAAAGCATATAGCAGGCGTAATGCTAGCCACTTTCGAGGATAGATCACAAAAGACACGTTGGGCTTCTGCCTCATTCTCTGTTGGCTCACTTGCTCTAAGAGAGGTCAGCTGCCATATCATGAGGATTCTAACGCATCCCCATGGAGAGCCCCACGTGGTAAGGAACTGAGGCCTCCAGCCAACAGCCACAAGAGTGAACTTAAAGGCAGACCTTCCAGCCCTGGTCTAGCCTTCAGATGGCTGCAGTCCCTGCTAACATCTTGACTGCAGATTCATTTAAACCAAGCTCATCCAGCTGAGCCTCAGCTGAATTCCTGAACCTCAGAAACTGCAATCATAACTGTTTACTGTTTCAAGTCACTAAATTTTAGGGTAATCTCTTATGCAATGACAGCTACCAGCTATATCTTCCTCTTGGAGGTTCACAATGCACATCACCAGACTAAAGAGGAGTATTTAACTTTGTCTAACCTAGCACCTCCCAAACTTATTTGACTGCAGAACTCTTCCCATCTCCTTTTCTGCTGATAGCATCCACTCTAGGAACTGCTGATCTAGCATGAAATCTTGGACACAGCCAGAAAGTCTCCATTTCTGTCCCTTCTGCAAAGACATTCTTTGTTCTCCAACAACTGTGTCTGTGCTGGCTTAGATCTGAGGTGTGTATGGGCCTGTGTGTGTGTGTGTGTGTGCATACATGCCTGCCTATTGGTAGTAAGCTCTGTCATCGTGTCTGCTGTGGATTTTGTAAGCTGTCACTGTCAGATCCAGAACAAGCTGGTGTGTCATGCAGGCACAGGAAAAATGAAATTGTCCCATATCAGGTCACTAGGCAACGTTTCCAAGACAGCTGGTCCTTGTCATTCCTCTGCTCTCTCTGCTTCTCTCAGCTGCTGGGATGGTGATAATAACTAAGCAATAGCCCTGTTTTTTTTTACAAACTTGCAATCATCCCAGCAATTCTTTGGGGGATATTAAACGTGATTATTAATTATTCCCATTTTATGGATAAAGAAACTGAAGCTCTGAGTGAGAATTAAGGGTTTCATTTGTTTTAAACAACACACACCTACTAAATCCAAGCATTATCATTCCCTCTGCCAGAAACTCTTAACCCTTCTTTTCACCCTCCCCGCTCCCTGGCCTAGCTAACACATTGGTCTGGAATAAGCCTGCTGTAGTTTAAAACTGGCTCATCTCTTCCAGGCTGTGGGATCTTGGGCACATTTCTGGATCAACTGCCTTCCAGGGTTGACTACAGATTACATGAGTGTGAAGAGCATAGACAGTGCTTTGCAGCTAATAACATTCAATAACATTATTATTATTACTCCCCCTTCAGGTTTCGACTGGACATCATTTCTTCCATTTCTTCCTAGAAGCCCCCAGTAACTACCACATCCAGGCTGGGTGCAGGCAGAGGCCCATGTGTGTGTTCCCCAAGGCCCAGTGCTATAGCTGCCATATAGTAGGCCAGTGTGTGTGTGTGTGTGTGTGTGTGTGTGTGTTTGTGTGATATTCAAAATCTTTAGCTGGTAGGACACGGCACTGATCTTTCAGAACAGCCACTCGTCCAAAGGCCTCCTGCTGAAGAGATATTAACACTTCAGCTGTTGATTCTTAGAGGGAGTTGGAGGTGATGGGGGCGGTGGCTATATTTGAAATTGTAGCCAGGTGTGGTGGCTCATGCCTGTAATCCCAGCACTTTGGAAGGTCAAGGTGGGTGGATCACCTGAGGTCAGGAGTTCGAGACCAGCCTGACCAATATGACGAAACCCTGTCTCTACTAAAAATACAAAAATTTGCCGGGTGTGTTGGTGGGCATCTGTAGTCCCTGTTACTCAGGAGGCTGAGGCAGGAGAATTGCTTGAACCTGGGAGGCGGAGGTTGCAGTGAGCCAAGATCATACCACTGCACTCCAGCCTGGGCAACAGAGTGAGATTGTCTCAAAAAAAAAAAAAAAAAAAGGAAAAAACAAAATTGTAGGTACTATCATTATTTAGATGTGGACAACAGAAAAGGGGAAGATTGCCATTGAAAACATAGCTTGTTATACTCAAAGATTCTAAGAAGTGGGGGCACCCCACGCCACGGGGAGCCACAAAGGGAAACTCCAGGGTCCCTCAGGAGGCAGAGGGAGTAAGAAGAAAATGTGAGCAAGAGCCTTTATTATGGCTTCTGCGGGAAGGAAAGGGTGAAGCAGGGCATGCAGGTTTTGAATTGGCTCGTTTGAATAATTGCAGCAGGCTCTGGGACATAGGAGCTGTCTCTGCTTCTCTGGTTCCTGGCCCTGGGTGATTAGGGCAGGTGGAGAGTGAGCCAAGGGCTGAAAAGCACAATAAAGGAGATGGTTGGGGGTCTGGGTTCTGGAGGGTTTGGTTTGCATATGAAAAATGTGCTCCTCTCCCAGAGAGTCCTTTTCTATCTCCAGAAATTGGCTGGCCCTGGGACAGGTAGTCCCTCCAGGGTTAGCCAGAATCCAAATGCCAAAGCATTAGAATAAGAAAACATGCTTGATACAGGCCAGGACCCTGGGGGTCCTGAGAGGCTCAGGCAGTGCTATTCACCAAGCGGTAATGAGGTATTTCATTATTTGAACACTGGCATACTGTACCTGGGCATACCACTTGAATTTAGTGCCAAGCACAAGTGCTCAGTAAATACACAGCGAATTGCTGAGTTGGGTAGTGAGACTTGGAGCCTCTGTTGCCCCGCCCCCCATATCCAAGTCATCCTTAGAGAACGGCAATGGCAATGCCCTTCCACATGGCTGCCTTCCTCCTTCCCGAGGGAGCCACCAGGTAACCCACATCTGCTTATACCTGGGAGGCCTTCCAGCTATGGGACAGGTGGGTTTGCTCAGCCAGCCTTCAGCAACCTGAGAGCTGGGCCCACAGCAGGCCTTGAGACTCCCACTGCTTCTAACAACTCCTAGGCCCAGGACATTTGTTGGGAGGGGACCTCCAGGCAGCCCCACATTCTGCCAGCTCCAGGTGTTGGCTCATTTAAGAGACAGTATTGATTTTCACATTATGATGCACTACCCGTGAAGCACTGAAGGGAGGGGTTGGAGGAGAAGCCAGCCACCGATTGCCGGAATTTATTTTGAGACACATTAATTTGTTTCTTCCCTTCAAGGTCAAATCAAGTCATCTCTATACATCACCATTGGCAGCCAGCTGGCTAGAAGGCAGTTGGGAGGGGGTGGAGGTGTGCTGCGGATAAAGCTCTGTCAGAGCTGGGTCAAGGCAGGGGGCTGCAAGAAGGTTCTGGGCATCTCCTCTCCCAGTATCATCAAAGTGAGAGCTCAGGAATAATACTTCTCTGTCATTTGATTGGAGATCTCCAGGGAAGGGTCAAGTCATCTATTTTGATGCCAAGTCTTGTGTCTTTGAGCTCGAACCTCTCAGAATGGAAATGAGCCAGGTTTCTGGGTTTTGAAATCATGCCTTTAGCCTAATTTCCCAGGGTGACCCACACTCACCATTTATTTGTTCATCCATCCATTTAATAAATATTTATTGTTTCTGATGTGCCAAGCATTACATTTAGCATAAAAGACAGTAGCGGACAAGACAGACAAATAAAATGCCTACTCTTTTGGAGTTTCCATTCCAGGGTGTATCTATGCAAGTGATGTGTGTTGAGGGTAGCTTACGTTTTAATAGGCACGTGTGTTTCCAACCAAGCAAGCACAATTCTCAGAAGTGCTTTGATGGAAATACAGCAATGTGATCTATGTAATAGTCGGTGATTGGAGGTGGTGATTATGAGGCCTCTCACAACATTGTGAGACTTGAGCAAGCAGGGGTAGGGTTGGGGAGGGGAGATCTGAGGAAATTAGGATAGGAATAAGGCAGTCAAAGAGCTGGGGGCCGAGTGTTCACAACCTAAGGAAAGGAGAATGCAAAGGCCCTGGGGTGAGAAGGACCATGGTGTCTGAGGAGCAGAAAGGTGGCCAAGAGATGAAGTTGGAGACCGGACAGGGGCCAGATCATGTGGGACTTTGAAGGCAGTAGAATGGAGTTTGGATTTTATTTGTTCAATCAATCCATTCATGTATCCATCTGGCAAGTATGAAATGCTTCCTCTGCACCAGGCACTGTGTTATGAGATAGGGATACTGGAAAGAAGCACCAACGCGTGTTCTCTGTCTGTAGTCTACCAGGGGAACTATCTGGGTGTCTGGGAAAAATCATACTCTTTTGAGATATTTAAATAAAAATGACTCATACTCCTATGAAGTACCCTCTCCAAGAGCCTCTCAGGAGACCATTCTTGTGGTTCCGTCTCCAAGTTCCTGCCCATGAAGAATTCTCTCCATTTACCTTGCTCTGGACTATCCTTGACCTTGATCCATCCTCACCCACCAAGACCGCTCATACTAAGCACCTAAGGGTGTGTAAGACTTCCCTAAAAGTGGTACTGGCATATGAGTTTTATACCACAATGCAAAGAATTTAAAATTAAATACTGTGCACCATATTTTAGTTTCTGATTCCCCCCACCACCTGGCCTTCCTCACTGATCACCTCTCACTGAAACTGCCTTTGCAAAATTATAACTGAGGAAATTGTGACAGTGAAAGAAATCAGACCTAACCGACTCTATCTTGCTTCTAACCCTAAAGCTGCCCTTGTTCATTCCTGGGTGTAGGCCGAACTAACTTTGGGAAGGAATTCAGTTCATGGTTTGACTCTGACACAAATTTGACAAGAGCCCTTTCCTGAAAAGACCCCCTTCTTGCTTGGGGACCAGTCTGCCTTTGTAGGACTAACAAATTAGCTACAAGATTAGAAATTACAGTTTAGGGTCATGCAGCCTCTGGTTCCAAGAGTCTGAACCTCCCCAAATTGCTCCTGGGGGTAACATCACTATTGTAAAACCTAAGATCAGTGCTTGAGATATTTTGCAGACCTCGCCCTGGATGGACCAGCTGACGCCACCCAGACGGTAATCTGGCCCAACCAGTTCTGCCATCCCACCCAGGAACGGAAGACATTAAGAAAACCTCGGCTGGGTGCGGTGGCTCACGCCTGTAATCCCAGCACTTTGGGAGGCCAGGGTGGGTGGATCACGAGGTCAGGAGTTAAAGACCAGCCTGGCCACCATGGTGAAACCCTGCCTCTACTAAAAATACAAAAATTAGCTGGGCACAGTGGCAGGTGCCTGTAATCCCAGCTACTCAGGAGGCTGAGGCAGGAGAATCACTTGAACCTGGGGGGCGGAAGTTGCAGTGTGCCTGCACTCCAGCCTGGGTGACAGAGAGAGGGTCCTTCTAAAAAAAAGAAAGAAAGAAAGAAAGGAAAGAAGGAAGGAAGGAAGAAAGGAAGGGACGGAGGGAGGGAGGGAAGGAGGAAAGGAAGGAAGGAAGGAAGGAAGGGAGGAAGGAAGGAAGGAAGGAAGGAAGGAAAGAAGGAAGGAAAGAAAACCTCACTTTGGCACCCTGTGATTCCATTTCCAACCTGACCAATCAGTACTCCCCAAATCCCAAGTCCCTACCCACCAAACTATCTTTAAAAACTCTGATTCTCGAATGCTCAGAGAGACTGATTTGAGTTCTCCTGCACAGCCGGCTCTGCGTGAACTACTCTTTCACTACCGCAATTCACCTGTCTTGATAAATCAGCTGTATCTAGGCAGCAGGCAAGGTGAACCCATTGGGCAGTTACATCACTACAGTCCAGCCATCCAACACGTTGCCAGGCCCCCTTGCTTTAGAGCCCTTGCTCACTTGCTTGGGAGGATCTGTGTGGTTCTCCATGCCCTTGGCTCCGGAACCCTCTCATGGATGGGCTTCTACTCTACCTGCTTGGGGTCTCACCATTCAGTGGCCTAGAACTAGAGAACTTGGAAATAACAATCTTACTTTCCTCCTCTCACCAGGCTCTTAAAAGTGGGAAGAAACAGTATCTAACACCCAGCCCAGTGCCTTGCACATGGTAGGTGTCCAGTAAATGTTTGTTGAGCAAATATCAGATGGGTAAGGATTTTCCCCTAGGCTTGAAATGATTCCTCCTCCCTTCCTTGAAAACAGAGTAGCTAGGATCAGTTTTGATTTTTGTTATTGTTATTATTATTTATCTGCTACAAAAATACCTAGGCTGTTACAATATGATGTGTTGTGTTGGGATAAGGGTAAGTGAGAGGGGGCTCTGGCCTGCCTGGTAGGAGACCCAGCAGAGACCCCAAAGAATTAGCCAATGAAGAGGGTGGGACAGTAATCCTTGGAAGAGAGAGAGTAGTGTATTCAAAGTCCTGGTAGCAAGAAAGCACCTGTCTGGTTAGAGGAACAGAGGGAAGTTAGGTGGGGCAGGAGGGAGAGAGTAGGGGTTTGAGCTGTAGTGGAAAAAGGTCACCCAGGGACTGATCCAGCAGCCTAATAAGTCTTGCAAAGAAGTCTGCACTCAATCCTGTAAACAATGGGGAACCATGAAAGGATTTTAAAAGGAACATGCCTTTTGCCTTGGCTCATGTGTTTTCTTCTGCCTGTGAGGCACCTCCCTGCCCCAAACCCTGCTTGCTCAAGTCCTATATCTGTGCCTGATCCTCAAGCCTGCCACAAGTGAACCCTTCTCTAAGAAGACACCCCTGATCCCCCTGCGCTCCGCAAAGCCCCAATCTGAAACACCTCTTTTCTCTTCCCATAATTTGGATGGACTCACTTAAGGCACACATCTTTTGCTTTGTTAGGAGAAAGTCAGAATAGAGTAATAGTGAAGAGTGAAGGTCCTGAAGTCAGGCTGCCTGGGCCAGTTGCTTACCAGGTATATGATTTGGGGCAGGGCACTTCTGCTTATCTGAAAAATGGAGATAAATGCTGGACCTACCTCGGCTGGGTGCAGTGGCTCACCCCTGTAATCCCAGCACTTTGGGAGGCCAAGGCGGGTGGATCACTTGGGGTCAGGAGTTAGAGACCAGCCTGGCCAAATGGTGAAAATGTTGTCTCTACTAAAAATACAAAAATTAGCTAGGCGTGGTGGCAGGCACCTGTAATGCCAGCTACTGGGGAGGCTGAGGCACGAGAATCACTTGAACCTGGGAGGTGGAGGGTGCAGTGAGCTAAGATTGTGCCGCTGCCCTCCAGCCTGGGTGACAGAGTGAGACTCCCTCTCAAAAAAAAAAAAAAAAAAGAGAGAGAGAAAAGAAAAGAAAATTGGACCTACCTCGTATGATTGTAGTGCAATTAAATGTATTAAATATACATAAAGCACCCAGCATGGTGTCTGCACAAATCAAAGATTCAGTGAGGGCCACTCTTTATTTGCCTGTCTCTGCTACTGAACTGACAGCGCTTTGCAGGCTGGGATTGCAACTCATGGTTTGCTATGCCCTTGGCTCCTAGTACAGGACCCAGCAGAGTGGGTGTTCAGTCACTTATTTTGCTGTCTTTTGGGGGTTTTGGAGGTGTCCTTGAGAAGCAGCCCAGTAGCTCCTTATTGACCTTCCAAAATAAAACATATAAGTTCAAGTTTTGCTGTCATCACGTGACTTACCCAGGCCACTTCTCTCTTGGCCTCAAGTGTTTTCATTGCAAAAATAACAGCATCTACTTCCTAGAATGTTGTGGGATTAAATGGGATTGACTGCAGGGATGGAGCGTGTGACCCAGGCCTGGCCAATCAAAGCACTGATTTCTTGACCTACACTTGGCTCAGGGATGATCATATGATCAGGCTGGTCCACTAAGAATGACTCTGGAATAAGTAGCAGGGCACTGTGGCTCACGCCTGTAATCCCAGCACTTTGGGAGGCTGAGGCAGGTGGATCACTTGAGGTCAGGAGTTCCAGACCAGCCTAGCCAACATGGTGAAACCCTGTCTCTACTAAAAATGCAAAAATTAGCTGGGCGTGGTATTGGGTGCTTGTAGTCCCAGCTACTTGGGAGGCTGAGGCAGGAGAATCAATCGCTTAAATCTGGACGGCAGAGCTTTCAGTGAACTAGAGATAGCTCCACTGCACTCCAGCCTGCGTGACAAAATGTAAGACTCTGTCTAAAAAAAAAAAAGTAAAAAAAGAATCACTATCCAAAATGGCAGACGCTGTGGGAGAAGACTGGCTTTTCTCCCTCAGGACTGGAATGTGGATTGTGGAGCTGTAGTGACTGCAGCTACCTTGTGGCCCCGATGAGAGGACATGGGGCATGGAGGGCTGAGAGCGTGGGAAGCGGGGGCAACAGGGAGAGTGGCAATGAAGCCACTACTGCAGGGCCACGTCAGATGGAGGGAAACAATTCTGTTGATAGCATTAGTGCCCCGAATCCAGCTCTCCTAGCAAGCAGCTCTTATCCCAGACTTCTCAGCTATGTGCACCAATAAAAACCCCTTTTGGTTTAAATTAGTTTGAGTTGGGTCTCCTGGCACTTACCACAGCAGCCCTTCTCCCTCCCACCCTACAGTCAGGGATCTGTGTTCCTGGCAGCATCCAAACCCGTGGCAGCCACAGCACTGTTAACTGCCCTCAGAGCTGCTAGGCCTCTTTCCTCCTTCCTAGCAGAACCTTGTTTTGTTCAGGTAGCAATGTTGCAGGCCTCAGAAGATGTTGATCCAAGCCTGTCATGACCATCCTTTTCCCTTTTGGCAGAAATTGGTCTCAGGGTAGGCATGTGACCCACTTTTGGCCAATGAGATAGAAAAAGAAGTCTGCTGGGAGCTTCTGGACGATATCCTGCTCACTGATAAAAGAAGCTAGGTGATAATACCTTTTTATGACTTCCTTCTATTCCCCATACATTGTCATATGAGGATGAGATGCCTGGAGCTGCTGCAGCCATCTTGTAACCATGAGGATAGACTGTGACTATGTACACTTGTCAGAGATGGCAGAGAAAAAAATGGAAATATCCTGGGCTCTTGGTGGCATAACAGCTGAAAAAAAAACTGTGTATCTACTTACCTCTAAACTTTTTGTGAAGTTAGAAAACAGCTATTTATATCATTTAAGCCACTGTTCATCAGGCAACATTACTTTATTTTTTATATTTTTTATTTTTATTTTTTTACGATAATGTCAAGTTTAATCTGCCAAATATACAAGTTGAACTTGTGGAACATGTTTTGCCTGGGTGCCACACAGTAAACAGAGGTTTCTTGAAATGATCAATGGGTAGGGTTAAAAATGGGCACTGGCCTTAGCCAGGTGGGTAGGAACTGGGCAGGGAGGGGCAGAGAGGCGAGGCCTCGATCAGACAGGACTGACCAGGGACAAGCCATAACCCTCGAGGACCCAGGGGCACAGGCTCCCAGATGACAGCCCCTCTCTGAATGAGCACCTAGGCAACACAGTCCGGGGCTGGGTGTAGCAAACCTGTCAGCAGCTGCCTCCTGGGACAACCACCCCCTTACATGCTATCTACCAGAAAAATGAAAGCTCTTCTTACCCCATCTCCCAGGCACCCCCCAGCAAGGGCTCTGAATTCTAAAAACAGCAAAAACATTCAAATGGTTACATGTGAAATGCTGTCCCTCATCTTTCTGTCTCAAAGATAGCAACTGCCCCTCCCCCAGCTCCCCCCACATCCCCCAAACAATTTCTGTGCCAAAATGAAGAGGAGGCCCCAGGCCATGGGGGGCTCCTGGCCACGAGGGGCTGTTGCGGCGGCGCCAGGGCACAGGGTGGGCGAGACACAGCAGAGGTCCTGGCAGCGCGGCCCAGGTCCCCGGCATCTCCTCCCATGGGTCGCGGTTACTTATACAGGGAGAGCGACTGCATTCGTTTTCCTGACAATGTGGCATCATCTTTTGCTTTCCTTTCCTCTTCCTTCTTCCGGGCAGCCTCCTCCCGCTGTTTCCGGATGATGGCCAGCGGGCCAGGTCAGCCTTGGCTTGCTCTGTCTTCCCGGCCAAGTGCATTTTCATGTAACGCTCTTTTGCCTTCTGCTTCTCAATCTCTTCTCGTTCTCTCCTCGAAAGCTCCTTTGGCCCATCCAGATACAGTTGTGTGACCTTTTTGGTTGTCTGTGCCACCTGGTTGGGGTTCTCGATGTTGAAGAGCCCTTCAACGCCTTTGCGGTTTTGCTGGTAGTCATCTTCTTCATCCTCACTCTCATCTGAGTCTAGAGATTTCTTCTCCTTTTTGGGGTCACCTGCAGCCCCATCTCCACCTTCTTTTTGCTCCTCTTCTTCCCTGGCCTTCTGCTTCTCAGCCTGCAGCTGTACGTCGATCTCCTCAGGGCTCCTATACTGCCTCGCCCAGCCTTTGTGGCCTCCCTTTCTCCCTCCTTTAGGCATCGCGGCTCCGCGCAACATTACTTTAAGCCACAGCATTGCTAACTGATGTTGTATATCTAGGTGGTATTACATTTAGTTCCTCATTAAAAGAACCACACAAGGCTAAGAACGTCAGCTCCTTTATTATTATTATTATTATTATTAATTATTTACTGTTATTTACCCCTAAACAACAGCATAACTCAAATAATAATGACACACACGTCCCGCCCATATACACAATACCACTAGCCTATCTGTCAGGCTATCTGGCCTTTGCTTGGTTCCTGATGGAGCTGTCTGGAGACAGCTCCCTCTGTAAAAATCCCGACTTAAACACAGGGGACAGAAGAAAGGGGGGACCTAGGTCAGATCATAAACTGACAGGCTCCCAGCGTCCTTAGGGAGTGCTAATGTGGAAACTTTGAGAACGTGCTGGACACATCTGGGCAGAGGGCAGAAGGCACTGTTTGTTTTTATGTGGTTGATGGATAAATTCCATATGGGGATATAAGACCTGTATATCACCCATTTTAGGCCAGGCATGTGGAAGCACAGTGGGGTTAGCTACTGGGTTTCATTAACCAAACCATGCGGCATGGTTTGGGAGCCATGGGAATCGGGAGCCCAGAGTAGGAACCTGGGTGATGGGGGAGGTCCCCAGAGAAAAGTAACCCTTGCATTCACTGCAAGTAAGATACAACGTGAAATGTTAAGTCCCCTTTTATGTGTTTTGCAACTATAGAATGTGCAACATTTTCATCAAGATAGAAAAGGTAAAGAAAGCAAAACTAGTATTTTGGCCTAACACAACCAAGCATGATTTGCCAATTGCGCTATCCTGTGGAGAAATCTACCACTACACTATCCAGGGAATCTGTGGTCAGTCCTCACCCCCGCACCCTCTAACATTTTACTTGCACTAAATCTGAGTTCAGCTAAAGTAATGTATCCTGGAATCAGAGAAGCCCTAGGGTTGGGGACAAAACAAGGATGGGCCAGTACTGGCATCTCAGGTACAGGTGACTTCCTGGCTGTCCTGGGGAAGCTCGTTGTTGAAACTGCTCTCTCCAAATGTTGAGTAAGGAGGGACCTGGGGAGCTTCGATGATCAGCAGACCCTCTGGGGAAAGTGAGGCAAATACTGTCACAGGATCCACCTCTGCAGGAAGCCTAGGAGAAACACACGATTTTATTCATTTATTGTTGTTAATATTGCTTAAACATTCTTTTATTCACTTGAGAGGAAATATTTTTGATAAGAGCTTAGGCTTTGGGGACATACAATGTTGGGTTTGAATCCTGGCTCTACCCCTTTCTAGCTGTGTGGTCTTGGGAAGATTATTCAGTTGCTCTGAGCTTGTTTTCTCATCTGCAAAATGAGGATAATAATACTGAACTTGTAGAGTATTTGAACTTCAGAGTCTGAGTATGCTTTGCAAATGGTAAAATGCTGTTTGAACAGTAGTTCTTAACTTAAAAGAGAGCTGTGGCCCACATATTTGGTCCCAGGTTGAAGTCATCACCTTAATACCCACTACTGACCACAATTACTAGCAGAAATGGCACCACTACCATCCCTTTATAGAGCGCAAGTAAGGTGTTATCATAACAGGCAACACATTTTCATCTGACATGTGCTTGCTGGAGAGTGCTTCACTACAAAATGCATTAATGGTGATGCAAGCACTAGGTACCTTGGTGGATAAAAGGGGCCAAGCTGGCCACATGTAGATTTCAGATGGCAACATACTCGATGGTATTCAAAATAAGCCTTGATTTTGTTCATACCCTAAGTATCTCTGATGTGGTTTGGCTGTGTCCACCTAAATCTCATATTGAATTGTAGCTCCCATAATTCCCATACGTTGTGGGAGAGGCCTGATGGGAGATAATTGAATCATGGGTAGGGGGCAGTTTCCTCCATACTGTTCTCATGGTAGGGAATAAGTCTCACGAGATCTGACGGTTTTATAAGATTTTTTGCTTGGTTCTCATTTTCTCTCTTGTCTGCTGCCATGTAAGACGTGCCTTTCACCTTTTGCCATGATTGTGAGGCCTCCCCAGCCATGTGGAACTGTGAGTCCATTAAAACTCTTTTTTTCATATATATATCAATTATGTAGTCTCAGGTATGTCTTTATCAGCAGTGTGAAAACAGACTAATACAATCACTTAGCAGATCATTATTATCTTGTTCTTCCTTTTATTTTTTTGGGACAGAGTCTCACTCTGTCACCTAGGCTGGAGTTCAGTGGCGCGATCTTGGTTCACTGCAAGTTCCGCCTCCCAAGGTTCAAGCAATTCTCCTGCCTCAGCCTCCTGAGTAGTGTGGATTACAGACACCCACCACCATGCCTGGCTAATTTTTGTATTTTTAGTAGAGATGGGGTTTCACCATGTTGGCCAGGCTGGTCTCGAACTCCTGACCTTGTGATCCACCCACCTCAGCCTCCCAAAGTGCTGAGATAACAGGCGTGAGCCACCGAGCCCAGCCAATTATCTTGTTCTTAAAACTCAGTTATAGACAATACTTGGTTGGAGTATTGTAAGAGGATGATTAAGAGGTAAGAATTAATATGCCCATTCTACAGATCACTAAACAGAGACTTGGGGGAAATCAAATGACAAGCTCAACAAGTGAGAAAGCATCGAAGATGGAATTTCTAAACCTAAATCTGGTCCAACTTCTAATAAGGTATTTTTATGATTTTTGGATTGCTTTGGGTGAATGAGACTATTGAGAATTTGGTTTCTTCAACAAACTATTAAAACTGTGAGGACATATTAGTGATCTCATTGGGGTGCCATTATTTTTTTTAACCATGAAATCCATGACCTTCTGAGTACTTTCTATGTGCCAGGTACTTTAGCTGAATCATATCATTTTGGTGTTAACAATAATCCCACCAGGCAGATTCCATTGCTATCCCCATCTTACAGATGAGGAAATTGAGACTCAGAGAAGTGAACTGCTTTGCCCAAGGTTGCTCAGCTGGCAAATGGCAGATAGGAAATGGAATTGGAATCCTGGTCTCCAAACTCAGAGTATCTGACCATGATGCTCTCCTGCCTCCCCCAGCACCAGACATTTGAAAGAAGGACTATGGCAGGAAGGACCGGCAGTTCAATCAAAATCTTTCCACTGATCCCTGCTGGCTCTGCCTATTGTAAATACGAGGGTCTTGATGAAAGAACCAAGGCATGAGGTAAGCCCATTCCTGATCATAGGCAGGACTCCTTCTGGAGGGGCTGGGGAGTTTTTTTTTTTTCTTTCTTTCTTTCTTTTTTTGTGGGTACAACAACCTGTAGCCACATGAGCCGTATCTACCCAGGAGATTCCTTGCCAGATTGGAACCATGGAGATGAACAAGGCTGCTTCTGGGAAGCCCATTTGGAAGAAAAAGAGGGAACTAGAAAGCTGCCAAGTCAAGCTTTTGAAGCGGAGACAAAGTCAAAAGTTTAGACCTCCCTCCCAATGCTGGGGATGGGCTGACTGTTTAACCATGTGCACACCAACCCAGTGCACACCAGGTACAGTGTGACAGGGTGGCTATGGCCTAGAGCATGGGTTTTGCAGGCAGGCTGACGTGCATTCAAATTCTGACTCTTCCTGACCACACAACATGGGGCTGGTGATCTTGACTCTTTGAACCTGTTTCTTTGCAGAAAAAAAGGGGGCAATAATAGTACCCACCTCTTAGGGTGGAGTGAGAATTACGTTGCAGTCTTTGACCTTACATGTTGGCATCTTGACAGCAAGATGGAGTATCATACAAATTGCAGGATCATTGAACCACAGAGTATCAGGGCCCCAAAGGATCTTCCTGATTGTCCATGACAATGCTCTTATATTACTTATGGGGAAACTGAAACTCAGAGAGATAGACAAGTCCAAGGTCTCTAACCAAGTGACTTGTATTTAAACCCATTTGGTGGGAAAGTAATTCCTCTTCAGTTCTCTTTCAGTGCTTCTACTTACATCTGAAGGAATGTCTCTGCTAAGTACTAACATGCCTTTAACGCCTTTAGCCTCTATCACTTGCTACCTTCCCTTTTTAACAATGAGAGAGCTGAGGCCCTTAGGCAGGCAATATTATCTAGTTAGAATTTAACCACAGTTTGCTTTCATTGGATTTATTTCATGATCGCTTTCCTCAGTGAACATTTCAGTGATAAGAATTTAACTTTATCAAAAATGAGATGATCTAAAAGAAAAAAAAACCTTTAGTAAATCATGGTACAGCAATGTAAGCATATAAGGCAAAAAATAGTGAAGATGGGATGTGAATGACGGTATTGCAAATGACTGTAATTTGGTTTCCCCTAACCAAATAGGAAGATCATGGACTTTGAAAGCTGAGACCCAAGACCTCTCCCTCTCCTCCTTATTCAGTCCAAATGGGGCTTTTCACACAGAGATGGATGTGTTGAGATGAATTTCCTTGCCATGGTTAAGGCAAACAGCTGCAGCATCCTGCCTGGGTGGAAATCTCCAAGGATCTCAGCCTGGCTGAAGGAATCTCCCTGTCCTCTAATGACTGGAGTTTTCCCTGGGAGAGGAGGCAACGAGGACTCCTGAGATTGGTCCAGAGGTGTCCCAGACCCCAGTTCGACTCCTAGGTGTCTAGAGTCTGGGCAGAGCCAGGAGCTCCCAGGAGTCCCAGCTGCTGGAGTGTGAGTCCAGCCTTGTGAAGCCTTTTCATAATATTAATTCCCATGGACCAAGCCCTGAGTCTGTATTCCATGCTTAATGCGTTATACACATCCTCTCACTCCCATCACAACCCCTCCATGCAGGGATGTGGGAATGGAAGGTCAGAGCAGTTAAGCAAGTTGCCCCAAGTTACCCACTCACTTTCTCATGGAGCCAGGACTCCCTGCACCCGGAGCTGAGATTCAAAATATTTAACAACTAGTGCAGCTGGGCACTGACCATTCAGAAGGGATGGGTGCATGTCATAGTGATGGAGGAGGGTCCTGGGACCCTTTAGTTGTTGGAAGGTGGAGAGGTTTAGAGGGTCCTGGGGACAAGATCAGAGTGACTGGGGTTGGCTAGGGAGGGCTCAGGGCAATAGCTAGCCAATATTCAGGGGTCCCCATCCCCCGGATCATGGACCGGCACCCATCTGTGGCCTGTTAGGAACCAGGCTTCACATCAGGAGGTGAGCAGCAGTTCAGCCAGCATTACTGCCTGAGCTCCGCCTCCTGTCAGATCAGCAGTGGCATTAGATTCTCATAGGAGCTTGAACCCTGTTGTGAACTGTGCATGCGAGGGATCTAGGTTGCATGCTTCTTATGAGAATCTAATGCCCGATGATCTGAGGTGGAACAGTTTCATTCCCCAGTCCATGGAAAAATTGCCTTCTACGAAACTGGTCCCTGGTGCCAAAAAGGTTGGGGACCACTGAATATTTTAACAACTAGCCCAGCTCAGCAGCTGAGCACCAGCCTGGAGCAATTTCAGGCATTTCTCATCAGGTTACTTCCAGCAAGCTATCTCCCCTAAGGCCTTGGAGCATGTGAAATACACACACACACACACACACACACACACACACACACACACCCCTTTTAAGATGATTAATTCACTTCTTTCTTACACAGTCCCTTTTACAGCTATGCCCTGCTTGTGACTCCACCCTGAGACCTCATTTGAGCCTTGACATCAGCTTCCCCCCACCCCCTGCCTTCCTTCCTCTCCCTCAGCAATGTTTAATCTGCTTGCTAAACCAGGGAGAGGTGTGGGGCACGGAGATGCCAGGCAAGCCAGCAAACACGAAGAACAAATGGTTTGGCGTTTGCCTTATCAGGAAGTGTCCACAGGCTTCCAAGAACTGCAGAGGCTGTGGGAGGGCCAGGGACGGACATGTGGGGGAAGAGACAGGAATGTAGAATCCCAAGCTGGAAGAAGCCTCAGAATTCAGCTAGTGTGATCTCTCCACACACAGAATTTCTTTGCAAAGGCTGATGGAAAAGTTAAGAGTCAACAATAACAATAGTAATAATGAACTCCCACTTATGAGGACCTACGCTGGGCCATGACCTTATGTCACTTTCAGCCAGGAACTCTGCAAGGCTGGAATCAGCATCCCTTTCACAGATGAGGAAACAGCATTCCTTGCCCAAGGACTGAGCATGGAACTCAGAGGTCAGGGATCTATTCTGGGCCCTTCTAAATTCTAGCTGTAAAGACCTTGGGTATGTCCTTTCACCTGTGGGAGACTTAGTTTCCCTGTATTGCAAGGAGGGTCATGTCTCCTCTCCGATGCACACTTTTGCTGCAAAGGCTAAATGCAACGATGGCTTGGAAAAGAGTTTAGGGGCCAGGCGCAGTGGCTCACACCTGTAATCCCAGCACTTTGGGAGGCAGAGGCGGGCAGATCACTTGAAGTCAGGAGATCAAGACCAGGCTGGCCAAACATGGTGAAACCCCGTCTCTACTAAAAATACAAAAATTAGCCAGGCATGGTGGCATGCACCTGTAATCCCAGCTACTTGGGAGATTGAGGCCGGAGAATTGCTTGAACCCAGGAGGCAGAGGTTGCAGTGAGCTGACATCGTGCCACTGCACTCCAGCCTGGGCAACAGAGTGAGACTCCATCTCAAAAAAAAAAAAAAAAAGAGAGAGAGAGAGAGAGAGAGTTTAGGGGCCAGAAACGCACATAGTGGAGTGACGCTGATTGCTGATTAGGGAGAAGGTATGTATGAAGCACCTGGCAGTTGTTTAAGTGCAGCCATCGTGACCACACTGTGCAACTCTGCTCCCTATAGGTACTGCCAGCTAGGGGCTCGTGGTGGCTTTGGTTCATGGCCTCAGCCTGATTGTCCTTGGCTGCTCTCACGGTTCCCCCAGGCTCCCTTTCCCTGTTAAACATGAATCCCTTCTACTCCCCTCAGCAAAATAGCTCTTCCTGTGTCCCAGTGTCTCAGCCTCCAAACCTCTCTGGGTAGTATGCAGTGTTCTCAGGACACTTTCCAACTTCATTTTTGTGGATGCCCTAGAGAAGGTGCTCATTTTCCTGGCAGGGCAGAGGCTGAGCAAGCAGCCTGGAAGATATTCTGCTGGGGCATTTGGGGAATCAGGGGATGGTCTTTCTGGATGGTGACAGGGGTCCTCCCTCAGCTATGCCCCATGGGTAGGGGCTGTGTGATTGTGGACAAGTCATTGTCTTGCTTACCCTCAGATGCTTAGTCTATAAAAGGGAGTTGTTCCCCGGGTGCAGTGGCTCAAGCCTCTAATCCCAGCACTTTGAGAGGCTGAGGTGGGTGGATCGCTTGAGCCCAGGAGTTCAAGACCAGTGTGGGCAACATGGCGAAACCCCATCTCTACTAAACAAATACAAAAAATTAGCCGGACATGGTGGCACATGCCTGTAATCCCAACTACTCAGGAGGCTGAGGCACACGGACCGCTTGAACCCAGGAGGTGGAGGTTGCAGTGAGCTGGGATCACACCGCTGCACTCCAGACTGGGTGACAGAGTGAGACTCGGTCTCAAGATAAATAAATAAATAATAAATAAATAAAATGGGGTTTTTAATACCCACCTCACAGGGCACCGAGCAGATGAGATGATGCAATCTATGTGCTCCCCCTTCTGGGACCCTATTACAGGTCTGCTGGGATATTTTCTCCTCGTTAGGTGTGAGGGTTCAATTCCCTGCCCCAAGGAGGTGTCTTAAAAGAGAGATGCCCAAGAGGGAGAGACCCCAGATCATGGGTCCCAGGTGTGCCCCCTCCTCCACTCCCACCCTGAGCTCCATGACTCCAGGTTACTTACTGGATTTTCTTTGTGAAGTTCTTAGAAACAATGCCACCTTCTTGCTGTTTCTCTTCATGTTTGCCTGGAAGGAAGAAAAGTGTGGCGTGTCAGCATCTATGTTCCTTGGGCATCCTTCAGGACTGAGGCTTGGGTTCAAATCCTGGCCCTGGACCTGCCTTGCTGTGTGACTTAGGCCTACCCTAGAGACTCTAGTTATCTAAGCCTCAAGGACCTTGTCTGCCATACAGACCCACCTAAGTCCACTTCCAAGGCTGGCTATGAAGGTGAAATAAGATAATTGATGGAAAGGAGGCGTAGACCGTGGTTTGTAGTTAATTAAGGGTTAGTCTGAGGAAATCGCAGAAACTTCTGTGTTGTACCAAATCTTCCATGTGTTGTACCAAATCTTCCAAGTCTCCCACCTGACTCCTCTTCTCTAACCTGCCAGTAGAACCCTGGGTCTGACATCCCAGACTGGATGGCAGGCTTGAAGCGGGGTCACATGCTGAGGGCGACTCTGCCATGTAGCTTGCTTTATAGCTAACAGAGTGCTTTCCTAACTCTGAGCCCAGACGTCGTTCTCCCTTTGTTTCCAACATGGAAACTGAGGCTTGGTGATGGATCCAGGGTCGCCCAGCAGGTCCCTGGTGGCTCTGAGCTTTGAATCAGCTCTCTCTGAGTCTAGGCCAAGTTCTAGGTCCTGATGCCTCTCTGCTCTTGAATTTCTGTCTGTTCCAGCTCCCGATTAGCTCTTTAAGCCACATTATCTGTACCCAGTAGTGAAAGCACAGCCTGGAAAAAGAATGCTTCAATCTGCCAAAAACACCCAGCTTTTCCTAAGGGCACTGTGGATGTGAAATTCCACCAGACCTCTCGCCTCTTAACCTGTGGTAAGAGAGGGCTTCCCAACCCCCTCAGGGAGGAAAAAGATGAAATTACAAGAAGACTTGGGCCTAAACTGGTTTTGATCTTGTAATGTATATAGCACATTCTAATTCTCTCGGTCTCTCCTCATTCTTTTTTTCTTTAATAGAGAGAGTGTCTGTAGTTTCTCTTTAAACAAACAAGATTAGTACAACAGTGGGGCCATTCGGCTGTTACTTTTCACTCCTCATTTGTGGGGCCACCTTCTGGAGGCAAGAACCCTCATTTACACAGGGAGGTGCTTCTGAGGGGCCTTGAAATCTAGAATGTAAACAACTTTGTTGAATATAGCAGTCCAGATTTTTTTAAACTGACAACTTATAGCTAATTACTTTTAATTATTTCTTTGTTAATAGCTTTTTTTGTGCTTTAAGATAGTGCATGTGTATGTTAGAAAATGCAGAAAATAGGCCGGGCATAGTGGCTCACTCTTATAATGTCTGCACTTTGGGAGACTGAGACAGGAGGATGACTCGAGGCCAGGAGTTTGAGACCAGCCTGGACAACATAGAGAGGCACTGTTTCTAAAAATAATAATAATAATAATAATAGGCAGGGCGTGGTGACTTATGCCTGTAATCCCAGCACTTTGGGAGGCCGAGGCAGGTGGATCACGAGGTCAAGAGATCGAGACCTTCCTGGCCAACACGGTGAAACTCCGTCTCTACTAAAAATACAAAAATTAGCTGGACATGGTGGCACGTGCCTATAGTCCCAGCTACTTGGGAGGCTGAGGCAGGAGAATTGCTTGAACCCGGGAGGCAGAGGTTGCAGTGAGGCGAGATCGCGCCACTGCGCTCCAGCCCAGCAAAAGGGTGAGACTCTGTCTCAAAATAATAATAATAATTACTATTATTATTATTATCCAGGTGTGATGGTGTGTGCCTGTAGTCCTAGCTATTTGGGAGGCTGAGGTGGGAAGATTGCTTGAGCCCAGGAGTTTGAGGTTACAGTAAGCTATAATGCACCACTGCACTCCAGCCTGGGCAACAGAGTGAGATCTGGTCTCTAAATTTAAAAAAAACAACAATAACAAAAGAAAAAATTAAAAAAAAAAGCCATCAAAACTACTTATAATCCTGTCACCCCACGGAAGCTATTAATAATATCTTTTATATGTTCCGACTTTTCTATGTTTCTCAGAAATGTGTAAATGTTACATAGTATCCATGTATATCAGTATTCTATCAAATGGGATAGTTCTCTGCATTATGTTTGGAACTTATTTTTCTCTCTTGCTAACACATTATAATTACTTTTCCATATTACCAAATATTCTTTGACAACATAATTTTTAATGGCTGCAGTGTTCTATTGAGGAATACATAAGAGCTAATTTAACCAATCCCCTACTTTGGGGTGCTGAAGAGTTTCCAACGTTGGCGAGAACTTCGTGGCCCTGAACATTCTTGTAGCTAGAACCTCACACCAGGCCGCCCTATGACTTCTTTAGGATTAACTGAGGACTAATGCAACTTCCAGAATTTCTAAGGCTTAATCTATGTTCCTAAATTGCTCTCAGCAAAAGAAATTCATTTTAAACTGGAGTGTCTGGCTAACCAGAACATGCTATCCTGTGAATGTGTGGCCGCTTAAAGAGTCTACCTTGTGCTGCCAACTCCATGACCACCAACTGCCTGGCTCTAGCACAGGCCTGTGCCCAGAAGAGCACTGTCTGTTCTTTGGTACCCTCCCCACAGCCAGGGCGCCGGGAGACCTGCTTCCCCTGGGGACAGGCCAGTGCCTCTGACTCAGCCCTTTTGCATCCTAGAATCCTCCTGCATGCTGGTGTCCTGGGAATAAAAACTGATAATATAAATAATAATAGCAAGTAATATAGCGCTTCCTTGGTGTCAGCCACTGTTCTAAGCACCTTATCTGTATCAACTCCTTTAATTTTTGCAACAACCTTAAATAATAATAGTAAAATAATAATATAAGCAGGCATTTTCATTATTGTCATTTTGTAGATAGGAAACCCGAAGTTCAGAGAGGTTAAGTGCTGTATCCAAGGTCACACAGCTTGGAAGTGACTGGTGCAAAGATTCAAAAGCAGGCAGACAGGTTCTGGAATATTGGGTGTTGGACTTAAGTCTCTACTCTGACATTTCCTGGCACATCTCTAAGTTTCTCTGAGCCTCAGTTTATTCTTCTCTGAAATGGGAATGACGACACCTATCTTACCGGGTTACCGTAGGAAGCAAATGAAAGCGAGTCACAGAATGGCTTTGGAAGTTGTAAAAGTACCATGTGAAGGTAAACACTTGTGGTTTATTTTGATGTTTGGGGAAAAGACTGCTCCTCAGAAACTAGGTGCCTCTGTCTGCTCTGAAAATAGGGTATTGGGGTGAGGGAAGGGAGGATCTCTGAGCAGGGAAAGCTCCAAGATTTCCAAAAGAGGGGCCTGGAGGTGGGGTTAACCTCATTTAAAGAGAGTGTTGCTAGGAGGATCATCTTGAAACTCAATTTGCTTATCATTTGCCTACTTAGATTGGGGCAGCTTAAGGATTATGAGTGATTTTTAATTTCTTATTTTGCTTTCCTAACTACATATTTTATCATGAAGACATTTTATTTTTGTAAACTGAAAAAAGTAATTATTATGATTTTTAGAAATACATCCAGAGGCTAGGAGAAGTCAGAAACCCCTTGCAGACATGCTTTTTTCAACATGCCTCAGAGAAATGTAGGTGGAACACTATTGGCCCAGCTAAAGAAAGAAAGTGCTGTTTCCAGGGAAGGCAGAGTCCCTGGGACTAAGGAGAAGGGGTGGAAATAAGGCCTTGGGGCTTTCCAGTCTCTATCTTAGCCAGGGTCTGGCCCAGTGGCCCATGAAGGGAACATTTCTTGGCTGGTGGTTGCAGGATGGGGGTAGGGGAATCTGAGGCTTGCTGGAAATTGTCTAGTCCAGCATTTTCCAAACACTTCCTTGAATGAGACACTCATACGTGGTCAGATAAGATAGGGCTGCCTCTTAGAGATTCATAAACTACATTAGTGACTTAAAGGCTCTGATAAGTCCTGCAGTGAGAAGACCTGTTTATAATTTTGTTTTTACTGGCACCATACAAGACCTTGAACTCTCCTGCTCCTGTTTCTAGATGCCTAGTAACAGCTTGAAGTACATTGGTAAATTCTGATCTTGTCTACCTCTTCATAAGACCAACAGTAAAACTGAGGCTCCAGAGGCTGTGGGATTTGCTCAGGGCCACACCGCCAGAAGTAGATCCAGCCATCCTGACTCAGAACCAGCCAGAGAGGCCTGACATTGAATGTCAGACACTGCCAGGGAGAAGTGGGTAATCTCAGGTGAGTTACTTTCTCTGGGCCTCGGCTTCCTTATCTGTATAATGGGGTTAACAAACCTACCCACACTTCCTAGGAGGTCCTTGTGAGGAACCACTGAGCCACCACATGTAGGCCTTTAGCACGTGCTTGTGGAGGAACGGATTTGTCATTTTGTGGTATAGGGTGGGAAACTGGATCTGACTTCCAACTTCCCTTGAAAATTGCTTTTTATTTATTTTTATTTTTTATTTTTTTTGAGACAGAATTTCTTTCTTGTTGCCCAGGCTGGAATGCAGTGGCACGGTCTCAGCTCACTGCAACCTCCACCTCCCAGGTTCAAGCGATTCTCCTGCCTCAGACTCCTGAGTAGCTGGGATTACAGGCGCTCACCACCACACCCGGCTAATTTTTGTATTTTTAGTAGAACGGGGTTTCGCCATGTTGACCAGACTGGTCTCAGACTCCTGACCTTAAGCGATCCTCCCGCCTTGGCCTCCCAAAATGCTGGGATTACAGGCATGAGCCACCGCACCCGGCCCGAAAGTTGCTTCTTAAATAGAGCTCCTGATATCAATTTTATTTTTAAACCCCTTTTATGAAAGCCCTTGTATGGACTCTCAGGGAATTTGGATTTTGTCTAGCCGATGTCACTAATTGCATGTCTGAAAAGCTTTGTCTTTGTCTTATTTAAGCTCCCAATGACCCCATTTTACAGACGTGGAAATTGAGACTGCATGACTCACCCAAAGCCTCTGGATTAGTAAGATACTTAGCTGAGATCTCAACATGGAGCTGCCAGACCCCACCTGTTATGAAGCACCTACAAAAGAGGATGGTGAAAAACCCTCCAGGCTGGACAGAGGGTCTCCTAGAGGGACCACAGGGTGGAGTCGACCCTTGGACTTGGGCTAGAAGCATCTAAGACCCTAATTAAAACAAGGACAGAAGGAATGGTGATAATCGGTCTGTTTACAGAGTGCCAGGCAAGCACTATTATTAGCTCCATTTTATAGACACTCCGCATATATTATCATAGATAGTCTGCATATGTTTAATCTTTCCTACACCCTTACAGGACAGATATTATTATGGTCTCCATTCTGCAAATAGGAGAAATGAGGCTCAGAGGGATGAAGACTTTCTCGTCCACATCCGCCATGCTAGTGAACAGCAGTGCTGGGATCTGAACCCAGGTTTCAAAGAGCATCTATTATTCATTATTTATTGGGGCCTTCCTGGATGCCTGACACTATAACAATAACGACGACAATAATAATACTAATTCCTTGTGTTCCAGGTCATAGAATGTGAAAGGAAAATAAATCTTGGGGCCCCCAAATCACTAAGCTAAAGGGAAAAGTCAAGCTGGGAACTGTTTAGGGCCAACCTACCCCCCATTCTATTCAAAGGCAGCCCTCTGCTCACTGACATAGATGCATTATCTGTTTGTCTCCTTTGGAAAGGCTAATCAGAAACTCAAAAGAATGCGACCATTTGTCTCTCACCTACCTGTGACCTGGAAAACCCCTCCCTGCTTCAAGTTGTCCTGCATTTCTAGATCGAACCAATGTACTTCTTACATATATTGATTGATGTCTCATGTCTCTCTAAAATGTATAAAATTAAGCTGTGCCCAGACCACCTTGGGCATGTGACAGGAGGACTTCCTGAGGCTGTGTCATGGGAGTGTCCTCAACCTCGGCAAAATAAACTTCCTAAATGAACTGAGATCTGTCTCAGATTTTCTGGGTTCACAGGTATGTACACATTTTACAGCATCACCTCACTTAAAACAACAATCCTTATGGTATAACCATTTGAACCCTAATTTCCAGATGAGGAAACAAAACAGAAGCACAAAGTGAAGTAATTTGCACATCCTGCTGGTTAAAGTTGGAGCCAGTTTCGGAACTCATGCCCTGCTCCCCAGCCAACTCAGAAATCTGGCTGACCCTGTCATCAGCACGTGGCCCCAGCGTGTCTCCCAGCCCACCACACCCGCTGGAGCCTCTGATGTTTATAATTCTACCAGGACTGGCTTGAAACTCCCCCTGAATGCTGCTGGGGCTTGTTCCTGCCCAGCCTGTGTTTGCAATGGCTTTGACTGATTTTCTGGAAGGCAAGCCTCTGCCGGGAACACATTCTTTTTAATGGAGTGTTAATCAGGAGGGAAGGAAAAGAAAGATTTTTCTACTGCCCAGCTTCACAGGGGCTGAGCTTCCTGTCTTCTCTCATTTTTCCCCCTAGTATGTTTATTTCTCCCAGGGTGGGATGCGGCAGTGAGAGCCCTGGGCCTAAAGCTGTGCATAGGCCCAGTCCCTACTCCACTCCTATTGCTGACTCATGGCATGACTGTGAACGAGTCCCACCTAGGCCTCAGCCTCCTCAGCTGCAAGATGGGCCTACCCTGCTACCCTGGAGTGGACTGAGGATGATTTTGGAGAAGTATAAGAATGTCAGCCCACCCTTGGCACCTAGTAGGTGCTCAGTAAATCATCACTTCTTCTTTCTGGCCTCCTAATTCCCAGACAACCTGGGTCTGACTCCTTGGTGGCCTTGAACAAGTTACTTTAATCTCTCCGTGCCTCAGTTTCCTCATCTGAAAAAAGAAGATAAACAGTACCCACCTCCTCTGGTTGTGGTATTAGCTGAGATATTATAGGCAACAGCAGTTAGCAAAGTGCTGAGCGAATAGTTAGCACTCAGAGTTACCAGTTAGTGTTACTACAATTACTGGTAAGCCTCAGTTTCCCTGTCTGGGACAAGGAGAGGTGTTTCACCGGAAACCAGTTGCGGTTATTAACACTATCATTGTTCAGCCTTAACGTGCACTTCTAGACTCTGTTATGATGCTGGAGTGCACAAAATCCCGTTTCTTCTTTGTTTTTTAATTCTTTGATATCTGCTTAACCTATTCTTTATATTAAATGCCCTCTGTCAAAATATCCAACATGGTTTCTATTTTCCTGTCTGTACCATGATTGATGAGCACCCAGAGGCCCCAATAGCTGAGTCAGGCAGGTTAAGATCTCTGCTGGGAGCCGGGAGAGAAGTTTTCCGTAAAGATAACTTTGCAGGCTGCATTCCTGAGCCCTGAGGTCACCTGTGTCACACTGTCCCAACGTCAGCTCCCAGGAAACTTTCTCTGGCTATTCCCAGGGCTGAGGGCTACATCCCGGCCTCCCCATTCTCTCTCCCTCCTGCCCCTGACTTACCAGACACCTCCACGTATCCATCTTTGGTCTTCACCATCAACTCCTCTGGCTTGAAGCTGTGCACATTCACACACACTTTCCAGGGCTCCCCAGGGAAGGGTGGGGGGGTCCTGCCCTCGGCAGGCACCCCAAACCTGGCGGTGGCAGTGGGGCCCCGGGGCACCATGCCCGACCTTAGGGTGCCTGGCCAGGCGGAGGAGAGACGAGGCAGAGCCCAGTCGGGCCAAGAGGCTGTCAAGTCGTCTGGGAAGGGGTCCATGCCAAAGCCATCATCCAGCAGGCGAGAGGAGAGGGGAGAGTCCCGGAAGGGGTCTCGGCGCAGGCGGCTTGGGTAGTGGCAGGAGAAGGGCATCTGACCGTCAGCCATGGTGGCTGCTCAGCTCAGAGAGAAACAGAGGCTCAGAGAGACAGAACCACCTGCCCAAGGTCACACAACAAGGTGGTGTGGCTGGGCTAGCTTATTCTTCAGCTTCCGAAAATGCTGCTTTTCTGCAGGGAGAAGCAGAACCAACCACTGCCAGGGACGGTTGTGTCCCCTCGACTGGGGTCCCAGCCCCCAAAGGTAACCCCCGGGGCAGATCCAGCAGAATCCCAGAGGGTCCCCGTCCGCACTGCCTCACGACAGACCGGCAAGCCACCGTCCTCCCAGGCTTCCCAGGCTGCCCAGGCTGGCAGCCAGAACCGCTGAGGTCTAGAGCGGAGCCAGGAGCTTAATAAACCCAGGGCACGCGCGCCTAGAAACTTCTTCTGGCTCCTTCTGGGCTGCAAGCCTTCTATTTATTTGCTGCTGGAGGCTGGAGGCGGGTTTTGCAAGCGTCTCCTGTCACAGGAATATTCGGAGGTGATGAACCAGCCCCGGAGAATCCGCGGAGGGAACAGCTGGGCTGTGGGGGGAGCTGGGAGGGGCCGCGTCCAAGTTCAGCCGGCCTCTCCGGACACTCTCTCCTCCCCTGGCCACTCCGCTCAGCTCCGCCCTCCTCTTGCTCCAGGAGCTGGAGCCGCCCTCCCCGAGCGGGGCACTAAGGCCTGGCTATTAATAACCCCGAGCCTGGCTGAGGGCTCAGGTCACCCTCTGGAAATACCTTCCCTAGAGCGTGTCGTATCCTGCCTTTCCCCTGGGGACCTGCAGAAAGGGAAGAGAGAGACAGGAGCCCAGTGGATTTGAAGGATGGCCCTGGGTTGCAATCCCCACTTACAAGATGGCCAAGCTCCTAGAGCCTCAATGCCCTCTGGGGAGATTGGTAAAGGAAAAAAAAAATTTTTTTAATGTGTATATATATATTCATATGACGCTTGTTAAAGTATGACAAGCAAGACTTTACTGGGCAGGGAAACTTTCTCCATAGATGTAGGGACCCCTGCAATGGGATTTTGCAGTGAGGGAGAAAGATTAGACTTGATTCCCAGTAGGTCATGGGTAAGTGTGAATTTGTAGCCAAGAAGCAGGTGGGGGGTCAGCGAATGGAAATTTACTAGGAGGGAAGTCCAGGAGTCAGAGGGATTCGGGCTCAGCTAACCTAAGAGGATTCTTGCTGAAGACAGGCCAGGGTGCTCAGACATCACCTGGGGGACCGCGGAGGATGAGGAAACTAATCAGATATCGAGGGTGATCAGAAATCGAAGATGGGTGGTTGCTACTAAACAGACTTAGCAGAGTTCATGCCAAAACTGAATTTTTCTTTCTTTCTTTTCTTTTTTTTTTTTGAGACAGAGTCTCACTCTGTCCCCCAGGCTAGAGCGCAGTTGCGCCATCTCCGCTCACTGCAACCTCCGCCTTCCAGGTTCAAGCGATTCTTCTGCCTCAGACTCCCGAGTAGCTGGGATTATAGGCACCCGCCATCGTGCCCGGCTAATTTTTGTATTTTTTAGTAGAGTTGGATTTCACCATCTTGGCCAGGCTGGTCTTGAACTCCTGACCTCATGATCCACCTGCCTCCACCTCCCAAAGTGCTGGGATTACAGACGTGAGCCACCTCGCCTGGCCCAAAACTGAATTTTTATAAGGAACCTCACTGATGGGCTTAGGAGAAGATTCAGAAATCCGATTAATGTTTGGTCAATCAAAGCATCTTTATAGGCAGTAACATTATTCCCAGGCACCTCCAGGTTGTTAGTTTTCCTCCTTATAAACGGACATAACAGTAGCCAACTCACAGATGTACCATGAAGAATACATGAGGTAATTCTCTTTCTCCTTGTATTTTCAATTTTGAGTTATCAATTACATAATGTTTGCTATATGCCAGGCCCTGCTCTATGGGCTTTATAAATATGAATTCATTTAACCCTCACCAGCAATCCTGTGAGGTAAGAGTACCAGTATTATCCCATTTTACAGATGAGAAAACTACCATAGAAGTGTTCATGAATAGTAGCTTCTATTATTATTATGACTGTTAATACTGATAATTATTGAAAGATGTTACACTCAGGCAGGAGGTCTGGTCTGAAACTCAAAGCCCCAAATCTAGACTTTCCTGCTCTTCCCATGCAGCTGGAAGAATGAATTTACAAATCCTCCTTTGGCTTGGAGGCCTCTTCGGCTTGGGTTCTAATCTTTGATCTGTCCGCAACAGGCAGAAAATTTTAGGCATGTCGTTTTCCCTGTGTGGGCTTTCGGGTCTCAGCCCTGCCTTCTTCACGAGATGAGGGTAAACTGAGGATATTAAGGAATTCAGTGAGTCATAGGTTGAGAAATTGTTTTGATATTAAACAGTGAGTGCATGAGGCAGTTTGCTAAAAATAATAATACGGAGAAAAACAATCACTGTCGCCCATTGCCTCCTGTGCGTCTGCTTTTAGAGTTAGTACATTTCAGACATTACTGAGTTAAATCCTGACTCGATAGTTAAACGTCACTATTATCATCACCCCCATTTTGCAGGTGAAAAAACAGAGGCACAGAGGTTTGACCCTTGCACACAGATATGGAGTGGCAGAGCCTGGGTGGGAACCTGGGTTGTTCTGAATCCCGGATCTGTGCTTAACCGACAGACAGAGACCCCTGCCCTCCTCCCCAGCTGAGAAAGAATGGTGGGGACCCCACGGCATGACATGTCCCGAGTGACTGGGCCCCCACTGGATGTAGGGTGAGCTCATCAGGCTGGAAGCTTCGGGCTGACGTCATGGCTGGGCACAGAAGCTTCAGCTCTCTCTGTAATTACAGCTGGGCGGGGCTGGCTGAGTTGGAAACCAGTTGTGGGGAGAATCACTGCAAGCCGCATGACGCACCGGAGAAACCTGGCCCTGCCTGGGACCTGGGCAGGGGCTGGGGTGAGGTTTCTGAGTGGGTGGGACAGAGTGGAATGAGTTTGTGTGCGGATTTGAGTGGGTGCAGGAGTGAGTCTGTGTTTATGCGCCGATAGGTCTGTGTTTGTTTATCGCCGAGTCTGCTGGTGGGTATGTTCAGGAAGAAACTCCCCTCCTTTTCCCTTCCCAGGCCATCCCCAAACCTCCAGAGGACCCCTCTGCCTCAAATGAGGCTCAGTTGGGACCAGGGGACCTGGAAGGAGGGGAAGCCTGGCGAAGGAGCAGGGAACCGAGCTGTGATGACCTAATCCACCTTCTCATTTCAAGGATGAGGGGGACGAAAGGGAGGATGCAAAGGTAGAAAATAGAAATAACAATCACTGGCATTTACGGGGCACTTGCCCCGTGCCAGCTTCTGTTCTGAGCACTTTAAATGTATGTTCCTAAACTCTTTTACTTCTCCCCACAATCCTATTAGGAAGGATGTTTTTAATTTATTTATTTATTTTGAGATGGAGTTTCACTCTTGTTGCCCAGGCTGGAGTGCAACGGCATAATCTTGGCTCACTGCAACCTCTGCTTCCCGGGTTCAAGTGATTCTCATGCCTCAGCCTCCAGAGCAGCTGGGATTGCAGGCACCTGCCACCACCCCTGGCTAATTTTTGTATTTTTAGTAGAGACAGGTTTTCACCATGTTTGTCAGGCTGGTCTCGAACTCCTGACCTCAGGAGATCCACCCACCTCGTCCTCCCAAAGTGCTGGGATTACAGGCATGAGCCACCATGCCCGTCAGGAAGGATGTTTTATTAAACTCATTTTAGAGATGAGGAAACTGAGGCACAGAGAGATTACCTGACATGCCTATGTCAGTGGCAGAGCTGGGATTTGAACCCCGGGCAGTTTGGTTCTTGTCTCATCTGCTACACTGCCTCTGAAGTCAAAGTCATGGCTCACATTTATTGAACACTAACCATGTACCCGGCCCTGTGGTCAACAGTTTTATCCATGACCTCATGGAATCCTTGTGGTTCAGAGAGGTCAAGCCACCTGCCCTGGACCACACAGCTGACCAAGGATTGGAATCCAAGCCAGGGCGCACTTGGCAGTGCACGGTAATAACCACTATGGGACAATATTGGCCCAGCCTTGCCCAGCGAGCCTTCCACACTGCCTGGTGTCCTGTTCCCCCTTGGGCTCTCATTGCATTTCTGGATCTGGTCAGCCCTTCATTTCAGGAAGCTGAGGAGGGAGGCAGCTGCTCCTGCTAACTCGGCCACCTGGTGAGGAGTTAGCTAACACATGAGGAAAGTGGTCACTAAACCCCATGGGCTGTCACCAATCAGGTGAAAATATGACGCCAGGCTCAGGGGAGGCCCGGGAGAAGAAGGGGCCTCCAAGCTGGTTCCGCCAGGGAAGAAGAGACCTTAGAGGGGACTGTGGTACAGGGGAAGGATGTTAGATCCTGGGAACCAGAGCCACGTTTCTCTTGGCTGCCATCCTCATAGAGCTTTCGTACGGGGCGTACCACCATTAATTCTCAAAACAGCCCAGGAGGTAGGTGAGATCACCCTGCATGCCTGAAACTGGGGACCAGCTGGTGGGGACAGAGTAGTCTGAAGCCACACAGGTAGTGCTGGGACCAAGTAGGACAAAGACATAGCTGCCAGATTCTGTGCCTTTTCTTTTCAATGTAGTAAGAAACAAAAGTTCCCACCCTCCCCTAGGGGATTCCCAGCCCCCAGCCCCTCCCCAGGGTCTGAAGACCCATCTCAGAGTTAGTTCTTTTGGGTGGCTCTGGATCCCAGCACATCCTCCAGAAAATAGGAAGTAAGCATGCTCATGCCTTTTTATTTCTTTTGTTTCTCAGACCCCCCCTACAATGACACTAATGGAATTCCCAGCATACTCGGCTCCATGAAAGCAGGACCCTTGGGAGTCCTGTTCACAGTAGCATCCCCAGCGCCTAGAGGGAGCCTGCTGCACTGTAGAAGCCCAGCATATCTTGGATGAGTAGATGATGTCGTATCAGCAACCCTGGGTCTGAATTGCCAACTCCCACTGGGTAGACTCTACATGCAGTAACAACATCAACATATTAACTAATTTCTGCAGTCCATAGAAGGTGCCGGGCACCAAGGTTTCCCAAGCGTGCTCTTTTTAATTTTCATCACAGCCCCCTAGAGGTTTTATACTATCATTATTCCCTTTTTACAGATGAGGAAACTGAGGCAAAAGACATGAGGTGACCTGCCTGAGGCCACCAGCTTATGGATTCTGAACCCAGGTCTGTCTGAACTTTAAGCCCAGGCCTCTTTTCTCTGCCACACACCCCAGCAAGAATGAATAAATAAACAAAATAAAACAAACAGCCTGCACTGGGTCCCTCCCTAAATGAGCCTATGCCCTCACAATCCTGGGAAAGTAACACTTACTTATTGGAGCTCTGGCTTTCTTCTATTATTTTCTCCAAAATTCTTTCCAGGAATTGCCTTCCCTGACCACCTCTGCAAATAATAATGATAGCAGTAGTAATAATAATAATAAGTGCATATTTAACATTTAGTACCAATTGTAAGTGCTTTGCATATATCAAATTATTTAATTCTCACCTGAATTGCTCTAAGGTAGGTATTATTATCCCCATTCACAGATGACAACATCAAGGCACAGAATGGTTAAATAACTTGCCCAAGGTCACACAGTTACTAAGTGGCAAGTAGCTGTGTCTAGGCAATCCGGCTCCAGGGTCTGTTCTTAACCACTATGTGATTCTGTTGTTGTGAATAACAACAACAAAATGACAGTAATGATACCCATCATTATTTGAGAACTATCACATCCCAAGCTCTGCTAAATGCCCTATATGTTGTGCCTCTTTTAATCGTCATAACAATCCTTGGAGGTAGAAGTCCTATTGTTAACCACATTTTACGGTTGAACAACCTAAGGCCCAGGGTCAGATCCGGGATTACTGGCTGCAAAGCCTGTACCTTCAGCAGCCCAGGGAGCCTGTGCCACCTGACCCCTGGTGTATGCCCAGCCAGAGCACTGGCCTTCCAAACCCAGATCTACCGGCAGAACACAGCTGAACTTCAGGTCACTGGACCACCTCTTCCCCCACCTTCTTGCTGGGCTTCTCTCTCTGAAACCTTCTTCAGCCCTTCCAAACTTTCTCAGCAGAACAAATGACACCAGGAACACGCTGACATTTGGGAGAGTGACGACTGCCTGGAAGGAGCTATCACACATCGAGCAGAGGATCCTTACATGTTATTAATGTGAAAGCCACTTGGAGCTAGGGCAGGGGTGGGGGCCCCGCAAGCTCAATGGGAGCTCCTCTCTGCTGCAGGTGCCGCCAACAGAAGGGAGTCAGGGCTCAGCTATGGGACGGAGAGGATCATCCTGCCCTCTCTCCACCCATCCTCAAGGAGGGACATCCCCAGCCGGGCTCTCAGGGGCTCTATTTCTTATACCTGAGCCTAAATCAAGGCCTCTGGGATCTTTCATGGTCCAAATACTTATTCCAGGTTCAGGGAACCAATATCTCAACTAACCAGAATTTTCAGGAAGTGACCGGGCTGCTATTTCCCACTTAAGAAAGACAGTAAAACATAGTGGGTAGGAACTCGACCAGATATGGATTTGAATCCCATTAGCTCTGCTGCTCTGGGCAAGGAACTTAGTCTCTCTGAACCTCTGTCTTGTCATCTGTAAAATGGAGATGATCTCAAGACCCATCTCCTTGAGTAATTGTCAGCATAGATTATCAGGGAAAATGGTCTGGGAGGTGAGCGTGCCCTTGATCACATTGGACCTTGCAGACTCTATTAAGAGGTTAGACTTTGTCCCGAGCACACTGAAGAACCATTGAACTGTTTGGAGGAGGAGAGTGCTGTGATGAGAACTGAGTTCCAGGAAAATCATCGTCTGCTTTTGGAGAAGATCTTTTGGGGGCTTTAGGGAGACCAGTTAGGAGGCTGTTGTAGTGGTCCCAGTGAAATGGCAACCTTGGCTGGGTTGTTGGCTGAGGAGCGGTAAAGCGTGGATAAAATCATGATCTATTAAAGAAGCAGGAGCATTTTGAGTGCTGATTGCGATGAGAGGGGGAGAGAAGTTTGGATCAAATGAATGTCTCGGTTTTCAGACCTTTCAACGGGGTGAATGGTGGTGCCACTCAGTGAACATGTGAGGAGGAGCAGATGCGGGGAGTGGGAGACACAGTCTGTTCATTTACTCACGGATTCATTCATTCCATAATTGTTACGTTCTCACTTGGAAAGCACTAGCCGAGGGGCTAGAGATGAAGCAGTAAATGAGGCAAAAGTCCCTGCTTTCATGTGTATCAATAAACGGATTGTAAAAGGAAAATAAATCTCGGGTCCCCCAAATCACTAAGCTAAAGGGAAAAGTCAAGCTGTGAACAGCTGAGGGCAAACCTGCCTTCCATTCTATTCGAAGTCACCCCTCTGCTCACTGACTGAGATATATACATATCTGATTGCCTTCTTTGGAGAGGCTAATCAGAAACTGGAAGGAATGCAACCATTTGTCTCTTATCTACCTATGACCTGGAAGCCCTTGCCCTGCTTTGAGTTGTCCCGCCTTGTCCTCTGGTTGTCCCACCTTTCCGGACTGAACAAATGTACATCTTACACATATTGATTGATGTCTCCTGTCTCCCTAAAATGTATAAAACCAAGCTGTGCCCCTACCACCTTGGGCACATGTCCGCCTGAAGCTGTATCACAGGCGTGTCCTCAACCTTGGTAAAATAAACTTTCTAAATTAACTGAGACATGTCTCAGATTTTTGGGGTTCACAAAATAAATAAACAATAGAAAGAATTTCAGATACCGTCAGTGGCATGTGAACCAGAGCAACTCCATGGTGAATGGGGGCTGGGTAAAATAAGGCTGAGACCTGCTGGTCTGCATTCCCAGTAAGTTAGGCATTCTGTCACAGGATGAGGTAGGAGGTTGGCACGAGGTACAGGTCACAAAGACCTTGGGTCACAAGGTCTTTGAGATGAGATAGGAGATCGGCACAAGATACAGGTCACAAAGTTCCAGGTTGCTGTAAAGAAGCCGGCTAAAACCCACCAGAATCAAGATGGCAATGAGAGTGACCTCTGGTCATCACAGCTCATTATTCGCTAAGTATAATGCATTAGCATGCTAAAAGACACTCCCACGAGCGCCATCACACTTTACAGATGCCATGTCAACGTAAGGAAGTTATATTTACACCTACATGGTCTATAAAGGGGAGGAAACCTCAGTTCCAGAAATTGCCCTTCCCCCCCACTTCCGGGAAAACTCATGAATAATCTGCCCCTTGTTTGGCATATAATTAAGAAATAACCATAAAAATGGGCAACCAGTGGCTCTCAGGGCTGCTCTGCCTATGGAGTAGCCATTCTTTTATTCCTTTACTTCCTTTTTTTTTTTTTTTTTCTGAGGCGGAGTCTCGCTCTGTCGCCCAGGCTGGAGTGCAGTGGCGCTATCTCGGCTCACTGCAAGTTCCGCCTCCCGGGTTCACGCCACTCTCCTGCCTCAGCCTCCCGAGTAGCTGGGACTACAGGCGCCTGCCACCACGCCCGGCTAATTTTTTGTATTTTTAGTAGAGACAGGGTTTCATCTTGTTAGCCAGGATGGTCTCGATCTCCTGACCTCGTGATCCGTCCGCCTCGGCCTCCCAAAGTGCTGGGATTACAGGCGTGAGCCACCATGCCTGGCCCCTTTACTTTCTTAATAAACTTGCTTTTGTTTCACTGTATGGACTCTCCTGGAATTCTTTCTTGTGTGAGATCCAAGAACCCTCTCTTGGGATCTGGATCAGGACCCATTTCTGGTGACAATACTACAAAATTTTATGAAGAAAAAAGGAAGGCTCCTGGTTACCCTTCTCATTGGATTTCCTGCTAATACCCACTCCCTGGTCACGGGCTTCAATCATAGGGTCCCCATTTCTGACCCTCAGATGGAAGAGTCAAGCATGTTCCTGCCTGAAGGTCTTCCTGCCTGCTGTTCCCACAGACTGGAACACTCTTCCCCCTCCATAAGGCAGGTCTCTTCATTCATTTGTGTCTCTACTTAAATTTCAACTGCTCGGAGAAATCTTCTCTAACGACTTAGTAAGTCACACTCTCACATTAGCTGGTTTACTTTTCTTCACAGCACTTGCCATTAACTGATAGTTACATTTTACATCTCTAGTTATTTGTTTCTCTGCTTCCTCCATTAGAACGTAAGCTCCATGTGGGCAGAGGGCAGGGACTTGTGTCTAACTGTTCACGGCTGTATCATTGCCACCTAGAGCAGTACCTGACCCATAGTCAGGATTCAATGAAATGGGTGGTTTGAGGTTGTAACTAGTGCTGTTTGCCAAACATTTCTGGTTTCTCTTCCTCCTCCTGCTTTCTGGGCACCTGTGAGGTAGCAATGCACTTCCTGATACCACCGTGGTTGGATGGGGCCATATAACTAGTTGTGGCCGATGAGTTGTGAGCAGAAGTGATGTCTGTCACTGCCAGTTCAAAGCACCTTGGGAGCCCATGGGAGCATCTTGGCTGTGTCTAGGCAGGACCCTCGGGTGAGTTCTTTTTCTCTCTGCCCTATGATCATCAACATCACAGTCATCAACATCAGTAACAAGTAGACTGACCCTGCTGGCCCACAATGGACACGGGTGAGAAAGAGTTCTTTGCTCTTTCAAGGCATTGAAATTTTGGACTTATTTATTATTGTAGCATAACCTGGCTTATTCTGATGGAGAGTCTTCCTAATTCTGTAATTTTGTGGTTGTTGGTATTGCTTTAAAAGAACTTTCCCAGTGCTAAAATTATATTAAGGGGTAAATCATTCTGCCTCCTCTGTCTAGAGCCTGGCTGGGAAACTGGTACATGTTCCTCTCCGTTTGGAGCATTTATGAAGAATTCCAACATGAGCCCCTTATACAGAGGGTGGCTCTGAGATCTTTGCAAAAGGGAGAGCTGGAAGGTCTGTAATCTTGAGGCCCCTTTCCCAGAAACCTCTGCAGTCAGAGCAGAATCTGGTTTGACCAGTTGGTGACTTTGCTGCCAGACAACTGCTTTGAAAACAGCTTCTTCTAGGTCTGGGAGTGACAGCTCTTAGGAGCGTTCAGCTGAGAGCATTCTCAAGCTTTGTTCTGGGAGCAGGAGGAAGACTGGAGGAGCTGGGGAGGATGTATAGAGATGGAGAAGGAGAGATGAACAAGATATTCCTTCTGGGGACTGTCTTAGCTTCACCTAGAATTTGAGTTGTGAGTAGCTTTAGCTGTGAACAACAGACAGTCAAAATAACAGTGGCTGAAACAAGAGAATAAATTTATTTCTTCCTAACATTGAAGTCCAGAGAGATTCTGTCTGAGGCTAATATGTGTCCCTGCTCCACCATGTCCTTAAGCTGGAGACCGCTTCTATCTTAGTGCTTTATCCATATGGAGTCTATTCCCAAAGCCACCTCATGAATCAGGGAGTCGCATGCATTCCAGCAATCATGTCCACATTCCAGCCAGCAAGAAAAAGGAAGGGATGAAGACGGAAAAAGCACATGACAAATCTCTTTCATAAAAATTTCTGGACACTACCACCAAGAATTCTGTCTATAGCTCAGACATCTTGCAGCTATGGCCACCCCTAGCTGCAAAGGAGGCTGGGAGATGCAGTCTTTATTCTGGGTGGCTATAATCCCAGTTATAAATTGGGGTTTTTTATTACTATGGATGAAGAGGGAATGGCTATTGGAAGGCAACTAGAAACTCCACCACATCTGGAGAGAATGAAGATAGGTTTTGCGGAAGCATCCTGAAGGTTTCATTGAGTTGAATCCCTTGGAAAACTGGTGGAAATATATACCTCCTCTGCACTGAAATGCTGATATTTTAATACAGAAAACTTGGCTTGGAATTTCAAATGATTCACAGACTCTACAAAGCCCAAGCGCAGGAGGGCACGGTTTTCTTTAGATTAAGATACCTTGATCTAGAAATAGGTTTTGAGGTGAGAGAGACTGAAGGGAAGAAACAAATCCTCTCTCTCTCGCTCAGTGTGTGTGTGTGCGTGTGTGTGTGTGTGTGTGTGTATGTGTGTACATCTATTCCAACCCCTTTCCATTTGGCAATATGACTCTATTTGATGTGATTTGTGTTATTTTAGTTTTCAATTTGAGAGTGTATTAAGGGACACGGTGTTATACCTTCAGAAAACATTTGACAAGTTTCCATGGCAAAGGGGGAAAAAAAAAGACCAAAAGAAAAATTTCCATGAGTCATCTGGCTATAGGTTGGCCATAGCTATACAATGGTGGAGTGACAGCGTTCCAAGGGAGTGGTAAACCTGTTTTGTAAACCCACTATGGGTGGAAAGGCCTGAACAGTGCCCCAGTGTCTTCCCACTGATGGATTCATGCTAGAGCAACTTGGGTGGAAGATGTTGATGAAAGATCAGGGTGGGGATCTACATAGGGAGATTGCCAAGTTCTCCGGAGGCTTTAGATCCTTCTGAGAGGAAGAGATCCTTATGGAGGGTGGCAGGTGGGAGTGCCTCTCTTGAGAATCTGGTGTTGTCGGTGATGAAAGGTAGGAAAAGACACTGTTCTATCTTTTGCCAAGGTGACCTGAAATCCTCCCAGAAATTATCATGAGCTTACATAGGCGACTGAGCATCTACCCCCACCCCCCACCCATTTTTTTTTTTTTTTTTGAGATGGAGTTTCGCTCTTGTTGCCCAGGCTGGAGTGCTGTGGCACGATCTCGGCTCACAGCAACCTCCGCCTCCTGGGTTCAAGCGATTCTCCTGCCTCAGCCTCCCAAGTAGCTGGGATTACAGGCATGTGTCCGGCTAATTTTGTATTTTTAGTAGAGACAGGGTTTTTCCATGTTGGTCAGGCTGGTCTCGAACTCCCGATCTCAGGTGATCTGCCTGCCTCAGCCTCCCAAAGTGCTGGGATTACAGGTGTGAGCCACCACGCCCACCCCTCCCTTTTTTTTAAATGATCAGTAACAATGGAACTAACACTCAGTCAGACACTTTGCTAAGTCGTTTCCAGGCATCACCTCTACCAATCTTCACAGCAGTCTTATAAGATTGATTCTTTTACTATTTCCATTGGAAAGATAAGCAACCTGAGGCTCAGAGAGGTTAGGTCACTACACAAAGACACACAGTGAGGAAGTAGCAGAGTTAGGCTCCAATCCAGGTCTGTCTGATTCAC
This sequence comes from Homo sapiens, assembly GCF_000001405.40. Classification (NCBI taxonomy): domain Eukaryota; kingdom Metazoa; phylum Chordata; class Mammalia; order Primates; family Hominidae; genus Homo; species Homo sapiens. Next base: position 119,167,197 of record NC_000012.12, on the reverse strand, counting down.
AAGTCCTTGCTTTCAGCCACTGCCTTTTAAAAATTGTGCCATTTTCTCATCTAAGGGTATATATCCAGTGCTTCCAACAATGCTGGACAAACAATATGTGCTCATGTCTACCCTACCATACATGCTGTCTTCTCTCATTCCCAGGGTGGGAAGAGAATGTGCATGAGAGATCCTTAGAGTCCCTGTATGGGACATGTCACAACCTTGCCACAGTCCTCCTAGTACCACTCCCCATCCCCGACATAAGCTAAAAATTAACCAGCTCAGGAATGAATGGGTATTGGAAGGGAGCGGGGCTGGCACTCCAGGCAAATTCAATCACTTGACAGCTGGCCACATGCTGCTGGGTGTACAGAGATGAATGAATGAGGTGGACAAGACTCCTGTCCTCATGGAGGTGGGCAGTAAACAAGTAAACAAGTAAGCAAACTGGTTATAGGTGGTAATAAGCCTCATGGAAGGAATACGCTGGGGAGGTGGGGGAAGCAGGTGGGTGTCATTGACTCTGGCCCTGTACACACTCAATTTCCCCTGTCTGAGATGACTCCATTCCCTCCTCTTTCTCTCTTTCTCTTTCTTTCTTTCTTTCTTTCTCTTTCTCTTTCTTTCCTTCTTTCTTTCTTTTCCTTCCTTCCTTCCTTCCTTTCCTTCCTTCTTTCCTTCCTTCTTTTTTCTGATTCTTTTTTTTGACATAGTCTTGCTCTGTCACCCAAGGTGGAGTACATTGGCGCTATCTCGACTCACTGCAATCTCTTCCTTCCAGGTTCAAGCAATTCTCCTGCCTCAGCCTCTGGAGTAGCTGGGATTACAGGTATGCACCACCACACCCAGCTAATTTTGGTATTTTTAGTAGAGATGGGGTTTCACCATGTTGGTCAGGCTAATCCTGAACTCCTGACCTCAAGTGATCCGTCTGCCTCGGCCTCCCAAAGAGGTGGCATTACAGGCATGAGCCACTGTGCCTGCCCCTTTCCCTCCTCTTTTTTAACCCTTCCTTTGCTTGACCAACACCTACTCATCTCCCAGGATCAACCTAGAGGTCAGTTTTTTTTCTGTGATGCCTTCTTTGACCCCACAAGGCTGTTTCACGTGCCTCTTTGGACTCACTTTTACCCTAGCATTCAGCTGTTACCACTTACTATCTGTGTGACCTGGGGAAAACCGTCTGTGCCTCAGTTTCTGCATCTGCAAAATAGGCATCAAAAATTGTATCTATCTACCTTATAAGGATGTCGTGGCAGTGAATATATAATTTATGTTCATATATGTGAAGAACTTAGAAGCATGCTTAGCACATGGCAGGCTCTATATGTGTTGGGTGCTTTTTGTGCTGGTTTTATTGTCCCCTTTATGACATCCAGTAGCACACCTAGGATACCACACCTGGACGGCATTTCAGGTGCCATCTAATTCAGTGACTCTCAATCCTGGCTTCATATCAGAATGCTCTAGGGAGCCTTTTAGAAACATCAATGTCACCCTCAGAGATTCTTATTATTTGGGGTGGGGTGGAACTCCAGCATATGTGGTTTTGTAAAGTTCACAGATGATTTTAATGTCTGGCCAGGATTGTGGACCACTGGTCTAGCGCATTCCCTTTTAACAGGTAGAGTAACTAGGTCCTAGAGAGGGGCTTGATTAACTTAGGGCCATGCAACAAGTCTTGGTCCCTGCCTCTCGGGAGGATTTTTCCCATATTCCTCCCGCCCCTCTGCTTATGCCTTTGCTTTCACCCCATGGAAGGGCTGTGTGTGTCCCCAGGGCTGCCCAGGCGGTGGTGTTGAATGCATGCCACCTCCGCTCCATCGTTGGGCAGCTGTTAATCTGGCCTGAGAGAGAGATATCTCCAGAAGGATGTCTCTCTCCTCTGCAGCCCAGACACCTGGGCTGGGAGAAGTGCCTGTTGAGAGCAATTGCTGGAGAAACAAACACATGGATTCCGGTAACTGGGGGCTGGAGCAGGAGATAGAAAGGTGCAGGCATCCTCCAGTCTCCTGGCAGCCACAATTTATGGGAAGAAGTTACCAGGGGCCCTTAACGATGGCTAGCTCTGAGTTGATAGAGATCCCCCCTCAGGGGGTAAAGAGGTGTAGCAGAAACAGCCCTGGAGCCCACAGACCTAAGTTTAAATACCTACTAGCTATGTGGTCTTCCCTCCATAAGCATCAATTTTGTCCTCTGTCAAATGGGGCTAAATGATGTTGTTATGAGAATGAAATAAGTCTATGTACCCCCCAAAAATTAAAAGTAAAAAAATTAGGTAACCCTCCCCAAAGGAGGTAAGTTAATGCACGCAAAGGGCATGGCAGGTGGTAACTGATCCATAAATGTTTATTATTATTAATTACCATTATTTATTGATGGAACCTCAGAGGAGGACACTGGTTGTTGCTTTATCCAAACCTATTTGGGAAGAAAGAAATCAGTGTGTTGGGGGGACTTGGGGAGGGTGGTATATAGTCATGGATTTACTCAAAGGAGGTTATCCCATCCAATGACTCCTAAGGGAAATTTCTGCTGGGCAGGATACAAGGGGAGCAGTGGCAGTCACCTGTTTTCTTTGATCTTTCTCCCCAGTTGAGAATCAACTCAATTGTGGACTGTGTGTGTGTGTGTGTGTGTGTGTGTGTGTGTGTCTGTGTGTAAGGTTTTGGACCCACATAGTGTTTGAAAAAACAATAAGTTATAAATATTTTAAAATCAGATTTTAAAATGGAAAAATTCAGGCTCTCTTGAAAAATGGGAAGATTTGGCAACTCTGAGCTGAGATTTCTATCTGGCATTGGTCTACTGAGTTCTCCAGTTCCCCACAGTTCTAACCTTATCTGCTTCCCTCACCTGTCAGTCCCTGGGGGTGTTTTCAGTCCCTGCTCTGGAGGGAAAGAAACAATTTAATTCCACACTGAGGACATTTCCACAGGGCCTTGCAGGGCTCCTGCAGATCCAAGTTGGCTACTTTGGGCTATCTACTTAATCTGCACCACCACAGATCAGTCTCAGTTGAGGAAATAGTCATGTTGCTCATTAACAGTCACTGACTACTTTTGGTGCCTCATTGTTTTTTAAAGCCACCATCTCATTTAGTTCTCACAGCATCCCAGGGAGGTGGCTGTTGCTATCCCATTTTACAAATGAGCAAACCAACCAAGCACCAACAAGGTGTATAGTGCTTTCCCAATACCACCTAGCTGGTAATGGCAGGGTCTAGATTTGAATCTAGGTCTTTGGACTCCAAAATCTGTGTCCTTCCTCCCACCCATGAAGAAGATCTCAGAGAAAAAGAGTTCCACCAAAGAACTCTGGTTACTCATTACACATACTGGAGTGCTACAGAGCAAAGAAGTTGACAACCTGGGCTTTGGAGTTAGCCTGCCTGGATGTTATCATCAATTCTGGATTCTGTGGTCCCTGGGCAAGTGACTTTGCTTTCCTTGTTTTCTTTTTATTTTTTTGAGATGGGTTTTCTCTCTGTGGCCCAGGCTGAAGTGCAGTGGCATGAACTCAGCTCATTGCAACCTCTGCCTCCCAGGTTTAAGTGATTCTTGTATCTCAGGTGACTGAGTAGCTGGGACTACAGGTGCCCACCACCATGCCCAGCTAATTTTTGTATTTTTAGTAGGGGTTTAGATGGGGTTTCACCACATTGGCCAGGCTGGTCTCAAACTCCTGACCTCAGGTAATCTGCCCACCTCAGCCTCCCAAAGTGCTGGGATTACAGGCGTGAGCCACTGTGCCTGGGTGACTTTACTTTTCTAAGACTCAGTTTCCTTATTTGTAAGAAGAAGTTCCTAATACCTACTTCATAGGGTTGGTTGTTGCTGAATACTAAGATAACACATATAAAATGCTTCCAAAAAGGTTGCCTAAGGCACTCCATAGCTGCTACTAACACACACACACACACACACACACACACATATATATATATATATATATAACATGTATATATTTGGTATATATGCTGTATATATAACCAAAAACCCAAAATACATACAGGTTTGTTTGGAAGATTAAAGATGTGAGCTGAGTAGTGTGAACATGTATGACACGCAGCAGGTGCTACTTAAGTCTTCTCTAGCTCCTTGTTTCCCTCCCCATTTTTTAATTCTGAGTACCCCATATAAACAGAGAACACTGAGCCATATATGAGAACACCATACCATGGGAACTTTAATTAGAACAGAGACATGTTTCGTACAGGCTGAAAAACCAGAAACCCCGGGAAGGTTATGCTTAGCTTTGGAGACCAGAAATCAAGCTAGCCATGGCTGCTGTGTCACTGGGCAGAGGACAGGGTCCCAGGATGCTGGAGGACACAGCAGCTTCTTTCCATCTGATGTGAATGCTCCAGGCAGAGGCTGTCTGGTCAGGCTGAGCTGGGCTCATGGTGGGTCCTCGGGTTGGGAATTTTCCAGAGGAGATTCGCAGCCTCCAATGCAGAGAAATGGCCTTGGGGTGCACCACGTCCCCTTGGCCAATGTGGTGGATTATGCTAGGTCCTTGGCCAATCATTGCTTGAGGAAATAGCTAAGAATTGGGAGAAAAAAAAATACAGTGCAGAGAGAAGTTCTTATAGCACAGGACCCCGGAGAAAAAGCTACCAAGGGAATGTTGGACATTGAGTCAAGCTGATCTGAGCTCAAGGGAGCTTGGGCATGTCAACTCCCCCTCCTGAGCCTCAGTTTTCTCCTCTGAAAAGTGGCAATATGACCTATGTCACTGGGTTATTTGAATGATTGTACAAAAATATAGCCTGACAATGAACAATGGTTAAATCCAGAGCAGGGCAAGGTAAGCCCATCTTGGTCTCTCCCGTGATGACTTTGGACCACGGGGCTTAGAGAGAAGTTCAAACTAAATACAGAGGGCTTTAACCCAGGATACAAGAGTTATCAAGGTGACAGCAACTTGAGGTCTCCCATATATGACTGTGGGACTCAACGACTATGACCTCATTCTGCAAATGAAGTCCAGGCCCTACTTTTTTGTTTCCTTCCTTGGTTGACACCCTTTAATCTGCAGTCAGCAGAAGACACAAGAGACAATATATCCAACAGTATGGAGTCCATAGCATCAGGGCTTGAGCCCCCATTTCCCACGTCTTGCAGATAATATATAGGACAAGCCCCATTTTACAGATGACAAGACTGAGGCTAGAGACCCATTCCATTTCATTCAGACTGATACACAGGCCAAAGAAACACATAGGAATACCATTGCAGTCTTTTTGGCTTGGCTCGTTAGAAGATGAGGCATAGCTTTCCTTGGCCAGAAAAAAAAAAGAGTTTACAATTTTTCTTTATTTTTTTTTTCAAGGAGTTGTGACTTTTTAATAGAAGTTGGTTCATGTGTAGGCATTTTATTCTTCCATTAATTTCCATCTAAATGAGGTTTTCCTGGAGATAACCAGTGTTTTAGTTCCATTTGAGTCTAATTTGTGTGACTGAAGCCTCCATTTCTGCCAATTTCAATTTGCTTGGTGATTCTAGCACTCCTTACCTGGGCAGTAATGCCCTTGCTGCAGACAGCAGCACCTGGAGCTGGGAGATGGACCAATTCTCAATAGCAATTCAGGGAAAGAGGTGGTCCTTCTCTTTTCCCAATATTACTCAATAAATACGAAATAAATTATTAAATAAGCCATGTTCTGATGGGGGTCCCCCATCATGGTATTTACAATGCAAAACAACAGCCATCAAAAGAACTAAAAAAACACACACAGAAACTTTTACTCCAAAAACAGCAACCACAGATAGAAGAGAGATGACATTTCTGTCAGTATCATTGGCTCACTGGTGCAGAAGTGAGAAGAACGAGACTTCAATAAAGCATTGCTCAATGACATTGAATCTAGCATAAGTTTCTCAGCTGGACTCGGCTGGCCAGTGCGGGAGGAGGCATGTTTGGAGGAATCCTGTTTTTTGACTTCGTTTTACTGAGACAAAATTTTCTGTTCAGCTAAAGGGGAAAGTGGGGCAAGACACATGCGCATGAGACCATTTTGAACATTTGTGAAAAAGAAGAGGGGAAAAGAAAACAGCAGAAGAAAAGATGAAAGTTGGACTGGAGAAGGAAAACAATGTGCTTTCTTTGCCTTTGAGAGCACCCTGAATTTTGGCCTCTCCAAGCAGACCCTTTTGCAAAAGAGGATGGGTCTGAGCAAATGAAGTGATGCGGTTCTCTGAGACTGAGACCTTTGTTCTAACATCTTAATTTTATTCTGCTTCTGAAAGATCAGCTGTCCTTCAAAGAAGGGAAGGAATGCAGATAGGAATATGATCAAACCTCAGTGAACCAGAATGTTACTAATAGGGGGCTTTGAGTTACTTAGCCTTGCCTAATTAACTGAAGGGAGATCAAATCTTGCTTTTCGTTTTTACTTTCATGATGGACAACCTCCTAAAAATGTTTGAGGCTCTTTTCCTTTTCCCTCTGAGTCTCAGTGAAGCTCCCTCTGTCTTTGGTGACACTCTCAGGCCTCAGGCCAACATTTTGAATTTTTATCTCACAAATCCCTCCACTTAACAGAGGTCGAACTTTGCCCTAGGGAAAGGGAGCAATGTATTCAGTTTCTGTCATCCAGTGCACTTCCATAGCGGGAAGGTCAAAGGCTTGGGATGCATGGCGCTTGACCTCAAGCCACATCTCCCTCCCATTTTGGATGTTGGTTTTTGAGATAAATCCTCACGACGAGCAGCATCCTGGTGATCTGTCATATTCCTTGGAAGCAGAAGGTAATGAGGGTGAAATGGGCGTAGGAACAGCGATACTGGGAATGGGAGGTTCTGGTTAATCAGGGTTACCAGTGCCTCAACAAGCACATTGTTTTTGGATAGAAAAAAAGGAAATGTAAAAGAAAGTAGAGAAATACACTGAGAGAGAGAGAGAGAGAGAGAGAGAGAGAGAGACAGAGAGAGAGACAGAGAGAGAGACAGAGAGAGAGAGAGGCAGAGATTTCCCCGAAGCAGGCATTTAAGCAGCCTTCTTGTAAACTTCACCCAGGAAAGGGGCACTCCCTTGCTTTGGGTTAGGGCTGGATAGTCACATTGCCAGGGAAACAACCAGGGATGTTGCAAAAGTCTCACCAAACCCAAAGCTGGACCAGACAAGCTGGCAATTGCAAGGCAGTGGACAGTGACTTTGGAAAGGGCAAGAGCTGTCTCCGGCCAGCAGCCAGAAGACACTGCCAGTTGGTCAGATAAGCAGGACTGATGACCTTTGGATCCTGGGCCCTTCCAGGATGGGTTTGGAAATGACCTTCTTGGTGGGGTCCTGTGGAACATCTGGCTGCTCCTTCCACCTTTTTTTTTTTTTTCCTAATTTCAGAAATAGCTTTGTGCTTTCCCCTGATGAAACAGCAAGAGATCATAGATAAAAGCTTTTGCTTTTGGCTTGGTGGTTCTCAAGCAAGATGGCTGATGCCTCTTCCCAAGGTAGCCTTCAGATCTCAGGGGACAGAGAGAAATTAGGTACTGTGGAGTGGAAGCATGTGTAACATACATGAAACCAACTAGGTGTGCTCAGAGAAGCTAGGGAGTGATCCTGCTATGTGCCTTGGAGTGAGGGTGAGATCAAGGTGCATCTTCCCTCAGTCAGCTCAATTCCTGCCTCCATTCTCATGGTGTGAGCACCTTGTCAACCCCAAGTGCAATTCCAGTACTAAACCAGACATCATTTTCATCCACCATGGCCCTCAAAATACAAGGCAACTACTTCAGCAAGTACTCAACTGAAGCCTCATCACTCTGTTAGGAGATAGCACATCTGTCTCCAATCTGGTGCCTCCCTAAGGGACATTCACAAGGGATTTCGACTTTGTGCAGCCTTGGCCCCATTTGCCAACTTTCGACTCCAACCCCCACCTAAGTTGCAACTCCACTGTGTCAATTCATCACTGTAGCTCATAAGCCTCTGGGCTGTTTACATCTTTTTGATACCCCTGTGAGGTTCCTGGGGGACAGGAGGCTGGGGTACAGGCCTGACCCTCCTGGACGCTGGGTTAAGTGATGAATTTTGGGACTGATGTGCCTCCTTCTGGGCCAACCCCAGGGTGTTCCAGGCTTAGAGCCTTCAGGGAGAAGGCCAATAGCCCACTCACCTTTGGCCTCTCAAATCCCATCCATAAAAAACAGCAGAAAAAAAAAGGAGATGCACAGAAATAATTTAGGAGATCCCCCCAACACACACACACACACACACACACACACACACACACACACACACACACACAAAACCTCTGTATAAATAAATAATTCAATACTGCTAATGGCGAGAAAGAGAGACAGTCATCAAATAAATAAATAGATAAATAAATAAAATAAATAAAAAGGTTTGCTAGGAGCCCCAGGCAAAATGGTCCCCTAGAGTTGTCTTGATGAAGGCAGTCCGAACGTGAGGTTCTGATGCCTCTCACAGCTGTCCTGCTAAGAAGGTTTTTGGTGGCTCTGGGAAGCCTTTGTCTCCATGGAGGGAGACTGAAGTCCAGTCTGGGTTCCTGGGCAGGGACGAGGGTTATTTACAGTGGCTGTACTTGCCCTCCCCGGGGCACCTGCCCCTGTCCCAGGCACCTGCCATCTGGCCTTCTGCAGTGACAGCACTGGCATCCATTAGTCTTTGTGGGCAGGGCTTAGGTCTGGGCCAGAGGCCCGGTATGGGGAGGCTGGGTCGTCCACTGCTGCCCGGGGCCCTCACTCCTGTCTTCTGATGGAGGAAGGGCTGTCGTGGTGGTGGTTGCATGGCAGTCTCTAGCCCCATGGGTTGATAGGATGGGAAAGATTGGGTAGGGAGACGTCACTGCTTCCAAGAAAAAGGACTATTTTCCAAATGTTTTCCCTGGGGTGGGAGGGATAAAGAATGTTTGGCCCTTGCTTCCCCATAACCCAAAATATCCAAAAGCTGGGACCGGTCCTCTCTCCCTCGCTCCCTCCGTGCCCTGTCCTGCTGCTGTTGCCACCACAAACTTGAAACTCACCCACAAGCCTCCGGAAAGCCAGTCAGCTGGTGAGGGGGATGCCCAAGAGTTTATTTTAAGGATCTTATTCCTCACCTCCCCGTTCTTAGCGCCTTCTGTGGATGAAGCAGCTGGTGGTATTTGTGGATCGGAGATCAGCTTACCCTCTCTGCCCAGCCCCAGCCAGGGGGGACTTGGGGTGAGGGCAAAAATAAAGGTGGGTCTTTCCCAAGCTGACAAGAAACCTCAGAAGCCAGCAGGAGCCCAAGACATGGCATATCCAAGCCCCTCTCCCCTGCACTCTGGATTCGGGTCTTTTCCCCCAAACCTGAGCTGCTGTGCCCCATCCTGGCAAAATTCCTGAGAGGCAAGGGGAGTGGCTTAAGCTGAAGGGTGGGTGGGTAGGTGCCAGGCTGCACTGGGTGGCATCCAGGGCGTGGCAGCCTGGGCAGAGGGGAGGGGGCTGGCAGGCGCCAACCGGAGGGTAAGGCCAGACTGGCTGGCGCTGGGGCCTGGCAACTGGCCATGGCACTGGGGAATGTTCAGCAGATGGTCCCGTGGAATTAAGTTGGTGCCAGCTAGTGGGGCTGAGGCATATTTGGGAAGTGGGGCTGGAGACCAACCTGTCCTGACTCTTCCACTATCTCCTTTCTCGTGAGGTTGCAGGGCCCCTGTGAATGGCCAAGAGGTGTTTTGTGTCAGCCATGCAGTGGCCTCTTCACAGCTGGGATCTGCTGGGCTCTGTCCCCTTACCATGCTGAGGTATTGGGAGCAGCAGCTGAACCCTTCCGTTTTTCTATCTATCATCTTAACCAACTCCTATCTCCTGACACCTCCCACCAAGTCAAACGTCCCCATCTGGTATTCAAGGATATCCCTTCTTCTAGGACCCAAATGTCTTCCAGCCTTTGCTTGGGCCTGTTTGAGGAAGTTAAAGGCCTGACCCCGTTATCTTGAACCTGAACTGCCATTGGTCTCCTCTTTCACCCCTCTCAGACATGGGGGTCCATCCACGTGCAGCCATGAAGTTGGACTAGTGGGGCATCCGGGGAGGTGGGGAGAATTACCACGGGCCTCCTGTGAGCAGTGGAGGAGAAGAACTGTCTCCACATTTTCCTGGCCAGGGCTCAATTTTTGAGTCACAGACCCATTGCTTCTCACAAAACCTTGAAGTTTTCTTTTCTTTCTTCTTTTTTTGTGCCACAAGATGATGGTTCTTTCCATATGCCCAGGCCTGAGCTGGGCCCCAGGATGATGCTGGTAGAGGCTCCTAGCAGGCTGATCTAGAGAGTGAAGCCCCCTTACCCTCTTCTCCTCTTCCCCTAGGCAAGCAGGAAGGACAAGGTATAGGAGCCCTCACTATTTGTCACCAAGAAGGCGGGGAGGGCAGGTGGTTGGGGGAGGCTGGCAGCGCGAAGGGGCCCCCACGGGCAGCTGGCTCAGGGGCACTTAGCGCCTCGTGCTGGAGTAGCTGTCTGCTGAGCTGTAGCTCCGGCTCTGGCTCCTGCTCCGGCTCCGGCTCCGGCTCCTGCTCCGGCTCCGGCTGCGGGAGCCCGGACTAGGGCTGCGGGAGCTAGAGCTGCTGCTCGTGCGGGTCCGGCTCCGTCTCCGGCTCCGGCTCCGACTCCGGCTCCGGGAGTAGCTGCGGCTGGCCGAGCGGCTACTGCTGCTGCTGTACCAGGAGGAGGTGCTGCTGAGGCTGCCGGATGAGGAGGGGCTGGGCCGATAGTAGGGGATGGGGCGTTTCCGGGCACTGCAGAGACCAGAGAGAGGAGGGATGAGGGCCGGCCCCTCCGTGCCTCCCCGCAGCGAGCCCCAGTCTTGTCCCAAGGGAAACCAATATCCTCCCTTTCCCCAGTCCCTTAGGAAAAAATACTCCCTTTCCACTTCTCTTGCAGTGCTGAGAACACATCAAAGTAAAAGTCTCAGCTTAGTGCTAGTATGTCTTGAAAAATGATTATCTCACTTTTTTCTTTCCCCCATGAAGCAAGCCTGGAGCTCAGAGCCTTCAGCTTGCAACAGAATCTACATCTAAACTTTAATCATAGTTTTGTTTTCCTATTTTTACTTTTACTAGAACCATCTATTTATGGCAAAAGAGGCTAATTTTCCATTTACTGTACTGTATCGTTTCCTTTAGAAATAAATGTATGAACCTTTGAAAAGAGTCATATCTATTTAAAGAAAATTAAGAATAGTACAGTTGATAAACAGACAAGTCATATGTGGTCAAGATACTGGTGAATGACTAAAGATTGGGAAACACTGAATGGGTTAATCAAGATGAATTATTTGAGATTGACTAAAGAAACTAGACAGCCATTTGGAAATGCCACTCTCTATCTTAGCTTTCCTCTAGGTTGACCCCAAAGATAATAATAATACCAACAACTTCTATTTTGTGCTTATTATCCTGGCCACTTAATAGCTGTGTGACACTGGATCAAGGGAGTGGGTTTAGAAATTATGCTAGGAATTATATTGTATTATATTATATTAATTACATTTTTTCAGACAGGGTCTCGCTCTGTCACCCAGGTTGGAATGCAGTGGTGCGATCTCGGCTCACTGCAACCTCCACCCCACTCCAGGCTCAAATGATCCTCCCACCTCAGCCTCCCAAGTAGATGGGACCACAGGTGCACACCACCATGCCTGGCTAGTGTTTTGTATTTTTGGTAGAGACAGGGTCTTGTCATATTGCCTAGGCAGGTCTCAAACTCCTGAGATCCAGCAATCCGCCTGCCTTGGCCTCCCAAGGGTTTAGGAATTCTTTACAAGCTGAGGCAGGGTGCCCTGTGGGATATTGGAGAAGGGGACCCATCACCCCAGCCTTGCTATCTGGGAAACACATTCTTTTTCCTCCTCCAGGTCATCTCCAGGGAGAATCCCTGATTCCTCAGTCCAGTGTCTGGACTGAGTGGCAGATGCCTGGAAGGCCAGCAGGAAGAGCCCAACCCAATCTTAGGGCAGCATTCAATCATTCTCCCAGCTTTCAAGGCCTGAGAAATTTGCTTGCACTCAGACTTCTCTGCTAGAGCTTTTCTCTTCTGAGGCCTTACCTGTTCCAGGAACGGTATCCACCTATTCTGACCATTCAATCAACAATGGCACATTGTGTACTCTGCATTCAAGTTTACAAAGCACGTTCACATCTTTTTGCCCCTTTTCATTTCATCCTCATGCTTCTGGGAGTTATTTCTTCCAATATCTCATGGGTGAGAAAACTGAGGCTCAGGAAGGTAAGAGCCTTTCCTAGGTCACCTGCAAAGTGGTACATTCAGGATTCCAATCCACATCCAGTGCTCTCCGGCTTATCCACCGTGGCTCCCTCTAGGTCCCTTTGGGAACTAAGCAATCCTGTTTGTCCTTTCCACACTTGGTTCAAGGTATAATTACATATAGGTTTATTTAAGCCTGACAGCTGAGTGTACAGGTCTGAGGGTAGAGGTCTGTCTCCGCTGCTCGGGATCCACCACCAGGCCAAGGTCCTGCTCCATTGCTTTGGCCTCCATTCCCTGGCCTGACGCCACTCTCTCCCCCAGCTCCGCCTCCCCGGCCCCAGCTCCACCTCCCCGGCCCCAGCTCCACCCTCAGGCTTTGGCCACTCCCCCATGCCACACCCGATTCTTCAGGCTGGCCCCGCCCCCTTCTTGCAGGCCCTGCTGGTTGAGCTGGGAGACTCAGTCCCAAGGCTTTGAACAGACACGTAATTTCAATGATGTTGGGGTTGGGGGGACCATAAGCTCGCACAATCCTAAATCCCAGCCCCAAGGAGGCCTAGGGAGAGCCTGAGGCTCGAATGAGTAAGAATGGGAGTGGGAACGAGGATGAAGGTGGGTCCCCCTTGCCCCCTGGCCTCACCTGGTTATCCTCCGGGCCTCCAGGTGGCTCGGGGAGTCTCTCCGGCGCTTTCTCATAGGCGAGTAGGACCGACGTCTCCGACGCGCTCGCTCGCGCTCCCGCTGCTGCGAGTCCTTCTCACTGTATTTGGGATCCCGCTCCCTGAAGGGGCGCGGGGGGTTACTGGGGAGCTGGGGCTGGGCTGGATTTTCTGCGTGAGCGCGTGGGAGAGGGACACTCCCTTTCTTTCCCACCCCACTGGGTCACGGGATGGGGTCTGCACGTTGCCGCAAGGGAGACCGGAGGGAGGATGACGGGGCTGCGGTAAGAGTCTGCGAGGGTTGTTAGTACCGTAGGGGTGGGGGCTGGGCTTGTGCAGGGGTGTCAGCATTTGCAGGTGGGCATCATAGCAGGGCAGGTGCTGCAGGGGTGAGGACGTGAATGTTACGCAGGCCCTGGTGCGTGGGTAAGAACTGGGGGCTCTGAATATGGGGACGGTCTGTAGAGGCTGAGGGCTGGGGATGTGAATTCTGGGGTATGTCTGCGGGACTGTTTGGGCTGGAGACATTAGGAAACAAGGGTATTTGATGCCTCGCTGCCACTCCTGATTGGACAAAGGGAACTGTAAGAATGCTGAGTCAGGGTCAGACCTAAGAGGAAGAAGGCCCGAGAACGGGGAGGCGGGGCCAGAGAGGAGGATCAGAGCAAAGGGGTGGGGCCTAGGACGGGCCTAGTTTGAGGGGCGGGGCCGGTACCTGCTGGGGCTGTAGCGGGAGTAGCTAGGGCTGCGGCGGGACCTAGAGCTTCTGCTGGGCGGGCTCCTCTTGCCAGACTTGGAGGAATAGCTGGGAGAGCGGGAGTAGGACCTGGGGGAGAGGTAACAGCCTCTGAGGAGCCTGCTGAGTGTCCGCCTGGGTTATCCAAGACGGCTTGAGCTTTATTCAGCGGGTCCCTGGGCAGTGACCTTTTTCTTTCTGGAAGCCAGGCAGAGGAACTGGGCCCCGATCAAAGAATGAAAGCCCCTCCCCACCGGTGGTTAATAATAATACCAACAACTTCTATTTTGTGCCTACTATCCTGGCCACTTACTAGCTGTGTGACCTTGGCAGATGATTTCGTTTCCCTGGGCCGTTTTCTTGTCTATAAAATGCAGGTAATAATAGTCCTTACCCTAGACAATTGTAAATTGAATGAGTGAATTCGGGTAAATCACATAGCATATTGGCACCTATGCTAAGTATCAATTAGACAGGACATAGGAAATGTTAGCTATGACTATGACATATTTTATTATGTGCCAGACATTGAACCAGTGCTTTGTGTGTATTATTTAATCCTCAACACATCTTAGGGTTAGGTACTATTATCAATTTCATTTTATAGATGGGGAAACAGAGGCACAGAGAGATGATGCACTTCGCTAAACACAGCTGGTAAGAGATGTGAACCCAGGACTGTTTGCCTCTAAGCCAAATTTAATTCACGTCTGTTTGGTTTCAAAGTGCTCTTGATTTTTGTAGACTATATTGTTGTGCATCTACATGACTAATCCTTATGCTCCTCCTAGTCTTCTTTGCTTTCTGTTAATGCCTCCCACTTTTAGAAAACAGGGGCAGGAATAGCTCTTCCCTTCTCAGTGCCCTCAGCAGTGTCCAGCTATGGTCACTGGAAAAATGTGCTTTTGCCAACTTATGCTTTGGCTATGCATTGAGAGATATAAGAAAGAGTCAAGATGAAACCTGTTTTTGGATACTTTGAAAGGATATTATCAGAATTTCCATTCACTGCACCATATAGAGTCCCTTTTCTGTGGAGCCATCTGAGTCATTTTTCATAGAATTAAAAACCTGAAATAGCTGCTCTTCTGAGCAACTGGTTCAATTCTTATCTTTTTTTTGTTAATAATGTAGTAAATGAGGGAGTAATTTTCCTCTTTGCTTTGTCTGTCAGGGAGCTCAGACGTCATATTTGCAGCTTACCTCCATAGCAACTTTACAGAATGGTAGGACGTACTTTTGGGACTGTCTCCTGACTTAATTTTATATTTCTTTCCTTAATTTTTCTTTTAGCCTGATTTGCTCTTCTATTTATGTCACTCTATCATGTTGAATATTTTCATCAGTTGCCTTGTCTCATTTTTTGGAATGGACCAGTCTTGAGATGACCAGCTAAATAAGCAACTGTTTTTTGATTGTATAGTTGCAAAAGAGGAACAATCAAGCTCCTATTGGGAATTTCTTTTTGCAGAGGAAAGCTGGACTCCCTGAATTTATGGGTTGATTCGTTTGGATAGAATCTTCCGATTTCTGAGATTTCATGTCTCATTCTGCTACATTATTATTCTACATGAGGCAATCAAGCGATTACCAATAGCTATTGAAACTGGGTAGCAGAATGCAAAAATGGCCATAATTTTTCTTCTCCCAGTGTCCACATCCCCTGCAATGTGACTTTGCAGCTCCTTTCACTGAGAGGAATACCCTTGAATCTGTACTGGTCTTGTGACTTGCTATGGCTAATAGAATAGCAGAAGGGATGCTAATTACTTCCAAGCCTAGAAGCCTTGCACAATACTGTGCTCTCTCTTGGAATTCTGCCATCACCATGTGAACAAACCAAGACAGGCCTGCTGGAGGAGGAGAGACCTCATGGAGTAGAGTGATGAGTCAGCTGGGGTCTTTCAAACTCTCCAGCCCCCAGCCAACCCACCAGTCAATCAAAGGCGTATGAGTGAGCCCAATGAGATCAGAAGAACCACCCAGCTGAGCCCAGCCCAATTGCTGATCCACAGGATCAGGAACTAAGTAGCACTTGTTTTAAAGATGCTAAGTTTGGGGATAATTTTCTATGCAGAAGTTAATTGATACACATTAGCTCATTCTCATGCCAATAGCAGCAATAATAACTGATATTCATTATGTTCTGTGTACTGTTCTAAGTGCCTTATAGCCCTCAGAACAATCTTTTCTGGTAAGAATTGCTATTTCTTCATATTGCAGATGGGAAAACTCAGGTTCAGAGAAATTAACTGACTTTCCCAAGGCCACCAGCTCGAAATGGGCAAAACGAGTATTCAAACCTAAGTCCGTCTGACTTCTCTCCCCCATGGGTCAAAGGACATCTGCAATTAACTAATTTCCTAAGGAGAAAGGTGCTGCAGAGCAAAGGTCAAAACCACACTCACCTTTTTTCAGAAGAGGTGGATCGGCTTTGGGTGTACCTGGGGGAAGCCCTGGGATTTGGGGATCGGGACGAGTGACTGGAGGATCGGGTGCTGGCATAGGAGGAGCTGCGGGAACACCCTTTCATGGGTGAGCTCCGGGCTGTGGATGGGACCAAACTGGACTTCTTCACTTCGGCACATTCCAGACACGGTGACTGAAATCCCCTGCAGGTGGGAAAATGTCCATGAGCACCGACTGCCCACTACTCTGGGAGCATCTTGTTTGAATACCTCCCTACCTTGGCCTAGGCTGTGGTGCTCTCATAGAACCCTCTTTGCCCCTTTTCCCATCCTATTCTCTCTGGAAAGACTTCCCAGGCCACATATGTTAGAGGAGTAGAGACAGAAGATACCTTAAAAGTAGACAATTCAGGTTAGCATTTCCTCAAGTGTGAAACACATACCGCTGGGGCCACAGTGGAGTATTTTAGAATGTCATCAGGCATGGGCATGATGGTAAGTAACATCAGATTACATGGTGAGAAATTTATTCCCTGTCTAGTCTTTTTCTGTCCTTCTGATTACATTAATGAGGAAGCCCCCATTGGGTGCTAGTTGGTTTGTAACACCTCTCTAACACTTTGTAATCTCTCTAAGAGAGAGGAGCACACCTCAGACTCAGCCTTGGTTAGGCAACTGCAACTAGTAGGATTAAATCCATTGTTTTAATCATATGTGTTTTTATAGGTACCTTTTATTTAGGACATGTGATTCTTTTTTTGAGACAGAGTCTCACTCTGTTACCCAGGCTGTAGTGCAGTGGCTGACTGCAACCTCTGCCTTCAGGGGTCAAGCAATTCTCCTGCCTCAGCCTCCCGAGTAGCTGAGATTACAGGTGCATGCCACCACACCCAGCCAATTTTTGTATTTTTAGTAGAGATGGGGTTTCACTATGTTGGCCAGACTGGTCTCAAACTCCTGACCTCAAATGATCCACCCGCCTTGGCCTCCCAAAGTGCTGGGATTACAGATGTGAGCCCCTGTGCCCGGCCAAGGACATTTGATTCTAATTTTCTATTTCAGATAGTACTGTAATTTTCCTTTTACTTATATATTAAAAATGAGTTTATTAAAGTAAACAGGAATATCAGTAGTACATGGATATGGTAAAAATCAAGATGACCTGTTGTTGGTTTAGTTTTGGGAAATTTTGATGTAACCCATTTTGCAGTTGGAGGAATTGAGACCTCCCAAAAGACAGAGGCTTCAGGATTATCAGAAGGCTAGAGTGCTGTCTTCTGTACTCCCACCCTGCCTAGGGCCAGGCTGACCTCTGTTAGGTGCTCAGTGAAGGCATATTTATTTGGATTGGGCCAAGAATCAAGTTCAAATCACATTAATATGGTTTTCAAGGCTCACGATGGCCTGGCACCTGCTCACCCCTCCAATCTCAGGTCTTGACTCTTTCCTCTCCTGACTCCAGCTGTCATAGACTACTTATTCCTCCTGAAATATCCCTATTCTCTTCCTTGTCTCCAGGCCTCAGAACATTCTGGCTGTCTGCAAACCCTCTCCATTCCCTCTTCATCTGGCAACTCCTACTTATGATTCTGGCTTTAGCTTGACCTCACCCTTTCTGGAAAACCTTCCTTGACACCCCCGTCCCCTGTCTGGGTTGGGCGACCTCCAGTGTGTTACCACAGACCTTAGTTCTATGTTTTGCCTATCCCTATATGGCTTACTTAGTCTTATACTTGTAGGCTGTCTCTTCTGTCCCAGATATTGAGCTCCCTGGAGACAGCTCCCTGGGGACCTTTTCAATGTTCTGAGAATTTCACAAGCATCATTTCATTCCCAACAACCTTCTGAAGCCGACATCATTATTTATTTATTTTTTGAGACAGTCTCGCTCTGTCGCCAGGCTGGAGTGCAGTGACGTGATCTTGGCTGACTGCAACCTCCGCCTCCCAGGTTCAAGCGATTCTCCTGCCTCAGCCTCCCGAGTGGCTGGGACTGCAGGTGCGCACCACCACACTCAGCTAGTTTTTGCATTTTTAGTAGAAATGGGGTTTCACCATGTTGGCCAGGATGGCTTTGATCTCTTGACCTCGTGATCCACCTGCCTTGGCCTCCCAAAGTGCTGGGATTACAGGCATGAGCCACTGCGCCCAGCTGCCAATGCTATTATTACCCCCAGATTTACAGAGAAGTCTCAGAAGGGTTTGTTATTTCCTCAAAACCACCCAGAGCCCCAAACCTTGATCTGTGCAGCTCCAGAGTCCCCACCCCTCCCACCTCACCAGCTCCCTACCTTCAGTGTCTATGGTTCCTTTGATTTAGAGCTGATGTCTCTTCCACTCAGCCCATATTTATTGAGCCCTCTCTGCTCATAAGTGGCATGACATAAACAGTCATGGACTCAACCATCATTTATATTTCAAAGTGAAAGGCTGGGTCTAAATTACTTAATTTGGCTGTCCATGGAGATCAAATTAAACAGGTAACTGCTAGATGTCTCTCAGGCTTTAGTTCCTGTTTGGGGGACATATTTGTATTTGAATTCTGGTGCTGCCACTTATTAACTGAGTTTCTCAACCACTCTGAGCCTCAGTTTCCCCATCAGGTAAAAAAGGGTTACAAATAGTACTGTCCTATAAAGGTTTTGAGGAGCTCGGGAAGATTATTTCTGGAAAGCATTTGGCAGTGTACCTAGCATGTGATTTGGGCTCAACGAATATGAACTGCCGTTATTATTGTTGTTGTTATTGCTATTTCAATTTTTCCTGCATAATAGCACTGCTGTATATCAGTAAACATGTGTCCTCCTCCTCCCTTCTGGGAACTTCACTGCCTGTTCTTGGAGACACTGACATTGGCTCTGGCCCAGCTCAGGTTCTCAGTCAAGCTTGGGTGTGAGCTGAGGCCAGGGATGACCTGGGGCAGGCAAATGGGAAGGCAGTTCTGCATGTGGATGTCAAGCTGTTTGTCCAGGACTGAAATGGGGTATGTGTTAGGGACAAAGAGTGCTCTGTCTTTGAAGAAGCTGTTAGCTGCTTCAGTGCTAAGGCGTTAGTCATCTTTTGAAAATTTTGGCTATATGGAACAAAGGCAAACTCCCACCCTCAGAAGTAGAAAAACCTCACTGTTAGCATGACAGAGGGCACCAGCAAAGCTTTTCCACCCATCCCGCAACTGTGCATCTGCCTCATTAATTATAAGCTCCTGAGAAAAAGGACTGTTCCATTTTTAAATCCCCAGCACCAGGCTGAGTGTCTGGCAGAGAGGACTTGCCTGATAAACAAGTTGAGGAATAAACAACAGAATGAATGGTACAGACTAAGTGATCAGTAAATTTTAGTAGCTATTATGATGACAGTAACCTCAGTGATTAGCATTTTGTTGTGATTTCTTGAGTGAGAGAGTTAAGCGGATGACGAAGTAGAATTACAACTGGCTCATATGCATCTGTGTGGAAGAGTTTTCTGCAGGAAAACTGCATCTAGTGAGTGTGTTAAGATGGGTAAAAAAATGGAGAAATCTCAATGTTCTCTGATATGTTGATAAATTATACTATGGTATATCTGTATCTATAATTAATAAACTTTATTTTTTAGAGCAGTTTTAGTTTCATAGCATGATTGAATGGAAAGCACAGGGAGCTCCCATATACTTCTTGCTGCTACACACGCACAGCCTTATTCCCCACTATCAGCATCCTCCACCAACGTGGTCCATTTGCTACAATCGATGAACCTCCATTGACACATCATTATCACCCAGAGTCTATAGTTTACATCAGAGTACCCTCTTGGTGTTATACATTCTATGGATTTGGACAAATGTATAATGACAGTTATCCACCATTGTAGTGTCACACAGAGTAGTTCCATTGCCCTAAAAATCCTCTGTGCTCTGCCTATTCATCCCTCTGTCCCCTCACCCTCTGGCAACCACTTATCTTTGTACTTTCTCCATAGTTTTGCCTTTTCCAGAATGTCATACAGTTGGAGCCATGCAGTGTGTGACCTTTTCACATTGGCTTCTTTCACTTAGTAATATGCATTTACATTTCCTCCATGTCTTTTCATAGCGTGGTACCTCATACCTTCCGAGCACTGAATAGCATTCCATTGTCTGGACGTATCATAATTTATGTATTCATTCACGTACTGAAGGATATTCTGGTTGCTTCCAAGTTTTAGCAATTACAAATAAAGCTGTTGTAACATCCAAGTGCAGGTTTTTATGTAGAGATAAGTTTTCAATTCATTTGGGTAAATACTGTGATATGTTCTTTTTTTTTTTTGAGATGGAGTCTGGCTCTGTCACCCAGGCTGGAGTGCACTGGCGCAATCTCGGCTCACTGCAAGCTCCACCTCCCAGGTTTATGCCATTCTCCTGCCTCAGCCTCCCAAGTAGCTGGGACTACAGGCGCCCGCCACTATGCCTGGCTAAATTTTTGTATTTTTAGTAGAGACGGGGTTTCACTGTGTTAGCCAGGATGGTCTCGATCTCCTGACCTCGTGATCCACCCGCCTCGGCCTCCCAAAGTGCTGGGATTACAGGCGTGAGCCACCGCACCTGGCCTGTGATATGTTCTTAAATGACTTACAATTAATTTAATGTTAGACTTTCTTTCATTTTTTTTTTCTTTTGAGATGGAGTTTCACTCTTGTTGCCCAGGCTGGAGTGCAATGGTACAATCTCAGCTCACTGCCACCTCCGCCTCCAGGGTTCAAGCAATTTTCCTGCCTCAGCCTCCCGAGTAGCTGGGATTACAGGCATGTACCACCACACCCGGCTAATTTTGTATTTCTAGTAGAGACAGGGTTTCTCCATGTTGGTCACGCCGGTCTCGAACTCCTGACCTCAGGTGATCCACCCGCCTCGGCCTCCCAAAGTGCTGGGATTACAGGTGTGAGCCACCACGCCTGGTCAATGTTCGACTTCCTTCTAAGATTACTGGTAAAATTGTCATCTGTTTTTTTGCCTGCCTAGCCTCCATCTCTCCTGATACCAATAACCTGGCTTTTCCTGTAGAGGAGTGTGGGAAGGTTCGACTCATTAGCCCTAGTGATGGCATCTGACACATTCTGGCCAACAGCATAGCATCCCCTGGGACAGTGATGGGCAGATGACCTAAGCTGGGCCAAACAGAACCAATAAGCACCTGCCTTGGTGTTTGGCTGAAATCTTTGAGAAAGAAGCATTGTTTTCCTGTTGGCTGGCTAAACCAATAGAATGTTAGCTGCTTGGCATATTTGACAATGCTTTGGGAGGATCTGCTTGAGAATAAGGCCAGTAGGATGAGGAAGCAGAATAAGAGATGTAATGAGAAAGACGGATTTCCAGCAACATATTTTTGAACCCCTGAATCCAGCTGTACCTGAAGCTAGTGCCACTAGTGTTTTAAAACAAGCCAGTCTGAGTTGAGTTTCATCTCTCTTACAAATAAAATAATCTTGGGGGTGGAGTGGGGGAGGCTGGGATGAGAGCATGAGAAGGTGGAGCTAAGGTGGGAGACCGTCTACCCCCGACCCTGTGTGGTGCACTGACCTTGACTCTCTGCCCCTGCTGGTGGGGGAGAGATTCTCCAACATGGCCCCCTTGTTCTGGGGTGAGGAGGTGGTGAAGGAGTTCCCTGAATCAGAGGTGTTGCCACTGTTGAGCTCCCGGCTCTTGCTCAAGCCCCCACTGGGGCTCCCCTTCTCCTGGCCCCGAGACCTGGCTGAGCTGGTTTGCGTGGAGGGTGGCGAGGACGTGTCATTTCCTGAGTCGTACTCCTGGGAACGTCCTCGCGAGGTGGTGAGCGGGCTGGCTGTTTTGGTAAAGAGGTCAGCAGCAGACCCCGACCCAGTGATCTGAAAGCAAAAAGACCCGTTGGACACTGCTGAGCGCTGGGCCCATGGGCTGTTTCTAAATAACCAAGAAATGTTTACCGTCATGATGCACTGTAACGAAAGGAAAGAGAGAGAGAGGAGAAGAAAGAAGAGACGCCAAAAAACAAAAGCACAAATTCCTGAAGGAATACCACAGAAAGGAGATTTTTTTTTTACCCCCTGCTAGGATAACTGGAAGATTTAGGTATCATGCAGAGAAAAAGCATGCGATTCAGATTAAACAAAAGAAAAAGGAAATTATACAAAATTTAATTTCTAATGAATTAAACAAAAGAGTCAACTCAATAGAAAGGGGGTGTAAACACCCTTAACCTAAAACAATAATAAAAAATAAAGGAAGGGAAAGGGGAAAAAGAAATGGAACTATGGGCCTGAAAAAATATATCTTGGAAATTAAAAATAAAAGCAGATAAAGCCAAAATTTTAAACTTCAACCAAATCCTCAATTAATTTAACAATTTTTTTTGAAAAGAAAAAGTTGCCTGAATAGAAACCTAAACAAATATCACATGGGGAAAAGAAATGAAATAAAGATGAGAGTTTGTTTTTTGTTTTTTTAAATATAAAGTCAAGGTCGCAAACTGACATTTTAGCAGTTTTCAACTAAAGGGGAAAAGAAAGGAGGGGACAAAAAAAATGGAAGTTAAACAGTCTGACCAAAAATAAACGAAAAAAAGGGTCACTATAGATATTTGTGTGTGTCCTTTTCCCCTTGTAGAAGGTAGCTAAGGCTCTTGAGTGGCTTCTAATAAATTCTCTCATGTCTTTGCGGATTATATCCACTTACCAAGCAAGAACTCCTCCTTTAGTAGGTAGGTAAGGTGTAAGAGAAAGGGAAGAGCGGGCAACGTGAGTCCATCATTAGAGTCGCAATTGACAAGAAAAAACACACACCTTTCTGCACATCCTCAAACTTGGCCCTGAACTTTGAGTTTTGGTTTTTTAAGTGCCCTTGACGGGTGGGGGCATCAATTCTGTTTTGGTTTTGTCATAAAGGGGACCTAACCTAGCCAACCTAATCAATCCCTTAGGGCCCAAGTTGGAGCAGGAAACCCTTGTGGAACATGCCAGTGGCAGCTAGAGTATTGCATCTACTACCTAGGTGTGAATATTGAGGGGGCACGAGGGAGGGAG
Source organism: Homo sapiens (assembly GCF_000001405.40). Taxonomy (NCBI): domain Eukaryota; kingdom Metazoa; phylum Chordata; class Mammalia; order Primates; family Hominidae; genus Homo; species Homo sapiens. Next base: position 119,144,207 of record NC_000012.12, on the reverse strand, counting down.
GATGCGCTTGCAACAGAGGGCTTTGGAAGGGGCTTGGAAATTGGGCTTTGGGGTGACTGGGAATAAAGAGGGGCCCCGAGAACCCTGTCTAGGGCTGATCTAGGACCAATGAAGGAGTAAAGGAGGCGATGGAAAGCCAGCACTTGGGAAGGCGGGCACGCGTTTAGAAGCAGGATGGCGAGGGGTTTCTTTAAATATTCAGACCTGTTGTGGCTGGGATGACACAGTTAAGTTTGATGCTGGCCTCTGCCAGCAGTACCATGCTTAGCTGCGGATGGGAGGGACCCCTGCCCTGGGCCTTCTCCAGAGATAACCATCCCTATGGGATGAGAAATCTGGGGGACCAAGAAGGCACCCCCTTAAGACTGCTGCCCGCCTTAACCACTCTCTGGGTACCTGAGATCCCAAAATTCTCTGTTTAAATGACTCCTATGCCACTTTCCAGGTCTCTGTAGACCTCATCCATGGATCCATTCTCCTGCAGGTAGACCATGCTTCAAGTGTCCACACTTCTAGGTCCAAGGGTAGCTATTTGGACAGAACTTGGATGTTCAGGCTGAGGGGTCTATATGCATGTGTGTAAGCCCCATCATGGTGTTGGATGTGCCAGATGCAGAGAGAGAAAGGGATGGTTCCAGGGCCAGATTCTCCCGCCACTGCCATGTCATATCCTGGCACTCTGAAATGGTCCAAGGGTCTAAATTCATAACTAACTTTCAGATCATTTTGAAGGTATGTTGACCAAGATAAGAGAACATATTAAGTTTGCTGACTTATTTATAAACATTTAGACATCTAATTTGTGGGTCTTCTTCTATACCTTTGCTCTGACCCCACAAATGTTAGGGCAGCTTTCACCATAAAAAGCCTACTCTTTCCCCAAACTTTATCTTGTGCATCTTGGCCCTAAAGGAGGGGGGACTTCTACTTCTGGAATTTCTTAAGAACTATTTCTGCCTTCTCAGCAATTGGTCATGAGGGTGAAACACAGACACATTGGAACTGTGAGAATAGCATAACTCCTGTGGTCAGGATGTCAGCTCCTGGGGCTGGGGAGGCAGGAATTCCTTTGTAGATTCTCCCAGGAGGCTTTGCATACAGGCAAGGTGATAGTCTAGCTTTAGCAAGTTCTGTCCAGCACAGCTGCCACTTTACCTGCATGGCACACTGGATAGCTTTGCTTTGGGAGAAGGGACCTCAAAATAAGGTTGCTCTGGTGGAGTTTTCTAGAGTGAGACTTTTAAAACAATAATGTAAAGGCCCTGTTCCCATTCAGTCCTCCTATTTATTTGTCTTCTTGTTTTGCATTTTAGATGCCACATCTTTCTCAACTCTGGAGTTCAATGGTAACACATGTATCTCCACCACCTCTGTCAGGAATGTATCATGCCAGGCAACTAGACCCTGAGATCTGCGATCTCTGGCTTGGGCTTGGTACAAAGATGGGATCATGGAATCTTTGCCCCAGAGATGGTGAGTGGTTGGTAGCCAGTGTATTACAAGTGAATCCAACAAGCCCATCCTGGAGGGAGCTAGGCTGGAAGAACTCAAGGACAGGGGCCTGTGAGTACAATAATTTTCATTATCTTGTGGTTTGCTACCTGGAGGCTGCCAGGCTGGGCCTTTCTCTCCCAAGTACTTGTTCCTAGTCTTGACTACGAATTTCATTTTTCCTGGTGCACCATGGATCCCCGTAGGCAAGGATTTCTTGAATGTGAGGCCCCTCTGGGCTAGTGGATATAGAAGTGGATCTAGCCTTGTTCATCTTCTCAACCCAACACTCTGAGCTCACAGGGATACTTTCAGAGTATCACCACCTGGCTCTGACTTATCCACATGTAACTTGTGTGGTCAGAACTGAGAAATCTACAAGGCATTATGCTTTTCCATCATCACCAGAAAACAGGGATAAAGGCACTATTGAAATGTTCTCATTGGGTTAAATTTGGTGCCTGAAAATACCAACCTCTCCTGCATGTTTAAAAATCCCATTTCTTTGAATGGATCTAAACTCTTTGACATGGATGACAGTGTTTTTTACAGCCCGGTCCTGCCTACTTCACAAATAGCATCTCTTCCACACCATCCCACCCTGGCCCCCACAGCCTAAGCTGACTGATTCAGATTCGAGTTTTCTTGGTTCTGCCATCCCATCTTGTTCTAACCCCAGGCCATTTGCACATGCCATTTCCTCTGCCTAGAATACTCCTCTCTTCCCCACTTCACATGGCTAAATTTATTCATCCTCCAGGTGTCCTATCACCTCTTCTAGAAAGCCTTCTCTCATCCTCCAGACCAGGATAGCACAATACACTGCACTTCATTCATTCACTGAATCTTGAATTCACTCACTCATTCAAAAATGAGTGTCATTTGTTTGCCACAGCCCTGTTCCTCAGTACAGTAGTTGCTTATTTTATTGGCCGTCTCTCTGACTGGGTTTGGAGCTTGCTGAGGGCAGGGCCATGACTGGTTCAATGTTGCACCCCAGCATTCACCAATGCCTGGCACAGAGTAGGCACTCAGTAAATTTTGCCTAATGAACAAGTTTGCTCTCCGGTCCTTTGAAAGCCTCTGTGGGCCTGCCTGACTTCATTTATTGTAGAGACAACTGGGTGATCAGGCCCAGGTGGGATCCAGCTGGGTGTCTGCCAGCTTTGGGAATTTGAGAAGAAACCAGCCTCCATCACACTGAGAATCGTTCTAGGAAACTTGGAGACCCCTGGCTGAAGCTTGGGGTCTCAAGACCAGCTCGGCTGGGTGTGTGAGCTCGAGAGAACCTCTAGAATCAAATATTTATTTTTATTGATATATAATAGATGTACATATTTTTGGAATATATGTGATATTTCGATACATTCACATAATGTGTAATGATCAGATCAGGGTAATAGAGATAGATATCCATCACCTTAAACATTTATCTTTTCTTTATGCTGGGAGCATTCAAATTATTCTCTTCTAAGACCGAGCATGGTGGCTCACGCCTGTAATCCCAACACTCTGGGAGGCCGAAGTGGGTGGATTACTTGAGGTCAGGAGTTCGAGACCAGGCTGGCCAACATGGCGAAACCTTGTCTCTACCAAAAACTACAAAAATTAGCCGGGTGTGGTGGCATGTGCCTGTAGTCCTAGCTAGTTGGGAGGCTGAGGTGGGAGAGTTTCTTGAACCTGGGAGGTGGAGGCTACAGTGAACCAAGATCACACCACTGCACTCCAGCCTGAGCCAAAAAAAATTATTCTCTTCTAGTTACTTTGAAATATAAAATAGATTATTGTTTACTAGAGCCACTCTACTGTGCTATTGAACAGAAGGTCTTAGAAGAAAGTTTGAGGTCCAGACCCCTGGCAGAGAGAAAGAAAGCCCTCTGTTCTTTCTCTCATTCCCCCTGATACCCCTCAGACCGAGGACCCTGGGAGAAAGCACCCAGAGGCTCTGCACAGATTCTCAACAGCATAAGCTGCAGCCTTCAGGTGAGAAGTTTCCGACCTGCAAAACCTTTCAGATGAAACAAGCTGTGCTGGGTCTTCTTACTTCTTATTCCACTCTCTGCTACTATGGGAGCTCAAGTTCAAAGATGGACTGAGTTCAGTCATTTGCATGCAGCAAGGCTGCCAGCCTGCATAGTGACTTTGTTCCTATTAGGAAAAGGTACTCCTATAGAGAATGGAATGATGGTTACTAGAGACTGGGAAGGGTAGTGGGAAGTGGAGTATAAAGTAGGCATGGTTACTGGGTACAAAAATGCAATTAGAGAGAATAAATGAGATCTAGTATTTGGTAGCACATCAGGACGACTATAGTTAACAATAATTTTTTTTTTTTTTTTGAGACAGAGTCTCGCTCTGTTGCCCAGGCTGGAGTGCAATGGCATGATCTCCGCTCACTGCAGCCTTCACCTCCTGGGTTCAAGCGATTCTCCTGCTTCAGCCTTCCAGGTAGCTGGGATTACGGGTGCCTGCCACCACGCCCAGGTAATTTTTTTTGTATTTTTAGTAGAGACAGGGTTTTGCCATGTTGGCCAGGCTGGTCTCGAACTCCTGATCTCAGGTGATCTGTTCCGCCTCAGCCTCCCAAAGTGCTGGGATTACAGGCGTGAGCCACTGCACCCGGCAGAATTAGCAATAATTTTTCTTATATTTTAAAATAACTAAAAGAGTGTAATTGGAATGTTTCTAACACAAAGAAATGATACATGCTTGAGGAGATGGATGCACAATTACCCTGATTTGATCCTTACATAGTGTATGCCTGTATGGAAACATCACATATACCCTGTAAATATATACAACTATTATGTAGCCATAATAATTAAATTTTTTAAATGAAAAAAAAAGGTGCTCCTTATGGGTCAAGAATTAGAAAAAGGTGCCCTTTCTGGCCAGAAAGATTAGAAAAGAGATAGTACACCTTTTTCTGGGCTGAAGCAGTCCTGCATCTGTATTCAGAGCTTAGTAAATGGAGGGCAGGGGGGTTTTGATCTGCCAGTTGCTCTCCATGCTGGTCACCCTCTCAAAGGGGACAACCAGCATGACATCATGTCCCTAGCGGGTATATCTGGAGTGAGTAAATCGTCTTACTCCATCTGGCCTACTTAGAAGATTCCTCTGGCAGAGAGGAGGTGGTAACCTGAAGACATTCATTCCTGCTTCTTTTCAGCTGAACTCTACTTGGTATTGTCTTTACAAATCTTGATGTGCTCTGTTTATCCTTCCAGGTGGTAGGAGCATTTTCACAAAGTCATCATCAGAGATATTCAGATAGTTTAATGGTCTCCTAAACCCCAGACTCCACCTTCTGCAGAGCTCTCCATTCACTCCACAAGAAGAGGAGGAAAGAAGATACAATTGAGGGAAGCCCAAGACAGGATGGGAGAGGTCTGACCGTGGAAGTGCAGAGGAGACATTAGAGTTGTGAGCATCTGATGGGCTGAAAAAGGGGCCTCCCATGGTCTTGCCTCTGCCCTTCCATCCCTGGGTATTGCCTTCCTAGTCAGCCACTCTCTCTGGCACATAAGGTGCAAACAGTCACCCCCCTCCGACATTGATACAACAGGATGGTTCTCCTTTGCTTCTTTTTGCCTCCTTATTTATATAATAGGCCTCTCATAATTCATCTTTGAAGAGCTCCTCTTCATGCATTGGGAGTTTCTCTCTGTGCATGCAACTGCTCTTTGTCCCAAGATACTTATTAGCAAGAGCCACTCCAGATCCTCTGTCATCTGGTAATAATGCCCTCCAGGTACCCAGGACCCCCTTTTAAGAGCTGGAACCCTTACACCAGGGTTCTCTTCCTTGGTCCAATTTTACCTCTTCTTCCATCTCAGCCCTCACCCTCCATGATGTCTACATAAAAGCCTACTTTCGGGGTATGGCATGAAAATCCAGCTTCCACAAGATCTACTTAATGGCCAAATGAAATAATGCCTGTCTAATCTGGATTCTTAGAAGTCGAGATGGAAAATGAGTGCTAATAATTTGAGAGGGCAAGGAACCTCTGTAATGGAGTGTGGAAATGATGCAGAGGAGAGAGGGAGACAATAAAAGATGCATTATCAAACCAGCTATTACAGTGGGCAGTGGATGCTTAATCTCAGTGAGGACACCCTGGGAACCAGTGTAGAACATGCACCCCAGAGTTAACCTCAACCAAGGAGTGAGGGAGCTGGGATATTTATACACCAGTTCCCCATCACTCAAGGCTGAACACTGGAGCATCAATTCTCTAGTATGTCCAGACTGCCAAACAGGCAGAGAAAATAGGTTTTGGCACCAGAGAATACTATCTGGAAGCTGGAAGTCAGCCATGCGCCCCGAAGTGCAGAGGGTGAGGATCTATATATGGACACTATCTGCTTCAGTACCCCAGGTCAACACTGGAAAACCGGTGAGCCGAGTTATGCTTTGTTTCAGACATGCTTTCGTTAGCTCCCTTAGTATGTCAGGAAGTAAACTGGAATTAACTGCCAACGTTGGTAGAATGGGAGGTTTCATGTAACAACCCCATTTCCAGTTTCTGTTGAAAAATAAGATCTGGCAACACTGGGCCCAAATCCCTGCCTGGCAAGAATCAGCTGAGAGCAATTACAGCTGCCCCTTTTAGATGGGGCATGAGCTCTCCGGACCCCAAACCCCACGAGATCATTGTTACTCATATCTATTAGCTGGCCACCAAGACCTCTAAGTTGGAGACCCTCTGTTCTAAAAGTTTGTTGCCACTCTGATCCCTCTGTGAGTAACATAAACCTGGTACATCTTGTATGTTTCATCTCTTCCTTCCAGATCTGTGAAGTGTATTGCTCCATCTCTCCCATCTCGACCTTTTTAATCCCTCTTGGACTTTTGTCAATGAAAGGAACCAGGAGACCGGATCCATTAAACCATATCCAGACATCAGAGTTATTATAAACTCTTTCTCTCTGGGTCAGGGTAGTCAATCTCAGACATTTTAAAATTTAATTTTAAAAATTTTAAATACAAAATGTTTTTCATGAACTCAAGGCCATTGGGGGGAAGTGAACTATTTCCCTTTTTACTCCCTCAACCCCTTCCAATGTGAAGCTCCAGTATCTCCTCTCTCTCTCTCTCTCTCTCTCTCTCTCTCTCTCTCTCTCTCTCTCCACTCCAAACCTCGCCTCATCTCCTTGTTCCTTAATATACTCAGTGTTCACATTCAGGTTTTTCTAATAAGTAGTTAAATCCCCCCACCACGAACTCCAGCTCCCTGGCGTTTCACTGGGAGTCTCTCTCAGCCCTCCAGGGAAGCCGGCACTGTTATTTATTGTTTTTGTTTCAAATCATTATTTAATCAAGAACGGGGAAAAAAGGCAACCTCTCACTTACACTTCAAAATTTAATTTCAGCTGAATTCTAAGATCAAGAGGCAGCACGGCCTAATAGGATACAAAAATACAATCAAGAAGAGAATTCCAATTAAACTGAACAAGTCCATTTACTGAGCTTCAAATGGCCCCATAGAGAGAGGCGGCTATACATTTTTTTTTCTTCCCTGCCATATGGGAGACTGGAAATTCTCATGTGAGTGTGGAGCTGTATGGTAGAGCTTTTAGCTAGAGGGTTCTGGTTATTCCTTAAAAAAAAAAAAGCTTTTGTTTCACAAAGACATTAAGTTTATTTTCCTTTCTGTTGTTCATCTTCCTTAGTGCACTAATTAGGAAGACAGCAAAAGAATGGATTCATTGACCTGGTAGGAGTTCATCTGGGAGGAGGAGGAGATGGAGAAAGAGAAGGGAGATGTGCCGGGCATTGTGGGAAGACAACAAAGTCCTTTAGGGCTGGGGCTATCCCATGGGGCTGTGCACTGCATTGAACCTTTGGTAGGCAGAGGTGGTCTGGCCTCCTTATTATTTTCCTTAAGCAGGAGCCAGAGGGAATGACAGCTTCAGGCTCACCCTTTCTTTGAAGCCTCTCCTGAGGACCCCCTGCCCACCTGTTCTCAGAAATCCCCACCGGGACCCAGTTAGATACATTATCACCAGCCCAAATTGAAACAAGAAAAAATAAGTTCAATGTAATTAGTTTTTCATCCTGCTAAATACTTTCGATTTGAAGACTCATTTTTTTCTTCCAAGGTCGTGTCTTTCCTACTTCTTCTGATGGTAAAATCTCCCTTTAGTGATAGAAAATGGTGGTTTTTTCTGTTCTTCCTTGGCAAAAGTAAAAGTTGACAATGCTATGTCACTTCCCATTAAACAAAACAAAACAAAACAAAACAAACAAAAACCAATGGCCCAGAAAATCCCCAAATCTCATTTCATCCACCTTCTGTACTTTGGTTCCTCCCTTCTCTCAACTATGATGATGGTATTGAATGTTGGATATTGTGTCTCCCAGTTGAGCAAGAGCTCAAAGGCTTTGCAGAATGTGCAAGCACCTGGACTAGGGGTCAGAAGGCCTGAGCCATCCAGATTCTCCCTCAGCCCTATTTTCCCTATCTACAAAGGGGGAAGCATATTCCCATCTCGCCTTTCTCCTGGGGTTGTTGTGAAGTTCACCTGCGATCTTGGATGGATTCAGCTTTTTGAGGCTAAAGATACTCCGAGAACATCATATCTGGGTTTATTTGGGATAAGTTTAGTAAAGCTGCTATGATGACAAAAAATATTATGGCAACTAGGATACTTTGAGGGTTATGTCCCAAGCATTGGGATACTTTTTTTCACACAGAGCATAAGCTACATGAGGGCAGGACAGTAGATGCTTAGTGTTTATTTTTGAAATGAATGGATACCTTATCTTACTCTATCCTCATAACAATCCTATAAGTAGGTATGATTATTATTAGCCCAAGGCACAGATAAGGATATGAGGCCCAAAGACGTGAAATGGCACAGAGGAGGTCATGTAATTAAACATGTGGACTCTGAGGTCAGACTCCCTGGATTCAAACCCTAGCTTCTCTGTTGAATAGCTGCTTTTTACTTATTTTTTCTTGGCTGGGTTTCCTTATCATAAAGTGGACATATTCATGGAAGCTCCATTGAAAAGCTATTATAAAATTAAATGCAATGATGATGATACATGTAAAGAATTGGCCTAGCACCTGGTGCATAGTAGGTGCTCAGTAAACACCTGGTGCATGGCAGGTGCTCAACAGGCATTAGTTATTGCTGTCACCTAGGGTCTCACAGGGAGAGATCAAGAACTCCAGGGTGCCCAGATCCATTCCAAAGTTCATGTCTTAATCATATTGCCTCTTCCAGTTTACAAATTTCATGAGATCCTCTTTTATGGACTACGAGTTCTGCTTTTATTATTATTGTTTTTGGTTTCGACATTTGTACAGGTTTTTGTTGACAAGGATTAGCAACTATTGGCCCAGGCTGGAGGCAAGAAGAGGAACAAGAAACCTGCCATTATCTTTGGCCCAGCTCCAGACTTGATCAGCCTCCTTCTAGAATTCCTCTCTGGTTATGATAGACTTGATAGAGAGCCCCATATCACAGGGAAAGGGCTTGGCTAATCCTTGGAGCCATGAGCCTCTCCATCATCCAATCCACCTTCCCATCATCCAGCCCACCCTCCATGCCAACTATCAGGGTAAGCTTTCAAGGCACAAACCACAACTCATAACAGTTCCCCTTTCTCCCAATTTTGTTACATTCCTAGGTACCAGCACCTCACAGGGCCTATTTTCCCATCTTCGAAATGGTGATAATAATTGCACCTACTTCAAATAACTGTTTTAGGTACCAAATGAGGCAAAAATTATGTAAAGTATGTGACAGTGCCTGACACATAGTGGTGTTTTCCCCTCCTTCTGTCCATCAACAATTGCAACCCAATGAACTCCTATGCATCCTTCAAAGCCCAGCTCAAATGATCCTTTATTGGTAAAGCCTTCTCAGACATCAGGACAACATTGTCTGGCCCTTACTCTGTGCTTCCATTACACACTGTAGTTGCTTTCATCACTGCCAGGAGTGACATTCACAATATTCGATAACTAGTTCGTTGTGGGTACTGCCCCACCACAGAGGAAGCTGGCTTTGATGCTGAAGGGAAGTAAGTGTCACTTTTCTGTTTCAGGATTTTGAGAAGATCCAGAAAGTGCCAAGGGAGAGAAGGGATGGCTAGGTTGACTGGGGTTGGGTGAGGTAATGACAGGGCCTATTTACCAACTGGCATGAAAGTATTTGAATATTTTAACAACTGGAGAAAGTACTGGTGCTCCTGACTCAATCCCAGCCCTGATTACAAAATGATCACACTATATTGCAGCATTCTTCTGACTACTAGACTGTGAGCCCCTGGAGTTCAGGAAGAGTGTTTTTTTTTTTCTTTTCTTCTTTTTTTTTTTTTTTTACAATCTCTCTGCCTCCCCAGTACCTTGAACAGAGATGGTGGAGTGAAGATAAGGACCATGTGTGAGGTAAACTGTCTTGGGATCTTCTATTTGGATTTGGGTGCTGACCAAGCAAGAGAGCCTCAGGTTAGCTTTAGCTCACCAACTAAGATTTCCATTAAGAACCAACCCCCAAATTTGCATATTCATATATGTAAATAAGCCCCTTGATATTATGCAACTGTCCTTGAGTTTTTAAAAAAGCTGTGCATGTGAAATATCTGTAACCAAATATGGCATAGAAAATCCTTCATGCTTGGGCTCCTCTTTACCTCCAGAGCCCATATCTTGCCATGGAATTTTATCTCAACCCTCAACTCTAGTCTTTATTTTCCCCCTTCATTGGCTCACCCTTAGCTTTTCAGGTAATTGTTACCTTCTCTGCCCAACCCTAACCCTAATCCCAGTCCCCTCCCCTGTCTGCTAACCTTGCACCCCCAAATAAGCATCTGAGCACCAATTGTTGTGCATTGCCTTTAACTGTTTTTAACTTGTCTGTCTCGCTTCATTAGAAGGCACAGGCTATTTCTTTCTTAGTAATTGGATCCTGAGATAAGTCAGAGCCTGACCCTTTGTAGATGCTCCATAGGTGTTTGTAGACTTAAATGAATGATCAGACAGGTGATTCAATGAAAATGACTCTGCTGTTAGCTTTAACAGAGAGAAAAACTTGGGGCTAGGAACCTTGGAAAACCTTTGATCCAATCTGGAAACTTCTTCCATCTCTGCTTTTGTAATAGAGAAGACGAGAAAGGGCCATGCATGAGGAGTACTCAAAGAACCAGATCTGGGGCCATGTGATTCTTCCAGGAGCCAGGCAACCTTAAGTGGGGCAGAGTAGCCATGTGAGCTGCAGCTACCATTTAGGATAGAAAGAAATTGGTCTGGGAAGCAGGGGTCTTGGCTCTAGTCCCAGCCCAGCCTATGCCTGGAACAATACTACTATTACTATGACTACTACCACTGCTATTACCACTGCTACTACTATTGTGGCTACCACTATCACCACTACTATTACCACCACTACTATCACCACTGCTATCACCACTATTACTTCTACTGCTGTTACTATCACAAGCAGTAAGCATTATGCAGCATTTACTTCTTGCCTGTTATACTCTAAAACTTTTACTTACATTGTGTCATTGAATTCTCATAACAATCTTATGAGGTAGGTCTTATTGCTATCCTTGTTTTGCAGTTTTTGAGGAAACTGAGACACAGAAACTTGCTCAAGGAGTCACAGCTGGTAAGTGCAGAGCCAGGATCTGGAATGTTGTCATCATATTATTTGTCAAGTTTTGCACCTGTATCAAGTACTGGGCTCAACAGCTGCCTTCTGAAGAAGAGACTGTTATTATCTATATTATTATTATTTTATTATTATTTCTTACAGATGAGGAAAGTACAGCTCAGAAACATTTAAGTAATTACTACTATCTCAGGGACATGATGTGACCACGAATTAATAATTCCATGTTTTTAAATAACTCTGCCTTGCCATGGCCCATGTGAATCATTTCCTTTCTGTGAATCTCAGTTTCCTTTCTTAGTAATCAGAGCATTAGGCTAGCTGAGCTCTTAAGGCCTCTCTTATAGGTACAGGTGAACCCTGGTTTTTAGCTCTTCTGATAGGGCCAGGCTCATGAAGAACAGTGAGGCATTGCACCTCAAAGCCATTAAGAACCCATGTGTTTTAGGAAAGCAAACTACCAATAGCCAATCTGGTAACCTCCCCAGCTTGTGTGGGAGGACAGACCCAGCTTTTTGTAACATCTTGACAGACATATCTTGTTGGAAAACCATCCCAGACATGTAAGAATGTATAAGCCAGTTGCTTCCAATGGCACTTTTTAGCTAGGGTCAATTGGGACCTCCAGATGGACCACCACAAATACCATGACCAGAGCAATTAGGCATCCTTTACTAACTTAAAAACATTCCTCTACCTCTTAATGCTCATATTTCAAATTTATCTTTACCTTTGCCACAATCCTCCTGGGAGACAAGCGGGATAATCATGCCCATTTCTCAGGTGAGAAAGCTGAGGTTGAGAGGGGTAAAATGACAAGTCCAGCCAAAACAAGACTCAAATCTAGGCCTCTATACTTTCTATCTTGCTGGGAAGACCCCTTTTTGGATATTTGTGAGAGAGAGAGTACGCAGATGGGCATTTGCCATCTGCAAGGACTCAGTAACCACAGACATCTCTACCAAGAAGGAGTCTGGGGACAGTTGCAGATGGTTCCAGGTAGGCAGAGGATTTGGGTAAAATTAGACCTTGGTTATGCTGGGTGCCTTGACTGGTAAAGAAGATTCCTGGAATGCACTGCAGATAATTATTGTGTCAACCAGGCCCAACCGTTGTCATTGCTTTCCCTTTCTTGACATCCCCACAAGCACCCCTGAACTTTTCCTTGCTTCCACCTCACCCTTCCTTAGGCACCATCTACCTGAAATTTTCAAGTTCACATGTAGCTAGAGAAAACAGTCCCTTTCACAGCTGCCTGCTGCAATTGTAGACCCTATCAATGTTGACTCTCTTCCTGTTCGTCTGTCTCTTTAGAGTCTACAAAAGGCCTTCACGTACTTTATCTTATTGGATAGTCCCAACAATTCCATACGGAAGTGGTATTTACTTCAAGTTTACCAATGAGAAAATGGAGATTAAGTAATTTGCCCAAAGCCACACAGCTAGGAAGTGGCCAAGCTAGGACTGAATTCAGATCCATTTCTAAGTCTCTTGCTCATGGTGTCAAACTATATGAAGTCAAATTCCAGCTTGTCCTTGTTGACTTGGGGCAGCACTGCTTAATTCTATTCAATGCTGGGTTGCTAAATTGGATTAACTCTTGCCTTGCTCTGGGGCTTTACCCCAGCCCTTAACCTCTCTGAGCCTTGATTCTTCTTTCCTATCTGTAGAAGGGACTAGTGAGAACAGCTGTGCCCTCAACTCCCAAGACCTTGTGTGGCTACATGAGAGGATGTAGGTCAAGAGCTATGACCTCCTTGGAAGAAAATTCTCATATAAATTCAAGGTCATGTTTATAGGTGAAATGAAATCCCAGCTGCCAACCAATGCTGCCAGCCAGCTGGCATAAAAGATGCAGACTTCATGTAAAAGCTGGAGTGCCTCTGTTATGTCAAAGAGCCCTTCTTTTCCTTTCTCTCCCAAAAACAAACAAACAAACAAAAAATCCTCCTATGGTATCTTAAACATGTCTTCCTGCAGATATCACTCTGGAGACAGGTATTTATTTGTCAACATTCCCCTGATAAAAAGACTGGGTATTTAGTTTTTCTCCCCCTGCCCCCCAAAATCCCCAAGCCAGTGTTGCCAAAGTCTGGTGAATGATCATTTGGTTCATCATTAATGAGGTCTGGAGCCAGTGGGATATTTTGTCAGAAATTGAATTAAAGTGTACCATACACTGCCCTGAACTTGTGCCTCCACATTCCCCAAGTGTCGTGGCCAAGGCTGGCAGAGGAGGCTGTGAAGAATACTTACTACACCCCTGGCTGACAGGTAGCCAAGCATCTGGAGGGGTTGACTGGGCGGGCGACTGGACTGGGCCTCAGGGCTGTCCTTGCAGAGGGTCTTGGAGCAGCGGCGGGAGTGCCTTCGGCGGGACTTCTGCCCTTCCTCAGGGGACCGGCCGCGGTGCCTGGGGATGGGGGAGAGAGACCTGAGGGTCTTTTGAAGGGGAGCATGGTAGGGAGATGTATGCAGGACCAACAGGATCTGAGGATGATAAAGTGTGTTTGGGGGTGTTTGTATATGTTCATATGTGATATTGTTCCTAGGTATGTCTGCATGTGTGTGTATGAAAGCTGGACTGTGTGTATATTCATTTATTTATTCATTCATCCATTTAACCATCCATTCATCCATTTAACCATCCATCCATCCATCCATCCATCCATCCATCCATCTGTCTAAGCAACCATCTATTCATCCATCTAACTAGCCATCTCTCAATCATCCATCCATCAATCCAACCAATCATGTATCCATCCATCCCTCCATCTAACCATCCATCCATCCATCCATCTGTCTAAGCAACCATCTATCCAGCCATCTAACCATCCACCCAATCATCCATTCATTCATCTATCCATCCATCCATCTATCTGTCTAAGCAACCATCTATCCATCATCCACCCATCCAACCATTCATTCATCTATCCATCCATCCATCCGTTCATCCACTCATCCATCCATCCATCTAACTATTCATCTATTCATCCGTCCATCCAATCATCCAACCATCCATCCATCCGTTTATCCATCCAACTAACCAACCAACCACTCAGCCAACCATCTATGCATTCATCCATCCATCCATCCATCCATCCATCCATCCATCCATCCATCCATCTGTCCTTCCTTCCATCTGTTCATCCATCCAACTAACCATCTAACCATCCATCCATCCATCCATCCATCCATCCATCCATCCATCCATCCATTTGTCCAACTAACCATTCATCCATTCATCCATCTAACCATTCAGCCATTCATCCATCCATCTACCTAACCAACAATCTATTCATCCATTCATCCACCTATCCATCCATCTATTCATTCCTTTATTTATTCATTCTCTTACTTGTTCATTTGACAAATACTACTTCATGTACCTGGAACTGCTTTAGGGTCTGAGGATGCAGCTTTAAAAACAGAAAAGGTCCCCATCCAGATTCAGTTATTCAGTTTAATGTCACTTGTGTACCTCTCTGATTGTCTGTCATGTGACTATGTGTATGTCTGGGTGTGTCCATCTGTGTTTCCATGTGTTTGTCTATAAATGTAACTGTGTATAACTGTGTGTCTTTGTGTATGTGACTTTGCCATCTGTGAAATAAAGACATCCTGTTGACTGTCACCCAAAACTTTAGTGAAAAAAAAATGGCTGACAAAAATGACAGAGATGCCTTCTGCAAGTTTGTCACGTCTAGATCTGGCTGCTTGGTCTGCAGTAAAAACCAAAGGCATGTCTGACTTCTTAGAAAGGGCATGCTTAGACTCTGCATATCTTATTAGTTATCTGAGCCACCAAAGTAATAAAAATAGCACATTATGGATTTGCAAGGTATGTATACACCTCTCGAAGCAGTTTCACAGTTTTCCCTACAACTTGAAGACATAGACAGGGCAAGGTATTACTTTCCCATTTTACAGATGAGGGAGCCGAAGCTCAGAGATGTTTAGGGATCTTCCTGAGGTCAAACAGCCTGAAAGTGGCAGAGCAAGGGCCAGGGCAGTTTTTTGCCCCTCTAGGAACTAGCGCCTGGGATTCATGCCCTGGAGTGCCCCTGACTGCTCTGTGGCTTGAAAATCATGTTTCTACTGAATGTGTAACCTGCGTGCCAGCTCTCAGTTTGCTTCCATTTCTGCTAGGAAGCTCCTCAGCTCAGTAGGCACTGGGAGCTCAGATGCCAACACCATCAGGAGGAGATGGGACAGCAGAGGAGGCCCGGGGTAGTGTTTGTGATGTTAACCATTTATTTAACAGGTAAGTTGCTAAAGCCTTGTATGATTCTCTGGCCCAGGCCAGTAGGGCTTAGCTGCCGAGAGATAATTCAGCCTGGGGTGTAGGTGAAGTGCTCAGGCTGAGTCACACTAACCTGGTGCCTATTCCAGCTCTGCCAGACACTTCCTAGCTATGTGACCTCGCTCAGATCCCTTTGCCCACCAAAAGGCAGTTGTCTCTGCTGTAACAGATCAGAGATGTGTTTTAGCTCATTTGGCCAATGTCCTCCAGAAAAAGGCCACCAGGAGTCCACCTGGGGTTGAACAAACATTGTTGTCACTCCTTCATACCATAGGGAAGTTTCAGGCGTCTCTGTAAGGGGGTGTTAAAAAGAACCTATTATAGGCTTTGGGCTGGTGATAGGTGGTTTGGGGAGCATTTACAGATCTGGAGCTTTGTTCAGAATTGGATGCTGCCAGGAAGTGGGGGTAATTCTGACTGGGTGTCTTCATCAGTCTTATTTAGAAAGAGGGAGGACTAGACCGAGGCTAAGGCTGACTGCCGAGGAAGCAGCAGTCACTCATATTAGGCAGGGTAGAGAGATGCTTGGTCACTTTTGTGTTTTGCGGTGTTCTCATCTGGGCTCAGACTTGATTACAGAGGGGGCTTAGTTTTGTCTTGAGCAATCAGGGCTGCAGAGTGGCCTTGTTGGATGGTGATATTCTTGGAAATTATTGATGTTCAGCAGAAACACCAAGGCCTAATTGTGATAGTAGGTACCAAGGGCCTCTTCCTCAAATGCTTCCCACACATCACCTGGGGGGATTTAAAAATCTCACTGTTCTGGTCTCATCTCATCTGGATTAAATCAGAATGTTGAGAGGGTGGGATCCAGGCATTGGCATCTTTTAAAACTTCCCAAGTGATTGAAAAGGGCAGCCGAAGTAGACAAGCACCAGCATAGCACGTAGTATTATCAGAATGATGAGAGAGAAAATGTATTGAAAATCTTAGCACAGTGTCTGACACAGAGCAGGATTTGGGTAAATATTCCTCTCCTGCCTCCTCTTTCTCCTTCTCCCCCTTCTACCTTCTCCTTCTCCCTTTTTCTTCCTTTCTTTTCTTTTCTTTTTTTTTTTTGAGACAGACTTTCACTTTTGTCACCCAGGCTGGAGTGCAATGGTGCAATCTTGGCTCACTGCAACCTCCGTCTCCTGGGTTCAAGTGATTCTCCTGCCTCAGCCTCCCGAGTAGCTGGGATTACAGGTGCCCACCACCACACCTGGCTAATTTTTGTATTTTTAATAGAGACAAGGTTTCACTATGTTGGCCAGGGTGATCACTAACTCCTGACCTCAGGTGATCTGCCCACCTCGGCCCCCCAAAGTGCTAGGATTACAGGCGCGAGACATTGTACCTGGCTCCTCCTCCCTTTTCCTATAGATATTCTGCTTTATTTGGGAAAAGTGGGGCCAGGGCAATGACATTTTAAAATCTACCCTTGTGATGTGAACGGAGAGTCAAGTGTGAGATGCATTTCAGAAAGAAAAAAGCAGCTCCTCACATCTGGAAGCTGGAGGTCTCAGTGTCCCCATTGAACATCAACGATTCCAAACACCAATAAAGCCCCAGTTCTTTTTTTTAAATTTATTTATTATTATTATACTTTAAGTTTTAGGGTACATGTATACAATGTGCAGGTTAGTTACATATGTATACATGTGCCATGCTGGTGTGCTGCACCCACTAACTCATCATCTAGCATTAGGTATATCTCCCAATGCTATCCCTCCCCCGTCCCCCAACCCCACAACAGTCCCCAGAGTATGATGTTCCCCTTCCTGTGTCCATGTGTTCTCACTGTTCAGTTCCCACCTATGAGTGAGAATATGCGGTGTCTGGTTTTTTGTTCTTGCGATAGTTTACTGAGAATGATGATTTCCAATTTCATCCATGTCCCTACAAAGGACATGAACTCATCATTTTTTATGGCTGCATAGTATTCCATGGTGTATATGTGCCACATTTTCTTAATCCAGTCTATCATTGTTGGACATTTGGGTTGGTTCCAAGTCTTTGCTATTGTGAATAATGCCGCAATAAACATACGTGTGCATGTGTCTTTATAGCAGCATGATTTATAGTTAAAGCTCCAGTTCTTATTCTTGCTCTTCTCCTTCCCTTCCTCCTTCTTCTCATCAACAAGATGCCTTCTCAGGTTGGGACAACCAATGTATTAGCATAGAGAGAGTCCAGGTTAGGAGAAAACTGAGTTGAAAAGGCATTAGAGTGAACTTTCTACTTTGCACTGTTTGGGTTTACATAGTTTGCTTAGCTTCTCTGTGCTTAGAGTGGTCCCTTAGTGAAGTCTAGAGCCATGTTCCCTGATTTCAATCCTAACTGTCACTTAGTTGCTAAGAGACTAGTAAAGTCCTTAACCCCCCCATGCCTCAGTTTTCTCATATTTAAAATGGGGATAACAATAATGCCCACTTGTTACGGTTGTAGAGAGGATCCTGCAAGTGGATGTACAAAGAGCAGCTAGAGCTGGGGGCGGTGGCTCACACCTGTAATTCTAACACTTTGGGAGGCCGAGACGGTTGGATCACTTGAGGTCAGGAGTTTGAGACTAGCCTGGCCAACACGGTGAAACCCTGTCTCTACTACAGATACAGAAATTAGCCAGGTGTGGTGGCGGGCGCCTGTAGTCCCAGCTACTCTGGAGGCTGAGGCAGGAGAATCGCTTGAACCCAGGAGGTGGAGGTTGCAGTGAGCCAAGATCGCCCCCCTGCACTCCAGACTGGGCTATAGGGTGAGACTCTGTCTCAAAAAAAAAAAAAAAAAAAAAAAAAAAGCAGCTAGTATGGTGTTGTCATTCCTATAAGTGATGGCAGCAAGACCTTTTGGTCTCCAGCCCTTTCTCTTGTTTTTGTTTTTGTTTTTGTTTTGAGATGGAGTCTTGTTCTGTCACCCAGGCTGGAGTGCAATGGCGTGATCTTGGCTCACCACAACCACCATCTCCTGGGTTCAAGCGATTCTCCTGTCTCAGCCTCCAGAGTAGCTGGAATTAAAGGTGCCCACCACTACGCCCAGCTAATTTTTTGTATTTTTAGTAGAGACAGGGTTTCACCATATTGGCCAGGCTGGTCTTGAACTCCTGATCTCATAATTTGGCCACCTCGGCCTCCCAAAGTGCTAGCATTACAGGCGTGAGCCACCGCACCCAGGCTCTCCAGCCCTTTCTCTACAGGGAAGTGGTGCCAGCTGCTGAGTCTGAGGAAGGGGGCCAAACCCTGTGCTGGAAGTGTGGAGGCGAAGCTAGTGTTAACAGTGTCTTAGCCTGGGCTCGGCTGTGGCTGACAGAAGAGGATC
This sequence comes from Homo sapiens, assembly GCF_000001405.40. Lineage (NCBI taxonomy): Eukaryota > Metazoa > Chordata > Mammalia > Primates > Hominidae > Homo > Homo sapiens. Next base: position 119,125,496 of record NC_000012.12, on the reverse strand, counting down.
CTGGGGCAAGGGGTTACCTGCTCTCACAGCTTGAGGGGCGGGACTCCGAGCTCTGGGACCGCGAGGGGCAGCGGTGATGGCGGTGGCGGTGAGACTTTCGGGGCCGGCTTCGAGATCTTGGGGGGATGAGAAGGAACGAGTCAGAGGAGAGGAGAGAGAGAGTAAAAAAGGGAGAGTGAGAGATTTGATCTTGTGACACCCGTTTTTCCTTTGCACTGGTCACCATCCCTCCCGAAGTTCTCCATCTCCCTCAACCCCATGCGTTAGTCCAGCTTCCTGCCTGGGTATTGGGTGGAGGGTTCCGTAACCAATGGTACTGAATACGGGTGAGCAGAAAGGGGTCCTCTGAAGGGAGTGTGGATGACTCAGGGCCCTCCCTGCTCCCCAGATGACACCCTAGGCAGAAAGTCACTTCCCCATGTCTCCTCTGCATCACTCAAGGCAGGCGCCTCAACGTCACAGAGCTTCAGGGGCCATTCAGGCAGCATAAATATGTGGATCAGCCCAGCACTAACATAATATCAACCGGAGGCCCGAGTTAAAACAGAAGGTGCTGCTTTGCCTCCAGAATATTTGTGTGGTGATCCTCTAATTTTTCAAGTGAGTGTGGAAATACAGATTTTTAGGTAAAATGTTCTTATTTTAAATGGAAGCTTATTTTTTTTTAAAGGCACCTTTTTGGGCAAATGAAACACATTTGCAGAGTAAATTAGGCCTTTGGGCTGCCAATTTACAACCTCAGACCTGGAAAATTAAGTCCAGGTTCTTAGCATGGAGTCAAAAACCTTTCAGGATGGGCTACAAACCTCATTAAAAACAAAAATTAGAACAACACCAATTACTACCACTACCACTAACAGTGGTGTTACTGCAGGTTACTTCAGCTACTTCTAAGTAGTAATAATTCAGAAATAGTAGTGGCAGCGGCAGTGGTAATTGAAGATATATAAAGGATGTCAATGGTTTGGGCCAAACGAGAAAGCCAGTGGGAGTTAGAGATGATTCTGTTGGGAGGTAACTTGGTTATCTCAACAAAGGACTCAGGGATTCTTCTAATGTAATCATCAGACCATATCCCTTCCCTGCTTAAAACTTTCCCATTGCTCTCATATCAAGTTCAAACTCTGATCCTGAACCTCAGGCAGCTTCAGGAGCTAGCCCTTGCCTAGTTCTCTGGCCTCACTGCTTGTCTTCTTCTGCCCTGGCCTGGTGGGCTAAAGCAGCTCTGAACTGTATGTATGCTGGCTCACACATTTCCCAGTTCATGATGTCTTAGGGATGATGATGATAACAATGGTGATGATGACAGGTAACCCACATCTAACACATACTTCATGCCAGGCACTGTATTCTAAGCACTTTTCTTAAAGGGATTCATCTATTCTTCATAATAACCTATGAAATAGATTCTCTTATTATTCCCATCTTACAGATGAAGAAACTGAGGCACAGAGAGTTTAAACCACCTGCTTAACTTGCAGCCTGGAATGGTTACTTCCCATCCTCACCTGCGGCTTAGATGCTGCCTCCTGCGGGAGGCCACCAAGCCCTTTTCCCAGTGCCTGTGTTCCCACAATGCCCAGGGTTTCGTCTGCTGTTCTGTGACCAGCCCTATGTCTGGCTCCTGTGAGCTCTTCAAGGCCAGGACAGTGTCTGGCTCATCTCTGTCCTTGGGCCCAGCGCAAGGCCAGTCACATAGTAGGGCCTCATTAAGGGATGTTGAATGAAAGGAGGCTAACTCACTCCAGCAGCCACTTGCCTAGAAGCAGCCCTGACCGTAGACTTGGTAAGAATAAGCCATCGTTTATCTTGAATCCTCAAGATTCCTAGCCTTATTCTTCTTGTCTTTTTTCTCTCTTGCCTCTTGTCTTTTGGCTTCCACAAGCTTTCTGATGCCCTGCTAGCAATTTCTGGGGCTCATCCAGCTCTTGCCAGCGGGGAGGGTGGCCACCTTGCTCCCCTTACGCAGGCAGTCCTTATCTCAGTGATGGTCCTTCCTAGCGCTGTTGAGGTCTGGGCCTACCCCCTGACTCTGTGGCTGCCTACCCTGGGGCCCCACTGGTCAAGTGACACCGAGATTGCTGGGAACGTGTACTCTATCTGTGCTTAGTGTGAAAGCACATTCAATACACGTGGCCAATAATTGTCTCTTGACTTGAGCGGAACAAATTCGATGATGAGGAAGTTCTTCCCTCAGCTAACTCAAGGCTCTACTGCTTTCTTCTGGAGCATTCCCCAGGCCTCTGTGGTGGTGGCGGAAATGCCCTCCTTCGTCCTGACCTTGGGTGAAAAGACCGTTTGGGGCAGCAAAGCTGGGCACCCTCCCTCTGCATCCCTGCCTCCTCTTTTTCCTCCCTGGCAGTCGACTACCTTTCATCTTATTGTCTTTGATCCTCTCTTTAGAAGCTTCTTGGCAGGAGATAAAATATTAGTTGATTGGAAAACACACGCACTAACATTTGCAGGATATAAAGTAGGTAGGTTGTAACCAAATTTACTTTTAATTTGGCTGGGAACTGAACTCCACAGGCAGCAGTGGCTGATTTGAATTTCTACTACCAGCTATAAACTGTGAAACAGCTGGGGCCCCAAGACTGGAGCTAGGAGCTTAACTGACATCTCCACACTGTAAATCCAACAGTCAGCACATGAATTCATACACATGCTCACACACGTGCACCCATGTGCTCACACCCCCATGACCACCCATGCACAGGTAAAAACCACCATACGACCCCTGTGCACAAAATATACACAGGTACTTACACAGCGCACACACACAGTGCATAGAATTTAGTGTGTCCTATGTATACCATTCACATTCATGCTCACACAAGCACAGACACACAAATGCATTGGTGTAGGCACAAATATAGACCACACAATGTTCCCATATTGTATACATTTGTACACACAGTGTACAAAAATGTAAAAATGTACAGACATCTACAATGCATGCACTAGATATATACATACTATGTATAAATATACACACAAGGTATACTCATAAGGGACACACCAGGCACACACATGCACCCTTTCATGCAACATAAACAAGCGTGCATACACATACACATCATATACACACGACCCGGTGCATTCATACATTCCTAAACCTACAACACACGCAGTTATGCCTTTCTGTCCCTCCCTCTCCCCTTCCTTCCTTCCTTCCTTCCTTCCTTCCTTCCTTCCTTCCTTCCTGCCTTCCTGCCTTCCTGCCTTCCTGCCTTCCTGCCTTCCTGCCTTCCTTTCACCCGCTCACCTTCTCCTCCCTTTCCCTGTTTATTTGGCAACTCTAAGACTCTGGCTTTTAAGAAGCCAGATGCCCCAACTCCTCAAACTGATGAGTACATTCCAGGTAGTATCTACTTACTGTTTCTTGTGCCTCTTCTCATCTCTTCTTTTGCTTTTTGGGCTAGAGGAGCTAAACAAGAAATGGTCAATTAATTGAAAGATGCAAAATTCTAGTTAAAGATAAACAAGTAGTTAAAATGCTTAACACACAGTGTGAGATCCAGGCAGTTTTGGAATGGACACTGATCATTGCCTCAGACTGGAAAATTCACTGCCAACATTTTCATGCAGCAAATTCGGCTAGGGATACCGACGCACACACATATGTTGAGGATGGAGTGTGGAGGATGCCAAGCTCAGCTTTGCTAGGTTAATAATAATGGCAGCAATAAAGGTAGTAATAACAATGTCTGCCATTTTTTGAGACTTTAATTACAGTCTAGGCACTCTGTTGAATACTTTCGTCAACAACTTCATTTTATTCTCTCCACAACCTATGGGTGGAGGCACAATTTAACAAGTGCTCATTCTAAGCTGAACCTCAGATGGGCAAAGAAACTTGGTTAGGATTGCGCAGGTGAGCTAGGATGTGGCCATGGATCTGAGACCATGGATCCCCAGAGCCCATGCTCTTGACTGCTGTTCAATCAATTTATAAGAGAAGCAAATGGAATATCCAGGAAGATATTTGAACTCTCATGACGCTTGGTAGATTCTGAAATGGTCTGCCCATTCATATTCAAGTATCTGCGTTTAAATTATTTTTTGAGTCATAGGGCTAGGGTCTGAGTACAATGGATAAGAATGACTTGGGGTCTCAGTGTAATCAAATAGAGATCAGGGAGGATGAACACACTATTTGGTAGTTTAAGCTAGACTGGTTGCAGAGGGTCACCAAGAACCTATTACTGGCCTAGGACCTGGGAAGGGGCAATTTTATTTCATCTAACTATCTTACACCTTGAAGCCAGCCACAGGATCTATCTTCATGTTGAGACTCACCCTAGGCAGTGGGAGAGCCCAGGACCTTGCTGACAGATCCAAATTCAACTGGACCCAAGATCCGCCTCTGCTTCTTAGCTGCTGTGTGACATCAGGGTAGTTACCCGTCCCTTTAAAACCTGGTTTCTTCAACCGTGAAATGGGGCCATTACTCAAGCTGCAGAGCTGAGTGGACAGAGGACATTGGCAACCAATATCTACTTATTAAGTGAACAAATGACAGGGCTTTGCATTTTGCAGATTGCTCTAGATGTGGTTATTGTTATTTAAGAAGCCATCGTCACTCCCCTTACCCTCTGTCTACAGATTTGGGTTTGAATTTCGGCTCCGTTACCTTCTGGTTCTATCTGTGGACATTCCTGTGACATTCTATCTTAGTCTCAGTTTCCTCATCTGTAAAATGGGAACAATAAACATATCCACTGTGCAAGGTTGTGGTAGGGATTAATGAGAATTAAAAACATCTACACATGGAAGGGACTTAGCTCAGGATCCAGTTTGGAGTCAGGACCCTGTAAGTAATAACTATTTGTGTTCACCCAGTGTGTCCAGTATACGAGGACTTGGCCCTGTTCCTTGGCCAGATCTGGGAAGGTTTTGGTGGTGTGACAGGACTGTTTCCCTATGTGCCCCAGTTCAAGATTCCAACCAGTGGCAGGGGTAGTAATGAGACATTCTGGGGTCGAGACATCGATAGGGCTGGTCCAAGATCAACCCCCTGGCCTGATGGAAGTCAAAAGCTGGCTTGGAATACTCAGAAAAAACAGCCCAGACCTTCATTTTGGAGGAAACTGAGGCCCAGGAAGATGAAGGGGTCATGCCTAAGAGCACAGATGGAAACTGAGGGCTGACCTAGAAGCTGCCCCAAGCTGGCTGAGAAAGCAGAAAATTGAACAGGCAGTCAGAGAACAAGAGTCTTACCTGTGCCTTCTCTTCTTGGAGAATGACCTGAAAAGAAAGAAAGAAAAAAAATGAAAAGAAGAATCAAAGAAAAAAAAGGCAGAGAAAGAGAGGGAGAGAGAGAGAGATGGAGAGAGGGAGAGAAGGAGAGAAAGGAGGAAGGAAGAAAGGGAGGGATGGTGAAGGAAGGGAGGGAGGGGAAAACGTAAATATAGGTGAGTTTGAAAGTTTTTTTTTTTCCTGGTATGAAGGTATCAGCATGTTTGTGATCACGCTACAGGGGGTCGGGACACCTAGCTAATCCTCCTCCTCTCTTAGATTTCAGAGACTATGAAAATTGTATGGGAGATACTGGTTTGATTCTGAATTTCCAGATCAAAGCCTACCGGTGCTCCAATCCTCCCCCAAAACTGTCAGTAAATCTGTCCTGGATGAGGCTGGATAAGGAGAACGTAGAGAGAGTCTTCTGCCTTTCCCCTCCTCCATTCTCCATCTCATCTTCTCTCTCCCTTGTTGTGCATTCCTCCTCCTCCTCATCCTCATCATCACCGTCATCATCATGAGACAGCCAGCTTCCACATGTGGAACTCTTACTGTGTGCCAGGTTCTGTACTTAGCACCTGTCACGTACAATCTCATTCAATCTTCCCCAAGCCCTGTGGAGTACTATTAACAACCATTTTACAAAAACACTGACGATCAGAGAAGTTGATTAAGTTGCTCAGAGTCAAACAGCATCACCCATGTAGCTTCTTCTCATTCTTCAGTGCTCCAGTTGGAGGCCGTCTTCTCCTTGTAACATTTTCTGAGTCCCTCAGGCTGGTTGGATGCCTCCTGTCTACTCCCCCAAGCTCTGGGTGAGCCTCTGAGCTTATCATCATCAGGGTACAGACTTCTCCATATTAGAATGATCGATTTTCCCCACTAGAATGTGAGAATTGGAGGGCAGGGACTGGGTTTTGGTTTCTTTTCTGGGACTCAGAATCCTCATTCATGATACATAATGGGTGTTCAATAAATAGATGTGAAAAATCATTTTTTAAAAATTTTAATTTTTATTCTAAGTTCTGGGGTACATACGCAGGATGTGCTGGTTTGCTACATGTAATGTGTGCCATGGTGGTTTGCTGCACCTATCAACCCATCACCTAGGTATTAAGTGCAGCATGCATTAGCTAGAAAAATGAAAAATTTTTAAAAACTCAGAAGCCTTGCTAACTGAGGAGAGACAAAAAAAAAAAAAAAAATCTCAGTGCTTTCGCTACCCCTAGGTCCCATCTCCAAAAGTGTCAGCTATCATTCACCAAACATTTCAAGAGCCTGGAGAGGCTGGACCAGGAGTAGGATGGTGCTCGGGAGGTCAGGGTTTGGGAAGGAATAGCAACAGAATTTCCCCTCCTAATCATCTCCCTCATATGAACCCCCTACTCTGTAAAGCTCTAAGACCTGGGCTGACCGGGCAGGAAAAGCCTGTTTCTGACTGTCTGTCAGTGTCTTTCTCATGAGAAGGAATCTGTGAGTGAGAAGCCACTTGGCTTCCAGAGCCCAAATATGGGAAAGTTGTTCTCCCTTCCCCCAGCGAACCCCCAAATTGGGAGGAGCTGCTCAGCAAAGGGAGGTGATAAGGTGGCCATCTAGAATCATAAGTGTGGGCCATTGCCTCTACAAAGGACTCCACTTGGGGAAAGATTGCTGACACCAAATTAACAACATTTCACTAATTAGTTTGCCCATGCCTTGTAGTAAACACAAACTCAGATAACATCAGTCAGGAAGTCTGGGCAGGTGGTTGACATAACCAGTGAGAGCCAACTGAGTTTGAGGCCACTCTAGCAACCAGCACTGAGATGTGGTCATATCCCTGGATTGGGAAAAGCCACACTGGTGCAACTTTGAACTGGACTTGAGATGCAGGGGGAAGCCCCAAACAACCTCTTACCTCTCATTCATTCTGTTGTTAATTGCACAAGTAATCTACAATTGATGTAGGAAAATTGGATGATACGGATAAGCAAAAGTAATATATAAATCACTCTTTTCCCATTATCCGCAGCTCACTACAGCAAATAACTTGTATAGGGAGCTTCAAACTTCCTGCCTCCAGGGGCCAAGCAGGCTTTGTAAGTGGGTAGAGCAGGCTGGACAGGTCCTAAGGCCAACTGGAGCACTCTGTCTAAATGCTTGGCAACTCCTCAGCTCCAGGGGATGGTTGCTCGTGGGAAAATAGGCCCAGAGAAGACAGACCTTCTGACTCTACAGAGGAACTAGAAAACTGTATTTCTGTATTGCAGAATCTTCCAATTATAAAGTGTTGGTTTGGGCCATAAACCACAAACCTGAGCCCTCTGTTGTATATCCTTTGTTTGTTTGTTTGTTTGTTTGTTTTTTAGACAGAGTCTCACTCTGCTGCCAGGCTGGAGTGCAATGGAGCGATCTCGGCTCACTGCAACCTCTGACTCCCCGGTTCAAGTGATTCTTCTGCCTCAGCGTCCCAAATAGCTGGGATTACAGGCACGTGCCACCACACCTGGCTAATTTTTGTATTTTTAGTAGAGACTGGGTTTCACCATGTTGGCCAGGATGGTCTCGACCTCCTGACCTCGTGATCTGCCCACCTTGGTCTCCCAAAGTGCCAGGACTACAGTATCCTTTTAGTCTTTTCCTTCCCCTGTAAACATACACGTGTGTGTGTGTGTGTGTGCACAGTGAACACCAGGAACATGGGCCCAGTTCATGATGCGCTGTAACTACCGTCACTGCATCCCCATGCACCAGCATGGGAAATCTCAGCACAGCCATGTTTTTCAACATGATCTCATTCTCTAGCATGCAATGGACTGACAAGAGGGGCATTTCCTTGGGAATTTGGAATAAGGAACAAGACAGAGAGATTCAGTGTCTCCTTGCAACTTGGCCTGCAACATGGAGAGATGGGGCAGGGTGCAGCCATGTCCCTCATGGGGACCAGGAGACAGCGGGCACTTCAGGTCCCAGGTGGGTCCTGTCAGCTTTCCACTCCTTGTTCTAGCCCCTTGCTCAGGCCTGGCTGGTCCCTGAGTCACTCCTGCTTCTTTATAATCAAGTCCTCCTCTGGCCTCAGTTAGCATGTGTGGACCTCTAGTCTTCGCAGCCACAGTCCCAGCTTACACAAGACACAAATACGTAAAAAGACATAGATAATTGTTTTACATAAATGACATGATATGCTTCCAGATGACCTTTTAGTGCCATCAACTGTCCTCCCCACCCCACCTGGGGAGGTCTTGTTTGCAGAGAAAAAGGACAATACCTGCGTCGCTTGTGTTTCTTGGAACTTTTCTTCTTCTTTTTCTTGACAGGCGATGGGCTATAGGATGAGGACCTGCCAGGGCCAAGAAGACACATTTCAGAAGGAGGCTCTTAAAGGCCAAGGTTGGTTTCAAAAAGAACCTTCCCCAGTCCTTATACAGGGTTTTAGCTCTTGCAGGAACACACATCAAAGATAATATCCATGCTGATACTAGCTTGCATTTGTAAGCAATTTTTAATTGCTCACAAATTTAATTTTACTTTTCATTTGATTTTAATTTTTAACAAGTTAATGTAAACCATTACCTTGTGTTTTGTAAGCATTATCTCATTCAATCCTTTCACACACTTCTTAGGTAGGTACAATTGCTACCCTCCCTTTTCAGACAAAGAAAATGAAGTTCAGAGAGGTGAAGTGACCGGCCTAAAGACACACAGCTAGGAAGTAGATGAGCTGGGATCCCACTGGTTTTTGCTCTCAGTCACCATAGCACCTCACAGCTGCCTGCCTGGTCAAGCTGGAAAGGCTTCCTTCTGTCTGCTGTTCTCCCTTCAAGCTGCAACCCTCCTCTCAAAGTCTCAGGGTTTCTCCTTTGCCCCATCCTTTGTCTCCCTGGTAAGACTGAGCCCCTGAAGGATATCTTGCCAGGCTGCGGCTGCACGGATAGTGCCATCAAAGTGTTACCTGAGCAACAGAGCTACTCTGAGTCCATGGTGATGACTCAAGACTGAGGCTCAGGTGACCTAAGTTCCAATCTTGACTACTACCAACTCACAGAGCCACCTTGGGCATGTCAAGGCTCATCTCTAAGTCTCTTATTTCCCCGCTGACAAAAGACCAGGGTTGAAACAGATGAGAGGTTACAAATTCAATGCTAACAGGGCCCTCTCAGGTAACATGAATGGATGAAGCAGGCTGGGTGGAAGACAGTAGGGAGTAGTGGGGACTGTGGGGGAACCAGAGAGGTTCTGGCTGGAGGGGAGTCTGCTTCTCAGATTAGCCGAAGATCCTGTGTAGGAATTCAGGTCTGGGCTTCTACAGCACCTGCCTTTTCTAAAGGAGCCTCCAAAACTCCACATTTTCATATGAAATCTCCCGATTTGGAAATGTTGACCACCAATTAAAAAAAAAATCAAATCACTTTGCAGGTCAAACAAAACATGTCTGCAGAAGGGAATGGCTGAGAAACAATTCAGCCTTCAAGGAATCATAACATTTGTCCCCAGACACATGCTCAGTGAATATTCACTGGATGAACGAGTCAATTAGTGAATCTTAATATCTGAGGTTTCCTTTTTTAGAGTATTCTCTGGCCCACCCCTCAAATTAGGAAATCCAAAGCACTTGCCTCAATTTCATCTCCTACCCTACAATGGCTAGGACTCAGAGTCTTCATCCATATTTCCCCCTGGCTCCTCTTTGAGCCTGTCCTTTTAGAATGAGGCTAAGGGGTGTCTGTGAAACAAGGTTCCAGAAAACCTGGAGTTGAAGCCCAAGTCATCAGATGCTGCTCTCTGCTGCCCCCTACAGGTTTCTATAAATACTGCCTCAGAAGTTTGCTGTGATTCTCAGTTGGCAGCCTTAAGGGTTAATTTAAGCCTGCCCCTCTGGAGTTGGCACACTAGAGATGCTTTCAGTCTAGTTAGTGGCAGCCTACAAGCAAATCTGGAAATCATTTTAAATATAAAAAAATTTTAAAGGAATTGGACGTAGAAAAAATGCATAGGATACCAAAGAGTCAATAGCTGGCAAACAAACAAACAGCACCCCTCCCCTCCAACACCCACCTATTATCCTAGATATTGAACTAGTTAGGTGGGCGTCGTAGAACCAACTGAGAACCTGGCGTCAAGCCCCTGTAGATCCTGTCACCACCTCTGTGAGCCTTTATTTTCTCATCTCTAAAATGGGAATAATAATGCTTTCCTGGTAGACAATGGTCAGGGATAAAAGAGATAATGAAGACCACGGTGCCTAGTCTAGTCCTCTGCATCTAGTAAGCTCTCAAAAAATAATTCAATATTCATGCTAAAGACTATGCTTCCGGCCAGGCGCGGTGGTTCACGCTTGTAACCCCAGCACTTTGGAAGGCCGAGGCAGGCGGATCACAAGGTCAGGAGATGGAGACCATCCTGGCTAACACAGTGAAATTCTGTCTCTACTAAAAATACAAAAAATTAGCCTGGCGTGGTGGCGGGCGCCTGTAGTCACAGCTACTCGGGAGGCTGAGGCAGGAGAATGGAGTGAACCTGGGAGGCGGAGATTGCAGGGAGCCGAGATCATGCCAGTGCACTCCAGCCTGGGTGACAGAGCGAGACTCCGTCTCAAAAAAAAAAAAAAAAAAAAAAGACTATGCTTCCTATTAATTAGTCATTTACCATGTGCCAGGTACTGTGACAGCCGCTTCCACATTAATTTTTCATGTAATTTTCATGAAATCTCAAAAGGTAGATATTATCACCATTTTGGAGAAGTATAATAAAAACAGGAACAGAGATGTAAAGTGACTTGCCCAAGGTCACACAGCTAGTTAAGCATCAGAGAGGGGATTTGAACCCAAGAGGGAGCCACTGTCTGACTTTGAAACCCATATTTTGTCCCTGCCTGCATCTTACAGGTTTTATCTCCCTCTTGGTGCTCTTACCTCCTTCTCTTCTTCCGAGTGGATTTCTTCTTTTTCTTCTTTCCCCTGGAGGAAGGTGGTGGTGTCAAGTCTTTGTCATGAGAGGCACTGTGAGGAGCAAAGAGAGGAGCATTAGATAACTCATGGTTCCCCAACTCCCCAACCAGAGCTGGTGCAGCCAGGGAAGGACCCAGGTCCTTGGATGATCAAGGACCTATAGCCAGTGCCTCATTACCACCTCATGGCTGATTGGGTCACACTTCAGACTAAGTACCTAAATAAGGACTTAATGCCGAGTTAATGAGACAGACGTTGTACGTTACCCAAACACCAACTGATTATTAAAAACAGAGTTATAGAGGTTAACTACTCCTAAATAGATTTATTATTGAATTTGCAAATGGCTTGCCTTGGTAAATAAATCACTTTTTAAATAACTCATCAGCCGTTCAGCCCCCTCCCTCCCCAATATATCGTGTCCGTAGTTCCTGCTGGAAATTTAATAGCAGGCGGAAGGTATGTTAAGTAGCAGCTGATTATTAAAAGTATATTTGCCAAGGTCTAATGTAACGAGATACGTATCTTATATTGCCTCGCAGAACCTCAAAAACCTCCGCTCTTCAAGAATAATTATTTCCTGTTCAATTAAATTCAAATGCTGAGGCTGCAGTTAAATGAAGTCAAGTTATCTTCTTTTATAATTGGGGCAGGCTCCAGGGATTTTTTTAAAAACACTATCCCATGGCAAAGGAAGATGGTTTTAGATGAAAAACTGCTTGGGAATTGGAACATGCCAACCTAGTGGAACCTCAAGGGGAAAACATAATCTTACTACTAATATTGTCATTATTTCAGCAGTGACACAACTAGCATTTATGCGCTTGTTATGTGCCAAGTTTTTTTATATATTGGGATACAAACACTTTGAGAATGGTATGACTTTTACTGTCTTGAGCCTCAGAAAGGTTAATTAACTTGCTGATGGCTAGACAATTAGAATGTGTCCAGGCTAGGATTTGAATCAAGGCCTGTGTGATTCCTACCCTGAGATTTTCCCCACAAAACCAGCTGCCTTCTCAAACTTGTTTGTGTGGCCAATCATCTGGAAATTACCCAACTTTTTATAGAATATCATAAAGTACTGCTGTATTTAATTCCATTTTAAGAATCTGGATCATTGTGGTTAGTAGAAAGAATGATAAAATGGTTAGAATATATGCCAGGGTCTCTATCTTCAGCAAATAAGAATCATATAGCTATATTTATAATATTTTCAAGAGAGCCACTTTTTAAAAATTATCAGATGTCATTTTATTTAAACAGCTGGAGGAGAGACTATTTATATTATTGAGCTTTTCTACTAATTTGCTTTCCTGAATGTGGAACTTTTGATGTGCTGTTTTTTTTTAATTTTAATTTTAAATTTGTACATTCCGGGCTACATTTGCAGGATGTGCAGGTTTGTTACATAGATAAATGTGTGCCATGGTGGTTTGCTGCACCTATCAACCCGTCACCTAGGTATTAAGCCCAGCATGCATTTGCTCTTTTCCCTAATGCTCTTCCTCAGCCACCACTCTCCCCCAACAGGCCCCAGTGTGTGATGTTCCCCTTCCTGTGTCCATGTGTTCTCAATGTTCAGCTCCCACTTATAAGTGAGATCATGCAGTATTTGGTTTTCTGTTCTTGCATTGGTTTGCAGAGGATAATAGCTTCCAGCTTCATCCTTGTGCCTGCAAAGGACAGGATCTTGTTCATAGTATGGAATACTGCATAGTATTCCATGGTATATGTATACCACATTTTCTTTATCCAGCCTATCATTGATGGGCATTTGGGTTCATTTCATGTCTTTGCTATTGTGAATAGTGCTGCAATGAACATATGCGTGCATGTATCTTTATAATAGAATGACATATATTCATTCCTTTGGGTATATACCCAGTAATGGGATTGCTGGGTCAAATGGTATTTCTGGTTCTAGGTCTTTGAGGAACCACCATCTTCCACAATGGTTGAACTAATTTACATTCCCACTAATAGTGTAAAAGCATTCCTATTTCTGTACAACCTCACCAGCATCTGTTGTTTCTTGACTTTTTAATAATTGCCATTCTGACTGGCGTGAGATGGCATCTCATTGTGGTTTTGATTTGCATTTCTAAGAGGGTCCCTTTTAGTAGGTTAAAAATAAGTATCACAGGAATTAAGTACCTAACTACTTAACTACACTTATATGTTATAAAGCACAAGGCACAGTATGCATGTCCAGGAAGCAAACAGGATGCTTGTGTAAACAGGATGGGCTACTTCCAAATTCTTTTTTTTTTTCTTTTTTTTGAGACGCAGTTTCACTCTCTTGCCTAGGCTGGAGTGCAGTGGCATGATCTCAGCTCACTGCAACCTCCATCTCCTGGGTTCAAGCGATTCTCCTGCCTCAGCCTTCCTAGTAGCTGGGACTACAGGCCCCCGCCACCAAGCCAGGCTAATTTTTGTATTTTTAAAGTAGAGACAGGGTTTCACCATGTTGGCCAGGCTGGTCTCGAACTCCTGACCCCAGGTGATCCACTTGCTTTGGCCTCCCATAGTGCTGGGATTACAGGCATGAGCCATGGTGCCCGGCCACCAAATTATTTCCTTAAAGAGTGCTTGTCACAGGGCAAAAGCCTAATCAATATTTGCTGAGTGACCAAAAGAGAGAATAAATGAATGAAATAATTGAGCTTCTTGTTAAATCATCTTGTTTCATAGAAACACTTCCCAGTGCAACAGCTACTGGGAATTTGAGTGGGGAAAAAATGAAAGGAGAAAAACTTGAGAGAAAAAAAAATCTTTTAGAGTGTGTCTTACAAAATGAGGAAAGAGCCTATTGTTTCAGTCAGCTATAACTTCTGGAATCCCAGGGTCCCAGGAGAGCATGATTTGAGAACTTCGTCCTTGATTTGCATTTAAGTAATGGGGTAAAACTCAGAAAGCCCTTGAATTTGGAGACATTTGAGGTGTGTGAGATGGGGATCATCAACTCCCTCAATAAATCCCAAACGCCTTTACCCTGGTAGGTCTACATTTCTTCTACCCCCTATTTTTCCCTACACTAGTTCTACTTGTACCATCATAGAGGGTCAGGAAAGGGCAGAATAGTTGTTAAGTATACCCTGGTTACAGGTGCAGGGGTTAAGTACATAATGCTTGTGTATGCTGTGGTTACATATGCATGGCTAAATACAGTGATGAAATATATGACAGTTCAATAAGTATCAGTTGAGTATGCAGTGGTTACATGTGCAGCAGTTAAGTCTGTAGTGGTTAAACAAATGGTAGTTAAGCACACCTTGGGGAAGTAGCAGAGGTTAACTATTCAGTGGTTAAGTGCTCAGCAGTTAGGTACACAGTAGTTAAACATGCATCAATTAAATATGCAGTGGTGAGGAGGTTCCAAGGTGGCCGAATAGGAAGAGCTCCAGTCTACAGCTCCCAGCGTGAGTGATGCAGAAGACGGGTGATTTCTGTATTTCCAACTAAGGTACCGGGTTCATCTCATGGGGGCTTGTCGGACAGTGGGTGCAGCCCACGGAGCATGAGCCAAAGCAGGGCGGGGCATCGCCTCACCTGGGAAGTGCAAGGGGTCAGGGAATTCCCTTTCCTAGCCAAGGGAAGCCGTGACAGAGGGTACCTGGAAAATCGGGACACTCCCACCCTAATATTGCACCTCTCCAATGGTCTTAGCAAATGGCACACCAGGAGATTATATCCCACATGTGGCTTGGATGGTCCCATGCCCACGGAGCCTCACTCACTGCAAGCACAGCAGTCTGAGATCAAACTGCAAGGCGGCAGCGAGGCTGGGGCAGGGGCGTCCGCCATTGCTGAAGCTTAAGTAGGTAAACAAAGTGGTCAGGAAGCTCAAACTAGGTGGAGCCTACTGCAGCTCAAGGAGGCCTGCCTGCCTCTGTAGACTCCACCTCTGGGGGCAGGGCATAGCTGAACAAAAGGCAGCAGAAACTTCTGCAGACTTAAATGTCCCTGTCTGACAGTTTTGAAGATAGTAGTGGTTCTCCCAGCACAGAGTTTGAGATCTGCAAACGGACAGACTGCCTCCTCAAGTGCGTCCCTGACCCCCAACTAGCCTAACTGGGAGGCACCTCCCAGTAAGGGCTGACTGACACCTCATATGGCCAGGTGCCCCTCTGAGACGAAGATTCCAGAGGAAGGATCAGGCAGCAACATTTGCCATTCTGCAATATTTGCTGTTCTGCAGCCTCCGCTGGTGATACCCAGGCAAACAGTGTCTGGAGTGGACCTCCAGCAAACTCCAACAGACCTGCAGCTGAGGGTCCTGACTGTTAGAAGGAAAACTAACAAACAGAAAGGACATCCACACCAAAACCCCATCTGTACATCACCATCATCAAAGACCACAGGCTGATAAAACCACAAAGATGGGGAGAAACCAGAGCAGAAAAGCTAAAATTCTAAAAATCAGAGAGCCTCTTCTCCTCCAAAGGAACGCAGCTCCTTGCCAACAATGGAACAAAGCTGGACGGAGAATGACTTTGACAAGTTGAGGGAAGAAGCTTTCAGATGATCAGTGATTACAAACTTCTCTGCGCTAAAGGAGGATGTTTGAACCCATCGCAAAGAAGCTAAAAACCTTGAAAAAAGATTAGACGAATGGCTAACTAGAATAAACAGTGTAGAGAAGACCTTAAATGACCTGATGGAGCTGAAAATCATGGCACGAGAACTACATGATACATGCACAAGCTTCAGTAGCCAATTCAATCAAGTGGAAGAAAGGGTATCAGTGATTGAAGATCAAATGAATGAAATGAAGTGAGAAGAGAAGTTTAGAGAAAAAAGAGTAAAAAGAAATGAACAAAGCCTCCAAGAAATATGGGACTATGTGAAAAGACCAAATCTATGTCTGATTGGTATACCTGAAAGTGACGGGGAGAATGGAACCAAGTTGGAAAACACTCTTCAGGATATTATCCAGAACTTCCCCAACCTAGCGGGGCAGGCCAACATTCAAATTCAGGAAATACAGAGAACGCCACAAGATACTCCTCAAGAAGAGCAACTCCAAGACACATAACTGTCAGATTCACCAAAGTTGAAATGAAGGAAAAAATGTTAAGGGCAGCCAGAGAGAAAGGTCGGGTTACCCACAAAGGGAAGCCCATCAGACTAACAGCTGATCTCTCGGCAGAAACTCTACAAGCCAGAAGAGGGTGGGGGCCAATATTCAACATTCTTAAAGAAAAGAATTTTCAACCCAGAATTTCATATCCAGCCAAACTAGGCTTCATAAGTGAAGGAGAAATAAAATCCTTTACAGACAAGCAAATGCTGAGAGACTTTGTCACCACCAGGCCTGCCTTACAAGAGCTCCTGAAGGAAGCACTAAACATGGAAAGGAACAACTGATACTAGCCACTGCAAAAACATGCCAAATTGTAAAGACCGTCAATGCTAGGAAGAAATTGCATCAACTAAAGAGCAAAATAACCAGCTAACATCATAATGACAGGATCAAATTCACACATAACAATATTAACCTTAAAATGTAAATGGGCTAAATGCTCCAATTAAAAGACACAGACTGGCAAATTGGATAAAGAGTCAAGACCCATCAATGTGCTGTATTCAAGAGACCCATCTCACCTGCAGAGACACACATAGGCTCAAAATAAAGGGATGGAGGAAGATCTACCAAGCAAATGGAAAACAAAAAAAAAACAAACAGGGGTTGCAATCCTAGTCTCTGATAAAACAGACTCTAAACCAACAAAGATCAAAAGAGACAAAGAAGGCCATTACATTATGGTAAAGGGATCAATTCAAGAAGAAGAGCTAACTATCCTAAGTATATATGCACCCAATACAGGAGCACCCAGATTCAAAAAGCAAGTCCTTAGAGACATACAATGAGACTTAGACTCCCACACAATAATAATGGGAGACTTTAACACCCCACTGTCAACATTAGACAGATCAATGAGACAGAAAGTTAACAAGGATATCCAGGAATTGAACTCAGCTCTGCACCAAGCAGACCTAATAGACATCTACAGAACTCTCCACCCCAAATCAGGAGAATATACATTCTTCTCAGCACCACATCGCACTTATTCCAAAATTGACCACATAGTTGGAAGTAAAGCACTCCTCAGAAAATGTAAAAGAACAGAAATCACAACAAACTGTCTCTCAGACCACAGTGCAATCAAATTAGAACTCAGGATTAAGAGACACACTCAAAACTGCACAACTACATGGAAACTGAACAACCTGCTCCTGAATGACTACTGGGTACATAACGAAATGAAGGCAGAAATAAAGATGTTCTTTGAAACCAATGAGAACAAAGACACAACATACTGGAATCTCTGGGACACATTTAAAGCAGTGTGTAGAGGGAAATTTATAGCACTAAATGCCCACAATAGAAAGCAGGAAAGATCTAAAATTGACACCCTAACATCACAATTAAAAGAACTAGAGAAGCAAGAGCAAACACATTCAAAAGCTAGCAGAAGGCAAGAAATAACTAAGATCAGAGCAGAACTGAAGGAGATACACAAAAAACCCTTCAAAAAATCAATGAATCCAGGAGCTGGTTTTTTGAAAAGATCAACAAAATTGATAGATCACTAGCAAGACTAATATAGAAGAAAAGAGAGAAGAATCAAATACACACAATAAAAAATGATAAAGGGGATATCACCACCGATCCCACAGAAATACAAACTACCATCAGAGAATACTATAAACACTCTACACAAATAAACTAGAAAATCTAGAAGAAATGGATAAATTCCTGGACACATAGACCCTCCCAAGACTAAACCAGGAAGAAGTTGAATCCCTAAATAGACCAATAACAGGCTCTGAAATTGAGGCAATAATTAATAACCTAGCAACCAAAAAAAGTCCAGGACCAGATGGATTCACAGCCGAATTCTACTAGAGGTACAAAAAGGAGTTGGTACCACTTCTTCTGTAACTATTCCAATCAATAGAAAAAGAGGGAATCCTCCCTAACTCATTTTATGAAGCCAGCATCATCCTGATACCAAAGCCTGGCAGAGACACAACAAAAAAAGAGAAATTTAGACCCAATATCCCTGATGAACATTGATGCGAAAATCCTCAATAAAATTCTGGCAAACCATTATTTTAAATCCAGCAGCACATCATAAAGCTTATCCACCATGATCAAGTTGGCTTCATCCCTGGGATGCAAGGCTGGTTCAACATATGCAAATCAATAAATGTAATCCATCATATAAATAGAACCAAAGACAAAAACCACAGGATTATCTCAATAGATGCAGAAAAGGCCTTTGACAAAATTCAACCACCCTTCATGCTAAAAACTCTCAATAAACTAGGTATGGATGGGACATATCTCAAAATAATGAGAGCTATTTATGACAAACCCACAGCCAATATCATACTGAATGGGCAAAAACTGGAAGCATTCCCTTTGAAAACTGGCACAAGACAGGGATGCCCTCTCTCACCACTCCTGTTCAACATACTGTTGCAAGTTCCGGCCAGGGCAATCAGGCAGGAGAAAGAAATAAAGGGTATTCAATTAGGAAAAGAGGAAGTCAAAATGTCCCTGTTTGCAGATGACATGATTGTCTATTTATAAAACCCCATTGTCTCAGCTCAAAATCTCCTTAAGCTGATAAGCAACTTTAGCAAAGTCTCGGGATACAAAATCAATGTGCAAAAATCACAAGCATTCCTATACACCAATAACAGACAAACAGAGAGCCAAATCATGAGTGAACTCCCATTCACAATTGCTTCAAAGAGAATAAAATATCTAGGAATCCAACTTACAAGGGATGTGAAGGACCTCTTCAAGGAGAACTACAAACCACTGCTCAATGAAATAAAAGAGGACACAAACAAATGGAAGAACATTCCATGCTCATGGATAGGAAGAATCAATATCATGAAAATGGCCATACTGCCCAAGGTAATTTATAGATTCAATGCCATCCCCATCAAGCTACCAATGACTTTTTCCACAGAACTGGAAAAAACTACTTTAAAGTTCATATGGAACCAAAAAAGAGCCCGCATTGCCAAGACAATCCTAAGCCAAAAGAACAAAACTGGAGGCATCACGCTACCTGACTTCAAACTATACTACAAGGCTACAGTAACCAAAACAGCATGGTACTGGTACCAAAACAGAGATATAGACCAATGGAATAGAACAGAGCCCTCAGAAATAACACACACGTCTACAACCATTTGATCTTTGACAAACCTGACAAAAACAAGACATGGGGAATGGATTCCCTATTTAATAAGTGGTGCTGGGAAAACTGGCTAGCCATATGTAGAAAGCTGAAACTGGATCCCTTCCTTACACCTTATACAAAAATTAATTCAAGATGGTTTAAAGACTTAAATGTTAGACTTAAAACCATAAAAAACCTAGGCAATACCATTCAGGACATAGGCATGGGCAAGGACTTCATGACTAAAACACCAAAAGCAATGGCAACAAAAGCCAAAATTGACAAATGGGATCTAATTAAACTAAAGAGCTTCTGCACAGCAAAAGAAACTACCATCAGAGTGAACAGGCAACCTGCAGAATGGGAGAAAATTTTTACAATCTACCTATCTGACAAAGGGCTAATATCCAGAATCTACAAAGAACTTAAACAAATTTACAAGAAAAAAATCAAACAACCCCATCAAAAAGTGGGCAAAGGATATGAACAGACACTTCTCAAAAGAAGACATTTATGCAGCCAACAGACACATGAAAAAATGCTCATCATCACGGGCCATCAGAGAAATGCAAATCAAAACTACAATGAGATACCATCTCACACCAGTTAGAATGGCGATCATTAAGAAGTCAGGAAACAACAGATGCTGGAGAGGATATGGAGAAATAGGAACACTTTTACACTGTTGGTGGGAGTGTAAACTAGTTCATCCATTGTGGAAGACAGTGTGGTGATTCCTCAAGGATCTAAAACTAGAAATATCATTTGACGCAGCCATCCAATTACTGGGTATATAACCAAAGGATTATAAATCATGCTGCTATAAAGACACATGCACGTGTATGTTTATTGCGGCACTATTCACAATAGCAAAGACTTGGAACCAACCCAAATGTCCATCAATGATAGACTGGATTAGGAAAGTGTGGCACATATACACCATGGAATACTATGCAGCCATGAAAAAGGATGAGTTCATGTCCTTTGTAAGGACATGGATGAAGCTGGAAACCATCATTCTGAACAAACTATCACAAGGACAGAAAACCAAACACCGCATGTTCTCACTCATAGGTGGGAATTGAACAATGAGAACACTTGGACACAGGATGGGGAACATCACACAGTGGGGCCTGTTGTGGGGTGGGGGGAGGGGGGAGGGATTGCATTAGGAGATATACCTAATGTAAATGACGAGTTAATGGGTGCAGCACACCAACATGGCACATGTATACATATGTAACAAACCTGCATGATGTGCACATGTACCCTAGAACTTGAAGTATAACAAAAAAAATTAAAAAAAAAAGCAGTGGTTAAGTATGCAGTGGTTCCAACACAGTGGTTACATATGCAGAAGTTACATATGCAGTAAAGTATGCAGCAGTAAGGAATGCTGGTCCAGAAGCTGACAAACCTAGATTTAAAGTCTAACTCTCTTACTTCCAACAGGGCTCAGAGACCTCTCTGAGTCTCATCTTGATCATCGTCAACAAGATGGGAAGAAACATGGTACCTGTGTCCTAAGTTTGCTTCCAGGAATAAAGGAGCTGACTTAGGTAATGTGCCCTGGTCTGGCATAGAGTAAGAGGACAGTATAAGGGGTTTCTGTTATTATAATTATAATTAATTATTAAATAATAAATTTATTATATAATATAATTATGATTACTTTTATTATCACTGTTATTATTATTATCATCATTATTGTGGTTTTGTCACATCAGAGGGTCAGTCACAGATAGAAGGGAGTGAGAGGCCCAGATGCTGTACACTAGAGTACAACAGCTCTACAATAGAGATGCTGTATGACATGGCATCATTTTTTCAGATTTTCATAACCAGAATCTTCTCTTCTGGCTTCATGAAACTCTCACTAACATATCTTAGGATTTCCTCTGCTCTAGTCTCACTGCCACAATCTGTACATGCCTAGTCTAACTTAATCCTCATCCTGACCTTGAGAATTACATCTCAACATTCCCATTTTATAGCTGTGAACACTGAGGCCCATGGAGGAAAAGAAACTTGCCCAAGGTTGCTCAGTTCGTAAGTGACAGGGTCAAGATTTGTACACTCAGATTCCATCTAGGAGACAATATTTTTTATTTTTTATTTTGAGACGGAGTCTCACTCTGTCGCCCAGGCTGAAGCGCTGTGGTGCGATCTCGGCTCACTGCAACCTCCTCCTCCTGGGTACAAGCAATTCTTCTGCCTCAGCCTCCAGAGTGCTGGGATTACAGGTGTGCACCATCACACCTGGCTAATTTTTGTATTTTTAGCAGAGACAAGGGTTTCACCATGTTGGCCAGGCTGGTCTCCAACTCCTGACCTCAAGTGATCCTCCCACCTCGGCCTTCCAAAGTGTTGGGATTACAGGCGTGAGCCAGCATGCCTGGCCCAATGTTTTAAAAGTAGGGAAATTCCCTTCCTTCTCACTTCTCTCTTTATCTCCCTCTGCCTATCATGGAAACAACTTTCTTCCTGTTTCCTTGGGAGAACTCTCCAGACATGAGGTTGAACTTCAGTTCTCCAAGTTGATAGGGCTTAACTGTTTCTCTCTCTTTGAAATTGCAGCATAACTAAAGCCTGTAGCTGAGAGGGCAGCCTAGGTGGTGGGGTAGACTTCATTTTTGAAAATTACTCCACTTAACTCCCACTTATAAGAATTTATGAACACAAAGAAGGAAACAACTTGACGAGAAAGGGTGGATGGAGGGAGAGGAGCAGAAAAGATAACTATTGGGTAATGGGTTTGATACTTGGGTAATAAAATAATGTATACAACAAATCCCTATGACACATGTTTACCTACGCAACAAACATTCACATGTAGCCCCAAACCTAAAATAAAAGTTAAAAAATAATAATGAAATAAAAATTAAAAAGAAAAAAAATGACTCCAGTTTCCCAAGCCACTTCTCTAAAATTCAGTGATCACATCTTCTAGAAATAGATTTCCCAGAGGCCAAAGATGGGCCAGACTTTATAAGCATATGCTGAAAACAGGAGGCAGGGGATAATTTTTTTTTTGTTTTTCAGTAGCATCCATAGGATAATGGAGTGGGTTTTAGTCAAGGATTTAAGATCAGAGAGACTGGAGTTCAAAACTTCACTCTGCCACTTAGTGGCTGTCATATTCTGGGGAACTCACTTTACTTCTCCCAGCCTCAGTAAAATGCTGAGTATACAGTATTTTTATGGAGTATGTGTATACAGTGCTCTCTGCATTTGTGTGCTAGTACAGTGCCATCACACAGTGGGTGCTCAAAAAGTACTGGTTAAACAACTGAGTAAAAGAAAACATGCAGAGACCTGAAACTCCTGAGACAGGTCTGGGCTGAAACTATGATTTGGGAGTCAGTGGCTCATAGAGCCACTAAAATGCAAAGGAACGCTATCATTTAAGGTAGGGCTTGCTGAACTACAGCCAGTGGGCCAATTTAGCCTGCCTCCTGCTTTTATAAATACAATTTTATTGGAACACAGATATGCTTTTTGTTTGCATAATGCCTATGGCTGTTTTTTGCACTGCAATGGCTGAGTTGAGTAGTTGTGACAGAAACCACTGGGTCTACAAACTTAAAATATTTCTGATTTGTTCCTCTACGGTAAATATTTACTAACCCTTGATTTAAG
This sequence comes from Homo sapiens, assembly GCF_000001405.40. NCBI lineage: Eukaryota > Metazoa > Chordata > Mammalia > Primates > Hominidae > Homo > Homo sapiens. The sequence goes on along the minus strand of NC_000012.12, from coordinate 119,102,482 downwards.
GGTTTGAAAGAGGAACTTGCATAAGAGAGGGGTGAGCCATGGCCAGAGAGGCAGACTTTATTTCTGTATCTTCAACTTGAACGTCCTCATTGGATCTCACCTGTGTCCTCTGGTGGCACCCAGTTCCCGACAGGTCTTGTCTCTCTCCCAACTGTTGGTGCCCAAGGGCTCGGTGGCCAGATGCTGACCCAGCTTTTCTGAGGGTCCATCCTGAGCTGGGACAACGGGGTTATTCTGGGGCTCTGTCCTACAGAAGAAGAAATAAGGACACAAAAGTGTTAGAATATACAGAGACACTTAATGTTCATTAAATATTCATAGAATTACTAGTATTTCCCAGCTTCCCTTACAGTTAGGTTGAGCCCATGAGATTATCTTTGGCCAATGGTCTCTAAGCAGGAGGGAACACATGTAATTTCCAGTTCAAGGCAATCAAGATCTGTGTACCTTTCCAGCTCCCCCTTCCTCTGTCATAGCGACTTTAGAGTCCACGCATTCTGAAAGGTGAAACTATTTGATGAAGGAAAGATGCCTTCACCACATCAGACTTTGCAAGAGAGAAATAACTGAAATTAGGTTAAACCACTTTGATGTAGGTTTATTTGTCACAGCAGCATAGCTTATTCTATTTGGACTAGATCACAGAGAGATGCTGGAAACCAGCATTTCATTTCTTTTCTCAAGACATAATGGGAGGCCAAAGCATGATAGGATTAGTGTAAATCCCCCTTTGCCATTTCTATTCCATTTCTCTGCCTTATTTCTGTATGGACTACCTATATGTAGATTCAAATGGTCTTAACTATTTAGTAGCTATAGTATCTGGGTCCAGTCACAACATCTCTGAGTTGCAGTTTCTTCAGTTATAAAATAGTGAATAGTATCAATTCATGTATTTCCGAGCTATTGTGAAGATAAAATGAGATAAAATATACAAGCAGAAAGGCCTCAAAAGTCAGTTTTCTTTGGTTTTACTTCCTTGTAAACCAAATCTCCAATCTGATGTCCTTAATTGGTATGAGCCACCCACTTGGAACAGCAGTTCCCATGAAGGCCTGCAGTCCTGCAGCCCCCAACTCTGCCAATGACACAGGCTGCAGAGAATACTGAGGCGTCGTCTATGAGTCCCACGTCTTTATGGGAGTTCCTGAGAGGGCAAAGAAGTTGCCTGGTTACTCAGCTTTTGAAGAGACTGTCACCCAAGTTCCTGGCTCTTAACTAGGAAGAGTCAGGAGTTTGAGAGTCACAGGCGTATTTGGTGACACGCAGAGAACATCCCTCCCTGCTCACCCTGCCTTCAGACCCCATGTCAAGTATTGATCAAAGGCATTAGCATGTCTCATGCACCAGGCTTCTGCATCAGTGCATCCAGATTGGTTTTATGACTCAGGATGAATGCATCTGATAAGCCCCCTGCTCCTTAGGGCTTCTAAGAGAGCAAGTCAAGCCCAGTCAATATTGAAGGAAGGGCAGCAAAACACATCCATCTCTGTCAGCCACTTATGAGTGCATCTTTAGAAGCCGAGCTGGTAGATACTGCAAGCCCTGGAGGGCTGGAGATTCTAATTAGGGCTTCTCAGCCCTTCTCACTGCCAACTCTGTGCTTCCAGAACTCCCTTCCATCCTGCTCAGCCTCAGTTTTCCCTAAACCTCCCTCCTATGGGGGTTACCTTTCCATGTCTTTACTTCTGCCCATTTATCTCTGAGGAATGCTGCCCTGTCTGCTGTCTGACAACAAAGCTTCTATTTTCTGCCTAACACCCAGCAAGGCTTGCCTCTTCCCATACTTGTCCTGGCCTAGGGTAACCTGCATTTGTTAACTTCAATTTCCTGAGTGCCTAAATTGTATCCAGGTCAGTTTCAGGTGTGGAGACACAGTGAACAAGACGGAGATGTCTCCTGTGATTACGGAATGTTTACATTCTAGATGGAGGAATAGATACATAAGCAAGTAAAAATAGGGCTTGTTGAATGGTAACACATTTTTTTTTTTGAGGCAGAGTCTCACTGTGTTGTCCAGGATGGAGTGCAGTGACACAATCACAGCTCACTGCAGCCTTGAACTCCCTGGCTCAAGTGATCCTCTGACCTCAACCTCCCAAGTAGCTGGGACCACAGTTACACACCACCACACCCAGATTTTTTTTTTTTTTTTGTAGAGACAGGGTCCCACTGTATTGTTCAAACTGGTCTTGAACTCCTGGGCTCAAGCAATCCTCCTGACTTGGCCTCCCAAAGTGCTGGGATTACAGGTATGAGCCACCATTTTCAGCTGAATGGTAATAAATTTTGGTGTGACTAAAGCAGCATACAGAGCTAAGAAATGGGAGGAGTGGCTGCTACTTTGTATATAATAATCAGAGAAGTCCTTCCTGAGAAGTAACAAGGGAGTGGAGACTTGAAGGATTCAGGACTAATCTTAAAATTTGGGTGGTTTAGAATGTGTTCTTAGATTCTTTGACACTCTTGTCATCAAAAGATCAAAAGACGGAACTTAATTTATCTCCCTTTGAATATCGGATGGGCTTAGTGACTCACATTCAATGAAAAGAATGTAGTAGAAGTAATAATGTATGACCTTCAAGACTTGGTCACAAAAGGTAGCTTCTGCCTTCCTCTCTTGGGTTGATGATTCTGGTGGTAGCCATGTTGTGAGGACACTCAAGCAGCCATATGGAGAGGCCTATGTGAAGAAGAACTGAGGCCTCCTGCCAACAGTCAGCACCAACTTGTTAGCCCTATGAGTGAGCCACCTTGGAAGAGGATTCTTCAGCTCCAGTCAAGCCTTATGATGAGACTGCAAACCTGGTTGACATCTGACCACAGCTTCATGAGAGATGATGAGTTAGAACCACTCAGCCAAATTCCTGAGTCACAGAAACTATGAACCATAATAACTGTTTGTTGTTGTTTTCAGCCAAAAGATTTGGAATAATTTGTTACACAGTTATATATAGCTTCTACACAGGTATCTGCTCGAAGTGAGAAGTGTGCCCTAGGCAGAAGGAATAGCAAGTTCAAAAATTGTTAACATATTATAAGGAAGAGCGGCCGGGCATAGTCACTCATGCCTGTAATCCCAGCACTTCGGGAGGCCGAGGCAAGTGGATAACTTGAGGTCAGGAGTTTGAGACCAGCCTGGCCAATATGGCAGAACCCTTTCTCTACTAAAAATAAAAGAATTAGCTGGTATGGTGTTGCACGTCTGTAATCCCAGCTACTCAGGAGGCTGAGGCAGGAGAATCGCTTGAACCCAGGAAGCAGAGGTTGCAGTGAGCTGAGATCATGCCACTGCACTCCAGCCTGTGTGACAGAATGAGCCTCTGCCTATAACAATAGTAATAATAATAATAATAATAAGGAACAGCAAGCAAGGGCTAGAGTGGCAAGAGGTGAGATCAGAGATCAGGTCATGGGAAGACCTTTGGGGCTCTCTGTAGCTGAGATGGGAGAAGAGTCTTTGGAACAGGAGTGATAGGGACTGGATTACCTTTGAGAACGATCACTCTAGTGATTGAGGGACACAAGGCTGAAGGGAGAAAAGGGCAGAGATGGGGAAATGGTTGCAATAGTCCAAGCTCCGATCAGTGTAGTAGCAATGGAGTGGGGGATAAGATGTGGTCTGATTCTAAGAAATTTTGAAAGTAGTACTGACATGATTTACTGCTGGCTAAATGTGAGAAGTAAGAGAGTAAGACAGGAGAAGGAGTCAAGGATGACTCCAAGGTTTTGAGCCTGAGCAACTGGAAGGATGGCGTCAACATTGAGGAGATGGAGAAGGTAGAGTAGGGAGCAAGCTTTTGGGAAGATCTATCCCCTTTTCTAGGATGTGGTATGCCTTTGCTCCCTTGCCAGCAACTCTTAATAATATGTTGTCATTTAATTGTCTTCTATCAAATTGGACTATGAGCTCCCTGCGAGCAAGACTGCGTCTTTCTGCCTCAGAGCCTGCTGCTTAGTGAACATCAGGCAATATTTTTTCAATGAATCAATAAAAGTGGTAAAAAATTGGCCAAAGAGAACATTGTTTCAAAAAGTTAGAAAGTGCTTTTGAGATGCTTTGGGCTAATTTCCTGATGTTATAGTTGGTGGGAATGGAATCTTAGAAAGGGTCAGTAACTCAGCCAATGCCTCAGTCTACTCAGACTGCTCAATCCATGTCTTCTCTGTTCAACCTCATATTTCTTTTAGAAAAGATCAGTGAGCTTATTGATTTGTGTGTATTGTCCAGCAAAGCCTTGACACATAAGATAGTTCACTTCCAAGGTGGCTCACTCATATGGCTGGCAAGCTGGTGCTGGCTGTTGGCAGAAGGCCTTAGTTCTTCACATGGGCCTCTCCATATGGCTGCTTGAGTATCCTCACAACATGGCGGCTGGCTTCCCCGACAATGATCAATCCAAGAGAGCAAGGCAGAAGCTGCCCTTTGTAACCAATTCTTGCAAGTCACACATTATTACTATGTCAAGGTGGAGACACATAAGAATATAATTCTGAACTCTTTGGGACATTGTAGAAAATAAATCGATACCACAAGCAATCCCATGATAGGCAAAAGCTGAGAACTGTGAGGAATTTAGCATTGAATAAACACATGGTGAGTGTGCTGGCATTGGGTGGGAAGTCTCAGTGACTTGTCTAATGGAGAGAGTAGAGGCGTGAGTTATCTGAAGTACAGGGGAAGCTGGTGGATGCTACTGCCAGAGCCCTGGGGTGTAAGGCTTAGGTTGAGGACAGTGCCTCATCCATCATTGTCAGCAACAGGGGTCAGGAATCAGATATGGGGAAATCTTGAAGATGATTTGGTGAGGAAAGACACAATGGAGTTGCAGGAATTTATGTAACTTTATACCCTCTGATGTGGTAGATTTTTCTTTTTCTCCAATAGCACTTATTTCACCTTCCTGGTGTTGGGTATCCCACCTGGAATTTTGCAATAAAACCAACAGAAATAAAATGAATTCTGCCAGGCAGAGAGGAAATGCTGAGGGGAGGAAGAAGGAAACCGTCGTGTAGCTTCCTGCTCAATGAACATTCATTGAATGAACAAATGAATAAATGGATGGATGAACAAATGAATTGTGATTACCGATCTCATGTGGGAACCACAGATCGGATCCTAACTCTCCTTACAAATAAAGAAGCAGAGGTACAAGTAAAGAGTCTGAGGTCACTCAACGCTGCAGTGGAATCAGGCTTCAGCCACAGCCCTCAGCCCTCCACAGCCCCACCTATCTCCCTTCCCTACCTCCAGCCTTGCATCTTTGCAGGTCCTTAAGAAAAATTCTGTGTTCCATCTTTGCTGAGAAGTACTGGCAGTTGCCTCATTTTCCTTCTATATCGCATTTAAAAAATACTTAAAAGAAGCCGAAATCTTTGGGGACAGCTAAAACAGTGGAGTCAAGGGCCGGCACACTCCACTTCACAGATGGAGGGAGGGAGCCACGAGTGCCGAATTCCTCAAGGCCTCCCGGCGGCTCTGTTCCTGCTAATCAGAGACCTGGAGCTTAGATGCTGTCTCTGTAGTCATGGCAACCGGCAGATTCCAAGGCTCCGATAAGAGTCAGGGCTGAACTTTTCTGCAAAACTCCTCAAGAGGCCTGGCTCCCTAGCTGCTTCCCTGCTTCCCATCAAAGCTCTTGCTCACTGAGCCAATCAGCCAGCTGCTCCCAACAAAGTTCTCATTTGGCCCAGCATTGGGTGCAGATCCTCATGCCCCAAGCACTAGATTGAGTTAAACACTGTTTGGGGAATCAGAGACCAACAATGGTGGAGCGGGAAGAACCCCAGATCCAGCTCAGCCCTGTACAGAGTGGAGAAAGGGAGGCCCAAGAGGCAAGGGGACTTGCCCAAGGCAAATAGTGACTCATATCATAGCTCTGGCTAGTAGAGTTGCCACCTTTTGACTCCCAGCCCAGCGTTCTCTCCACATCACTTGATCATCACAGCAGCTAGTATTTATCAAGCACCTCCTGCACACCAGACACTGAGCTAACTAAGCACTTCTCACTCATCTTCTCATTGAAGTTTTCAAAGAAACCCATGAGCCAGCATTACCATCCCTACTGTGAAGAACAAACTGAGACCCTGAGATATTAACTGGCAAGAACATCAGCAGCTGTCCTGCTTGTTTATAAGAATCAACTGAGAGGCCGGGCGTGGTGGCTCACACCTGTAATCCCAGCATTTTGGGAGGCTGAGGTGGGCGGATTACGAGGTCAGGAAGATTGAGACCATCCTGGCTAACACAGTGAAACCCCGTCACTGCTAAAAATACAAAAAAAAAAAAAAAAAATTAGCTGGGCGTGGTGGCGGGCACCTGTACTCCCAGCTACTCAGGAGGCTGAGGCAGGAGAATGGCATGAACCTGGAAGGCAGAGCTTGCAGTGAGCTGAGATCGCGCCACTGCACTCCAGCCTGCGCCACAGAGCAAGACTCCATAAAAAAATAAATAAATAAAAATCAACTGAGAACAAAAGGGAGAAGACTCTGGAAAACATTTTCTTTTTTTTTTTTTTTTTTTGAGACTGAGGCTCAATCTATCGCCCAGGCTGGAGTGCAGTGGCATGATCTCGGCTCACTGCAACATCCGCCTCCCGGGTTCAAGTGATTCTCCTGCTTCAGCTTCCTGAGTAGCTGGGATTACAGGCACCTGCCACCACGCTTGGCTAATTTCTGTATTTTTAGTAGAAAACATTTTGAAAATATAGGAAAGGATAAGTGGAGGTACAGGGGGAATCTTGGTAATTACGTTGTAAGATAGGACTGGTCTTATGTGTTTGGAGAGGCTCTGTATCTCAAGGTTTGGCCTGAATCTTATATTCCACAAACAGAAATGGCAGTTGGCCAGGAGATTGGAGACATCGCTGACATTTATTGCCTCCATTCCACAAATAGCTCCTTCTGTGTATAGAGGACTTACTAATCCAGTGTCTCAATTGATTCCTATAACTCTCTGTGGGGTGTGCAGCAGCAGCATGGTGAACCTCCTTCCCTTGCATAGCTGAAGGCACTGAAACCTGGAGAGGCAAAAGTACTTGCTTCCTTCCAGAGATCATGGCCCAGGTACTTGTTCTACCCGTGCATCCAGGGCTGTGAAAGGTCCATCCTTTTTCCCACACTTGCCAGACACCCACACTCTGCCTGTTTCAATAGAGAATGTAGGCCTAGACTCTCATGCTTAAATGCTCTTCAGAAAGCCCAAGAGTTATCATGGGGCTGACCTAGCCCAGAGACAAGATGAAGTTGGCCAATTTGTGCCTTGGCTCCTGGGACCTCAGTCTGGGCTGTGTTAATAATGTCCTGGCCTGAGGTCTTGGCATTCCGACTCGTTTTCAAGGTGAATCCAGTTCATTAAGCCTGGATGGGGGTAATCTTCAGGAGCTGTGACCCTTTGAGCTTTGCCATTGTGGCTTGAAAAAGCAATAGAGCTTAGAGGAAAACTGGGGATTGCACAGCACTGCTGTGGGAGACATCGTTTGGATATAGGGGCAGTAATGTTCATTTTAGTAGAAATTGAATAAAAAATGAAAGGAAGTTTTATGAGGCTGTCATTTCTCTCATTATTTCATTCATTACTCAACAGTTGTTTACTGAACACCTACTTAGTATCAGATTTCAAAGACCCAAAAGTAACCAAGACATTGTTTCTGCCCTGCAGGACTTCTCACCCTGGAAGGGGAGACAGATCCCTAAACCGGGAATTGCAATATGGTATATAAGAAGTTCTCTGATAGAGAGAGGCTTACGGGGGCAGTGGACCCACAGAGAGGGCACCTAACCCCTCCTGGGGAATGTGGGCAGGTGGTCACGGAATGTGTTTCTAGCAGATGAATAGAAATTGGTCAGGAAAGTGGAACAAAAAGGAGGAAGAGCAAGTGCAAAGGTCCAGCACCAAGACAAAGCAGTGGACCTTCGTGTGACTGCAGGGGATGCAGTAAGTTAGAACAGACAGTGAAGGTGGAGGGTGGCAGGCAAGACTTGAGTCTAGGAAGGAAGAAAGGGGCTGGATTCTTCAGGGCCATGTAGACAGGTGCTTTTCAAGCCTTCATGTGCATGGGTCACCTGGGGATCTTGTCAGACTGCAGATGCTGATTCTTCAGTAGGTCTGGGGGAGGGCCTGAGTTTCTGCATTTCTAACCAATTCCCAGGTGAGGCTGTTGCTCCAGGAACTACACTCTGAGTAGCCATGTTGTAGATTCTACAAGGAGTTTGAACTTGATCCTGAGGGATGAGCAACATAGACAAGCACAGCTCCCCACCACTCCCTCTCCACAGGCGATGGATGAGAATGGCTTAGTCCAGTTGTCAGGGCTGAGAGCAAGTGTGTAAGAGTGTGGATGTGTGTGAGTGTGTGTGCTTATGAGTGTGTGGTAAACACTCTTATATATCAATAATTGCTTGGTTCTCAAGTTCAGGTCAAAGGACAAAAGAATCATGTGGAGAAAAATCAGCTCAGCATTTCTTGCCCAACTCAGCCAAGCAGGTCAGGCACCCAACCTGACCGGGTTTTGAACTCATCACAGAACACATCCATCCACTGCCCTCCAATCAACCCCACATCCACCCAGTCATTTCTCCCTCCACAGGCTGGCCTATCAATTGCCTATTTGCTTCATGAGAGATAAAACTGCTGAGAAGTGGATTGGATTCGATTGTTGAGACTGCCTAAAATGCAGGCTGCCTCCAACTAGGGAAGGGACTGAATTCCAAAATGTCATAGTTTTCCACTTGAGCAGGGTGTTCAAAAGGTAATTAGGTGATGCTGGGAAAAATGCATGGGACCTGGAGTCCTGCTGACCTGGGTTCAAGTCCTGATTCTGCTAAGTTGTGTCACCATGGGCAAGAATATCATCTCTCCTTCCAGCCCAGGGTCCCCTGGGGATCAGCTGGAATTGCAGACACAGTTAGGATTTCTCCGGGGAGGGCGAGTTGCTAATTATGTTTTCTTGCCATGGGAGGGACAGGACAAGTGAGTCCCTTTTGGGGACCATCACAGCCACTATTAGAAGAAAGACTAAGCAAACAAGAGGGAACTGGGAAGTGGAAAGAAGCCCTAAGCTTAAGAGGAAACCCCCAACCCAGGAAAGGAGGATCCTTGGTACAAGATCTAGGAGAGTGTAAACTGCTCCCAAGAGGTGCTTCCAAGGACCGTTCACTTATTCTTCATTCAACAAATATTTATTGAGCATCTATTATGTGCAGGCACTGGGAACAAGATAGAGAAAAAAACCTTGCTTGGTGGAGCTCACATTGTACTGCAATGGGTGGAGGTAGGAAGAGAGCAGAAAATAAACATAATTAAGTGGTAAATATTAGAAGGTAATAAGTGCTAGGGGGGAGATGGAATACTACTGCGAGGGGCTTGCAATTTTAAACTGGGTAATCAGAGAAGCCCTCATTGAGAAGGTGAGATTTGAGCAAAGACTTGAAAGTGATGAGGGAGTGAGCCTTGAGCATGCCCAGGAGAACATAACAGGCAGAGTGGAGCCAGTGCAAAGGCCCTGAGGCAGGAACATATGGAATGCAGTGAAGAATTAGCAGTGTGGCTGGAGCTGAGGGAGCAAAGGGGAGATTAGTAGGAGGTAAAGTCAGAGAGGTAATGAGGGATCAGGTATAAGAATCTGGTGGGCTTTCACAGGGACTTGGCTCTTTCCTCTCGGTGAGATGAGATGCCATTGGAGGCTTCATTGGATAGATATGTTCTGACTTAGGTTTTAAAGGATCCCTCTGGCATCTTGCTGAGCCTATATGGCCAGGGATCTGGAATAGATACGGAAGACCAGTGAAGAAATGACTACAATAATCCATATGAAGAAGACGGTGGCTGGGGTCAGTGTTTTTTCTGCAGTAGTGATGAGAGGTGGCCAGATTATGGACTTTTATTGAAGGTAGAATCAACAGAGTTTTTGCATGGATTGGCTATGGAGTGTGAAAGAGAGGGGCCAAGGATGACTCCAAGGTTTTAGGTCTGAGCAACTGGGAGGCTCTTGCTGCCAATCACTGAGCTGGAACAACTGAGATGGGGAAGCATGTTTTGGAAGAGTCTTCTAAAGCTCAGTTTTTGAGATGCCAGTTAGATTTTGAGATGTCAGTTAGACATCTATGTTGAGATGGCAAGTGGGCAAGTGGGTACATGAGCCTGGAGTTCAGAGAAGAGATCAGAGCTAGGGAAATGCGTTTGAGAGATGATAGCATTTGGACAGTGTTTAAAGCCAGGAGACTGGATCTTCTGGGAGTAAGATGGAACGAACACCAGGCTAGTAACTAACTAGATTAAGGGTGAAAGTTGAGGAGGGAGGTAAGCTCCAGTGGCATTCTACCAGTGGGGTTTTAAATAAGAAGATGGCTCAATAGAAGTGCCCCAGCCTGGTGGACTGGCTTTTAAAATATAAAGTGACTGACAGCTCCAAGTTATTCATTTAGACACAGTGATTCATTTATTGTTTGTGCGTTTATTCATCCAGTCATTCCTCAGCTATTCATTCACTCATTCATCTGCTAAGCATCATTTTACTCCTGAGGAGGGTTGTTTCAAGATGATCCAAACATAAGCCTCTCCCTCAAGTGCACAGTCCAGAGGAAGGGATGCAGCAGGTACATTAGAAACTCTCATATAGGGGTATGGGGTGGAAGTGGCTGAGAAAGGAGACATCCTGACTGGGGAAAGGCATGTGTGCTCAGAGGATACAAGGCAAGCTGCACAGAGGGGACAGAGTTACTAACCAGGGAGAGTTGGGAGTGCATAGTGAGTAGACCCATCGGATAGACTCTGCCTGACCACTCACCAGCTGGGTGACCTTGGGCAAGTCCTTTCACCTCCCTGGTGAAACCGCAAATTGCAATCACTTTACAAGGTTGCTGCAAGAATGAAATGAGATGATGCATGTCCAGCACTTAGTATCTGGCACATGGTGGTACTTTGAATATCAGCCACATTTTCCAGGAACAGACGACACTGGTCTCCAGCCTCACTTGCAAAGATTGCCTCTGGAGACCCACTCACTGTGACTCTGACTACCTTTCCTCAAACAGCCAAGGCAAGGGATCCTGGGAAGGAGAGGGATGGGAGGTTGAAGTGCTCTTGAGGGTCCCAGGAGATCCCCCTACACTGAGGCCTTGGCTTCCTACCACCAAGCTGAGTGGCTACTTCAGAACCTAGAAATGATCCTGGAACCTAGAAATGCTACAGAAACCCAATTCCTGCTGAGTTCAGGCTTCTCTCTCTACAGTCCAGGGATAAATTTGTCTCTCCCTCCACTGCAGGGTCACTCACAGGATCCTGTCATCAGCTAGAACTGCAGACAGGGGGCTTCTGAGAGGATGGCTCAGTTAGGACTTTCTGCTCTGCAGACACACACACACTCGTGCCAGAGGCTGAGGCTTGGGAGAAAATTCCTAACAAGCAGACAGTAAGCCGCTGCTGAAATCTGCAGAGAGGACAGACCAGACAAGCCACAAATCTCCATGGCAGGCTGTGAGCTCCTGCGGTCTGGGCTTGTTAGTTTTAAAATAACACAGCAAGAAGTGAGATAAAGGGCTTCAGTGGGAGAAGCTGTCAGACACCTTGCTTCACACTTTTGGGGCCACCAGAGGGGTCTCCTTGTCTCTCCTCCTGGGTTACAGAAACTGAGATTGCCAGCTTGGTCAGTTGCATTGTTGCCAGATCAGAGTGAGAACTTGTCAGAGCTGGGCCAGCCTTTGGGGAGCATTGAGTCCAAGCCTGGAGAAACTGAGGTCCAGTAGGGGCGAGTGCTACACTCAGGGACACTTGGTGAGTTAGGGGCTAAGAAAGGACCATCAGCTCTGTTTGTCTGCAGCACAGTGGATGCTGTTGGTCAGATCCTAGATCTCTTTCCAGATAGGTGGGAATGTTGGCTGCAAATGCCTCAGGGATGCCCCTTCCAGAAGATTTTGCCCACTCCTGGTGGGATGTGGGGAGGGAGGCCCATAGCCAATGACTAGCTGACATAGGAGTACAAAAGACCTGCCCCCTTGCCTCAAGGTCAGACCAATTCTATGGTGGAATCCACATTCCAGAGCTCCCCTTAGGATCAGGCTGAGGCTTGAGTCCAGTTGAAACTATATCTTTTCTTAGCTTTCTTCCCCTGTCCTATCCTGCTTCCTCACTCCCTTTCTCCTATCTCAATAAGTCACATGCACGCAGACCTCTATCTCAGGCTTTCTTTCTTGTGAATTCCATCTAAGACATAGACCCACACCATGTTTTCCTCTATCAAACTATTAATACTAAATGCAAAATGATGGTTAAGTATTTAACCATCACTTGCAGAAGACAGATTAAGTGACTCCCCCAAGATCACTGCTTGAAAATGGCAGAATCAACATTTCAGCTCGAGTCTGCCTGATTCCTAAGCTTCCAGGGTCTCCTAGTTATTTGGTCCCTGCCCCTTGTCAACAGAGAAACTGGATTGTATTAACTGGAGTCAAATAGACCTGGGTTTGAATCTGCTTTGCTGCTTCCTGGCTGTGTGACCCACAGGAAGTTCTTTAATATTATCAAGACTTAGTTTTCCCATCTGAGAATGGGAAATGTTATCAGAGATGTTAATATTACCTGCTTCATAAGGCAGTTATAAAATGCATATTTCCCTGTTGCCTAATAAATGTTCAATATATGTTTGATGATGATGATGGTGATGGTGATGATGGTGATAATGTTACTGATGATGATAGTCATGGTAATAATGGTGAGGATGATGATGATGATGATGATATTGAGGATGATGGCAGGATGAATAGAGAGGGTGGTCTATACCAACTCCACCAATCAGCACAGAGTTCTCAGAAGACTCCAACTCTGCAGCTCCAGCACCAATCATCAGCAAGCTCTCAAATCCACCCTTTCCATTCAACCTCCTTTAGGCTTATTCCGTAGGCTCCATCCTTTGTCATTATCATTCTTCTCTGACAAAGGATTCTCCATGGGAGAGAGGGAGCTCTGGAGAGAGGAGATGTCTGGCTTTATGCAAAAGTGGCCATTTCTCAATGCCAACCCAGGCATCCAGCTGTTCCCACCTGTAGGAAATGCCTCCTCCACAGTGATTCTGAATAAGGAGTTGATAGGAAATGTCTGTCCTTCCGTTGGGACTTTTATCTGCCTTTTAAAAGTCAAACCCATTACCTCAGGATTGTGGGTTTATTAGAGAGCTTTATCTTTATTAGGCAGTCAGCTTCATGATTATCTCCTACCAATTGGTGGGTTCCCCGTGGCTCCAAAAGGACTTGGGGTGGTGCGGTGGGTTTCGGCAAAAACAGACTAGGTCATCTTGGCACAGCACCCTCCCGACCACATGGGCAGAGGGTCTATGCTAAGATGGGCTCTCATATGGGCTCTCTTTAAACTGCATGGCTTCTCTGTTGATGAGGGGCAGGGACTGAACAACCAGGAGACACCGGGGGCTTGGGAATCAGGCAGACTCGAGCTGAAAAGCTGATCCTGCCATTTTCAAGCTGTGATCCCGGGCGAGTCACTTCATCTCTCTTCTGCAAAACTGGGATAACGATAGTGTCCAGCTCCTGGAGATGATGCACGCAAAGTGCTTAACACCATTCCTTGTGCAGAGTAAGCACTTAATCAATGTTAGCTGTCACTGTAATTGTAATTATTCATTGTAAATAGCCTTTGGGACCTAGTCTTCCAACCTCTCTGGCTTTGTTCAAGCTGATCCCTCTGCCCAGAGTGCCTTCTCTACCCTTGTCTGTCAGGAGAAGCCTCACTCATCCTTCATATCTCAGCTTAACTATCCCAACCTCCTTTTGTGGCCCCCCACTTATTACCCACCCCCACGCCCCCCAAAAGGAATCAATTCTTTACTGCACTGTGTTCCAGCATCTCTTTGTGAATCCCTCCAAGACATCACTGGTGGCCTTGGGCAAAGTCCTTCAACTATTTAAGCCTCGGTTTTCTCATTTTAAAGATGAGGATGATAATACCTTACGTATTGCAGTAGCTATGGGAAATATACATTAAACTAAGCACAATGTTTTATTATTATAATTATCATTGCAATTATTATTGAAGGAGGCTCAGTAACTTCAATATAAGAAATAATTTCTGCTTGGTGAGGAGCCCTGTGGATTATTCTTTCCCAATCACCGTTGAGGGGGGTGCATGACTTTTAATTTGCCTGGAATCCTTTGCGGAACCTGAAGTCAGGGGACTGGCCCCAGTGACCTCTGATGAAGCTGTCCAATTCCAGGACTTTTGTAAGTCAGATTCTTCTCTGGATGGAAGTCATCCCCATCATTTTATCTCCTTCTGAGTATTGTGGGGCAGCACAGTAGGGCCCAGAACCTACCAATGTGGCCCATAATCCCCCAATTTAAGGATGAGAGCTGTCATCTCCCAACACAGCAATTATGTTCAAAGGCTGAAGCATGGGCCTACCAACTTCCCCAGCTCATTGTGTCAGAGTAAAGGGACCTCACATTTATTGAGGACCTAGTATGTACTAAGCACCTCATCAGACAATTAAAACCCATCATTTCATTTAAGTCCCATAGTAAACTCTTGAGGTGGGTATTGTAAGAGTCGTTTTTAGATGAGAAAACAGGCTCAGAGAGGTGCAGTGGCTTGCCTGAGGACACGCAGTGAGCAAGTGAGGGAGCCCAGTGTTCTCAAGGAAAGGTGGCTGCGTGTGCCTGGTCTCCAGACTGAGCATGGGCCCCACTCCAGACAGACCTGTGTCTACACAGTTTTTGGTATAATTATGTCTCTTTCCACTGCGGATCATGTCTCTGCATCCCCCATGCTGACTGCTATTCCATCTTCTCCCTATTTCCTCTCCTATGCCCAGTTCCCAGGCTGCTGTCTGCACAGTCTATAGACTGAGACACTCAGTCAATCAGCCAGCTTCCTCCGACAGCTAAAAAAACACCCCATCGACCAATATTCCCTCCAGCGCGTTTCTGGGGACCATGAAACCTCACTAATTTGGAATTTGCAATGATTTCTGACACAGAACTTTCATTTCTCATTCCAATAAAAAAAAGTCCGAATGAAATGTCATTACATGGACCTCTGGGAGCTTCTGAGCCAGGCCCTGGCAGGCAAAAGGCCCTGTTTCCACTCCTTTTTCCTCCTTGTTCCTTCTCCTGGCTTCTTTCACCTGCCTCTATCTCTATGGTTGGATTTTATGACTGACAGCACCATTGTCAATGCTGTTATTCCCACTAGTTACAGTGGATATTCGTGGAGCACCAGCTATGTGCTGGGTACTGTTCTAAGTGCTTTGCATGTGTTTGATCTTGTCATTCTCATGGCAATTATTAGAGGCTGGTACAATGATCAATCCTGTTTTACCAATGAAGAAACTGAGGTCATAGGAGATCCCATTAAAAGGTGGTAGAGAAGGAATTTGAACCCAGACGATCTGACTCCAGAGTCCATGGTTTTAACCCTTTCACCATAGTACACCTCTTGGGGTGGACACCATGGGAACCACGCGTAGATCCTCCAGCCCCAGCACTGCCTCCCACCTTGGGCATCTGAGAGCAACACATAATGGGGCAAGAAAGCTTTGTATCCTTCTACAGCTGTGAGATTGGTGTTTAGAGTTGGGGTTTGGAACTCTACCTCCAGACTTCAGTCACAATGGACACTGCTGAGTGAGATCCTTCAAAAGAAATCGGTGGCAAGGACTTTGAGAGGGATCTTTTCTAGGCTCAAAACTCTGGGGGTATTCGTTGCCCTTAGGGATCAACCATCTAGCCAAAGCTCTGGCTTCTTCCTACAGCTATTTTGATCTATATGGCTGATACAGATAAGAAACACACAACCAGAAAGCTGTGCACCAGCCCACTCCCTCTTCCCCATGAAGGGGCCCTGCTGCATCCTTCTGCATAAGCCCAGACTGCACTTGCCTCTGTGAATGTACACTATGGCATCCTCCTTTTCAGGGAGCAAAACATCAACCACTCTGGTTGCTCTAGAGTATAGTTTGAGTAGAAGAGGCCATAACATTCAGAAAAATTCATGGCTATGGCTTGGTTCCACCAGTTACCTATTTGGCTGGTGGGGTGAAGACAGAGTCTTGTTTCCCTGTACAAATATTTCTCAGCCCCTGGTGGTGGGACCTGTGGCTGAGACAAGGGTTGGGAACAGGATGGAAGCAAAGCACTTTAGATGGATCAGACATCTCTCAGCCACAATGAAACTGCCTCTCTAGGAACTGCATATTCATAGCCATATTTTTACTTGCGCCCAACTAAGAATATCCAAATAAGTATATAGGGTGTATCCTTTTGTGTGTGTGTATGAGGGACGTGGAGCCTGGACCCAGATGTTTTCAATATCCAGATGTGCCATACAGGCAGGTTAGTTACGTTGAGGGTGGCCCTGTAATCCATTGTTCAAACTGGGATGCTTTGGGGAACAAAAAGGATGTTAACAATAAGTGCCTAGGTGTTTGGCCTTCCTGGTCATCTCTTTTTCCTAAAGAGGCTTGAGTGTTCTTTCTACCTCTCCACATGAAAGTCCCACAGGCACCTCAAACTTAATGTGACCAAACGTCAACGTGTTACCTGCCTTACAAAGTGTCCTCTAGCTCTACCGGCTTCCTACTCATCCAAGCAGCAGCCTGGCCACCACCCTCCATCCTCTTTCTCTCACTTTCTTGCCCATTCTGACTCCAAAGCATCTCAGCCTCCATCTCCATTGCCACCTCCTGGTCCAAGCCACCACCGTCTCTCACCCAGACAACTGCAGCAGCCTCCAGAGCAGCTTTTAGCTTTCACCCTGACCCTGGCCAGCCTGATGTCCATGCAGGAGACAAAGCTGTTTTTCCAAAATGCAGATTGGATCATGTTATTCTCTTGTGCAGAGCCCCCAAAAGCAGGTCCAAACTTCTCAACATGGCTCTCATGCGTCTTCAATTTCTGGCGTCACCTACTTCTCTAGGTTTGTCATTCTCAGCTGCTTCTCACTCACCATGCTCAAACCATCTGAAGGCCTTGCAGTACTCTGAAAAGTCCCAGCATCTTGGCTGTCTTTGTTCTTTCTGCTAGATGCAGCAGAACATGAAACTCAAGGGCATGGCCTGGAGCCAGACTGCTGGGTTCAAACCCCAGTGCTGCCACTCTGTGACCTTGAGCAATTGACTACCTTTCAGGGCTTCAGGTCATCGTATGTAAGATGAGGGTAATAATAGCACCTACCTCACAGGGTTATTGCAAGGATTAATGGTGAAAATATGTAAAGCTGTTGGAATAGTGCCTGAAATAGTAAGTGCTCTGTGTTTGCTAATTAAAAAATGGCATTGGCCAGCCTCAGTGGCTCACGCCTGTAATCCCAGCACTTTGGGAGGCCAAGGCAGGTGGATCCACCTGAGGTCTGGAGTTTGAGACCAGCCTGGCCAACATGGTGAAACCTCATCTCTACTAAAAATACAAAAATTAGCCCAGCGTGGTGGTGGGCAGCTGTAATCCCGGCTACTCGGGAGGCTGAGACAGGAGAATCGCTTGAACCCAGGAGGCGAAGGTTGCAGTGAGCCAAGATCGCACCACTGCATTCCAGCCTGGGCAACAAAGAGCAAAACTCTGTCTCAAATAAATAAAGAAATAAATATTTTTAAAAACTGGCATCATTCACCTTGCCTCCTTCAACTTGATCATCTCCTGCCCATTTTTCAGATTTCAATTCAGATGTCACCTCTTTCAGGAAGCCTCCCCTGACTATTCAGCCTGTTGTGTCCCTTCTTTGTGTGCACAATCCCCCTCCATTGCAATTCTCTATTTTGCCCCACCGGACTATGAGAATTTTGAGGCATAGCCTGAGACTTCTGCTCCATTTTATCCTCAGCACCTAAGAAAATGATGGGCCCTCCATCCGTCTTCAGTAAACATTGGTTGAATGAGAGAACCAACTAGAGAAATAGCCCAATCAAGCCAGCAAGGGAGAGGTTAACTAAGGGGGCAGGCAGCAGATGGCAGTGTATCTCACTATCAGTGTAGCTACAAATAGTCCACTGGAGGCAATTCCTGAATCTCAGTACACTGGGATATGTAATACATATTTCTTCAAGATAGGCAGGTACTGAAGGGCAGATGGGTTTCCGCAGAGGATGCTGCACACAGAAATAGTGCATGACTCTAGTCCTCATATCCTGCTGTGATGTCCAGTTGTTTGCCTGCCTTCCCCTCTCACCTTCCAGAAGAGGTAGCTCCTCAGTTCCAGGGTGCAGAGGACAATAGAATCCCTCTGTTTGGTGTTCAGGAGTTCTCTTCCCCTGCTCTCTTCCCTCTCCTCTCCTCCAATATTCACCTTCTACAGCAGTCAGACTGTGATCTCAGAGGGCTGGGTTCAAATTCCAGCTGTGCCACAGACTTGCTATGTGATCTCAGGCAAATGAATTTCCCTCTCTTTGCCTCAGTTCCTGCACCTGTAAAATGGGAAGTGTAATAGCGCTTGCTGTGTAGGGCCGTAGTGAGGATTCAATGAGGTGATGCACTTTGTAATGTGCATGGCTTATGGCAATAGCTCAGTGATGCTTTGCAGGACATAAAAAATAACCCCAAATTCTACGTCTTGTCTGTGCTGTTCTGCCCACTTCAAATGCCTTCTCCCTGTGTCTCTGCATGGCCAAGTCCTATTGATTGGATCTTCTCTGTGTATTTAGATGCCCAGCTGCTGTTATCTCCTCTAGCACAAATCCAAGCTCACTGTAGGCACCTAGCAATGTTCTGGGCAGCTGCACTGTCAGCTCAGCTCTGAGGACAATAGTTCTGAGTCCATTTTCCAAAGCACCAGCTGACCAGCAAATGTCCCTGGCCATCTTGGGAATGGGACCATTCCCTTATATGCAGCATTAGACATAAGAATTCTGGGGCAAGTAATTTATTTGTGACATGATCCTAGGATGCTCTGGTAAGGACATTGGGAAGGGAAACAGGGAAGAAAGCCAGTTACTGCTGCAGGTGGCTGGAGCTTAATATCTCTGGGGAATCCTGGGAACCTGTGCAGGCTATAGACCTCAGAATTGTTCCACCTAAGCACCAGGGAGCTGGGATATTTATCCACCAGCTCCCATCAGTCATTAGTTGAAGGCTGCTCCAAAGAGACAGTAATTCTTGCCTTGTGTATGGCAGAAATCAGGGAAGGCTTCCTGGAAGAAGTGATGCCTATATTAAAATCTGAAAAATGGACAGGAGGTGATCAAGCTGAATGAGGCAAAATGAAAATGCTCCATGACCGGAGTACACTCAGGTAAGGAGTCGCAGGTCCCATGAGTTAGAAGTCAAGCTGGTGTGCTCAGAAATTGTGGGTGGTTGGGGGGAAATGGGCAGGTCAGTGACAACACTGGCTACTTTGGCTGTGCCTGGGAACTGAGTAGGGTCTGAAGGGCTGCAGCACATGGCTGTGCTCCAGAAAAAAGATCAACTGCCCAACTGCCCTGGAGCTTTCACAAGGGGGGTCCTGAATTGAAGGAAACACCAGACTTCACTCCCCTTATCAAATCCTCCTCTCCTTCCCCGCTTTCCTTCCTATGTTCTTTCTCTCCTTCCTCAGATCTTTCTTGAGCTTCTGCTCTGCTAAGCAGTCTTAGGGCATAAAGATCAGGCAGAATGCTAAAGTCCCCAAGTCCAAACCCTTCTCCATATAAGGCTCAGAGAAGGGACCTGACCTGCTCTGGGTCATATAGCCAGTGAGTGGCAAAGCAGCAAGCAGAGCCCTGCTTTTCTGACATCTTGTGCTTCAGGCTACACTGGAGGGCTCTTCTGGAGACTCTGTCACTGCTCACTCTGCCAGAACTGCTTCCCCTGGCTGGAGGCCCAGGGTGGGGCTGGCTCCAGGATGAGGAGGTCAAACGGGGCTGCTGGGTGCAGGGCTGGCAGCAAGTGAAGCCTTCATCTCATCACAGCGCCCGCGGGGCTGAATCACCAGCTAGGATGGCTTGGCTCAGCATTCAAATGCATCCTTATGCACTGCAACAGTCTGAGGAAGAAAATAGGATTTTGCCTTTTGTTGCAATTTAAAAGAAGGGGGGGAAATCACGAGCACATTCTCCTTCTCGCTAGAGAGCAGCCCATTTGAGAAGATCAATCAAAGGTTTTCTGCCAAAGCCCCTACAGGTCCACATTTTCCCAAATTACACTGGCTGAAAGGAAGATGGGAGATGCTAAGAAAGAAATGATGAGGCCAGCGTGGTGGAGGCGGGGATGGGGGGTGGCTTTACATCTAATGGAAGAGGAGGAGGGACAGAGGCTGGACAGGGTGTGGGACTTCTCTTTGTGGAGGGTCTTGGCTCTTGTTCAAAGGAGCGGCTGAGCCCTTTAGAGGCCCCTGCTGGGAGTTCAGCCCACTCTCTGTAACTCCTGCCGAATAATGAGGCTGATCCTGGGACCCACAAGTCCAAGCCAGGAATGCTACA
Source organism: Homo sapiens (assembly GCF_000001405.40). Lineage (NCBI taxonomy): Eukaryota > Metazoa > Chordata > Mammalia > Primates > Hominidae > Homo > Homo sapiens. The sequence continues at coordinate 119,082,092 of NC_000012.12, read as the reverse complement.
AACTCGAGAAACAATCTCTCCCTGCAGAACAACCCAGTGGCTGTCAGCTACTGTGTGGCGTGCTGATCCGTCATGATCAACTGTAAGCTCTGTCATGGCTTTGCTACTAATGATTATTAAAGACTAAAATTTGAGAATGGTTTCCAATTAAAGTAAAGGTATAAATACATGAATCTTCATCATCTCCGTTAATGGCAGCTCTTGTTAGCTGTTCTGGTGGTAACCTTGGTGTTGTCCTTGACTTCTCTCTTTCAGACCCCAGTTCTGACCTATCAGCAAATCTAGATGCTAACTTCAAAGTACATTCAGAATCCAATCACTTCTCTCATGTACATGGCTAGCGCCCTGGTCCAGGCCCTCATCATCTTGCACCTGCATTATTGCAAAGGCCTCCTAATGGGTCTCCCTGCTTCTTGCCTTCCTGCATCCTGTTCCCCAGAAGGCGGCTGGCGGGATCCTACTCAAATTAAGCCACATCATGGTGCTGCTCCAGTCAAAGCCCTCTGATCACTTCCCTAAAGCCAAAGTAACTACAAGGTCTACACAGTCCGGCCCCTGTTACCACTCTGACCTCACTTCCTGCTCCTTTCCCCTTGTTCTCTCCACTCTGGTCCCACAGGTCTCTTTGCTGTTCCCTGATGCACCAGTTACACTCCTGCCTCAGGAGTTTTGCACGGGCTGTTCCCACTGCCTAGAACACTCTTTCTCCAAATAGCTACAACTTCCTTACTTTCTTCAAGTCTTTGCTCAAATATGACCTTTTTAGTGATACGTGTTCCCTGACAAGCCTATACAAACGTGATTTAAAATGGTACTCCCTCCCCAATGTATGTTTCTCTCCTCCTGCTTTATTTCTGTCTATAGTATTTATTACCCTGTAATATAATATGATCATTTACATATTTGTGCTGTTTATTGGACGAGCCCCTTACTCCCACTAGAATCTAAGTTTCATTAGGGTAGAGGTTTTTGGTCTGTTTCATTCACAGCTATTTCTCGGATCTTTGAATAGTGCCTGGTATACAGTAAAGGCTCAATTAATATTTGTTAAATGAACAAGCAAATGGATTCCAAATTCCTTCTATGATAAAGCTCCTCACCCTCAGTTGTGTTCTGTTATGCTTTCTTAAGCAGGAAAGAAAGGTGCGGATTGGGGCTTGTGTGCTCAGAATGTTAACATCATGTGACCTTGGGTTTATGCATGGGGCTATGTTATGTATGTAAACATCACCTGTTATACGTCTGGACTCTTGAAAAAAGAGAGATTGAAGACTAACGAATGAGTAGATTTAGGGCACTTCACAGCCTTTGTTGCTGTGTGGCTTTGAAGCTGTTGCCTGCTCTCGCTCTGAGAGATAGCTGAGAAATAATGCAATGGTAATTGCTCCCAGAATGACTTTGGTTCAGGTCCTGGCTCTGCCACCCCTAGCTGAGTGATTTTGACTAAGGAACTTAACTTCAGAAACTTCTGTTTTTCCCACGTGCAACATGGGAAGAAGGAGCCACATGGTGGGAGAGATGACACACATGAGTGTGAGCTTTGGAATTAACATCAGGACTTGAGTCGAGCCACTTACTATCTGTGAGTTTCTCTTTCATAACCTTAAATGTTTATAACCTAAGACCATTGTTGTGAGGATTAAATGAGTTATCACATAGACAATGGTGTGGAAATAATAACAGGTAATACCTTAGTACTTATATTCTAGTCATTGTTCTAAGTGCAATATATATATGTTAATTATATAATTATATTATACATAATTTAGTGCTCACCACAATGCTGTGAAGACAATATTTTTTCTCCTATTTTAAAGGAGAGGAAACTGAGGCACAGTGTGGTTAAGGAATTCACCTGAGGTCACGACACAGCAAAGCCAGGTTTCAAAGATGTAAAACCAACCCTTCCTCCTTCCTCCCTGAGTAGAACCACCGAGGTCCCAGAGATCCCGACACCTGTCATACCAGCTAACAAAGGTTAGGGGTTAAGACAGGATGACACCCCACGTTTTCCAGGCATGGATGTACATCTTTAAGAATCAGAGTTCTCCTGAGCATTTGAGTGGAGAGGGGCACCGGTAGCTGAATTCGGGTTGATTAAATCAAGGAGAAAATCAATTAAATTTAAATAAAGAAAAAGATTGGAAATCAGGCACAATGCCTTCTTAATTACAATGCCCAATCACTGGCTGAAAAAAAAAACTTCAGAATATTTCATTTCATATACGGCCTTGTATATCTGAAATGAGAGGCTTCTAATGAAATGCACATTACCCCACTTGACTAGTAATTGACTAGGCGATCCCAACAGTTTCATGGGTGGAAAGGATCGGGCATAATAACCAGCACTTTTTAAGGATGTGACAACATAGGATGCTTCGGGGGTTTACAGTGGGGTAGCTGACCCCCAAGTCCTCTTTCCTTTGCAGTACAACTCACAACTCTCCCGACAAAGTGTGCGACCACAGGGCAAGGCTAAGTGTGCAATGCGGCAGGTGAACATGAGTAAATGGCTTTTCTCTGCAGTTTAGAGTCATTGCAAACACACGAGGCTGGGGAAGATCACCAGCAATCAGAGACCAAATGCCTCAAAGAAATTGCTCTGACAAGTATCCCTGCTATTCAGATCTTGGACTGTAGCCTTCTAATTGGTCTCTCTGTCTCCCATCTCTCTCCTGCCAATCTTTCTTGTCCACTGCAGCTAGGACCGTCTTTATAAAGCATACCTCACTGAGTCACTTTCATGATTAAAATCCTTTGGATTCCTCTTGAGATAAGAAGAGTTCAGACTCCCGACTGTGGCTCAGGAGGCCAGACACGATCCAGTCTCAGCCCATCATTTCTGAAGTTCTTGTTTCCTCCTTCTGTATCCTTGGTTCCAAGAATACCAACCTGATAGTGCCACCCCAAATCTTTCTTGCTGTCATGATTTCATGTCTTCACATATGAAGTTCCCTCCACCTGCAACACCTTTCTCTCCCATCCCTAATTCACTCACACCTGCATCACATCCTCCTGGACCACCCCCTCACCTGGCTGGGTGTGCAGCCCTTCTCCTGTGCTTTTGGTCTGTTTTGTCCACAGAATCTAACACAGCGTCCAGCCCAGAGTGCGTCCTTAAAGATGTGCTTTAAGGTTTTCACCTTTTTATTTTTTATTTTTTTGATACAAGTCTTGCTCTGTTGCCCTGGCTGGAGTGCAGTGGTGTGGTCATAACTTAATGTAGCCTTAAATTCCTGGGCTTGAGTGATCCTCCTGCCTCAGCCTCCAGAGTAGCTGGGACTACAGGCACATGCCACTACACTTGGCTAAATTTTGAATTTTAAATTTTTTTTTGTAGAGACGGGGTCACACTACATTGCCCAGGCTTGCCTCAAACTTCTGGGCTCAAGCAATCCTCCTGCCTTGGCCTCCCAAAGTGCTGGGATTACAGGCATCAGCCATCATGCCCAGCTTAAAGGCTTTGTGGAATGAATGACTGTAGATTTGCCAGTGATACTGGATGATGTATAGCCTCCCCCTTGCAAGATGAGGCATCAGCAACACCATCTTTCTCTCAGGATGCTTTCTTGCCTTTTTGACTATGAATGAGTGTGATTAGGCTCACTGTCTCCTTATTCTGGCCCTTTAAGGATATGTGCAGCAGTGACTAGGGCTCTTAGAAATGAACACCATTGATTCAGTTGTCCAGTCATTCAGACATCCTGCCCCCATTAATTGTGCACCTGTAATTGCCCAGCATCAAACTGGGCACCTGAGCTTCAGGAAGCTGACTAAGGTGGTATCTCTGCCCCATGATAAGTTATAGCTCAGTACACAACTAGTGGGCAAATGGATGCTTATAATACCAGGACATAAGGGTTGAATAGAGTCCCTCAATGATTCCTTTTATAGAGGAGGGAGCTGAGGCTATATGCTATAGTTTTCCCAAAGTCATGAAAATGATATCCAGTAGACACGTGAATAACGTACATCCCACCTGCCACTCCTCAAGCTGCTTATGTTGTCTTTGGGTAGAGGAGGGTCTTCAGAACCACCCACAGGCAGACCCAGTGAATAAGACCTCAGCTGGATATGCCTAGATGCATTTGAGCATAGTTGAGGCTAGGATTTGAGCTAGTGAGAGGCAAAGTGACTCCATGAAGTGAAGATTGAGAGATCAAGAACCCTATATGTGGGGCATCTGGAAAAGGTCCACTTTATAGTGTTGGGGAGAGAGAAAGTTCCCCTAAAATCACTCTTATTGTCTGTAGTTTATGGAAGGTAATTGTTGGACCACTCATTAAATTCATTCCTTCATTTGTTCATTCATTGAACAAATATTTATGGGATAGCTACTGTGTGCCAGATAGGGTACTAAGAGCTTTGTAGACATTTTCTCACTTAATACATAACCCTTGAATTAAAGTTGATTTTAAGATATTATTATAATTGCTACCATGTTGCAGATGCGGAACCAGAAGTCAGAAAGGAAAATAACTTGCCCAGCTAGTTATCATTAATAATAATGATAATAGTTGACATTTTGGGGTCATTTATTACATGCCCAGCACTGTGCTAAGCTAATATGACAAATTTAATCCTCTCAGTGAAGTTATGAGGTAGGTACCATTAATTTCCCACCTTACAGATGAGATGATTGATGTTCAAAAAGATAAAATAACTTGCCCAAGGTCAACAGCTGGTACATGATAGAGCCAGAATCGTAAGTGTGTTAATTCCAAGTCTAGTATTTCTCAGTGTGGCCCATGGATCACTTATATCAAAATCACCTAGGACAGTTGTGTGAAATGAAAACTTCTGGGCCCACATCAGACCCCAGGATTTGAAGGCAAGGCACAGGAATCTTCATTTATACAACGTTCCCAGGTGATTCTTACACTTTCTAAAGTTTGAGAATTTTATTGCCATTCTGTAGGTAGGGACCCAGTAGCTTTCAACATAAAATAAATATCCCATTTGACTTTATCACTCAACTGATTTGGAAAAGCATACTGAAGGGAGAAAATCAGTGAAACTCTCCCTCGGTCTCAGGAGAACTGCAAGAGATATACAACAAAGACTCCAAAGGCATTTTGATGCCAGTACTCCAGCAGATGTGTTTACGCAAGTCAGTTTGATTACAGGTGCTAAAAATACCCCCTTTAAATTTAGGAGCCCAGAACATTTCCCAGTGCTTTACCAAAAAGCAGTTTTTAAAAATTCTTAATTCTTTCCTAACCCCCACCTCCTACAAGTTATTAGTATTGATGCTGGAGCCCCAGAGTTTGCTATCGAGAATTATAATGGCAAATCATGGAGACATTTTCTCTGATTACAGAGATTCTGTGTGTTTGGCTTCCACCTCCCTGAGAGCGGTTCCTCTGAATCAGCAAAGCGCCAGCTGTACTCTTGCACTTCCTTGGGGTGGTTGAATTTCAGATCTCGACAACTTCCCAAAATAAATTTTCTATTCAGTGTGACCAGCCCTTACTTCTTTCTCCTCAAACGCTTTTATTACATTTCTTACTTTACAACTTTGATATCATTTTAATATATGAGAAGTTCAAAGACTTAATTCGCAGATGAGGAACTGAAGCAGAGAGAGGAGAGTAACTTGCCTGAAGAGACAAAGCCATGTGAATGGCAGGGAGGAGCCCAGGCATCCTGTGTCTGAATGCAGGGTTCTCCTGATACCACGCTTCCATCTCCTGGAATTCTGATCCCCATCACCTATTAGCTTACAAGTTTAGGCAAATAACCCTCTCAAAGCCATTTTTTTTTCCATCTGTAAAGTGGGTATAACAATACTGTCCACTTCAAAGGGTGATTGTGAGAATTAAATGAGTTAATCCATGCAAAATGCTAAGCACAGTGGCTGGTATATAGTAAACCCTCAATAAATGGCAGCTGTCATTGTCATCACTGTCATTATCATCATCATTGTCATCATCATCATCATTATTCCCATTGTCATCATCATCATTCATTGTCACTATCCTCATCACCATTGTTATCGTCACCATCATTATTATTATCATTACCATTACTACCATCACCATCATCACTATCATCATCACCATCACCACCATCATCATCATCGCCACCATCACCACCATCATCAGCACCATCATCACCATCACCACCACCACCATCATCATTACCACCATCATCATCACCATCACCACCATCATCATCATCATCACCATCATCGCTACCATCATCATCACTACTACCATCATCATCACCACCACCATCATCAACATCATCATCATCATCACCATCACCATCATCACCGTTATCATCACCATCATCATCACCATCATCGCTATCATCATCACCACCATCATCACCATCATCATTACCACCATCATCATCACCATCACCACCATCATCAACATCACCATCATCACCATCTTCATCATCACCATCATCACCATCATCATCACCATCATCGCTACCATCATCATCATCATTACCACTATCATCATCACCATCACCACCATCATCAACATCATCATCATCATCATCACCATCATCACCATTATCATCACCATCATCATCACCATCATTGCTACCATTATCACCATCATTACCACCATCATCATCACCATCACCACCATCATCATCACCATCAGCACCATCATCATCACCATCATCACCATCATCATCACCATCATCATCATTACTGTCATCATCACCATCATTATCATCATCATCATCATCCTCACCATCATTACCATCATAATCGTCATCATCATCATCCAGTCCAGATCCCATGCTGATGCAATAAGTAGTTATTAATATCAGAAAATTATTAATTTTTTTTACTTTGCTCATTTTTTTAAATAAGAAGAAACAATATCTGGCACATTGTGTCAGAATATTTGTTAGATGTTTTGTGAATGAATAAGAAAGATCCAAAATGATGAACCTCATTCAAAGTTTTGAACCAATTAACATTTATTTCAATTGGAGCTTAGGGATGGTGACCACTGGTTTTTGACTTTCACCTGATCCATCAGACCTTACAGAAGGGACACTGGCCTCTATCACTGCTTATCCATCAGGGCTCACTCAAATCCCCGTTCCCTTGGAGTCCTCAATCCCACCTTCTGTGAGTGTCTTCCACATTCTTTGGCCTCATAGATTTTCTCTTCCATCTCACAGGAATTCATTTTTCTCACCAAGAAAGGTGAGGCACAAGAAAATGTCTAATATATCATGAGGGCAAGGACTGCAACTTGCCTTGTAGTTAGTGTGTCATATGTATGTGATGGGGTGAATTCATTGGCTTATTTTTAGGGTTGCATAGGGCTTTTAAATAATCTCCTAAGCCCCTAGACAAGTGGCTTCTATAACAATCACAGGGTCAGGGGTGTGGTGGTTTAAAAAATGTCATTGTGTAGGCTGTCTTTGATCGATGTCATCTCAGATTAACAAAACAGAATCTCTAGGGCAAGTAATAAGGTGCTGGTACTTTTTAAAAGCATCTCCTTTCTCCCAGCAATTTATTCTAATATAGAGCCAGAGGTGATACCTACTCTTTTCCTCTTCATATGTATATGTGATTTTCAAGCCCACCTGACTGGAAGCCCACTGGGTACAGGTCATATACTTGTCTTTGCATCTGTAGCCTTACCACAAGGCTTATAGGCACTTAATAAACATTTATTAAGTTGGGCAATAATCTTTTATACTAAACACCGTGACCCTTGTTGGCTCACAAAGATGGTGCTTCTGCCCCGTTTAACCTCTCAGAGTCTCAGTTGCTCTGTCCGTACACTGAAAAGAACATCTATTATTTGGAGCTATTTATGGTAAGCATTGAATGAGATAATGTGGGTAAAGGGGCCTGCATGGGGACAGGAACATCAGAAATACCCAGTAAATGTGATTTTTTTTTTCACCGTTTCCCTTTCCTAAGTCCATTGGCAAGCATTCAGAGGAAGGGAAGATAAGAAAGAGTATTAAGCCTAAGCAGGAGATTTTCATAATATCTGAAACTGCCACCCCTTGCCATCACCACCACCACCATTGGCAACAGCATTATTAATAATGAGCTCAAACTCTGTGCCAGGCTCTTTTAAAAACACTTTACATATATTATCTTATTTAAGTCAATGGAAACCCTTTCAGGTAGGTATTATAATGCAGTTTTCAGATGAGAAGTAGAGGCTCTGGCTGGGTGCAGTGACTCTTGCCTATAATCCCAGCACTTTGGGAGGCCAAGGAAGGCAGTAGAGTTTCTTGAGCCCAAGAGTTAGAAACCAGCCTGGGCAACATAGCGAGACCTATGTCTATTTATCTATTAAAAATTTAAAAAACTAGCAGGGCACAGAGGGTATGACTGTGGTCTCAGCTACTCTGGAGGCTGAGGTAGGAGGGTTGCTTGAGTCCAGGAGTTCAAGCCTGCAGTAAGCTATGATGGTGTCACTATACTCCAGCCTGAGCAACAGAGTGAGACTTTGTCTCAAAAAAGAGAGAGAGGCCGGGTGCCATGGCTCACTCCTGGAATCCCAGAACTTTGGGAAGCCGAGGTGGGTAGATCACTTGAAGTAAGGAGTTAGAGATGAGGCTAGCCAACATGGCTAAACCCCATCTCTACTAAAAATACAAAAATTAGCTGGGCATGGCAGGTGCCTGTAATCTCAGCTACTCGGGAGGCTCAGAAAGAAGAATCGCTTGAATCCAGGAGGTGGAGGTTGCAGTGAGCCATGATCTTGCCACTGCACTGCACTCCAGCCTGGGCAACAGAGTGAGACTCCTTCTCAAACAAACAAACAAACAAAAAAAAAAAAGAGGAGAGAGAGAGAGAAATAGAGACTCCAAGAAGTTATGTCACTTGTTCAAGGTCACACAGCAAGTAAGGAGTAGTGCCAGGATCAAACCAAATATTCTTAACCACTTGCCTCATATACATCCCTGAACTTCCCTGCTTTCCCCCAGACCAGGCAATTCATTTGGCAATCTAGTTCCCAGACTCAATTATTTCCTTAGAGCGTCACATTTTTTTTTTTCCTTTTCATGTGTTACACATGCCTCTTGTCTTGCCTGCTCACTCAGATCACCCAGTAGTGGACAACTTGGCTGTTAGCTGTTCGTCCTATCTCATTTCTCTGTTCTCTTTTGGAGGCAATGATGATTGTGAGCACTTTTGAATTCACCTGATCTAAATTCAGATCTGAGCTTTGACAGACTGTGTGACCTTTGGACAGACATCTTAAAGTATTGAGACCCAGTTATTCCTTCTGTACAATGGGGGTAGGAATCATGGCCAACTCACAGGGCAATTGTGAGAATTCATGCATGTGAAGTGCCTGGAATCTCAGGGAGGCTCAAAAACAAGCTAGTTAGTAGTGGTAGCAACAGAAGTTGTTCCTATTTGGAGAAGATAGCCTATCTGCCCAGAGGCCAGCCACCTGCCTATAACTGGAGCAGACTGGCTGGCTGGCTAGGACCTGGTGGTGTCCGACGTCTCTGTTCAATCTGCGGGTAAAACAGCCCCTGCGTAATGGACTGATTAATCTCCTTATCTCACGGAGCACACAGTGTAATTACATCAGAGAATTTAGATCCCCAAGCGCAACATCAATCAACTCAGAGAGAGCAGCTTCACCCTCCCTTCCCCAACAGCCTGGGGAAAAAAATAGATCTTCCCTCCCTGCTCCCTTTCTTCATCCTTCCCTCAAATGAGAGATCAGGACTAATAGTGCCTGGGCAAATGGCTGCCTGGGGAGAAGGTAGGGAAGGAAGGAGAGAGGAAGGGGCTATTTTTAGGTCAGCTACCTCCGAGGTTCTATGACAGCTGCCACACCCCCTTCCCCTTATAAGTCTGGCTTCTACTTGAGTTTGGAGTGAATAAGTAGGGGGAAAGGAATCCCATTTATTAAAATAGGATGGCCAGACAGAACAGCAATACCCAATATTCACAGTCATCTTTCACTGAATTCTTACTATTGTATCTGCAAAGGCATTATCTCCTTTTGTCCTCATGACAGCACTATGAGGAAGGTAGTACTATTATTAGTACCTATTACACAGATGAAGAAACTGAGCCTTGGAGAAGCTGACAGCGTCCCATTTGGTAAGTGGCAGAGGCAATGATCAAATGCTGCAGAGCTTTACTCTGAAACATGAGCTCGTATTTCTCACCTAAGACTCAGCCATTCACTTATCAAATAATTCATGGGCATGGACTGTGTGCCAGACACTGACTAGGTTCCAGGAAGGCAATGTCCTAAACACATGCAGCCCACCCTCAGAGATTTCAAAGTCTGATGGAGCAGATGTGTGCCAAGACCTTTGTTGAAAAGTAACAACAGTGACAACGGCGTGCGGCATGATGAATCTCACAGCTGCCATGCTGTGCAAAAGAAGCCACACAAGAGGTGGGATTCCATTTTTGTGAAGTTCTAAAACAGGAAACAGTCATTAGTTCTGGGGACTGGGGACTGATTAAGGAGAGGCCTGAAGGAATTCTTTCAGGTGACAAAGTGTCTTGTGTCTTAATGGAGGGTGAGTTCCAGGGGCTTGCATTTGTGCAAACTCATGGTATTGGTATTGTATACTTATTTTATCGTATGTAAATTACCCCTAAAATGTTGCAAAAAAATTAGAAAGCAAACAAATTACAATGATGGCAGCTGTTTACTGTGTGCTTCGTATGTGCTGAGTTGTTACAGGCATAGACAGATTTAATTCTCACAACCGCATTATTGGGGCTCAGAGAGGGTAAGCAACTTGCCCAAGATCGCACAGCTAGGAAAGGCCAAAGCTAAGATTCCAACACACATCTGTGTCTTACACGAAAATCTGTGCTCCCAACCACTGCTGTATCCTGCCTCCCGTTTTTTATTGTTCTCATACTAAGATTCATTTATATTCATTTATTTATCTCTCAGGCATTCAATGTTTGGTTGTGATGGGCACTAGGGCTACGTTTGGAATCATATGATTGAAACATACCCCAGACTTTGAGCTAAAGAAGCTACCAGGCTTGTGGGAGGACAAACATGTAAGTGATTGATCATATCACAGTGTAATATGGCCTGCCACGGAAAACCTGAGTCCTAGGGAGGACACACCTAAGCCCCCGTGGGAGAGGTCATACCCAAGCATCCAGCTTCATCAGCTCATAGCCAGTCCTGGTACCTCCCCGCTGTGTTTAATCTCTGAGCCTCAGAGGCAGTGGAGTAAAGACGGGGCAGATCTGGCATTTCTGAAATCAGGCCAGTGAGGACAAGTCCTAGGACCCTCACCATGAAGTCTGCTGTCATCTGGTTTTCATTCCAGGTGTCAGGGAAGCATGGCCCAGTCAGACTCCAGGGGAATAGTGGAACAGTGGACTTTGGACCATAAAACGGGATGAACTGAATAGATATGAAAGCAGCAGTTTCTTAGTCCATTCTATCTTTTATGAAGCCAGGAAAATGGTTTCTCATGCTGGTTTGGTGACCAACCAATTGTATGTGACCTAGGACATATCATGCCACCTTCTTGGCCTTAGTTTTCCTATTTATAGACTTGGTGGTCGCCTAAAACCTCCCCATATTAGACAGATAAAAATAGAGCTCTTCTGTGTGCGGCAGGGGGTGGTAATTTGGAGATCTGGGCACTCAACCTTCTCTTTGCTCCTCAAGGCAAAAGCTGAAATAGCTCCACAGAATATAGTTTGGAAATTGCAGACATGGGTGAACTCTAAGATGCCCCTACTCTAAAATCCGGGGATCTATAACTTAGAGGGCTGTGATCTGTGGTCTGTCCTGTTCACAACTGAATCCCTCATGCTTAGAACAGTGCTTGGCCCAATAAATAGACATTGAATGAACGTATGCTTGAAAGGCCTGTTCATTTAGTGGACAGGTAAAAAGTGGCTAGTTTTTTTTTTTTTTTTCTCACCTGTGTGAAGAAGCTTCTGGAAGGAAGGTGGCTGCAAACACATTTGCTTATACTGTAGAGTGCTTTTCATAAACTCAAATTCATTGCCAACATTTCAAAATCAGGTACTTCATGCACAAATTTTAAGAAGGATCAAGATTGGAAGCAAGGGACCTGCATTCCTCTCCCAAGGCAATCATCAGCTGGATCTGGTTAGCAGTGCCCCCGGCCCCTAACACCTCCCCGCAATTCACAACTCACGTTAGTCTCCACCTGGCTCACTCTACCCATTTATGGTATCTATATGACCCTGGTAGGTATTTAATTTTGAGATTCCCTGGTTTAAAGGCTAGTTTCTTCTGTTATCCTCCAAAGTGTTGGAAATGCACAGAGCTAGCCGTGCCTGGGTCTACGCTTGCCATGAGCCATAGCTTAAGTGATAGTGGGTAACCTGATGGTGGTTTTCTGATTCCAGGCACCATCTAAGAAATAAGGTGGCCTCCATGAAACTGGCCCAGAAAATGGAAACATTCATTCTTTTCTCTTACTTTCAGCCAAGAAGCAAGAGCACGGATTTACATCTCATTGGCTGAGGGTGCTCCAGGAATTTCTCACACAGGTCAGCACCCACATCCTCTAGTGGCTTGTAGGGAGGATGCACCCAGCCACCCATTTTCTCCTTTTGTACACAGGGGTCTTTGTTCCCAAGTTCTAAAATGTTGGCTCAGCTCCAGTCAGATTTAGAGAGTGCCATGCAGCTGATGCTGTGGCCTCCAGCTGCTAGGATTATATTTTAATCATCTAAATCCACGGCCTCCCAACGTGTGTCCACACCCCATGCTGGTCGAGCTACTTCAGAATCACGGAAGGCACTTCCCATAAATATGAATTCCTTGGCCCCACCCTTGGGGATTCTGATCTAATTGGTCATCGTGAAGGAGGGGTGGACTCCAGCATCTGTATTTATAAAAAGGTCTCCCGGCAGTTCTCACGCCCAGCCAGGGGCAGGAACCCCCGGTAACATGCTAAACCACTCACTTTGTTCCACTGTTTGCTTTCCATTCCCTTAATTGTTGACTTTACTATTTAGGGCTCTCCCGTTTCTATTTTTGCCTTACCTTGAACTTCCTTCAAGGATATCTCCCTAAGCCTGATGGCTTTTTTCTTGATTCTCTCCCTCAGCCACCTTGAATTAGATCTGTGGGCTTAGTGCAGAATCCCAAATTCCCTGTTCCCTGGAGCTACACAGGCAGGAAAAAGGACACCCCAGAGCAGTATCTTTGGGGAATGGGTTTAAAATAAGAATGAGATAAACCCCAAATCATCACTCGTCGCCCTCCCCTCCCGACGCCTCATGTAGGGATTCCTCCCAGACTCTAGACCTTCTTGTTTCTTTCTCCTTGCCATCCCCCGCCTCTCTGTTTCTAAGCCTCACCTTCCTTTTAAGATCAATTAGTGGGAACAAGTGTGCTTTTATCTCTTGGCTTTGGAAATCCATCACCTGTTTCTGACACCGAGATGGAGGTTGTTGGAAAGAATGAGTCCTGAGCAGGAGCAATAGAAGCTCTGTGGCATGCCAGTGTGGATTCCCGTGCCCAGGGGTCTGCGGCATGGGAGATAAATATCTAAAACTCCCCAAGCCATGGAAACAGCGGCTCTTCAAGGTGATTTCACATATGCACAGAAGGAGAAGAAAGTGGAGTTTGGATGAGGCGCCCCCACCCTCACTGCAGCTGCCCAGCTCTTCTCTTTGCTTGCTGAAGGGACCAAGTTAGAAAGAGAGAGAGGAGAAAGAAATTAGGCTGGTGGCAGAAGCAGTCTGCACGAAGACTGCCTTGGCTCCCTTTTTGTCCTGCAGCTCCCAGGCTGGGTCACAATAGTGATGATGATGGCTATGACAGTGATGACAGCTAACAGGTGTTCAGTGACTGCCACATGCTGGCTCCAGCTGAACATGGTTCTACGTGCTCTCCATGCATTTGAGTCTCACAACAGCTATGACACAGGCCCTAGGTTACCACTGCTATTACAGATGAGAAAAATGAAGCATAGGGAAGGTCAGAAACTTGTCCAAGCTCACAAAGCCAAGACGAGAAGGGGCCAGATGATTCTCAGTCTGAATCTGAAGCCCAGTATTTAAACACCAGGTTACGCTGCCACGGTCCTGGGCTCTGTCCCCACTTGGACATTCCTAGTGGACTTGCATTCTGTCAACATCTGCTAGGTAAGGTGTGTGCCACCAACCATTTGAAGAACTTGCAATATAGATGGGGAGGCCGGATTTAATAAAAACAAATCATTAGCCCTAACATGCCAGCCAAAGTGCTAAGAGCTTTATGTGCATTATCTAATTTACTCTCTCCACCCACTGTATTACCTCCATTTTACAGATAAGGAAACTGAGGTTCAGACAGATTAAATCACAGGCCCAAGGCCACATAATGTGTAGGTGGAGGAGCTGGGATTCCATTCCAGGCTTGTTGACCTCTTATTTTTATTTTTATTTTTATTTATTTATTTATTTTTGAAATGAAATCTCGTTATGTCACCCAGGCTGGAGTGCAGTGGCATGATCTTGCCTCACCGCAACCTCCACCTCCCGGGTTCAAGTGATTCTCCTGCCTGAACCTCCCGAGTAGCTGGGATTACAGGCACGCGCCACTGTACCTGGCTAATTTTTTGTATTTTTAGTAAAGACGGGGTTTCACCATGTTGGCCAGGCTGGTCTTGAACTCCTGACCTCAGGTAATCTGCCCGCCTTGGCCTCCCAAAGTGCTAGGATTACAGGCATGAAACACTGCACCCTGCCAAGGCTTATTGACTTTTAGAGCCCAAGATCTGACCTGATAGACTCATGAAAAGATAACGAACCATACTAGGGTTGTTACAATAAGAAATATGATAAGAAGCAATGGGCTCCCAGGTCTTATTTGCAGAAATGCTTATTGAGCACTTACTTTGTGTCAGACATGGTGCTAGGCACTGGGGATATGATGTTAAGAAAAACAGATATGGTTTCTGCCCTCGTAAAAGTTTTAATTTGATGGAGATATACAAAGTGCATGACTATCCAAAAAAAAAAATGAAGGAAAGTGGATAATTTGGGGTGGACACGCAAAAGCAGTGACTGGAGCAGAAAAGAGTGAGTGAGTGACAGAATTGTGAGATGAGACTAGAAGGGCAGAGCCTGGAGGCCATGCATAGGTCATTAGACTTTACCTGAGAGAAGCAGGGAGCCTTTGATGGTTATTAGGCAGGAGAGTGAAATACTGAGGTCCACTCTTTGGAAAGAGTCCTGGCTTTAGTAAATTTATGGGTAGAATGAATGGATGTGTGTGTGCACATAAGAATCATGTGGGGGAGGGGGAGCTAGAGCCAGTAGCAGGAAGACAGGTAGGATGCCTTTGCAGGAATTCATCGTCGTGACAAGAGATGATGGTGGATTTACAAAAGAGGGAGGAACTATGTAACTCGTTCTCCAGCACAAGTTCCCTTCCTAACTCCAGGCAATGCTTCTGGTAACAAGGAACATCAGGTGAAGGGCTGTAGACGATTTATTATAAACACATCCTTGAAACCTAAGGAAGCAACATTTCTAGACTAGAGCAGTGGTTGTCAAACCGGAATGTGCATCAGAAATGCCTAGAGGGCTTGTTATATGGCACAGATTGCCCAGCCCCACTTCCGAAGTTTCTGATTTGGTGTGTCTGGGCTGGGAACCAAGGATTCACATTTCTAACAAGCTCCCAAATGATGCTGATTCTGCTGACATGGGGGCCACATTTTCAGACCCAGTAGTGTAAAATAAAACATACTCAATTTGCAACCACATTCACTGAGAGCTGAATCCAGTTTCTTTCCCTCTTTAAGCTGGGCAGAATTAGATGACCTCATTGAGGTTTTTTCTTTCCATCTATAAATGGGATTGGTAATGTCAACACTGTGAGTTTGTTGTGTATTTACAGTAGATCAAGTACAAGGTTTATTACAGTACTTGGCACATAGAAGAAGCTCAATAAATAATAGCTATTGTTATTATTACCCAGAGAAGAAGCTTAAACCAGCACTTGGCCAATGACACATTAGGACTGAGACTAAAAATGATATCTTCAATGAGCACACAAAGCCTGAAACCAGTAAAGTGACAAGTAGCTAATATTGGTGAATAATAATAAAAATTCCATAAGGCATATTGAGGGGTTACTCTTTGTCAGGCGAGACTTCAAAGGCAGACAGGAATTGAAGACTATTTTTTTCATGGCTGCTAAATCACCTTGTCTATTTATTCTTCTATTAAGTGGAAAATACCTTCATTAATTCACCCACTTACCATTTTTTCATCTATCCAGTCACCCACCCATCCACCCATCCACCCATTTATGCATCCATCCATCCACTCATCCATCTATCTGTCCATCCATCCATCCATCCATGCATCCATTCAACCACTGACCCATGGATTATTTTATTTTATTTTATTTTGAGATGGAGTCTTGCTCTGTTGCCCAAGCTGGAGTGCAGTGGCACAATCTCGGCTCACTGCAACCTCTGCCTCCCTGCAAGCTCCTCCTTATGGGTTCAAGCGATTCTCCTGCTTCAGTCTCCTAAGTAGCTGGGACTACAGGCACTTGCCACCACGCCGGGCTAATTTTTGTATTTTTAGTAGAGACGGGGTTTCACTATGTTGGCCAGGCTGGTCTCAAATGCCTGACCTTGTGATCTTCCCGCTTCAGCCTCCCAAAGTGCTGGGATTACAAGCATGAACCACCGCACCTGGCCACCCATGGATTTTTTTAAACTCCTACTCTGGGCTGTCAACTGTGTTAGGTCCTACATAGTTCAATGGAAACAACCTTTAGTCAAGTGGGCCTGGTATTCAAATTGGCTGATATTTCCCTGTTTCAGTCAGGGGATCTGACTCACTTGGAGCTGTCTACATTTTTGATGGAGGGCAGGGGTCAACTCAGAACAGTGTGTTCCCAACCAATGTGAGAACCAAAGGAGACAAGAGATTTAGAATTGAGGCTCTGGAGCTGGACAGATCTGAGGTAGGTTCTTGATTGCTGGTCCTACCCCTTATTAGCTGGGTGGCCTTGGACAAGTAACCTACTTCTGTGAGCCTCAATTTTCTTCTCTAGAAAATGAGAATGTTAATAGTACCCACCTCATTGAAGTGGTTGTGAGATAATACATAATATATATAAAGAGGTTAACATGATTCCTAGTATATGTTAGTTAAATGCTAAGCAAATCATAACTCGTATTGTTATCAGTAAAGCAGGGGAATTAAGGATTCATGGGGGCAGTTCGCTCATATTAATGTCTTCATTATCAACTGAAGCTGAACTTTACTTGTGTTTTTTCCTGACAATACACATCCAAAAAAATGCTAGAGAAAACCATTTTTTCCCCCTTTTCCACAAATTTATGCCTGGTAAATTGGTGTCTGGTTTGAGGAGCAAGGAGGAGAAGCTCTTATCAGTATAAGACATTTATAAAGCACTTTCTGCATTCCAAAGTACATTTATATATTTTCTCTCAGTTTATCCCGACAAACCCCTAAGCTTTAAATAAGCAAGGTTTTTCTTAGCCTCATTTTGAAAAGAGGAAAATGAGGTTAAGTGGCTTGCCTAAGGTCACACAGCAGGTTAAGAGCGGAGTTATAGCTAGTTTTCTGAAGTGTTCTTTCCACTACACCACATGCCAACCTAAGTTCAAGTTTTTGGTTTTCCTCTTTTAATAAACAGGAAACCAGAGGACTTTGGCTGACTCCTCTGGCTTTTCATACTCCAGTGCCATCACTAAAAAAAATTATATGTGTGCATTTTTTGGCTATTGTAAATTATTAATGACAATCTCTTTAGTGTGTCAACTTCATTCCTTTGTTTGAAACATTCCTTTTGGCATTGGCAACAGCACTGAAATAAATAGTTTATTTGCCAATAACATAGCTTGTTAAATTTTAATCAAATAGAGTATTGTAAGCACGTAGTTACCAGGATATACCCCTTGGGAATGAGGGAGATCACTTTAGAAATGAATTAATAATGGGGTTTTTGGAAGCCAAAATGAAATGGCCAAGGAAGCCTTGATGTGGATTATTCATTCCTATTTGAGTTGTAAATCAATGGAGTTGCTCTCACCCTGCTCCCATTAAAATTTTCTTGTTAATTATTTTCAGAAGATAATAAGATCAACCAGATGTGGGGGTATTTTTTGCTTCTTGTTTTCTTTTTGAAAGTATGAGCTCTTCTTATGTTGTTAGTATATAGCCCAGGATCATGGTATGTTAAAGCCTGGGGCTCTTACATGGGTTTAGGAATGGAGATGAGAGGCTCCACTGATCTCAATTTCCCCATCTCTCTCTGTTTCTGTCTCTCCCATCTTCATTCACAAGAGAATAGATACTATATTTTGTGTTTGATGGTATTCTTTATTTACTGAATTGTTTCTATTAGTGGGAAGGGTTTTACTCTTACTCACAAGATTCACTCTTTCACTCTTACTCATAATATTTCCCAGAGACCAATGTCTAGCATTTGTAAAATTGTTGTGTGGTAGTTATTAAGGCTGTTAATTAATACCTTGGTTCTTCTTCCAGGCACAAAATAGGATTGCATTTACTCTTCCCCTTGAATTTAGGTACCATGGTGCCATGGCTTTCTTTGACAAGTGAAGTGTGGACGTAATTGATGTGTGAAAATTCTGGCTAGAAGTTTTAAGGCAAGAGTGATTCGCCTTTTCCCCCTTTCCTCTGTCTTAGTAACTACAGACATTCTAGATGATTCATTCAGTTTTGGCTCTTGAGAGAGGAAAACATGGAGGAGGGTCTCTGGCCAGCCCATGACAAACATGTAGTATAAACATGAAAAGGAACCTTTGTTGTTCTAAGCCCCTGACATTTTGGGGCTGGTTGTTACTATAGCACAACCAAGCCTATCCTTACTAATAAATGCACAATAAAGTCTCATGCATACATGGCCATGGGAGTCATGTGCATTGATAACCATGACATTAAATCTGGAACTTACTAATTATTTAGGGAAAGAGACTGTGGCTTGTTCATCTTTGAACATCTATTGCCTAGCAGAGTGCCAAGTATTTAGTAGATACCAGTAATGTTTTCTAAATGAATTATTTAGAAATGTGATAACGTAAACCATTGAAGTTAAATGGCTGAGATGATAATGATCATGAGGATGACAAAAACAACCTTATTCATGACACTGGCATCTACTGAAGGCTTACTATGTGTCTAGCACTTTGCTAAATAAGTTGACAAACAATATCTTATTCAGTCCACACAGTAACCCCATAAGGTAATATTAATGTTGTCTTCATTTTGCATATGAGAAACTAAAGCCATGAATCTGGTAGGCCCATTGCCTAGGGCCACTAATAAGTGGCAGAGCCAGGATTCAAATCCAGGCATGGCTGTGCACTGCATAACAGTCTTTCGGTTAATGGCAAGCCATACATAGATGGTGGTCCCATGCGATTATAATGTAGATGAAAAATTCTTATCACCTAGTGATATCTTGGTATCCTGACCTTAGGCTAAAGTGTGTGTTTGTGTCTTAGTTTTTAAGACAGTTTGAAAGTTTAAAACAGTTTAAAGGTTTAACTTGTTTAAGCTGAAAAAAGTTTAAAAAGTAAAAAGAAATTTTTTTAATCAAAAAAGCTAGTAGAATAAGGATATAAAGATTTTTTTTTGTACAGCTGCACAGTGTGTTTGCATTTAAGTGCTACTGTAAAATAATGAAAAGCTTAAATAAATGAAAAAGTTTATACAGCCCAAAAAGCACAAGTAAGCTAAGGTTAATCTATTATTGAAGAAAGAAACTTATTTAAAAAATAAATTGAGCGTAGCTTAAGTTTACAGTGTTTATCAAGTCTACAGTAGTGTACAGTAATGTCCTAGTTCTTCACATTCACTCACCATTCTCTCCCTGGCTCACCAGGAGCAACTCCCAGCCCTGAAATCTCCAGCAAGTGCCCTATACAGATAAACCACTTTTAAAATCTTTTCTACTGTATTTTAATGTACCTTTTCTGCATTTACATATGCTTATATACACAAACACTTACCATTGTGTTACAGTTGCCTACAGAATTCAGTATAGTAACATGCTGTGCAGGTTGGTAGCCTAGGTGCAGCAAGCTGTACCATACAGCCTAGGTGTGAAGTAGGCTATCCCATCTAGATTGGTGTAAGTACACTCTATGATGTTTGCATAACAATGCATACTTCAGAATGTATTCCCATTTATAAGTGACGCATGACTGCATATCTATCCATAGATTTTCAATGGAGGTGGGATATTTTTTCCCTCTGGGGACATTTAAAAATATCTGGAGACACTTTTGGTTGTCACAACTGGGGAAATACAATAAGAATCTAGTGTGTCGAGGCCAGGGAAGCTGCAAGTCTCTTATCATGCACAGAGCAGTAACCCAAATAATTATCCAGCCCCATATGTCAATAATGCCAAGAAATTCTGGTATATCCTATCACACTTTTAACTACTAAGTTATAGGACACATCTATCTTTTCAGAAATGAGGGGGACAAAATCTTCTAGCTTCCTGCCTCAACCCCTTGGAAGATTGTTTGGAAATAAGTAAATGTGTTTCAAGATTGACCACATTATAAAATATAGATTTACACAGAACTTTTCAATAGCACGCATTCCGTAAAAGTGAGAGACACCTGAAAAGTAATGTAACTAGTAGGTTCAATAGGCAAGGACGGCTGCAACAGCCAGGTAGTGCTTTCATGGTTGGATTCACTGCAGCCTGTTATTTAATCAGTGGTCGCTGTCCCTGGTGCTGAACCGCCGTCAGGCTCTAGGAAACATGAATCAGCAAAGCCCCTGGATTTGAGCGGAAGTTCTGCCAACACACCCAAGTGCACACGCAGGGCTACACCTTTTTTTCTTTTCTAACCACATCTCAAGGACACTCTGCCCCCACCGTTGGAACAAGATAATTAACATGCGGGAAACATTGCTATTTTTGAGTCCATCTTGAAGAATTTTCGGTCTGGGGCTTGACAGGGTGGCGATTGTTTTCCTTCCATTATTCATTCCTTCAACCTTCAAGGACTTTTCTGCTGCTGAGTACACAGGCTTGTCACACATGCTGTTGCATGTGCACATGCGCACACATGCCCACACACACACACATTCCATACTAAGAGGTGCACGGAGGGAGTAGGCATGCTCAGATGAGAACAGAAAGTAACACTCCAGTGTCCTACAGGAGGAGGTGGGGAAGGGACGTGGTATCGTTTAGGGCTACATTCTTAAAGCAAACTAGCCAGTGACCAGGATTTAATTGGCAAGTAGGGATTGTGTTCCTCCTTTCATCTCACACTATGAGTTAGGTTGATAAGATGTTTGATAAGAGCGGGCGTGAGCTGATCTCATCCCAGAAGCTGTCTTCAGAGGTCATTATGTCCTTTGGGAATTGGAAAGCCTGGAATGTAAAATACAGAGGATCCAGCATATGAGAGAAATTCTCCAGGGCTAAAGATAGAATGAGAAGCTGAGTGTTACACGGTTGAAGTCCCGGGCCTCATTCTTTTGTTCTTTTGGGCCATACTTGGGAGGGGGTCTTGTGAAAGAAATTACAGATAATACACAAACTCTACTAATTCCTACAGAACACTCAGAGACCTGACTGCCATAAGGAACACTTAAGATACTGAAAGCCCTCAGTGCATTTGGGTAAATGGATGAGGGTGTAAATGAGTGTGAATGTGTACGTGCATGAGTGTTAATGTACACACAGGTAGTTATCCATGTCACATAAATGTGTGGGAGCGCTCACATGGATACATGTGAAAATGCCCATCCATGTTCAACAGTGTGGGATAGGAGTGGCATATCAATAGACATTTCCACTTTGGATCCATGGCTCTCCTGGACACTTTATTTTCTCCTATTTTGTTCATCTGTCCACCGAAGTGAGTAATTCCAAGGAAAAGAGTTTGTGCATCGTATATTAATATGCAGGTATTTTCAGGTAATTGTTTTCTCAGATATCATTTTGCTCTTCCTGGATACCCATTAGTTCATGAAATATCAAAGCCGAAAGAGCCTCTAATTACTTCATTTTATAGATGGAGAGACTGAGATCTGGAAAAGTGGGTTAAATCTACACAAAGTCAGGGCAGTGCCTAGTCCAGACTTTCAACTTCCACCCTAGGGCTTTCACTCTACTAATCATGGTTCCTCAGCATACAGAAGATTGGATTGACATGAAGCAGAGAACTGGCTGATGAACCAGTCAACACAAATCTTCTACTGACCTCCAACATGAAGGGACTCTGCACCCTCTCTCCTTTCCCCAGAGATTCTGGACATTTCAGTCTTGAAATCTGGTTTGCTTGAGGGATAGATAGTCCTGGGCTAACAGGGTATGACTTGGTAATGGATAAAAATTTCTTGGTAGAAAGATATAGAAGAGTAGTCAAGAGCCAGGGTAGCAGCGACATGAGATATGGAGAAGATGCAACTGCCTAAAACCTTCTGTGGCTCCCACTGCCTTTAAGATAAGATCATGTCCCTTATGTTGCACAGCAGAATCCCTTTCCACCTCCCCAGCTTCCACTCTCTCAATTCTCAACTTTCACCCTACAATGTAGCCAGGGAGACATTTCCCTAATGTGGGCCAGGCCCTCTTTCACATCACTCTTGGCACATAGTGGGGACACATGCACTGCTCCTCTCTTCTTTCCTGGTCATGGCCAATGATTGCATATACCTTAAGTTTTATCCTAATCAGTACTTCCTCTGTAAGCTTCCTCTGGCTCCCCAAGTCCTTGATAAATGTGCCTTTTCTGTAACCCCACTACATAGCGAGAAACAAACAGGTATGTTATTAACTGGTACCTGTATCTGGTTGTCACAGCACCTGTCACACAAACAAAATGAACAAATGAACAAATGAATGAATGAATGAATGAATGAATAAAAGCAGCATTCTGAGTCTTTTCAATATAGTTGTCAAGGGGTTGAATGTCAAGTAGAAAGGGACAGGGTGGGTAGGGAAGGGGATGTTTAATTGGTAGAATCAATATTTCTTAATCCAAGACCCAAACAGAAGTGGTTACAGGGCTGAGGACTGCTCCGGAGGCCCTGAATTGCTGCTCTATTGTTCACAGATCTTGAGCTTGCTGGGCACAGAGGAGGGCTGGGCAGAGGTGTCTCCAGCTAAATAGCTGCAATCTAAGGAGAGGTAATTGCAGGATTTGAAGGCAACTTTTTCTGTCTGGCTCTGCTGCGGGTGGGGTGGTGATCACAGACCTCTTCACTGCAGGACTCACACACACCATTGCAAGATGGGGTGGAAGACACCAAATATAGCTGCTATTGGCAGGGGAAGCCTTAGAGGGAAGGCAAAACATGTTAAGAGAACAATGGCTCTGAAAGAAAAAGGGAGGAGAAAGAGGAAGAGAGGTAGGGGAATGGAGCTGGAGTGTGTCCTCTAGGGAGACCAGACAGTAACTGGCTTGTCTCCACTCTAGGAAGCATCAGAAGAAGTGGGGAGGGGGAAAAGATTTCTGATAGTAGCTGACACTTCTAAGGAATGCTCGTGTCATTTTCATTAGAAATATTTTATAATATGCTAGACTCTGTACCAGAGAAGAGCTATAGGAAGAGCAAGGTGACCAACAGATTGTGAACTTGGACTTTTGACTCAAAGTACCTAAATTCCATTTCCAGCTTTGCCACTTTTGGGCTGAGTAAAATGAGAAAGCTATTTAACCTCTTCAAGCCTCAGTCTACCTTTCTGTAAAATGGGGACAACTCCCATCAGTCTCAGGGAATATCTATCTCATTGTTATAAGGCACTGAATACAGTGTCTGGGGTACAATATGAACTCATTAAAGATTGACTAATTATTGTTAATCTTTACTATTTGTTAACCACATGTTAATCCTTTTTATTTATTAATGACTTCATTAATACTTAGTATTATTAGTGTTAAATGTTATTACTTGTTTATGTATTTTAGTACATCCCAAAATGTATAATACCTAGCAGATATAGAATAAATTTCATATAAATAAATGAATGAACAAATGAGTAAATCAAGAAAAGATTTATTATATGCCCAGTGCTTGCAATGAGGCAGTTACATGCTTTGCACCTACTGTTCCCTCTTCCAGGAACTCCCTTCCCCATCTTCTTTCCCAGTGATTTTTTAAATCTGTAGGTCAAGAATCAGCCCAGAGAGTCTATTTTCCAGGAGATGTCCTTCCTGGCATCCCTTGGGGAAGATCATGGTTTTGTGCCTTTGTTCTGAAAGCAGCTGTGAGGGATAGAAAAAACCCTGGACCAATGGCAATTACTAAAAAGTCCAGAAACAACAGATGTTGACACGGTTGCAGAGAAAAAGGAACACTTTTACATTGCTGATGAGAGTGTAAATTAGTTCAGCCATTGTGGAAGACAGTATGGTGATTCCTCAAAGCTCTAGAAACAGAAATACCATTTGGCCTAGCAATCCTATTACTGGGTATATAGCCAAAGGAGTATAAATCATTCTGTTATAAAGATGCATGCACACGTATGTTCACTGCAGCACTGTTCACAATAGCAAAGACATGGAATGAACCCAAATGCCCATCAACGATAGACTGGATAAAGAAAATGTGGTATATATACACCCTGGAATACTATGTAGCCATAAAATGGAACAAGATAATGTCCTTTGCAGGGACACGGTTGGAGCTGGAAGCTGTTATCCTCAGCAAACTAATGCAGGAACAGAAAACCAAACACCGCATGTTCTCACTTCTAAGTGGGAGCTGAATGATGACAACACATGGACACGGGGAGGGGAACAACACATGGTGGGGCCTGTCAGGGGGCTGGGAGAGGGAGAGCATCAGGAAGAATAGCTAGTGGATGCTGGGCACTGGGGTTAATACCTAGGTGATGAGTTGATCTTTGTAGCAAACCACCATGGCACACATTTACCTATGTAACAAACCTGCGCATCCTGCACATGTATTCCAAAACTTAAAATAAAAATTGAAGAAAAAAACCCAACTATTTCTTTCTTCACCTAATTTAAAAAAGAAAGAATAAAAACCATGGACCAAGTGTCTGAGGATGCGGGTTTCATTTCTTTTATGTTCTTAGCCTTGAGGTGATCTAGGAAAATCCCTGGATATTCTGTGCCTATATCTTATCATCTGTTGAATGGGAGTAATGTTGCTTACCAAATAACATTGTTGCAAACCTATCTCTCCTTCCTTCAAAAATATTTACTGCCAGAAAGATTCCAAGATTTAGGTACTGTAGTGGGCTCTGCAGAAACTTAATGAACAAGACAGGTGGGTCTCTGCTATAATGGAGTTCACATTTTAGCATGGGAGACAGATATTAAATAAATAAGTGCTCTGGGAAAAAATATGTGTAATTATATTTGTGATATGTGCAACAAAGGAAGAAGTGTTGAGCAACTGGGAGGGAATTGCTTGAAATCTGAATGGCAAAAAAAAAATAGCCATGCATGCAAAAGAAGGCCGAGTGAGAACAAGTGAGGCCGAGAGAACAGCATGTGCAAAGGCCCTGAGGTGGGACAGATAGCTTAGTGGGTTTGAAAAACTGAAAAGAGGTGAGAAAGACTTGAGAAAAATGGGAAAGGAGAAGAGAGGCAGAAGATAAGATCAGAGAGGTGGGCAGGCACCAGGTTTTGAATGCCTTGCAGGTCACAGCAAAGAGATTCCAAGTGAGACAGAAATGTGAGCTCTCTTAATCAATGGTAAAGCTTCACCGGAATGTTACATAAGACCATCACGATGGACCTGTCACTAATCTTTTGGTTTCTCCATCAGCAAAGTGAGATAACATCATCTTTACTGCCTCCCCAGCCACCCAGGTAAAATGATGAGGTGACATCTCCTTGTAGCTGACATCAAATGACATCTCTACATGATAGCATAGCATACTTAAGCCTCATTGTGGCTGCACGAGGCACTGTGGTCCTGGAGATGCCAGAACTTAGACAAAGCTGAGCTATTATCAAAGGGGAGGGAGCATCATGCAGGCTGTTTTGGAGCCAGGATGTACATGGCTATTCTGGGCCTTGTGGGAGGGAGGCTGAGAGGGGGGCTGGCCGGAAGAGCAGAGTTATTTCAAGACATTGCAGCAGGCAATTGTAGCCAGGGTGTACACAGCAAATCTGGAGAGACTGGAGGGGCCCAGAGACCCTGCAATTGCTGGAAGCTAAAGGACGTCCCTACATGGCCCCAGAAGAGATTTCGTTCTATTGTTAGGCAGTACAGCATGGGTTCTGGAAGCAGAAAGGGCAGGCACCTACACCTGCTCTGTGACCTTGGGCAGATGCCCACTACATGTGTTAGCTCCTTATATCCTCCCAACAACTTTATGACATAACCTCTGTGTTGCTCCCATTTCACAGGTGAGGAAACTGAAGTTCAGAGAGGTTAAGTGACTTGCCATGGTCCTGCTGCTGTTCGAGGCAGAATCAGGATTTGAACTCAGCTCTCCAGAGCTAACTGTCCTGTGTTATTCTCTCTCCTTCTTATTACTCATGACAGAACAGGGTCATCTGACAACTAAATGAGGTGGCATATAAAAATATCCAGCACAGTGCTTGGCACATAGCATGCCCTCTTTGAAACTGCTATTGAGTCCATACCAAATGTGCGGCATTTCAGTCTTGCGGGGAGGAATAAAGGCA
This sequence comes from Homo sapiens, assembly GCF_000001405.40. NCBI lineage: Eukaryota > Metazoa > Chordata > Mammalia > Primates > Hominidae > Homo > Homo sapiens. The sequence continues at coordinate 119,055,512 of NC_000012.12, read as the reverse complement.
GGTCTTCAAAATCCAATAGAGGCTGACTACATTGGGATTTTGAGAGTGGTACTTGCCACTTGGAAAAAAACCCTGAACTAAAATATGCTTCTTATGGAAACCCTGGAGGGGAAAAAAGCCACAATGTTAATTACATTTATAAATAACATCATTGCGTGTGCTTTTTAGAATAGTCTTGTGAGGCATGTGGGGAGGGAGTTACTGGCCCCATGTAGCAACTGAAGACACTGAGACCCACTAGAGTTTATTTGGTTGTCTGTCACAGAACAAACCAGTAGGAGAGAAGTGACGAAACTCCAGTCTGTTCCCTCCTGTGTAGCCCATAAATCTTCTCAATGAATTTTAAAAATAAGATTTCACAGAGGGCATAAATTTCCCTGCTGAGCATCCGTTCTCTCTTGTTATGATGAGCAGCAGATTCTTCTCTGAGGGACAAGCCCCTTCTCTACTTTCAGTCTATCTGATGCAAGCAGAGGTGGCTTCACTCCAGCTCCAGAAAGGGGGCATGACCCCACCCTGGTCATTTTAAGCATCACATGCCCCCTGGCCACAGTGGTTGGTTCAGAGATGAGCACCTATCAAAGCCAGGACAACCAGAGCCAGTGAGACTCAATTCTGGAACTTGTGTTGAAACCATTAGGAAGAAACTGTCCTTTGCTAGAGGTTGCTAAAAAAGGATAAAAGTGCGGCCCTCTGGTAGCACTCTTGCCACCCCAAGGGACAGCTGCATAAGAATGGAATCAACATCATGGAGAATAGCGTCAAGAAATGAATACAGGGATGACATTGCTCTAGCTCCTGGATCTATCTGGAACTGAAGCCATTCAACTTTTCATGTATGAGAGCCAATACATCCCCTTTATTATTGGATCCAGCTTTGTGTGGCTTATATCTCTTGTATATAAAGGACTCCTAACTAATACAATCACCCTCATCATCAACAACAAAACTTTGCTGTAGGTCCACAAAATGTAGGAAAGTCTGGTTTCTGAGAATGGTTAAGTGCATGCACACTGGAATTAGGCTGATTGAATTTGAGTTCTGCCTTTTCCACTTTCTAGTTGTTTGATTTTGGTAAGTTACCCTACTTCCCTGTGCCTCAACTGTGAAGTAGGATAATAATATTCCCCACCTCACTGAATCACTGAGGATGTTAAATGAGATAATATACATATCTAAGGATTATAACAGCATCTGGCACAGTGAGTGCTCAAAAAGTGTTACTGTTACATGGATGGATAAATAAAACGTGGTACATATACACAAAGGAATACTATTAAGCCATAAAAAGAATGAGATCCCATCATTTGCAACAACATAAATGGAACTGGAGATCATTACGTTAAGTGAAATAAGCCAGGCACAGAAAGACAAACTGCATGTTCTCACTTGTTTGTGGAATCTAAAAATAAACACAATTGAACTCATGGACATAGAGAGTAGAAGGATGGTTACCAGCAGATGGGAAAGGTAGTGGGGAGGTTGGTAGCGGGGAGGTGCGGATGGTTTATGGGTAAAGAAAATAGAAAGAATGAATAAGATCTACTATTTGACAGCACAATGGGGTGACTATAGCCAATATTAACCTAATGGTACATTTTAAAATAAAAGAGTATAATTGGATTGTCTGTAACACAAAGCATAAATGCTTAAGGGGATGGATACTGCATTCTCCATGATGTGATAATTACACTTTGCATGCCTGTGTCAAAATATCTCATAAACATATACTCCTACTACATACCCACAAAATTAAAAAAAAAAACTACTGTTGGGATTTTGATCACAAGGAAGGTTGTTTTACCCCAAACGTGGGACCCTTAGAGATGCCACGTGTGCAAATTGGTATGTTAGTCACAAAATACGCACAGCAGGTGTTTCCACTTGTTGAGTCCCTACTATGTGCTTTATATAATTATTTCACATTGACTATGTGATAAGATAGGAAATTTATTATCTGCGTTTAATTGACACCAAAACAGAGAGTCACAAACCTTTCTCAAGGCAACACAGTGCATGATGGAGCTGGCTCTTAACCTAGGTTTCCTTCCTCCTAAGCCACGTCTCCCATAGAATGTTTCTTAAGCCTCAGCTGCCCACACAAGACTAATAATGATTGCTGTCCATTTATGCATGTGTTTCCTATACTATTATTTGCTTATTATTATTTTTGCAATTGGCTTACTTTTTAACTTGATACATGCAATTAAAAAGGAAACTTCATATTACAATTGTAAATGGAAAATAAGTGTCCTGTTTATAAATAGAGGAAGGCCTTAAAATAGATACAAATGAAAACAAGAGAACATTATTAAATTCCAGCTATACACTGCTACTCGCCCCAGGCTCTGAGCCTGACACCTGCTCCTTCTTTTGTTAAAAAAAGGGAAGATTAGCAAGTGTTGAGAGGTGTTAAAAACATAGTAGCCCCAAACTGAGACAACTCTCTGACAATTGGAAGGAGAGAAAGTGAATTGAAAGTACAATCACTTTCTCACCATGAGATTCCATGAAATTTCATTCTGCTTCTATGCAGCCACCTCAAATCTCTCAGGCAAATAATAATTTGGGTACAGAAATTTGAAAAACATAGCACTCCAATCTCCAATTTATTTATTACCGAAGGACCTTCCTTTCCTATGCCACACCACGTCCTCTCTGTCTCTCAACAGTTAAACATCTTAGGCCAGGTGTGGTGGCTCACGCCTGTAATCCCAGCACTTTGGGAGGCCGAGGTGGGGCAGATCACGAGGTCAGGAGATCGAGACCATTCTGGCTAACACGGTGAAACCCCATCTCTACTAAAAATACAAAAAATTAGTCCGGGGTGGTGGCGGGTGCCTGTAGTCCCAGCTACTCGGGAGGCTGAGGCAGGAGAATGGTGTGAACCCGGGAGGCGGAGCTTGCGGTGAGCCGAGATCGCGCTACTACACTCCAGCCTGGGTAACAGAGAGAGACTCTGTCTCAAAAATAAATAAATAAACAAACAAAACAACAACAACAACAACAACAAAAAAGCAGTTAAACATCCTAGGTAATCTCTATGCCAGTACTTGGTTGGAATTAAACTAAGCTATAAAAGAAAGTTTACATTTTATACATCTCTTTCCCAGGTGAGTCTTGGAAACACTAAATTGGATGTTGACATATCCACACACCCAGTTATCACCAGAGAGACATACATGAAACCTAAGGGTCCTTAGCAGTGGAAACTCACTACCTGTCCCTCTCTTTCGTATGAGCCAGCACCCATCACTGCTACATGGGAACAGTCCACATCCACGAGAGCAGCCACAGTTGCCACGGTGATTATTCTAAACACAGCAGGTGATGTAATTCCCCTTGGGAGTGTGGCATCAAGCAGATGAATTGGGCGCATTGCATCTGATTCAGCCTCTTGAGGAGAAAGACTTCATACTGATCCAAATAGACTCCCGAGAGGCAGAAAGAGGAAAATGATAAATAAATGCCAGCCAAGCTCTAAAATGGAACACTCTAGCTGTGTGGCCACTGGTAAGTCATTTAGCTCAAATCCAGACATTCTAAATGTTTCTCACCAAATACCAAAACTTGCCCATGGTTACCTAGGTAGTAATAGAAGTGCAGATGGGCCCAGAAGACAGAAAGATTGTTTGATATTACCTATCATGTTTGACGATGCTGTAAAGCAGCATTCACCAAAATGTGCTCCACCAAACATCAGTTCTACCATACGTTAATCGTTGCTTGCTCCTCTAAGATGGAGTGGGGATGGGATTGTGTACTCAAAAGAAACAAGAGATTAAACAAAAAAAACCAGACTTTGTTGCTGCAGGACTTATCAGTGCCTTTAATATGTTCAGTGCAACGTGAAGGCCAAGGAAGGGAAAGTATTGTGTAGTCTTTCTTAGAAATTTGGGGTCATCAAATTTTCTTCTGTAGTCTAGTGGGTACTTTGAGAAATACAGCCCCATGGAGTAATCTTAGGGTACTTTCAATAAGAGAAGATTCATTCCCTCCACTTTCAGAAACCTCTAATATTTGGAAAAAATCTTCCTTAACTAAGAAAAAAAGCAGCTTCCCTGTAACTTGCATGCTTGGGTTCCATTTCAGCACCTTCTAAGACACATCTCTGAGCCTTGCTTTTTTCCCCCAGTAGAGTAGGAGTTTACTTTTCTCCCAGTGTTGGGAGGATTACATTGGATGGCTCAACTTTGTGAACTGTTGAGTGTTGTAAATATGTGAGCTGTCACCCACACAACAGCATCACAATCTTATGTAAATGCACATTGCTTCAGGTAGAAATCTTTGGGCTCTCCTGGAGGCTGATAACCTACAACATGGTTTTCCAACCATGACACTACTGGGGGTCTGTCCTCTGCACTGTAGATGTTTAGTAGCATCCCTAGCTTCCATCCAACAGACACCAGTAGCAATCCCTCAGTTGTGACAACCAAAAACACCTCCAACCACTACCAAATTCTCTTGGAGGAAAAAATTGCTCCTGATTGAGAACCACTGTTCTGGCTCTGCAACCTTTCTATGATGACAGAGATGGTCTACATCTTGTATCTCTCTGTCCAATATGGGAGCCACAGGTGGCTACTGAGCACTTGGGATGTGGCTAGGGTGACTTAGAAAATTAATTTTTAATTTTAATAATAAATTAATATTAAATAAATAGTACATTTAATAATAAACTTTTAATTTATAAATAGCCACAGATGGCTAGTGGCTACCATATTGGACAGTACAGTTCTAGATAACATAGTTTGAGGTCTATCTATTCAGTCAACAAATATTTGTTGAATACCTGTTAGGTGCCAACCAAGATGTCACACACTGGATATATAGTGGAAAATGGCAGACATGGCTCTTGTTCTTACCAAACTGTTAGATACTAAAAAGTAAGCTAGGATACAAGGCAATGTGTGCTTTGAGCTTTCATGACAAAAGATAACTCCCCTAAAGGTCTTACACTCTGCTGCAAGTTCCACCATATGCACCCCATTGAACTGCAAGGTCTCTAAAAGCACACGTATTACCTCAAGAGGAAAATTTATGAACACCTACTGATGCATCAGGATGAATTTGTTTATGCGATTAGCTATGCTGAGCAAAATCCCCAAGAGGCCCTTGAAAGCAGAGCCCTGTCTTGTTCATCATTATCATCACTAGAACCTGGCACATGTAGGTGATCACAACTACTTCTTGAAAGGAGATCAAACAAATCCAGAACAGATCCAGAACTCTGTTAAAGATGGTGAAGGTGTTGAAAACCATGTTATGCCTAGAACAAGTGAGTGTCCTTGCTGTCCTTTCTCAGTACCTGGCACAGAGTATGTGCTTAATAAATAATTGTTGACTAAAGATTGTGGGAGAGGGTTGCTGTCACCGTCCTGGAGGTATTGCTCAGGTATGAAGAGTGCACGATTGGCCCAGACAAGAGAGCTCCTAGATGAAGCATAAAGACAATAATGACAATAATAATTAGATTACTACTTGTTTGAGGCTGAATTGTGTCTCTCCAAAATTCATATATTGAAGTCCTAACCCTCAGTACCTCAGAATGTGATTGCATTTGAAAATAGGACCTTTTAAAATGTGATTGCGTTTGAAAATGGGACCTTTTAAACGGTAATTAAGGTATAATGAGGTCCTATGGGTGGGCCCTAATCCAGTAGGAGGTTAGGACACAGATATGTATAAAAAGAAGATGATGTAAAGACCTAGAGTGAGGCAGCCATCTGTAAGCCAAAGAGAGAGACCTCAGAAGAAACCAAACCTGCTGACACCTTGATCTTGAACTTCCAGCCTTCAAAACAATGAGAAAATAAATTATTACTGTTTAAGACACTCAGTCTGTGGCATTTTGTCATGGTAGTTCTAGAAAACTGATACACTACTGATCAGACTCCGTATTAAGAGCTCCACATGCATTATCTCATTAAATTTGTACCCTAGTTCCCTTAAAGCTACTCTCTGCCCCATAGCCAGAGTGATCCTTTCAAATGGAAGTCAGATTATGTCAGTCCTCTTCTCAAACCGAGGCTTCCTATCTCACTCATATTATAAAGCCAAGTCCTGCTAATAACGAAAAAAGTTGCCATACAAATTGGCTCCCTGTTATTTCTCTAATTTCATTTTATCACTTTCCTCTTCTCTCAAATTGCTCCAATGACACTGGCCAAGTATACACCCACCACTAGCTTTTGTATGTGCCTGGGATACACTTTGCCCAGATGTCTCCTGGATTGTTTCCACACTTCTTTTGACTCTTTGCCCAAGTGTGACTTCATGAGTGAGATTCTTAAACACCAGATGTAAAAAACAACCTGGGACACCTGTCCAATGCCACGCTTTTCCTATCCCCCTTACCACGTGTCATTTTTCTCCTTCACACTGTGTATTTACTTGTGTATCTGTCTATAGCCGGTCTTCTTCCACAAAAATTTAAGCTTCGTAAGGGCAAAGGCTTTCCTGTATTTATTGCTACATCTCTAGCACCTAGAACAGTGTCTGGCACACAGTAGGTATCCAATAAAGATGTCTTGAATGAATGAATCTGTCCTCACAACTTCTTGATGCAATTGCTGTTATTATTGTTATTGAGACAGAGTCTCACTCTGTTGCCCAGGCTGGAGCACAGTGGTGTGATCTCAGCTCACTGCAGCCTCTGCCTCCTGGGTTCAAGTGATTCTCCTGCCTCAGCCTCCTGAGTACTCGGACTATAGGCAAGTGCTACCATGCCAGACTAATTTTTGTATTTTTAGTAGAGAAAGGGTTTCTCCATGTTGGCCAGGCTGCTCTTGAACTCCTGACCTCAAGTGATCAGCCCACCTCGGCCTCCCAAAGTGCTGGGATTACAGGCCACTGCACCCAGCCCGCAATTGCTATTATTATTATCCTTATTTTACAGGTAAGGAGACCAAGGCTCAGAGAATTCAAACGTCCAGGTGTAAAGAAAGAATGGGAGCTGGTGGCAGGATTTGAACCCGATTTTCCCTGCCTCAGGTTCCCCATGCTCTTAAACACTAGGAGGGACTTGGAAAACTGTATCCCAGGCAAGTGATGAGAATATCTCCCAGAGCTCACAATTCATGTTTATTCTTAGTGTGTTATCTAGCTCCTTCACCTCCATCACATGGGCTCGCTAAATATGTCTTGATGATTTGATTTTAGGAAAAAGAAGAAAGGTAAAGGCCACTGGGAATTATTTCCCTTCATGTGCACTCATGGGCTCACCCCTGATTTGGAACTGGGTTAGGGAGACCCAGAGCTGGGTCTTGGCTTTACCGCCCTCTCCAGCTGCGGTCTGGGGCAAGCTGCATTATCACCCTGAGATCCAGTGTCCCCACTGTAAAATAGGGGTTCTAATTCTTGTTTCACAGGGTTTGTAAAACAGGGGTTCTAATTCTTGTTTCACAGGGTTGCAGTGGGGGCAACATAAAAGAATATTTGAGACAGTGAAACTCTGAAAACTGCAAAGTAACATGCACACAGAAGGCAGAATTATATCTCAAGATCTAGAATTGCAACATTTGTCTCTTATAAGAACTGCTAGCATCGATTGTGTATTGTAGCAGGTTGCATTATGGTTCTCTGTTCTGCTTCCTTGTCATGTGTCTTCCATGCCCTTTGTCATATGACTTTGCAGTTCTTCCTACTAGGGGTGGGCTTATTTGTCCACCTATCAGTATTGGGGTTGATCATGTGACCTGCTCCAGCCAATGGAGTAGGGAAAGAATGACAGTGTACCAGCTCCAGGCTTAGGCCTTAAGAAAGATTGTGTTTTCCCACTTGCCTCTCTTGCACTTCTACCATCACGTTGGAACTTGTCCAGGTGACCACTGGTCCAGGGAAATGAGTGCATGTGAAACAGATCTAAACCCAAGCCCAGCTGGGCTCAGCATTGATAAACTAACTGCAGTTGCACAAGTGAGAATAAATGATTAATGTTTTAACTCACAAATGCGAGCTTAACTATGAGGACACAAAGGGATAAGAATGATTCAATGGACTTTGGGGACTTGGGGAAAAAGGGTGGGAGGAGGGTGAGGGATAAAAGACTACACATTGGGTACAGTGTACACTGCTCCAGTGATGGGTGCACCAAAATCTCGGAAATCACTACTAAAGAACTTATTTATGGAACCAAGCACCACCTGTTCCCCAAAAACCTATTGAAATTAAAAAAAAATTTTAAAGTTAATAATAAAAGAAATGATTAATCTTTTAGAACATTGAGCTTGGATGTGGTTTGTTACACAGCATTATTGTGGCATTAGCTGACAAATGTACATGCTTGTTAAATGTCACTTTATGCTCATCATCTTATAAAATTTGTGGTAAATTTCATTATTGTTTCTATTCTAAAGATAAGGAAACTGGGCATAGTTTCAGAGATTTTCCCAAGATTATCCAGCAAAGAAATGGTGTAGCTAAGCCATAAAACATTGAACTGTGTGAAGACAGAGTCCACACTTTTTTTTTTTTTTTTTTTAGACGGGATCTCACTCTGTCACCCAGGCTAGAGTGCAGTGGCGAGATCTCAGCTCACTGCAAGCTCCGCCTCCCGGGTTCACACCATTCTCCTCCCTCAGCCTCTGGAGTAGCTGGGACTACAGGTGTCTGCCACGATGCTTGGCTAATTTTTTTGTATTTTTAGTAGAGACGGGGTTTCACCAGAGTCCACACGTTTTTATGTTCCAGACTGTGCTGCTTCCTTACACCTGTGAAATAGAAGACCAAATTGTATCCAGATAATTCAGACTAAATAAGGGCCATATCATCAGTGTTCAAGATGTTTCAGAGAGATTGGATAATGGAGAGTTCACCATGGTGAAATTAGAAGCAAACATACAAACACAAAACAGCAACAGAGAGGCCTGGAAAGACCTGGGTTCTGATTCTGGTTTTGCTGCCAACTGTGTGTCCTTAGTTAAATGCTCTCCCTCCTCTGGGCATTTTTGATGATGTTGAACTGTGAATCATGTATAAAAAATTATTTATGAGATGTCTCCATTAAGCTCTAGATGTTTCTTTCACAGGTTGTCTCATTTAATCCATACAAAATCCTTCCAGGGCCCACTAACAACCCAAAATGCAGAGATGTTAAGGTTAGATAGTTGGAATCCAAACCCAGACTGCCAGACTTATTTCAGAGCTCCAGAGTCCCTTCTAGCTCCCGGATTCTCTGGGTGAGTTTCATGTGGATAGAGGCCAAGAGATCTCTTTTTCTTGGCTGAGGTCAGACTTGGACTTTCCTCCTCCTGCTCCCAGGGGCCCACTGCAAAAGCTCTTTGATGAGGGTGAAGATAGGACCACTGCTCCCCTTCACTCTGCTCAGTCCCAGGCTGAGAAGAGATCAAGAGGTTCTGAAAACCAGCCCTGGGATATAATGGTGCCCAAAGCACGCCTCCTTTCCCCATCAGTGGGTCGCTGGGATTGTTAATAATAATAATTATTATTATTTTTAATTTTATTATTATTATTTTGAGATGGAATCTCGCTCTGTCGCCAGGCTGGAGCGCAGTGGAGCAATCTCAGCTCACTGCAACCTCTGCCTCCCGGGTTCAAGCAATTCCCCTGCCTCAGCCTCCTGAGTAGCTGGGACTACAGGTGCACACCACCACGCCTGGCTAATTTTTTGTATTTTAGTACAGATGGGGTTTTACCATATTGGCCAGGCTGGTCTTGAACTCCTGACCTCAGGTGATCCGCCCACCTTGGCCTCCCAAAGTGCTGGGATTACAGGCTTGAGCCACCATGCCTGGCCTAATTATTTTCTTTATAAAAATAATTAGTCCCAATCAAGGCAGAAGCTCTTCAGAATTACAGCTCATTAGCTGTGCCATGCATCTTACGGTTCCATAAAAAGTCACACGGTGCTGATGAAAATTACAGGTCCCTGGAATCGGCATTAGAGACAAATCTAGCCAGGGTTCCCAACCGATTACCACCAGCCACATGGAGTTGGCTTCTGTAATCACAGACCAAAGACGGAGAAGCAGGGTGTGTCTCTGTGAGTGTTTTGGGGCGGGGGGGAGCGGGGGAGTGGGGGAAGGGGAATGTGGGGCATAGGGGGCAGAGACAAAGCCCTGGGAGTTCCTAAGTCTTGATTATAACACACTCTGCCCTTTCTCCTTATGGAAGGGAGGCGTTTTCATCAAAGATACTGTTAAAATTTAAGTCAGAAGGAACAAGACATGTGTTGCTGGCTGTGAGGAAGGGGCGGGGGTGGGTCTTCCTCTTTGGAAAGCGTGGCAATGTGGAAAGATTTCTGAACAGGGATTCTGGAGTCTTGGGAAGTCTTGAGCCTGCAAGCATATCTGGGTTCAAATCCCAGCTTTGCACTAACTGCATGTGACTGTGGGTGTGTCCACCTTTTGGATCTCAGTCCCCACATCCGTATAGCTGAGCCCAGCGATGACACTAACAATGAGAGCTACCATGTCTCTAACACCTTCTACGGGTCAGACCCTGTTCTAAGTACTTGTATTAATTGATTCTCGTGAACAATCCAATGAGGTAGGAATTAGCTGCATTTCACAGTTGAAGAAACTGAGGCACAGCAAAGTAATTAACTTGTTCAAGGTCACTCAGTGGCAGAGCTGGGAACCAAACCCAGGCATTCTGATGCATAGAGTTCACATTCATACCCACTATGCCCCCATTGCCCTTCTCAAATTTTGGCTGAGGAGAAACCCCCTACAACTCTGTTGGGGGTCTCAGGTGCCTTCTTTTATTAATAGTAAAAATCATAATATATCAAGCACTTTGTATGTGCCAGGCTTTTTTTTCTAGATATTTTCCATATATTTTTATCTCCCTGGTTCCTCCCAGCAGCCCTATGACCTAGGAATTGTCTCAATCCACATTTTGCAGAAAATGAGGCTCAGGGAGGCTAAAGGACTTGGCCAAGTCTACACAGCTGGGTCTGTTTGGGTCTAAAGCTTGTGCCCATAACCATGGCATGGCACTGTACCAACAGCTTGCTCTTGCTGTGGGGGCTCTGGGAGGCAGGACATGTGGCTTAGGAAGCTCTGCTTCTGACTCCATTCTCCTCCCTGGAGTCCTGTCTCCCCATCTGTGAAAGGAAGAGGATTAGCTTTAATAAAAACTCTGGGCCTGTGCAGCTCTGAAATGCTACTGTCTGTACCTGCCCAAGCCCGCCCTCCACATCTCCCAAGGTACCCACCAGGAGCTGCATCTAAGGGCAAGAGCTGCACCTAGGGGCCGCCGCTGTCACCAGAAGGCTTGGGGAGGGACTAGCACCACTGACATAGAAAGTCTTCCTGGGTTGGAAAATAGCCTGGAGGGTGGCTGGGTCCTGGTGCCACCCTAGTGTTAGAAGTACAGGAAATAGGCAGGGTGCAGTGGCTCAGGCCTATAATCCCAGCACTTCGGGAGGCCGAGGCGTGTGGATTACCTGAGGTCAGGAGTTCGAGACCAGCCTGACCAACATGGAGAAACCCCATCGCTTCTAAAAAATACAAAATTAGCTGGGTGTGGTGGTGGGCAGCTGTAATCCCAGCTACTTGGGAGGTTGAGGCAGGAGAATCACTTGAAAACCGGAAGGCGGAGGTTGTGGTGAGCTGAGATCGCGCCATTGCACTCCAGCCTGGGCAACAAGAGCAAAACTCCGTCTCAAAAAACAAAAAACAAAAGTCCAGGGATTGTCTAGCCAGTGGGTCCTCAAGGGCATCAGGAGATGCCCAAGACTTGTGTGTGTGTGTGTGTGTGTGTGTGTGTGTGTATGCGTGTATGTGTGCATGTGTATGTGTTTGTAACTCACTGTTCCCCTACGCCCTTTTCTTCTCTCCCCATGCCCTTTCTTTTTTCTTTGTCCTTTCTTTGTTTTTGTCTCTCATTGTCTCTCCACATCTATTGCTCTGTGCCCTGCTGACTTCCTTGGTCTCCTAGGACTTCCTAAACTTCTTTTTGCTGTATGCATGTATTTATTTATTTTTCAATTTCATTTTATTTTATTAAGTTCTGGGATACATGTGCAGGATGTGCAGGTTTGTTACATAGGTAAATGTGTGCCATGGTGGTTTGCTGCAAAGATAAACTCATCACCTAGGTATTAAGCCCCACATGCATTAGCTATCCTGATGCTCTCCCTCCCCCTCCCCAACAGGCCCCAGGTGTATGTTGTTCCCCTGTTCCCCTCCCTGTGTCCAGGTGTTCTAATTGTTCAGCTCCCACTTAGAAGTGAGAACATGAGGTGTTTAGTTTTCTGTTCTTGCGTGAGTTTGCTGAGGATAATGGCTCCCAGCTCCATCCATGGCCCTGCAAAAGACATGATCTCATTCCATTTTATGGCTGCATAGTGTTCTATGGTGTATATGTACCACATTTGCTTTATCCAGTCTATCATTGATGGGCATTTGGGTTCATTCTGTCTTTGCTATTGTGAATAGTGCTGCAATGAACATACACATGCATGTATCTTTATAATAGAATGATTTATATTCCTCTGGATATATACCCAGTAATGAGATTGCTGGGTCAAATGGTATTTCTGTCTCTAGATCTTCGAGGAATTGCCACACTGTCTCCCACAATGGTGGAACTAATTTACACTCCCACCAACAGTGTAAAAGCATTTCTATTTCTCCGCAGCCTTGCCAGCCTCTTTGCTGTATTTATACTTTCCCTCACCTCTCTTGATCTCTCCTGGCCCTTGCTTTCCCTTTCATGCCTCTCATAGTCACTCTATCACATGCCCCCATCTCTGGCTCTCTTTCTTGTTTCTTATCTTCTTTCTCTCCTCATTTCTTTCTCTTCTCTTCTCTGCCTCCATCTCCAATCTCCCCTCCACCACTCTCAGTTCCTTCCTCCCTCTTCCTGCCCTTCTTTCCTCTTCTCCTTTCTTTTCTCTTCCTTTCCCTCTCCTCCTCTCATCCCTCTTGCTATCTCCTCTTTTCACCTTCTCTTTCATCTTCCATTGTCTACCACCCCCTCTTCCTCTCAGATCTGCCTTTTGCTTCTGCTTGTGTAAGGCTGGCAGTGTCCTTGGTGGATGGTGGATCACACATATCAGAAGTTTGAATCAAATCAAACTGCAACTGAATTACACTAATAAACCAATTAAATACCATTCAAAAAGTAATTTCCATAGCATCTCTCCTATTTATTGCAAGTCTTGTTTCTCTGTCGCTGCCTCTCCGTTCCTTCCACATGTCTCTTCTTTCTCCGCTTTTTCTTTCTTGCCCACCCTCTGACCCCTCCTCCTTTCCTCTCCCACCAGGCCTGCTTGCAGCTCTCTTTAGCCCACCCACCTCACTGTACAACCTGCTTCCCCAACCTGGGATTCAAACTGCATTACAGGGCAGTTAGTCAGATGAAAAGACCACTGACCTGGGAGTCAGGAGACTTGAGTTCTTGTTCCTAGCTCTGCCACTGACTGCGTGTTCTTGGGAAAGTCTTGGAGTCTTTCTAAGACTCTTGTCATCCGCGAAATGAAGGCATTGGACTGAGTGATTTCCAAGGTCATCCTTAGTTCGTGAAGTTGGTTCCATGACCGCAAATGACATTAAAGTTTCCAAGAGATACAGGGTCCTGGAAAGATTTGTTACCACCCTCTACCCACCGCCTTAAAGCAAGGCCCCTGGTAGGACCAAGCCATGCTGAGAAGATTGAGCTCGGATTGCTATTTGTAGACAGTAGGCATTCTCCCGCTTTCACTGAGAATGCTCATCACCCTCTGACCACCATCCAGAGCATCTAATCACCTGTGTCCCACTGTTCCCTCTCTAAAAATAGGAGTCTCAACACTACCTGATTTCCAATCAAGAATCAAGTGGGGCACTGGTTGTTCTCCATTTGTACCCAGTCCACAGCAGTTCTCTCTAAAAATACAAAGGCATCCTACAAAAGCTAAAGAAATCAGAGATCTTGGTCTGGAAACAGGCTTCACCTTATCACCTGACTCTGCTTTTCAACACAGAGTGCAACTTTGAAATGTCCATGGGATCCATATTGCAGGGCTGTCATTTAAACCTGTAGGGTTCATCGTGTTATTCTTGAAATTGAAATGCCATTGATATTATGCAAGTTATGTAAAAAATAATTTATATGGGTAAGTTGTGAAAAGTACTTTCCTACTCACCATTTCACTGGATCTTCAGAATATCTCTGTAAGATTAATCAAGGCATATTATCCTCATTGGACAAATGAGGAAACTGAGGCATCCACAAGTTAAGCGGCCCAATCAAAATCATATTAATTTAGAGGTGTGACTCCAACCTACCATCTAATTAGACCCACGTGCAACTGGATTTTAATCATAGCTCTGCACTTATTAGCTGGGTGTCTTAGGCAAATGGCTTGACCTCTCTGTGCCTTGGTTTCCTCATTTGAAGGACAGGGGTAATACGAGTACCTTTCACAGAATTATTAACAATCAAATAAGCTTATATATGTAAGAAACTTAACATGATGCCTGGATATAACGAGTAGTCAATAAAGTAGTCAACCACCAGGCATGGTGACTCATGCCTGTAATCCTAGCACTTTGGGAGGCTGAGGCGAGTGGATCACTTGGAGTTCAAGACCGGCCTGGCCAGCATGGTGAAACCCCACCTTTACTTAAAAAAAAAAATACAAAAATTAGCCGAGCATTGTGGCACTTGCCTGTAATCCCAGCTTCTCAGGAGGCTGAGGCAGGAGAATTGCTTGAACCTGGGAGGAAAAAGTTGCAGTGAGCTGAGATCATGCCATGCACTCCAGCCTGGGCAACAGAGTGAGTGAGACTCCATCCCTCCAAAATAAAAATAAAAATAAAGGGTAGCTCATTTGATCCAACAATCCCACTACTGGGTATCTACCCTGCAGAAAAGAAGTCATTATTCCAAAAAGATACTTGCACACGCATGTTTATAGCAGCACAATTCACAATTGCAAAATCATAGAACCAACCCAAATCAAGTCAACGAATGGATAAAGAAACTGTGGTATATATACACAATGGAATACTACTCAGCCATAAAAAGGAATGAATTAACAGCATTTGCAATGACCTGGATGAGACTGGAGACTATCATTCTAAGTGAAGTAACTCAGGAATGGAAAACCAAACATCATATGTTCTCACTGATATGTGGGAGCTAAGCTATGAGGATGCAAGGGCATAAGAATGATACAATGGACTTTGGGGACTTGGGGGGAAGAGTGGAAGGGACACAGGGGATAACAGACAACAAATATGGTGCAGTGTATACTGCTCGGGTGATGGGTGCACCAGGATCTCACAAATCACCACTAAAGAACTTACTCATGTAACCAAATACCACCTGTACCCCAATAAATTATGGAAAAATAAAATAAAATAAAATAAAATAAAAGGTAGCTGCTATTATTATTATTGTTCTTATTGTTATTAATGTAGGGACAGGTGCCTTTTTTTCTCCTTTCCTCACATACATGTCTTGTCCCTTAGGGGAGGTGACTTCTATCCACTCTTTCTCCATATTGGGAAAGTTACATATAACTAACATTTCTGATCTTCTGCCCTCCCCATATTCACTCCCCTGTATGTGAAAGTTGGCATCCAAGTAGTCAGAGAATGGAAATAGTTGGGACAGGCTTTATTGGTGTGTGGGGCAGTGCGTGTGCTTCACCTGCTGTTTCCTGCCCTGGTATATGGGTGGCTGAGAAAAGCTCTCTCTCTCTCTCTCTTCAGCCACGTCTGCAAATGTGGGTCTCAGGTTTCAGGATTTAGCCCAGGTATCAAAGGCAAATGTCCTCATTCAGCCTCAGAACCAGGTCACATTTTCTACTGCAGCCTTCTCAAGTTCAGTGCTGGATATTTATGATAATACTTTGTGTTTTTTGTTTGGTTATTAATCTGCCATGTGGTTTATATACCACCTTTGTAAGGTGTCCAACAATCTTAGTTTATCTAAGACTGAGGGGCATCCTGGGATGCGGAACTTTCAGTGACGAAACTGGGGAAGTCCTACACCAGCAGGGATCAGGTGGTCACCCTGCATATTGGTTCAAACTTTGAAGTGATGAGTGATTTACTAAACTCCTTAAACAAACAAATAATAACTGTATAGAAATAGTAATGCTAGTGGAAAAATGTGAAAATAATAGGACATTTGAAATACCCAGGAATAAAATAGAGAAGAAAATAGTTGATGTCACCTATAATTCCATCACTCAGGGACCACCCTAGCCAGGCCCTCCAGGAGACACCCTTGTGTGTACTCAAGAGCATGCCATTTACATAGGCTGTCACATACATGGTGCTTTCTTGGTGTGCCGCGCAGTGTGTCAACCCTGACTGCAACGTCACTGAGCTTGGCTTGTAATCTTTTCCCCTAGGAAAGCAGGGGTAAGCCCTATGGCAGGACATGGGGTGTTGGTGCCCCAGTTTGGTGATGAGAGCTGATTTGATCCAACTCTTAGCATATTCCAAAAAGTAAGAGCTGAGATGATGCTTGTTGCGTTTGAACCCAGTCCCATCCCAGATTTTCTTTATTTCTTCAGCTCCCTGTTCAGTACTTGCATTTTGAGCGTTGAAATGTGGAGCTGAAGTAGACAAGATCTGCTCTTAGTAGGTGGTGTTCCACCTCAAGGGATCAGCTGGACCTCTTCAGGCCAGTTCAGCTCCTCAACTGCATCCCTCTGGCTCCCGTAATAACAGTATGTGTTTTGGAGGATGAGGAACAGTGAGGGAGGATCATAACAGCTTTCTACAAATAGCTGATAACACGTCGGATCTAACTGGGCAGCAGGAATACCACCAGCAAATTCCTGAGGACAGAACCCCCTTGTAGCACCCCATGAAGACATGAAAATGAAGAGGAAACATGAAAAAACGTGGAGCATGAATCCAGAACACTTGATACTGTCTGATAAGAAGGAAACAAAAGAGCACACAGAAATGATGAAGCAAACTTTGCTGAGTTGAGAACAACTATCTGCAAGTCAAACAGACGTAGCAAGTTCCAGGAACAAATAATGAGAAAAGACAAACACCTAGAAATGTTGGTAAAAGTTTTTAATTTCGGCCGGGTGCGGTGGCTCACGCCTGTAATCCCAGCACTTTGGGAGGCCGAGGTGGGTGGATCACGAGGTCAGGAGATCGAGACCATCCTGGCTAACACGGTGAAACCCCGTCTCTACTAAAAATACAAAAAATTAGCCAGGCATGGTGGCGGGTGCCTGTAGTCCCAGCTACTCGGGAGGCTGAGGCAGGAGAATGGCATGAACCCGGAAGGCGGAGCTTGCAGTGAGCCGTGAGCTGAGATGGCGCCACTGCACTCCAGCCTGGGCGACAGAGAGAGACTCTGTCTCAAAAAAAAAAAAAAAGTTTTTAATTTCAAGGATAAAGAATCAAGTGTATTAGCAAGGCAGAGGAGGATTACTTATCTGTGTTGCTACTGGACTGTCAACACAAAGAAGGCAGAGGCCATGCCTACTTGATCTTTGCTGTGTCCCCAGCACCCAGCAAAGTGCATGGCCCATAGTAGTTGCTCAATAAGTGCTTGTTGAATCACCAAATAAATAGATATAATAGCATTATTAATCCCTACCCAAGTTAGTCATTCCTATAGTATTTCAGCCACCATCATACTTCATTGACCTGCTGGCTCAGCAGAGAATATTACTATCCTCATTTTACAGTTGAGGAAGCTGAAATTCAGCAAGGTGATGCTATTATTCAAATTTACGTATCCAGCAATCAATGGAATTAGAATGAGAACCCCGATATTTCAAGTCCTAAATCTGGGCTCTGGCCTTGACTGCTTAGAAGCAGCCCAAATACATTTCCATGCCTTCCTTCCCCTTCTCTTCGGCGAATGTTCAGCTTCAGTTCCACCACATGCCCAGCAACACATATATATAAGCCAGCTGTCCCCACAGTGATCACAGTCTGGGAGGCCTAATAGACACCCACAGGGTACACATATAAATAAATCAGCCATGCTGACCCACAAAGAAATTCCATGTGATAACCTGGCCCTTGGCAATGAAATCTTGATTCACGCAGATCTATTTTCCTTGGTGGATAATTTTTCATCCAGACTATAATGTGATGGGGAGGCTTACAGGCATCCATAAAAAATTCAACAGAAATCCAATCCTCATTCTGAAGGGCCGGTGACACCCTGTCTCTCCCCCTGCCTCCCAGCCTCCCCACCAGC
Source organism: Homo sapiens (assembly GCF_000001405.40). Classification (NCBI taxonomy): domain Eukaryota; kingdom Metazoa; phylum Chordata; class Mammalia; order Primates; family Hominidae; genus Homo; species Homo sapiens. The sequence goes on along the minus strand of NC_000012.12, from coordinate 119,037,371 downwards.
TCCACCCACAAGGCCCTGCAATCTGTTTGCATTCTGGATTGGAAAAACTATTTTCTGATGATGATCCTTAACTCCTGGGGCATTTTCCGCCTCACATGGTATGGTATTCTGCAGTCTGGGTGTCATTTATTCTGGTAAATCTCTCTCTCTTTCTCCCACGGACTCCCTATCCCCCAAACCCCCATCACCATTTGAGCAAAACAGACCAAACCAAGACCCACCCACCCAAGAACTGGGGGGAACCACGCCCAGGAAAAATGGTGGAGCTATTTATTGTTTTCACCAGCAGGGGGCGTGGACCTCTCTTGGTCTTGTGTTTGATATCGCCTCGTTTCCACCACAATCCATTTCTAAGACCTTTCGGGAATGGGACAGAAATTTCTTTGTGTGTCCTCTTTCCCCAGAAGCGTGAGTGGCTGAAACGAAGAGAATGGACATGGAGCCCACCCGGAAGAGCACCCTTAACATCATCATATCCCTGAAGCACGAGTCGGGGTGGTGGGACTGCCCTGGAAACCCTGCACACAGCTGGCTTGAGCAGTGGGTATTTTCATAAGGCATATATGGGCATCACAGAACACTTGGAGGTACCGTTTTCCTTTCTGTCCAGGATCTTCTTTCTTTGTCTTTTCTGCATTCACTGCATCTTTTCCCCCTTCCTTCTCCCTTAAACCTGGACCATTATTTTCTGGGACATTATTTGAAATCTAACTGGCAAGCAAGAACTCCTCAGGGATGTCATCCATTTCCTTCCACTGGTGGTCCTCAAACTGCCACTGAGATGATGAGTGAAATACACACATTGAGGGAAACCTGTCTTATTCCTTTATTCAACCTCAAGACACTCTGTTTCTGCTGGAAGCTGAGGAAGGGAAACTCTCACAGCCAAAGACACACTGGAAAATAGCAGCAGGATATGGGGTTGTCAGAGTGAGTGTGGAAGGAGGCCCAAGCTCAGCTGCAAGCCACCGTATGCTCAGAACGATGGGCCTGGAAGCAAATGGAAGAGACCCTGGCTGAGCCTTACAAACACCTGCCTGGAAGCCAGAGCGGGCTATCAAAGACATTGAGATCAAATTTTGGAATCCAGCGGTATCTTTGGAAAGCAAAGCGGAGGCAATGGCCACACCAAGTGGAGCCTGTGGCACTGGTTCATAGAGTACTTGAAGTGTGAAGACGTGGGACACTGCTGAAATTTTGCTGACTGAAGTCTGACACCACTTCTAGCTTCCCCAAAAACAAGAAAAAGAAATTTTTCCATGCAGGCAAAACTCCTTGTCAAAGATATCATTGGCTCCATCTATCTCTTATCTCTCCAAGCACCTGACTCTTTGAAAAGGAAAAGGAAAAGGAAAATGACAATAAGAATTTTCCCTTTTCCCTTCATGTGGCCTGAAATATCCAATCAGAGATCGACTAAGCCCCTCTTAGAACATATGTAGGCCTCCAATTTATTAGAAGCAAGTACTTCACTCTGTAAGCCAGGGGCCAGCAGATAAAGACATTTAGCCATATGAAAAGACTCAAAGTACAGAAGAAGGGGATAAAGAAAGAGACTCAACAATATAGAGTTACTGCAAGCAGAAAGGTTTAGAAATGTTCCTGATAAGATGGAAACAGGACATCACATCTCTGTAACTAGAGGGGATAATCAGAGAGGGGCACCTATGAAATCTGGAAAAGGCCAAGGAAATGAAAAACAACTTGACCCAGTTAAAAATAAAATTGCAATTGAAGCATGAAACAGTAGATTGAAAATGATAAAGGATCAATTTTTAAAAAATAAAGATGAGGTTAAGAAAACTTAGAAACATGGAAATGAAAAAGGAAAAGTAAAAGATACAGAGCATGGATTCACAACACCCAAAATTGTAGAATGGGAAGGAGAGGCAACAGTACCAAGAGGTAGTGAAGAAAACTTTGCTTGGCTGAATAATTACTTCTATCTGCAAACTAAATGCACCTACTAAGTTCAAGGAAAAAGTGGTGAGAAGCAACAAATGCTCAAACACATTGGTCAAACTTTTCCAGTTTCAATAACAAAGAAGCAATTCTACCAGCAAAGCAGGGGAGAATTACTACTGCTAAGAAACAGAAAACTAGGCAGGCCCCAAATTTCTTCTCTACAATAAAAACATTGCAGTTTTCAGGGGGAAAAAATTGTGACCCACGAATTATATAGTTAAAGAAGGTAATATTCCAATTGAAGAGGAGAAAAGTCAATTTTTTTTAAATGCAAGGGTTAATTTTTTAATTTATACACTCTGAAAAAAATTATTCAAGAATATACTGTGGCCAAGTAAGAAGTTAGTCAAAATAAAGGATTGTATAGTTCATATAGTGAGAGACAGGGAATGAAGCAAAATTTAAAGAAGCCTGAAAATTTCGCCTCATAAAACAAGATGTTATATTGGTTATGACCGTAATTGTAAAAGGGCTAAATTTCAGTGCTAATCACCCAAATTCTCAGTTGTGAGTAAAAAATAGAAATCCAAGTCTATTATATGAATTTTTAAGGGATATGACAAAAAAATGATTAGGAATAAAAGTATGGCTAAAGATTCATCAGACACACCAAAAGAACCAGGGACGAAAGTGTCCACAAGCAAATAATTCAAGGCAAGAGAAAACAATATTCAGAGAGGGCGTTTTGCAGGGGCAGCAGATTTAAGCCATAAGGAAGATGCAATACTATAGACATTTCTGTATTGAATGGCACAGCTTCAAAAGGTATAAAGGAAACACTACGAAAAATAAAAATACAAGGAGAAACAGCCAAATCATAATTTTATTAGACTACTTTAACATTCTTCAGTAAACCAAGTAGGTAAAATTAGTGAGTTTGAGTAATATGCATGCATTAGATTTTTAGACTGCTGAAGAATGAACATGATTCTTGAACACTGAACAAACAAATCCCCAAACTTAGAAATTCTGCAACTGTGATGGAGACCGGGATGCCCCACCCAGAGTCATCTTCAACAAGGAAGAGTGGATCCTCCCAGCCACTGAGAGTCCTTCCAGCAGACAGCACTCAGCTGTCAGCCCTCTCCAGAGTCTGTTCCCACTGAAGAGGCCAAAGCCATGTCCCCTTCCTGGGGCAGCCTGTTTTCAATGATTGGTGTGGGGAATAAAACCCTGTCCTCTTGTTCTCAGCTCCAGACAACTTGAAAAGATCCTTCAGAGCTCTCTGTGGTGTGGGCTGAGGCCTCCACTGAGACCTCCTTGCAGCTCAGCTTCTCCCTCTGCCCAGTCCTACTCCCTTTCCTTTCTTTCCACAAGTGTCGCTTGACCCCAAGGCCCCTTGCTCCTAAGTCGCCTGTATGCTAATTTCCGTCTCAGACCCCACTGTCCAGACAACCCAATCTGTGAAACAAACTAATGTTAGAGTTGTTTCCAGAATACTTAAGCAAAAACACCAGAAGGATATATATGAATGTATGTGTTTCTTCTATATAGTTACTAGAACAAGACTGAAAAATTTAACTGTAGCCAACTTTGAACATATTGACATTGGGAAAATTACATATCAAGTTTATTAATATGTGCTGCTAATTCTATACTCAGTAGAAAATTCATAGTGTTAAATACTTTTTTATTATAAAAGAAAGAATGAAAAATCAATAAACCAAGAAAAATCAATCCAGTAAGGTGGAGAAAGAAACACGAAACATGTCTAAAGGTGAGAAAAGTATTTTTTTTTTTTTTTGAGATGGAGTCTCATTCTGTCACCAGGCTGGACTGCAGTGGAATATTCTCTGCTCACGGCGACCTCCGCCTCTTGGGTTCAAGCGATTCTCCTGCCTCAGCCTCCGGAGTAGCTGGGACCATAGGCGCGTGCCACCACGCCCAGCTAATTTTTGTATTTTTAGTAGAGACGGGATTTCACCATGTGGGCCAGGATGGCCTCCATCTCTTGACCTCGTGATCTGCCCACCTCCGTCTCCCTAAGTGCTGGGATTACAGGTGTGAGCCACCGCACCCGGCTGAGAAAAATATTTTTTAGAGATGTACTCTGAGGTGTGTAGGGGTGAAATAACATAATCTCTAGGGTTTTATTTAAAACATTTCAGCAAATAATACAAAGAAAAGAGAAAAAGATGAAGCAAATGTGGCAAAATTTTGGTATTTGTTGTATATTGCTCATGGATCTGTAAGGAAGCATACATTATATTATTTGCCCTAAGTTTTAGCGTGAACATTTTCATAAAAAATTAAAACAAAGGAGGAAGGAATAATAAAAATAAGTGAAGACATTAATGAAGTTTTTAAAAATTGAAAGCTAATGGGATGGATATATACATATAAAAACTGGATCTTGAAAAAAGTCAACAATAAAATAGGTAATTCATCATATCTAACCAAGGATAAAGCAGGAAAAAAGAATACATATCATTAGGAATATAATTATAGATCAAAAGTTAGATTTAAATATTATGGGACTATTATAACTTTTAGCTGATAAATTTTAAATTCTCAACAAAATCGACAATTTGCAGGGAAACATAAATTACCATATTAACATAAGAGACAGAAAATTGGTGAAACTATTAATGATAAAGAATCTGAAGGATTGTTACATGGTTAACTCTGTTAAAAGTCTTGGGCCTTGGCCACTCTAGAGTAAGATCTTTCCAACCTCCAAGAACCAGCAATATCATACTTCATAAATTATATCAAGACATAGAGAAGGGAGAAAGCTTCCCAAAGTATTTGAGATTAGCATAACCCTAATCTTGATAAATAAGAAATCAATCTCACTTTAAATACAAATGTCAAAATTATTAATAAACTATTACCAAATGGAAAACAGAAGTTTTTAAAGAGAGAAATGGGCCACAACCAGTGAGATTTATTCCAAAAAGTCAAATAAGAAAAAATATTGGGATCATTTAAATTAATACTCTCCTCTCCAAAGTCAATACTCATTACAGATGTAATTGAAATGTCTCTGCACAAAAAATAAATTTGATCAAGGACATATATTACACAGAACACCATGCTTAGTGGTGAAACACTGGGGACATTCTTGAAAAAGACACTCACTACTGTCTTTTTTATCTTACAATTTCTCTCGGAATTTCTAATTAATGCAGAAAACTGAAATAACAGGATTGGTATTTCCACACACCATCCTTCCCTTCCATACCAACAAGAGAGATTCTAATACCCCTTCTTGGGAGGGGACGCTTCATTCCCAGTCAGGATACACACTATGAGATATTATTATACCATCACTCATTGCTCAGGTGAGAAGAGTGAGGAAAAGATGAACTGTGGATTAAAGAGTTAAAGATAAATAATGAAACAACAAAATTACTAATTACTATCAAAAATGAACTTTAGATAGTAATCTATCTAATTTGGGGTGATGGGCTTTTTAGGAAAAAATGCAAAAGAAGAAATTATAAAGTAAATATTGCTGGGTTTGACCATTTAAAAATTAAATATTTTTGTAAATTTTGCAACCAAGACTTTAAAACAAATGGTAAAATCAGAAAAAATATCTAAGATATGCATTAAAGACAAATGGTTAATAAAATCTTTATTCTATTAAAACTTTGAACAGCTTTTTTTAATGGGCAAAAATTATGAATTAGCAATTTGCAAAGGAAAAAATAAATGAGCTCTCAAAGAAATGCAAATAAAAACAGGATATCATGGTTTTCCTATCAAATTGAAAAGACTTTAAAAATGATGACCCTTTAGGCAGCTAGGTTTTTTCATGTACTCCTAGAGGGAAGACTAACTTATGTGGCTATCCCAGGGGTCAATTTATCAGTAAATCTCAAAACCCTAAAAATGTTCACATCATTTTGTCTAGCAATTCTACTTCTAGAATGTAGTAGGCATACTCCAAGATGATCCCTAATAATCCCTTCTTTCTGGTGTTCACATTCTTATATAATCCCCTCCTCTTGAGTGTGGGCAAGACCTAGAGCTTCCTTCTAACCAATAGAATATGGCAAGGGTGATGGTCTATCATGTCTTAGTTAAGTTACGTAAGATTGCAACATTCATCTTACTATCTGACTCTTTCCATTGCTAGCTTTAATGAAGACAGCTGCCATTCTGTGAGCTGTTCTATGAAGGAGCCCACTTGGCAAGGAACTGGGGGAGGTCTCAGATTAACAGCCAGCAAGAAACTGAATCCTGCTAACAACCACCTGAATGAACATGAAAGCAGACCCTTCCCCAATTGAGTCTTCAGATGAGACCCAGTGCTCACCTGCACCTAGGTTGGAGCCCTAAGAGAAACCTTGAAGCAGAGGAACCAGCTTAACCTGATCCATGGAAACTATAAAATAAAATGTGTGTTGTTTAAACTGCTAAATTTCTGGAAACTTATTACCCAGCAGTACATATCTAGTGTATAAGGATTTACCAGAAGAAAATAATCATGGATGTGTGCAAAGATCTAAACACAATGACGTTCACTGCAAATTTTTTAATAATTGAGAACATTTGGAAACAGTGTAAATGTCAATGAATATAAGGCTGGAGAAATCAATTATAATACAGGTGAACCATATGAAATCATTTTTGCAGGTTAAAAAAGGTCGAATAGCACTAATTTTATGTGTTTCAACCTAATGCATTCGTATGATATGGACATGAAAATAGTATTTATGAAAAATACAATATGGGGGAACATCATAAAATTTCATGATATATTGTTAAGTGAGAAAAATGGCTTATAAAGCAATGAAAATATGATTGTAATTTTGTGAGAGAGATATACAGATATGCATAGAGAAAAAGACTGCAGATATACCAATAAAAAGTGAATAATGTTTACCTTCAAATTTTAGAATTTGGGGTGATTTTTATATTCTTTTTTTCTGTACTTCTGACAACAGACTTTTTTTTGTAATCAAAAAGCAAGATTAATTAATACAAGTCAACAATGGAATAAATTCCTAAGCCAGAACTAAACTCTCTGTTTAGAACACTGTCCCTTGTTGCTCACAAATCACTCTGCCTGATTTCCTGGGCTTACAGAATCCCTGAGAGTGTGTTTAGAGGTGCCCTGTGATATCATCAACAGCTCTACCGGATTACTTCTTTGCCTTACGGAAATCTGTTATCCTCCCTTGTGGGGAGGTTCTTCCCATCCTGTGTCATACCCTTGGTTCTTTGAGTTGCTCTCTCCAAATCCCTTGGTTCCTGACATTTCATAATGCTGGGCAGTAGAGGGGATTTTGAGGAAAACATGTGTGCTGAAAGAATGTGGAAAATCACTATGCATTTTTCTCTCGCATTTCAGTTACCTCTGCCCTTCTGTTGCTGTTCCGTTTCATTTGTTACCCAGCTAATAACCCTATTAGAAAGCTGAAACGTTCCCCAGCTTAGTCAAGAATGGCTGATGGATTTTCTCTCTCAGACTCCAGAAATGCCTTGGGACAGCTGCATGGGTCCCCAGGTATGGGCCATTAGCTGGAAGGTCATCCTCACTGAGAAACCTATTCCCCTACATTAGAATTCGCTCCTACCAGATTTACCTGGTGCTGTCTGCCTACTGTGTCTCTGACCCTGCCATGTCTGCATTTAATCCAAGGCTCCCATTACCTGGAGGAGAAGGGGATCTGTGTGATGTGATTTTGGCATATTCGGCAAGTTCCATCACCATCAAAACATGTTTTATCACTGCAGGAAGAAACAAACGTGTAGGAGAAGAGTGAGTTGGTGACTCTCTACATTTTCTTTCCCTGAGAAAGGTCTTAAAATACTTCAACTTCAAAGCTAAGTCTAGTTTGTAACAAGATGGATTTAGGCCAACCAGAAAGACAAGGATCACTTCTGTTTGACTCACCAGGCATCTATGACAGTCCCTGGCACAGAGAGGGCTCCTAATGAATGGTTGTTGAATGCCTCAGTGGTTGTTGAATGACTCATTGGTTGTTGAATGGATGACATGAAAAATTTCTAGCACATTATTAGCTTGGAATTTTCACCTATTGGTCCAAATTCTTATCTTGGCAATCACACGGCACAAAACTTCTCTCCTCTGTTTGCTCACATGCTTGCATCTTCATGTCTTCATCAGGGCTTAGCATACCCAGCGCCTTCAATCACTCTTAGAATAGTATCATTTTCCACTCAGTGACAAAGGAGAAATCACTGTCCTTGTCCTTTGCTTTGATTAAGGAAATTAGAGTGGGAATAAGGGAGCAGGTTCTGGTGGGAGTATATGTAAGCCATGCTTCTCCTTCTTCCTTGAGGGAATGGGGATGGTGTAATGCCTACCCATCCCTCTCATGAAAAAAGATATTGTGAGTTATTTCTCACCTTTGCATATGGGGCACAGTATTTTCCCACCTGTGTGCTTTTTGCAGTGGTGGCCTTCTTCGTTGTCCCTTTCTGTCTCTAAGATCCCTGCTATTTTCCTGCTCCTTTTTATGGAGCAATTCTCACTGTGTGTCCTCACCATAATCCCTCCTGCTATGTTGAAACCCCAGGCAAAGTGTCTATCAGCTATAACTTGGCAAGTCCAGTGTTTCTCTCATCTTGCCTATAGCCTGGGATCACCGATTCAAATTTATTTTCCTTCAAGGCCTTTTCTTCCAAAAAGTCTCTCCTGCATGTGCAGCCCACTGTTGTCTCTCCTCCCGAATTTGTGGTGCATTTATATCTGGGGACAGCATGGTACAATAAACACAGCATGGACTTTGGAGCCAGGGTGACCCAGGTTCAAATCCTGGCTCTGGAATTTGTCCATTGTAGGTATGTACAGATGAGTTGCTGTACTAGTCCATTTTCATGCTGCTGATAAAGATATACCTGAGCCTGAGGAATTTACAAAAGAAAGAGGCTTAATGCACTCAAGTTCTGTGTGGCTGGGGAGGCCTCACAATCATGGCAGAGGTGAAAGGCATGTCTCACATGGCGGCAGACAAGAGAAGAGAACTTGTGCAGGGGAACTGCCCTTTATAAAACCATCAGATCTTGTGAGGCTTATTCACTATCATGAGACTAGCACGAAAAGACCTGCCCCCATGATTCAATTACCTCTCACAGGGTCCCTCCCACAATACATGGGAATTGTGGGAGCTGCAATTCAAGATGAGATTTGGGTGGGGACACAGTCAAACCATATCAGCTGCCTATACTAAGCCACTTTTCACATCTGTTCAATGGGGGTAGTCACCCTTCCTTCACAGAGTTATTTTAAGGCATTGGCTCTCAAAATGTGATTCCCTAGAACAAATATCATCTGAGAACTTGTTAGAAATGCAAATCCTAAGACCACCACCCCAAATCTGCTGGAAAGTCTAGGGGTGGTGCCCAGCAATCTGTGCTTTAACAAGCCTTCCAGGTGATTCCGATTCATGCTGAAGTTTGAGACCCACTAAGTATTAGCAACAACACGTGCAAAGCACCTGCATGCATATGTTTAAGAATCTTTGCTATTATTATCCTGTGCATACTCCACTCGGGTTGATGCTGTCTTGCATTAATTAATCTCTATATGGGGATGCAAAAGACCACAGTGGTTATAAAAGTACAGGCCCCGAAGTCAGACTCAGACTGCTCTAAATTCCATTTATACCAGCTTTGTGGTCTCGGGAGGGTTCATATCCTTTATGTGTCTACATACCTGTAATATGGAGACAGGGATCATAATAATAAATACTCTGTTGTTTGTTGTGGGGAGTAAAGCCTAATAAGACATGTAGAATACTTGCCCACTGTCTAGTGTATAATAAGTGCCCCCCCAGGTTATCTATTATTATAGTCTCCAATTGTGTTCATCTCACCTCAGTTATAACATAAACTCTTCATGAGCAGGGCTGATATGTAGCTCATTTGCATCATGCAGGGTATACAGCAAAGGCACAATGAGTGCTTGTAGATCTGACTCATTGTGCCATATATTAATATCTTAAAAGATAAGATTACTAGCATTCTCATGGTCAGGTGACTTGAGTTGACATCACGAAGGAAAATTGCCATTGAAAAAGGGACGTGACCTTTCAGGAAGACTAGGATTTTGTCCCTCCGCTGCCACCTACCCATTCTGTGACTTTAAGATTCCATTTCTTTGTCTATAAAACAGGGGTGATACTTTATATGAGTTTAGAAACAGAAAGCCCTAACTCACATTGGTGCAAACCATAGAGAAATACAGGATCACAATTCCCAGGAGTCTGGTTGGGTGGGTGGGTGATCCAGTGTTGGTTTAGTTGGTGCTCCATGATGTCATTTGGGGCCCATCTTTTTTTCTCTCCTGTTCTTGATGGAGAGCTGTGCTCTCAGCTGCTCCCCTTGGGATTCCAAGATGCCAGGCAGTCCCAGACATCACTCCCAGACATCAGCGTCCAGAGGAATAAAGGAAGCATCTAAATGTGACTCCTTCTTGAGAAGGAGAAATTTTTCCCCAAAGCCTCTTGAGCAGACTTCTCCCATTCCTAAAACATTTGCAGGTGTGAGAATGGGATTACCATGATTAGTTTACACTGATCACCCGAGGTGTTGTGGATAAACTGGGGGTTCTCCAATGCTATGCCTAGAACAAAATTTAAAGGATCATTGTGGGCCTGGCAAAGTGGCTCATGCCTGTAATCCCAGCACTTTGGGAGGCTGAGGTGGGTGGATCACTTGAGGTCAGCCTGGCTAACCTCTGTTGAAACCCTGTCTCTACAAAAAAAACAAAAATTAGCCGGGTGAGGTGGTGCACGCTGGTAATCCCAGCTACTCGAGAGGCTGAGGCACGAGAATCACTTGAACCTGGGAGGCGGAGGTTGTGGTGAGCCAACGTCGCGCCATTGCACTCTAGCTGGGGCAACAGAGTGAGAGTCCATCTCAAAAATAAATAAATAAATAAAAATTAAAATTAAAAACATTAATTAATTTAGAAAAAGGATATTTGTGGTGATAAAATGAGATCACTGTACATACACTGTGTCTAGCACACAAGTGACACTTATAGATGTGGCCCTTGTCCTCTGTTACTTCCTCTTTGAGTCCTTTTTCTTACCGCTCACATACAGGAACCAAGTTCTGTGCATTTTGCCTCCTTAATATAACTTCAAATTGTCCATTTCTCTATGTGATCCTGTCACCTTCCAAGTCTAGGTCAATATTATCTCTTTCCTGAACCTCTCCAGCAGCTCCACCTCACATTTCTTTTTTAATTTCATTATTGAACCCTTCCTACTTATCTCCTCCACAGCCACAGAGTGATTTTTTTCATGACATAAATTGCTTAAAATCTTCTGTGGCTTTCCATTCTCTCTAGAATAAAACCAAACCCAGATGTGGTGGCCATGAGAATCTACCGCCCAGATCTTCAACCACAGAGGGCACCAGGACCTCCAATGTGGAGCCCTGACCTTGTGGAAGATCAAACCTCCCACAGGTTGCTTCCAGCCAATGGCTCGGTGGCCGTGACTCTAAGGCAGGGACACATAGGACTCCACTGATGGCCAACTTTGGTTTAAGGGCTTCCAAAGTGCCTTGCCAAACCTTTCTCAAACTGCACAGCAGGCTAAGATGCTTTTGCCCAATCTTTCTTTCTCCCCTTTTTCCTTGGCTCAAGGTCTGATCATTTTCATGGAGGTCTGATGCTTTCTAAGCCTCCCTCCCCATTTCTCCTTTGGGCAGTTCCCCTAGTAAAATCCGTATATGAGACCGGCACAGTGGCTCATGCCTGTGATCCCAGCACTTTGGGAGGCCAAGGCAGGTGGATCACCTGAGGTCGGGAGTTTGAGACCAGCCTGACCAACATGGGGAAACCCTGTCTGTACTAAAAATACAAAATTAGCTGGTCATGGTGGCACATGCCTGTAATCCCAGCTACTCGGGAGGCTGAGGCAGGAGAATCACTTGAACCCGGGAGGCAGAGGTTGCGGTGAGCCAAGATCATGCCATTGCCCTCCAGCCTGGGCAACAAGAGTGAAACTCAGTCTCAAGAACAAACAAACAAACAAACAAAAAAAAAAACTCCATATATGAGCAGTCTTATCTTGACACCCACATCTAAGCAGGCCTGGATTAACAAACCTCCATGATCTGGACTCTGCCTGACTGTCCAGCCTCATGTCCCATGCATACTCCTTGCACCATATATTCCAGCCCCCCTGAAATGCAGACAGCCTCCCCTTACATACTGGTGTTTGCACTGCCCGATCCTCTGCCCCAATACCATTGCCCCCTACACTCCATGTTTGGCTAACATCTCAATGTAAATGTTCTTTCTCCTGGAATTGTTTATTCTCCCTTTCCCTACACACAAATACACACACACACACACCCTAATGCACACCCACCAGGGTTACGTGTCTCTGCACTGAATGCCCAGAACACTCTTCCAACCTCCATCAAAGCACCCATCCATCTATGCTGCAATTTCTGACTTGAGTGCTTCCCCACATAGCATGAGGCTCTATGTAGGGCAGCACCGTATCCTCTCACTCCCCATTTGTCCAGTCCCCAGAACAGGCCCTGGCACACAGTGAGCGCTTATGGCCCAGTGGTCTCCTTCTCCTCCTACTGTCGCCATACATGGCTAGGGAGACACAGAGAGTCCTTGTTTTTCAGGATAGAGTGTCCTGAAAAACACTCATGTTACACTCACTCCCAGCATCAGCCTGGGTTGGACGTAAAGGGATTGGAAAAGATCCTAAGGCACTAAGATCAAGCTTAAGAGGCCTGGCTAGCCTGGCCATCCTTGGGTTTAGACAGGAGCAGTTCTTAGCCCCAGGGAAGCTCAGTTTAAATGCACATCAATCATGCTCTGGAGAAACCTGGATTAAAAGATCAAAGCTGACAAGCTGCCTGTTAGGGGAGGGGGCACCCAGGACATACAGGAGATACGCTGAGTAGAATAGACACAGAGAATGGGCTTATGAGGAGCAGGGCTTCTATGTGTGTGTGTTGCTGAGTTACACAAAGGGGCCCAGCCGAGGGGGCTTGCAGGGGCTGAAACCCAGCCCACATTCCCTCTGCCATCCTGCGTGCAGTGGCAGTGAGACTGCATCAGCTAGAATTCAACAACACAGAGAGAGCACCTTTGGTAACTACACAGAGATACGCTGCAAGGTAGCAGTGAGCTTGGGTGAGGACAGGCTGGACTCGGGAAAAACTTGGAGCTGGGGGTCAGCAGAGTTTGAGTTCTGGCCCTTGTCAGCCTCAACATGTTGGATGACTTCGGGCAGAGCACCTCCTTCTTGGGGCTTCAGGTACAATTTTTGAGCCCCCATGATGGGCCAGGAGCTGGGTTTAGACACTGCATATATAGCTGAGGACAAGAGAGAAAGTCAAACAGTCCTCTTGAAATACATGAATAGATGGGGAAAGTAGGCATTCAACAAATAATCACATAAATAAATAAAAATAAATGTGATAGGTAACATGCAGAAAAGCCAAGAGTACAATGAGAGAGAATTACAGGAAGGGTCTCATCTGCAAGAAGAGAAAGTCTTGTTAAGGTCAAAGCATGAGAAGGAGTTAATTAAAATGCGGGGTGTAGGGGAAGGGGTAAGTAAAATATTTGGCTGAGGAACAGTATTTATCTATTGGAATACGTATTGAGCACCTATTATATGTTGGGTCTGAAACAATGAAGACAAAGAAAGGGCTCATTGAGGCAGGAACAAAGAAATGGGAGGGAAAATGGGATGAGTTTATGTAGAAGGTGGAGGCAGTGACCAGATCATTCAAGACCTTGGATAGCAAGATAAGAATTTGGAGTTTTCTCCTGAGAGTAATGAAAAGATGTTGGAAGGTTTTAAGCAGCTGTGTGACATAATCTGGTTTGCATGTTGGGAAGGTCACACTGGCTGCTTTCAGGAGACCAGAGCCTGATGGTAAGGACTGCTCAAGCTCTGCTTGCCTAGGACACAACTAACAGCCCTTAGCCATGTGACTGGAGACCTGCAACCTCTTTCTTTATCATTTGGCTCTTGATAGGGATCAAAGGAATTGCTGTGTCTTTTGGGAGCTTGGCTTCCATAGTCACCCTCACCTAAGGGAAACTAGGTCGAGGAGGAAGAAAGGATAAACAGAACTAACTGTCCCTCTCAGGTACTAAGCTGTTCCCAGTGCTCACCTCTATGCAAAATCACCCAGTTTCATCTCCATTTTGTGACCCAGGGATTAGTTCATGGTTTCTAATTTGTCACTGAGACACACCATTATCCACCCAGCAGATACTTTCTTCTGCAAAGGGAGCAAGGAATTGCTAACCACTATCCTGCTCCTGTTCAAGCATTTGGATTGGGGGAAAGACAGTGTACCTCATCAGAGGAGTCTGAGCTCTCAGCCCCAGAGAATGAATTGATGGAAGCCAACCATGGAAAGTACATTCTTCTTACCGTGACAGGTGTAGGTAAAAGTACGGAGTATAATTCTGGGGGGCTTCAAGAGAGGGCTTTGTTTGTTCTCAAAAAGACACAAAAAGAGATGCTCTGCTCATTGTGTCTTCATGCAATGGCTGGAGACACTGCAGCCCTCTTGCAGTGGTGAGGGGAAACATCATTAACACCCTGAGAATGGCAGAGCCAAATCTGAAGTCTAGTTGAGTTGCTCAATTAACCAACTCTGCCTCTGGACTTCTATGAAGTAGGAGAATGCATTTCCCTGATTATTATGTTTTCTGAAAACTGCAGCTGAAAAAACTTCAATTGATAAAGGTTCTCTGGGCCTCAGTTTGAGACATATGTGACCATGCTCAGTTTGAGATATATGTGATAATGCTGAGATATATGTGACCATGTGACAAAACTTCACAATCCCTCTGCAAATGTTAGATAATATATGACTAGAAACTCAGCTCCAGGGTACATGAAATCTATGTCTAGTAAAGCTTCCTTCCTTCACATCAGGTAGACAGTCAACTAACATTGCAGTCAGGAAGTTCTTCTTGGCATCTGGCTTACATTTCTATTGCTGCTTTGTGGATTATTTGTGCTGATTTGTGGATGTGAAGGAAGGCTGGTGGAGATCATCTCTTTGCCTTAAATCACTACCTAGAATTTTGGCCCCACCGGGTAATAACCATGGTTGTGACTGAATCCTTAGCATCTAGACCAGTGCTGAGCACAGAGTGGGTCTTGACAAAAGGTTTTTGTTTGTTTGAAGTAACCAAAAAATGTGAAATCATCGGAGTCAAGTGTAGGCTTGTCTATCAGAGAAAGAAAATAAGCATTCTCCTCTTTCTTTTTTTTAAATTTTATTTTATTTTAAATTTTATTAAATTTTATTTTAAGTTCCAGGATACGGGCAGAATGTGCAGGTTTGTTACATAGGTAACAGGTGGTTTGCTGCACCTATCAACCCATCACCTAGGTATTAAGCCCCACATGCATTAACTATTTATCCTGATGCTTTGCCCTCCCCCACCAACAGGCCCCAATGTGTGTTGTTCCCCTCCCTGTGTCAAGGATCTAGAACAAGAAATACCATTTGACCCAGCAATCCCATTACTGGGTATATACCCAAAGGAATATAAATCATTCTATTATAAAGTTACATGCACATGTATGTTTATTGCAGCACTATTTACAATAGCAAAGACATAGAATCAACCCAAACGCCCATCAATGATAGACTAGATAAAGAAAATGTAATACATATATACCATGGAATACTATGCAGCCACAAAAAGGAACGAGACCATGTCTTTGGCAGAGACATGGATGAAGTTGGAAGCCTCATCCTCAGCAAGCATTCTTCTCTTTCAATGAAGTCGCAAGCACATCTATTTCTGCTAACTTTAGTTCAGGGGTGGGGTCCCTAGTGGGAGGGGACAAAAGCTGGACTTTTCAGCCATTTATGAGAAGGCACCTCCTCAAAATGCACATCTGGCAATAATGACCACTGGGGGTAGTTGGTGCACACTGGTGTGCACACAGACATCTTGGGTCCTTGGAAAGTTCTAGTTTGCTCAAGTTCCTGCCTGCCTATCTGACTCAAGGAGTCCTATGTGTTCTTATTCTCTGAACCCCTACCCTGATGAAAGCTCAGCCTTCCATAGCTTCAAGTCAGCCAATCTCTTCTGTTAGTCATTCTGCCTCTTTTCCATGTGGTTTTATCTTCTGCCTTGAACTACAGGTTTCATCTCTTCTGAGACACTATGACCATAGGATCACTTCTTTTTTTTCCTTAAGTAAACTTTTAAATAAACTAGAATATACTTACAGAAGAGTGTCCAAATGATCAAGGTAGAACTGCATCAATTTCTACCAGATTGCAAAACAGAATATTCCCAGTCTCCAGAAGCACCCCCTCACCCTTCTCACACTCACTTCCAGTGATTCTCTCACCTCCTTTCCCTGACTTACCTGACGTCTAGATGTGTTTTGTCTGGGTTTTGAGGAAACTAAGGCTCAGAAAGAGGAATCACAGGTCAAGTCACCCAGAGAACCAGCAGAACACAGCGCCTCCCCCCACCGTCTCTAGGAATCACTTTCCCGCTGCCTCTACAGCGCCCTCTACGGGCGAGAAGGCATCTCCTTTTCCTGTCTACCCATTAGGGCTATTCTCTCGTTGGAAGAGAACACACCCTCTCCCAGCTTTCTTTGTAAAAGTCCTTCCTCATTCTGGGTTCCAAATAAAATCCTCTTTATTTCCCCAGCTCTTTCCTTTCTGTGATTTTGATATAAAACCTCTCGCCAGCCCCTCTTGTAATTACCACGGAAAGAAATCTCATCTATTTTGAGCGATTCATTTGCGCTTTCACACCGGGCCTGTCTTTAACACACACGTGAATGATCCTCTTCAGGACAGCCTGCTGGCTCTGAGCTACACCTTTTCAACGCCACCAGCTCCGACTCACTCCCCCTCCGTCAGGACTCTTATCCTTTTCACGATTTCATTCCTTGCGCTGTTTGAAATGGATCATTCTACCCAGACAGTTACTGATAAGACGAATAGCTCCTCCCTGCCCGGGGCCACTGGGTTTACCAACACTTGGATGTAAGCATCTTCTACAAGGATTTAATTCAGATATTTAGACAACAGATTTTTATCTACCATACTGGTCGTATTGCCTTTTAGTACGGTGAGCATAATCAATGGGCTATTTAATGAGGAGGCAGGTGAGAGGGTCTGTGTATGTTGGGTACAGGGAAATAAAATAGCAAGGACAAATAACACACTTTGCAACCTTGAGAGTGTGACTTCCCCCTTCTGGGCTTCAGGGTCCCATCAGTATGATAAAGGGGATGTGAACTAAGTCAGAGAGGGGAGAACTTGTGGGGGCCCCATGCAGCACCACCACCCTGGTGGTGCAATTTTTGATGCGCACGAGGATGCCCTGTTGAGAAGGAAAGTGAGGGCTGGAGTTTACCCTACTCCATTGACCACACTGTGCCACCCAGAGAAAGCAAATCTCTTCCCTAATTCATACAAAGGTGCTGTACGGTTAAGCAGCAGCCTGGGTGCTGTTGCATGTGTGTGATTTTTTTTTGGGGGGGGGGGGAGCGGGGGGAACTGTCCAGAGCTTTCCAGCTTCTCAAAGCATCTAAGTTCCCATGAAGGCTTCAAAGCCAGTAGTTTATGAGATCTCTCAGGCTTCCCTGCCACTCTGTAAGTTTTCTTGGTGTTTCCTTTCCCTTCAAACATCCTCCTTCTACCTCTCAAGTGATCAATAACCACAGAGCCCTACTCCTCAAATAAAATAGCAGGAAAGG
Organism: Homo sapiens; assembly: GCF_000001405.40. Classification (NCBI taxonomy): domain Eukaryota; kingdom Metazoa; phylum Chordata; class Mammalia; order Primates; family Hominidae; genus Homo; species Homo sapiens. Next base: position 119,019,738 of record NC_000012.12, on the reverse strand, counting down.
GGATGTTGGGCTGGGCAATGGTTTCATTTCTTAGAGAAGCAGTTTAATCCCAGGGAGCCCGTGGCAGGATGTTCATGAGCAGAGAAGGGAGTTCTTATGAAGGGTAGTGTAGGTTAGGGTAGCAAGTTAATAAACTATGTAATTTCAGAAGGTAACAGGGTGCATGAGCAGTTGCCAACAGAGAAGGCAAGAAGGAACTGCTGTTGTCTGAGGTGTCAGGCTGAGAGCAAAAAATTAAAACAAACACAGCTGGAGTGAGTGGGTGGAGGGGAAATGCTTGAGGGGGGGAATTCAAGCCCTGGGAAGCTTCAGGGAGTTACTAAAATCCCCTTACTACCCATGTTGACTAGAGGAAATGAGGCAGCAGGCTCAGATTTGTAGGCAGCCCCCATCTGCCGAACACCCATTATTTCAACCCGGGGGATGGTTGACGTGTCTTTGATTAGGATTTGATTGTTCACATTGCACAAAGGATTTGGGGCTCAACTTTTTAAAGCCTCCATTAAATATTTAAGTAGCTGGCCCCCAGAGCATTTGAATTAGAATTTGATTTATGACACATTGATTTACACATCACGTTTACCGATCAGATCCTCTCTGCAGGGAAGGTGGCATTGTGGCAAGGAGATTCAGTCTGTCAGCTTTGGGGAGCAGACCAGGAAGGTTATGAAGGGTTGGGGACCATACCTGTCATTCTGGAGCAGTTCAGTTCTGGGAAAGTTCCCTGTGATAAATCTCTTTCTTTTCACTTGAGCTTCATTAAGTTTGAGATTTTTGCAACCAAATTATTCTGAAGGAGATTCACAAATTTCAGCCACTCCTGGGGGTGAGTGATTGCAGATTTGATTCCCTAGAATTTTCAGTGGGGTCTTTATGATTCCTAGGGTACTTGACAGTAGGGGTACCCTACTTTTTAAAAAACTGAGGATACAAAATTTCTAACTTACAACAAAACAAATTAGGTAGAGTAATTCTTTCCATTACTCTAGGGTACCAGGCATTGGATTCTTTCTAAATACGAGTGGCCACCCAGCATTCTCAATTAAATCCATTTCTTCCTGTTCTTTTTCTTCAGGTATCTGAACAAATGCTTTTCTCTCTACCTCTCTCTTTTCTGTTTTTCTTGTAATAATTGCAATAGCTGTAGAGTTTTGAACTCATACTACATCCTAACACTGAAACTGTGACCCAAAGAGTTAAAGAAACCAATGACTAACAAAAAAATTCTTGAGTTTGCAAGATGACAGTTAAGAAAAGGAACAACTTGCTGAAACACTGAAACTTCCTTTATTAATGAGATTAAAAAAATGGCTGAAGTCAGTTGGAACCAAGATGGCCAACTGAAGTCGATGCTGAATTTCCTCAGCATGTTTCATACTAATTCCCCTCAAATTTGCACAAGGAATCCATGAAATAGCACACAGAGATAACTGTGCATGCCCAAGGACTTTCCAAAACCCCCCTTTTCTTCCACCAATCACCTACTCGTTTCAGAATCTATCCTCATAGACTTTTCTAATGCAAATATTGCCTTAAAGCCAGCACAGAGAGACAGATTTGAGTTTGACTCCTGTCTCCTTGGGAGTTGACTTTCAATGTAAAGCTTTTCTTTTCTCAAAAACCCAGTGTCATAGTACTGGCTCATAGCACATGGCGGCAGTGAGCCCCTTTTGCTTGACAACAACTCTGTGTCAAGCCTTTTATTGACATTGTTTTATTTAATATTCACAATGATCCTGCTAAATTATTCTGCCTCACGTTAGTGATGAGGAAGTTGGGGTTCAGATGGGTTAACTAACCTGCCCAAGTCAACATATCCCATATGTGGCAGAGTCAGGATTGAACTCAGGTCAGCCTGAATTTAGAAGATGGGCAGCGTGGAGCTACCAGATTGCAGGTGGGTGGGAGCAGATAAGCTGAGAGGAGTGAGGCAGAATGAGTTCACTGTGGTGTAATGAGCCTAAAGAAGGTTCAAAGTGAGTGAGGGAGGGTCTCTGCTAGAGCAAAGATGAGACGGACCCCTCCCCAAAGGATGCCACAAACCTTCACTCTCGACTGCCCCCGCAATGGACTCCACTCTTTCTTTGTTATTCCTCTTCTAGTCCCCAAGATATTAGTCTTCCACTTTCATCTGCATAGCCACACCACCCACGTCTCCTCCCCTGCTCCCACTCCTGCCACCCCCTTACACTCTTCCCCAGCCTCCTGCTGCTTCCCATCTTCCTCAGCCCAGGGAATGCAGCAGCCATCTGCCCGCTTAGTATATGCTGAGTCTTCAGCCCAGACACACAAGCCCACAGTCTTGAGGGGGCTTAGTCAAAGCTCCAGAGGTAAATATCCAGAAAGAAGGAAATGCCTAGTCCAAGCAAATGGGATGCTGATGTGCCTTTCCAGGCATAGCATCCGGGAATTTTAGAACTGGAAGAAATTATAAATGTGTGTCAGTTTCAAGATGGGAACAGTAAAGTCCAAAAAGGGAGAGTGACTTTTCTACCACGATGCACTTGATGGGTTTCATTCATTCACTCATCCAAGGAAGACTTATCAATCAGCTACCCTGTGCCAATCATAGAAGCTGGAGATTAAAAATGGAATAAAACAACCTCAGGGGATTTATAGACTAGGCTGTGGTGATATGAACTCCATCTTAAAAAGTCTTATAATCCATGCGGATATTAAAGTTTGCTGTTTATTTAACAAGCATGATAGTACTTTTCATATTCCAGACCCCATAGTATTTACAAATATCATCTCATTTAATTATCACAACAATACTATGAAGTAGGTGGTATTTAATCCCCATTCTACAGATGAGAAAACTGAGGTGCAGAAACATGAAGTGACTGGTCTAAGGTTGCACAGCCAGGAACTGGCAGAGCTGGGGTTCAGAGTCAGCGTGCCTTGTCTGCAGTATGCTACCCTGTCATTCCCAAGCACTTCCATAGCATGATATTGTAAAGGAAAAATGAAAACTACCAATAAGCCCCTCAAAACATAGTAAAAGAGGTAAAAATACAAACAAACAATGCAAAGTCAGAATTAAGAAAAAGTAAATGGCACTCAGTGGCCAAGGTGATGGAGGAGAATATGGAACAGGGATCTGCAAGGTCTAACCTTTCCCAGGGTAACGAGTGTTGAACCATAAATTTGTATTTGAGTCTCCTGGTAGACAAAGGGAAAATACAAAGTCTATGTTATATGGTTTTCATAATTCTTGATTAGAAATTGGGCTGGGGAAATGCAGCAGTCTATTTTTTCTTTTTCTTTTTCTTTTTTTTTTTTTTAATTACATCGTATTGAATTCTGAACTCTGGAGGGCAAAAACCACACTTTGCTCATTTCCAGGAAGAGTCCCCCTCATAGAGTGTGATGTGAAAGGTGGTTACTGAATGGGGCTGGGGGGATTGTGTTCATTTCCTAGGACTACCATAATAAGGTACCACATGCTGAGTGGCTTAAAACAACTGACATACATTCTCTCACAGTTATGGAGGCTAGAAATCCAAAATCAAGGTGTTGTTAGGACCACGCTTCCCCCAAAGACTCTAGAAAAAGATTCTGTTTTGCTTCTTCCAGCTTCTGGTGGCTCTGGCATTCCTAGGTTTGTGGCAGCATCATTCCAACCTCTGCCTTCACCTTCATCTTCCCTGTGCATCTGTGTCTTCTCCCCTCATCATAAGGATACCAGTTGTATTGGATTAAGTGCTCATCCTATTCTTGTGTGACCTCATCTTAACTAATGACATCCACAGTGACGCAGTTTCCAAATAAGATCGCATTCAAAGGTTCTTGGTGGGCATGAATATGCAAGGCGTGTATTTACATGGTCTGATGACCACTACAGGTCATCAGAGATGGCCTTCCCAAGAGCACAATAATTGTGCTGAAATATGAAGAATGAGGAGGACTTGACCATGCAGAAATCAGGGGGAAGGACAGTCCAGGGTGAAGTGCGAGGACTCTAAGCCTGGGATGAGGATAGTGTGTCTGAGGAATTTGCGTATTGTTTGTTATAGCAAAAATCCTGAAAACAACCTGATTGATTACAAATCAATAGGATATTGATTAAATAAATGATGCATCTATACAATCAAATACAATGCAGCCATTAAAAAAATAACAGGGTAGTTCTAAATGCAGTCATATATTTTAAAAATTCAAAATACAAAGTTAAGAAGAAAAGGCAAGAGCATGTAGAAGGGTGAGTGAGGGCCAAAAGAGGAAGGAAAGTAGGGGCTGGGGCTTTGACAGGAGCTTGGGGTTTTATTCAGAGCACAGCAGCACAGATTTTGAGCAGAGGAGTGATATGGAACTGGTTTGGTTTATAATTGATCACTGTAGCTATTGCATGCAGCGCAGCTTGGAGGGGAGTAAGCAATGTCAATAGCAGTGGGGTTTATGAAAGATGGTCCCTGTAAGTCTGGTTGAAGAGGTGATGGCTGCTCTGACTAGTTCTCTAGCACTGGAGATGGAGAAAAAGGGATTCTGGCTTTATTTATAAGTGATAGACCTGCTGGCGGATTGATTACATGCTGGGGAGGCAGAGGAGGATGCTGGACTCCTCAGTGTCATACTGTCTCCATATCTACCTGCGGCTGCCATTTTTCACTCAACAAACACCTTGGTCAACTTCTCATATCCACACCTGTAGTTCAGCCTCATTCATTTTGACTGCTTCATTGCATTCCATCTTATTGGCAGATCACAATCGAGTATTTATTAATTCCCCTTTTGTTGGATACTTAAGTTGTTTCTAATTTCTCACAATTACAGCAATGCTGCCATAAACATCAATCCAATCACTCAATTCTTCCACAAATTTCTTGAACAGCATTTGGGCACATGTGAGGGTTTCTCCAAGCTAGAAGGGGTGTAGTTGGGTTGCAGGGTACTTTCGCTTTAACAGAATTGTATGTAATCATAAGATATTCCCATGGTTTCAGGGGCCAGGGATGAGCTGGTCTCTTATGAAGCAGAAAAAGCCATCCCCTCCCAACCCTCTGAAGCTAAACAGCCCCAGAGGAGCCCACTGTACCTCCCTTCTTACCTCCTCACTTCCTGTGCCTTCCTAAATTTAAAAATTGCAGGGTTCCTGTAGGCCATATGCTACCTTGTGTCTACTCTTTAAAAACATGGAGTGGCATTTTGGGAATGGGGATCAGGTTGCCAACTGCAGCTTGGATCTGGGAAATAGCCCAAGCCTCCTTGCAGACAGTTTTTCTTTCCTCTAATACCTGCCTTCCTTTGAACCCAGGTCCAGCAGGAGGAGAGATTAGAGCATCATACCTGTTCTGACTCATAGCTCTCCATCTGTTACAGCAAGTCATTCTTGGTAGAGAGGTGGGGGGTGGGGATCGGGGAAGGAGATAAAATCCCGTTTTAATTCCTATCCCTTCTCCAAAAGCTACCTATAATTTTTTTTGTCTGTTCTAAATCTCTGTACTCATCGGAAACAAACAGAAAGTTTGAGGCAACACATATGACAGAAGAATAATTCCTTTAATATGCAAAGAGCTCTTACAAATTAAAAAAAAGAATAATCAAATTCTATTAAACGGATGAAAGACATGAAAAGGTAATCATAGCAAAATATAAGATTATCAACAAACATGCAAAGACGTGTGGCCTCACTCATTAAAGAAAGGAAGAAAAACAAGTATACACTACTTTCTAACTCTCAGAATGGATAGATGAAAGAGCTTGATAATTCTCCAACTTATCAAGTAATGATCAAGTAATGGTCAAGTACTTTGACCATCAAGTAATGGTCAAATAAAATGATTCTTATACCCTGGGTTGGGAAGAAGGGGAGGGTAGCATGCACACTTTGGGGTGGGCAATGAGACAGTATCATTTTCTGGAAATTTCTAACAATTCCGTTTCTAGGAATTTATAGTATAGATATACCCTCCAAGGTAGGCCAAAATAAATGTACCAAAATGTTTACAGTAGTACTGTTTGTTACAGCAAAAATCCTGAAAACAACCTGATTATAAATCAATAGGATATTGATTAAATAAATGATACATCTATACAATCAAATATAATGCAGCCATTAAAAAAATAACAGGGTAGTTCTAAATGCAGTCATATATTTTAAAAATCCAAAATACAAAGTTAAGAAGAAAAGGCAAGTTTCCCAGCATAATACATTGTATTTTCATATAAAATATTTCTGGAAGAATACATTAGAAAGCACAATAGTAGTTGTGTCTAAAAGAAAGGAGTACAAAGTTAAGATGAAGGAAATTTTGGGGTTTTTTAATACTTCTGCAGTACTTTTTATAAACCATTGTCATGTGTAACTTTTATGATTAAAACTCATTTACAAAATATTTAGAAGAAAGCAGATCATTCAGTACTGAACTTAAAATCTGAAAATCATATCATTTGAATCTTAACCCTGGTTCATGTTCTGTTTTGGCTGTGTTGCACTGGGTTAATTGCTTAGCCTCTCTGGGCCTGATTTTTCTCATCTCTGAACTGGAAATGCTACAGATTTGTTGTTGTTGACATTCTTTATGCTACAGGAGGGGCAAAATGGTACAGAAAGGAAACAGCCTGATTGACTCCAAAATTTTGTTTGTTACTCATGTGCAAACATTGATCTAGTATTCTTGAAGATCATGTCACTTAACTTAGTTAAGGAAACAATAATGATGTTTCCCCACTGTGAAGGCATATCTGGAGATGCTGGAGGGTGATCCAGCATTCACCTTTCCTTCTGCTAATTCCACCTGTGGCCTAGTGCATGCTGAGAGTAAATAGCATTACCTCCCAGGTTGATGTAAAACACCTGGTGAAATTTTTCTTTGGCGCCTTCCCTAAGGTTTAGAGGGTAATTGGGTCTGTCTGTGTCTTGGGTAGGAGTCAATGAAGATGTAGTAAATATCAACAGAGAAAATCACCAAACAGAGGAAGTATCAATAGAGACAAGAAAAGCGGAAATGCACAAGTGAGAAGTATCTGACCACATAAAAATAAAGGAACATTGTAGGGTCTTTGCAGAGAAATATCAAAGAATCATGGGTTAAAGAACAAGGATAGAGACCACATGTGGCTGAAGGAAGAATTTGGCTCAGAGAGCAGGAGTGCCCTTGAAGAAAGAGAGCGGGACTCAGTGGTAGACAAAGATCATCTTGGGGGAGTCTGTTAGTTGAGAAAGAAAAGAACAGACAGGTAGAAGAATGAGAACAACAAGAGAAAACTGTGTTCTTATAATTGTTATAAATTTGCCCTACAGTTCCAAAGTGGGGAAAGGCTGAGTATGGGGGCAGGGAATGTGGCCAGGAGAGAAGAATTCACAGAGTTCACAGAAAGCTTTGTCTCTGAGGAATGTTGCTAAGTCAGGGGATATCCTCTCGGGAGATATATCATGGCAACCTTGATGAAAAAGACCCCCAGGTGAGTCCAGTTCAGATGCCAGGTCATGATGCAGCGTTTCCATCCCCCCATGGGGAGGACTCATTCATCTCTATCTTAAGGAAGTGGCCCTTGGTCAGCAAATTATAAACCCTTGCTGCACGAATGAATGAATGGTGCCCTTTCATTTCAGGGCAGACATCTGAATTCCCAGACGATGATCCCAGGGAGGTGAAAAAGAAAAGCTCTGGTCCTCTTTTTCCATGTAAAAACTATTGATTTATATCAGGACACTGTCTAATATACAATTTACAAACATTGTCACCAAGAGCATTATGGCAACCATTTACTGAGCACTTAACTAGATATCAGGACAGTGCTAAATGCTTGCAGATGTTACCTTACTTAATCCTCAAATTCAACCTATGAGGTGGACACTACCATCATCCCCATTTTACAGGTGAGCTTAGAGCTGAGGAAGGCAAAGTGGCCTGCCCAATGTTGCCCAGCTGAGATTGGCAACCAGGTCTTCCAATTCCAAGGCTCAAGCTATGTGCAGTAAGATGCCCACAACTGACACTCGGCAATGGCACTGGTCTCCCTATTTTGTAGAAGGGACAGACTCAGGGAGCTTAGCACTGTCAGACTCCAATCACATGCTCCTCCTTTCACTGTGCAGCTCTGCCACGCCCCAAACCCATGGGAAGGCAGGAGACACAAACCAATGTGGCTTTTATTTTATTTTTTTAATTTCCAAAGTCTTAGACATCTCTTGATTTGCAAACGTTGTCTTAATGGTCCTGAGGTTTTCAGCATTTCAGATTTTTCTGACTAGATCATCTAGGGGTAGATGGAAATGTATCTCTAGATGAGTGATTCTCAACCAGTGGCAACTTTGCTCCCCAGGGGACATTTGGCACGGTCTAGAGACATGTTTGATTGTCACAGCCCAAAGGGAGGGTGGTGCTAATGACATCTAGTGGGTAGAGGCCAGAGATGCTGCTAAACATCCTGCAGTGCACAGGACAGCTCCCCACAAGGAAGTATTATCTGGCTGGCCCTAAATGTCAGTAGTGCCAAGGTTGAAAAACCTGACTATAGAAATCTAATCTTCTTCATAGTACTTTGTTTATTTGTTTTTTGCCATGTATGTGTCTTCCACCTACTCTTCCTTTTTTTTCAAATTCATGTTTGTATACATAACTAACACAGGAGGAAAGCTTGTGAATGATGAAAACATTTTTTATTAAATATGTAGTCACAGAGATAAAGCTAAAATATCCCCCTCTTCTTCATATGTGATGCTGTCATTGACAGTTTGGTGTACATCCTTTGAAGCATTTTTCTACACATATATATTTATATAGAGTACATAGTGTTCTTTTGTATACATAGATAGATGCTTTTTCCTACATGTATTATATAAAATAACATTACAACTTGTGTGTCATCCCACAGTTTGCTTTTTCCTGTCACAGTCTTTTAGAGATCTATGTTTAATACACATGAATTTACTGCATTTTTTCAACTGTTGTATTGTATTCCATAATTATGCATATTTCATAATTTATTTAGCCATTTTCCTAATTAAGAGCATCTGGGCTGTTTGCAGATTCTTCCTGATAACAAACATGGCTGCAATAAACACTCTTGAACTCACCTCCTTTTTCCTTTAGTGTTGACATCAAGAGCTGGTCATGGAGTAGGCAGATTTTTTAAAATTTTTGATAAATGCTGAAATATCATATTCCCAAAAGGCTGCAACAGTTTACACTCCTAACAGCAATGTATGAGTGTACGTATTCCCAGATATCTTTGCCAAAATGTGATATTACCACACTGTTTTTAGTTTTAATCGATCTGGAGGGTACAAAATGTGTAGTTTAAACTCTGATTGAACAAAGAGAACTCTCAAAGTGGACAAACCCCTTGTTGGCCTCCCATGTAAGGGCTGACACTTTTCATCTTCAACCACTTAATATATGTGGGGTTCGCAATGATTCATCTCAGAAAATATTTTCTGAGGCTGGGCACAGTGGCTCATGCCTGTACTCCCAGCACTCTGGGAGGCTGAGGCGGGCGGATTACTTGAGGCCAGGAGTTCACAACGAGCCTGGCCAACATGGCGAAACCCCGTCTCTACTAAAGATACGAAAATTAGCCGGGCGTGGTGGTGGGTGCTTGTAGTCCCGGCTACTCAGGAGGCTGAGGCCGGAGAATTGCTTGAACCTGGGAGGCGGAGGTTGCAGAGAGCCAAGATCGCACCATTGCACTCCAGCCTGGGTGACAGAGAGAGACTCGGTCTCAGGAAAGAAAATATTTTCTGAGAGCCTACTATGTGCCAAGCACTGAGCTTCCCATACAAAGAAAATACACTCCTGTTGGTAAACACTTATGGAATATTATGGGATCCAGTTACAGCAGTAAAGAACATCAGCTAGGGAATTAAGGAAGAAAGGAGAAAAATTGTTCTGGCAGGAGTCGAAGGGGGAACATCTGAAAAAGTTGCTTGAAGCAATTGGTATTTGGGCCCTAAGCACAATACCCTTTTTGTAGTTAGTTGGTTCCCTTGTTTATTGTCTGCACTCCCACCCCACATCATGCATTCTCTTGTATCCCTGACTCCTAGCACAGTGCCTGTATACAGCAGGCACTCAGTGGACATTTGCTGTTTGAATGAATGATATTAACTGATTTGGCAACCCGGTGAGTAGGTATTGCTGTGATTTCCATTTTGCACAGAAGAACTCCAAGCCTCAGAGAGGTGAAGTAGTTGGCCCAAGGTCACACAGCTGGCAAGAAGCAAAACTAAATTAGACCCAGATGTGCAGAGATCAAAGCCTTGCTCTTGATGCCAAGCTTTTAGAAGGCAACTCTGATGGCTGAGGCAGAGAAAGTCATGTGGGTAACCCCAGTCAGAAAAGGAGAAGAAAGTGGTCGTTTTCCCAAGTCTTGTCTTCAGCCCCTGAGTGGGAGAGATCTGGCCCTCTGAGACAGGGAGCAGAGGTGAACCTCTACCATCTCTTCCCCATCGGCTTGTGCGTCCCATCCCTTTCTTGGCCCGGATTCTCTACTTTAATTGTCTTTCTCTCCCCTACTCTCCTCCCTCTTCCCGATCTCGTCCAGTCCCCGGGGTCTGCCCAAGATGCCATTCGGTGGGATAATTAAAGTTCCCCTCCTGTTAGCATCTCGCTCCGGAGCCCTCCCAGCAGCTGTTCAGCTGCAGCGGGCCTGGGAGGGCCGCACAAAAGCTTTGCTAATGATTGTGTCTACAAGCTGCGTGTGCGAGCGAGTGTGTGTATGTGAGTATGTGTGTGAGCGTGTGTGTAGACCGCCAGCGTGTGACCGGTCTTACCCCACCCCTTTGGGCTGGGGGCCACGGATTCATTACAGATTTCCCTCGGTGGCAATGAGAGGAGGGAGGGGAAGGGGACCAGATGGCAGACAGGCGGGTGGCGGTCGGCCCTGCCTCCTCCTCCTCTCACCAAGCAGATGCCCTAGGAACAAGGGCCCCAGGCAGAGGCAGGATTAGAGGGGGAAACTCCGTATCAATTAGTGTCAAAGGCCGGAGAGCTGGTGGAGGAAGGGGCGGCCCGTTGGCTCTGGCTGGTGGGGGAGGGGAAAAACAGCACTGATGAGGGAGGGGTTTCAAGGGCAGACCTGTGCCCATCAGGAGATAAACATGCGTTCTCACCGGGAGCTGGAGGTGAGGAAAAGAATCACCTTCAGAAATAGTCAAAGGCAGTAGCCTACTTTCACAGATGGGTAAACTGAGGCATGGTGAGGAGACTTGCCAAGGACTGGGGCTACTACTACCTTTAGAGCTCCAACATGGTTAGGTGTTACACAACATTAGATAAGAGTAGCTCCAACATGGTTAGGTGTTACACAACATTAGATAAGAGTAGCTCCAACATGGTTAGGTGTTACACAACATTAGATAAGAGTAGAGATCAGAAAATTTGAATAGATATTAGATAACATTAATCTTTTTATTCATTTTTTTTTTTTTTGAGACAGGATCTCACTGTGGCTGGAGTGCAGTGGTGCAATCTCAGTTCACTGTAGCCTCGATTTCCTGGATTCAGTCTCCCAAGTAGCTGGGACTACAGGCATGCACCACCACACCTGGCTAATTTTTGTATTTTTTGTAGAGATGAGGCTTTTGTCATGTCTTGAACTCCTGGGCTCAAGCAACCTGCCCACCTCAGCCTCCCAAAGTGCTGGGATTACAGGCATGAGCCACTGCTCCAGGCCTATTCATATTCTTATAATACCAAAACTTCTAGCAGCAATGGAAGGGTATTAGCCTCACCGCTGAGCACCCACTATGTGCCACATACCTGGACAATTTCTCCTCTAACAAATCCCCTTAATGGCCTGACAAGTTAGATCTTAATAGCCTCATTTTATGGAAGAAGAAATTGAGGCTCCAGAGAGGCCTCCCCACTGGAGAAGGGAGTCAGGCTACCCAAAAGCACACAGCCAATCAAGATGGGGCTCATATTCAAACCCAGAACTGAGCCAAACAACCACCAAAAAGCAACACTCGTCTGAGCCCCTCTTGGAGTGGGATTGGTCTGTACTGGTTTACAGGAGGAGTGCTGCTAAACCCTCACTCCCTCTAACCAAAAAAGAGAACCGTATTTCAAGTCCCAAGACCAAAATTCAAGTTCTGGTTGTTATTTCTAAGCTGTGTGACCTTGCGCAAGTCACTGAACCTCTCTGAGTTTGTTTCCTCATTCTCTAATGGTATCATCCAACAACAGCAGATGGGTGAATTTCTTTTGATAGATGCCTATAATAGAACATTATAAAGGCATTAAAAATGATGAGATGGATGGAAATTTACATGGCAAGGTAATCAGACTGTATTGCTAAATTTGTTAAAAAGTCTGGAATAAAAAAAACATGTCCAACATTATCTCATATTGGTAAAGGGAAAGAGAGGGGGAGAGATGAGAAAAAAGAGAGAGAAAATAAGAGTAAGTTAGTGAGTCTAGAAGGATAAACTCCAAAATATTTGTTTGTTCTCCTGCGCAGTAATATTTTATTTTTTGTACATCAGTATTTATAAAACTGGTATTAATACAAGTGATGAATATTAAAAGGATATTCTCTCCTCAATCTTGCCCAGCTCTGAGTGTCATGAGGTTTCAGAATTTGACTCTGCACATTTTTAAATTGCACTCCATGTGCAATGGATGGTTCGTGTCTTCAGAGAGGGCTGGGAAGTGATAAGATGTGGGCCAGGGTCTAGTCTACAGCTCAGTTAGGCCAAAGTCAAAAAGAACCAGCTGCTAAGGGGCTGCTGGGGAGGGAAGGGTTAATGTGCAAATCCATAAAGCTGACCCTGAGGTGGCCCACTTAGGAGACCATCTGCCAGCAGGCCCGCAGCTGCCAATCCCAAGCAGGCCCTGCCTTCTCACGGGCTCCTCCCAGCCCACACAGCTCGGAGCAGCCCAGATGCCTCTGCCTTGGCCTCGGTCTCCAGCCAGGAGAGATCAGCCTGGCAGATTCAACCCACCACCATGCCCATCTCCAGCAGGAGCATTGGCATTTCAGGCAATAGAAGCTGCAAACTCTTTCTTGCTTATGGTCGCATTTGACCAATAGAATCAGTGGTGGTATTTCCCATTGCACAGCAGAGGAAACTGAGTCTTGCAGAAGCTCTATGATCTGGCCAAGGACACAAATTCTCCTTGGGAGACAGCCCAGGCTCCTGAAGGAAGCAGCAATCCTCCGTGTCCTGATATTCTCCCACAGGCAGTAACTTCTCCAAGAGAAAGTGAGGAGCCAGGAGGGATCCCATATTGCAGAACCCATTCCCAAGAGCTCAGGGCAATGGGGTGGAATGGGGAGTCGGGAGCAGAAGGGCACTATCTGGGAGTCCAGGAAGCTGGGTTCAAATCCTGGCTCTACTTCCCACTCTACCTCATCTCCTGGTCTACCTCAAAGGTTTCATAGGGACTTTTCAATTTTTCTATGGTGGGAAATCCAAGATCACTGACCACTTCCTGACCCCAGGAAAAGAAGGAGTAGTCGCTCCCTAGTGTCTCTTCTCACACACCATCGCCTCACACCCTAACATCAGATCCTGGTAGACCAAAAGAGGGGAGAGAAAGAGTTAAGTTGAGAGCAGATGGAAAAGGGACAGAATCCTCCCTGGAAACTGCCCAAATGTCAGACAGAGCAGCTCAGGACTGGCGGCCAAAGGAGGCAGAGAGAGAACGGAAAGCTCCCAGAACAGATGGGCCAGCCAGGGCACAAGGGGGATGCAATGGGCGTCACAATCATAATATCTCAAATTCCTCTGGTGCATTCCTGTTTTCAAATCTCATTCAAATCCATTATCTTATTGGAATCTCACAGCTTCCTGGACAATAGATGACCAGGGGCTGTGAGACCCATCTGGCAAGATGTGGTAACTAAACTCAGAGAGGTTAAGAGCTTTGCCCAAGGTCACACGGCTTGTTTGTTGTCAGAACAGTCAAAAAGGAAATCAGATCTCCCGAATCCTAATTCAACCATCAATGGATGTGGGGACTGTATTCCCCCATTTCCCATCCCGAGACCTTGAAATGATGACATTAGTGATAGTAACAACAGTAACATCAGTAACAATAATGCAAACAGGTATTGATCGATTACTCTGTGATAGGCACTGCTTTAAGCAATTAATGCATATAATTTCGTTTAATTCCCACTTGGACCCTGGATGAGGTAGGTTTCACCGTTAGCTCTAATTTACAGAAGAAGGAGACTGAAGCCCACGTGACTGCTGAAGGACACAGTTATAAAACAGTGGACAGAGATGTAAATATACACCTCCCTGTCCCTTCTCCACCACACCAGTGGTTTCCAGCAGTGGTGCACATTAGGATCACCTAGGGAGCGATTAAGAAAATCCCAATGTCCAGGTCTCTTCCGAGATTAATTAAATAAGAATGTCTGGAGGTGGGGCCCAGGTGTCAGTACTTTTTAAAGATTCCCAGTTGATTCCCATGAGCCTCCAAGTTCGAGAACCACTGCACCACATGCTCCTCAAAGACTGTTCCATTTATCGTCTCAGAGGAGCTGTGGGACAGCTGAGTTTCCCTCAGTTTTCCTGTCTATAAAATGGGGCCCCTTCCGTTTTGACAGACTAGAATCCATCCTCTCCAGGGTTGGGACAGGAAAGGGTTAATCCCTGAATGCTTTGAGCTGAGAGCTCCAGAAGCAGTCTGTTCCTGACTGTCCCTTCTCCTCCTTTCCCCCAGAGTCAGCCAGAGTTTAGGGGCCTACAGTGAGCCTGTTGTAAAAGTTTTATTATGTTTATTTCAAATAGGTTTTTGTGGTATCAGAAACACCGAAATCTGAAGCCACAGGAACTGTGATGCTGCTAGCAGCCTGTTTTAATCTTCTCTGGGTGAACCAGTTGGGTGCCCCTGAAATACAGTGAAATAATAGTGGAGCGGGGAGCCTTGGTTCCGCCAAGGGAACAAAGGAAAATGGATCCTGGAAGAAGGGTCTGTGGTTTGGTGGCAATGGGGAGATCTGTATTTTTCAGACACTGGACATCGTCTTCACTTCTGCCTTTAAAATCACTCCCTACGTCTTCGGCAGGAAGTAAAGTGCCTTCTCAGTGCTTGTCCTCTTTTCTGAGTCTGGGGGAGCCGAGAGGAGAGAAAAGGAGTCCTAGCTATCAGCCGGGCTGACTTGTTGAATGGGCTGCCATACTCTGATCAATTTCCCTGCCTGTAAAAGAAGGGGGTTGGAGCCCTGATTCTGACCCACCCTTTGCTAGCAGGAGGCTAGTTCTCTCAATCCATCTGTGAGCTGCAGGATGGAAAATGGAGGAATCCTAATGAATGGAGAAATCTGAACAAAACTAGGCCTCCTCAGAAGCTCTCTGCTGTAGGCTCCCCTCCCCCTCTCAGGAGCAGCTTCCTTCAGAACCACTGTACTTTCTTAAACCCCTTGGACCTTGCAGTCCTAGTCTTCAAATGTTTGGGAGACAGATAGAAAACTTCCAGGACTGTGAAGTCTAGGAATCAGATGTTCTTATGAAAAATATCCCACAGGACGCAAGGAGCAGAATGGTTGTGACCCTAAAGGGATCAGGAGATGACAAACCTTGGATCTGGGGAATATATAAACCATGAATCTTATGGTCTCAGAATCTTAGAACCAGGGGCATAACCAGGTGTGTGGGACCTGCAGCTTACACAATTTTGGAGGCCTCTTTAAGAAAAAGAAGATCAAATTTTCAAAAAGAGTTTGGTACCAAGGTGGATATTTAGAATAAGATGATAATAACACATGACTCATTTTTAGAAGCTGAGAAAAACCACAAACATCCAAAATCCAGACTAGAACATAATTTTTATTAATTAAATAACTGATCAATTAACAATTCATTAATAATTAACAGCCTGAAACATCTCTATCATACTCTATTCCCTGTACTTTTTGCCTGCATATTCTGATCATCTCTTCATATGACAATTTAGTAATATCGTCTATAGAGAGAAGAAAAGAATAATTCAGCGTTTTCTCTATGATGGTTTGCTTAAGAGAACTTTGGGAAAAAAGAGGCCATGAAGATAAGAGGTCTAAAGCATTCACTGAGATATGAAGGTGGAGGAGATACATGGAAAGGACTGACCTCAAGCCACTGCAGCAAGCCCCTGGGGGAGCTGGGGGTGACAAGACCTTCCAGTGTCCCTCTGATCTTTCTGCTGCCCATTGGGAGGGTTTCCTTATGAAGCTGATCTGGGTGTGGTATCTTAGCCATGTGTAGTTATCTCTATCTGGCAGATGCCTCATTTCCAGTTGGTGACCTCCCCTCGGAACCTCTACCAGCTCTCCTGCTTAACAATCTCAGATCCTTGGAGGAAAGCAAGGAGGGGAAATAGGAACTGAAAACATGTATAAAATTGCCCTCATTTTTTACAGCAATCTACGCAGTTGCTGATTCAATCTTTTATGGCATGTCCCTGAGAGTATAAAAAATCAAGGATGCTACAGAGCCCTGGGGGCTGAGGCTCAGGATATGCCGGAAGCTGTGAAGGCTCACAGCTATTCAGTTTGGGTCTTAGATTGGATGACGCTGGTGGCGGGGGATGGGGAGGGGGTAGAGAGAGCACAGTCCAAATGGCTGGGTTAAATCTACTTGCCCCTGGTCTTCGAACATAGGTTGCAGCCCAAGCCTAGCCTTCTTTCCATATGCCCTTCCTTGCTGGGACCCAGAGGTAGCTACATAGAGATAACTGGTAGCAGTGTGGTATGGTGACTGTGAGCACATGGTGTGGGATTCAAACCCCTGCTTGATCCCTTACTAGCTGTGGGACGTTGAATGAGTGTTGTCACCCCTCTGAGCTCCAGGTTTCTCAACTGTAAAATAAGGATAATGAAAATGTGCCCGCCTTAAAGGGTGGTTGCGAGGTTGAAGCAATTTCATTCAAATGCAGTGTTCAGCAGCATGGTGTAAACACTGGCCTTGGTGTAGACGCCTAATAGATGCTGGGTGTTACTGTGATCCCTCCTGTCCAGCATGGCCTTTGTCACCACCAGAGCCCAGTGAAAGTCACTCTCCTCATACTTAGCCCCAGGGAAGGGCTGAGATTGGCTCTCCTAGTATCATATGCTAGTCCTGCACCAAACACGGTACCTAGGGTAACCGAGAACTGTAATGGTGCCTATTGTGGCCCTAGGTTGAATAGAGATAAGGCTGTATCAGACAGGAAAAACTTTCTGGAGATAACTAAATAAAAATATTATAGTTCCTTATATCTACCTTCTTACTTGTTTGCCCCACAAATGGGAAATAAACACTTCAAATCAATTAGATTTTCATCCTGTCCCAAATGTCCAACCAGACCCCAGGTTTCTGACAACGCCAGTGCCATTTCTCAGAATCCTCAAGAATTTGGAGAGAATGAATCCATCCCATACCCTCACTCTGTTCCTTGAGTGGAGGGACCATATCTGGCTCATCTTCATATACCAAGTGCCTAGCACTATGATAAGCCCATGGAACACGTTCAGTAGATACATTAACTCAATGTGCAAATGAATAAATGGGATACCAGCTTGCAAGGGAAAAAAACCGTCAGAGCAGGTAACTCCTCAAAGATCAAAGAGAAACTTGAAAAAAAATTTTTTTTTTTTTGCTTCTTTTCTTTTCGCAATCAGCATCTAATGAGGACTAATGGCATGGCAGGCAACTGGGCTAAGCACTTCGTCTATCGTCATGTTTAACCCCTCAGGGCCACATTGAAAGCTGTATTTCACATAGGCAGTGTGGTCTAATGGGTAAGAACACAGGCTATAGAATCAGACCTGGAATCAAAATCAGAATAGATCATGGCTCCAGCATTTTCTAGTTGTGTGATTTTTTTTTTTTTTTTTTTGAGACATGTTTTCACTCTGTCACCCAGGCTGGAGTGGAGTGGTGTGATCACAGCTCACTGCAACCTCCACCTCCCAGGATCGAGGGATCCTCCTATCTTAGCCTCCCAAGTAGCTGGGACTACAGACATGAGCCATCACACCTGGTTAATTTTTGTTTATTTTATAGAGGCAAGGTTTCCTCATGTTGCCCAGGCTGGTTTCAAACTCCTGGGCTCAAGCGATCTGCCTGCCTCGTCCTCCCAAAGTGCTTGGATTACAGGCAGAAGCCACCACTCCCACCTAGCTGTGTGATGTTGATCAAGTTACTTTCTCTCATGGGGGTTTTCCTTATCTGTAATATAGAAATAACAATACATACATGACAGGGTTCATATATGAAACATAGTGAGGCTTGGGAAAATTTAACATAGTGCGTGGTCCATAGTAATTGTTCAATAAATAGTAACTGTTATTTTTCCTGCCCTCTTCCACTCATACAGAGAAAGAACTGATCAGAGAAGCCTGAAATGCTCACCTTAATATGTGTTTCCTGGCCTGAAGGGCAATTCCTACCTTGAGAGAGGTTGGTACTAAGCTTCCTTCACTTCCCACTCAGACATGCTACGAGACTGCCCTTCCCAGTTATCTTAGCACCCAGGGGACCTTGTGACAAGCTTTTACCAATGAAATTTAAAGAGGAGTGTTGAATCACTTCCAGCAGAGACAGTCAAGAGTAGGTGGGGCCTCTCCAACGTTGTTCACTTTCCTCATCTTCCAGCTGCACCACCATGTCACATAACTTTGAAGTCATGCCATAAGGGTGGGTCCCTGTATGCCACGAGAAGCAAAGCTCTCCTTCAACCAACATAGGAAGGACTAAGACAAGAGCAAGAAATGAATGTATCAGTGAAGCCACTTAGATCCCAGAGCTCATCTGTTTTAGCTGATAATCTTGCCTACCCTAACTATGCCACCCTCATTTAATGGCCTTTTTGTAACAATCCAAGATGGCGCTATTCTGCTTTTTCTTTGAGCCCAAATGGTGTGTGCAGCCAATAGACACTTCCTCATGGCCAGAGACCACTTTCCTTGGCAGAAAAATGGTGCTGGTCTGAGAGATTCATTGGAAAGAGGATAGGAAATGAAAGAAAATCCTTACCTGCCTCCCAGGTTCCCCCATTGGCCAAATGATCCCATGACTATGAACAGTGATAAGCTTCCATTTAGGTTAGGCTCTGGCAAAATGCCTCCCTTTCTAGCTGTTTCTTGAGAAAACTCGGAATGAATATAATTATAGCCCAAGGACAGGGCTGTGCATGGCTAGATGACTTGTACTCACAAAATCTATGTTCCAATGGTAAATATATTTTCTCTGTCCTTTTGCCCTCACTTTTCCCAGAGATGCCTCTTCCACCTGGAAATAGTTTAAACCAATTCTGACTAAATCTCTGGTCTGACCTTGCCTAAATGGAGACCAAGAACACTGAGGTCTTTAGTACAGGGCCAGTCACGAGAAACACAGGGTTCACTGGGGTCAAATGTATTGGAAAGTTCACGGGTCCTTGGTCTGAGTCCTTTCTTTTCCAGTGACTGGGAGTGCAAAGGGGATGCTAAGAATAAACTTGTGTTATGCCTCAGTTACAGATGACTAGGCTTATTTTAGCCAGTCACCTTGTTCACTTCAGCAAGAGAAGTATTTGCTCACTCCTGTAAAACGACTCCGAGGTGTGTGGCTGGGCAGCTACAGCATATTGCACTGCTTTGATGTGTGAGGTGTGCCCGGCTCTTTTCCCATTTATCATCTTCAATGGTCACAGGCCTTGGGAAAAAGTTATTTCCCCCATTTTATAGATGACAAAATTGAGGCTTGGGGAAGTGAAATATAGTGTAGTACAGGGGTTACTTTGCTGTACTGTACAAAGTAGCATATTGTGTAGTGCGTTCTGTACAAAATACAAAACATCATGTGTCATAATACAGTACAAAGTACAGTGTAGAGCAGTAAGTACCTCCCCAGCTCCTGGCATTATTTTTGATGTGTCAAAGGGTGTGAACAAAACATAGTACTTCTTCTACTTAGTGCCTAGTATTAGAGCACCACTCTAAGGCACAAATATACATAAAGTGTTTGGGAAATTTAAAACACTGTATATATGCAAAGTATTAACAAGTTAATTAGTTGATTGACACAGAGGTAGCATAGGATAGAGGTTAAGACTGTGGGCTCTGGAATCAGATGGGACTGGGTTTGATAAAGTTTTGACCTCTCTGAGTTCAATTTCCTCAGCTGCAAAATAGCTATAAGAATATTCCCTGTCTTACAGGGCATTATAAGGCTTTAATAAGTTACAGTAAACGAAATGCTTAGTGTAATGCCTAACATACACTGTTGTTATTATAAATAACTCTGTTAGTTTTAGTTGTTTCATTTATGAAATGGAAAAAAATAATTCTTCCAATCTCACAGTGATTTCATAATTTGAGACTCTTTTAAATGCAATATGCCAATGCTGCAGATAAGATAAATCACCCTCAAACTTAACACAGGTGGGACACAGCTGGGAAAAGATGCACAGAATAAGATTGGGCTCCCTGAGGCCGCCCCTCCCTGCTGCCTTCCCCTCCTGCCATGACATTCAGGTGCCCCTGGCAAGGCAAAGCTGGCGTTGTCCCGACTCTGAGTTCCAGAGCCCCAGCAGCAGATCCGGCTCCTGCAGCCTCCCAGCACACTGCTGGCAGAACACACGGCCAGAAATAGCTCCCCAGGTGCAGGACTCTCCCTCCTGGACTTGCCTGATGGTACCATGAAATGTGCCTGCATAGCCTGGTATCCTAGGAATCAGCAGTGTGGGGGCTGGGTCCTTGGACCCCTAACATCCTTCCAGATAGGATAAAGAATACCTTTGCCCTGTCTTCACCAAGATTGTCTTCATTTTGTCTTCCTGATCCCACCCAGTAGCCAACTCCTCTATCACTCTTGGATTATACAAATATTTATTGTGTACTTAGTCATGCCCAACCTTAAACTCAACACCTTCCCATTATATGCATAACAAAATCTCTTTATACCCCAAACCACTGTCTTGAGCAGTGCCTGTTCACAGTTCTACATAAATATGAATTGGGCATCACCTGTGTCCAGAGCCCTATGCTAGTCACTGGGAATAGAGAGATAAATAAGACAAAGCCCTCTGGCCAAATATATACATTCAAACACCAATTAACAGGTTCTGGGATTGTTTCTCTATTGACATTTCTATTGATCAACCTAATTGTTTATGTATTTCACAGTAATTATCATAGCTGGTTAGCCATGGACCAGCTTCTTTAGCCTTGGGCAAGTAACTTCACCTTTCTGACATTCTCTTTTCTCCTTTGCAAAATGTGTTAGGAGAGGGAATCCAGTGATAACATTAAATGAAATAGTGAATGTGATGAGCACGGCACCAACAGCGTAGTAAATGTTCAATAGTTAGCACTTGATCTGATTCTTCCAAAAGCTGTAACATCCCCTTCCAGGTGGGGGAAAGATAAATACATAGTATGCATGCTACAACCTCTGTTTCCTGCAAGGATGACAGACATTACTAATTGATCCAAGCACTCTTTTCTACTGATCTCAGATATAGCCCTAGAGTCCATCTCAATACAGTGCTCCAGACCACAACTACCAATTGGTTAGAGATGTTGACACTCTCTGTGATTTTTTTTTTTTTTTTTTTTTTTTTTTTTTTGCCATATTGCTCTTATCCACTCAGTTGCACAGTTCTGAAGCTTGGCTGGCACTCTAAGAAATATCTCTTTCCTTTCTGAACACTTTTCTTGGGTGTTAAATGTAGCCTCCTCAGAGACCAAGCTACGTGACCCTTAGACCCAGATGTATGCAAATAGTGTCCATTAAATATAGATCCGGATTGATGTGCCTCTGACCAGCAAACTTGGCTCCCATTCTACTGACTTGCTGAACAATCTTGGGCAAGTCAATTTTCCTTAGGGAACAATTTTGATACGTATTTTTTCCACACAGTTAGTGTGTCAGTAGGACGTGGTAGTTAAAAACTTGACAATTAGTGCCTTACAAGCTTGAGTTTGAATCCTGGATCCACTTCCTAGCTGTGTCACCTTGAAGAAGGCACATAGTGTCCCCATACTTCAGCTTCCTCCTCTGTAAACTGGAGATAATGACAGTATCCACCTCAAAAGCTTAAGCAGCTTAAAGGAGATGTTGCGTGTGCAATGGGACAATATTTTGAGATATTGATCTATGTGGATATTTTCCCTCTCTCTATATTTTCCCCTGTTCTTTTTTACCATTTAAGCAGGCCATGGGTTCTACTCTTATTGCCTCAGGGAGACGTGTGTCAGGCTGAAAACAGAAAGAATATGAGAGTGTTTTCATGTTTCCTTTTTGGAAAAGTCAAAGCCCTTAGGGAAAAGGATTTATGGATTCAGAAGAGAATCATGAAGAAACACAAAGGAAGAAAGATTTCTCCAGAACAGAAAGAGATTGCCTCCAGGCTGGGGAGAAGGGAGAGAGAGAGAGAGATCCCTAAGACCAGAAAGGTGCCACATGGCAGGGATGATGGACGCGTCCACAGTAACGTGTGTGGACTGATGGCCAATAGAAAGAGCTCTGCCAAGTTGCGCAGCCCTGGGTAAATACAACAACCTCACTGGGCTTGTGTTCTCCTTTACGTTACAAGGCTCTTTTCAATCACTCCACATGTGAGTATAAGGAAGTGGAAATCCCTACCAAATTTGGTGCTTAGAGAATGTTTACCCCACTCCTCCCAACACCTTCCTCATTACTAGCGACTCAGTTCATGCCCCTCTGGGGTGCCATCTTTGAGTTGAGCTGTGGTCAAGAGCATGTATGGTTAACTAATATCTCTTGTTTCCTTGTCTTGAAGGGTTTTTCCTTTTCATGGATAACCTTCTTGCTGAGAAGACACTTCCTGGCTGGTTGATTCTTCTGAGCGATTGCCCAGTGCAGACTGGGACCATCACTACTCCACCCCTGCCTCATTCAGCCCCATGAGGTCCACCTCATCTCTGTGCAGAACCTTCCTCCTCTATCTGAACCTAGTCTTGGAATGGACTTCCACTGAAGTAATCACCTAGAAACTGAGAAGCAGGAAAACAGTTGGACCTCACAAGTGACATTTTTTGCTCCATACCTTGACTCTGGGAAAAGTTTTATGAAAGAGAAAACTGTGGAAGCAAGCATGCCTGGACTAACTCTGGCCCTTACCAAGTGATAACCTTGACCAAGTTGCTTAGACTCTCTGAGTCTCACATCTACCATCCATAAAATGGAGACAATGATACCTATTACACAGAGTTGAGGTGAGAATTCAGTGAAATCTGTCTATAAATTGCCTAACACAGAGCTTCGTTTAGGAATCAAAGTAATTACACAGCATTTGTATTAACTTGCATGACCTTGGGCAAGTCACTTTACCTGCCTTGGCCTTAATTTTCTTTTTGATACTATTAACTCCTGCCCTGCTTTCTAGTCACTAGTTATTCATAAACATGTCTCCTATACTAAAATGTAAGCAACTTGAGAATAGAGAAAATTTTATTTTTTGTTTTTTGCATATGTGAAATCTTTTTGCACAAGTGAAAAAGGGTCATAGCATTTGTTGTGATCCTTTGTTTCTGATATAAATGAATATGCATGATTATTTAAATATGCACAGCAAAAGACCTCAGAGAAGAAAAACAAACCCAAGATGCCTGTGATTCTTTGGACCCACAATGTTTTACAGGTGTTTTGGAGAGAACTAGGACTGGAAGATCAGGTTTAACTTTATTCCTGTGTGGTCTTGAAAAAAATAATTTGAGCTGGTAGTTAGTTCCCACTGTCAGTTGAATGAAATAAATAAATCTCACTTTACCATAAATGTGGGGAAATGGTGAAGAAAGGCACAAATTAGATGCTGCATAAATGTTGGTTAGATGCAAAGGTGGATGGATGGGTAGATGGACAGGTAGATCAATGGGAAAAGAAAAAAGAAAATAGTTGTAGAATGGATGAATAGAGAAACTGCTGGAAAATAGATGGATGGGTGAATGAAATAATAAATGCATCAATTGTTGCTTGACTGACAGGTGGATAAAGGGTGGATGGATGGATGAATAGGTGGTGGTGGATAAATAAATGGATGCAGGAATAGATGATGAGTAAATGCATGATAAACGGATGGGTGGATGGGTAGATGCATGAATCAAGTTCTCAGCAAGCATAAAGTATTGTGCATCTGAAGAATAACCATGATTGCATAATGGCTGCACCTAACTGGGTCAGCTTGGGGTAAGCGTTGCAGTTAGAAGTCCCAAATTTCTCACTCAAGAAAGACTTATTCTCCTTGTCTGTTTCTCATTCCTAGGGAAACTTGTTTCCGGAAAGCATTCTACATTAATGTAGCATCAAATTGGCAAGTCCCAAAATAGAACTATGGGGCAGTGCAGGTGGACAGATATCCTGAGCCACATTCTCTCTGATGCACCACTGTGGCACTGGGATGGAGCAGAATGGAGCCACATATTGGAAGATGTAAACAGCTTGTCAAGAACTTCCTAGTTTCCATATGGTGCTCCTAAGTTTTCTCATCTTTCCTTATCTCAGGAGATTGGCAGAACAGGTGTTCCCAATAAGAGTTAGTGAGAGTTAGCAGCACAGGATTCAAATTCTGGCTCTGACATTACCTAGCTGTGTAAGTTAGACAAATCACTTACCTCTCTGATCCTTAATTTTCTCATCTACAGAATGGAAATTGTCACAGTATCTACCTCAAAAAGCAGTTGAGCAGATTAAGTGACATATTGCAGATAAAGCACTTTTCTCAGTGCTGGGTGTATAGTAAGTAGTCAAAAACTATTATTAGTAACTATTATTAAACCTTTTGACAGATGAAGAAGTTTTAAAATTGACATTTATGAGGTCACTGAGGCAGAGAAGTGAACTCTAGGGGTAAGGAGACCTGGATTCCCATTCACTGTATGACTTTGGGTAAATGCCTTTCCCTCTCTGAGGCTTACTTTCTCCATCTGCATAATAGAGAATGGAACCCATGAACTGTGAGGTTTAGCATTCTTGATCAGGGGTATAATCCCAGTGTCTTTTCTCACTCCACCACCACCATCAAACTGACTCGCTTTTGAACATAAGCCGGAATGGCCAAAGGCAACCATTGCAAATACTCAGTCATACCAGGAATCAGCAACCACTCGAGTTAAGGATTTTTGGCCCCATATTACAGATGAGGGCACTGAGGCTCAGGGTAGTGAAGGGATTTGCTGAAGGTCGCACAGCTACTAGGTGGTGGAGTAGAATTCAAGCCCAAGCACATTAACTGCAAAGCCAGAAGTCTTCTAACTATACAACACCCCTTCCTTGGCATGCGTCAGAACTGACATTTGCTTGGTGACTGGGAGTTGATGCTTTCCTTAGGTTGGAGGATTGGAGGGGTGGGAATGCAGAGCACGCTATTTTCCAGTGAGAGGAAAGGCAAAAGGCTTTTAAGAACTAGAGTAGGGGTAGTAAACATCAGGGTGGCTGAAATGGCATCTTGCCCAAGTTGCAAGCCGGGAGTCTCTGTGGTGGAAGCCTCAGCCTGAGCTTTCCTGGAAAACATTAAAAGCATCTAGGAGCACTTAGACCATAGCCTCTAGCTCCTGAATTCACACCACTACGTGGGGACAGTTTGAGAGTTGGCTTGTTAATAGGACATAAATGCTATAGAGCCAAGGTGGAACAGCCAGTGTTCTGGGGTGTGGATAGGAGTGGTGAGTGGAAAGCAATCATTTTTATTTTTTATTTATTTTTACTAATTTTTTTAGAGTTGGGGTCTTTCTATGTTGCCCAGGCTGGAATGCAGTAGGTATTCACAGGCGCGATCCCACTACTGATCAGCATGGGAGTTTAGATCTGTTCTGCTTCTGACCTAGGCCGGTTTACCATCCCTTAGGCAACCTGGTGGTTCCCAGCTCCTGGGAGGTCACCATATTGATGCCCAACTTAGTGCAGACAACCCATTGGCATAGCGCACTTCCGCCCAGAACTCCTGGGCTTAAGGGATGGATCTTCCTGCATCAACCTCTTGAGTAGCTGGGGCTGCAGGCATGTGTTATAGCACCCAGCAGAAAGCAATCATGTTAGTTTTTCTCTTTCCAAAAGCCCACAAGTGCCCTACAATGAACCCATTGTCAATGGCATTGATTGCTTGTGAGACTTTAGGCAAGTGACTTGACTACTCTGTGCCAGATTCCTTCTGTAAAATGAAGAGTTAGGGAGGGTTGGGCTACAGCAATCTTGAGGCCACCCCTACTTCTTCTGGTTGTCAAGGTGTCTTTTCTTTGGGGGCCATTTATAACCAGGACCCACCATGGAAAGAAGGTTTCATGACCCACATGCACTCTTCCCACTGCAGTTTGGGGCCTGTTCCCCTTCAGTCTGGTCCCTGCCATAATTGGGTACATGGTGTTTCTTCCTAAGGCTATTGATATCTGGGTTCCCCTTTCAATTTTGGGGGCCCACTCCAATCCCTCCATGCCCCCAAGGCCATTAAGAGGAATGTCATTCTAAGAGACTCTCCATGCAGGAAAAAGATACAGTATATACAGAGCAGTTGAAGAAGGCATGATGCTGGCACACTCTGTGGGTGAACAGAATGAGAGGAATTGAATGGGAATGCTTAGGCAGTGCAGCCTGGGTCAGTGATTAAAGACGGTCACACCATTCCCACCCTTGCCTGGTGATCCCTGCTCAGTGAACAACCTCTTTGGGGTCAGAAATCTTTCCCCACAGTGGCATGAGGGCATTAAACTTGGAGTCAAGAGATCTGGAGCTTATTCCAGGTCTTTATAAGACCTCGAGCCTCAGTTTCTTCATCTTTAAAATGGATATAACACTGGTACTTACTGTAGTGAGGATCAAACAAGATCAATAGTAACAGTTTAACAGTGACGATAGTAATGATATATCATTATTTCATGATGTGACTTTAGGAAAATCATTTCACATCTCTTAGCTTCATTAGTCCGTTTGTAAAATGTGAATACATTGATTTTTCTGTCTTCTTCCCCCAAGGAATTCTGAGCAGTGTGGTGTCTTGGGACTGGGTGCCAAGCAGCCCA
Source organism: Homo sapiens (assembly GCF_000001405.40). Classification (NCBI taxonomy): domain Eukaryota; kingdom Metazoa; phylum Chordata; class Mammalia; order Primates; family Hominidae; genus Homo; species Homo sapiens. The sequence continues at coordinate 118,992,861 of NC_000012.12, read as the reverse complement.
TATTTTAGCTACAGCTTTGGCACTAATTTTCTGATGCAATATGGAATGCCCTGTGCTCTTTCTGTGCCTCAGTCTCCCCATCTATCAAATGAAGAGGCTATATTTGAGTTCTGAAGGTCCCCCTGGCTGCCCTCTCATCCTGACAGTAGACTAAGTGCCCCAGTGAGGCAATGAGGATTTATAAAGAACTGACCATTGAAAGGTGCTATAATGATGATGGCCTCTCGTTCCTGCAGCAAACAACCATCCATATGATAAATCCTGCACCACTGCTCAGATACCTGCCCCTTCCGGATGTGGGTTGGGTCCCAGAATCACCTGCCACCTGGCTGTGGACAGGAGGCTGGGGCAAAACACTGGCCAAACAAAAGCCCTTTATCAGCTGGAAGTTCTGAAATCTGATTCCAGAAACACCCAGAGCTGCTCACCTGCTCTGCTAGGCACAGGCTGGGTGCGGATGGACATCTTGTCAGGATACCCAGACGAGTGGGTGGGCAGCAGGTGCCACAGGAGACCCTGAGGGGGCGGGATGTCATGTCTCACAGCGTGGGTGGGGTCACCAGAGAGAACTGGTGTCTGCTCACCTGGTTGCAGCAGAGAAGTTCAAACAAGAGCCCTGACGTTGGGCAAACATCACTTCTCTGAACCCAGAGCTCACCTGCAGACTACAGACCTTAGGCAAATCTCTCTCTTTTTGCAGGCTTCAGTGTCTCTTTCTGCTAAAAGAGGAGCTGAATTAGATCAATGGACCCCAAAGTTTCTTTTATCTCATATCTCTCTCAGTGAGAAATGCTGAGAACAAAACCCCAATATATGTGTATTTATTTACAAATTACACATGCGCACTATGGTTCCAATATGTTAAGCACGTTATCAAACCTATCCCTCAGCCCTCCACGTGTAAAATGAGATCGGGTGATCCCTAAGGTCCTGTTAGCTCTATCTAATACTACACCTCTGTAGATCTCTGAGTTTTCTCATCTGTACAGTGTGCTTATGGTTGTATTGTCCTCATTAACAATTTATTCAACAAATATTTAAAGATGACCAACCTTGAGCCACTGTACTAGGTGCTGGGATACCGCAAAGAATGAGACAGGCATAGTCCCCATCCCCAGTGGTTCAAACAATTCTCCTATGAATCAGAGGAAATAACATTACTGGTTTTGAATATTGGCAATTCCATATGGTTCAGACTATTAGGTGTGAAAGTGATTCGATGAGGGGAAAGTGCTACAGTTCATGCATTCTACCAACATGTGTTTGGTCCCTGCTGCGTATCTGGGGGAAGAGATTCGTTCAACAAGGAGCTCATAGTCACAGTCCCTCTCCTCATGAGGCCTCAACCGTTAGGAGAGGTATGCTTTAGCCAATGATCGCCCAAATCCATATATAATTACAAATGTGTTGAAAACAGTGATAAGAAAGTAATGTCTGTAATGAGGGGTATGACTTAGTCTGCAGCATTCTGGAAGGATCCCCGAGGAAACAGCATTTCCTCTGAGCTCTGGAAAGTGGAGTAGGTATAAATCAGGCACCAGGGGAGAGGAAGAGCTTTCCTAGCAGCATGTGCAAAGGCTCCATGGCAGGAAGGAGCCTGGAAAATGTGAGTAACTAAAAGGAATAAGATGCAACTAAACAGAGGAAGTGAGAGGTGGTGTTTTAGAAATGGTCTCAGGGAGGTGGGCAGGAAGTGGACCATGAAGAGGCTAGAGGCCATGGCAGGGAGCTGGCTCTGTATACTTAAAAAAACATGGGTCCAGGCATGGTGGCTCACACCTGTAATCCCAGTACTTTGGAAGGCCGAGGAGGGTGGATCACCTGAGGTCAGGAGTTCAAGACCAGCCTGGCCAAAATGGTGAAACCCTGTCTCTACTAAAAAAATACAAAAATTAGCTGGGTGCGGGGTGGGTACTTGGGAGGCTTAGGCAGGAGAATTCCTTGAGCCTGGGAGGCAGAGGTTGCAGTGAGCTGAGTTCGCACCACTGCACTCCAGCCTGGGTGACAGAGCGAGACTCCATCTCAAAACAAAAACAAACCAAAAAAACACAAACAAGAGAAAGTGATAGAGGGCTTTAGATGGAGGGAGAGAGGGCTTACATGGTCTGATGTGCTTTTCAAAGAGGTTCTTCTGGGTCTATGTGGATAATGGATAAGAGGGGCAAGGAAAGAGGAAAGCAGTATTGCTGCAAGTGGTATGAGATGGGATTATAACAATGGCAGTTACTAAACTGATTGAACATAAAACAAGATGAGCAAAACAAAACAAAAACACCCCCAACCTTAAAACCCAAACCAGAATGACAGGAAGTCCAGCCAGGAGAGAAGAATATACTAGCAATCAGACAGACCTGAATTCATCTCCTGCTTTCATCACTTACACACCGTGTGATCATGGGCACACTGAATTAAGATGACATAGAGACAAAGCCGAACCAAATAGGACAATGCCGAACCCTGAAACAGTCATTAAGCAATTCACATCTACGTGTGTCTGTTCAAAACAAATAGTAAGAACCTCCGGACGCAAAGGTTTCTCATCTAGAGACTCCCCTGGTTGCTGGATTCCCAGGGCTTACCTCCCCTCTGTGATACCATTTTTTCCTCCTCTGCAAAGTGTCTTATCCTATAAACATGTTGGTTAAGAGCTCTGGGTTCTCATTCCAATTCTGACTCTTACCAGCCATGTGTCTGTGAGCAGATCATTTCTATTCTCAGAGCCTCTGTTTTCTCATCTGTAAAATAGGGTCTTGAAGACACCTCTCTTCTGGAATTATTATAAGTACAGAACTGGATAAGAGATGAAATGTGTTCAGCACAGGGCAAGGCACATAGTAACACAAGGCTCTTAGCACACACATTCCCACCACAAGTGAGCGTGCACACACACCATGAAGATGCACGCTTCAGGCCCAAATGGCACCTCTCTTTCTGCAGAAGTGGCAACTGTCTTCTAAATTCCTGCTCAGTTGCCTAAGCTTAACTTTTAACGAAGCCAGAGAACAGTGATCTGTTGGTATTTGTACTCAGCAAAGCTGTCCGACAGCGGCATCTAAGCTTTGGGAATCCAGCAACCAGAGGATTCTCCGGATGAGAAAGATTTGCGTCCAGAGGATCTTAATATTTGTTTTGAACAGACACACGTAGACATGAATTACTTAATGACTGTTTTAGGGTTCGGCATTGTTCCTGTATTTGGTTTGGCTTTGTCTCTATGACATCTTAATTCAGTGTTCTATTTCACAGAGCTCCGCACAGAGGCTGTAGCATATGGGAGCTCCCTCAGCAAAATTTCAAATGGAGTGGGGGGCTGGAAGGTGTGGGGGGACAGGTGCCGGGAGAGATACACAGAGGGAGAGAGACAGAAAGAGCAGACTGTAGCTTCAAGAGTGTGCAGTGGAGGGGGCTACTGGGTGCAAGGGATAGTCTAGGTTTGCATGCATGAATATGAGAGACCAAACCCTTGCACCGTGGGAACAAAATCTATCACTGCTATTTGGAAGTCTAAACAGCATCTTTAAAGTTTCCTGATGTGATTGTTCACAATCAAAGGGACTGTAAATTTCATGCTTGTCCATAACACATGGAGGGACCCAGCCAATCTTCTGATATTGCTGTTCAAAGTCATCACTGGCTGCATCAGAGTCAGGAAAGAGGAGTCAAACAGAAGCAGATCAGATCTGGAACTCTGCTTGAGAAGGCAAGAACCCTCCTGGGACCACCTCCTGCCCCCAGCCCAGGACCTAGGAATTTCCTGAACTGGCTTACAAGGCCCCACTTGATCTGTTTTCTGCCTGCATCCTGGGAATCATCTTCTGTCACTCTCCCATTCACTCACTCTGCTCTAGCCACACTGACCTCCTTGCTATTTCTCAAATACACCAAGCATCCTTCTACCTCAGGGCCTTTGCACTTGCTGTTCCCTCTGCCTCAAACACTTTTCTCTCACTTATCCTCACAGCTCACCTCTCCCTTCACTCAGGGATCATGCTGTCCAACAAAGCAGCTCATTCCCTCACCCTCTATTCCTTTCCTTGGCTTTATTGTTCTTTACAGAATGCATTACCACCAGCTCTCATTTATTTATTTGGTTCTTCATTTATTGTCTTTCTCCTCCACGGGAACAGGGAGTTCCTGTGTTCATTCACTGTTACGTTGAGTAGTGGTTCAATAAAAATGTTGAATGACTGAATAAATGAATGAAAGTACAACCTAATTTTTTTTTAGCCAACGTGCAGCTTCTTCCACTTTGTGTATTAATTCCCCTGTGATTAATTTTATCTTCCACATTTGCAGGCTCGCTATAATCCCCCCATCACTGGTGGTTGTTCATGGAATGCAGACTAGATTTCCTATTAGCTAGAGCTGGTCCATGAAGGACAAGAAGCCTAATAGCCCACGCCAGAGACTGCATCCTTGAGCTGGAAAATGTATATTATATGAGCAGCTCCCTTCCACGGCTCCCCTCCACTAGCGTTGACTATTCCCCCACAGTTAATGTTCCCCTCAGAGAGTTTAGCCTGCTTTCTCTCCTATTAAAAGAAATGGTATTTGAGACCCTGCTGGGGGCAAAGGTCTGATTTTCTCTGATCATTCCTTGTATTTGTAGATAACGTTGATGAAATAGAAGAATCATCCCCATTTTGCAGATCGGATAACTAAAAATAACTGTGTGACTATAAGCAAGGGACTCCATGCTTCATTAAGGGTCTCTCCCTTCGCTGTTTTTTTTTTACATTCCTCTGTCTCTATTTCTCCCTACATTATCATGCTTAAGACAATAATATGTTTTACAGTTTCAAATAGCTAGAAGAAAAATACTGAATGTTTCTAATAAAAGAAATTATAAATGTTTAAGATGATGGATATGTTAATTACACTGATCTGATCACTGTACATTATATGTATCACAACACCACTATGTATCCCCCAAATATGTACAGTTATTATGTGAAAACAAATTTTAAAAATTAAAAAGACTGTCTCCCTTATGAAATATGTACTTATGTTGTGTCTACCTTTTCTACTAAACTCTGAGGCCCTCACTAGAGGACATTCAACTTTTTTCTCCCCAATGGGCCTGGCAAATAGTAACGAAAAAACCTATCATTTATTATTAATAGCAAGAGCCAACACTGATGGAGCTCTGACTGGGTGCCAAGTAGCACTTTCCATAAATTAGCTCATCCAGTCCTCACAGCAGCTCTTGGAGGGAGCTGCTATTATTAGCCCCATTTTATGGATGAGAAAACTGAGATTGAGAAGGTCAAGCTGCTTGCCAAGTCTCATAGCCCGTAAGCATTTGCAACCAATAAAATAAAACACTTCCTTTGATTAGTGTGCCCCTGAGGTCCATCAAATGTTTCAAACAGCTCTACCAATCTCCAGTGGCTCTTTAGGGAGCACCAAAGCCACATTTAAAAGTGAATACAGAGCATTGGAGCTGCTCAGGAGTCCAGTCCACAGAACCCAAGCATCACTACTGAACAAGCGCAGCCCAGGTAGTAAGGGGCTTTAGCATCCCCCCTCTCTGCATCTCGTTGGGTAGCCCCTGGCATAGTACACAAGAGCATCTGCTTTATGGAGATCTGGGTTTGTACCAGGCACAGTGCCATGCTCTTTATATAAATTATCTCATTCACTCCTCACTACAACCCCAACAGAGGAGTATTTCACAGATGGGGAGGCTGAGGCACAAAGAGGTGAAGTGACTAGCGGGTCCTGCAGCTTGCACGTAGCAAAGAAAGATTTGAGCCTGGATAGATTTGACTTCAGAGCTCAAACTCTTCATCATTCTACTTCCTCCACCTCAGAAATATTCTCTCACACTTCAGCGAAAGTCTTAGGAACAAGCAATTAAAGAGCTCTAGTTTTGCTAAGCCCCTGTGAATTCTTCCACTTCACGGGAAGGTAAATCCAGCCACTCTGAAAAATAAAAAATAAAAAAAACAGATTTTTTTTTTAATGTATTGCTCTTCTGCAGCATGCCTGAAGAGTTCATGGAGAAGAAGGCATGTGACCCAGGCTTCCTTCCCTATTAAAGGAGTTAGGGTTTTAGGGATGTTCCCTTTTTTTGGTGGCCTGGAGCAGTGGTGGAGGTAATGGAGACTTACAGGCCTAGAAAGCACATCCAAGTGGCATTTAGTCCAACCTCCTGCCCCCATACTGGCTAACATGTCTACTTGCCCAGACAGACAGATGTCTCTATCTAGGGAACTTCATTCTGACACCAGGGAGAGTCAAGTCTATTTGCAGTGTGTGCGTCTTTCAAGTTGCATTGATCAGAAGCCTCAGCGTCTCAGAACTGGAGGTGGGGTGGGGAGAGAGCTAATCTGTTGCTGGGTTTGAACCATGCACATTCATCTAATTAATGCATCCAACATTCACTGAACATCTACCACAACCTCGTTCTCTAAGATAGCACGTGTGCCGGGTGAACACAGCAGAATGTCAGAAATGACCCCCTGCAACCAACCCCTGTATCCCATTCAACAAATTTCACCTTTCAAAAGGAGAAAGGTTTGACCCACACAATAACGCTCCCTTCCTAGAGAAAAACGCTCATTCACCGCCAGGGCAAGCATTTTCTGTGACCCTCAGCGCATTGGCTCTTAACCACAGGCTGCTGCCAGAAAATCGCCTCTCAACAGCCCCTCACCTGGCTCCTGATGATCAAGTCAGCACAAACTGCTAACTGATCTCTTGGCACCGAGGGGAGTCTTGAATTAAATGGTTCAAAGGCATTTTTTTTTCTGCCTTACAATTTCCCTTTATGCAGTAAAATCTCCAATAGTTTGGAATTTATGGCCTTTTGGACAGGGCCTGGGCTGAAGTCTACTTCTGGTCTATTCTGCGTAGAAAGGATTTTTGAAGAAAATTAATAGCTTGCTAAAAGAATTGTAAGGAAAATGTGTGTTCTACTTAAGGGGATATCTTTTCTAGCCCTTTACTAACACTCATGCATCCATAAACAATTGATATGCAAATTTCAAATGATTTTTACATGTTCATTAAGCCTTTAGCTGCTACTATTGGTCGATATGGTGATATGAAATCATATTGTGGCTTGATCTAGCCTTAAGCACTAGGTTTTCACCGAGCTGAAACTTCTTAGGTACAAACTTCTCTAGGCTAAGCAATTAAAAAAGAGAATTAAGTTAATGCCAGGCAAAATGACTACCCTTCTTGGATGGGGATAAAAGGGAGGTGGCTCTCTACACTTTAGAGATTCATATATCTTATCGATTCATGCTGGTTCCCTTCCGGCTGGTAGATAAAGTTTGACAAGGACCACTGTACATCCTGGTTTGCCTGGGATGATCTCTGTTAGATCTTCCATCCTAGGTAATTACTAATGACACCTTCTTTCATTTTTAAAGACATTTTGATATAAACTATAAATCACATAGTCACTGTAGATTTGATGAAACCGTGGGATTAAAATTGTGATTTTTCAAGAAGTTTGAGCTTTCTTTAGACTGACAGTACCTGGTCTTCTCTATACAAACCAACAGAATGCTCCATGGAAATGTTATACCAATCAATTCTGAATCCAGATAATTATTTATTATCCCCAACCCCCTAACTGAAACAGTCAGATCAGAAAGCAGTTAGCCTCTTCTCAGAGACGAGGATTATGGGACCACTCTCTACCCTGCCTCATGTGTGTTAACTTCATCTGAATGTAGTTGTCCATCAGGAGTTGAAATCCCAATAAAAATGGTCAGCATTACTTGGGGGAGAAATGGGTAGGCATGGAGAACACAATGATGAGGAGTTGTTGCTTTCCTTTTGGCCACTATAAGCTTTGTTCCAGAGTCAATGTCTACTAAACAACACCATGCACCACACATAGGGGTAGAGCTTTACCTAACTAAATCCTTACAACCTGTTGTCTGAGGGGTTACTGTTATTATTTCTATTTTCAAGCTCAGTGTGGTAAAACTATTTGTTCAGGATACACAGCTAGTAAATGATAGAACCAGGACAGGAATCCAGGTTGTCTCATGCTCAAGTCTGAGCTCTTAACCACTATGATATACTGCTTCCCACTCTGCTCTACTGTTCTGACATTTGAGGCAGACATCTGGTTGCAATTTGATACATTATAAAGCTATTGCCTCATCAAGTATGCCCCACAGAGGGGTAGAGGAGAAAGAGAGACTAAGCAGGGGGTTGCTTAGATTGCAGTTGCATGATGTATGCATATTGCTATGAAATCAATGAATTGAATATATGTTTCTATCCTGGTACTAAATTACCTTGAGAGATAGACTTAAAATATCCTGAGGAAGTTTATTCAGAGGGGTGGCCTTCATCTATAAACAAATATTAAGTGTGACACCAACAGGACTGACTAGTGGTTCCTCCACCCACTCCCTGCCATCCCCCTGCAGACTGCTACATGTGCTGGTTTGCCGACTGTGATCTGGGCTTGACTCATGGAACTAAACGACATTTCTGATGAGACCAAGTCCCCAGATTGCCTCTAGAGGAAGCCACCCAAACCCAGCTGATATTGTGCCAATGCCTCTGTCTTCTTTCCTCTTGAGAACTCAGCTTTGGAAACATGGTACTTTCACCCTTAAGTAAGTGTAGAATGTTGAAAAGGAAGTGGAAATTGAATGTCACTGGATGTGGCTGGCTTGGGTGAGAATGGGGATGATTCAGGTTTTATCCAGTCTGTTAAAAGACAACTCCAATCCAACCTTTCCTGAGGACTTGGAAACAAATGTTCCCTTCTCACTCTCTACCCCAAACCAGGAGTAACAGTTATAAAACCGGAATCTGTTCTACAGAGAGGCCACGCCTATTACAGAAGTATTACACAGGATTCTCCTAGCGTGACATAAATCCAGGGCTTATGGTTCAGGCTTTCACCTCAGGGGTGGTTTCTAGGGCAAAGGAGACCCACGACATTAAAAGGCACCAAGAGTGAAATGATACTGGTTGCAGAGGGGGAGTGGAGTATTATAAAAGTCTCAGGATTACATTAGAATTAGCAAAAAGCTGCAGAAAGGATGAGGGTTGAAAGACCTTGTGGGCCATTCATGTGATTGCAAATATGACCAAGAAAAGGGCAGGACAGTAACAGAGAGACAGACAAAAGTGGAAAGTACCAAGCAAGGCAGATAATAGGTGTGCTTTCCTGAATCAAAACACCACCAAGAATCCGCTTTCCTCTCCCTGCACCCCTAAAATAGATGGAAGACTCTGGACTAAATGCCATACTTCTAGTTTCCTGTGAAATTTCCTCTAGTTCCTTCTACAAGGGCATTTTCTTTGGCCAGTGCAGCACCTGATTAGCCAACAGTAGGTACGTTCCAAAGGTGGAATAGATAGCAGAAACCCAGGAAGATAAAAACCACTGACGTCAAAACTCTATACACAGAACCTCCTTCGGAGCAGAGAAGCATCAGCCTTTAATGGCATTTGGTATTATTGTTCCCCTTCTCCAGCCTGTGTCAGTGGGTGGGTGGGTGTCCCCTCCTTCCCGTCTGCAAACACTGGCTGGTGCTGCTTTAGCTTGAAGCCTGCTACACCCTACTGGCCTGTTGTGATGCTTGGCCACCCATTCCTAAATGGGACACCTATTTCTCTAAAGACCTGTATGATCCTCAATAAGACAGTGAAGAGGAAAACTTCTCCAATCTGGCTTTGATTCTTCAGACATAATTTCCCATACGTCTTCCACCTCACACTCACTGGAAAGTTCAGAATCAGTTGTGCCAGAACAGACGTTCAGTCTGTCCTAAGCACTTTTGCAGACATGTTTTCAATCTGCTCCCTAATGCAGACTGCCAGGATTAATAAATCCTCCAAGTGGTCCCCCTGGTCCACTTCTTTCTTTTCTCCTACTAAACCACTCATCCAACACCAGCAAAAGATGAGTTTTCATACTACCTTGATTTTCCCTGACAGAGAGCACAGCCTTCTTCCCTTCATTCTTAAACTCCTCTAAATTGAATGATTTATGAAAAGAATTGGATTTTTCTCTGTCTTGGAATGCTTCCATTTTCCCCCAACCTCCTCTCCCTCTCACCCCACCTCCTGTTCCCCTGTTTCTTTCATTTCTTCCCTTATTCTTCCTTCCATCAGCACCATGTCTACCACCATCCAAGGATCGGTTCTCATCCCTGAGTTCAAAGCAATCAGATTCTTTTTGGAAAAAAAAAAAAAAAACAAAAAAAAACAAAATAAAACTCTTCCAAGATCATCTTCACGATCTTGGAAGGCTCCTCCCTGACTCCTGAGCTCAGAGTCTTGGTTTTGGATGCTGGAGAGGAGAGAATTCAGCAGCAGCGGCAGCAGCCGCCAGAAAGGCGTGGAGGAGGGTGCTGTTTTGGGTGTATTTGAGGGAACAGCATATGGGCTTTTGTCAAAAATGTTCAAAGCTCGCTAGTTTCCGAGCCGAGGATGGAAATGTGTGCTATCTCTGAACGCTGCTTGAGCTGGCTCAGTTCTCCTTTTCTGGTACAACACCCCCCAAACATCTCAAATCCACCATTCCTTGGCCCACCTGCCCTCTGGACTCTGTGACACCAAGAAAAGTTTTTCAGTCAAGTCGTACCCCATCTGCACCGCCCACCCTCAGGTAGCAAAACCTCTTGAATAGGAGCTACGGGGGTCCAATAAGCGTTGCTTTCCCCCAAAGAATTCCTGTCCCTTCTCACCATCTTCCACCTCACACAAGCAATGAGTTCCCATGTTTCAGCGGGAGCCGCCGAGTAGTGACGGGAAAAGACAGGCGCCCTGGCCCGGCTGCCTGCATCCACCCCTCCGGGCTCTGGGGCACAGGCCAGAAAGGAGGACCTTCAGGATCCCCCCTTCTAAGAAGGAGATCATTACCTTGGCAGCGGCTTGCGGGCCGTGATACTGGCGACAATGATGCTCTCGGGACGGGGGGTGGCCACCGCTTTGAAGGTTCCTCGCCAGAACTTCTCAAAAAGCTGCTTCTCGCCTTGCTGAACGCTCGCCATCGCCAACCCAAAGGGGCCGGGGCGTCCGGGGCGCTGTCCAAAGTGCTGAAACGTGGATTCCAAACGGGGGCGACACCCAGCTCCCGGCTCTGTCCGGGTGAAACCCAGAGAGGGGTGGGGTGGGAGAGATCGGAGTTCAGGGCGGGGGATGGGACGCCCCAGCCCGGGCAGGCAGCAGAGAAAGGAGGCTCGTCCGCTGGGCTTTCTTCGCCCTTCTGGGTCGGCTCCAGGCTGCGCTCTGAGCTGGCTGAGCCTCTGCGCCCCAAGAAGGGAAGGGAGGGCTGGCTTTCTGGGCAGCACCAGGAGAGAAGAGGCGACGGGGTCGGATGTGTGTGCGTGCGCGTGTGAGCTCCGGCGCGCCCGGGTTTTGTCTCTCGCACAATGTGACGTTGGAAGAGGAGGCTGGTCGCGCGAGCTGCACTTTCCTCCCCCCTCTCCGTCTCTCCTCCTCCCCACCAACCCCCTCCTCCTCAGGCTCAGCCTCCTGCCGCCATCTGCATAACAAAAGCCCGCAGGTCTTGGGAGGAGAAAGGGCGGGGCGTGCGCCTGTCACCAGGGCCCCGCGGCGACCGAGTTGCAGCGCTGATCCCTCTGAGAAGCCATCCTGGCACCCCAATCTGCGCCAGGCAGGAGATCCTGCTTCCCAGGCCCCTCTCCTCTCCCATCATCGCTGGCCTTCCTCAGCCCTTTCCTGGGTGCCCCCTTTGGGCCAGGCCACCTTTCTTTCCAGCCCCTTCGCAAGTCTTGTAGCTGATCTTCTGCGTGGGGGGGGGGGGGGGGTTGGGGGGGCTCGTAAAAAACTTAATCTATCCACCCCAGCCGGCCTCCCCCAGACCCTCACTTTTGGGAGACACGGCCTAGGCCGGTACAGAGGGTGCCCTGCGTTCCTCTTTGCGCCGGGGGTTAGCGAGGTCTCCACCACCCAGAAAGTGCCATTTGATAGACAATCCCTCACCAATTCGGCTTCTCGCCATCTGCCGAGCAGGGCCCCCGCCCGCCAAGGGGCGCAGCGTTACATCTGTGCATGCGGAGCTGTCAAGGGTATCTCTTTTGTGTCTCACAGCCGGCCTGCCCAGCGTCCCCGCCGCCAACCCCGTCCAGAGGAAAGAGTTCCCATCTCACCCCACCCCACCCCCATCCACTCCTGGGGAATCCGCCTGCAGCCACTTTTCCTAATGCCGCTAGTCTCGGGAAAGGAGTACGTTTTGGAAAAGAAAGCGCTTAGTGGGAGGGTTGGAGAGGAAAATCTCGAGGATTAGCAGGGGGATAGTTACTTTTCGGTCTCTCCTCCCCATCTCCTTACCGCCTCGCAGTTCAATCGTAATCCCAAGCAAGTGGAGGTTTAGAATCCCAAATCAACCCCAGACACAGAAGATCTGGTTAGAATGACTCTTGTTTTCCCCCAGGGTTTTCATTATAAAAAAAAGAGATCGTGGCGGGACCCCTCAGCCCTTGCCTTCCTGGAAGCCTTTTAATCTTAGCAGAGTTGTTACTCCCCCATCTCCCACCTAACGCCCTCCCCCTCCCCCCAACCCCGCTTCCACTTTCCAGGCTGTAAATTCCTGGAAGGAGGCCTCGCTCAGTCTTAAATGCCTCCAAGCACCTGGTGCTGAGTCCCAGTCACAGCGAGAATAAACTCCTGCTCTTTGCTAAAGCAGATAGCAATGGGGACCCAATGAGGGCGGGGTAGGGCGGGGGGGTCGGGAGAACAATGGGAACTCCAGAAATTCTCTGAAGGGGAACAGGAGGTAACTAGGAGGTGAAGATGAAGAGGCCAACAGAGAGGATAAGATGGGGCAGGAGAAGAAAGAACCTTGGAGTAAATGAGTACCCGCCCCAAAGGGTATCTACGTTTGAAGTGTGTGTGTTCGACACGCCTGCGTCCGCTTATTTGAGTGCCTGAGAGCGCTACTTGCTCTGCAGTGACCCCTTCTGGTCAACAACGAGAGGTGCATTTGCTGGCTTCTTATGTGGGTTGCCGGGGGAGAGGGCCCAGAGGTGGGGGTCAGGCCTGGGAAGGTTGGAGATGGAGCAAAGTGGAGACTAGGCTAACCCCTTCCCTTCCTCTCCCTCTTACCTTGCGCCCCAAATCCCCCATTCCCTGATTGGGCTAGACCCCCGTTTCCCACCCAGAAGTTGGTATCATTGTAAATGCAATCTAGAGCTGGCTTCTTATAGGTAGCAGACTGGCATCTTTAAAACTAACCTTAGTCATGACATTTAGGGTATGAACTGAGTCACTTGCAGGAGAGAGGTAGGTGGGATCCTACCCCCACAAGATCAGTCAACATCTTCCAGTTGTGTGCCTGCTCCTAATCCCTAAAATGTTGATAGAGCTCCCATATGCAAAACATTGCCTTTTTAAAATCCCATCGTAGCCAGATGAGGTGGGAGAGAAAGCTGATCTTATTCTATTTTATTTATTTATCTTATTTCAATAGCTTTAAGGGTGCAAGTGTTTTTTGGTTACATGGATGAATTGTATAGTGATGAAGTCTGGGCTTTTACATACCTGTCACCCGAATAGTACCTTACCCCCAAAAGGCCATTATTAAAAAGTAAAAAAAAAAAATAGATGGTGTAGATGCAGTGAAAAGGGAACAGTTATACACTGTTGGTGTGGATGTAAATTGGTACAACAACTATGGAAAACAGTATGAAGATTTCTCAAAGAACTAAAAGTAGACCTGCTCATTCTTTTATAAAGACACATGCATGTGTATGTTCACTGCAGCACTACTCACAATAGCAAAGACATGGAATCAACCTAAATGCCCATCAGTGATAGACTGGATAAAGAAGTTGTGGTACATATACACCATGGAATACTACGCAGCCATGAAAAGAATATCATGTCCTTTGCAGGGACATGAGTGGAGCTGGAGGTCATTATCCTTAGCAAACTAACATAGGAACAGAAAACCTGATACCACATGTTCTCACTTATAAATGGGAGCTAAATGATGAGAACACATGGGCATATAGATGGGAATAACACACACTGGGGCCTTTTGGAGGGTGGAAGTTGGGAGGAGGGAGAGGATCAGGAGAAATAACTAATGGGTACTAGGCTAAATACCTGGGTGATGAAATAATCTGTTCGACGAACCCCCGTGACACAAGTCTACCTATGTAACAAACCTGCGCTTGTACCCCTGAACTTAAAATAAAAGTTAAAAAACGTAGACCTGCTATTCGATCTTACTCTGTTTTAAACATGAAGAAGTTGAGGATGACCAAGTGACTTCCCCAGGGTGATCCTGTAGGAAGCAAAGGAAATTTGTGAAAAATACAGTTTCTGTTTTTGCTTGGTGGGGTGGAGGATGGAGTGGGATACTACGCATATCAGGATGGACCACCATTTAAAAATAAATCAGATAACAATGAGTCACATACTTAGAAGCACCTGGTGTTGAGGTTCCTAAATTGGGAGTCTGCAGTAATCAGTTCAGGACTTGGAATCCAGAATGCCTGGCTTCAAATTCCAGCTCTGCCATTTCCTAGCTGTGTAATGTTGGAGGAGGGATTTCACTTGCCTATGTCACAGTTTCTTTATCAATACTATGAAGAATTTTTTTTTGAGACAGAGTCTCGCTCTGTTGCCCAGGCTGAAATGCAGTGGTGTGATCTCAGCTCACTGCAACCTCCGCCTCTCAGGTTCAAGCCATTCTCCTTTCTCAGCCTCACTAGTAGCTGGGATTGCAGGCGCCTGCCACGACGGCCCAGCTAATTTTTTTTGTATTTTTAGTAGAGATGGGGTTTCATGAAGATTCTATAAAGATTATAAATAATATGTTTAGATGAACTAGCTGTGAGGATTGAAGGAATTAACACACATACAGGTTCTAGAATGTGTCTGAAACACAGTTTACTCAAAAATATCAATTACTCAAGTGGTTAAAAGCCCAGCCTGTGGATTTAGAGAGAACTAGGATATGAAGCCCAGCTCTGCCACTTTGTAGCTGTATGAGCTTGGGCTAATAACTAACCTCTGCCTTTGTTTCCTCATTTGCAAAAGTGGAGATATCACATCGTGGTTGGGAAGATTAAATGAAATATTACTGGTAAAGGACTTAATAAATTGTCCAGTTTATAGCAAGTGACCATTCAATGGTAGCTCTTCTTGCTCATGATCTTGGAATAATCACCTGTTACTATGTTAAGTCAGGCCATATTCAGTTCAATAATCATTAACTGATGCCCAATCTTGCATCTTGGCCAGGCACAGTCCTGGGCACGGAGGACTCAAAGACAAACCAGACATAGTCCCTTCCCTGAAGCAGTTCACAGCCTAATTCTCCTTCTGGGTCTCCACTGACTAACACTTGTCCCCTTTTCATCTTATCACAGTGACTTCTGCTTTAGGTCTGGCTTCTCCAATATAACGTGAACTCCAGTTCCTCCATCACTTTATTAAAATAGAACCATCTTGTGCCTCATTCCTTCCGGGTATTGCTTTCTGTTTCCCCAGATGCAAGCCAGCCCACCCCATAAACAAGGACCTATTAATATGCTGGTTAATGAATATAAACTTATGGCACAATTATTCCTTGCCCTCTGTGCTATACTGATGGTAGACATCACTGATCCTTCACAATACTCTTTCTCAGACCGACCCTCAGAATCCTTCTTAACACACAGTTTCTAGATAGCCACTACTAATAGTTTGGTCTTGGCATTCCAGATAAAATCAATTTGCCATCCATGTCTAGAGAATGTTTCTTTACCTGATTGGTATTGTTCTTTCATTTGAAAAAAGGGACAGCAGGGAGAAATGATTCTAAACTTTGCAAACCCAGGCACTCTAGAGCAGGAGCTAAGAAGATTCTTATGCAACCTTCTCCTTAGTGATCCAAAGATACAGCACCTCCAGCTCAGAGAAATAGCTACCCCTTCTCCTGAGGCAGTTCAAATCCCACCTCACTAACATTACCATGTTACCTTGGGTAAATCTCTTAATCTTTCTGTGTCCACGATTTCTCTGAGTACAATGGAGCCAACCATTATCTACCAGCATCAGAGAACTTGACAGTCTGTACCCATTTCTAAAAGTCCAGGGAACAGCAAAAGATTCAAATAATTACTGAGATGATGGGAAATATGATAATGAGACCAATTCATCGGTCTTTATGTCTTTAAACAAGATCATGCTAAACCATTCAAATTACAAGATTATTTATTTGGGGAGAAAAATATGATTGCACTACTCAATGTTTATCAATCCTCACTTCTTGACTTCTTCGTTCCCAATTTGACTTCTTCCTTTAATCCTCACTTCTTGAAAGTTCTACCTTGTGTCTAACCTGAATCCCACCTCTGTTGTTTATTGTCCATTCCTCTTCTGGAACATACATGTGCACTACTTCAGATACTCCTGGACTAGTATGGATAAACCAGAAAGCCTCCTTCCAACTGCATAGATCCCAAGATTCTACAAGACAGATGGATTCATTGCCATCTCAGACAATAAAAATTGCTACACTTATCAGACATATGTTACTATGTTCTAGTCACAACATGTGCTTAAACCCTTGATAAACATTATCTCACTTAATTCTCACAACAGCTCTATGATAAAGGAACCATCATCATCTAAATTTTGCAGATTTGGAAACTGAGTCTCTGAGTGGGAGAATCACTTGCCCAGAGTTGCATAGCTAGCAAGTAGAGGAGTCTGCTTTCAAATCCAGATATGTCTTAATCTAAAGTCTAGGCTACGCTGACCTCCAGCAACAGGATAAGAAAAGTGTAACATTAGGTGAGTGTAAAATGTATCCCTCCTGTCTATATATTGTGTCCATGTCTAGAGCTGCCCATTAGTCTGCATATCTATTTATGCTATCAAGGATGTTATTTTCAGAGCCTCCACCTTCTTCCTGCAGAAGGGCAAAGAGTACTTGCCTGGTACTACCCTAATATGTACAACCTGGTATTTTATAGGTAGTTGGCAGGAAAAGACATGAGTCTCCAAGGCGACCATATTGATTTTGTTGAAGAAAACCAAACTGAAGAATCTCAGTGGGAGGAGAAGGAGAGAGATGCTCAAAATCAAGACTGGAATAAAGCAACCATTCCTCCCCAGAGCAATTGTACCAGCCACCTAATCTGCCTTCCTGCTGCAAGAATTCACCTTCTGCTAACCTATCCTTTGGACTTATTCCCTCTAGGGACTTTTTTTTCCTTCAAACTGGGGGCCTGCTCATAACTTCCTTCCTTGAAAACCTTGCACTGACTCCCCCAAATTAGTAGGGTCAGTGCTAACCCCTCTGCATTACGGCTCTCATGAACTGGTGCTTGCCTTCTATCTGTCCTTGAACTTCACCCTCCAGTTATTTCACATTGTTCATCGTATCTCTATATACCTCGTTCTACTCCATAACTCTCCAAATCGTGCAAAACAAACCCCTCTGACATCTCTGTCCTTTTGAAAATGTCCTATTCATTCTTTGATATTTTATAATCACATTATCTCAGAAGTCTTAACATACGCATTGCTAGCCTTCCATACCCATAATAAAATCTTCCTCTCTTGGCCCTCCTTTGAGCCATGGGTATACTTTATAATTTATTTAGAGTTACTTGTCATAGTATTGACTGGGTGATCCTTGAAAGAACAGACTATGTCTATTTCTTATTTGAGTCACAAATGCCTAGTATAGAATTGGCACATAGTAAAAGTTCAGTAAATGCTGGTGTAATGAGTAGATTCCATATACAGTAAGAAACTATACTAATGTTCAAGTTACCCAGTCCCGCAGGTAATGAGGCACGATTTTATACTCATATTACACGTGACAATACAGTATTCACACTGTGCTTACTGGCATTGTATATATTCACTTAACTGTGAATTGATGAGAGAAAAACACTGTATTTTATGTATACTCTATGTAGTATGTATAACAGTAATAATATGCAATTATAACAATATATGTGTATATAGTTACATAGTATTCAGTGCCAGGCATTTTTCTAAGTACTTTACAAATATTAACCCATTGAATGCTCACCAAAACCCTATGTATTAGGCCCTGCTATTAACCACAGAGAGTTTAAGTAACTTACCAGGGACACACAGTTAGTAAAAGGTGGAGCCAACATATGAATTCAGTTAGTCTGACTTGCAGAGCCCTTAATCATTCTTACATACTGCCTCTAATATGATTTTTATATCCTGAAGTGAAATTCATTCATTGTGCAAGTATGTATTGGGCACAGCAATTGGACAGGGACAAAAATGGGTCCTCCTCTCCTGAACCCTTCAGTCCAGTTGAGTTATGTTAAACATCATAAAAAAAAACCATGCCCCAAAGAGGAAAACGATGTAAAACTGGATAAGTGGAGAATTTACTAAGTGTAAAGAGAATTTACTGAGTGTATAGAGGTAAAGTCTGTCCAAGACAGTTGCTTTTAAGTTTCATCTAAGAGTAAGAGGCATTTGCCAAGTGAAGAAGGGAGGTAGCATTTCAGGAAAAGAGTTCAGTACGCACAAAGACCACACATTGGGAAAGAGTTGGGTAGACTTATGAGAGAGGCTGAAGCCCAGAGAACACAGTGATGAAAAAAATGGAGGCAGAATGTTGGAATTAGTGATGAAAAAATGTGCTGTGTGCAGTGAAATTATACTCTCTGAGTCTCATTTTCCTTTTAAATGAGTCTCATTTTTCTTTCAAATGCAAAATGAGAGAATCACCATTATTACACCCAGTTTTAAAAGCCAATTATTTTATATCATTATTTCTCAAAGTGAGGAGCCTTGGAACCCTAGTGGTATCCCCCCACCCCAAGCATGTTTTAGGTGATATCCAGGCAGATCAAGCACAACAAATAACATTGGAATACATGGTCATAATGTGAGAAAGTTATTTCTTTTTCAATTCTCTTTTCTAGCCATTGGGTTACCTCCAGAAGTAAGTCTACACACCTTGATTTTCTTGAAATGTCTTGAACCTGTCTTAGCACTTGCTTTTCAACAAGAAAGTGACTTCAGATTCAGAGGTTAGGACAATTACAATTTAATAACCTTGATTTGCTTTCACTGAATTTATTTTTATAGTTATTTTCCATCATTGGCATGTGATACTGGTTTTTCACCTCTAAAATGTCCTCTTTAGGTAAATTTGTTAAGTAATGAATAAATCAGTTTTAAAAAACTTTTTTATTATGAAAAATCTAAAACATACATAAAAATAAAGAGACTAGCCTAATGAGTCCCAATGTCCCCATAGTCTAATTTCAACACTGATCAATAAAGAGTCAATTGTTTCATTGGTACCCTCACCCACTTTCCACACTACTAAATTATTGTGAAGCAAATCTAAGACATTGCATTATTCCCAGTTGTAAATACAAGGTGCATCTCTAAAATATAGGAACTCCTTTTTAAAAGCATGACTGCAATATCATCACACAAAACAAAATTAACAATAATTTCTGAATATCATCAAGTATCCAGTCAATATCCCCCATTCCCAATTGCCTTTTAAGTGTTTGTTTATTGTTCATTGGCTTGTGTGAACTGGAATTCAAATAAGGCCTATTCCTCATGGTTGGGTGATATATCTCCTTAAATATCTTTTCATTTCTAGGTTCTCTGCCATTGCCAACATGCACACAAACATTCTACCTCTGTCCTCTTTATTTTTCTTAAGAAACTTGATTATTTGCCTAGTAGAGTTTTCCATAATCTGTATTTTGCTGATTTTGCAAGTCTGTGGCATTGATAACATGTTTCTCTGCATTCTTTATTTTTTGTTAAGTGGTGGTACGCTAGAGGCTTAATCAGACTTACGTTCAAAAGAAAATCTACCAGGAGGCTAATAATGTATGGTTTTCTCTTTTCTTGTGATGCTAGCTGACACTGAAGATCATTGCTTAATTTATTAATTTATAATTTATATAATTTATAATTTAGTGGTTGCAAAATAGTGATATTCTAATCTATCATTTATCTTTCATGTATTAGCTGGAATACTTCTATAAAGAAATATCCCTCATCAACTATTTGGTTAATTTAGAGCACCATTAGTATAGAAATGGCAGAATGATATTTGATTCTTTCCCTTTTATTTTCTAGCTTATAAAAATAATGGGTTGGGCTACTAGTATCCTTATAAGGTACTACTGAGTTGATTGGTTATTTGCTGTTGCCATTTTTTAATCCTTACAATGGACTCAGATTTGAATAAATTTTATGTGCTTCAATTAATTCCTGTTATTATTCTTATTGATGCTTTACTTGTTCCACCTTTAGCCAGGAGAGCCTATTCAATTGGTTCCTGAGTCCTTTGATATGACCTAGAAGGCTTTCAGTGGCTTTCTCACTTTCTGATATGTCAAGATGTTCCAAGCTCAACTTATAAATATCCTGACCCAGACCAGGAATCAGCCATTTCTCCAAAATGCAATGGTTCCTTTCAACAGGTGTCAGAGTTTCTCATCATTACCGGATTAGCTGGTCAGTGTTTCTAGGATTTTTTAGCATACAGACCTAGGAAATTTTATTTTCAGACCAAAAATGTATCATGAGTTTTCACTTGTATTTCTAGTTAAAATAAGGGCTACAGGTTTTTTTTTAACCTCATAAATTGTCCCTCTGTGTCTCTTTTCTGATATGCCCACAATCTACATTTAGTGACACTCACATAATTACTCATGTATTTATCCCACAGCACGCACACGTGTGCAGACACACACACACACACACACGCACACACACATATTTTAGGACAACTGTACTTATCCTACCTCCATAATATGATTACTAAATTCAGTTAAAGGTTTTTTTTTTTTTTTGCCTCTCATTTGGATGTATATTCAAAGGACTGTGTATTAAAGTCAACTGGAATGGGATTGCATTGAGGTTTATTTGTTTACTTTTGATTTTTAAGGATTGCTTTTCAATATAACTTTATTTCTTTAAATGTAAAATATTTACATGGCTCTGAAGTGAAAACTACCAAGAAGGTATATTTAGACAAGCCTACACACCCTTTCCTGTCCACCCTATTCCCTCCCTCTCCTCAGGTAATTTTAAACATTTTTTATGGTTTATCTTTTCACTTAAAAATATTCCTCATTCAGAATTATTCCGTTTTTTAAAAGCATAAATAGTATACAAGAGCATCAGTGAGAGAAAGATACTATGGAAACCCTAAAGTAGTATTCAAGCCATTAACATTTGTGTGCACCCTGTTACCTATCCGTGAGTAATTTTGGCGTTTGACTCGACAGCCTTTTTGTGTAGAGGTGTGTAGCTTAGTCCCTTCACTTACGAACGACATATATTTGACATATACACACTGTGAGCATCTCACCTGTTGTATGAAGCTGGTGTAATATTTAAATATGGATGTGCAAATCTCTGTTCCTATAAACAGGAAGGTGGAAAAAAAGCTTGCCTAAAAGAATCCAGTTTTGCATCTGAAAGCATCTCTCTATCTGTCATGGCTCTTATTTGTGTGTGTGTGTGTGTGTGTGTGTGTGTGTGTGCGTGTGTGTGTGTCTATACTATATATATAGCCTCAAGTGCCTTCTGCCTTTAAAGATAGGCTGCAACTTTTGAATGTGCTTGCTTTGTCTTGTCTGTTACTCTTTTCTACTGAAAGGAGTACAGAATTCTCTCCTGGAATGCTTTGAAGCAGAAGACAAAGGCAACTGACCTTTGGTTTGGGAGAAAAAAAAAAAGGACAAGGAAGAGAAACTCAAGGCTGTTCATATGCCCTTGTACACAGAAGATTTGGAGGCAGAACTGAAAACGAGTGTCTTCTGCATCCAGGGGCTTTGGGAGAAAGCTCTCTGCAGCAGCACCCTCCCTTTCGCCTTGCCCCTGGATTGGATGTTGCAGAAGTAATTAGTGAATAAATTGATAGTCAGTGTTGTGACGTGACCACAATTGTTAATGCATCATTTTCCTCCTGGAAACTTAGTTTGCCTTACAGGCAAGCCAGATTCTATGTAGGCTCCTGACAACCCAAAAACCCAGAATAACTTCTGGAGCGTTTAATCTTTCCTCTTTGGTATGAGCGCTTTATGTACATATTCACATTTAATTCTCACAGTGACCCTTTGAAGCAGTCTCTGTAAGAAGTGAAGGGACTTGTCTGAGGTCAGACAGCCAGAACATCTAGAGTGGATTTCTCTTTTATTTTTCCATGGCGGGGGATGAGGGGGATGTATTCATGAGTATAATAAATGTGCCATAGAATTTTGTCTTTAGAAAGGTGATAAATGCTGTTTTTTAAAAATCTCTTTCAATTAGACTTTATGAAGGATTCCCTAGATCTATTATTCAGGAATATGAGCAACAAGCCATAACTCCCAGTCTGATCTCCTTCAAGGAGGACTTTAGATGAGGTTGGGCAATGCATTGAAGGCTTGAAGGGCCAGCATTCTGGTCCTCATTGAACTTAGGCAACGCTTACTCCTAAGTCCCAGTCTCAGTTTTGCCATCTGTAAAATTACAGGGTTAGGCTCTCAGAGGTCTCAGACTGGCAGCCCAGAGTATGAATCTGGCTTACAGATGTGTTTTTTGTTTGATGGCCACAATGTATTTAAGAATCGAGAATGTGAATGACTATAGGTAAGGAAAATGTTCTCCTTTTGCCACAGACCCCCACTCCTAATTGCATTTCATCCAGGCTTTTTCATGCATATACATTTCCCCTCTTGACCATTGCAACTCCTGGGCTTGAGGGTCCTCTTAGGAATGACACTCTGTAGCTTCTTTGTATTTTTCTTTCCTGAGAATACTCATAACAATAATTTTAATAACAGCAGAAATTAGCATTTGTTGAATGATTCCTATGTGCCTTGCATTGGAACTAAGTACAAATGTCATCTCGTTCCCTTCTTATACCAACGCAATGAGGGAGCTGTTATTGGAATCCATCCTTTGTGTATGATGAAGCTGAGACTCAGCGAGATAAAATGTCTTGTCTAAGGTCACGCAGTGGTGGTAGATGGAAAAGCTGGAATTTAAATCTTGGTCTTTCTGAGCCCAAAGCCCATGCTCTTACCCAGGAGTAATATGCAAAGCACTTAACAACTCATATGGGCCGGGCGCAGTGGCTCACGCCTGTAATCCCAGCATATTGGGAGGCAGAGGCGGGTGGATCACTTGAGGTCAGGAGTTCAAGACCAGCCTGGCCAACATGGTGAAACCCTGTCTCTACTAAAAATACAAAAATTAGCTGGGCACAGTGGTGTGTGCCTATAATCCCAGCTACTCGGGAGGCTGAGGCAGAAGAATTGCTTAAACCCGGGAGGTGGAGGTTGCAGTGAGCTGAGATCACGCCACTACACTCCAGCCTGGGTGACAGAATGAGACTCTGTCTCAACAAAACAAAGCAAAACAAAACAAAACAAACAAATGAACCCATATGGTATGGCTCTGACCTATCAGATGGATATTGGGTATAGGACAGCTGCGTGCCAGGGAAATGGTTGCAGTGGCCAGGTCAGTGAAGAGGGCGTGGGCACTGGAGTGAGATCATAGGAGAAGCTATTTCCCAAGTTAAATGGGAGTATTTCTATATTCACCATCCAGGGTGACTGAGCCGAGCTCTCTGGCTAAGTGTCCAGCTCCTAACTACCTCACTTGCTTTTTGTCATGCTGAGTAGAAGGCACCTGTGGTGTCTTAAGGACCTACGTGTAATGGTACACAACATACCAGAATCTCTGGGACACAGATAAAGCAGTGTTAAGAGGGAAATTTATAGCACTAAATGCCTATAGGAGGAAGCAGGAAAGGCCTAAAATCGCCACTCTAACATCACAATTAGAAGAACTAGAGAAGCAAGAGCAAACAAATTCAAAAGCTAGCAGAAGACAAGAAATAATTAAGATTAGAGCAGGGCTGAAGGAGACAGAGATGTGAAAAACCCTTCAAAAAATCGATGAATACAGGAGCTGGTGTTTTGAAAATATTAAGAAAATAGACAGACTGCTAGCCAGACTAATAAAGAAGAAAAGAGAAGAATCCAATAGACACAATAAAAAATAATAAAGGGAACATCACCACTGATCCCACAGAGATACAAACTGCCATCAGATAATACTATAAACACCTCCACACAAATAAACTAGAAAATCTACAAGAAATGGATAAATTCCTGGACACATACACCCTCCCAAGACTAAACCAGGAAGAAGTCGAATCCCTGAATAGACCAATAACAAGTTCTGAAATTGAGCCAGTAATTAATAGCCTACCAACCAAAACGAGCTCAGGACCAGACAGATTCACAGCTGAATTTTACCAGAGGTACAAAGAGGAGTTGGTACCATTCCTTTTGAAACTATTCCAAACAACATAAAAAGAGAGACTCCTCCCTAACTCATTTAATGAGGCCAGCATCATCTTGATACCAAAACCTGGCAGAAACACAACAAAAAAAAAGAAAATTTCAGGCCAATATCCCTAATGAACATCAAAGCAAAAATCCTTAATAAAATGCTGGCAAACTGAATCCAGCAGCACATCAAAAAGCTTAACCACCACGATCAAGTCAGCTTCATCCCTGGGCTGCAAGGCTGGTTCAACATATGCAAATCAATAAACATAATCCATCACATAAACAGAACCAATAACAAAAACCATATGATTATCTCAATAGATTCAGAAAAGTCCTTCAATAAAATTCAACACCCCTTCATGATAAAAACTCTCAATAAACTAGGTATTGACGGGACGTATCTCAAAATAATAAGAGCTATTTATGACAGACCCATAGTTAATATCCTACTGAATGGGGAAAAGCTGAAAGCATTTCCCTTGAAAACTGGCACAGGACAAGGATGCCCTCTCTCACCACTCCTATTCAACATAGTATTTGAAGTTCTGGCCAGAGCAATCAGGCAAGAGAAAGAAATAAAGGGCATTCAAATAAGAAGAGAGGAAGTCAAATTGTCTCTGTCTGCAGATGACATGATTATATATTTAGAAAATCCCATTGTCTCAGCCCCAAAACTCCTTAAGCTGACGAGCAACTTCAGCAAGGTCTCAGGATACAAAATCAATATGCAAAACTCACAAGCATTCCTACACGCCAGTAATAGATAAACAGAGCCAAATCATGAGTGAACACTCATTCACAATTGCTACAAAGAGAATAAAATACCTAGGAATAAAACTTACAAGGACCTCTTCAAGGAGAACTACAAACCACTGCTCAAGGAAATAAGAGAGGACACAAACAAATGGAAAAACAATCCATGCTCATGGATAGGAAGAACCAATATCATAAAAATGGCCATACTGCCCAAAGTAATTTATGGATTCCATGCTATCCCCATCAAGCTGCCATTGACTTCCTTCACAGAATTAGAAAAAACTACTTTAAATTTCATATGGAATCAAAAAAAGAGCCCATATAGCCAAGACAATCCTAAGCAAAAAGAACAAAGCTGGAGGCATCATGCTACCTGACTTCAAACTATACTACAAGGCTACAGTAACCAAAACAGCATGGTACTGGTACCAAAACAGATATATAGACCAATGGAACAGAGCAGAGGCCTCAGAAATAACACCACACATCTACAACCATCTGATCTTTGACAAACCTGACAAAAACAAGAAATGGGGAAAGGATTCCCTGTTTAATAAATGGTGATGGGAAAACTGGCTAGCCATACGCAGAAAACTGAAATTGGACCCTTTCCTTACACCTTATACAAAAATTAACTCAAGATGGATTAAAGACTTAAACATAAGACCTAAAACCATAAAAACCCTAGAAGAAAATCCAGGCAATACCTTTCAGGACATAGGCATGGGCAAAGACTTCATGACTAAAACACCAAAAGCAATGGCAACATAAACCAAAATTGACAAATGGGATCTAATTAAACTAAAGAGCTTCTGCACATCAAAAGAAACTCTCATGAGAGTGAACAGGCAACCTACAGTATGGGAGAAAACTTTTGCAATCCATCTATCTGACAAAGGGCTAATATCCAGAATCTGCAAGGAACTTAAACAAATGTACAAGAAAAAAACAACCCCATCAAAAAGTGGGCAATGGATAGAAACAGACATTTCTCAGAAAAAGACATTTATGCGGCCAAAAAACATATGAAAAAATGCTCATCATCATTGGTCATTAGAGAAATGCAAATCAAAACTACAATGAGATACCATCTCACACTAGTTAGAATGGCGATCATTAAAAAGTCAGGAAACAGCAGATGCTGGAGAGGATGTGGCAAAATAGGAACACTTTTACACTGTTGGTGGGAATGTAAATTAGTTCAACCACTATGGAAGACAGTGTGGCGATTCCTCAAGGATCTAGAACCAGAAATACCATTTGACCCAGCAATCCCATTACTGGGTATATACCCAAAGGATTATAAACCATGCTACCATAAAGACACATGCACATGTATGTTTATTGCAGCACTATTCACAATAGCAAAGACTTGGAACAAACCCAAATGTCCATCAATGATAGATTGGATAAAGAAAATGTGACATATATGCACCATGGAATATTATGCAGCCATAAAAAAGGAAGAGTTCATGTCTTTTGCAGGGACATGGATGAAGCTGGAAACCATCATTCTCAGCAAACTAACACAGGAACAGAAAACCAAACACTGCATGTTCTCACTCATAGTGGGAGTTGAACACTGAGAACACACATGGACACAGGCAGGGGAACATCACACACTGGGGCCTATCGGGGGGTAGGGGGCTAGGGGAGGGATAGCATTAGGAGAAATACCTAATGTAGATGATGGGTTGATGAGTGCAGCAAACCACCATGGCTACATGTATGCCTATGTAACAAATCTGCATGTTTTGCACGTGTATCCTAGAACTTAAAGTATAATTTAAAAAAAAAGAAACCTTAAAACAAACAAACAAACAAACAAAAAACCTATGTCTGAGAAACATGAAGAATGTGACAGTGACCAGAGGGCAGCAAGACCAGGTGATTCTGGGGCTGGATGGGGTCTCCTGGGAGATGAGGAGGTTGGGAAATTCAGCAACGATGGCTAGACTCCCTGCTTGCAGAAACTTATAAATAAGAAAGGAAGATGGCATTGACCTGGAAAGATAGATCAGTGGGTTTCCATATGAGTTGAATGAAGCCAGAGTTAATATTAAGTGGGCCACTTAACATGGCTCCAGCCCCAAACCACGGAGATAGTGTGGCTGACTGCTAAAAAAGTAACTCAAGTCACATGCCCTTTCTAATTATTGTAACATATTAACAAAATTTATTGGGCACAGACTAAGTGCCAGGCATTATACCAAGTGTTGAGGTTTCAACAAAGCAGTAGGAAAACATCTCTGCCTCCAATCCAGGGTGTGGGTGGAGTAATCTGTGATATTAAGGGCTAAACTTAGAAGGCTGAGGAGATGCATGAAAAAAGAATTCTTCTCTGTGTTGGTGCAATCAGGGAAAATTAAGACCCAAAGTATGAGTGATCCAAGCCAAAGAGGCAGGGAAAGGGTGGAGGCACCTCAGGGAGAGAGCTCTCCATGTACAAAGACCCAGAGGTAAGACAGAACTCACTTTGCTTACAGTAATGCTGTGTTTCTTGAAGCGGAGTCGGGGCTGACAGCATCAGCGTCTCCTGGGAACTTGATAAAAATGCAAATTCCGAGGCGCTACCATAGCCTTATTGACTTAAGAGCTTCTATGCAGCAAAAGAAACTGTACAAGATGGAACCCAGCAATCTGTGTTTTGACAGGCTCTCCAGGTGGCTCTAATTCAAGTTTAAGCTTGAAAAACACTCAGTACAGAATTTCATGGTTGAGTGGTCAGAAGTGTGGTTGGAGAGAAGAGGAGAAACCAGATCATGAGAAGCCTGATGTGACTGAAGTTTTATGTTTAGGGTAATGTGCTTTGGAGGGACTTTGATAAGAGCAGTGACATGACACTTGGATTTTCGCTTCATAAGTGTTCCTCAAAATTGCTGAGCTTGTTACTACTTCTAAGCCTTTGTGTTTGCTGTTGCATTTGCCTGAAACATTCTACCTCCAGATTTTTAAAATATGAACTCCTCTTTATTGAGATCTCAGTTCAAATGGTACTTCCTCTGATCATCCCACAATAAGTGGTCCTTCTGCTTCCCTCTCCCATCAGCTTGGTTTATTCTTATAACTCTTAGCCGCACCTGCAATCATCTCGTTTAGTATGTGTTTGTTGTCTGTCTCCCTCTACTAAAATGTAACTGGATAAAGGAGGAAAACAGTCTGCCTTGCTCACCCTAGTGTATCACCACTCCCCCAATGCAGTACTCTGCACATAGTAGGTGCTTTCAATCAGCAAACTCAGTGAATAAAGGAAGCACAAAGCCCATGGCAATTCTCACCATGGAATTCCCACAATGGTCATCAAAATAGATAGACTCTGAGGGGGCTCAGAGGAGAGGAGCTCTAGACCAGGTGCGTTACCTGGGATGTCTTCCAGAAAAAGGCAGGCATTGAATTTTTTTTTCAGGACAATAAGGTGAAGTAAAAAGGATAAGGGAGGAAGTAATTCAGAAAGTAGACTCAAAATAGCTCAGAGGTCAAAACCAGCAAGAAGAAGGCAGGGAGCCCAAGTAGATTAAGTGCGTAAAGACAAACCATGGAAGGACAATGATGAAGAAGGTGGGTGGGGGAGCAAGAAGGCAGGTATGATTTGAGGGGAGCCTCATAAACTTGGAGTCCATTAATGAGCTCTTTCTCCTTGGCCATTGCTCAAAGTATCATTGAGCTTTCTGTCCCTCGGTCCATCCATCCTTCTCAGGATATTGACTCCTTCCAAGTTAGAACAAATGTCCCTGGATATTGGGTTTACACAAACAAGCATAACTTTTTAAATGTAAATAAATGAAATAAATAGAGGCTGTCACTTTTTCTGTCAAGCATAGACAATTTTTTAAAAGAATCAACTATCATAAATTATCATGATCATTTCAGAAAATGAAATACATTTTAAACCCAAAATGTAGGGAAGTGAAAAACATTATCTCAGAATTAAAGACTTTGCTCCTAAATGGACTAAATCTCACTTGCTGACAAGCTCCCAGCATTGCCCATACTGTGTTTTTCTCCTGTTGCCACAGATTGGTGAGAAAGACCCACATTAGAACACAGGTAAGCATTTGGAACACTGCCATGGATGTGATACAGCCAGCCCCAGAAGGAGGCTGGGTGAGGACTAAGTAAGTATATTTAAAATAAAGCTGGGCATGATGGCTCATGCCTGTAATCCCAGCAATTTGGGAGGCTGAGGCTGGAGGATTGCTTGAGCCCAGGAATTTGAGACCAGTCTGGGTAACAAAATGAAACCCCATCTCTACAAAAAATAAAAAATTTAGTCCAGCATGGTGGCACGTGCCTGTGGTCCCAGATACACAGGAGGCTGAGGCGGGACGATTGCTTGAGCCCAAGAGGTGGAGGCTACAGTGAGTTGTGTTCATGCCACTGCACTCCAGCTTGTGTGACAGAGTGAGAACATATCTCAAAAATAATTAATAAATTAAAATAAAATAAAAATAGAAATGAATAGCAAAATCAGTGGCTTCTTACCTAGGCCTAGAAAGTTGAAGTTAACTTTACAGGATCACTAACCTTATAGACTCACCTATTCAATCTTTATACTTGCATTTTTTTGTTGTGGTAAAATACATGTGACACGAAATTTACCACTTTAATTATTTTTAAGTGTATAACTCAAGGGCATTAAGTATGTTCACAACATTGTGCAATCATCACCAGTTCCATTTCCAGAACTTTTTCATTATCCAAAACAAGCTACCATTATGTAATAACTCCCCTCTCTTCCAACCACCCACTGCCCCAGATCTTGGTAACCTGTATTCTATGTTCCCTTTCTATAATTTTTTTTTAAATTCTAGGTGCTTCATGTAACTGGAATCATACAATATTTGTCCTTTTGTGTCTGGCTTACTTCACCAAAATTAATGTTTTTGAGATTCATCCACACCGTAGTATGTCTCAGCACTTAATTCCTTTCTGTGGCTAAATAATATTCCATCGTATAGATATACCACATTCTGCCTATGTATATTTTTGTTGATGAACACTCGAGTTGCTTCCACCTTTTGGCTATTGTAAATAATGCTATTCTGAACATTGGTGTACAAATATCTGTTTGAGTCCCTGCTTCCAATTCTTTTAGGAGTGAGATTGCTGGATCATGTGGTAATTCTATGGTTAACATTTTGAAGAACCGAACCCTCTTTTTAACTGTCAAGAAATTGAAGCCTGGAGTGGGTGCAGGATCTTTCTGAGGTCACACAGCATTGGGGAGGCAGTAGAGTTGTAACTGGACTCCTGGACTTTCTGTGAATCCCAGTGGATAATAACAGATAGAGGGGAGAAACCAGAGAGCCATGATCAAGGCCAGTGTCGAGCGCTGGGTATCCCCTGGGGAGGAGAGTCTCATTTTCTGCAGTCAGCTTTTCCAATACTGGGCCAAGCACAAAAATGTTCCTGTCTCTACAACTGTCAACCTAAGAGACTGGGTGGGCAGAATAGTGTGGAAGAAATAAGTCCAGAAATGGATAGGAATAAAATTAGAACACTTTTGCTCAAGTGCTTGAGGGAAGGCACCTACATCTTGGGAAAAGTTAGGAAGCAATGAAAATTGGTGAGAATGTTCTGACTTCAGAACTCTGGGCTAGTCCTATGAAAGAAAGCTTGCTAAATAACAGAAAAGCAAAATTTGGAGGAATAAGATGCCCACCCATGATATAAGCTCGAGCCTTAGTACAGCAGGAGGTAGAAAACCTTGTTTGTGAAGAGTGTGGATTTGGGATGGAGGCTGCAAACCTGGGTACAAATTCCTGACTCTTCCACTTATCAACTTTGTCACTTACAGTAACAGATAACCCCTCTCTGAGCCTCAGTCTACACATCTGTCAAATGGGGCAATAATAGTACCTATCTCATAGGGATTGATATGATAATGGTGCTGATGCTGCTGATGCTGATAGATCATCTCATCCCAATGCTTCTGGACCCTGGTGGCGCATTAGATCACCTAAACGGTTTTAAAGTTACTGATGCATGAACTCCACATCCAAAGAGTCTGATTGACTTGATCCGAGATTGTGCCTGTCCCCCTCTTTTTTTAAGCTCCCCAGATGATTCCAAGGTGCATCAAATTTAAGAAACAGTGTGTTCTAGTGCTTTCCAAGAATCAGCTGGGAATCTTATTAAAATGTAAATTCTGATTCAGCAGGCCGGAGGTGGGGCCAGAGATTCCATATTTCTAGCCAGCTCCCAGGGAGTGCTGGTGCCCAAACCACACTTTGAGGAGCAAAGTTTTTAAAAAAGACTACCCCAGGACAGGTCGGATCTGGATTAAGTGTGTAGTAGATGTCAGTAAGAAGTAATAATGTCCTTAGATGTTAATGTTTAAGATGTCCACTGGGTGCTGGAATAAGGGGAGTGATGCAATAACAGAAGTAAACCTACAAAGTTTCTTACAAGAGGCAAAGGGCCTGTTGCTGTAGCGTGGGCTTTAGTTGAGGTGAATAACTTCACAGTAGCTCCTGTTGCTCAGAGAGATGGGAATAGAAGGCCTAAGAATAACGATCATCGTGAACTAGAGACCCTTGCCGGGGAGTTAGCTGGAGGCTGAATTCTCACATTGCAGGGGGGTTTGGGTCACGTAGGAATCCAAGCTTCGGGGCTAGGAAGTGAATGTCTGGGGACAAGAATTAGCACACTCCATTCGTTTGTTCAGGAAATATTTACTGAGCATCTCCTAGAGCACAGTGTTATACTAGGCACTGAGGGTCTAGCTATAACCATGGCTCCTGCCCTCAAGGAGCTCACAGTCCAGTAGGAGGCGGACAAACCATAAAAAAGGTGAAACGCAGAATTCAGAGGGATCACTTTAGTAGGGGAAGCCTTTGAGGGGGATCCTTGGCCCAGTCTGAGGGAGTTATGAAATAATTCTTGGGGGAAGCGATGGCTGAGCTGAGCCTTTAAAGATAAGCATGAGCCCCAGAAGTGTTGGGTGGAAGCAGAGGGGGTCTCAGGCAGAGGACAGAGAATAGGTGGCTAACACAAGAGGCAGAGAGAACAGAGCCTCTTCCCAGAAGTGGCTCCGTTCCTGGGTGTTGGAAATGGGGAAGCAGCCAGAGAAGAGTCTGGAGAAGTACAAGGGGCTTGAATGTCCCACTAATGCATTTGTACTTCGTTTTGAAGCCAGAGGTCTATGGGGGTCAATAAATTCCCTGAAAAGGTTGTGCTTATATGTCTATGTGCATTATCCTGGAATAAAACTATTGCGTTTTCATCAGACTCTCCAAGGGACTTTAGATTCCCAAATAGGTAAGAATCCCTGGGAGTCTCCATTGGTTAGGCTCATTCTGTGCAGGCAACAGAATATCACAACACTGGGGTAGAAGGTGCAGTGATAGAAGAAGAGCTCACCACGCTTTTGTTTTC
Source organism: Homo sapiens (assembly GCF_000001405.40). Classification (NCBI taxonomy): domain Eukaryota; kingdom Metazoa; phylum Chordata; class Mammalia; order Primates; family Hominidae; genus Homo; species Homo sapiens. The sequence continues at coordinate 118,960,453 of NC_000012.12, read as the reverse complement.
TTCCCCCTTGAATCTTTTGCACAGCAGTTGTCTCTGCCTGGGACACTCATTCTCACCCCCACTGCCACCCACATCTCACCTAGCTAATTCTTACTCATCCTTAAGATCTCAATTCAAAATCTGCCCCCTTAGAAAAAGACTAGCTTGACTTCCCCCGTGACATCAGCCCCCCTCCCATTACACATACCCAGAGCTTCTTTGAAACAACTGTCACATGTTATAATTATATAATACATAATGTAATTCATCACTCAAAGCTATCTGCACTCCCCTTATCTACTAGTAAACACTCCTTGTGGGCAGATAACATCTGTCTTGTTCATAGCTATAATCTCAACACACTAAACAGGTTCAGGCACATGGTGGGGCCTCAATAAATATTACTGAGTGATTACAGGAATATTTGAATAAAAGAGTGGATTCACACAGCTGATCATTACCACCTGAATTGTCCCCACCTCAACCTTAATCCTACTCCCGATCCAACTCGTCTTTTTGTATTTGAGGATATGACCCTTGTAGACCAGTAGGTCATTGCCCATAGTACAGTGGAAAAGAATTGCAGAAGGGAATTGACTGTACTGGGCAGGTTTCCGAAACCTGCCTTGGTGGCTTTATATGGATGTTTTTAGTCACTTAGTGAGCAGGTGCAGTCCATGTGCTAGAACAGTGGGACTTCTCCAAAGTGGTCAGTGAACCCCAGCATTGACCAGCACCAGTAGGTGATTCACTCTTTTTTTTTTTCTTAGAGAACCTGGTATCTATTTTTCAACGAGCATGTTGCTGCTCTACTTTGCTTATTCTTTCTGAGCTGTCAGGAAGGTGGGAAGACTTTAATTTGTTCTACATCATCCCATGTGAAGAGAAGAGGAAAAAAAAACTACCCACATTACAATAGCAGCTTGGGGTTTAATATTGTTAGAGTAAGGATGAGTAATTCTGAAGGCAAAGAGTGCAACTAGGGTGAGTCAACGAAGTATTTCAGTGGATGTCAAATTAGCAGAATCAGCCTCCTTGTTCTGACTCTCACCTGAGGGCCAAGACTCCCCAAAATCTTCACGTTACCTCGTCTAGCCTGAACTTTCATGAGCCTCAGTCTCCTTATCTATAAAGTGCTGAGAACAATATTTATCTGTTAGTATTGTTGTGAGGGTTACATGAGATAACATATGCAAAGTTTCTGCCTCTATATTTCCTTCTCCCTGTACACTAGCCTACACTTCCAAGAAACCTTTAGATTAACCTAGCTGTTGAACCACCCCCCCATTCTAGGCAGTCCCAGTAAGACAGATGGCAAAAAATGTGAAGCCCTTCATCAGAGGGCTTGTAAAAACATAGTAGAACAAAAAAGAGAAAAATATATTGAACAGCTTCTTAGATAGCATTAGCTCAAAGGTTTGATTATGCATCTTTAACCAATAGGGAACTTTCTATGTCCGTAAGCATTTTTTCTTCAAATAATTACTTGCTTTTTTTTTTTTCGAAGCTGATGGAACAGGAAAGAAGAAGGAAAAGAAGCCACTCTTTTTCATTTCTTCAAAGGCAACACAAATTTGATCCCGTTAGTGAATGGCTCAAGATAAAAAAAAAAAAAACTCCACTTCGGTCTGCTTTCTGTGATTAAACAACTCTTTTGTTTGTCAAATAGCAGGGAGAAGAGAATAAAGGGAAGCTCTTGTCACTGTTAAGTGCTCTAAAAGTGCACTCCCTCCCAGCTCTCCATGGGTTAGGTGTGCCAGTGCCTACAAAGCGATTCTCAAGCTGGGAGGCAATGCTGGACTTCAGCTTCTTAGACTAGGAGAGAAAATGGGATGGGGATGGCAGACCCTGAGAAGCCCCCATAGGACTGTGAAATTCTCAAGTCGGGAAGGTTGAAAACTCATGTGCTTTCCCACCTTTTTCTTCCACGGATATTGTGACATTAGAAACCAGTCTGTTCCATGACATTCTCCATACAGCAAGTCATATTCTTGAACAAAACAAATACACTGCTCAGAAAGATTTTTGAGAGTCTGGAGGAGGGGTCTAACCTAAATCCATCTTGCTTCACTGAAATTCAACTTCAGCTTGGCAATGTGAGAACCTGAGTTTTCATGAGAGGCAGAAACTTTTTATGTAAATTACTCTTAGGTTTTGAAAGTTCTGGTTGGAATGTAAAGGGAAAGGTGTCCTGTTGAAAAGGTGGACAGATGTAGCAAATAAAAATATAGGACACCCAGTTAAATTTAGATTTCAGGTGAACTAGGATTATTTTTAAAAGTGTTAGTATATCCCATGTAACATTTGGAATATGCTTATACTAAAAAAACAAAAAGTACTCAGCTGGGCACGGTGGCTCACGCCTGTAATCCCAGCACTTTGGGAGGCCTAGGTGGGAGGATCATTTGAGGTTAGGAATTCCAGACCAGCCTGGCCAACATGGTGAAACCTTGTCTCTACTAAAAATACAAAAATTAGCTGGGCATGGTGGTGCACGCTTGTAATCCCAGCTGCTCGAGAGGCTTAGGCAGGAGAATCACTTGCACCAGGGAGGTGGAACTTGCGGTGAGCTGAGATCATGCTACTGCCCTCCAGCCTGGGCAACAGAGTGAGACTCTGTCTCAAAAAAAAAAAAAAAAAAAAAAGTACTCTTTGTCTGAAATTCAAATTTAAATAAGCATCTTATATTTTGTTTGGCAACCTTACCTACTAACAATTTAACTCCATCTTTCATTTCCTGTTTCATTTTCTTATAAGCAGTATGGGGGGGTGCAGCAGTGGGGGTGGGTATGGATGAGATCAGAGAGCCATTTAAAGCTTTTGGAGGACATCACTGGGGTGGTTTGATACGTAGGTTTTAACGTCAGGAAGGGCTAGATTCAAACCCCATGCCTGTCTCTTACTACGTGATCTTCAGCAAGCGACTTCCCCCTCCTAAACCTTCTTTATGATAAAATGAGAGTCTTAATATCCAACTTATACAGTTGTTGCTGAGTTGAAATGAGGTGACATTAAAGCATCCAGCACATTGTAGCTCCTGGATAAATGACAGCTCTTAATATACACCCTCAAGCAGGCAGTTCCTTCTGCCTGCAATGCCCTCCCTCAACTCCTACTTACTCATGAGGCTTTCTGCATCTTTCCCTCCTGAAAACTTAAAGAATTTTGTCTAAACTGCTAGAAAAGCTCACATCACTCTGAGGTAGCGCATTAGTATCAGCATCACTGTTTATAAATGTTTTCCCAACCAGACTGTAATTTTTTGACATCCAGATACCTAGTTTTTTCCATCTCTGCAGGTCCAGCATTTAACACAGGGCTTGACACATAGGAGGAGCTGGATATTTCCTAAATGAACATGTTATCAAGCCATTAACACCTTGGCATAAATTATCTATGATGGCAGTTTCTAAATGATAGTCCGTGGTGCAAAAAAATAAAGCCAATGTAAGGGAGTTTCTTACAAAGCTAAAATTATTATATTTAAAGGATTGCCTTTTATTTGAGACTATTCTTATTTGTTTAGAGTTTTTTTAAAAACCACGTCATTTATGGAACAATTTTTAAAGGTATTTGAAAGAATAAAGAGTTGGCAATCTCTACAATGAGCTATATCCATATCTCTGTATCTGTCCCTATACACTGTCTCTGTATATTTCAACGTGGAAGTTTCAACACGAAAAATGCGCTAGTACTTGAAATTCACAAGTCTGAGAGCCACTGCTTTATGAAATGAGTAAAAAGCAGAATTGCAGGGAATGTAATCCAGGGTTGGTAAATTTTCACTGGAAGAAGAAGACAGGAAAGAATTACAGTAAAAGACATAGCTGGAAAGATATTTTATCTGAGTAAAAAGGAGTTTGGGGGTGCAAAATGAGGAATTTAAAAAAGAAAACAAAGTTTTTCTACTTCCCAACTCACCTAGGACTGAACCCTACCATCACAGAACTCAGGAACTTAATTTACTTGAGTCCGAGGCCCTCCCAACTGTCCCTAATCCAGTTGCTCAGGTCAGCAACCTCCTTCAAAGAATAACAATACAGTACAAGGAGGGATGTCCGTCCCGTTGACCTCCAAGGACCCTCCTGTCTTTAGAATCCACATCAGGCCACTCTCTCTAAATGAGAACTGCGGGGCCAGTGCCCCAAGCAAATTCTGGGAACTCTGCCCTTGGCTTGGCCTCAGAATTACATTTCTGTAAAGACAGTTCCTTCAACCTCTGCAGCTCCATTGACCATGATTCCGGGCATTGTGAGGTCATTCCTCAACCCTACCTCCCTCTGGCCCTCCCCTCTTTGTCCTATCCTAGATGGACACATCTGTCACTTTTAAGTCCCTATTGCTCATCTGTCACGGTCCACAACCAAGAAGAGACAAGGGAAGGGGCCAGATGAATGTTCTGCCACCAAGAGGAAGACTTTGACATTTAAAAAATTCTCCATCTCTCTCCAAGTGTCCCATCCCCAACTCAGAAATAATAATAATGGTAATAATAATAACTTTATTATTGTCATTGAGAGCTCATTGCGTGACAGGCGCTACGCTAAGCACTTTACATACGTTATGTATCAAATCCTCAGAAAAATCCATGAAGAGGACATTAATATGTTGCAGATGAAGACACTGAGGCTTGGAGAACTTAAATTGCCCAAAGAGCTTCTCACACCTGGTAAGTGGCAGAGGGATTGGAAAGCCAATGTTCCTGATTCCAAATTTCTACGCTTAACCCGGCTTCACGCTGCTTCCGCTCAACCACCTTTAAAGTCTCCTAGCTGTCCACCAAATGAGTTCAAAACTATCTCACAGACTCTCAAGACCCTTGAAAGCCTGGTCTCCATCTGCTTCTGCAATCTCATCTCCCAGTGGTGCCCTCCTAGAATCCTCCATGGCAGGTATTTTGGAGTCCCCTTTCTTTAAGAAGTCTTTCACCTCTAAACAGTCTCCCACGTTGTTCCTCACTCTGTTTTTCTGTCCCAAATATACTCACGTTACAAGCCCCAGTTCAAGTTCCAGCTTTCTCAGTGTACCAGGCCCAATTAGTTCACCCTAATCTTAATCTCATAACACTTGGGGTTTGGTGAACCATGGAGTGTCCCCCACCCATGACCCTAAGTTGCCAATAATCATCCCTCATGTGTATTTTCTGGCTTCTCATCCTGACAGACACCCATGGGGTGGGGCCACGTCATGGCGCTGTGTCTCAAATCACCTTACTGGAAACACAGTAAATGCCTAGTATTTTATGACTGATCTCCTTCTTGCCACTTCCTTTCTCTTCTTTCTTCTTACTGTAACTGCACTAGACCAATCTGAGTCAACTTTTATGTAACAAAGTTGTAGAGTCATTTTTTTTTTTTTAGTTGCCATGGACTCCCAGGTTGAAGGTCACATAACCTTAGCATGCCCAGATAAACCAAGTATGCAACCACACGGGGAACCTAAGTGCTCAGACCAAGGAGCAGGAACTGAATTAAGACACGGACACCACATGGCAGAATCCAAGATCCAATCAGATCGAGCTCTGGAATCACCCCATGGTGGAAGCCAGTCAGATCATTCCTCTTGGCATCACCTCATTGCAAGATCCAATCAGATCACGTCTCATTACCCTATCCTTATAAAACCGGACAGACCTCAGCTCAGGAAGGCACTGCTTTGGGAGCTATCACCCCTATTTTCCTTAATTACTTCAAGTAATAAAATCCCCTTGCTAAATCTTCTTTGATTGTGGTCATTGGGCCATCACCCAACAAGTGCTAGAGCCCACCCATTGTGTGGATAACACTATTTCTTCTTCCTTGTCCCCTCCTCATCCTCTCCGTTTGGTATTTCCTTTCCTTCTTCTTTCTCCTTTCAGTTACCCTCTGCCTTGCTAAGCAAGGCAGGCAGCTGCCAACGTGGCTCCCAGTGATCCCTGCCTCCTGATATTTGCAACCTTGTGCAATCCTTTCCCATTGATGCAGGGTGAACCTAGTGACTTGCTTCTAATGAACAGGGTACGACAAAGGTGATGTGCATGTGACTTCCACGATGAGGTTACAAGAAACATGACTCTTTTGTTTAGCACTGTCTTGGCAGCTACTCTTTCTTGTCCTTTCTCTTGCTCAGTCTGTTGAAGGCAGCTTCCACATTGTAAAATGCTCTATGGAGAGACCCATATCACAAAGAATCAAGGAAGGCTTCTAGCCAACAATTCAACTGAGAATTGAGGTCTCAGTCCAGCAACTCTGCTAGGCACTGTGGCCTGCCAGCAACCACATGAGAGAGTCTGTGAAGTGATCTTTCCCAGTTGAGTCTTATGAGAGACCCAGAACCAAAGGACTCAGCTAAACCATACCCAGACTTTCAACCCACAGAATGTGAGATCATGAGTATGTTGTCTTAGAGGATGATTTGTTAACCAGAAATAGATAACTAATACATTAAGTATCCATTTACTCACACATTTATTGAGCATTTAACATGTTGTCCAAGTGAAATGAGGGAACACTTGGGTGAACCAGGCATGGTTCTTTAGTTTTGAAAAGCTCTAACTAGCCTAGTTGGAAATTGGGGAAAGAGACAAGTTGTGATATTATTGTAAAATCATATTTTAAGAACTCTAGGCCGGGCACAGTGGTTCACGCCTGTAATCCCAACACTCTGGGAGGCCAAGGTGGGTGGATCACCTGAAGTCAGGAGTTCAAGACCAGCCTGGCCAACATGGTGAAACCCTGTCTCTACTAAAAATACAAAAATTAGCCAGGTGTGGTGGTGCATGCCTGTAATCCTAGCTACTCGGGAGGCTGAGGCAGGAGAATTGCACCAACCTAGGAGGCAGAGGTTGCAGTGAGCCAAGATCGTGCCACTGCCCTCCAGCCTGGGCGACAGAATAAGACACCATCTCAAATAAAAAACAAAACAATACAAAACAAAAAACCCAAAAACAAAACAAAACAAAACACTAATAGGGAAAAGAAGAAAGACCTAGTAGAGTTTTTAAAAGCTCTAGCCTAGTTGGGAGTTGGGAAGAGAGGCAAGTTACCAGCTCATCATAATATCTAATAGGAAAAGGAAGAAGGACCTAGCAGAGATGTGTACAAGCAGCACCTTATTCTGCTTGGGAGAGTCTAAGGAGGCTCCAAAAAGGTGAGTGTTAAACAAGGTCTTAAAGGACAAGTGGGAGGTCATCAAACTGGGGGAGCTGGCGGGGGTAGGGAAGAACAGTGTAGGTGAGAGGAACACCATAGGCGAAAACAGAGCAGCACAAAGAGGCTTGTCATAATTGGGCAAACAATGGAAAGTTTAACCTTCCTTATTCTGAGTCCTCTGCAACAATAACAAAAAAATGCATTCATTCCACGTTTGCTCTGCTAAGTGTTAACACTCAGTAGCTCACTAAATTCTTATAAATGGGAAAAATGCCCATTTATAGGCAAAGAAATTGAGGCCCAAAGAGTAGAAGTGACTTGCTCAAGGTCACATAGCAAGTCACTGGCTAAGCTTGAATTTGAATGTTGATATGTCTGACTTTAGAGCTGCCCTCTCAACCATCCAATACCTGTATTATGTCTGTATTGTACATCCAATGTCTGTATTATGTCTGTAACCATTGTTCAGGTCAGCAACCTCCTTCAAAGAATAACAATGCGGTACAAAGGGCTGAAAGGGAAGGGCTTCTAGTTGCCACTGAATAGGACAAGTCTCCAAATGCCTATGGACCCACACATTTCTCTCATGGTCTGATACGAAAACAAAAAATCAAAAAAGAGGCTAAGCCAGTCAGATTCTCTGTCTGTCATGAGGCAGCGGTGGAGTGGAGCGGACAAGGGCACAAGACCAGGTTCAAATCCTGGCTCTTCCACCTACTAGCTGAGTGACCTTAGACAAGATATTTAATATCTCTGAGCCTCAGTTTTCCCATCAGTAAAATGGAGAGATAATAGCACCTAACTCATAGAGTCAGTGTGATAATCCATGAAAAGCAGATGCAGTAAGAAGGTGATTGAGTCAGGACCTCAGTATAAAGTCCACTCACGTAAAAATCTAGTAATGAGGAACTAAAAGAGTAAGGGGGAGACAGCGAGAGAGAGAGAGAGAGAGAGAGAGAGAGAGACTACTCCAGGCAGCCAGGCAGCCCCATATATTTTCCTCAAATTCTGATGACTTCACAATTTCTATTTTCTCATATTCAATATACCATTTTCTTGAAACAGTCTGATGTTGTTGGGGGAGGGGATGGAACAGGAGGGGGAACATTTATTCCCCATTCCTCATGTTCCTTTATAGAGGGACCTCCAATAGAGTGACATTCCTGACCTCTTGCCCCACTCGATTGGCGCTTCTGGAAGAAGGAACTGAAAGCACTCATCTAAGTCGTCACTCTCTTGGGATCCACTTGCCTGCAGAAAATGTGCATTCTGAGGTTAGAGGAGCAGGCATTGTCCTACTGGTTTGGGTGAAGTTGGAGTGAGGGATAAATTCAATTCAGGAGAGTATTCGCAAGCTGTGTCCTCCAGCAGAGCTTTTTTTTTTATCAGTAATAAAGGTGACACTTTGATCTCCATCTGACTGAGTCTTTCGTGTCTCTTATAATTAGTTTTGTACTACCCTGAAAAGGTTTACTTCTCTCTGTATGTTGCTCACTTCAATTCTTCATTAAGTCTTCTTGTTACAATTCCAGATGGCTATCCTAAGGAAACTTTCTGCAAAGATAGCTCTTCCTCTGGCTTTCTTTTCCCCTAATATTCTGGCTCCCCACCCACCCAGGTCCTGAATCATAGGGCAATTTGGCAGATTCACTTTATATCCATGCCTTACCCTCTGCCAACCTTGCAGATGCCCCAGCTCATCCACGTCTTTTCTAATTACCTCTTGGCTGGTAACTATTCTTGCAATTTCTTCATGTCTGGTAAATGTTCCAATTTCTGCACTTTGTCTTTCTCGTTGACTACTTAAAAAAATCTTGGTAACTCTGGCATTTTTGAATCATCATTAATTTCAAGCTTGTCTTCTTTTATTAGCTGTTCTACATTCCCACCAAGAACTCTTTCCTCTTTGACGCATTTGAGAGCCTTCATTTAATCTTCTTTCCCATCACTGAGCTAGGACTCACGTGGACTAACTTACTACACTGATGTCCTTGCAGAAGCAGCAGTAGACAGAGCATGAGGGTGGGAGTTCTCAAGGGTAGAAAGCTGGCACTGGGCACCCTCAAAAATCATTTCCAAGGGTTTGCTGCTCATCTGTCTGTTCTGAAATGCTTTCCAAGAATTACTCTTCTGAACTAATGAGAAACAGGCAAAAGTCTTCAGGACACTAATGATGTCCATATTTACTATGAGAGGAAGGTGGACTGATCAACTAGCTTTCTCCCATTAATATATATGAGATTATTTCCTTTTCTCTTTCCAGGTGGGCTACCTTGTCATTAGCAGATATTTCCCTGGGAGGGTAGGGCATGCAGAGGTGTTTTTGTTTGTTTGTTTGTTTGTTTTTGAGGCAGAGTCTCACTCTGTCACCCAGGCTGGAGTGCACTGGCATGATCTCACCTCACTGCAACCTCCGCCTCCCGGGTTCAAGCAATTCTGCTGCCTCAGCCTCCTGAGTAGCTGGGATTATAGGTGCGTGCCACCACGCCCAGCTAATTTTTGTATTTTTAGTAGAGATGGGGTTTCACCATATTGGCCAGGCTGGTCTTGAACTCCTGACCTCGTGATCCACCTGCCTCAGCCTCCTACAGTGCTGGAATTACAGGCATTAGCCACGATGCCCAGCCTGCAGAGGTATTTTATGGGAGATAAAAGACAGAGAAAAGGGATGGGTCCAGAGTTTGATTCTTAATAGGGCTGTCTGTCCAGTAAGGCATTCTGTGATGATGAAAATGTGTTAGATTTGTGCTGCCTGACATAGTAGCCACAAAACACATAAAATGTGGCTAGTGAGATTAGGAAATGGGACGTTATCTTTTATTTAATCTCAATTAATTTAAATATAAATAGCCACATGTCACTGATGGCTACTATACCGGAAAATGCAGCTCTACAAGATATTATTTTGAGAGTATCTGGGTCTTCTCCTTTTACAGAAGCCATAGCTCTTTGTGAGTCAGCAGATAACATACAAGAAGACAAAGATTAATCTGACTCTCAGAATCTAGGGCCAATGGATGGATGTCATGGGTTGTAGCTCCATGCCCATGGGAGCTGCACTCTAGTGGTTGTTTCAAGCAGCGGTCACAGATTGGTAGTTTTCAAGCTAAATTCCATCTCTAGGCATGTTTGACTTACACAATTAAAAAATTAATTAGTCGCTGACATTTAAAAGAGAAAAAAATCTTTATGTAAGAGATTTTGCATAAAGATTTGGATTTCCAGCTAATCTTGAAAAATCAGAAGACTGCTCCCCACCCCCCGCACTTGGCAATATTCAGATGGAGATGGGTAGCAGAAGCCTCCTTTACCCAGGGTAGGAATTCTTCAGTTGGCCACAGTCCCCACCACTGCTTGTCATCTAAGCATCTCACGTAGGCATTTGGATTTATTTGTCTTTGTGTCACAGTTATAGGCATAAGCTTTGCTCAGCATCAGACAACCTGAGTTTAAATCCCATTTCTGCCTTGTAACAAGCTGTATGACGTTGAGCAAGTGACTTCACCTTTCAGAACCTCAGCCTCATTAAAAGTAAAGTGGGGGCAGGTGCGGTGTCTCATGCCTGTAATCCCACCAGTTTGGGAGGCTGAGGCGGGTGGATCACCTGAGGCCAGGAGTTCTAGACCAGCCTGGCCAACATGGTGAAACCCTATCTCTACTAAGAATACAAAACATTAGCTGGGCATGGTGGTGCACACCTGTAATCCTAGCTACTTGGGAGGCTGAGGCAGGAGAATCACTTGAACCTGGGAGGCGGAGGTTGCAGTGAGCCAAGTTTGTGTCACTGCACTCCAGCCTGGGCAACAGAGCGAGACTCAATCTCAAAAAACAAAACAAAACAACAACAACAACAACAACAACAACAAAAGAGAAGTGGGGAAGGTCATAGTTGTACTTCAAAGGATTGTCCTAAGGATTCAATGTAACAATACTTGTAAGACTCTTGATATAGAGGCAGGCCTATGCTGAGTGCTCAATATATGGTAGTTGTTGGAAGGAGAAGGAGGAGATGAAGGAAGAGGAGACAGAAAAAGAAGAGACAGAGGAAGAGGAGAAAGAAGGGAAATAAGAGCTCCTAGTCAGTTTCCAAACATGTCTAAGATAACAAAGAAGAAAAGGTGCTATTTCCCCAGTGAAAGATTCCCTAACCTCTTCCGAACGTAATACCACAACCATCCACATTGTAAACCCATGGGTAGGGGGTGGGGAAGAGAGGGAATGTGTGAATAAAAGCAAAGAAATAAATCAGCTGGTCCCTGGGTCCTTTGTCCTTGGATCTGCAACCTTTGCCCTGAGAACCTGGTCTCCTGTCCACTTCTGTTATAAGGTAACAGCTCCCACACTTGAGACCTTGTAACAGAAACACCAAAGGATGTGGACTTTCTCAAAATCTGTGGGGGCTCAACTCCCTTTCCCACTCCACTGTTAGTAATCAGAAAAGGTCTCCATGTGACACAGTTTGTACATGTCTATGAGAGGAAATCAAATCCTTCTAAGACAAATAGAGGGAAAGTTACCAGGTGGCTGTTTGCAAGAAATAAAGACAGAAGACGACTAAATTCTCAAGCAGTTATGACCTCAGGTTCCCCAGTGTTTTACACAGTTTTCAGAGTTGATTAGAGAACCATGTAATTTAGAATATTCTGGGGAAGGACTATCAAGGGTCCTGCGCCTAGATACTTAGATTTAGTCCATTTTGGTAGAAACATATTTCAAATTTGAATGTAAGATGGTGTTATACAAGCACGGGTCCTTGCCCATTGGTGAGATCTTGGAGGGAGGCCTCCAACTACGGTGAACCATCACACTCCAGATTTATCCATACATACTCCCACCCATCCACCCATCTGCCTACCTGTCATCTATCCATCATCGATCCACCCATCAATTCATCCATGCAAATGACACCTGTCCTTCCCCCATCCATTCTTCCGTCTTCTATTCTTTCCTTCATTCATTAATTAAACCTACTTATCCAACTGTGTGCACTTGGCCCTCTGTGAAGTTCTAGGACTACGAAAGTGAACAAAACAGATATTGTTACAGGATGATTTATATACTCTATTCCCCTAACTCCAATTTAAAAGCCCTAACCGACAGTACCTCAGAATGTAACTATGTTTGGAGACAGGGTCTTTAAAGAGAAATTAAGTTAAAGTTGGGGTCATTAGGGTGGGCCTTAATTCATAATGACTGGTGTCCTTATAAGAAGAGAAGATTAGGACACAGACAGAGACATCAGATACATTCAAGTGCAGAGAGACAACCATGGGAGCACACAGTGAGAAGATGGCTGTCTCCAGCCAAGGAGTAAAATACTTGGATGGGTGAATAGATGGGTGGATGAGGGGATAGATGGATGGATCGATGATGGATAGATGATAGGTAGACAGATGAGTGGATGAGCGGGTGTATGTATGGGTAGATCTGGAGTGTTACGGTTCACCATAGTCGGAGGCCTTCCTCCAAGATCTCATCACTGGACAGGGACCCATGTTTGGATAACATCATCTTACATTCAAATTTGAAACATGTTTCTACCAAAGATATCTGCTTTTTTTCTCTCTCTCTTTAGCACTTACCACCATCTTACAAGGTAAGTATTTTACTTCTGAGAAAGGTCTCAGAAGAAATGAAACTGCTGTTACCTTGATCTCAGACTTCCAGCCTCCAAAACTGTGAGAAAATAGATTTGTGTTGTTTAAGTCACCCAATCTGTGATATTCTGTTATGGCAGCCCTAACAAATGAATTCAGACACCATCACAGAAACAGGTGTTCACAATTAAGAGGCAGAGAAAGACTATTAAACAGACAATTACAATACAAACACATCTCTTTACCCTGCCTGAAAGCCCACTGATAAAAATACATCTATTTGAATTAATCATTGCTCTTTCATTAATCCCATGAATATTTATTTATCACCTACTATGTTTCTGGTGCTACACTAGGCATGGGAGATAAAATGACAGATAAGGTAGATATATCCATTGACTTTAGAAGTTCACAGACTCTTCTACACTTCCCTACAGACTTAACACTGATTCTACTCAGACTATAATAAGGACATACAGTGTAATGTGGTAGATAGGATCGTGGACTTTGGAATTAGACAGACTGGAGTTTGGGATCAAATTCTGCTACTAATAGGCTGTGTGACCTCAGCAAGCTTAACCAGTCTGAGCCTCAGTTTATCTCTGAGACAGCCATAACAATGCCCAGGTAAGACTGTTATGAGAATTAAAAATGATCATGAACATAAATTAAGAACTCAGTAGAAGTTTGCCACGGTTATCACTGTAGCCTCTGAGGCACAGCCAATCAGAGGATAATAAATATCACAAATATGGAGTGCTTTCTTGATATCAGAGCCTCTAAGTAATTTGCATGTGTTATCTTTTTTAAATGAAGGAAGCCTCTTCCCTACCTCCCCAGCCTTTCCTAGTTTCATTTTCTGTTTTCTCTTTTGTCTACTTAGTTTTTTAATAATTCTCAGGAAAGTACTTAAGCCCCAAGATCATGTGAAGGAGAGGCTACAATCCTGTCGGGAAAGAACTTGAGTCTTTCTTCCAGTCATAGCTCCCCCATCTCTCCATTTTGGACGTCGGCCCAGGCAAACCCAGAAGACGTGTCTGGAGGGAAGGGTGCCGCAAGACTCTCCATTATAGCTGCCGTCATGGACAGCACATTTGATTACAGGTCCCCATCAAGGTGATGCTGTTGTTTCTGCATATGTCATCTCTGCCAGCTTTTGTAGTTAAATTTCCTCTAGCACCGTAGGGAGGTAAGATCTGCTTCTCTTCCCAGAGGCTGGAGACGGGAGACAGCAAAGAGTTTGTTATCATGGAAACCACGTCTCCCCCTGGGCCCCAAGGGGCACTTCTGGAAATGGTTCGGAATTTGATCACAGTCTTCAAGCGTGGTTAAAAGCTGTTATTTCCTCGTGTCTGATAAATGGTTGTCGAGAAGCTGACAGTTCTGGTTTCGCTGGGGAAGATTGGACTGGGGGAGGACGTGGGTCAGGCAAATGGGAACAGATAACAGGATGGGGGTGGCAGATCCTCGGACCCCTGCACAGCACCCCAGACTGACAGGATGGTTTGGAGATGGTCCCATCTTGGCTCACTGTCAAGAGTCAGAAAGTCAAAGGAACATTGAGGTTAGGTGGAGCATCGAAAATGACGTACCCTTACCTCACAAGTGGCTCAGCTTTAAAGAAAGAAATAGAAAAACTTGGATAACAGTCACCAACTCTGAGGGCCTTGGAAAAAAATTCTCCAAAAACATTTTGAGGGATTGCAAACTCAAATACCTGCAGGAATCAAAAGGAAAATGCCATAGAGTGAAGTTGAAATGAGCTTGGCGAGGCTTTGGGGAAACAGGAGAGCACACACCTCATCTAAAGGGGGTGGCAGGTACCAGCTCCAGCCCTGGCCAATTCCCCACTTCTCTAGGAAAAGCCCCAAATCTGGAATTCTAGATAAAAATCTCCCAACATTTAAATGTAAGCTAAGAATTGAAACATTTTTTAATCACATCGAAGGCCAAATAAAACATGTCTGAAGGTCAAATCCAGTTTATTCATTTCAGTTTGCAAACTATGCTATGAATGCTGAAATGAAATCTGAAATTCAAGAAGCAGAGGGGAACTTTATCATACCTCAGTAACCATAACAAAAGACACAATAAAAATAGCTATGATTTATTCAGTCTTCACTGTGGTTATCCTCTTCCATTGGGTCCTCACCACAACCCCTGGGGTGTGGGAATTTTTACCCCAAGGTACAGATGAGGAAACTGAGGCTTGCAGAGGTTAAGACACTTGTCTGAGGTTAAGACACTTGTCTGAGGCCACACTTTGCTAAACTGAAGTCTCTGCAGATGGAGTAATCATTTCTCTATGTATCTGCAGCACAGAAGGCTCCAGACACCTCTTCCTCCTTCCAAATTTTGCCTTGCTATATGCATTAGGCTTGTTCTAAAGTAATGGCTTTTAACCAGAGCAGAGGGCATTTCTGACCTCCTTCCAGGGGTATTTGGCAATGTCTGAAGACAGTTTTGGTTGTCATAACTGGTGGAGGCAGAGGGTGCTTCTGGCATTGAATGGGTAAAGGTCAGGGATGCTGCTTGGCATTCTACAGTATGCAGGACAGCCCCATACACCAGAGAAATCTCCAGCCCAAAATGTCAATAACACCAAGGTAGATAAACAGTTGTCAGAAAGAATTAGGGGAGGGAGAGCTGAGGGTTGGGGGTTACTAAGGAGATAAGGAGACAGAGGATACTGCAGACAATACCTGTAAAAGTAGCTGTGTCATCAGACAGCCTGTATGATTTGCTAAGTGTTCTCAACCATACCATCTCACTAGATCTTCATGCCAGTCCCACAGCACACCTTCCTATTGCCAGTCCACAGATGAGGATACTGAGGTCCAGAGAAAGAGACACTTTCCCCCAGGCTTCATAAACAGCATTGCACAAATACTTACTGAGTATCTGGTGTATCTTGGTTCTGGTTCAGGGATCTGTCCCTTCTGCTAACACTTATTAAGTATATACTTACTTGCCAGGCACATCACTAAGAATCTTACATTCATCATCTCATTCAATCTTTCCAACAACCCAGTGGAATAGGTACTCTCTGCATCTCCGTTATTATAGTTGGAGAACTGAGATTCAGAGAAGCGAAGTCATTTGACCAGTCACTAAAAGTTGAACCTAGGCATTTATGACTTTGACTCCTGTGATCTTAACCTCTTCACTGTCCTGGAGCCTCCCACAGTGGTAATCCAATGAGGAAACATGTATTGAGTTCCTCATCTAGAGAAAATTAGAGACACACAAAACCAATTAAGGGCCAGGTTCAGAGCCTCATGCCTGTAATCCCAGCACCTTGGGAGGCTGAGGTGGGAGGACTGCTTGAGCAAAGAAGTTAAGACCAGCCTGGGCAACATAGCAAGACCCTGTCTCTCCAAAAAAAAAAAAATTACAAAACAAATTAGCTGGGTATTGTGGCACATGCTTGTAGTCCTAGCTACTTGGGAGGCTAAAGTGGGAGGATCACTTGAGCCTGGGGGGTGGAGGCTGCGGTGAGCTATGATCATAACACTGCACTCCAGCCTGGGTGACAGAGCAAGACCCTGACTCTTAAAAAAAAAAAGAGAGAGAGAGAGAAAGAGCCATTCTGGAATGCATGCTGACTTCAAGGAGCTTATGTTCAAATGAAACATTAAGCACATTTACCACTAGCTATAAAACAAAATGAAAAGTGATCAGGTATTAAAAGTCCGATAAATCACTGTAAGACCAGAGTCTGCAAACTGTGACCTGCAGGCCAAACCCAGCAGGCTGCCTGTTTTTTTTTGTTTTGTTTTGGATTTTTTGTTTGTTTGTTTGTTTGTTTTCTGAGATGGAGTCTCACTCTGCCACCCAGGCTGGAGTGCAGTAGTGTGATCCCAACTTGCTGCCTCCTCTGCCTCCCGGGTTCAAGCGATTCTCCTGCCTCAGCCTCCAGAGTAGCTGGGATTACAGGCATGCACCACCATGCCCAGCTAATTTTTGTATTTTTAGTAGAGACGGGGTTTCACCATGGTGGCCAGGCTGGTCTCGAATTCCTAACCTCAGGTGATCCACCCACCTCGGCCTCCCAAAGTGCTAGGATTACAGGTGTGAGCCAATGCACCCAGCCTGTGGCTGCTTTTGAGCCAAGTAGTTGCTACAAAGACCATCTGGCCCATAAAGCCAAAAATGTTTAATATGTGACCCTTTACAGAAAAAGTTTGCTGGCTCTTGCTGTAGGAGAAAAAAAGAGGTGATCAATATTGAAAATTACCCACCTTCCATGCATCTCTCTAGATTGGAATGATGACCCCAGGAGATGACAATATAAACAATGGAAATAACAAATTCCAAGCACTGGGTGTTGACTATGTGTGAGGCATAGGGCTAATCCTCTCGAATTCCCCCAACAAACTCATCAGGTAGATGTTGTTAACCCCCTTTTATACCTGATGAACGTGAGGCTCAGAGAGATTAAGTGGCAAACCCAAGTTCAGTTACCTAGCAAGACACAGAAGCAGGGTTCAAAGGTGGGCATGTGCAGCTCTGAAGCTCTTAGCCACCTGTGTGTGAGAGCACACAGCACAAGTCCTGGCTCCTGATAGGTCTTCCCCAAATAAAATTTTCTTCTTCTCTTTCTTGATCAGGGTTCCTACTCCTGTAAATCAGTAAGCAGCACCTGCAGGGCCCAGAAAGGCTAGAAAACTCTTTTCAGAACGAGCCTGCCTGTTTCAGACAACACCTAGCAAGTCCCAAACTTCAGCAGGTTGCGAAGCTGCTAACTCAGCCTCACCTCAGGAAGCTGGTGCCTCTTCCAGACGGACTCAAATGCCTTCCCACCCCCAGTGGTCCAGCAGTTGATATTCACACAGCACTTTACAATCTCCGTTGGTTAATCCATTGTGTTCCCTGGTCACTTCCCATTAAGCCAAGTGGAGCCTCCTTTGCACTTGTTCTGAATTCAAGTGTCATTTTTCCCAGCAAGAGATTGCAGGTGGAAAGTACAAGCACCAAGCTTGGAAGGCAAGGGAGGGAGACTGGGACAGCCCCGAGTCAGCTCCCAGCCCCTTGCCTGGACCCATAATGATACTGCCACATGCAACCCCTTCTCACACAGAAGTTACACAAAAATAATCCCAGAATCTCAGGGGGTTTTAAAAGCCGAGAATATCTGGCCTAGCTGGTGCAGGAAAATATTTGAGAACAGCAGTTGGACCTGTAAATATCTTTTGTGGTGTTCCCTGGCTAGCTAATTATACCAGCTGTGCAGCCAAGGCCCACCTGGGATGTTTTTGAGAGAATTAGCTCATTGCAGACTGCTGCTCTTATGTCAGCTGTTCCTGGTCAAGGAGCCCAGAGCCCCAGCTCTTTCTCCCCAGCTTGATCGCAGACCATAAAGGCCAATTGCCTCCCAAGGTGTTCAGTGACTGATAAATCGCTGCCCTAGCAATGGCGAAATGGTTACCTGGCCTCCCTTTGGCTGCAAAACCAGGAGCAAGAGAAAAGGGCACTGTGTATTTTAGTAGAAAGGATTTGGGTTTCAATTCTCCAGCTCTGGTTCTCGGCTATTTGATACTGAGCAAGTGACTTAGCATCTCTGAGCCTTGATTTCTTCTTCCAAAAGACATGTTGTCATCTGGGGCTGTCTTCAAGATGTAATTAGATAATACAACAATATGTTTTTCAAATTGTAGTAAAATACACGTAACATAAAATTATCATCTTAACCATTTTTAAGTGTACAGTTTAGGGTATTAAGTACATTCACATTGTGCAACCATCACTACTGTCTATCTCCAGGAAGCTTTTCAGCTTGCAAAACTGAAACTCTATACCCATTAAATACTAACAATAATATTTTTGCTTAGTGCCTGGAGCATTGTGTTAGTCCATTTTGCATTGCTATAAAGAAGTACCTAAGACTAGGTAAATTATAAAAGAAAGAGGTTTATTTGGCCCACAGTTCTGCAGACTGTACAAGAAGCATGGTGCCAGAAGCCACTCCTGGTGAGGGCCTCAGGAAGCTTCCAATCATGGTGGAAGGCGAAGGGGAAGTAGGTGTGTCACATGGGGAGAGAGGGAGCAACAGAGAGACAAGGGAGGTGCCACACTCTTTTAAATAACCACATCTTGCTTGAACTCAGAGAAAGAACTCACTCATTACCACAAGTAGGGTACCAAGCCATTCATGAGGGATCCACCCCCATGACTCAAACACCTCCCACCAGACCTCACCTCTAACATTGGAGGTCACATTTCAACACGAGATTTGGAGGGGACAAAACATCCAAACCATATGAAATATGTTGAGATTCAGACCTAATTCCCATTACCACAAACACTGTAAGATCTGAATCATGACAACAGCTGAGTTTTTCCTGCAGGTCTGAATGTTTCTCTGCTCTAGGGCATAGAACTCTTTTGAGGGAGAAATCTGGTATTTGCTAAAGCCTATTCTCTTAGACTGTGAGAAGTCACTTCACTTCTCTGGACTTCACCAAGATGCTCTGAAGACATATAAAATAAGTTCAAAGCAACCATCTAGGTGGTGAAAGAGCACAGTACTAGGGGTCATACAGACCTGGGTTTGTGACCCACTCTGCCATTTGTCAGCTATGTGACTTTAGCCAAGTCATTTATCTCAGATCCTAGCATAGATGAAACATTCCATGGATATTTGTTAAATGGATAAATGAATGAATGAGTAGGTGAATGGATTATCTCTCACTTATCAATAAAATCATACCTGTTCCTGGAATGTTCTATCAAATAACAGAATTATTTGCACAGTGCTTTACAGTTTTGAAAATATCTGGGATGCAGTAGAGCTGAGTGGTTCAGGGCTTCCATTTACATATTTTCAAATAGACAAATCTGGATTTGAATCCCAGCTCTGCCAATACTATGATCTTGGACAAGTTACATAATCCTTCTAAACCTTAGTTACTCCATTTTTAAAATATGAGAATAATAGACTGTGCTAGCCAGGCTCAAAGATAGCCTCCATTAGTTCCTGCTCCTGACAGTTCAGTTCTTATGTAGTCTTCTTTGAAAACGAATAGGGCTGGACTACGCAGCCGATAGGATGTTGCTACCATGATGGAGTGTGACTTCTGAGATTTCCATAAGGGACACTGCAGCCTTTGCTTTACTCTCTCTTGGATCACTTAGTCTGGGGGAAGCCAGCCACTATGTCATGAGCATATTCAAGAAGGCCTATGGAGAGGTCCACATGGCAAGGAACCGAGGCCTCCTGCCAACAGCCAGCACCAACTTGGCAGCCATGACACATCTTGGAAGTGGATCCTCCAGCCCCAGTCAAACCTTCAGATGATGGCAACCTAATGAGACAGCCTGAGCTAGAATCACTCAGTGAAATCACTCCTGAATTCCTGACCAACAGAAACCATATATGAGGCACTGCATATTTATTGCAATTTTTAAGTTGCTAAATTTTGGTTACTTAGTTACTCAGCAATAAATACTTGGTAGACACACCTCATATGGCCACTGTGAAGTTCGAATGCATGTGAAGGGTCTGTCTTGTATGATGCCTGGCCCATAGTAACAGCTCAGGAACTATCACCTATTATTCTTATTTTGAGCCACAAAAATAAGATCATTTGCTTTTTCCTCTGATTCAAGAACTCAGGAAATATCTACAAAAATATTCCCTGGAAGAGGCATCAAAAACATCTGCGTATATAAATAATAACACAGATGATGCAGGTCCAAGAATAAAACTTTTTTATTACCCACATTAGATGGAGGGGAGATGAAGCAAATAAAAGTCTAAAAGACTAAATGTTCTTTTCAGAATTGCAAGGATTTAGGTAAACCAATGGCAGGAGCTGTGGAACCCAAATTAAACACAAACTATAAAAACTAGAACATTCAGAGCACTGATAGGCACACTATTCTTGTTCCTTACACTTTCATAGTCTGTAAAGTACTTATAGAATTACATCTTTCAATCATCAGAATAACCCCATAGAATGGTTATTCTTTTTTTCTAATAAATCTTGTTATAGCAGGATGGTTATTCTTGAGTCCATTTTATGGATGGACCAACTGAGGCTCAGAGAGAATGTAAGCCTACAAACTTCCCAGGTATATATAGTCATCAGATGCTTACTGATGGGTTTTAGACCAAGGCTTCCAGTCCTCTTGACTTGAACTGAGCTCAGAGCTCATTCCATGATGCCAAACTTCAGTCTCTTTCTCTCTCTCAACCTCATTTTCTTCAAATACAGGGTTTGGGAGAAAACAGGGACCACACATTCAGGAGCTTAATGCACCAGGAAGTTTATTTAAGCAAGAGAAGCAAGCTAAGTGCAATCCTCTTGATAAAGTTGAGGCTGTTCTCTCTTGGGTAGGAAATGAGTATACAGAGTGATTTTTTTTTTAACTATAAGGAAAACAATAGGACACATGCAACAACACATAACAGATGACACTGAGCCTCAGAATCGGGGAGGCAGTAGGCACTGGTGAGGACTCTGGAAAATTGTAGAGTATATTCTTTCTTGAGAGGGAATTTTCTGCTTACCTCTAGCCAGATGTGACCATGCAGGAACGTAAGCCTGCAAAGCTGCCAGATCACCTAATTTTAAAGAGAAGCTCAAGTCTGTATTTTATATAAATTCTCTCCAAGTTTAAAAACCATTTAAAGAATAGTAAAATTGAAAAAAAAAAGAAAAAAAAACATGGTATAACTCAAACACACACATCTACAGGTCAAATTCGGCCCATGAGCCACTGTTCAGAGACCCTGGACTAGCAAATTTATAAGACTTCTTCCTGCTCTAAGACTGGGGTGTCTTTATCAGTACTCAGCATGCACTGTTTGATTACACAGCATACTGGGCAGCCTTATAAATATTCCAAATTGGTTTTCATGTGCAGATGTGAACTGTGTCCTCAAATAGATCCTAGACTTGCTGAGGGCAGGGACCAGGTCCCTGGTTTGCTGGGTCTCTGTTTCTGACTCTCGGAATGAGGGTTCATCTGTGACTGGAGCAGAGTGTCAGGCTGAGTGATTCTCCCTGAGCAGTGGCCCCGGATGGCTGTGAGACCCACATCATTTGGGGGTATGAGCTCTGGATCTTGGGAGGGCAGCTTCCATCACTCCTGACGTTCCAGGGAAGGGAGGCAAGGGAATCAAGGTTAAGTACTTCCACTAACATCTTGTCTGCCAGATGTATAAATTAGGTCTCTGTTTCCCTGGGGAATCCTGCCTGCTGCTGGGAAGATGTGGCTGCTTTTGCAGAGGAAAGCGACTTCCTTCAAATCATCCCAAATCAACAGGCAGGTTTCTCTGGGTGTTCTCTCCTTGAGGTCCCCAGTCCATCACATCTGTGGCTTTAGATGACATAGTACAAACTCACATGAGCTCTGAGGACCTCCCTTCTTGGGTTCAAATCCCATTCACGAATTGGCGCAACTGAGATTAGAAGTGAAGCCCTTGTGTCTTATTCAAAATGCTCTTGATCACTCCTGTGCTTATAATGATGAAGAATCTGTTTTTATTTATTTTTTATTTTAATTAATTGATTAATTTTTGAGACAGAGTCTTGCTCTGTCACCCAGGCTGGAGTGCAGTGGTGAGATCTCGGCTCACTACAACCTCCGCCTCTCAGGTTCAAGCAATTCTCCTGCATCAGCCTCCCAAGTAACTGGGACTACAGGTGTGTGCCACCACACCCAGCTAATTTTTGTAGTTGTAGTAGAGATGGGGTTTCACCTTGATGGCCCAGGCTTCTCTTGAACTCCTGGCCTCAAGTGATCTGCTCACCTTGGCCTCTCAAAGTGCTGGGATTACAGGTGTGAGCCACTTTGCCCAGCCGAAAATCTGTTTTTAAAGATACAATGCATGTTCTTTGCCCTCAGGAAGTTATAATTTAATGGAGGAGACAAAATAAAAAAGTTTAAACAAAGGTTTAGTATAGATATGAGAAATTATGGTCCACTGCAGTAAATGACTATTAGCAAAACAGTTGTAAAAAAAAAGTATTATAAGAGTGAAAAGGAGGAGGAAAAGAGTGCAATAGATTCATGCAGGAGGGTTAAGACCTTAAACATCATTGAAGCTGTTTACAGGTCATGGGGCTTTTTGCAGGGAATAGAGGGACATCTCTGAAATTTGTTATGTTTGTCCCCATGGAAGAGTACAAGGTAGGACAACGGTTAGAAGCACAGACTTTGGAGTCAGACTCAGATATAATCCTGATTTTGCCAGAGAATCCCTAGTTGCAAGTGAAAGACACCAAACAGTTGATGTAAGCAGAAAGAGGCTTTACTGGTTCACAGAACAGTGAGTAACTCAGAGAACAGACCATAGGAATTAGGGAAGTTCTCACGACATGAGAAACTGAAGGTTCCTAGGATTGTCTGACTCTATCCATCTTATTTCAGCTTTTCTCTGCCCAGCCTCACACTTTCCTGCTGCAGAAAGGCTTTCTCCACATGGCAGGGCATATGCCACCTGAAAGCTCTGGATAACATCCCTTGAGTTCCATGACCTTAGCCAATAGGCTATTTCTCCTGCAGCTCCAAGTAAAAAGTCCTAGGGAAAAGCTCGATTGACTTTTCTTGGTCACATGACTCTCATGGGTACTTTTCAGTGACCAGAGGAGTGTGGTCCTATGATTGGACAGGTTTGGATCATCAGTAGTGTTCTGTGACTGACAGTTTCATCAGAACCACAGTAGTAGAGAGGATGGCAAGAGAGACTTCCACTACCCCAAGATGGAGAGGATATTTATCAATGCTTTGTTTTGGAAAAAGCTCTTAGAAATAATCTAGCCTAGTGTTGCCCACACCTGGATGAGTTTGTTAAAGTTCAGATTCCCAGTCATCACCCAAAGTCAGGGACTAGAGCCCAGAGAAAATATATTTTTAACCAGCTTTGCAGATGATGCCAGTGATCAGCTAGGTATGGGAATCACTGGCCTATCCCAATCCTGTCATTTTACCAAGGAAAAACTGAGGCCCACAGAGGAAAGCAATTCACCCCAAGTCACATACACTGGAAGAGGCAGAAGAGTAAGACTAGAGTTCACATACTTTGCAGTCCCTGTTGTATCAGTCTGTTCTCACCCTGCTAATAAAGTCATACCCAAGATTTGGTAACTTATAAAGAAAAGAGGTTTAATTGACTCACAGTTCCACATGGTAGGGGAGGCTTCACAATCATGGCGGAAGGCAAATGAAGAGCAAAGTCACGTCTTACATGGCAACAGGCAAGAGAACTTGTGCAGGGGAACTTCCACACATAAAACCATCAGCTCTCATGAGATGTATTCACTACCATGAGAACAGTATGAGGGAAATTGTCCCCATGATTCAATTATCTCCACTTGGCCCCTGACCTTGACATGAGGGGATTATTACAACTCAAGGTGAGACTTGGGTGGGGACACAGCAAAACCATATCACCTATCCATTCCTCTTATAGCTCATTGCTTCCCCATGCTGTTTCAGTGTCTCTCCAGCCAGAGAAAGGGGTGTGGGAGAGGAAGGAGAACCCTATGAGTCATTCTATTCCTGACCTTTCTGCAACTGGATTTGACTCGCAAGCATGAACCGTCCCAACACATACACATACCATTAGACACTTCTCCGGTAGCTGTGCCCCCTGCCCCCACAACTATAATCTGGCACACAGAAGCCAAGGTGGGGAAGGAGCGAGGAGGGGATTGTAGACAATTTGGTGTGATATAATGGACTGGAGATAAAGGCAATTCAGGCTGGGGAAACTGAGGAGCAAAGGCCTGGAGGCAAAAACAGGTAGGAAAAAGGCAAAGAATGGAAGTATCAGTGTCTTGGGATGGGAAGGAGAATGAAGAGGATATTGGAACTTAATAAGGCTGGGGTATGATTGAAAAGGATTTAATGACACATTCCCAGATAAGGAATCTAGCAAGAAGGGATTTTCCACCTTTTGAGGTTATGTTTATGCCCATATAAACCCAATGAAATTTCTTTTAAAATAGAGGTATTGTTTAATAGCTGTGCCTATGTACGTTCAATGGTCTGCCACATAAAAAATATAAATCATTTTAGTTTTTAACAGTTCTATATAATGATCAAATTCCATCATTAGAATTTTGAAAATGTTTTAAAAGTGGTATTATAGAGCCAACCCAAAATGTTTTCTTCGTAACACACGCCCTGTGATATGCACTTTCTAGAAAGGGTTCAGTACTGGAAAAAAATAATAATAAAGTCAGGAAATTCTGCCATCCCTAGTGTCCCTCCTAGAAAATCTCAATGATGATTAGCATATTAAAGGATCTGATAAGCCCTAAAGGAAAGATGCCTACTGAACTTTGTTGAATTCAGCGTCTCAAACTTTGATCATGCAAATCCTCTCTTGATTAATCTTATAAATATTGTGCTATAATGGAGTCACTTATACTGTCCCTTCCTGGGCTTGAGGGGAGGGCTTTGCATGTGCCCAGTGTATTCCTACTAGGTAAATCAGACCAGAAAAAAAGGGCATGGTGTCACTACAGAATCGCTACTTTATTTTAAAAGCAATTTCACTTAATACCTTACCTACTTCCCCAAGGCGCAGGAATATATGGCTTCATATACAGATATGCATTTGATAATTTGGAGGTACACACAAAAATGTAATAGAACACTGTACAAGAAAAGGAGGGGGAAAACTGTTGGATTAATTTTGCAAAAAGAAGATTCACTCCCCTGTTTATCTGGCTTCCAGCATCTGGTGTTTGCCTGCAGCATTTTCCTCAATGGGTCACACCTGTCTTTTCTTTGCTGGTATCCCCAGTGTGGAATCCTAACATGTACCACGGACATCTGTTGTTTGGCCTGACCTGTATTCATTCCCCTTCTTCTGATGAGAACATTGGTAATCCACCCCCTTTCCTATCCTCAGGCTATGATTCTGTTAGGGTTGACACCCCTTTGCTTTCCAAGGATGAATGCAAGACCCAGGTGTGGCCAGTCATCATATTCTCACTGGCCATCATGATTGATTCAGAGATGGGTATGTGACCCAGGCTGGTCCAGTGAGATTCGACTCTGGAATTTTACTGGGACCATCAATAAAGATGATATGGTTAGGTTTTGTGTCCCCACCCAAGTCTCATTTTGGATTGTAATCCCCATAATCCCCATGTGTCTAGGGAGAGACTTGGAGGGAGGTGATTGGATCATGCAGTGGTTTCCCCCAATGTTGTTCTCATGATAGGGAGTGAGTTCTCACAAGATCTGATGGTTTTGTAAGTGTCTGGCATTTCCTCTGCTTGCACTTCTCCTTCCTGCCACCTTGTGAAGAAGGCACCTTGCTTCCCCTTTGCCTCCCACCATGTTTATAAGTTTCCTGAGGCCTCCCCAGCTATGCCAAACTGTGAGTCAATTCAATCTCTTTTCTTTATAAATTACCCAGTCTCAGACAGTTCTTTATAGTAGTGTGAAAGTGGATAATACACAATATTTATTCTCTTTCTCTTGCAATTGGTTGGCTGGAGTGACATATACTTAGGGCAACATACGTCCTTGGAGAGCCCACCTGAGAATGAAGACAACAGAGAGCAAAACAGGCTGAAAGATGGAGAGAAAGACTGAGTGCAGATGATTTCGTTTGTACGGGTATATTCAGCTGTTTCTGAAGTATTTTCATCTACATTTTGTATTTATATCAGCGAATACAGTTTTATCTCCTCAAGCTAGGTTTCACTTATTAAAAAAACTCCAAGCTTCTGTTAAGGCATGTATGTAGTTTGTTGTTGTTGTTAGAGACAGGGTTGTGCTCTGTCACCCAGGCTGGAGAGTAGTGGCATGATCATGGCTTACTGCAACTTTGACCTCCTAAGCTCAAGTGATCCTCCTGCCTCAACCTCCCAAGTAGCTGAGGCTACAGGTGCACACCACCAGGCCTGGCTAATTATTATCTTTTTATTTTTTGTAGAGATGGAGTCTCTCTATGTTGTCAAGGCTGCTCTTGAAGTCATGGCCTCAAGCGATCCTCCTGCCTTGGCCTCCCAAACTGCTAGGATTACAGACATGAGCCACCACACCCAGCCCATATATATAACTTATGAGGTCAGAATTATCCAGCAAAATTTTACTGTGCAATTATTATGTGCCACACTCTGAGCTATAAATGAGGGCTGGCAGTACAAATACAAATAAAACATGTTCTTACCCTTAAGTCATTGACCATCTAGTGAAATAGAGGCAAACACAAAAGCAGATAATCTAATACAACATGATGCATGCTCTAATTGAGTTACATACTAAGTCTCAAGGGAGAAAAAAAGAAACAGAAATCAGTGCAACACAAGGAAACTTTTGGAGGTATTGCCTATTACCTTGATGGTGCTGATGGTTTCATGGGCATATGCATATGTCCAAATTCATCAAGTTGTGTATCAAATATGTGCATGTTTTTATATATTAATTATATCTCAATAAAGCTGTTTTTTTTAAAGATGAGTCTACCTTGAATGGAAATAGCTGGCATCTATTATCCTTCTCATGTTTAGCCATTGGCTTGAGCTGCCCCTCAAAGGACAGAACCTTGATTCAAATGCTGAAGGAGTTAACAGTGGAAGGCTGTTAGCTAACCACTTCTTACAACTGGGCAGCCAGTGCTTTCTCTGAAGGAGATCTGAGCAATGTATCTCTGTGTCTGCCACAACTCCCAAACGAAAAGAGGTGTTTTACTTTCTTTTTTTCTTCCTGACCATATAAATAATCCATGTCCATTGTAAAAATGAGAAAGTAGAAAAGTAAATGGAAAAAGGTAAAC
Source organism: Homo sapiens (assembly GCF_000001405.40). NCBI lineage: Eukaryota > Metazoa > Chordata > Mammalia > Primates > Hominidae > Homo > Homo sapiens. The sequence continues at coordinate 118,933,001 of NC_000012.12, read as the reverse complement.
GCCACCTAAAACGGCTAGTATTTTGGAAAATATTCTCCCATATATTTTTCTACACATATCTATATCTATATTTTATGTAAATGGCATCGTATTATGATGTATTTTTTACAGCTGACTTTAAAAATCTTATCTTTTTTACTCTTTTTAAAGATTCTTAACACCTCAGCACTCCTCCCTGCCCTTCCCCCAGATAACTGTTATCAATAATGTAGTGTGTGACCACCTTATATCTTACAGACACTTAAGAGTTTTAAAAGTGTTTTCACAGGCCAGACGCAGTAGCTCATGCCTGCAGCCCTAGCACTTTGGGAGGCTGAGGCAGGCGGATCGCTTGAGGTCAGGACTTCAAGACCACCCTGGCCAACATGGTGAAACCTCATCTCCACTAAAAAAAAAACAAAACAAAAAATACAATAATTAGCCACGTGTGGTGGCATGTGCCTGTAGTCCCAGCTACCCAGGAAGCTGAGGCAGGAGGATCACTGGAGGCTGGGAGGCAGAGGCTGCAATGAGCCAAGATTGTGCCACTGCACTCCAGCCTGGGTGACAGAGCGAAACTCTGTCTCAAAAAAAAAAAAAAAAAAATGCTTTCACATAACACATTTTTTATCACTCTGACAAGTGCCTTCTCAGATGGCAAATGCAAACTCTGTTTCTCCATTTCCAGAGGAGAAATCTACAGCCCAGAGACATTAGGTGATTTCTCAGTAAAGTCACTCAACTTGCAGGTGACAGAGCCAGGATTCCAAGTCCTAGACTTCTCATCCAGGGTCCTTCCCTTTAAATGCTGTATCCCTAATACACACATGGCCTTCCTTTCTGCTTGTCTAGGTGCATCCAGCTCCTCACTGTGGCTGATAGTGACTGGTAGTATCAGGTAGCGACCTTCCCACACCAGGAAGCAGTCAAACTAAGCTCTGACAGTCATTCATCAGAGTCAGGGTTGAGTAGATTCTTGTGCTGCAAGTGGGGGCTTTTGCTGCAATGCCGTAGAGCAATGTTAGCAAATCAGCATCTATCGACAGATAAGAAATCCAGCTATGTCAGTTCCTGTGTTCATACCACAACCTCACCCTCCAATAGCAGTGTTCAGACAGTAGCCAGGTTTGTTGTTGTTTCAAAATTTCTATTTTGTTCTGCATCTCTATAGAACTGCAAACACTGGGTCTATTGAAAGAGCACATAGAAAAATCACAATATAATGTTAATAGCCCCTATTTATAATCCACACAAGCTGCTTTGGCCAGTGAGTAGTGGAAAATGTGCATGTCAAAATGTGAGGAATTTCTTTGACTAGGTTCCTTGGTGGAAATGTACGTGTGCCAATTAAGCAAGTTATCGGAGTTGACCAATGCATGTAGTTAGATGACTTATTTTCAAGCTCGTGGGCATGAACATGCAATGACAAAGATCATGGGTTTCAATATCAGCCAGACCTGAGTTCGAATACTAGTCCCTTCACGTCCTGATTTTATGACATTGGGTAAGTCATTTAACTTTTCTGACCTGTTTGCTCCATGGGTAAAATATAATAATGCCAGCCTTACAGGTGAGGACTAAATGAGATAATTTGTATAAATTTCTTAGCACTGTGTCTGGCACATAGTAAGTGCTTGACAAATATTAGTTGTTTTAATTACTAGAGTAGCCATTAATTAGCAGTAGTAATTACTAATACTACTATTACTTCATTACTAGCATTATAAACTCGAGCATTACAAATAATTCTGGGGACAGAGGATTTCCCCTAACTCAGGATATCAGCTCTCCCAATTAAGCTGATTTAAGTTATGAATCTACACCTTGTGAACACTAGTTAACTTCGTTTTACATTATTAAGTGTATGCTCTCTTAATCTAAAATATCCAGTGTTTTAGCTGATATTTCACAAAATGTAAAAATAGTAGGCCTGCAGATATTAATACTTGTTACTGGAAAAAAGGAATTAGTGATCAAACAAATCTGGGAGATACATGGTTAAATAAAAACAAGGTGACATCAGTTTCCTTCCTGCAGGACTTGACAGAGCCTTTTATATTCCCAAAGGACTTGTGCCTCTCTAAGAAGCAGATGTAATACTGTATTAATCATGACATTTTCAGTTGCAAATGGTAGAAACCCAGATGAATTCAGCTTAAGCAAAAAGAGTATTTATTTGTTCATGTAACTCTAAGTCCTAGGATTGCACATACTTTAGGTTAGCTGAATCCAGCTAACTCTTCCTTCAACTTCCCTTCAATGTCCTCCTGTTCTCTCTTTTCTCTCTCCTCTTCTATTAAAACAGCTTTTCTCTGTCTGGCTTCATTCTTGGCTTTTGCAGTTGACAGCAATATTGTTCCATAGAAATCTCAAGCTTGCAATATATGATACAGAGAAAGAAAATATTTTCCCCAATTTACCCATCTTGAGTCATGGACTCATGTCTGATTCAATCTCTGTGGCCAGGGGTATGCAGTGGTATGTTTGGTCAGGTGAAAATAAATTAAGCAGAGAAGAGGAGGGAAGGCATTTCTCCAAAAGAAGAGTTGATGACAGACACCATGTATTCACTCTGAATATTTAGCATTCCATCTTACATGGCCAGTAAGTAATGCTGACTTTTGTACAAACCCAGTCCCAACACACAAAAAGAAAATCATCGTTTTGAGCTATCTTTTTTGAGAGTCTATTATGTGCCTGTTACTGTTCGTGGAACTCAGATACAAAGATGAATGAGGCACAGTCATCATCTTGCAGGAGTTCACAGTCTAGAAGGCAAAGCTTGTAGACAGACAGTAAGCAGCCGAGTACAATGCAACATCCCAGTTGTTACAGCAGAGGTATAATGAACTGCCACAGGAACACAGAGGAGAGACAGAATCGATCTGCCTTGATTATGACAGAAACATTTCATAGAGGAGAAGACATTTATGTTGAGGATGAGGCCAAGTTTGAGAAGGGCAGGTTATTCTGGCATAGAGAATTACCTAAGAAAGCCTATACAGTTTGAGAGCTCATTGCTTAATTTGGAATTGAATGATAGTTGCGTGATTTTAATGCAGCCTACATGGTCAGCCAAGAGATAAGGAACCGTGGAGCTAGTGTTGACTCCTCAATCACAGGTTATCTCTTCTCCCTCAACATCCTTCCTGAGAGCTTTCTTCAAACCTTATGGATGCTGCTGTTTTGTGTCTACCCAGTAAGCTTCCTTATTCCTCTTTCTCTTTGAAAAGACACTTTTTTCCAGGTCCACAGGGGTTATCATAAGATGGAGTCTAAGCCAATCACATTCTATGTTTTCCTAATTACTATGATTGGTCTAGGGGTAGGCATGTGACCCAAACACAACCAACCATGTCTTATCTTTGTTTTTTATGAAGAGATATTTGGAAAAAGTTAATACTTTTCTTACTGTGGGTAAGCAGCTGAAAGAAATGGACATGAGACTGCTCCAGTGTTCTTCCATGCTGCATGCTATTATAGCTTAAGTTGGGTTTCTGTCCCTTGCCCTCCAAAATGGTCACTTTCTCCAGCATTCACCTGAATGCTGCGAAACCTCACTGCAAGTTCTTGAAAAGGGCAGGGAGCCTCTACCACATGGGAGGAAGTGGTGCAGCCAGTAAGTACAATCGTTGGAGCCCTGCCTCAAAACTCTGTCCTGCTCCTTCTCAGGGCTGTGACCCCTTTGAGAACTGGATGTCAGTCTTTCAATACAATTATTCTTCCTTGAGTTAAGCCTCACTCCCACTTCTAACTTGCATCCCTGCCTCCCCTTTTGCCTCCACCTCAAATCTACTATTCACACTGCAGCAGAGGACCCTTTGAGAACTCAAATCTGACCAGGCCACTTGTTGCTAAGACCAAAGTGTAACATCTACAACCAGGGGTCCTAGTTCTTCAAGTTAGCCTATAGAATCCTCCAAAGTTTGGATTCTGACCACTGTTAGCCTCATGTCTTAGCACCCTCTAAACCACAGTTTTCCCTTCACCAACATTGGGTGGCTTCTACTTCTCTGTTCATACCATTTGTCTTAGTCTATTTGTGTTGCTATGTCAAAATACCATGGACTCGGCAATTTATAAAGAACAGAAATTTATTTCCTCACAGTTCTGGAGGCTGGGAACTCCAAGATCAAGGTGTTGGCATCTGGTGAAGGCCTTCTTGCTGTGTCCTCACATGGCGGAAGGCAAAAAGGCAAGAGAGAGTAAATTCCCTCTGTCAAGCCCTTTTTATGAGGACACCTAGACCCATTCATGAGTGAGGGGAAAGAGCCCTCATGACCTAATCACTTCTTAAAGGTCCCACATATTAATCCGATCATATTGGCCATTAAGTTTCAACACACGAGTTTTGGAGGGGGCACATTCAAACCACACACCATTTTTAGAGGCTCTTCTCTTGGGAACATCCCATTCATCAATTAAAATCCAGCTGAGACACCTTCTTCAGTTCTATGTTAGGTACCTCAGAAGGAATTGTATGTACCTCTATCCCTACACTTCTATCTGCTTTATGATTGTATGCTTGGGTGCCTATTACCCCATGAAGAGAAGGGCTCTGTCTTATTTGTCTTTCTCTCACACCTCACATCTAATTCATGTGCAAATATTGGCAGCTCTACCTTTAAAACTTTTAGAACATACTCCAAATCTAACCACCCAATATCACCACCATCTACTAACATGGTCTAAGCCACCATCATCTCCCACTTATATTGTTGCATCAGCCTTGTAACAAGACCTCCTTGATTCTGTCCTGGCCACCCTTAAATCCATGGCAAAATGGCAGCCAGCAACCTTTTAAAATGTAATTCAGTTCACATTAATCCTCTTCTCAAAACCTTACATTTGGCTTCCATTTACTTGGAAAAAGATTGAAGTTTCTAAAATGGCCTACAAGGCTTTATAGGATATGGCCACCTGTTTCTTCCTCAAATCATCATCTACTATTCTATTCCCAGCTCATGCCATACCAGTCCCAGTGGCCTCCCTGCAGTTCCTCCAGCATGCCAGGGGCATGCTCCTGCCTCATAGAGTACACATTCACTATTCCCTCTGCCTGGATTGTTCTTTCACAAGGCTTCCTTCTTCATCTCCTCCTCCAGGTGTTTTTTCAAATGGCACTCCTTCAGCCAGCCCTTTTAGGGTACCATATTTAAAGTTCCAGCCCCCTTTTCAACATTTCCTATCCTCTTTTCTTATTTTCTTAATTATATGGCATTATACCACATATTTTCCTTGTTTGTTTTATTCATTGTATATATCCTGAATCCTCTATCCCCCGAAGATCAGCTCCCTAATGGCAAGAGTTTTGAGTGTTCCATTCATTGATATAGTCCCAGTGCCTACAACAGTGCCTGGCACACAGCAGATGTTCATCACATATTTGTCAAATAAATAAAAGAGCAAATGAATAAACATATTATTTGAATACCAACTGCCTAGCAGACAGCAGACAGGCAATATAACTTATTGAGTAAATTCGTCAACTAATGAAGTCTTCTGGTATGTCAAAATGAGTTTTTCCCTGGTGTTATCATGTTTCCCAATCCTCTTCTTAAATTTCCAGGTCTCAAAAAAAAAATTTCCAGGTCTCCAGTTGCCTAATCAATTGTCCATGGGGATTTGTGCCAGTCTCTGATGTGATTCTGTAAATGTCTTCTCCAGTAGTAAGAACAAAAAGTCAATCAATGAGTAGTTGGCAATGAAGGGTCAAATTCCAACTGACAAAGCCTGGTTCCCTTTAGGAGAGTCTGTCATTCTTAGTGACACAAAGCCAGGCAATGCCACAATTCTCTATCACAAATTTCTGAAATATTGGGCTCAATATTCATCTTCACACAAAACTAAACTCTTTGGATTCTGGGCTCTTATAAGGAGGGCTGTGTGGAGTAAAATTGATACTGAGATAATCACCTCAAAATAAATGGGAAGTATATTTGAAAACAAATAGATTTCCATACAAACAGAGATATGCACACAATATGTCTCCATTCAGCCTTTATGAGAACCATGGATAACTTGGCATTAAAGAGAATGAGTGGCGTGAACAGTGAACTTTATAGTTTGTAATAAACTTTCATAAGCATGATTTCATTTGGGTTTCATAAGTACCCTGTGAAGAAGAAGTATTATTATTTCCACTGGGGTAGGCTATATTATTGTTCTAAATTATTTGCTGCCTTCTCTGTAAGAGAGTTGGTATAGGACCCTCTAACTTCCATGTAACTTACACTGCCTTTCTGTGGGAGAAGTGTAACATTCCTACCCCAGGGCAAATAGAATATGAGCACTGGTGATTACAGAGTATATCCGAGCAAAAGCTTAAGAGATCTTGCATGACTCTGCCATCACCCTTTGTCTCCTAGTCTCAAAGCCAAGATAGCAACCAGGTGCTTCTGCATCCTGGACCCCAGAATGAAAATCTACATGGAAAGGAGCCACAGAACCATAGCTGAGCTCTGCTTTACAGCCAGAATATGATATGAGTGAAAAATAAATGTTTGTTGCTGTAAGCCACCAAGATATGGGAGCTGGGGTTCTGTTTGTTACCATAGCATAACTACCTTATGCTAACTAACATACCCATTTTACAGATGAGGAATCTAAGGCTTAAAGAGATGAGTGACTTGCCCAAGACACTCACCTAATAAATGACAGAGCCAGGACTCAAACTCAAGACGTCTTAGCCCTAAATCCATTGTCATCTTTTAGATCATTCTGGTTTGAGAAAATGTCTTTTTCTGCACATCTCCTGTTAATAATCTGGGAAACTGAGTGGTATCAGATCCCAAGATGGTTTGTTTTTCACCAGGGAGAGCCCTTTCCTCTCTCAGCCCCTGCCCACTCAGAAGAGAGCTCTGAATTTCAGTTATTTAGGAAAACAGAGTTGGCTCAATATAGCTGTTTTCACAAACTGATCTCTGGAAACCATCCCAGCCCAGGGTAAAATATAAAATTTCATCACAGTGGGAATTTAGCCAACGCCTCCAAGCTGCATTGACTGCTCCTCTTGTTTCTTATTAGGGCTCACTTGTTTATCAGAAGCCGTTGGATGGGCCTGAAAGTGCTCTAGGAGACAGGATCAGAATATTGGCTTTATTCTGTCCTTTTATTACTTTAGACCTTTCCTAATGTTCTCCTAAGGACAGAGACAGCTGGAGACATCTGGGGTCCCAGTCGGGCTTGCCACCAGACTAATATTCCTGAACATGTACAAGGTACATACATATAACTTCTTCATTTAGGGCATGATTTAGGGCATAAACATTTAATTCCCAGAAGATAAAATCTGGGCCAAAGGTATCAAGCATATGAGGAAATGATCCACGTCACCCAGGCAACCTCACTGTCCAGTAATGTTTCCAAGAATTCTGAAAAACAAATGTCCCTGGGCACTACTGGTACAGAGTAAGACTGGTGGTGGCTGGAGCCTGTTCATAAGGGGTCAGGGAAGAAAAGCAGAAGTTAGCTTGAAAGCCCCACTTCCTTCCTATTTTTAGATCCCCCAGCATATAAGGAAGCCCAAAAGGAATTCAGCTAAGTGTAGGCTTGGCTATTAATCCAGAATCTATGTAGGATATGCAAAAGAAATGTTATCTAGTCAGCAGACATTGGCCTAGCATTTATGACGTGCCAGACACTTTCCTAAGTACTTTGTAAATATAAACTTATTTAATGCCAAAACAACCATCAGAGGTAGAAACTATTATTATCTCTACTTTACAGACAAAGAAACTGAGGCACAGAGAGGCTAAGTAACTTACCCAAAGTCCAGGAGCTTGAAGGAAAGAGGGCAGACAGGGTTGGACCCCTGCAGTCTGCTGCCAGAGTCCATACTCTTTACCTCTGTGCTGTGATGCTCCTAAGATGTCATGGAAGAATCAGATCTTGGAAAAGCTGTGAAACTGATGACATCTCTCTGGCAATGATATACTTTCTCTTTCAGTTGTGACTCACTCAGGATGAGAGGGCGAAGACCCTGTTGCCCAGGCTGGAGTACAGTGGTGCAATCTCAGCTCACTGCAGCCTCTGCCTCCTGGGTTCAAGCAATTCTCCCACCTCAGCCTCCAGAGGAGCTGGGATTACAGGCAGGCACCACCATGCCCAGCTCATTTTTTGTATTTTTTGGTAGAGATGGGGTTTCACCACATTGGCCAAGTTGATCTTGAACTCCTGACCTCAAGTGATTCACCCGCCTCAGCCTCCCAAAGTGCTGGGATTATAGGCATGAGCCACGATGCCTGGTCTTGTTCTTGAGTAACTTCTAAACTGTAAATTCCCAATATGCAGGAATAGGGTTACCCTTTGCACCACTGTATCCACAGCATCGAACGCAGTGCCTAAATTAAAGAATGCCCAGTGTTTGTTAGAAAAAGGAAGCATGAAAGAAAAAAGGGAGGAAAATGGGAGGGAAGAGGAAAGAGAGAGAGAGAGAGAAAGAGAGAGCGAGAGAGAGAGAGAGAGAAAGCTATTTATTTAGTTTTCAGCTAGCCATCATCTAATTCCCAGTTGTGGGTTAGTTTGAATTGTTGCTCCTCCTAGGGATATTTAGAGATACTCTCAAAAGGTTACCTGAGAGATGCTCTCAAAAGAACTAATAGTTTCAGAAGCTGATGTAGGTTTTGCCCACTCTGCCTCTTTCCTCTGCAATATGTTTTCTCTGGCTTTCCACATCCCTTATTTATTGTTGAACTTCAACACACAAACACACACACATGCACACACAAACACATACACACACACAGCCCTACACAACACTGTTTGTGCAACTAGCTAGGCAATGGGACCTCATCTTTCACCATTCTTCTCTGTCCTACAAAGAACCAGAGAAAGGACCCAAGAGGGGGCATCACTTTGGCTTCTCTGGTTTTAACAGCACTGATGCCCCCAGCTCCACCTCTTCTCTGTCCACGAGAACTTCAGCTAGTAATAGCACTTAGCTACAGGTGAAATGTCACAGAATTTGAGAATGCAATAGCCCAAACAGGCTTGTTTAGATTAGCTTGTCTAGAATTTTTTTTTTGACAGTGCCTTGCTCTGTCACTCAGGCTGAAGTACAGCAATGCAATCACAGATCGCTTCAGTCTCAAACTCTGGGTTCAGGTGATCCTCACACCTCAGCCTCCCAAGTAACTGGGACTACAGACAGGCACCACCACACCTGGCTATTGTGTATTTGGTTTCTGTAGAGACAGGGTCTCACTATCTCTCCCAGGCTGATCTCAAACTCCTGGGCTCAAGCAATCCTCCTGCCTTGGCCTCCCAAAGTGCTGGGATTACAGGTTTGAGCCACTGAGCCTGGCTGGAATTCTTAATCTGAGACCCAGAGAGTTGGCTTTGGGGAGTCCATGAGTATCCCTCTGAGGTCTCACTGTCCCAATTATTCTACACTATCTTCCCACCCTCATATCTTTTCCCATCCTTTCCTCAGTGCAACATCTTCAAACAAGGTAGTATAGCATTCTAGTTCAAAGTACTAGAATCAGAGTAAGAGAGACTGGATCAATTCCTTGCTCAACCAGTTACTAGCTGTGAATCTTAAGTTCATGTCTTCCCCTCTCTGAGCCTCAGTTCTCCCATATATATAATGACAGTAAGAATAAAAGCTACATCATATAATTTATTAAGGAATCAATGAGGTAATACATCTAAAGCACTTAGCACAGAGTTTGGTACATAGTGAGTATTCAATAAATACTTAGAATTATCTTAATTCCCCATGCTTTGTCCACACTCTGCCTTGTTCCCCAGAAAATAGCAGTATCATGTTTATGACTTCAGATGATTTCACTTGTTTTGAGAGTCAGGAATAGCCTTCTCTTGTAACCCTCATTTGGAAAGCAATTTAACTCCCTGACATTAAAAATTAAAATATAAACAGCTCAGAGCCTGATTTAATGGACAATTAAAAATTAAATTAACAATTAGTAAGTGATGAGCTAATTTTGTTAGTGTAACCACATTAGCCTCATGCTTTGAGGAATAGGAAAAGGGGGAAATGGGTTCCTTTAAAAAATACAGGCAAGAAATGATTTAAACTCATATATCATAGCCTTGACAGATTCATTCTTTGAAGCCATTCGCTCTAAAACCCAGCTGTCTGATGCTCATGAAAAAATGTTTAGATGCCAAAATAATGAGAATTAATGATCTGGTAGAAGGAAAAAGATACTAAAGTAATATTTAATTGCAAGATATAGAGCAAACAGCTGGGTAAAACAGCCTGGGTCATCGTACCCCATGCTGGTTGGCAGCCTCTGGAATAAGCAAGGGTTTTCTTACTTGTCTTTAAACACATGGATCTGCCAAAAGTGCTTATTGCAGGTCTCAGGTCTGAGATTATACTGAGATTCTTACACTGAGCTCCAATAGGAGGGGAAGATGAAAAAGAGCCCAGCTGAGGTGTTTCAGCACCCTGGAGAGTGCTTAGCAGAAGGTAGGGCACTGAACTTTTTTGGAGAGAGCTTCATCTCACTCCAAAAAAGTCACAAAACTCCCCTTTTCTTCTCCTGCCTCCTCTGTTCTGACTCCCCTCTTTTTTTTCCCAGGAAACTATGCTCTCAAAACTCTTATCACTTTATTATCATTGCATTTTGATGTGTCCGTCCTTTCTGCTAGTTCATAAGGTCAGTGAGTTCAGGGGCTCCTATCTTGTTTGCCATTAAATGCCACACACGTCATAGTGTCTGGTATACAGTAGATGATCAATATGTGTTCTCTTGAATTGATTTAATGCTACTGAGCTAAAAATGTGTTCAATCTGAGATGTTAGGGACTCATAATCTTGCTCTTCCTAGAGGCATCTACCATTTGAAAAGAGGGAATGGAGATTGCTCTACTGAATCCAAAGAGATGGCTCGAGTGTGGTGTGATTCCAGGCATCAAGAAGTGACCAGAGGCAAAAAAGGGAGTGCTTCTAAGAACTCATCAAACCACAGCTTGTAGATGTCTATCTGCTCCGATTACATGCTGGACTGGCTTCAGTGAACAGAAACTGTCTTAGGAGCAAAGAACACCACTCAATTCTTAAAATGTGTGAAGTGTCTGACAAAATGCCATCTGATGCTGATAGGATGTGATCTGAATGGGGCGGCCTTCTGCCATCCTCCTGTCATCACCTCTGTTGTTTGAGATCCCTACTGTTACAGTCTCTGGTTTAGAGAAGAGAACATTTGTTGGTTTTGGTATGCCCCCCACCTCTGCTTCACATCCATTGCATCTGGCTTTCATAATAGTTTTAAATTTTCTTTTGGGAGAATTTCCTCTCCTTTGATGTGTGTAGTCTTAATGATACCAAAAGTCAAGGCAATTTTCCTCCCCCACCCAAGAGTCTATAGCCCAAGGGTGACCAATCAGCCCTTTCCTGATGTAGCTTTTGTGGATCTTGAATGTAGTGTCATAAGGAGGAAAAGGCAGTTGACACCACTTCTTCCAGAGTGACACCCTTTTAAGAAAGTGGTCCACTTGACACTACCAATATCAGAGCATTCCTCTCTTCTTCTACGCTGAGTTTTCCAGCCTTCTCATTGATTCTATGATCCAATATCCTTCTAATATCATTCTAATAAGTTCACTTTCTGCTTAAATTAGCCTGAATCTGTTTCTCGATTAGCTTACAGGATCTCTAATTGATGCTGTTGAGTTGAGGAGCAAGAGGTAAGGCAAGAGGTGAACATCACCTAGGCTTTGAAACTCTCTTCCAGTGACAGGTAATTTATCACATTTATTACTTAGACTCTTCCAAGGAAAAGAACCCAGATGAATGTAATGTCTAGTGAGAAAAAGGAGGGGGAGAAATTTCAGTGTAGAATCATGAAGATGACAAGCCCTAGAGGTGGTGAAAAGCTAACTGGAGACAGCTGCCAAAGGAAACAAATTCCTTGCCTCTTTTGCTTGGCTTCAGCCTCAAGTACAATATATATATTTTAATTTTAATTTTAATTTCAATAGTTTTGGGGGAGTTCAGGTGGTTTTTGGTTATATGGATAAGTTCTTAGTGGTAATTTCTAAGATTTTAGTGCATCTGCCACTTGAGCAGGGTACACTGTACCTAATATGTAGTCGTTTATCCCTCACTCTCTTCCCACCCTTCCCCCTGAGTATGCAAAGGTCATTATATTATTCTTATGCCTTTGCATCCGCATAGCTTAGCTCCCACGTATAAGTGAGAACATATGATTTTTGGTTTTCCATTCCTACATTGTTTCACTTAGAAAAATGGCCTCCAGCTCCATCTGAGTTGCTGTAAAATACATTATTTTGCTTCTTTTTATGGATGAATAGTATTCCATGGTGTAGATATACCACATTTTCTTTATCCACTCATTGGTTGATGGGCACTTAGGTTGTTTCCATATCTTTGCAACTGTGAATTGTGCTGCTATAAACATGCGCGTGCATGTGTCTTTTTTATATAATGATTTTTCCCCTTCAGCCTCCAGTAAATTAAAAGATTCCAATAAATTAAGCCTCCAATAGGGAGGTAGAGATCCTGCATGACTAACAGGGCTCAAAAGGCCTTCCTGATACAAGTCTTCCTGGAACCCAGTTTCTCTGTCTGATTTCCCAGGGGGTCTGGGTGCTCAGTCACATGTTCCCCCTTCCTTATCTCTACAGACTGGCCCAATGTCACAAACGACATGGAGAGGAAACCTCACAGATATTGCAGGGATACTGTGTCTGAAAATCCCATGGCTTTCCAATGGCCCATAAGTCAGGAAACAAATTAGAGGCTTGTAAAATTTGTCTTCTGCCTTTAATTGACAACACTCACATGCCACAAAGGTAAGAAGTTCTGTTTCTGAATCCATTATTAGGCAGAACCTATAAAAAGGAACAAGAAGGAGCAAAGAGAGGAATAGGGATGTCAGTCAGTGCTTATTCCCACACACCCATTTAAGGAAACTGTCTGTCTCACAATCCCTATTGCTTCAGCAACCTCCTTCCACCTTGCCAGCTAATTGGGGCATTGTATGGACTCTGCGACACAAGTATGATGGATCCAACCTGTGGCCAGTGACTTGGGACCTGTATCATCTGGGATAAAAAGATCTCTTTGGCCAATCAGATTCCTCTGGAGTACTGAGCATTATCAAGCTGGGAAATTGAGATAGCATAAGGACTGAGGATGAAAAGACACCTTGAGACATGGCAGGCAAAATCATGAATAAACCAAATTTCTACATGAGCAAAAAAGAAGAAGAATATGAGGGAAAACATAATCGAGAGAAAGGAGAATTGAACAAATAATTAGAGAGGACAAGAGAGAGAGAATGAAAGAGAGACTGATTCCTAAAACAGCTGTAGGTGCTGAAAACTTTCCAGTTCTAATTACAGTTCACAGCTCCTAATAATAAACTGCTTTTTAAAAAGGTAACTTGAAGGAGTCTCTGTCTTGCAACTGAAAGAACCCAACTGAAACAAAGGAAATTCAGCCACAAAGGTCGAGGAGAACATGTGAACTAATCCCTATTTCCTCTGACCCTAGCTTTCAAGCCAGAAATGGATCTGTCTAAAATAGCCTCTGGTGCCTGGAGCATGTTATATGTCTCACATTGTGTGCACTGTTATACCATTTGAGCCTAATGACAGCTCTGTGATATAATTATGTTGCACACACATTCATTCAACAAATGTGCTCAGATCCTGCTATATATATCAGCAACATTCTTTTGGGAATGAAAGAGGAAATAAAAGAAAGGTTAAAGAATAATAGACCCTGTCCTAGAGCAGGATGTCAGCTATGGACAGAAGTATTTGCATTGTGTAAATGAGATAGACCAAGGTAGGGCATAGGTGCATTCAAGTTCACATAGCTAGTTAGTCAAGAGGAGGAGATATGAGCTCAGGTCTTTGAAACTCATATTTCTCAACTTCAATTGCAGCAGGACCATGCTTCTTCCATGGCTATGACCCCATCAGGGGTTGGCAAACATTTAGTTAGCCAGATAGTAAATATTTTAGGCTTTGCAAGCCATATGGCCTCTTTCATGACTACTCTGCTGTTATAGCACAAAAACAATCTTAGTTAACATGTAAAAAAAAAAAGTGTAGCTGTGTTCCAATAGAAATTTATTTACCAAAAAAGTGGCTGGCTTTTTTGATAAATGGTTGCAGTTTGCCAACCCGTACTAAATAAATCCCTGTGTACATGAAGGACCCTCCCTGTCCTACAGCATCAAACCCTTTGAGTCTCAAGCACTTTAAAGAAGACAAAGCCGTATACGTCAAGTAACATTTAGGTATATTTTTAACCTTATGATGCTTGACTGATTAGGCCATAGTAGAATATTTGCCATCCCCAACTTGACTTAGAAATGGATCATTTCACATAGATATTTTCTCCAAGAGCCTCTCAATATTCCAGTTTCCCATCACCATAACAACCCACACTATATAATGAAAAGGTAGAAGCAGTAACAAGTAAGGGAAGAATTCAAGCACTGACTTCTCTGAATATAAGTTTTGACATTTCAAGGTATGTTGCTAACAGACCAGTCATCAGTGTCTTCAAACATTCTGCATTTCTCAGATTCTTATAATGTTGTAAATGTATTTGTGCTTTCCTAAAGGCCAGTAGTCATATATCAAGAGTCTTAAATTATTTAGAGTATACATACTTACCAAGAAGAAAACTAGGTCTCCATCAGGGGAGGCAAAAAAAGTAGAATCAGAGATGATATACTAAAAATTAACTGAGAAAAGCTAATAGAGGACATTATGTAAACATGGATAATTCAGCTTCATGCAAATTCCTAGTGGGGAAGATAAAGAGGAAGCCAGAATATATTTCACATTTTTCTGCCTTGGAAAGGATGCATTCCAATTCCATTTGAACATTAGGTTTTCCTGTTAATAATGTTATGACTCTTCTATCATCAGTACCCATCGTGAGTAGGGAGATGACAGATCTCTGAACGCAGTTACATGTTCTCCTCCCTTCTGTTGGGTCCCCAAGTCAGAGATTATCAGGACATGGTATCCTCACCCACTGTCTCAGCCCTTGGAATCCCTGGTCCTGAACTCTGTGAAAGGGGAAAGGTCACCGAATAATATTGACAGTTTTCCCCCTGGTACAGCCTCCAGAAATATCCTCTGTCCTGTGGCTCCCTAAAAATCGGGAGGAAAGCAGTCTTTAAAAGCCCGCATCAGTTCTGCTTGTGATGCTGTAACTCTGGAGGAAAACTGTATCCTGGGAGTGTTGTTTAGAATTTCCAAATCTATTCCTTTCCAGCTAATATATCTACTTAGTTTCAGACTATTCTTTCCCTCCTTGCTCTCGGGGGCTTCCCTGATAATGCTAGAAAGGAGAAAGAGAGACCAAGAAAGTACATCTGCCTAAAGTTGTGGGTCACTGCGGGGGCTGCCATTTCAGCCTTTCAGGCAGTGGTAGCTCATGAATGTTTTATTAAATACCTTCCTTGGAATGGTTCTTAATGAAGGAAAATGGCTGCTCTCTCAAGGCTACTATGAGTGTCTTTTCTGACTTCATGTTTATGGGGTTTTCCCTTTTCTTTGCTCATGTCTTGAAGGTACCAAATAACAACGAGGATAATAATAATTACAGCTGACATTCACTAAGCACTTACTGTGTGTCATGGACTCTGCCAGGCATTTCTACATTCATGGTAGCATTTAATTTCTAGAAAAGCCTTTGAAGTATGTACCAGAAGCATCCCTTACCAGATTACAGTAAGGCAATAGAATATGGTCCTTAATAGCGTGAACTTTTCCTGAGCCGAATTCTTTGAGTTCAGATCAAGGTTCTCTACTTACTGAGCAATCTTAGGCAAGTGACTTAATCTTTCTTGTATTAGTCACCAATTGCTGTGTAACATACAACCCTACAACCTTGTAGCTTAAAACAATGCACATTTATGATCTGACAGCTTCTGTGGGTCAGGAATGTGAGCATTGCTTAGCTGGGTCTTCTCATCTGCCTTAAATCAAGGTGTGAACCAGGGATTTGGTCATCTCATTGGCTGACTGGGGGAGGATATACCTTCAAGCTCACCCACATTTGGCTTCCTTTAGTTCTCTGAGGGTTGTTGGACTGTGGGCCTCCATTCTTACAAAGCTGTTAGTAGGAAGCCACCTTCAGGCTCTTGCTACATGAACATCTACAAATGGCAGCTTGCTTCATCAAAGCCTGCAAGCTGAGAAGGCAATTAAAAGAGTCGGCTAGCAAGACAAAATCACAGTCTTCTGGAACCTAATCATGGACCTGATATCCCAACATATTCGCCATATTCTGTTGACTAGAAGTAAGTCACTAGTCTAGTTCACATTCGGGGGAAAAGGCAAAAAAGAGCATGCATTCCAGGAGGTGGGAATCAGTGGAGACCATCTTAGAAGTCTGCCTTCCATATTGGGTCTCAATATTCTCATCTGTAAAATGGTGACACCAGTACCTACCCCAAAAGTTTGTTATATATAGTAAATGGTTGTTATATGTAAAACCACCTAGGTTGGGGCCTGACATATAAAAAATGTTATTAAAGTGTTTGTTATTATAATTAAAAATAACAATGAGAGTTTAATTCACTTGCCCAAGGTTGTTCAGCCAGAGCCAAGGTCATGCCCAAGGTAGTGCCAGTAGCCCAAGTTCGTGCCAGAGTGAGGACTGAACCCAGGTTATATTCACCGATTCTCAACTATGTATTTAGGGATGCAGCAGTGAACAAGAAAGGCTCAGTTCCTGCTAACATGGGACTTCCAGTCTAGAAGAAAGAGACAGACATATTCAGAGAATTACCCAAATAACTCAAAGTGTGGTAAGTTCTACAAATAAAAATGCACCATACACTAAGACAGCACATCAGAGTCTGCATAAGAGGGGTGGCTAACCTAGTATGGCTTATCAGGAAAGGTTTTCTTAAGAATCAGACACTCCAGGCCTGGCACGGCGGCTCACACCTGTAATCCCAGCACTTGGGGAGGCCGAGGCAGGCGGATCACGAGGTCAGGAGATTAAGACCATCCTGGCTAACATGATGAAACCCCGTCTCTACTAAAAACCAAAAAATTAGCCAGGCATGGTGCCAGGCGCCTGTAGCCCCAGCTACTCAGGAGGCTGAGGCAGAGAATGGCGTAAGCCCGGGAGGCAGAGCTTGAAGTGAGCTGAGATTGCGCCATTGCACTCCAGCCTGGGTGACAGAGCGAGACTCCGTCTCCAAAAAAAAAAAAAAAAAAAAAAAAAAAAAAAAAAAAAAGAATGAGACACTCCAGCTTGGATTAAAAGAATAAGTAGGATTTGGTCTGGCTAGGGGGAAAGAAAGCATATGCTTCAGGAAAAGTGAACAGAGTCTGGAAGACCCTGGGACAGAAAAGACACAAAATAAATGACATTCTTCTCAAATCTTCCTCCCTACTCTCTTATCCACATTCTGTACTTCCAATGACAGATCTAATACCACTTCCTACAAGCAAGTATTCATGATTTTCCTTCTCTAATATCTGAAAATATTGCAGCTGTTTTCCCAGAGCATTTGTATCCATCTTGGAAGGCACCTATAACACCATCTCTCTCTTTTTTTTTTCCAGTAAGTTTGCTTCTGAGTTGCTTTTCTAGCTGCTCAGCTGACCTGGAAACTCACAGAGGATAAAGTTCATAGATCTCTCACCTTTTCCTCTCAGGAATGTTCACAGTTGAGTTTGGGGGCTAGGAGACAGCCCTGAGAAGCAGACTTTGCTCTGTACACTGCTGCACCTTTGGACTTTATAACATTTGCAGATATTACTTATTCAAGAAGGTAAGAGAGGTTAAAATTTATAATGAAAACAGAGACAACGTTGCTGAGTTGAAAATGCCTGCACTTGGAATTAGACATACACATCTGTGCCCTGAGATTCTAGCTGTGTGATTCTGGGCAGATGCTTTACCCTTTCAGAGCCTGTTTCTTCTTCTGTAAAATGGGGATTATTCCACCTTCCTTGAAAGATTAAATCAGATATGATAACCAATGCACCCAGTGAAATATTCAGCACATAGCGGGGACTATGATCGTACAATGCAGGCCAGTGGGGCCGCTATTATCTTTAGTAATCCTGCTGGGATTTTAGATATTTTAGCTCAGATTTTTTCCTCCCATTTCCCCTTTCTACCTGCCAGTGATGGGGATTTTCTTGTGCTGACTTAAGCATTTGTTTTAGGTGAAGGAAGATTGCCAGGCTCTTTAAGGATGTACAAGGCAGAACTCAAGCTGTTTCTCCCATGGTGTTTTTGATAGAGCTGAGCAAAAACAAAGCCATACAAGGGTTAGGGGCTTGGGGAAGAAGCCAGGCTTCCACCCCTATGTGAGTTCTCATGTTGGGAAAGAGGTCTGAGCAAACTAGAGACTTGCAGTGAAGGACACTGAGGAGCTGAGCAAAACTTATGTAAAACAATGGATTTCCCCTGTAGACTACAATTCCTTGGAACAGGGCTATCTTTTCATTTTTGCATCCCAAAAGTCTACCCCAGAGTGGATCCCTTATAAACAGTATCCAATCACTGATTCACCCTGGCAGCTATTCATCCGGCCCTCTGATTTGTCATGAGCCCCAAAGTTCTTCAGTTCACAGACACTGAATTCACTGGTTAGCAACTCAACTTTGAGCCTCCCAACACAGGTGGGTTTTCTCACAGATCTGTTCTTCAGAGTGGGGTTTCTACATGATGAGGCAGCAGTGCATAGATGTTAAAGACTCACACACTAAAATCAGACATCTTGATGCCAATCACATCATCCCTGCCACCTCCTAGATGTGTGACCTTGGCTAAGTCATTTCGCCGCTCTCACTTTAAGTTTTTGGAGACAAGGTCTCGCTCTGTCACTCAGGCTGGAGTGCAGTGGTGCCATCATTGCTCACTGCAGCCTCGACCTCCTAAGCTCAAGCAATCCTCCCACCTCAGCCTCCTGAGTAGCTAGGGCCACAGGTGCATGCCCCTATGCTTAGCTAATGTTTTAAAAACTTTTTTTTTTTTTGGTAGAGACAGGGTCTTGCTATGTTGCCCAGGCTGGTCTTGAACTGCTGGGCTCAAGATATCCTCCTGCCTCAGCCTCCCAAAGTGCTGGGATTATAGGCAGGAGCCACTGCACCTGGCCACACACCTCTCTAGCTCTTCATTCCATTCCCCCAAGTGTACAATGGAACACTGAACAAGAGCTCGGTACTTACTGTCACTTACCATGTACCAAGTGCTGAATGAGTACTTTACACATATTATTAAAGGTACCTATTTCATACCATTATTATGCAAGCTAGGTAAGGGTCAACACAGAGATTGGCACATAGTAAGTGCTCAATAAATGCTACTTATTGGTATTATTATTCTCCACTTGGGGCATGAAGTCTTGCTTAATTTCTACTTCTTGATCTGGTACCAGCCTGATACCCAAGACAACTTCATGGATACTGCCATCTCCCCCAAAAAGATGAGTGACCTTTCTAGCCCTAGAATAAAAGCCCAGGTAAAAATCACGGACATCAGTGTTCTGTATTTGTGGGCATACGGATATCCACATTTTGGGCAATGGGTATTATTACAGTAATACTAAAAAAAGTTTGCAGAAATTTCTTTTGGTCTAATACCAACTGTAATCCCTTTTGGCAGTGTCTGCTGCTCTTAAGGATATACACCTTAAAACACTCACAAGCAGAAGCCGATCTCTTCCTCAGGAGGAACTTTCGCTACTGCAACAGTTTTCCAAACTGTTAACCTAAGCATGGTTAAATAGCATTTTTCTTTGCTTATAAAAACACTACAGAGATAACTGGAGGCAGAAGCCCCACTCTTCACTTTGGAGCCGTGCACGTCATGCACCATTCCACCCTGACGACAAGGTCCCCCACTCCCTAAATTGCTCCTAACCCCTCTCATCTCCTATTGTGCATTAACACCTCTGCTACATTGCAGTATTAATTTGATTTATGACCCAGCCGCCCCACCTGAGGCCCAGGAAGATGGCTCCCCTCCGATCGCTTCCATCAGCAGTGTAAGTGGATGGTAATAAAAACCTATACATGGCTCAGACTTTCAATTTCAATTGGAAATTGAAACTGTGCAATATGATTAAAGTTTAATCTGCATCATCAATAAACATGTGTGCGAAAGCAATGACAGCTGCTTTCTCTCCTGGTTGCAAGCATGGATTTGATGAGTGCGTGTCTGCTGTCTCTTGTCTAAGCAAAGTATTTACTGGAGTTGGGATTATACACACTGACATACGTGCATGGGCATGTGGGAAGTAGATATATTTGTGCAGAAAGATAAAAATCATCACAGGGACATGACTGGGAGAGCAAGGTTGCTCATGCTCAGATGAAATCAGATTGAATCAATAGCTCTACAAGGAATTGCTAAGGATTCAATGGTTTTTCAAGGAGTACTAATGGCCATGTATTTGTTCATTCATTTATAAAGTATTTATTGAGTGTCTACTGTGTTAGACCCTTCACTCGATCCTGGGGTCATAATAGTGAGAGAGGTAAAAATAGACACTTGTGGAACTGCTCTCATGGAACCTACAGTAATGGTTGAGAGGGATGTTTATCAGATAATTAGGCAATTAAATGTGAACTTGCCCGTCTATTAAGTGCCCACAGGAAGAGGTATACAATTCTGCTAGTGCTGTAAAGAGGGAAATGTGACCTCTTCTGTGAAGTTAGGAAGAGCTTCCTGGAGTTGGTGATGATAGAGCTAAGGTCTAAAGAAAGAACAGACACAAGAGGAATCCAGCCACAGGAAGCCATATGTGCAAAGGCCAGGAGGTAAGAGGAAGATCCAGGGAAAAGAAGGCAGAGTGGCTGGAACAGAGTGAAATAAGAAGCTTGAGGTGAGGCTGCAGAGGTGGACAAAGAAAACACACTGGGCTTTGCAGGATGTGGCAAAGGGCCTAGATTTTTTTTCTAAGTACAATGAGAAGCTATCAGAGGGTTTTAAACAAGGCAGTTATGTCATCTTTTTAAAAGGCTGCTGCATGGAGAAGGAAATGGAGGAGACAAGAATGGATGGGCAAAGACCAATAAAAGAGGCTATTTCTGTGATCTAGGGGAAAGGCAAGGATAACTTGGACTACTTCCTGACAGTGGAGGTGAGAAGTAGGAAAACTTTCTCCATGGTGAAAGTCGATGCCTGCCCTTTAAATACATAATAAATGGGCTCATCTCATCTCCATTCTAATGAGCTCTGCTCAATATGTCTCTATCACCCCGATGAACTCTCTCAGCCTCAAACTCTCCAAGAAAACATAAGCCATTCAATATGTACTCTGGCCACTTTGCCTTTCATCTCCAAACTTATCTGCATCTTTTTTTTTTTTACAGGGTCTTGCTCTGTTTCCCAGACTGGAGTACAGTAGAGTGATGATAACTCACTGCAGCCTTAAACTCCTGAGCACAAGAGATGCTCCTGCCTCAGTCTCTCAAGTAGCTGGGGTTACAGGTGTGCACCACCATGCCCAGAATTTTTTTATTTTTCATTTTTTTTTAAGAAATGGGATCTTACTATGTTGCCTAGGCTGGTCTTGAACTCCTGGGCTCAAGCAGTCCTCCCACTTTGGCATCCCAGAATGCCTGCATTACAGGCATGAGCCACCACGCTTTACTTACCTGCATCTTTACCCATGCTTACTTATTTCCGTTCTTCCCGAGAGTAAAAGTTTAATGGTGTTTGCTCTGGCCTCCAGATTTTGCACACATTATTCCTTCTGCCAGGAGCATTCTTCCCTCATTCCTCTCACTCATTTACTTGTACTTACATTCCCAGTCTCAGATAGATTTTTCTGCAAATTCTTCTTGACCCTCTCTGCACAACTGGCATTGTCTGTTTAGTTAGCTTTTAGCAATCAGTAGACTGTGCAAACCTTGACAAGAAGGCCAGTCCTTGTTTCTCATTATATCCCTCATTGTCCTATACAGTGTTCTGTGCACTGCATACAAGAAGAGCTCAATAGATGCACATTGGATGATGGCAGAGCTCTTCCTTCTTTCAAGTGCCAGCTCCTCTCCTTGTGCTATTGATACCAATTCTTCCTACTTCAGAATGACCTTGTTCTGTCAATTATTCCTTCTCACTCCTACATATTCAAGCTCACCAACTTGACTATATCCTTACCCACAACAAGAAATTCATGTTTCCTCACCCTAAAGAGCACTGTCATTTGCTCCTGGCTTCTCCCTAAGAGTAGAAGCTTCCCCCAACCTTCCACTGCTCGAATATCTAGAAAATATAGTCTAGATTCACTATTTCTATTTCATCATCCCTTACTTCCTTTACCATCTGGCTTCCATCCACATAGTTCCATCAAAATAGCTCTAATGATCCCTGGGGACCTCCCAATACCAAATTCAATGGTTACTTTTCAGCTTTCATTCTATTTGGCTTCTTGGTAACATTTGATGCTGTTAACCACCTGCCTTCTGCTGAAAAACTATCTCTTGATTTATGCAGGAATAATTCCTGGCTCTTCACTTACATCTTTCACTGCAATTTCTCATTTATTACTCTTAATCGAACTTCCTGGGTATTTCATGCCATTTTACAAGTGAATAAAGTAAGGCTACGATAAGCTACATGATTGTGAATATGTTCTTTTTAAAAAGTCTTCATCTGTTGGTGATACTCACTAAAGTATTTTTCAGTAAAATGATACAATACCTTGGAATTGCTGTAAAATACTCCAGATGTGCTGGGTGCAGTGGCTCACACCTGCAATCTCAACAGTTTCGGAGGCTGAGGTAGGAGGATCACTTGAGACCAGGAATTCAAGACCAGCCTGGGCAACATAATGAGACCCCCATCTCTACATAAAATTAAAAAATTAGCCAGGTGTGGTGGTGCTACTCAGGGGGCTGAGGCACAAGGGTCACTTGAGCCCAGGAGTTCGCGGCTACAGTAATCACATCGCTGTACTCCCGCTTGGGTGGCAGAGTGAGAGCCTATTTTAAAATAATAAATAAATAAATAAACTACTCCAGATATAGTCAAATATTATTCATATAATTTTTAAAGGTAGGTATAGTTGAAAAATAAAATAAAAATTATATGCCTTGCTACCATTATTCCACTTTAGAAACCCAGGTCTCCTTAAAACTCCTAAAATCAATGGTCTTTCTACCACAAAGATGGACATACTTCAGGTGATCCAGGCGAGGGCTTAGTCAGAGTCAGGGGTGATAGGGTTTCTGCCTTATTTACGGAAGGCAATGAACCACGGAGTCTCCACGTTTTCAGAAGACTTGGGTTTTTGGCTTGGCCCTGCCAGGATCCATACATGGGGCCTTGAATGGCATATTTGCCCATGACAAAGTGAACCTCTCCATGTCTGTAAACATACTTAGACAATAGACCTCAGAGGTTGCAGTGAGCCGAGATCGTGCCATCGCACTCCAGCCTGGGGAACAAGAGTGAGACTTCGCCTCAAAAAAAAAAAAAAAAAAAAAAAAGAAAATAGACTTCTCTAAGAGAAGTTGTAACTATCAAGGAATTTTAAAATGTGATTTGTAAAGAGAGGCAGCATGGTGCCACGGTGAAGAACCCAGGCTGTCAGGTGAAACAGACCTGGATTTAAGCCCCTGCTCCATGACTTACTGGCTAGGTGAACTTGGGCAAGTCACTGGGGACCTCAGAGCATCAGTTCCCACGATGCCATTTAGGAAGAGCAATTTCCTACCCTGCAGGATTATGGAGAGGATTAAAATGTAACAACTAGAACAGAGTAGTTGTCCCTGAATTCTTATTGGGAGGTGGTGGACAAATAGGAGGCAGGGACACCATGGGTCCTTTGTAGCCCCTCTTTCTACTTCCTGCGCATCTCATTCACTCAGGATGATTTGCAGTTGGTGGCAAATCCAGCCCTGGGACCAGAGATCTGAGACTAGTGATAAAACCGTCAGCCAAGATTTGCTACATCTTTTTTTTCCACCCCCTAGTCTCCCATTAAAAATGATTTGTCGTTAGAACAAAACATGGGAAAACAAACGTGATTAAAATTTTCCCATATTAAATACCTGTGTGGCAATGGCAGGCCCGAGCTGAGAGCTCTGGAAAGGCTCTGATTCATCCATCTGGAAGGGGTCTGAGCATCTGGCAGAGTCGGGAAGTGAGTAAGAGTCTGGGTTTGTTTCTCTGCTGCCTCGTTCTTGGCATCTTTCTTCCATCTCGCTGACTTCCTCAATCGACTCCATTAAACACAGATTACAGGTAACTGGGGCATGGGGTGGGCATCACCATAGCATTGGGAAGGTAGGAGGAAGGTGGGGAGGGAGGATATGCTTTACCCTCCTACCCTGCCTTCCCCGAGGGGAAAAAAATCTCATAACTTTCAGAAATGTGATAGATCTGTCAAAAATCCATGAAGTCAGTTGCATAGGTTATGAAACTCACTTCACAGGTTTGGTATCTCTCAGAAACCTTTTGCTTCCTTAAGGCCTGAAGGAGATTCATTGCAAAAATATCTGCAACTTTTCATCCCTCTCTGCACACCTCTTGCACAATGACCTAACAGCTCCTCTCATCAAGAGGCAAAAACTCTTTTCCAATCCTTGATATGGGCTAGGCTAATGACTTGTTTTGGCTAAAAAGAAGATATCAGAAGTGAATGCATGCAAGTTCCAAGGTTAGGGCTCAAAAGGCTGAAAACATGCACATTTCAACTTTCTTGTAAAAAGCTTGGCATACTCTACTGCATGGTGGGAGATACATAGCCCAGTTACCGCCCCTCACACCATCCAACAGCCAGCCGACTTCTAGGCAAGTGAGCAAGGCCATCCTAGACTAGCAAGCCTCCACCGACTGCAACCTGACCACAGATTCATGAGAAAACCCAGCCAAAATCAGTTCATCTTGTCTTAGACCAGTAGAACTGCCCAGTTGACCTGCAGACTGGTAAGCAATAATAAATGCTATTGCTTGCTTAGAGGTGGTTTGTTAAGCTGTGAAACTAATTGACACAAAACGGTGTGACTTAACATGGCCACATCTTGCTAATGTGTGCCCTACCCCCTGCAAATAACTTTAACCAATTATGTCTTCAAATTTAAAGTGTGAGTTTTTTTTTTTCAGCTTTGTAGAATCTGGGAAGGTCGTTGGTTAATGTGAAAAGCCCTAAGAATTCAGACTATAAATATTTCTTCTTGAAGGATCTAAAGTATTCTGTCACCTAAGGGCTGAGAGTCCCTGGCCCTATAAAAGCCTATATACATAGGGCATCTATTATCCCACTCCAACTTACTGCATTGATTTCTTCTCCTCAGGGTGCCTAAGAAATTTTGGTTAATAAGAGAAAGAACCAAAGGTAGAAGTAAATTTGTTTATTCATACTCACAGAGCTTCCTCTTCCTCATTCAATCACCAAAGAAGGGAATAGTTTACCTGGACTGGTCAAGCCAAGGACATGTTATTGGGGCAAAGGTTTCACTGGACTGAGATTGGCAATCAATGTCTCCCTCTCTGCCTGTTCCTCCTCCCCCTCCTCTTCCTTCTACTCTTCTCTTCCTCTTCTCTTCTCCTTCTTCTCACTCATCTTTCTTTTCTCTTCATGAGATTGGAAAAAAGATACTACCACCTCCCTCTCAGGCAGAAGGGACATTTCCCCTGCCCTTTTGGAATCTCAAGGGAAACTAGAGTGAAGCCCACAGGAAAGACTCTCTGCTTGTTTAGACAAAGAAAGAGATCCTCATGGCCTCCAAAACTTGGAGGGAGAAAGAGTGGCTTGGGAGCAGGATTCACGTGTTCACTTGATGGCAGGCATGCTCTTGACAGTACCCTTCAAACATTCACTCCAACTCAAAGGCCTGTCCAGGAGGGCCAGGTGCGGTGGCTCATACCTGTTATCCCAGCACTTTGGGAGGTGGAAGTGGGCAGATCACTTGAGGCGGGGAGTTCAAGACCAGCCTAACCAACATGGCAAAACCCCGTCTCCACTGAAAATACAAAAATTAGCTGCTTGTGATGGTAGATGCCTGTAATCTCACCTACTTGGGAGGCTGTGGCAGAAGAATTACTTGAACCCAAGAGGCAGAGGTTGCAGTGAGCCCAGATTGTGTCACTGCACTCCAGCCTGGGCAACAGAGCGGGACTCTGTCTACAACAAAACCAAACAGAACCTGTCCAGGAAATGCCTCCCCCAGAGGAAAACCATGACTGGGAGTGAAGGATGAAGGAGGGAGTGCCTAGGAAAGTCTTGGACTGAAAAGAGAATAGCAGGCAGGCTGGGTTACTTTAAATGCTGATGATGAAGTTGAGAGAAGTGGAAATGGCATCAGTGACGTAGACTTGGAGTTGAAGATAAAATTGCATCTGTTAGTATTCCTGTGGAAATATTAGGCTGTAACTAGAATGTGTGAGATGGTCTCTCTTAGACATGAAAGCATTAATCATAAACTGACAATAAAATGAGTAAATGTGGACACATAATAAGAAATACTTGGAGTTTTTCCCTAAACAGAAATCTTTCACCAAAGCAGAACTCTTCCTCCTCAAATCCATCTCCACTCTGCAACTCTTAACATCAGGGTTCTTACTTCAAGGCAATTTCACCATTTTCTGGCCCTTGCTTACCTACACTAACCTTCTTCCTTTGCACTTCTGTTCTGCTTTTTACCTTCCAGCGTTTGTTACACCTTGGGAAACACTGGATTCACTCCTTTCTCCAGATTTTTGCAGACATATCGTCTCTACCTGGGGCATTCTATTTCCCTAACTAATCCTTCATATTTCAGCCTAAATGTCCCCTCCTCCAAGAATTAGTGTCAGGGGACCCTTGGACAGTCCTGTTTCTGCAGCTGGGTTATTCCCGGGCCTTTTCTATATGTTACTGCTTACTTCCCTGTAGACATAGAGATGGATACATTGTTTCCTTCCCTTGTAGGTTTCCTTCCTTTGTAGGTAAGTAGATACAGATACAGATACAAATGGCCATTTGGGGATCACAGCACCAAAAGATTTGGGCTACTTCATGCCCATGAGATAATTTCTGAGTTACAACAAGGGGTCTCATGCCCATGAGATAATCCCTGAGTTACAACAAGGGAAGAAACAAAATCGTTGGAGCTATTCACTAAATTCATCTTGTTTTACATCACAAAAATTTTTGTTTGCTTGCTAGTTACTTCTATCACAGTCTAGGAGAAGCCTGACCAAACAGAAAAAAAAAAATTGTAACTGGATTTTATCACTATCAATTATTCTGGGTACAAAGTGGAAGGCAGGTCATTTGTCCTGGGGAAGGAGCAGTGAAGTAGAGACCAGGTTGTGGTCAAGGAGTTTCACCTGAATAAATCTTGTTCCATCCCATTTTCCCAAGATCTAGGCAAGACAAGGAAAATGGGCATGCTTTCATTTTAGTTAGACCTTTGAAATTTTGTAAGAAGAGAGCCTCATGAGCAAAGAGTTGAAAAACCAATGGGGTAATAACGGGTTATTCTTAATGGTACCTTCAGTAGAAAATAAAAAGGTTTGCTGGGTGGGGCGTGGAGTGGGGTGGGGGAAGGCTGAACTGATAGGTTACTGTCGCTTAGTGTTCTGAACTTTTTCCTGACTGCTTTATGTAAAGAAGCAATTAATGAATGCACAACTGTCAAGAATAATTTGCCCTTAGAGACACACCAAAAAAAGAGAATTTTAGACCAATATCCCTGATGAACATTGATGTGAAAATCCTCAGTAAAATACTAGCAAACCGAATCCAGCCGCACATCAAAAAAGCTTATCCACCACGATCAAGTCGGCTACATCCCTGGGATGCAAGGCTGGTTCAACATACGCAAATCAATGAACGTAATCCATCGCATAAACAGAATCAATAACAAAAACCTCATGATTATCTCAATAGATGCAGAAAAAGCCTTTGACAAAATTCAACAGCCATTCATGCTAAAAACTCTCAATAAATTAGGTATTGATGGGACGTATCTCAAAATAATAAGAGCTATTTATGACAAACCCACAGTTAATATCATATTGAATGGGCAAAAACTGGAAGTATTCCCTTTGAAAACTGGCACAAGACAGGGATGTCCCCTCTCACCACTCCTATTCAACATAGTGTTGGAAGTTCTGGCCAGGGCAATCAGGCAAGAGAAAGAAATAAAGGGTATTCAATTAGGAAAAGAGGAAGTCAAATTGTCCCTGTTTGCAGATGAAATGATTGTATATTTAGAAAACCCCATTATCTCAGCCCAAAATCTCATTAAGCTGATAAGCAACTTCAGCAAAGTCTCAGGATACAAAATCGATGTGCAAAAATCACAAGCATTCCTATACACCAATAACAAACAAACAGCCAAATCATGAGTGAACTCCCATTCACAATTGCTACAAGGAGAATAAAACACCTAGGAATACAACTTACAAGAGATGTGAAGGACCTCTTCAAGAAGAATTACAAACCACTGCTCAATGAAATAAAGAAGGACACAAACAAGTGGAAGAATATTCCATGCTCATGGATAGGAAGAATCAATATCATGAAAATGGCCATACTGCCCAAGGTAATTTATAGATTCAATGCCATTCCCATCAAGCTACCAAAGATTTTCTTCACAGCATTGGAGAAAACTACTTTAAAGTTCGTATGGAACCAAAAAAGAGCCTGCATTGCCAAGATAATCCTAAGCAAAAAGAACAAGGCTGGAGACATCACGCTACCTGACTTCAAACTATACTACAAGGCTACAGTAACCAAAACAGCATGGTACTGGTACCAAAACAGAGATATAGACCAACAGAACAGAACAGAGTCCTCAGAAATAACACCACACATCTACAACCATCTGATCTTTAACAAACCTGACAAAAACAAGAAATGGGGAAAGGATTCCCTATTTAATAAATGGTGCTGGGAAAACTGGCTATCCATATGCATAAAGCTGAACCTGGATCCCTTCCTTACACCTTATACAAAAATTAATTCAAGATGGATTAAAGACTTAAATGTTAAACCTAAAACCATAAAAACCCTAGAAGAAAACCTAGGCAATACATTCAGGACATAGGCATGGGCAAGGACTTCATGACTAAAACACCAAAAGCAATGGCAACAAAAGCCAAAATAGACAAATGGGATCTAATTAAACTAAAGAGCTTCTGCACAGCAAAAGAAACTACCATCAGAGTGAACAGGCAACCTACAGAATGGAGAAAATTTTTGCAATCTACTCATCTGACAAAGGGCTAATTCCAGAATCTACAAAGAACTCAAACAAATTTACAAGAAAAAATCAAACAACCCCATCAAAAAGTGGGCAAGGGTTATGAACAGACACTTCTCAAAAGAAGACATCTATGCAGCCAATGGATACATGAAAAAATGCTCATCATCACTGGTCATCAGAGAAATGCAAATCAAAACCACAGTGAGATACCATCTCACACCAGTTAGAATGGCGATCATTAAAAAGTCAGGAAACAACAGATGCTGGAGAGGATGTGGAGAAATAGGAACGCTTTTCCATTGTTAGTGGGAGTGTAAACTAGTTCAGCCATTGTGGAAGACAGTGTGGCAATTCCCCAACGATCTAGAACTAGAAATACCATTGGACCCAGCCATCCCATTACTGGGTATATATCCAAAGGATTATAAATCATGCTACTACAAAGACACATGCACACGTGTGTTTATTGTGGCACTATTCACAATAGCAAAGACTTGGAACCAACCCAAATGTCCATCAATGATAGACTGGAGTAAGAAATGTGGCACATATACACCATGGAATACTATGCAGCCATGAAAAAGGATGAGTTCATGTCCTTTGCAGGGACATGGATGAAGCTGGAAACCATCATTCTGAGCAAACTATCACAAGGACAGAAAACCAAACACCTCATGTTCTCACTCATAGCTGGGAATTGAACAATGAGAACACTTGGACACAGGGCAGGGAACATCACATACTGGAGCCTGTTGTAGGGTGGGGGGCTGGGGGAGGGATAGCATTAGGAGAAATACCTAATGTAAATGACGAGTTAATGGATGCAGCAAACCAACATGGCATATGTATACCTATGTAACAAACCTGTACATTGTGCACATATACTCTAGAACTTAAAGTATAAAAAAAAAAGAAAGAAAAAAACCAAACTTGCCCTTACAGTAAGATTATCCTTAAAACAGTAGGTTTTCACTTTGGAAGGTCAAGGCGGGCGGATCACGAGGTCAGGAGATCAAGACCATCCTGTCCAACATGGTGAAACCCTGTCTCGACTAAAAATACAAAAATTAGCTGGGTGTGGTGGTGGGCGCCTGTAATCCCAACTGCTCTGGAGGCTGAGGAAGGAGAATCCCTTGAACCCAGGAAACAGAGGTTGCAGTGAGCCGAGATTTCGCCACTGCACTCCAGCCTGGCAACAGAGTGAGACTCGATCTCAAAAAACAAACAACAACAAAATAGTAGGTTTTGCTAATCCTGAATGAATAGGTTTAGGGCTCCTTCTCTAGCCCCACAGACCTGGTGCTCCTCCCAGAGTTCCCTTCATCCCCTCACCCACCACCAGACTAAAAGCATCTTGATGGCATGAACTATGTTTTGTTCACATCGGTGTGGCTGATTCTCAGAACTCAGAGGAATGGAACCTGTGCTTCAGGCCCACACTTATGAGAGGATCTGGCCACCAGTTTTGTTCAGATCTATTTCTCAAGATTAACCAATTATCAGCTTTGTTCTTACAAGTCAGTTGGCTGAAGTAAATGATCCTGCACTCTATCCAATTGCTATTTTCTGGTGAGAAGCCAATCCCGTTGGAAGTTCACCTGCCTCAGGTATCTAAAAAAGGACCTGGGAGCAAATCCCAGGCTTGACATTTATGTGGGAAAGTCACTTATCCTCTGTGTCTCAGTCCCTCATCTATAACATGAGGATAATAATAGTATATCTCCTGTAGACTGCTTTCAAGGAATTAAAAATAACCCATGTAATCTTTTGGCTACCTGGCAAACCTATATGAGTATTTGCTATGATAACAATGATAATGATGACATTGATTAGGACTTCATTAATAATGCTATACCTGTTCATTCTTGGGCTGTGCTGATGAGCTGGGTAACATTTACAGCAGAATAAGGAATGAATATGAGCCCAATATATATCTGGTACCCAGTGCTGACTTAAATGTAATTAGCACACTTTGGGCAGGTTGACAGGATGTTTCTGTTTCCTTGTTTATGTTTCCTTCTCCCTTGTCTTTGAGTGTTTGTATCAGCCGGTGATTTGGAATGCACAAACATTTCCTATTGACAGGAAAATCAGAGAAAGTGCAATCTCACAGCTCAGATATTAGTTCAGTTGCTCTGAGTCTTGGTGGTGTGATTGATGGGAGTTTTATTGCAAATGTAAAAATCTGCATTCCCTTCCTCCCTTGTTGGCACATCAACGTTTTGGTCGCACACAACACGTCCCAGTGCATTGAGGATAATAGACTCTAATGTCCTTGATAGCTGTGCATCAAAGCCAGTCAATGCACCATTGGCTTAGATGACAGAAATGACTGGGTCAATGACATTCACACACCCACCGCCTGGTAAAGACAACAACACTCCCAAAGCTAGAAATGGAGATTATTTGCCAATATAACATTAATTCCACCAACATTTATTAGACTCCTGTAGCAGTGAGGCTTAAGCCAGCACAGTGTCAGGCACGTGGATGGGTGTACATTCAGTTCTTGTTAAATGAGTGAATGGGTGACTAAATAAATGAATGAAAGTCTATATAGTGTGAAGTCACTGAGGAATCCATAATGCTTCCTCATTTGGAAATGGAATTTTCAAAAAGCAATCAAATCTGAAGGAAATTAGCTAGAAGCAATGAATACATGGCAAAAGCCCAAAGATGTTAGTCCAGCTGCTGCAAATATGACTAATGCACAAACCCAGGGGAGTGGATAATGCCTTGGCTGCCAAAAAAAAAAAACGACAAAAAAACCCTGAAAATCTAAAAAGAGACTTAACTCAATTTCAAGGAGAGAGTGTTTGACCATGACCCATAGGCACAAGTTGGATCTTACAGATGGGTAAACTTTGCTTCAGCTTGTGTCCTTCAAAAACCTTGATGTTATTCTACTCAGTAGCAACTGGATTATAAAGGGGTTTAGAAGCTGAGGAACTTACGAAGAGCTTTCAATCTAGGGAAGGAGAGATAAATAGATTCTAGGTTCCATGCTTAGATCCTAGCGGTGCCTAGCTACTCTATCCCCAGTAGCTAGCTCAGTGCCTGGCACACGGTACATGCTCAAAAAATAGTTGAGTGCATGAAGGAAGATATCTATAAAATATGCTATCTATCTCTATTACAATATTGTGTGTTAATCTGCTTTACTGCGAAAGTAATACATAGTGAATAATGTATATCTAGTATATCTGCATTACTTTCATGTTTCTAACAGATAACGTTTAGTCTATAACCTATAATAAGAGGTACATAATCAGAAGAGAGATACTTGTGTGGGCAGTCAGAGGAAAGACAAATGCCTTCAAATCTAGGGAAATTGGGAAAGGAGGTGGGAAATTATGAAAGAGGAGGCATCAAAGGTGGGTCTGGAAGTAAAGGCAGAGCTGAACATTGTACAATGCAGGCTGAGGAAATAGTAGGAGAAAATTTTCAGCAAAACAAAATGATAGAACAATGTTTTTCCAAGTGTATCCTAAAAAAACTCTTCGCACAAAATCACCTGGGGATAAGCATCCCTAGCCTACTGGGTCAGAGTCTCTGTTGATAGAGCTCATGAATCTGAACTCTAAAAGATGCTATAAGTCATTTTTATGTGCTACATTTTTGAGGAGCCATTTGTAGGAAGCACCTACCTCACTATTTAATTTAATCCTCTTGACTATTCAGGGAGGTAAACATGATTGTTCCCATTTGATGGCAGGTATATTGAAGCTCAAGGAAGTGAAGTGATGTGTTCAAGGTCACCCAGCCTGTAAGTCAAAGAGCGGTGGTTTAAACACCAAACACCGGACATCAAACCTTTACTCTTTCCCACTACCCTCTCTGCATACAAGGCTGAAGGACAGGCTGTATGAAGGGAAGCTGCAGGTGATGACTTTGAAAGAGTATATTCTGACAATAATAGTAGTAGAGATCAATAAAGACAATGATAGTGTTTTATATCTTTAAAAAGAAAGAAAGGACACACCGCTCTGGCTGTGGCAGACTTTATCAGGAGGCTCTGATTAATGAGCAAAGCTCTAACTCGGGCTCCCTAATAGATGCCTGTTATATCACCAGGAGATTTTCATCTCAGCGATACATTGCTATAATTTGCTTGGGCAGCAGTGTCAGTTCTGCCCCAAGTTTGATCAGGCTAGTCTCTGTTTTTCAATAAAAAGGTCAGTAACTACAAACATCCAGTATAGCAACTAGTGATCAGGAAATGAGGCCGAAGCAGCCATTAAGTAGTCATGGGGAGGCAGCTCAGAATGGGCTGTGAATTCTGGGGTTGGACATCTCATTTGTGGAGTGGTAGGCCTGGGTCTTCCTCAGGGTGCCTGGTTGATAAGAAATGTTGGTTAATAGGGAAAAAAAAAAAGCCAAAAGTAGAAGTAAATTTGTTTAGTCTTACTCACAGAGCTTCTTCCCTTATTCAATCACCAAAGAAGAGGATTGTTGATCTGGATTGGTCAGGCCAAGGAAATATTATCGGAGCAAAGTTTTCACTGGACTAAGGTTGGCAATCAGTTTCTCTCACTCTCCTCCTCCTGTTCCTCCTCTCCTGTACCAAGGTTAAAGGTACAAGGTTGTGGGTTCGGCTGACGGAGGGAATGCCAGCATCCCTCACTGTTCCAAAGCCCCACCTGCCTCCCAAAGATAGCTGGCCACCCAAAAAGCTCATAACGGGGAGACCACATCATAAACTCTGTCGAAAGAGGTCTGACTCATTCCCTCGCATCCTTCAGTTCCCTGCTCAAATGATAACTTCTGAAGGATGTCTTTGACCACCTACTAGGAATATCATCACTCATCCCACCTCCCCAGATTTCCACATGATTCCTCCCTCTTACTCTCCTTTCTTCATTACTCTTAGTGACGCCCAGTATTACATTATCTACTCTTTTGTTCTTTTGTTTACTGCCTGTCTCTTTCCACTAGACTGTAAGCTTCATGTAGTTAGAAATCTGTTTCCCCTCCATTTCCCCAAAATCCAGGACTGTGCCTGTTTTGTGGTAGACATTGCATAAATATTTGTTGAATGAAAGGACAATGTATTAGCACAAATGCATCTTCTATCACAAAGAAGTCATTTCATTCTCAGTTCTAATTGCCTTCACTTGTGAAGACACCTAAAAATAAAACTTTTTCCCCCAGTTAAATCTATCAGCAGCATTTTTCTCATCATCCCTAGGATAGCATACAAACATTTTGATGTGGTTTATTGGACCCTCTGTGTCTGCTCGAGGTTCCCCTTCAGCCCGCTCACACCTCTCTCTGCCTTGCATCTGTGCATCATACATTCCTTCAGACAGATGATAGCACCTGCTTTTCCCCAATCTCACGTCCTGCAATGTCACCCCCTCAGCCTGAAACACTCTCTTGCTTCATTCTTCACTTGGTTAATTCCTAAGCATCCTTCCACACTCCACTTAAACATCATTTCCTGGGGCTGTCTTTCCTAAATTCTCAGGCTCAGCTAACTCTCTTCCATAGCAGCCTGCATTTCCACCTTCTGTTACATTTAAACATTTGAACATTTGTTCAGTGTTTGTCTTCCCCATGAATTCCAAGTCTGTGAACTCCACAGAGGTGAGAATGGGTCGTTCTTCCTGACTGCTGACTTTTCAACATTTAGCAAAGTGTGGGAGAGAGTCAGTGCCCAATATATATTGCCTTTGTGAATGAATGCATGCATGAATATCAGAGCCCAGGAGTTAGCTCCCACTGGAATTACCTCCAAATACAGGATAAACTCAGATAAATCCCCACCCCCCTGAGATGCTGTTTGAGAATGGACCATTTTTGGTCTCAGTGTTGGCAACAGATTCTCACTCACTTCCAGTTATTCTCCAAGTCCAGCCTCTTATGAGCAGATTAAGTCTTTTTCTTGTCACCAAAGACCCCTGGCCCTGACTCCAGGAGCTGAGGCCATTACCAAGTCCATACCCTAAATGGCAAAATGTTAGAGACCTGGCTTTTTTGCAAATGTATTATTCAAGCCCTTAGCTAAGAAACAACACTTCTGTTTCTGGAGGTGAAAAATTTGCAACTAACTCAGCATCCAGAATGCTAGCAAATTTGAAGCAATCTAGAGAACTGTGCTGAAATTGCAAAGCCGGGAGGCCAAGGGGAAGAGGCCATGCTAGCTTTATATTAATAGAGAACTCCAGAGCTGGTCTGAAGGCCACAGGGGAGAAAGATAGAGGGGTTGAGTAGGGAAGAAAAACACACAGAGACTTTTATTGCTTTTGTTGAGCTCTAATTACAAAAATCATAAACACACACAAAACTCTCCCATAATTAACTGCCCAGAGAAAACAACTTTTTACATTTAGCTGCATGACCTTTTGGTACTTAAAAAGATGGGCTTGAAAGCTATGCTTATTATTTAATAGCCAGCCTTCACTGAACAATGCAGCACATATTCCTATGAGAGGCAGAATTGGCATTGGTTGAGAAAACGGACTTTGTAATCAGACAGACCTGCAACTTACTCTTACTGAACTCCACGCTAAGTTGGCAACTTTTGGCAAGACGCTTAAGCCCTAAATTCCTCATCTATAAACCAAGGACAAAAGTGGAATTGATCTCTCTGTGTCAAGAGGATTAAATGAAGTAAAATATGTTCATTATTAATACTGATCTCGGTGCACAATAGATGTTCAAGTAGCTATCACTATTGTTGGTATTATAATATATAATATTGATATAACATCAGCAATCATTTTTTTCTTTCCAGCTTTTATTTTAGGTTCAGGAGGTACATGTGCAGGTTTGTTTGTTTTGTAGGTAAATTGCATGTCACAGAGGTTTGGTCTACAGATTATTTTGTTACCCAGGTAATAAGCATAGTACCTGATAGGTAGCTTTCGGATTATCATCCTTCTCCCACCCTACATTCTCATGTAGATCGTGCTGTTTATTATCAACTTCTTCACGTGTAGTCAGTGTTTGGCTCCCACTTATACATGAGGACATGTGGTATTTGGTTTTCTGTACCTGCATTAATTCATTTAGGATAATGGCCTCCAGCTCCATCCATGTTGTTGCAAAGGACGTGATCTCATTCTTTTTTATGGCTGCATAGTTATTCCATGGTGTATATGTATCACATTTTCTTTACCCAGTCCTCTGTTGATGGGTACTTAGGTTGATTTTATGTCTTTGCTATTGTGGATAGTGCTGTGATGAACATATGCATACATGTGCTTTTATGGTAGAATAATTTATATTCCTTTGGGTATACACACAGCAATGGAATTGCTGGGCCAAATAGTAGTTTTGTTTTAAGTTTCTTGAAAAATATCCAAATTGCTTTCCATAGTAGCTGAACTAATTTACATTCCCACCAGCAGAGTAGAAGTATTCCCTTTTCTTGGCAATCTTGCCAGCATCTGTTATTATTATTATTTTTTTACTTTTGAATAATAGCCATTCTGACTGGTGTGAGATGGTATCTCATTGTGGTTTTGATTTGCGCTTCTCTAATGATTAGTGATATTGAGCATTTTTTCATATGGTTGTTGGCTGCATGTACATCTCCTTTTGAAAAGTGTCTGTTTATGTCCTTTGTCTACTTTTTAATGGAGTTGTTTGCTTTTTGCTTGTTAATATGTTTAGGTTCCTTATAGATTGTGGATATTAGACCTTTGTCGATGCATAGCTTGCAAATATTTTCTCCCATTCTGTAGGTTGTCTGTTTACTCTGTGGATAGTTTCTTTTGCTGTGCAGGAGCTCTTCAGTTTAATTAGATCCCATTTGTCAATTTTTGTTTTTGTTGCAATTGCTTTTGGCATGTTCGTCTTGAAATCTTTGCCAGGACCTATGTCCAGAATGTTATTTCCTAGGTTTTCTTCTAGGGTCTTTATAATTACAGGTTTTACATTTAAGTATTTAATCCACCTTGAGTTGATTTTTGTATATGGTGAAAGGAAGGGGTCCAGTTTTAATCTCCTGCATATGGCTAGCCAGTTATCCCAGCACCATTTATTGAATGGGAGTCCTTTCCCCATTGCTTGTTTTTGTCAACTTTGTTGAAGATCAACAGGCTTTATCTCTGGGTTCTCTGTTTTGTTCCATTGTTCTATGTTTCTGTTTTTGTACCAGTACCATGCTGTTTTGGTTACTGTAGTACAATTTGAAGTGGGCTAATGTGATGCCTACAGCTTTTTTCAATTTACTTAAGATTGCATTGACTATTTGGTCCCTTTTTTAGTTCAATATGAATTTTATAATAGCTTTTTCTGATTCTGTGAAAAATGTCATTCGTAGTTTGATACGAGTAGCATTGGATTTGTAAATTGCTTTGGCCGGTATGGTTGTTTTAACAATATTGATTCTTCCTATCCATGAGCATGGAATGTTTTTCCATTTGTGTCATCTCTGAGTTCTTTAGCAGTGTTTTGTAATTCTTGTTGCAGAGATCTTTCACCTTCCTGGTTAGCTCTATTCCTAGGTTGTGTGTGTGTGTGTGTGTGTGTGCATCTATTGTGAATGGGATTGCATTTTTGATTTGGCTCTCAGCTTGGAAATTGTTAGTGTATAGGAATGCTACTGATTTTTGTACATTGATTTTGTATGCTGAAACTTTGCTGAAGTTGTTTATCAGATCTACAAGTTTGGGCAAAAACGATGGGATTTTCTAGGTATCAAATCATATCATCTATGAAGAGAGATAGTTTGCCTTCTTCCCTTGCTATTTGGATGCCTTTTATTTCTTTCTCTTGCCTGATTACTCTGACTAGGACTTTCAGTTCTACGTTGAAAAGGAGTGATGAGAATAAGCATTGTTGTCTTATTATAGTTCTCAAGGGGAATGCTTCCACCTTTTGCCATTCAGTTTGATGCTGGCTATGGCCTTGTCATAGATGGCTCTTACTATTTTGAGGTATGTTCCTTCAATGCCTAGTTTGTTGAGGGTTTTTAACATGAAGGAATGTTGAATTTTATCAAAAGTCTTTTCTGCATCTATTGAAATGATCATGTGGTTTTCCTTGTTAGTTCTGTTTATATGACGATTCACATTTACTGATTTGCATATATTGAACCAACCTTGCATCCCAGGAATAAAGCCTACTTAATCGTAATGGATTAGCTTTTTGAAGTGCTGCTATATTCAGTTTGCTAGTGTTTTGTTGAGGATTTTTGCATCTATGTTCATCAGGGATGTTGGCCTGAAGTTTTCTTTTTTTTTATTGTGTCTCTGCCAGGTTTTTTTTTTTAAGTTCTGGGGTACATGTGCAGGATGTATAGGTTTTTTACATAGGTAAACTTGTGCCATGGTGGTTTGCTGCACCTATAAACCCATCACTTAGGTATCAAGCCCAGCACACTTTAGCTATTTTTCCTAATGTTCTCCCTTCCCCCACTCCATCCCCCAAAAGGTCCCAGTGTGTGTTGTTCCTTTCCCTGTGTCTGTGTGTTCTCATTGTTCAGCTCCCACTTACAAGTGAGAACATGCAGTGTTTGATTTTCTGTTCCTGCATTAGTTTGCTGAGAATAATGGCTTCCAGCTCCTTCCATGTCCCTGTAAAGGACATGGTCTCTTTCCTTTTTATGACTGCATAGTATTCCATGGCATATTTGTACCATTGTCTATCATTGAAGGGCATTTGAGTTGATTCCATGTCTTTGCTATTGTGAATAGTGCTGCACTGAACATTCACGTGCATGTATCTTTATAATAGAATGATTTATATTCTTTTGCGTATATACCCAGTAATCAGATATCTCGGTCAAGTGGTTTTTCTGGTTCTAGACCTTTGAGGAATCATCACACCATCTTCTGCAATGGTTGAACTAATACACATTCCCACCAACAGTGTAAAAGCATTCCTATTTCTCTACAACCTTGCCTGTATCTATTGTTTCTTGACTTTTTAAAAATTGCCATTCTGACTGGTTTGAGATGGTATCTTACTGTGGTTTTGATTTGCATTTCTCTAATAATCTGTGGTGTTGAGCTTTTTTCATAGGTTTGCTGTCCACACGAATGTCTTTTGAGAAGTGTCTGTTCATGTCCTTTGCCCACTTTTTAATGTTTTTTCTCTTGTAAATTTGTTTAAGTTCCTCTGACAAAGGTCTAATATCCAGAATCTGCTGGGTTTTAATATCAGAATGATGCTGGCCTCATATAATGAGTTAGGGAGGAGTCCCTCTTTCTCACTTTTTTGGAATAGTTTCAGTAAGATTGGTACCAGGTCTTCTTTATACATCTGGTAGAATTCAGCTGTGAATTCATCTGCTCCAGAGCTTTTTCTGCTTGGTAGGCTTTTTATTATGAATTCACTTTCAGAGCTTCTTATTGGTCTGTTTAGGGTTTCAATTTCTTTCTAGTTCAACCTTGGGAGGTTATTTTTCCAGGAATTTATCTCTTTCTTCCAGTTTTTCTACGTAAGTTGCATAGAGGTGTTCATAATAGTCTCTGAGGATTTTTTTTGTATTTCTGAGGTATTGGTAGTAATGTCTCATTTGTCATTTCTGATTGTGTTGATTTGGATTGCTCTTTTTTTCTTTATTAGTCTAGCTAATAGTCTATCAATCTTATTTATTCTGTCAAAAACAAACTATTGGTTTCATTGATCTTTTTTATGGTTTTTCATATCTCAATTTCAGTCAGTTCAGCTCTGATTTTGGTTATTTATTTTCTTCTTCTGGCTTTGGGGTTGGTTTGCTCTTGTTTTTCTAGTTCCTCTAAGTGTGACTTTAGGTTGTTAATTTGAGATCTTTCTAACTTTTTGATGTGGGTGTGTAGTGCTATGAACTTTCCTCTTAACACTGCTTTAACTTTGTCCCAGAGATTCTAATATGTTTTATCTTTGTTTTCATTGCTTTCAAATAATTTTTTGATTTCTGTCTTAATTTCATTGTTTACTCAAAAGGCATTCAGAAACAGATTGCTTAATTTCCATGTAATTGCATGGTTTTTGAGAGATCTTCTTAGTATTGATTTCTATTTTTATTGTACTATGATCCCAGAGTGTGATTAATATGACTTTTTTTTAATTTGTTGAGAATTGTTTTTTGTCCCATTGTGTGGTCGGTTTTAGAGTATGTGCCATGTGCAGATAAGAAGAAAGTATATTCTGTTGTTATTCGGTGAAGTGTTCTATCAATGTCTGTTAGGTCCATTTGGTCAAGCATTAAAAGTCCTGAATATCTTTGTTAGTTTTCTGCCTTGATGATCTGTCTAATACTGTCAGTGGGGTGTTGAAGTTTGCCATTATTATTGTGTGGCTATCTAAGCCTCTTCATAGATCTCTAAGAACTTGTTTTATGAATCTGGGTGCTCTAGTGTTGGGTGCATATATATTTAGGATAGTTAAGTCTTCTTGTTGAATTGAACCTTTTATCATTATGTAACGCCCTTCTTTTTGTTGTTGTTGTTGTTGGTTTAGTCTGTTTTGTCTAAAATTAGAATAGCAACTCCTATTCCTTTTTTATTTTCCATTTGCTTTGTGGATTTTTCTCCATCCCTTTACTTTAAGCCTATGGGTGTCACTGCATGTGAGAAAAGTCTCTTGAAGACAGCATACAGTTGGTTCTTGCTTCTTTATCCAACTTGCCACTATGTACCTTTTAAGTAGAGTGTTTGGCCCATATACATTCAAGGTTAATATTGGTATGGACAGATTTGATCCTGTCATTGTCCCGACATCATTTTTGACGGTCAAAAGTGTTATAGTAAATAGATTTGCATAACCAATCCCCTATTGTTGGATATATACATTGCTGCCATTTTACTTTTCTGGTGACTGGGTCTTTGGGATGAGTAGCAAGGCCCAGGATCCCCAGGAGAAGACAGAGCACAAGAAGAGGATGGCTTGCAGTAAATGTGCTGGTACCAACTGGTAGTAGTGTCAATGGCAGATGGGGTTCCAAGAAGGAAGGGAGAGGAGGGGAATCATTTAGAGTAGGACAAACTAGTGCTCTTTATTCTTATACCATTGTTTTTCTGGGTTGAGGACAAAAGTAATGGAACAACCCACAGCAGCCACAGTGATATTTTACAATGTAATTCAGACACTGTATCTCCTTTAAAACAAAGTCCATTTTTTAAATCTTGACCTATAAAATCCAGGATAAAGGTCTAGCACCTGTCTCCCTCTCTGTATGTCCTATCACACCCCCTTTTGCTTACACCAGTCCAACCATGCCATCCTCCTTCCTAGTCTTCAGACCTTCTATGCTCATTTCTACCTCGGCACCTTTGCACTTTCTGTGCTCTTTGCCTGGAATGCCCTCACCTCTGATCTTTGCATAATTCAGGTCTTTGTACCTCCTCTGCAAGATGTTTCCTGACCACTGTATCTAAAATAGCTTCCCTCTACACCTCTTTCCTATAATTCTTTGCATGATTTGTTTTTCTGCATAGCATTTACTTCTACGTATTTGTTCATTTTCAGTCTTCCCTATGGAAGCGTAAGCTATGTATGGAGGACCCATGTCTGCTTGTTCGCTGATGTATCCCTGGTGCTTAGAAGAGGACTTGGAATATGGTAAGTGCTCAATATATATCTGTGGAATGTATGAATGAATCTCTAAGCTGGCTT
Organism: Homo sapiens; assembly: GCF_000001405.40. Classification (NCBI taxonomy): domain Eukaryota; kingdom Metazoa; phylum Chordata; class Mammalia; order Primates; family Hominidae; genus Homo; species Homo sapiens. The sequence goes on along the minus strand of NC_000012.12, from coordinate 118,891,334 downwards.
GAGGTGCTGGGACCAACAGCTATCCAAGGAGTAAAATAAATCCACATATTTCTGGTCCACAGTTGCTATGGTCTGAATATCTCTGTCCCGCCAGTATTCATACATTGAAACCTAATCCCCAGTGCGGTGGTGTTAAGAGGTGGGGCCTTTGGGATGTGATTAGATGATGAGGATAGAGTCATCATGAATGGGATTTGTGCCGTTACAAAATAGGCCCAAGGGAAATTACCCCTTTCACCACGTGAGGGTAGTGGTCTTGCTTCTAGACAGTAAGAAGTAAGTCTGCAACCCAGAAAAGGACCCTCACAAGAACTCAACCATGCTGGCACTGTCAACTTGGACTTTTCAGCTTGTATAACTGTGAGAAATTAACTTCTGTCCTTGATAAGCTATGCAGTTGATGGTATTTTCTTACAACAGCCAAACAGACTAAGACAACAGGGTACCACAGTGGTTAAGGACAGAAACAAAAGCATTCATTGGGATGCTGGCACCATTACTCCCAGATGTGTGATCTTGGGTAAATTATTTTACTTCTCTCTGCCTCAGTTTCCCTTTATAAAATAGGAATGACAATGGTGTCTATTTTATAGGGTTCTTGTAAGGATTAAATGAGATAATGCATGTACATTGCTTAGCAGAGTATCTGGGACTTAGAAAGACCTCAATAAAAGTTTTTTTATTATTCATAAATTAATTATTAAATCCTTCTCTCCTCATTGTTTCAGTCATTTATTCATTCAAATATCCACTCACTTATTTGTCCATTTTTCAATGATTTTCTCATTCTTGCTTCTATGTATTAAATCCATCCACCCTCATACATCTATCTATTCATCTATTTGTGGTTTAAACGGACATTTATCAAGCTTATTTTAAAGGATCTCAAGGCTACAGTCAGAAAGAGTAGAAATATGGGTTTAAACAGCATCAGATTTAAACACCTTTCTGTATCCAGCCCACTTGTACCCAGGGCCCACTCAAGAATGAGTGCCATGCAGGACTGGTGTTCAGCTGGTAGGCATTGGCATAGCTGTGCCCACCCAATTCAGCAGTTATTCCCAAAGCCTCCTTCTTTACAAGTCCCTAGGGTGGGGAGACCAAAGGCACTCAGGGATGATGCTGAAGATAATCATAGTGATGATGTGGCACTAAAGACAGTGTACATGGGGCTGGGCGTGGTAGCTCACGCCTGTAATCCCAGCACTTTGGGAGGCTGAGGCAGGCGAATAATGAGGTCTGGAGTTTGAGACCATCGTGGCCAACATGGTAAAACTCTGTCTCTACTGAAAATACAAAAAAATAGCTGGGTGTGGTGGTGGGTGCCTGTAGTCCCAGATACTCGGGAAGCTGAGGCAGGAGAATCTCTTGAACCCGGGAGTTGGAGGTTCCAGTGAGCCAAGATTGTGCCACTGCACTCCAGCCCGGGAGACATTGTGAGACTCCGTCTCAAAAAAAAAAAAAAATACAGTGTACATGAATTTGACTCCTACTACATGCCAGATATCAATATTATTGTAAAGGATCTCAAGGCAACAGTCAGAAAGAGTAGAAATATACACCCTTCTGTATCCCACCCAGTTGTACCTGGGGCCCACTCAGGAATGCACAACTGGCCTCCTATCTGCAACATTTTCTCCTTCTAGCCCACAGACACAGGCCCAAGGTCTCAGCCTCCATCCCTCCACCTCCCTGCAGCCCCAAGGAATCCTTTGCTCTTTCAGCCTGTACCTGCATTTAGTTTGCAAATAGAGTATATCTCTTCTGGGCCAGGAGGGCACACTTCACCCCAGCCTGAGGTGCTGCTGAAATCTCTTTATCTACTTCGTGTTAGAATATTGTGCCCTGAGGTGCCTAAAACACTCAGTGCCGAGGCCACCTCCCCCACCCAATCCAGCAGTTATTCCCAAAGCCTCTTTCTTTACAAATCCCTAGGGTGGGGAGACCAAAGGCGCTCAGCAATGATGCTGCAAATGATCATAATAATAATGATGGCACTAAAGACAGCGTCCACGAATTTGTCTCTTACTACATGCCACGTATCAAGAACAGTATTCAAACATATTTTTCACAACCAGGACAACCCAACCAGTCAGAGTGGATGCTAGCTGCAAATAACCAGCACAGCTATACCAATGCCTACCAGCTGAACATCAGTCCAGCATGGCATATCTGTCAATAAATGAAACCCCTCAGCAGGCTAGGAGGCAGTAATGTGAGCCCATTTAACAGATGCAGAAGTGGAAGCTCAGAGAGAAAAATATCACTTAGAGAAGAGATAAGCAGATCTGGGCTTTGCTGAGTCCTGAGCTCATTTGCTTACTACCCACTTTGTGCATTTACATACTTATTTGTATCTATTATGAGAATATTTGCTTTATTTGTTAAACTGTGATTTTTCTCATTCTTTAAATTTTGAAAAAATTAAAACCTACAGTAAAGTTAAAAGAATAGTTTACTGAACACATATACCCTTCAACTAGATTCATCAAATTCTGTTGCCCTCCCTCTCTCAGAAGGAAAACACACACACACACACACACACACACACACACACAGAGTCATGTGTTGCATAATGACATTTCAGTCAATGGAACACATACATGATGGTGGTTCCGTAAGATTATAATGGAGCTAAAAACTTTCTATTGCCCAGTGATGTCTTAACCATTGTAATGCTGTACTGCAATACATTACTCAAGTTTTTGTGGTGATGCTGATGTAAACAAACCTACTGCACTTCCAGTCATATGAAAGTATAGCACACACGCCCTCCTACAAAGGCATGTCTATAATTCCTTGTCTTTGGACATGTAAGAATTGGAGGGACAGAAATGTGGACTTGGAGAAATCTGGGGCCAGCTTTCTCATCACAGGCTCAACATCAACCATGCCACATAGAAGAAAAAAAATGAAAAAATATTTTACAAAAGCATAGCATATACAATTATGTACAGTACATACTTGATAATAAATGACTGTAACTGGTTTATATATTTATTCTACCATACTTCCTGTCATTATTTTTTTAGTGTACTCCTTCTACTTATAGTTTTTAAAAGTTAACCATAAAATAGCCTCAGGCAGCTCCTTCAGGAGGTATTCCAGAAGAAAGCATTGTTATCATAGGAGATGACAGTTCCATGCATGTTATTCCCCCTGAAGACCTTCCAGTAGGACACGATATGGGGGTGGAAAACAATGATGTTGAGAATCCTGACCCTGTGTAGGCCTAAGATAATGTATATATTTGTGTTTTTGTTTTCAACAAAAAAAAGTTTTAAAAAATTTTAAAAATTCATAGAATAAGGATATAAAGAAAGAAAGTGGCTGGATGCAGTGGCTCATGCCAGTAATCCTAGCATGTTGGAAGGCCAAGGCAGGAGGATCACTTGAGGCCAGGAATTCAAGACCAGACTGGGCAACATACGAGACCCTGTCGCTATGAAAAATAAAAATAGCCTGGCATGGTGGCGTGCATCTGTAGTACTAGCTACTTGGGAGGCTGACATGGGAGGATTGCTTGAGTCCAGGAGTGTGAGGCTGCATTGAGCTATGATTGTGCTACTGCATTCCAACCTGGGCATCAGAGTGAGATCCTATTTCATATATATAATATATTATATATAATATAATAATACATATTATATATATTATGTATAATATAATAATGCATATTATATATTAATATATATATTAATATATAATATAATAATACATATTATATATATTTCCTGTATAATATATATTTTTTATATATATATATATTTTTTTTGAGATGGAGTCTCACTCTGTCACACAGGCAGGAGTGCAGTGGCACGATCTTGGCTCACTGCAAGCTCTGCCTCCCGGGTTCATGCCATTATCCTGCCTCAGCCACCTGAGTAGCTGGGACTACAGGCGCCCACCACCACGCCAGCTAATTTTTTTGTAGTTTTAGTAGAAATGGGGTTTCACTGTGTTAGCCAGGATGGTCTCGATCTCCTGACCTCGTGATCCACCTGCCTGGGCCTCCCAAAGTGCTGGGATTATAGGCGTGAGCCACGCGCCTGGCCGTGTTTGTGTTTTAAGCTAAGTGTTATTACAAAAAAGGCAAAAAGTTTTAAAAAACTAAAAACATTTACAAAATAAAGTTGCAGCAAACTAAAGTTAATCTATTATTAAAGAAAGACAATTAAAAACTAAATAAATTGAGTGTAACCTGTGTGTATGGTGTTTACAGAGTCTACAGTAGTGTACAGCAATGACCTAGGCCTTCATGCTCACTCACTACTCACTCACTGGCTCACCCAGAGCAGCTTTCAGTCCTGCAAGTTTCACTCATGGCAAGTGCCCTATACAGGCATACCCTTTGTTTTTCATATTGTATGTTTACCGTATCTTTTCTATATTTAGATGCACAAATACTTACCATTGTGTTACAATTGCCCGCAGTGTTCAGCACAGTAACATGGTGTACAGGTTTGTAGCCTAAGAGCTACACAGGCTCAGTCATATCCCCATCGTTAAATGACACATACTGTATATACATACATATTTGTTATTCCATTTATAAGTAAGTTGAAACTACCATGATGGTTCATCCCTAACTACTGCTTCCAATTTACACTGATAACTACAGCCCCACACATAATCCTGTTCCTGAAGCCCACGAAAGGTCTTCCTTTACCTCCCAGCCAGAAGTGACCACACCTGTGCTCCTAGATGTGCTCCAGCTGCCTGTTGCTCACCCATGCCCCCTAATGAGAAACTCCTCACCTACAACCCTGCTGATGGGACCCCATCCCCTGACAGAAGGACCAGGGAGATCTCTGTCCCAGAGGGATCCCAGCCATGAGCTGGCAAGGGCCTGTGATTTGGGTGGGATGAGTCAATCAGATTATTCCTCTTAGCAACTTCAACTGAGAGGAGGCATCATTTCTGGGGAGTTACAGGCACTAGAACTTAAAATCTCAGGTGGACTCAGGAGCCACCGTAAAGGCTGAAGTCATGAGCAACCAAAAGGAAGATGAAACAGCTGCACAAATGTAATTTTTAAAAGTTTATAATAATAACAGCTAATATTTATTGAGCATATAGTATGTGCTAAGCGTAGCACAATTATTAACTCATTTTATATTGACAATGGCAGTATATACACTATCATCTCCCCTGTTGAGATTAAGGCACAGAGAAGCAAAGTAACTTACCTGGGGTCACACAGCAAGCGATTGGAAGAGCCTATTTTTCTTACCACCACCCTCTTGGTTCCTGGTATGCACCTTGTCCTTCCTGAGGACTACAGTTCTGCTTTCTCTGGACTCCCAAGAGATCTTTCTGCATCTTACAGCAAAGCCTCCATTGTGCTGGAGCTAAGTGGAGGGGGTTTCTATTGACTCCAATCAAAAGAAGCCTGACTAAAGCATCTACACTTGGCTGGGACTGGGTTTCCTCAAGATTAACACTCACTCTCACCATTCTGACCAATTGCCTGCAAGTTTGCAAAGGTAGACGCACATTTTCTGGGGAGCTGAGAATGAGGCATGAAGATTAATTATATATAATCCATTATGAATAATTTTATATGCACAAACTCTCCTGGATGGCTTCCTTATTCAGATGTCACTTTTGCTTCCTTTTATAAATGCAAAAGAAAATTTATCAGGACTCTCACACTTGCACTGGCGACCTTATACAACATAACCCAATTTCCCAGAAAAGAAAAGGGCTTGAATTTTCCCACCACTAAGCTTTTCAGGGAACTAAAGCTTGTTTGATTAGGGAGATACTTTTCTTTTTCTTTTTCTTTTTTTACCATACTCAGGTAACCAATTTTTAGAAAATTAGCATTCTTCAAAGTACAGATAACGCAAATGACAGCAAACATAATTGAATCTCTCTCTCTCTCTGATGATTTGGGAGGTACTTCTGAATGTCACTCCCCTTTATTCAAGACTGTAAAAAAAAATCTGTATAATAAAATTAAAGTTTTACTTTTGCTTGTTAGAGCCTTCTGGGTGTTACATGGTTGTGGGACTAAGTCCAAACATAAATGTCACATCTAGTTTCTTGGGCTGTTTATCAAAATCATCTGAGTCACATTGAATGGTGCAAGAAGACACTCGGCCCACTGTCTGGAGTCAGTCTACTGATCCTATAGTAGAAAGCCACTACCAAGCTGGTCGTATGCCTAGACTGGCTCCCTTAAACAGTGGGATATTAGCACTGAATTCCAAGGTAGTTGAAGAAAACCACGAAATTTTCATATTTGGGAGGTAACAATTCCCATCAAGCAGAGGAATTTGAAGATTCATAGTTTGTATGTCACATTGATTACACAGTGTCTTCTGCCTAGTAAGTGCTCAGTAAATGGTAAATGGTAAATTCTCATACTGGGGAAATGTATTAGAGCTTGAGAGAAGCCAAAAATTTATTCTTCTGGGTAGCTCTTAAATATTCCAACTTGCATTAGTTTTCCTAGCTGATGGAAAATCTATTTTACTCCACATTGTTCCTTTTTAGAGAACAATTCAAGTCTCTCTTAGTGGATGGAGAAAGATGCAGACAGAAGCAAGAAGAATGCAGGAGGCTACAAGCTGTAGGTTCAAGGAAGCTTTGGTGCCACAAAAATTCACAGGACCAGAAGGCAAAAGCCTTGGGTTTGTGTCCTTACTCTTTTCAGCCAGCTCTTGGAAGCGACCCCTTCTACTATAGACATGGCTTGGTGTTATGAACTGTTTTAATGAAAACCACATCTGTTCCTTTTTCAACTTTCACCACTAGCTCATTTGTTTTTTGTTTGTTTTGTTTTTTTTATTCATCCTATGTGTATAAGGCATCTATTGTAAGCCTGAAACTGTTCTTGTTGCTGAAGAAATACCACGAGGAAATGAATCAGACCTAGATCTGCCTTCACAAAATGTTTCAAAGAAGTGCAGAGTTATGACAGGAATGCATGATGACCTCATGTAGTCTTGGGGGTAGAGGGGAGGAAGTTCAGGGAAGGCTTCCTGGAGGAAGTGACATTTAATCTGAGACCTGGAAGATAAGAAGTTAGCATTCAAGTTTTTCCTTGAGGAGCAACACAGAAAAATGTTCCACCTTTCAAATTTGAAGTTAGCTCTCTAGCCTCCTTTCCTAGCACTGTCCTATGCTGTCACTCTACTCTGACCACAGTGGTCCACACTGAGGACTCATCTTCTCCCATAATAACCTTCTCTTTCCTCAGACCACACAATTCTAGGCCCTTTATCATCCTAATTGACCCCACTATCAAGAGGCTTCATTTTGCCAAAACTTCTAAAAAGGTGATGCATCTTCATTAATTTTTATTCTTGGACTTCCTACCAAGTGAACCAAGGATGAAAAATTATACATCGATGGCAACAAAAAAAAAATCAGAGTTTTCTTATATGCACAAGGCTCCACATCAGGAGTGCTTTTCTTTCTATTTGGAAGTGTTTCTAGAAATTGAATTATATGCCAAGCAATGAGCCAGATACTGAGAATAACATGATTTCATGCAAGTTGGCTTCCCCAGGAATCAGAAGTCAGGAGAGACTTAGGAATTCAAAGGGGTGACTGGGGAGTTCTACATGCAAAAAGGAAAGGGAGGAAGCTGAACTGAGCAGGAGGAGACATCAGACCCAACTGCGGACCTGACAAAGTCTCTGCTAGCCAAACTGGAGGCTCTGGAATAAGCACTGCCCTTTAGAGGAGTGACCCACTGAGCAGAAATGACCAGGTCTTGTACCATCCACCACCTTTCTGAGCTATAGATTAGGGGCTGTCTTGAGAATAGCATGCCCTCAGCTCTCATCATCTTGCTCAATCATTGGCCAGGGGTTCTCCTGAGAATTATAACTTTGGTTTAAAAATTGAGGCAAATACTGATTAAGCAAACAGCTGGAGGTTGTCAGTTAGCCTCACTCATTGAAACTGGGCAATGAGTCCTTTCTTGAAGGAAGATCTGAGCAGTGCATCTCCATATCTGCCACAATGGTACACAAAAATGAAATGCTTGCTGCCCTGTGGAAGCCTGTAGCCTGGAAAGACAGACTCTGAGCTCTAATCACACAACAAATCTTATAGTAATGACTATAATTTTTTTAAAGAAAGCATTCTTGTACATTGAAAAATACAAAACATTGTTATAAAAAATTAAAGAAGACCTAAAGAAATGGAAACATATCCCATTTTCATGGATTGGAACACTTCATATTGTTAAGATGGCAGTACTCACCAACCTAATCTACAGATTCAATGCAGTTGCTACCAAAATTCCAGCTGCCTGCCTTTATTGCAGACATGGACAAGTTGGCCATAAAATTCATATGAAATTGCAAGGTACCCCAAAACAAACTTACAAAAGAAAAACAAAGTTGGAGGATGTTCATTTCCCAATTTCAAAATTGACTGCAAAGCTACAATAAGCAGAACAATGTGACACCGGAAATGATCGACACATAGATCAAAGGAGCAGAATTGGAAGCCCAGAAATAAACCCACGTGTTTATCATCAACTGATTTTCAACAAGGGTACTAATACCATTCTATGGAGGAAAGAATAATCTTTTCAGCATACGGTGCTAAGACAACCATATGCCACATGCAAAAGAATGAAGTTAGAACCCTACCTAAGATGAATACAAAAATCAACTCAAAAATGATCAGAGACCTAAATGTAAAAGTTAACTCATAAAACTCTTACAAGGAACCATAAGTGTAAATCTTCATAACCTTGGATTAGGCAACACTTTCATATGTATGAAAACAAAAACACAAGCAACAAGAGAGAAAATAAGTAAATTGAACATGAAAATTAAAAACTGTCATGCATCAAAGGATGGTATTAAAAAAGTGAAAATGGGTGGCTGGGCACAGTAGTTCACACCTGTAGTCCCAGCACTTTGGGAGGCTGAGGCAGGAGGATTGCTTGAGCCCACGAGGCGGAGGCTGCAGTGAGCCAAGATCATGCCTCTGCACTCCAGCCTGAGTGACAGAGTGAGACCCTGTCTCAAAAAAAAAAAAAAAATGAAAAGGCAATCCACAGAATTGCATAAAATATTTGCAAATCACGTATCTGATAAGAATACAGTATCTAGAATATACAAGTCTTATAACTCAACAAAAACAACAACAGAAAACCAAACAACCCAATTTTAAAGTGGGAGAAAAAACTGAATAGACATTTCTCCAAAGAAGATATATAAATGGCACTAAGCACATGGAAAGATGCTTAACATCATTAGTTATTAGGCAAATGCAAATGAAAACCACAGAGATATCACTTCCCACCCACTAGGATGGCTACAATCAAAAAAAGAGGAAATTATCAACTGTTGGTGAAGATGCGGAAAAATTAGAACCCTTGTACTCAAGAAGTCAAACAAAGAACTACCATATGACACAGAAATTCCATTCCTAGCTATATACCTAGGAGAATTGGAAACATATGTTCAAACAGAAGTTTGTACACAAATGTTCATAGCAGTATTATTTATAATAGCTAAAAAGTGGAAATGCTCCAAATGTTCATCAGTGGATGAATGGATAAACAAAATGTGGTATTTCCATACAATGGAATATTATTCAGCCATAAAAAAGAATGAGGTGCTGACACATGCCACAACATGGATTAACTGTGAAAATATTTTGCTAAGTAAAAAATGCCAGTCACAAAAGGCCACATATTATGTAATTCCATTTATATGAAATGTCCAGAATAACCAAATCCATAGAGATAGAAAGTAGATTAGTGCTTGCCAGAGGCTGGGGAGAGCGAATGGGGAGTGACTGCTTAATGAGTACAGGACCTCTTTTTGGGGTGATGAGAATGTTCTGGAATTGGATAGCAGTGATGGTTGCAGAGCATTGTGAATATACAATAAACCACTGAATGGTATACTTTAAAATGGTTTAAAAAGTGAATTTTGTGTTATGTAGAAAAAAGTGAAGGAGAGAGAAGAGGTGCACGGTGTGGTGAGAACAATCTAATAGGAGAGCCCTGCCTGGTCTCGAGCAGTCACGGAAGGCTTGAAGATAAATGGCTTTTTTTATTCTTCTCAAGGCCCATCTCCAACTTTCAGGGGTTATATTGCCCTGACTGCTGGGGCTTTTTTGATAACCCAGGTTTCCAGGAGTGGATGATGTAGGTGAAGATCCCCGACAAGGTCATTTTCTCTCCCCAACTGAACAGAAAGAAGAAAGAGCTGGGGGAGGAGAGGAAAGTGTGCACAGGCATCACCCAGGAGGAAGACAGAGAGAGGGGACAAGAAAACATTATTTTCTTCCTTTTGTCTCCAAAGCCAGATGACAGAGAATGGAAATGAGGAATGTAGATCAAAATGTAATTTTCCCTTACAAGCTGCAGTGAGGCCAGGGGCTGGGGTGTGACCTGCCCTGGGGAGCTGCTCACATGGCAATAACTCACCACCAGCTCTGCACAAAAGCAGTGCTTATTAAAGGTCAAACGGAGCCAGCAAGGGGATAGTGGGGGAAGGGTTGATGGAAGCAATAAAGGGACACAAGAGAGACATGGGGCCATTGGGAAGGGCTGATTCTGATTAAGAATTTGTCCCAAGCAAGGCAGAGGTCAGCCATTCAAGTCAGGAAGTGATGCCCCTGACACCCACCAGGGACCCCTGGGCTGGAAAATGCTGCCTTTGTCTTTATGAACCAAGAATTTCCCTGGCCCCACGCAAAAATCAATAGTGAATCAATAAAACACTGGCTTGTATGAGAAACAATTATCGGCAAGCCAGAAAAACAGCATTGGGAGCCCTCTGCCTCTGCTCACCTGCAAGGTAGATGGGGAGGTTGCTAAACTCTCAGAGGTCAGATGGCTGAGGAATGATCTAACTACCCAGGTGCTCAGGACTGGTTAATTCTTCATCATCATCATCATCATCATCACGTAACTTCTACTATCTGTCAAACATTCTGCAGAGCTCACAATCTTGCAGAATTTTCTCAACAACCCACAAGTGCTGTTATTATTCTCATTTTATAGTCAGGAATACTAAGTCTTAGAGAGCTAAGTCATCTGCTCAATAGCACTTAGCTACTGAAAAGGCAGAGTTAGGGCATGACACCAGTCTATCCAACCTCAAACCCTGAGCTCTCAGCTATAATAATAAACGGCCTCTCACAATAATCAAGTGACTATTGAGTGCCTACTATGTGCCTGGCCATGAATGCTTTTCTGGGATTTGGGCTGAGTCTTTTTTCCCCCCTCAGGGCCTCGGCGTTTTCATTGATCACATGGGGAGTTATCACTGATGCTCCTATCTAGGAGGGAAGCTCAGAGTATCAAGTCAAACTCAGAGCTTCATTTCGCTATCCAAATGAATATCCATTTAGAAAATGGGACCTCTGTGCACCTAAGAGGCTGTCTCTCTCACCATCTTTCCTGTCTCTGACATGCCTAGCATGCAGGACAATGCCAGAACAGACAGGCATCAGGGTTCCTAGCCAAGATCAGAACAGAACCTGGAGAGGGAAACAAAGCATGAAGGCCACAGGGTGAGGAAATGGGGATGAGAAAATGCGGTTGAGTGGATGACAACCCAACACAGGCCTTAAATAGGCAGGGTCCAAACTATCAGACCTCTGACACTTCCCTTTGAATGGATATACAACAACCCCATGCTAATTGGTCTTGCCCCTGAGATGCTGAGGTTCTGTGTTTTTAACATGTGTACACAAGTTTTTAATTTTTTTTAAACGCTTGGTGATATAGTTTGGATATTTGTCCCTGCCCAAACCTCATGTTGAATTGTCATCTCCATTGCTGTAGGTGGGTCCTGGTGGGAGGTGTCTGGGTCATGGAGGCGAATTCTTCATGGCTTGGTGCTGTCTTCGTGGTTGTGAGTTCTCACGAGATCTGGTGATTTAAAAGTATGTGGCACCTCTCCCCCTGCCACTCTCTCTCTCCCTCGCTCCTGCTTTTGCCACGTGATGTGTATGTTCTTCCTTCACCTTCTGCCATGGATGAAAGCTCCCTGAGGCTTCACTGGAAACCAGCAGATGTTCGTATGATGCTCCTTCTAAAGCCTACAGAACCATGAGCCAATTAAACCTCTTTTCTTTTCTTTCTTTCTTTTTTTTTTTTTTTGAGACAGAGTCTTGCCCTGTCGCCCAGGTTGGAGTGCAGTGGCACAGTCTTGGCTCACTGCAACCTCTGCCTCCCGGGTTCAAGAGATTCTCCTGCCACAGCCTCCTAAGTAGCTGGGATTATAGGCTCCCGCCACCACATCTAGCTAATTTTTGAATTTTGGTAGAGACGGGGTTTCACCATGTTGGCCAGGCTGGTCTTGAACTCCTGACATCAGGTGATCCACCCGTCTTGGCCTCCCAAAGTGCTGGGATTATAGGCATGAGCCACCGTGCCCAGCCTAAACCTCTTCTCTTTATAAATTACCCAGTCTCAGGTAGTGCTTTATAGCAATGCAAGAATTGCCTAATACACTTGGGTTTCCAGTAAGGGCTGCTTGGAAATCCTGAGAAGCACCCACCTCCTCAGGGCACGGGCTGCAGAAATGTTTTCTTTTCCGAACAGCAGAAGAAAGTAATTCGGGAGGTGAAGAGGCAGTAGAGAGAACTGGGAAGTCTCTTGTGTGTGAGCATGCGTGTGTGTTACCATAATAGGTTTTTAAGATTAGAAAGTTCTAGAACTTTTATTCATTTTGACATTTGTTTATTTATTATTTTTTTGAGACAGGAGTCTCGCTCTGTGCCCAGGCTGGAGTGCAGTGGCGAAATCTCAGCTTACTGCAACCTCTGCCTCCCAGGTTCAAGCAATTCTCCTGCCTCAGCCTCCTGAGTAGCTGGGACTACAGGCATGTCCCACCACGCTCGGCTAATTTTTGTATTTTTAGTAGAGACGGGATTTCTCCATGTTGGCCAGGCTGGTCCTGAACTCCTGAACTCAAGTGATCCACCCACCTCCGCTTCCCAAAGTGCTGAGATTACAGGCGTGAGCCACCACGCCCGGCCTATTTTGACTTTTAAATACCTGTAGGTAATGCCATTTCATTTGCTTCCTCCTGACCCAGTAACATCTGCAAGTCTTGATCTTGCACACAGCAGCTTTGCTGAGGTAACAGATGCTTCTGGTGCCCAAGTCACATCCCCTCAGCTCTCCACTGACTGTGGCACGCTGACATCATCCCACCTAAAGTATCTTTCCAGAACCCAGAACCTCTCTGCTTCTCTGCCTCAATGCTTTTTCTAAAGCTGCAAGAACCTGTTCAGCCTTAGGCAGGGGAAACCCTGGAAGTGCAGGGGGTTAACACCCCTGTAACTGTAATAGGTTCATTGCCCGACGTGCCCAGCAAGTCAAGACAAGACACCAGGCTGCAGAAGAGAAAGAGGTTTAATTAAAGGGTCACTGAAATCTCAAATCCATCTCCTCAAGGAATTTGAGGTTAAAGTTTTTTAAGGTTTCTGGAGTGGACTGAAGTCTGGAAGCCACTGATTGGTAGAAGAATGCTGGGTGAAGTCATGGGACAGGGAGAGGAAGAAGCTGTATTCACAGGCTGATCCCATTCAGAATCCTGTGCCTGAAAACCAGCCACACCCACCCACAAGAGCTTTGTGGGGAGATCAGAGGGAGCACATCTTAGACCCGATCCTCAGCTTGTATGAGGCTTTTGGTGTTGCTTTGGGGGTAGTCATATCCTAATCAACACTTAAAGTATCATTATTAGCAATACTGAGCTAACCAGAAGGGAGGGGCCAGGATTAAGAGAAATCAGGCAGGCCGGGCACAGTGGCTCACACCTGTAATCCCAGCACTTTGGGAGACCAAGGTGGGCAGATCACGAGGTCAGGAGCTCGAGACCAGCCTGGCCAATATGGTGAAACCCCGTCTCTACTAAAAATACAAAAAAATTAGCCTGGCATTGGGGTGCGCACCTGTAGTCCCAGCTACTCATGAGGCTGAGGCAGAAGAATCACTTGAACCCAGGAGGCGGAGGTTGCAGTGAGTCAAGATTGCGCCACTGCACTCTAGCTTGGGCGACAGAGGGAGATTCTGTCTCAAAAAAAAAAAAAAAAAAAAAAAGACAGGTAGGTCTCGCAGGTAACAACAGTGTAGGCAGGCAAGAAATAAAGTCCAGAGAGGTCACCTGCGGCAAGTCGAAGAAACACCTGGCCCTGAGACTAGGCAGGGAGCAGAGCCCAGAGGAGCCGAGGGGCAGGTGAGTCCTCCTTAGGGGAATCCTTGTCTTATCCTGCAGTTGTTCTCTGCACCCAATCTGCCTCCTGCTAATCAGCAAAACCCTGCAATCAGCACCTTCAAGAAGGTTTTAAATGAACTCATTAGGTTGGTGCAAAAGTAACTGCAGTTATTACCATTGAAAAACTGCACCAATCAATATATGAACTTTAACCACAGACCACCTCAGTGGGGGCATTTTTGAGGGTTCCCAAAATGCTGGAGTCGAGACAGGAAGAGTCAAATCTGTGCCTGGCATACCCTTGCTGCTTGTTCTTGCTCAGCCTTCATCTCCTCCTCTTCTCATAACATCCTAACATTTCGCTTGTGCAATGGCTCTCCTCCAGCCCCAGTCAGTGTGCAGCCCGATCAAGATCAGGAAACTGAGGCCCATACACAGGTGAAATAACTTGCTCAATGGCATACAGTGTGGTGAAGCCTGACTCAAATCCATGACTTCAAGGCTACAGGGGTTAACCACTCTGCAAGTCCTCTTGGTCTAAGCTGCAAGTCTAAGCTGATCCTAGATTTCAAGGGAGGGTCAGCTTTGGGGTGAAGTTCAAGCAGAAACTGGGATTTGTTGGCTCACCTTTGGCCTCAGTCTTTTTTTCAATCAGTGAGAAAACACTTGCATAGCAAAAGCAGGGAGAGAAGTGAGTTCATTAAATCGCTAATTCTCTCCTTCCTGTGCCATCCCGAACACAGCCCCCACAGTCAGCAAAACCTGCTATCTGCTTCATCTGATCTTACTCCATGCCACAATTTATTTTTGAAATTTTTTTCCTTGTCGTATAATGGCAACATCCAAAAGGCTCTATTGATTTCTCGACTGCAGACTGCAGGTTTATCGAGGCTGAGTCAGCCCAGCCCTCCACCTCCACTGGAGTCTCCATTCAGATCTTTATCTCACCTTTTCATAGCTTGAAAGACTAAGTTTAGTTAAGACTGTAGGGATGGGTCCTGAGGGTTGCATTCATAGTCATAATGAAACAAAATTAGAAACTACTTTAGATCTTAACAGCCTCTGTATTCACTGTGCTGAATTACAACAGAGGAGGGAGTATGAAAATGGAGGTGAAGTTAGTACTTAAGATAAGCTTGTAGTCTTGCTGCAGCCACATAATTTACAGGAGGGCAAAGCCGACGAAAACTTGAACTTTGCTTCGATGCAGACATCAGGCACCTAGAATAAATGCTCAGCCTGGCTAGGTCTGTTCTTCATCCCCAAATGGGGATAATATCATCTACCGTCCAAACTACATCACAGACTTATCAATAAAATTAATAGTCCTTGGTAGAAAAATACTTGCGAACAAATCATTATTATTTACATGCCCTCCAGACTCAGTCTTCATACACTGAAGGGAGTTTTAAAATCTTGCTTCCTCCAAGAACCTTTCTCTCTTTTTCATTCACTTATTCAGAAAACATTCATTGAGCAGACATTGGAGATAAGAATTATTTTCACCCACCCTTATGCTCTCATAGACAACCTGCTCATTCCTCCTGTGCTAGACAATTCATATGCTCTACCTCATATCTTCTTGGCCCACCTGTCTCGCTCCAGCCATTGATACATCACTGTTCGCAGGTGTATTTTCTTAGCATCTTGCTTCCACGGCACCACATACTGCTTGCTTTCTGCTGTAGGGCTTGATCCAAGAGCCTTGCTGGTGCATATGCAAAACTGGAAATGTGATGGAGTTAACACCCCTTAGGGCAACCCTTGACCAAAGGAGGACAGGAGCTGGTGGATAAATTCGCCCCTCACCCATTCTCAGGAGGCCATTGAGATGCATTTTACACAGTTCTCAGAGGGGCCCTATTGAATTTGAGCCCTAGTTGCCCACATCTTAGCTCAGTAACACACCTTTAGACTGGCTTTCCCTATTTCAATCTTCCAAGCCACCTTCACCTGTTCCCTGGCAACTCTTCCCAACCAGTATACCTGCATGCAAGCTCTTCTCTCAAGCTCTGCCTTCAGGGGAAAATCTGAACTAACACTCCATTTTTTCAAAGAGGTATTTCCAGTCTCTGCTAGTTAAGCAGCAGGCAACATGATCCTATCCATTCTTCCCACCCCCTGGCTCTAGTTGATTGGCCTGGGAGTGAATGATTGGCAGGAGCTAAAGTCAATCAGATTTTCTCTTCCTTGAGAATTCGGAACGCAAACTATTCAATCTGTGTAGGACATTTGAAGCAGGTGGGGATTGTAAAGCCTGGGCTGGGAACAACCATGTGCCCATGGAGGGGAGAAAACCAGTTTGCAAACAGAAAGAAACGAAGATCACACAGCTTTGGAGAGACACAAGAAAACTGCTAGGTTCCTGGTCACTTTTTGGTTTTTGGTTCAAGTGCCATAATTGGCCCACTTCCCCTTCCTATTGTTGGGTTCTCTGAGACTCTTTTATTCTTCTGATAAATACGTTTTTTTTCCTGCTTGTACTAGCTTGAGTGAGATTCTGTTATTTGTAACCCAGCAGTTTCTAAATCAGAACATCTTGTTATGCCGGGCACTCTGTTAAGTTCTGGTTGTATCATAATGAACAAGACACAGTCCCTGCCTTCAGAGAGTTTAGCATCTAACTGATTAATAAAAATGAGGTAGTGGCTCAGTGTCTCACAGCATTTTCTATATGTCAGAGAGCTAATCTTTTTCATCATAGGCCTGTATATTGCTTCATTCATAATAATCATTTATTAATTCATTCATAAACATTGCAACCATCTTCTAATCCTTACCATGTTAAGGGCACTGCACTAAGTGCTTTCTTTATGTGTTTCAGATCTCTTCACTCTTTACTGAAATGGTTCATTTCTTTAGTGTTAGAGACACAGCAGTAAATAAGATCATTTCAAGTTATGATAAGTGCTGTGAAGGAAATAAATCAAGTGATGTGATAGGGAGAAATTCGCCAGGGTGGAGAGAATAGAGAGAAAGTGTTTTAGATGGAGAAGGAAGATAGTCAGTGAGGGCCTCTGCATTTGAACTGAGACTCAAAGAATGAGAAGCACAGAGATGTGCAGAAAACCAAAGGAAGAATATTCCAGGTAGAGGGAAAGGTTAAGTGCAAAGGCCCGGAGGCAGGAATGAAATGAAGGAATAAGTGAATGACTGGACTCCAAGTAAGACAACTGCCCCTGACCCTTGAATAACATCTGTGGTTCTCAGGTGCACAACTATTATTTTTTTTTTGAGATAGATCTTGCACTGTCACCCAGGCCAGACTGCAGTAGCAAAATCAGCTCACTGCAGCCTCAATTTCCTGGGCTCAAGCAATCCTCTCACCTTGGCCTCCCAAGTATCTGGGACTACAGGCATGCATCACCAGTCCTGGCTAATTTTTTCTTATTTTTTGTAGATATGGGGTCTCACTATGTTGTCCAGGATGGTCTTGAACTCCTGGGCTCAAGCAATCCTCCTGTTTCAGCCTCCCAGAGTGCTGGGATTAGTTGTAAACCACTGCACCCGGCCCACAATGAATTTTTTAAACTCACTGCACAGTGAGTTAAAACAAACAAACAAAACAAAACAAAAAAACCCACCCAACCCTAAACCTATATTTAGGCTACTAGTGCTAGCTAGTAGCTAGCTGTTTTAAAGTAGATAGGCTAGAGGAGTAGCCTAAACATGGGTATGTTTTAAAAACAGTTTAAAAAGCTGTTTTTAACAGTTTAAAAAAATGGGTATTTTTTAAAACAGTGAGTTTTTAAAACATACTCATGTTTAAGCTACTCCTTTAGAGATTTAGATTCTATCAGTCTAGGTGGAACACAATTATCTTTTTTTTTTTTTTAAGTTCCCAGCAATTCTGATACAAAATGAGGGTGGAGAACAACTATACTTGATGGAAATTAGTACAGTAGAATTTAAATAAAAAGGAAGCAAGCAACAGGGAAATGTGACAGCTGGGCATCTCCCAAATCTGGGTTCAATTCCTTGGTTCCTGAGGCCACAGTCTGTATCCAGGCAACAGTCTCCCAAATGTGGAATTGTGGAGACTGAGTGAAAGGATGTGGACGCATCCCAGCAAGGAAGTGATTCATTATAAGAAACTTTGTCAGTGTTACCAGACCCTCCCCAGGCTGGGTCAAGCCCCCACTTCTCTGCTCCTCAGCCCCCTTGCTTTCCCCACTAAAGCATTTATCACATGGTGTGATATATGCCATTCCATGAAGGCAAAAACTGTCTTCTTCCTCATGGCATCCTATGTGTCTCTCAGGCCTCCACTTAGATGCTGCTTCTTCCAAGAAACCATGCTTGACTTCACCCTAAGATGGTTTAGGTGCTTTCATTGGGAGTTCTTTATTATAGAAATTATTGCCCTATTTTTAAACTGTATTTACATATGTCTCCGCCAATAGTCTGGGAACTCTTCAAGTTTGCTATTGTACTCATTATCTATTTCACTGAAGAAAAATGGATCTGGCCAGGTGTGGTGGCTCACGCCTGTAATCCCAGCACTTTGGGAGGCCAAGGCGGGCAGCTCACAAGGTCAAGAGATTGAGACCATCCTGGCCAACATGGTGAAACCCTGTTCCTACTAAAAATACAAAAAAAAACTTAGCTGGGCATGGTGGTGCACACCTGTAGTCCTAGTTACTCGGGAGGCTGAGGCAGGAGAATCGCTTGAACCCGGGAGGTGGAGGTTGCAGTGAGACAAGATCATGCCACTGCACTCCAGCCTTGTGACAGAGCAAGACTCCATTAAAAAAAAAGAAAGTAAGAAAGAAAGAAGGAAGGAAGGAAGAAAAAAAGAAAGAAAGAAAGAAAGAAAGAAAGAAAGAAAGAAAGAAAGAAAGAAAGAAAGAAAGAGAAAAGAAAAATGGACCTGCTTTCATGGAGCTTATGTCACCATGGTGGCAGGACAGGCAATACGCTCACAGTGTGTCAGGTAAGTGCCCTTGGTGTGATGGGAAGACATGGAGGCCATTGGATGGTTCTGAACAGAGGCATGATGTGACATCACCTTGTTTTGAAAGCATCACTGTGGACTCTGTTAAGAAGACAGCATGGGGGACCTGGCGCGGTGGCTCACACCTGTAATCCCAGCACTTTGGGAGGCGGAGGTGAGCAAATCACTTGAGGTCAGGAGCTCAAGATCAGCCTGGGCAACATGGTGAAACCCCATCTCTACTAAAAATACAAAAATTAGCAGGCGTGGTGGTGCATGCTTGTAGTCCCAGCTACTTGGGAGGCTGAGGCATGAGAATTGCTTGAACCCAGAAGGCAGAAGTTGCAGTGAGCCAAGATTGCACCACTGCACTCCAGCCTGGGCGACAGAGTAAGACTCTGTCTAAAAGGAGGAGGAGGAGGATGAGGAGGAGGAGGAGGAGGAAGAGGAGGAGGAGGAGGAAGAGGAGGAGGAGGATGAGGAGGAGAAGGCAGCATGGGGAAGCAAGGGAGAGTGCTGGAAGAGCATGGGTTAACCAGGTGAGTGGTGGTGGTAGTTTGGATGAAGCAGCAGCAGCAGGGATGGTGAGAACCGGTCAGATTCTGGGTAAGTTTTTTAATGGCTTTGCCTAGGTAGAATTGGCATATTCATAAACTGTACATACTTGAGAATACAACTTGATAAGATTTGATATATGTGTATACCTGAGAAACTACCACAATCCAGGTAATGAACATACCTACCTCCCAAACGTCTCCTGTGCCACTTTGAAATCCTGCCTGTCTCTGCCCATCACCAGGCAACCCACGATGTGCTTTCTGTCACTATAGATTAAGTTCTAGAATTTTCTATAAATAGCATCATTCAATACTCTTTCATGTCTGGCTTTTTCCCTAAGCACAATTATTTTGAGATTCACTCATGTTGTTCATGTACCAATCATTTGTTCCTTTTTATTCCCGAGTAGTGTTCCATTGTATGGAGGTAATACATTTGTTTATCCATTTACCTTTTGATGGACATTTGGGTTATTTTTCATATTCTTGATATATTTTGAAGGCAGTGCTGAAAGAATTTTCTGGTGCATAGGCCGTAACATATTGCAGAAAGAGCAGAGTCATGGATAACTCTCAACTTCTTAGTTTAACAACTGGGAAGATGGAGTTGACAATTACTGAAGTGGGGGACACAGCCGACTAGAATGAAACACCTCGAACATCCAGCACATTGCCTGGCACACCGTGAACGTTCTATTGATATCTGTCAAAGAAAGAATAAGGGCAGAGAGAACAAAAGGAGGTATACATTCAGTTTTGGATGCTGGCAATTCAAATCCTAAGCTTCAGGCCAAGCTTCATGTATTCTCTCCCTTTTTCCACATCCCCCTCACACTCCTGAAACCCAGGCAGTCATCATCATAAAGAGACTTCTTGGGCACAAAAGAGGTAGAAGGCAGATTCAATCAGAGCAGGATCGCTTGTTCTCAAATGGCCTCTGGTCCAGGAAGCATTGTTTTCGCCCCAGCATGGGGCTGAATGCACAACTCTCCTCTTTGGTTTCTGAACAATAAGCTTCCAAATTACTATCCACCTGGCAGATCCACTTGAGATCTATGAGCCTCTGAGAAGTCCCCTCCTTCTCCTCCATCCACCCTGTACTTCCCAAACACTCCAACATCACTAACTGATGCTTCACCAGAGCCAGGCACTAAGGTGAACTGTTATTAAAAGGCACACACATCAAGTATTTCAATAGCAAAAAGATATAAAAAGGCAATACACAAATGAACAAATACAAATGGCCAATAAATGTAAAGAAGGGAGGTGCCCAGACTCACCAGCACTCAAATGAAAATTTCTACAATCTTGAGACAACATCCTTTTCCTGTCAAATTGGCATAATTAAAACAAATGCAAATAAACTGACATTGGCAATAGTGTGGGGACACAGACAGAAATGTACTTTGCTGGTGGAAGTGCAAATTGGTACAACCATTCTGGAGGAAGTTTAAAAAGTGGCCATAGTCTTTGATCCAAAAATTCTGCATCTAGAAGTCTGTCCTATTTGAATAGTTAGGGATGTCTGTAAAGATATCCATGCCATCATTATCAATAATAGAAAATGTCACTAACAACCTTAACATGTTATAATGTAAGAAAACACAAACTCTGTTTTCTCTTACTGTACTCTCACCACATAATCAGTATAATACTTCTGATACCAGATATGTGGGTTTTTATCCTTACACATCAAGTAAGTAATCAGTTCTACAAGGGACACCAGCTGGAGGTCTTCTAATTCAATTCTGACACTATCTACCTGGAGATAACATCTGATCCCATAGGTTGAGGGCTCAGTTCCACAAGACTGCCCCCAACTTCAGATGCCAATTTCAAGTACTAGGTTGCTACCTATGCTTCTGACCAATCAGCTGTAAATCAGAGTTTCCGTGACCCTCTCCCTTGGGTTCAATTAATTTGCTAAGACGGCTCACAGAACTAAGGAAAACATTTACTTATGTTTACTGGTTTATTATAAAGGATATTACAAAGGATACAGATGAACAGCCAGATAGAAGAGACGCATAGGAGCAAGGTGTGTATGCAGGGGCATGGAACTCCCATGCCCTCTCCAGGCACTCTAGCTTCTGGAAACCTTTGTTAATCTCTCTGGAAGCTCTCTAAGTCCTCTCCTTTTGGTTTTTTATGGAAGCTTCTTCACGTAGACACGATTGATTAAATCCCTGCCCATGGGTGATCAGCCCCTCTCCCCTCTCCAGAGGTTAGGGAGTGGGGCTGAAAAGTCCTAACCCTCTAATCCTGCCTTGGTCTTCTCTGCTAGCACCTCCCATCCCCACCAGTCAATCTACTAGCATAACCAAAAGGCACTCATCTCTTTGAAGATTGCAATGATTTTAGGAGTTGTATGCCAAGAAAGGGAAACCAGAACAAAGACCAAATATATATTTCACAGTACCACAACATGTAAAGAAATTATGACACTGCCCATCAACAGAATAGATAAATGCATTGTGTATATTCATACAATGACTTACACAGCAATAAACATGAATGGACTAGAACTATATGCAACAACATGGGTGAATCTTTCAAACATAACAAGTGAAAGAAGAAAACAATAATAACAGATTACAATTCTATCATATAAAGTTCAAAAATAGGAAAATTAAACTATTTTTAATGATGCAAACACAGGTAGTTAGAATCTAAGGGAAAACAATAAAGTGATTTCAGTTAAAGGCAAGATAGTAGTTGTCTCCAGGGAAAAGGAAGGAGGGAGGAGGGAAATACGGGGAGCTTCTGAGGTCTTGGCAATGTCTTCTTTTTTGTCCAGAGTGGTAGTTACATGGGTGCTCAAATTGCTCTGATTCTTTATGCTGTGTCTTCTGACCTCTGGTTCTTTCATTGCTAACCAAGATCAGAGAATGAGATTCTTTCCTTCAAAGTTATGAAGGAAACATCTCTGAATTTACTAAAATTCAGCATCAGCGAGGGGGAGAAATAGCTGATACAGCTTGCTAAATTTCTGCTCTTTAAACTAATTAGTTAAATAAAAATGTGTCTGAGTTGGGGGAAGTGATGGAGGAGAGAAAGCAAAGGCCAGATAAGCAGGGGTCACAGATTCAGCCCCCAATATATGTAGCTTCTGTTAAGTGCTACACACTGATCTGGACATTGAAATAGAGTAAGAAGTGATCACATCTGGCCTTAAGGAACTCACAGTGCAAGGTATGTGGCAGGATAGCAGTGAAATCAGTCATTTCTGGGAGATGAGAGAAAGATTTGAGGCCAGAGAAGAAGAAAAAAAAAAGAAACGAGGGTATTTTTTCTCTGACCCGCTATTTATATTCTACCCCTATTCAGCAGCAGTTAGAAACTATCTGGTATTCAGAAGGAAAGAACTGCTTCTTCCTTCCTTGCAGGCTTAAGTTCAAGCAAATGTCAGTGCATCTAGTGCCCTTGCCTAGGAAATAACAAGATTGCAAGTCCACAGGAACAACTGGGTTCTCCCGGGTCAAAAGGAGATGATGAGAGTGGAGGTCAAGAATTCTTCATGTTAAAAGATATTCTAGCATTAAATTCAGAAGCTAAAGTGCTTATTTGCAATTATTGTTAATTAAAACAACAACAGTAACAGCAATAATAAGGATGACTCTGAAATTTACTGAGGAAACAAAGATACCAGATGTTTAAAGTGCATTATTTTATTTTGTTGTATAATATAATAGGTAGTATTTTGATATTGTTAAAATTCCAAAGGGGAAATGGAGAAACAGAAGTTAACTTACTGGACCAAGGGCACACAGCTGGTTGGTGGCAGAGTTTGTGTTAGAACCAGATCTGCCTGACTCCTAAGCACCATACTAGGAGGTATCACATGCATATACTGTTGTGATATAGGTCCAGCCTCCAAGAGGGGCC
Source organism: Homo sapiens (assembly GCF_000001405.40). Classification (NCBI taxonomy): domain Eukaryota; kingdom Metazoa; phylum Chordata; class Mammalia; order Primates; family Hominidae; genus Homo; species Homo sapiens. The sequence continues at coordinate 118,867,800 of NC_000012.12, read as the reverse complement.
CTTAGCCATTTGGTACTGCTCTGCTTACTCCAGAAGCATTGACTTTGAGGGTAAGGGAATCTCCAGGCCAAGAAATGCAGGATGGCAAGCAAGAATTGGAATAATGTTGAATTGTTTTTGTGACTTTTCTCTAACAGTGCTCATGGTTCTTGGAGGGATGACCAGGCATCCTGAGGTCCTGGTGATAGGTGACTGTATTCCTGATGTAAGTTTGATTTATGTCTTAGTTTCCACTCTCTCCTCTCATGCTGGCCAGGGTCCTGGACCTTGAAATTGCTGAGGCGGAGGGAGAAGAGCTGGGGAGGAAAGTCTTTGGGCTCCATCGAGTCACTGGAGGAGGGATTAAATTAGATGTGGCAATTAATTGAGATCTTTAAATACTTCCCACTAGCATCAGGAGGAATCAGGGAAAGGGCAGATTCCATACCACTGGGTATTTCCTTCACCTCCTGGGTCAGTGATGAGATTTCTGCTGTCTTCCGTCAAATCACCTCCTCAGGCTACACCACTGTGAATCCATGGCTCATTCTTATGCTTCTGAGAGTGGTGAGATCATTGTCAGTGGCCTATGGGGAAGTGAATGAGACCGAGGACAAAGATTAAGAGAATACCGAGACTTGGGAAGGTCTTGAGGGAAAAGAGTAAAGTCATACAAGAGTTCCATGAATGATTCTGATAACGACAACCATTTGTTAAAGACTCAATACATACCAAGCTCTATGCTTACTGCTTTATTCCTATTATCTCATTAACTTCTCACAAGAAACCTACGAAGCAGGTACAATTATTAGCTCCATTTCACAGATAAATAAATTGAGGTTTATAGAGTTAAAGTGATGTTCTTAGGATACATAATTGGTAAGCTATGGTTTTGGAATCTGAACCCTGGCCTAACTTTTTCCAGTGGTTCATGCTCTTAGCATTACAAGATACTGCTTCTCAACTCAGAACAGTTAGTTCTGAAATGAATTTAGTAGATCCCAGACATTTAAAAATGAAATAGATGAGAAGAGGAGGGGAGGGGAGAAGGGAGGAATTATCAGAGTGCATTGGGTGTAATGAAATGTGAAACAAATATCAAACCGATATAAGCATTTATCTCCCACCGTGTGTGTGTGTGCACACATGCATCACCAGTTTTGCCATGTAAAATGTATTTTGCATGGTCAAATTGCTTTGAGAAACACTGCTTTAAGCTCTTAGTGTCTTCATTCTTTCAACAAAGTTCCAAATAGATGCAAGGTGCTGTCCGAGGTGCTGCCCAAGGTACCAAAAACACAGGTATTAATGCATGAGCCCTGTCCCAAAGAAATCCAAGTCCAGCACAGAAGACAGACTTAAAGAATGCCATATGCAAAGCCCTATGATGGAGGAAGCTCAGAGGGCTGAAAGGAAAGCTGAACACAGGTTAGGAGGAGGACAACTCTCAGGAAAAGCTTTGCAGAGGAGGGCCCCCACAAGCTGAGTCCTGAGGTTGTCAAAGCACATAGATGATGAGGTTCCTGGAAGAGAACATTGCTCTATCATCCACATAGTAAATGAGAAGTAAGAGTGCATCCCCATATTTGCTTCATGATAATGACAGAGGATAATTATTGAGCACTTACTATATGCCCCACTTTACAATCACAACAATCATACAAGGAGGGTCCAGGATGATCATCTCCAATTTATAGATGAGGAAATTGGGCTTCAGTGAGGTGAAGTGATGTGCTCAAGATATCATAGCTGAAAAAGTCAGGGACCAAATATATAGTTAAGCAGGTCACTCCAATGTGCATGTTCTCAATCACTGCTATATTCTTCCTCTCTAACCATACCAATAAAGAGTTTAGAAAGGGAGGAGAAAAAGCAAGGGGGACATTAAAGGAATGGGGTAGAGGTCAGGGGATCTTGAGGTCATGACTTTATATACATAAGCCCAACAAGCCTGGGAGGTAGGTACAATGATAATTCTACCATACAGATAAAGACAGTGAGGCTCAGAGAGACAGGGTGATGTCCTTCTCAGCAGCCACATCCATGTAAACCCTGGTCCTGGGTCTGCAATATCCAGGCTCCTGACTTCCTAATCCAGGGTTTGGGAAACACTCTTGCCTCTCAGGCCTTTGTGGGGAAGCCTCCACTGCTAGCCTAGCTGATGAGGCATCCCATCCCTGCCTGGGAAATGTGGGAGCCATGCACCAGTAGCCCCGAGCCCCAGAGGAGACGAGACTTCTAATTAGATGACTGTGTTCTGCTGTCTGCCCAGACTCTAGCAGACAAATGGAGATGAGATGAGAATCCCAAATCACTCTGTCTTTTAGGGCCTCTGAGGGTGGTGCCCCGGTAAGATGGCATTTCTGAAAAGTGGTGATGGGGCCTGGCTCTGGGATAGGAAAACAAAGAAGGGCTGCAGGAGGGAAGGAGAACTGGCAATGGAGTGTGGTAAAGACTTGATCCTTTCTCTCCCCACAAGGGAAAAAACAGAGATGAGCATTCATTGTCCTGCTTTTGAGTCTTAGGAAAGGTTAGCATCAACAGTTAGCTTTGTCAATTGGGAAGAGCCCAGCATTTGGGCAGAGAAGACAGGCTTTGCAGTCTTATTTCCCCTCCTAGCAGGTATATGCATCCTCTTTCATAAAATGGATGTAAAAATTGCCATACCTAGCCCTGATACAGAGTTCAGGGTGTGCCAGATTTTGTTCTAAAGTGCCACTTTTCATAATCAATTAGTTTAATCCTCAAAACAATTCTTCGAGGTAAATATGTCCATTATCCCCATTTTACAGATGAGGAGACTGAGACTCAGTAGTAATTTAGGTTATAAATGGAAGAGACAGGGTTTGAACCCCAAATGTAGGTCCTTAGCTGCTATTTTATGCCACTAGAAGAAAGAAATACATTATTGCAGATGGTGCTGCTTACTGAGCACATTCTATACCCATGTGCTCTCATTTAATCCCCCTGATATTGGTCTCATCAGCCCCATTTTACAGATGGGTCAACTCTAGGGCTTGGCGAGCTGTAGTAATGTGTATACGGTCCTAGAGAGGCCAGGATATAATCCCAGCTCAGGCTGATTCCCAAGCCCAGATACCTAGCCACCACACTGGTGGGCCCCCTTTCTGGCTAATCCTAAAAATCACCCGAGAGAGTGCTAAACATTCAGATTCCATTCGTATAGGCTTTCTGGAGTAGGTCTTAGGAATGTATGTTTAAAGTATACCCAAAGGGTTTCTAATTATGAGTCACTTGCAAAATTACATAAAATAATACAGAAATGTGTTGGCAAACTGCAAAGTGACATAAAAATGCTATGAAGTATCATAATAATAATAACGCATATCCTTAGTATTAATTAATGACAAGCCGTGGTAAATGTGTGCAAAGTTCTAATGAAGGTGATATCTGAAAAATGGAAGAAACACTTCCTGACCTCAAGAAGGTAGAAGTTTATCAGTTAAGATGAAGGCTGATTTGTTTGTTTATTTGTTTCTTTTTCAGGAGTGAGTTGCTAATAGAACATGCCAAGAAATAATAAGCTAATCCATGCTACTGCCAGCATAGAAAGCTGGTGGGCTTTTAATTACCTGTGTTCACAGAACAAAAGGAAGCTACAGTGTGTTTGAATTCCTTGAATCCATTCTGTCAGAGTGTGGGGAAAGGAGCTGAAAATATTCTAACCAGCAGGGAAGGTAGGTATATCACACTATGAATGCAGTGTCTGGGCATGGAAGTGGGAGGTTCTATCAGAAATGCGATAGAGCCAGCAAAAGAATATTATTGGACTTCCTAGCTCTCTGTGTATAGAAATCACCCAATTGTCATCAAGATAGAAACAAGCACACACTGCAAGCAGCACACAAACTAACTCAAATTGAACCCTATCTACTTAGCTAGGGTTCTGCTTATGATGTTCAGGACAACCATGACTTAGCATTCTTACAAACAAACATTTCTCTCTCTCCTTCCATTGCTAAATTTTTAATACTGTTTGCTCATGTTTTCTTTCACTCCTCTGATTCATTGAAAACTAAATTAAAACAAAAAATTATCTTTGCCCCTGGTCCTCTCTGGGCGCCCTGTTTATTTCTAACCCTGGCAAACCTTTTTAAAAGTACCTAGTGGTTTTCCCAGGATCCACTGATATTTTGCATCTGAAGATCCAAGAGAAGGGTTTAGGAAGTCTGCAATTTTTTTAAAGAGACAGGGTCTCACTTTGTTGCTCAGGCTGATCTCGAACTCGTGGGCTCAAACCATCCTCCTGCCTCAGCTTCCCAAAGTGCTGGGATTACAGGAGTGAGCTGCTGCAACGCAGCTCAGGAAAGCTGTATTTTTAACAAGACCCCCAAATTGAATTTTATGTGTAGACAAATTTGAGAGACACAGGGAACATCATCAGACTCATTCATTCATTCATTCATTCATTCAGCAATTACTTGCAGAGCACCTACTATGTGGCAGGGTCAAACTAAGACCAAGAGACATACTGATGAACAAAACCAGATAAGGTTCCCATACTCATGGAGCCTAGAGTCAAACAGAACAATGGAAGTGTCATAGAGAGTGCAAGAAATGTTTAAGGTCAAATTACGTGGGAGCTGGAAAAGGGAAAATCAGGGAGTTATGCTGGTCAGCCTAATTCAGACTGGAGGTGGGTGACCAGGTGAGGTTATCACCAGATGCAGCATTTTAATTAAAAGTTTAGAAGTGAACAAGGAAGAGAACGAGGCTGGGGTGAGAATCCAGGTGAGAAGGGAAGAAAGAGCTCCAAGGAGGGGAATTGCACATGTGAAGCACCTAAGACAAGAGGCAGAGACGCACCAAGGAACAGAAGGCGGGCAGGTGGGGCTGCAGTATTTTGACCAGTGTATCACAAAATCAGCATTTTGATCAATGTGTCACAAATTCAGAATGGAGTGGACACAGGGCCAGGTCCTCATGTGTCAGGAGTTTAGATTTGACCCTAAGACAGGTGAGAAGCTGCTGGAAGGTTTGAAGTGGGAATTGACATTATCTGAATTTACAACCTTTCAAAAACAGCAGAGGGCCTCCTCCCACCCCTATAGTACTTTAATCATCTCATGTCCATGGATAAGACTGCACTTTTCAAAACTGAAGAGTTGATTCCATTCTGGAATCCTGGGAGGAAAATTAGCCAGGAGTTGTGCTCTTCAGCCTCCATCCCACGCCCTTGGCCACTCTCCCAGAGGGTGAATAGAAGTCTATTTTGAAATTAAATGTGGGGTCACGAGGACAGGAAGGAAAAACCTCTCCATATGTTTGTGTGCTCTGCTCCCCTTCCTACCATCTTTTCAATTCCATACCTGCTGGAAATGAGTCTCTCTGCTGTGTTCTCCAGAGAGCAAAGTTATCAGAAAACTCCTCACACAATAAACACTGAAGAAGAGTTTATGAAGGGCCCTAGAGGAATGACATGCTGGGCTGGGCAAGGCCTGATTGCCCCAGGACTGTGGGTTATGAGCATTTAGGAGGCTGCACAGGGCATCTTGCAGGGTCTGCTCAGCATCCAGGACTCCTTCTGGTTTGGGTGGGTGGGGCTGGCTCCATATCTGCAGATAGGATAGCCCCGAACTGGCCAATCAGGTGTTCACATCACCCTGGTCTTATTGATTGACTGAATGATAGGATTATGAACCAATCACAACAAACAAGACTCTATCCTTTGAATTTGCGGGAAATGCCAGGAAAGGGAAATACCTCCATTTTGTTTTTTGGGTTTTCTTTTCTTCTCTTCTCTTTTTGAGACAGAGTCTCACTGTTGCCCAGCTTGTAGTGCAGTGGTGCAATCTTGGCTCACTGCAACCTTGGCCTCCCAGGTTTAAACAATTCTCCTTGCCTCAGCCTCTCGAGTAGCTGGGATTATAGGCTTCCGCCACCACGTCTGGCTAATTTTTGTATTTTTTAGTAGAAATGGAGTTTTGCCATGTTGGCCAGGCTGGTCCTGAACTCCTGACCTCAGGTGATCCATCCGCCTTGGCCTCCCAAAGTGCTGGGATTATAGGCCTGAGCCACTGCGGGTTTTCTAAAAGAATAGGATATGAGCCTGGAGCTGCTGGTTATCTTCTTGTTATCACAAAGGGAGAGCCTGCCTGAGAATGAAACCAACATGCAGTAACTAAGAGCTGAGACGGGGGAAGGGGAAAGGATGGGAGGAGACAGAGAGGAACAGAGAGAGGAGGCTACAGAGGATGTCATTTGACCCAAGGGATCCAGCTGGAATGGCCAATGTTTCAGTTACATGAACAAATATAAATCATTTTGGGGGCCTAATTATCTTTGAATTAGGCTTCTGTGTCTTGGGACCCAGAGTGCCAAGTCTTGCAGATGCATTCTCCCTTCTCCTCAAACTTTCACTGCATGTCATCCCAGCAAGCTTTGGGAATGTAGGAGATAGAAGTGGGTCATGCCAAGGGCTATCTGTGCAGGCTGTGTCTCTTTAGACATGAACAACAGGAGAATTCGAATTCCCATAAACGGGAGAAGAAATAAAAGTAGGACATAATTCAGTTGCAGCATGCAGGATTCAAACTAGACTCCTGGAAAGACTTCCTTAACCGAGAGATTCTCTTGAAGGAGAGTATTCCTATCAATAGTCTCTCCATGATCATTCCTTTAATTGGAGCAGACAGCTCTTTCTCAATTCACCTGTCTGCTCTGTATCACAATGTTTCCAAAAAAAGTGAAGGAAGAAAAGGAGGAAAGAGAGAAAAAAAGAGGGAAGGAAAAAGGAAAAAAGGGAGGGAGGGAAGGAAGAAGGAAGGAAGGGAGGGAGGAAGAAAGGAAGGGAGGGATGGAGGGAGGGTAGGAAGGAAGGAAGAAGAAAGAAAGGAAGAAAGAAAGAAGGAAAGAAAGAAAGGAAGGAAGGAAGGGAGAAAGGAAGGAAGGAGAAGGGAAGGGGAAAGAAAAGAAAAAGAGTTTTCTTAAATCAGCAGTTCTCAATCCTCACTACATATCTGAATCACCTGTGGAGCTTCTGAAGCCAACTCATGTGCAGGTTCTACCTCCAGAAATTCTGATTTAATTCATTGTGGGTGGGAGGAAAAGTTGGCATTCTTTGAAGGCTACTGAGTAGTGCTGGTGTCTTCCTCATGAAAGTGTGGTCCATGGATCTGAAGTGTCAGCATTGCCTGGGAGTGTATTAGAAACGCACATGTCTCAGGTCCTGCCCCAAACGTGCAGAATCCCAATCTGTGTTTTCAGATGATCCCTAGATAATTCAGATGGTTCATGTGCACATTCAAGTTCAAGAAGTGTTAAGAGACAGGAACTCCCCCGAATCTAGCTTCAATTCTTGGGAGAAGACATTGCTCTGTGCCCTGTGACACTCACAGTGTCTTTAGAGGAGCAGCCTGCCCTGGTGGGGAGGGGCAGGTGTGACTCTTCAAATAGAGAGGAGAGGACCACTTCAGCCAGGGAGATGGAGTTATCCAGAGCTCCCATGCCTGTCTATTGCCTCTGCCTTCCAGGAATGACACACCATGCTGTGCAATGGGCACTTCAATAACCCACAAACAGAGCAACCCAGAGTTACAACTCCAGAGCAGCATCCCACAATTACAACCGAGGAAATCATTTTTATGTTTCATTAGTGTTCCTTAATAGAGACGATCTGCTCCCAGGTGTGACTGCCTCAGTGACAAGCTGGACTAGCCGCTTACCCTTTCTACCAGCCAACTCAGACGTAAATGTGAATCACCAGGGAGATTCTGATTTGGTTCTTCCTGGGTGGGGCCGGGATTCTGCATTTCTAACCAGGTGGTGCTGATGCTGCTGGTTCTTTGAGTCTTGAGGAGGACTTAGCCTCCACACATATGTCCAGAAGACCCACTAGGAAGCATTCCTGTGCTAAGAGTTTTCTCTAATGCAACCTCATTTACTTCTAACAATGCCACAAGGTGGTGGAACAATTATAAATCACACCATTCTTCATCAGAGGCAACTGAGACTCAGAACCCACTTGAACCTCAGTTGGCTGAATTCCCAGACCTGACCAAGCATTAGAATGGCCTGGGGACCTTTTCAAAATCAACTCCCTGGAAGATTTTGATTCTGGGGTGGGTGCAGGAATATGTATTTTTAAAAGGTCTTCAAGTAATTACAATGTAACTAGTATGTGGACTGACTTGCTTTGGGGAATTACAAGTAAGACATCACTACCTGTCTAGAGCAGATCACAGCAATCTTGTCCTTCCTATTTCCTTTAGAGTAGCTGTATCTTATTTTCTTTATGTCTTTGACACCTAGCCCAAAACCTGTCAAAACACAAGAGCTTAATAAGAGTTATTGATTGGCTAAAAGGATTGAGAACTGGATAGTGGAAGGATGGATGCATGCATGTATGTATACAAGGATGGAGGAAGAAGGGTGGGAGGGAGAAACAAACAAAGGTGGGAGGAAGGAGAAATCACTTTGGGGTCTCCTAGAGCTTGCTGTTTACACACAAACTTGCATCAAGTTCTCAGAAGCATTTTTTAAAATCCATAGATATAAAATAATGGGTAGTATCTCAGCAGGTGAATAATGCAAGATGCAATGACTGTATTCACAGGATGCACCAAAATCCATGCCAACTAATGGACAAAGGAGGGAGGCAATGGAAAGCCTGACTCTGTTGGAAGATGTGAAAGGACTGTGTCAGCATCTGTGCCAACCAGCATGACTGGCTCCCTAGGTGTCAGTGATTAACCTAAAGCCACAGCCTATTTGCAGAGACAAGCCTCCCTGGGCTCATTTTTGCCAACTTGAATATAACCTAGTCCTTCTTCTTCTTCCACTCTTCTTCCTGACCTGGCCTCCTTTTTATCTTAATTTCCTGCCTTTCCCTCTGTCTTGTTCTCAGGGTCTTATAACCTTCTGTTCAATGCTCAGTGCTCCTCACCTCTATCTTTCTCTAGAGGTAAAATTGGGACCACTTTCTCATCAAGATCAATCCCATTATCATCAAGCATATAGAACCAGCCCGTCTTCAGCACAACCACAAATTAAGTGAAGGTAGTCTTCATATTCTTACTATCCCCCAACCCCATTGAAACTCAAGCCTCCCTTCTCCCAACCCCACACCAAAGAGTCATTTTCCCATCCAGTCCCATAGCTTTCAAGAGCTTCTATACACTGATGACTCTGAGATTTATATCTTATTTTATTGTTTTGTAGAGATAGGGTCTTAGTCTATGGCCCAGGATGGAGTGCAGTGATGTAATCATAGCTTACTTCAGACTCATATTCCTGGACTCAAGAGATCCTCCCGCCTCAGGCTTCCAAGTAGCTAGAACTACAGGTGTGTGGACCATGCCCAGCTACTTCAAATTTTTTTTTAAAGACAGGGTCTTGCTATGTTGGCCAGGCTGGTCTCAAACTCCTAACCTCAAGCCATTTTCCCACTTTAGCCTCCCAAAGCGCTGGGATTACAAGCATGAACCACCATGTCTGGCCTGAAATTTACATTTTTAATTGCAACTTGTCCCCTTACTTCCAGGCTTGTATATCTGAGTGATTAGGATCTCCCCTTGGCAGTCTAACAATGATTTTAACCTATCTACAACCAAACCTCTAACTCTCATCCATTCTTCTCCTCCCACGGTCCTCTCCACCTTAGTTGTGGGACCACTAATCACCCAGTCTCAATCATCCTTGATCATTTTCCATCTCTCACTCCCAGAGCTAATTCTTTGGGAAGTCCTGAGAGTTCAACCTTCACCATATATTCTGAACTGGAACCCACATCATCCCCTTCATTACTGCCCTGGTCCAAGCCACCATTGTCTCCCTCCTGGATAATTTCAGCACCCTCCAAATTGGTCTTCTGGCTTTTCTTACTGCCTTTCACCATGTTCACTGTCTCTACAGAGGCCAAAATGAACCTTTGAAAATTGACATAAGCTCATATCACTCATCTGCTTAAGCCTCTCTTAAAGCTCACCATCCCTCCACCATTTAGCTATTTTACTGTGGCCTTCAAGGTCCTAAACAACCTTGTCCCAGGCTACCTCTTCAACCACACTAACATTCTTTCTGCTCACAATACTTTTGGGTATTCCTAACGTATCTACAAGCAAACCTAACTCTCCTCCACTCTTCTCCTCCTATGGTGCTCCCCAGCACCAACCTCCTTCCCACCTCCTTTGAACTTGCTGCTGGTTCATTCTTCACTCAAAGGATGCAGAGAAAGGGGAACTCATATACTGTTGGTAGGAATGTAAATTAGTACAGGCACTATGGAGAACAGTATGGACATTCCGCAAAAAACTAAAAATAGAACTACCACATGACCTAGCAGTCCCACTTCTGGGTATATGCCCAAAGGAAAGGAAATCAGTATGTCAAAGGGATATCTGGACTCCCCTATCTATTGCAGCAGTATTCACAATAGTCAAGATAATAGAATCTACTTAGCTGTCCATCAACAGATGAAGAAAATGTGGTTTATATACACAGTGGAATACTATTTAGGCATAAAACGAACACAATTCTATCATTCACAGAAGCATGGATGAGCTCAAAGGACACTATGTTAAGTGAAATAAGCCAAGCACAGAAAAATAAATACCCCATATTCTCACTCATATGTGGAAGCTGCAAAACAGATCTCACAGAATTAGAGAATAGAATAGTCTTTATTAGAGGTGGGGAAGGATGGGAGGAGGGGGGATAGCTAAGGTTAGTTAAGGGAAACAAAAGTACAACTAGTAGGAGAAATAAGTTCTAGTGTTCTACAGTACTACAAGGTGACTATCATGAAGCACAATTTATTGTATATTTTCAAATAGCTAGAAGAGTGGATTTTAAATGGTTTCCACACAAAGAAATGATAAATGTTTGAGGTGATGGATATGCTAATTATCCTGATTTGATCACTACACATTGCATCCATGTATGGAAATATCACATTTTCCCTCTTAAATGTGTACAATTGTTATGCATCAATTAAAAATAACAAAAGCAAAACAAAATAAAATAATGTCTTGTCATTCCTCATTCTCTCTCCTGAACCCATTTTATTTTCCTTCATAAAACCTATTACCAACTCATCATATTTATAAACACATACCCATCTACTCTTGCATTTATTTCCTTATCATCCGTCTCCATCCAACAATAAAAGAGCCTCATAAGACCTTTTCTATACTGATCTCAGACGCATCCCTGATGCCTTGGACAGTGCCTGGAACATAGCAGATATTCAATCTAGTTTTGAACAAATGAGAATTGTCTGCCTCTGCCTAGCTCAGCAGCATGTTAATCTGGATTATAAGAACCATGCTTTATCCATTCATATATCCATCACTGTCCTGGCATTTTGCTTTTCAACAAATAAGCTCAGTAAATGCTTGCTACCATATGGCTTGTCAAGTAAGTAATGATACATTCACATCATGGAATTCTATATATTCTTATTCCATTTTTGTAAAAAAAAAAAGTCATAATGCTATGGAAAAGAAGACAAGAAGGTTATACCCCAAAATGAAAATAAGACAATCTTTGTAGGATGATGGCTAAAGTTTTGTTTCTTTGTTGGATTTTCTTCATTTTCTGATTTTTCTACAACAAAAATTTATCACTCGCACAACCAAAATCTAACTGCAAAACATTTTAATGTAATCCTGTTTGAAGGTAAAAACACTAATCATCTAATACTCTGACAGTTTATATGCTGAGACCTGGATTCTCACCTCTGCTCTTTAGGTTGCTCCCGGACAAGTCACTATCTTCTAGGACCAAGGCTCAGTTTATTCCTCTGAAAAATGGGGACATTATTTGTTCTTGACATAGAAATGTGATGAGGCTCAAATAACAATGTCTACATGCAAATATTTTGAAAACAGAAACAGCAGTACATTTTGAGGGCTTATCAATAATGAATCCTTACAGAGCATTGGTAGATATTACAGAGTTTGCTCCCTTCTTAGCAAAGACATTTGCATAGCCATGCTTCATCCCAAGGGGGTACCTCATGATGGAAATGTTAGGCACTGTAGGGAGGAAAATGGAGGAACCAGTTTTTCATCAGGCCGCCCTTTGGGCTCCCCTAGATTCCCATTACTAAGTGACCACCCACTGTTTACATGCAAGACTTAATGTTTCAGGGCATTCTACTGAAATGACCCCTCTGGGGAGGAAGGTTACAGCAAAAACTAAAAGCAAGCAATTGGACCATGAAACCCCCTTCCTTTCCCTTTCCCTTCCAGTCATACCCAGATTCCCAACTATACCCCGTAACCTGCCCAAATATGCCAACACACACAAGCATGCATATGACTAAACAGCCTTCATTTAAGTTTTGACAATTCTCCCTTTAAAAATAACAGTGCATCTGAGAGTCTGTGATATTTCGCCCAAATGGAGCTGAGTGCTGCAGACCAAGGATGACGGCAGACAGGAAGGGTTGGCTCATTAACCTTGCCTAGTATCTCCTACCACAGTCTCACAGAAAAAGGCTCATTGGGCAGTCACCAGATGAAACCTCCGTTAGGTTTCTTCCTGATGTATGGGCCTCAGTTTCCCCATCTGTAAAATTAGGAGGATAGCAGGGAACAGGGAAGCAGGTAGGTATCTATCTTACATACATCACCTTGTAGTATCCTATTTTTTAAAATTCAAAAGAAATTAGCCCAGACCCTCATCCCACATGCAGCAGAAGACAGGTTCTTTTCCAAACTGGTCCAGGGAAACTTAAGGGTGAAGGTGGAGCTTGTATTTCTTTATATCCAGATTTTCTCTCTCTCTCTCTCTCTCTCTCTCTCTCTCTCTTTCTCTCTCTCTCTCTCTCTCTCTCCTCTCTCTCTTTAAGACAGGGTCTGTCTCTGTTGCCCACACTGGGGTACAGTGGCATGATCCTTGACTTCTCAGGTTCAAGCGATCCTCTCACCTCAGCCTCCAAATTAGCTGGAACCATAGGTGTGTGCCACTGTGCATAGCCATTTTTTTTTTCCGAAGAGACAGGTCTCACTATGTTGCCCAGGCTGTTCTTGAATTCCTGGGCTCCGCTGAAGCTCTCACTTCGGCTTCCCCAATTGCTGGAATTACAGGCATGAGCCACCACATCCAGCCTGGATTCTCTGTTTTGCTGAGTTGGTTCCTTTTGTGGATCAACACTTAAGCACCTTACATGCTCTCTTCTTTTCCCTTATTATGTCATCTCATACTGAACACTGCTCCCATTCCTTTATTTCCCCAAATGCCACCAACACAAGTGTCAGCAAGTATGAAAGACTAGAATTGTCAGTTTTGATCAACAAATTGGAAATGAGGTATTCTGACTTTTGAAATCTTTGTCTGCTCTACCATAAGGAATTTCCCGTGTTCTCTTCCATTCTCTTTGAAGCTCCACTACCCAGCATGTAGCTCAGCCTCTTTTCTCCTACACTTCCTTTCTCTTTTCTGCCTCTCCTGCTCATCCATGATCTTGAATTCTTATTCATTTGGCAGAACAATTGACCTCTTATTTTGTTTTGCTATTTTGTTATAGCTTATGTCCATCAGGCCCTGTCTTTAACACCTAAAACAACCTGTAAAAATATATCCAAGACAAAGATGGTTTTCTCTCTAAAAGGACCTCTGGATGCCAAAGAGCTTTTTTTGATACCTGCCACCAATCTCTGATTTCATGCCCAAAACAGTCATCACTAATCAATCTCACCACTCTTTGCTACCAATAGGGCCTCTTCCCAACAGGTAAGTGTAGCCAGACTGTATTAGTCTGTTCTCATGCTGCGAATAAAAACATACCCAAGACTGGGTAATTTATAAAGGAAAGAGTTTGACTCACAGTTCAACATGGCTGGGGAGGCCTCACAATCATGGCAGAAGGCAAATGAGGAGCAAAGCTACATCTTACATGGTAGCAGGCAAGAGGGCATGTGCAAGGGGACTCCCCTTTATAAAACCATCAGATGTCGTGAGTCTTACTATCATGTGAACAGCATGGGAAAACCCCACCCTCATGATTCAATTACCTGCCACCGGGTGGCTCCCACGACACATGGGGATTATGGAAGCTACACTTCAAGATGAGATTTGGGTGGGGACACAGCCAAACCATATCACAGATGCTACCAGTTGACAACAGCTGCCACATTAGGTGCAATCTCTGTGCACTCTCTGATCCCCAGATGACATCCAAGTTTCCTTCTAATTTTGATTTTCTAAGGTTACCGAGAGCAGAATATTCACTGCAAAAAATCAACTGATGACCTTATAGTCATGTGCATGGAAATAGTCCAGGTGATCTGAATAGGACATATTCTTGCCTCAAACAATTCCCTTCCCTCAGCTCCAACAGTGTGCCACAGACCCTAATGCCACCCACATTTGGTTACATCTTTGGATTAAAATAGGAAATATCCTGGTTAAATAAGCATAACATACCTTGTTCTCTGCTCAGAATGTTCTCCCCCACCTTTTTCTTTGGTTTGACTTTCTTCTACTCAATCCTCTAGGCTCAGCTGAAACGTCATTTTATCCAAACAGACATCTCTGATAACCCTTCCCCCAACATAGGTCAGGTCCCCCTCCCTTTACCAGGTGCTCTTACAGCACATGTACTTCCCCTGTCTAACTTTCACCAGCATTTAATTATATCATTTTATTTATTGTCTACCATCCCAACTAGACTCTAGCCCTAGCACCAAGACATGCCCGAACATAGAAGATACTCAGTAAATATTTGCTGAATGATTGACTGGTTATTGATTGATTAATATCTACTTGCCAGGGAGGTTGTGAGACTTAGAGATGCATACTGTATATAAAATACTTAACAAAGTGCCTGGGATATAGTAAGTGCTTCATAAAGAACAGTAATAAGAGTATTACTAATAAAGGATTCTGTGTTCTCTCTCTCTCTCTCCCTCTCTCTCTCCTCCTCTACCCCTCTCTCTGTACTATCTCATTTAATCCTCACAACAACATCTACAAAGGCATTGGGGTTGTTCCCAGCAGAAAAATGAGGAAATTGAAGCTCAGGGAAGTGAAATGACTTGCCCAATACTGCTAAGTGGCAAGTTCAGAGCCTCTGCCTGTGGGCTGTCCTAGAGGGATCAGAGAAGAGGCATTAGGACAGGGACTTGAAGGTGAGTGAGGTCTACACTGCAAGGAAAGGGTGAGTAGAGTAGAAGGGCTAACTAAAGCTCTAAGCCTTGGAGTCAGAGCAGCCTGCGCTCCAATCCCTCCCCACCCATTTCCTAGCCCAGTGGCTTGGGCAAGTGACTTTACCCCTCTGAACCTCAGCGCTCTCCTCTATAAAAGGTAAATAATAATACTTCTATCTGTAACTGTGGTGATGAAACACGATCCCACAAGTGAAGCCCTTGGCAACTTGGCACATTGTGTGAATCATTATGCAATACTCATAAAATAAACTTGAAAATTTTTCTTTCTTCTTGATTTTCTTCTCCTCTCTCCTCTGTCTCTTCTCTCTCTCTCTCCCTCTCTCTCTCTCTCTCTCACACACACACACACAAGCAAACACACATCCTCTGATTCTTAGAACACTTTTAATGTGTAAAGACACTGAGCAGAAGTTTCCCTACCCATTGCTCAGTAGAAAGATGTGTTTTCGGGAGAACAGGGTTCTTTCCCTAGTGCTTGAAAACAAAGGGAGATTATTGGGTACAATTAATTGTTCAAACTGCCAGAGATGTGAAAGTAGAGGGAGTAAACAGATGCTGCTCTGAGCTCTGTGCTCATTAACTCAGAGAAGGGATTCATTTCATATGCATGATTAACTCCCCATCGTTGGTGATTTACACAGCAGATGATCAAATGAGAATTCATTATCCCTCAGACAGAGGGTCTGAGAACTAGGCATTCAGCCTCCTGAGACATCTCTGTCCCCTAAATTCCTAGGGTGTCTGTGATTAGCACCTTGACCCAAGAATATGCTGTTTATTTTGGTCAAGTTCTCCCAGGGGCTCTAAAAAGAGCAGTCATCAAAAGCAGCTCCGGATGAGCCACAAGAACTCTCCCATGGCTGGAAGGGACCCAGAACTCAGCCACCTTTAGTCTCCACTGCATCTTGCCATTGTTTAAAGGAACAGCTGTATTCTGCAACATAATGCCAACCATGGCAAGGCTCATGTTCAGCAAAGAAAACTCTCAGGACCAAAAGGAAGAGCTAACATCAGAGTGCAAGGTTGAGCCATAGAGACTTGAAAAGTATTTATTGAGCCTACTACAACATAAAAAATCAAGAATATCATAGCCTCTTTCCCCCACATTGGACAGAAAATGTCTTCCTGGAAGGCTGAGTGATTACCTTTAGTGCTAAGTAAGTGGCACAAAAATGCAAGGGGCTCTACAATGCCCTCACCTTCCAGAAAAGGGTAAGCCTACTCTAAGGGCTTTCTTTAATCATCAATGGCACAGAGACCAAAGGATGAGGAACCAAAACTATTTGAGAGAAAGAGCAGGGTCTCTGCTCTGCACTGTCCTCTATCAAATAGTCTTACACCATTCACCATGAGACAGGATTTGTTGGGGAGATGGTGGTGATTCAGACACTTCAGAAGCTCAGGCTAGAAGTGGTAATGGAGTAAGGACCTGAAGAATTAGATGACAAATTTTTCATATTCCCCTCTCTGGACCAGGGCTTTGCTGTGATGAATTCTTTACTAGGACTCAGAAACAAGGGAAAAATAAGAACCACCCTTGTAATAATTTTTCATAGAACTAAATTCGTTTGTTAAAATAATTCTTTATTTTGAAATCATGCACTTCCTTCCCTTTCTCTCATGTTTAAATAAGTTTCTTGGCTGGGTGCAGTTGCTCATGCCTGTAATACCAGCACTCTGCAAGGCTGAGGTGGAAGGATCACTTGAGCCTAGGAGTTTGAGACCATCTTGGGCAATACAGGGAGACCCCCATCTCTATTTTTAAAAAAAATCTTTAAAAAATAAATACTAAAAATAAAATAAAAGATAAAGAATTAAATTTCTTTTATAAAATGAGGGTGGTGACAAGATCTGTTTGTTTCAAAGGCTTTTTAGCAAAATCCAAAGTTGCCGAATCAATGTCAGACATCTTCTTTAAAAAAAATCATGAAATTTCCAAGTCAGACAGCCACAGCTATAAATAAAGGCAGTATAGATAAAGCTCTATGGAGGCTTAGCAAGGAGGGCGATATCTCTTCTCACTTGGGTGAAATCAGAAAAGGCTTCAAAAGAGTTGACATTTGGGTTGAGACTTTAAAGATGGATGAGCTTTGTATACATTGCGTTTGAGGTGAATTCGAAAGGGCATTCCAGGTGGAGGACACAGCCAGAACAAAGGCACAAGGATGGCAAGAGAATCCCAGAATGAATCATGCTGCAGGAATAGCAAAGACCTTGTTTAACCAGAGCAGTGGTATCTAACCGGCAAGCCACCGCCTCCTAGAGGGCTGCAGAGGTATTGCAAGGCATCTGTTAATGTCTCATCCCCAGTACAATTACTTGCCAATGTCTGTATGTTCATCCCTTTGAAAGAGTTACTGAATGCGTAGATATATTTGGTCAACAAATGGCTCCTTGAACAAAATTTATTCAGATACCTGCTATTTTAAAAATCCATGTTTTTTTAATGTCAAAAAGAGATCCTTATGCTCATTCCCTATCCATTCAGCAAGAATTCATTGAGAACCCACTATATGCCAGGCACTGTACTCAACACAACCTGCTTTTCTGAGCAAGATTTGGACCAGGGACACCACTGAGAAGGTTCTTGTAATCTGGGTGAGGGATAGGGGAGAGACAGGCTGGGATGATAGCAAAGAAAAGGACAGAAAGTGGGCAGATTCGGGCATAATTGAAAGTAAAATAAACCAGACTTGCCAGTGTATTTGACGTAATCAGAGAAAGACAGGAATCAAAAATCATTCCTAGGATTTTAGCCTGAACAACTAGGTATGATGTATACACCTACTATGTACTCACAAAAATTAAAAATATTTTTTTAAAAAAATATAGAGAATGGCAAGAAGTTAAAAGCTCTTTCTTGTGTGAAATAACCCAAGATCAAATTCTCCCTTCATCACTCACTGGCCGTGTGACCTTGTGCAAGTCACTCAACTTCTCTAAGCCTCAGTTTCCTCATCTGTAAAATGGTAATGCACATAAAGCACTGAATACCATGTGTATGGAATACAGTAAATGATGATACTACAGTATGATAAAAAGGTTGAAAGCATCGAATATTAACATAAGGCTTGTAAAGGTGGGCGAGAGGGTCTTCGGAAATAACTCTGGAGACCAGAACATGAGGGTGAAGTGAAAGGGGAGGACCTCAAATGCCAAACCAAGAAGCCTAGACATTCATAACTGAAAGTGTTTTCTCTATTTACTCCAGAAAATCAACAGCTTGGGATTCCTGAGAATACCTGGGGAAGATGATCTTCAATCAGCCAACACTTGCTGAGCACCAACTGTCCATAAAAGTCACCATGCTTGGCAACATGTATGATGCAAAGAAAGATAAGACATCATTTCTGCCCCTGAGAAGTCAATTGAATCTCAAAAGTCACAGATCAGAAGTGTTCATCTTTAACAGTGTTCATCTTTAAACAACAGCATACTATAAGATAGGTCCTGATGGAAAGCTGGAAGTTCTTGAGATCCTTATGAGGACTTAGCTGGAAATCTCCTGGGTGATATCAGCATGGGTCTTCCCTTAATCTCTGCATCAAGATGTTCATCCTCACACTACATAAGAACAGAAGTGATATGCTCACTTTGTTGAGTTCCCATTCATCATCCTTCACCCTGACAATTTTTGGTGTACCCAAATCTGATCCACTTTACTAGCCCAAGACGTCCATACCCTAGATGTTGTGAGTATTGGCTGCAAGGCTGACATCTGCCCTAGAGGAAAGTTGCTGTCAGCCAAACAGGAACTGTCTCACCCAGAAAGCTCATTTTAGGTACACAACTTCCTTCAAGACAGCCTGCATCCAACAACTGACTGACCTGGAGTTTTAAAAGGCTCATCCCCTTGCTTTAACATGGGATCAATTCTGCACAATTCATGCTCCAGAGCTCCCTGTGGGACCAGGCCATAGTTTCCAACTGAGGCCATACCCTTGCTTGGCTCCTTCCCCTGATCACTCCTGCTTCTTTTCCTCCCCTTCTCCTTTTCTTCTAAGGGTCTTAACTCAATATATTACATTCATGAGAATCTCAATCTCATATTCTTCTTCTACAGAACCTAACCTAAAATCTCAACCTTGCACTCTACTCTCTAACCCAATGTTATTGTTAATAATAGATAATATTTTTGAACTTCTACTATGTGCCAAACAACTCTTTATACAACTCATCTTGTATTTTCTCACGGGTTCAGTGCTATTACCCCATTACAAAGATGAAAAAACAGAAGCTCTAAGAGGTTATCATGTCTGGTATGCCTAACAAGTTTCCTCTGGCCTCTGGGAAAGAACCTGGATGTCCTATGGGACTGCACTCTTCATTCTGCAAAATGATTCTTTCCTCCCTTGCAAATGCTCTTCTGAGCTCCTGTGAGCTCCTCTTCTTTCCCCCTGCCTTCTTACTTCTCATATCCACCCACCCCCTCTGAAAACCAGTGGTCAGTTATGTGGGTTTCACAGCTCAAGATCTCCTAGGGCAGAAAATTCAATTTATTTCCATCTGCTTTAGTTTTCTCTCAGAATGCCTTTTTTTAAAATTGGCAATAAGCACTTTAGTTCTCCCAAGGATTGTTCACTCAACAACATGTTCCTAGCATTTTTAATAGGTATGTGTTGTGGGAGGAGGGATCATACATCCTTCTCTTCCAAGTGCTTAAAATAATTGATGAGATCAGGGTCTACTCTGGAAATCACAGAGGGTTCTCTCTCCCCCTCAAAAAGGCTAGTGCCAGCAAAGTAAAAAGGTAAATATCCAAACCCTTCCTGGAGGAAGGGACATAAGAGAGTGAGGATGACTTAAAAAAAAAAGAAAAGAAAGAAAGGACAGGGGTGTGGTGGATATAGCTAAAGGAAGAAGGAAAAATATAAGGAAGAAGCCTACATGCTTTACATACACTGTTCCTTCTGCATGGAATGGCTTCTCTCCTTCTCCAACTATTGTACTCTTATTCATGCTTCAAAACCCAGTTTAAATTTCATCAACTCTAAGAAGATTTACATGAGCTTCCCCAGCCTCCCTACACAGTCACTGCTGCCTGTGGACATACAGAATACAACCCATTCTCAAAATGTATTAATAGAATGAATGGTTAATGGGTACAAAAAAATAGAGGGTCGGGTGTGGTGGCTCACGCCTGTAACCCCAGCATGTTGGGAGGCCGAGGTGGGTGGATCGCGAGGTCAGGAGTTCAAGACCAGCCCGACCAACATGGTGAAACCCCACCTCTACTAAAAATAAAAAATTAGCCAGGTGTGGTGGTACATGCCTGTAATCCCAGCTACTCAGGAGGCTGAGGCAGGAGAATCACTTGAACCTGGGAGGCAGAGGTTGTGGTGAGTCAAGCTTGTGCCACTGCACTCCAGCCTGGGCAACAAGAGAAAAACTCCATCTCAAAAAAAAAAAATAGTTAGAAAGAATGAATAAGATCTACTATTTGATAGCACAACAGAGTGACTATAGTCAATAATAACTTAATTGTACATTTAAAAATAAAAGAGTATACTTGGATTGTTTGTAACACAAAGGATAAATGCTTGAAGGGATGGATACCCCATTTTCCATGATGTGATTATTACACATTGTATGCCTGTATCAAAGCATCTCATGTACCCCATAGATATATACACCTACTATGTACCCACAAAAATTAAAAATAATTTTTTAAATATAAAGAATGTCAAGAAATTAAGAGCTCCTTCTTGTGTGAGATACCCCAAGATCACTCTCCTGTCATCACCCACTGGCTGTGTGGCCTTGTGCATGTCATTCAACTTCCCTAAGCCTCAGTTTCCTCAGCTGTAAAATGGTAATACACATAGAGCACTTAATGCCATGTGTCTGGGATACAATAAATGCTCAATAAAATGATACTAAATTTCTTTATTACTATCACCATCAACACTCCCTCCTCTGAATTCCCTAAGCACCATTTTCCTATTGTTCATTCCATTAATTTGCTATTTACCCTAGATGGCCTTGCTTTGTTAATTAACATTCCATGTGTGCATATCTCTCTTCCTTAACTACATTGCAAGGTCCCTGGGGACAGGAAGTGCATCTTATACTTTTATATCCCACACAGCTGTGAGAGCAGCGCCAAACACATAGTACACGCTCAAATATTTGCTGACTAAATTCTTAAAGCTTTGGCTACAAGTATAGGTGCTTATTTTCCTTGGCAACAGGACAAATAACATTTGTGTTTACACTCTTGTTTCCAAGGCTAATTGATGTGGGTCTTAAACTCATAAAAACCCCTTTAAACTCTCCTCTAATAATGGCAGAAGCCATCAATTAAACAAATCATTAGATGTATCAACAATCTATTAATCCACTCTTAGTGGAGGGACATTGGTTGATTTTGAGCTGAATGGCTGCACGGTGGAATTGGACTTAACTGGAATATTCTTTTTAGTTTCTAGCTCTTAATCAGCATTGCTTACTCTATGAAATGAGGATTAAATGATAATGTAGCCAATACAAATATGGATATAGATAGGGATATGCAGATAGCATCTCACCCAATTCCTGGCATATCATAAATCCTTAATACATGATGGCTTTAAAATTTAGGAGGAGAGCTGGATAATAGAAAGGAGGTTCAAGCCCTAGCTCTGCCTCTTGCCAGCTATTATGTGGTCTTGGGCAAGTCATTTTATCTCTTTGATCTCTAATTTCCTCATAAGCGAAATAGGAATAAAAGTACTTGCATTGCAGAATTATTATGAGCATTAAATGAGGTTATGTATATAAAATGATAGTGTCCCAATCTATTTCACCCAACCTTCCTGCCTTCAGGCATCATTTTCTCTACTTCTACCATCCTTCATTCATTCAGCAAATATTTACTAACCACCCACTGTGTTCCAGAAACCATGCTTGATGCGAGAGATACAGTGCGGAAAAAAGAACAGAGTGCCTGTCCTCATGAAGTTTATAGTCTAGGGAAAGATACAATCAGTTAGTACAAGAGAGTAGCAAGTGCCCTTACAGAAGGTGGTGCTGGGGACCAAGGGTACACGTTGGAGACTGAATGAAGGAGGAGGTCACTAAAGGCTTCCCCAAAAGAAGTGAGTGTCAGCTATCGATACCAACACTCAGCTTCCACCCACCCTCTGATCTGTGTGGCGATGCTGGGCTGCAACGACATCCTGCCTTGCCTGCCTCCCTGGTAGATTCTGTAAGATGAATGGCTCCAGAGATGACTTCAAGGACGGAGGAGGCTGTATTAGTTTGCTAGGGCTGCCATAACAAAGTATCACAAACTGGGTGGATTAAACAACAGAAATTTACCATCTTAGAGTTCTGGAGGCTTGAAGTCCAAGATCAAGGTGTCAGCAGGGTTGGCTCCTTCCTAGGTCTGTGAGAGAGAATCTGTTCCATGCCTCTCCCCTAGCTCCTGGTGGTTTGCTGTCAATCTTTGGTATTCCTTGGCTTGTAGAAATACCTTCTGGCCTTCCTATTCCCACTAACTTCTCTCTGTGTTCGTGTTTGTGTCCCAATCTCCACTTTTTTATAAGGACATTAGTTGTATTGGACTAGAATCCACCTGAATCCACTTTACTTAACTAATTACATCTGCAATGACCCTATTTTCAATGATGTCTCATTCTTGGATACTGTGGGTTAGGGCTTCACCATATGAATTTGGAGGGATGCAATTCAACCCATAATGGAAACAGAAGTCTGCATCCTGTTCCTGTCAGTGCCAGATGGCTGCAGAAACAGCCATCATGTCCTGTTTCCAGGTGTTTTTTCCTTATACTCCCGGAAACAACCTCATTGTACCCTGTCAGATTTACCAGTATTAGCTGGCCAGGGCCACCTCCTCAGAGTCAGTCTCAGCCCCATGGGAACCCTTCTCTGAACATCTAGTTTCTAAAACCACAATCTTTCCTCTTTGTTCTTCCAGCCCTATGGGATTTATTAGTTTCTTTCTGCCTGTGAGGGGCATCCTCTGAGATGGTCCTCAGTGACACATGTCCCCTGATATTCATGCCATTGGGTAATACTGTCACAGGATCCTTGCAGTGTCACTTTTCCAGCCAAAAACCTTTGTGGCTGGTGGCATCTTTGCCCGAGTTTTGCTCAGGCCTGCTGGGCTTGTCCCGCCCACTCGGCCCAGCAGGCTGAGCTCAGCTCACACTACCAGCCTGGATCCCATGCCTGCCAAGGGTGAACCAGATGTGGAACTGCGAGGGGTGAGTGAACACAGGGTCTGGCCACTGCGTACACCCAGGCATGCCAGCTGTGGAAGGGCAGGTAGCTCCAGGCATTGGTGTAGCTCCAGGCATTGGCACAGGTGCCAGCTCTGTGAGGCTGTGGCTGGACAAGGCATACCACGCATGGCTTCCACTGTGGGCACTGGGGGGTGTGGTGGTGTCCAGAAGCTTGGAGATGCCAGAATCTGCAGAGTCCCAAAGAGAGTGTCACAGCCCTGGCTCAGGGAACCCCTAGGTCTGGGCTCCCCAAAGGGCCCCAGCTTTTCTCTCCTTCTCACCGCCCACAATGGGGTGAGCAGGGGGCGTGTTTCAGCCCTGTTTGTGTTAC
The DNA here is from genome assembly GCF_000001405.40 of Homo sapiens. NCBI lineage: Eukaryota > Metazoa > Chordata > Mammalia > Primates > Hominidae > Homo > Homo sapiens. Next base: position 118,844,131 of record NC_000012.12, on the reverse strand, counting down.
AGCTCTTTCAATCCCACCATTTGGTGGGTCTGGAGTTCTTGTTCCACATCCAGGAAGAATGAAGTACAAGGACAACTGGATGGTGAGCAAGGTAGAGGGGAACTTCACTGAGTGACAAAATAGCTCTCAGGAGACTTTAAGTGGGTAGCTCCTTTCTGCAGGCAGGTCTTCCCCGACGAGTGTCCAGCAGTGAGGAGACCCAAAGTGGGCAGCTCCTTCCCACAGCTGGTAAGTCCCGACATCTGTGTGAACCTGGCTGGGGGAGGGGGTAGTTTTATGGGCTCAGAAGGGAGGAAGTGCGTGTTGATTGCTCCATGAGCAGCCATGGGCAACCCAGAAGAATCACCATAAGATTTCACTCACGGCCGTGGACTCCACCCGGAACTGGCAGCCCCGCCCCCAAGTTTCAGGCCATCCCTGGCTTGAAGGGAGGCTTTCACTAGGAATCTGCCCCTTCCCACCCAGGAGCCTGTCTGCCTCCTGCCACCATCAATTTGCTATCCACAGCACCCAGGCTGTCCGTGCTGAGGGGTGCCTGCAGTCCTCAACACCCCCCACCTACCCCACTATCTCCCTCCTGCACTCCTCGGCACCCAAAGTCTGGAAGGGCCTGAGGCAGCAGGGGGCTGATGTGTCAGCACCACCCCAGGCATGTGCACACCTGGCTGGGTTGTGACAGCACCCAGGCTTGGCCACTACTTTGCTCCACCCCAGAGTGGGCATCAGGAGCTGGGAGAGGCCAGGGAGAAGAAGCAGGCATTTCTGAGCCTACAGGGGCAGAGGGGCTTCCTGAGTCCCAGAGAGCACAGGGATGCCCGGGTCTGCAGCCATGGCTGGGAGACTGCAGCTGCGTCCAGGAGCACAGGGCTCTCACCCTGCCAACTCGGAAGGGGATGGAGCTCCTGCTGGTTCCTGGCTCCTGCCAGCTCCATGAAGCACACAGCCCCAGCCACATCTCCCCCACTGCAGCTGGTGTCTCAGCCGTGGCTGCTCCAAACAGGCTGCCACTGCCATCAATCCCATCCCCTGGAAAGGAGGATGGACTTACTGACTCACTTCTCATAGCACAAGTAATGGGATGTTACTTCTGAGATTAAATAATAAAACTGTGGCCTCCATCACAGGTTTTCTCTTTTGCTTACTCACTCTGATGAAGCCAGCTGCTCTGTTGCCAAGCTGCTCTATGGAGAGGCCCTTATGGCAAGGAACTGAGTGGGGACTGCAGCCAGCATACTGTGATAAACTAAAGTCTTCAGTCCAACAGCCCATGAGGAACCAAATTCTGCCATCGATCACTTGAATGAGCTTGGAAGCAGCTCCTTCCCTAGTTGAGACTTCAGATGAGATGACAGCCCCCGCTGATCCCTCAATTGTTGTCTTGTGGGATATTCTGAGGCAGAGGATCCATTGAAGCCATGCCCAGATTCCTGACCAACAGAAAATATGAGATAATGAATGTTTGTTGTTTTAAACTGCTAGTTTTGGGGTGATTTGTTATGCAGAAGTGGATAACAAATCCACCACAATTACTATTGATTGTCTTAGTGTTCCCTCTTTATCTTTCCATCTTCCAATAGGTATTTAACCAATTCCCTATATTAAATGCTCTCAGTTAAATTAACTGGCATAATTCCTATTTTCCAGATTAGACACTGACTGACCCAAGATGGTATCTAAGCTGTGAAATAACTGGTGGTTAGTTAAGTAACAGGATGGGAAGAGTGTTTCAGGAATCAAAAGCAACATATGCAAAGATCTGGGCACCATTTATTCTTTAAACATATTTATTAAGCACCTACTATGTGCCAGACTGAATGCTAGATGTTGCAAATAAAGCTATAAATGAGAGAGCAAGATCCTGCCTCATGGAGGTTGCCTTGGTATGTTCAGCAATGAGACAAAAGCTAAGACCAGTACATCAGAGACAGCTCACGCTCTAGGCTTCCTCATAAAGGACATTGACACTTGGTATTCTTAATATAGGCATGAGACAAGTAACCACCTTTCAGCATCAGCTTCTCATCTGTAAAGTGAAGAAGACAATCTCTTCCTCACAGGACTGTAGCACTGATCAAAGGAGGTTTGAGGGCTTAAATAAGCTTTATATAAGAGACAGAACTCTACTACCATTAAGATAAAGCAGTCCTATTTTAACAGCTAGACTCAACTCGGAACGATCAAAGTCTCTTCTCTGTCCAACTGGCCAGCATCCCTCTGCTGGCCTGGGGCTGGCTGCAGCCGAAGCCTAGGTTAACAGGATTAAACAAAGAGCCTGTTGCTTCTGGCCCCAGCCAGTGGGTTGCTGGCCATTGATTAAAAAAAACAGCCTGTAATACAAAGAGTAACCTCCCTGCGGCCACCCACCCCATAAATCATCTGCTACCAAGGGCTATTGAATTACCTCTGGAAGATGGATGACACTGGGCTGGAAGGCTGCTTGATAAGGTTTCCTTTTGAATAATTTCACGTAGAAAGCTGGGTTTGAGAAATGGGGTCTTTCCACCAGCTCAGCCCCATCCATGTCGTCTCTGCCAGGTGCATTCAAGATAAACACGTTTCCTTACAGGCTGCTGGAGTGTCTGTGATGGAGGAAGAAAACATACTGCCAGGCCTCTGGGAAGTATCTACTTCCACCTGAGGCAAACATGGTGGCTTTGTTTTATTATTATTATTATATGTCATTTATTGTACTAACTTATTAATAGTATCTATCATTTATTAAGCATATTTTATGTGCCAGGCAAAGTATTTGAACTTATGAAGTCCTTAAACAATCATATGAGGGAGGTCCTATTACTCTCTTCATTTGACTGATGAGAAAATTAAAGCTCAGAGAGGTGACATGACTTTCTCATGGTTACAAAACTAGTCAGTGTTGGAGGTGGGACTCAAACCTATGCTCTTAACAGGAGTTGGCAAACTTTCCTTAAAGGGTGAGACAATAAGTATTTTAGGCTTTGCAGGCCATATTGTCTCTTTTGAAACTACTCACCTCTGTTCTTTTAGTGCAAGAGCAGCCACAGACTATGTGCAGGGCTGTGTTCCAATAAAACTTTATTTATACAAACAGATGTGGGGGGGCAGGACCTGATTTGGCCTATGAGCCATAATATGACAACCTCTACTCTTAACAGTTACATGGCATTAATTCTCACCATTTGGGCTTTACAGTTTCTTGTACTTACCTGTTTTCACTTAGAAAATGCATTGGCTCCTCATGGAGTCAGCTGGTTTATTCAATTCATTTATAATTTCTTTATTGCCTTTGTGAAGGTTCTAGCTCTATGGAGAAAATACAGATATCCTGTTAGTCAGAGAAGTAAGATGTGTAATATATTTCAATTATTCATCATTTTAGTGAGGAAAGGGTCTGCTATGCTGCAGTACCAGTAAACCCCCCAAATTTCTGTGCTTTAGCAGAGGGTTTCTCAACTTCAGTGTTATTGACATTTTGGGGCTAGACAGCCCTGTGTTATCCTGTGCATTGTAGGATTTTTAGCAGCATTTCTGCCTCTACCCACTAGATGTCAATAGCATCTCCCTAGTCATGACAACCAAAATGTCTTCAGACATTGCCAAATGCACCCTGGTGGGGAAGGGGGGCAAAATCATTCCCAGTTGAGAACCACTAGGTTAGGACAACAAAAGTTTATTTCTCACTCATGAGAATGCAAATAGGTGCCATCAGCTATCCTTGACAGTTCCCCTGTAATGGTTCACAGGGATCCTAGATGCTTCCATCTATACTCTGCTATCTCAAAGTTCTTCACTTCCTGCCATGCATGTGGAAGAGATAGAGAATGGAGAACTCACCCCCCTCTTGACTTTCTCAGACCAGAAGTGTTGCTTATGCTAGTGGGTCACCGGCCATAGCCTAACTACAAGGGAGAAAGAGCACATGGGAATCTCTCCATGAGGATTCAATTACTCAATAAACATTTAGTGACTACCTATTCTGGTTGACAGTGTGCTAATGCTGGTGATACCTCAGTGGATAAATCAGATTCTCTCTCTATCCATATAGTGTTCACATTCTTGCTTTAATGTGCTCTTTGGGGTTGCAAAAAAAGGGAGCACTCTCAGGTTTGATAATAGGGATTATTGAAAAGATTCATATAAATGTGAGAAATGAGATCAAATTATCTCCACAATTATGGTGGGTCCAAAGCTCCAAAAGCCCCAGGAAGAACCTGAATAAATATCTTGAAGTCTGAACCTAGTTGGTTCTTTTTCCCCTCATTCTTTTGCCATTCATATGTCCTTAAAAAACCGAATACAACTGGATCAATTACCATCCAATAATGAGTCTTTGTTGACCACTTTCACTAAGTTATGCTGTGGTCACAAACAACTCCAAAATGTCCATGGGTTACAACCACAGATATTTATTTGTTGCCTGTGTACATGTCATCTGCAAGTTTTCCTTGAGTCGGAGTTCAGCTCTGTCTTATATCCATATCTTCATTATTCCAGAACTGAATGAAGGACAGTCCCATTCTCAGTCATGAGTCAGAAGAAGAGCAGCAGTATTAGAATCACTGTTAGCTCTTAAAATTCCTTCTCTAGGCATGAAATTAATATCTATGGAAACTCCATTGGCCAAAGCAACTTGTGTTACCAAGTAATGACATCAGCAGGGCAGGAAGTGTATTTATTACCCAGGGAGGGACACCAGGAAGTAGCACTAGTTGATAGATGAATCTATCATTGACAGATGAGTCTATCAACTAGAGAAGGGCTCTGGCATCTAGTAGGTAGAGGTCAGAGATGCTGCTAAACATTCTATAATGCACAGGACAACAAAAAACTATAGAGCCCAACATGTCAAGCAAATACCTTGAATGTAACTTATCACAGCAATTCTCAATTTTGTCCCCAAGGAAATATTTGAGAATGTCTAGAGGCATTATTTGCTGTTGCATCAGGGGTGATGCATCTCTGGTAGAGTCAAAGAATGCTGCTAAACATTGTACGATGCACAGGAAAGTCCCCCACAACAAAGAATTATCTCACCCCAAAAGTCAACAGTGCGAGATTGAGAAACCCTAACCTACCATAAGAAGTAACTGGGTTCCTCCATTCATTCATTCATTCATTCATTTTTCTCATTACTAATCAATGATTTATTGAATGTCTGTTGAATGCCAGACACTGTGCTAGGCCCTGGGGATATAATAGGAGCTAAAATAAACACGATTCCTGTTCAAATGGAGTTTATATTCTACTTGGAGAGACAGACATTAATAAATTAATCAAGTAATTACATAACTGAGTGTTTCATTATAAATTAAAATAAATGGGAGAATGGAACAGATTTTATAATAGCCTGTGGGGAAAAGGGGGAAGGTGGAAGGTTAGGAAAGTCTTTCTCAAGGAAGTGATAAGAATTCTGAAGCATATGTAGGAATTAACTAGATAAAGAGGAAGGGGAAGAGAGTTCTGGGCAGAGAAGTGGGAAGGAGTATGCTGTGTCAGATGGTCTGAAAAGTCCCGTGGGATAAACACACAGAAAGTAAAGGGTAAGTAGTATGTGATGCAGCTTAAGAAGACAGCAGGGACCAGATCACCCAGGGCTTTGTAGACCAGTCTGGAGAGTTTTGTGTTTCTCCTATGAGCAATGAGAAGCCACCAACAGGTTTTCAGCACTGAGGAAATGACGTACTTTGTATTTCAAACAGATCACTTAAGCTGCAGTGTGGAAAATGGCGTGGAGTAGGATAGAACAGATGCAGGGAGGTCTATCAGCAGACTTTCAGTCTTTCAGAGAAGGGAGGATGGGAGCTCAGAGGAGCGCGCTCCTAGGGAAGACAGAGAAAAGTGAATATATCTGAGAATTAATTACGTTCTGAATGGATAAATTCAGAAATTTAGAAGATAGTCTGATGGATAATGGATGTATAAATGGATGGATGGTTGTGAGTTTCAGTGAGACAGAAAATAATGGAAAAGGACCAGGTTTAGGGGCAGGGGAGTAGGAAGGCAATGTAATCTATAATAAAATACCAGCTTAAGAAGTGATTGAGGCAGCCTGGTGAAAATATCAAGAAGGCAGCTGGATATATGTGTCTGCAATTCAGAGGAGAGACAAGGCTGAAGTTATTAATATAAGAATAATCAGGATATAGATGCCCAAACCTCACATGGAAGCCTTTGAGTTGGACCCTAATCCCTGGTTTCATCATTTGTGGCTGGTTTTCCTTGACTCAATGCCAGTAACCGTAACAACTCTATGAAGATAGAACCACTTGTCTGCTTCCCTCAGAATTCACTCATTTATTCCATAGTCTTGGATGTCTGTGTGTCAGACTTTATCCTTGGGGGCTGGTGATACAACTGTAAATGAGAACAGACAAGGTTATGGTCCTGATAGGCATTTAATATTTTATGGCTTCTTCCTTCATATAAATTGTGCAAAACAACTGATTCTTGGTCTTTCCATGTCTGGTCTGGAGTAAATCATCCCACACTGAAGGAAATGCTTGCCTGTAAAATAAACTCAAAATCATAATAGGATAATAGAATTATAGTGTCTCAGCCTTACATTGGTAGGGTCTACTTGGTTCAATGATGTTGAATAGATATCCTCTCACATGCCAACTTTAATTGATTGGTAGTAGCTGCCTGGAGAGTTAGGCAGAGAATGATTCAGCTGGAATAAAAAACCAAAGCAATTGATTAGTGATGTCTGTCAAGGGTTTGATATGGGAGAGTGAAAGGCAATTACCCACTGCTCTAATCTCATTGATCATTTTTATATATTGCTAAATTCTATTTGATAATATTTTGCTAAGAAATTTTTTGTGTGTTTGTGAGAGATCTTGGTCTATTAGTTTCTTTTTTTAAAAAAATTAATATCCTTGGCAGGGCACAGTGGCTCATGCCTGTAATCCCAGCACTTTGGGAGGCTAAGGCAGGTGAATTACGAGGTCAGGAGATCGAGACCATCCTGGCTAACACGGTGAAACCCTGTCTTTACTAAAAACACAAAAAATTAGCTGGGTGTGGTGGCGGGAACCTGTAGTCCCAGCTACTCTGGAGGCTGAGGCAGGAGAATGGCGTGAACCCGGGAGGCGGAGCTTGCAATGAGCTGAGATCGCGCCACTGCACTCCAGCCTGGGTGACAGAGACTCCATCTCAAAAAAAAAAAAAAAATTAATATCCTCATTAGGCTTTCTTATTGGAGTTATGTTGGCCTAATGAAATGAGTTGAAAACAATTCTCTCCTTTATTTTATAAAGGAGTTTATGTGATATTGGCATTATTTTGTTCTTAAATATTTGATGAAATGTGCCTGTAGTTGTAGGGGAGGAAAGGCAGGGAGAGGTTTTAATAGGATAATCCAATATCTTAAATGCAGGGCTATGTAGATTTTCTATTTCTTTTTCTGTTAATTTTAAGTTGTATACTTTGAGGGATTTGTACGTTTCACCTAAGTTGTCAAATTTAACCCATTCCTTTAAAAGGTGAAGAAACTAAAGCTTAGATATGACAATTACTATGCCCCAGACCACACAGTAAATGACAGATCAACAGAACTCAGGTCTTTATGTGCTGAGTTCATTTCTCCTAATCTGCCTCATCCAGATTTATCCTACTTCCAAAGACCACAGGGGGATTTTCTGAGGATCTTTCCAGGAATAACATACGCATGCATTTCAAATGCCCCATGCTGCAGTGTTTAGCATGATCTAGTGATAGAGAGAAAGAGCTGTCCAGGGCAAAACCAACAAACTCGAGCCTTAGATCTTATCAGTCTTACCTGCCAAAGGCTGAGGCTTTTTTAGGAAACTCATGGATCACAAGGAAGAGAAATCTATTCTGTTTGAGTTGCCCTGGAAAGCAGTCAAGGCTGCCTTTCCCTGTGGTGCCCCCAGTTCAGTGTAGGAAGCCAGGCTGTCCATGCAGATTACTATCCCCTGTGTCTGGGCCTGACCACTGGAAGATAAAGTCCCCAGGAACCATCTCTGCCTAACCTGACCTACTTAGATGTGACAAGCCTGATGAGGTTGGGAGTGGAGCTAATGGAGATGGACAAGAAGGCAGGCCTGGGATGGCCCAAGGGAGATAAGCTCACAGGACTTGGCTCAAAACACTCCTGGGGAAAGCTCTCTAGAGCAGAAGCATCTGTTAAATCTGACCACATCAGCGCCCTGCTTAAAACTTTTCAGTGATATCCTTGTGTGCTCATGAAATCATCTAAACTCCTTACTGTGGCCTCCAAGACGTGACCATGTGATGCTTCTTTCTCCATCCTTCCTCCTGACCACTGTCTTTGAGTGAAACTCAACTGTCTTTAGTTCCAAAATGGCAACATGTTTCCCCTTAACCCAGGGCCTTTGCACAGGCTGCTTTCTTGGACTAAAATATGTTGTCCCCTTATTCTAATTTGGCTTCAAGGTTGCAGCTTAAATATCACTTGTTCCAATGGCATTTCCCAACAGCACAAGTCCGTGTCCCTTCTGTGTGTTTCCCTAGCCCATTACACTCACACTATAGTCACACTTACACATTGTTTTGGAACAATTTGCCCATTTATTTACCAGTATTTCCCACTAGACCGTGAGCTACACGGCCTCTGCCTTGAACCCCATAGTCTCATAATCCATTGCTTACTCAACGTCTTCATCTGTATGTCCTGTAACATGATGGACTTAACATATCCAATACTGAACTCCTGATACTCTTACCAAACCCATCCCTCCCTAGTCTTTCTTATCTCAGCAAATGGCAACTCTATCCAATCAATTGCTTAGGCCAAAAACCCTGGAGTTATCCTCAATGCCTCTCTTTTCATTATCTCCCACATCTTATCCATCAGCAACTCACATTTCAAAATATTCCCAGAATCTGGTGTTGCTACCCAGATCGAAGCCACTGTGCCCCCTCACTCAGGTTAATGCAACAGGCTTCTAAGCAGTCTCCTGGTCTACCCTTGCTTCCCTATATTCTATTTATTTTCCCCCTTTGACTTTTATTTTATTTTATTTATTTATTTTGGGTCTCACTCTGTTGTCCAGCCTAAAGTGCAATGGCATAATCATAGCTCACTGCAGCCTCAAACTCCTGGGCTCAAGCAATCCTCCCACTTCAGCCTCCTGAGAAGTTAGGACTTGCAGACACCTGCCACCACACCTGACTAATTTTTTAATTTTTTTGTAGAGATGGGGGGGGTCTTTCTATGTTGGTTTCCCAGGGTGGTCTTGAGCCCCTGGGCTCAATATTTTATTTTTATTTTAGATTCAGGGGGCACATGTGATGGTTTGTTACATAAATATATTGTTTAATGGTGAGGTTTGGGTTTTTAGTGTACTCATCATTCAAACAGTGAACACTATATGCAATAGGTAGTGTTTTAAATCCTCACCATCCTCCCCCATTTTGGAGTCCCCGGTGTCTATTCTTTCAATCTATGTATCTGTGTGTACTCACTGTTTAGCTTCCACTTATAAGTGAGAACATGCGGTACTTGATTTTCTGTTTCTGAGTTATTGCTCTTAGAATAATGGCCTCCAGCTCCATCCATGTTGCTGCAAAAGATATGATTTCATTATTTTTTATGGTTGCATAGTATCTCCATTGTGTATATGTACCACATTTTGTTTATCCAAGCATCCATTGATAGACACTTAGGTTGATTCTGTGACTTTGCTATTGTGAATACTGCTGCGATAAACATATGAGTGCAAGTGTCTTGTTTATATAATGATTTCTTTTCCTTTGGATAAATACCCAGTAGCAAAATTGCTGGGTTGAAGTCAGATCCCATCACTTCTCTACTCATGACCCCCTCAATCTTATTCATGATATAAACCAAATCCCTCCTATGGCCAACATGTCCCTGCATGATCTGACCCAGCTACCTTCTGTCCTTGCCACCTTCTGACCCAGCTACCTTCTGTCTTTCTCCTCCATACTCCCCTTCCCTCATTCCAATCCAGCCACTTCCACCTCCCTGTTGCCCCTGGAACATGCCAAGCATATTCCTGCCTTACAGCCTCCGTACCTGTGACTGCCTCTGCCTGGAATGCTCTTCCTCCAGAGAGCCACAGCATTCCTTCTCCTTTTTCTATCAGGTCTCTGCTCAAATACCACTTTATAAGTGAGGACTCCCCAGCTGCCCTATGTAAAGTATCAGTCCTCTAGCCCCTCCTTCCCTTCCTCCTCCATCCTCCTTTATTCTTTTATTTTTCTCCATGACACAGATCATCACCTGACTTATATATTCCATGTGTATCTATTTATTGTTTATACTTCATCTCCCCATACTAGAATGTAAGACCCCTGAGGGCAGGGCCTTCTGGTCTTTCACTGATGTAACTCCAGTGAGTAGAATCATCCAACCACACTGCTGATTGAAAGACATAGACTCCTGGGAACATGACCCATTGACGGGCACAGGCAACCTCAATGCCACAAAAATGCTAATTAGAAATAATTAAGTAATGGAGAGCCAGGCTCAAACAAAAGAACACCCACCCCAAAGGGTCAAAAGTAAAACAAAAAGAACTAAATACTATGTGGGTGAACTCCAGCTGAGACCAGGGCAACCCGGGGGAGTTCAGACACAGAACACAAGCTCCGAGCGGCTGAGGGCTGGAGTTCTAATGTCACTATGGCAACAAGGGACATGGATTTGGGGCTCTGCAAAGAGGGGAGCCGAATGTGAGACTTGAATAAAGTGAGGTCTCTCAAAGGGAACAGAAGCAGAAAGGTTTCCCACTAGCACAGATGAGTCTGGGCTCTCGGTGGGTCTTTTAGTCTGGGTCCCCCCAAAGCAGACTCTGAAACAAAGATTTGGATTCAGTTAGTTTATTCAGGAGGTGATCTCAGGAAGCATAGTGAGGAAATGGGGGAAGAAAGAGAGGAAAAGAGAAGAAAAATCAGTAATGGGTTCATAATAAGCAAGTCACTGTCGTGGGCAATTGAGGTTCAGTCCTGCTGGGGACCTCTGGGAGCCTGTGTAGAACTCACTTAGGAATCATTCCACCTCAGATGGGGGATGGTACATTTATCCATCAACTCTCATCCCCCAAATGTTGAGGGTTGCTCTGAGGGTATTAACTTCCCTTGTGTTTCCACACTGTACAGAACTCAGCCAGAAAAGCTCCTATGAAACCCAAGAGAGCTCCTACACAGAGAAGGAGAAGCAAGCACTTAAGGTAGGCTGAAGGTAAGCTGTCAGACACACACTGGGAAACGTTGCAGCTTAAAAAAAAAAAAACTCCCAGCCTGGGCAACATAGTGAGACCCCATCTCTACAGAAAATAAAATTAGCTGGGCATGGTGGTGCATGCCTGTTGTCCTAGTTACTCAGGGGGCTTAGGTGGGAGGATCACTTGAGCCCAGGAGTTTGAAGATACAGTGAGCTATGATTGCACCACTGTACTCCAGCCTGGGCAACAGAGCGAGACCTTGTCTCTTAAAAAAAAAAGTCTCAAAGGAATACAGCTTAGGGCATTACTACAATGTGGAAAAAAGTCTCCTATAAGAAACTGGAACCCCAAGCATGCACATATCATGGTGTGTGGGTCTGATTTTTATACTCCCCACATGATATAGAAATCCTCAGACAAGAAATTAACATAAATATATAGCTCTTGAGGCCCAGTAGGAAGAAAAGCAATAACATTTTGTAAAGATTGAATTCATTACCAGGAAAGTCTGTTGGGGTCTCCACCTACCACACTGAGTTTATGGACAATGAAGCCAGATCTGTGGAAATGACCAACAGAAAGAAGCAGCCCTAACTCCTAGCACGGAGATGCTCCCGTGTGGAGACAACAGACAGGAAAACGATCAGCTCACCAACAACAATGTCATGAGGAAACGCCCTCTTCTCCCCTTCCTCCTTCCCACTTTAACATAGCAGAAAAGAAGCAGGAAAGTGTGTGGGAGGCAGGAAGAGGGCAGGCCAGACCAACCTCGCCAGCCCAGCCAATGCTGGAGAACTGAAAGGGGGAACTTGGAAGTGAGTATAAAATCGAAGTTTAAAAATCGACTGGATTGTAAAATTGGGACCCTTGTGCATGGTTGGTGGGAATATAAAATGGTGCAGCCACTGTGGAAAACAGTATGGTAGTTCCTAAAAAAAAAGAGTTATCATATAATCCACAATCCCACTTCTGGGCATATTCCCAAGAGAACTGAGAGAAGGATCTCAAGATGTTTGTACACCCATATTCACAGCAGCATTATTCACAACAGCTAATATGTGGAAGCAACCCAAGAGTCCATCAATGGATGAATGGATAAGCATAATGTGAAATATATATATATGTGTGTGTGTGTGTGTGTGTGTGTATATATATATGTGTGTATATATATATACATATATATGTATATATATACACACACACACACACACACACACATATATATATATTTGACTATTATTTAGCCTTAAACAAAGAAGGAATCAGGTGCCGTGGCTCATGCCTATAATCCCAGCACTTTGGGAGGCTGAGGCAGGAGGATTGCTGGAGCTAGGAGTTCAAAACCAACGTAGGTAATATGGCGAGACCCCATCTCTGCAAAAAAATTTTAAAAATAGCCAGGCATGGTGGCGTGTGTCTGTGGTCCCAGCTACTTGGGAAGCTGTGGCAGGAGGATCACTTGAGCTCAGGAGGTTGAGACTGCAGTGAGTTGTGATCACACCATTGCACTTGAGCATGGGCAAAAGAGCAAGACTTCTGTCTCAAAAAAAGAAAAAGAAAAAAGAAAAGAAAGAAATTCTGACACATGCCACAATATGGATGAGCCTTGAGGACATTATGCTGAGTGAAATAAGCCAGTCACAAAAAGACAAATACTTCATGATGTCACGTACTTATGAAGTGCCGAGAGTAGTCAAATTCACAAAGACAGAAAGTAGAATGACGGTTACGAGGGATTTAGGGAGAAAGGGAGTAGGGAGTTATTTAATGAGCACAGAGTCAGTTTTGCTTGATGAATAGGGCTCTTGAGACGGATGGTAGTGATGGTTGGACAACGATAGGTGCTTAATCCCACAGAACTATACACTTAAAAATAGTTAAGATGATAAATTTTGTTATATTTTAATATAATAAAAAATAGAAAAACATGGACCAGTAACTAGGCTATTTTAATAGCCCATGGAGATTGAAAAGTTATGGGATCTAATTGACTTACCAGGGAGCAAGAAGGCCAGATGAGTGTGGGAAGTATAACAGAGACTGTCCTTGTGGTAATTATTGGGAAAAATACAAGAATTTCATGTTTATTTCTCAATTTTACAGGCTACGGTGGCAATTTCGGAGATATTTTCCAAATTAGATACATTTCCCCATCTCTATGTCTAGTGTTTACCCTCATGCATGCATGTGTGGGCACACGTGCATGCACACACACACATACACACAGAGCTGAGGAAGGCCCTTGAGGCTGGAAACATTCAACACGCATTGCCGCTTTTGTTGGTAGAACACAGGGCATTTTAACAAGAATATTTCTGGTTCTGCTGAGAAGCAGAGTATCATTAACCATCACAGTTACAAAATTTCACACTTCTATTCCAGTTTGTTTCAGGAGGCTTAGAACACTTGGCATACTTTCAGTCACTGGTGGGTGCACACACACTCCCCACCCATGGGAGGAATTGCAATTTTGAGATGCTCCTGCCCAAGTCTAACATGGTGTAATAAGATCCCAGAACATCTGTCAGGCAATTACATGGTGCTGTCTCCATCATTCATGTACTGTGTTACGCACCTGTTCCATGATGCTGAGACAACAGCTCCCCTCAAGGCTTTCCCTGTAGCTTGTGGCATATTGAGCTGCCATATTGGTTCTTTAGGCTTCATTCACAGAGGTTCCTTCTTCTCTTTACCTTGACTTGGGTCTCTCAGCTTCTAGGGAAGCAAGGAGACATTGGCAAGAGCCCCAGAAAATCGTTTTCGAACAAAACTGAGTTATGGTCATGATTCCACATCTTATAACACACCTTTTCCTCTTTACCACTCAACAGCACAGTGGCCCTCTTAATTAAAGTGCTGGAAAAATGCCCCGATCCTCTTCACTTTCCAGGATGGGAAAGAGAGATGGAAATGGGTTAAAGGGGGGCTCTCTCTCACAACCCATGTTCCTCCCACTCTGGGGCCTATGCAAGGACTGCTCCCACTGCCTGGAACACACCCACCTATGCTCTGTTCCTCACTTAATCAATTCTGGCATCTCCTTTAGATTTCAGCACCCAAGTCACTTTCCCAGTCTACAACAGATGTCTTTGTTAGCTTCTCTTACAGGAGCAAGTCGCTGTATCCTTCACATATTGTTCACTTTATAACAATTCATCATTTTTTAGAGAAGCTGAATACAATCTACCTTTTTACCCAGACTCTAACTTCTGCCATCCAAGTATTAACCAGGCCCGATCCTGCTTAGCTTCCAAGATTAGATGAGATCGGGCACGTTCAGGGTGGTATGGTTGTAGGCAAGATGCTAATTTCTCTAAGAGCAAAGACTCTTAATTTTGCTCACCAATATATCTCCAGAATTATATATGCCTGGTACACAGTAGGTACTTAATATACATTTTAATGAATAAATCAACTAATCCTATTTTGCTGAGAAATGCAAACACATTCAGTAAATATTTGTTTGAATAAGTTAACCACTATGTTTAAAACTGATATAAGTACCTACCTAATAATAGTATCTACTTAATAAAGTTATTAGAAGAATTACATTTGTTAATGCAAATAGCTTTTAAACAGTGACTGGCATATAATGAACACAAGATAAACATTAGTTCATTTTATTATTGATATCTTGTGCCCATAATAGGAAGATATTTTGAATTTTTATCTAAAGTGGGCTTTCTTTTCCATATTTTCTGGTAACCCAGCTCTTCTTTCAGCCTGAGCAGCATTTTTCAGATGTGACGACCAAGGCTCAAAGAAACCCTAAGCTGCACAGCCAGGAAATGGCAGAGCTTCAATTCCAATTTACATCTCTCAAACTCCAAAACACTAGTGTTTAATCCACTTTTTCTCAAACCATCTAGAATGGTCAAACAAATAGACTAAAAGAATTTCAACATTATCATTTCGAAAGATCAACTTTTTGGGGGTGGGGGGTTGGAGAGAGGCATCTAAAAAGAAGATATTATTTTACTCAGTAATCACCACCATTAAAAAAGTACCTACAGTGGCTGGTGCGGTGGCTCATACCTGTAATCCCAGTACTTTGGCCAAGGTGAGTAGATCATGAGGTCAGAAGTTTGAGACCAGCCTCGCCAATATGGTGAAACCCTGTCTCTACTAAAAATACAAAAATTAGCCAGGCGTGGTGGCACGTGCCTTTACTCTTAGCTACTATGGAGGCTGAGGCAGGAGAATTGCTTGAACCCTAGAGACAGAGGTTGCAGTGAGCCCAGATTGCACCACTGCACTCCAGCTTCAGTGACAGAGTGAGATTCCGTCTCAAAAAAAGAAAGAAAGAAAGAAAGTACCTACAGTGATAATAATCCCATGCTTAGATAAGAAATGAATCTCCCTTTCTTTTTATTATAACAAGGACAATGGTGTGTACTGATGCAGTATTGGAAACAATTATCTCTATACCTGGTCGGGGCTGTAGCTCACCAAGAAGTTGCTGCCTCAGCCGGTATTACTTACAGAGGGCGATTTTTTTGTGGTTGTTTTGTTTTTAGTCTCATAAAGTATATTTTAACAGTGAATAGAAGACCCTATTGGAAAAATCGATTACATATTTCCATTTTAATGTAAACATTTAGCGTCCAACGCTTTGCCTCACTATCTCATTAGCATTTGAATGCCAAGCACTATTCCAGAAATTTATTTCAAAGCCCTTTTTTTTTCCAGGCAGGGAGAGCAAATAGAACAAAACAGTCACCTAAGCTGATAGTTGACTAAACACAATCATCATGATGAAAGGTTGCTGTGGGGTAAACTTTGGGTGAAAAAATAAAAATATATGATCGCTTTAAATTCATCTTCTCCTCCCAGGGAGCTGCTAAGGTGCTTATTTGGAATTTTTGGAGAATCTTTTCAGTTCTGTTTTGCAAATCTTACACTTCTCCCAAAATAATAATGAATAAATGAAGTGGATTTTAGGATAGTCAGTTGAGGCCCTAAATTACCAAATTTTTCTTTTCTTTATATTAAGGAATTACCACCCCCCAAGATTACCAACAAAAGGTCTTTTGCTGACATCTGTAGGGTTTAAAAGGAAAGTGCTGTTTCAAGTCCAAAGCTAGGTTTAAGTCTTATCTCCGTGGTAAGTTGGTGTCCTGCTTCGAAGGCTGGGGAAGACAGCCCATCCTGTTCCGGAGAAATATTCAGACCGTATGAGTTGTGCCACCTCCACCCAGCATGCCAGGTGCAATTGAGGCAATTTAGGTTGAGTGCAAAGTGCTCCGTTTCAGGCTGAAATCATGCCAAAGACTCCTTACAAATGCTATATTCAGCACCTCCAATTTCCCATACCCACTGCATGTTGTCTGCCATTATTACCCAGGATTCCAAAAGCACTTGGCCGCATTAAACAAGAGTCAGGAAGGAAAACAATAGCAAGGAGCTGCTTGAGGACACAAAGCTGGAAAAATGAAGAGGGAGCAGCCAGAGATGTCGACTGAGCTCTGAAAATAGATGTGGCTTAATGAACATGAGAGGGGTTAGGTTTATCCAAAAACACAGATTCAACCTGGTAAGAATTTGATCCTCACACTCTACAGATAGGAGTGTACCTTGGTTCAGCCCCTTTGGGGGACTGTTTGGCAATATTTATTAAAACTAAAAAATGCATGTGCCCTAGGATCCAGAGATTTCTTTCCCTGGCATCTATCCTAGAGAAGAATGCAGATGGATGTGCACAATGAGAGCTACACAAAGATTTTCAACACTGAGTTGCTTGTAATAGCCAAAATACAGGAAATGATCTAATATCCATCAATGGGGAAATAACCACACTGTGAAATACTTTGTAGCAGCAAAAGGACCACGTCCTCTGTCAGATAGATAATAATATCCATGCACACTTGTCCAGGGGCAGGGATGCTCCAGAAACTCTCCTAAATGCCTACCCACAATAAACAGCTTAATCCTTACAACAGTTATTGAGGAGGTTCCCAAATTATGCTAACAGAACAACTGAGGCACCAAGATGTTAAATAATGTGCCCAAGTTCACATGAGTACACAGGACATTCAAAACCAGGTCATCTAGCTCCAAAAGCCATACTACTTTTCAAGGATTTTAACAACATACTTTTCCCCTTTGAATTAAAAAAAGCAAGTTGCAATATGATACATACAGTGTAATATGATTTATGTCTGTATATACAAAACACAGGTGAAATAATGCTATATATTTCTTTATTTATTTATGATTTGTGATTTTTAAAAATAGAGATGGGGTCTCACTATGTTGCCCAGGCTGCTCTCAAACTCCAGGCGTCAAGTGATTCTTCCCCTTGGCCTCCCAAAGTTCTGGGATTATAGGTGTGAGCCACTGTACCCAGCCCTACATATTTTCTATGCACACTTTTTGCAACACAGAGAAAGGTGTGGAAGGATACATTCCAGAAGAAAGAGGTGGAAAAGGAATAAAGATTGAGGGGGTGATTAAAAGAGTTCTATCTTTATTTATAATGTTTTAATTTTTTTAAAAAAGAAGAATATAGCCATGTGTAACTCAAAAATAATTTTTAAAAATTGGTTCAAAAGAGCCTTTCTGAATTACTTGCAGAGACACCTAAATGGGCCAGGCAGGAAATGTCTAGTGGCTTCCATATGTGCAGCATTCTACAGTTCAGAACCTTTTCCACCAATATTGTTCTAGTCAATCTTTTTTTTTTTTTTTGAGACAGATACATTTGGGAACAAGACAAGCAAAATCCTTGCCCTCGTGGAGTTATATTCTAGAATGGAAATACATGATAAACAATTAAATGAATATGACCAGATGGTATTAATTGGCTCAAACCGAAAGGAGGCTCTCATGAGAACTTTCAGTGAAGTAATAAATATGTTGAGGAATCCATAGATGAATAAAGATTCAAGTTTCAGTAAATGTAGGTTCTGGGAGTTTCTTTCTTTCTTTCTTTCTTTCTTTCTTTCTTTCTTTCTTTTCTTTCTTTCTTTCTTTCTTTCTCTTTCTTTCTCTTCCTTCCTTCCTTCTCTTTCTTTTCTTTTCTTTCTTTCTTTCTTTTTGTTTCTTTCTTTCTCTCTCTCTGTTTCCTTCCTTCCTTCTTCTCTCTTTCCTTTTTTTTTTTTTCTGGAGTCAGAGTCTCGCTCTGTCACCCAAACTGGAGTGCAGTGGCGTGTCTTGGCTCACTGCAACCTCCGCCTCCTGGGCTCAAGCGATTCTCCTACCTCAGCCCCCCAAGCTGGGACTACCGGTGAATGCCACCAAGCCCAGCTAACTTTTTGTATTTTTAGTAGAGACAGGGTTTCACCATGTTGCACAGGCTGTTCTCGAACTCCTGAGCTCTGGCAGTCTGCCCACCTCAGCCTCCCAAAATGCTAGGATTGCAGGCATGAGCCACCAAGCCCAGCCTAGCTCCAGTTTTTTTATACAATGGTTCTTAACCAAAGACAATTTTGTCCCCTGCTATGATATGAATGTTTGTGCACCCTCCCCTCAAATTCATATGTTGAACCTAATCCCCAATGTGGTGGTATTAAGAGGTGGGGTCTTTGGGATGTGATTAGGCTATGAGGGCTCTGCCCTTATAAATGTAATTTGTGTCCTTATAAAAGAAGTTTGAGGGAGCTTGCTTGCTTCTTCTACCAGAGGGAAATGCCATCTTTGAAGGAGAGAGAAAGCCCACCTGTAATGCCAGCACTTTGGGAGGCAGAGGCTGGAGGATCGCTTGAGCTCAGGAGTTCAAGACCAGCCTACGCAAGAGAGGAAGACCCTGTCTCTGCACAAAGATTTAAAAATTAGCCAGGCATGGTGTCACACACCTGTAGTCCCAGCTGTTCAGGAAGCTGAGGTGGGAGGATTGCTTGAGCCTGGGAGGTCAAGGCTGCAGTGAACCATGATCATGCTATTGCACATCAGCCTGGGCAATAGAGCAGGACCCTGTCTCAAAGGGAGAGAGAGAGAGAGAGAGCATGCTCACCAGACACTAAATCTGCTGGTGCCTTGATCTTGGACTTCCCAGCCTCCCAAACTGTGAGCAATAAATTTCTGCTGTTTATAAATTACCTAATCTAAGATTATTTTGTTACGGCAGCCCAAGTGGACTAAAACACCTCCTAAAGCATATCAATGACTGAAGACTTTTTTTTTTTTTTTTTTTTTGAGACGGAGTCTCGCTCTGTCGCCCAGGCCGGACTGCGGACTGCAGTGGCGCAATCTCGGCTCACTGCAAGCTCCGCTTCCCGGGTTCACGCCATTCTCCTGCCTCAGCCTCCTGAGTAGCTGGGACTACAGGCGCCCGCCACCGCGCCCGGCTAATTTTTTTTTTTGTATTTTTAGTAGAGACGGGGTTTCACCTTGTTAGCCAGGATGGTCTCGATCTCCTGACCTCATGATCCACCCGCCTCGGCCTCCCAAAGTGCTGGGATTACAGGCGTGAGCCACCGCGCCCGGCCTCTGAAGACTTTTTTTATTGTAATGACTTGGGTAGGGTGGCTGGTGTTAGTAGTATCTGTATAGCAGAAGCCAGGGATGCTGCAAACACATCCTACAATGCATAGGACAGACCTGCATAACAAATAATTATCTGGCTTCAAATATAGTTAGTGCCATGACTGAGAAACTCTGTTCTATAGGAATAAACTTAATCTGTCTGGTAAACCCAGAATCACATATGCATACAATTGTCATTTACCCTCTCTATGGAGAACCTTATCTAGTGTTCCTTACCTTAATCAATGGCAACCATAACCTTGTAGTTGCTCAGGTTCAAGCCTTCAGATCATCTCTACTATTTTCCTAGGGCTCCTATAACAAAGTACCACAAACTGGGTTTCTTCAAACAACAGAAATTGTCTCCCTGTTCTGGAGTCGAGCTGTCTGAGATCAAGGGAATGGCAGGACTGGTTACTCCCAAAGTTTCTAAGGGAGAATCTGTTCCATGCGTCTCTCCTAGCTTTTGGTAGCTTCCAGCAATCCTTAGCTTGCAAATGCATCACTCTAGTCTCTGCCTCTCTCTTCAGTTGGCATTCACCCTGTATCTCTGTGCCTCCCCATGGCTGTCTTCTTATGAGGACACCTGCCATACATATGACTTCACCGTAACTAATACTTCTGCAAAACCCCTATTTTCAAAGAAGGTCACATTCTGAGGTCTTGGTGGTTAGGATATATATATATATATATATATACACACACACACACACACACACACACATATATACACATATACATATATATACACATATATACATATATATACATATATACATACATATATACATATATACATTCAAGATTCTGAGCCTATATATACACATATATATGTATATATATACACGTATATATACGTATATATACATACATACACATATATATACACACACATATATATACATATACACACACACACACACACACACATATATATATATATATATATATATAGGCTCTGAATCTTGAGCAAGTGCCTGAAGACGGTTAAAGTCATGAACCACACCATTCCTGCTGCTGGACATTTGCTGGAATTCCTGGTGCTTATTCTCTTGCAAGCCTGATTCTTCAGTTTCTCATTCATTCATTTCATGCACCCCCAAATCCTTCTTGTATGTTTTCTTTTAGGTGAAGAAAGCCAGAGTGAAATTCCTTTCACTTGCCAGAAATGCTGGCTGATACACCTGCTGAGTATAAGATGCTGTGTGTACAGGAACTAAGATGACACCATCAGTCCCTGTGCTCACACTGCCCACAGCCTTGCAGGGAAGTTCAGAGCATTCTCATCAGGTGTTTGGTTGTGTAGCATCTCCCTCTTTCAACCCCCCAAAAAGGCAACATCTGATTAGAACTGAGATAAGAAAGAAGGGCAGATAATGACTGAACAACTGATATTTGACTTCCCTGCATACTACAGCCCCATTCTAGAGACCAGAGACCATACCCAAGCTTAATCTTATGGGCCTATTTACAAGTCTGGCTAATTAATGACTGTAAAAGCAGTTTGGACTTTGCAAGCCTTTTATAATGTGCCTCATTTAGACATAATGGGCCCAAGATTGCCGCTGGCATCCTCAAGAAAATTAAAAATCCAGTAGGCAGCAGAATTGCCTCTATGCGATTTTCCTATTACTTTTATTTTTATTATGATTGCAAATAGCAGCATTACTAATGGTACCTTGGATGAGGATGCCTTTCTGGGAAGGCCTAGCTGATTTCTCACATCCACAGCATGACTTACTGGGGTCCTTTAGCCAGCAGCATGCTGGTTCCTTCTGCATGATGTCATTGAACACTGGCCAAATGGACGGGGGAGCTCAAGGGCTCCTGAACACATGGAGTCATTCCCAAAGGGGGGCCACTACAAAGGGAGACACCATTCATTATACTCCAGCTCAATGACAGAATCCTAATTGCTATTTCTCTCATCCTTGGCTCTGGACAAGGAGGTGTCTGACGTGTGTGAGCTGGGCAAAATTTGGTATGTTGGAAGTCTGGGTTGGCATGCAGTAGAGAAAGATGGCAACAAATGAACTAGATTGGGGAGGCATGGAATAGCGTGATGAAATCTCCAGCCATCTCATTCTGTCCCACCCCGCACGGGGAATCCTCCCTTTGTCCAGCATCCCCACCTGTCAGTCACTTAGTAGCCATCTAGGTCATCAGATCGACTGTCACAGTATTGCAGTGCTTGTGTTCAAGTAACCTTTATTTTACTTAATAATGGCCCCAAAGCACAAGAGCGGTGATGCTAGCAATTTGGATATGCCAAAATGCTTCCTTAATGTAAAAAAGGTGAAAGTTCTCGACTTAATGACGGAAGAAAAAAAATCATATGCTGAGGTTGCTAAGATCTACAGTAAGAACGAATCTTCTATCCGTGAAATTGTGAAAAAGGAAAAAGAAATTCATGCGAGTTTTGCTATTGTATCTCAGACTGCAAAAGTCATGGCTACAGTGCGTGATAAGTGCTTAGTTAAGAAGGAAAATGCATTACATTTGTAGGTGGAAGACATGAACAGAAATGTCTTCCAGTGGATGGCAATTAGGTACAGTACTATCTGTGGTTTCAGGAATCCACTGGGGGTCTTGGAACATATCCCCTGAGGATTAAGAGGGACTGCTGTATTGTCAGGAATAAATCTAACCTGCGACACTTCAGCAAGGACAACTGCTACCGCTATGCTACAGACACCTCAGTTTAACTGTTTTAAACAACACCTCTGTTAGGGGTTTCCATTTCGAAGCTGATCAAGGAAAAGGATATGACCAGCAGAGGCAGTAATACACCACAAGCATTACTGAGCAGTGCTTGAAAGTGGCTGCATGACAGGTGAAGTCCTTACAGCAGGAGACCATCCAGAGGAGAGGAGGGCAAGGGGACTCCTCAAAGAAAGGGGATCAGACAGTAGGTTATTTGTCTAGATGCTGGGGCTCATCAGCACAGTGGTCTCTGAGTCAGAGAGCTCCAAAGGGCAGCAGTGGCCTGGGGCCTCATAATTACAAGGCCCTTTCTTATCAATGGCTAAGAGCTGAGGTTTTCCAGCATAGGCTCTAAATGACGGGAAATCTGTTCGGGCTATTTTTAAAACAATTGGATGTGCAAAAATTTGAATTTCATTTCTTGGGCTTTTTACCTAATAGGTCTCAGCCTACAGTGAAAAAATAAACAACCAAGGGCCAATATACAGAGGCCAACTTAGGGTTAATATACAGAGGCCATTTATGGCTCATTTATATCACAACTCCCCTGCCATTGCTCCCCGTGAAAAGCTGAGTGTGTCTTCCACCATGTTCATCCAAAAAAAAGACATCACTTATATTTACCTACCTGTGTTTCTCACTTCCAGATTGATGTCTTTCATTGGTTAATCAAATTGGTGAGATTAGGTTGGCGGCACATTAAGGGCAGTGGGACTGGCCTGCCCCAGCTGCACAGAGTGACAGGTGCATGATTAGTAGAAAATTTAAAAGGGCTGGCCACAGTGGCTCACGCCTGTAATCCCAGAATTTGGGGAGGCTGAGGTGGGATGATTGCTGGAGCCCAGGAGTTCAAGACCAGCTTGGGCAACATAAGGAGACTCCATCCCTACACATGCTTAAAAAATTAGCCACGCATGGTGGTGCACACCTGTGGTTCCCAGCTACTCAGGAGGCTGAGGCAGTAGGATCACCTGAGCCTAGGAGGTCAAGGCAGCAGTGAGCCATGATTGTGCCACTGCACTTCAGCCTGAGTGACAGAATGGGACCTTGTCTCAAAAAAAAAAAAAAAAAAAAAAAAAGAAAGAAAAAATTTAAAAGCAATATAATCATACTGACTACAATCAGTGTGCTTTATATTACTGTCATGTGCCAGTAATTCTAAACAAAGTCAATGATAAAATATATCTTCCAGGAGGGGCAAACCATGCCCACTCTTTTTCCTTGGTAGATCACAGGATTCATTCACATTCCTGTGCCCCAGCTACACAGGAAGAACACATTTGTCAAGTGGGATAACAACAGAACCTACTGCACAGGGTTATTGTGAAAAAAAATCAATACTGTGAGGACATCAATCCTCCCCAAATTGATATAGACACTGTAATCAGAATGAAAACCCCAGCAAGTTTTTGTTTTGGTGGAAATTTACAAGGTGATTCTGAAATATGTGTGGAAAATCAAAAGCCAAGATTATCACAAAGAAGAACAAAGTCAGATGATTTTCATGACTGGATATCAGGAGTTATAATAAAGCCAGAGGAATTAAAGGAGCACACTTTGATACAGGAAAAAAAAAATAGACCAGTGGAACAGCATAAAGAGCTCAGAATGAAACCCCTCACACATAGAGACACTTTATTTTATTTTATTTTATTTTGAGGCAGGGTCTTGCTCTGTTGCCCAGGCTAGAGTGCAGTGGTGTGATCATGGCTCACTGTAGCCTTGACCTCCCAGGCTCAAGTGATGCTCCTGCCTCAGCCTCCCAAGTAGCTGGGACTACAGGTAGACACCACCAAGCCTAGCTAATTCTTTAATTTTTTGTAGAGACGGGGTCTCCCTATGTTGCCTAGACTGGTCTCGAACCCCTGGCCTCAAATAATCCTCCTACCTTGGCCACCCAAGGTGCTGGGATTACAGGCATGAACCACTGTGCCCAGCCCAGGGACACTTGATTTATAAGAAAGGTGCCATTGGAGAGTGATGGAGAAACAATAGCTTTCTCAATGAAAGGTTCTGGGTCAATTGGCCATCCACATGGACAAATTTGAATCTTGGTCTCTACCTCATATTATATACAAAAATCAATTCCAGGTGGATTGTAGATCTCCATGTGATTGGAAACATGATAAAACTTCTAGAGGCAATATAGAAGAATATCTTGAGCTTGAGATAGGCAAAGGTTTCTTAAACAAGACACAAAGAAACTGGGATAGGTGAAGCCCCATGGTGCAGTTGGCTCAGAATAAGGGGAAATCCACAAATCAGACTCCTTGTCCAAGTCTTATCCCGTAAAGTTTCCCTGCTTTAGAAATGTTTTAAATCTCAAAATATTCAGGCTGAAACATTCCAAAGCAGAAGAGAATTTCTCATGATACTCTTCATGACAAGCCTCTATGTCTATGCTGCTTTAATAGAGGTGGTGATTGTTTACTATGATCCGGGCACTGTGCAAAGCACTTTGCCATTTTTTATTTTAGAGACAGGGTCTTGTTCTGTCACTGTGATTGGAGTGCAGTGGCATGATCCCAGCTCACTGCAGTCTCAACCTCCTGAGGTGAAGTGATCCTCCCACCTCAGCCTCCCAAGGAGCTGGGACCACGGGCATGCACCATCACACAGGGCTAATTTTTTATGTTTTATTGAGACAGGGTCTCCCTATGTTGCCCCAGCTGGTCTTGAACTCCTGTTTACAAACTCCTTCCACCTTGGCCTCCCAAAGTGCTGGGATTACAGGCGTGAGCCACCATATCCAGTCACTTTGCCATCTTTTTCTTACTTATCTTTATTTCAGCCAGCAGTTAATGCCTGCAAGTTGGTCACCATGGAAACAACACAAGAAAATCTCCCTCCACTACCTCATTCTTTAATATCTGAAATTTTAAATTTACAAAATTAAGATACAAAGAATCAATCATGAAGTTGAAGTTTATATGAGTGCTTTCTGCTGTTGCATGTTGCTCAAGGTACAGTAAAACCTTAACATCGGGTTGACGACTGTAACTTTAAAAAGTCTATTTCCATGCATTTTCTTACTGAATCTCTGTGAAATAGCCATCACTGGCATTGAATTTCCGTTTTCCAAATAGGGAAACTGAGGCACACAAAAACTGTCTCTAGTTTCTGGAACCAATGCTAAAAACATTTTCAGTCATATCCCCCATGAGTGGAAGCACTGGGTGGTCAGTTTGGCAGGGCCTTCTTGAGTGAGGAATGGAACTGCTATTTCTAGGTTTGCCTCTGTGTAGGTAAATAACTGCAGCAGGAAGACAGATATTCACTTAGCCTTTACTTTAATTATCCATGTTCAAAACCTCCTCACCCTATTCCTAAGCTGCTCCTTCTGCCTTCAGTTTTTCCCCATTCCACACATCTCATGGCAACACTCCCAGATTCCCCTGTGTACAGCAAAGTCCTGATATGTGATTTCTTTGCCCCCAAAACATCCTTTGACTTCTCTTCACTTATTTTTAATACAGCATCTGTAATCAAACACCACCAGAAATGATCTTGGCTCACATTTTGACACCAGCACTTACCAATGATGTTTTTGGTCTACTTCCTTAACTTCTCTGAATCTCAGTTTTCTCATCTGTAAATTGGGAATAAGCCTAGAGTTGATATGAGGGTGAAGAAGAATATTTTAAGTATAATGACTGAATACATTGGTGGTTTTAAAAGATAGAATGGAACGCTTGATTCAGTTGACAATACAACCTTTCTTTTTTCTTTTTCTCGTTTTTATTTTTATTTCGTATTTTTATATCTTGTTTTGTGCCAAGTCTATGCTAGCACTTTTCATGCAGGCCATTATCAAATCAGCACAACTACCTCCTGAGGTAGGAATTACTATTTTCTGCATTTTTATATATACAAAAAAACTTAAAACTCTCAGGTGCCACCCAGCTGGTAAATAATAGAATTTAGTTTTAAGCTCAGATCTGATTGACTTCAAAACTCATACTTTTCACAGCTATGCTTGGATCACCTATATCAAAATTTCCTGGGGGGTTGCCAAAGGCAGATCTCTGTTCTTTGCTCCAGACTCAGTATGATGGTGACGGCTAGACTTCCAGCAGCACCCATTCTCCCCTTCTGTCTTTGTGGCTGGAAAATGGCTGCATATCTAGAGATTGCATTTCCCTGTCCTCTTTGTGATTGAATGCAGCCATGTGACAAGTTCTCACTAATGAAATGTGAATAGAAGTAATGCGTGGCAGGCCTCAGCAAGCTGGATAAGAAATATGCATGGCCTCTCTACGCTCTCCCATTGCCTAGAATCTGAATATGGTTGTAACCTAAGCTTGACTAAGTAAATGATAACTAACCTTGACTAAGAAATGTTTGTTGAGAATGGGGGTGGTGCCTCAAGAGGAAAGAAACCTGGGTCTTTGAATGCCTATGTGGTTTAGTTATCAACAGCTGCCTAACAAACCACTCCTACATCTCAGACACTTTAAATAACAGTCATTTATTGGACCTGTGAATGTACAATTTGGGCAGAGATTGATGAGGATGGCACCAGGAGGGAAGGCTTAACTGGGGCAGGAGGATCCACTTCCAAGGTAACTCTGGTAAGTAACAAAGAGGTCAGTTTCTGGCTGCCCAATGCCTCTGAGGTAATTAAGCCCTTGCACGTAGTTGGCAAACTGAGCTCATCTAGGGCTGACAGCTAGGAACTCCACCTCTTCTCCACATGTGCCTCTGCACAGGGTGTTGGGCTTCCACACAGCATGGCTGCTGAGTTCTAAGAGTGAGTATTACATGATCAAAGAAGTGGAAGCCTACCGTTTCTTAAATCCTGGGCCCAGGAACTGGCACAGTGTCACTTCTAAAACATTCTCTTGGTTAAAGCAGTCACAGAGCCTGCCCAGATTCAAGGGGAGCAGACAGCAACCTCATTTCTCAATGAGAGGATTGTCAAATAATATGTGGCCCTCCTTATTCTGCCACATCACATGAAACAGATTCTACCAATAAGGAAACCTCACTTTGGATTGTTGTGCTTGCAGAAGAAATAACTTCTTTGTTTTCTAAGCCATGTTATTATTGGGCCTCTTGCTTAGCTTTTTCCTGTAACAAACACTCCCAGTGAATCAGACTCTCTAGGTACCAGGATCAGGAATCTGCAATCTAAAAAGCAACCTGATGGTTTAATGCACACCGGCATTTGAGATTCATTCTGCTAAGCAACGAGGGAGGTCAGTTTCTGACTGTCCAATACCTCTGAGATATTAATAGTTAAACCCTTTTATCAGATTGTTCATGGGGTTCAGATCTTAGAACAGACAACATCTCCACAGGGATGATCTGCAGATCCACAACTTGGCTAAATCCCACCTGGAGACACTCCAAGGGGCCTCAGAGCCCATCTGGTGAAATCCTCACTGATACAGGAATTCTTGATATGCTAGTGTTATAGGATGCTCACTTCAGTGGCAAAAATGACAGAAGTCCACGGTTAAGGAAAGTGTTTTTTGACTGTCTTTTCTAAAATGCAACTCCTACAGACAATTAAATCAAACAATTTAACTATTTCAGAAACATCAGGAGAACAGAAACTGACAGTATAGTAGTGTTGCTCAGCCAGGTGGATCTGAAATACCACAGACACGACATTAATTAATAGTGAATCACTTTATGAGTTACATTCATTTTACATAACAGGGGAGACAAGTTCCTATCCCAGGATGTTAAAACTCTCTAGGCAAGAAAGTTGCAGAAAAGAGCAGTGGTATTTAAAGCAATTAAAAAGATGCCCAACCAACAAAAGGATGGTTTCTAGACAATTATCTGGTTATTCAAGGCTCTTTCCACTGAGAGTCTTATAATACCAGGTCTCTAATTCAAAACCATTCTCCTCTTCTTAGTTTACTTCTAATTCTGTTTGAATACTAAGTTCCTTATGGTTAATGTTGAGTCCCTGCAGACTTAACTTGGTAATCTTCCTCAACAGACATTATGATAACTGTCCCATGTGGTTGTTGCAATAATTAAATAAGATAACAGGAATTTTCATGTAACGAATATTTATGATGAAGATCCATAGAACATGTAGTACAATGTTCAAAACAACATGGCTGCATAGTAAATACAAAAGTCCCTTTCATTCCTTCCTCATTTGTAGGAAATAACTTCTAAATCTGGAATAACAGCCAAATACAGCCATAGATACCTGGTTTGCTATGTGTAATATTTTTTTAAAAAAATTAGATTCCAACATAAAAATTAGAAAATTTCACATGAAAATTCAGACTTGTGTTTTTCTAAAAGAACAGAAGTTCTAGGAACACAAATCAGCATGGCCTCCAACAAGCATGAGTTTGAAAATGTAGGACTTAATGTTCTTTCTCACCTATTTTTGCCTCCTAGGCCTATTTTCCTGGGCTCTTATTTGTCCCCTTGGTCTGGGGCTAGTAAGTAGGAGAATAATTTGCTGAAAGCTTTGACATCACGGTGAATTTTGAGTGGAGAAAAAGGCACTTGATTCTTGGTCAGGTGCTGGGTGCAGGCATTGACAAAGGACATGCTAATAGTACTGTTTCTGAAAAAGATAATACATCTCCATTATAGCTTCCCTAGTCAATTACCATTCAACCAGAGAATTGCTTTCAGAATCATCATGTTTTATTCATTTATTGATTTAGTGAATCCCTACTATGTTCAGGCTCTATTCTATGGAATATTCAAAACTGGCAAGATACAGACCTCATCGAATTATCCCCTGTTCATCTCTTAGGTCTCAGCATTAATGTCCCTCCTCCAGAAAGCCTTCCCTGATTCTTCTAAGTTAAACACCCAGGTATGCACTCCTGAACCTTTCCTTTGTCATGTTCCATGAACTCAGTCAGTATCTTTCTCTATCTCCCTCCTCTGAGTTCCTTATGATGTCCTTTTAATTACATCCCCGGTTCCTAACACAGTGCTGATACCCAGGAGTCCCTTAACAATATGCTGGAAGAAAGAATAACTGAATGATTTCATGAGTGAATAAATGAATGACAAATTTGATGTTTATTCAAATAATTGGAATAGAACTGAGAAGTGGGGCAAATGCTTTCATTGGTCAATGGCAGTAGGTTACCATTTATTAAACATTTAAATATCACCCCTGAATATTAGGAGTTAACTGTCCACTGTATTAATAGCTGTAATTAATTAATCACTAAAATGATTACATGCAGATAATTAAAGTATTTTACAGTGAAGGGGCAGTTCTCTCCCCACAAGGAATTCTGGTATAAAGCTTCTCCTATAAATTAAGCTCCTAGAACACAGTAGGTGCTCAATGCATGGCGCAATAATATGAGTGTTGAGATTTATAATATTGCATTTTAAAATCTTCACTGCTACATTCTCAGAACAGAATCTGGTTCATAGTGTGTTCAATAAATATTGAGTAAATCAAGTATTTAATTAATATGAATTAACAATATTAGCTCAAAGAAAGAAATTAGTCTAATCTTTCCAAGGACTATTTAAATGGGTCATAAACCCCAAGAGTGCACTCTGAGATGCTTAGGGTCAATGATAGAAAGGTCAGTTTTCCACCTGGGGGATGGGGTCTCTCCAGGATCTCGGAGCCTGTGCTTTTTATCTAGTCTGCTGAGGGTCATGCCCAAGTCATCTCTGCCACCAAAGGCACCTTATCTCTGGCAGCACAGGACGCTGAGGGCCCCAGATAAGCCCTAAAGGAGAGTGGGTCAGACTCCAATAGGGGCTCTTGATTAGAGCTAAACATTCTGAGGTCTACAGGAGTCTGGGCGTCTGACCTGGTATTTCAGGCTTCTCCACAGGAGACTCTTCTTGTATTTCACAGGAAAAACTGCAGAGCTGCCGGGCTGGGTGGAAGAGGGGTGGGGATTTACAAAAGAGAAAAAGAAAAGGACTGAAGGTAGAGAATAACAGAGACGTATGCATCACAAACACACAGGCTCAGATGCACAGAGAGATGCACAGCAGGGCAAGACCAGAGAAAGGCAAGAGATGCCAGAGTCAGGCCAAGAGAGACAGGGCAGAGACCGCAGCACACAAGAACAACTTGAGAAAAAGAAGAAATGAGAGAGATGTAGAGAGGCAGCATTTCAGAGACATCAACCAGAGAGATGACACAAGTATACAGAGACAGACGAGAGAGACAGAGAATATGTGTGCACATGAAAGACAGACAAAAGAAGGGACCAACACAGAGAGTGACAGAAATACAAAGACACAAAACAAGAGATATACAGAATGAGAGAGAAAAACGTAAGGAGAGGAGGCTTACATATTTACCTGATGATATGGTTTGGCTCTGTGTCTCCACCCAAATCGCATCTTCAATTGTACTCCCATAATTCCCACATGTTGTGTGAGGGACCCGGTGGGAGAAAATTTGAATCATGGGGGCAGTTTCTCCCATACTGTTCTTGTGATAGTGAATAAATCTCTCCAGATCTGATGGTTTGATCAGGGGTTTCCACTTTGGCATCTTCATTTTCTCTTGCTGCCGCCATGTAAGAAGTGCTTTTTGCCTCCTGCTATGATTCTGAGGCCTCCCCAGCCATGTGGAACTGTAAGTCCCATGGAACTCAGTGTATTAAAATGACTTGAGAGTGTTAAAGATGAAGGTTCTTGGGTCCTTCTAGGGCTATGAGTCAGACCTATGGGTGTGGAGCCCAAGAAACTGTATTTTTACAAGCTCCTCTGGGGATTCCAAGGAATACTTCATTTTGAGAACCATTGTTTGAAGCTGGGGGATTTAGGGAAGCCACATAAACACTCACATGCACACACATACACACATCTCAGGGTACACTTGATGATGGTGTCCCCATGTCCCCACGTGCCTGGACTGGCCTTTACAAAACTTCCCTAGCCCAAGCTGTCTTTATGTGTGGAAGCATAAGACTAATAACTACTTTATGACACAGATATTCTACTATGATTATGCCCACTTTACAAATGAGCAAGCTGAGGCTCAGAAAGGTATAGTATTTTGCCCAGGGGTACAGAATAAGCAAATGGTAGAGCCCGGTCCCTACATTTTAGATCCAAAAAGGAACCTCAAAGACGAGTCTATATAATAACTTCCCTTTGTAAGTGAGGTCCCCCAAAGTTCAGTGAGATTAGATGTCTGACCAAGGTCATAGAGGGAGTCTGCTATATCCTACTGCAAATTATTTTAAACAAATGTCAACCATGACAGACAACACGCTTTTATGTGTAGAAAATCCTAATGAATTAATCCAAAAAAATCTACTATAATAAATGAATTTATCAAGGTCACAAGATCCATGCCAATATATAATAAACATAAATTTTATTTCTATAAGCAACAAACAATTGGAAAACAAAGAAAACAACAGAATTTATTAAAGCATATAAATATACAGGTCTTGCACATTTTAAATTAAATTTATTTCTAATTATTATATCTATCTTTGCCGAAAAATATCTTTGCTGATATATCTTTGCTGATATAATAATTAGAAATAAATTTAATTTACAATGTGGAAGACCTGTATACTGAAAACTAAAAAAGGATGCTGAGAGAAATTAAAGAAGACTTGAATAAATGGAATAATATACCATGTTCATGAATCAGAAGACCCAATATTTTTAAGATGCCCATCCTCCTCAGATTGAATGGAATTCAAATCAATATCCCAGACAGAAGAGATTGACAAGCTGATTTTAAAATTTTACAAAAGAGCGAATGACCAATGTATGCGTTTTCAAGGGTAGTTATAACGAAGTAATAACTGGGCAATAAAAACAACAAAAATGTATTGTCTCACAGCATTAACCATATTTTTTTAAATTCATAAATTGGATGTCATAAAAATTTAAAGCTGCAGCTCGTTAAAAAGATACCATTAAGAAAATCAGTAGGGAAGCCACTAATTGAGAGAAAATAGTCACCATAAATGTGTCTAAAATAAAGTACTTGTATCCAGAATATAAAAGAAAGTCCTATAACTCAATAATAAAAAATAATCCAATTAAAATGGTCAAAAATCTTGAACAGACACTCCGCAAAAAAAGATATACAAATAATCAGTTAGCACAGGAAAATGTACCCAATGACATTAGTCATCAGGGAAATACAAATTAAAATCACAATGAGAAAGCACTATGTGTCCATCAAAATGGCATACTAAAAACCAGACAACATAATATTGGCTAGGATGTGAAGCAGCCAAGTACTCAGTCATTCCAAATGGGGATATAAAGTGTACAACCATTTTGAGAAAAAAAGTCTGGAAGTATCTTATAAAATTGAACATATATCTACCCTATAACCCAAAGAAACCCATTCCTAGGTTTTCTGATATGATTTGGCTGTGTCCCCATCCAAATCTCACCCTGAATTATAGTAATCCCCACATGTCAAGGGCAGGGCTAAGTGGAGATAATTGTTTGTTTGTTTGTTTTTTGAGATGGAGTTTCGCTCTTGTTGCCCAGGCTGGAGTACAATGATGCCATCTCAGCTCACTGCAACCTCTGCCTCCCAGGTTCAAGCAATTCTCCTGCCTCAGCCTCCCAAGTAGCTGGGATTACAGGCACCTGCCTCCATGCTGAGCTATTTTTTTTTTTTTTTGTACTTTTAGTAGAGACAGGGTTTCACCATGTTGGCCAGGCTGGTCTCGAACCCCTGACCTCAGGTGATCCACCTGTCTCAGCCTCCCAATAGGTGGAGATCATTGAATCATGGGGGCGGTTTCCCCCACATTGTTCTCAGGGTAGTGATAAGTCTGTTGAGATCTGATGGTTTTAAAAATGGGAGTTCACCCACACAAGGTCTCTTGCCTGCCGCCATGAAAGACATGACTTTGCTCCTCATTTGCCTTCTGCCATGATTGTGAGGCCTCCCAGCCATGTGGAACTGTGAGTCAATTAAACCTCTTTCCTTTATAAATTACCCATTCTCAGAATGTCTTTATTAGCAGTGTGCAAAGGACTAATACATTACCCAAGAGAAATGAAAACATATGTTCACACAAAGACTTGTGTTCATGCTTTGTTTATAATAGCAAAAAACTGGAAACAACCCAGGTGTCCACCAATGGAAGAATGCATAAATAAACTGTGGAACATCCATACAATAAAAAACTATACAGCGATATAAAGGGATGAACTGTTGCTTCAGGATTTTATGTGAAGTTCAAAAACAGGCAAAATGAATCTACAGTGTTAGAAGTCAGAAGAACTGATCACCTCTGGAGATGGAACATTAGCTGGGAAGAAGTATGAAGGGGTCTCTTAGGATACTGCAAATGTTCTATAACTTCATCTGGGAGGTGATTGTAGGTTTAAGACTTGCACACTTCAATTATGTTATCCTTCATCACATAGAGGGGAATAACACACAATGGAGTCTTTTGGAGGGTGAAGAGTGGGAGGAGGAAGATGATCAGGAGAAATAACTAATGGGTACTAGGCTTAATACCTGGGTAATAAAATAATCTTTACAACAAACCCCCATGATACAAGTTTACCTATGTAACAAACCTGCTTTTGTATCCCTGAACTTAAAATAAAAGTTAAGAAAATGAAATAGTAAAGATAATGGCAACTCTACCTCATATTTAAAAAAATAAAATGCCAGTACTTCAGTGCCGTATAAAATAAATACCAAAATACTGAAATGTCATTTCAGTCACAATTTCAATCCCTTTCTGTGAAAGTAGTTATCCACCAGGTAGCTGAGAATTGATGACAATAACACCTGTGTCTTGGTCAGAAAACATGTAGGACTCAGAACCCCAACCAGTTCACAAAGGTAATAGTGGTTTCCCAAATGAGAAGGACTCGCCACCCTTATTAAAGGAAATGGGACGTCACTGGGGTCCACCTGTGAAAGGACTCACTATGTATACAAATGTGAAAGAAAACACATACAAAGCCATGGCAGTAAGTTCTCTCCATAAAGATGGCAGAATAGTAAAATTGGAACTTCCTTTGAAAAGTAAAAGGACACAAATAAGATTGATAGACTCTAGCTATACTAATGAAGAAAAAAAGAGAGAAGATCCAAATAAACACAATCAGAAATAACAAAGTGGACATTACCACCGGCCCCTCAGAAATACGAACACCCCTCAAAAACTATTATGAACACCTCTATGCACACAAACTAGAAAACCCAGAAGTGAATATGTTCCTGGAAATATCCAACATCCCAAGATTGAAAGAGGAAGAAATTGAATCCCTGAACACACCAAAAATGAGTTCAAAAAACTGAATGAGTACTAAAAAGCCTACCAGTGAATAAAAGCCTTGGACCAGACAAATTCACAGACATACAAGGAAGGACTGATACCAGTCCTACCAAAACTATCTCAAAAATTGAGAAGGAAGGACTCCTCCCTAACTCATTCTATGAGGCCAGCATCCTTCTAACACCAAAACCTCGCAGAGACAAAACAAAAAATCTTCACGCCAATATCCCTGTTGAACATAGCTGCAAAAACTCCCAACAAAATACTAGCAAACTGAATCCCCAGCAGCACATGAACATGCTAATCCACCATGATCAAGTAGGTTTTATTCCTGGGATGCAAGGTTGGCTCAACATACACAAATCAATAAATATGATTCATCACACAAACAGAACAATAAGAAAAAATTCACATGATCTTCTCAATAGAAACAGAAAATCCTTTTACTTGTTAATATTTATTTTTCTGAGACAGGGCCTCTCTCTGTTGCCCAGCCTGGAGTGTAGTGGCATGATCTCAGCTCACTGCAACCTCTGCCTCCCAGGCTCAAACCATCTTCCCATGTCAGCCTCCCGAGTAGCTCAGACTACAGGTATGTGCCACCACATCCAGTTAATTTTTGTTTGTTGTTTGTAGTTTTTTTTTTTTTTTTTTTTTTTTTTTTGCTTTTTTGGTAGAGATGGTGCTTTGCCATGTTGTCCAGGCTGGTTTGGAACTCCTGGGCTCAAGCAGTATGCTAGCCTCGGTCTCCAAAAGTGCTGAGATTATAGGCATAAGGCACTACACCTGGACAGAAAAGTCTTTTGATGAAATTCAACATCCCTTCATGTTAAAAACTCTCAACAAATGAGGCAGTGAAGGAACATACTTCAAAAAATGAAGCCATCTATGAAAAACCCACAGCAAACATCATATTGAACAGGCCAATGCTGGAAGCATTCCCCTTAAGAACTGGAACAAGACAAAGATACTTATTCTTGCCACTCCTATTCAACATAATATTGGAAGTCCTAGCCAGAGCAATCAGGCAAAAGAAAGAAATAAAAGGCATCCAAATAGGAAGAGAGGAAGGCAAACTATCTCTCTTCAAAGACTATATGATTTTATACCTAGAAAACCCTATAGCCTCTGTCCAAAAGCTCCTAGATCTGATAAACAACTTTGCCAAGGTTTCAGGATACAAAATCAATGTACAGTTGGTTTTTTGAAAAGTTAAACAAAATTGACAAACCTTTAGCCAGACTAAGAAAAAAGAGAGAAGATGCAAATAAATAAAATCAGAAATAAAAAGGAGGCATTACAATTGATACTGCAGAAATTCAAAGGATCACTAGCAGCTACTATGAGAAACTATATGCCAATAAATTGAAAAATCTAGAAGGACAAACTCCTAGACACATACAACCTCTCAAGATTGAACCAGGAAGAAATCCAAAACCGGAACACACCAATAACAAGTAATGAGATTGAAGCCATAATAAAAATTTCCCACAAAAGAAAAGCCTGAGACCTGATGGCTTCACTGCTGAATTCTACCAAACATTTAAAGAACAATTAATGCCAAACCTACTCAAACTATTCCAAAAAATAGAGGAGGAAGAAGTACTTCACAGAAATAGAGAAAACAATCCTAAAATTTATATGGCACCAGAATAGTAAAAGCTATCCTAAACAAAAATAACAAAACTGAAGGAATCACATTACCTAACTTCAAATTATACTACAGAGCTATAGTAAACAAAACAGCTTGATACTGGCATAAAAACAGACACATAGACCGATGGAACAGAATAGAGAACCCAGAAACAAATTCACAAGCAAGCTCACTTTCAACAAAGGTGCCAAGAACATACACTGGGGAAAAGACAGTCTTTCCAATAAATGGTGCTGGGAAAACTGGATATCCACATGCAGAAGAATGAAACTAGACCGCTATCTCTTGCCACATAAAAATCAAATAAAAAGGAATTAAAGACTTAAATCCGAGACCTCAAACTGTGAAACTACTAGAAGAAAACATTGGGGAAAATCTCCAGGACATTGGGTTGGGTAAAAATTTCATGAGCAATACCCCACAAGCACAGACAACCAAAGCAAAAATGGACAAATGGCATCACATCAAGTTAAAAAGCTTCTGCAAGCAAAGAATACAATAAACAAAGTGAAGAGACAACCCACAGAACAGGAGAAAATATTTGCAAACTACACATCTGACAAGGGATTCATAATCAGACTATATAAGGAGCTCAAACAACTTTATAAGAAAAATATAATACTCTGATCAAAACACAGGCACAATATTTGAATAGACATTTTTTAAAACAAGACATACAAATGGCAAACAGGCATATGAAAAGGTGCTCAACATCATTGATCATCAGAGAAATGCAAATCGAAACTACAATGAGATATCATCTCACCCCAGTTAAAAGGACTCATATCCAAAAAAAACAGGCAATAACAAATGCCAGCAAGAATATGGAGAGAAGGGAACCCTTTTACACTTTTGATGGGAATGTAAATTAGTACAACCACTATGGGGAACAGTTTAAAAGTTCCTCAAAAAACTAAAAATTGTGCTACCATATGATCCAGCAATCTCACTGCTAGGTATATAACCAAAAGAAAGGAAATCCATATATCGAAAAGATATCTGCACTCCCATGTTTGTTGAAGTGCTGTTTACAGTAGCTACGATTTGGAAGCAATCTAAGTGTTCAACAACAGATAAATGGATAAAGACAGTGTGGTATATATACACAATGGGGTATTATTGAGGCATAAAAAAAGAGTGAGATCCAGTCATTTGCAACAACATGGGTAGAACTGGAGATTGTTATGTTAAGTGAAATAAGCCAGACACAGAAGGACAAATTGCAGGTTCACATTTATTTGTGGGATCTAAAAATCAAATCAACTGAACTCATAGACATAGAGAGTAGAAGGATGATTACCACAGGCTGGGAAGGGTAGTGGGGCTCAGGGAGGTGGAGATGTAGGGATGATTAATGGATTCAAAAAAAATAGAATGAATAAGACCTACTATTTGATAGCACAACAGGGTGACTATAGCCAATAATAACTTAATTGTACCATTTAAAATAACTTAAAGAGTTTAATTGGACGGTTTCTAACAGAAAGGATAAATGCTTAAGGGGATAAAAAAAAACAAAAGCAATGTATAAAAATTAGTAGTATTCCTACACACCAACAACTTCCAAGCTGAGAGCAAATCAAGATTGTAATCTCATTCACAGCAGCAACACACACAAGCACACACACACACACACACACACACAATACCTAGGTGTAGTACAGCTAATCAGGGAGGTGAATCATCTCTACAATGAGAATTACAAAACACTGCTGAAAGAAATCAGAGATGACACAAACAAATGGGAAAACATTCCATGCTCATGGATAGGAAGAATCAATATTGTTAAAATGGCTATACTTTCCAAAGCAATTACAGCTTCAATGTTATTCCTATCAAACTACCAATGACATTTTTCACAGAATTAGGAAAAACTATTATAAAATTCATATGACACCAAAAAAGAGCTTGAATAGCCAAAGCAATCCTAAGCAAAAAGAACAAAACCAGAGGCATCACAATACCTGACTTCAAACTATACTATAATGCTACAATAACCAAAACAGCATGGTACTGCTACAGAAACTGACACATAGACCAATGGAACAGAATAAAGAACCCAGAAATAAAGCCGCACACCTATAACCATCTGATCTTCAGCAAAGTCAACAGTAACAAGCAATGGGGAAAGGATTTCTTATTCAATAAATGGTGCGGGTTACCTGGCTCGCCATATGCAGAAGATTTTAACTGGACCCCTTCCTTTCACTATATACAAAAATCAACTCAAGGTAGATTAAATACTTAAATGTGAAACCTAAAACTATAAAAACCCTAGAAGAAAACCTAGTAAATATCATTCTGGACATAGACCCTGGCAAAGATTTCATGATAAAGACTCCAAAAGCAATTGAAAAAAAAATTGGCAAGTGGGACCTAACTACACTAAAGAACTTCTGCACAGCAAAATAAACTATAAACAGAGTAAACAGACAGCCTACAGGATGAAAGAAAATATTTGCAATCTGTGCATCTGACATAGGTCTAATATGCAGAATCTCAAAGAAACTTAAACAAATTAACAAGCAAAAACCAAACAACTCCATTTAAAAATAGGCAAAAACATGCATATATGCTCCTCAAAAAAAGACATACATGTGGCCAACAAACATATGAAAAAATGCTCAACATCCTAATCATTAGAGAAATGCAAATCAAAACCACTATGAGATACCATCTTACACCAGTCAGAATGGCTATTACTAAAAAGTCAAAAAATAACAGATGCTGGTAAGGTTGTGGAGAGAAGAAAATGCTTCCACACTGCTGGTGGGAATGTAAATTAATTCAGCCATGTGGAAAGCAGTTTGTAGATTTCTCAAAGAACTTAAAAATGGAACTACCATTTTATCCAGCAATCCCATTCTGGGTACACACCCAAAAGAATATAAATTATTCTACCATAAAAACACACACACATATATATTAATCACAGCACTATTTTTTTTTGAGGTGGAGTCTCCCTCTGACACCCAGGCTGGAGTACAGTGGCACAATCTCAGCTCACTCCCAACTCCACCTCCTGGGTTCAAGCAATTCTTCTGCCTCAGCCTCCCAAGTAGCTGAGATTACAGGCATGCACCACCATGCCCAGCCAATTTTTTTTTTTTTAGTAAAGACGGGGTTTTGCCATGTTGGCCAGGTTGGTCTCAAACTCCTGACCTCAGGTGATTCACCCTCCTTGGCCTCCCAAAGTGCTGGGATTATAGGCGTGAGCCACCACACCCAGCCCACAGCACTATTCACAGTAGTAAAGACCTGGAATCAACCTAAATGCCCATCAACAGTGGACTGCATAAAGAAAATATGGTACATATACACCATGGAATATCATGCAGCCATGAAAAAGAATGAAATCATGTCCTTTGCAGCAACATGGATGGAGCTGTAGACCATTATCTTAGGTAAATTCACACAGGGACAGAAAACTAGACACCACATGTTTTCATGTATAAATTGGAGCTAATCATTGAGTACACATGAACACAAAAAAGGGAAGAATGGATACTGGGGCCTACTTGAGGGTGGAGGATGGGAAAAGGGTGCAGACCAAAAAACTACCTATTGGATAGTATGCTTATTATACCTGAGTGATGAAATAATCTGTACACCTAACCCCCACAACATATAATTTACCCATGTAACAAACCTACATATATGTAACCCCTGAACTTAAAATAAAAGTTGGAAAGAAAAAAAATGATTAAATAAATTAAAATGCTACATTAGAAAATATTCACTTGTTGCAAAAGAAAGCAGTAAAAGAGGGGAGAAACAAAAGACATGAAATATTTAGAATACAAACAGTAAAATGACAGACATAAATTCAACTATATCAACAATAACATTAAATGTAAATAGATTAAGAAGTCCAATCAATAGACAGAGACTATGAAACTAGATGGAAAACAAGATCCAACTATATGTTATCTTTAGGAGACATACTTTAGAATCAAAGATACAAATTAATTGAAAGTAAAAAAATGGGAAAGATGTATCATGCAAATAAAAATCACAAGAAAACTAGAGTGTCTATACTAATATCAAACAAAATAGACTTTAAAACAAAACATGTCACTGGAGATAAAGGAGAATTTTTATAATGATAAAAGGGTCAATCCATCAAGAAGATATAACAACTATATATGTATCAAACAACAGAACACCAAAATATGTGAAACAAAACTGACAGAAATGAGGAAAGAAACAGACAAATCAACAAAAATGGTTAGAGACTTTAATAACTTGCTTTTAATAATGGATAAAAAAACTAGGCAGAATACCAACAAACAGAAGACTTGAGCAACATTATAAACATATTAAAACAGGCACTATTGAACACTCCACCCCTAAACTCAGAATATACATTTGTCTCAAGTGCATATGGAACATTCTCCATGATAGACCATAAGCTGTGCCATAAAACAAACCTCAACAAATTTAAGAGGATAGAAATAATACAAAGTATATTATCTAGCTACAATGAAATAAAATTAGGAATGAACCAAAAAATGTGGAAAATTTAAGCATATATTGAAATTAAATAACCTATTCCTAAATAACCAATGGGTCAAAAAAGATATCAAAAGGAAAAATAGAAAATACTTTGAGATGAATGAAACTGTCAACACAATATACCAAAATTTATGTAATGCTGCTAAAGCAGTGCTTGGAAGGAAATTTATAGCTGTAAATGTCTATATTAAAAAGAAGAAAGATAACACAAATAACATAAATTTCTGCCTTAAGGCACTGGAAAGAAGAACAAACTAAACCAAAAGCAAAGAGAAGAACAAAATAATAAAGTTTAAAGGAAAATTGATGAAACAGAGAATAGGAAATGAATACACAAAATCAATGAAACCGAAAGCTGATTCTTTGTGCAGATCAACAAAACTGACACACCTTTAGCTAATGTGCAAAAGAGAAAAAGAGAGGAGCCTCAAATTACTAAAATCAGAAATGAAGAGGAGAAATTACTACTGACCTTACAAAAATAAGAAGGAATTATAAAGGAACATCGTGAACCATTTTATGCCAATAAATTAGATAATGAGATGAAATAGACACATGCCTGTAAAGCCACGAACTACCTAAACAGACTCAAGAAGAAACAAGCAATCTGAATAGACCTATAACAAGTCATGAGATTGAATTAGTGATCAAGAAACTACTCTGAAAGAAAATCCAAAGCTCAAATGGCTTTGTGGGTCAATTTTGTCAAACACTTAAAGAATATAGAAGGGGAAGGAACACTTCCCAACCCATTCTTTGATACCAAAACTAGACAAAGAAAAGAAAACTAAAGACTTATATCCCTTATGAATATGGACGCAAAAATCCTCCAAAAAAATTAGCAAATCAAATCTAGCAACATATAAGGAAGTTATACACCATACCCAATTGGGATATCATTTATCTTAGGAGTACAAGGGAAAGGTTAATCTAACATCTGAAAATCAATTAATGTAATACACCGTATCAGTAGAATAAACAACAAAAACCACATAAGCATCTTGATAGATGCAGGTAAAGCATTGGATAAAATCCAAAACTCTTCATTATAAAAACACACAACAAACAAAGACTAGA
Organism: Homo sapiens; assembly: GCF_000001405.40. Lineage (NCBI taxonomy): Eukaryota > Metazoa > Chordata > Mammalia > Primates > Hominidae > Homo > Homo sapiens. The sequence goes on along the minus strand of NC_000012.12, from coordinate 118,802,366 downwards.
AAGAAACTTCCTCAACCTGATAAAAGACATCTATAAAATACCTCACAGCCAATATAATACTTAATGGTGAAAGACTAAATGTTTTCCTTTAAGATCAGGAATACAAAAAGGATGTCTGCTCTCACTTCTTCTCTTCAACATCATACTAAATTTCCAACCAAAGCAATTAGGCAAGAAAAAGAAATAAAATATATCCAGATTGGAAAAGAAGAAGTAAACTGTCATTTTGCAAATTGCATGGTCTTGCATATAGAAAATCCTAAGAAATCCACTAAAAACTATGAGAAAAAATAAACAAGTTCAGTTTATTCAAGGATACAAGATTAATATATAGAAATCAATTGTATTTCCATGCACTTTCAATGAACAATCTGACCATAAAATTAAGAAAATTTCATTTACAATAGACACCAAAAGAATAAAATATATAGGAACATATTTAACAAAAGTATAAAACATTCTCTGGAGGCTATAAAATATTGTTGAAAAAAATTAAAGAAGATGTAAATAAATAGAAAAACATCTCATGTTCATTGACCAGATGACTTAGTATTGTTAAGATGGTAATACTCTGAAAATTGAACTATAGATTTAATGCATCCCTGTCAGAATCCCAACTGACGTTTTCTGTGGAAATTGGCAAACTGATTCTACAACTCATATGGAATTGCAAAGGACCCATGATAGCCAAAACAATTTTGAAAAAGAAGAACAGAGTTGGAGAATTTATACTTCCTGATTTTAAATTTTACCACAGAGGAACAACTATCAAGACAATGTGGTCCTGGAATAAGGATGAACACATAGAAAAAGATAGATTAGAATTGAGAGTTCAGTAATAAACCATGTGTCTACAGTAAACTGATTTTCAAGAAAAGGGCCAAGGCCATTGAATGAGGAAAGAATAGTCTTTTGAACAAATAGTGATTGAACAACTGGGTAGTCACATGCAAAATAATGAAATGTGAGCTACCTCAACCATACATAAAAATTAACTCAACGTAGATCAAAGACCTAAACGTAAGAGTTAAAACTGTAAAACTCTTAGAAGTAAACAGAGAAATAAATCTTCACGACCTTAGATTTGGCATGGATTCTTAGATATGACACCAAAAGCACAAGTAACAAAAGAAAACTATAAATTAGACTTCAAATTGTAAACTTTTGTGCTTCAAAGGGTGAATCCAGGAAGTGAAAAAGCAAAGCACAAAATGCGAGAAAATATTTGCAAATCATATATCCAATAAAGGACTTTTATCTAAAGAGTGTAAGGAACTCTTACAACTCATAAAAAACAAATAACCCAATTAGAGATTGGGCAAGGGAAAATAGACATTTATCTAAAGAAGGTATAGAAATAAGCACATAAAAATATGCTCAGCATCATTAGTCTTCAGGGAAATGTAAATGAAAACCACAGTGAGGTACCCACTTTACACCTACTAGGATTGGCTAGAATAAAAAAAGTTGGAGATAACAATATTGACAAAGATGTGAAGAAATTGAATCCCCCAAACCCTGCTGATGGAATGTAAAATGGCACAGCCACTTTAGAAAACAGTCGGGTAATTCTTCAAATTGTTAAACATAGAGATATCATATGATCCAGCAATTCCACCCTACAGATCTACCCAGGAGAAACAAAAATATATGTTCATGCAAAAATCTGTACAGGAATCTTTATGAAAGCATTATTCATAATAGCCAGAAAGTGGAAACAACTCAAATACTCATCAACTGATGGATAAATAAACAAAATATAGTATTATATATCCATACAATGGAAAATTATTTGATTGTAAAAAGAAATACAGTTCTGATACATGCTATAACATGGGTAAACCTTGAAAAGATTGTGCTAAGTGAAAGAAGTCAGACACAAAAAAACACATATTATATGATTCCATTTAAAACTACCAGAATAGTCAAATCTATAGAGACAAAAAGTAGATTTGCAGTTGCTTATTGATGGGGAGGGGGAGGTTTGGGAAGGTGATAACTAAAGAGTATGAAATTTCTCTCTAAAACTACTAGAAGAAAACAGGGTGAAAGTTCCATGACATTGGTCTGGGGAATAATTTTTTGTATATGAACGCAAAAGCACAGGCAACAAAAGCAAAAACTAGAAGAACGGGAGTGTATCAAACTAAAAAGCTTCTGCACAACCAAGGAAACAATCAACAGAATGAAGAGTTAACCTGTGGAATGAGAGAATATATTTGCAAATTATACATCTGATAAGAGGGTAATATCCAAAATATATAAGGAACTCAAACAACACAATAGTAACAAAACAAATAACCCAATTAGAAATTCAAAGGATCTGAAGAGACATTTCTCAAAAGAAGACATACAAATGGCCAAAGAGTGATGAAAAATGCTCAAAATTACTAATTATCAGCAAAATGCAAATTAAGACTAGAATCAGGTATTACTTCACAACTGTTAGAATGGCTATATGAAAAAGACGGAAGATAAGTGTAGAAGAGAATTTGGAGAAATGGGAACCCTGGAATGTAAATTAGCACAGCCATTATGGAAAACAGTATGGAGGTTCCTCAAAAAAATTAAAAATAGAACTACCATATGATCCAGTAGTCCTATTAAAGGGTCTATTTCCAAGGGAAATGAAATCAGTATATCAAAGAGATATCTGCATTTTCATGTTCATTGCAGCATTATTCACATGGCCAAGGAATAGAACCAATTTAAGTGCCCACTGATGGATGAATGGATAAAGAAAACGTGGTACAGACCTGGCAAGATGGTCGAATAGGAACAGCTCTGGTCTGCAGCTCCCAGTGAGACAAAGGCAGAAGGTGGGAGATTTCCGCATTTCTGACTGAGGTACCCAGCTCATGTCATTGGGACTGGTTAGACAGCGGGTGCAGCCCACAGAGGGTGAGCAGAAGCAGGGTGGGGCATTTCCTCACCTGGGAAGTGCAAGGAGCTGGGGACCTCTCTCCCCCAGCCAAGGGAAGCCGTGAGGGACTGTGCTATCCGGCCCTGATACTGCACTTTTCCTATGGTTTTTGCAATCTGCAGACCAGGAGATTCCCTCGTGTGCCTACACCACCAGGGCCCTGGATTTCAAGCACAAAACTGGGCAGCTGTTTGGGCAGGCACCGAGCTAGCTGTGGGAGTTTGTTGTTGTTGTTGTTGTTGTTGTTGTTTTTTCATATCCCAGTGGTGCCTGGAACCCCAGCGAGACAGAATCATTCACTCCCCTGGAAAGGGGGCTGAAGACAGGGAGTCAAGTGGTCTTGCTCAGTGGGTCCCATTCCCACGGACACCAGCAAGCTAAGAACCACTTGCTTGAAATTCTCACTGCCAGCACAGAGGTCTGAATTTGACCTGGGATGATCAAGCTTGGTGGGGGGAGGGGCATCTGCCATTACTGAGACTTGAGTAGGTGGTTATCCCCTGACAGTGCTAAGGAGGCCAGGAAGTTTGGACTGGGTGGAATTCACCACAGCACAGTAAAGCAGCTGTGGCCAGACTGCCTCTCTAGATTCCTCCTCACTTGGCAGGGCATCTCTGAAAGAAAAGCAGCAGCCCCAGTCAGGGGCTTATAGATAAAACTCCCAGCTCCCTGGGACAGAGCACCTGGGGGAAGAGGCGGCTGTGGGCACAGCTTCAATGGACTTGAACTTTCCTGCCTTCCAGCTCTGAAGAGTGCTGGAGATAAGCAGGATTCTCCCAGCACAGCGCTCAAGCTCTGCTAAGGGACAGACTGCCTCCTCAAGTGGGTCCCTAACCCCTGTGCCTCCTGACTGGGAGACACCTTCCAGCAGGGGTCAACAGATGCCTCATACAGGAGAGCTCCAGCTGGCATCAGGCTGATGCCCCTGTGAGACAAAGCTTCCAGAGAAGGAGCAGGCAGCAATCTTTGCTGTTCTGCAGCCTCTGCTGGTGATACCCAGGCAAACAGCATCTGGAGTGGACCTCTAGCAAACTGCAGCAGACCTGCAGGAGAGGGACCTGACTGTTAGAATAAAAACTAACAAACAGAAAGCAACAGCAACAACATCAACAAAAAAGACCTCCACACAAAAACTCCATCCAAAGGTCATCAGCCTCAAAGATCAAAGGTAGATAAATCCATGATGAGGGAAAATCAGCGCAAAAATACTGAAAATTCCAAAAACCAGAATGCCTCTACTCCTCCAAATGATTGCAACTCCTCTCCAGCAAGGGCACAAAACTGGACAGAGAAGGAGTTTGACGAATTGACAGAAGTAGGCTTCAGAAGGTAGGTAATAACAAACTCCTCTGAGCTAAAGGAGCATGTTCTAACACAATGCAAGGAAGCTGAGAACCCTGATAAAAGGTTACAGGAACTGCTAACTAGAATAACCAGTTTAGAGTAGAGAATAAATGACCTGATGGAGCTAAAAACACAGCACGAGAACTTCATGAGGCATACACAAGTATCCATAGCTGAATCAATCAAGCAGAAGAAAGGATATCAGAGACTGAAGATCAACTTACTGAAATAAGGTATGAAGAAAAGATTAGAGAAAAAAGATGAAAAGGAATGAACAAAGCCTCCAAGAAATACGGGACTATGTGAAAAGATCAAACCTCCGATTGATTGGTGTACCTGAAAGTGACAGTGAGAAGGGGACCAAATTGGAAAACACACTTCAGGGTATTATCCAGGAGAACTTCCTTAACCTAGCAAGACAGCCCAATATTCAAATTCAGGAAATACAGAGAACACCACTAAGATAATCCTCAAGAAGGGCAACCCCAAGATACATAATCGTCACATTCTCCAATGTTGAAATGAAGGAAAAAATGTTAAGGGCAGCCAGAAAGAAAGGTCAGGTTACCTACAAATGGAAGCCCATCAGACTAAGAGCAGATCTCTCTGCAGAAACCATACATGCCAGAAAAGAGTGGGGGCCAATAGTCAACATTCTTAAAGAAAAGAATCTTCAACCCAGAATTTTATATCCAGCCAAACTAAGCTTCATAAGTGAAGGAGAAATAAAATCCTTTACAGACAAGCAAGTGCTGAGGGATTTTGTTACCACCAGGCCTGCCTTACAAGAGCTCCTGAAGGAAGCACTAAACATGGAAAGGAAAAACCAGCACCAGCCACTGCAAAAACACACCAAACTATAAAGACCAATGACATTGTGAAGAAACTGCATCAACTAATGTGCAAAATAACCAGCTAGCATCATGATGACAGGATCAAATTCACACATAACAATATTAATCTTAAATGTAAATGGGCTAAATGCCCCAATTAAAAGACACAGACTGGCAAATTGGATAAAGAGTCAAGGCCCTTCAGTGTGCTGTATTCAAGAGACCCATCTCATGTGTGAAGACACACATACACTGAAAATAAAGGGATGGAAGAATATTTACCAAGCAAATGGAAAGCAAAAAAAAGCAGGGGTTGCAATCTTAGTCTCTGATAAAACAGAATTTAAACCAACAAAGATAAAAAAAGACAAAGAAGGGCATTACACAATGGTAAAGGGATCAATGCAACAAGAAGAGCTAACTATCCTAAATATATATGCACCCAATACAGGAGCATCCAGATTCATAAAACAAGTTCTTAGAGACCTACAAACAGACTTAGACTCCCACAGAATAATAGTGGGAGATTTTAACACCCCACTGTCACTATTAGACAGATCAATGAGACAGAAAATTAACAAGAATATTCAGGACTTGAACTCAGCTCTGGACCAAGTGGACCTGATAGACATCTACAGAACTCTCCACCCCAAATCAACAGAACATACATTCTTCTCAGCACCACATAGCACTTATTCTAAAACTGACCACATAATTGGAAGTAGAACACTCCTCAGCAAATGGAAAAGAATGGAAAACATAACAGTCTCTCAGACCACAGTGCAATCAAATTAGAACTCAGGATTAAGAAACTCACTCAAACTGCACAACTACATGAAAACTAAACAACCTTCTCCTGAATGACTACTGGGTAAATAATGAAATTAAAGCAGAAATAACGAAGTTCTTTGAAACCAATGAGAAAAAAGAGACAATGTACCAGAATCTCTGGGACACAGCTAACGCAGTGTTAAGAGGGAAATTTATGCACTAAATGCCTGCATCAGAAAGTGGGAAAGATCTGAAATTGACAACCAAACATCACAATTAAAGGAACTAGAGAAGCAAGAGCAAACAAATTCAAAACCTAGCAGAATACAAGAAATAAGTAAGATCAGAGCAGAACAGAAGGAGATAGAGATACAAAAAACCCTTCAAAAAAATCAATGAATTTAGGAGCTGGTTTTTTGAAAAGATTAACAAAATAGATAGACTACTAGCCAGACTAATAAAGAAAAAAGAGAAGAATCAAATAAACACAATAAAAAATGATAAAGGGGACATCACCACTGATCCCACAGAAATACAAACTACCACCAGAGAATACTATAAACACCTCTACAGAAATAAACTAGAAAATCTAGAAGAAATGGATAAATACCCGGACACATACACCCTCCCAAGACTAAACCAGGAAGAAGTCAAATCCCTGAATAGACCAATAAAAAGTTCTGAAATTAAGACCAATAACAAGTTCTGAAATTAAATAATTAATAGCCTACCAACCAAAAAAAGCCCAGGACCAGACAGATTCATAGCCAAATTCTACCAGAGGTACAAAGAGGAGATGGTACCACTCCTTCTGAAACTATTCGAAATGATAGCAAAAGAGGGACCCCTCCCTAACTCATTTTTTGAGGCCAGCATCATCCTGATACCAAAACCTGGCAGAGACACAACAACAACAAAAAATTTCAGGCCAATATCCCTGGTGAACATCAGTGCAAAAATCCTCAATAAAATAATGGCAAACTGAATCCAGCAGCACATCAAAAAGCTTATCCACCACAATCAAGTTGGCTTCATCCCTAGGATGCAAGGTTGGTTCAACATAAGCAAATCAATAAATGTAATTCATCACATAAAGAAAACCAAAGACAAAAACCACATGATTATCTCAATAGATGCAGAAAAGGCCTTTGATAATATTCAACACACTTTCATGCTAAAAACAGTCAGAAAACTAGGTGTATTGATGGAACATATCTCAAAATAACAAGAGCTATTTATGACAAACCCATAGCTAGTATCATACTGAATGGGCAAAAGCTGGAAGCACTCCCTTTGAAAACCAGCACAAGAAAAGGATGCCCTCTCTCCCCACTCCTATTCCACATAGTATTGGAAGTTCTGGCCAGGGCAATCAGGCAAGATAAAGAAATAAAGCATATTCAAATAGGAAGAGAGGAAGTCAAATTGTCTCTGATTGCAGATGACATGACTGTATATTTAGAAAGCCCTATTGTCACAGCCCCAAAACTCCTTAAGCAGATAAGCAACTTCAGCAAAGTCTCAGGATACAAAATCAAGCTGCAAAAATCACAAGCATTTCTATACACCAATAATAGACAAGCAGAGAGCCAAATCATGAGTGAACTCCCACTCACAATTGCTACAAAGAGAATAAAATACCTAGGAATACAACTTACAAGGGATGTGAAGGACCTCTTCAAGGACAACTACAAACTGCTCCTCAAGAAAATAACAGAGGACACAAACAACTGGAAAAAAATTCCATTCTCATGGATAGGAAGAATCAACATCATGAAAACGGCCATACTGCCCAAAACAATTCATAGATTCAATGTTATTTCCATCAAGCTACCACTGACTTTCTTCACAGAATTAGAAATAACTACTTTAAATTTCATATGGAACCAAAAAAAGAGCCCATACATCCAAGGCAATCCTAAGCAAAAAGAACAAACCTGGAAGCATCATGCTACCTGACTTCAAAATATAATGCAAGTCTACAGTAACCAAAATAGCATGGTACTGGTACCAAAACAGATATATAGACCAATGGAACAGAACAGAGGCCTCAGAAATAACACCACACATCTACAACCACCTGATTTGATTTTCGACAAACCTGACAAAAACAAGCAATGGGGAAAGGATTCCTTATTTAATAAATGGTGCTGGGAAAACTGCCTAGCCATATGCAGAAAACAGAAACTGTACCCCTTCCTTACACCTTATATAAAAATTAACTCAAGATGGATTAAAGACTTAAATGTAAAACCTTAAAACCATAAAAACCCTAGAAGAAAACCTAGACAATACCATTCAAGACATAGGCATGGGCAAAGACTTCATGACTAAAACACCAAAAGCAATGGCAACAAAAGCCAAAACTGACAAATGGGATCTAATTAAACTAAAGAGCTTCTGCACAGCAAAAGAAACTATCATCAGAGCGAACAGGCAACCTACAGAATGGGAGAAATGTTTTGCAGTCTATCCATCTGACAAAGGGCTAATACCCAGAATCTAGAAACAACTTAAAACAAATTTACAAGAAAAAACAAACAACCTCATCAAAAAGTGGGCAAAGGATATGAGCAGACACTTCTCAAAAGAAGACATTTATTCAGCCAACAAATATATGAATAAAAGCTCATCATCGCTGGTCATCTGAGAAATGCAAATCAAAACCATATCTCACGCCAGTTAGAATGGCAATCATTAAAAAGTCAGGAAACAACAAATGCTGGTGAGGATGTGGAGAAATAATGCTTTTACACTGTTGGTGGGAGTATAAATTAGTTCAACCATTGTGGAAGACAGTGTGGCAATTCCTCAAGGATCTAGAACCGGAAATACCATTTGACCTAGCAATCCCGTTACTGGGTATATACCCAAAGGATTATAAATCATTCTACTGTAAAGACACATGCACATGTATGTTTATTGCAGCACTATTTACAACAGCAAAGACTTGGAATCAGCCCAAATGCCCATCAATGATAGACTGGATAAAGAAAAGGTGGCACATATACACCACGGAATACTATGCGGCCATAAAAGAATGAGTTCATATCTTTTACAGGGACATGGATGAAGCTGGAAGCCATCATTCTCAGCAAACTAACACAAGAACAGAAAACCAAACACCACATGTTCTCACTCATAAGTGAGAGTTAAACAATGAGAACACATGGACATAGGGAACGGAATATCACACACGGGAGCCTATCGGGGGTTGGGGGGCAAGGGGAGGGAGAGCATTAGGACAAATACCTAATGCATGTGGGGCTTAAAACCTAGATGATGGGTTGATAGGTGCAGCAAACCACCATGGCACATGTATACCTATGTAACAAACCTGCACGTTCTGCACTTGTATCCCAGAACTTAAAGTAAAATAAGATAATAAAAAAAGGAAAATGTGGTACAAACATTATGTATACACATTGGAATACTATTTGGTCATTTAAAAAAATCCTCTCATTTGCGACAGCATTGATAAAACTGGAGGACATTACGTTAAGTGAAATAAGCCAGGCATAGAACTAGACAAATAGAAATACATAGTCTCATAGATATGTGGACTCCAAAAAAGTTGAACTCACAACAGACAGTAAAATGGTGGTTCCCAGGGACTGGGCTTGGGCTGAGGGTTGGGGAGATGCTGGCCAATGGGTACACAATTTCAGTTAGGAAGAATAAGTTCAAGAGATCTATTGTACAACATGGTGACTACAGTTAATAACAATGTATTGACTGAAATACAGATTTCTTGAAAATTCAAATTTCTTGAAAATTGCTAAGAGATTAGATTGTAAATGTCTTCACCACAAAAATAGATATGTGAGGTAATACATATGTTAATTAGCTTGATTTAGCCATTCTACAATAAATATGTATTTCAAAACAACATGTTATACATGATAAATATATACAATTTTTAATTGTTGATTTGAAAACTTTTTAGAGTACAAGGTTTCTTTTTGCAGTTATAAAAATGCTCTAAAATTGACTATGGTGATGTTTTCACACATCTCTGAATATATTAAAAAACATTGAATTGTATACTTTGGGTGAATTGTATGGCATATGAATTATTTCTCAATGGAGTTATTTTTTTAAAGATTTCCTAGGAGATATATGCCAAAAAAATGACCCTACACGATAAAATAACCACTAATATTTACAAAGTCTTTATGGTGTGGTGGGCACTGTGCCATCTGACAAAAGCTTACTAAGTGCTTGCTATGCACCAGGCACTACTCTAAACCCTGGGATACAGCAAGAAAAGAAACAAATTTTTTGCCTTTATGCAACTTACTTTTGAGTGGAGAGAGCTAGACAATGAGTAAATATATATTAAGTGGTGATAACTTAAGAAGAACAATAAAGCAAGACACATATATAAAAATGACGGAGAGCTCCCATTTTGCAGGAGAAGTGCAGGAAAGTTTTGCTGATAAGCTGGTATCTTTGCAGAGACCGACCTCAAGGAAGCAAGACCTGGGAGGCAAAGGGTTCAAAGCATTAGGAGCAGCTGGATGCAAAGGCTTTGAGATGTGGACATGCTTGATGTGTTATAGGAAGAGCAAGCAAAGGGGTCAATGTAGCTGGATGAAATTAGTGAAAAGGAGGATGGTGGGAGAGGTGGTCAGACAAGAAGGCAGGGGCTTCTGAAAGGCAGTGGAACTTTACAAACATCTAGTGAGAGGGTCTATCTCACTCCAGTTGATAGACTTGCCCTTAATCCTATGGCAACACTTCAAGGGCATCTTCCCATCTTCCCTGCAATATCTGAGTGTCCCAACATATGGTTTGGGCAACCACAATCTAATCTAAGGTTTTCCAAACTGTGGGCTGCAACATGGTGCCACAAGGTCATGAAACTAATTTACTGGGTTGAACTAGCATTTTAAAAAATGAAAAAATAACCCAATGCAAGCAATTATATATGTATGCCTCTGTGTGTGTGTGTGTGTGTGTGTGTGTGTGAGAGAGAGAGAGAGAGAGATTGAGGAGATGTATTGGTTGTGATGTAAAATGTATTTCTTACTGAGGGTCACATCGAAATATTTGAAGCTGACTCTAGTCCATTCCCCCCTTGCACAGCCCCATTGGAGCACACACCACATGCACACATCTGCACCAAAAGGCACCATGGCTGTTGATTTGTGTGTAGCCTCCTATACAGGCTGTTAACAATTTGATCCAAAAGATGAACTTGCCTTCAGCTACAGAACCAAAAAGGTCTTCTGTGTTAATTGAGATGTTTACTTTAAGCAAGGCAGCAATTCCATTGCAATGACTGTTTGTCTTTTTGCTTTTGTTGAGTTATCCTAGACCTTGGTCTGCAGAAGAATCCCCTAGATTCAGCCAATGATATCCCTCTGAGTCCCCATATGCATGTAGGGGAGGGGCTGGTGGCTCCCTCTCAAAAAAGAACAGACCCCTCAAAAGTGGAGTTTTACTGGAGTCAGACAGGTATAAACTCCAATCCTGATGCTGCCACCTCCCAATTGTGTGACCTGGACAAGTGACATCATTCCTTTGTGCCTCAGTTTCCTATTCTGCAAATGGGGGTAATAATAGTACCTACGTCATATATTGTTATGGGTTAAATAAAAATAAATGCTTATAACTAACACAGCACTTGACTATGCCTATTATTCCAGTTAATTCTCACTACTACCCTGAGAGGTGAAGAACCTATTATCCCCCATTTTACAGATGGGAAAACTGAGGCCAAATAGGTTCAGTAATTTGCCTAAGGACACATAGCTGGTATGTTATGAGAGCTAGGATTCAAACCAAGGCAGTTTGATATCAGAGCTCACCCTTGCATATTCCATTTTCTGTTTACTTCAATGAGATAATGTTGGTGACAAAGCCTGGCACACAGAGATGCATAAATTATTTATTTAACACTTACATAGTGTTTACTAAGCAGTGCTTTAAAAGTGCTTATTAAACACATCTACAGATATTATTTCATTTAAACCTCATAACAACCTTAGGAGGTAAAAGTCCTTGCTGTCTTCATTTTATAGATGAGAAAATTGAGACATAGGTTAGGTAACTTTCACAGGGTCACTCAGCTGAAAGCAGAGTTAGGATGCATGTTCAGGCAGCCTGGCTCTGGAGTCTAAATATCTAACTACTTTACTATGCTGCCTCTCATTCCATTGAGCAAGCTGTGTCTCACTCTCCAAGACCCTCACCCTACCCTCAACCCCTTGCTAACATAGAATAGTGGTTAAGGATAAGGACTATGTAGTCAGCCAAGTTGGTGCTGGAATTGTAGCTAGTAACTGATGGCTGTGTGACCTTGAGCAGGTGCTCTCTCCTCTCTGGGCCTCACATCCCCCAAAATAGGGATGAAACTGATAGCACTTGCTTCATAGGATTGGCATGAGGAGTAAATGAAGTGATGTATATTGAGTCCTCAGCACAGGGCTGGCATGCAGTAGGTGCTCAATACACATATTTGGTTATAGCTCAGCAGTGGGGTCTCCATTCGTTCCTCTCTCCCAACTGTACTGGGGGCCCTAAAACCCAGGGGTAAGGGTGCCCTGGCTTCTGGGGAGAGCTGAGATGTGAAGCTGAGAGGGCCTAGACAGAGGAGGAAAGCAGAAGGACTGCAGCCCATCACTCATTCATTCATTCACCAACTACATGTCAGTCCAGCTCTGAACAGGGCTCTGCTAGGCATGCAGACACCAAGATGAAAATATCTCAGAGAACTAGACAAGAATGGAGGAAAAGGTATAAACAACTTTTTATGTTATTAAATACTCCTTTATACCAGCAATTTCTAAGATATGTTCGGGTGAATTTACCACTAATTCCATGAGGTCTCAAGAGCTAAAGTGTTGATATATTCCCTCAAAAGTTTCCAAGAAAGAAAAAAAAGAAAGAGAAAGGAAAAAAAGAAAAGAAAGGAAGAGAAAGGAAAAAAGAGGTTTGATTACTTCTGCTTTGGGAGTCCTAGGAACATGCAATTGTGCATTGTGAATTTAAAAAGAAAAGAAAAGAAAAGAAAAAGGTGCTAGAGTATGTAGTATTTCCCTTTGTTGACACTTTGTTGACCAAGGAAGGTATCATCAAATCCTCCGGCAAGTATATGGTTCCACTGGCTAAGTTTGGGTTATCCCAAAAATAGATCCAGAGGCAAGGATGTAAGATCAAGTAGTTTATTTGAGAGGTACAGGAAACAGCAGTGGGTGATGGAGGGAAGTGAGGGGAGGGAAGGTGCATTGTCAAGCCAGCCATCAATGTGGGCAACTAGAGATTAATTCCAGTGGGAATTAGGGTAAAACACACACTTCAAGATTATCCCATTTGAAGGGATCTGAACGGGAATATTTATAGACAAGAGTTTCTCAACCTCGGCATTATTGATGTTTAGGGCTATATTATTCTTTGTTATAGGGCTGGCTGTCCGGTGCATTACAAGACGTTTGGCAGCATCCCTGACCTCTACTTGCTAGATGCCAGTAGCACCCCTACCTCTCTACAGTCATGACAACAAAAAATGTCTTCAGGCATTGGCAAACTTTCACCTTCAGTTGAGAACCACTGTTATAGATCAGCTCCTGCCAGTCATTGGTTGAACGATATTGGAGAAAGGGATGTCATTTCATCAGGGAAGGCAAACAAAAGTTCAATGGCCAGAGACAGCCTTCAGGCAAAGAAGTCAGGCGCTGGCAGTTGGAATCCTGCTAGCATACAGCGAAATCGTGAGGGAGGGGAAATAGGTGAGGCACTGACCATGTACATCTCCCCCAGCACAGTTTGAGAAACCCTTTTCTATAGGACTATTTTTGCAACTTCATGAAACTCTATCACATAGACAAAACAAAATGTATTTAGCCAATCACTTGTCACTAAACATTGAGGTTAATTCTGATTTTTCAACATTATAAATAATAGAATAATGAAAATATCCTTATAGCTTAATCTCTGCCAATATTTATGATAAGCTAGGATAAATTCATAGCAGTTGAGTGTCTAATTCAGAGTGTGAATATTTTTTAACTCTTCTATATTATAAATTGCCCTCTTGTCAGTATATAAGAATATCCATTTTCTTACACCCGTATCAGTACTAGGTATTATATAGTTTTTGGCCTTTGCCATTTTGGGAAGCAAAAATGGATATGTGTTTTATTTGCATTTCATATAAGTGTAGGCTATTCATACTTCTTATTTTGTAAACTACAAGCCTAATGCTTTGCCCATCACTCCACTATAGGGTTTGCTTTTGAGGTTGGGGGAGGTGTTCTCCCCCAACAGATAAGATGCCTTCTCAGAGCTTTGCTTAGTCTCCTAGGCTTCTCCAATATCCTGTTGCCAGGAGTAATTGTCAACTTCTGGCATAATTAATTGTGAACATGAATCAGCCCAGTTGACTTACTAATTAATTCTGATCCCTCCTGAATGAGATATTTTGAATCCCCCACCTCTAGGACACATTTTTCCAGACCAATTGGGGCTACTCAGAGCTCAAAGCTTCTGGTACTAGATCCTGTCCTCCACTGTATGGGTCTAGATCCCCCTTCTTAGCTTCAAAAATAATGGGGAAATGGGGAAATTCCACCACCTGAAAATCAGGTTAAAACTGATAATTTGTGTACTCTTTGCTGTCACAGAAGGGCGAGCACAAATCTCCACTCTTTAAGTGTAGGCTACACATGGTGTCTTCCTTCCAAAAAAAAAAATACAGTATGGAAAGTGTGGGGGAAGAGTAACTTTACAGTTGAGAAGCCTGACAAACAGTACCTCAGTTAGGTGATCAAGTTCAGTATCAACAGCGATAAATCATTTTGATGGTATGTACCCTTGATATGACACAATAAAATGGCACCTTAGCTCTGTGCTCTTCCTCCCAAAAACCCATTACCCAAACCTAACCATGAGAAAAACATCAGACAAATTCCAACAAAGGGACATCCTACAAATTCTTGACCAGTACTCCTCAAAACCTTCAAAGCCGTCAAAAACAAGATGAGTCTAAGAAATTGTCACAGCCAAGAAGAGACTAAAGAGACATGGTGAGTAAGTGCAATGTGGTATCCAATGGCATCCCAGAAAGGAAAAGACATTAGGCAAAAACTATAGAAATCTAAATAACCCGTGGACTTTAGTTAATAATAATGTATCAGTATTGGTTCATTATTTGTGAGAAATGTGCTATAGTAATATAAGCTATTAATAATGAGAGAAACTGAGTATGGGAGATATGGGAACTCTCTGGAATACCTTCATAATTTTCCTGTAAATCTAAAACTATTCTAAGAAAAAAAAGTTCTACTAAAAATAACTTTTTGAGGATAAAGGGGAATAATTTTTTACCAAGAGAAGGCAATACACTGTCAGCTAAGGATACAGCCTACATCTGAAGTGGGGCCCAAATCATGGTCTCTCCCAGAGGAACTATCTCTTGTGGAACTTCAGATGAGCACTCGGCCATAGAGTCTGAAGATGGGAATGCAAGTCCTTCATCTTTGTGACCTTGAGCAAAGTCACTTGGCCTCTCTGAGGCTGAGTTATCACCTGTAAAATGGGACCAAGAACACTCACATACTTTCCTGAGATGCTCTAAGGTTACTCATAACAGCAGGTACAATTTACAGAGCACTTACTAGGTGCCCAGCACTAGAAAAAACTTTTATCATCTCATTTATTTCTTACAATGCTCCTATGGAGTAGTTACTATTCTTAAGCTCATTTTATGGATAAGGAAAATGAGGTTAACTGAGATGGAGCAACTTGTCCAGGGCTATATGGCTAGGAAGACTTGATGGCCAAGAAAAGACTTGATGGCAGGCTGTCCCCAGAGCCCATGAACCTAATTATGACACTATGGTTCCTTTAATCAAGAGACATGAGACTGTATGCTCAACAAGAACAGAAATTGTAGCCTGTTTAGTTCACAGCTATGTTTCCTTTCCTGGGCACATAGCAGATGTTCAGCAAATATTTATCAAGTGATTCAATGTTGAGTAAGTGAGTAAATGGATGGGAAAAAAAATTATAAACTGTGGAAGCATATATTTTCATGAAAATTATTACCACTTGTATTAGTGATGTATTGCACCACCCCAAACTTGGCGGTTTAAAGCAATGATAATCATCTATTACCTCTCACTCTTCCTGTGGGTCAAAAACTTGGTTCTGCTTTGGGATCTCTCATGTGGTTGATGTTAGCCAGGGCTGCAGTCATCTGAAGCTTGACGAGAACTGGAGGATCTGCTCTCAAGGTTGTTCATCCATAGGACTGGCAAACTGGTGCTGACTGCTGGCAGGAGGCCTCAGTTCCTCTTTGTATGGATCTCTCCACAGGCGTGCTTGAGCATCATCACAGCATAGCGGCTGGCTTCCTTCAAAGCAAGCAATTCCATAGACTATGAAAGAGGCTGCTGTCTTTCTTATGACCTATCCTTGGAAGTCATACAAGTTCTAATGGTCCAGTGGTGTAGCCCTCATTCAAATGAGGAGGAAACTACAAAAAGTCATAAATGCCATGCATTAAGGATTACAGGGGGCCATCTTGGAGGCCACCATTCATCTCTTAGATTTGAGTCTTGAAGTTGAAGTTCTCTGAATTGCACTTCTAATATGTAATTGTGATAAAGACAGAATACCTCACTTCTTCCCAGTTCATCCCTTTAAGACCAGCACAAGCTTATACAAGGGAGATAAGGGCTATCAATTTACTGCAAAAAAATTCTTTTTGTTTAACCCAAACATACAATTTCTGGTGATATATCTTGGGATCCAAGTCAGTCTCCTCCTGGCTTGGCCATGGTAACTTCTCATCTCTACTCTTGTTCCCCATATGGAAACATTAAAATGGCTCTAAAAGCAGGGTAATGAAGGTGTGACATCTTTGGATTGATGAGGCAAATTCTAGTGGAAATGCATTCTGAACAAACTGAAAAATGGAAAGAGATTGTCTCTGAATCCTTTTTCCTCTCAGTCTCTCATCCTTACTATCTTTCAGTAGACCCTGTCTTCATCCTTCATCAACCTGGCCCATTTCCTTCTGGATAGTATGTCTCACTAATCTAGGTTTAGTGTGTCTCCTTAGTGGAGCAATGGCATTGTCAGTCATTGACACTTTAGTATGAATTATGTCCTGTGACTCCAAGTCCTATACTCTTTACTTGATGCCCGTCATGACTCCCCTTGTAATATACCACCATGTTTTCTTTTGTTAACCATCCTAAAGTGGCCGAAAAAGAAGCAGTTGGCTAAGTAGAGGATTTCATATATGTCTCCACCTATACTTCCTTGCTTCCTTGACTTCTCTGGCCAAAGCTTTCTTCAGCTGTGCTCTGGGTAACCAACATAGAACACAGACCTTACACTGGTTATCTGCCCTTTCAGAACTACCATCTGCTCTTCTCTGCCCTGCTCTGTCCCTAGGAGGCTGATCACTATGAACCACATGAAAGTCCAGCCTTGTCCTCTAGCTTTCAGTTGGGTTAGAGCAATGAGAGGCAGCAGCAAGAGAATAGGTGGGGAAGGAGGAGGAAGATATTTCTTCCCTCTGCTCCCTCCCTGCCAGGCTATAGTTTTGGCAATGGTTGTTTGCCTACCTATGGCCATGGCTCCTGTCAGGTGAGCTCCCTTGCACAATCACAGGTCATGTGGAGGGTTCCAGAAACACCACTCCTTCCCTGGCCCCTTTAGATCTGGTGTATTAGTAGCTCGCCTCTGATGCCAGCCCCTCGGTGCTTTACCATTCCTTGGTTGTCTCCTTGAGCCTGCCCCTGTCCCTGCCCCTGTAAATAGATCCATAAACTTTTCTTGTCTTTTTTGAACGTACCATCTGTTTCCTGCTGGGACCCTGATGAATACAGATCCCCTTTCTCATTCCAACCTGCCTCTTTGTTCTCTTACTTGGCAACAACTGCAGGAATATGCTCCCAAATTCCAGAATGTAGCAGCCACATCAACTAAGTGTTAAGAAGTTTTGCCAAAGCACTGGCGCCTATAGAGAGGATGCATTAGAAGGTGAATAAGGTAAATGCTTCAGGAGAGATGCATTCTAGCTGCTGAATGTGGTGATATTGAAAGAGAGAGTGGAGCTGAGTGGGAAGAGAAATTTGGCTCACCTGTCTGTGAAGATTGGTCCTCCACTCAGATGGAGGCAACTGCTGCTTTCTTCAACCTCATTCTGCAGAAACAATTGCTGCAGGTGTTGGAGAAGGTATATCTAGAGCAGAGACCATGTATCATTTAGGGAAGATTCCAGAGACAAAGAGCCAAAGGTAAGAGATGTAGGGGGTTAAAATCAGCCATCTTCATATCCTCACTTAAAAAATATAGTGTGTGAATAGAAAATTTGAGGTGTGTGAATCCAATAGATCAAGGGATGACTGCCATTGAAAAGATAGTTTGCTACTCACAGTTCCCAAGAGGAGGATGTGTGCCACTGGGCAGTGGGGGGCACATGGAGAAGCATTAACCTTGGTCAGGAGGCAAGGGAGAGAGGGGAAGCTGTGGGCCAAAGACTTTGTTGTGGTATCACAGGCAGGAACAAGCAAAGCAGGGTAAGCATGCTTATTTTTGGCTAGTTTGAATAATTTCGGCAGTCTCTGCGGTATAGGGGCTGTCCCTGGTTGTGTGGTACCTGGCCTTGGGTAATTATAGCAGTGATCCCAGAGTATGAGAGACTGATACAGGAGGTGGTTGGAGTGTGGGCTCTGGTGGTTGGTTTGCAGATGAAAAGCATGCTCAGTAGCCTAGTTGTTTACTACCTGTAATAATTGGCTAACCCTGGGAAGGGCAGTCCCTAAGGGTCAGCAAGGCCTCAGAAGTCAAAGCATCAACATACGGAAAATAAAAGGCATGGTTAACACACTCCAAGATTACTTTTCCAAGGCTCTTGCACCCCGAATGGAAAATCTAGATCTGTTGAAAGGCAGCCAGGGGCCATACAATATTTCAGACAGGGAAACAGTGGCATAATATAGAGACTAGGGTCCAGGACTCACCAGGCCTAGTGGAAGTTCTGATGGACAGACTCACTCTTATTGAGTAAGCTGCTTTCCTCCCACCTCAAACCCCATCTTCTCTCCCCTCTGTCCACTCAGCAGTGATGGATAGTCTTATGTTTGGGGTCTCCCAACATCCATGTTTCCTTTCCAAACAGTAGCCTAAATATCCTTTCTGAAGCCAGCACTCCCCTCTTCTCAGCCATATTATTTGGGTAGACTGGCTTCAGCCATTAGTATAGCCCACCTCCTGGGCACATGATTGGTTTAGGGATAAATACATGTAGCCAGCCTCAAGATCCATGAGTTATTGGAACATGTTTGCAGAGGTTCTTAGGAAAGAAAAGCTTTCTCTCTTTTCCACAGGCACTATTAGAAAGAACTGTCCCTCATCCCTCAGACAACACGGTGGGAAGAACTCTGACAACCATCCTATGGCTGCACAAAGGAGATCCTGGAGCCTGGGAAGAAACAAAGTACCTGAATTCTTGGTGACATCCATTGTGCTGCTACAATAAAGCCAGCCTGCATCTTGATGCACCTCTGGACTTTTCAATTACCCTAGGCAATAAATTCTCCTGATTGTTTAAGTAAGTGTGAATTGACTTTTATGTCACTTGCAACATAAAGTCCTGACTGATGCACCATCCACCTCCAAAATCCAGCTCTGAATGATTCCTTACCCCCTGCTGTGGCCCCAGAGCCACTCTACTCCCCCCAGTGCTTCCCTCCTCTTGATGCCTCCAGCTTGTGCTTGGTGGGGACTCCCCTTTCAAAGACTCTTGGGTACATGTCCTACCCACATATAACCAGCACCTTCCTCTGGCTTAAACCCCTTCATTGTTACATAATTAGTGTGTACCTTTCCAGCTCCACCTGCTGTACCAGTGAACCTCATGAACAAGGATGATATTTGGGGTGGTGGACTGTCACTAAGGGGAAGGTGCACTGGACTGGGAGTTAGGTCTTGGTCCTATTTCTGACCTTCATCTACTGTGTGACTTGAGCTAGGTCCCATAACCTTCTCAATGTTCTTATCTAAAAAATGAGAGTTGGAACAAGATTTGTAGGTTTTCAATCATGTTCTTTGAGATCCTAGCATTCTAAATGGCTGTCTCCAGGGCCTCTGTGGAAAAATGGGGATTGACTAGAGGTGTAATGCCCACCCATATTTTCTGCTCACTTTCAGCCACAGCTGCTTAATGAAAAAAATTAAAAGCCACTAGAGAAAATGATATCTAAGAGCTTAGGGTAATCATCAAGGCTGTTTCCCAAGAAATTCTGGTTCTCTTTCCAGGCACATGTTAGGATTACTCTGCTTCACCCTCTTGAATTTATGTATTGCCATTTGCTCATTTCAGCTAATAAAATGTAAGTACAAGTGATATATGCCATTTTCAGGTGAAAGCTTTAAAACAGAGCATGCAATTCAGCATATCACCTTTTCCCTGCTATGGAAATGATTGTGAAAACAGATCAACATGAAGCCTCGATTTGCCTATTTTCCTGAAAAGCTTTGAGCAAAGACCCCCCCACCCCCAAAACAAACCAGTATGCCTTTGTCACACTACATGAATGAGAAATAAAGTTTTGTTATGTTAAGACTCTGAGATTCAGGGTTATCTGTTTCTATAGCAACACCCAGCCTATCCTGACTGATATACAGATGGTGAAACTGGGGCTCCAAGAGGTTAAGTAAATTGCCCAGATTCCCACAGCTGGTAAGTGGCATGGTCAGGACCTATACTCAGACCAATAATAATAATTGCCTCCATCGCATTTAAGAATTGAACCCAGTCATGTCTGAAGCCAGATCCTACGAGCTCATGAGAGCTGACTGTGGGTATCTCTTCTCAAGTTCATATTTAGCGACTTCATATGGTAGCTTGAAATTGACCGTGGTGGTATTTATACCATGGATATGAGCACATGCTACATACAATTCAGGGCTTTTCTGTGGGAGTCCTGATCTGCTAAATTTGTTCATGGAAATTCCCGGAAGCTCATCGAGGACACCTTTTGGGATTCCGTAAAGTATATTTCATTAATGAGACAGAATCTGCAGTGAGACTAGCACCATGCAATGGAATCACAAATTGAGTTGTTAAGAGAAAGAAGAGAGAAGGTGCTCTGCAGGATGGCTAAAAAGTATGCTATGAGAGCAAGAGGAAGAAAAAAAATTCCGTGGAGGAAAGAAAGATCTTCCAATAAAAAGAACAGAGATTTTAATCTTTGCAGCACACATTTTGTCAAGTCTGCATAATTCATGAAACACAAGAACATCCGGAGGACAGCTGAAGTTCAGGGCAGAAGATCAAGTTGACAAGATTGGCTTTGGGGTAAAACAAGCGGATGGGGGCTTGGCTGTCGGAACTGACCTATATTTCTCTGTGTTTACTCTTCGGCAGGAGCTGTCACTGTTCATCCATCACCCCGGCTAGGCTGCACCCGAAGTCCAGTTTTCCCTAGGGGCCTTTGGAACCTGGAACCACAAAGATGGCAATTGTGTAGGGTTCTGGTCACTGTTCCCACATATCCACACCACTGTAGTCATTGATAATGACAGTAACTCTGCCACTTATAGGCAGGGTGACCTTGTGCAAGAGATCTTACTCTGTAAGCCTCAACTTAGTCTTTGTAAAGTGGAGCTGATAAGAGCTCCTAAGTCATAGGGCTGCAATGCACAGTGCCTGGAATATAGTAAGTAGTTAATAAATTAAATACCTAATAAATATTGGTTATCAACTTTTAGTACTACAATAATTATTATATCTAATAATGCCAGCACATTTTAAGAGCTTTGCTTAAAGTACATTTTTTAATCATCACAGCAAGCTTATGAGGTAGTACTATTATTGTCCCCATTTTCCAGATGGGGAAACTAAGTCAGCAGAGGGAATGTCATTTGCACAAAGTAAGTGGTAGAGTCAAGCAGTTACAGAGCCCCTGCTAAGTGCAAAGCAGTTTATAAATATTATCTCATCTCCGCCAAACAACTTTGAGAGTTAGGGATTATTGTTTCCGTTTTAAAGATGAAGAGATGGAGGCTCACAGAGTTAAATTAGCTAAGCCCAGAATACCAAGCAAGTAAGCAGCAAAGTGGGAATGCAAGCCTAGGTCTGTCTCTTAGCGCAGGTTTCATTCAACCACCTTTCGTTCCCACAAATATTTCCCAGAAATAAAAGCAGCCACACTTACTTTTTTTAAAATTATAATAGAAATGTTTATTTTATATGTTGTGATCATGTAAAACTTGGAAAATAAAAATAGAAACAAATTCAAATGACAATTTGTAGTTTTTTAAGGTGCTTCTATATACACTGTCTTTTCAAGAAACACATTTTTGGTTTTTTTAATTATTATGCTTTAAGTTCCAGGGTACGTGTGCACAATGCGCAGGTTTGTTACATATGTATACATGTGACATGTTGGTGTGCTGCACCAATTAACTTGTCATTTACATTAGGTATATCTCCTAATGCTATCCCTCCCCCCTCCCCCGACCCCACGACAGGCCCCGGTGTGTGATGTTCCACATCCTGTGTCCAAGAGTTCTCATTGTTCAATTCCCACCTACGAGTGAGAACATGCAGTGTTTGGTTTTCTGTCCTTGTGATAGTTTGCTCAGAATGATGGTTTCCAGCTTCATCCATGTCCCTACAAAGGACATGAACTCATCCTTTTTTATGCAGCCACACTTATTAAGGCTAATTCATATTTATTTCATTTAAGATATGCAAGACACTAGGTTAAGCCTTCTACAAGCATTCTCTTCTATAATTATCTCCACAGCCCCAGGCAGTGGGTATTTATCTTCATATGACAGAGTTGAAAACTGAGGCACATAGAGGTTTTACTTGGCCAAGGTCACACAACTAGAAAGTGGCAATCTGGGGAATGACTCCAGAGCCTCTTCACTAACCACTGGGATGTATTCTGTGAAGCTATAGGGTCTACTCAACAGACATCCTCCACCTGCCATGAGAATCCCAGGTTCTCTCATTCCCTTTGACCAATATCTAAGCAGGTGTGCTGACGAGGGGATGGTTGGGGGGAGAGGTACTCAAGAATTAGAGAGAGAAATGTTGGGGGAAGGGGCAAAGTTAGGGCTAAACCTGATGGACAGAAAGCTAAACCAGGGGCCAGCAGTCTGGGCCAGCCCTCCGTCCCCTTCGTCTCCCTCCGCTAAACCCCCAGAAGGAATCCTAGGACCTTGCCAGGTGCATCCTGGAGGTCATGGAACTGCCAATTAAAGCAGGGTGGGGAGTTTAAAAAAAAAAAAAAAGAATCCCTTAGTTTCCTTGGAGACAGCGTGGCTCTCCCTGTGCTCCAGAGAGAGCAGCTGGGACCTAGGCTGGGGACTGGCAGAAGCGAGGGGAGGCCTCTCCTCAGCTTTCCGGGCTAGCAAGTTTAAAACAGAACCTTCTGAAATGACTAAATAAAGGTCGGTGGCTGCCGGCTGGATGGTCTTCCAGGCAGTGTCTGATACAGTCAAGACAGTAGCTGGAGGAACACTCAGCTCCATGAACACCACCTCCATGGGAGGCCGGCCTTGGAGGTGACCCAGAGGCAGGGCCCCCACCCAAGGAGGAAATTTCATGTCTTCTGTGGGCACCAAACTGAATGTCAATGTGGAGAAGAAATCAGTCCTGCACTGAGCTCACCCTCTGCAACCTCCAGACATGTTCAGGATGACTGCTGTGTCTCTTTCTGGCTTACATGCCTCAAAGGGCTCCCTGGTGTCTGCATGAAGCCTTGAAGTTCCTCATGTGGACTTTGGGACCCTGAGGAATCTGGCCTCTGCCTACCTTCCCAGCTTCATCTCATACCTGTCCTGCATCATTTTAGAAATGCTGCCCCTGCATGCAGGTGCCTGCCTACCCCGATCTGTTTCTCTTCTCGTGGACTATGTTCAGTTTCTCTGCTCCTGGACTTAGCCCCTGCTTCCTGGAAAGCCCTTTCCCTATTCCCTCTCATTGGCCACTAGGGTCCAGGAGGACCCTAATCATCCTTTAAAATTCACCCCAGACTTTCCATTCTTGTCCTCCTCCTCCAGTGCTGAATTAGGTGCTGTATTAGTCTCCGAGGACTGCTGTAAACACATTACCACAAACTGCTTCCTTGAAACAACAGAAATTTATTATCTCTCAGTTCTGGGGCCTAGAAGTCTGAACTCAGGACATCAGCAGGACCATGTTCCCTCAGAGGCTCTAGGGAAGAATCTTGGCTTGCTCCTTTCTAGCTTCTCGTGGCTGCTGACAAATCCTATCACTCCTGGGCTTGTGGCTACATCATTCCAGTCTCCACCTCTGTCTTCAAATGGCTGTCTTCTTTCTGTGTGTCTTTGCACCTTCTTATTAGGAGACCAATAATTGAATTTAGGACCCACCCTTATCCAGTATGACTTCATGTTAACCAGCTACATCTCCAAAGACCCTATTTCAAATAAGGTCACATTCTTAGGTTTCCAGGAGGATGTGAATTTGGGGGAATACTATTCAACCCAGTACAACCAGTTTAGAGAGGGGAACAGTATTAGAGGCTGGGAAGATCAAGGAAAGGTTCAAAGAGAAACTAGTTCTCTGAGGTTGAATATTATTTGCACAGGCAGAGTAAAAAAGAAAAGATATTTCATTTTGGGAAAACGGCTTGAGCAAACACCCAAAGGTGGGGAGCCAGTGACCCCTGTAAAACTTCCCCAGTAGGTTCAAGCTTGTGCCTGATAATATGTTTTCCCAAGGCCCTTGGGACTCCTCCCATTTGCTTCCCCTACTTAAAACAATCTGGCAGCAGAGGAGAAATACTCAACACCTTTAAACAGAATCCATCTGCTAATATAACTGAAAGCAATAATCTGTCACTTTGAAAGTATGAGCCAACATGTTTCTCAAGAACTATTCTATTCCCTGCAATAACATTGAGCCAGTAAACTGCTTTCTTTTCTCTCTCCCTCTTTTTCTCTCTCTCTTTCTCAGCTACGCATTTTCAAATAATCGATGTCAAGTCATCCTTGGAGTATTAAATAACCATGTAGCCCATGCAATTAGAGAGCAGGTACCTCATTAATGCCAAAAGACAAGAGGAAAAAAACTAAAACCCAAAGTAGTAGAAAGTAATGGAGTCAGATAGTTGGGGATTAAAATGCTGCCTTCATCACATACTGACTTGTGACTTTGTGACCTCTTAAACCTCAAATTTCTCAGGAGTAAAATAGAGATGATAATCTCATCATCCTCCCGGTTTGTTTTTGGATTAAGCAATATGATATATGTATCATGCCTGGCACAAAGCCAGAAACTGAATAAATCCTAGCTGATAATCTTTTTTCAATGATATTTTTAGTAATAATATTGTTATTGCAATTCCAAAATATATTTGTATTGTAAAATAAAGCAATGAGTACCTAATTTCATGTCATTAAAAATCAAGGTTTTCAGTTGAAAAGAGATATATGATCAAAGGAAAAACACTGTATCCTGATTTTGAATGAGAAATATCAGTATAAACTCATGATGTGTTTTCTCCTAAAAAGTATGCATTTTCTAACTGTCCTCTTAAAAGACCTAGAGCCAATAACAAACCCAGGAGCAGTGAGCACTCCCACCACCCAGATGATGGTCTCAAATACCATTTTCCCACTCAAAGAGGTCTGAGCTCCTTGGAGAAATGGCTGACTCTGGCTTTGAGTAGCAAATGTATAAGATAAGTCTGAAAAGATTATCATACCAAAGTATGAGAAAGCTGTTGATATATTAGGGTTATTTCTAGAGAACTCAAGGACCAACTTTAATAGTCTTCCACTAGCCAAAGATGAGATCATTTGAGCATCAAATGTCCCTGTATTTAAGTTCCTCCAGTAAACCCTAGGTCTCATTCACTGTCTCCAGGGCACAGTGCCATTTCAGTTGGAGTTGACAGGTGTTTGGTACAACACCTTCCTTGGTGCTGCTGTCTGAGTTAAGTCACCTCCTCTGATACCATTACATCTCTCTCATAGCACATCTTAAAATACATAGTATCTGGCAGGTTATGTGCCTGGTGCCTCACCCCCTTTGAGTCCCTGAAGAACAGAGGCCATGTCTTTTTCACCATTGTATCTTTATCATCTTGTATAGTTTCTTGCACATTGTAGGCTCACGGGGCTTACTAAATGGGTGAGTGAGAGAATGGAGGAATAACATCCTCCTCGTCGTTTTCATTTCATCATGGTACACACTTTAGCTCAGGTATCCTCTGAACTCTTCCTTTCTTCACTCCCTTGTCAATAACAACTTTCTTGCATGCTGCCCCATTGGCCTCGGGCCATGATCTTGGCAAAGAAGATGAAGAAGGACAATACGGTTTTGTCATCCAGATACTACCATTTAACCTATGTAGTTACTTGGTCTTCTGTGGCACCTAACACTTTACAAACTCCTTCGATAAGTATGAGCTCCTTACAACAGCCCTGGAAGGCAGGCAAGGTTACTCTTGGTATCCCCAGGATAGAAGTGAGTGAGTTTACATAGATAACTCATGATGTCTGTCCCATCCACAGCACCTGTTTTGGCAGCCCCTGCTGAAGAACTGGCCACAAGTCAATTGGCCACTCATGTTGTATGCTAGGGGCCTGACCCTTGGCCAGAATTCATTGGATCAGAACTGTACACTTGATCTAAGTGAGCCAATCAGGCTGTCTCTTGAAAATGTAAACTGGAAAAGAAAGACTTCCTTGAAGGTCATTTTGGCATTTTTGGCACTGAGCAGTGTGCAGACAGAAGCAGAGAGGAGCCACCAGGAGGTCTCAGAAAGAGATAGAAAGAATAGTCTCCATGACTTCTGAGCTCTCTGTAGTACCCAGTGGAGTTTCTTGTGAAAACCAGCTCTGATTCCTGCCCTTGGATCTCAGGAATCTCTTTAGTGTCTTTCTGATAAAGCTCTCATTTCACTAGAGTTAATTTGTGTAGGCTTCTGTTCCTTGTAAACAAATAAGACATGGCCCAGACAGGGATATAAGCAGAAGGAAGAACATCAGGCTAGAGATCAGAAGACCTTAGTGGCTTTGCACTGAGTAACTGTGTGACACCAGGTAAAATATTTCATCTCTCAGAACCTCAGTTTCCACTCTTGTAAAGTGAGAATGCTGACAATACCTAGCATACAGGAGCAATTGAGCAACACGCTTAACAGCATTTTGTTGCTATATAATTACTAAGTGAGTTAACTTATCCACGATCACTATAATGGCGGGAAATTCAAGCATCATAGTTGGCAAGCCATAAGAGCTGCTAGGGAGAGATTGAGCATTGTTCAACCAGAAGTCACTTTGTACAACAGCCTCCTGGGAGTGGAGCTGCCTGTGGACACTGCCCTGAGTCAGGAGGAAGGGTACGATGACTTTGAGCACACCCTACCCGGAAGTCACCAGCTTCCAGGAGACAATGGCCTGAAGAGAAAGCCCCAGTCACCCCAGGGGAGGCAGGGAAGCATCTACCTCTGGCTCTATCTCTAGCATCATTCTTTCTCTCTGGGTCTCTGAGTTCTTAGGTCAGGGATGGTGTCTCTCTTGCTAATAGCCCTGTCTCCAGAAGCACACAGGCTTGGCACACAGTAAGTGAATGAATGTCTCCGTGTCCCTGTCTGTCTCTATGAGCCTCTGTTAGCTGTTTTTTAATGTGGCCCTCTTGCTCTCGCTCTCTCTCTCTCCTCTCTCTCTCTTTCTCTCTCTCCCTCTCTCTCTCTCTCTGCCTCTCCCTGCTCTTTGTCTCTCTCTTATCTCTCCCCTCTGTCTCCCTCTGTCCTCGGTGTCTCTCTCACATCCTCCTCTGTCTCCGCCCCACCTCACGGCACACGTACTCACACCTGCCCCAGACCTTTCCCTCTCCTGAGCTCCCTTTGTCTTGGTCCCTCTCCCGTTGCCTGGTAACAGCCCTCCCCTTCACCAGCTCCGCGGAAACCATAGCAACGGGCAGCCGGAAGATGCGGCCATTCCTCTCCCTTTTGTCCATTGCATTTCAGCAGCGCCCGCGCACATGGACGCTCCAATTACAGGTACTTGGGAGGGGACGCCTTTGTCCGCGGCCCATTCACGGCGGAGCCGGCTCCGGGCGGAGAAGCTGTCGGGCGCTGTCGCACAAAGCGATTTTGTGCCTCCTCCCGGCGCCTTCCTCCACTCCCTGCCGCGTTCAAGGACAAACAAGGACCTCCAAATTCGTGTTCAAACGCCCCGCGTGGTAGGCAGTGTGGGGGGGTCAGAGGAGAGTCTGGAAGGAACCCAAAGGGTGAGCAGACCTAGCCAGTGAAGAACGCACAGACATACTGACCCAGCAGCCCCCAGAAGAGAAGCCAGGGACCAGAAGCGCAGGGCACGGGAATGTGTCATGATTGGCGCACAGGCTGTGGCCCCACCGCTGCCTGCCTTACTCCCCTCTGCGCGCTGACCTTCCACTCCTCCTGCACCGAGGTCCTTCTCAAACCAGAGGCTTCACACCTGTTCTTCCCTCTGGCTCAGATTTCCCATCCCTCTTTGCACACTTAACTGCTACCCGACCCTCAGTCTCAGCTCCAGCGTGCCTTCCTGGAAGAAGCTTCCCTGCCCACCCCTCCATTCCCTTTCCCAGGTTCCCACAGCCCCCTAAGCTGTGCTTTCCACGTCTACAATCATATATATTTCTTAAATGCCGTATAAGTTTCCAGCGGCTCCTGTAACAGATGACCACAAACTGGATGGCTTAAAACAACACGTATGCATTGTCTCCCAGCTCTAGAGGCTAGAAATTGGCAGTCAGGATGTGTGTAAGGCCACGCTCCCTCTGAAGACTCCAGGGGAGGATCTTTCCTTGCCTCCTCCAGCTTCTGGTGGCTGCCAGCATCCTTGGCATTCCTTGGCCTGTGGACACATCACTCTCATCTCTGCCCATGGTCACGTGAGTTTCTCTCCGTGTCTCTCTGTCCTAATTTCCCTCATTTTATAAGGATACCGGTCATTGGATTTGAGTTCACCCTAACCCAGAATGACCTGTCTTAACTTGATTATATCTGTAATGTTATTTCCAAATGATACAGACAGGAGACAGGGTGACACTGGGTAGAAGAGGGTGGTTCTCCAGCAAAGGCCCCACCCTCAAGCCTGGATACCTGAGGCCCTAAATGAGAATGGGAATTCCTGTTTTCAAGCCCCCAAAGTTGCCTTTTGGCCCACCACGCCCCCTATCTTGCCCCCATATAAGCCCAGAACCCCAAGCTCCAGAATACAGACCAGCAGGCGAGGAGACAAGGAGGCAAGCAGATGGATGGTGGAACAAAGTGGCAGAGAAAGAGAGAAGAGGAGAGATGTCTGGACGCCAAGAGGAGTCTGGCTGGGGCCAGTCAGAGAAGAGTCCAGCGGCTGGGCAGCCCGACTCCAGGGGAAGATCACCTTCCCACTCCATCCCCCTTCACGCTCCCCATCCATCTCACTAAGAGCCATCTCTACCACTCAATAAAACCTTGCATTCATCCTTCAAACCCTTGTGTGATGTGATTCTTCTGAGACACTGGGCAAGAGCTCAGGATACAGAAAGCTGTCACATTGGCCCTCTGCCCTTCTGATAAGGCCGAGGGTCCATTGAGCTGATTAACACTCAAGCCATCTGCAGATGGCAAAGCTGAAAGAGCTTTGTAACACTGGGGTTGCAAGCACCCACCCGTAGACACTACTGTGGGGCCAAGAGCCCAAAGCACTTGCCCAGCCTCTCCACCTGCCCATCTGCATGCTCCCCCTAGGTGTTTGAGCTGCGGGGTGACTGAATAGGCAAGACGCACCTCTGTTGCACATCCTGCCAGGGGAATCAGGGAACTCTCCCATTTCACAGAAAAGGTCACATTCCAAGGTCCAAGGTAGAAATAAGTTTGGGGAGAGGAAGCACTATTCAACCCAGTATGGGTTATTCATATAACCCAGTAATGGTTATTCATTCTCCCTCCTCTAAACTTACAAGCCCTGAGACCTCTGCAAACCTTTACCCATGACTCTGTCCCCCAGTGTCTGGTCAGCTAAGAGGCCAGTCAATATTCAGTGAACGAATGAGCAAGAAAGAGTTGCTTCTCCTCCATGAGCCTTAGTAGTCCTTATCCATAAAATGGGCATAATAGCATTACTTCAAAACATCATTGAGGAGGAATCCACACCTGACAGGTAGAGAATTTGAAAAAATCAATAACCATGTGTATCAGTTTCTTGCCACTGCTGTACAAATTACCACAAATTTCATGGTTCAAACCACTCCAATGTACTCTCTCACAGTTCTGGAGAAATCCAAAATCAACATGTCAACAGGACCACGCTCCCTCCAAAGGCTCTAGGGGAGGATCCTTTCTGGCCCCTTTCAGCTTCTGGTGGCTCCAGGCATTTGTTGGCTTTTGGCTGAATCACTCCAA
The DNA here is from genome assembly GCF_000001405.40 of Homo sapiens. Taxonomy (NCBI): domain Eukaryota; kingdom Metazoa; phylum Chordata; class Mammalia; order Primates; family Hominidae; genus Homo; species Homo sapiens. Next base: position 118,772,118 of record NC_000012.12, on the reverse strand, counting down.
TCTCTGCCTCCATCTTCACATGGCCTGTCTCCTGTCCTGTGTCCTCTCCTTTTCTTATCAGGACACTTGACATTGAATATAGTGCCTACTCAGATAATTCCGGATGGTCTCATCTTGAAATCTTTACACCTGCAAAGACCCCTTTTCCAAATAAAATTACATTCACTGGTTCAGATGATTTGACATGGGGACATCTTTTGGGGGAGGGGGGAAGCCACCATTCAATCCACTACCATGATTATTATTTCCATAATTAAGGTACGAGCTGTGGTTGCTGACAATTTATATTCAATCAATATTTATGAGGACCAAGTAGTTGCAGTTCTGAAATGTCCTGATTTTTACTGAATTTTCACAATGACCCTACTGTTTGCATGTTAAAAGTTGAGACAAATGAGGCAGGAGAGGTAAGGTGATGTCCCCCTACATCACAAACAGGGCAGAGTCCTCCAATGTACCCTGCCCCAATCCCAGCCCAGTGTGTGCACAAACCATTCCTCTGCCCAAAGCCCTTTCTTTTTCTCACCTTCACTAGTTAGGTCTGCCCATCCTTCTGGTTCCTTTCAGACTCTCCTCTGACCCTGCAGGGCTATGTTAGGGTTCCTCTGGTTTCCATGGCATTCTTTACTTTTTCTCTCTGTGTCTATTTGTATCTGCTTCCTCTGAACTGTGAACTCCTTGAGGCTAAAGACTGAGTTTTGTTCAACATTACACCATCACAGCTTAGCATGGAACCAACCATAGAGAAGGAGCTCTATAAATATTTATAGAAGTGAAATTGTATGTGTGATGGTATTGACATGGACTTATTCAACTGAAACATATCAATACCAGTTACATTATTATTATGACTTGTTGTCTGAGACCCAGGTCCCACAAAAATCCTGAGTTAGAGAAAGCTAGTGGATACTTACTCCTAGGATTCAAGGGATTGCCAAGTTTGAAAGACTGAGCAACTGGAAAAACCCTGGTGCCATTAATAGAAATCAAGAGAATCGGTAGTGTAGACCAATGCTTATCAAACATTAATATGCACGCGAGTCATCCAGGGACTTGTTAAAAACACACATCTTGATTCACTTGGTCTGTGGTGGGCCTGTGATTCTGCGTCTACAAGCTCCCAGGTGATGCTGATGAGGCTGGCCCTGAAACACACTTGAGAAGCAAGGTTGCAGCTGATTTGAGCAGGAGGTCAAGGATGGTGAGTTGGATTTGGAAATGCTGAGCTTGAGTTGCTCAAGTGATTATCTGATGAATATTTCAATGAGGCAGTGCTAACAACACAGGACTAGGCACTGGAGAGAGGGGCGATGATTACAGCTTTCAATTTGGCACATCATATAGGATGTTGGTGAGCATGAGTATGGGCAAGGAAAAAACAAAGAGATATTTGGGAAATATCCACATTTGGGGAAAAGAAAAAAAAGAAATAGAGAAGGAGCAGTTGGAGAGAGAGACAGAGAAACCAGGATGGCACAGAGTCCCAGGACAGTCAATTGCTGCAAAGGGTGAAGACATTGAGGCAAGGACCTGCTCATGGAATTTACAACCTTGAGAAAAGATTTCACTAGGGTGCAGGAGGGCAGAGCAGACACTGTTGATCCCTACCCCTGCCTTTGGGCCATGTGAATTTACCAGCAGCTGCAGCAGATTATTCCCCCATGCAGAAACTTCTTACCTTGAACAACCGTGTCCAGTTATCCTCTTCACCTGAGGACTTTCTCCAACTCCAGAGAAGCTTGCTTGGCCTCAAGTAGTCTCAACTCAGATGTGTAGGGGAGTTAACATCCTGGGGGACAACCCCTAACCAGTCTGGTGTGGGAATGGGTAGATAAGTACCCCAGTTTCTCAGTTCTCTAAGGAAATGCTTCTTAAGCATGGTTTCTCAGCAGAATTAAGCTCCAGTTGCCCACAGCAGCAACTGCTCAACACCACACCTTTGATTGGCTTATGCTTCCTAGAATCACCTCCCTAATGAATTCTTTGTGCCTAAGTCTTTGTTGCATAGTCTGCTTTGGGGGAAACTCACACTAAGGCAGGTCAGTAGCCACATTGCAAGAGTTTAAATCAGGACAAATACAAGAAACAGGTGCATTAACACAAGAATGGGAGTTGTTTTAAACTAGCCTTGCAAATAGCCCCTCATTCAACAACCCTGATCTGAGCAAGCAGGTAATCCAGTGATTACAATCACTGATTTCTCACTGGATAAGGGAAAGACTTAGAAGGCAGGTTCACATTAGCACTTCCAAGCATCACCACCATCACCAATCCACTTTAATACTTGTCCCCACAAAAAAAAGCTGACACTATCTCGGGAAATGGGCTAAGCTTGAGGAAGAGGATAAAGTTTGCCTGGTTTGGTTCACATCTCTGGAGACAGTGTCTGGGTGCAGCTGAGGTTGCTGCTATATATAACACACAAGCACAGCTAATAAAACTGATTGTAAAGCACTTTGCAGATCCAAAGTGCCACATAAATGCTAAATAAGAAAATTAATCTTAGCTACAAAGAACTCACGTTGTGAGATTGGAGTGATTTTTGAGGCTGCGCCAGGGGAAGGGGAGTGTGTGCCATCTCTTGTCTCTCACCCCTACTCTCTGCCCTCATTCTCCCCCCAACCAATATATGCACACACACTCCTGAGAAGTGTACCGATGCTCCCATATGCACCCCTGACACACGCCCCCCAACAAATATACCCCACATGCATACTCATTACCCTGCACATATATACATCCAAGGACATCTTTATAGCCATGCGTATATACCCACATGCACCCCAACACACACACACACACACATGCCAGCATGTATATCACACAGACGTATTCAGAGACATCTTCATAGTCATGCATATACACCCAGAGGCACACACATACATAGCCTCCCAGGTACATGACATCTTCTAAATATCCTCCTCAGATATGCTCTTATACATGTGGCCACAAATGCATCCCCTAAAAACCGCACACATACAAAACATTCTCTAACATACAACCCACCACACACAGTCTCACACATGCCTTTATACATGTTGCAGTATTTTGAATCATTGTTTGAAATTCCTGGCTGGCCACAGTGGCTCACAGCTGTAATCCCAGCACTTTGGGAGGCCGAGGCAGGTGGATCAACTGAGGTCAGGAGTTCAAGACCAGCCTGACCAACATGGTGAAACTCTGTCTCTACTAAAAATACAAAATTAGCTGGGCGTGGTGGCAGGCACCTGTAATCCCAGCTACTTGGGAGGCTGAGGCAGGAGAATCACTTGAACCCGTGAGGTGGAAGTTGCAGTTAGCCGAGCTTGCACCATCGCACTCTAGCCTGGGCAACAAGAGTGAAACTCCATCTTAAAAAAAAAAAAAGAAAGAAAAAAAGAAAGATATTATTCACACCCTCTTTGCATTAAAATCATATGTCCATGCCCATCATCACAAGATTCAAAATTGCCTCTCACTATGGCCCTACTTTACTTCCCCACCTACTGATGGTGGACTTGATCACATAAGTTGCTTTGGCCAACGAAACATTAGCAAATGGTTATCTAAGGAGGGTTTAAATATGTTTGTAAGCTTTGGGTTGTTCTCTTGGTCTCCAATAGTCTGCCAGGAATAGAGCATGCCTCTTCAGCCGGGACCCCAGGATGGACACAGAGCAGATCTAAACTTCATGTGCAGTGTGTACAGCAGCCCAGCTGGACTCACAGCCCAAGGTAGAGCCACCCAGATGAGCCCAATCTAGATTAACCACAAAATACAAACCCGGAGTGGTGAGACTAGACCAGGGATCAGAAAACTATAGCCTATGGGCCAAATCCAAACTATTCCTATTTTTGTAAATAACGGTTTAATAGAGCACAGCCATGCCCATCATTTATATATTGTCTACGGCTGCTTCCACTTTACAAGGGTAGAGTTGAATAGTTGCAATAGACACCGCGTGGTCAACAAAACCTAAAATTATGTCATCTGACCCTTTATGGAAAAAGTTGCCCAGGCTTGGAAGAAGTTTTCCAACCCCAGGATTGGTGCTAGTTGTTGTAAGACATTATTGGGGTGGCTTGTTACACTGCATGATTGTGGCAGTGGCTAATTCATATGTACAAATACAAACACTTCAGACACTTTCTCACGTGCCTATGTTTTTGTTTCCATGTACCTATAGGTGCACAAGTTTCATCTCATAAATTCACCCATAGATATCCTCAACAGACACATAGAGATACGCTACTTTTTTTTTTTTGAGATGGAGTCTTGCTCTATTGCCAGGCTGGAGTGCAGTGGTGCAATCTCAGCTCACTGAAACCTCCGCCTCCTGGGTTCAAGCAATTCTCCTGCCTCAGCCTCCCAAGTAGCTGGGACTACAGGCATGCACCACCATGCCCCGCTAATTTTTTGTGTTTTAGTAGAGACAGGGTTCCACCATGTTGGCCAAGATGGTCTCGATCTCCTGACCCCGTAATCTGCCTGCCTTGGCCACCCAAAGTGCTGGGATTACAGACGTGAGCCACGGCGCCCAGCCCTTGGAGATATACTTTCATGGTCTGTATACACATGGATCAACACACACAAACATACGTAAACATATACCTAAGATATTCCCACATAAAGTCACACATGCAATGTCCCTACAACCACTCACACGTTCATCCACATGCCACTCATGTGTTCATGCTACCTGCCTTCACTCATGCCTACATACTCCCACGCACAAAGGAACACATGGGGACAGGTGCAACCTTTTCGGTTCCACTTCAGTTCTTCTGCCCATCTGTGTAACGAAGCTTGAGCAATCCGATAAGCCTACTTTATTCCATAAAAATTACTTGGCCTGAGGGCGGGCATGGTGGCTCACGCCTATAATCACAGCACTTTGGGAGGCCGAGGCGGGTGGATTTTTTTTTTGAGGGGTCAGAGAGACTGCCTGTTCACAGACTGTTTTTACCTTCTGCCCCAACAACCCTCGATCCTCAGGTTTTCTTCCTCTGAGCACCTTTAGCTGGCTCTGTATGCTTCTTGGCTTCTCCTCATTGCTTTAAAAAATCCTGATGCTCAAACCACACTCCAGATAACAGTAGCTGGCACTTGGGAAAGACTCAATACATACTCATTGTTTTCTTCCTTGATTACCACAGGACATACTCTCTTGTCTCCTTTCCAAAAGCTGTAGAAGCAGAAGAGGTTTCTTCCCTGCAGGCTTTTCCAGCACCCTACCTCCACCCCTCCAAAACTCACTCCTCTAAAATTTTATTTATTGGCTTAAATAAAATATAGCTCCAGAGTCAGCCCTGTTTTTCAAGCACAAACAGGAAGCCAAATATCAAATTTTTCGTGGATGGAGAGCAGCCAGCTGAATCCAGATAGGAATATGGATGATCCTCACAAAAGGCTCTCGAAAGACCCTGAGAATTCGCAAGCTGGACAAGCAGGAATGCCCTGAGCTTTGATAAATCAGAGCAGCAGCCGTTACCTCTGCCTGGGCTGGGGAGGGAGGAATTTAGGGTCTTGATCACCTTTCACTCCAATGACCATGTTTCTACTTTGCAACGGAAGCCAGGTTGGAGGCCTGGTGTAGCATACACAGAGTTGGAATACTGGAGACCAGACCAGCAGGGCAGATAAGGGGTTGTGGGGTCACCCAGACCTAGGTTCAAATACCAGCACTACGAGGTTTTAGCTGAAACACTTTGGGTAAGTCATTTCACTTCTTCAAACCTCCAGTACTTCCTCATAAAAGCAGCATAATAAAATACTTCCCTTGTAGGGTTATGTTGAAGATTTTAAAAATGAAATATGTCATTATGTTTGTCACATAGCAAGTACTTGATAAGTGGCCCTAATTCCTCCCTACATGAGTGTCAACATTTATAGATGTTTTTGTTGTTAAGTATCTGGGGGACCTAGGCTTCTCTGTCACATGCATTATCCTATTTAATTTTTGTTCCTGTTTCCTTCTCTTTCGTTATGTAACATTTTAAAAACCACATGTTCATTCAGCTGTTTCTCATCAGCTTCGTTCTGTTCCCAAATAAACACATTCACATAAAATAAAACAAGTTTAATGAAAAGAGAATTTTTTTCTCAAAAAATTTTCTGATGATGAAATGCATGTAAATGATGAAGATGAATTCTATTTAATTTTTTGTGGAATATTTTTCACCAGAAAAGTGTTTGCTGAAGGAACAAGCTATACAGTCGATATAACCCTCTTTTCCTTATTATAATAATAAGTGTTTACCATGTCACACCACATTTAACCCCCATCACCTCCTGACCAAGTAGGTACCATTTGGGTCCCAGCTTTATTCTGTTTAATTATTTTATTGAACTATAACATGTTACTCAGAAAAGTGCACGTCATAAATTTACAGGTTGGTGACTTTTTGCAAGGCAAATATACCTGTATAACCAGTACTCACATCAGGGGTCCCCACACATTCCCCCCAAGGCCTAATAACTCTCCTGATTAGATTGATTTAGCCTGTCTTGAACTTTATATAAATGGGATCATATAGAATTGTGATAGACAGAATAATGACCCCTCAAAGATGTCCACATCCCAATCCCCAGAATCTCTGAACATGTCACCTTGTCTGGCAAAAGGACTTTGTAGATGTGATTAAGGACTGGGAGATGGGGAGACTATCCTGGATTTGGACCCGTGTTTTAACAATGTGGCCCAGATTGGTTAACTCTAAGGCCAATTGTCACGCACCAGTGATGAGGCTGGGATTTAAACCCAGACAGTATCTAAAATCTACATTTTTGACTACTGTTCCAGGTGAGGAAACTGAGGTTCTCTGAGACAAAGTGCTTTACCTAGGATCACCCAGGCCAAAGGGCAGAGTTGGGCTATGGCCTGGACCTCTGCCTCCTGACTGCATGGTCCATCACATCTGAGCTGACATGCCATGGGCACTTCCAGCCTAGATCCATGATGCTGGAAGCTTCTCCTGATGACAGACTCTTCCCAGTCTGCCACTGTTGTAACAGCTCCAGGACAACAGCTGTATGAGCCACTTACCAGGGAGGCTCAGTGGATGCGTGGGTGTCACTTGCTGTCCCCACCCCTTTAGGGGAAAGAAAATGCCACCAGACACCTGGTGATCTCTGAGGAAGGCTATGGTCTCTAGGTCCCTCCACACTGGATAGCACTGACCACCTGGAAGGAAATGTCAGGTGGACTTTTTGCATGGCACATTGACTGTGGGATAGCTTAACAGAGAGATGGAGCTGAACATCATGGCTGCCTGGGAAGGTTCTCCCTGGAGACAAAGGGATATCAACAGTTCCGTCTCTTCCAGAGGAGCAGTGAGCTGACCACAGGGCTGAATGCAAAGCCAGGATCCCTGAGACCAAACAGGATTCATAGACCATGTGGACTCAAAGGGATATTTTACGAAGTCCCTAATTCTCAAAATAAGGAAACTTATCGCCTAGAGTAATACTGGCCAGTCTTTATTACGTACCCACTAAGCACTAGGCACTATGCTAGGTGCTTCTGCATTGTTTTCTTTATAATCCTCACTAGTCTAGAGACATGGGCCATTATTAGGCCCCCTTTACTGAAGAAGAATGAACGTTGAGAAGACTTGCTCATGGCCACACAGCTGGAATTGGGAAACAGCACTTTCTGACTCCAGAGGTAGAGTGCATACCCACTACATTTCACACCCTCTAGAGAAGGAAAGTTTCTTGTCCCAGTTAAACTCCAAGCAATGACATCTAAGACCACAGTTCCAGCATTCTGACTCCAGATTTATCTTATATATCATGAAGTCTACTTTGCAACTAATAATAGACACAAATAGAGGATGAGTCACAGGCCCAGAATTAACAGTATAGTAGTTATAAACATGGAGGCAGAGGACAATTCATTGCCCATCAGGCTCATTTCCCCCTCTCTCTCGTCTCAGATGTAAAGTCTAATAGTCTAAGGAAGTTCCACTCCTTTGCCAGAGACTGGTCTGGGAAAAAGACATGGGACCTAGCTTCTGACCAGTGACTTCTGGGAAGTGTTTCCTTGCACTTAAAGCAACATAATTAAGAGCAGGCTTCTCATCTTCCCTGGATGTTGTATCTGCATATGACACCTGGAACCACAGCAGCCACTTTGTAACCTTGAGAGGAGCTGACCTGAGGGTAATTCCCATGAACTCAGAGATGGAAGGAATCCAAGTCAGATGACATCATTGAAATGTTGACTAACCACAGAACCAAATGACCTCCAGACTACCTGTTATGAACTTTATGAAAGTCTTTCTTAAATATATTGAATCATGGTTTTCTATTACTTGCAGCCAGAAGCCCCCTCTCTAATACAATGAACTTTAATTCTGGTGTTAGACTGCATGGATTCTAATCCTCATTCCATCAACAATTAGCCATGTGACCCTGGGCAAGTCTCTTGACCATTCTGACCTTGGTTTTCCTCTTCTGTAGAATATGGTAGGTGATAAAAATTCAAGACCAGTGGGAGGGTACAATAGGAGGATGAAAATCAAAGCACTTTGCAAATGGAAAAGCCTGAGGTATTACTGGATATTATTGTTGGTATTATAGATTCAGCAGGGCCAGAAGAAGCCTGAGGCATCCTGGGGGGCTCAGAGCCTGCCCTTGTTCCTGGGAATGGACTCTAGGAAGGGAGCAGCTGCAGCTGCTCAGATAAGAGCACATTTGCATTCTCCCAGCCTCCCTGCCCAGAGCTCTGCAGACTGAGCCAGACAAGCAGCCTTTCTTGGGGGCACAGGGCCAGCAGCATGCATCTGATAGAGGCAAGGAAGCTGAGATGGGGGCTGAGAGGGGGCTGCACCCCAGCCATGTAAGTCCACCAGGGAAGGTCATGCACTAGTAACTGTGTAATAGTTCAACTATCACTTCCCGACAGTCTACTAGGTGGCCAAATCCTTTGTTTTAAGCATCTCCTTCAACCCTGGCAACAACTCTATGAATAGAAGTAGCTTTATTCCTATTTTATGGATGAGAGACCCAATGTTCAGAGAGGTTAACAAACATGTCCAAGTTTACACAGTCAGGCGTGGAAGAGCCAGGTCTGTCTGACTCCAAAGCCGTGCTCTTAATCACTATGCTGTAGCCAAGAATATTAAATGCCCCTCAAGCAGCAAGGAAAGAAGAAAGCAAGAGCAGTCCTGGAAAGAGTGGGGCACTGTGTTTATTGACCTCCTTGCCTTCCTGGAGCTCACTGCCCAGCCTATGACTGAAGCATTCAGACTCCAACTCTCCCTGCATTTTGCTTTTAACATCCTGGCCTCTCTCAAAACTTTAATTTTCTTGTGTCAGCTCTCTTAAGAGTCCCTGAGGGAGACAATGCTGCTCTGAAAACGGCTCCAGAAAAGTGGAGAACATACTTTTCACGCAGGGTCTGGGGGCCCAACAGAGCAAGTAAAGAGGAGCATTTGGGATTGGACTGGTTATTCTCTGTTTGTGACACTCCCCCAACCAGATCCACTCTCTGCCATGCTCTGCACTGCCCCAGGTCCTAGCATGCTGGCCTGTATGGATGGTATCAACAGGCTCACTTTTCCTGTGGCTTCTCTGTGGATTTGACCAACAGGATGTCACCAGAAAAGATTAAAAAGCTAGAAGGAAGTTCTAAGTATTTCTCCCTCCAACCCTACCACCACTCCCCCAGCCTCAGTGCTGCAACTCCACCTGTGGTGAAGTCCTTCTTTTTTTTTTTTTTTTTTTTAACAGAGTCTTGCTCTGTCACCCAGGCTGGAGTGCAGTGGTGTGATCTTGGCTCACTGCAACCTCTTCCTCCCAAGTTCGAGATTCTCCTGCCTCAGCCTCCCAAGTAGCTGGGGCTACAGGTGTGGATCACCATGCCCACCTAATTTTTGTATTTTTAGTAGAGACGGGGTTTCACCGTGTTGGCCAGGCTGGTCTCAAACTCCTGACCTCAAGTGATCCGCCTGTCTCAGCTCCCAAAGTGCTGGGATTACAGGCATGAGCCACTGCTCCCAGACAGCTGTGGCTAAGTCCTTCTCGACTACAGCTCCTGCTGGTTCCCTCCCTGGTTCTACCTATCACCAAGTTCTGGTAGGCCCACTCCTCTCTGCATATTTAAGCCTAGGGGTGGTAACATTTCCCAACTATTGCTAGTCTCTTGGTGCCTCAACATCTCTCATTGGTTCTCCCAACCTTGCCTGCTCCTCTGTGAGTAGTACCTTCATTAAATTTTCTCTAAACTCCCATTTTTCTGTTTCCTCATAGGGCCCTGAGTATGAGGAGGTGGGACAGAGAGTGGGTGGCAGTTTGTAATATGTCCTCAAGGAGTTGGACTGTCTTGGCTCAGCTATTTGGGTATTAATAAATTTGCCAGTGGGAGGAACTTTAAGAAAATTGCAGTGATTGGTTCTACTCTGTGTGATGTCATCAGAGGAGGGTGGAGCTTTGTGGCTAGGGCAGTCCTCCACTTCCGGAGATCCAGGCTCCAGAAACAGAGGAATTTCAGGCTTCAGGATTTCAGAGGCCAAATTCCATCTGGCCTAGTCTGCCTGGCTCACGGTAAGCTTTAGAATGGTAAAGAATAGAAAGTCTATGGTGGCAAGATGGTATGTAGCTGTCACACACAATAGCACCCTCTTTTCGGTTATATGGCACTTTCAAATTTACAAGGCATTTTCTCATGAATTTGTACATCTGAGCCTCATAACAATCCTCTGAGACAGATTAAGGCTGTTTACTCCCATTTTACAGCTATGAAAATTAAAAATTAAAAATTAGAGAAGGGAAGGGACACATCTAAAAATCACATAGCACCAACGGGTCTCAACTTCCAGCCATGGTGATCCCAAGTCTGGGGCTCTTTTGAACACACTTCAGATTTCTAGCTGATGAAATATCTGCTTCAGTGGCTGCAAGATCACTAGTCAACCCTAAGAAGGCTGTCCTTCCCTCAAACTCAAAAAATAAATAAATGAATAAAAACTAGCATTTGTTCATTGAAAATCTATTAAGTACAACACATTGGGCAAAATACTTTATATACACTTTATCCCTTTTAATCCTCAATAATGATGTGAGGTAGTTATAATTATCCCATTTTAATGAAAAGGAAGCTGAGGCTCAGAGAGGTGAAGTGATTTTCCCAAAGTCACAAAGATATAAGTGATAGACTTGGGATTTGAAATAAGTCCATCTTATGCCTCCTGTGCTCAACCATTGCACCAAACCTCCTCCTAAAAGAAAGCATTGTTGTGATGGATGAAAGCCATGTCCTTCTCCTCTGCCAATGCCTGGAGCTATGTTTGCAAATGGAGTGAGCTGCATGTTGAAACCTAATTATTCTGCAAGCAGCACCCATAACAAGGCAACCCCTCTCCTGGCAGCTTGTCTTCAATTCTTTGCTCCCACACAATATTGCCAGAGGCTCAGGGGGGATGAGAGTCAAGTTTCCATAGACGGAATGGATGAAACCTCACTCATCTGTAGCATTTCATACTTTTGGATGTGTTTGAACATCCATTGGGTCACTTCATCCTTGCAGTAAACCTGTTGAGCACATAGGACAAATATTTCCACACCCCGTCTTTCTCTAGAGAAAATGAAGGGTACAAAGAAGCGAAGAGACCTTGTCCAAGGTCACACAGCTGGTATAGGTAAAGCCAGGATTCCAACCTACCTAGATTGTGCTCCAAATCTTTTGCTCACTCTACTACCCTGTGCTTGTCATCTTGAAATAAGAATCTGAGAGGTAATGTGACTTTCCCAAGGTCACACAGCAAGACATCCTTACCAGAATTAGACTCAACCGACATACCTTGTGTATCCTAGCCACCCCCACCCTTCCACATTGTCTCCTCTTTACCTCCTTCTTCATTCCTAGAAATTCTCCCCTCTTGATTTCCCACCTCAAGTTCTCCCTCTAGAGGTAGTTCAAACTAAGAGATGTCTCTCACCCCATGACCTCCTTGAGAAGAAACACAGAAAGAGAAGGGGAGGGAAGCCATTGCAGGCAATACTTGTGTGAGTTGGTGATGGCAATGTTTCTCAAACTCTTGTCAGCATCTGCCTGCTCTCTGCCTGCAGGAAGGAGGTGGAACAGCTGTGCGCACATCTGCCAGAGGAGCTCTTTAAAGAGCAGAGAGGATGCTATTTTCCTACCAGCAGTAGCAGCAGCAGGGCAAGTGCTTGAGGCTCATTTTGGGTTGATTCTCTCTCTGACTAAAGGTTCATGTCTTCAGAACAGCTGTGCACACAGAGTGGAGTAAGGCTGTCAAGCAAGGAGACCTCTGAAGCAATCTCAAAAGCCCCCTGGTCAAATTCATGTGAACTGACTATTCACAGAGGTTGCTTACAAACAGAATATAATAACTAAGACTAATTGTGTATGCCAGATGTATAACTTAGAACAGCTATCAGCTATCATGTGTATATGTGTATACTTACTAAATATATATATATCTACTGTATATAAAATACAGATATCTACTGTAGATTATAATATATATATATATACACATATATATATATCAAAAAAACTCTACATCATGGCTACTATTATTATCATCCCCATGTCTCAGAGGGGAAAGCTGGGGCAGAGTTAAGTTAAATACCTTGCCAAAGGTTACACAGCTTCATTGTGGTGGAGCCAGAATTAAAGCCCAGAAAGTCGAGTTACAGAGTCAATGTCCTTTATCTCTGCGCTATATTTACTCTGAGTGATTCTAAAAATGTAGTGCATATAAGAATTACCCTGACACTGTTTAAAATTCAGATTCTTGAGCTCCTGCCCTCTAAATTCAGGAGGGATGGGCTAGAGAGCTCAGGGATATGCATTTTAATAAGTTCCCTTGCTTGGCTCTTGTACCTATGGTTGATAGACCACTCTTTGAGAAAGAATTACCAAGAAATGTGTTCATTCACATATTTTATAAGGTAAGAACTGTATGTCAGGACCTGGGATAGGCATAGCAGATAAGAGGAAAGGTAATTATGATGCCAGCTGTAACTTTCTGAATGCTAACCATGTCCTAGGAACCTTGCTAAATGTCTTGCATTCATTAATGTTTAATTATCACCACAACCCCATAAGGCAGGTGATATTATGACCTCTTCATTACAGATAAGAAAACCGAAGTTCACCAAAGTAAAGTGACTTGTCCAAGACCTCACAGCTATCAAGTAGAGAAACTGGGATTTGGATGCAGGTCTGTCTGACTCCAGACACCGCGATCTTAACCATCGAGGCAGAGTTTCTACCTTTTAGGAATTTCCAAATAGAGGAGACAACCTCAGGACTTGAACAATGCAGAAACACAGTCAAAAATACAAAGAGCTAGGGAGTGATGCCTATATTGTGCTGTGAGGGTTAATATCGCTTCCTGTCAAAGGACAATCTAAGGGAGGTGATATTTGTTAATATACAAGGTTTTTTTTAAAAGAAGGGGTCAGCTTTGAACACAGTAGTGATCGCAACTGGGGAGAAGAGCAACCAGGAAGAGGATATATCATAAGCAAAAGCACTGGTGTGGGAAAGAATAGGGATTTGGTGGGAAGTGTGAACGATACCACTGGTTGGTGTGAAAATACAGGCAAACCCGAATAGCTCATGTCCTCTCAAATGTTTGTTCAGAAGCCACCATCTCAGTGATGCCTAAGCTGACAATCCCATTTACAGATGCATCAAAATTTGCCCTCCTTGTTCCTCTTTTCTGCTCTATTTTTTCTCCAAAGAACTTTTCACCTCTAATAGACAATGTACCTTCCCTGCCCATCCCCTGCCCCCCAATTCTTAAATATCTCCACCCACTAGAACATAAGCTTTAAGAAGGCAGGAATTTTTGTCAGCTTCACTCCTTGAATTGCCAGGGTGTATCACAGGACCTTGAGTGTGTTGAGGGGTGATAGGTGCTCAATAAATATCTATCAAAATTTGAATGTAGAGCCAGGCATGGTGGCTAATGCCTGTAATCCCTTTGGGAGCCCAAGGGGGCAGATCAGTTGAGGTCAGGAGTTCGAGACCAGCCTAGGCAACATGACAAAACCATGTGTCTACAAACAACACAAAAATTAGCAGGGTGTGGTGGTGCATGCCTGTAGTCCCAGCAACTAAGAAGGCTGAGGTGGGAGGATTGCTTGAACCAGGGAGGCAGAGGTTGCAGTGAGCCGACATGGTACCAGTGCATTCCAGCCTGGGTGACAGACTGAGACCTTGCTCCCACCCCCCACCCCACAAAAATAATGTAGGAAGCAAGAAGAGGCATCAAAGGAAGACGAGAGAGAGAGAGAGACAGAGAGAGAGAGAGAGAGAGACAGAGAGAGAGAGAGACAGAGAGAGAGAGAGAGAGCCAAAAAGTCAGCACCTTGGACAGAGAGAGAGAGAGAGACAGAGAGAGAGAGAGAGAGAGAGACAGAGAGAGAGAGAGACAGAGAGAGAGAGAGAGAGAGAGAGAGAGAGAGAGAGAGAGAGAGAGAGAGAGAGAGAGAGCGCCAAAAAGTCAGCACCTTGGACAGAAACCCACTGCCCTTCTTCCAGGGAGTTTTATCCCTGGCTGCCCAACAGATTGCAATCTCATATAGGACTCTGAATTTCTTCCTTCCTTCCCTCCTTCCTTTCTTCTTTTTTTGTTTTGTTTCTTGAGACATACAGTCTCGGCTCACTACAGCCTCAACATCCTGGGTTCAAGCGATCTTCCCGCCTCAGCCTCCCGAGTTGCTGGGATTACAGGTGTGCACCATCACACCTGGCTAATTTTTGTATTTTTAGCAGAGACAGGGTTTTGCCATGTTGGCCAGGCTGGTCTCGAGCTCCTGAGCTAAAGTGATCCACCCACCTCGGCCCCCCAAAGTGCTGAGATTACAAACATGAGCCACTGCGCCCAACCCCTGTCTCCCTTCTTCTTTCCTTCCTTCCCTCCTTTCTCCCTCACTTTCTCCTTCCTTCTTTCCTTCCCTCCCTACCCCATCCCTCCTTCCCTCTTTCCTGCCTTTCCTCCCTCCCACCTTTTTTCCATCCCTCCTTTCCTCCCTCCTTCCTTCTCCCCTTTCTTCCTTCATCCTTCTAGCTCTCTACTGATGAGTTTAATGTATATCCAGAATGATACGCCATCACATCACCTCCAGCTGTGGCAGCCCATGCAAGCCACCCCAGCTGCAGACATCAGTAGATTCCAGGGTCCTGGCATTCTGACCACAAGTCTGGGGAGCGCAGATGGTGTTTTCTCATTAAGGCAAGCTTAGGAAGCACAGCTCAGTCCACTGGAGTGATTCCTAAATCAATCCTCCACCAGAAGACAGCCTTCTGAACTCTTTTCTCCACCAAAACATCTTTGACAAATCCTCTTTTCCTCTATCCTCCTTTCTGATGAGTCCTCAGAGACTCCAATCAGTCTGTTTTGATCCATGTTTATCAGCTTGGGGCTGTCTTCTCTACCACCATCATCCTCATATTCTCCCCCAAGTTAATTGGAGAAGATGGATGGATGATGGTGCCCCATGTAACTTAATTAAGATAAAAGCTTCCACTGATCTCACTGCCAGAGAGACTAAAGATGTTGCCAGCAATAACTCCTGGGTGCAACATGTTTGATATATGCAGCCCAGTGAAGGAGCCTAGGGTCTTAGTAGCTGCCTTTGGTGCCAAAGGATCTCAGTTACACAAGCCCCCATGGCCTGGACAGCTGTGAAAAGTGGAGAAGACAAATCTCAAACTCATGCTTGTTGGAAACTCTTCATCTCCGTATTTGGAATCTGGTCACTTTTCACCAACTCCATATGGTCCAACCCCCCATCATCTCTTACCTGGGTTCTTGCAGTAGCCTCCCCACTGGTATTCCTGATTCCATCCTTGCCCTTCTATAGCCTATTCTCAATACAACAACGTTGTTTTATTATGTGTTCCTTTTGAAATATAACTCAAGTTAAGTCACACCTCTTCTTGAAACCCTCCAGTGATTCTGCATATCACTCAGAGGAATAGCAAAAGTTTTTTTGCAACAGCCCTACCTGTTTAGCCCCTGCTACCTCTGTGATAATCTCTCTCACCACCCTCTGCTTGCTTACTCTGTTCTGATCACACTAATTTCCTTGCTGCTCCTTGGACATACCCAGCATGCTTTGGCCATCTGCTTTGCACTGGCTGTTCCCTCTGACTGGATTGCTCTTCCCCCAGGTAGCCACATGGCTCATTCCCTCACCTCCTGACAACCTTATTTAAAACTGCAACACACACTGCCAATCGCCCTTACTCTGATCATTTTTTTCTGTAACGTTTGTCATTTTCTAATATAGTAGCTAATTCGTCTGTCTATTATCTGTCTCCCGCCACCCTCAAGCATATGAGTGCCCCAAACACAGAGATTTTGTCTGTTACATTCCCTGGTGCATCTCCAGCCCCTTGAATGGGACCAACACATAGTAAGCACTCAATAAACATTTGTTGAATAAGTGAATGAATCAGTAGGAATATAAAAATGTGTTTTACTAAAGATGGTTGGAAGAAGCAAAGGTAACTGTGGTGCCATAGTTTGGATATTTGACCACCCAAACCTCATATTAAAATTTGGTCCTCAATGTTAGAAGTTGGCCTGATGGGAGGTGCTTGAGTTATGGGGGCAGATCCCTCATGAATAGCTTAGCGCTGTCCTCCCAGTAATGAGTTCTCACTCTGCTAATTCCCTTGAGAGTTTCTCCAAAAGCTGGTTGTTACAAACAGCCTGGCACCTTCCCTTTCTCTCTTGCTTCCTCCCTCATCATGTGATCTGCACATGCTGGCTCCCTTCCACCATGAATGGAAGCAGCCTGAAGCCCTCACCAGAAGCAGATGCTGGTGCCATGCTTCTTGTACACTCGCAGAACTGTGAGCCAAATAAATCTATTTTCTTCATAAATTACCCAGCCTCAGGTATTTCTTTATAGCAACACAAACCGACTAAGACATGTGGAAAAGACATGAAAACCAACCTAAGATATTCCCTGAAGTGCAATCATCAACTTCTTGATGGCCTAAAGGTGTGCAACCTGATGTGTCAGAACTGGCATCCTGTGAGTATACCTGACTGAGGTCATATTAACTTCCTGGCTGTGTGACTTCCTGGCTGTGTGACCTTGGGCAAGGCAAGTTACTTAAAAATTCTGAACTTTGGTTTCCTCATATGTATTATGTGGATAATAACAGATACCTACTTCATGGGGTTGTTGTAAAAATTAAATTACTCAATACACCTAAGGAGTTTAAAATAGCACCATAAGCGTAGTGAGCAGTTACTCCATGACACCCCCATGTGCTGGCACAGGTCCTGAGCCACTGGCTGGAGGAGGGTAGAGAGCAGAAAGCTGGGTCTTACAGTCGCTCAGTGCTCTCTCTTTGACTTTCGCCCCCCATCCCCAGCCGTATCCTCTAAAGGCCAGCATGAACCTTCAGCACTGAGGCCTCAAGCAGAGATGATGAGATGAAATTTTCCTTAACTCAAGCTCTCACTTTATCCCCAAGAAGCCTTGCTTGGGTCCGGCGTCTGACATATTTTTTGAACCAGACAGCTTTGACTTTTCATCACAGCTGCTGACTTTATTGGACCTCAGAATTAGGCCATTAGGCTAGGTGTGGAGAGTTGGTAAAAAGAGGGACAGACACTCAGCTAACTTTATTTCTTTCTCCTTCTTCCCCAAGGCCTCTGGCCTTAAATCTCCCTTGTTCTTAACCACAAAGCAGCAGCCCCGCTGCATGTCAATGAAAGGAACACACTGTGGCCAAGATAGTAACTGTGTGTTGATTAAGCTGCTAAGGTTTGGGATAACTTGTTTTGCAGCCATAGATAACTAATACATCTGGAATGGGGCCCCAAAACCTGCATTTCTAACAGCTCCCTGGCAACACCCATGCCTCCATGTACTACACTTGTAGTAGACAGGAGATTAGATGATTTGCTCAAGAAGACATAGCTAGTGGTAAGTGGTAGAACATGACTTTGAACTCAGATCAGTCTATCCATATATCCTTGGTGCTCACTGTTCCAAGAGTGAAGAGTTGCGTTGCAGGTCTCTACCTGAGGGCTTCCTCCCTGCTCACTCAGGACATGCTGGAAGTTCTGGGAGTTCATGCCTTAGTGGCAGGACTTACTTACCCCATAGTAGGTGGGAGTTGGAGGATAAATAGCCCAGCTTCTGTACCTCATAAGTGAGGTAACTCTGAGAGATGTTCTACGACATTTCCCAGAAGTCTGCAATGGGATTGAGCTTCAGTTGCCCCTAGTGTTAGTTTATCCAATAATAACCCAGTATCGACTTTTTTCCCTTTCCTTTGTAACTTCACTCACCTCCATGGGTACTTCTTGGCATCACCTTCCAAATGCACTACTTGCACCCAAATCTTTATCTTGGGATAGTGTGTGCCAACCACTATGCAAAGAGCTCTAAATATAGCATCTCATTTTATCTCTACAACATTTTGTAGCCCCTTGAGGCACAGAGAGGGTGAGCAACTTATCCAAGGTCACCCAGCTGGGAATTAGCAGGGAAATATTCAAATACAAGCCGTTCTGACCTGAAAGGTTAGGTTCTTCTACTTCTATTCACCCTCTACCCACTGCCATCTGCCTTCAACCCAAAGCTACCCATCTCCATAGTCAGGTCCTTTCACTCCCTCTGCGAAATCTTCCAGGCTCCAGGCCCCATCTCACTATAATCCCTCACCCTGCAAGGGAAGAGGCCAGTAAATCAGTTTGACCATTCCCAAAACCTTCACTAAGTAACTAAGACCTTCTCAACACAGGTCCCAAAAAAGTAATCCCAGAAATAGGGAATAGCATCAGGTTTTATGGCACATTATTGGAGAATCCAAACAGAACAGAATCCACTATGACAAGTGGATTATAAATCCATCCTTACATGTGATAACTAAAACTGACAAACAATAGGGCTTTTCTGGGGGGTGGTGGGGGGAGTAGGAGTTTCACTTACCACTCTCTGCCCCAATCATTCCCACAAATTTCATTTTATTTATTTATTTATTTTTATTTATTTATTTATTTTTGAGATGGAGTCTCACTCTGCTGGAGTGCAGCAGCATGATCTCGGCTCACTGCAACCTCTACCTCCTGGGTTCAAGCGATTCCCCTGCCTCAGCCTCCCGAGTAGCTGGGACTACAGGTGCGCACCACCACACCCGGCTAATTTTTGTATTTTTAGTAGACAAGGGGTTTCACTGTGTTGGCCAGGCTGGTCTTTTACTCCTGACCTCAGATGATCCGCCCACCTTGGCCCCCAAAAGTGCTGGGATTACAGGCATAAGCCACCACCCCCCGCCTATTTTATTTTATTTTATTTTATTTTATTTTTTATTTTTGAGACAGAGTCTCACTCTGTCACCCAGGCTGGAGTGCAGTGGGGCCACCTCAGCTCACTTCAACCTCCACCTCCTGGGTTCAAGCAATTCTCGTGCCTCAGGCTCCCGAGTAGCTAGGACCACACGTGCATGCCACCATGCCTGGCTAATTTTTTGCATTTTTAGTAGAGACAGGGTTTTGCTAGGTTGGCCAGGCTGGTCTCAAACGCCTGGCCTCAAGTGATCTGCCCACCTTGGCCTCCCAAAGTGCTGGGATTACAGGCATGAGCCACTGCACCCAGCCCATTCCCACAAATTTTAAATAAAATCTACCCAGTGTTTAGCTTAGAGTAGGCATGTTGTAAATAGTTCTTGAATAAATGAATCAATCGGTGAATGGATTAATGAGTCAGTGAATATAGATGTACCACCCAGCTAGGCACAGAGCCTCCAGCTAAGACCCTTCCCCTTCCAGGACATCCCCTGCCCATTGGACAGAGGAGCAACATGCTAAACCGCATGCACTAAGAATTATAACCCTCCTTGTGTGAAGCGCTTCCCAAAACTTTCAAAATGATTCCCCATATGATGTCTCATTAACCTCTCCCTGCCAACAATGTTTGAGCTTGTTGGAATGGGAATGGAGGCAACTGAGTGCGGGAGGAAGAATTTTCGCCTGTAAATCCAAGAGATGTTAATCTTCAGCCCTGGTTTTGCCACCATGTGTCATGAAGTTATGTGACTTTCAGATAGTCTCTTTCCTACTCTGAGGGCCAGTTTCCTTGTCTATAGAAAGACAAGGGTTAAGCTAATCTAAGATCAAAGATTCCCTTCTGATGCTAACATTTTCAGATTCCAGTATCTATCCAGGTAAGAGGGGAGGGCAGAAGAGGGTCAAATTTTACACATTACAAATTTCCCAATGCTTCCTCAAATCTCACCTGTGAATCTCGGTACAGCTATTCCTACCAATAATAAATGCTGCTCTTTATTGTATGCTATCATGCTTCTGGGACTATGTGGGAAATTCTTCATACATTATGTTATTTATTTCTCACAACAATCTGTGAGCCTAGGATTGATATATCATTTAGAAATAATATTTCTCTGCCCATAACAGGAAACATGACTGCCAATGGCTTAAGCAATAAAGACATCATGAACAAAGAAATAGAATGCCCCACTATTGGTTCAGCATCTCAATGACATCATCAAAGATCCAGGTTCTTACAACCTGCTGTTCCATCATCCTCAGATTGCTAGTTGTAGATTCACAAGTGTGTTGCCTCATGGTTACAAGATGGCTACTATGGCTCCGGACATCACAACCTCACACAACAGCATTCAAAGCAGAAAGGAGGAAAGGGAGCAAAAGATCTCTTCTTGAGCACTGCTCTGTTTTTTATTGGAGAAAAATTATTCCAGAATCCTCTAAGTCAACTTCCCTTTTATTTCATTGGCCAAGACTTAGTCACATGGTTACCCTTGGCTACATGAAAGGCTGGGAATGTATCTGGCTTTTTCAGCCTCTATAGTGAGAGACAGGCAAGAGAGGAAGAAATGTGGCATGGCTATCGAGTAGGGACCAACAATGTCTGCCACAGTATTTATCTCTATTTGAAATTAAGAGAACAGTCTTAAAGAAAATTGTCTGCCCTTATTCAAGGTCACACAGTGAATAAGTGGCAGAATTATGAACATTGTTAAGCCCAGCTCCACAGCCTATGCTGCTATTAACTACTGTCAAATCCTGTCCTAGGCAATGATTAGATTTTAAAAGTTGAATGGTGGACTGTTTTCTAAAGGACATTGAAAGAGAAGAAGGATTTCAAGTCAGGCTTGAGGACCCGGTGGTCAGACAGATGGGAAGTGGATCTCTAGCAGGGAATAGGGCTCTGCTCAGACACCTGGGAGGATGTTGCAAAAAAGGCAGCATTGTCCTAAGCCCTTGGCACCCTCCCCCAACTACAAATTTGGCTTCACAGGGATTTGACTTGCCCTCATCAGCATAAACAGCTGAGTCAGAAGAAGATTGTCCTAGGAAGAGTGGCAGAAATCCTGGGAATAAGGCCTGGTCATTCCCGGGCCATGTGTCAAGGGGCCTTTAATAGCATAATCACTTTCTTCTATAGAGGCCAGCAATGACAAGCCTTTTAATGAAGGGTAATGGTATTTTGCATTTAAATATATTCAGCCATTGACTCATTACTGCAGTAGCCACTGGAAACACAAGTAAATGAGAGGGAAGGAAGAATTTGTCAGGCTTCGGGAGAAACCAGGCTAAAATATAGACCACTACCACGGACCCTAATGGCTGCTGCATCAAGCACGGGCAGCTCTCTGGCCCTCCGTGGAGAAGTGGATTCTAGAGCACATTTCCATCATCACAGAAAGTCCTGTAGGACAACCCTAAAATGGAACGAGGATGGAAGAGGGTTGGTTTCCCCAAAGGAAAATGAAGATGCTGGGACCTGAAAAAGGGCAAATGGATGTTGGTGAAGCAAAACAGATGCCCATTGTACGTCATTTAATTTAAGAGTTGCAGACTTCTGAGGCTGATGAAAGCTATGGACCTTCTCTCCAAGGGAAAAAAAATTTGCAAGCAATTTTATAAACACAGAATTCTGCTTAGAGTTTTAGAGGGGTCCCTGAAGCCAAACAATGAGCAATGACCCCAGTTCAGAATGTCTGATGTTCTGGGAATTTTAGCAAGAGATTGGGGCTGGAGGGAGTAACTTTTAACAGCTTTCCAGCCTGAGAGACATCTCCAGAGATTCCTTTCTTCTCCACCCCAGTGCCCTTAGTCTGGGAACAAGAAGAATTTGTCTCTACTCCTAATTATCCGGTAAGACACAAATGATGCAAATATTATGCTAAATGAGGCCCCTTAAAATAGCAGAGAGCAAACCAGCGGCAAAAGATGCCTTGTCATTTGCAATTTGCAAAGGAGTTTGATGCCTTTCTTCATCCTCTCTCCGCCTCCCCACCCCGCTGTTGATGCTAATCTGAACTCCTGAAGGAGTCACCTTCCCCCAGAAAGGTGTCCTTTGAGGGGAGGAGAGAAGGAAAATGTGGGGATGGAAATGTTTCTTGATTGCCTACATCTGATTAGTAATTACACGCCAAGAGCCGCTCTGGAGAGAAACACTGTCTCCCTCTGATGAGGAAGAAATTTAATAAGGCAGTTCTTCCAGGTGGAGGTTGGGGTAGGAAGGTGATGAGGAGGAGAGGAGGTGGTAACAGATATACAACTGGGGGACCTGCTGCTAGTTGGGCTGGGGTACAGGTAGGCAGATTATTGTATCCTTCACCAGCATTACCACTTCTCCATTTATCAGCATGAGTGATCTTGAGCTTTGTGGCTTAAACTCTGTGCCTCAATTTCTTTATCTGTAAAATGGGAATAAAGCTGGTACTGTCAGAGGCGTGTGAACCAGAGAAACTCCATCCTGAACAGAAGCTGAGTAAAATAAGGCTGAAACCTACTGGGCTGCATTCCCAGATGGTTAGGCATTCTAAGTCACAGGATGGGATGGGAGGTCTGCACAAAATACAGGTTATAAAGACCTTGCTGATAAAACAGTTTGCAGTAAAGAAGCTGCCTAAAACCCACCAAAACCAAGATGGCCACGAGCGTGACCTCTGGTCGTCCTCATTGCTACATTCCCATCAGCGCCATGACAGTTTACAAATGCCATGGCAACATCAGGAACTTACCCTATGTGGTCTAAAAAGGTGATGCATGAATAATCCACCCCTTGTTTAGCATATAATCAAGAAATAGCCATAAAAATGAGCAACTAGCAGCCCTTGGGGCTGCTATCTATGCAGTATCCATTCTTTTGTTCCTTTACTTTCTTAATAAACTTGCTTTCACTTTACTCTATGGACTCGCTCTGAATTCTTTCTTGCGCGAGATCCAAGAACCCTCTCTTGGGGTCTGGATCAGGACCCCTTTCCTGTAACAGTGCCTGCTTTTTAGAGCTGTTGTGAAAATTGAATAGGGTCTTATTAGAGTACCTGCATCCAAACAACTCCAATTTGGCCCCCAGTTGACAGGATATTGTGCTTAACACACTACAAGACCTTAGGAAATCTACCTGCTCTCTGCCAACAGGACTGTAGACCCACATCCTTAATAAAAGTAACAGCCTAGTCAATGATTAACCTCCAACTACTTTTGTCACCAGAAAGCAATTGTGGCTTGGGCAATCCTAGATACAACTAACCAAAAATTACTTTTGACTCTTGAATGTATAGTTGACCCACTAACAACTGGTTGTAGACTGCACAAGTCCATTTATACTTGGATTTTCTTCTGCCTCTGCCACCTCTGAGACAGCAAGACTCACCCCTCCTCTTTCTTCTCCTCCTCTGCTTTATCAACATGAAGACAATGAGAATGAAGACCTTTATGATGATCCACTCCCACTTAGTGAATAGTAAATATATTTTCTATTTCTTATGATTTTCTTAAATATTTTCTTTAGCTAACTTTATTATAAGTATAAAATACATATAACATACAAGATATGTGTTAATTGACTTTTATATTATTGGTAAGGCTTCCCGTCAACAGTAGGTTATTAGTAGTTAACTTTTGGGGGAACCAAAAGATATGCAGATTTTTGATTGAGCAGGGGGTCAAATCAAGTGCCTCCAACCTCCATGTTCTTCAAAGGTCAATTGTAATTGATTTTAACTGTTTTCATGAACTTCCACCATACCTGGAGAATGAGAAAGATGTCATTTACTTCTCTATCATTCTCAGTTGTTCAAAAGGCAGACAAGACCCCAAAGGAAGAACCCCCATGAAGCACTCACTAGGATGGATGGATGGATGGATGGCAGAAGGCCCAGTGAATGTTTCTCCCCACTCCTTAAAAATCTGAACATGTGACTCAGTCTACAGATTGCTGAGTGACCTTGGGCAACTGGCTCTACTTCTCTAGGCCTCAGTTTCTTCATGAGTAAAAATGGACACAATAAAAGTAGGCTTCTCCACTGCTTTCTCTTTCCTCTGCATTTCCTTTTTCTTTTTCATATGACTTAGATCAGAGCCCATCCCTTCTCCCTTTCTATAGAGTATACCTACCTTCCCTGGAAACTAAGGAAACTAGGAGGCATCAACTAGTTAATGAATAATCTAGAGTGATAAAGTCTTAAATCCACTTTTTTTTTTTTTTTTTTTTTTGAGACAGAGTCTCACACTGTTGCCTGGGCTGGAGTGCAGTGCACGATCTCAGCTCACTGCAACCTCTGCCTCCCAAGTAGCTGGGATTACAGGCACCCGCCACCACACCCAGCTAACTTTTTTGTATTTTTAGTACAGACAGAGTTTCACTATGTTGGCCAGGCTGGTCTCAAACTCCTGACCTCATGATCTGCCCACCTCAACCTCCCAAAGTGCTGGGATTACAGGCATGAGCCACCGCACCTGGCCTTAAATCCACATTTTTAACTTTTAGCATAAAGAAAATATCTATCTATTCGATCAAGATTGTTTTAAAAACTTAAAATTTTTTGCTCCTCCAAAAATCATAAGCTAAATAGAAAGCCAAACACCAACTTCTTAAGAATAAATTTTAATAAAGATAAAGGATGAAGGAGAAAGTGTTCGTTTCCCCATCTAGCATAGACAAATAAAAACCTCTGTCATATGTAAAGAGCTCTTACAAATCAATGACATATAAAAGAAAACTAAAACTCCAATAAAAGATTAACAAAAGATGTAATTCTCAGTAGAATAAATATACATGTCTAATAAGCTTTGAAAATTTGTATTAAGTCAGGCTTTCAGTATCAAAAAATGCAAATGGAAACAATAAGACTGCCTTTTAAACATATTACACTTGCAAAGACAAAAAATAAAAAAATTAAAATTAAAATTAAAAAAGAAAAAACCTCTCTACTGGCCAGGGTGAGGGATATATGTTCCAACACTGCTGGTGGGAATGTAAATTAGTTCATCCTT
Organism: Homo sapiens; assembly: GCF_000001405.40. NCBI lineage: Eukaryota > Metazoa > Chordata > Mammalia > Primates > Hominidae > Homo > Homo sapiens. Next base: position 118,746,859 of record NC_000012.12, on the reverse strand, counting down.
TCTGGAAGGCAATTTGGCAAGACAATCCCAATTATGTTAAAAATATATATGTATGTACATTTAGGCATACAAAAAAGACTGTTGAGAGATAAAATAAATGTTAACAGCAATTTTCTTTGTGTAATAAGATTAGAGTGATTTTTATTTTCTTCTTTATATTTTTCTGTATTTTCCAAATTTTCATAGTGAACATGAATTGCTTTTATAATAAGGAAAAAAGAAAAACAATGGAAAGACATTAAAAAAAACTTTGTTATGTTCTTTTGAAATGTATTTTTTACAGTTTCATTACAGTTTCATTCCAGGATGCTTGGTTTTGCAATGCTAAGCTTTTTCTGAAGAGTTTTGTACTTCATCCTGAGAGAGTTAGAGAATAAAAGGAACTGTCAGTTATTCTCGTCTGTCTAGCAAAAGAGAAAGCACACCTGCTTTGCCCTCAGCAGACCTGTGTGGGTACGGCAGCCTTGCCCCTTCCTGGCTACGTGACCTTGGGTCACTTGTTTAACCTCTCTAAGGTTTGGATTCTGCCTCTTTAAATGGAGACATACAATCATCACTTCTACCACATAGGATTTAGTGAGGAAGCATATGTAAAGTGCCTGGGACAATGCCTGGTGCATAGTAGGTGCTCAGTAAATGGTAACTAGTACAAACCAGATGGTGAGGAAAAGGCATGAAGTCTTTATAAAATGAGAAGCAGTCATCCAGAGAAAAAAATTAATCCCTTTCGGAAAAAATTATTCTGATATGGGGGCCTCATGTCATCGCTCCCATTTTCTGAAAAGTCTTTGGAAGCTCTCACAAAGGTAGAATTCTTTGCTCAAGATCTCCCAGGACTTCAAAGATTAGGGGATGAACAAACAGCAAAGCCCAGCTTTCTTTACTCTTAGAATAATGTTCCACTGCTACTTCCCTAGCCCAGAATGGCTTGTGGTCCTTCTTCCCACATCTCTGCAGACCAAGAGCAACATCTTCTCCCACTTTCCACCAACATGATCCTCTAGGGCTCATTGCTGTTAATTAATCGCAGGAAATCTTGCACATTATCTAAATGTCTGTGAGCAGTATCTTCAGTTTCCACTAGGTTGGGGGCATGTAATGCCATCCTCTTACTGATACTTGGGAGCACCTCAACAGGGAGACTTTAACTGCCCAAATGTACAGGAAAAAAAAATAGTCCCTCTTTGGTCTTTTAACACTAATATGTCCTAATATCAGGCTAGGTGTCAGGTATCAATTCATATGCATTCTCCCAAGGCCAGAGGGCTGCCTAGTTGATATTCCAGAAGCTGTTTTTCCTGATGCCCGTTACTATTGTTCTTCCATTATTGCTGCCTATGCAGCCACCCCCGCTCTCTAAGTGACTAGAGACTTTGCTCTCAGGCCAAGCTAGAAATCCTGAAATGAGGTTTCTATACCCTGATGCAGTGATTCATGTGTTGCTCCTGCTAAGAGACGCAATAGCCTTTTCCAAATGTAGAATAGGAGGACCTATAGGAGGCAAGACCTACGGAATAGAAGAACCTATAGGAGGCAAGACCTATGGAATAGAAGAACCTATAGAAGGCAAGACCTATGGAATAGGACCTATGGAATAGGAGGACCTATAGGAGGCAAGAGAGATGGGGACCGTGTCTTCATTCTGCAGTGATGCAGTCATGCTTTTGCCACGATCAGGAGGGGCTTCTAATGAAGTCACTTGCCCCTGGTCATTAAGCCACTTATGCAGTCCAATAAAAGCCAGCCATATGATCCTATCCTAGGAGGTAGGAACTGCTGCCCTCACTTCATATATAGAATGATTCTCGTTGCTTAAAATTCACTTTGTTTCACTATGCCCTATTTTCTGCCCCAAGGAGAAAGAAGAGAGGCTATTTTGCTGTATTTATCGAGAGTGTTGAAAAACAGGAGGCACATTAGACTTTGCCTTTTCACTGAGTTTTAGTGAGGAACACCAAGGCTTACTCTATTCTCTCCCTAGGTTGTTTTATCCATGCCCAAAATTAAACTGCCACTTATTGACAAACAACTTCCAAATATCTATCTTCAAGTGAGATTTCTCTTCTCAGCTACAGACTCATATAAAATACTTTGTATTCAAAATCTTTTGTTGAATATAATGCATCATATTTGTAGTCTAAAATGTATTCCATCCTCAGCATGTCCAAGGTCAAACTCATGATCTTCTTCTATTCCAACACACCCTGTCTTCGTGAACAGCAGCGCCATCCACGTAGTTCCCTAAGTCACTTGGCATCATTCAGGGTTTCCCCTCTTTCCCCCTCCCCACTGCTCCTCTTCTTGCCACTTCCCTGTCCCCATTGCCCTCTCCCTTTCTTCCCATCCCTTCCTCTTTCTCTTTTCTCTCTCTCCTTTTCTAGCCTATCGCTGGGCCCTGACTATTTTCTCTGTTAAATAGCTTTTGAATATGTTAAATCCATCTTCTTATCACTGTCTCAATCTAAGCCACACTAATCTAACCCACTTCCATCTCTTGCCTGGACAACTGCCAAGTACTGCCTTTCTGACTTTGCTATAGTCACTCTAGTTTCTAATCTAATCTTTAGGCAGAGAACCTTTTCAAAACACAGATATAATCATGTGGTCCCCACTTAAAGCCCATTAAATGGCTTCCCATTGTCCTTCAGATAAAAATCAATATATTCATCATGGCTCAGAAGGCCATGCATACAGGGTGTGCCCTGCCTCCCCTCTTTCTCCAATCACCCACCAGATCACTCTCTGTCTACCTGCCACACTGGCCTCCTCATGGTTTCTCAGATGTCCCACCATATTTGGAAGCAATGAGATTTTCCAAATGAGGAATAGGAGGCCCTTAGGCAAGAGATATTGGGACCTCAAATGTCCTACCATAGGACTTTCACATAGGCTGCTGTCTCCTAACACCCTAGGTCCCTCCCTCACCTGGTTAATTTTCTACCTTTATATATCAACTCAGATGTCACTTCCTTCCTAACTCCCCAACCTACTTTCGTTTCGTTACTGTGCATTTTCATGGATGTGTTTCCTTCCTTCACAGCATTATCTCCATTTATAATCACAGATTGATTGGTGTGATTATTTAGTCTATCTCTCCACTAAAGCTGTAAGCTCTTTTAAGACAAAACCTGGTCCATTTTGTAATCCCCATTTTGTTTCCCTAACTTATTTGCATGATGTATTAGTCTGTCTTGATGCTGCTAATAAAGACATACCCGAGACTGGGTAATTTATAACGGAAAGAGGTTTAGTTGACTCCCAGTTCCACAAGGCTGGGGAGCCCTCACAATCATAGGGGAAGGCGAATGAGGAGCAAAGTCACATCATACATGGCAGCAGGCAAGAGCGCTTGTGCAGGGGAACTTCCATTTATAAAACCTTGAGATCTTGTGAGATTTATTCACTACCAAGAGAACAGGATGGGGGAAACTGCCCCCATGATTCAATTATCTCCACCTAGCCCTGCCCTTGACATGTGGGGATTTACTATTCAAGGTGAGATTTGGGTGGGGACACAGCCAAACCATATCACATGAGTCAGAATTGAGTCAGAACTAGAAAGGAGAGAGGAGGATTCAAATGGCTCCCAGGCCTTTGCTTATTGGCCTTTCCAAATAAGAACCGTAATCCTTCCTCCAATTGCTATCAACAAAACTGAGAGGCAAAGTGGACCACTAGATAAATGTCAAGCTGTTGAAAAATCTAAGATTGACTGCTGTAATTGGCACCATTGGTCGGCATCATGAATAGTCATAACAAGCAGAAATTTGTTACCAAAGAACACTGTGTTTTCAGGGGGGAGATACCTCCCTGTTCTCTATTTCACTAAAAAAAAAAAAAGTCCAATTATCTCTTTAATTAAAAACAAAGACTTTTCTGATTATAAAGTCAAGGTGGAAATCCCACACCGAGCATTTAGAATAGCAGATGAGAAGCCTCATTATGTGTATGTGTGTATGTGTGTGTGTGTACATATGTGTGTGTGCCTTGCCCATGCACATGCATGCATAATCAGTATTTAAATGGAGTCTTACAATCGCCATACCCTTAACCACCACAGCAGCCATGTTTGTACAATGGGACTATTTCTGCTGCTGACTGGACCAGGGATGAACACCTCATCCAAGCTCAGCCAATCAGATTCCATTCCCTGGGAATACAGAATTGGAACCAAGAAAATCAGTCTCCCTGGGTAATTGGACCTGTAATGCATGAACTTGGTCGGGAGCCATCTTTTTCACCCCATGTGGACTAAGTGGCAGAGAAATTCCATCTGCTAAGAAAGCTGAAACAAGTGTGCAGAAAAAAGTAGAGATGGACCTGCCGTGTTCTAGTTTGATCTCCAGTTTTCTGTGTCAACCTTTTCATGTCCCAGGCACACACCTGCCCTGGGAGTCCATGGGTCTGTCCAGCACCATTCTTCTAATAAATGTCCTTTTAAATTAACAAGATCAAGGAAGTTTCTGCAACTTACAACTGAAGCAGTACTAACAAATGTACACACCTTGCTCAAATGTCTCTCTCCGTGAGTCCTTTCCTGAACATTCCATTTAAAATTACACATACTCTTTATCCCCTTCCCTCTTTTTCTTTCTTCCTAATACTTATGTCCTTCTAATATTTGTATATATATTAAAATATGTGTGTGCACTATATAACTATTTTTTATTCTGTTTATTGTCTCATCCCACTAAAATGTAAGTTCTGCAACAGAGATTTTTTAAAAAATTATACACAACAAAACAAATCATAAGTAAAAGCAAACTATAATTTTTTTAAAAGCCACAGACCAGAGAAAATATTTGCAATGCACAAAACCAACAAAGAGTTAAAAGCAATGGTATATAGAGAATTCCTGTAAACCATAAGGATAAAATAAGCAATTCAAGAGAAAAATTGGCAGTTCACAGGAGAGGAAACACAAATGGCCAATAAATATATGGAAAGATTCATAGCCTCATCTACAGTCCAGAAAATAAAAACTAAAACAAGATAATATTTATGCCCATCATTTTGGGAAACATATATAAGTTGACTTGTTTTCATTCATTCATTCAATTAGTTCAGCAAACATTATTAAATAACTGGTATGTGCCAATTCTGAGCACTGGAGATACAGCAGTGAGCAAAGCAGACAAAAATCCCTGCCCTTAGGGAGTGTATTCTGTACTGAACATAATAATAACAAAGAAAAAGAAATAAGATAGTCTGTTAGTGATACCTACTAATGTGAAATTTCAAAGCAGATAAGGGTATGAATTAGTTGGGTAGAATTAGAAATTTTAAAGAGGGTGGCCAGGGAAGGCATTGCTAAGAAGTAAAGACTTGAAGGAAATGAGAGTGATCCATGTAATATCTAAGGGAAGGCTTTGTGACAAAGAGACCAAGTGCAAAGAGTCTGAGGCAGGAATTTCCCTCTTTGCCTTGTTCAAAGAACAAAGAAGAGACTATTGTGGCTGCATCAGAGCAGACAAAGGAGTGTGGCAGGAGATGATGTCAGGGAAATAACATGGAGGGCAGGTCACATAGAGTCTCATAAGTCACAGTGAGGACTTTGCTTGTACTTGGAGGACAGGGATGTTTGTCTTTTTGTTCACTGATGTATCCTCAACACCTACAACAGTGCCTGAAACACAGTAGGCACCCAATAAACAGTAGTTAAAACAAACCAATTATGCAGTCAACAAAAATTTCTGCTACAAAAATATATACAATATGCCACTCAGTTGGGTTTTGTTTAATTTTTTTTATTTCAGTAGGCTTCGGGAGAATAGTCGATATTTGATTACATGAATAAGTTTTTTAGTGGTGATTTCTTGAGATTTTGGTGCACCCATTACCCACTTAGTTGTTTTTTTTTAAAGACAGATTACAGAAGAGGATAAAAGTGGGTAATTACAGACTTTTTTTTTTTCCAGATAGAGTCTCTTGCTCTGTCACCCAGACTGGAGTGCAGTGGCACAGTCTGCGCTCACTGCAACCTCCACCCCCTAGGTTCAAGTGATTCTCGTGCCCTAGCCTCCTGAGTAGCTGGGACTACAGGTGCCCGCCACCATGCCCAGCTAATTTTTGTATTTTCAGTAGAGATGGGGTTTTGCCATGTTGGCCAGGCTGGTCTGGAATTCCTGACCTCAAGTTTTCTACCCGCCTCAGCCTCCCAAAGTGACAGACTGTTAACAGTGATTGACTTGGGGTCATGAACTTGGGTTCCTTTTTTTTCCGTTTGTATAATTGAATTTTTCTTTAAAATGAGCTGTAATATTTGAAAGGAGAAAAATAAATGCATAAATTGAATGAAAGAATGGGAAGGAAGAAAGGAGGAGGCTAAGTAAAGAAGAAATTAATTTAGGCTGTGGAAATTCAGCCCATGTCCCCCAACCTCCATCCTTCCATCCTCTATCTCTTTCATACATAAACACACACACACACACACACACACACACACACACACACACACACACACATCTGGAAGCCCCCCCTCCCGGACTTGGCCTTGCCCTTGGCTGCCTTCCAGGCTCTCTCTGCTCTTGACAGCCCCTCATGCCCTCCCAGAAGCTAGATGCACAGCAGCTCCCTGCTACCCCAGCCGCAGTGGAGGCTGCATCAGATCCACAAACAAAGGCAATTCACAAGGGCCTGCCACCTGGCTTCTCTAATTGACCAAACCCCTAAAAAGAAATAAACAATGGCTCTTTCTGAGAAAATAGAAACGACTCAGCCATTAGCCCCACATGCCTGCAGAGAGGCCTCCTTGAGGAATGCCCAGAAATGGGAATCACACTACCAAAAAAGTCACCACTGCCCCAGGAGGGATGTAGTCAGCTGACCACAATGGCCCCTGGACTGGTGTCTAGAGACTAAATATTAATCCCCTTAATGTGAAATCAAGGCCTCTGGAAGCTGATGGAACTAGGTGCAAACTCCATCTTTACCGTTCATTAGCTGTGTGGCCTTGGACAAACCACACTGCCTCTCTGAGCCTTATCTATAAAATAGGAGCAGTGACAGCACCAACCTCAAGGGGTTATTATAGGAGCTAAGCGAAAAAAGTGCCCAATAGAAGCTACTGATGATTTTTTTATGAGCATCCTTCTCCCTCAGCCTGTGTACCCTTCCCCCATTCCTTTCTATATCTTATTACTCCTCCAAGATTCAGTTCAGATGTTTCTTCCTCCAGGATGCCTTCCCTGACCTCTTCAGGCTCAACTGGGTGCTCTTGTGGTGCATCCCTACTGCACACACTACTTACCTGTATAATTCAGGGCTCCTTGGTTGTAAGTGACAGAGACTGCCCTGGCTAACTTAAAACAGCAAGGGAGTTGATTGGAAGAATGTCAGGGCTCAAGAAGTCAATGTGAGTTTGGAGAATCGGCCTTGGGAATGAACCAAGAATGCTCCAGGAAGCTGGGATGGAAATAGAACCTCAGACCTGTCCAGCCCCTTGTCCCTCTGCTCAGCATCAAGTCCCAGGGAGGGGATGGTGGACTGGCCTTGTTAAGAGCAAAGGCCCATTGCTTGGTCAGAGTAGAGCAGAGTCCCCAATTATGGCCCCATCATACTCTCTCCAGTGGGGAGATGTTACCTCGATAAAGACAATGATCTGTGAAAAGAAAGTGGGTGCTGGTCAGTGAACAAACAACAGAAATCTCAAATATAGCAGGGATTTCATTTCATTCACTCATCTGAGTCTCCACCACTTCATGCAGTGTCTCAAAAAGTTTGCTGAATGAATGAATGATGGGAAAACCACAGCCTACAAGGCAAATAGTGCTAAGAGCACCAACTGAGGCATAAAGAATGGGAGGCAAGTGGGAGGTAGCATAGACTTAGGAGTCAGACACAGGTGAATTCAACTCCAGCTTCGCTTTCACCTTTGACTCTGCTATCTTTGACATGGGCCAAATTTCTCTCTGGACTTCAGTTTGCTTATTTGTAAAGGGGTGATAATTATAACAGTATCTTTGTAAGGTTGTTGTAAGTATCAAAGAAAAAGATTTATGTAATGAATTTCTGCAATGCCTGGGAAATAAGTGCTCAATAAGACACACTGTTAATATTCTATTGTTTTGATCAGTGTTGTTATTACTATGGGAAGTGTGGGGAGAGAAGGGAATGGGCTGACTTGAGGATGCAGAGCCTGATGGAGAAGGGGTCATTGTGATGGTGTCCCGTAGATGAACGAGATGGGAACCCTGCCCTATTGAAGCTCAGAGCTGAGTGAGGGAGACAGATGAATTCTCACCCAAGAAAAAGTGTGAACCTCATATTTTTAAAACACTGAAGAAAAATGAAACAAACATATGATGAAAAAATTACACAGCCCAAGCATCCTGAGGTGACCCGTGAAAATGGTTTGCAATTTACCTGACCCAGAAAACTGCACAAAACCATACAAATCAAGGGGTTCAAATCTTCATGTTCACTTTAAGAACAGCGTGGAACTGCCTGGGCCATCATGGTGTTCAAATACAAAAAGTCACCAAGTATCTGAAAGATGTCACTGTACAGAAACAATGTGTACCATTGCAATGTTACAAGGGCAGCGTTGTGGGTATGCCCAGGCCAAACAGTGAGGTTGGACACAGGGACAGTAGCCCAAAAAGAGTGCTGAATTTTTCTTGCATGTGCATAAAAATGCAGAGTCATGTTGAACTGAGGGATTTAGATGTAGACTCTCTGGTCATTGAGCTTATGCAGGTAAACAAAGCACCTAAAAATGCACGGCCAGATTTAAAGAGCTCATGGTTGGATTAACCCATACATGAGCTCTCCCTGCCACACTGAGCTGATCATTATGGAATAGGAACAGATTGTTACTAAACCAGAAGAGGAGATTGCACAGAAGAAAAAGATATCCCAGAAGAAACTGAAGAAACCAAAACTGATGGCATGGGAATAAATTCAACAGAAAATAAATGCAAATGAAAGTAGAAGAAAAAATTATGCAGCTGGTAGAACCAGATGCAAGATGAAGGCAATCAAATGCAGTCAAAGACTGAATTAAGTCAACTCACTAAATGCCTTGATTAATGATGAAATGCCTAAGCCCTCGGAAGGAGAGAGGACTCACTCAACAAGCCTTCCAAAGTCAGAACTTGAGCTGGGGTTTAGGATAAACTTGCAGAGGTCAAGAAGGAGGAGAGAATTCTGGGCAGAGGTGATGCACAAGCAAAGGCATGGAAGTCTTAGAAGGCTGTCTTAGCTCAGGGTGCTATAACAAAATACCATAGACTGGGTGGCTTAAACAAGAAACACTTCTCACGCTTTTGGAGACTGAGAAGTTCAAGACCAAGGTGAGGGCAGATTCAGTTCCTGGTAAGGACCCTGTTGCAGGGTTGCAGATGGCTGCCTTCTTGCTTGCAGATGGCTGCCTTCTCACTGTACCTTCACATGGTAGACAGCTCTGGACTCTTCCTCTTCTCACGAGGACACTAATCTCATTATGGGGGTCCCAGCCTCATGACCCATCTACGCCCAATTATCTCCCAAGGGTACCGCGTCTACATAAATTGCAGTGGGGTTAGGGCTTCAACATATGAATTTGGGGCAGGGTGAGGGCCACAAACATTTGGTCCATACAGGGACTTAAGGGAAACAAAAAGGGAAACTATCATTTTGCATGTGGCTTAAATTTTTGATAGATCCTGTCTCTCTGAATCTTTTTTTTTTTTTTCAGACAGGGTCTCACTTTGTTGCCCAGGCTGGAGGGCAATGGCACAATCATAGCTCATTGTAGCCTCAACCTTCTGGGCTCAAGCGATTCTCCTGCCTCAGCCTTCAGAGTAGCTGGGACCATAGGTACACACCACCATGCCCACCTTGTTTGTTTTTTCTTTTAGTAGAGACGAGGTCCTGCTTCATTGCCCAGGCTGGTCTCAAACTCCTGAACTCAAGCGATCCTCCTGCCTTGGCCTCCCAACGTGCTGGGATTACAAGCATGAGCCACCATGCCCAAACACCTTCTGGATCTTTATGGCTTTAGTTCTAGCTCAGACGGGGGGGCTCTCAAACCTGGCCTCGCATAAGAAGTAGCTGCTAAGGTTTCTTTCTACAATTCAAAGTCCTGGGCTCTGCCCCAGACACACTAAAGCAAAATCTCTGAGTACAGAGCCAGGGAATCTGGATTTTTTTTCTTTCCTCAAGTAATTTAATTTTTTAAAATTAATTTTTTATTGAGGTGAAATTTGCAGGGTAAAATTCTGCATTTTAAAATGTGCAATTCAGTGGTATTTTAGTACATTCACGATGTTGAGCAACCCTCACTTCTATCCAATCCCAAAACATATTTATCAACCCAAAAGGAAAGCCCGTATCTCACTCTCCCCTCCCAGCAACTGGCAACCACTAACCTGCTTTCTGTATCTATAGATTTGCCTATTTAGGACATTTTATATAAGTGGAATCATAGAATATCTGTTCTTTGTGACTGGCTTTTTTCACTTAGCATAATGTTTTCAAGGTTCATCCATATCGAAGCATGTATCACTTCATTTATTTTTTATTATTAATTTTTGTCTCACTCTGTCGCCCAGGCTGGAGTGCAGTGGCACAATCATGGCTCACTGCAACCTCCACCACCTAAGCTCAAGCGATCCTCCCACCTCGGCCTCCTGAGTAGCTGGGACCACAGGCGCATGCTCACCATGCCCGGCTAATTTTTGTACTTTTTGTAGCAACAGGTTTTCGCCATGTTGCTCAGGTTGGTCTCAAACTCCTGGGCTCGAGTGGTCTGCCTGCCTCGACCTCCCAAAGCTCTGGGATTACAGATGTGAGCCACAGCACTCAGCCTGGATATACTACAATTTGTTAATTTATTCATCAGTTAATGGATATTTGGGTTGTTTTCACCTTTTGGCAATTGTGCATAATACTGTCCCCAAGTGATTTTGATTTTACCAAGTTGAGAGTTGGCATTTGGGAACCAGTACTGGGGTTACAATCACTTAAAAAAAAAAAAAAAACAAACTTCTTGAACTTCAGCATGCTTCCCTCAGAATCACCTGAAGAGTTTGCTAGAGCCACTTTCCGAAGATACCCTGGTTCAGTAGATCTGGGTGGGACCTGGGAATCTTCATTCATAATGAGGCCCCCGCCCCTCATCCCTGATGCAATTCTGATGCAAGCGGCCTACGCACCACTCTGTAAGAAACAGTGATTTAAAAGAAGGTTATCCATGGTGGCTTGCATGCTGGGACATTTTTTTCCTGTTCTTTAACATTTGCCAATATTTGTTAAATATTCAATAGGGAGCATGATTTAATTTTATATTCAGAATTACTTTGGATATTAACAAATAAAGAAAAAAGGGAAATAATTCTAATGCCTGGCCTGATTCTTCCTCTCCCCAGCCCTACTCTCACCAGCTAAGACTTCTTAGACGGAGTCTTGCTTTGTCACCCAGGCTGGAGTGCAGTGGCGTCATCTCAGCTCACTGCAACCTCCATCTTCTGGGTTCAAGTGATTCTCCTGCCTCATCCTCCCGAGTAGCTGGGATTACAGGTGCCCACCACAACGCCCACCTAATTTTTTGTATTTTTGGTAGATATGGGGTTTCACCATGTTGGCCAGGCTGGTCTCGAACTCCTGATCTCACATGATCCACCCACCTTGGCCTCCCAAAGTGCTGGGATTACAGGCGTGAGCCACCGAGCTCAGCCTGGCTAAGACTTCTTGACCCCACCCCCATGCTTCCCGAAGCTCAAGCCTTTCTGAAATGCACGCACACATGTTAAGAAAGCCAATGGCTGATATCTATGCACAGGACACTTTTGCCTACGGCATGTCATACAATTTGCTTACTTACTATGCGCCTTTTGGAGCATCTAAGGAAATCAGAGCTGGGGGCTGGATCTCTGTTTGTTTTCCTACAGATAATGATATTCTCCCACCACCTAAGTTAATAGATTGAGGCTTGCAGGCATTTATGAGGGGTGTTTTTAATATGGTTCTGGAATATTTGCCCTATAAATTCTTAAGAACAGACTTATAGATTGCCCATTACCAACATTATGGGCTATTAATAAATCAGTTACAGTCACGTATTTTTTAAAAATTGCATTTCTCCCTTTGTGTTCACATTCTAAGCAGCTAAAAATTGGTGAGAGAGAGAACATCCGTGCTGGATAAGGGCTGTGATTTCCTATAGAAAGATGGCAGGGGAAGGGAGTTGACAGCTAAGTCTGAAAAGACAAACAGTTTGAAGGAAGAAACGAAGAGAAGTTAGGGGCCCCCACCAGCTGGGCGTTGTTGAGATATTTTAGAGCCACAATCTATCTTCTGGTGTGCTCAGGCAACAAGGATGAGTCCGCTAGTGTCTGTCCTACTGTTTCCTTTGCTATAAATCCCCTTGATATTTCTCTGCGCAGCTGCTCTGGGTTCACTTTGCATTTATGGATATGCTGCCTATTGTGGACAGTACCCTGGGCATTGCCAGGACTCTATGGCTGGTATGCACACAAATGCAGTCACATGCAGGGACAGACTCGAGTTCTCCAGCTCCACAGTCCCTTCCCACTGGCATAACTGGCAAAATCCCTTATTCCCGTCAAGTTTCTCATTCCAATCCAGAAGTCCCTAGGGGATGACGTTGCATTAGTGTTTGGTACTCCTGGAAGCTGCTGTTTTTATACCACCACTGCCACAGCACTGTTTCCCACCTGTGGCACTCAGAGCTCCCTCAAATTGGCACTGCCTTTTCTAGCGGTGTACATAGTTTATCCATCACCTGCCCCACAGGAGGACCACACTGCACTGGTGCTGGGGACCACATTGTTGCAGCACTTTGTATTTTTACCCATACAATCCTTTTCTCCAACAGCAGTAAATCTATGATGATAAAAGTAAGTATCCGTTTTTTTGTTTGTTTTTTTTTTTTTTTTTGGAACTGCTCTTTTCCTTGAGCCCCCAGGACTTGTAGCTGAAACTGAGTCACAATGCCCATTGAAATTTTCCCCTCCAAGTGGATTCACCTGAATGGATCATTTGGCCACTTTACAACTTTTCGTTATTCAGCCCCATCTCCCCCTACCCAAGCTATCATCCATGGTGTTGTCTGAACACCGAGCCACTGAGGCTGGTGGCATTTTTCCCCCAGAAGGCTCCAGTGCAAATCAGTAGATGCAAATAGACAGCAATTTCTGGCATCATAGACCCTGTGTGATATAAGAAGACATTGCTGGCTGCCATAACAAACCAACTTAACATCTCAGTGGCCTAAGACAAGCAAGGTTTATTTCTCACTAACTTCACAGTCTGATACAGCTCAGGAGGCCTTCCTGATGGCTCTCCTCCAAGCAGTGACTCAATGATCCAGGCTCCATTCGTCATGTGTTGCTGTAATCTGCAATGTATGACCTCCACTGTCACTGCAGAAGAGGAGAGAAAGGGGTTAGTGGTGGAAGATATCTGAGACATGGCACCAAAGTATGGTACCAGTGGTGAATCTGTACAGGTCTGTGGCAACCTCAATTATTGCCTCCTCAGAAGAAAGAACTCAACAGGGGGCAGAAGACAGAAAGAGAGGCCAAGGCAAGTTTTAGAACAGGAGTGAAAGTTTATTAAAAAGCTTTAGAACAGGAAGGAAAGGAAGGAAGGTACACTTGGAAGAGGGCCAAGCGGGCCACTTGAGAGATCAAGTGTATGGTTTGACCTTTTGACTTAGAGTTTTATACGTTGGCATAATTCCAAGGTTTATGTTTTGTCTTGTTTTGTTTCGAGACAGAGTCTCACTCTGTCGCCCAGGCTGGAGTGCAGTGGCGTGATCTCAGCTCACTGCAAGCTCTGCCTCTCGGGTTCATGACATTCTCCTGCCTCAGCCTCCCGAGTAGCTGGGGCTACAGGTGCCCGCCACCATGCCCGGCTAATTTTTTGTATTTTTAGTAGAGATGGGGTTTCACCGTGTTAGCCAGGATGGTCTCGATCTCCTGACCTCGTGATCTGCCCGCCTCAGCCTCCCAAAGTGCTGAGATTACAGGTATGAGTCACCGCGCCTGGCCAATTCCAAGGTCTTGAGTTACATCTCTCCTGATTTTTCCCTTGGGGTGGGCTGTCCACATGTGCATGCTTAAGCCCACTTTTCCAACTCCTGAGATCTTCCTGGGAAGCTGCTGATCACCAGTTTCAGATGTTTTCTATCTTTTGGGAGCCTGCCTTTCCCTGTCACCAGCTGTGACCAATTATTACTTTACAGAGACAGTTAACAACAGCCTGACTATCCCCTGATGATCTCCCAACACTCCTGGCATGTGTGTGTGTGTGTGTGTGTGTGTGTGTGTGTGTGTGTGTGTGTGTGTGTGTGTGTGTGTAGGGGGAGCCCTCTCCTGCCCTGCTCATGCCAGACTAGCTACCCACTATAACAAAGGGAGCATTAAGGAATCTTCAATGAGACACCTGCCTTCCACTGGCTAAAACCCCGTCATGTGGTTCCAACCTAATTGCAAAGAAACCTGGGAAATTTGATTTTCCTGCATGGCTAAGAGGAGGGTATGAGATTATTGACCATGTAGTTTGTCTCTGCCACATACCAGTCTCCATTTAAACTCAGCCAGGAATCCAAGCACATGTGGATTCTTAAAGATTTTGTTCTCCTAATGAGATTATACATTTCCTAAGGGTAGAAATTATTATTCTCTTGAGTATCCCCAAACCCACAAGCAGTGCTTAGTACAGTGGTCCCTGACGTTTTTAGCACCAGGGACAGTTTTCATGGAAGACAATTTTTCTGTGGATGGTAGAAGTGGTGGTTTGGGGATGAAACTGTTACACCTCAGATCATCAGGCATTAGATTCTCATAAGGAGCACGCAACCTGGATCCCTCGCATGTGCAGTTCACAATAGGATCACACTCCTATGAGAATCTAATGCTGCCTCTGATCTGACAGGAGGCAGATCCCAGGGTAATGCTCACTCACCCAATGCTCACCTCCTGCTGTGCAGCCAGTTCCTAACAGACCACAGACTGGTACCAGTCCATGGTCCAGAGACTGGGGACTGCTGGCTTAGTATACACTGAATGTCCATCCATGGCCACAGACTTCTAGAAACCAAGGACATCTCCAGAGGTAATTTGGGCCAATTATCTGCCTTCAATTCCTGAATATGTCTGGACCCACATATTGCTTTAAAAGATACCAAACATATTCATAAGCATTATCTCATTTATGCCTCATAACATCCCCAAGAGGGCAGACAGGATTGGAATTGTTATCCCCCTGTAGGACATAAAGAAACTGAAGGACAGTCTAAACAATAAAAATAATAATATGGATTAACAATTGCTGAACACTGTGATGGTTAATTTTAGGCATCAACTGGATTGGGCCACAGGGTGTCCAGACATTTGGTCAAGCATTATTCTGGTTGCGTCTGTGAGGGTTTTGGGGGGATGAGATTAACATTTGAATCAGAAGACTGTGTAAAGCTGATGCCTGCCCCTCCTACTTGACATGGATGGGCCATGTCAAATCAGTTGAAGGCCTGAATAGAACAGGAAGGCTGAGAAAGAAGGAACTCCTCCTGCTTAACTGGCTTCAAGCCAGAACATCAGGTTTTTTTCCCTGCCTTTAGACTTGAACTTGAAACATAAGCTCTTCCTGGGTCTCAAGACAACCTGCCTTTGGACTGGAACTATGCCATCAGCTAGCCTCAGTCTCTAGCTGTCCAACTCAGGTCTTGGGACTTGTCACCCTCCACAATAGCCCGAGCCAATTCAATAAATAAATGGATATCCTATTGGTTCTCTGGAGAACCCTGTCTAATACAAGCACCTAGGATGCATGAAATGTTTCAAAATATGTTATCTCATTCCATACTCTTAACAGTTGTCCAAGGTCATTTTTGTAATTGTCCCAAAGGTCTCACAGTAAATAGTGTGAGATTTTAGCCAAGGCAGGAGATTCTACAGAACTGGCTGTTAATTCCTACCCTAAGAAATGTACAGTCAAAGTTGTCATTTTTTAAGATCCTACCCCACAAAACATCCCAGCTCATCCCAATAGGACTCCCACCAGAAGTATCTGAGCCAGCTGAAGGGTGCCTCCTATGTGCTAGTGGCAGGGACACATATCAAGGAAAGGTGTGCTAGTGTCCAAGGATGTACCATCTCCTCAGTCCACCTCTCAGTCCCTCATCCCACCTGGGCACTCAGCCTGGCTGCTTGCATTCCTGTCTCCTAGCTTCCCACCACACAGCCCCAGAGACCATTCAAGGTGACAACTCCAGCTCAACTCTGTCCCCAGATCTCATTTTAGATTGAGTGTCCCTTGGGGGTCGCCCCATACATATCCTGTTCCAATCTTTCATCCAGACTGTAGCAAGTCAACAGATAACTAGGAGATAGGAGAATTTGAGAGGCCCTTAGAAACTTCTCAAAATATCACCCACCTAAGCACTTGCTGAACTAGGACCTTCCCTAGTGGAGTCATCCTTGGATGAGGAAATTGTCTCCAGAAGTCCCCTGTTAAAATGTTCTTTCAGGCCAGGTGCAGTCGCTCACACCTGTAATCTCAGCACTTTGGGATTGCAAGTGATCTGCCAAGGTGCCATGAGTTCAAGGCCAGCCTGGGCAACATAGAGAGACCCTGCCTCTACAAAAAATATAAAAATTATCTGCGTGTGGTGGTGCATGCCTGTGGTCCCAGCTATTAGGGAGGCTGAGGTGGGAGGATCACGAGCCTGGGGAAGTCAAGGCTGCAGTGAGCTGTGATCGCACCACTGCACTCCAGCCTGAGTGACAGAGTGAGACCCTGTCTCAAAAAAATAAAATAAAATAAAATGCTCTTTCAGAGGAGCATCCCTCATATGGATGTGCAAAGTCCACCCAGAGAATGAGCTCATTTACTGATTCATTCAATGTCACTGATGCCTATTGGGTTGTCTGACTGTGGACGCACCTGTGTGACAAGAGTGTCCCCTTGCAGAGCAGCAGGCAAAGTTCCATGGAGTAAGGGCACAGGATGGGAATAGATGACACTTGGATCCCTAAGGTGAGCGTGGGGGATGAGGAATGGTCTGAGCCATTGAGGAAACATCAAAGGGCTCTCGCTATGAAACACTGGAAGCTAGAGAAGGGTTATTGAGTGATTTTTGCCCAAGGCCAGCACTTCCCGTGAGCTGACTTTGTCCTCCAGCCCCTGTCACATCCTCTGACCTATTTCTTTGAAGATAAGGTCTGGGGTTTAAAACCAGAGGCCTTCAATTTATGTAAATATAAAATTGTCATTGGTAAGACTGCTTGGCATGGTGGAAAGGCTGGACTGGAAATCAGGAAACCAGCTCTGGTTCTAACTTGTGTTCTGATGGCAATGGTCACTCATCTCTCCTCTTGGGGCCTTGGTTTTCCTGTGTACAACTGGGCCACACCAGAGACAGTAAGGGGAAGGGTAACATTGTAGTAAGGCCTGAGGCTTTGGCCTTAATAAGATCCAAGTTCAAATATCAACTCAGACACACTCAGCCCATGTGGCCAACACCTTCACCTTCCCAGAGGCTTTTGCAGCTAGGGGTGGTTATGACCAATGAGGAGACACAAATCTAGGGAGAGTGTCTTCTAGGACAGAAAGACAAAGCTTCTGTGGAAAAAGGGGTTTGTCACACCCACTTTCTATTGCCTGGATCATGGACAGAATGCTTGAAGGTGCAACAGCAGCCATTCTGACACCATGAGTAAGAGAGTCACACTATGAGAATGGAGAATGGTACAGCAGGCAAATAGAAGGGGCCTGGGTCCCTGGGGATGTTCTTGTGGATGTAATCCTGAGCATCCGATCACAAGCCTCTTGTTTTATGAATCAAATACAATTCCTGACAAGTTTGCCAGGTCTTCAGTTACTCACAGCCACACACAATTCTAACTAACCTTGAAGCAGTCTTTTCTTTCTCACTTAAAATTCATTGAGCATTTACTCCATGACAAGCATATGCTAAACACATCACATCTATTCTCTCCTAATCCTCACACTAATCCATTTTATAAATGTACAAACCAAGGCTCAAAGAGGGTAAGTAATTTGCCCAAGGTGATACCACAAATGAATTTGATCTCTAGTGGCTGGGCATGGTGGCTCACACCTGTAATCCCAGCACCTTGGGAGGCCGAGGCAAGTGGGTTATTTGAGCTCAGGAGTTTGAGACCAGCCTGAGCAACAGGCTGTAAAGACTGCCAAACCCTGTCTCTACAAAAAATACAAAAAAAAAATAGCTAGGTGTGGTGGTGCGCAGCTGTGGTCCCAGCTACTCAGGAGGCTGAGGTGGGAGGTTCACTTGAGATTGGGAGGTGGAGGTTGCACTGAGCCGAGATTGCACCACTGCACTCCAGCCTGGGTGACAGAGCGAGACCCTGTCAAAAAGAATTTGTCCTCTAGAACCCAGTCTCTTAACCACGACTCATTCTTCACATTCCCTGTGCCTCAGTTTTCCTATCTGCAAAGTAAGACATCAGAAAGCAGTACTGTAAAGAAGCTGAAGCTATGAGCCTTCAATCCAGATGGACTTCAGTTCAAATTCTGCCTTCACCGCTTGGTGCTGTGTGACTTGAGCAAGTTATTAAACCTTTCTGAGTCCCAATTTCCTTTGTAGTAACTGGTGGTGGCAAAAGGACCTACTTCATATGGTTGTCCTAGGGATTAAACATCATGTAAAGTTATTAAGTGCAGTGCCCAGCATGGACCAGGCAGTTCTCTGTGGCTGCAATGATCTTATCTGTTCTGTGCAGCTCTGGGTTTCCATGGCATTAGTGACAGGCGGTACACTGAAACAGAAATGTCCAACATATTTCCCTGGGGGAGAAGTGCTACCGTGGCATTCTAGGTACACAAGACAAATTGAATACAGAAATTTTTCATCTGAAACCAACTATTTTTTTAAAACAACTGTTTATAACTTTGTTTACTCCCAGCAAGGGTAAGATCAAGGCATCCAGCCCCTCCCTGCTGTGGGTAATGGAGGAGAGAGAGAGCGAATCACTCTCCAGCGGTCTCACCAGACTTCAAAGCTAAGCTAAAAACTAAAAAACCTAAAAATGGGAGGGAAAGGAGGAGGTGTGGAAATAAGAAGAAACAGGTCCCAAGGAGGTTATAGAAAAACAATGAAATCGTAATATTTTCCATGACAGATTTCATCAGTGCCACCTGAGTGCATTCTATTAAACCTCATTTATTAAATTTCTAGGAACATAATTTAGATATAAGATTCCAGACAAACAGATTGTGAAATAGCTGATTCCGGATGCATCGACAATCCCCCATGCGTGGAAAACAGGCTGGTGTTTTTCATTTTGATGGTCTCAGGGGACTCTTCCTCTACTGCTTGCGGGGTAGAAGGAAACACTGTGATGGAAGCTGGGGGGGCTCCATGCTGTGATTTGCAGACCTTCTCCCCGCTCCACAGTTATTTGAGTTATTTGGAGGAATTGTGTTTCCTGCCCTGTGGCATAAACATCTCCGAAGTTGAACAGGCACGCTCAGTGGTGTTCTGGCATTTGTAGGCCAAGAGGAAATAGGTGTACAGGTGCCAAGAAAGCAAGGTACACACACGGCACAAATAGCTTATTTGTTCATCTAAGGGTCTCCCCTGAGCCTCTCAGTACTGCCCCCCAAATATCTTTTGCTGATATTTACAAGGTAGGACTTGACCAGGGTCTTCCTAGTGGACTAAATAGATGATATTTTTATTCTGGGATTTCCAGGTACCATTGGGAAGCCTCAACTCTGCTCTCTAATACTCAAACTGTCTCTTTGTAAAAATGAGAGGAAGAGGGGGCATCATGCCAGAGACTCCGTCTACATTAATTTTCTCCTCTCCTTGGTCCATTCAAGGCATTGATTATTGACTCTGCTTTATGGATGAAAAAACTGAGACTCAAGGCTGGGCACGGTGTCTCACGCCTGTAATCGCAGCACTTTGGAAGGTTGAGGTGGGCAGATCACCTGAGGTCAGGAGTTTGAGACCAGCCTGGCCCACATGGTGAAACCCCATCTCTACTAAAAATTCAAAAATTAGCTAGGTGTAGTGGTGCAAGCCTGTAATCTCAGCTACTCGGGAGGTTGAGGCATGAGAATCACTTGAACCCAGGAGGCAGAGGTTGCAGTGAGCCAAGATAGCACCATTGCGCTTCAGCCTGGGTGACAGAATGAGACTCTGTCTCAAAAAAATGCTCTGTCTCAAAAATGCTCAAAAAACGAAACAAAAACAAAAGAAAACTTAGGCTCAGAGACATGAATGCGTTTCCCAGGATCACTCGGTGATTAAGTGGCAGAGCCAGGAACTCAAGCCCAGGTGGTGGTGTGTGAGATTTAAGGATTCTTTGGATGGTGGGATACAATCCAGTGACACTCGGATAGATGGAAGACAGAACACGTTGTTACTTCCAGCTCTGAAACAGAGAAGTTTGCCATGCAGGGCCACACAAGGGACTGTACCTGGGGACAGGACGGCACAAGCTGGACCATAAGGGACAACTTTATATATGACAAGCAGGGTGGAATTAGTTAGGTTTCACTGACTTCTGGTGGATTTGCTAAATTGAATAATTGTGTGGGTTCTAGCACAAGAGGCTAACCCTAGCTGTCTGGTACCTGGCACTGGGGCAATTAGGGCGGTGCAGAGTGGCCCCAAGTATGAGAGCCCCAGAAGGGAATTGCTTGGAGTATGACTTAATCAGGTGTTCACGAAGGGGAACTGACTGACAACTAGCCAGGGCCTCAAAACGGGGTTAAGACAGCATTTTTTTTTTCAAGATGGAGTTTCGCTCTGTCACCCAGGCTGGAGTGCAGTGGTGCAATCTTGGCTCACTGCAGCCTCCACCTCCCGGATTCAAGTGATTCTCCTGCCTCAGTCTCCCAAGTAGCTGGGGTTACAGCAGCCCATCAGCACGCCCAGCTAATTTTTGTATTTTTAGTAGAGATAGGGTTTCACCATGTTGGCCAGGATGGTCTTGAACTCCTGACCTCAACTGATCCACCTGCTTTGGGCTCCCAAAGTGCTGGGATTACAGACATGAGCCACTGTGCCCAGACAAGACAGCATTTAAAAATATATGTTACAGGCAGATCTAATTCCAAATCCTACATCCCTTTATTCTTCTTCTGTGCTGCAAATATCTATAGTCCTTGGGGTCAACCATCCTCAGCCCATATTCATTTGGTCACCATCTCCTGTTGGTGCAATCTCTGAAAAGTCTCTTAAATCAGTCTCCTGCTCTAAAAAGTCAAGTTCAGATCTCTCTCATGAACTACAAGGCCTTTTGAGAGATCATTATGGTTAAGTGTCAGAACATGAGAGTAACAGTCAGACTGCCTGGGTTCAAATTGTGGCACTGCCACTTGCAGCTATGTGACCTCAGAAAATCACTCAATCTCCTACTGAGCCTCACCTTTCTCATCTGCAAAGTAGGAATTAAAATATGACCGGCAGCTGGGAATTGCTGAAAGCAGTAAATGAGATTATATGTTGGAAATCCTAACGCAGCGTAAGTCATCAGTTAAAATACCCAATACTGCTGCTGCTGTTGATGTTACTCTGGTTCTAACCTGTAATTAACCTCACTTCTCTGTTCTTCCCAATTCCAGCCATACCCAGCTCACCAGACACCCCCACGCTTCTCCATATGTCTCTGCTGTGGCTGGGATATTTTTCTCTACACCTCACTCACTTCCCAGCCTGTCCCGTTCATTCTGCTAGGCCCAGCCCCATAGTCACCTCCTCAGAGAAGCCACCTAGAGCCCCTACCCCAATCCCAGCAGAATCCAGCTCTGTCTGCCCAGCGCTCACTCTCACTCTGTCAAAATCTGAGCATGCTGTCACGTAAGAAAGAAGCCAGGTCCCTACCTGGCTCCCTGATGGTGAGCTCCTCAAGGGAGGTGCAGGGACTTATTCATACACCAAAGTGACCAAGGATGCAGATCTGGTGCCTGACCACCTGGGTTCAAATTCCAGATCCACCTGTAAGCAGCTGCCATCTTTCCCATGCCTCAACCCCCACCACTCAATTCTGCTGGGATTTGGGTAGGAGCTCTAGGCGGCTTCTCTAAGGAGGTGACTGTGGGGCTGGGCCTAGCAGAGTGAACAGGACAGGCTGGGAAGTGGGTGAGGTGTACGGAAAAATATCCCAGCCACAGCAGAGACCTATGAAGGAGCATGGGGATATCTGAGGAGCCGTGTATGGCTGAACTTGGGAAGAACAGAGAAGTGAGAATAATTACAGGTCAGCACCAGAGTAACATCAACAGCAGCAGCAGTATTGGGTATTTTGACTGATGACTTACTCTGTGCTAGGATTTCCAATGTGTAATCTCATTTACTGCTTTCAGCAATCCCCAGCTGCCAGTCATCTTTTAATTCCCACTTTGCAGATGAGGAAGGTGAGGCTCGGTAGGAGACTGAGTGATTTTCTGAGGTCACATAGCTGCAAGTGGCAGTGCCACAATTTGAACCCAGGCAGTCTGACTTTTAAGCTCATGTTCTTTCAACAGCCAGCAACTGCATTTCTTTACCTGAAGGCCTTTGCCTGATGATGGAGTCCACTTTGCTGCCTGTATGGCCAGGCAGAAGTGCCAGAGAATTAATACCTGCCCTCCAATTCAGGAGCAGTGCTCAGCCAACGCCTGATAGAAGTAAGTACTGTATACAGCTGACCCTTGAACAATGAGGAAGTTAGGGGCACCTACCCTCACACAATTGAAAATCTGCATATAATTTTTCACTCCCCTCAAAACTTAATTACTAATAGTCTAGTTTTGACTGGAAGCCTTACTAATAACATAAATAGTCTATTAACACATATTTTTATATGCATTATATACTGCATTCTTACAATAAAGTAAGCTAGAGAAAAGAAAATGTTATTAAGAAAGTAATAAAGAATTGTACCCCAGAACTTAAAGTATAATAATAAAAAAAATAGAAAATATATTTACTACTCATTAAGTGGAAGTGGATCATCGTAATGGTCTTGATCCTTGTCACGTTGAGTGGGCTGAGGAGGATGAGGAAGAGGAGGGGTTGATCTTGTTGTCTCAGGAGTGGCAGAGGCAAAAGAAAATCTGAATACAAGTAGGCCCACAAAGTTCAAGCCTGTGTTGTTCAAAGGTCAACTGTATACATCCACAGTTCCCTCATCCCTCAGGTGGGATATATCTAAGGCACATTGTCTACCTGGCTCCCAGTGTTTCTCCAGTATAATTAAGTTCCAGATGCCCACAGTGGTAGCTAGCTGGACAATTCTCCCTTGAGTATCTGTCTTCCTTTTCTTGCCTCACTCCCTCACTCCCTTTTGCTCCCCACTTGCTCTCAAATCCTTGAATGAGTAGCTACTTCTAGAGGAAACCAAACTTCTGCTAGCTATGACCATAACTCCTACCAGCTATGAAATCTTGAGCTCATTACTTAAATGTTCCATGTCTCAGTTTTCTCATCTGTAAGTGGAAATAATTTTACCTACGGAATTGTGTTATGAGGATGAGATGAACTAATACGAGCTTGGAAAGTGCCTGGTATATAGAAAACACTCTAAGTCGTAGCTGTTATTATTCTCAGGGTCTAGAAATGAACATATGCTTCAGCTTCAAAAATAAAAAAAAGGTTTGCCGATTAAATCACGTTGAATCTCTGGGGATGGAGAAAGGCTTTCTATTAAGCCTTTTCACTCCATGTTAGTTTGGTTCTTCTGGTTGCCAAGAATTCACTCAAGCTAACACAACAAGCAAGGAAGCTTGTTGTAAGGCTGTGACTGTAAGAATAGAGACACGCATCTCTAGGGAACTGTAGAACAATCAGCCAGCCAGACCACAGACCATACCAAGGCAGGAAAATAATTGGGAAGTATGAAGGCTCAAAATCCAAGAACAGCTCTAGTGGTTGGGTTATCTTGTCACTCCCTGAGCTGCAGAATGTTTTTCCTTCTAGAGATCTATTGCTGACACAATTCACTAGTTCTGTCTTGCCTCTCTTTGTACAAGCTTCTAGTTCCATTGAGTTCTCTGAGTTTCCAATTACATTTTTTCCCCTTGTGGGTTCTGACCCAACTGATAAATAGTCATAGGAGTCAAATAAAAATAAAGATATCAGCTTCAGAGGAGGTAAAGTTGGGCTACAAACGCAATGTAGACCTGTGACTAGTGGCAAGAACTCCACTCTTTCTCTTCGCGACTAGAACTTGGAGCAGAGATCTGAGCCAAGAGTAGAGGCTCCCAGCACAGCCTGCTTCACATCTGCTGAGCCAGGAGAGACCTGAGGG
Source organism: Homo sapiens (assembly GCF_000001405.40). Lineage (NCBI taxonomy): Eukaryota > Metazoa > Chordata > Mammalia > Primates > Hominidae > Homo > Homo sapiens. The sequence continues at coordinate 118,722,629 of NC_000012.12, read as the reverse complement.
GGTACGGAGAGCATCTCATCCTGTGACACAGAAGCAAGAGCCAGGCATGGACATTCCTTATCGCAGGGCAACTCTGAAACTGGAGCTTGAGGAAAAGATTGAGCTGGTCATGCTCAGGCGTTGTTCCTAGCGTCACCAACAGATCATATATTTACTCCCATTGGGTAGAATAAGGAAGAAAGGAGGAAGGATACACTGATGCCTTCCCCAGTATTTCCAAGAGAGCAGAAGTAGGTATTATAGGTGCAGCAAACCACCGTGACACAGGTTTACCTATGTAACAAACCTGCACATGTTCCCCAGAATTTAAAATAAAATAAGATAAAGAAGTAGATATTTTAATGAACCATGATAGATTAGGCAGGAATGAGATGGATTTTTTTTTTTCTCTTACAGCTATTAACTGACCGACTTTGCCATCTCTCTAGTTCAAATTCCCAAAGGAGAGGATACAATTGGTGCAGGGATTCACCTTCATCCCTGTTTGAGCAGTTTCCATGAAAACTCAACTCATAGGCTATTGGCCAGCCCACACCTTAGTGCAACCTGAAATTATTCTGTTCATGTATCTGTTTATTGTCTGCTGCCATCCCTACTAGAATGTTCCTGAAGGACATAAACCCTGTCTGTCATGGTCTGTCATGGTCATTGCCATATCCCCAGCATGTAGAATAGTCATGGCTCCAGGTAGGAGCCAGATAAATAGTTACTAGACAAATGATTGAATGATTGATTGATATAGTGAATAAATTAGTGAATGAACAAACTTAATGAGTTTATGGAAAGCCCTATCTAAATCACCAGAGCTTCTCCTCCATTGCCCAGGGAACTCAGCTCCAGCCCCAAGCCTGCATAGCCCACTGAGCAAAGCCCCCCACAGTAATAGGACCCCACTTACCTAGAAGGAAATTGAGCTTCAGTTATTGTGACACCATGTCCCCCCTATCCCCATCAAAGCATCTTACACAAGTTATCCCACCCTGGAATCTTCCTGAGAGACATTCTGGACAACATACTTTTTTTCTGTCTGATTTTATTTCCAGTGATGTTTTAGCCCCTCTTGAAATGGGACCACTGCCCTGATTACATGCTTCTTAATCCAACACTGTCTGCATCAGTACTCTTGATTAATGCATTTTCCCATACACAATCAACTCTCCCTCCAACTCATCCACCAGGGCATTATTAAACAGAAACCTAAACCCAGCATGCTAATAAAAACAGCTCTTGCAAATAATCCTTTAAAGAGATTCTAAGTTCCCAGTTCCTAATAAACTGATGCAAATTAACAACCTTTTGGAGGCTTCTAAACATCACAATATCCCTGGCCTCCCAATATTTTCACCCAGAATGGGGTAGGGAATGAGGCCACGGACTATTGGAAGCACCAAGACAAATCGGTCCCTCCAGGAAAGTCAAGTTTCATCACTGCTGAGCTTGACACCATATTAGAAGGCAAAAGTGCCCTGGAGAGCTTTGAAGAACAAAGACCCCAGCATTGCCAGGAGAGATAGATAGGGAAGCCCCAAATGAAAGGACTTTATTGGCCAGGCACAGTGGCTTATGCCTGTAATTCCAGCACTTTGGGTGGCCCAGGCAGGAGGATCACTGGAGCCCAGGAGTTCAAGACCAACCTGGGCAAGATGGCAAAACCTTGCCTCTACAAAAAATTAGGCAGGTGTGGTGGTGTGCATCTGTAGTCCTAGCTACCGGGGAGGCTGAGGTGAGAGGACTGTTTGAGCCTGGGAGGCAGAGGCTGCAGTGAGCCAAGATGGTGCCACTACACTCCAGCCTGAGCAACAGAGACCCTGTCAAAAAGGGAAGGAAAGGGAAGGGGAGGGGAGGGGAGGGGAGGGGAGGGGAGGGGAGGGGAGGGGAGGGGAAGGGAAGGGAAGGGAAGGGAAGGGAAGGGAAGGGAAGGAAAGGAAAGGGAAGGGAAGGGAAGGGAAGGGAAGGGAAGGGAAGGGAAAAGAAGGAAAGAGAAGAAAGAAGGAAGAAAGAAAGAGAGAAAGAAAGAAAGAAAGAAAGAAAGAGAGAGAGGGAGGGAGGGAGAGAGAGAGAGAAAGAAAGAAAAGAAAAGAAAGAAGGAAGGAAGGGCAGGAGAGAGAGAGAGAAAGAAAGAAAGAAAAGAAAGAAAGAAAGAAAGAAAGAAAGAAAGAAAGAAAGAAAGAAAGAAAGAGAAAGAGAGAGAAAGGCAGACTTTGTATTATCTTCCTCAGCATTGGTCAGAGAGTCTGGGAAGCTTAAAGTATGAACCTGGGATGAGCTATACTTGTGAATAAATAACACCCGCAGGGTCTTGTAAAGATCAGAGATAATATGTGACAAGAGCCAGTGTATTGGTCTGTTTTTTGCATTGCTATAATGAAATACCTGAGACTGGGTAATTTATAAAGAAAAGAGGTTTAATTGGCTCCTGGTTCTTCAGGTTGTATAGGAAGCATGATGCTGGCATCTGCTCAGCTTCTGGGGAGGCCTCAGGAAACTCACAATCATGGCAGAAGGCACAGTTGGAGCAGGCATGTCACATGGTAAAAGTAGGAGCAAGAGGGAGGGAGGGGGAAATGCTACACACTTTTAAACAACCAGATCTCATGGGAACTCACTATCAGGAAGACAGATAACAAGAGGGATGGTACTAAACCATTCATGAGAAATCCGCCCTCATGATCCAATCACCTCTCACCAGGCCCCACCTCCAACACTGGGGATTACATTTCAGCATGAGATTTAGGTAGAGATGCAGATCCAAACCATATCAGTCAGTATACAGTAGGTGCTCACTAAGTGGTAAATATTGTTATGATGCAAATCACACATTAGTGCCTAGAACAGGCAGGGGCCTGGAGAGAAAGGCTTCTCAACCCAGGACTTTGGTATATTGGCACCAACAGACTTGCTGCACACAACTAAAGTGGAGGCTTTGAAGCTATGAGTTTCGCAGCTCCAGTTTTGCTTTTAAGGTCTTCTAAGACTAAAAGGGCTGACTTAAGATAGTCCAAAGATAGCTGACTGGCTGAGAAACTGGAGCAGGGAGCTCACATCAGGGTGAACATCCCAAAGCCTGTGAGTCCAACTGGCCCAAAAGAGCCTACTCTTTTCTTCCTCTTCAAACTCACAGCTTTCCAACTCCCCATCTCTTCCCACATCCCTGTCTCCTGAGTCTCAGTTTTAGGCTCACCTCATCCAGGCCGCCTTCCTAGGCTTTTGCAAGCTACATACTCTGTTTCCCATCTCTTTATCCCTTGGCACAGTCTGCATCAAACATTTTAACTCCTCCCCCTACCACTTTTATTATTTTACATTATGCCTTACTGATTTCAGGTATGTGAGATCTTGGAGCCCCCTTGAACACTGAGACTGACTCACATTCCTCAATATCCCCCTTAGCAATCTTTCCTAGTCCAGCACTTCTCACACCATAATGTGCACATGATTCCACTGGAGATTCTTGTTAGAATGTACAGATTCTGATTCTGTATGTCTTGGGGAGGGCCTGAGATTCTGTATTTTTAACAAGCTCCCAGGTGATGTTGATGCTACTTTGAGTAGCAAGAATCTAGGGCATTTTATATGACAATGTTTTCTCTCAAGCTTTTAATGTGCTACATATTTTTAAAAGGTAGAGAAACAAAGTTTACTCCAGGATTTCTCAGAACATTTCATGATATTGTGAATCTCCAAGAGAGGGAGAGCTGTGGTGTGCAGCATCTCCAAATAGAAACCTTTCATTTGGGCACTGACCTACAGCATTGATCTCATTCACAGACACACAACAGAGTTAATATTTATTGCATCCTTACTATGGGCCAAGGAGTTACATGCATCATCTTATTTAATTATTCCACTCAACCCTATAAGGTAAGCACCATCAGGATCCCCATTTTAGGGGAGGAAATGCAAGCTTAGAGAGGTTAAGCCATTTGCCCAAGTATGTGTGTAGAGTCAAGACTTGAACTGCTTCAGTCTGACTCTGGGGTACTCCTTTTTAGCCACTTCTCTTGACCTCTAAGCCTGGGCCCAGAGCCCTTCCTTTTGCCATAAGTTCTGGCTGAGAGGCCAGTCTTAATGAGCGCGGGTCTTTGACTGCAATCAGTTTTAGTCTAGGTACTCCTTTGCATTCCTGAAGACAGTTCTGTTTCAGCTCAGGATGCATCTGGCTGCAAGTAACAGCCGACAAATGAGTGTTTGTTCCTACCGCATTACAAGAAGTCCAGAGGTTAGGGACACTAGTTCAGCTACCAGGGACCCAGGTCTTTTCTTTCTTTTTAGGTGCCCTGAACAGAGGACACGCATGCCTCAGTTCTGAGAGAAGTTCATATGAGCACCTTCTTCATTCACACTTTCATTTGAAAGGCATATACCAAATGTCTCTCATATACCAAACAATGGGCTTTGGGACAAAGAAGAAAAAGACACCACTTAGTATGTGGGTCAGATTAACTTACACAGACAAGTAATCTCTCAATTTGTAATACCATGCATTGACTACTATTCATTTCAACCCTGGCTTTCTACAGAAAGAATCTGAGGTACTAATGTATTATGATATGTATTATAAGAAAGGTAAGCACAGGAGTTGCTGGAGCCCAGAGAAAGGGCCCCTAGCCTGGGGTGAGAAAGGGGAGGAGGTGTCAGGAAAGGAATGGATCTGAGTCATATAGGGCAATACAAATTAGCTGGACAAGAAAAGGTCAGGTAGGCAAGGCATGCCAAGCCAAAATAAAAGGAGAATGTAGGTAGTCAGGATGCTTTCAGCTGCACACTGTTTGGGCTTTTAAAAAACATATTTTTTTCTCATAAAAAAAAAGTTTAAGGGCAGATGGTTCTAGAGTTGTTTCAGTGGCTCAGCTACAGAAGAGTCCTGTATCAGCTTCTCTGCAATTATTTTGTCCCTCCCCTCACATATGTAATATGACTGCAGCTGCTGCAGACATCACAGGACAGCATAAGGGTCTCATCCTTTTCTGTGACTTTTTCTCTGACACTTTCACCCTTCTAAAGTTGCTCACTTTGCAGTGTATAGAATAGTGGTTTATGCACATGGACTAGGAAATTAGACACTATTCACTGGGAACACACAACATTTTTAAGAGAATTATATTTTGAAAAAAAAAACTGTGATCTTAAACTGATAAGGACAGAGAGAGGACAAAACTAAAAGAGACCTTCAGACCATAAAATTTCTATAAGCGGGAGGCAGGCTGCAAAAATTACTCAGCAATGACACACACAACCTTTTTTTTTTTAAGGAAGGATAACTTAGTTCAAGACCAGCCTGGCCAACATGGTGAAACCCTGTCTCTACTAAAAACACAAAAAATTAGCTGGGCATGGTGGCATGCACCTGTAATCTCAGCTACTCAGGAGGCTGAGGCAGGAGAATCGCTTGAACCCAGGAGGCAGAGGTTGCAGTGAGCCGAAATCATGCCACTGCACTCCAGCTTGGGTGACAGAGCGAGACTCCATCAAAAAAAAAAAAAAAAAAAAGGATAACTTAAATGGTGGAACCAAGAGCCCAGAGAGTAGAGCCGAACCAAAAAACTGCAAATCTGAGCCCAGCTAGAGTTTAGGATTGCTATGGACCAGTGATTTCTGTATGCCTCACAATTTCCCCTTTGTGAATAGGAATATCTATAGCAGTTATCCTCTGCCTGTCCCCTCATTGTATCTAAAGACAGTTTGTCTTCAAATCTTGGTTCTGCTACTTGGTACCTTGAGCACCCCTTACCATAAGCCTCAATTTCTTTGTGAAATGGGGACAATAATAGTGCCTTTCTATTGAATAGATTGTTGTGAACACTCAGTGAAATAATGTATATAAGCACTCCACACAGTGCCTGACACATAGCAAGTGGCTTTCAGTAAATGGCTGCCATTATTCTTTTTCACTATTTCTCCAATTTGTACTCTGAACATATTCTGACTATATACGTCCTGTCATTCTGCATTGGAATTATATACATGACTGTCTATCCAGATGGGCTCTAAGTGACTGGGGATAGAAAAATATATATATATTTTTATCTTCAACAAACGTAAATATCCTGGCACATGGGAAATGCTCAAGAAGTGTTTGTTGAATGAGTAAATGAATGAATAAGTGTATAATCAAGATTCTGCATTCCACTCTGCCGGCTTTTTGTGGCTACCCTGGTTTCCCTCCTGGCTGTTGCTGTGGAAAATGACTTGAGAAAACCAAGGGTCCTTCCTATCAGTCATGCTCACTACAAGCTTCTGATTATCTGGGATAGTGAAGAACTCCAGATGCAGTTCCTACAACAGGAAGCTGCTGTGGCTGGGATGAGCACCCTGGAGAATGAAGAGCTCCTCCTAGTTGGGAAACATTTGAGCTCCAGAAACACATAAGAAAACCAGCTCTCCTCAAGCCACTTCCCTTGCCCAAAGCAGTCTACTGGCCACCCGTCTTCCAACTGTGTGTTGTGAGGAAGAAGTACAATGACCTGGGATTCCTCCAGTGGCCCCAGACAGTTGGAGGCAAAGTGGGATGTAGACACAAAGATGAAGATTTATTGACTCTCCTTTAGTGCTTCATGAAACATTACATTTGGCTAATTTAGGAAGTATATCAAAATAAGAGATACCCATCTATGTGAGATCGATTAGGAACAAAACTGTCATGAAGCAAAGGGCTCGAGTGACTGAGGTGACCCTTGACCTCATTCAGAGCTAGGGTCCTTAACAAGCATCAAGAGCAGTCCAAACCTGAGATGGCAAATTCTTACCATAAATGATACCACTCACCCATGGCAGACATCACTAATCAATTGCAGCACACTTTCACCACAGATACAGCCTCAAATGCTTCTCCACTGTAATTTATTGGGGATGCCATACAATATTAAACCCATTTTCCAAACTTGACCTGAATGTTCACACTGTTTGTGTAATCTTCATGATTCTAACAATCTCCTTAACTATTTTCTCTTTATGTCTCTAACAATGTGATCTTAATAGCATCCTATGTCATCACGGAGCAGACTACTTGCATCTTATATTGCCTCCTTTCATGAGAACTCTTTTACTTTTCTAAATTGCACTTTGGTGGGACATATTATAAGACAGTCAAATGAAATCCATGTTTTCTATAAGGGCATCACTGAGGATACTGTCCATTACTTTACATAGTGTCTTCTCTATCAGGCTGCAGGAGAAAATATCAATGACTTTCTGGTCTTAGAATCAGGAATAGATGTGTCTCTCCCGAGCCACCAGATTTTTCGCCTTATGAGCTCTACGCATTCTTTGACTGACACATTTCTCTCTCTGCACTGGGATGCTTACAGACCAGGATCATACTATTTGCCATGTAATTCATGCATTAATCTCTTTCCTGAGTTCATCTTATTTTTCCAGATAGTTTCCCTTCTTTGTCTTATTTATCTTAATTTTTATTTATTTTATTCTGTTGTTTTTCATGCATCCTTGTAAGCTACCTTGAATATTTTGGAAAATAAACTTGGTATAAACAGATAACTGATATCCTAATGAATGTGAAACATTATTCAAGCTCTTTAATATCAAATTCATGTGTGAATGTTAAGGGTGAGGGTGCCCCAGACTTTATTTATTCAGAGGCGGAATGCGTAAGACCATATTTTTCTCACTTTCAGCATTTATTCTTTTTCCACTTACTCTGAAGACTCTAAGAAAGGTGTATGGAAGGGAGAGGGTATACCTGCTTCTCTGCTTTATATATGCTGTTACAGACATGAGATCACAATACAGCATCCTAAATTTGCTTGCCAAAAAGCACACAGTTTAACTGTAATACCAAATGCCCAGAGATACCTAACGTGGCAAGATGAAAGAATAGTTACTCTCATCATCCCCCACAGTCACAGTTGTCTATTGCCTAAACTACTTGTCGAGGCCACTATGCTTTGAAGTTAAATCTGTGGACTTTGAAGCCATACAGTCCCGTGTTTAAATCCCCATTCTACCCTTCAAAACTGTGTTTACTTAACCTCTTTTCATAAGCCTACTTTCCTCTTCTGTAAAATGTCTACCTATTTGCAGGGGTTGTTGGGCAGCTGAAGTGAGATAACATACGAAATGCATTTGGCACAATGATTGGCACTTGGTGAGTGCTTAATAAATGGTAGCTATCACTTTAGATCTTTTGTTACCCTTGTCCCCCTTAACTTTAACCTTGTAAATTGAGGGCTCTGCTTTACTATACCTGATGGAGGTAGAGAATAATGTGGTTTATTACATCCCTACTAGCATTAACCCAGGATCAAGCACATAATGAGTGTTTCATATCTTGTTGCTGAATATCTGCAAGAGTGTGTCCCTGGAGGCATTAAATATCAATAGACTTGCTACAGAGTGTGATATCGCATTGTAGTGTACTACTTCCTCCTTCCTAGAAAGCCCTCTCTTCAATTTGCACCAATTGCATTCATAGCGCCCTCTGCTGGCTAGCAACAGATATTTGTCAATAACAACAAATAACCGCCCAAACTCAGCATGACATTTGCTCTGAAGGAACAGAAAGGAAGAAAACAGACATGTACTGAGCACTCGCTGTGTGCCAGGCAATGTCCTGGACACGTCCATCATCTGCACATGAAATTGTGTGGTTTGTGAGCGAACAGCCTCATCATCCCCCCATCAGGTCAATTCTCCCTATGTGTAAATTCTATGGCCCAAGCACCTAACAATCTATATTATTTTCCAGGTCAAAGGAAATAACAGGAGGATTAAAAATGTATCTCAGAAATCCATAGACAGAGCCCAAGAAGGCGGCAAAAGGGGGAGTCCTGGTTAATTTCAAGATGCCAAACAGCTTTCCGTCAATTTCCAGGACCTAATTTTCCCCCCTTCATTCTCAGAATTGATGTTTATGTTTCCACCAGGATAGAGACCAATTCTCCTTGGCATCCTCCATCAGAGAGAATCAGAAATTTTCCACCTGGGATGCTACAAACTGCATTTCTCAACACAGTTCTGGAATACAGGGTATGACCAGCATAGCTAATGCTAAATGATCAAACCTGAGGTGCTCTAACTTTATAACAATCGTCATCAGGCAGCTGGAGTTTCACCAAAGCGTGGCGCCTCTTGTTCTCCGAGATTCAAAGAGCAAGAGCACATCAATCTGGCAGCAGCTCCCCAAGGAAAGAGCAACATGAGGGGAGGTTGGGTGAAGGCTCTGTCACTTCCAACTGTGTGACTTTGGGCACATTGCTATCTTCCTCTGAGCCTCAGTTTACCCATTTTTGAAATGAGGATAAAAGCAGAACCTCATTCAGAGGGTTATTGGGAGGATTCAATAATAATACAGAGGTCTTAGCACAGTGCCTTGCTCATGGGAAATGTGCAGCAAATCTTAGCCAAGCTATAATAAGCAGTTTGGTGTTCATCCTTCTCTAAGAATATCCCTCACTCCACGCTCCAGTGAAACCCTTGGCAGCTATATTTATTCTCTCTGAGCCCCACCCCCTTATCCCACCTTCCCAGCCAATGGTGGCTGGACAGTGGAGGACACCTCCCTAAAACTGGACCAATCGGATTCTCCCTCCCACGAATCCCTGGGATAGAATTAAAGGGGCTATTCAGGCTCTGCTGGCTGTTTAAACTGAAGACATGGAAATTCAGGAGTCAGGAGGATGACATTTGCCACCATGTAATCACAAAAGAAGAGAAAGAGTCTGTGGCCACCGAGTGAGAGAGAAAGAAAGAATATAGGTATTCGTTCTAGTTTTAGACCTTTTCCAGCTCACAGTTCCAGGGTCATGGAAGACCTGGATGCACCTGCTCCCCATACACTTCCTGATACAGTCCCGGGGGCTTTTAACAAGCCCCACTTTTTCCTTAAGCTAGTCTAAGGAGATTTCTCTTACTTGGAGAAGAGTGCTGAGACCAAAGCAGAGACTTCAGGGCCCAGGCCCTTTTCTTGAGTATATGCAATTCCTTGGGATTTAATAAGGGATTCTACGAGAGAGGAAAGGAAAGGGAGGAAAAATACCACTTAATGGGCCCTTATTGGATAGCAGCTCCTCTGTGAGTGCACTCCTGAATGTGAGACAACTGTACAAGATTGGGACACTCATCACCATTTTAAACATGGTGAAATTAAAATTCAGAGAGGTCGAGGAAATGGCCCAAGGTCACACAACTTAAGATGTGGCAGAGCTCAGATCTGAACCCAGGTCCATCTGAATCCATGTAAGTATATCTCATAAATCTGGCCATCACAAACTGGGGCTTAACTCAGTGTCATCATCATCATCTCCATCACTATTATTCCCATAATCATTACTCACCACCAGAATCACCACCGTGATCATCATCACCATCCTAATGGATAAAATTTATTGTTATTCTATATTGTTAGACTATTCAAATAGTCTTCGTATTGAATATTTTATGCTCATTAGCTCATGACACGCCTTTGAAGAAAGCGGTGTTACCATCTCTATTTTACAGGTGAGGAAACAGGTTTTGCGAAGTTAAGTCACTCATCTGAAGTCACTTTGCATGTAGAGCTGGGATTCAAACCAAGTTTGTCTGAATCCCAAGCCTACCCTGTAAGACTACACTCTCCTGGAGGACAGGGGCTGCATCTCCTGTTTCTTTTGTATGCCCCATGATGCCTGGCACTGTGCTATGCATGCAGTAGTTGCTGAATAAGTATCTGCTGAGATGGATGAACAATATGGGAAGGATTTCAGAAGTGCCAAAAGAAAAAGGGTTAAATTTCCCTGCTTCAGGTCACCTTTAGAAATAGCTGGAAAGCCAGGGTCTGAACACCACCATTCCCCCAGCACAAAAGGATCTCTTACATGTTGATGATAAAGATGTTTGTCAAAAAGCCTTTTCATGAGGGGCTGAGTGACTTCCAGAAGTATGTTTAGCATCTCAAAGGGTGCAGTTCCCTCTTCAGTCCTTTTCCTTCTCTCCCTGACTGTGTCAAGCCATAAATAGATGCCAGAGAAGTCCTCTCTGACCCCCAACTCAAACCATGGGGACAATAAGAAAGTCAGACCATGTTTAGTGAGTGCTTCTATGTGCCAGGCACCTTGCTAGGTGCTCTCCTGAACCACATTGAGACAGCAGAGGTCATCTGACAATATAACACAGCAATTAGACACACAGGCTCTGGAGCCAGACTGCCTTAAACTCTGGATCCACCAGTCACTACGTGACCTTGGGCCTCAATGTTTCCATCTCTAAAATGGGATGATGTTATTAATGCTACTCTCTCCACTGGGCTATTGTGAGCATGAGATGAGCACATGGTTAGCATTCCATAAATGTGAGCAAGTGTTGACTCTCCCAATGACCCTGTGAAGTAGGTCATCAACCCATTTTGCAGATGAGAATACTGAGGCCCTTATGTGTGCAGTGAGTTGCCCAATACCACATGGCTAATGAGTGCAGAGACAAGATTGGAGCCTCAGCTGTTCACATCCTAGTGCTCTGCCCTTTACCATTCATACTATCCCATTATCATAGAGTACCTGTTCATTGTGCCTTCACCCTGGGAAGGAGAAAAGGTCAAGCCTTCTGTCCTCTGCAAGACCCTCTGTTGCTCTTCCAATGGCTTGTTTTTGTCACAGTCACACATAACTGCATGCTGTTGACACAGAAGTCAATATTCAAGGTTTCCTCCATGCATTTTTTTCACTCATTACATATTTATGGTGCCATGCACTAAAATAGGTGTGGGGAACAAAGTGATGGGCAAGACAGGTTTGGCTTCTGAACCTCATGGAGCTCAGTTTTGCAGGGGATGCAGACATTCATCTAAAATTCATGCAAATATCTAATTGTGGCTGTGCCTAGAAAGAGTGGTATTGGTGCTCAGAGGATCTGCAATGGAGGAAGTGACCCAAGAAGAGGGTTGGAGAAGGCTTCTCTGCCAAGACAATGGCCAACATAGGGTGTGACCGATTAAAGTCATTATCCACATGAAGGAGGGAGAGAAAGCCATTTCATGTAGAAGAAACTGCATAGGCAAAGGCCCTGTGGCAGGAGGGAGCATGGAAGTAGGAGAGACTGAAAGGAGACTTGACTGGGTGCAGCAGAGAGAGAAAGGAGCATGTTATGGGGTGAAGCTGGAGACACCACCAGGAATCAGACCATAGGGGACTTGGGACTTGAGCCAAAGGCTCAGACCAATGTCACAAAGCAAAATTAGGATTCCCTTTATTTACTTCTTCATTTTTGTGAGTTCTGTGAGGGCAGGTGCTATAGGTTGGATATTTGTCCTCCAAAACCTCATGTTGAAGTTTGATCCCCAATGTTGGAGGTGGGGCTTAATGGGAGGTGTTTGGTTTATGGGGGCAGATCCTTCACTAATGGCTTGGTGCTATCCTTGAAGTAATTAGTGAGTTCTTGCTCTGTTAGTTTCCCCCAAGAGCTGGTTGTTAAAAAGAGCCTGGCGCTCACTCAGTCTCTCTCTCTCTCTTGCCTCTGTTGCCATGTGAAATCCTCACATGCTGGCTCCACTTTGCCTTCTGCTATGAATGCAAGCAGCCTAAAGCCCTCACCAGAAGCAAATGCTGGTACCATGCTTCTTGTACAGCCTGCAGAACTGTGAGCCAAATAAATCTCTTTTCCTTTTAAGTTACCCAGCCTCGGGTACTATTTTGTAGCAACACACAAATGAACTAAGACAGCAGAAATGTTGTCTATTTGGTTTAGACATGATACTGCTCTTGCAGTATCAAATACAGAAACAGATACAGATATTGCTGTATCCTGTCTAGAATGGTATACAGAACACGGTAGGTACTCTATAAACATTTTAGAATGAGTGTGTTATTTATTCATTCACAAACATGCACTGCTTCATACAAAATCCTGGTCTAGGTTCTGATGGTCCCTGCCCTTGAGTAATTCACAGCTAGTGAGGAAGACAGACAGTGCACCAGACTGAGTACGGCAATAGGGACCATGTCTTTGTCAACTCTGCACCCTCTACAAGAGCAAGTAGATCTTTAGATCTTTTGATCTACAGGCAAGTATAGCATAATAAAGATCTCCATCTTTATTATGCAGATCCCTGGGCCCTAGTCTCAGACAATCTAACTTGATAGCGCATGTGTGGGGACTGGGACTGCATTCTAACAAGGGCTCCTGTTGATTCTGAGGCAGAAAGTTCTCCAAAAACACTCTTAAGAAACACTGTTTTTGGCTGGGCGCAGTGGCTCAAGCCTGTAATCCCAGCACTTTGGGAGGTCGAGGCAGGTGGATCACCTGAGGTCAGGAATTCAAGGCCAGCCTGGCCAACATGGTGAAACCCCTTCTCTACTAAAAATACAAAAATTAGCTGGGTGTGGTGGTGCACACTTGTAATTCCAGCTACTTGGGAGCCTGAGGCAGGAGAATCACTTGACCTGGGAGGCGGAGGTTGCAGTGAGCTTAGATTGCACCACTGTACTCCAGCCTGGGCGACAGATTAAGACTCCATCTCGTTAAAAAAAAAAAAAAAAAAAAAAAAAAAAAAAAGGAAGAAAGAAAAGAAAGAAAGAGAAAGAAAGAAAGAGAGAGAGAGTGAAAGAAAGAAAGAAAGAAAGAAAGAAAGAAAGAAAGAAAGAAAGAAAATAAAAGAAACACTTTTCTAGAATACTGCTCAGTACACAAGAGCTTTGTATAAAGTTGATGAGTGACTAGAATGGACTGAGTCATTAACAGGAAACAACCTATAATGTAATGAGATTAAATGCCATCCTAACAAGGCACATGGAAAGAACTACAGAAGTGCATGTAAGAATGTGATCGCAGACCTGGGAAGGCTTCCAGGAGGAAGTGACTTTCAAGTTGAGTTTTGTAGGCTGCAATGACATTTTTCAGGTGGACAGGTGAAAGAGAAGCCTCCAGGCAAAACACACAGCATTGAACCATAAACAGCCAAGGACCAGGACACACCTAGGGGAGCAGCTGGAAATGAAGCAGCAAGGCAGGCTCCCTTGGTCCAGAAGATGTGATCCACAGCAGAGAGCCCCAAGGGGTTCATTTGGGCTTCATCAGTTCCTTGGTGATCCCTTACTCCAGGTGACCCCCAACCCTTGAATATGCACTACAGCCCACTATAAGGAGCACCAAGCTCCTTCTTGCCTGCCCTACACTGGACTCACTGAGAAGGGAAGTGCCATGCTCAGTTGTCTTCCATTTAAACAGGTCCTAAATGAAAACTGCATAGCAGAACATCAGCAAAACAAAACAAAGTTTCTGGGGGAAGAGGGGAGAAGTTTCAGCTGTAGACACATGTAGAGCTAAAACTGTCACCTGCCCAAGGTTGGGGCCCTGGATGAATGGGGCTGTACACATGGTGAGGAGACACAGGGCGAACCTGAGATATGAAAAAAGGAGCAAAGGAAGGTGAGTCCTATCTCCTGCTGCAATGCCTACCACCATCACCATTACCATCACCACCACCATCACCATCACCACCACCACCACCACCATCACCACCACCATCACCATCATCACCATCACCACCACCATCACCACCACCACCACCATCACCATCACCACCACCATCACCATCACCACCACCACCAACATCACCACCATCACCATCATCACCATCACCATCACCACCACCATCACCACCATCACCATCACCACTATCACCAACACCGCCACCACCACCATCACCATCACTGCCACCACCACCATCACCATCACTGCCACCACCACCACCATCACCATCACCATCACCACCACCACCACCATCACCACCACCATCACCACCACCATCACCATCACCGCCACCATCACCATCACCATCACCACCACCACCACCATCACCACCACCATCACCACCACCATCACCATCACCATCACCGCCACCATCACCATCACCACCACCACCACCATCACCACCACCATCACCATCACCACTGCCATCACCATCACCATCACTATCACCATCACTGCCACCATCACCATCACCATCACCACCACATCACCACCACCATCACCATCACCACCACCACCATCACCACCACCATCATCATCACCACCACCATCACCACCACCACCATCACCATCACCATCACCACCACCACCACCATCACCACCACCACCACCACCATCACCACCACCATCACCATCGTTATCACCATCACTGCCACCATCACCATCACCACCACCACCATTGCCATCACCACCACCACCATTGCCATCACCACCACCATCGCCATTGCCATCACCATCGTCACCACCACCACCATCAACACCATCACCATCACCACCATCACCATCACCATCAACATCACCATCCCCAAACTCTGCATTAGCCCTCTGAGGAGGCTGCATTTGAGCTAAGCTTTACATGACAAGGAAAGAGCCTTCCAAGCAGAAGGAACAGCAAGTTTAAAGGTCCTGTGGCAAAAAGTCTGGGCAGGTCCTAGGCAGTGACAGAAGGCCAGAGGGACTGGTGCATAGCAAGGGAGAGAGGCAGGGGCCAGGCCATGCAGTGCTGGACAGGGTAGGTAAGGAGGCCAGGTTTGTTCTAAGGTTGATGGGATGATAATGAAGGGTTTTAAGCATGTGAGAAACAAGATCTGATTTATATAAAAGATGACTCTGGCTGGCATGTAAAGGATGATGTATAGGCAAGGGAGGAAGCAGGGAGACCAGCTAGCAGGCTACTGCAATAATCCAAGCAAAAAATGCTCACAGCTTGGATTAGGGTGGTAGAGTGAAGATGGAGAGAAGGGGACAGATTTAAGAGACATACTCTGAAGATAAAACAGTCAAGATTTGACCTCGTATTTGATGTTGAGCTGAGAGAAAGAAAGGATTTATTTCATGTGACTGCTGGATTTATGACCTTACTGCATTAGTCTTTTTGTTTTGCTTTATTTTTACAAGTGTGGAAGGATACCTAGAGAGATCATATAAGTCATGCAGAGTAAATTATCACACAGCTAGGACCAGTCTGACCCAGCCTTTGAATTCTAGTGGTTTGACCTGAGTGCTTGTGCTCTTAACCACCACCCCCAATGCTGCCACAATTAAACAAAGAGGATGTGGGAGTCAAGAAACCAGGTTGAAACTCTGCTCAGTCACTGTGTGACTCAGGCAAACCCATTTATGTCTGAGCCTCAGTTTGCTCAAGTGTATGATGGGAATAATAATAGTGTCCAGAAGAAGAATATAAGAACTATATGAAATTTATTTATTCATGCAACAAGTATTTATGAAGCATCCACCATGTGCTAGGCACTGTTCTAGGCACGTGGGATATATCAATGAGCAAAAGAGTTCAAGATTCCTCCTCCTGAGTTGCCTACACACTAGGAAGGAGACAAACAACAATCCTAATAAATGAGTAGATTATCTAGGATTTACAAAGTGATAAATTTTACCAAAAACCAATAACACAGATCAGGTTCTAGAGGGCCAGGGGTGCCAGGGCAGAGCAGGGGAGGGGTGTGGGCTGAGGTTGCAGCAGGTTGGGTGATGAAGATGGTTGGGATGGTCTTCCTCGCAATGGTGAGCTCTGAGCAAAGGCTTGAAGGAGGTGAGGGAATGTGCTAAGCAGATAGGTAGGGAAGGAACATTCTAGAAAACTGAAGCAAAGCCCTGGGCAGGAGTTGACCTGCAGTGTCCAAGGAACAGCAAGGAAGCCAGGGTGGCTGGAATGGAGTGATCCAACCAGAGAGTTGCAGGGAAGGAGATTAGAGGAACTCTAGTGGTGTGACCTGAGTGCTTGTGCTCTCACAGACCATGCGTGGCTGTGTGGGCTGCAGTAAGGACTGGTGTTTTCCTGAGTAAGCTGTTGCTTTTGAGCCATGGTGTGATACAACCAGGCTTATGTTTTAAAAACTAGGGTGTGGCAAGTGAGACACTTGCTTTGAGCTAAAAATCCCCCCAGTAATCAAGATAAATAATATTTTAATACAACCTTTTTTAAAATTTCAAAATTTATGCAAAAAAATCCATCACGAACAAAATATCAACATTTTTAAATAAAATATAAGATTAGCGTTCTGATTTTTCCTTTTGCCTCAGACTCCCATATAGCTTGGCATAGAACTGGGCAACTGTAATGAGAGGAGAGGGAAGACAAGGAAGGGTAGGAGCAGTTAGGAAACGGGTGGAATAATCGGGGTTCATAGTAACAGGGGGCAGGACCAAGCTGCTGGCAGCAAGGGTATGAGGATGCCATCTAGCCCTGGAAATGTTCTGCAGGTAGCACCAACAGAACCACCTACAGATTAGATGCAGAGGTCTGAAAAAGGAGAAACATCAAGGGTAGCTCCAAGGTTTTTGACTTGAGCAATTTAAAGGGAGATAAAATATAAAATACCTGAGAGCCAGCACATAGTAGGTGCTCAATAAATGTTGCATTGT
This sequence comes from Homo sapiens, assembly GCF_000001405.40. Lineage (NCBI taxonomy): Eukaryota > Metazoa > Chordata > Mammalia > Primates > Hominidae > Homo > Homo sapiens. The sequence goes on along the minus strand of NC_000012.12, from coordinate 118,705,289 downwards.
CACTCCCTGTGTGTCTATATCCAAGGATCACATCTGTGTGTGAGAGAGAAACAGAGAGAGGGGGAGGGAGGGAGGGAGAGAGGGAGGGAGGGAGAGGGAGAGAGAGAGAGAGAGAGACTAATCTTGATCTTGATAGCTTGTATCTGATTTAAATAAAAGTGCGTCTTGATTTTAAATAAGAATGCCCTTAGAAAGCACTCAGCATGGTTTCTGGTAGGTGCTCAGTAAAGACAGCCATTGCTGTTATCATAATTATTACATTTTGAGTAAATAATTGCTCTTTTTGACAGATCTCATATTTTTATGGCTTTCCTGGCTTGGGATAATAAATCTGTGCTTCCTTGGATGACTCAGTAATGACAATAAGAGATTCTTCTTACCCACAGAAATGGCTTTCACCATGAAAAACAAAAGCAAAAGCAAAATAAAAACAATCTCCTGCTGCAAGCACTTGCTAAGTGGAAATATGAGATGTGGCTAAATCGTTTCCACAATCAAGTTCCATAAAAACCCTTGAGCCCTACAGTGTCCGCAAGTTTCTTGTCCTAAAGCAAAAGCTCTCAATGGGGATGGTGTTGCCCCCTGGGGGAGAGCTGGAACATTGTGGAGCTTGTTTAGATTGTGACCAGGACTGGCGATGTGCAATGCCTTCACATAAATATCCTCCCAAACATGCACATCTGTAAAAAACAAATTCATCATAATCGTCTGAGCCTAACTCTAACTCCCTTGTACATATAAACCCTCTTAAAAATTTCTGCATGGTTTAAGTAGACATTGAGTTGTAAAGGGATACAACTACTAGGTCAATTGATCAAGGATTAATCTTCGTTTTGTTAAGAGCTTTAATAAAAGTTGTGTGCTGTTTCAGAAAATCAGGTCATGGATAGCAGCCCTGCGCATGATAGGTGACACAACACATCTGTACAAGTTTGTGTTTGTAGTTGTGGCTCTCAGAGATTTTATATATAGAAGTAATTATTTGGCGTTATCATTATGTTTTATGGTAGAGTCCTATGCAACACTGACATATTGAAATACTATACAGGTACTATCTTACTGTAAGTGTTTTCACTTTATTCTCTATTATAATACTGTTAGGACGTAATACTGATTTTTTGAAGTTATATGTATATATAGATTATATTATCTGTGAAAATCATTTCCAGAGAGTAAAGAGGGTGCTATAAAATTTTTCTATTATAAAAAGGGGCATTGAGTCTGACTAAGGACTGACATCATCTAAATGCTACTATTGAGCTCTGGAAAGTAAAGTATGACCCGTGAACTTGGGGACAGCTGCCAAAACTCTTCATATTTCAAGAGAAACTGAGCATCCATGTATGTATACACAAGCTTTTGATTTTTAAAGAAATGGAGAGTAGTTTCAAAATATATACTAACATGATTCAGACCAAATAATTACATATTTTGGATAGATGTAGCCAGACTGTGATGTCAGCTCTAAAACTAGGTGTGTTTGACAGAGCAACCAGGGGAGGTGTGCGACCTCTCTTTAGTGTGTGTGTAATCATTCAAGTTGCCATTTATTAAGTGTATACAGTACATTGTAGAGTTTATACCCATTATCCTGCTTTCATAAGAAGTCTTTAAGGTAAGTAGTGTCAATGTCACAGATGGGAAAACTGAGGCTTGGAGAGGTGAAGCCACTTAGCTTAGCAAGTGAAGCCAAGGTTGTCAACCAACTCTAGGGTTTTATTATTAATCATAGTAATTACTGTCCCCCAAAACACATTTTAGTGCCCACTGTTTGCCTGACCCAATGCACAGTACATTACAAAAATTCTCTTGTCCAATCATTACAATCACCATGTTTTGAGGCACATATTTTTATCCCCAGTTCCTAGATATGAAGGTGAAGCTCAGAGAGAAGCACTTCCTCAGGTCTTACAGCCAGAAAGTGCCAGAGTGACCTCTGTCATCCCTGCCAGGTCTGGCTGATCCCAACACTCATATGATCAACCACAATTGCTATATTGCCCTCCAAGAGAAAAAAAAGCAATAATAATAGTGAGCAAACCCCTTCTATAACAAGTGCTTTTTTTCACTGTGTCTGCACTGGAGATTGTCAACTTTGATTACTCATAAGGATCACCTGGGTGATTAGACAATCTTGATGCCTGGGTTCACTCCCAGAAAGTCTCGTTTCCTTGGTCTGAGATATGACCTGGGTACCAGCATTTGTAAAAGTTCCTCCAGGTGATTCTAATCATTGGCCTAACATCCCTCTCTCCCCACACCTCCAACTACCTGGGCCAGATCAATGGTTGTCGACTCCAACAATGTGCTGGAAGCACCTGAGGGCATTTTTTTTTTCTGGTTACAGGTGCCCAGACCCCAACCAAAAGATTTATTTTCAGCTGGTATAGGAAGGGGCCTATTCATTGATGCAGATTAAAAAGCCTCCCCGGCGATTCTAGTATGCAGCCAAGTTTGCAAACCACTGAGCCAGGTATAAGCAATGTCCTATTTTGCTTATGAGGTAACTGAGGCTCACAGAGGTGAAATGACTTTATCAAGGTCGCATATCTAGTAAACTGTGTCTTTAACCACTATTTTAAGATATGTTGAAAACTGGAAAATGGCTTTCTCTTCCACTAAATGCAGGTTGCTGCTAGATACTCCAAGTTCTTTACCTGATGGAAGTTCTGTTGCTGCTGTAACAAACAATCCCAAACTTAGTGGCTTAAAAACACACATTTATTATCTTACTGTTGTGAAGGTTGTTTGTGCTAAATGGTCTCAGTGGGCTAAAATCAAGGTGTCTCGCAGAGCTGCATTCCATTCTGGAGACTTTAGGGGAGAATCCATTTTCTTGCCTTTTCCTGATTCCAGAGGCTGTTTTCCTTGGCTCATGGCCACGTCCTCTGTCTTCAAAGCCAGCAATGGGGGTCAAGTATTTCTCATGCTGCATCACTCTGACACTGGCCCTTCTTCCTCTTTCTTCCACGTCTAAGGACCCTGTGATTATATTGGTCCCACCTGGCAATTCCAGTCTTAATGTCAGCTAATTAGCAAACATAATTCTAACTGCTACCTTAATTCCTCTTTGCCTTGTAAAATTACATATTCACGGGTTCTGGAAATTAGGATGTGGAAATCTTTGGGAGGCCATTATTCTGCCTGCCACACCTGCTTTCTCATCATGGAGGCTGTTTCACTCACAGCCAAGGAATCAGGCAACCCCAGTCCACAGGAGCAGTGTGTCTTACTTTGACTGCAAGCATTCAAGGGAACAGCCCATTAAGTAGGGTGACAGTTTACAAAATTGTTTGGCATCACATGGATCTAATTTTCTTTCTCTCGCTCTTTTTTTTTTTTTTTTTTTTGAGACAGAGTCTGGCTGTCGCCCAGGCTGAAGTGCAGTGGTGCAATTTCAGTCACTGCAACCTCCATCTCCCGAGTTCAAGCAGTTCTCCTCCTTCAGCCTCCAGAGTAGCTGCGATTACAGGCATGGGCCACCATGCCCAGCTAATTTTTGTACTTTTAGTCGAGACAGGATTTCACCATGTTGGCCAGGCTGGTCTCAAACTCCTGACCTCAGGTGATCCACCCACTTTGGCCTCCCAAAGTGCTAGGATTACAGGCGTGAGCCACTGTGCTCAGCCATGGACCTAATTTTCCATATTTAGTCATCCATGTGGCATTATTGGCCAAGTCATGATGTTTAACACAGCTTAGTCAATCACTGCCAGGTAGTCAAGCAACCATATTCCAAGGAGAAGAAAACTAGATAACTTCCTGTCAAGCCAGAGAATGATAGGATCCCAGGGTAAGTATGGTCCTTCAAGGCCACCATAGTCCAGCCTATCATCTGATGCTAACCCCCCTCTCCAAATTGTTATCTTCCTTCTACTTGGTTCCTCCAGGGACAAGGAAAACATTAGCTCTTAAGCAGCCCATGACATCTTTGAACTGCCCTGACTCTTTAAAATGGTTTTCTTCCTTACTACGTGGCTGTTGAAAATTTTGAGATAGATCTATTTGAACTGAAACAGAAAAATCTCCAAGATGCATTCTTAAGGGCAAAAAGCAAGTTGATGGACTACTATATGCCTAGAATGATCTAATTAGTATGCAAACCTTCTAAGTGCATATGTAATTGCATAGGAAAAGAATCTGCAATCACAAATCAGTAGCAATGGTCAACTTTACTGGGAAGAGGGAAATTCAGAGGGATTAAGTCCATATTTTTCTGAATTGTAATGATACATACCTCCTAAGTTGCTGCAAGGGTGAGATGAAATAAAGCAAGTAAAATATTTAATACGGACTTCTTATGTTACACTAAATGCTAAATAAATGTTAACTAAATTTTTTTAATTGCAGAAAAGTTTCAAAAAGATGTCAATGGTGATTATGGATTTTTTACTTGCTCATTTAAATTTTTTTCTAAAATGAGCATTAACTTTCAAGCAGAAAGAATAAGAAATCACTTCTACATTAGCTTGGATTGCATTTGGCTGCAAATAACAGAAAAACCTAACTAGCAGTGGCCTAGACAAAAACAAAAAAAGGAAAGTTGAGGGGGTTGTTTTTATCTCTTAGAAAGATGTCCAGAAGTAGGTGGCTGTGGTCATTAGTTCAGTCATCAGGAACCCAGGGACATTTGTCATTCTTAGCATATTAATGTTCTTCCTCATCCTTGTCACTTCATGGCTTCAAGATGATCACTTCATCTACAGACAAACTTTTCAAGCAGAAAAAGAGAGGGAAGATAGTGTCAGCTATCTTTTCCCTTTTCTTGGGAAACACCATTTTCCCAGAAGCACTCACAACAGACTTCATTTAGTTCCCATTGACCTGATTTGTGTCATTTCTAGCTGCAAGAGAGGCTGGCAATGTGAGGAACAGGTTTGTCATCATTGACTTTGACTAGTCAGGACTCATAGCCTAGGATTGGGTAAACCACTGCCTGTAACCAAAAACGGGGTTCTGCCATCAAGCAACAAGGGGGTTTAGATACTGGGTACACACATGTCTATCACAGCTTCCAATTATGGAGCCTAAATCTCCACCCCAAGCATCCACCATTTATCCTAGTTATTATCTACAACAATTTAGGCCTTATTAATAACTCCACTTATAAGGCTGCTTTCAGTCTGAAAATATCACTTATTTGAAATCTCATGGGGAACCCAGCAGGATCAGAACTGGGATTGACAGATTTCCACCTGTGGAGATGAGTAATGGTTCTTCCTCCAAGTATTTATATACATCCCAGTGAAACATAAGACAGAGGAAAAACCTTGAATCCTATCCACAGTTGGGATGTATACATGTTTGAACATTTTCTAAGAGGAGATGGAGCAGGCAGTGGAAGCCCAGTTGCATGGAGGGATGGCTCAGGTCCTAAGGGAAATTTCATCATAAAATGAAAAGGAGACTGGCACTGAGGAGACCCAACTACAGAATCTGCAGGGAAGAGGGAAGTGGGAGGTCTAGGTTAAGATGCAACAGCTGGATCTTGACATAAGCCAAATGATGGGCTATGTGTGTGTGAGTATTTGTGTCCTGGGGAGAAAAGAGATTCTAATAAATATTGAGGTGAGACCTCTTCAAATTAAATGTAGCAAGGACAGATAATGTATTTTCACACTTCACAACACAATACTGACCTACCACGGCACTGTGAGAATTGAAAGCCTGAACAGCTGCTTAGAAAAGAGGTTGAGAGCACAGGTTCTAGAATCAATGTAGAATCTAGAATGGCAAATGTCCCTGGGTCCCTCATGACTGAACTAATGACAGCAGCCATGCACTTCTAGACATCTTGCTAAGAGATAAAAACAACCCCCATTTCCATTTTCTGTCTAAGCCACTGTTAGATTTTCTCTTATTTGCAGCCAAAAGCAATCCAAGCCAATATAGAAGTGATTTCTTATTCTTTCTTCTTGACAATAAATGCTTATTTTAAAAACTTTTAGTGGGCAAGTAAAAAAGTCCATAAATAAGCACCATTGACATCCTTTTGAACCTTTTCTTGATTTAAAATATATGAGCGCACATCCCACCTCTACCAGCTGCTAGCTGTATGACCTTGGGCAAGTTGCTTGACTTTCATGAGTTTCTTCCTCTGTAAAATGGAAATAATAATAATATATACCTTAAAATATTGTCACGAACATTAAATAGGGTAACATCTAAAGAGCTTAGCACAGTGCCTGGTGTCTAGTAAGTTCTTGCTGTTTGCTAGCTATGAGTATTATTGTGCAAAAGCATCAAGACCACCAACAATTACAGTGGGATCTCAGAACAGTCAAGAACAGGAGTTACTAAAGCCAGAACTGATTCAAAAGTACACACATAACGTGAATCAAATTCAGGCTCCCATGTGGCGCAGTCTGGAACACTGTAGAATTTAAAGAAACTCAGCCCAGCAACCAAAAGTATGCTAGTCCAGTCTTTTGCATCTCTTGGTCAGCATTAAAGGGGGATCAAATTCACGATCTACAGAAACCCTTCTTTAAAGGACCCCTTTCTTTCACCAATTCCCCCTACACCTCTTCAGCACATTCCTCGCTCCCAACTCTCCCTCCAAACCTCCAAATCCCCCTATTCATGAGTGTCTCATACAATCTCTCCCTCTCATATAATTCTGTTCTCTTTTTCTCCCTGACAAGTCAGTCTATGTTGTTTCAGAAGAAAATCCCACCTTTCCTCCCCTGGTTCTTCATCCACTGATTAGCATTTTCTGCATTTGAGCCTGGGGTAAGCGAGAATGGAAATAATACTAAATGGACAGTGCCAGAAATCATCACAAGAGAATGAGAAGTAGGCAAAATGTCACAGATAGGAATACATTCATAAATTCTGACTGCTTTTTATGTAAGGCGCCTTTCTTTTGCTAACTTGATCATTCCACAAGTATTTATTTGTGCCGGGCACAATTCTTGGCACAGGGATATGGGGATGGTGATACATGGTCTCTGCTTTTAGGAGCTTGTCCTCATCTCTTTCCATCTTTATCCACCTCCTAGGATGGAGGATGCTCCAGATGATCCAGGACCCAGCCAAGTGCAGATGCTCAATCCCCGCAAGAAAGTTCTCCTGAAGACCCCTGCTGGAGGGTGGTATTCCAATCTGGATGACTATTTCCAGCCTCTCCTTAACAGTCTAGGGAAATGAAGACACTGAGTTGACAGTGGCCTTGAAAGATCCAGCGAGAGATTCCAACACATTTATCACCAGCCTGGGAGCCACAGTTCAGCCTCACTGACTTGTAAAATCCACACTAAACTCAGTGCTGACTCTTCAGCTTCTGCATTTGATTTAGACCCCAGTTAGGGCCCCTAAGGCCTGGTACTGACAAATCACCATTTCCCAGGACTGTTCTACCTAACATGGGGGTTTAAAGAGTGCCAGAAACCAGTGAAAGGAATCAGACTTGCTTCACCTACTAGGCACAGATTCAAAAAGCCACAGGGGTCCCCAACCCCCAAATGCCTCCTCATCTTGGCACGTCTCCCTCCATAGTACTAATCACATTTAGGATTATCATACTAAAATCTGTCTTCTCTGATGGAATATTAGCTCTTGGAGGACAGGGGTCATATCTGACATATTCACGGCTCTACCCCCAGCATCAAACCCAGTATATGGCACATAGTAATTACTCAATAAATATATGTTAATTTCATCATACATGATATTGCTTGAGGAACAAAACAACAAGTATGGTAATAATAATATTTAGCCAACCAATAGAGTGTTAATGGCTTACATCCATTATCTTAAACAAAAAAAGTCAGAGAGGCAAGATTTATATCCTGACTTAGCCATTTCCCAAATGCCTACCTTTGGGCAAGTGATTTAAGCTCTCTAAGCCTCAGTTTCCTAATTTGTAAGAGGTTAGCAATAATAATACCAAACTCATATCCATGTAAAGAGTGTGGCATAGGAGCAATATTTTTAAAGAACCCAGTCCCCAGTACTTATCAAAATTTTAACTGCTCATGTCTACTAATCCAGCAATTTAATTTTTAGGAGCTTCTCCAATAGAAAAGTTTGTGCAGCTGTGAAAAGACAATGTGCAAGAATGTTCATTGCAACATGATTTGAAATGAAAAACTGACAGCAACCTAAGTGTCCAATAGGGGATGGCCACATAAATTATTATATAGTGTATTAGCTCCTACAGCTGCCGTTACAAATTACCACCAACTGGGTGGCTGCAAACAGCAGATATTTATTCTCTTACAGTTCTGGAGAAGTCTGAAATCAATGTGTCAGCAGCGCCATGATGCCTCCAAGGGCTCTAGGGGAGAATCCATTCCTCGCCTCTTCCAGCTTCTGGTGGCTGTTGTCATCCTTGGCTTGTGGCCACATCCCTCTGCTTTGTCTTCATATGCACCTTCTCCTATGTGGGCTTTTGTCTGTGAGTAAAATATCCCTCTGCATCTCTCCCATAAGGATACATGTGATGACATTTAGGGCCCATGGAGTAATCCAGGATGATCTTTTCATCTCAAGATCTTTAATCACATCTGCAAGATCCTTTTTTAAATTAAAGTAACTTGTACAGATTTGTTATGAACTGAATGTGTCCCCCCAAAACTCCTAAGTTGAAACCCTAAACCCCCAGTGTGATTGTATTTAGAAGTGAGGCCTTTGGGAGGTAATTAGGATTAGATGAGGTCATAAGGGTAGGGTTCTTGTGACGGGATCACTGCCCTGATAGAAAGAGACACCATAGAGCTTGCTCTCTCTTTCACCCCCTCATGCACACAAAAGTCATGTGAGCACATAGCAAGACTGTAGCCACCTACAAGCCAAGAGAAGATCCTTCAGAATGAAACCTACCTTGTTAGCACCTTGATCTTGGACTTCTTAGCCTCTAGAACTGTGAGAAATAAGTTCCTGTTGTTTAAGCCAGCCCATCTATGATATTTTATTATGGCAGTCTGAGGAGGCTGAGACAGTGTTCCAGGGATTAGAACATGGACATATCTTTGGGGCCACCATTCAGCTCACTACATACTGTATGGGATGGAACACTATGCAGTCATCGAAAAGAATAAGGCTATTTTAGTGTCCAGGTGACCAATGGTAATAACTTGCACTAGGGTAGAGAAGGGAAGATGGAGATAGGGAGCAAATTCTAGATGTTTCTGACAGTGGAGCTGAGAAGACTTACTTATATTTTGAATGTGGAGGATGAAGGAAGGAGAAGAATACTTCTCCCATTGCTGCAGCAGGGGAAAGAGAGCTAGATGATCATACAGGATGATTTCAGGGCTAGGCTTAGAATCTGGATATATACATACTTTATTTCTTATCGAAGCACGAAATACAGACAGCAAAATACACAAACTTTCACTGTATAGCCCAATGAATTTTTAAAATAATTTTTACTGATACAAAATAGATGTACATATTTTGGGGGTACCTGTGAAAATTTAATACATTCATATAATTCGTAAAGATTGTATCAGTGTAATTGAGATATCCATCATCTTAAATATTTGTCTTTTCTTTATGTTAGAAACATTTGAATTATCCTCTTCTAGCTATTTTGAAATATGCCATAGATTATTGTAAATTACAGTCACCCTACTGATCTACCAAACACTAGGTCTTATTTCTTCTATCAAACTGCATATTTGTACCCATGAATCAACTTCTTTTAGTCAATAAATTTTTTCATTTGTATTTACCCATGTAACAACCATACAGAGAATCATTTATGTAACATTTTTAGCAGCCCACAAAATTCTTTTGGACTCCTTCTAAATCAAAACCACCCACCCATGCAGAGGTAACCAGTATTCTGACTTCTCTAAGTGTTAGATGTTCTTAAACTTCATATAAAAGTCCTTTTTTTTTTTTTTTTTTGAGACAGAGTCTTGCTCTGTCACCCAGGCTAGAGTGCAGTGGCATGATCTCAGCTCACTGCAACTTCTTCCTCCCGGGTTCAAGCAATTCTCCTGTCTAAGCCTCCCAAGTAGCTGAAATTACAGGTGTGCACCACCACGCCCAGCTAATTTTTGCATTTTTAGTAGAGACAGCCTCTCACCATGTTGGCCAGGCTGGTCTCGAACTTCTGTCCTCAGGTGATCCACCCGCCTCAGCCTCCCAAAGTGCTGGGATTACAGGCGTGAGCCACCGCTCCTGGCTGATATAAAAGTTCTTTTGTACCTGATTTCTTTCACTCATCACTATGACTCTGAGATTCATTTATGTTGTTGCATGTATTTGTAGCCTGTTCTTTTTTATTGCTGTCTCATGTTCTACTGTCTCCAGATGGAATCTACAGGATTTGCTAATTGGGTGTGAGGGAAAGAGAGGAATCAGGGTCTCGTTTCAAGCCTCTGGAAGGATGGAGTTGCCATTAGCTGAGATGGTAGAGTTGTGGGAGGAGTAGCTATGAGGTGGGTGGACAATAATGATCAGGAGCTCACTTTGGGATATGGTTAAGTTTGACTTGCTCTTTAGACATCCAAGTGTTGATGGTGAGTAGGCTGTTAAGTCATCAGACAATAAGGGAGAGTAACAATGAGAGGGAGAGGTGACTGCAACAAGGTAGGGTAGTGGATGAGGAAGGGATAACAGGAAATTCAGAGCTGGGAACGAGGAAGGATTGGGAAGTGGCTAGCAGGAGCAAGGAGAACACTGACCTCACTTCCGGGGCCAAGAGTATGAGGCATGTGCGAAAAAAAACATCCCCCAAGAGGGCTCTAGGGGAAGACACATTACAGCAACAGGGAAAGAGGATATCCACAGAAGGGGCTGTAACGTGCCAAACTCACCAATTTTCCAGGAGCCTGTCACCCACTCACAAGCAGACATCCCAACACCCACCCACAGAGATGCATTGGCAGCCCCAATTTTGAAGTTTAAGGCTACTGCCGGCATTAGCCATCTGATCCACTTTCACTGCTGTTTATCCTCTTGTTATTCTTAACATCTGCAAAGTATTCAATGGAATTATGACAGCATGCACCGTGACCATTCCCCGTTGCTTGCCAAGCTAATTCACTCCTCGGTCTCCAGCACAACTTACAGCGCAGCCTTGGCTGAACTCAGGAGACCTGAGTCCCAAACCCACCTCTGCCGCTGACGTAATGTGTGACTTTCAGGATGACCCTGCCCTTCTCTGATCTCAGCACCTGGCTCTATAAAAGGGATGAGAAGAGTGCAGATAAAGAAAGTGTGGGCTTTGGAATCAAGCACACTTTATATAGAAAATGAACATATGTGGTTTGACGTGCCCAGAATCCATTCACTCTTCTGATAAAAGTTCTCTGATTTTCTTTAAGAAATATCCCCCACTACACCACACACTTTCAGCCCTTAAAGTTCAGATGGAGTTGATGACTCACCCGCTATATTGTCCAATCAGAATCACAATAATTTGTTTTGGGATGTGCAGTGACCTAATTCATGTCCATGGGCATCAACCATGGAACTTTTGTTCAAACTACTGGGAAAAGATTTTCCTTCTCACTGGTTGGATCAGCTAGCGGGCTTTAGGCTATGGCTGCTTGGAGACATCTTGCTTCAGAAGATTTGGGTCAAATTGTAAAGAAGCCTTTATGTTATGCTAAGAAGTATGAAGGCTTTGCCCTGAAGTTGAGGGCAGGGAACGTCCGAATTTTTTTTTTTTTTTTTTTTTTTGCCAGAGTATCTATAAACAGAAGAGAAGGACAAATTATGTAACTGTTCATTCTGAAGTACTGAACCCATGACTTCAACTGCAAAATATCACCAACAACTCTTGTTGTCTCAGCTTCTATACACACATGCATACTTTGATTACTTGTTTTAGGCCGGGCACAGTGGCTCACGCCTGTAATCCCAACACTTTGGGAGGCTGAGGCAGGTGGGTCATCTAAGGTCAGGAGTTCAAGACCAGCCTGGCCAACATGGTGAAACCTCATCTGTACTAAAAAAATACAAAAATTAGCCAGGCGTGGTGGCACGCACATATAGTCCCAGCTACTTGGGAGGCTGAGGCAGGAGAATCACTTGACCTGGGAGGTGGAGGTTGCAGTGAGCCAAGATCATGCCACTGCACTCCAGACTGGGTGACAGACCAAGACTCCATCTCAAAAAAAAAAAAGTTTTAATATTTAAAATATTCTGCCCTTTAAAAAAATCTTAAAGTTATTAGTCCCAGGAAGTTCTCCCTGTTTCATCTGTGGCTTTCTGACTCTCCTAGTTTATTGTCACATATCTTCAGGGCTATAGGTGCTCCACTTTGAGATATATGGCTTTAAATAAGAGGCAGACATGGAAATTTGGGGGGGGGTGGAATGTAGCCTAATCTTAACTGTACATTGGAAGATAACTCTGGGCCTTGATATCTTGTGTCCATAATTTCCAGGGTCAAGGTTGCAGCAGATGTTCCTACAATCCCACGTGAACCTTGACAAGAGGTCAAGCCTGTTACCTTGTTCTGGAATTTTCCAGTTGCTCCAGTCATTCATATCGCAAGGATTCTTCACACAGCTGACTTTTCCCAAGGACACAAGAGTCCTTGCTGCTTGCATCAAATTTTATTTCCCCATGGGGCCAAGTGCTGCTGGGAGATAGATTCCTGCTAAATTGCTTTGATAAAGTTGATTATGGGCCTTAGATCCCTGAGCTTTCCTGGAAGTTACGATAAAGTTTTTAACTGAAATCTGTCTTAGCACTGACCTAATCTCAGGAGGGTCAGTTTATACTTCTTCAGGGTCACCCTGAAATATTGTGGAATCCTTATAGCACAGAAAAGGGATCCATAACTGGTTGGGATAGGGGTCACAGACTCTTTTAGGAATCCGATGAAAGCTCTGGGCTCCTCTACGCACCCACCCCCCCTCAAAAAAAATGCCTCTTTCACAAAATGTTAGACACAATTTCAGGCGCATGGTAGACACTCCAAAAATTCTGAGATTAGGTTAAAATCCAGGGATAAGAATGTCAGAACTGGAGGAAGTCAAAATTATCTGGCCTAGTTGGTCCGCTGAATAATAATGATAATAATCATCATTATTAAAAACAATCACATATTATGTGTTTATTATGTACTAACCACTCTGCTGAGACTTTACATTCATCATGTCACTAAACTTTTACAATAACCCAGCCTATTACATACCATGTCATCCCCACTCTACAGATGAGACAACCGAGAATCCCAGAGTTTAAGTTCCTTACTTGTGGACAGCAAGCAACTGAGTGGCAGAAGGCAGCTGCCTCCTAGATGCATGCTCACATCCACTGTGCATTCATGCCTGGTTATTCATAGTTGCTGTTGTCACCCTTCCTACCAAGTAACAGGAACCCACTGATGCTACCTTAAGTACAGAAGGGGTTTATTATAAGGAAGGAGATTAGGGTGTACTACAGAATCTATAAGCAAGGAATTAGCTGAATTTGAGGGATCACCTGGGACTTAGACATTGGTTTGCCATAGGAACCAAAAACAAAAAGCAATCTCTCTGTTATGAACTAAATGTTTGTGTCTCCCCAAAATTCAAACATTGAAGGCCTAACCCCCACTGTGACTGTATTTGGAGATAGGGCCTGTGAAGAGGTGATAAAGGATAAATGAAGCCATAACTGTGAGGTTCTAATCTTACTACAGAGCTTCTACCTTTATAAAAAGTGGAAAAGACACAGATTTCTCTCTCCACCATGTGAAGACACAATGAGAAGGCAGCCATCTGCAAGCCAGGAAGAGAGCCCTCACCAGAAACTAAACCCTGCCAGCAACTTGACCTTAGATTTTCCAGCCTCCAGAGCTGTGAGAAAATAAATTTCTGTTGTTTACGCCAACAGTCTATGGTGTTTTGTTATGGCAGCTTAAGCAGGCTAAGACACCCTCTTTCTTTCCCTCCAGATGAAGAAAGAAAATCAACAAAGGGAAAACTTAGAAACCGTGTTTCCTTAGCATGAAGATTAGGTCACCAGATGAAGATGGCCTCTCAGAACCTCACATACCCTAAATGAATGAAACACTGAAATTGTAAAGGTCGATGCCTCACATGCCTAGAGGAGACAGACAGGGAACAAAAGCGAGTGAAGTGCACTGGATGTGCACAAAAGGGGAGAGGTAGGGATTGCAAATATGCAAGCCACCACTCAGCAGCAGCCAGCCTTGCCATGTAGACATTCATGTCAAGTGTTGGCAGATTGTGCCCTTTCATTTTTTTTTTAAAAAAAGAAGCTCATAATCTGCATTTTCATATGAAATTCCCAGACTTTTAAACATTGCAAACTTGTGTGGTCCAAACTAAACACATGTATGAGCTCCTTTCTAAACTGAGGGCAGCTAATTTGTGAGCTATGTGTACAAAGCCCATTTAGAATCCAAATGTGGAGGACGTGGGGAGGGGAGAAGAAAGAGGACATGGAATGGAGTCATAGACCCAGATTCAAATCTTGGTCTTCCACTTCCTTACCGTGCTACCCTAAAGGTCACCTAACCTCTCTGATCACCCCAAGATAATCATTCTATTGTTTCCAATATTTTTCCAGTACAAATAATGCCACTGTAAAGATTGTTGCACAGATGTCACATGTATTGTATGTTTCTCTGCAGGATAAATTCCTAAAGAGGAAACTGCCAAGTGTCACGGATTGGATTCTCTAGAACAGATGCTGAGATGGAGTTTGGGTTGCAAAATGTTTATTAGGAACATATGTCCATGCATGAACTTGCATATAAATGTTCATAGCAGCATTATTCATAAGAATCAAAAAGAGTGGAAACAACCCAAATGTCCATCACTTATGAATGGACAAATGAAACGTGATATTTTCATACAACTGAATAGTATTCAACAATAAAAAGAAATTAACCATTGATACATGCAATAACATGGATGAACATGGAAAACACTAAGAAAAATAAGCCAGATGCAAAGGACCACATATTATATGATTCCATTTGTATGAAATGTCCAGAACAGGCAAATCTTTAGAGATGAAGGTAGATTAGTCGTTGCCTAGGACTGGGCATTTGAGGGAAATGAAAAGTGAATGCTAATGGGTATGGGGTTTCTTCAGGGGGTGATGAAAATGTTCTAAAATTGATTGTGATGACAGTTACACAATTCTGTGAATACACTAAAAACTTATTTAATTGTACACTATAAATGGATGATTTACATGGTGTATGCATTATGTTTCAATAAAAAGGAAGGGAGAGAAAGCAGAATTGGTCAGAGAAAAAAGTCAAAATGACAATGCAGGCCCAACGAAGCCAGCCAACCAGGCAGAACTGAAACAGCCAAGCCTTTATACCCCTGTCTCATTCAGTTACTGCATGTCAACTGCCCCGGAAGGGCATGACCTTGGGGGAGGGAGCTCCCTGCAGCTGTCAAAGGGGCTAACAGCTGGAGGCCATCTGCTAACCACACTCCCCATGGCTGGGCAGCAAATCCTCCCTTAAAGGGGGATCTGAGAGGCGCATCTCCATGTCTACCTCACCAATTCTAAAACAAAATTTAATTAATTTTGATAGATATGACCACACTACACTATTGTCCCTGTTATCATTGTCATTCAAGAATTCCTCACCCACCAGTAACATTTTTATATCTGGCAGATGGGATCCCATTGAACAACAATAAGAGATAAATTTTAGAAGACCACACTGAGGAATACCTAAAACACCATGGGAAAGACTTTTCATTTTCTCTTGTAAGGATCAGGGGACCCCAGCATGGTTTTGTTGTTTTGCACAGAAAACTGACACAATGTAAAGCTACATACTAGAATACTTAACTCTAGGGACAGTATGCAAGATGGACCAGAAAGGGAAGACCCAGAAGACAGAGAGACTAATCAGTAGGTTATGGAAGCCACCTAGGCATGGGGTGGGGATAGTAGGTGCTTGCTGTAGAAGGAAAGGGAAGGGAAGGGAAGGGAAGGGAATGGAAGGGAAGTTTTAGTGCATCTGGAGGTGAATTAGACCTGCATAAAAGGAAAAGGTGACTCATTTTGGGTCGAACACAAGAGTAGATGCTCAGGCCTTATCCCACCATGATACTGACCTCCTAAAAATCCTCCACATTTATCCATATCCCTCCATTTCCACTAACACCAATGCCATATTTTGCTCAGAAACTCCACCAGCCTTCATACTGATTTCAGAACATCCATTCTACCTTGCTACACTCTATTCTCCTTAGAGCAGGTGAAGGAATGTTTTTAAAACTTAAATCAGGTCCTGTCACTCTAAGGCTCGAATTCCTTCAGTTACTTCTTATTGTCCTCAGTATAAAGTACTATGTCTACAAGGCTCTCCATTATCCACCACCTGGCCACCTCCCCAGCCTCACTTCTTACCACTCCTCCATCGTTTCGTTGCTGCTCTTCCTTCAATTCTCTGAAAGTTCCATGTTCCCTTTTGACTCTGGGCCTTCACATATCCTGTTTCTCTGTGCTCAACAGTCCATGGTCTCTTGCCTATTCATATGTAAACTGCAGGTGTTGAGTTAGATGTTGCCTATTCCAGGAAGCCTTCATTGGATGAGATGCCTGTGTTGGATTGTCTACAAAGATGACACCAACAATTCTCCATCTCTGTATGCACCCATGCTGCTCTTCCCAACCTGAGATGGAGTGTGTTTCTTCATCCCTTGAATTGGGCTTACCATGTGACTTGTTTTGAGCAATAGAATGAGGCAGCAGTGATGTTCTGGGGCTTCAGATTCCAGACCTCAACAGACTACAAAGCCTCTTCTGCTTTCATTCAGAGAGGAACACAGCCGCTGTTAAAGCAGCCCGGGCTGTCCATCACCATTTGTGATGTGCGAAGTTGGAGGTGACATTGGAGAGCTCTCAACACAACTAAGCTTGGTTGAAACACCTGGAAGACCAGGTCTCCATTCATATGCCTGTAAACCTCGCACAGGTGGCAGAAGAAATCAGAATCCTTCTGTCCCCAGGGGCCTTGGAGACCCCATTTTCCTCCCAGGTCTGCCACTTAGTCATGAGATAAAGCAAGGACAGATTTTCACTAGCATAGGAGAAATGTGACTGTAATGAGTGCAAGCCAACCTCTGCCTCTAGGACAGGCTACACCTCTACTGTCTCTTGAGGAATCTACACCCTCAGAAGCCCACCCCCACCCAGCCCTCAAAGAATGTGGGATCCCTCTGGGTGAGTATTATATACAGTATCCTTTCATTTATGTACCTCAGAACCTAGCACTTCCTTAGCTCACATTAAATACTCAAGTAATGTGTGTATGATATAGAAAGAAAGGAATGAGAATGGGTTGGATAGAAAGGGAGGAAAGGAATGGCCATTTGGTATCAACTGTGTAGCCTTGGCAAGTTACCTACCTTTTCAAACCATCATTTACCTTCCTCATCTGTAAGATGGACATAATGATAGTACTGTTATCTAACGTTTATTGCAGATGTAATTACTATATGCCAAGCACAGGTTCAAACCTAATATCTCATTTAATCCTCATAGCCTACAAAACCCCTACCATTACCACTCACAATTTATTCACTGATTTTTGTTGTATATTTTTATGCTCCAAATCACTCTCACTTTGTTTTATGTTGATCTCTGCAGTTTTTTTTGTTTGTTTGTTTTCTGAAACCACATTTCACAGATGAGGAAACCAAAGCACAAAGTAATTGAGTAACTTGCCCAAGATCACACAGTTTGTAAACAGTGGAGTCAGGATTCAACCCCGGTCATCTCAGGCACACAGGGTAATTCTAAGAGAACTAAGTGGAATTAGGACTGTCAAGTGCTTGGCACAGGGCTCAGTATGTATGGACTGTTCTTAGGAGTAAGGGAGGGAGGGAAGAAAAACAGAGGCAACAGCAGAGCTCGCCTGTCTAGTTTCTTTCTTGTGACTGTTTTCTCTCCCCAGATACATAGAATTGGATCCATCATTACCTAATGATTGGCCCTTTTATTTTATTTATTGTACTTTTCAAATAATATAATGAACACCATGGATAGAACTGGAAGGCCATGATCTTAAGTGAAACAAGTCAGACACAGAAAGACAAATACTACATGTTCTCACTTATAAGTGGGAGCCAAATAATGTGTACACATGGATGTAGAGTGTAGAGTAATGAACAATAGACACTGACTGGGAGGGGCGATGGGGTGGGAGGAGGGTGGATGATGAGAAATTACTTAATGGGTATAATGTATGTTATTCAGTTGATGGATACCCTAATAAGTCTTGACTTTACCACTACACAATCTACTCATGTAACAAAACTATTCTTGTACCCCATAAATGTATACAAATAAAAATAAAATAAATAGTATAATGAATACCATGAACCCACTGTCCAAACCAAGAACCTAAATATTAACAATAATTTCATCTACCTATCTGCTCCTCTCCTCCTGCTTCTTGCCTTTCTCTTCCTGGTAGCCACAGTCCTAGATGTTGGATTGACCATTCCATTGATTTTTTTTTTTAACATATGTATGCCTAACAAGAAATTGTTTCACCTTTCTTGTTTTTGACTTTATAATTTCTAAGTCTTTCCATTATAGGCTCTCACTTCTTTTGTTGGAGTTAAATTTTACAAGTTCACCCAGGCCATCACATTTTGGCTGTGTGGGTTCTTCAGTGCAAGAGGCTCCCCAACTGAGGGTGGCAGGGGTACTGAAATCCAGCCTGCAGCTCCTCTTGCCTTAAAGATGCCATTCTCCCATGAAGCCATTCACCTTGGAGGCTGCATCCACCTGGAGAGGGGGCCATTTTCTAATCTGCACAAAGGCACAGGAGAGGTTAATGGGGGCCTGAAAGCACCACCCCTGGACCATCAGCTAACCTTCTTGGCCCCATCATGCTCAAGAGCAAGGTTGAGCCCACTCAGGATGATAGGTAGGAAGTGGCCCACAGTGACAGCCCAAGAGACAGCTGCATCATGTGAATCATAGTTCCTGCTAGAAGCTCAGTGGCCTCACTCCAGCTGTCTATCCCTAACCTATCAGGAGGGATTTCCTAATCAAGTTCCAGGAACCTTAAGATTCATGTCAAGGGGCCTCAATTTATTGAATTAATGCTGCTGAGCAGAACTGTAGCTGTTAAACAGTGTGGAGATCTGGATTTTACAGCAATGTAACTAACAAGGCTATTAACACAAACTGGGCCTGCCACTGACATTTATAACACCATAAATCTCTGTTCCCGCTGGAAGTATTTATGGTGTGGCAGGCACTCAGAGTCCACTGTCTTTTGCTGTGCTCTGCTTTTGAGACTCAGCAGGCAAAAAGTGTTGACCAATAAAGGGATAGTCAGGGGGAAGGAGGAAGAGAATGGAGCCTAGGCTGATTCTCAGCTCCCACCCCCTCTATCAACTTGAAACACGGGCCATTGCCAAGGGTGGCTTTTGATTTTTCTGTTTTTATTATATAGTATGTATTTATTTCCCATTTAGGGAGCACTTACCACAGGCTAAACCCTTTGCCAATGTAGTAATTATTAATTTCCCAGCATCTTCTCAAGGGTGAAAACATATTAGCTTTGTGTGTGCGTGTGTGTGTGTGTGTGTGTGTGCGCGTGTTCCCACTGAACTGAATTTCTGTCTTGAGTCTCCCAAACTCTCTGAAGCAGAACATTTAATCTTGTCACTTCCAAGTAAACTCAATTGCTTTAGTGATTTTTATTCTTCTCATTGACTTCAGGTTAAACCAAGTCAGATTTTAGATTTTTCTCACTCCTTTACTCTCCACAGGGAAGATAGCAAGGAGTGTTCAGATCTTGCTATGCCATTAGTGGGGAGGGATGACCAGGTCTGTGTTTTTGCCCATTGATATGGTATGGCTGTGTCCCCACCCAAATCTCATCTTGAATTGTAGTTCCCATAATCCCCATGTGTTGTGAGACGGACCCAGTGGAGATAATTGAATCATGGCGGTTGTGTCCCCCATCCTGTTATTGTGATAGTGAGTGAGTTCTCATGAGATCTGATGGTTTAAAGGTGTGGCACTTCCCCCCTCACCCTCTCTCTCTTCTGCCACCATGTAAGACATGCCTTGCTTCCCCTTTACCATGATTGTAAGCTTCCTGAGGCCTCCCTAGCCATGCAGAATGGTGAGCCAATTAAACCTCTTATCTTTAAAAATTGTCAAGTCTCAGGTAGTTCTTTATAGCAGTGTGAAAATGGACTAATACACCCATCCATGTCCTCTATTGGCATCCATGAAGATGTAGCCTGTACCATGATGCCCTCCCCAACATCAGCTGCCCTCTGGCATGGAACACACCTTCTCTAATCCTCACATCCTTTGCTGCAGTCCCTATGTCTGGGCCACAAGAAGGCCTGTAGAACTCCTAGCCCACTCTCTCCCTTCCCCCTAATCTTCAAGTCCTATTTAGGGGCCAGGGACCATGACACTCCAGGGACACTGGAAAGGCACACATACTCTCTCTCTCTCTCTCTCTGGATTTCACGTACCCGACCATACCACCACCATGCCCATGCTCCCATGCTCCCATGCACCACGTTGACATTAGTGTCCTCCCCACCAGGCCTTCAATCTCCCTTGGCCTTTTTTCACCCAACATACTGAGTCTTTTTTAGTCACCATTCTTAGCACTTTACAAGATGTGCTTCACTTATTCCCACCAACAACTCTCTACAGTAAGATCCATTATTATCCCCTATCATAGCTGGGAAAACTGAGGTTCAAACACTTAAGTCCCCGGCCTAAGGTCACACAGTGTGAGCATTGATTTTTATATGCCAACTTGACTGGGCTAAGGGATGCCCAGATAGCTGGTCAAATATTATTTCTGAGCATGTCTGTGAACGTGTTTCTGAAAAAGATTAGCATTTGAATTGGTGAACTGAGTAAAGAAGATCGGCCCTCACCAACGTGAGTGGGCGTCATCCAATCTGTGAGGCCCTCAACAGAACAAGAGGGTGGAAGAAGGGCAAATTTGCTGTCTCTGCTTGAGCTGGGACATTCATATTTTCCTGCCCTCAGACATCAGAAGTCCAGGTTCTCAGGCCTTCGGACTTGGATGAATTAAACCACCTACTTTCCTGGTTCTCCAGCTTGTAGATAGCATTTTGTGGGACTTGTCCACTTTCATAATTGTGTGTCCCAATTCCCCTAATAAATACCTTCTTCTATATCTATGTTCTATTGGTTCTGTTTCTCTGGAGAACTCTGAATAATGCACACAGCCATTAAGAGATGGAGCTGGAATTTGAATCCAGATAGCCAGGCCTCACCAGAGCAGTGAGACGCCCACAGAATCCAAAACTTAAAGTGGCCCTGCTCCCTAACACCTCTCCAGAGCTTTGCCCCAGAGAGGCACTGTTCACAGAGTTCCACTTGAATCTAAGTGTTTAACTTTGCACTCTTCCTCCAGTCTGGAATTTAGGGAGTTTAGGGTAATAAATAATTCTTCAGAAAACCTTTCTAAGCTCTTGTTCCTGTCAAGAAGACCTCAGCCTTGTGGACTTCCACAGCTACAGATGTCACTGGAATCCTTTTTCCCTTAGGGTAGTAAAGGCCAAGTCTTGGGTTTGAATGGAGTCTAGGGTGACAAGCAAACCCGGATATTTCAGGATTTAAAAAACCCCACAGAGGTTGAAGCTTCACTCTTCATCCACAACCACGTTATCACATTCAACCTCACAGCAACCCAGCTGAGAAAGACATAGGTAGTCTTTCCCTTTGTGCAAGAGAACCCAGCCTCCAAAACATTGAATGGCTTTTCCAGAGAAGGAAGGCTGAGAATTTTGGGAACCAGAATTTGGACTCAGGTCTGGGTTTCTGGAGGAATCACTAAACTTCATTTTCAAGGCTCTAACAAAATCCATTATATGTGTACACTACAGTTTACTTACCTAGTCTCTAATTGTTAAATACTTAACTGGCTCAGTGTTGTAAAGAATGCTGCCATGAATATCTTAGCTGTCTCTTTGGACACATTTGTGATAATTTCCTTAGGATAAATTCCTAGATGTGAAATTATGGAATTAGGGGCTGTGCATATGTATAAGGCTTTTTGATTTATTTTACCAAATTCCTGTCTATAAAGTGTGTCTGAATTTGCCTTCCCATGCCACTGTATCAGAGTGTCTACTTCTTCCTGTTGGTACCCTCACTGGGTTCTCCCATTTTCTACATATCTTTCCATTTTAGAGGTGAGAAATGATGTCTCAAGGATAGTTTGATTTGCAATTTTTATTACAAGTGAGGTTAAATCAATCATCTATTGAGTAACTGCTCCAAGTTCAGCAAAGAGAAGAGGAGTTGGGAGGAGTAGTAACACAAAGAAAGTTATTTTTCAACACAAGGACCACACAGCAGAAGAAGACAGCAGCCCAGGGACAGCATGACCTGATACAGAACTAAGTGCCAGAGGAAGTCAAAACAGAGTTTAGCAGGAAAGAGCTCAGTGCCTGTCTGTCCTGGAGCTGAAAGGGAGACTTCGAGGAGGAGAAGGCAGGACTGGAGCCCTGAACCACCGGAAAGTGCCACCCACACACTGTTTCTTTCAGTTCCCCAAGGGCTCCACCATCTTCTTACCTCCCAGCCTTTGCTGTTTCCTCTGTCTCTCTCCGCTTTGCTTTGCTAAGTTCTCCTCCTCACCTTTTTTAAATCTTAAGATCTTAAATCTTAAATCTCTCTTCCTCAAGAGAAGCCTCTCAGACCCCAGACCAGTTCATGTCCCTCTGTTAAGCGCTCTCACTGTGCCCTGTACTTCTGCTTTAAAATACATATCATAATGACAATTAATTGTGTTTGTAATTATTCATGTCATGTTCCAGACTGGAATCTCTAAATAGACTGTAAGCTCTGAGAGTCTAGACTGTATCTATTTTGCTCACCTCTGGGCTCCCAAGACCTAATTTAGTACATAATAGGACAAGATAATCTAGATTAAACCCAATACATAAATAGGTTTACTACTTTTTAATTCTTGTCTCTCAGCTCTAAATTCACCTTTTATTATTCTGCTTTGTGCTAGTGGTGCTATGTCTGCAAACTGCGTTTCTGTTTTGCCAGCAGGATTTCTTTGTTGGTTTTGTCACTAGGAGGAGATGTGAAACCTGGAGGAGGGGGAAGGGATTTGCTCTTTCTACCTGTTTGCATCCTGTCCCTTTAAGCACCTCCCCAGCAAAGCAATTTTCCCAATCCTCTATTCCCTTCTACCCCAGCCCTAATTTCTCCCTCCTCCCACCACCTCACTTAGGTAGGTAGTTCCCATCTCCAGTTGCTTCCAGCACTCCTAGAATCAGCCTGTTTGCACCCTTTGATGGATACCACTACAAACCAGGGGTGTCCCTTTATCAGAGGTTTAAGTCCAAGCTCCATGATCCCTCCTCCCAGTTTCTAGGTTTTGAGAAACACATGTCCTTCTCTTTGTTCCCCCACCTATAGGGGCAGTAGCTGCTTCCCTCGATTATTATCTCTGGGCTATCTCACTGATCTACCTTCACTTTTCCATCCTCCATAACCTGTCCTTCCAAATACTGAAATTAAATTCTCTCTGTCGAAATACCTAATGTGGTTTCTGTCTTCTTCACTAGATTCTGATTATGTAATTGACATTCAACTAAAATTTCATTAAAGCCACAGACGGGTTAGAAAATGGCATGAACAACTCACATCAACACTGGATAACTGAGCATCTACCATGTGACTGGCATCTACAGGCACATCAAGGGCATGAACAACTCACATTAACTCTGGATAACTGAGCATCTACAATGTGACTGGCATCTACAGGCACATCAAGGGCATGAACAACTCACATTAACTCTGGATAACTGAGCATCTACAGTGTGACTGGCATCTACAGGCACATCAAGGGCATGAACAACTCACATTAACTCTGGATAACTGAGCATCTACAGTGTGACTGGCATCTACAGGCACATCAAGGGCATGAACAACTCACATTAACTCTGGATAACTGAGCATCTACAGTGTGACTGGCATCTACAGGCACATCAAGGGCATGAACAACTCACATTAACTCTGGATAACTGAGCATCTACAGTGTGACTGGCATCTACAGGCACATCAAGGGCATGAACAACTCACATTAACTCTGGATAACTGAGCATCTACAGTGTGACTGGCATCTATAGGCACATCAAGGGCATGAACAACTCACATTAACTCTGGATAACTGAGCATCTGTGATGTGCTCGGTCCTGGAGACTGGAGACTGAGAGGTAAAACAGAAACAGAATGTCCCAGAAGTGCCCCAAATATTTTACTTTCAAAGACAGAGCAGAACCCCTTTTCTCCCACCTCCCTGACTAGATAAGAAGAAGAACCCCTTTTCTCCCACATCCCTGCCTTTTAAAAGGGAGCAGTTATCCCCCTGCTTTCCATACTTTGCAATGGTATTCAATGAATCTCCAGTGGCATACGGAGAACAACAATCCTTTGTTGTGCAGGACAGACTTTGCAAGAAGCTTGTCGTTTTTGGCCTTCTCAACTAAATAATAACACCCCTCCTCCAGTCATTTTGTCAGCCAAAAGTGCCCCCACAAGTTGACAAATGACCCTTTGGTGCAGTCCACCCTCCCTGATCACTATGAGGTCACCCATTGAGGAGATACCCCAGGGGAGGAAGAACTCGCTAATTATTTCTGGCATTATCAGCCCCAGCAGAGAAACCTTTAATAAATGTAGAAGATGGTGTAGTTCTGCATGAGATCTTCAAATTAACCAAGACAGCCAGCAGAATGCAATCCAACAGAGGGCGTGACAGGGCGGCAGGCCGGCAGGGGGTGGATAGAGGAAGAAGGAAGCTGGAAACCTAATTAGCCAGGGCTGCTCATATCTGAGCCGCTCCACTCCCAGCTGCTTCCTGACTCATGACATGTTGAAAATGAAATCATTAGGAAGCACTCACACACAGCTCCTTGTTAGAGATGGGTCCCAAGTAGGCTTAATTGGAAGAGGAGAAATGGGGAGGAGGTGAAGCATGAAAGGAGGGGAAGAGAAATGGTGTGTGGCAGTTGACCGTGGGTCCCACACACACAAGATGGGGTATTTTTGAAAAAATGGAGGTTTTCTCCGCTTCTTCCCCGCCCCCTTCCGTCCACCCCTCACGGATGACTTGTAGTACACCAGTTCTCAACAAGCTAGGTTGGCACCCTCTTATGTATGGAAATTGGTTATGAGAAGTGGGAAAAGTAACCACCCTGTGTTAAAAAGTAATCACAACAAATTGAAAAATAACAAAGTCTGACAGTTTTCTCCCTTCCTTCTATACCTTTCTTCCATTCTTTAAAAAAATATAAATTAAAATAGATTCAGCCGGGCACCGTGGCTCATGCCTGTAATCCTAGCACTTTGGGAGGCCAAGGCAGAAGGATCACCTGAGGCCAGGAGTTCGAGACCAGCCTGGCCAACATAGTGAAACCTCATCTCTACTAAAAATACAAGAATTAACCAGGCATGGTGGCGTGTGCCTGTAATCCCAGCTACCCAGGAGGCTGAGGCAGGATAATCACTTGAACCGGGAGGGAGGCTGCAGTGAGCCAAGATCGCGCCACTGCTCTCCAGCCTGGGCGACAGAACAAGACTCTGTCTCAAAAATAAATAAATAAATAAATTAATTAATTAAAAAAACAGGTTCAAGGTGTCTTTAGTAATATCATTCTCTGGCACTTATATTCCAATATCCTGTCCTACATGGCAGAGAAAAATACAGGGTTCCAGGTATGGTTTACAACCCCAACCAAACTCACCTTCCCAACTCAGTTATGAATAATGTTTGTTGTTTGTTCTTTATTTCTCATACCCATCCACCATGCCAACAGAAAAAAATGTTTTGGCTTTTTAGATCAGCATAGCATAGCATGATAATGGAATTTGAAGTCAGATAGAACTGAGCTCCTGGCTAGGCGCAGTGGCTCATGCCTGTAATCCCAGCACTTTGGGAGGCCAAAGTGGGTGGATCACTTGAGGCCAGGAGTCCAAGACCAGACTGGCCAACATGGTAAACCCTCATCTCTACTAAAAATACAAAAAATTAGCTGGGCATGGTGGCAGGTGCCTGTAATCCCAGCTACTTGGGAGGCTGAGGCATGAGAATTGCTTGAACCCAGGAGGCAGAGGTTGCCGTGAGCCGAGATCATGCCACTGCACTCCAGCCTGGGCAACAGAGTGAGACTCTCTCAAAAAAAAAAAAAAAAAAAAAAAAAAAAGCTGAATTCTAATCCTTCCTTAGATATTTAGTAGCTCTGAAACCAGTAGCAAGTGACTGAACCACTCAGAGCTCCCCATGTTTCCCCACCACTGGATACAGCCATTGGTATCTCAGTCTCCAAATCTTAGCTGCTGCTGAGAATTGGGGACCCTAATACCTATACTGCTAATCTCACAGAGTTGTTGTGGGGATCTATACAGATAAAAGATACAAAGATCTTTTTAACATTAAATCATTATATATGCAGATATTGTTAGACCTTGGTTATTTGCAAACACGTCTATACATTCCATTGATTATCTATAGCTGTCTCCTGACTCTGCCTCTTTACAGATCTCAGATGGGAGATCTGGCCAAAGTGATTGGGTAGTGGGGTGGGCCTTCTGGGATGTATACCCAACATCCATTCACCCACCCCTTCCTTCTCTTCAACAGAACCTTAATTTTATTCACTCTCCCAACAGCTAAATGTTTGAAGTGAGCCTGTACCCCTTTCAACCCAAAGGGGAGGAGTGAGCCTTGACTGGTCAAAACCAATTCACAGTAATTCCATTGTCAGTAATGATTGAAGCATGGATGTGTGACATGATTCTAACCAGTGAATGTGATGGGAAATCTTCTGGAAGCTTCTGGGAAATGCATTCCTTCCTCTTACAAAGTCAATGCCTTTGGATAAGACTGATGTCTTGATGCTTGGAGCTGTTGCAGCCATCTCTGAGCCTGAAGCAAAAAGTATAAGGACAAAGGCTAGCCACTGGGACTTTGAGAGTCCCAATGGCTTTGAGCCCCAGAACTAACCCTGGAGCTGCCCTGCCAAGAAATGTCTTGATATATAGGATAATTATGATAATTATACATCCTGGATTTCCTGGAACTCCCCCAGTTTACATTTGTGCCAGCATATGGTCTGATACAGTATTTGTCCTAAAAAAAAAATGTGCTGGTTTGGATAAGTTATACGGTCTCCCTACTGATAATAAATGTCCTTATTATTTAAGTCACTTTGAGTTCAGTTTATTCTATGTAGCTAAAATATTCTGATTAATACAGAGCTAGAGAGTGGTACAAAGCACATACGTGTGTACATGCATGTGCATATTTATACATGCATGTAAGCACATGCATGACTATGCCAAAGTTTAGGGTGAGTGCTCTAACCTCTACTTAAAATTGTCTATGCTTTCTCTTCTTTTCTCTTTAGTAAACATTATCTTTGGGCCCTTCAGAGACTTTTCATTCTGCTTATTCTCTTCACTCACTACTTCCTGGGGTGCAGAAGGTGTACTCAGTAGGACCATTAAATTTTAAAGAGTTGTTGGCACATATACACCATGGAATACTATGCAGCCATAAAAAATGATGAGTTCATGTCCTTTGTAGGGACATGGATGAAGCTGGAAACCATCATTCTCAGCAAACTATCACAAGGACAAAAAACCAAACACTGCATGTTCTCACTCATAGGTGGGAATTGAACAATGAGAACACATGGACACAGGAAGGGGAACATCACACACCAGGGCCT
This sequence comes from Homo sapiens, assembly GCF_000001405.40. Lineage (NCBI taxonomy): Eukaryota > Metazoa > Chordata > Mammalia > Primates > Hominidae > Homo > Homo sapiens. The sequence goes on along the minus strand of NC_000012.12, from coordinate 118,677,624 downwards.
GTTGTGGGGTGGGGGGAGGGGGAGGGATAGCATTAGGAGATATACCTAATGTTAAATGAAGAGTTAATGGGTGCAGCACACCACCATGGCACATGTATACATATGTAACAAACCTGCACGTTGTGCACATGTACCCGAAAACTTAAAGTATAAAAAAACAAAAGAGTTGTTGCCAAAAGGGGCATCCTGAGACCTCAAGGCAAATTCTCATCTGGATGGTGAGGCATGCCATTCTCCACTCTGCCCTTGTCGTTTCATTTCATTATTGTGGAAACACAACGAACATGAAAGAGAAACAAATAGGGGCATCCTAATCTGAGAATTCATCCTCTCCCAAGTGTCTATGAATCTTTGAAGCAGTGCCCCCCTTTAAGGTGAGCCTCCCTTATCCCCATATACTGTATTTGCACTATTGTCTTAAGCAGCAAAACTCTGGTCCCTCTCAATGTATGTAGCTCTTTAACTCTCCCCAAAGTTATAAATCCACTGTCAGCAAACGCATCCACAAGTCCTTGTTCTCATTCTCTCCTTTATCTGTCCTTTCCCCAGTCATTCCACTAATGGCTTCAATCTGCCAGTTGCCCTCTCTGCTTACACTGTAATCAGGAGGGTGGGGCTGACCTGGCCATTGTCAGAGAGAAAACTGAGCAGTCTGCTGATGTAGTGTGTCGAACAAGTGCCCCATTCGTTTTTCTATCATCTGGCAAGCCTCATCTATTAACTTGGCTGATTTTAAGACAAAGTTTCAAGGTAAACCTAACAGGCAGACACATTCTAAGTGAAGACAAAAGCAACTTAGAGCACTCAGTGCCTGCCCAGCCTGGAAATAGCCCTTGCAGAAAAACTCTCTCTCTCTTTTACTCCTCACCTGATGCAAATCCATGTTTCTGAACTCAAGCGCTGACTACCCAAGGTCAGGATCACCCAGAGTTGGAGATTGGAATCAAGGAATTTAGAAGATGCTTGCAGCCATTACTATCACTCTTCCAAACCAATGAAACAGGCACTCTTCTATTCTGACCACAGGAGTATAAAAAGGTACATTTTTGAGAGGGTAGCATTGATAGTGTGTATCAAAAGCCTTAAGAGTATTCATATACTTTTATTCAGCAACGTAATCTCTATGAATTTATCCTAAAGAAACAAGGGGACAAAAATATGTGTGTCCAGTAATATTCACCACATCACTGTAATAGAAGAAAATAGAGATGCTCGTTGGCAGGGGACTGATTAAATAATTTATGGTACATCTATGCAATGGAGGATGATGTCATTATTAAAACAAGTACTGGACAGTTTAATGGGTAAGAGTATAAACTGGCACAACCATTCTGGGACATAATCTGGCAATATGTATTAGAAGCCTTTGAAATGTTCACACCCTTTGAAATAGTCATGAATACTGTTCACCAAATAGCTCCAGCTTTCCATCTGCCAGGCATGTGGTGGAATTGAACTTCACGACCCCTAGATGTCCATGTCACTGGTTCTGCCCTATGAGTTGTAAGAGGGAATGATGAGTACTACTTCCAAGCCTGGGCATCGAATTGCCTATGTAACATCTATAGAACTCTTTGCTTCTTCTGTAGTGACTAGCCATGTTTGAAATGGTGGCAGTCCCACCAGCCTTGGTCCCAGAGTGAAAAGATTTAAACATAACCCGGCTAGATGTGTAGGATGAGTGAGAAATAAGCCTTTGTTGTTTTGTTGTTTTAAGGGTTTTTTGTTTGTTTTTTGTTTTTGAGATGAAGTTTCACTCTTGTCGCCCAGGCTGGAGGGCAATGGCACCATCTCAGCTCACTGCAACCTCTGCCTCCCAGGTTCAAGTGATTCTTCTGCCTCAGCCTCCCGAGTAGCTGGGATTGCAGGCACCCACCACCACGCATGGCTAATTTTTATATTTTTAGTAGAGACAGGGTTTTTCCATGTTGGCCAGGCTGGTCTCAAACTCCTGACCTCAGGTGATCCACTCCACTCAGCCTCCCAAAGTGCTGGGGTTACAGGCATGAGCCACTGTGCCTGGCCTGTTTTAAGGTTTTTAGAGTTGTTTGTTACTGCATCATATCCTACCTATCCTGCCTAATACATAAATAGATACAAGTTGAAGGATATTCATCACAAAATTGATAACATACACAAACAAAATACACAACAGTAAGACATACAGCACACCCATGGTGCCAAGACAGTCAGGTCAGAAGGCACTTCAGCATTGTCCATACACCATGACATTTCCTAAGGAGACCCAGGCCTTGATGTTGAACCCAAGCCATCATCACAGTTTCTTCCATCCTTCTTTCATAATGAATTTGCCCTCAGAGTTCCCTGACATTAGTCGAGGTTTAATTTAACATTAAATTTTAAAAGGCAGGGGTTAAGACCTCAATCTCTTTTCTCCCAAGAATCTCTGAGATTCCTTTACAAATGTATCCAGCTCCTCCCCATAAGTCATCAAGGTCCACAGAATAAGGAATTTAGGGAGAAAAAATCTTTATCTATCCAAAAATATACATGCTGTATTTCTCCTGTGGAACAATGAATACTAACTTGCTTTGCATATTCATAATCCACACTCAAGCAAAGTCTCCACCTTTAGAAATAAAAGAGCTGGCACGTCTGTAAGCCCAGCACTTTGGGAGGCCAAGGTGGGTGGATCACCTGAGGTCAGGAGTTCAAGACCAGCCTGACCAACATAGTGAAACCCTGTCTCTACTAAAAATACAAAATTAGCTGGGCGTGGTGGCACGTGCCTGTAATCTCAGCTACTTGGGAGGCTGAGGCAGGAGAACTGCTTGAACCCAGGAGGCGGAGGTTCTGGTGAGCCAAGATCATGCCATTGCACTGCAGCCTGGGCAACAGAGTGAGATGCCATCTCAAAAAATAAAAATAGTTGATCCATGATGGCCAATTAGGAACAGCTCTGGTCTGCAGCTCCCAGCATGATTGACGCAGAAGACGAGTGATTTCTGCATTTCCAACTGAGGTACCCGGTTCATCTCACTGAGATTGGTTAGACAGTGCAGCCCACGGAAGGCGAGCTGAAGCAGGGTGGGGCATCAGCTCACCTGGGAAGCATGAGGGGTTGGGGGATTTCCCTTTCCTAGCCAAGGGAAACCATGACAGACTGTACCTGGAAAAACAGGACACTCCTGCCTAAATACTGCACCTTTCCAATGATCTTAGCAAATGGCACACCAGGAGATTATATCCCGCGCATGGCTTGGCAGGTCCCATGCCCATGGCACCTTGCTCACTGCTAGCACCGCAGTGTGAGATTGACCTGCGAGGCAGCAGCCTGGCAGGGGGAGGGGCGTCTGCCATTGCTGAGGCTTGAGTAGGTAAACAAAGCAGCCAGGGAAGCTCAAACTGGGCGGAGCCCACCACAGCCAGCAAGGCCTGCTGCCTCTGTTGACTCCACCTCTGGGGGCAGGGCATAGCTGAACAAAAGGCAGCAGAAACTTCTGCAGACTTAAACGTCCCTGTCTGACAGCTCTGAAGAGAGCAGTGGTTCTCCCAGCATGGCATTTGAGCTCTGAGAATGGACAGACTGCCTCCTCAAGTGGGTCCCTGACCCACTTGTAGCCTAACTGGGAGACACCTCCCAGTAGGGGCCAACTGACACCTCATACAGGAGGATGCCCCTCTGGGACGAAGCTTCCAGAGGAAGTATCAGGCAGCAATATTTGCTGTTCTGCAATATTTGCTGTTCTGCAGCCTCCGCTGGTGATACCCAGGCAAACAGGGTCTGGAGTGGACCTACAGCAAAATCCAACAGACCTGCAGCTGAGGGACCTGACTCTTAGAAGGAAAACTAACAAACAGAAAGGAATAGCATCAACATCAACAAAAAGGACATCCACAGCAAAACCCCATCTGTAGGTCATGAACATCAAAGACTAAAGGTAGATAAAACCACAAAGATGGGGAGAAACCAGAGCAGAAAAGCTGAAAATTCTAAAAACCAGAGTACCTATTCTCCTCCAAAGGAACACAGCTCCTCACCAGCAATGGAACAAAGCTGGAAGGAGAATGACTTTGACAAGTTGACAGAAGTAGGCTTCAGAAGGTTGGTAAAACAAAATTTTCCGAGCTAAAGGAGGATGCTTGAACCCATTGCAAGAAAGCTAAAAACCTTGAAAAAAGATTAGATGAATGGCTAACTAGAAAAAACAGCGTAGAGAAGACCTTAAATGACCTGAAGGAGCTGAAAACCATGGCACGAGAACTACGTTATGCATGCACAAGCTTCAGTAGCCAATTTGATCAAGTGGAAGAAAGGGTATCAGTGATTGAAGACCAAATTAATGAAATAAAGTGAGAAGAGAAGTTTAGAGAAAAAAGAGTAAAAAGAAATGAACAAAGCCTCCAAGAAATATGGGACTATGTGAAAAGACCAAATCTGCATTTGATTGGTGTACCTGAAAGTGATGGGGAGAATCGAACCAAGTTGGAAAACACTCTTTAGGATATTATCCAGGAGAACTTCCCCAACCTAGCAAGACAGGCCAACATTCGAATTCAGGAAATACAGAGAACTCGGCAAAGATACTCCTCGAGAAGAACAACCCAAAGACACATAACTGTCAGATTCACCAAGGTTGAAATGAGGAAAAAATGTTAAGGGCAGCCAGACAGAAAGGTCGGGTTACCCACAAAGGGAAGCCCATCAGACAAACAGTGGATCTCTCAGCAGAAAGTTTACCAGCCAGAAGAGAGTGGGGGCCAATATTCAACATTCTTAAAGAAAAGAATTTTCAACCCAGAATTTCATATCCAGCCAAATTAAGCTTCATAAGTGAAGGAGAAATAAAATCCTTTACAGACAAGCAAATGCTGAGAGATTTTCGTCACCACCAGGCCTGCCTTACAAGAGCTCCTGAAGGAAGCACTAAACATGGAAAGGAACAACTGATACTAGCCACTGCAAAAAAATGCCAAATTGTAAAGACCATCGATGCTAGGAAGAAACCGCATCAACTAACGAGCAATATAGCCAGCTAACATCATAATGACAGGATCAAATTCACACATAACAATATTAACTTTAAATGTAAATGGGCTAAATGCTCCAATTAAAAGACACAGACTGGCAAATTGGATAAAGAGTCAAGACCCATCAGTGTGCTGTATTCAGAAGACCCATCTCACATGCAGAGACACACATAGGCTCAAAATAAAGGGATGGAGGAAGATCTGCCAAGCAAATGGAGAGCAAATAAAAAAGCAGGGGTTGCAATCCTAGTCTCTGATAAAACAGATTTTAAACCAAACAAAGATCAAAAGAGACAAAGAAGGCCATTAAATAATGGTAAAGGGATCAACTCAACAAGAAGAGCTAACTAACCTAAATATATATGCACCCAATACAGGAGCACCCAGATTCATAAAGCAAGTCCTTAGAGACCTACAAAGGGACTTAGACTTCCACACAATAATAATGGGAGACTTTGGCACCCCATTGTCAATATTAGACAGATCAACGAGACAGAAAGTTAACAAGGATATCCAGGACTTGAACTCAGCTCTGCACCAAGTGGACCTAATAGACATCTACACAACTCTCCACCCCAAATCAATAGAATATATATTCTTCTCAGCACCACATCACACTTATTCCAAAATTGACCACATAGTTGGAAGTAAAGCACTCCTCAGCAAATGTAAAAGAACAGAAACACAACAAACTGTCTCTCAGACCACAGTGCAATCAAATTAGAACTCAGGATTAAGAGACACACTCAAAACCACACAACTACATGGAAACTGAACAACCTGCTCCTGAATGACTACTGGGTAAATAAAGAAAGGAAGGCAGAAATAAAGATGTTCTTTGAAACTCATGAGAACAAAGACACAACATACCAGAATCTCTGGGACACATTCAAAGCACTGTGTAGAGGGAAATGTATAGGACTAAATGCCCACAAGAGAAAGCAGGAAAGATCTAAAATTGACACCCTAACATCACAATTAAAAGAACTAGAGAAGCAAGAGCAAACAAATTCAAAAGCTACCAGAAGGCAAGAAATAACTAAGATCAGAGCAGAACTGAAGGAGATAGAGACATTAAAAACCCTTCAAAAAAATCAATGAATCCAGGAGCTGGTTTTTTGAAAAGATCAACAAAATTGATAGATCACTAGCAAGACTAATAAAGAAGAAAAGAGGGAAGAATCAAATAGACACAATAAAAAATGATAAAGGGGCTATCACCACTGATCCCACAGAAATACAAACTACCATCAGAGAATACTATAAACACCTCTATGCAAATAAACTAGAAAATCTAGAAGAAATGGATAAATTCCTTGACACATACAACTCCCAAGACTGAACCAGGAAGACGTTGAATCTCTGACTAGACCAATAACAGGCTCTGAAATTAAGGCAATAATTAATAGCCTACCAACCAAAAAAAGTCCAGGACCAGACGGATTCATAGCTGAATTCTACCAGAGGTACAAAGAGGAACTGGTACCATTCCTTCTGAAACTATTCCAATCAATAGAAAAAGAGAGAATCCTCCCTAACTCATTTCATGAGGCCAGCATCATCCTGATATCAAAGCCTGGCAGAGACACAACAAGAAAAGAGAATTTTAGATCAATATCCCTGATGATCATCAATGCAAAAATCCTTAATAAAATACTGGCAAACCAAATCCAGCAGCACATCAAAAAGCTTATCCACCATGATCAAGTCAGCTTCATCTCTGAAATGCAAGGCTGGTTCAACATATGCAAATTAATAAACGTAATCCATCACATAAACAGAACCAATGACAAAAACCATATGATTATCTCAATAGATGCAGAAAAGGCCTCCAACAATATTCAACAGCCCTTCATGCTAAAAACTCTCAAAAAACTAGGTATTGATGGAATGCATCTCAAAACAAGAAGAGCCATTTAAGACAAACCCACAGCCAATATCATACTGAATGGGCAGAAACTGGAAGCATTCCCTTTGAAAATTGGCACAAGACAGGGATGCCCTCTCTCACCACTCCTATTCAACATAGTGTTGGAAGTTCTGGCCAGGGCAATCAGGCAAGAGAGAGAAATAAAGGGTATTCACATAGGAAAAGAGGAAGTCAAATTGTGCCTGTTTGCAGATGATATGATTGTATATTTAGAAAACCCCATCATCTCAGCCCAAAGTTTCCTTAAGCTGATAAGCAACTTCAGCAAATTCTCAGGACACAAAATCAATGTGCAAAAATCACAAGCATTCCTATACACCAATAACAAACAAACAGACAGCCAAATAATGAGTGACCTCCCATTCACAATTGCTTCAAAGAGAATAAAATACCTAGGAATCCAACTTACAAGGGATGTGAAGGACCTCTTCAAGGAGAACTACAAACCACTGCTCAACGAAATAAAGGAGGACACAAACAAATGGAAGGACATTCCATGCTCATGGATAGGAAGAATCAATATCGTGAAAATGGCCATATTGCCCAAGGTAATTTATAGATTCAATGCCATCCCCATCAAGCTACCAATGACTTTCTTCACAGAATTGGAAAAAACTACTTTAAAGTTCATATGGAACCAAAAAAGAGCCCACATTACCAAGACAATCCTAAGCCAAAAGAACAAAGCTGGAGGCATCATGCTACCTGACTTCAAACTATACTACAAGGCTACAGTAACCAAAACAGCATGGTACTTGTACCAAAACAGAGATATAGACCAATGGAACAGAACAGAGCCCTCAGAAATAACACCACACATCTACAACCATCTGATCTTTGACAAACCTGACAAAAACAAGAAATAGGGAAAGGATTCCGTTTAATAAATGGTGCTGGGAAAACTGGCTAGCCATATGTAGAAAGCTGAAACTGGATCCCTTCTTTACATCTTATACAAAAATTAATTCAAGAAGGATTAAAGACTTAAATGTTAAACCTAAAACCATAAAAACCCTAGAAGAAAACCTAGGCAATACCATTCAGGACATAGGCATGGGCAAGGACTTCATGACTAAAACACCAAAAGCAATGGCAACAAAAGTCAAAATAGACAAATGGGATCTAATTAAACTAAAGAGCTTCTGCGTAGCAAAAGAAACTGCCATCAGAGTGAACAGGCAACCTACAGAATGGGAGAAAATTTTTGTAATCTACCCATCTGACAAAGGGCTAATTTCTAGAATCTACAAAGAACTCAAACAAATTTACAAGAAAAAAACAACCCCATCAAAAAATGGGCAAAGTATATGAATAGACACTTCTCAAAAGAAGACACTTATGCAGCTGACAGACACATGAAAAAATGCTCATCATTACTGGTCATCACAGAAATGCAAATCAAAACCACCAGATACCATCTCACACCAGTTAGAATGGCAATCATTAAAAAGTCAGGAAACAACAGGTGCTGGAGAGGATGTGGAGAAATAGGAATGCTTTTCCACTGTTGGTGGGAGTGTAAACTAGTTCAACCATTATGGAAGACAGTGTGGTGATTCCTCAAGGATCTAGAACTAGAAATACCATTTGACCCAGTGATCCCATTACTGGGTATATACCCAACGGATTATAAATCATGCCACTATAAAGACACATGCACACGTATGTTTATTGTGGCACTATTCACAATAGCAAAGACTTGGAACCAACCCAAATGTCCATCAATGATAGACTGGATTAAGAAAATGTGGCACATATACACTATGGAATACTATGCAGCCATAAAAAAGGATGAGTTCATGTCCTTTGCAGGGGCATAGATGAAGCTGGAAACCATCATTCTGATCAAGCTATCACAAGGATAGAAAACCAAACACCGCATGTTCTCATTCATAGGTGAGAATTGAACAATGAGAACACTTGGACACAGGGCGGGGAACATCACACACCGGGGCCTGTCATGGAGTGGGGGCCTGGGGGAGGGATAGCATTAGGAGAAATACCTAATGTAAATGACAAGTTAATGGGTGCAGCAAACCAACATGATACATGTATACCTGTGTAACAAACCTGCATTTTGTGCACATGTATCCTAGAACTTAAAGTATAATAAAAATAAATACATAAAAATAAAAATAAAAGAGCTGGAAATGTAGCAACTTCTCTCAACATTGAGAGAAATAGTTTTTAAGTTTACCAATTTATTACACTATTAATAGGAATTATACTGACCATATGATAGTGATGAGATGTGAAATCTTAAGGGTAGAGTAGAGAGTAGCATGTTTCACCATCCAGATTAGAATTTGCCTTGGGGGTCTCAGGATGCCCCTTTCAGCCACAGCTCTTTAAAATTTAATGTTCCTCCTGAGTATACCTTCTGCACCTTAGGAAGTAGATAGTGAAATGAATAAGCAGAATGAAAAGTCCCTGAAGGGCCCAAAGGGATGGCTTTTCATTAAGTAGCTAGTGGTGGCAGTTGTGATGGTGGTGGTAGGAGGGGTGACGGCATTGGTGGTAATAAGTAAGCCTGGTAGTCCCACTCATTAGCCCAATCCTGACCCCTCAATTCACAAGCCTAAATTAATGTGACAGTGATAGTGACAGTAATATTTACTAGCATCTAAAATTGTATGGCCAGTTGCTCACTCTAGCAATGGATTGGAAACAGAGAGGCCAGCTGTCGTCAGGGAAAGCAAGGAACTCAAACTAACAGGACGAGAAAAGGAAAGCAGCAGGGACAAGTCAGAGGGATGAGTAGAGGGGGGAGAAGAGCCAGTCCCTCAAGGAGAGCTGAGGATCTTGGGACATCTGCCCTAATAGGCTCTAAGCCTGTGGGACGCAGGTATCACCAGACCATCTGGTCAACTACCACCCCACCTCACCCCACCCCCACCCATTGCACTTCCTCCTAGAACATTCTGCCTGTGTTAGCACACCTCTCTTTCCTTCTGTGTGGGACAGGAAGGGAAGAGAATGTGCCTTTTTATACCTGGAAAGCCAATAGTAAGACTTCAGGTTGTGTCCAGGCCACCATTCAATGCCAGTACTAGGGTCTATTCACTGGCTGCCCTTGGAATACCTCCTTCCAAGGAGGTTCACTGGTTGAACCCAACTTAGAATCACAATTTTCCCCAAAGTGTAATTGAAGAAGTGGTCTGTAAGATGGACAGGTGGCTCTGTGAGGGCAGGGACAGGGTCTGTCTTGATCACCAGGGTTTCCCAAGAGCAGGAAAAATGCCTGCAACATGGTTAGGGTTCAACTTTATTTGTTATATGTAAAATAAATGGATAGTACTATGGGATGTTGGATGTTTTTTAAGACAGGGTCTCAATCTGTCATCCAAACTGGAGTGCAGTGGCACAATATAGCTCACTGCAGCTTCAATTTCCTGGGCTCAAGTGACCCTCCCACCTCAGCTTCCCAGGAAACTGGGGCTACAGACATGCACCACCATGCCCAGCTAAATATTTTTTAGTAGATACAAGATCATGCTATGTTGCCTAGCTGGTCTCCAACTCCTGGGCTCAAGCAATTCTCCCTCCTTGGCCTCCCAAAGTGCTGGACAGGCAGGAGCCACCACACCCAGCTAGATGTTATATTTTTCTTAAAGTTTCCATAGTCAAGAAATCTGGAGTCAGATAAACCAGGATTCATAGATCAACTTCACCAACTTCCAGCTGGGTTACCTTAGACAAGTAACTTAATCCCACCAAGCTTCAGTTTCCTCATCTATGAAGAATCTGGCATCATTGTCATAAGCTTCATGAAATCTCTCATGGTAGGCAAGATCTACAGTTACAGATCTCATATTAAACAAATTTAAGTTATAAAAGTTGCTATGATTCCATGCTCTAATTCTGAATTGTAACAATGTCTCCTTTATGTACCTCATGGGGGTGATTACAAGAATCTAACAAGATACTACACATAGAAAGTAGACCACTTGCCCATTGCAGTATTTTGTTGCTGTTGCTAAAAGCCAGAAGCACACACACACACACACACACACACACACACACACACAAAAGCCAGACACTTGTCAAGTCAACATTGCCCAAAGCAATTTCTATTTCAGTTTCAGGTTCTGCTAAAGATGTGCCAAGGTCCGATCATTGGGAGCTTCTTGGGCCTTAAAAATGAATTTCCAGATACGAATGAGCTTTATCGTAGAAAATTAATACCCAAATTAGTTTAAAGGCCACTTGAAACATTGTGGTACACCTTGGTTATTCACAATTCCTTTATTTATCCCTTGCCACCTTCCACAGTTTGAAGGCTAGAAAGTCAAACACTCAATTGCCAGACTCCGTTGCAGCTAGGGTGAATGATGGCCTATGGAATAAGGCCTTTGCAGATATCTGCAAAGGAGACTTTGGGAAAATACTTTGATTTTCCAATTGAAAACAAGAGTCAGACTTTGTACATCATGATGGCTGTAATTAATAATAATACAGTGTATATTTGAAACTTGCTAATGGAGTAGATTTTAAGTGTTCTCACCATAAAAAGGAGTATATGAAGTAATCCATATGTTAAATAGTTTGATTTAGTAATTTCACAAGGTATACATCTATTGAGACATCATGTTGTACATCATAAATACATACAACTTTAATTTGTCAATTAAAATTTAAAAATTGGTTTAAAAATTTAAAAATAAAAAAGGCAGACAAGACTGGCACAACCTTCTCTCCATTGTCTTCTTGAATTTGATTCAACTGTGAAGGCTGGAACAGCAACATCCATCTTGCAATTTTAAGGGAAGATAGAAGAGAATTGTAGAGGTATTATTCTGGAATTACTGAGCCAATGCACCAGAGCCAGAAACCACCTTCCCTCAATTTCATGTTTTGTTTTATTTTTTGAATTTAAGCCACTGTACTTTGGCTTATGCTACTTGTAGCTAAATAAAATCCTACGTGATTAAAATAGTAAAAAGAAAGGTCTGATTATGACTTTATCTTGAAAAGCAATTTTATACTTATGAAAACGTGTTTAGATCTCATATTAAAAAAAATTTAAGTTATAATGAAGTTGCTATGATTCCATGCTCTAATTCTGAAGACCAAGAATGTATCATTGATTTATTTGGGACAGAACTTTTTTTTTTTTTTTTTTTGAGATAGAGTTTCACTCTTCTTGCCCAGGCTGGAGAGCAGTGGTGTGATCTCGGCTTACTGCAACCTCCACCTTCTGATTCTCAAGCAATTCTCCTGCCTCGGCCTCCCAAGTAGCTGGGATTACAGGCACCCACCACCACACCTGGCTAATTTTTTTATTTTTAGTAGAAATGAGGTTTCACCATGTTGGCCAGGCTAGTCTCAAACTCCTGACCTCGTGATCTGCCCACCTCGGCCTCCCAAAGTGCTGGGATTACAGGTATGAGCCACTGTGCCCAGCCAGAACATAATTTTTCTAAGCAAATTCTATTCTAACATATTGTAGAGCTGCATCACCTCCTATTGACTTTTATAACAAGTTCATTAAGAAGGCGCTTCATCAATTTTCCCAAGAGTCTCTTTTCATCCTTTGTTATTCTCTTCATTCCCCTTTGCAGCACCCATTGTAGGGTCAGCTTTGTGGATTTTTCTCCTCTTTAATTGCCTGACTCTGCCAGCTGTTCAGTTGTTAATGGCTTTGCATGAGATTTGAGCAGTTCTCTGGCATCATTGTCATTAGTTTCATGAAATCTTGCATCATAGGCAAGATGTGCAATTTCACGTTGCAGTCAATATGCACTATACCTCCTTAACACTGCTGGATGTTCATGACATCTGATAATTGAAAGGGAGGCTGGCTGAGACACTGACCAGATGGGTGAGGATAGACTAGTGTTCAGTGAAAAGATGTATTTGCATGGGGATTAATTTTTAAAGTAGATAATTCACTCATTAATATTTTCATGCATTGATGGCATCCAAGCTCTACAGTGGATGCTCATCTTGATGTAGCCAACAGATTAGGAGTCAGAAGACCTGTGTTCCAGCTCCACCTCTGATCCTGATTTGCTGTTTAACATTGAGCAAGTCATTTCCTCTCACTGGAACTGTTTCCTCAACTGCAGACTGATGATACTGTACACATTCTAAGATCCTTCAACTTCTAAAAAGTCCACTATCCTGCAAACAATTGATAATAGGGGAGAGGGGTTGCCCCTTGAGTCCCTCTTCACTAAGAACCTCTGAAGGGGATGGCAGAAAACTCTGGACATGGTCCTTTGCTAAATCTGACTCTGGCTACACATTTTCATTTTGAGGATGCCCTCAATATCTTAGCAGCCAAGAAACTAATTAGATTTAATAAGAGACAAGGCTGCTAAATGAAAGTACATGAGAAATATCACAGTGCTAAAGATTAACACATGTTCTCGTCTGTCCTTATAACACAACCAGGGCCCTCATTTATCCCAGGATTTGTGACCTAGACAAAGAAAGAGGAATAAGGGCTCATTCATCTAGAATGAGTAAGAATTTCATCCCAAAGGAAGAAAAAGGAATATTGGCCCCATTTAGAAACAGACAATATATAAGTGTTAAAAAGTCAGTCTTACCCCATCACTACTCTAATTCTTAATGCCCATAAAGCTCCTAATGTTTGAAATGTTTCAATGGCTCCCTGCTACATTCAAGATATCCATCTATCAAGCATGGTGTTCAAAACCTTTCATGGGGTGTGGAGCCAAGATGGCCAAATAGGAACAGCTCCAGTCTACAGCTCCCAGCGTGAGCAATGCAGAAGACGGGTGATTTCTCCATTTCCAACTGAGGTACCGGGTTCCTCAGTGGGTGCAGGACAGTGGGTGCAGCACACCACGCATGAGCTGAAGCAGGGCGAGGCATCGCCTCACCTGGGAAGCACAAGGGGTCAGGGAATTCCCTTTCCTAGTCAAAGAAAGGGGTGACAGACAGCACCTGGAAAATCAAGTCACTCCCACCCTAATATTGCACTTTTCCAACAGGCTTAACAAATGGCACACCAGGAGATTATATCCCGCACATGGCTCAGAGGGTCCTACGCCCACAGAGCCTCACTCATTGCTAGCACAGCAGTCTGAGATCAAACTGCAAGGTGGCAGCGAGGCTGGGGGAGGGGCGCCCACCATTGCTGAGACTTGAGTAGGTAAACAAAGCAGCAGGGAAACTCGAACTGGGTGTAGCCCACCACAGCTCAAGTAGGCCTGCCTGCCTCTCTAGGCTCCACCTCTGGGGGCAGGGCACAAACAAACAAAAGGCAGCAGTAACCTCTGCAGACTTAAATGTCCCTGTCTGAAAGCTTTGAAGAGAGTAGTGGTTCTCCCAGCATGCAACTTGAGATCTGAGAATGGGCAGACTGCCTCCTCAAGTGGGTCCCTGACCCCTGAGTAGCCTAAGTGGGAGGCATCCCCCCACCCCAGTAGGGGCAGACTGACACCTCACGCGGCCGGGTACTCCTCTGAAACAAAACTTCCAGAGGAACGATCAGGCAGCAGCATTTGCGGTTGACCAATATCTGCTGTTCAGCAGCCACCACTGCTGATACCCAGGCAAACAGCGTCTGGAGTGGACCTCCAGCAAACTCCAACAGACCTGCAGCTGAGGGTCCTGTCTGTCAGAAGGAAAACTAACAAACAGAAAGGACATCCACACCAAAAACCCATCTGGACGTCACCATCATCAAAGACCAAAGGTAGATAAAACCACAAAGATGGGGAAAAAAGAGAGCAGAAAAACTGGAAACTCTAAAAATCAGAGTGCCTCTCCTTCTCCAAAGGAACACAGCTCCTCACCAGCAATGGAACAAAGCTGGAAGGAGAATGACTTTGACGAGTTGAAAGAAGAAGGCTTCAGAAGATCAAACTACTCCAAGCTAAAGGAGGAAGTTCGAACCAATGACAAACAAGTCAAAAACCTTGAAAAAAAATTAGACGAATAGCTAACTAGAATAATCAATGCGGAGAAGTCCTTAAAGGACCTGATGGAGCTGAAAACCATGGCACAAGAACTACATGACGAATGCACAAGCCTCAGCAGCCGATGTGATCAACTGGAAGAAAGGGTATCAGCGATGGAAGATGAAATGAATGAAATGAAGCGAGAAGAGAAGTTTAGAGAAAAAAGAATAAAAAGAAACGAACAAAGCCTCCAAGAAATATGGGACTACGTGAAAAGACCAAATCTACGTCTGATTGGTGTACCTGAAAGTGACGGGGAGAATGGAACCAAGTTGGAGAACACTCTGCAGGATATTATCCAGGAGAACTTCCCCAATCTAGCAAGGCAGGCCAACATTCAAATTCAGGAAATACAGAGAACGCCACAAAGATACTCCTCGAGAAGAGCAACTCCAAGACACATAATTTTCAGATTCACCAAAATTGAAATGAAGGAAAAAATGTTAAGGGCAGCCAGAGAGAAAGGTTGGGTTACACACAAAGGGAAGCCCATCAGACAAACAGCTGATCTCTCAGCAGAAACTCTATAAGCCAGAAGAGAGTGGGGAACAATATTCAACATTCTTAAAGAAAAGAATTTTCAACCCAGAATTTCATATCCAGCCAAACTAAGCTTCGTAAGTGAAGGAGAAATAAAATCCTTTACAGACAAGCAAATGCTGAGAGATTTTGTCACCACCAGGCCTGCCCTAAAAGAGCTCCTGAAGGAAGCACTAAGCATGGAAAGGAACACCTGGTACCAGCCACTGCAAAAACATGCCAAATTGTAAAGACCATCAAGGCTAGGAAGAAACTGCATCAACTAATGAGCAAAATAACCAGCTAACATCATAATGACAAGATCAAATTCACACATAACAATATTAACCCTAAATGTAAATGGGCTAAATGCTCCAATTAAAAGACACAGACTGGCAAATTGGATAAAGAGTCAAGACCCATCAGTGTGCTGTATTCAGGAAACCAATCTCATGTGCAGAGACACACATAGGCTCAAAATAAAGGGATAGAGGAAGATCTGCCAAGCAAATGGAAAACAAAAAAAGGCAGGGGTTGCAATCCTAATCTTGGATAAAACAGACTTTAAACCAACAAAGATCCAAAGAGACAAAGAAGGCCATTACATAATGGTAAAGGGATCAATTCAACAAGAAGAGCTAACTATCCTAAATATATATGCACCCAATACAGGAGCACCCAGATTCATAAAGCAAGTCCTTAGTGACCTACAAAGAGACTTAGACTCCCACACAACAATAATCAGAGACTTTAACAGCCCACTGTCCCACTGTTAACATTAGACAGATCAATGAGACAGAAAGTTAACAAGGATATCCAGGAATTGAACTCAGCTCTGCACCAAGTGGACCTAATACACATCTACAGAACTCTCCACCCCAAATCAATAGAATATACATTCTTTTCAGCACCACACCACACCTATTCCAAAACTGACCACATCGTTGGAAGGAAAGCACTCCTCAGCAAATGTAAAAGAAGAGAAATTATAACAAACTGTCTCTCAACCACAGTGCAATCAAACTAGAACTCAGGATTAAGAAACTCACTCAAAACCGCTCAACTACATGGAAACTGATCAACCTACTCCTGAATGACTACTGGGTACATAACGAAATAAAGGCAGAAATAAAGATGTTCTTTGAAACCAACGAGAACAAAGACACAACATACCAGAATCTCTGGGACACATTCAAAGCACTGTGTAGAGGGAAATTTATAGCACTAAATGCCCACAAGAGAAAGCAGGAAAGATCTAAAATTGACACCCTAACATCACAATTAAAAGAACTAGAGAAGCAAGAGCCAACACATTCAAAAGCTAGCAGAAGGCAAGAAATAACTAAGATCGGAGCAGAACTGAAGGAAATAGAGACACAAAAAACCCTTCAAAAAATCAATGAATCCAGGAGCTGGTTTTTTGAAAAGATCAACAAAATTGATAGACCACTAGCAAGACTAATAAAGAAGAAAAGAGAGAAGAATCAAATAGACGCAATAAAAAATGACAATGGGGATATCACCACCGATACCACAGAAATACAAACTACCATCAGAGAATACTATAAACACCTCTACGTAAATAAACTAGAAAATCTAGAAGAAATGGATAAATTCCTTGACACATACACTCTCCCAAGACTAAACCAGGAGGAAGTTGAATCTCCAAAAAGACCAATAGCAGGCTCTGAAATTGAGGCATAATTAATAGCTTACCAACCAAAAAAAAGTCCAGGACCAGATGGATTCACAGCCGAATTCTACCAGAGGTACAAGGAGGAGCTGGTACCATTCCTTCTGAAACTATTCCGATCAATAGAGAAAGACAGAATCCTCCCTAACTCATTTTATGAGGCCAGCATCATCCTGATACCAAAGCCTGGCAGAGACACAACAAAAAAAGAGAATTTTAGACCAATATCCTTGATGAACATTGATGCAAAAATCCTCAATAAAATATTGGCAAACCGAATCCAGCAGCACATCAAAAAGCTTATCCACCGTGATGAAGTGGGCTTCATCCCTGGGATGCAAGGCTGGTTCAACATACGAAAATCAATAAATGTAATCCAGCATACTAACAGAACCAAAGACAAAAACCACATGATTATCTCAATAGATGCAGAAAAGGCCTTTGACAAAATTCAACAACGCTTCATGCTAAAAACTCTCAATAAATTAGGTATTGATGGGACGTATCTCAAAATAATAAGAGCTACCTATGACAAACCCACAGCCAATATCATACTGAATGGACAAAAACTGGAAGCATTCCCTTTGAAAATTGGCACAAGACAGGGATGCCCTCTCTCACCACTCCTATTCAACATAGTGTTGGAAGTTCTGGCCAGGGCAATCAGGCAGGAGAAGGAAATAAAGGGCATTCAATTAGGAAAAGAGGAAGTCAAATTGTCCCTGTTTGCAGATGACATGATTGTATATCTAGAAAACCCCATTGTCTCAGCCCAAAATCTCCTTAATCTGATAAGCAACTTCAGCAAAGTCTCAGGATACAAAATCAATGTGCAAAAATCACAAGCATTCTTATGCAGCAATAACAGACAAACAGAGAGCCAAATCATGAGTGCACTCCCATTCACAATTGCTTCAAAGAGAATAAAATACCTAGGAATCCAACTTACAAGGGATGTGAAGGACCTCTTCAAGAACTACAAACCACTGCTCAGTGAAATAAAAGAGGATACAAACAAATGGAAGAACATTCCACACTCACGGATAGGAAGAATCAATATCGTGAAAATGGCCATACTGCCCAAGGTAATTTATAGATTAAATGCCATCCCCATCAAGCTACCAATGACTTTCTTCACAGAATTGGAAAAAACTACTTTAAAGTTCATATGGAACCAAAAAAGAGCTTGCATTGCCAAGTCAATCCTAAGCCAAAAGAACAAAGCTGGAGGCATCATGCTACCTGACTTCAAACTATACTACAAGGCTATAGTAACCAAAGCAGCATGGTACTTGTACCAAAACAGAGATATAGACCAATGGAACAGAACAGAGCCCTCAGAAATAATGCCGCATATCTACAACTATCTGATCTTTGACAAACCTGACAAAAACAAGCAATGGGGAAAGGATTCCCTATTTAATAAATGGTGCTGGGAAAACTGGCTAGCCATAGGTAGAAAGCTGAAATTGGATCCCTTCCTTACACCTTATACAAAAATTAATTCAAGATGGATTAAAGACTTAAACGTTAGACCTAAAACCATAAAAACCCTAGAAGAAAACCTAGGCATTACCATTCAGGACATAGGCATGGGCAAGGACTTCATGTCTAAAACACCAAAAGCAATGGCAACAAAAGCCAAAATTGACAAATGGGATCTAATTAAACTAAAGAGCTTCTGCACAGCAAAAGAAACTACCATCAGAGTGAACAGGCAACCTACAAAATGGGAGAAAATTTTCGCAACCTACTCATCTGACAAAGGGCTAATATCCAGAATCTACAATGAAATCAAACAAATTTACAAGAAAAAAACAACCCCATCAAAAAGTGGGCAAACGACATGAACAGACACTTCTCAAAAGAAGACATTTATGCAGCCAAAAAACACATGAAAAAATGCTCATCATCACTGGCCATCAGAGAAATGCAAATCAAAACCACAATGAGATACCATCTCATACCAGTTAGAATGGCAATCATTAAAAAGTCAGGAAACAACAGGTGTTGGAGAGGATGTGGAGAAATAGGAACACTTTTACACTGTTAGCAGGACTGTAAACTAGTTCAACCATTGTGCAAGTCAGTGTGGTGATTCCTCAGGGATCTAGAACTAGAAATACCATTTGACCCAGCCATCCCATTACTGGGTATATACCCAAAGGAGTATAAATCATGCTGCTATAAAGACACATGCACACATATGTTTATTGCAGCACTATTCACAACAGCAAAGACTTGGAACCAACCCAAATGTCCAACAATGATAGACTGGATTAAGAAAATGTGGCACATATACACCATGGAATACTATGCAGCCATAAAAAATGATGAGTTCATATCCTTTGTAGGGACATGGATGAAATTGGAAATCATCATTCTCAGTAAACTATCGCAAGGACAAAAAACCAAACACCGCATGTTCTCACTCATAGGTGGGAATTGAACAATGAGAACACATGGACACAGGAAGGGGAACATCACACTCTGGGGACTGTTGTGGGGTGGGGGGAGGGGGGAGGGATAGCATTAGGAGATATACCTAATGCTAAATGACGAGTAATTGGGGGCAGCACACCAGCATGGCACATGTATACATATGTAACTAACCTGCACATTGTGCACATGTACCCTAAAACTTAAAGTATAATAATAATAAAAAAAATAAAAATAAAAAAGAAAACGTGGCACATATACACCATGGAATACTATGCAGCCATAAAAAATGATGAGTTCATGTCCTTTGTACGGACATGGATGAAGCTGGAAACCATCATTCTCAGCAAACTATCGCAAGGACAAAAAACCAAACACCGCATGTTCTCACTCATAGATGGGAATTGAACAATGAGAACACATGGACACAGGAAGGGGAATATCACACACCGGGGACTGTTGTGGGGTGGGGGGAGGGGGGAGGGATAGCATTGGGAGATATACCTAATGCTAAATGACGAGTTACTGGGTGAAGCACACCAACACGTCACATGTATAGATATGTAACAAACCTGCATGTTGTGCACATGTACCCTAAAACTTAAAGTATAATAATAATAAAATTTAAAAAAAAACCTTTCATGATCTATTTTCTTCCAGTATCTTGGACCTTGTCACTATTTCCTGCTTCTTACTTTGGCATCGAGGGATTTTTGAAGCATTGCTAAAGCTAATTTTTTGCGTCAATGAAGGAGATGGCTTTGCCCAATGCAGTACTAAAACTCTCCTCTAAATAAATGACATTTACATTGAGTGATTTCCCACTTCCATGGTTGTGTTTCTGCTGAACTCAGAATTCTCTTTCCTACCTTCCGCCCAATTCTGCAGCCCAACTATTTACAGTTCCTTGAGCATGCTTACTTGCCCCAGCTTCCTTGCTTTTGCAGCTTCTGAGTCCTCCTCCGACAACACTTTATCAATTACAATGCATTTGACTGTAATTAACAGAATACCCAACTAAAAAATAGCTTAAATTATAAGGAACTTAAACTAGTTTGTTCAGCAGCTCAACAATGACATAAAGAACATTTCCACCTTTTCAATCCACTTGCTTCCTGTTGGCTTTTATCTTCAGGTGTTTCCACCCTTAGGGTGGCAAAATATTTGCCACAGCTCCAGGCATCACAACTCACACAACAGCATCCAAAGGCATTCAGAAGAGGACTTTCCCAGAGCTCCTGCCCTCACCAGAATTTCTCTCAAATTTTTACTGACCAAAAAGTTCTCAAACTTCCCAGGAGTAAAATTTATCAAGCCTTGACGCTCTCTCTGCTCCATTCCTAAATGTCTCCAGACCTTCCCCTAGCCTCCACTCTGATTTTGTTTATTACTTTACCAACATTTCCTGAGTATTAATAAGCACCAGGTACTCTGCTAAACACTCTACAAAACATTATCTTATTTAGCCCTTACAACAATTCTGTGAGACAAGCACTGTTATCCCCATTCTAGGGTTGAGAAAATCAAGCCTGGAAAGGTTAAGGGATACACACCTAGCAAGAGGCAGAGCCAAGATTCAAATCCAAGTCTGTCCAACACAAAAACCCAAGCTTTCAAACATTCTTGGTCCTCCTACTCCTGTCCCCTCTTGATGCTTTTTGCCCCTCAATTTCTCCTCCTCTTTTATGCAGAATTATCCCTGTCTGACAGATCCTTCCCCTCTGCTTAGCAAAATGTTCAGATCTTCCGTATGAGTAAAGAAAAAAATGAGAGCCATTTCCCTTCACCCTGTTCTCTCCTCAATCTATCAAACCTCTCAAAAGTACCGTCTTCACACCTACAGATTCCACATCCTCAGCATACATGTACTTCCCTTAATCTAGGATCCTCCCCATCTCCCCACTGAAACTGCTCTTCCCAAAGCTATCAGCAACCTCATGATAGCCACTCAAATGGCTTCTCCCCATGCTCCTTCCTTCTGGACCTGATTAATGGGCAGGGCAGTCAGGCAAGTACCCAGGGCTCCAGTCTATATAGGACTCTAAAATATCACTCTAATATCACAAAAGGAAGAAAATTGTGTTTACCAGAACTCCTTCCAGGGATAGTACAATGTGCTGTTGGAAAACAAATTTTGAGAAGTTACTTGGGGAAGGGCTGAGAGATCTCCCCAAAAGTCATGCTTGAGTGCTGGCAAATGATTTCTAACTGCCCCCTTTGAGGGTTGGTCACTTTAACTGCAGGGCTTTGGTTTTGCTGAATATGGAATGCAATCTGGGAGCCACAGCTCATTGTCTGGGTCAAGAGGGGAGAGGCCTTTGCCCCATGCAGTGCTCAGGCTGTCCTCTAAATCAATGCCAAGCAAATATTTAAAGAACATCAGTATGAAGTGTGCAAAAGTATTAGCCTGCTCTGGGACCCATATTTCTCAGTTTCTCAGTCTGAATCTCTCTGCTGTATATAATTTAGCCAATCTACTCGGTGGCCTGGTCTACTTCCTTCTGGGTTCTGGTACCCCACTGGTTATCCCTGTCTTTTTCTTCTTCTTTCTCTCTCTAACTCTCTCATATCTTCTGTGTTACTGTTTCCTCTGACTCTTCCTATCCCCACAACAAGGACATTTTCCCAAGCTCTAACTTCAGACTCCTCTCTCTACACTTTTTCTCTCCTGATCTCAGTCATTTCCATGTGTATTATTAGTTACCTACTGCTGCATAACAAAGTACCCCCAAAACTTAGTGGCTAAAAAGAACAAACTTTTCTTAACTCACACTTTCTTTGGGTCAGGAATCCAGGAGTGGCTTCTCCAGGTGATTCTGGCTCAAGGTCCCTCATGAGGCTGCAATCAGGTGTCAACCAGGGCTGCAGTCATCTCA
This sequence comes from Homo sapiens, assembly GCF_000001405.40. Taxonomy (NCBI): domain Eukaryota; kingdom Metazoa; phylum Chordata; class Mammalia; order Primates; family Hominidae; genus Homo; species Homo sapiens. The sequence goes on along the minus strand of NC_000012.12, from coordinate 118,655,241 downwards.
AGGTTTACTCGGGGAGGACCCACTCCCAAGCTCACTCAAATGGCTGTTCGCAGGCCTCAGGTCCTTACCACATGTGGCTCTGCACAGGACTGCATTACAACATTGCAGTGGGCTTCCATAGAGTGAGCAATCAAAGAGAACACAAGATGGAAACCCGTCTTTTTATAATCTAATCTCAGCTTGACATCCTATCACTTCTGCTGTATTCTCCACAATTAAAGTGAGTCAATAAGTCCAGCCCACACTCAAGGTTGGGGGAATTATACAAAGGCATGAATACCAGGAGACGAGGACCACTGGGACCTTGTTAAGGTCTGTGTACCACCCCACGGCTCTCCCATTTAAGAGGAGTCCTCACCTCTGTCATGACTTTTTATCTCTCCCTTCTATGCATCCCAACCACCTGCTAAATGATTCCATGTGGACATGAGAGATTGCTGCCACCTCATATTCTTCCTACTTCAAACCAACTTTTTTGTGATCCCTTAAAGCAGCCCAAGTTGCCTTTTCTCTTTCACTGATGGCAATGCTGTTTTGTTCCTGAAGTGTTAGGCCTCTGAATCATCCTTTATTCTTTAACAAAAATCATCATTGTCACTGTTTATTGAGCCGAGCCCTGCTATGTGCCAAGCACTTTCATAAAAATTACACTATTTAATTTTGGCAGCACTATGAGATGGATATTCCCCATTTTGCAGGTGAATGAACCCATTTTTCTTTCAAAGAGTAGATCTGGAGTCAGGCCCTGTTCTGTGCGCTGAGACACAGCAATGAACAAAACAGGCACAGTCCCTCAGGGAGCTGATACCCAAACAGGAGAATTCTAGTGTACAAAGTAGTTCACAACTGAGATCATGTGTTGTATATAGTTCACAACCAGGGCTTAGACCCAAACAGACTTAGGTTCAAGCCCCAGCTTAGCCACTTACCGGATGTGTGACTTGGGATGAGTTATCAAATCTTTCCAGTCCTCTATTAAGATAATAGTACCCACCTCATGCAGCCATTTTCAGTAGTAAATAAGATACCACAAGTAATCCACTTAGCACAGAGTCTAGCACACCAAGGTTACATAAAAGGAAGTTTGTAATGATGACAAATGATGATGATAGTGATATTGCCCAACTCACAGCAACGACAATAATTGCCAACACTTATGGACAACTGCCATGTGCCAGACTCTTTTCTAAGCCCATACATGCAAGAATTCACTTGATTCTCACATCATCTCTATTATCATCTCTGTTTTACAGATGAAGAAACCGAGGCACAGAGAGGTTAAGTAACTTGTCCAAGGACACAAAGCCAGCAAGTAGAAGAAACAGAATTTGAACCCAGGCAGACTAGCTTCGGAGCCAGGAACTTGTTAGAATTTTTGAAGACTCCCAAAAAACCCAGGGAATCCCAGTGGTATGTGTGTGTCTGTCTCTAAGTCTATGTGCATAATTGTGTATATATCTATTTGTGTGTGTGACTATGTAGGTGGGATTATGTGACTACACAAATGTATTAGACTGTGTATATGTACATGAAACCATGTGTAGGTCTATGCATGTGTGCAATTATGTATGTATGATTATGTGTATTTGTACATAGGACTACATATGTTCTATGTGTATGTGTCTTTGTATGTGGCTATATGTCTATGTGGATCTAGGTGTGTGACCGTGTATGTGGCTGTATATGTGGCTCTGTGTGTTCTACAGGTGTGTCTGTGTGAGTATATGCATGTTTTAGACTGTATGTATTTGTGTGTATGTACATGTACTCACACTGTGTTGGGAAGAGAGAAAGAAACTTACATTCTGTGTAACATTATGCATTCTCTTTGCACTTGGGCATGTAGCTTTTGGTTATGAGAATTCTTGCTTATTTTTCTTAAGCCCTCTCCTTATTCTAAAGTATGATCCCCACTTGTGGTTCAGGAAATCATGAAAAAACCCCTATTGGCAACATAGAACCTGTCTCTTAAGGGCTTATAAAAAGAACTCAAAAATTCACTTAAACTGATAAATTATATGGAGATTTTCTCAGTAAAGAAGACAAATAAATTATACAGTATTTCACTCTCCTCTTTCACTCTATATGTTTCTACAATATTACAGGAAGAACAGCTCTATGGAATGCAGGTTCTGCAGTCAGCCTGTTGGTGTCCTTCTATCTCCAGCCCCAAACTTGATGTCTTCATCACAACGGCTTGACAATTTGCAAACTCCTTCCCCACTGAGGATGTCCCCACTTGGAAATGACCAGTTCAGGCATTAACAAAACCCACCTTCCACATTCCTCCATCTTTTCTTCCTTTATATCTTACCTTAGGTTTTTCCCCTTCCGGATTTCCAACTCTCTCCCTCCCCCCGCTGTTCCTTCCTTTTATTTCCTATCTTTGCCCATAAAATTAGGAAGCAGTAGTGGTTAACAGCTAGGGATTTGGTGTCAGACTCATCTCTACCATTTACTACCTGTGTGACCTTGAGTATTTTAATTTCTCAGAGCCTCAGGTCCTTACTCTGAAAAATGAGGCTTATTGTGAGGATGAAATGAAATATGTAAGTATGGTGCTTAGAATCGTGCCTGGCACATGGTAAGCACTAAATTTCTATTAGAAGTGATTATTAAATTCACAATGAATCACCATGTGGACTCAATTTTCCTGAGTAAATGGTTTTACATCTGTTAAGAATAGGCCGCTAGTCAAGGGTGAATTTGGTCTGGCTTCATGCCATGGTTGAGAAGACAGAACCAGGTTGAAACATGACCTCCCCAACATACTGACTTTGTGACCTTGAGTGAGAGACTTAAACTCTCCAGGCATCAGTTTCTTCAGCTGTCAGATGGAGGCAATAACAGTCCCCACCTGCAGATCACGAGGTCAAGAGATCGAGACCATCCTGGCCAACATGGTGAAACCCCGTCCCTACTAAAAACACTAAAATTAGCTGGGCATGGTGGTGCACACCTGTAGTCCCAGCTACTCGGTAGGCTGACGCAGGAGAATCACTTGAACCTGGGAGGCAGAGGTTTCAGTGAGCCGAGATCACGCCACTGCACTCAGAGTGAGACTCTGTCTCAAAAAAAAAAAAAAAAAAAAAAGTAGTCCCCACCTCTCAGAAATGTTCAGAATCTGGTGCATAGCAAGTTCTCAATCAGCAGTTATTATTAGAATTGCAGTAGACCCTTCTCTTTACAGCCCATAAACTCCCCTTGTACATTTTTAGCCCTTCTCCCTCTCTCTGCTTAGTCTTGAACCCTCCTCACTTCCCATTGACAGACAGAACTAGGAAAGTTCACGTGAGTGTTTATTCAATACTGTATCTGCTATCTATTGCTGTCTCAAAAACCACTCCCCAAAATTCAGTGGCCTAAAACAACAACATTTATTTTGATCACGAATCTGCAATTTGATCAGGACTTGGCAGGGATGACAATTCTCTGCTCCATGCAGCATTGAATGAGGGAGGTCAACTGGGAGCTGGATGTTCCACTTTCAAGATGGCTCAATAACATGGCTGGCCAGTTGGTGCAGACTTTAGGCTGGGAATTCAGCCAAAGCTGTGGTCTGGGGAGCGTGGTCCCTCTCCACATGGGCCTCTCCACAGGCTGCTTGGGCTTTTGCACAGCATGGGTGGCTGTGTCCCAAAAGTGAATATCCCAAGAGAACAAGGAGGAATTGCATAGCATTCTTATGAAATAGCCTGGGATGTCATATAGCACCACTTCCATGGTATTCTATTGCTGAAGGTCATCTCAAAGGTCCACCCAGGTTCAAAGGGAAGGGACACAGACTCTTGATGGGGGAGTGCTAAGGCTCTGGAAAAGCATGTGAGATTGGATATATTGTTATGGTCATCTTTAGAAAATACAGTCTGCCATACTTAGCTAATTACTCTCTCACTCCCCTACCTCCCACCCTCCAAATAAAGCATTCTACGTTAAGTAGCTACCTTCTCCAAACAGCCTTGATTAGGTTAGAGCTAAAGAAAGTCAAGCTAGCAGCCTCACAAGCCACTAAACTGACTCCGTGTTCCTAGTTGGTTTAGATTTTCTGTGTGAATCCATTGGTTTGGGCAGCTTTGCCTCCATTTATCTGGTCATTTGCTAGAGATGATTCTGAGAAAGGTGGGTGGAGACAAGAAAATAATATCACAAATACTGTAGTCAAGCTCAACCCCTCAGTGAGGAATGTAAAAGTGGAGACCCAGGAAAGTGAACTGAAGTGAACCCAATCAGATGGGTTGGTGCCAGGACCTATAACCATCTCCTGATCCCAAAGTCAGTGCTCCTTGCATCTACTGCACTGCCTTGGGGCCTACGGAATTTTCATAACATGTTTATTTGCGGATAAGAACTAGCTAAAGGTTCAATGCAGGTGGCCATGCCCTGGCCAAGTCCCTTCTGACTGGGCAGCCTCAAGCAATCAGGTTTTATCCCATGCATGTGATGTGAGTTCGCCCTGCCATGGGACAGCTGATTGGCTTAAGTTTAATCACCTGACCTAAAGGCAGCCAATCCAGAGGCTGAGTACATAAGATGGAGCTGAACCAATCAGATTCTCTCTCTCAGGAGTGTGGCTTAAATGAAAGAAGGATCTGTCATGGAAGCTGAAGGAACAGAACAGAGACGGCGTGGTCGCCACGCCTGTAATCCCAGCACTTTGGGAGGCTGAGGCGGGCCGATCATGAGGTCAGAGTTTGAGACCAGTCTGGCCAACATGGTGAAATCCCGTCTCTACTAAAGATACAAAAAATTAGCTGGCACGTGCCTGTAATCCCAGCTACTCAGGAGGCTGAGGTAGGAGAATCGCTTGAACCCGGGAAGCGGAGGTTGCAGTGAGCCGAGATTGCGTCACTGCACTCCAGCCTGGGTGACAGGGCGAGAATCCGTCTCAAAAAAGTAAAAAGGACAGAACAGAAACTGAACAGGAACAGAAGCTGAAAAGTCACGAGGCAGAGTGTGACGGTTGGAGCCACCTCAAAAGTCTTATGCAAGCTGCTATTTAGATGAGCAGAAACGACGAGTTAGAGATGAAGCTGATAGTTCGCAGAGAAGGGAGTGAAACAGTCCCAAAATAGACACAAGGTGTGACAAAAAAGAAGAGGGAGAAGACCGTCACTAGAGCTACTTCATATTCTGAGAACTTCCCTTTCCAGTTCCAGAGACTTTACCATTAAACCCCTTTAATTTACACTGGCCTATGTCCTTTGCTGTCAGTTCACTGCCTTACCTCTCTAAAACATGTAGATAGGATTCACCCACTTCACAGATAGAGAAACTGAAACCCAGAAACATTCAAGATCACACAGCCATTGAGTGGCACAACCGAGCCTGGAGTGCAGAGCATATAGGATGCCTGAGCCCTTTCTTTCATATCTTCTTTGAAAGGTTGTCCCTCTTTGATATGTCCCACTAGTTAGCATCCTCACCACCATCCCTTCCAGGGACTTGTTTCTTGGAGGCTGCCACGAAGTTTGTTTTAGCGACAAACCTGTCCTTGACAGATGACTTTGCCTTGGGATGCCATCTCCCCGATGGAATTCTTTGATTCCACCCCTTCCTCAAGCTGAGTTAATTGCCAAGACTGTGGGGGAAATTACACCACCTCCTCGGTTCACCCAGCAGGACACCAATCCTTAACAAGGCAACTTTCTGACAAAGTATGTTAGATGCCCTCAGACAAAACTTTCCTAGCAGGGGATTGGAGAAGGAGAAAAATTAAAGGCAGAATAGAAAGTGGTGGGGGAGAGAGAGAGAGATTTCTTTCCATTGATCTCTTTGCCAATGAGAAGTCTTTAAAAATCACTTTTTAGCTGTAGCCCTCAGATGCATGAGCTGCTATGCTGACAGAAGAGGGAAAAAAATCAAACTCTGAATCAGATCAAACTGTGATCTTTCATTCTGAACAGGCAGCCATCTTGGCAAATGGAAAATTAGAAATTCAAACAAAAGGAAGAGGGAATATCTGAGGTAGAGTTGGCCTTGGGCAAAAATTGTGAGGTTGGTAAGTCTGACTTCAGAACTCGACAGTGCCCCATCCTCTCCCTGCTTCCCGCCCTAGGCAGATTCTACCTTGAGTTAGGTGAGGAAAAGAGAAGCATGGCTTTGCCTCCCTCCCAGCTTCTCCTCCTAATTCCTGGTGGACCTTTTTTGACTTGTCTTATTCAGTCTTGGTGTTATATGTCCTATTACTGTTTTGTACTGACAGCAACTGCCTAGAAGGGGCTAACTGATAGTTAAAACAGTTAATTAAATAATAAATGAAATCTAAGCTGTAGATATACCCTCCTCACCATGGATATTTGAGATTTGAAAGAGAGAGCTTCAGAAGTGCCCAAATTCTTCAAGGCATAAAGACTGTTTAATGGAGGAATAGCAGATAGTGCAGTGATTGAGGGGTGTGGTGGATGCCACCGCATGCTGCCAAGACCCCCTGCTTAGAGACGAAAGACTTATTATCCTAACTTCTGGAGTACTTTTGGAAAAGTGTCCTCTGCAATCAGCCCCTTCTTGCTTCAGCTGAAGAGAGCTATCTCATCCAAGCTACCTCATCCAAGGTCATGCCCCCATCTCTGGGCAGCCTGCATCCAACTACTAATTAACAGAGGGTATACAGACCCAGCGTTTTTGCTGAGACAACTTCAGTGACAAGTATGAAGGATCACCGCATTTTCAGAACTCCCCATAACTTTGGCTGAGGTTTCTGTTGAGACTACATTGCAGCTGATTTTCTTTTTTCAATCCTGCTTCCTTCCCTTCCCCCAGTAAGTACTGATTCCAAAAGCTCTCCTTAATAAACCTCTGGCCTGGCAATCCCCAACTCACAGTCTGCCTCCCAGGGGTATCCAACCTACAGCAGGGTAGTAGAAAAGCCTAACTGGCAGAGCCAACATTCTACTGTTTGGAAATGGTATTTCCTGGAGTTGGGCAATCCTGAAGCCCTGCTTCCTGTCAGTGCCTTAAATCATACCATTCATCCCATAAGCATAAATGAGTACCTGGCTATTTACTCTATGGACCTCTAAGATTGGGCTTTCCAGGTTCCTGATTCCTTCACTGTGGCCCATTATTTCCACTCAGGGTTTCCAATATGCTTTCTCTGCATCCCTATACGGCTTGCCAAGCTACTGCCCCACATCCTGATACTTCTCCCAATCTAGTCTTTAAAATGTGCATGTTGTATGTTTGCCATCATTGGGTAAGTCTTTACTCGGCCTCCATTTCCTCATCTATCATGTGACAGAGGCTGATGATTATCTACCAACATCTATTATCTTCTCCTTCCTTTCCCAGAGTATATGGTCAACCACCCAGATATTTCTCAACCTGCCTCCCAGTGAGGTGCCATGTAACTACATTCTGGCCAATGACATGTAAGTAGGAGAAACTACATGGTGTATGTAACTTCTATATTGTGTACCTAAAAGCAAGCTGTTTTCCTTCCATATTTCTTTTCTCCTTTCTGCTGAATAAGAAATTGCAAGTGGAACAGCTGCTTTAGATCCATAAATGAAAGCCAGCTTCAGACCACCAAACTCTGCCAGTTAACAAGAGAGAAATAAGCTTCTATCCTGTTTAAGCCATTGTATTTGGAAGCCTCTTGGTGGTAGCATTTTTGCATGCTATTATGAGCAATATGTGTAAAAAGGAGTTAATAACCCTTACAAGCTTCCTAACATCTAATTACCTTCAATGAGCATTTCTTTATCCTATTCCTAGTGAACCTCATCTCTAGAAATAGGGGTTTGAAAAAAAGGGATCTCAAGAGATACAGAATGACACAAGGAAAGATCCTGAGTTCAGTGCCCAGATAAACCTGAGTTCACCCTGCACAAGCTCTGTAATCCAGGGCCAAGTAACTTAACCTTTCTTTGCCTTTGTTTTTTTCATCTGTAAAATGTTGATAAGAATTGTAGTTACTTCATAGGATGGTTGTGAAAATCAGATGAAAAAATGTATGTAATATGCTTACATAAATGCCTGTTATGTGACAGTTTCTAATTTTGTATAAACAGACTCTCATTCAAGCCTGGCTGTTATTATTAGACAGGCTGCTTTGCCTAAGTGACATGATTATGTGCTCTGGAACCAGGCAGTCTGGATTAGAATCCAAGATCCTCCACATGCAATATATATGAACTTAAGTAGGTTATTAAAGCGTTCTAGGTCTTAATTTCCACCAGAAATTATAATAGTATCTACTGCATAGGTTTTTCATAAGGATTGAAGGAGTTTGTAATTTTAAAGCTGTAGTAGAGTGACTAGTAGATGGTAAGATTTCAATGCATTCTATCTTTTGACTACGTTTATCAAAGACTCCCTTCAGGGCTGACATACTAGGACTCTCCTCACAAAAGTAAAAGGCAACAAAAGTCCTAACCGAAGGATACTGCACAGTACAATGCTCTATGAAAAGTTAGATTTGCCCTCCATAATGTGTCATTGGTTGAAATTCTCATTATTGGAGTCACACCTTTAAATTAAGGTGTGTTTTAATTTAAAAAATTCTAGCCCCAAGCCAAAATATATTAAGAAAAAAAGAGGCTTCCTGACCTATTTGACAACTCATCAGAAATCTTCTCAGCCATTTATTCATTTAAACACTTTCTAAGCAGCTATAAGCATAGCTCAAGCCTCTCAAGATACAAAAAAAAAAAAAAAAAAAAAAAAACTTAAAAAAGGAGTTTCCCAAGACTATAAGCTCAGGTTGTAAAGAAAAAGGGCAATGGCAGACACTATTAATCAACTCATCAATACTTATTCTCCTTCTTTGTTGATAACAAAATCAAATTTTGTTTGGAAGAGTAAAGTGCCAACTCTAGGTGGTGGGTTGTGATTGGTCTCAGTTGATCATGACAATCTTGTTTATGATTCCCACCTTCTCTTGCAGCTAGAGATGGTCATGTGACCCAGGTATAGCCAACAAACATAAGCAAAAGTCTACTAAGGATGCAGTCCTCAGAAAACATTTGCATTTCTGAAAAGAGGAGACAGAAGCAGCTGGTGTGATGTCTCTGCCTTTTCCCTGTTCCTCTTCTTTCCATCTTGAATATATATGAGACATCTGACACTGAAGCAGCTATTGCATGACCTTGAGATAACAAGCATCAGAGAAAGGCTGAGGAAAAAAACAGCCTGACATTTCCAAGCCATTCACTGAACCAATACTAGCAACAATCTACCTCCTGAATTCTTGTTAGAAGCTACTATAGATGTGTTTTACTTGCAGCTCAATGTATTCCCAACTTTATAGATCCTTCCACAGAATTTGGAGCTGTAGCAGGCAGATCAAGATAGGAGGTTCCAAGGTCACACAGGAGGATCTTCTTGTATCCAAGTTGTGAGGATGATATGGAGGGTAAGATGAAGAGGGTGCTAAAGCAGAACCACTTCTATTTCATTATTATACTTGTGACCACCATTTAACTCAACCCAGTCTCTGGTGAATTTCCCTATTGTGGATCTAAGTGGCTTATTGATGATCCTATGGGGTACAATTCACCTAATAGCAGAGAGACTATGTGGTTTCTGCCCTCAAATAATAGCTCTGCTCTATTTGGACAGCCACTCCCCGAGCCCACAGCTTTTTCTTTCCTATCATTTCTGTTCTAGCACATAGCAATTCTGTCCCAAAGGCTTCCTGTGCCTTTTCAACTCTGCAATCACACAGCAGTTGGTAAGACCTATTAATATTTCAACTTGTTTTTTTCAATTGCAGGGCCATGACACTCATGGAACACAAACCATCTATTTGTCTACCACAAAATGCACCCAAGTGTCTCAAAGTGCCCTTCTGGTTACAAAATGAGACACTGCTTCAGGACCTTGGAGAGCGCCCTTCCAGGTTAACACAAGGTCAATATCTCCAGGACCTCCCTGAGATCCACGGGATGGCATTTTCTCTTCTTGACATTAGCCAGAAAAAAACAAAACAAAAAAACAAAATTAAGCAAACAATATGGGCTGGCGTGAGAAAATAATTTATTTCACTTGAAATATGGCAATCTTCCTCAGAGGGAGTTTGGAGGAAAATGTTTATATTTAGCAAGATTAAGACAATAATAATTCACTAAGTACTTGCTATATGCCAGAAATGTAAGACATTGTTGTCATTTTATGTATGCAAAAGCAGAGGATTAATAAGCTACCATATAATACACTTCCTAAATGCCAGACACTCTGCTAAGATATATATACAGATATACTCCATATCTACAAATGTAGTGCTACAATAAATCTCTTCACCACAATCCTATGATGTTACACTGACATACTTTGCTATGTGGATCTATTCAGTTCCTGACTTTGAAGAAAAATGATTTAGACAGTGAAAGATACTTATATTATTGGCCCCATTTTATGTGAAGAAATTGAGGCAGGTAGTACATAGCTCTGAATAGCAGTAACAGAATTCAGTTGAGGCAATCTAGTCATAACTAAGGTGACTATTTAATTTACTGTGCAAAAATGGCATTCTTCTAGACAACCCACAGATTAGGAGAAAATGTTCGCAAACTATCCATCTGACAAGGGATTAATAACCAGAATATATAAGGAGCTCAAATAATAGCAAAAAAAATCTGATTTTAAAATGGGCAAAAGATCTGAACAGACATTTCTCAAAAGAAGACATACAAATGGCCAACAGGTATATGAAAAAAATGCTCAGTATCACTAATCATCAGGGAAATGTAAGTCGAAACTGCAATGAGATATCATCTCATCTCAATTAAAATCGCTTGTATCAAAAAGACAGGCAATAACAGATTCTGGCAAGGATGTGGAGAAAGGTGAACCCTCATACACTATTGGTGGGAATGTAAGTTCATACAGCCACTGTGGAAAACAGTATGGAAGTTTCTCAAAAAACTACAAATAGAACTACCATGTGTTCCAGCAATGTTACTACTGGGTATATATCCAAAAGAGAGGAAATCAGTATATCAAAGAGATATCTGCACGCCTACATCTATTGCAGCACTATTCACAATACCCAAGATATGGAATCAAGCTAAGTGCCCATCAACGGATGAATGGGTAAAGAAAATACGGTGTCTATGCACAATGGGATATTATTCAGCCATAAAAAATGAAATTCGGTCACTTGCAGCAACATGGATGGAACTGGAGGTCATTATGTTAAGGGAAATAAGCAAAGCACAGAAGGACAAATTATCACGTGTTCTCACCCATATGTGGGAGCCATAAAAGTGGATTTCATGAAGAAGAAGAGTAAATTGGTGGTTACCAGGGGCTGAGAAAGAGAAGGGTAAGGGGAGGGGATGAAGGGGAAAAAACGACTATAAATATATTTATTACCACCGAACTGTACACTTAAAATTGTAAAGATGGTACATGATATGTACATATTTTACCTCAATAAAAAGAAATTAAAATCAAAACAAAAGAAATAGCATTCTTCTGAATATGAAATGGGTGCTGTTAATGATAAGGCCAAAACAGCAGATGTGAATTAGGACTTTCCCAGGTAAACCAGAAATATATAGGTCACTCCAGTTGTATAAAATGACATGAAATAATGTATTTAAGGCATTTACCCTCAACCTTGAAACAGTATGTGCTCAACATGTTTTTGCTGTTTTTATTACCCACCTCTCAGAGGCAGTGTGAGGCCCTCATGAGATTAAAGGTACAAAGTGATCAAGGGATACATAGCATCACCAATGTTTTCTTAACATTGCTTCCTCCATTCTGTCCTCTTGTTTTCAAAGGAAGCATCAGTTCTGGCACATGACACCTGCCCCATCTGAACTATGCAGAGCCAGAAGACCATAAGATGACTCAACGTCTGCCTGCCTCAGGTTGACTGATGGCAAACTAGTGAAGTGCTGAATTTGGCTCAAATGCCCGTCTGCCACATGCTAGGAAAGAAGCGTGGGTTTCTGGAGCAGCCATTGATGTCTGTCTGACTGTCTGATGTAAGCTAAATTCAGACTGGCAATCAATGAAGACTCCTCCAGAGACCTCATTTTTACAGGTTCTCTTAGCTCACCAGCATGTCATTTTGCAGTGGTGAGACCTTCATTCAGAGCTTTGGCTCCCGTTTATAAGCAACTGTCTGAAGTTTCCCCAGTTCTACTTCCACTCTCCGTCATGTTTTAAATCACTTCATCTTATAGACAAGGTAAACATGTTATCAATGGCCACTTTTCTCAAGGTGGAACTAACAGATGTGAACTTGCGAAATTGTGGGAAATCTAGACAGAGCACGATGGCTCCAAAAGTCTCCAATCTGACACCCTGAATTTACAGATTAAGAAACCAAGACTCAGAAAGAGAAGAAACTTGCCTAATGTCATGTGCAAATTATTTTTGTATTAGAATAGGGGTTGACAGTAGGACTCTGGAGTTAGGCTGTTTGGATTCAAATTCTATCTCCATTACATTCAAGTGACTTTATCTTTCTATGCCTCAATTTTCTTAGCTAAAAAATGATACTAATAGCAGCACCTACCTCCTTATATTATGATGAGGATTAAATGAGAGAGTGAACATAAACTCCTTAGCACAGTTCCTGGGGTTTAGAATAAGCATCGTATAACAGTTGCTTTTTATTATTATTTCTTAAACTATAGTGACAGGATCTCACTCTATTGCCCAAGCTGGAATGCGCTGGTGTGATTATCGCTCACTGTGGCCTCTAACTCTGGGGATCAAGCAATCCTCCTCCCTCAGCCTCCTGAGTAGCTGGAATAATAGGTGTATGCTACCATGCCTGGCTTGCTTTAAATTATTTTTAATATTAATGGAGCTGATACAAGATTTCAGGTCTCTTAGTAAGAAAAAAAATGTGAACTTTTCCAGGTCTCATTTCCTCATGCATTCTTAAGAAAAAGGGCATTTAAAAAAAAAAAAAAAAAAAAAAAAAAAACAGAGGGAATTTTTTTAGGGCTTTAGATTTTAAAATGTTTTTCCTTTACAGCGTTTAATGCTCTCAATGTAATGAACTTGACCAGGATTTCTTAAACTGTATTTCTCAAAATAGTGGTGTCCTTCAAAGCTAAAAATTCCTTGAAATTCCTAGTTTGGTGGTCATACAAGTTTGAGAAATACTGGACCTTCTATCTCCCTTTCCTTTGGTGATCCATAATGCACATAAACATATTAAAGGTCTGAGAAGTCCTCTAAGAAAGAAGTTGCATGATGTTATTTAAACTAGCATTTCCCAAATATATTTGACCTTAAAATTATTTTGAATACTCCTACTGACACTGGTATCCCAGGAACATGGTTTGAGAAGCTCTGAATTAAAGTTTTTTGAAGTCTTCCCCTCAAAATCAGAAGCCAAGTCATGTCATCTGACATTCCACAGCTTCTCAACTTGACAAAAATTCGTTCCAGCCAATAACCCATATCTGACATCTTCTGCCCAACTTCAACCCCCCAGGCAGCACTGAGTCTTAACCACATTTGTCCAACTTTATTCTGTCCCGGCCCCTCAACCATGTAGCCACGGCTTATTAGACCAGAGGTGTACAACTAACTGAGGATGAACCAATCAGTTTCTACCCCAAGAAAGTCTAGCTTAGGTAGGTATCCCTCCTCTAAAGTTAAAGTTCTTGCTGCTGGAGACCCAGAAACTATTCTGCTTCTAACTTCTCAAACTCTCCCCATGTGTTGGCAAAGATAATGAACAACAACTCCAGGCCTACCTTTGATTCCTCACTTGCCACGATTCCAAGAAAAGTCTGAGAATTGAGTTTTGGCCCTGATTGGCCCCACCTGGGTGACTTACTCATCCTGAACCAATCACATAGGACAATAAATATGTGGCTCTGATTGGCTGGGCGTGAGTCACATGACCCTTCCTGGAGCCAGGATTGACCAAAAACACATCTGAATCTCACAGGATTGTAAGTATGGGAAGAGTTGTTCCTCCAAAGGACGATTGAGGTCCTGTGACCACAAGAAGGTGGAATATATTGTAGGCAGAAAAAATACAAATATCTACCACTCCCAAGTCCATATTATGATTGTTTTGGGTCTTGGGCACTTTTGCCTCCCTGAGTCCCTTCCTCCATTAAGAAAAGTCTGGCATATAACTGTGTTGGTATGAAGACAAATATAATCCGGCTGGATTATATTCATATTTTACTTCTGATTTTAAAAGAAATTAAAACGTTTTTAAGGGCCCCTAAAAGTGTCATGGGCTCTAGGCAATGCACTTACTATCCCAATGGATAAATCAGCCCTGACCAAACCTGCTCTCTGAAGGAAACAATTGAAGCAGCTACCTGTGTTAAGTGGTCAGCAAGTATTCTTCCTGTACCTGCCTTGTGCGTCATCGTCCAGCCTGTCCTGAGAGCTCATGAGGAGGGACAGCCAATTCTCCTGCAGAATTGACTTAGAGAAAAGGGAGAGAGAGAGCAAGTAATTTATGAGAGAAACCAAGTAAATTATGGGCTCCTTAATAAGCATAATCTTCCTGCTAAGGGGTTTATCTGCCATCTGCTTCCAAAGTTCATATGTATTAACTGCCCAGTCTCTTAAGGGTACAGACAGCCCCTTTCACAGATCTCTCACATGCTGTAAACCAACTTATATTCGTGGTTGTTACTTTTAGGATTACAAGAAGTCAGTAAGCTTTTACTTTTTTTTTTTTTTTTTTTGAGACGGAGTTTTGCTCTTGTTACCCAGGCTGGAGTGCAAATGACGCGATCTCAGCTCACTGCAACCTCCACCTCCCGCATTCAAGCGATTCTCCTGCCTCAGCCCCCCGAGTAGCTGGGATTCCAGGCATGCACCACCACATCCGGCTAATGTTGTATTTTTAGTAGAGATGGAGTTTCATTCACCATGTTGGCCAGGCTGGTCTCAAACTCCTGACCTCAGTGATCCACCCGCCTTGGCCTCCCAAGGTGCTGGGATTACAAGTGTAAGCCACCATGCCCAGCCACCTTTTACTTTCTTTTTTGAGAGTTTAAAGAGCAATGAACAAAGGTGAATGTTTTTATGGAGAGGAAAACCAGAGAGAGAGACAAGCTGAAAAGGATTCTGACTGCTTTGGAGCCAGAAGCCTTAAAGGGACTTTCCAAAGTTAGCTGGGAAATCTATTGCCCCTAGCAATTTGCCCCAAACTGCTCTGGGCACAGGGTCACCATTCAGTATGGTGTTGTGCACACATTTCCCATTTGCTTAACATGTTGATTATTTTTGCCATATGTATGTAATCAACTGAACCATTATTTACTAAGCTTTTGTTTAATTTAAACCAACTCACGTTTATCCACATAGCCTCATTCTGAGCAATATGATTTATGAGATCAAAAGCTTAATGAACCAGTTGCATTTTTTCTGACACATTTAATTAAAAATTAACTAGTCATATAGAAAACATTTGTAGGTGCACAGCTTAAAGCCTTCATAAGAACCCCCAATCATATGCACATTCCTGGTAGGATATCTGCCACTAATTAGCTGCATGATCTTAGCCAAGTCACTTAACCTTTCTGAGTTTCAGTTTCCTGGTCCACTTCATGGTTAATAGGCTATGATTCTGAAATTCCAGAGATATGTTTAGGTAGTTGAACTTGGCATGACTGTGTTCCATTTTTCCCCACTTTTCTACTTTTTAACTGAGCATTAATTTTAAAATGAGGGGGTAATGGGCATGGTGGCTCACGCCTGTAATCTTAGCACTTCGGGAGGCCAAGATAGGCGCATCACTTGAAGTCAGGAATTCAAGACCAGCCTGGCTAACATGGCGAAAACCCATCTCTAGTAAAAATAGAAAAAATTAGCCGGCCGTGGTGGCGGGCACCTGTAATCCCAGCTACTTGGGAGGCTGAGGCAGGAGAACCACTTGAACCCAGGAGGCAGAGGTTGCAGTGAGCTGAGATCATGCCACTGCACTCTAGCCTGGGCGATACAGCAAGACTGTATCTCAAAAATAAAATAAAATAAAATAAATAAGGGGAAGCCTATATAAGCTTTGAAAATAGATGTATCTTGAACCACTCTTTTTACCTGTATTCTCTGTACTCCAAATCTACTGATTTACCCCAAGATTCCTGTCTACCCAAGCTCCTTGAAAAGCTCAGAGGCTTTGCACATGCTATGCTTTCTGGATGCAACACTCTTCCTGCGATACTTAACACTTACTCATTCTCCACATCTCAGCTCAAATGTTCCTTGCTCAGGGAAGTCTTTCCAACCTCTTACCGCTACTTCTACATAGGCCAGGTCTTCCTATTAAATGCTTCCACATCATTCTGTACTCCAGCAGGTAAATTTTTTTTGTAAATTTCAGGTTATCACTTCATGAATGCCTGGCCTCCTCAACAGACTATAAGTTTTTTAAGGGCAGGAATATCATATGCTTTCCTTGCCATTGTGTTACCACGAATTTCTATAGTGTCTGGAACACAGTAGGCACCCAGTTTATTGAATAAATGAAATTTCCAGGAGAGAGTAATTGTAAAATTTAATATAAATACTTTTTTATCGGGGGTGGAGGGCAGTAACCTGTTCTAGAGTGTTTCAACCTTTCAGTCACAAGATTGATTTTAATGTTTTGTCTAAATTCTTTCTTACTCTTGGCAAAGAAAACACTTCACAAATAGAGTTATACCTGAATTCTGTAGTCTTTGAGAGCCAAGGAGAAGTTACAAGCTGCTTCTCTGATGGAGCTCTGGAATTTCCTCCCACTCCTTACACAAGGCAAACCCAAATGTTCTTGATGCCTGTTAATTGCAAATGAAGCCTACTGTTACCTGGTTCAAACCAATTACCTACAAAGCTGGTCAAAAACGTTCAGATGGTGGTGGTTTAAGAACAAAGAGGAAGAGAGAACATTATTTGAGCAGCAAGTAGCCAAGCAAAATCCATCATGGTTAATTATTTGCTCTTAATTGTCAGGAAATGAAGGATAGATGGAAGAGGGTTTAAACGGAATAATACTGAAAGTGTTCTACCCAAATGCTGTAGCCAAATTTGCAAGTGAGACTTTTCATAATCCACGGGTTGTTAATTATCTAAGCACGGGTCCCTCAGAGCTGCCTGAGTGAAGATTAATTAGTTTTTGAAATAATAGCTAAATTGATGCAGGGAGGGAGTTCAGACTCCAAAATAATGGCTGAAAATTTGCCATCCTATTTCTTCATTTTTCTGTGCTGGGCTCCTAGAGGACATTTATCTCCGTTGCTTTTGCAGAAAAGGCTCATTAGTCACACAGGCAGATGGCCCTTCCTAAATTTGTGACATGGAATGAAAAAGTGGCCCTGAAAAGCACACAGGGGAAAAAAACGCTGGTGACTTGCTGCACAGACTTTCTTCCAAACTCAGTTACAGCCAGACGCTTTCTTCCCAACACATGCATGGCAAGGCACAAACCTCGAAACTCTATTCTTTTCTCCTGGACTGGAAAATGGGCCTGTGGATGGAAAGAGATTCTTATGAATCCACAATTCAGCCCAAAGACTGGATTTTTGACTCAGAGAATTTATACTAGTTTTGTAGGTAGAGTCCTCTGAGATCATGGGAAACACACCTCAAAATGGTCCCACCAGAGACTGGGGCATTTGGGATAAATCCCCATTAGGGATTGGGATAAAACAATCATTTACCCAATAATTTCCCTTCCCCGAGTGGCCGAGTGTTGCCCACCTGGGCATTAACTCTGAGAACCCTTCTCCCTGCTGCCAGAGGAAGCTCTTGGGCAGAGAAGACAAATGCAGGTGGAAACTGTCCATAGCTGCAGGTAGTTTCAGACAGGCTGAGGAGGATACAGGATGGCACACCAACAACATCTGCTACAGCAGCCATCCCCCAGAGCAGGTGAAATGGGTATATGAGAAGTCTGGTATGACTGTCCAGACAGACCATGATATATTATTAAGTTGTGGACACAGGAAACACATAGCAGTTTCCACAGTTAGCCCCTAAATTGAAGTGAGAAGGATAGACCCTTCAAAATACATCACTAACTTGAAATTAAGCTGATTCCTATGAGCAACTCTGTGCAGTGTGCTTTAAAGAGGACACAGATGGGATTTATTTATGGAGTAATGATTAGAGATTCCAACAATGAAGTCTGGAGCATGGGGGCAGTTGGTACCTAATATGTGACCATATCCAAAGAAATATCCCCTGTCCTAATTATAGCCACTGGGCTCTGTCTTTTCCCTCCTACCCTAGAACTTGAGCTGAGCCCACTTTGTTTTCCTACCTTATTCACAAGCTCTAGTATTAGCTTGGATTTGGTTTTCCCAGAAAAAGCCAGAGAGGGAGGATTCAAATAGTTTATGTGATAGGTGATCCCAGGAAAGTGGATGTCATTGGTTGGGCTTTCTGGGAAGCAGGCTAAAAAAGTTAGCATATGGGATGTTTCTTAAAGAATGTACTTGGAATCAACACTCGTGGAAAAGAGCAGAAGGTAGTAGGGATGGGCAGAGAGAGAAGGTGAGCCACAGTGCAGGCTGTGCAACCCTACAGGGAGCTCTGGAGCTAGAACAGACCTTCAGAGTTGTCCCAAATTTGACTGGGATGGTTAGGGCTTTATAGCCCCACCTCGACTAGTCAGTGGATGTGGGCTTCCCCAGAACACAATGTGTCCTTGGACAAAGCAGCTCTCTGTAGATGAGGCAATGCCAAAAGGGACAAACAGCTGAAGTTAATCCACCAGCAACACTCCCAGCAGCTGGGCAGCAAGTTCATCAGTGATGGGGCATCTGGATGGTGCATCACAGTACCCAGCACATTAGGGATTGGGATAAAACAATGATATGAAATAAGCCAATAAACCGTGTACTATTGAGCAGATTACCGCTGTGGGCAATCAGAGTTATCCCATCTGTGCTAGCAAGGGAGCTTGTGTATTTATCCACCAACTCTCATCAGGTATTGGTTGAGAACTAATTCGGAGGAGCATTAACTCTCTGGCATTTCCTGAGCACAGGGCCATTAGGTTCCTCCAGTCACTGGCAAAAGCCATCAGGCAGAAACACAGGCACTGGCTCTTGGAAGCCTTAGGCCAAGAGTGCACAGAATGGTGAAAGCCAAGGGCATATGGTTGGGCCATCAGGAATATCAACTAAAGCACAAGACTGCTAACCAAGAACAACCCTAAGAGAATTGTTTTTCTACCACACAAAGCAGCTCTGACTACTCTCTGCACTGCCAAATTTATTACAGCACTCAGGGAACCATTCTTTGGTCAAACCGCAATTAGGAATGATCTACCTAAAGTACAAAACAGAACATGTCACTCCTGCTACTTAAAACCCCATCCTACCTCCAACTGTAATACAAGAAGAAGTGCAAATTTCTTACCCTGGCTGAAAAGGCCCACCTGGTCCCTTTCTGCCTCTAAACCATGATCTCTTCTCACCTTACTCTGTCTGACCCACCCAGTTATACTCAATTCATTTATGTCTTTCAGAGTCACCATGTTCTCTTTCTTCCTGGCCTTTGCATAGGCTGTTCCCCTTGCTTGTAATACTTTTTCCCCACTCTCCCATACTCCTATAGCTCTCTCAGGTCTCAGCTTAGTGGCTCTTCTTCCAGGAAGCCTTCTTTGTCCCATAGGTTGGGTGGATACCCCTTCTTTACAATCCCATAGCACCATGGATTTTCCCACTGGTAGTATTCATATATGGCATTGTATTTTCTTGTTGCTGACACATCTGTCTCCCCCAGTAGACTCTGAGCTTTGCAAGGGCAGAGACCATGACTTGCTCACCAATATGTTGTTAGTACCCAGCACAAACACCTGGCACATGGTAGTTAATAAATTGTGGTTGCATAAATGTGGGGTAAAGGTTAGTGAACTTTGCCCCATACCCACATTACGTGATGCCCTAAACCCCTCCCAATTTGATCCAGTTCCAGTTCTGGCAATCACTTTGATGTAATATAGACAATTTCACCATGGACCATGGAGGAAGTCTTTGCTGTGTGGTGTAGCGATGGGATCATACTTTTCATACCTGCGTATCAAGAAAAATCTGATATTTGGGATCTCAAGAGGAAAGACACAATGATTCAAGGAAGAAAAGGCTTCTAAAACAAAATCATGGAAGTGAAGTGTATGGAGGGATAGATGTTCCAAAAAAAGAGAAGGTGTGATTAATCAAGAAGGAAGAATGTGAATTTAATGAGGTCTCTGTGGTGGCTGAGGTGCAGAACTCATCTTTTACAGCTGCCATCCCTAGAGAAATGGATATGATAAATCAGAAATCTGGAATCATTATCAATCTGCAAAGATTCAGTCCACATACTAATTGACCTCCAGGAATGACAGTGGAATTTTGGAAACCAAATGCATCCAGATGTCCAAGCAATCAATAATCCCCAAGGAAGCCAGTCAAATTAGCTAGGGCCCAGCAGACTGTGGCATGGAAGAAATTGGACAGGGCCTAAAGGAAATCAATCCACAGGCCAGAATTGGAATGGAAATCAGAAAGCAAGGGTTGACACTGGTACAACAATTCTTCTTTCAATTAATGCTTCTTTTTCCATAAAGTATAAACTACATGAGGACAGGAATTCTGTCTATCCTTTTACAGATGTATCCTCAGGGCCTATCACAGTCCCAAATATGTGACAAATCTTCATTAAGTATTGGTCAAGAATTAAAAAATGAATCACTAAATGTTATAGTACTCTTTCTTAAAATCTTGCAATATCTTGTTGCTGTCAATTTCTCCAGTTTTGTCTCTCCCTTTTCTCCACCATGCTGTTGAGCCTGTAGGTGAGGTGAAGATATAGAGGAACTGGAGCTTTCATACGTTGATGGTGGAAATGTAAATTTGTACAAGTACTTTGAAAAACTATCTGGCAGCTTGCTAAACTTTATAACTGAAGTTGAACATAGGTCTGGTGTATGCCTGTCATCCCAGCATTTTGGAGGCCTAGGTGGGACGATTGTTTGAGCCCAGGAGTTTGAGACCAGCCTAAGCAACATGGCAAAACCCCGTATCTACAAAAAATTAAAATATTAACCAGGTGTGGTGGTGTGCACCTGTAGTCCCAGCTACTCAGTAGGTTAAGGTGTAAGGATCACATGAGCCAGGGAGTCAACTCTGCAGTGAGCCATAATTGCACCACTGCACTCCAGCCTTGGTGACAGAGCAAGACCCTGTCTCAAAAAAATAAATAAAGTTGAACATAAGCATACCTGATGACTCATTCCTAGGTATTTCCTTAACAGAAATACCTAATGTATGTCTAATATGCAAATACCTAATATTCATTTATGTTCACTATAAGACACGTGTAAGAATGTTCATAGCGTCACT
This sequence comes from Homo sapiens, assembly GCF_000001405.40. Taxonomy (NCBI): domain Eukaryota; kingdom Metazoa; phylum Chordata; class Mammalia; order Primates; family Hominidae; genus Homo; species Homo sapiens. The sequence goes on along the minus strand of NC_000012.12, from coordinate 118,633,990 downwards.
ATTTACGATGGCCCCAAATTGAAAATGACCAAGATGCCTATAGTAGAATGGATAACATAGATAAATATATTGTGGTATTGTCTTATAATGGAATATGGTAATGAAAATGAACAAACAACTACAGGCAATCAAATGGATGAATACAACAAATATAATGTTGGGTGAAAGAAGCCAGACACAAGAGTACTCGTGTGTTATTCAATTTATATAAACCTCAAAACCAGGCAAAATATTCTGTTAGAAGATAGGGAGTGGATGCCCTTGGCAATGGTAGTGACCAAAAGGCGATATGGAGGATGTGGAGATGTTCTAGCAATACTCCACTTCTGGATCTGAGTGTTGGTTACATGGATATGTTGTTCAGATTTCAAATATCCGCTGCACCACATGCACTTATGATCTGTGATTTTTGCTATACCTTGGTTATACTTTATTTTAAATGTTTCAGAATTTAAAAATTATTCTGGGCAATGAGCTGTAAACCCAATGCCTTCAGAGGCCACTACATCTACTTGATGTATGTGAGATAAATGGGACACTGTGCCAGGTGTAAGAAAAAAAAAAGTGGTAGGGGTCATGGTGAACTGAGAAGACAGGCCCTCTAAAAACATTTAAATTCAGATTCAGATCCTATAAGACTATCTCCCCCACAAAGTATAAGCTCCAAGAGGACAGAAATTTCCGGGGTTTTAATTGGCTGATTCTTCAGCACCAGGGACAGCTCTTTGCGCATAATGGATGCTTGATGTATGTGTTGAAAAATATTAACTATAGCTCTATGACCCCAGAACTATGCCCTTTATCCAGAAGGGTGTGGTTATAAAGCCCATAAACGAATATGCATGGACAATCAGTCCCCCATACTGAACCCGGAAGACTATACAGACAGATCTGTACTTGAGATTTGGGTGGTATAGTCTAATCTTTACAGACTGCAAAGAGGATACAGGTCTTGGAATTGTTTTTTGTTCTATTATAACTCTATGCCAATGCCTACAAGCCACTCCAGCGGATACAAGATTTTCTTCTTGATTCTCGGAAATGATATCCGTGACACACTATCCAACTTGGAAGCCTCTTCCACATGGACCCTCATTCTTAACTTTACCTCCCCTCCAGATCCTCTACTTATTCCAGTCATTGTTCATTCCTCATGTGTTCAGTTTCCAGGATGGTTTTTCAGCCGTTTGGATCCTCCTTGTATTCTACTGTTGGGTGAGAGATTGGAGAGTGGAAGGGAACCCAGATCCCTTGAGGGGAGAAGAAGAGATACTCACACTGGCTCCCTTACAGTGGATTATCAAAAAAGCAATCAGCAAAATCACACTCCCAAGATTAACCTCCAGCTAGCTCATACATTACACATGATTATACTAAAAGAATATCTATCTCCTACTGCTATATAAGCCTTAATATGTGCCACAAGAAGGAGTGGAAGAGGAAAAATATGTCCCTCCATTCCCCTATCACAATTATCATCACACTGTACTTTGATTAGCTTTACACAATCTGCTTCTCCTAGGAGACTGTGAGCTCCCTGAGGGCATAAACTATGTTTTATTTTTCTATATATCTAACTGTCCTCAAGGCACTCACAGAGGGATGGAGGTGGGTACCATATGTTGAAGTGCTCTTCTAGGTAGTAGTTGAAAGAAAAGCTGCTGCCACTGGCAAAAAAAGGGAGCACTTTAAATCAAATTCATGTTTGCCTCCAACAGATCACATCTGTACAAACTTCTGTACAGTCAATACTTATGCTACACAAGACAAAAGACACCAAAAAAGAGTTAAGACAACTGAAAGCTTGCACCATTCCGAATGATGAGTTTGCATATAGTTCTCTCAACTGGAAACTCTAGGTGCCTGCCCTTCCTTTGGTGTTAGGAATACTACATTCAGAGTAGAGAATTTAAGATAATATAAATACATCCTCTGGACTGTAAGAACATCCACAGGGACCACTAGGCACCAGCACTGTAAACAACCTAATTCCAGCCTATATTTTAAAATTAGATATATTAATACTTTTTGAGGTGAGGATGTGGAGAAATTGGAACCCTCATACACTGATGGTGAGAATGTGAAAATGTTTTTCCACGCAGTGGCTCATGCCTGTAATGCTAGCACTTTGAGAGGCCAAGGCAGGAGGATTGCTTGAGCTCAAGAGCTCGAAATCAGGCTGGACAACATAACAATACCCAGGCTCTATTTAAAAAAATTTTAAAATATTAGCCAGCCATGGTGGTGTTTGCCTTTAGTCCCAGCTATTCAGAAGGCCTTTGAGGAGGGAAGATCGCTTGAGCTCAGTTTAAACTCGCAGTGAGCTATGATCATGCTACTGCACTCCAGCCTGGGCAAGATCGTGAGACCTTGTCTCAAAAAAGAAGAAAAGTTAAATGTAGAGTTACCATATGACCCAGCAATTCTACTCCTAAGTATATATCCAGCAGGATTGAAAATAGGTACTCAAATTCTTGAGACTCAACAAGTTACAAATGCTCGTAGAAGCACTATTTACAATTGCCAAAAGGTGGAAGCAATCCAAATGCCTATCAACAGAAGAATGGATAAACAAATTGTGCTATATCCATACAATAGAATAGTATTCCACCAAAGAAAAGAATGAAGTACTGCTACATGCTTCAAAGTGGATGAGCCTGGAACACATTGTGCTAAGTGAAAGAGGCCAGACACAAAAAGTAGCATACTATGTGATTCTATTTATGTGAAATGTCCAGAATAAAGTCACTGAAACAGAAAAAAAAAGCTTTTTTTAATTAATGCAAACATAATACATGCTAATTGTAGAAGATTTAGAAAATACAAGGAAGCAAAAATGATTTTTAAAAAACACATATGATACTAGTACCTAGAAATAAACACCATAACTCCTTCTAGGCTCTTTTTTTTTTTTTTTTTTTTTTTTTTGTGAGACAGAGTCTTGCTTTGTTGCCCAGGCTGGAATGCAGTGGCTCGATCTTGGTTCACTGCAACCTCTGCCTCCCAGGTTCAGGCAATTCTCCTGCCTCAGTCTCCCAAGCAGCTAGGATCACAGGTGCATGCCATGCCTGGCTAATTTTTGTATTTTTGGTAGAGACGGGGTTTCACCATGTTGGTCAGGCTGGTCTCAAACTCCTGGATTACAGGCATGAGCCACTGCTCCTGGCTCCTTCTAGACTCTTATATACCAGTCCTAGCACTGGCCTCAGAGAGTGCTTGACTGTATCTTCATGTTAATTCCACTGTGCTCTGCCTGGTTTCTGCCATGCATGGTCTTCTTCTCAGTGCCTCTTTATACCCGCAACTGTCTCCAGTCCCTCCAGCCCTAGTGACTCTTACTTTAAGTAGACAATAAGCATTGTCTGCTGCTCCCTCTCTGTTCTCTTATATTTGCAGTTATGGCATAAACTCTGTGTCCTGTTCCTCTCAGGCCCTTCCTTTGGAATCGGCAAGAGCCTATTTTATAAGCCAAAAATTATAGTGTGTGGGGGTGTATTAATAGCTATATCTGTTATATATATATGTTATATATTTTATTATAGATTTATAATATATATAGTTATTATAAATGTATCTGTTATACTGACAGTCCTTGCTTACAACGGATTGACTTAAATTTTCAATTTTATGATGGTGTGAAAGTGACACACATTCAGTAGAAACCTACTTAAAATTTTGAGTTTTGGCTGGGCGCAGTGGCTCACGTCTGTAATCCCAGCAATTTGGGAGGCTGAGGTGGGCAGATCACTTGAGCTCAAGAGTTCGATATCAGCCTAGGCAATATGGTGAAACCCTATCTCTACAAAAAAAAAATACAAAATATTAGCCAGGTGTGGCATGCACCTGTAGTTCCAGCTACTTGGGAGGCTGAGATGGGAGGATCACCTGTGCCTGGGAGGTCGCGGCTGCAGTGATCCATGATCATGCCACTGCACTCCAGCCTGGGGAACAGAGTAAAATTTAGAAATTTCAACAAAGCAGAAAGTAGACATTTTCTACATTCAGAGTAGAAAAGTTAAGATGATATAAATATGTTATCTGGACTGTAAGAGCATCCATAGGGACCACTAGGCACTAGCGCCATAAACAACCTAATCCCAGCCCATTTTTAAATTAGATAAAGCTTTTGAGGTGAGGATGTGGAGACACTGGAACCCTCATACACTGATGATGGGAATGTGGAAATGTTTTTCCACAGCCACTGTGGAAAACAGTTTGGGTGTTCTTCAAAATGTTAAACATAGGCTGGGCATGGGAAAAAAAAAATTGAATTTCGATCTCTTCCTTCCTGGACTAGTAACATGTAGGTACCATACCCTTGCGCCACTGGGCAGCCGCAGCAGACCACAGCCCCCAGTCAGCCACATGATCACGAGGGTAAACAACGAATACTCTACAGTGTACTGTGTTGCCAGATGATTATGCTTAATGGTAGCCTAAGGTAGGTGTTCTGAACACATTTAAGGTGAGTGAGGCGAAGCTATGATGTTCTGTAGGTTAGGTATATTAAATCCATTTTTTATTTACAATATTTTCAACTTACGATGAGTTTATCCGGAGGTAACTCCACAGTAAGTTGAGGAGCATCTGTATATGCAGCTGTTATAATATATGTGCATATATTTGTTATAACTGTACACATATTTATAATTATATTCCTGCTACATAGTCCTAATTCTCAAAGCAAAATGACCAACTAGGGGAACATACATACAAGGAAATAGAGAAAAGCAAAGCTCCCCTTCAGCACACCCACACCCACATACACACACGTAAACATCTCTGCATTTCATCAAATCTAAGATGATAGCAATGGCAAGACACACCATTTAAAAAATTTTATTGAGGCATAACACATGTATAGACAAATGTATAAAACATAAGTGCACAACTCAATGAAAAGCAACACCTTAGTGAAAAGCAAAACAAAGCAAACACCTGTATGATCATCCCCCAGGTCAAGAAATAGAACGGTGCCAGTCTCTCCAAAGCCCCGCCATGTTCCCTCCATCCCCTCAAAAGATAGCATCTGCCTTGACGGTTAAAACAATCCATCTTAGTTTTACTTGCTTTTTTGAACTTTATGAAAGCAGCATCATACATCCTATAATCTTTTGTTTATGACTTCTATCAGTCAACATTATGTTTGTGAGATTCATCGTCAATTCCTTCCTATTTTATGTAGCCCTAAGAAAGAAAAAATCACTACCAATTAAACTATGGCACAAGGCTTTCTTGTCACTTATATTTTTTCTTTTATACCTAAAGAGCTCTTTTAGACTTATTTGTTCACATTTTTATAACATTGTTCTTACACACTCACAAAAAAAGGGGAAATAGAAACAAAACAAATTGGTATTATGTTCCTAAAACCACTTTGTGTTCAGAATCTAATTCTAAATCACTTTTGACTCACAGTCAAGGAGATCCATGTTTGCTTTGTTTTTTTTTCTTTTTTTTTTTTTTGAGATGGAGTCTTGCTCTGTTGCCCAGGCCAGAGTGCAGTGGGGCGATCTCGGTTCACTGCAAGCTCCACCTCCCGGGTTCACGCCATTCTCCTGTCTCAGCCTCCCGAGTAGCTGGGACTACAGGTGCCCGCCACCACGCCTGGCTAATTTTTTGTATTTTTAGTAGAGACGGTGTTTCATCGTGTTAGCCAGAATGGTCTCGATCTCCTGACCTCGTGATCCGCCCACCTCGGCCTCCCAAAGTGCTGGGATTACAGGCGTGAGCCACGGCGCCAGGCCTGGTTTTTTCACACCATGTCATCCATTGTACCATGGAATTGGTGATACAGCTTTTTCTTTATAGAGGGTCCCACTATCGTCAGCAGAGTTTTCCTCCATGCTGTTCGCCCCAGTCTGCAAGTTTTAATGCTGGCACTTTCTTAAACTTACCAGAAGTGTCAATGAGAGTTTTTCAGACAACAACTGGAATTCATATTTCTTCCTCAAATGGTCCTTAACAGTTTGTTGACTGACACATTATGGAGCTGAGTTGTCTGGTCAGACCACCTAGAATAAGAACAAAATTTGCAACTGGTCAGACAATGACAACCACATAAAAATGGCTGTGTAGCTGGTAGTGATTATAAGAGGCCATCAATAACATCACAACTATTAGATGATGCAATGTTTTAAATATGTATTTTAGAATAAATACAGTAAACTTTTTTATTTATTTATTTAGAGAGAGAGTCTCACTTTGTCACCCAGACTGGAGTGCAGTGGTATGATCCTAGCTTACCATAACCTCAAACTCCTGGGTTGAATTGAACCTCCTTTTTCAGCCTCTCAAGTAGCTGGGACTTCAGGCACGCACCACCACCACCCCCTGCCCCACCCCTGTTCCTCTGGCTAAATTTTTTATTGTTTGCAGAGACTGGGGTCTTGCTATGTTGCCCAGTCTTATATGGAACTCCTGGCCTCAAAGGATGCTCCTGCCTCAGCCTCCCAAAGTGCTGGGATTACAGGCACAAGCCACTGTGCATGGTCCTCAATCCAGTATAATTTAATGTACTTATTTTTGCTTTAGTATATAATAAGAAATGGAGAAATGGTCGTGAGGTAGGACTTTACTTCCCTAAGAAAGGAAGTGAGAAAATAAACCACCAGAGGGGAACAATTCAATATATCTAGAACATATTGCGCCAAAGAAATCAAGAAGTTTATTTAAGTTTGATTATAAAATGACATATGAGATGGATTTGGCTGACTATATTTGCATTTTAGCCTTAAAAATTCTTTGATGCTTTGTTTTATTTCTCTAATGATTTTACAGTATCTATGCTCACCATCACAGGGAACACTGCCACCACCCATCCACCCACCTGGCCACACCAGAAACTTGACCACCATATCTAATCCATGTCTAAACAAGGTATCTCCTCCCACCTAAAGATCTCACCCCTCTCTGCCCACACCTCTTTCTCTTCATCACAAACGCCCTAGTTCAATCCACCATCATTGCTCACTTTGATGACTACAAAGGCATCTTTGTGGGTCTACCCTCTTCTCTTCTAGGCCCACTACATCCATGTTCTACCTAGCAAAAAAAAAAAAAAAAGTTCTCTCTAAAATGTAAATCTAGTCATGCCACCTCCATGGCTCTAACAAGCAACATCACACACTTCTTACCATGACTTATAAGTTTCTGCACTTTCTGGTTGAGAAATGCTACACATGGCCATGCTGGTGAATCTTGAAGAACTCCAGGGCACACCATTCTCTAGATTATGATGTGACTATCAAGCCATGGAGTTGTGCCCTGTACAATCTGCCTACCATACACAGCCAACCCACCCTGCTGACCTCTCCAGCCTCATCTATACCACTTCCCGCCTTTGCTCCTCACATTGGACCTACATGGACCTTCTTCTAGGCCCCCAAACACACCAAACTCCCTCCCAATTTTGCCTATGCCATTCTGTCTTTTTAGATGCACTCACCCTCAGCTCTCCTTCACCTAATTAACTCCTACCAATCCCCCACATCTCGGTCCGAATGACACTTCCTCAAGAAAGCATTCCCTGATTGTCTGAGGTTTCTGTGCAATCATTCATAAACCCAGCTACAGTTGTAATGGGTAGTTTCTCATGTGCTTTGTAGCTTAATATCTGCATTCTTGTCTTGCATGTAAGCTGCCTGAGGGAAGATACTGTCTCTTCAGTAAGATACTCCCAATATCCAGCATATTACCAGCACACAGCAGATGTTCAATAAGTAGGAAATAAATGAATAAATGGATGAACCCATAGAGGAAGGGAGGAAAAGAGGGAGGGAGGATGGAGGAATGAATAGATGGGTGGATGTAGGATGGATGGATAGGTAAACAACTGAATAAATGAATGAAACCCTTTAAGACAAACTGAGGCAGCATTAATCCATTTGTCAGACCTCATGAGAGCTGCATGGTATCTTCATTCTTCTCTCCTTCCTCTTCCTAACCTGTCATCTACCTAATTTGGCCTGAGAATTGGGACCCTCCAATGGTTCCAATATTGCCTTTAACCTAAAGTTGCCGAATTTAATACATAAAAGCACAGGACACCCAGCAAAGTGAGAATTTCAGATAAACAATGAAATGAATGAAACAATGAATGAAATAAAATTTTTACATACTTAACACTAAATTTTGTTTTGCTATCAGAAATTCTAATTTTACATGGAAACCTATATTTTACCTGGCAACTCTACTTCAACCCCTGTACCAAACCTGGACCGTGTTGTCCCTCAGCTCCATGCCCTCTCTTCAACTCTGTATAATGGAATATAGATGACCTCTGTATAATAGGATTAGGTGAACTCGGCAAACTGCGTTTCCCAGAAGCCTTTGCTAACTGGCTTTGGCTGGGTTTTGCAAATGGAAAGCCCAGGTGGGAGAAACAGTAAGAGAGAAGTCAATGTCATTTTCTCCCTTCTTCTTTGCCTCAGGCATTATCTCTAGTAGCAGCTGTGTCTCCTCTATAACTCTAGCTCCTGCCAGAAAGCTCTCTGTTGTTCCAGCTTCCAAAGAGTGACCTCAGCTCCTAGGCTCTGGTCACACCATCCCCTCTCTGTTCCTCTGGCCTAGAAGAGATAACAGCTTCCTGCTGTTACCCATCTCTGAGTTTTGCCTCATGACATTAGTTTGGCTTCTCCATTGTTTGCGCATCTGTGTAACCTACCCCCTGTATTAACTTCCTTTTGTATTAAAACCTCAGGAGGTTTCTGTTTTCAGCCCTGATTCTACATCTCAAGTCTCTGACTCCTTGTACAGCCTCCTGCCTTGTTGCTAGGGATAACTTTTCCAAGACCGTGGGCCAAGGATAGCATTCTCAGTACTGTGTCTGTTTTCAAGCCCTTTCTCCCATATTGTAGTAACAGCTTGCTTTACCTGGTCTGATGTTTGGGGAAATGGCCTAATTATTATTTTATGAGTAACAGTAATAGAGCTAATATTTATTGAGCAGCTACTACATGCAAAGTACTGCACATGCTTCATCTCAGTCACCTTTCAATGTAAACTTATGACTTGGTACTATTATCCCCATTCACCAAGTGAAAACCTTAAGGCTTAGAGACTCAGGTGATGTACTTAGGAAGAGCAAACCCAGACACATCTGATTCCATGCTCTTAATCATCCTATTCTGCTGCCTGGGAATCCAATCCCATCTTTCTCTCACACCATCCCTAGACTTTGTTCTTAGAGCCAATGCTAATTCTCTCAGAAGATTTGCGTATCTTTAGAAGCTGGTGTGCAGGGTTTTTCTTGAGGGGTCTTGGAGTTTTCAGCCAGCAGCCTGAACCTCAAGACTGCTTCAAGTGAACCAGTCTCAGTGGTATATGTGTGTATGTGGGGGAAGGGTAACAAAGAGGAGGTGACCTTGAAATTTGCAATAAAGTCACTCTGTCCGCTATCATCATGGTGAGAAGCCAGCCAGGCAGCTCTGCAGGAGACCCAGGGAGACATGAAAGGCATACAGAGCCAAGTTGAAGGTGTCATTAATCAGGCAGAGGTACCAAGGGAGTATCTGCTCAACAAAATATGGAGTGTCACCAAGCAGCACTGCGAGAAGGCCCCCAATGTATGTTACCTTACAAAGACCCATTTTATAACCAAAGTAAATAATGAGATGAGGTTAACACCCATTCCTCCATCACTCTTTCCCATTCTTTGGAAAATTTCTGTTAATAGAGTCCTGTGTGACCCACAGAGTTGCCCCCAGAGGAATGCAGATCCCATGGAGAAGCTCAAATGCCGAAGACCTCAGCCCTGTTAGCCCTCAGCTGCCAGCCTTGCTCATATCCAGCTTTTTAACCTCTGCAAACCAATATCTATCATACCCATGGCATAGGTGGCAGGGAGTGGGCAGAACACCAGGTAGGGATAAAGCTAGCATGATTTAATTTGGTCAAGTTCCCTGTTCTGGACAGTGGTGGAATAGAAAAGGTAGAATAAGGTCTGGTCAGACTGGGAAGCAAATGGGGCTTATATCTGGCAGTTTCCTTCTGGACACTCCACATCAAGCACCCAATGCTCACAGAGCATTGCTGTGGTGCCCCAGAAAGGCCACCTCCAAAGTCCCATTGATTCATTCAATATTTAACAAGTATTTACTGAGCACCTACTATATTCTACGCGTTGTACTGAAGGTAATCCTAGACTCCCTATGTGAAGAAAGACTTTCCTCATCTTCCATCCTATTCCTTCAAGATCTTGCTCTCTGGTCGTTTGTTTTATTCTGTCCAAGAAATGCTAATTGAGCAACAAGTCCATGCCAGGCACTGCAGTTGGATATACAATAGTGAACAAGACAGACCCAGTGAGTGGGACAAGTTGGAAAGAGTACCGGATATGGGGGTGAAACATGGACTTTGAGCAGGTTGGTTTAACCCCTCAGAATATGTGTTTTCCCACTGGCAAAATGAGAGTGATCCTGCCCAATTCACAAAGATTATAAATCTCAGATATGAAGGATGTGAGAATGCTGTGGAAAGTGCTTATCACTCATGGCCCTGGTTGGCATACTCAAAGAGTTATACGAAGAATATTTAATGAAAGGACTATTTATAGAGGTAGGGGAATGATTGATAGAGAGCCCCTCAGAGACTAACAGTAGCAGAGAAAGCTGTTACCACCAGGAAAGCACTAAGGGTTGAGGGGGAAGAGTGTGAGACCAGAACCTCACAAGAGCGTATAACAGAAGCTGCGGCCACAGGTGGAAGAATATGGCCATTATCAAACCCCAGCCCAGCAGGGTGTTTTAAAATGTAGGTTTTATTATATTCAGGGATGGTGAAGACCAACTGCCATTAGAAAGATCGTTTGTTGGCCGGGTGCAGTGGCTCACGTCTGTAATCCTAGCACTTTGGGAAGCCAAGGCAGGCAGATCACGAGGTGAAGAGATCAAGACCATTCTGCCCAACATGGTGAAACCCTGTCTGTACTAAAAATACAAAAATTAGCTGGGCGTGGTGGCACGCACCTGTAGTCCCAGCTACTCAGGAGGCTGAGGCAGGAGAATTGCTTGAACCCAGGAGGTGGAGGTTGAAGTGAGCCGAGATGCGCCACTGCACTCCAGCCTTGGTGACAGAGCGAGATTCTGTCTCAAAAAAAAAAAAAAAGATCTTTGTTACCCACAGATCCCAAGTGGAGGGAGCTTCCCAAGCCTTGCAGGGCCACATGGGGGCAGCACCGTGGTCAACATGGTCGGTCAAGAGGCAGAGGGAGCAGGAAGAAAAAGTAAGAGCCTTTATTGTGATTTCTGAGGGAAGAAATAGGTGAGGCAGGGTAAGCAGGTGTAATATTAGCTCATTTGAATAATTTCAGTAGGCTCTGGGGCATATAGGCTGTCTCTAGTTCTCTGGTACCGGGCTCTGGGGTGATTAGGGCAGGTGGGTAGTGGCCCAGAGTGTGGGAGGCTGATATGGGAAATGTGTAAGGGAATGGGCTTCTATCAGTTGATTTGCATATGGAAATATGTAGGGGATGGGCTTCTATCAGTTGATTTGCATATGCAAATGTGTAGGGGATGGGCTTCTATCAGTTGATTTGCATATGGAAAGATGTAGGGGTGGGCTTCTATCAGTTGATTTGCGTATGGAAGTTGCACTCCTGGAGTGAGCTGTTTGCTCTCTATAGGAATTGCCCAACCCTGGGACGGGCATTCTGTTTAGGGTCAGCAAGGCCCCAAGATGTTGATGTATCAGAATAAAAAGACATGCTTAATACACAAGAATGAAGTTGGCAACAGGTAGAGAGAATGACTGATCCTTCTCTCCTCCTTTCCTTGAATCCCCTGCCACTCGCCTCCTTATTGGCTGAATTCAGCAAGAAGCCAGAGGGCAAGGGACCTTGGTTGATGCTGTCTGTACAGTTTAGCCTTCCAAGGAACAGAGTGGGAAGGAGAAAGAGAAAGTGAATCTAGAGGGGCAAGTGGAGACTCCAGCATAAATGCTGTGGAGATGTGAAGTATTATTAAGTGGCATGCTTTATCATATATTTGTTTCTAATGGGGCCTGTCATCCGTACATCCTTTCAAAATAATAATAATATCCCATATATTGAGCATGTATTAATTGCCAGCACGGTATTAAATGCTGTACATACTTTATTTAATCCTCATTACAAACAGGCATGATATTACTGTTCCCATTTTACAGATGAGGAAAGGAAGGCTTGAAGATATTCACTGACTTGCCTAAGATTACACAGCTGGATTGGTGTCCAGACCCGTCTGACCCCAATACTTATACTCGTGACTGCAATGTAGTCTTGGGGGCTGATTCGTTCTTTTTCTCCTTGTTACTGGTTTTTGAAGACTCTGTTCAGATCTCACCCCTTCCACGAAGAGTTGAAACATAACTTCAACCACCTCTTTTTTTTTCGAGACAGAGTTTCGCTCTTGTTGCCCAGGCTGGAGTGCAATGGCGCAATCTCAGCTCACTGCAACCTCACCTCCCGGGTTCAAGCGATTCTCCTTCCTCAGTCTCCCGAGTAGCTGGGATTACAGGCATGCACCACCACGCCTGGCTAGTTTTGTATTTTTAGTAGAGACGGGGTTTCTCCATGTTGGTCAGGCTGGTCTCAAACTCCTGACCTCAGGTTATCTGCCCACTTCGGCCTCCCAAAGTGCTGGGATTACAGACATGAGCCACCAGGCCCAGCCCCTCTTTTTAAATATCTAATCTTATATATGTAAATAACATTTTCTTATATTTTTATATTATTGGTGTATTAATTTCCTAGCACTGCCATAACCAAATAACACAAACTCGATGGCTTAAAGCAACCAAAATTTGTTCTGTCATCATTCTGGAGGGGAGAATTTTGAAATCAAGGTGTTCACAGGGCCATGATCCCTCTGAAGATTTTAGAGAAGAAGACTTCCATGACTCTTCTAGCTTCTGCTGTCCCTAAGTGTTCCTTGGTTTGTGGAAGCATCACTCCAATCTCTGCCTCCACCTTCAGATGACCCTTTTCTCTGTGTGTCTCTGTCTGTTCTCTACTCATCTTATAAGGACACCACTCGTTGGATTTACGGCCCACCCTAATCCAGTATGAACTCATCTTAACTAATTATATCTGCAAAGACCCTATTTCCAAATAACGTCACGTTCTGAGGATCGGGTGGATGTAAATTTGGGGAGGACACTATTTAACCCACTACAGTTGAACTTTGTTATCAACTGATTACTTTTTTTAAGGTTTGACTCTATGTGTATGTCTCTTATTACTCAACCACCCTATAAACTCCTTGAGATTAGGAGGCATGTGTAATGTTTTTCGGATCCCTCATTTTCATAAACACCTAAGTATCTGTTGAATGAATGAATGATTGAATGGGTGAACTAAGAGATAATAGAAAGGGTTGCAAACTCAAGAACCAGGCTGGTAACATAAATGTGGGCTGGAGTAGACCTGACAGGGCTTTAGGGGGAACTGGAGGGCATGTCCTAAGTGAGGGAACTGCTAGTCAACTCCAGACAACTCTTGCCATGTCAGAATCAAGTCCAGAGTTGCCAAGAGAACTGATTTTTCAATAGAAGCAGAAAATATGGCTTTTTACATGAAGTGTCCCAAGTTTTAAATGTTGGCAATAAATTCAAACTTCTAAAACACAATACAGAACAGACAAAATGTACTGATGAACTGGATTTGGGGTACAGGCTACCCCCTCGTAACCTCTACTTAAAACCCAAAAAGTGACTCTCAAGGCATCATTTCAGGCAGGCCAGTGATGAAGACATTTTTGACCCAGCTGGCCTTGTGGTATCTCTCCTAGGATTATGTGTGGGGTCAGTGTTTATGGAGCCCTGCAAAGATTTACAGGTGGAGGATTCATGTCCTGGTCAATTCATGCATTCAGTATTTATTGATGCTCCACTTTGTGTGATGCTGTATGCTAGGCTGGGCATACCCATCAGACCAAAATAGACATAATTCCTGACCTCATGGAGCCTGCCTGGAAAGGGAGGAGACATTCAACTGATGGTTATTTAAATAACTTTAATTACAATGATGGTGAACTGAAAAGAAGATGGCAATTTCTTCCTCTCTCAGTTTTTTGTGATGTTTGTTTAGTTTATCTGAGGATGAAATTTGTGGAGGGGACCACTATTACAACCTGGAGAATCAAAGTAGGAAGATAACATTCTTTTTAAAGTGATTGGAAAAGTCAATAACAACAGCTACCTATTTATTGAGCACCTACAATATAACCGTCAATGCACCAGATATGTTTAAAATGCATTTTCTTTAACTTTCAAAGCAAGCCTACGGGGTAAATATTATTTTCTGGTTTTTGTTTTTTTTTTGTTTTTTTTTTTTTTTTGAGACAGAGTCAGCCAGGCTGGAGTGCAGTGGCATGATCTCGGCTCACTGCAACCTCTGTCTCCCAGGCTCAATCAATTCTCCTGCCTCAGCCTCCTGAGTAGCTGGAATTACAGGCATGTGCCACTACGCCCGGCTAATTTTTGTATTTTTAGTAGAGACGGGGTTTCACCATGTTGGCCAGGATGATCTCAAACTCCAACCTCAGGTGATCCACCCGCCTTGGCCTCCCAAAGTGATGGGATTACAGGCGTGAGCCACCGCATCCAGACACTATTTTCATTTTCTAAAGGAAAAATGCTAAGGCTGAGGGAGATTAAGGAACCTGCCCAAGACCAGGGAGTCAAGCGAATGACAGAGTCAAGCTTTTAACCCCTATCTGTCCCACTCTGCAGCCCATGATCTTTCTACTACATAACACTCTTTCTCAGGAAGTGCTACAACCAACCATTACCAAGTACAAACTCCCTGTCCAGGCTTCCAGCCACAGTAACAAACAGTCCCCAAAGGGTGCAATAGCACAAAAGCAATAGAAATTTACTTCTCACTCACATATTCCAAAGCAGGTGTTCTTGAATGGTGAGCAACATTCTCCAAATAATAACTCACAACCCCAGAACCTTTTTATTTCCTGGCTTCACCATCTTCAAAAATAAAAGGGCTTCCAAGGTTAACAGTGTGGGAATAGGACAGGAAGGATTTTGGATGGAGGTTATTATGGGCCAGGTGGTCCATATTATTAGTTTACATTTCACTGGCTAGAATTCAGTCACATGGGACACCTACTGCAAGGGAGGCTGGGAAATGTAGTCTGTCCGTGTTTCAAAGGGAACTAGTTCCATGATCAGCTAATACTCCTGCCACACCACTTTTCAATAATCCATTTATATGGGTTGTATCTTTTGAGTGCTTGCAAACATTCCCCTAAGCTTCCTTTCCCTTCTGGAGTATCCAAGGAGCTTTTTTATTCATGTGCCTTACAGTTTTATATTTACATTGATAGCTATTTAAAGTGTGTATAACTGCTTGACACTATCATTATCCTGCATGATTTGCAGAAGTTAGAGTCTCAGGGAGAGAGATGCTTTCTTTTCCATGGATTAGAAATGAATACAGCCCCCTAAGCAACCTTGCCAAGGACTAAGAAAATGATATAAAGAATGAAAAGCTTTCAAAAGGAAGATATTATTCACATAGTCATCCAGGACTGGGTCTGCAAAGGAGATATGAAAATACCTTAAGCCAATTTCAAGCAAATGTCATCCAAGACTCTTAAGAGGTTCCCTCTTGTCAAGTTTCCCTTTATGACACATTGAAAATTTTAGGGTATATCAATAAATCATGATTTGCCATTTCCTGCCAAAGCCCTCCCTGTTGTGAAATTCCACATAGCTAATCCCTAGAACAATATCTTCTAGGGGATTTTTACAGGGTAGGTCCTGGTTTATTTTATGTTGCCCTTTATGTAAAGAAAGAATTCTTGTCCTATTCACTACCAGCATGGGATGCATGACAAAATGGATTTCCCACCCCCCTCCCCCACCCATTTGGGGAATACATTACACACAGCCTTCAATGCCTCCCCTACAAAAAGGAATTACTCGAACTGTGTTTCATGGAATACTCTTCCTGTGGATGCTAATAACTGTTTTGAAAGAAAATAGGAGGCAAGGAAGGGACTCTGGAGGAAAAGTAAGCTGCATTAAAGAAAGGTAAAGAGGTTTCTTCTTAAAAAATATATATTTACTACACAGATGTAAAGAGGTTTCTTTACCGTGGGACTTTTCAGAACCTTTGGTATGCTAATTATTAATTAAATATGAAAGAGAGGGCACATGTTGACTTTGGAGACAGAAACAGCTGCCATCCTTTCAAACAGACATAAGGTGCTGTATTAGGGTTCTCGAGAGGGACAGGACTAATAGGATAGATGTATATATGAAAGGGAGTTTATTAAGGAGTACTGACTTACAGGATCACAAGGTGAAGTCCCACAATAGGCCGTCTGCAAGATGAGGGACAATGAAGCCAGTCCGAGTCCCAAAACCTCAAAAGTAGGGAAGCTGACAGTGCAGCTTCAGTCTGTGGCTGAAGGCCCCAGAGCCCCTGGCAAACCACTGGTGTAAGTCCAAGAGTCCAAAAGCTGAAGAACTTGGAGTCCAATGTTCAAGGGCAGGAAGCATCCAGCATGGGAGAAAGATGAAGGTCGGAAGACTCAGCCAGTCTACTCTTTCCACATTCCTCTGCCTGCTTTTATCCTAGCCGTGCTGGCAGCTGATTAGATGGTGCCCACCCAGACTGAGGGTGGGTCTGGCTCTCCCAGTCCACTGACTCAAATGTTAATCTCCTTTGGCAACACCCTCACAGACACACCCAGGAACAATACTTTGCATCCTTCAATCCAATCAATTGACACTCAATATGAACCATCACAGATGCCAACAGGGAAAGAACATGCTTTCCATTTACCTCAATATCATTCTTCCAAGTTTGAAAACGAAGGCCTATACGCAGTTCAAAATATTACTAGATGGGATATTGGATACATTCCCTGGTCATCTCAATGTAAAGCAAGGATTTAAAAATAAAAACTTAGTTCAACTTAAAAGCAGAAGCTTTGGGGTCAAAAACTGGATTCAAATTCTTGTTCTTTTGCTCACTGGCTGTGCAACCTTGGTTATGTTAACTAATCTCTCTGAGCATCATTTCTTTTTTTTTTTTTTTTTTTGTTTTTTGAGACGGAGTCTCTCACTGTTACACAGGCTGGAGTGCAATGGTGCAACGGCATGATCTCAGCTACTGCAACCTCCGCCTCCCAGGTTCAAGTGATTCTTCTGCCTCAGCCTCCCAAGTAGCTGGGATTACAGGCACCCACCACCATGCTCAGCTAATTTTTGTATTTTTAGTAGAGACAGGGTTTGACCACGTTGGTCAGGCCAGTCTCAAACTCCTTACCTCATGTAATCCCCCTGCCTCGGCCTCCCAAAGTGCTGGGATTACAGGCGTGAGCCACCATGCCTGGCCTTATTTCTTGATGTTCCATTTCCTCATATGTGAAGTAGGGATATTAACATTATCTGCCTTATTGGGATATTGAGAGAATTAAAAGAGACAAGCTCTGGAAAATACTTGATAGGCTTCCTGCACACAATGGTCAGCTCTCCTCCAAAAATATTAGCCATAATCATTGTTATTATAGTACGTTATATAGCCTAAATGTATATGACATGGGAACTTTTTAACAAAACATTCATTATCATCTTAAGAAACACTGCAGAACTAAGTTTAGGAAACGCTAAGTAGGAAGACATGCTATAAGGCCAGACCACAGGCAAATTGCAGGACCCAGAAGGCGTGTACACCGGAGTTCAACATCATGTGGGTCATCTCTTTATCCATATCTCAAAATCCAGAATAATATATCTGGAGATTGTGCCAACTGCATCATTTCCCAGGTCCACCTGCAAATGTTTGGTGTCTGGGCCTCTGATCACCAATCTCAATTCCAGGCAGGACTGCAGAGTCTGGGGCTGACCTTTCCTAGTTCACAATCAGGTTCTGTCGGCTGAACACGGGACCCCACCAATGACCATTACATCTACCACTTAAGGTCAATGCTTCCCTGTCTCCTCCTAGTGTTGATTTTGTTCCTGTTGGTAAAATGCCCCCTTGTCCTTTGAGTCTACTCCAATCTGTCTGCTCCAGGCTTTAGAAGAGAGGACCTGCCACCAAAATGCGGTTGTAGCAATTCAAGTTTCAATGCATGTTGATAGTAAAATAATTATTGTTGCCTCACTCCTTAGCACTTACAATATTCCAGGCAGTGTACTAAGCACCTAATATGCACCACCTCGTCTAATCCTTATAAGAACTCTATCAGGTAAGTCCTATGAGGTGCCCATGATACAGATAAAGAGAGCAAGGTTCTAAGAGGTAAAATGACTTGCCCAAACTCTCATAGTAAGTTACCATCTGAACTTGGGCTAGGTTTCCTTAATTTCGCTTATCAACTTCACACTGTCTCCTCTTTTTCATAGATTCCCTCCCTCTCCTGCCTCTTCGCTGCTGTGAGCTCCAAGAAATAAAAAAACACTGAATGGATTTAGGCTTTAGGCAAGGAGGGACAATGTCAGTTTGACATATTGATTTTCAGAAAAAAATCGCTTTCAGTCTATTGATATTCAGCAAATTGGCTTGCTTCCAATATCAGAACTAGTAGTGGGTGGCTTATTCAAGAAAGCAAAGTGAGGAATCATAAAACATAATGCATTCATTTCTTAAATGTTTTCATTTAACCTAAAACAAAGCAATGTCATTTGTCCACCAATCTTTTGATGTAGGGAGAAGGACTTGTCTGGGAGCATAAGAGCCCTAATGGAATTCCCTTTCTCATTTTTGCATAAACCAAAATCATAATACATTACTTTTTATATCCAATTCCAATTTCTTTACAAGTAATTTCTTTACAATTACTTTAAAGCACATGTAAAGTAACCTGAGTGTAGCACTCTTCCAGGTTTGTAATTTTTTTTTTTTTTTTTTTTTTTTGAGACTGAGTCTCGCTCTTTCGCCCAGGCCGGACTGCAGTGGCGCCATCTCGGCTCACTGCAAGCTCCGCCTCCCGGGTTCACGCCATTCTCCTGCCTCAGGCTCCCGATTAGCTGGGACTACAGGCGCCCACCCCCGCGCCTGGCTAATATTTTGTATTTTTAATAGAGACGGGATTTCACCTTATTAGCCAAGATGGTCTCGATCTCCTGACCTCGTGATCTGCCCGCCTCGGCCTCCCAAAGTGCTAGGATTACAGGCGTGAGCCACCGTGCCCAGCCTGTAATTTTTTTTTTTTTTTTTTACCTATTTCTCAGTTTTTGTCCCTTTATCTGACAACATTTCTTTGCAGCTCATCTTTTCAAGTTTAAAGCATTTACCTTGGTGTTCATAGAAACAACTCCTCTAACTCCTGTATTTTTTATTGGCGATTTGTAATATTTGATTAATCTATGTACTTACAATAGAACAAAATATAGGAGCCGTACTCTACCTCCCAACGTCGGCCTGGCTCACTCTCTTACCTCCTTCAGATTTTTGCTCAACTGCTACCTTCTCAGTAAGGTGATCTCTGCTTACTTTATTTAAAATTCCAACACTCCCTCTTCCCCTTCCCTGCTCACTTTTCTCTATAGCACTTATAACCATCTGACATAACGAACATTTTATTTCTTTTGTTTGTTGTTGTCTTACTCCATCATAATATGTCATGAAGACAAATTTAAAATCTGTTATATTCCTAGTGCCCAGCACATTTGTAGGTTGTCAACAGATGTACGTCAACTGAATGAACCAATGCCCCAGAATTGTGACTAGGGCCCAAAGCTGACACCAAAGATATCTTGAGTACCTCTGTGTTTTAAAAAGAGCCCACCCAACTTTGAGCTCAGACATCTATCTCAGAGGCTTACCAAGAGAAGTAAACCTGACCCTCCCACCCCCAGTTCTCATTCCATGCTTCTGCCTTTTCCTAGACTATAAAAGAAGGCAGCCATAGCATAGTGAGTAAAGTTTTGTGGTGTCAGATGATTCCTAATCCTCCACATAGGGTGAGTTGGTAGGGAGATAGTTCTCCCACTGTGAGGCCAAATAAGGAGAGCTTTTTCTCTTTGGTTTGCTTTTTTACAATTTTTCTAGAATGTGCCCAGGTACTGATTTCTTTCTTTCTTTTTTTCGTTTTTGAGACAGAGTTTTGCTCTGTCACCCAGGCTGGAGTGTAGTGGCATGATCTCAGCTCACTACAACCTCCAACTCCTGGGTTCAAGCAATTCTCCCTGCCTCAGCCTCCTGAGAAGCTAGGACTACAGGAGCACACCACCACGCCCAGCTAATTTTTGTGTTTTTTAGTAGAGATGGGGTTTCACCATGTTGGCCAGGTTGGTCTTGAACTCCTGACCTCAAGTGATCTGCCCACCTTGGCCTCCCAAAGTGCTGGGATTACAGGTGTGAGCCACTGCACCTGGCCTAATTTCCTTATATTTATCATGTTTGGGGTTTGTGGACATCTTAAATCTATGGCTTGGTGTCTTTCATCAGCTTCAGAACATTTTTAGCTACTGTCTCTACAAATATCCCCTCTGCTACATTTCCCTCCTCTTCTAATGGGACTCCAGTTAGACCTCATTACATGCCCCAAGTCTCTTACTTCTCCTTTGAGTTTACCAACCTTTTGTGTCTTCATTCTGGATTTTACTATTTTCTTCTGACCCATCTTCCAATTCACCAAGTTCTCTTTGGACTCTGTCTAATCTGCTTTTAAGCCCATCTGCCAACTTCTTAAGTTGGTTTTTGTTTTTGTTTTTATTTTTGTTTTTCATTTCTAGAACTTCCAGTTGCTTCATTTTATTATTTCTAGTTGTATGCTGAAATTCTCAATTTTGTCTTTTATGTCCTTGAACATGGTAAGCAGAGTTATTTTAAAGTCTTTGTTTGATAACTCCAATATTTGGAGGCCTTAGGAGGTAGTCTCTGCCAGAGCTTGTCTACTTCCATTTCACCCTTACCTCTAGGGTACCGCCCTTCAGGGTTCCAACCAAGAATAAGGAGGTTTCACCAAGGCCTCTTTTCCTTGGCAAACCATGAGTTCCAACCCCTGTGCCTCTGGCCCTATGAGAGTGACAAAATTATCACTCAACCTCTTAGCCTCTCATCACAACCAGATTTACCAGATACTAGTCTCATCTCCCTGGGCCTCTAGATTCTGGTGAATTTTTACTACTTGTTAGCTCTCTGATGTCTTGAAGTAGTGTGTGTGTGTATGTGTGTCTGTGCATCTGTGTGCATATATGTCTGTGTGTATGCGTGTGTATACATACATATATTTATATATGTATATATTTATACAAATATGTGTGTGAATACACATACATATTTTTTTTCTTTTTTTGAGAACAGAGTCTCACTCTGTTGCCCAGGCTGGAGTGCAGTGGCGTGATCTCAGCTCACTGCAACCTCCACCTCTGGGTTCAAGCGATTCTCGTGCCTCAGCCTCCTGAGTAGCTGGGATTACAGGCACCCACCGCCACAGGCAGCTAATTTTTGTATTTTTAATAAAGATGGGGTTTCACCATGTCAGCCACGCTGGTCTCAAACTCCTGGCCTCAGGTGATCCCCCCACCATGGCCTCCCAAAGTGCTGGGATTACAGGCGTGAGCCACCGCACCCAGCTATATATATATATATAATTATTATTATTATTCACACTGTCTAGTGGGAGGATTGGTTCAAACTGCCTTGTCGGCTGTTATCAGAAGCAGAGGTCTCTGTCCTATCTGTGTCAGGGTTGGTCTAGGGTGAGATGAGTGAGGTATCTGGGACACAAAACTGAAGGCGCTGCTCCCTGCAGGTCTATAAAATGCAGGGCTGGCACCTGAGAATGAGCACATCCTTACATTTTTTGCCCTGGGCACCTCATTTACCTCCCCTTTATGCCAGTCCTAACCCGTATATGTTTGCAGAAGCTTAAACACCTGGGCAGACACACAGCTGAGAGAACTCACATGTTAGAAAATGGAAAATGGGCTGGGAAATATAGACTTTCCTTCTTCATTTACTTCTAAATTGGTTCACTGTTCTTATCAAATCAGATATTATTGTTGACTATATGCTAAGTGCCTGACATGCATTGTCTCATGTAATCCTCACAGCAGCCTTACTGAGTAGATTCCGTCCTTATCTCCACTTTGCACGTGAGGAAATGAAAGCACACAGAGATTAAGTAACTTGCCCATGTTCCCAAAACTGATAGGGGATGGAGTCAGATTCTGAACCCAGGTCGGTGGGTTCCCAGGTCTTTATGTCTAACCACACATGGCCATCCATGACGGCTCGTGTTAAAAGCACTTTTGCAATTTAAAAAATGGTGCAAAATAACATCTAAAATAATATTTTAATTAATAATACATATATTATATGTGGAAAACAAATATCAAATTTTCATACCCCAAAACACAGGGCACTACTACTGTTGGCCAAAGCTGTTTCCACCCTGCAGCAGGGAGAAGCAAGTTTCCACCAGGCCCCTCCCTCCTTCCCCTCCCCGGCCCTTTCAGGCTTCCAAGCACAAAGGAGAAATGACCTGGGGCCTATTCTCCGACTTGTCCAGAGGCCAGACTACTGCCTGGGCCACATCGGTCTGCCTGTTGTTACCATGTCAACTCGGGCCTTTGTCCACGACATGGTGCCCGACTCCCATTACTCATTCTGTCCTTTCCTGTCCAGCTGTGCCAATAAAATGATTTATCAGCAGGAGCTTGGGACAAGCTGCCAGGTTTGGGGCAGAAAAACGAGGCATGGGAACGATTTTACTAAATAAAGGCCCGATCTCCAAAAAACACACTTTATAATCTCAAACACCCATCCTGGGAGCTCTGGATGTTGCATTCATTTATTCGTTCATTCATTCAACAAATATTTCCTGAGGACCTAGAGCTGGATTTGGCCTGCGGGAAATGGTGGTAAACAAAAGACAGAAGGCCTCTTCCCTCTTGGGGATTACACACCTCCTGAAGGGGAGGTAGACACACTACATGTTACTTATAGGCACTTCCAAGTAAGTAAGAGGTGTAAGGCTAGAAGCAGGGCCCTCAAATAGTCCAGGGGATAGAGAAGGACTCTCTGAGGAGGGGATTCTTGAGCTGTGATCTGAAGGCAGAAGGGGAGTTAACTCCACCAAGATGGAGGGGGAAAGCATGCCAGGCAGAGGGTAGCTCACAGGCAAAGACCCTGGGGTGGGAAGAAACTTGGTGTCTGTGAGGAGCTGTAATAGGAAGTGTGACCAGGAAGCAGAGAGGGGCCAGGGAAAGAGAAAAGGGAAGAGGTTGCAGAGGTGAGCAGGTGAAGCTGTCCTCGCAGGGATAACAAGAATTCTGGACAGAAATGTAGTTATAATTAAGCATTAATCAGGCTGCACTCTGACCCACTTCCTCGTAACCAAAAGCCATATGTAGCACTACATACCGACCAATGCATCCCCATTGTTCCTACAGATGGAATCTCTGACATTAGGATCATCAGGCTTTTGTTTAAGGATCCCTTAAGATGTGATCCCTAATTCCAGCAACCAGTTTGAAGACTCTCAAGGGGGAACAGGATCAGCATGAGAATACAGCTGCTTCCTCTCCCTGACCCATGACTTCACCCAGCACTCTTCCACCAGCCCACGATCCACACACCAGCCCACACCAATACCCTTAAAAATGCCAGCCCCAAACTTCTCCTTGGATACAGATTTGAGGTTTCCTCCCATATCCTCATTTGGCAGCCCTATGATTAAACCTCTTTTTCTGCTGCCATTCAGTGTCTTGGTGTATTGATTTGCCATGCATGTCGGGTGAGGAACCTATTACGGTTACGCAGGGACCAGGTGATGCAGAGTGAGGCAGGCCAGTGTAAACACATTGGTCCTTATCCAAAAGGACATGAGAAAAGTCACTGCAGGGTTGTCAATGGAGGCGTCTCAGGATCCTGTGTGCATTTTAGAAAGACTGCTCAGGAAAGCAGATTAGAAAGAAACCTGTGTGGAATGAGAGAATTCACTTGGCAACCCAGTGCAGTGCATCTCAGACTATCTGTCAAGAAGGACTATTTCCCCCCAATTCATCACATGCCTTACCTGTTACCTTACCTTTATCACATACCTGTTATATTTTACTTTTGTAAAATAGAGCAAAATTCACTGGGATGTTGCAGCAATGTCAAATCACTACGAAAGTTTCCAAACACTCCCAATTACTTAGTCATTGTGGACCAGTAACAGTTTGCTGACTGTCACCAGTTCGTCAGTGACAGCTTGAGTAGCACAACCATAGCATATTCATGGCCCCAAGGGAGACTCGAGCATCCAAAAATAAAGCTACCTTATTTTCTGGAACCTAGTTGAATTTCTGACACCTAGCCTGTGTTCATCCTGAAGGAGATAAATCTGCTGGTTACTACTCAGTTACATCTGGTGTAATTATTCTCCTTCACCTTCTTCATCCCCCTCTTTCTCCCTGCTCCACTCCAGGGAACTCATGCACACCCCAGCCCAATGTTCTGTGTGGGGAAGGGCTTCTCCTTTCACTCTTTATCTGCCTCTGCCTTGCCCTGCCCTGCCCTGGATGCAGCATGTCCCTTCTGGTCTTCTGCAATACACTGATCTCCACGAGACAGAGTGGCATCTTCCTTTGGTCCTCATCTGTTTGGCTCATCTACACATCCTCTGCTACACAAGTGCCTTCATCCCGGGACCAGCCTTCTCTCTCTCTCCCTCTCTCTCCATCCCTCTTTCCCTCCTTCCCCTCAACTGGTTCCTTTCCCATCCCCTCTGGGGCCACCTTCATTCTGTCCAACACTCCTCACAGCCATCCTGATCCGTAGCTCTGTCCCCATTGAAGAGAGCAAGGCTGCTGATGATCAGCGTATCAGAGGGGGCCCAATAGACACAAGTGCCCCAACCTTGGATCTCTATACTTCAAGTGGTGCTACCAGTATTCAACTCAAGGAGGTGCAACAAGCACACTTAGGTAAAATGTTCTGTCTCTCCCTCTTCCTTCCTTCCTCTCTTTTTTTTTCCTCCCTGCTCTTCCTTCTTCGTCTCCTTCTTCTCCCCCTACCTCCTTTCTCTCCCCACTACACCTTCCTTCATCTCTCCCTCTTTTCTTCTTTTTCTCCCTCTTTTTCCTTCTCATGCTCCTCCTTTTTTTCCTTCCTTTCTGTCTTTCCTTCTTTCTTTCTTCTTCTCCTTCTGTCCCTCTCTCTCTTTTCCTTTCTGTCCTCTCTCTTTCCCTCTCTCCCCTCCTTTCCTCTTCCAGCTCTCTCCCTACCTTGCCTCTAGTCACTAGAGCTGGAGGAAGGGAAATTTGGTCTGGCTGATGTTGAGTTCTTTAATCTTTCTGTCTCACAGCTGGATCACTATTTTGAATTTAAAAGCTGATAAATCATCACCCTTATTTTCAGCTTCTCTTCTGCCACCCACTCCCTGGGGGATGTAATTAGATATGAGTGCTGCTTGTTAATATTTCCTTTCCTTCTCTTTCGAATTAGACATGATCATATGACTTGCCATGGCCAATAAAATGTGAGCAGAAGAGACAGGTGTCACTTCCGGATTCTTTTCTCTCTTTTCTCGCCCTGCAGCAATTGGGAAAGCATGTATTTTTTTTTTTTTTTTTTGAGACAGGGTCTTGCTCTGTTGCCCAGTTTGAAGTGTAGCAGCATGATCATAGCTCACTGCAGCCTCAAACTCATGAGCTCAAGCCATCCTTCCACCTTAGTCTCCTGAGTGGCTGGGACTACAAGTGTGCCCCACCATGCCTGGCGAATTTTTAAATTTTTTGTAGAGACAGGGTCTTGTTACGTTACCCAGGATGGTCTCAAACTCCTGGACTCAAGTGATCCTCTCACCTCAGCCTCCCAAAATGCTGGGATTACACACATGAGCCACCGCACCTGATGAAAGCATATATTCACATGGAGGAAGCCTAAGTTCAAAACAGCCTGGAACGCTGAGCTATTCACAGACGTCTACCCTAGGGCATCACTGAGACCTGTAGCTGACTTTGCATGAGTGTGCAATAAACTTGTTCTGAACCCACTGGTTGTCTGTTACAGCAGCATAGCATTGCCTATCCTGACTAGTACAGCACATTTCTGGCCCAAACAGAGGATGGTGAAAAGTGAAAAGAACAGTGCCTCCTAGCTAATATCTCAGCAGGTCATTGATCCAGGGGAGGCTGTGGCCATTCTCCAGGCTACAGATAATGGTGACCTGGTTTGTGAAAGTGGTGGTGGCAAAAATGACAGAAGTGCATAGATTGGATGCATGGCAAAAAGAAACGAGTCTTGGTGATGGATTAGACGAAAGGGATGAGGAGAGAGATGTGTCAGCTGATGCCTTGGTTTCTGCTTTAGGAAACTGGGAAAATGGTGGATCCATTAAAGAAGATATAGGAACACCGAGGAACCAGGTGACCACATGCTCCTGACCCAAGAGTTCTGAACATAGCAGGTCAAACGGTAAGGACAAATAACATATATTTTGGGTGCTCTCCTGATCTCAAACTGGATTGCAAGTTAGAGGAAGAGCTGTCTCAGTGACGTGGCAGGTGCTCAGTGAAACAGCCAACAGGACTTTCCTGTAATCACTCCCATTTATAATCATCAAGAAAATACCAAACTACAAGGAAGAATGCTATACTCCAGAAACCACTGGTATTTGAGCACCCGATGGAGCTGCCAAGGCTGAGGGTTTGATCAATGGAGAAGGCTGAGGGGATTGTCTGATTTAATTGTTCATCGTATTAACTAATTACATGGCATTCATTCATCAACACAGGATGAGGAAAGGGAGAAAGTTCTGAACTTGAGATCCAGAGACCTGGGTTCTCGGTTCCAATTCTGTCATCCATGACCCTAGGCAAGTCATTTTCCCTTTCTGGGTTTCCCTAGCCCTGTACCCTCAAATAATATGACAGTACAGTGGTTCTTAACCTGGGTCCTGTGTACTCCTTGGAGATCCATAAACAGGCCTTAGGGATCCCCAAAAATTAAATCCAGAACATTGTTTGAATGCGCAGGTGACTACATATTGGAGAAGGTCTACAGCTTTTATCAGCTCCTTAAGAAATCTGTGTCTTGGAAAAGATTAAAAACCACTGAGAGTGGCGTTGGCCACATCAGAGGGCTTTGGGGAATGAGACAGGAGAAGTTGGCAGGAGCCACATCGCAAAGGACTTTACAAGCCACGCTGAGGAGCTTGGCATCTACCCGAAATGATTGCAGGAATCCCTTCTGGTTCTCTTTTCCAACTGCATCTAGGCAAGCCAAGAGAACAAGTACCAGAATATTCAGGGACAGGGCAAAGAGAGAATAATTGAACCGCTAATGCGCTTATTCATCCAACAGACACTTGTTGAGCACCTACTATGTGCCAGTACCTGAAACTGAAGGCTGCGGATATTGTGATTAAACAGACAGTAAATGAAACAAATGGGCAGAGGGGTGTGTGTCTGTAGGTTTCTGTGTGTCTGTTTGTGTGTGTCTGTATGTCTCTGTATCTGTGTATGTCTGTATGCATGTGTCTATGAGTCCTTCTGTATGTATCTGTGTGTCTGTATGTTTCTGCCTGTGTTTGTCTCTGTGTGTCTGTGTATGTATATGTGTATGTGTCTGCATATGTATATGTGTGTGTCTGTGTGTGTATGTTTGTAAGTTGTATATGTATGTATATGTGTGTATCTGTGTGTGTGGCTGTATGTAGATACATGTGTGTCTGTGCATCTGTGTGTTTCTGTGTATGTTTTTATGTCTGTATCTGTGTCTTTCTGTGTGTATCTGTGTCTATGTGTCTATGTGTGCCTGTGTGTGTGTCCCTCTCTATGTGTCTGTATGTTTCTATCTGTAGATGTATCTGTCTGTATGTCTGTGTATGTATATGTATCTATGTATGCCTGTGTCTATGTGTATACATGTCTGTGTGTGTCTCTGTATGTCTGTCTGTATCTGTGCATGTTTATGTATGTATATATGTATATACATGTGGGTCTGTGTCTGTGTGTGTGTCTGTATGTGTGCATGTGCATTTGTGCATGTGTTCGCCCCCAGGGCAGCTGTGGGTCTGGGAGCTCCACCACAGCCTGATTGTGATCCTGAGATCTTCACGGGATCACACACTTCACAATTAGGAAGAGCTGACAGTAAAGCTGCAAGGCAGAGAAGGAAGATCCCAGGGAGTAAAGGTCTGAGAACCAAGAAGGCGTGTTCCTACAACAGCAGAACTGGCTTCACAGGGACTGACTGTCCCAGGTCTTCTCCAGGGACTCCTGTATCCACTATTGTTGCGCTGGTGCCAATGTTGCACCGCCAAGACAGAAAACCTTACTGAAAATGAATTTCTGGGATTTCTCCATTCCTGGCTAGAAAACCTACATCATCACCCAAAATCCACACTGCAGAAATTCAGAGTTCTTGGTACATCTACTTACTGCAAGCTGAAAGGGCTTTGGCTATTAGGTGTCTTTCCCCAGTAAAAAGCCACAAGACACTTTGCCTCTATTTGAAAGCTGCAAATTTGAAGGTGCACAGCATCTAAAGATGGCAGAAGGGAGTGGTTAGCAGCCAAGGGCTTTGGAGTCAGAATGTATGAGTGGGAACCAGTGGACAGCGTGTGCCTAGGTTTCCTTATCTGTCAAATGGGAATCATGACAGCACCTACCTCCTAGAGTTATGGTTTGAATTAAATGACTGAATGCGTAGAAGGGCTTGCAATTGTGACTGGCACATAGTAAGCACTAAATAAATGTCTTCTGTTATTATCATTCATGAAAAATGGTTTCCTCATACTCACTTGAATCTATACATTGCTAGAAGAGAGAGAGAAAAAAAAAGAGGCAAGAAAATAAGATGTTACATATCTACCCATTAATGACACCAGGCAAGAGAAGAGCAAATCCATTTTCATGACACGTTAATATAAATATTTTATCATATTAGAACTAGCTTGAGTTATATCTTTTTCTCCAGTATGAGGCATTTCTTTTTCCTTTCTAAATTAATTATACCATGTTTCACTTACAAGAAAAGAAGGAAGGGAAGAAGGAAAGGAGAAGCTTCACAGAAATACATAATCACAAATGTGCCCTTGTATCTTCTGTGCAATGTCTTCCAGATTCCTGAGCAGTTGCTTTTTCTGGCTGCATGCAAATAGCCCTGTGAAACAGATATTCTCAGCTCCATTTCACAGACAAGGAGACTGAGGCTGGTGAGGTTAAACAACTTGCCCCCAGTTCCTAGATCACGCCCCACCTCCTCTGATTCCCCATTGAGAAGCACTGTGCCCTCCTCTCACTGCCTCTCCAAATTCTTCATTTATTCATCAACAAGTAGTACTCAGAGTCCTGCCTGATGCCCGGCCCTGTGGTGGGTGCTACAGATACAGAAATGAATAAGCTACTATGGTTTCATTGAGGCAGATCACAGTCTACTTAGAGGAGGTTTTGTTTTGGTTTTGGTTTTTTCCAAGACAAGATCTCACTCTGTTACATAGGCTGGAGTGCAGTGGTGTGATCTCTGCTCACTGCAACCTCCACCTCCCAGGTTTCAAGTGATTCTCCCACCTCAGCCTCCTTAGTAGCTGGGACTACAGGCGTGCGCCACCATGCCCGGCTAATTTTTGTATTTTCAGTAGAGATGGCGTTTCACCATGCTCATCAGGCTGGTCTCAAACTCCTGACCTCAAGTGATCCACCCGCCTTGGCCTCCCAAAGTGCGGGGATTACAGCTGTGAGCCACCACACCCAACCTAGAGGAGGTATTTTAAAAGGGCTTTCTCCTAGAGTGATCTTCTGGGACATAAGGAATCCAAAGGTTATGGGGTCACACAGTCCTGGGATCAAGTCTCAACTCCTCCACATTTTGCTGTGTCATATTAAGCACCCAAATGACCTCCCGAGGACCAACTCCGCAGGTGTCAAATGATGATGATAATAACACCTGCTTAATAGGCTTGCTGTGAGTCTTACATAAAAACAATTCCTGCAAAACAGCCTGTTCTGGGAGAGACTCCTTCTGAGAGGCCAACTTGATAGATTTTTCTCCCTGATGGATCTGAATATCTTGAAAGGAGATTTAGACAATTGGCATAGATTTGAGGGTTGAGTGAGTAGAAAGTACATAGAAAATGAAGCCAAGGGAAAAACAAGGCAATTATTAACTTCAGAGAGAACAAAAGGTTTTGTACAAGGGAAAAGTCTTCTGAGTTGACTGCAACATTCATAGCAAACATCGTTTACAGTTAGAGTAATGTAAACACTGAATATTGATCCAACAGAAATTACCACAGATCTGTAGCTGTGGCTGGGGTGGGGGAGGTCTTATCTATGGGCAGGAACAGCTGGGGGCAGAGAAGGGAGAGCTAATTTCACACTTTTCATAGTGAGAAGCCAATAGATCATGTCCAGGATGGAGTAATCAGGAAATCTCAAGAAAAAGCAGGCTACCTAGAGAAGTGTAGGTAAATAAAATAACCCACCAAGTAGGCAAAAGTGGTTGCTTTTAAGGAGAGGAAAGGGAGATAGGGGCTGAGAAACTGCTATGTTATGCAACGTGTTTTGTAGAACTATTTGAATCTAAACTACGATTTCTCAACTTCGGCACCATTGAGATTTGGAAACAGATAATTTTGGGTTGTGTGATGCTGTCCTGGACCATGTAGGATGCTGGCCTCCGCCCACCAGAGGCTGAGAGCAACCCTCCCCAATCCTCAGCTGTGACAAGCAAAAATATCCCCACGCATTGCCCTCCTTCAACTCAGTTGAGAACCACTGGTCTAAATTGTCTGTATAATTTTAATTTAAAAAATACTTTTATAGAGTACTTAGTGCCATGACTGCTGTATGGTTAGTGCTTAATAAATGGTAGCAAGGATTATTATTTTCCTGACCTTGCTGGGGATGCCTTCTCAATCCATCAACAGATATTTCCTGCATCACCACAGGAGACATGACAAACCCCAGTGATCTCCTAATCCTTCATATTTGAAGACAATTCCACTACTATTAATAAAGATAACCATAACAGCGTACCATTTCTGGGCCTGACACAGTGGGGTTCACCCAGGAGGGTGAGCGCATTAACATTTGGCAATATCTTGTTGCCAGGCTCTTTTTCATAACCGGTGTTAATTTTGTCTTCATAACAGCCCTGAGGTTATCCTGCCTATCTCTTTTTTTTTTTTTTTAGATGGAGTCTCACTCTGTCACCCAGGCTGGAGTGCAGTGGTGCGATCTTGGCTCACTGCAACCTCTGCCTCCCAGGTTCAAGCAATTGTCTCTGCCTCAGCCTCCCAAGTAGCTGGGATTACAGGCCCCTGCCACCACACTCGGCTAATTTTTGTATTTTTTAGTAGATATGGGGTTTCACCATGTTGGCCAGGCTGGTCTTGAACTCCTGACCTCAGGTGATCAACCTGCCTCGGCCTCCCAAAGTGCTGGGAATACAGTCATGAGCCACCGTGCCCGGCCCCGCCTATCTTATTTCAAGGCTATTCTCCACCTATGCTGTGCAACCTTAGGCAGGTCACTTGGCCTCTCTGAGCTTCATATTTCCCAAGTGAAATAGATCAACCCTGGATACCTCACATGAGAGGAAGATATTTTGAGGCCAAACAAGACAACGTCTTTGAATGGGGCACTCATTCTTCAAAGAAACAGCATGTTACCAATGCCCATTCTGTAAGTAGGGAGTCCTGTTTTGTTTTTCACCCTGAATAGATGGTGGGATTCTAGCCCCTGGGGAAACCAACTGAATGAGGAGCTGGGAGGCAGGTAGGAACATCTGTAAAAGGAGATAAGGTTATCACCATCTCCAGTGACTGGAAGCTTATTAAGGAAGATAGTTGGAAAGATGCTATCTCCACCCTGAAATATTAGCAAGTTTATCTCTGGCAGTGGCTCAGGCTGGTCAGGGGAGCAAAGGCAACAGGGCGATCAATTGCAACCCGTCCTACTGTCCAAGGATGCTGGGAAATGCCACCAGTCCACACGTGTGAGGCTAAGCACCAAGTCAGATGTGGATGGGCAGTCCAGCTCCATGGGGAAATTAGGTTAGTTGTAAGTTTAAACTCTTTCAGGGTAGAATGTGTATCCAATTTAGAAAATGACGGAGGCAGGAGACGGAATCAGAGGGCCCAATTCTAGCACCTTCTGGCTACGTAAGCCTGGTAAAATCACCGCACTTCTCAGAACCTGTTTCTTGCTCAGTAAAAATAAAGGGTATTCCCACCTGATCCACCTTCCTGGGGCTGCTTGAAGGTTTTCCAAAGGGCACTATGTATTTCACATAATCCTGGTGGTATAAGACAAATCCAGATGGTACCTGAAAGGACATTTTTATTCTCACAGGTATGCATTGATTTCATGTGCATCCGAAAATTTATGTATATAGTTATTACCCTGTTGCCTTCATCTGCTCTATTTTA
Source organism: Homo sapiens (assembly GCF_000001405.40). Lineage (NCBI taxonomy): Eukaryota > Metazoa > Chordata > Mammalia > Primates > Hominidae > Homo > Homo sapiens. The sequence goes on along the minus strand of NC_000012.12, from coordinate 118,601,672 downwards.
CCTCACATCACATATCACCAACTAATACTGTATACATTTATTAATTCATTCATTGTGTGTCTCTCCTTACTCTATGATCAGAGGTTTTCTCTTCTGGTGCACTGAAGTACTCCCAGTACCTAAAACAGTGTCAGGTACATACTACGTGCTCAATAAATATTTGGTGAAAGAATATCAAACCATGAGTTCACTGATATTATTGCTTAGGATTGGCTCACATTTTTTGGTTTTCAGTTTTGGCTTTTAAGAGAGCAGATTTTTAAAAAGACATTAAAGGTGACATGCAAAAGCCTACAATTCAGGGAGCTACAAGACAATAGGTGTGGAAATGCTGAAACCACTGTATAGCATGGCCAGAGTGTTGGCAGTTATTGGCAGCAGAAATAGCAGTGGGTTTGAGGGCCAAAGAGTGATGCAGGGCAAGTCTTGAATCCCCAGATCTCTCATCTGTAAAATAAAGGAGTCCCGGCCAGGCACAGTGGCCCATGCCTATAATCCCAGCACTTTGGGAGGCCAAGGCGGGCAGATCACTTGAGGTCAGGAGTTCAAGACCAGCCTGGCCAACATGGTGAAACCCCATCTCTACTAAAAATACAAAAATTAGCCAGGCATGGTGGCAGGTGCCTGTAATCCCAGCTACATGGGAGACTGAGGCAGGAGAATTGCTTGAACCTGGAAGGCAGAGGTTGCAGTGAGCCAAGATCATGCCACTGGACTCCAGTCTGGGTGAGAGAGACTCCATCTCATAAATAAATTAATATGAAAAAAAAATAAAGGAGTCTGTATTGGCCCTGCCCGTTTTCCAGGTCTCCTGGGAGAGCCAAGTGAGTTAACCAAGTAGAACTGTTGTATAAACCTTTAAGAGCTACGGACATGGTAGTGGAATTCTATTATTATATAAACACTCAACAGGCCACCCAACCTGATCCGAGCAAGAACCTCGGATCTCAATTCATTCTCACATTGAGGCTTCCCACTGGCGTCTGCATGGGCTCTAGGGTCAGCCAGACCTGGGTTCAAGTCCTGGTGCTGCCACTCTTACCTGCGTGATATAAGCAGTCTCTGAACCTTCATTCAACCAATGTTTTCTTCCTCTATGTCTGTAAAATAGGGATAGTACAGCTGCCCTGAAAAATGGCTATTCTATAAACAGCAAGAGTAGGTCTCAGATGCCTGCAACAATCTATGATCCCCATTGTACAAATGGGGAAAGTTAGGCACGAGGAGGTGAGATTATGATCAGACAGCTAGTAAGAGATGGAGAGTTACCTCACATTCAGGCGGACTGATTACTGAGCTCCAAGGTCATCTACACTAGGCCACACTATTTCCTTTAAAAAAAAAAAAAGGATCTGTGATATGGTTTGGCTCTGTGTCCCCAGCCAAATCTCATCTTGAATTGTAATCCCCATGTGTCAAGGGAGAGAAGTAATTAGATCACGAGGGCAGTTTCCCCCATGCTGTTCTCATGATACTGAAGGAATTCTCATGAGAGATGATGGTTATATAAGCATCTGGCATTTCCCCTGTGCTCGCTCACTCTCCTGCCGCCTTGTGAAGAAGGTGCCTGCTTCCCCTTCTGCCATGATTGTAAGTTTCCTGAGGCCTCCCCAGCCATGTGGAATTTTGAGTCAATTAAGCCTCCTTTCTTTATAAATTACCCAGTCTCAGGTATTTCTTTATAGCAGTGTGAAAATGGATGAATACAGTATGACTAATGTCTTCATTCAGCCATTGAACAAACAAACATTCACAAGCCAGACCCCAGACTAGTCACTGGGGTCACAGATTAAGTTAAACAAGTGCGCTGCTCTCATAGTGAGGGAAGACAAGAATATTAGAGGGTAGAAATGCTACCAAGAATGAATGACTTTGGGGGCTCTTTCTGATGGGCTGGTCAGGGAAGACCTTGCTAAAGATAAGACATAAGTGACCAGAAGAGATTAATCTTGGGGAAGGTTTAGGGAAGGGAATTCCAGGAAGATGGAGCAGCTAGTGCCAAGATGCATGCAGGGAACAGGCATAGCATATCCAAAGGACAGAAAGAGCCAGGGTGTCTGAGGCATAGTGAAGGGGAGAGAGCTTCAAGAAAAACCAAGAATGGCAGGCAGAGGCCAGAGTGTGCAGGGTTATTTTAGGCAGAGTAAAGAGTTTGGGGCTTGTCCTAAGGGCAATAGGGAGACTTTAGAGGCTTATGCAACTAACTCACACAATTTTATTTAAGATCACTCTGGGCCAGGTACAATGGCTCACACCTGTAATCTCAGCTACTCAGGAGGCTGATGTGAGAGGATCACTTGAGCCCAGGAGTTCAAGGTTACAGTGCGCTATGATTGCACCACCGCACTTTAGCCTGGGTGAAAGAGCAAGACCCTGTCTCCAAAAAAAAATCACTCTGAAAGCTATGCACAAAATAGATTAAAGGGGGAAAATATATTAGGGAAAAGACTATTGCAGTTGCCCATGCAAGAAATGACAGTAGAAATAAAGGCTTATGTCCATCAACAGAAATGTCTACAGCAGCCTTATTCATAACAGCCACAAACTAGAAACGATCCCTATGCCCATCAACATAAAATATATTTAAAAATTGCTGTCCATTCATACAGTGGAATGCTACACAGCAATGAAAAAGGAAAAGCTACTACTATCCCCAAGAACATGAATCAATCTCCCAGACATAATGTGGAGAAGCCAGACACAAAGCAGTACATTCTATTTGATTCCATTTACAGAAAGTTCTAAATGGGCAGAATGAATCCATGGTGATGGATGCCAGGGAGTGGTTACCCTTGGGGTAATACCGACTGAGAGAGGACGCAAGACAGCCTGCTGCGGTCTGAGAAATGCTCTATCTCTTGATCTATGTGGTGATACTATGAGTGTGTTCATATGTGAAACTCATCCAGCTTGGCTTTATGGTAGTGTTACACCTAATTTTAAAAGGAGAAAAACATACAAAAAGAAAAAAAAATGGTGATAGAATGGGCCAGGCTAGCAGCAGTGGAAACAGAGAAAAGGGAATGAACTCAACAGGTCTGAGCCCTGGTTCCTCTCCGAGCAGCTTGGAAGAGAAATTGGCCTCCTGGTGCCACTGACAGCTCTGTCCCATAACTTATGAGCAGTGTGCTCCCTCTCATAGCCAAGGCTGTCCCACAAACCAGGGCTGACCCTGAGGCAGACACAGCTCCAAGAGACAGGAGTTTCCCAGAGTAAAGGAAATCACTGGCAAGAGTTCCAGATGGTGAGGTCCAGACAGTGAGGTCCAGCTCCCCCACCCCAGCCACCCTAGCCAGCTGCACCAGGAAGGCCTGGATCTCAGCTGTGGGCAGGGTATGGGTGGAAAGGGTAGGAAGTGGAGCTCTACTCCTTCCACTTCATCCCAGGGAGCTGCCGGGAGCACTGCTTGGTTTAAAACTTTTTTTTTTTTTTTTTTTTTTGAGACGGAGTCTTGCTCTGTCACCCAGGCTGGAGTGCAGTGGCACGATCTTGGCTCACTGCAACCTCCACCTCCTGGGTTCAAGCGATTCTCATGCCTCAGCCTCCCAAGTAGCTGGGATTACAGGCGCCCACCATCATGCCCAGCTAATTTTTTTTTTTTTTACCGCAACCTCCGCCTCCCGGGTTCAAGCAATTCTCCTGCCTCAGCCTCCCGAGTAGCTGGGATTACAGGCGTGTGCCACCATGCCCGGCTAATTTTTTTATTTTTAGTAGAGATAGGGTTTCTCCACATTGGCCAGGCTGGTCTCTAACTCCTGACCTCAGGTAATCCACCCGCCTTAGCCTCCCAAAGTGCCGGGATTACAGGCGTAAGCCACGGCGCCCAGCCTAATTTTTGTATTTTTAGTAGAGACGGGGTTTCACATTTGCCAGGCTGGTCTCGAGCTCCTGGCCTCAGGTGATCCACCCACCTCGGCCTTCCAAAGTGCTGGTGAGAGGTGATAGCGTGCCGGCAGTCCTCGCAGCCCTCGCCCACTCTCGGCGCCTCCTCTGCCTGGGCTCCTACTTTGGCGGCACTTGAGGAGTCCTTCAGCCCGCCGCTGCACTATGGGAGCCCCTTTCTGGGCTGGCCAAGGCCACAGCCGGCTCCCTCAGCTTGCAGGGAGGTGTGGAGGGAGAGGCGCGAGCGGGAACCGGGGCTGCGTGCGGCGCTTGCGGGCCAGCTAGAGTTCCAGGTGGGTGTGGGCTTGGCGGGCCCCGCACTCGGAGCAGCCGGCCGGCCCTGCCGGCCCCGGGCAGTGAGGGACTTGGCACCCGGGCCAGCGGCTGCGGAGGGTGTACTGGGTCCCGCAGCAGTGCCGGCCCACCGGCGCTGTGCTCGATTTCTCGCCGGGCCTTAGCTGCCTTCCCGCGGGGCAGGCCTCGGGACTGCAGCCCGCCATGCCTGAGCCTTCCCCCGCCTCCGTGGGCTCCTGTGCAGCCCGAGCCTCCCCGACGAGCGCCGCCCCCTGCTCCACAGCGCCCAGTCCCATCGACCACCCAAGGGCTGAGGAGTGCGAGCGCATGGCGCAGGACTGGCAGGCAGCTCCACCTGCAGCCCTGGTGCGGGATCCACCGGGTGAAGCCAGCTGGGCTCCTGAGTGTGGTGGGGCCTTGGAGAACCTTTATATCTAGCTCAGGGATTGTAAATACACCAATCAGCACCCTGTGTTTAGCTCAAGGTTTGTGAGTGCACCAATGGACACTCTGTATCTAGCTGCTCTGGTGGGGCCTTAGCTCAGAGATTGTAAATACACCAATGGGCACTCTGTATCTAGCTCAAGGTTTGTAAACACACCAATCAGCACCCTGTGTTTAGCTCAGGGTTTGTGAGTGCAGCAGTCGACACTCTGTATCTAGCTGCTCTGGTGGGGCCTTGGAGAAACTTTGTGTCCATACTCTGTATCTAACTAATCTAGTGGGGACGTGGAGAACCTTTGTATCTAGCTCAAGGATTGTAAACGCACCAATCAGCGCCCTGTCAAAGCAGACCACTCGGCTCTACCAATCAGCAGGACGTAGGTGAGGCCAGATAAGAGAATAAAAGCAGGCTGCCCAAGCCAGCAGTGGCAACCCGCTCAGGTCCCCTTCCACACTGTGGAAGCTTTGTTCTTTTGCTCTAAATCTTGGTACTGCTCACTCTTTGGGTCCACACTGCTTTTATGAGCTGTAACACTCACCGCGAAGATCTGCAGGTTCACTCCTGAAGCCAGCAAGACCACGAGCCCACCGGGAAGAACGCACAACTCCAGACGCTCTGCCTTAAGAGCTGTAACACTCACTGCGAAGGTCTGCAGCTTCACTCCTGAGCCAGTGAGACCACGAACCCACCAGAAGGAAGAAACTCCTAACACATCCAAACATCAGAAGGAACAAACTCCAGACGCACCACCTTAAGAGCTGTAACACTCACCGCGAGGGTCCGCGGCTTCGTTCTTGAAGTCAGTGAGACCAAGAACCCACCAATTCCGGACACACTGGGATTACAGGCGTGAGCCACCGCGTCCTGTCTGGTTTAAAACTTCTGATCTCTATTAACCGAAGTGCCTCGTCAGAACTGGAAAAACTGGGGCAGCCACTGACTCGAGTCTTTCTGCTTATTTTTAGATCACACACCCTGCACTGAGTTCCAACTCACATCAAAACTGCAGGTTGTAGCCCTCCTGCTCAGGGAAGCCTCAGAAAGGATCTCCTTGGCCAATGGAAAACGGAGCTCGGAGATGCTTTGTGCTCTTGCAGTGAGATGTATGTCTTCAAAGTATCTCTTTAGAAAAACAAAGTTCCCCCACCCTGATCACACAATGCATTCTTGTTCCCTTCGAAATTTTAGGAATTTTTTTAAAAGCACTAAGAAGAAAAATAAATTATGTCTATATCTCCACCCATGAAAATGGGGTCCCTTCTCAACCTCCTTTTTTTTCATTTCATGATAAGTCTTGACTATCTTTCACTATCATTTAATAACCTCCAAGCACATCCATTTTATTAGCTCCATAAGAAATAATAATCAATAAAGCTACTATTCATGCACTACACATTGTTCTAAGTGCTTCTTGTGTTTTTGTTCATTTCATCCCTACCTCAGCCCTGTAAGTTTCATTATGGTCATCTCCATCTTACACATGGGGAAACTGAGGCTTGCACGGGGTTTGCCTAAAGTCAGGTTTGCCTGACATCCAGGTCTGCCCTCACCCAACACACTTGACCCTTTAGTGATGGTGCTGTGGTGTCTAGAATCCACAGGCCCCTTGTCATGTATTCAGACTGATTCTATGATTTTCTGTTTGTTCTACAGGCGTGTTGAAGAACATCCTTGTGAATAGACAGCTGGGAATCGCCATAAGTATTTCCTTAGGACAAAAGCATGGTTGTGGAATGGCTGGAAAGGGTCAGCCCTTCGCCAAATTAATTGCCCTCCAGAGAGGCTCTGCTGTTTATTCCCCCACTAGCAGTGCAGAAATTGTCACGACCCTCCTGCTTTTTAAAACCTCATCCAGGAGTGACTCCCCATCCTCCCTCTCTCATTCCTCCCTTTGAACATACCTGATGTGTTATTTGAAGATGCCAACCTAGGAGAATAGGCACAGATTATTTATCCTCGCTGCTAGACCTCAACCTCACTCATCTTTACTTCCCTCAAAGTCCAAGGGGTAAGGCCAGGTGTCTGTATTGGGAAGAGGCCATCTCCTTAAAGAACAGATTCTTACCTCCCAGCCTTTGCTGGATCACTTGTGTTTCACTCTCACTCTTTCTTATCCCCACAGCTTCAGCTTTGACATCGTCCTACCACCACCACCTCCATGAAGCCTTCCCTGTTCCCCCAGACAGGCCTGGATGCCTCCCCAGCACCTCCACAGCCCCACCTTTACTCCAACATAACACTGACCACGTTACATTATACTGTATTTCATCCAATCTAAGCCACCATCATTATTGCGTGTAACCCTAAAAAAGACTGACACATGCTTTTCTTTTTTAAAAATAGCATTATTGATGTGTAACTCACATACCATACAATTCACCCATTTAAAAGGTACAATTCCATGTGTTTTAGTATAATCACAGAGCTGAGAAACCATCACCACAGTCAATGTTAGAACATTTTCATCAACTCTAAAACAAATCTTGTACCTACTGCTATCACCTATCACCTCCCACCCCTCCTGTACCCCTGACACCCAGCCGTAAGCAACCACTAATCTATGTTCTGTCTCTACAGATTTTCCTATACTGGGTCTTCACATGAATGAAGTTATATAATATGTGAACTAATATGGCTGACTTCTTTCTCTTGGTTTTGGGCCATAAGATATAATCCCAAACACCACAATCCCAACACCATGTTGAAATCTGGAGAAATCAAAATCCCTAAAGTCTAAAATCCCAAAAATCATAATCTCAAAATATCAAAATCTTGAAAATATAATTCTGAAAAAAAAAATTTTAATTTCTCTAAAAGACATTTGTTGACATTTGTAAAGGGGATTTATTTGAGAAACAAAAACATGACAGAACACTTGATAGGCCACACGACACAATAAAATAACCAATAATAACATGTATTTTTGCAAGCATAAACCAAGTATACCAATGACAGTCACACCCATATAAATGTTATGACCAGCTATTTCTTTATATAACTTGTGATCATCTGAAATACCATGACGGGCAACCTAAGTCTATTGATGAGACCGATCAAAAACAGCAGAAGGAAAGTCTGTCCTAGCTCTCAGAAGAGAGAGATCAATTCACCTTTTGTGTTTGTTCTCGCCAGATCCTCAGCCAATTGGATGGTGTCAACCATCATTGAGGACAGATCATCCCCCCCAGTCCACTCAGACTCACACATTAATCTGTTCTGGAAACACCCTCACTGACACACCCAAAAGAACACTTGGCCAGGTTAAGCTTGATCAAATTACGTCCACAAGTCCACCCTTGTCAACTTGGTACCCATACATATCACCTTAAAACATACTTAATTTCCAAAAAAAAAAAAAAAAGAAAAGACCATAACTAGGTAACACTTCCACCTGACATGATGCAACTAACATGATACAGCTATCCTGCATGCAACCAAAATCGCAATAACTGTGATTTTGGGGGTTTTAGACTTCAGGGATTTTGATCTTTAGAAATTTTGATCTTTAAGGATTTCAACGTTCGAGATTATGGTGTTTGGGATTGTGTTTTTCAGGGTTATGATCAGCACTTTCACTTAGCATAACATTTTCAAGGCTTATCCATGTTGTAGCATGTATGCATACTTCATGACCCTTTATGGTCAAATAATATTCTGCCATATGGATAGATCACATTTTGTTTATCCATTCATCAGTTGATGGATATTTGGTTGTTTTCACATTTTTTGCTATTGTTATGAACATTCGTGTACATGTGTTTTATGCAGACATATGTCTTCAAGTCTCTTGGGTATACCTAGGAGTCACAGTGCTTTCTTATCGCTTAGAATTTTTGTTTGTGTTATTTAAAAAGCACTTTTAGAGTTATTTAGACATCAATTTTAATCACATATCACTCTGCACATACTTTTTTTTTTGAAAAAAGAAAAGACAAGTAAAATACATTAACTAAGATATTCCAAAAATGTCTTCAGTACAAAGTCTGTATCTTCTAAATGATTTTTAAAATCATGGTTGCCAGTGTCCACGTTTTCCTACAAGATATTCTCCACTGTGCCATTAAGAACATTAAAGAGGCTGGGTGTGTTGGCTCATGCCTATAATCTCTTTGGGAGGCCAAGGAAATAGTATCACTTGAGGCCAGGAGTTCCAGACCAGCCAGGGCAACATAGGGAGACTCTGTCTCTACAAAAAAAAAAAAAAAAAAAATTAAAATTAGCCAGGCATGGTAGCATGTGCACATAGTCCTAGCCACTCAGGAGGCTGAGACGGGAGGATAACATGAGCCCAGAATATTGGGGCTGCAGTGAGCTATGATTGTACCGCTGCATTCCAGTCTGGGCAACCAAGCAAGACTATCTCAAAGAAACATGCAAAAAAAAAACACTTGAAAATACAAGAATTCTTTTTTTTTTTTTTTTTTTTTTTTGAGATAGAGACACTCTGTCACCCAGGCTAGAGTGCAGTAGCGTGATCTCGGCTCACTGCAACCTCTACCTCCCAGATTCAAGTGATACTCCTGCCTCAGCCTCCCGAGTAGTGAGGATTATAGTCACCCGCCACCACACCAGGCTAATTTTTGTACTCTTAGTAGAGTTGGGTTTTCACCATGTTGGTCAGGCTGGTCTCAAACTCCTCACCTCAAGTGATCTGCTCGCCTTGGCCTCCCAAAGTGCTGGGATTATAAGCGGAGCCACCATGCCTGGCCACAAGAATTCTTAAAAGATAGCTTCACTGTTCTCTCCCAGAAAGACCAACCTCATCCTAACCACTACTAGCCTACGGTGATCTTACAACACCTTCAATTGCAAAATGCATCCCAATTTCAAAGAAGTTAATAAGTGAAAAAAAAAGTACACTGTAGAATTCATGAAGTGTGGTCATTTCCTGTCTACTTGTTCATATCCCATGCAAGAAATCATAAGTGCTTTGAGAACTGGGACCAGCCTTGTCCCCCATTGTGTTCATTCATGCATTTAATCAACAAAAATGAGTGAAGCACCTACACCACACATAATATATTCTTAATAAAAGTATATCAAATGAACAAATGAATAAATGTGTGAATGAATGTTCATCTACTTTGGAAAATGGAACAAACCTCCTAACCAGGGGAACACCCTCAATTTATTTCATTTCTAGGAGGTGTTTCCTCATTTATGAGATGAAGGCAGTAGTGAGAATAAAAATGAGCTCATGTGCAATACTCCTAAGAAAGTACCTGACACATAGTAGGCTACCGAAAATACCTGTGGAATAAAAGAAAGAATAAGTGAATGATAAAATAATTATTATTGCAGCTAAAATCTATTGTATACTTTTCTGGGGCCAGACACTTTACTTGTTCTATGCACTTTACTTGTGTTAATTCTATGCACTTTACTTGTGTTAATTCATTTTTTAATCCCTCATTTAATCCTCACAACAATCCTACAAGGTAGGTACTAACATTATCCCCAGTTGACAAAGGAGGAAACTGAGGCATGGAGAGGTTGAATGAATTGAATGAATGAACACAGGAATGAATGAATGACTGTTGACCTGCCTCAGTTAAAATCCCAGGCATTCCATTTCTAGAGGGGTGAACCTGGGCAGCCCCTTCACCTCTCTGATCTTCATTTCCTTGTCTAGAAAATGAGAAATAAATCATCTGTACCTCCCCAGGTGGTACCAAAGAGGAAGTGAGTTCATGTGTGTTAAGCACCTGGCTCAGGGGCAAATGGGCAAGTGGAGGCCAATCCATCTGATATGAAAATCCCATTACTGCTGGGCTGGCTGGGTGACCTTGGGCAAGTCACGTAACTTCTCTGATCCTCATTTCCTCATCAGTAAAATGGGGATGCAAGTATCCAAGCTGGCAAGGAGGAAGCTTCAAATCACACTTGCAAAGCCCCTCACTCAGCTAGTGACTGCCTTAAAGAAAGCCTTGTACTGACAAGTGGCCCCTACCCAGCCAGGACTGTGTTCCAGGAAAGCTAAAGAGCCCAGACTGGCTCCTCCTTCTCAAGGCTAATCCAACATATGCCTGCAACACCAACCTTGCGAGCTGTCAGACAGGCTGGGCAGAACCCAGTGGGTGCACTCTGCTTCCCCTCTGCCAATGAATAAATCATTACAGGAGCGTTATGCATCCCACCCGCATCCATAAGGATCTGAATTATATATAACAAGGCAGCAAAAGCAATTTATTCCAGGCACGTGCAAGTCATAAAATAGGAGTTCTTAGGTGCCTGAGACAATTTTCAGATATTGCAGTTTTTATCAAAGCAATAAGGACCACCAACGGAGCACCCTGCCCCACGGGTGTGGGGACACCTTAATCGGGTTTATTTATCATCAGAGAAGAAAAATCTAACTTTCCCTCCCAGCTCTGCCACCTCCCCCACCCACCACCCTGATGCAGCTGCTTCTCAGCTTAGGAGGTCCAGGATGTGGGGCTGAGCTGCCAAGAGCATCCACCTTTCTAGTGGGAACCATCTGCTGAGAGTCTGGGGGTGGGACCAGGTGTGCTCCAAATCTCTGGAGGGAGAGAGAAGAGAGTTTGCAAGGAGAGAAAATAATATGGCAGCAAGAGCTCTAAATCAGAGCTCAGGAGTCCCACCTCTGCTGCTGACTACAGGTGGAGAAACTGAGGCACTGAAAGGTTAAGTAACCACCTGTCCAAGGTCACACAGAGGAGAAAGGAGCTGGAATGAGAACGCAGTTAGGTTCGGCAGACATTTATTGAGCACCTACCATATGCACTAGGGATACAAGGTGGAGATGCCCATGTGTGTGTGACCTTCTGGCTGCCTTTTCATCCACATTCTAACAGTCTGCCCCCATCCCTGCACTTCAGCCCACCAGGCTGCCTTGCTGATGATGCTCAAATGCGCCAAGTACATTCCTATCTCAGTGCTTTGGGATTTGCTGTACCTGGTGCCTGGAACACAGTTCCTCCAGACCTTAGTACAGCTGACTCCCTCATCTCCTGGTCTCTGCTCAAACATCACCTTCTCAAAGTGGCCTTCCCTGGCCATCTTATCCAAGATGCCAACCCTCCCCACAAGTCCCATGTAATCATGCTCCATTGCCTTCTAACAGATCAGGTTCTCCTGAAGCAAACAGGGATGGGGTGTGGGGTCTAAGAGGTTCTCTAGAAATCAGACCCTGTGAAAGCAAAAGGGGAAGAAGCAGGATTGGGCAGAGGGGGAGATACACCATTTTAGGCTCCACAAAGCCTCATCCACCCTGGCAAGGAGCTCTGCAGAGAATGCTGTCCATCGTTGTCCTGTGTCAGGCTAAAATGACTGTACTTTTATATCCCCACCTCACTTAAGTCACAGGATGTAGATTGCCCTGGGACAGACAGAAGCTTGAGCAAGGTGGCTCTCCGCAGCCGAGGCAGACCCTGAAGGAGAAAACAGGTGGAGGCAGCCTGCTGACCACACTCCCCACAGCTGGACAGCAAGACCTCCCTTGGAGAGGCTGTGGGTAACGCATCTCCATGTCTACAACATTCCTTACCCTGCTTTATATTTCTTCCTAGGACTTAGCGCCACCTGACATTGTATATATGTACATATCTATGTATTTCCCTGTTTACCATATTTCTGCATCCTGAGACTGTGATTTTTCCAGGGACATAGGCTATGACTGTGTTGTTCTCATTGCCTACAACAGCATTTGGCATGCAGCAGGTGCCCAATAAATATTTGCTCAATGAGTGAATAAACAAATGAGTGCCTGCCTGCCATTGCTGCCAATTTAATAGGGGAGACTCACCAGTAAACAGGCAGTTGCATTTAAACATGGTGAGCACTGCCAAAGGGAATACCCAGGGACAATAGATGGTCTCTAACCCAGCCTGGGGTGTGGAGTGTCCAGGGAAGGCTGTCTGACTTCAAGTCCACTGCTAGTTCCACTACAAGAGGACAGGACAATGGTGCTGAAGCAGGCTTCATTGTACTCCTGGCTACTCCGTCATCTTGATCTGCTGCGCTCGGTTATGTAACCATTTCATGTTTTTATATATTGCCTGTCCAACCAAGTTATACCTTCCCTGAGCCCAGGGGGCATGTCTTACATTTCTTTTCTTTTATCCCCTTCAATGAAGAGTGCAGTGTTTTGTGCACCATTGACATTCACTGAATAATTATAGAATGCATGAATAGGGCCTTTAAGGATGAAGACAGTGAGACTCTGGGTGACCAGGTTTTCTGACCTCCAGTTTGAGATACAAGGTCTGCAAAAATGTTTATTCATTTATTTATTTATTTATTATTGAGATGGAGTCTTGCTCTGTCACCCAGGCTGGAGTGCAGTGGCGTGATCTCGGCTCACTACAACCTCCACCTCCTGGGTTCAAGTGGTTCTCCTGCCTTAGCTTCCCAGTGGCTGGGACTACAGGCATGCACCACCACGCCCAGCTAATTTTTTGTATTTTTAGTAGAGATGGGGTTTCACCATGTTGCCCAGGCTGGTCTCTAACTCCTGAGCTCAGGTGATCCACCCGCCTTGGCCTCCCAAAGTGCTGGGATTACAGGCATGAGCCACTGCGCCCGGCCAAGGTCTATAAAAATAAAAATACCTTTCCCTTAGTGAGCACTAGCTCCAGCCAGATACTCTGCCAAGCACATTGCATACATCAAAGCTATCAATCCTGACAGCAGCTTTGCAAGGTAGAGGTCTGAATATTGTCTCCATTTTACAGATGAGGAAACTGAGGCTCAGAGAGGGGAAAACATTTGCCCAAGGTCACACAGTCAACATGGGGTAGAGCTGGGAGACAAGCCCAAGCCGATGTTCTTAGCCATGACACTGACTCCTGAGGTTAATGGGCAGATTGTTCAAAATCAGAGTAGAATTATAAGATATGGAACATGAGGTCAAACATCTCCAAGATCCTAAAGTCATCAGAGTTTCTGTGTATTCAAGAGGGCAGGGAGCAGGACAAATGACTATTCAGCTCGATTAATTCTCATCTCTAGCAAATTCAGTGTTTTCTCTCAGCCGTCAGTTGTCTCCACCAAAAGAAAGAACCAGCAAGCTGTCTCCCAAAAAGATTCATATGACAGCATGAAGATTAGATGACTTTAACCAGATCCTTACAAATATTAAGACTTGACTTTTTCAACACACTAAGAGTGGTATTAACTCAGAATTAGACTCACATTAGCCGTACCTTAATACTGAAGTATAAACCAGATGGCAATTTATTCATTTATAAAGAGAAATGGCTGGGTGCAGTGGCTCATGCCTATAATCCCAACACTTTGGGAGGCTGAGGTGGGAGGATCTCTTGAGGCCAGGAGTTCAAGAACAGCCTAGGCAATACTCCCAGCCTAGCAAGACCCACATCTCTACAAAAAAATTTAAAATTACCTGGACATGGTGGTGCACACCTGTATCCCAGCTACTTGGGAGGCTGACGCAGGAGGATTGCTTGAGCCCAGGAGGTTGCAGTGAGCTGTAATTGTGCCCCCGAACTCCAGCCTGGGCAACAGAATGAGACTTTATCTCTTAAAGAGAGAGAGAGAGAGAAGGGAGGGGAGAGAGAGAAATGACTGTTGTAGAAATAGACTGGTTCAGAAAGTTTACACAACCAGCACTTTTTCTCCTAGTAAGAAGACCAACCTGGAGAAATAAATAATATGTGGATTTCTGATTAATAAAATTGGGATAAAGAGTGATGGATGCATTCATTGAATGTTTAGTGGCACTAGAGTGAAATGGCTAGGAGCAAGCATCTTATGGAAAGGATAGTTCAAATGGGATAATAACTATCACAAGTCAGCCTGCATTTATCTTATGGCAGAGATTTTTGGTTGCTACCAAAACTAGAGACTTTTGGTCGCTACCAAAAGGCCATTGCCAATCTCGCTTCCCATGGCTGCTTCACACTATAGAGATTAGAAAAACTGACTCACTTTCCCTGCTAAGAAGGATGGTCACATCTGGCCAATGAGATATAATGTCAAATTATCCTAGGGGCTTCTGTAAAGACATTCAGCTTCCTGATGAAGTGAACAGAGGTAGTGCCTCACTGGCACTACCCCTTTCCCTTTTTTCTGCTTTAAATATGGATGTGATACCTGGAGATGCAGCAGCCTTCTTGCCACCATGACATGATATCATAAGGAGGATAAAAAGCCAGTGTGCTAAGAATTGCAGAATGGAATAGAAGAAAGAGTACAGACAATAGATGACATTGTTGATCTACTGCACCAAACCTGAATTTTCCAGCATCCAGGCTTCCAATTAAAGAAGACCATTAAATGTCTTTGTTGTTTAAGCCACTGTTATCTCAGTTATCTGTCGCACCATTAAAGTCACCCAAAAACCCAGTGGTTTAAGCCATTTATTATCTCTCATTATTCTATGAGTTGACTGGGCTCAGCTAGGTGGTTATTCTGTTCCACAGGGTGTTGACTGGGAGTCAACTGGAGGCTCAATGGAGCCAGAATGTCCAGAATATCCAAAATAGCTCATTCACATGGTTGGCAATTGGTGCTGACAGTTAGCTGAGAGCTCACTCTATATGGCTTAGGCTTCTCACAGCATGGCAGTTGGATTCCAAAAGGGAGTTTTCAAAGTGTGCAAAAGTGGGAGTTGCAAATCTTTTGCAGCTCAGCCTTGGAAATGATACAGCATTGCTTCTGCTTCTTTCTATTTTTAAAAGTAAGTCAGAGAGTAAGCCCAGATTCAAGGTGAAAGGAAGGAGACCACCTCACAATGGGAGGTGTGGCAAAGAAGTTTCAGCCACCTTTAATTGACTGCTGTTACCAATCTGCTTTTATATGACTTGTAGCTGAAAGCATGTCTCTAGATCTAGTCTTGCCACTGGAACAAGAAATATTCAAAGACTGAGACTCCTCTATTGGACAAGCTGCCTTGCAACTCTCTGTTCTCTGGGCTTCCATGGTGGACACAGTATCTCTTTAAATATGTTAATACATTTGACTGCATGACAGCCAAGTCTTGCAAGCCTGGGAGCCATCCTGTCTCTTTAAGGTGTCTTTGCATTACTCTGCTCTGATCTATATTAACTTCATGGTTTAACCCTCAGATGGCAATCTTTACTCCTTGTGTTTTCCAAGTGCTTGAGAAAGCATCACTGTAGCTCCCTACATCTGGCAGTAATCTTCATCAAGATGATAACCCTTGCCCTGTCTGCATCACAATGTTGTTAAGAGAATCAGAGGGAAATATGGCTAAAAACATATCTTGGAATGGTTAAAAGGGATTATTATTATTATTATCATAATCAAATAAGCATGTTGTGTTGGTTGTGGCTCTTTTCGTAACAAGCAACATAAAGCCCAATTCAAACCAGCTTAGGCAAAGAGAGAAATGTTGGCTAGAAGTCTGTGGCAGTAGCTGTTTTCAGACATAGTTTGATCCAACAGGATTTATTTTCCACCTACCTCTTGGTCCTGATGTCCTCCAAGTTGCTTTATTTCTTAACAAATGACTGCTAGTAGTTTCAGATGTACATCCTCCTAGGTTCTCTTTCTCTAACAAATTTAAACAAAAGTCCTTCATCTGACTGTTACGGGCTTAAGTTAGGCAACATGCTCATTTCATAACTAATCATTATGGCTAAGGGCACATAATGAGCTGATTGTCCAGGACTAGGTCACATGATGACCCTAATCTAAGGATAAGATCGGTTCTACCATATTACATGGATGGAGAAAATTTGCAATATTGTCACCAGGAGAAGAGTACCCAACACATATGACACAGAAGAAGAGCATTGGGTGAGAACTCTAGGGCCTGATTAACATCTTGGTTCTGCTGGGTTACTCAGTTTTGCTCCTGAAGCTTGCTCTTGACCCAAAATGACAAGAGCATTGTTGTGTCATTTTACTATCAGGGTCATCGTGGTATCTAGCTAACTCTGACCATGTTCTTTAGAGAGTCTTGAGAATGAGTCTGATTGGTTCAGTCTCATGTCGTTTTTATCAAGTCTAGTCCTTGGCCAGCCTGTGGAATAGATGCTCTTGGGTCATGGCCCACCCCCAATCCAATAACCTATGGCTAGGGAGGGACCAGTCATCATTATGGCTCATGAGTGAGCAGAGAGCATAAATGTGAAGAGGGAGGCAGAGAAATGGAGCCAGCAAGACAAAAAGCAGAAGGGGAAGACTCTGCAGCCCCTGCTGGAAGAAAGACATTTAAAGTGGCTCTTTAAAATGGAACACCTGATCCATGGAAGAAAAAAAAGTTTTTAATTAAAAAAAAAAGTTTTTAAATAAAATGACTCAATACTGAGCCCAAATTTTCATAGCAAACTGTAGAAGAGAGAAGGGACTTGATTGGAAATGTGATCTTAAAAAAATAAAACTATATCCTATCAAAATAACAAAATCTAGGTGACCATTTCAACTGTGCATGAATTCTTTAAGGAACAGAAAATGAATTAAGCAGTGATTTTTTTTGTTGTTGTAATTTTTCTGACAAAATCCTTCACTTCAGGTTTGGCTTCCATAGCATATAACAAAAAGGTCATTTAAAAAAAATATTAAAGGGCTTTACCAATTTTTCCTAAGGCTGTCTTGAATCTTTTGATATTTACATATTTCTCTTTTGAAGTGTTCACTGAGTCATTTTCCTTGTCATTTTTTTTTCTTCAACTGTTAACTCTTCTTGGGATAGTATTCAAAATATTGAATAACCAGTATGATACAGGCACTGAACAATTCTCAGAACAGTCACCACGACAACCTACATGGCTGAACGTGCAGATTCAGGCTGAATATCAGCACTGATTCTTCCAATGCTGCTGGATTCTCAGGGGTCATCTGTGATTGTGTCTGTTTTTTAAGCATGTTTTAACATCACTTTCATCAGCTTCATGGAATCCTACATCTTGGACAAGATTTTCAATTACACATTTGCAGTTGGCTTATATTGTACATGCACCAGAGGGTCAGACAGTTAGTAAGAGACTGATTCTCTTTGACAGGACCCATTGGTTGTAAGAAACAGCAATCCATGCAAGGACATGTGACGGGCATTCAAAATTTGGGGGGGCCTTTGAGAGATGGAGTCACGAGGAAATTGATTTAGTAGAAAAGGCTTCATGCTAGCAAAGTAACACAGGAACAGAAAACTGAACACCACATGTTCTCACTCATAAGTGGGAGTTGAACAATGCAAAGACATGGACACAGGGAGGGGAGCAACACACATGGGGGCCTGTCAGCGGGTGGGGGGTGAGGGGAGGGAACAGGTCAATAGGTACAGCAAACCACCATGGCACATGTATATCTAGGTAACAAACCTGCACGTTCTGCACATGTATCTCAGAACTTAAAGTAAAATTTAAAAAAAAAAAGGAAAAGCCTTCATACTAATGTTAAGTAGGGAGGGTCATTTAATTATTAAAATTTTTCATAGTTCAAATTGTGTAATTATTGAAAAACATTATATAACAACTTTTATTTTATTTTATTTATTTTTTGAGATGAAGTCTCACTTTTGTCACCCAGGCTGGAGTGCAGTAGCATGATCTCGGCTCACTGCAACCTCCGCCTCCCAGGTTCAAGCGATTCTCCTGCCTCAGCCTCCTGAGTAGCTGGGATTACAAGCGCCTGCCACCACGCCTGACTAATTTTTGAATTTGTAGTAAAGACAGGGTTTCACCATGTTGGCCAGGCTGGTCTTGAACTCCTGAGCTCAGGTGATCTGCCTGCCTTGGCCTCCCAAAGTGTTGGGATTACAGGTGTGAGCCGCCATGCTGGGCCTTATTTTTTTTTAAGAAAGGGTCTCGCTCCATCATTCAGGCTGGAGTGGAGTGGCATGATCAGAGCTCACTGTAGCCTCGAACTCCTGGGCTCAAATAATCCTCTTCCCTCAGCCTCCCAAGTAGCAGGAACTACAGGCACATGCCAGCATGCCTGACTGATGTTTCTTTTTTATTTTTAAAGATGAGGTCATTCTATGTTGCCCAGGCTTGTCTGGAACTCCTGGCCTCAAGCAATCCTCCCTCCTCGGCCTCTCAAAGTACTGGGATTGTCAGAGGCATTCGAACTAAATGACGCTGAGATCTGCTGGGCTGCATTCCCAGGAGGTTAGGCATTCTTAGTTACAGGATGAGATAGGTGGTCAGCAGGAATGGTATCACAAGATACAGGTCACAAAGACCCTGGTGATAAAACAGGATGCAGTAAAGAAGTAACCTGGCCAAAACCAAGATACTAACAAAAATGACCTCTGGTCATCTTCACCACTCATTATACACCAATTATAATACATTAGCATGCTAAAAGACACTCCTACCAGCACCATGATAGTTTACAAATGCATTACATCTACAAGTTACAAAGGCAACATCTAGAAGTTACCCTACATAGTCTAAAAGGAACAGGCGGATCACAAGGTCAGGAGATTGAGACCAGCCTGACCAACACAGTGAAACCCCATCTCTACTAAAAATACAAAAATTAGCCGGGCGTGGTGGCGCGTGCCTATAATCCCAGCTACTCAGGAGGCTGAGGCAGGAGAATTGCTTGAACCTGGGAGGCGGAGGTTGCAGTGAGCCGAGATCGCGCCACTGAACTGCAGCCTGGGTGACAAAAAAAAGAAAAAAAAGAAAAAAAAGGAATAGGAACCCTCATTTCCAGGAAATCCCTGCCCCTTTCCTAGAAAACTCATGAATAATCCACTCCTTGTTTAGCATATGACCATAAAAATAGCCACCAGCAGCCCTCGGGGCTGCTCGGCCTAGGAAGAAGCTATTCTTTTATTTCTTTATTGCTTAATAAACTTGTTTTTACTTTACTCTGTGGACTCCCCCCCAATTCTTCCTTGCATGAGAGCCAAGAACCCTCTGTTAGGGTCTGGATCTAGACCCATTTCTGGTAGCAGGATTCCAGGCATGAGCCACCACTCCTAGTCAACAACTTTCGCTTCTCTACACAACTTCACAGCTACAAGGACTCAGATGATAAGTACTCAATAACAAGAGCCCCTTAAATTTTGTTTTTGAACGAGCTTGCATAGATTGTGCTTTCTTGCAACCAACAAATCCTGCCAAAAACAATCAGGATTTACAAATAGGGTCACAAGATGATTTCAAAATAAATATCAGACCCACTTGGAAAAGTTATGATGACCATGTATGGGTCTGATATTTTCTGAATTTGTTTCCCAAGCTTACATGCTTCCAACTGGAAATCCTGTTTATAAAATTCAGGACAGGTCCTCTACTCAGTTGTAGACTTTAGCCCACTGATTCAGGAAGGTAGGAGGTTTGCCTTGGTAATCGTGTGACAGAAAACATAGTAAACACACAAGAGACAGAGTAATTGATGAATTTCTCCAACTCATCTCCTAGCAGAGGATTTGAAGTTCTGAGCCTTAGACTTAGGAATCAGGGCTGGCGTGGTTACAAGTCACTGAGTATCTCCCCACCCCCAATTTTGAGGAACAACAGCAATTACTTCATGTTCTGCAATGCTAATTAACTCAAATCAGTCAAAGGCTTGCTTAGATCAGACACAGCTCCAAAACAAACTTGTGAATTCTGCAGACTGTGAATTTTCCTTAATTAACATGAAACACATCCTTCCCATGCCTCATGCCAGAGCTTTTTCAATCTTGGGGAAAAAAGAGCTATAGGATCCAAAGCTAACCATCATTGGCTCTCAAGAGTATAGCAATAAAAAGAGGAGGTTCTAGAGCCAGACAGGTGTGGATGTCAATCTTGGCTCTGCTACTTACTGACTGCCTGACCTTTGGTAAGTCGCTTAACCTGTGTGTGCCTCAGTTTTCACACCT
The DNA here is from genome assembly GCF_000001405.40 of Homo sapiens. NCBI lineage: Eukaryota > Metazoa > Chordata > Mammalia > Primates > Hominidae > Homo > Homo sapiens. Next base: position 118,581,285 of record NC_000012.12, on the reverse strand, counting down.
ATTAAGTGTGGAAAATAATAGTATCGCCCTCATGGGGTTGTTGTATTAAGTATAAGGTGCTTTCAAGCCCAACAGATAATGGGTGTTCGATAATTATTATGACTCTAACCCAGCGGTGGACACTGTCATTTTTTTTCTACCAGCACCCTTTATTCTTCCTTATGGTAAGAGTCTCTTGGTTTTCCTTTAGGGAACCACTCCCCTTCTACTCATAGACTAGTTCAAGTGGGACCTAAATAAAACCACCGTCAGTTCCAGAGCAGGACCTGTGTATTAGATTGCTAAGGCTGCCATAACAAGGTAACACAGATTGGGTGGTTTAAACAGCTGAAATGTAATTTTTTTTTTTCAAGACAGAGTCTTGCTCTGTCGCCCAGGCTGAAGTGCAGTGGCACAATCTCGGCTCACTACAACCTCCATCTCTCAGGTTCAAGTGATTCTTGTGCCTCAGCCTCCTAAGTAGCTGGGATTACAGGGGTGCATCACCACACCCGACTAATCTTTGTATTTTTAATAGAGAAAGGGTTTCACCATGTTGACTGGGCTGGTCTAGAACTCCTGGCCTCAAGTGATCCACCCACCTCAGCCTCCCAAAGTAAAGAAATTTATTTTCTCATAGTGCTGGAGCCTGGAAGTTGGAGATCAAGGTGTCAGCAGGGTTGGCTTCCTCTGAGGCTGAGGCTTCTCTCTTTGGCTTGCAGACGGCCGCCTTCTTCTTGTGTTTTCACTAGGTTTTTCTTCTATACTTGTCTGTGTTCTAATCACCTCTTCTAATAACAACAGTCATAATGGATTAGGGCCCACTCTAGTGACTTTGTTTTAACCTTAATCCCTCTTTAAAGACCCCATCTCCAAATACAGTCACATTCTGAAGTATTAGGGGTTAAGCTTCAACATATAAATTTTGAGGGGACACAATTCAGCCCATGACCATCTGTGAACCAGATCTGGCCAAAATATTTTCCTCCCCTTAGTCAAGGTGATTGATTCAATCTAAACTTTAACAAACAAAAACCACACACTTCAGTACAGAGAACTTCTTCATCTGTACGATTGGGTGTTGTGAAGACAATGTAAAATAAAGCTGCATGGGGTTACCATGTTGAAAAAGCTAAAACAGGAAAAAATATATATATAACATATAGAGAAATGAAAAGACAGAGATTGAGTCTTGATGTCATTATCTGAGCCCCTGGATCCAGTTGAGCCTGAAAAAAGCCCTACCCCCTTTGACAGTTCACTTGTGTAAGCCACTAAATATCCCTTTTTGTGGCTTGAGCCAGGTTGAGTTGGGTTTCTGTCACTTGCAACTAAAAAAAGCTTTAACTAACATAGCCCCTATTTGATTATTAAGGAACTTGTAGATCCCAAGGAAATAGGAAGGAAAGGAGAAGATCAAAAACCAGAGCTGGAACATGAAAGGAATATTTACAAAACAAATTAGATGGGTAAATATGAGCATATAATAGAGGAATCGGGATAGATTTAAGAACAAATATGTCTGCCTTTAACCTATTCTAATATAAGGATTTTTTTACTCTACACTGTAATTAAAGCAAGGAATTCTTCACTAAACCGTAGGCTTCTTGGAGGTAGTAACAGTGTCTTTGTTCAGATGCAATGGATTTCCAGTGCCTAGCACAAATTGGGCATTCAAAAAATATTTGTGGACTTAAATGGGCTTATTAAAAAATCTTTTGCATTTATGATTCAACATAAACATCCCTTAAATAATGAATTTGCCATAGTATTATACTTGCAAATTCCCAGTATACTCATTGTTGAAGAGTTATACTGATAATCATATAGTAGCTGAGTATGAATTTTAATGAGGTCTAATAACTTAGAGAGGAAACTTTCAAGTGTATGACCTAACCATTAGCTAACCCATAACTGGTCCTTTCTTTACCCATAAATTGCATTATAATTCTCTGTTGCACACACTGGGGCCTGTCATGGGGTGGGGTGGGGTGGGGTAGGGGGAGGGAGAGCATTAGGAAAAATAGCTAATGCATGCTGGGCTTAATACCTATGTGATGGGTTGATAGGTGCAGCAAACCACCATGGCACACGTTTACCTATGTAACAAAACTGCACACCCTGCACATGTACCTCAGAACTTAAAATTTAAAAAAAAATTCTCTCTTGCAATCTGGAATTGCAGCCCCTTGTAAAAGGGGAAGGATGTATGTTCATGACGTTGGATAAGAGCACGAAGTGAGAAGAAGCTGGCCTTGCCCTACTTGGATTATCAAAGGAAGTAACAACTCTGGACAAGGAGAGATTGCTCTGCCTGGTGATAGCAGAGGAGTCTCAGAACCAGAGGAGGAGGTGGCACATGGCTTTATCCTGTGCACCTCTCCCTCACTTAACAACTTTCATTCTTCCTGAAAATGAAAGCCTGCCATATGCTTGCTGAGCTGTGGACTTTTCACGAGCCCAAGTGAAAAGCTGTTAAATGAAAACATATCTTTTTTAAACATTTTTAGGGAATAAATTATGATGCTCTCCCTTCCAACTCAAGACACTCAAATAATCCTCACAGATAGAAAAATGTATCCATTGAACAATGAGAATGAGTTTATGTAAGTAATAACAATCGGAGAGTAAATAAATGCAGTTTGCTCATCAAGTGTAATGCAATGAGAGTTTACGTAGTCATCAAAGGAGGAAGAGAAGACTTGATGGCGGGTGGATACTGATGGGAAAGACTGCAAGGGAGTCATTCTTTACAAGGTGCATTCTTATTTCTGCATTATTTTCTTTACAAACTTTCCAACATTTTGGGAGTCGATGCTTATCCTATGCTCAAGCTGCATATAAAAATTAAAAGTTTTGGAATAGAGGTTGGCAAACTACAGCTCCTGGGCCAAATATGAGCTGCCCAGACATTTACGTATTGTCCATGGCTGCCTTTGCACTACAACAGCAGAGCTGAGTAATTGCAAAGAAATAGTATGGCCTGCAAAACCTGTAACATTTACTATCTGGCCCTTTACAGAAGAGAGCCAATCCCTGGCCTAAATAAATAAATATAAACAAATAAAAAAACACCTTCAGGGCTAAGTAAAGGAGAGCACTCCACTCCACAGCACATAGAAATAGCACATGCACCCAGTGGTCTAAATGAGTTGCAGAAGATGTGACCTCTTCCTGTCTCTCATTTGTCCCATGTATGCAAACCAAAACGTTTTGGATTCATCTAAACATGCATACATTTCAAATTTGTTCCACATATAATAATATTCTCTGACTAGAAACTGTTCCCGTGTACATCAGTGAGCATGTCTTTGCCTAAAATTGTACTGTCAAAATATTACTTCTTATGCCATATTTATTTGGTGTTTGGGGATGAAGGTGTCATTCTATTGACTCAAAGAAAGAAGAGTCATTCTCTGGAAAGGAGCATAACTTTCCACGAGCCATTATGATGAAATTTCATTTATGAACAGTCCTTAGGTGAGTTAAATCTGTATTTCTTGACCAATGTTTCTCGACCTCAGTGCTATTGATATTTTGGGGGATAGATAATTCTTTGTGGTGGCAACTGCCCTGTTCATTGTAGGATTTTAGCAGCACCTCTGGTCTCTATCCACTAAACGCCAGTAGCACCCTCAATCCCAGCTGTGGCAACCAAAAATGCCCCCAGACACTGCCAAATGTCCTCACCCCCAGTTGAGAAATACTGGTCTAAAGAGCATCCCCTGCCCTTCACCTCACCACATCCAACTGCCTATTCTCCCTCCCACCAATCCCATTTCCCCATATCCTCACCCTAGGCATATAATGTGCTATGTCAGAAAGGGGTAAAACTGGACAAAGATTGCATAAGCTGGTGTCTAACATTTACATGGCACTTACCTACCAGAGGTAATACAACATCAGAAAACCCAGAGCCAATCCTGAGTTCTAATCCTTTCTCTGCCACTTCCGAGCTGCCTGAGCAAGTCACTTGATCTCTCCAGACACTTCTTCCTCTGTAAAACGGTGGTAAGAATGTGATAAGAACAATCCTCGCCAGGCATAGTGGTTCACACCTGTAATCCCAGCACTATGGGAGGCCGAGGCAGGTGGATCACCTGAGGTCAGGAGTTCGAGATCAGCCTGGCCAACATGGTGAAACCCCATCTCTACTAAAAATACAAAAAATTAGCCAGGTGTGGTAGCGTGAGCCTGTAATCCCAGCTACTCAGGAGACTGAGACACCAGAATTGCTTGAACCTGGGAGGCGGAGGTTGCAGTGAGCTGAGATCGCGCCACTGCACTCCAGCCTGGGAGATAGAGTGAGACCCTGTCTCAAAACAAAACAAAACAATACAAAACAAAACAATACAAAACAAAAGAATCTTCACTGGGTTATTGTGAGGACTGAATTCACAGAAGCAAAGCACTTATAAAGCTTTTGTTCATTAATTTACAGTGGAAAGGTAAACAACACACAACTGTGAGTTCTTATTCTTACTGTTATCAACCAGATTTGTGTTACCTTGACTTAAGCTGCTCCTCTATCACAAAGTGGCACAGTTACTAAAAAAGACACGAGGTTAGGTGATGTGGTGGGGATGATTGGTACAGATACCCATGTGCCCCTCTGTATTTCCCAGCCTCCCTTGCTGGTGGGGGCCATGTGACTAGGTTCTGGCAAATGGGAATGCGGGCTGTAAGGATGCATCACCTCTAATCCAGGCTTCCTGAGGATCAGAGAGTCTCTCCCACCCTTTCTTCCTCTGCCATGCCAACCTGGAAACTGTTGTTATGTCTGAAACTGTGAAGGGCCTAAGATTTTACCCTACTGCAAGCTACCAAATTAGCCCACTAAAGTTTACACACACATACACCACACACCAAATATACATACACAAATATCACATACACACATATCATACACACCACAAACACCACACACCCACCACATACTAACCATACACAAACATACACACCACATACTAAACATACACAAACATCTCACACACAAAAAAAACAAACACCCATATCACACACACCACATACATACACACATATGTACCACACACTAAACACACACAAACATCACACATACACAAACCACACACACAAACCAAACACACACACCACACACACACAACCATACCAAACATACATAAACATCACATGTATTCACAAACCAAGCACACATCCATATCATACACACTACACACACATCACATACATACACACACATACATACCACACACTAAACACACACAGACATCATACACACACAAATCAAACACACACCACAAACACTTACAACCATACCAGACATATATAAACATCACCTGTACACACAAACCACACACACTCATCCACAACACACACCATGCACACATACACATCACACAGACCACACACACGATACTGAACACACACACACATCACACACACACAAACCAAACACACACATCACATACGTACACACCACACATACCAAACATACATAAACATCACACATACACACAAACCAAACACACATACATCTCATCTACCACACACCATATACACATACACACCACACAGACACACATACATATCACACACTGAACATACACAAACATCACACACACAAACCAAACACATACATACTACACACACCCCAAACCTACACAAACACCACACACACACCAAAAACATACACACCACATACAACACACACATACACAAATATACCGCACACTGCACACATGTGTACCACATACACACACCCCTACACCACACACACACACACACACACACACTGACTAAAGATGACAACCGATCCCTAGGTTAAGGACACAGGCCATTTATTAATCACAACAGAAAAAACAGTGAGAGCACCAACTTTCCATGCCCCAATCTTCTTGGGCAACATGATGTTCACCTGCACCACAGGACGCTAAACTTAGGAGCCTGTGAGCTTCAGTCAAGCTGGAGGTGACCTGCCTATCCTCCCTTATGGAGACATATGACTTCTTACCCTCTAAAATAAGCAAATATCTCTGGGGCATAGGGAAGAAGTCTCTAGGCTTATTACCCTAGAATGTAAGCAAATATCCTCCTGGAAGAGGAAGGGACTTTATTATCTGGAATATCTCCAAGGAAGAAGAGGGTCCCTATCTTCTGTTTGTTGTTCATTCATCCCTGAACAAAACTTGTCAATACCCTTAGCTGGGAAAGCCTGGACCATACAAGAACACAAGAAATCCAGAGAGAATTATCTCCCAAGGTGGAACAGGATGGAAGGAATCTGGATCCCTGAGTCACCAGATGGAGGAGAGGCCTTGCCGATCTCCATCAGACTTTATGTGAGCAAAAAATAAACTTTTGTGCTGTTCCGCCACTGAGATTTCAGGTCTTTTTTGTGGCAGCTAGCATTAATTATCCTGACTAATAAAGATGACTTTAATGTGCATCAGATAAATTATACTTGCCTGAGAACCAGAGAGCTAGACAATATGTAGTAAGCTCTCAATTATAATGATGGGGATGAGATTTGGGAGAGGATAGAAGATTGCGAAGAAGTAATCACCTTACTGGTGATAGAGCAAAATTAAATAGTATTTCAGGGACACACCACTGCCATCCTGGAACATAACCCCCCCGTTTCAGCACATCCAGATGTTATCAGGCCACCTGGTTCATGAACATCCATACTGGAGCCAAAGCTGCGAATGACTTTCACACCAGTTTAGACATTTCCAGATCATCTTAAGCTCAATTACAGCTAAAACAATAATATACCCCTAACATCATTACTGGAAAATCACCAACCAAGCTCGCTAATTGCATTTACTTCTTTATCCTATTAGCACAGCCATAAGTACAGCATACTCTTCCCAGGGGATAACCATTCACAAGGCCAATTTCCTTAGGATGAGACTTTCATATCACAGCAGTTTGGAACTAGTGTGTCTCAGGAAATAAACTGTCAAATCAATAACATTTGCAACCAGAAAATATTTAGAGCAAATAACAGAGTAGAGCCTGCAATTGAGACTGACACGACTCTTACCTGACACTTGGAAGCTATAGCAACTCAGAACTTGAGGTTTTCCAAGGGGCCAATTTGGAGGTACTATTCACATTCCCTGGCAAGACACAAAGAAGCCTCATTATATTACTTTGCAACTCTTTCCCGGAAGCTCACTATATTATTGCTAATCTGGAAAAAGCAAACAGCATTTATTAAATTCCTTCTGTGTTCCAGGCTTCATACCTTAAGCAATGTATGTAGAAAAAAAAATCTTTATGGCAGTTCCTAAAGGCGTTCAAATTCTGGATCTGAAACTTCCTAAGGCAAGTTACTTTATTTCTCTGAGGCTCAGTTTCCAAATCTGTACAATGAAAATAATAATATCTACTCCCCAGAGGTGTTCAGCTGATTGAAGATAAGGTATATAACGTGCATGCTATAGATGAGGTATACCTAAGCATATGGCACATGGGAGGTACTCAATACATCATAGTTATTGCTATGACTCTACGTACCTCTTCATGATTGAAGTTAAGTCAATGTTCATTAAAGAAATTAATGTCCCTCCCCCCGACACTGGGCCATTTGAGGGAAACACGTTCAGATGCCAATCTAGTTTGATCCATCCAATTCTTTCACTTCAAAATAAAAAGCGTGTCATTTTGTTTTTGAGATGATAGGAATAAGTGGTCAGCTTCTCTTCTTTATTATTTCTTTCAGGTAAATCACTTCATCTAACTGCTTTGAATATTTGTGCTTCCCAAAAACTCCTGTGTTGAAACCTAATCTTCAGTGTGATGGCACTAGTTGGTGGGGCCTTTGGGAAGTGATTAGATCATGAGAGTGGGGTCCTCATAATGGAATTAGTGCCCTTATAGGGGCTGCAGATACCAGGGTTCTTCCCATCCTCCATGTGAGAACGCATCTAGAAGGTGCCATTTATGAAAGAGAGTGTGGGTCCTCACCAGACAACCAGACACCAAATCTGCTGGCAGTTTGACCTTGGACAGCTCGGCCTCCAGAACAGTAAGAAATAAATTTCTGTTGTTTATAAGCCACCCAGTTTGTGTTGTTTTGTTATAGCAGCTCAAATGGGCTAAGATACTAATTTAGCATTCTATGAGTATCACATAATGATTGAAAAGTCAATAAAGAAAGAAGGAAGGTACAAAAATCTTGGAAGAGAGAGAAGTGTTTAACAATTCATATAGTCAGGGTTACTTCTGAACAAGGTAGGCCTGGGTTTAAATTCCAGACTTGACACTTACCAACTGTGTGATTTTGGGAAAATACTATAATTTCTCTGAGACACAGTTTACTCTATACAAATACCTCCCACCTCAAAGAGTTAAGATGAAAATTAAGATGATAAATAGTAAAATGTTAATGAATGTTAGTTCTCATTCTCTCCTTTTCAACTTCTATCATTATAAGGTTCAAATTAACTCAAAGGACTAGATTTCACAAAGGACTAAAAATAGAACTACCATTCAACCCAGCAATCGCATTTCTGGGTATATACCCAAGAGAAAATAAATTGTTTTACCAAAAAGACACATACATTCATATGTTCGTCACAGCACTATTCACAATAGCAGAGATGTGGAACCAACACAAGTGCCCATCAATCATGGATTGGATAAAGAAAATGTGGTACATATGTACCATGGAATGCTACACAGCCATAAAAAAGAATGAAAGTATGTCCTTTACAGCAACATGGATGCAGCTGGAAGCCATTATCCTAAGCAAATTAATGAAGGAAAAGAAAACCAGATACCCCATGTTCTCACTTATAACTGAGGAGCTAACATTGGGTACACATGGAGACAAGGATGGGAACGATGGTAACTGGGGACTACGAGAGAAGGGAGGGAGGAAGGAGGAAAGAGTTGAAAAATTACCTATTGGGTACTGTGCTCAGTACCTGGGTGACAGGTTTAATCGTATCCCAAACCTCAGTATCACATAATATATCTATGTAACAAACCTGCACATATACCCTCTAAATCTAAAATAAAAGTTGAATTTTTTAAATAAAAGGATAGTTTGTGAAATCAAATGTTCTTAACAATAAAAAAAATTTAAGTCAATACATGTGTAGGACAAACTGGTGGGCACTGGTGATGTAGTGGTAAAAAAGATTGACAAGGTCACTATCTTCACAGTCCAGCCTACCTTCTGAAGTGAGTAGATTACCCAGCCGCTTTCACAAATCAAGAGAAAAGTTCACTTGCAGGAAAATCCATGTAGAAATAATGTGGAGGGTTCATGAGAGTTTACTAAGAGGACTTGGCTGAGGTGCAAAGAAAGGCCTCCCTGAAGAATATCTCTGTGGCTCATTCTGAATTGTGAACATATTTTCCTAAGTGGCACCAAGACAGTTAGCAAGCGGCCAGATCATTCTGGGCCTTCTAGGGTGAGCCGCAGAAATGCCACATTGTACAACCATGGGGGACTCCAGCGACACTGTACACACAACCTGTGTCGTGAAACCAGCAGCCCTGGTAGACAATGTGCAGAAAATAGAAACTGCAAGGGACCAGAAGCATAAACAAAATATGAAGCCTGGAAGAGAAGGCATTCACAAGAAAGAATAAATTATAAAACTTTCAAGTGCAGGTGTAATAGAGTAGTTCCAGGCAGACTGATGTTCCTACCAAGTATGACTAGAAAAGCAGGATAGAACACAAACACACAAAACGTCTGAAAGGATCAGGGAGCAACAAATACTTGAGTCCTGGAAAGCAAGGGAGTTTAGTGTGCTATGATCAACATTTTGTGCACCACATTCTCCCTTGGGGCACTGATGATTCTTAAATGCCATGGAATGAAAGGCTGAGAAATGGAAGACAGGGATACTGCTAAGAGGCAGAGAAGTCATCAGAATGAGAGGAAACCCCCTGAGAATAGAGACGTGCCGAGATCAGCTCAGTCGGGGAGACCCTAACCCAGCAGCACTAGAGGAATTAAAGACACACACACAGAAATACAGAGTGTGGAGTGGGAAATCAGGATCTCACAGCCTTCAGAGCTGACAGCCTCCAAGAGAGATTTATCCACATATTTATTGACAGCAAGCCAGTGATAAGCATTGTTTCTATAGATTAGAAACTGAAAGTATTCCTTATGGGAAATAAAGGAATGGGCCAAAGTAAAGGGATGAGCTCTGGCTAGTTGTCTGCAGCAGGAGCATGTCCTTAAGGCACAGATTGCTCATGCTATTGTTTGTGGTTTAAGAACACCTTTAAGAGGTTTTCTGCCCTGGGTGGGCCAGGTGTTCCTTGCCTCATTCCAGTAAATCCACAACCTTCCAGTGTGGGCATCATGGCCATCAAGAACATATCACAGTGCTGCAGGGATTTTTTTTTTTATGGCCAGTCTTTGGGCCAGTTTATCAGATTTGGGGGCCTATTCCCAACAGAGATGGAAATTAGCATTTTAGGGTGTCAAAACATCTAGGAGATGAGAGTCCAAATATCTCCCACAAAAAGGAGGTAATGAGAAGTGATTCACAAACACTGCACCAATTTTTCCCTTATTAATGCCGTATAAGGCAAGTATTTTAGAATCAAAGCAAAAGCAGTTGAAAAGCTGAGCTGAGTTCTTGGCATTCTTCTAATACTGTGGCACAAAATTGGAGTCCAGGACCACCAATTAGGAGATGCCTTAGTAAACACAGCCCTGGTTCTCATCTGGGAGCCCTGGTTCCAGAGGGGTGGGTGTCAATTGGAGGCAGGCTGAGCATTATGAAGATCACAACCTACCCCTTAGCCAGCTTACTCCCTAAGTGAATAGAGGTGATATGGCCCTCTGTATGCCTAGCTGCCAGCCAGAGGACAGGGAAGATACTCCCTGAAAAAGGTATCACCTAGAACCTGTACAAGTCTTATACCCAATGTCTATTATTCCACCAAAATTTACCAGGTATAGTACAAACCCAAGCCAAGAAAACAAAAACAAAAACAAAAAAACTAGTTAACAAGTGGGAAAAAAATCTCTGATCCAGCTGATCCAGATATTGGAGTTATCTAAAATAACTATGGTTAACATAATCAAGAAAATAGATGACAAGATGGATATTTTGACCAGGGAGCTTAAATCTATAAAAACAGAACCAAGTAGAAATCCTAAAACCTGAAAATACAAATTTGAAAGTAAGAATTTACTAGAATGTCTAGCAGTAGATTATAGACTAATTTAAAAACAAAGAAAAGAAAAAAGATTAGTGAAACAGGAGATAAGTCAGTAGAAAATATCCAGACTAAAGCTGAAGAAAAAAAATGAGATGGAAAATCAAAAAAGAAAATCAGAAGCAAAAGAGACACAGTAAAAAGTTCTAACATATGTATAAATGGAGCCCCAGAATTAAAGAATACAGAGAATGTGGAAGCAATATTTGCAAAAAATCATAGCCAAGAAATTTCCAAAACTGAGTAAAAACATCAAGACATAGATTCAAGATGTTCAGAGAACCCCAAGCAGGATACATACAAAGAAAACCACAGCTAGACACATCACAATACAATGAAACCTAAAAACAAATGAAATTTAAAAACTTAAAATCAGGGAAAAAAAGACATTGATATCAAAGAGGCAAGTACATGAGATCTGACTTCTCAGCAGAGATGATGGAGGCAAAAAGACAACCAGAGAAAGTATCATTCAAGATAGGATTCTATACATACTGAAAGTATCATTAAACAGGAAGGTAAATATATTTTGAATAAAATAAAACAGAGAATTTGTCACCAGCAGAGCCAACTAAAAACAAACATTTAAGGAGATTCTGCAGGTAAAGGAAAATGATCACAGACAGAAATACAGGAGGGATTGAAGAGCAACAGAAAGGGTATTAAATAGATCTGAATGAATACTGAAAACAATAGCAATAATTTCTTATGAGTTTCTAAATATACATAGATTTAAATAAATAAAATCAAAAACACAAAAGGCAGGAGAAAGATAAATTAATTTATAGTGTTCATAGTCCTTAGTATTTACAAGTAATAAAGATACTTACAAGTAATAAAGATACGGATTTATATCAGACTCAAAAAAACAAAGAAGGCATGTCTTTATTTCTAGGGTAATTACTAAAAGCAGGTATAACTAACAGGTTAATAGAAGAAATACCAATTTAATTTTTTAATGGATTGGTCCAAATGAAAGAAAAAAGGAAAAAAACTCAAGTGGAACCAATAGAAAAAGTAATAGTAAATGGTAGATATAAAATCAAAAATATCAGTAATTACATTAAATGTAAATAGACTAACTATTCCAATTAAAAGATCTAGCTTGGCAGACTACATTAGAATAAAACAGTTAAATACTGTTTACATGAGATATGCTCTAAAAATAAGGGCACAGAAAGTTGAAAGTAAAAAGAGGGGAAAAGCAACAGTCAAAAGAAAACTGGTGTAGCTATACTACTATCAGGGCAAATAAACTTGAAGGCAAGATGCATAAGTAGATACAAAGAGGACAAGTTCAATGGAAGGTTTAATCTGCCAGGAAAATAAAACAATTTTATACTTGCATGCACATAATAGCATACTTTCAAAATATATAAACCAAAAAAATTGATTAAAAAGAAAAGTAGATAAATCTATAACTTATTAAATATTTTAACAACCTCACTAAGTAAATAATAAAACAAGCAGACAAAAAAGTGGGAGCAGTAAAGAAGATCTAAACAGCACAATTAATGAATTTGACTTGTTTGACATTTACAGAATGTTACTAGCTAACTGAAATCCATAGAAAAGGGCCAAATGTAAATCCTAGAACCTAAAAATACAAATAACTGAAATTAAGAATTTAGTAGCATATTTAACAGTAGATTGTACACAGCTATAAAAGCGGTGGGGGATTAGTAAAACAGAAGATAAATATCCACTGTACCCAACTGTAGCAAAATACATATTATTTCAGGTACACAGTGAACATTTACCTAATTAATCAAACACTGAGTCATAAAGCAAATTTAAACAAATTTCAAAGGGTTAATATTATTCAGAATATATATTCTGAGCTGGGCATGGTGGGCATGCCTGTAGTCCCAGCTACTTGGGAGATGAGGCCAGAGGATAACTTGAGATCAGAAGTTCAAGGCTGCAGTAAGCCACGATTGCACCACTGCACTTCAGCCTGGGTGACAAGAGTGAGACCCTGTCTCAAAAAGTAAAATAAATACCTACATATATACATACATACATACATAAGAATACATATTCTGACCACAATGCAATTATGATAGAAATCAATAATGACAAATAACTAAACACATTTTTTATTTTTAAATCTGCATGGAAATTAATAAGAAATCATAAAGAAAATTAGGGAGTATTTTGAACTGAATGATACTTTGGTTAGACAAAAACTTACAGCTTTAAATGGATAAATTAGGAAAGAAAAGAGGATGGAAATCAATGATATAAATAGCCATCTCAAGAAGTTAGAGAAAGTACAACAAATCAAACTCAAAGAAAGAAGAAAGAAAATAATAAAGATAAAAGCAGAAATCAATAAAAATAGAAAGCAAACTTACAATAGAGAAAGTCAACAAAGCCTAAAATTTGTTCTTTGAAAAGGCTAATAAAATTGATAAATGCCAAGCAAGATTTTATGTGTGTTGAAAAGATAATAACAGAACGTTATAAACAACTTCATGCCAATAGAATTTGACAACTGAGATGAAGCATAAAAACTAGGAAAACACACCTTGTGAAAACTGACACAAGAAAAAACATCTGAATACTTCCATATCTATTAAAGAAATTGAATCTGTAATTAACTTTCCCACAATCTCCAGGCCCAGATATCTTCACTGGTGAATTCTTCGAAGCTTTTATAAAAGAAATAGTGATGACCTTCCCCAACCTCTAATAGGAAATAGAAAAAAATGAAACACTTCTCTATTTTTTTTTTTCTGAAGTCAGCATAGCCTTGATACATACACCCAGAAATCAAAACCTGACAAGGAAATTGCATGGAAAAGAAAATCATAGGCCAATCTCGTTCATGGACCCAAATGCAAAAATCCTAAACAAAATATTATTGAATCAAATGCAGCAATACATAACAAGGATTCTGTATTATGACCAAGTTTGGTTTCTCCTAAGAGTACAAAATTGGTTTCACATTTGAAAAGAAATTAATATAATTCTCACATTAATTAAATAAAGAACAAAAAAGCGTAGAATTATCTCAACAGATGAGAAAAAGCATGTGAAACATTCAATACTCATTTATGGATGAATCTTAGCAAACTAGGAGTAGTTTTTTGTTTTTGTTTTTGTTTTTTTGTTTTGAGATGGAGTCTCGCTGTGTCGCCAGGCTGGAGTGCAGTGGCGCAATCTCAGCTCACTGCAAGCTCCGCCTCCCGGGTTCATGTTATTCTCCTGCCTCAGCCTCCCGAGTAGCTGGAACTACAGGCACCCGCCACCACGCCCAGCTAATTTTTTTGTATTTTTTTAGTAGAGACGGGGTTTCACCATGTTAGCCGGGATGGTCTCGATCTCCTGATCTCGTGATCCGCCCGCCTCAGCCTCCCAAAGTGCTGGGATTACAGGTGTGAGCCACCGTGCCTGGCCAACTAGGAGTAGTTTTGATAAAGGCTAGCTACCAAAAAAAAAACACTAGAGCCAACAAAAACATTCACATAGTGGTGAAATACTGAAAGTTTCTCTCTGTGGTGGGGAATGAGTAAGGATGTGCATTATCACCTCTTTTACTCACTACATCAGAAATCCTGCAGACCAGCATTTTGGCTCAGTTCCTTGGGCAACCTTCTCCATCATTCAATGGTAGGCCACTCCTATGGGTCAGCTGTGACCCACATCCTCCTATTTCTTCATCACTGGTGATGGCAGCCGCACCTTCTCCAAAGAAGTCTCGCACCCTTAGCAGTGAGAAGGGGACCCTTTTAAGTTTCTAAGTATCTTCACCTATTTACTATCCCTGTGCCTTGGTGGCTGCTTTCTGCAGTTGCTCTTTTTGTACCTCTTTGGGTCCTCCTCTCTCTTTTTAAGTAGTTATCCACCTTTTTACTGGTTAGACTAGTTAACATTTTTTATATTAAATTTTCCCTGTTCAAATTACTAATCTGGTTTCTGTCTCCTCATTGGACCCTAACTGATAAAAGACCTAATGAAATGCGGAGTAAATAAGGAGTAGAAGGCTCAATATTGCAAAGAAGTCATTCTCCCTCAATTGATCTATGGATTTAATGAAACTCCAAGCAAAATATCAGCGGGTTTCTTTTTTGTCACAATTGATAAGCTGACTCTATAACGGAAACAAAGGGGGCCAAGAATATTCAAGACAATTTTGATAATTGTCTAAGCTACGAGATTAACCCTTCCAGATATTAAGATTTATGATAAATCTATCGTAATTAAGATAGTGGAGGGTACTATTACAAGGATAGACAGAGAGTTCAGTAAAAGAATATGCAGTCCAGAAATAGGCCCACAATATATGGTTACTTAATTTATGACATAGACACCATTGCACTGCAATAGGGAAAGATGGTGTTTTTAAAACCCGGTGGCTGGTCATTGGAAGTCCATATGGATATTAAAAAAGAATCTTGCTTCATACTTTATACAAAAATAAATTCCAGGTGGATCATATAATTAAATGCAAAGGTACAATAATCAAAGGTTTTGTGAAACATAAACCTGGAATAGGCAAAGTTTTTTTCATCAGGACATAAAAAGCACAGACCAAGTAAAATGATTGATAAATTTGACTTCATTAAAATTAAGAACTTCTATTCATCAAACAAATCAATGAAATATTGAGGAGCTACCACACCGTTTTCTACAGTGGCTGTACCATTGTATATCCCTACCATCAGTGCATGCAAGTTCCAATTTCTCTGTTTCTCCACATCCTCACCAATACGTGTTATTTTTCTTTTTATTATTGTTATGGCCTTCCTAGTGTGTGTGATGTAATATCTTGTGGTTTTCATTTGCAGTTCTCTACTGCAGCTCTTGCATAAAAAGGGATGAAGTAGATACATGCTACGACATAGATAAACCTTAAAAACGTTATGCTAAGTGAAAGAAGACAGGCCCAAAAGCCATCTATTGTGTTATTCCATTTATATGAAATATCTAGAATAGGCAAATCTATACAAACAGAAGGCAGATTAGCGTTTGCCAGGGTCTGAATGGAGAAAGGAATGGGGAATAACTGCTTAACGGGTATGTTGTCTCCTCTTGGGGTGATTTAGAAGTTCTGGAACCATTTTTAGTAGAGACGGGGTTTCGCCTGTAGTCCCAGCTACTCGGGAGGCTGAGGCCGGAGAATGGCGTGAACCCGGGAGGCGGAGCTTGCAGTGAGCCGAGATCGCGCCACTGCACTCCAGCCTAGGGCGACAGAGCGAGACTCCGTCTCAAAAAAACAAACAAAAAAAGAAGTTCTGGAACTAGATAGTGGTGATGCTTGTACAACACTGTGAATATACTTAAAGCCACTGAATTGTACACTTTCAAATGGTTAAAATAATAAATTTATGTTTTTATTTCACCACAATTAAAAATTTATCAATAAGAGAGTGAAAGGGCAACACCCAAGAGAAGGAAGAGATTTGTAATACACATTACTAACAAATGTCTCATATTTAGAAAACACACATTCAAATATACAAATCAATAACAAAATACAGACAATCCATTTTTAAAATGGGTAAAAGGCTCAAGCAGACACTTCACACGGGATATGTAAATAATCAGGAAACATAAGGAAAGGTGTTCAATATCATTAGTCATTAGGAAGATGTAAACAAAAATTTCAGTAAGACACCACTGTACCCCTGCCAAAGTAGCTTGATTCACTCAGTCATTCATTCATTCACTCATTTACTGAGACAGGGTCTTGCTCTGTCACCCAGGCTGGAGTGCAGTGGCACCATCATGGTTCACTGCAGCCTCAACCTCCTGCGCTCAAGCAATCCTCCTGCCTCAGCCTTCCAAGTAGCTGGAACTACAGGCACACACAACCACACCTGGCTAATTTTTTTTTTTCTTGTAGAAACGAGGTCTTGTTATGTTGCCAGGTCTGGTCTCAAACTCCTGGCTTCAGCTAATGCTCCCATGTCAGCATCCCAAAGTGCGGCGACTACAGGCATAAGCAATTGCACCCAGCAATTAGCTTGATTCTTTTAAAATGACAGCATCAAGTATTGTTAGCAATGTGGAGCAACTGAAGTTCTCATATACTGTTGGTGCAGTGAAAATTGATACATTCACTTTAGAAAAATATTTGGCAGTATCTACTATAGCCAAACATACACACACCCTATCATCCGGTAATTTTACTTCTCAAAATAGCCCCAAACTAGAAACAATCCAAATGTCCACTATTAGTAGCATAAATAAATACATTGTGACATATTTTTAAAAGATGAAATATAATTGAGCAATGAGACAGAGTAAACTACTGCTACATGAAAAAAATATCACAAACATATTGGCCAAAAGAAGTCAGGTTAAAATAATATGTTTTATATTATTTCATTTCTATAAAGTTCAAAAACAGGCCAAATTATCCTATGGTGATAGAAATAAGAATAAGAAGTAAGGTTACCTGTACGAGAGCACCCTGGCTGGACCATCTATGGCACTGGCAGTGTTCAAGTTCTGAATCTGGAGGGTGATTACACAGGTTTGCTCACTTCGTGAAAATACGTCAATCTGTGTATATATAATTTGAACACATTCTAGTTGGCTGTTGCACCTCAATTAAAATTTTACTCTTAAAAAACTGGATGATGGCTGGGTGCAGTGGCTCACGCTTGTAATCCCAGCACTTTGGGAGGCTGAGGCCGGCAGATCACCTGAGGTCGGAGTTCAAGACCAGCCTGACCAACATGGAGAAACCCCATCTCTACTAAAAATACAAAATTAGCTGGGCGTGGTGGCGCATGCCTGTAATTCCAGCTACTAGGGAGGCTGAGGCAGGAGAATCGCTTGAACCTGAGAGGCGGAGGTTGCGGTGAGCCAAGATCACACCATTGCACCCCAGCCTGGGTAACAAGAAAAAACTCCATCTCAAAAAAAAAAAAAAAAATGGATGATGAGCAAATTGGCACATCCATGCAATTGGATACTACTCAGCAAGAAAAAGGAAAAAACTATCATTGCATGCAGCAACTTGGATGAATGCCAATGGGTTCCATCTCTGAGTGAGATGTCAAGTTTTAAAAGTTACATAATGCATAATTCCACCTATATGATATTCTCAGGAAAAAAAAACTATACAATGAAGAATAATCAGTGGTTGCTAAAGGTTAGGGATGGGGAGGGCATGGCTATAAAGGAAGAACAGAGGAGAGTATTTGGGGGTTATGGAACAGTTCTTTATGTGATTTTGGTGGTGATTACACAAGTGTATATATGTGTTAAGATTCATAGAGCTGTATATTCTCCCCCTGCCCAACAAAACTCAGTTTTATTATATGATAAATTTTTAATGAAAAACAAAGTGCAGGCTCTGAAGCCGGACTTTCTGGGTTTGAATTGCTTACTAGCTGTGTGTCCTGAGATAGGTTAATTAATGTCCCTATTTCCCGACTTCCTCACAAGAACAAAGTGGGTAACAGGCGCCCTTCTCTCATAGGGCTGTTTGAGAACTAAATGAACTAAACATACAAAACATTGAGAACAACACCTAGTACATAATAAGTGCTCAATAAATATTAATGATTATTAGTAGCACACATACCTACCATATGAGATTTATGTTATAAGCTGCGTAGTTTTAAAAGACTAATACTTTTCAACAACCCAAATGTTCATTTGTTGATTAGTGGATCAACAAAATGTGGTCTATTGTGGAACATTACTCAGCCATAGAAATATGAAGTACTGATCCATGCCACAACATGAATGAACTTTGAAAGCATTGTGCTGAGTGACAGAAGCCAGACACAAAAGGCTACATATTGTAGAATTCCATTTATATGAAATGTCCGGAATAGGCAAATTTATGGAGACAGAAAGTAGATTCATGGTTGTCAGGGCCTGGGGAGAGGAGGAATTGGGACTTACTGCTAATAGGTATGGGATTCCATCTTGGAGCAATGGAAATGATCTGGAACTAGATAATGATGATGGTTACACAACTGTAAATATACTAAAAATCACTGAATTGTATACTTTAAAAGGGTGAATTTTATGGTATGTGAATTATATCTCAATAAAGCTGTTATTAAGAAATATAGTAACGCTTAAATGTGAGCTCACTGTTGAGTCAACTTTTTCTACTTGCTCATCACCTTGTATTAATTGTTTGTAGAACCCTTAAGTGTATTTTGCTTTTTAGCAAATTCTGTTTATTCTTCCATAATAAATCAGTTTGCAAATGACTAAGGAGTTTTTCTTTTTAAGGCAAATTATCTTAACTTTAAAGGACTTATTTTAAGTGTCAGTGGGTGTAAAATGAGGCTTTAAATAATTGAAAATATTTTTAAACAATATTAACCAAAATGAGGTGTGATAAAACCATTTAATGGCTATTAATCTGGATAAATAGGTTTTAAATCATAAAGTGGCATTTAATTGACCTATAATAACTGGCTTGTTAAATCTAAATTAAATCATTATGTAAGACACTTATTAAAAAAAAAGGAGAGTTCCTAAAGATTTGCAGAAAAAAATTAGTAAAGCCCAAGAAATAGCAGAGATATTATAGTTGGATACTAAACCAATCATTGAAGTTCGTAAACTATAAACCTTTGCATTACTCACATGTCCAGCCTTATTTAATAAAAACTCACCGAGCACTTGCTATATGTCAGGTGTTGTGTTAGAGACTGAAGGTTCAGGGATAAAGCACAGAGCCAAGGTCTCTGCCCTCCTGGGCCTCACAGTCTAGCTATTGGCATTGTCCAATAGAAGTTGAATGCGAGATACATCTTTTATCTTAAATTTTCTATTGGCCACATTAAAGAAGTAAAAATAAACTATTGCAATTCGTTTTTTAATTTTTTTTAGAGACACGGTTTCACTGTGTTGCTCAGGCTGATCTCAAACTCCTAGGCTCAAGGTATCCTCCCCACTCAGGCTCCCAAAGTGCTGGGATTACAGTCATGAGCCACCGTGCCTGGCTCCAAAATTAATTTTAATAAGACATTTTATGTAACCCAATATGTCCTAAATATAACATCAACCTGTGACATTATGAAGAATTATAAATGAGATAATTTACATCCTTTCATTCATACGAAGTCATTGAAACCCAGTGTGTATTTTATACCTTGCGGCACATTTCAACTGAGATTAGACACATTCCAAATGCTCAGCAGCCAGGTGGGACTAGTGGCCTCCATACTGGACAGCACGGCTCTAGCTGTATCACCATCTAGTGCTGGAGAATATCACTTGTCACTTGCACTGCCAGGAAACAGTGTATTCTAAACAGGCATAACTGCCGTGACTCAATCTCTCTCTCTTTCATGAATCTCTATGAACTGACATGGAATGATCTCTGAGACACTACTGTTAACTGAAAAGAGCTTGTTGTAAATCAATATGCATAGTAAGATCCCACTGAGGTTAAATACACACCAAGAAAACAAAACTATCTATGTATACTTAGTGTATGCAAGTTCAGAGAAAAATGACAGGTCTGGAATGACAGGTGCACTGCTAAAAGTGTTCATTTCTGCAGCGGGTAAGAGAATTGAAATCGTGCTGAAGGAAGTCCTTCCCTCTAGACTCTGTATATGTATCTGATTGTCTGACCACAAACACTTTATTTGGACTAAACAAATTGTTTTTTATCTGAGCTGGTTGTCGACATTTGGAAATCACAAGACTTTGTGTGAAAAATCTCTAGTTCTGGATTTTATTTTTTTTAAGAATTGCAAGGTCTGACAATGCTAGGTCCCTTCCCTTGTGGCAACATTGGGCCAGAGCTCAGGACAAAGCTCAGGCGCTCCAGGTCTTTGTCAGTGGCCAAAACTGGCTGTCTATTCCAGTGACCTCCTGCCTCTTGCTAACAGATTTTGTTCATCTATTGAGCAGCCACGTGCACTCGTGTCCCTCCCCAACCCTGGGTGTCAGTGTGAATCTTGATTAGCCTAAGTCAGTCATGGTGGGCACACATCCCTCTCTAGAGACTCGCTTAGGCTTAGGCGCGTGACACAATCCTAGCCAACGGGACTTGGGGGTAAGAGGGCTGGTGAGTCCTCTGGGATATATCTCCCTCACGGATTAAAACTAGAAAAATCAACAGAGGAGAACACAGCCTCAAATTCCTTCACTGGAATGCCAGTGTGGAAATACGGAAAAACTTTGAGTTCTTAGTGACCTAGCTGAGCCACTGAATTAGCCACTCTGGAATCATCTCCCTCCAGACTTCCTGTGATGCAAAATATTTCTTTCCTAATATTTGAACCATTTCTGACAGAGCTTTCTTTTACTCATAGGCAAAAGCACCCTAACTAATACACACTTAGTCTCAATCATGGCTGGATCCCGTAGGCATATGACTCATTCATTGGTCCCCAAATATGCCACCAACCCTCACATCTCCATGTCCTTCCTTTACCCTGAGCATACTCCTTTCACACTCCCATCCTGAGATTCCTAGCTGGAAAATTCCTAGGCACCTCTAAAAGTCAAGGTTAAGTATTATTTTTTCTCCTAGAGCTTCTCCAATCCCTCGGCTGGCTCAGAGCTGTGTTAACTATTCCCTCTTCTATACTCCCATAAAATGCTCCAAAAATCTCCATTTCAGCATTTTCTTCCCTGAACTTTATTTGTGAGTCTATTTCCCTGTCTGCATGCTCCCCAAGACATGAACTGTGTCTTATTCATCTTTGAACTCCCAGCACAGGCTTGCTGAATTGAATCACTGTCTTGGTCAATGTCCCATGACCTCCAGCCTCCCCATCTGTAAAAGGAGACCATCAAATCATGGATGGCCTCTGAGCAGTATTAAGCCTAAAGACAGAGAGAAGCATTCAATGACCTTCTGAGCCTCCTAATTCTGTGACAATTTTAAGACTCCCAGATCAGGATGCTGACATCCAGTGCTAAGAAGCAGAGGAATAGGGAACTGTCAGTAGTTTGGATTTGATAAGGATCCAGGGAGTTACACTCACTCGGTGAATAAAATAAATTAAAATCCACTCTGTGCCAGGCGTTGTGCTAGGCACTGGGGGTTTTCATGGGAAACAAGACAATCAGCCATGCTGTCATCGAACTCAACTGTTGGCAGGAAAGAGACAAATGAAAATGTCATGTGATGAATTCTATAAAAGCTAGGGAGACCATGAGAACAAAGAAGGAATGCCTGCCTCAATCATGAGAAAACAGAAGATTCCTCCAAGAAAGGTGCTACGCAAGATAATACCTAAAGATTGAGCAAAAGGAGTTTGGACAGTATTCCAGGAAGAAGGAAGAGAATGTACTAAAGCTTAGAGGTGGGAGAGCACACAAAAGCTTTAAAAAGTTCAGTTTAGCTGGAACACAGAGCAAAAGGATATCTGGGAAGACAGGCAGAAGCCATATTATCAAGCGTATGGCAAAGCCATAGTAAAGCATTTGGTATTCATCTAGAAGGCAATGGGGAGCCATTGAAGGTTTTACACAGGGGAGTGGCACAGTCAGATTCTTCCTATTAGCTCTCTTTGATTTGGTGTGCAGATATGCTTGCATTAGGCTAGAGGCAGGAATACGAGTTAGATGAAAGAAGATGGTGGCTTAATTTGGGGAAGTATTTGGAGGTGCAAAGAGCAAAAGCACATCTATCAGAATACAGAACACTGCACAACTGCAAGTCACTTGCCCAATGTAGGCCGACAAAGTCACACACACACACACAAGATTCTAACATGCTAATACTGATGTTATTCAAGGAAAGTCTGCAGAATCTTACCACATGTTCTGTGTGGCAAAGACAGACAATTGCTTGATCAAATAACTTTGGGAAGCACTAGGTTAGCCAATGTTAAGCAGATCTCCTCAATGCAGGACATCTCAGAACTTGAATATGCTACTGTGAATTTACTAAAAAGAAAATACAATAGGTGATGTTTTTCAGATTTACTTGTTTATGAACTGTGTCTCCTTCAGTCTTTTCCATTATAGGGGATAATGCTTCAGTCTATTCTGGCTGAAAAGGCAGGAGTCAACCTTGATTCCTCTCTTTTTCTCAATCAAAACTGTAAATGAATCAGCAAGTTCTGCAAGCTGCCCATGCCAAGTGCATCCACGTCTAACCATTTCCATTGCTACCCCCTGGTTCAAACGGCCACCATCTCTCACCTGGACTGTTTCAACACTTCCTAACTCAGCTCCAGGCTTCTACTCCTGTCCCCTCTATTCTCCCAACAGCAGCCAGAGTGATCCTTCAAAAATATGTCGGATTATGTCGCTTCCCTGCTTAAAATCATCCAATGGCTTCCTATGTCCTTCAGAGTAACATTCAAATGCCTTATGGTGACAGGGCATGGTGTGATCTTCCTCCTACCCACCTCTCTGACCCTCTCCCCACTTCATCCTCTGTGAGCCACATTATATCCTGCTGTTCCTTAACTCCCCCTACCCCCAGGCTCATTCCCATCTCAGGCTCTACACTGGCTGTTCCCTCTGCCTGGAACATTATTCCTCCAGATCTATACGTGACTTGCTGCTTCTCATCATTCAGGTCGCCCTGGATTTTTTAATGTGTCCCCATCATCTACAATAGTGCCTGGCACCTGGCAGGAGCTCAAAAAGTATTAAATTAACGAATTTATTTATTTTTATTTTTGAGATGGAGTCTTGCTCTGTCACCCAGGCTGGAGTACAGTGGTGCAATCTTGGCTTATTGCAACCTCCGCCTCCCAGTTTAAACGATTCTCCTGCCTCAGCCTCCCGAGTAGTGGGATTACAGGCGCCCACCACCACACCCAGCTAATTTTTGTAGTTTTAGTAGAGACGGGGTTTCACCATGTAAGCCAGGCTGGTCTCAAACTCCCGACCTCAAGTAGTCTGCCTGCCTCAGTGTCCCAAAGTGCTGGGATTACAGGCATGAGCCACCGCACCCAGCTGAATGAACAAATTTATATTTGAATGGCATGGCACCAAACCACTCCATTTGGGAGCACATTTGGCTGGATGAACACGATAAAATTCCCTTCCTCTTACCACCTCCCACATAAGAAGGGGGAAAAAAGCCCTCCAAATAAATAAATAACAGGCCAGGCGCGGTGGCTCACGCCTGTAATCCCAGCACTTTGGGAGGCCGAGGCATGTAGATCATGAGGTCAAGAGATCAAGACCATCCTGGCCAACATGGTGAAACCCTGTCTCTATTAAAAATACAAAAATTAGCTGGGCATGGTGGCAGGCGTCTGTAGTCCCAGCTACTCGGGAGACTGGGGCAGGAGAATTGCTTGAACCCAGGAGGCGGAGGTTGCAGTGAGCCGAGATCATGCCATTGCACTCCATCCTGGGCGACAGAGCGCGATGCCATCTCAAAAAAAAAAAAAAAAAAAAAATTAAATAAATAAATAAATAAATAGTCACCATCCTTCCCTTCAGTGTGCAGAAACTGACTATTCCCTCACATCACCTTCAGTTTATTTTACAGGGAAAAAACAGCACTACCCGACTTCTGCAGGCCAATTCAAAACTCCAATATTGGCTGCCAAATGATGGATGCTATGTAATATCCCTTGCCTGTCCTGTGTCTCTGGAACAGAGCTCGATAAATATTAGAAGGTGGGAGAGTACAGGCCCACCAAGTGAAAAAGTCTTACTCCTTATTGCCTGGAGCATCCACTCTTTGGCCCTAATTACTCCATGCCACCCCTTAGTATTTTCTAGGTGCTTGCCAAGAACCCAGCTCTATGCTAAGCATGGAGAAACAAAACCTAGGATCCTCAAGGAATATCCAAGCTGGATCCTGTATAAGGTTTGAACCAAAATTCAAATCCCAACACAGTGTCATCCTCCTCCATGCAGTCTTTTCTCCCCTGTAGGTGGTCTCTTGCCAATTGGGAGAACTTGGGCAGATTATCTGCTTTTTGTGCCTCCATCTGGTCGTCTGTAAAAGCAATCTATTAATCTCTGACTGAAAGAGTCATTGTAAGAATTAAACACGCAATGTGCTTAGCACAGAATTTGGTGCGTAAGAATGATCAGCTATGAACATTAATAATAATGAATGACTTTCTCCTAACTCTCTAAATCTCAGTTTCCACACCTTGAACATGGGTTGGAGAGCACCACTTCCTGGGTTTGTTATGAGGATGAAATAAGTAGTTCTCAGTCTTTGCTGCACCTTGGAATCACCTGGAGAAGTTGTGAAGCTCCTGGTGCTAAGGCTGCCCACATCCCCACAACAATCACACCATAATCTCTGAGCATGGGGCACAGGCATCAGTATTTTTTAGTTCCCTGGGTGCTTCCAGAGTACAGCAAACTTGAGAACCAGTGGATTGACCAGTTTGCAATCACGTGGAAAGTTCTAACAAATGTCCTTTCCCCTATCCCTAAAATGGTTCTGGAGGAATGAGTACCTAGTATGAGCTGAGATCTTTGCCACTTCCGTGATGATATAAACAGAAATGACAAAGCTTTTGGAAGTCAAGTAATGTATAACCTTGCAGACCAAGACAGGCATGCAAATAATATGCAAATTGCATGCAAATCTACAGTTAATTATGCTGATGCTCTTGGGGCCCTTCTAACAATTTCATAGGCCCAGATGAGGCCCCAGGAAGATTTTAAGCTAAAATGCCTGCCTTAAATGATAGATACAAAGAAAATCTCAGCTTACCTGAATACAAGGAAAACGCAGCAGCCAAGCAAAGAGGAAAAAGGGCTTGTTTTTGCTCCACTCGAAAAGTAGATGATCTTTATCTAGGCTTTAATTATCTCAAAACTAGGTGCTACTTTTTCAAGAAGTACAAGAAACACATCTAAAAGACCCAGCACAGGGGTACAGTAAATTATTAATACCAATAGCGCAAGGCATTTTTACCTTGCTTTTCATCTGTGGCTTTGAAGGCACTTTATATATATTAGTTAATTAAGCCACCCAACAGCCTTGCAAGGAATATATTATTATCTCCATCCTTCAGATGGGTGAAATCACCCTTAATGGAAGACAATGCTAATCCATTATCCCAGGACCAGCCCCTGGCAATTCTCACAGCTGAATCCATACCTCTGTTGGGAAGGCAGAACCCATTTGTTCTCTGGGTTCTTTTATTCATTCATTCAGCATGTATTTCTTGTGGGCCTACTGTGGGCTCCAGGCCTGGTGGGGAAACGCTAAACTCTAATGATAGCAATTGTGTCTTAGTTGTAACTGCATGCTTAGGGTCTAGAACCGTGCCTGGAATATAGTAAGTGCTCATTGTACCTTAGTTTAAAAATGAAGTGAAAAAGATGAATGAGATACTGTCCCTGATAAACACACATATCTTGTGAGGAGGGCAGGAGGGATGACAGCTTCAGGCTCCTCCCCCTCCCTTAATAAAAATAAGTGTCAATAACTCTGTGGAAGGCCCTATGATTTAGACTCACTCATTTAGTCTTAAGAACAACTATAAGAGGGGGGCCAGGTGCAGTGGCTCACACCTGTAATCCCAGCACTTTGGGAGGCCGAGGCTGGCGGATCACCTGAAGTCAGGAATTCAAGACCAGCCTGGCCAACATGGTGAAACCCCATCTCTACTAAAAATTCAAAAATTAGCCAGCATTGTGGCCCACACTTGTAGTCCCAGGTACTAAGGGGGCTGAGGCAGGAGAATCGCTTGAATCCAGGAGGTGGAGGTTGCAGTGTGCTGAGATCGCACCACTGCACTCCAGACTGGGTGATAGAGCAAAACTCCGTCTCAAAAAAAAAAAAAATCTGTAAGAGGGAATGTAAGAGGGAAGGAGTGTTACTTCTATTGGAGAGAGAAGGAAGCTGAGACTTAAGAGGTGTTGAGGGAAGACAAAGGAGAACAGTGATTTCAAAACATGGACTCTGGAATCCCGCAGTCCCTGGTGGGAGCTCTAGCTCTGCCGCTCACTAGCTCATGATATATGTGAAGCAGGTTCACTGTGTGCTAACTACCAGTTGCCTAAGTCTGGTGAGACACAACACTCACACCAACAAGTTGCATGAAGCAGGTTAATTACTTACAGATAGGCAGCAAGGGACAACAGAAGCTGAGGATTCATGGTGAGCCAGGCCCCCAAGGTTCAGGAACGCCACCCAGGGCAGATGGAATCTTATCTGTATATGCCCCATTTGCACCACAGTTGAAGGACCCCAGGAAGCAGCCTGCCCTGGGCTTTATACCCCGCAGGGAAAAGAATGCACTGCACTAGAACATTGAAGGATATACTATTTCTAGAAGTCTGGAGCAGAGACTAAACTGTTGAGGCCAGTCCTGCCCTCTCTCAAGATGTTGCATTCCCAGTGCATTCTACAATTATTCTTTTTTTTTTTTTTTTTTTTTTACTTTTATTTTAGGTTCGGGGTACATGTGAAGGTTTGTTACATAGCTAAACACATGTCACGGGGGTTTGTTGTACCTATTATTTCATCACCCAGGTATTAAGTGCAGCACCCAATAGTTATCTTTTCTGCTCCTCTTCCTCCTCCCACCCTCAAGCAGACCCCAGTGTCTGCTGTTTCCTTCTTTTGTTCGTAAGTTCTTATCATTTAGTTTCCACTTATAAGTGAGAACATGCAGTATTTGGTTTTCTTTTCCTGCATTAGTTTCCTAAAGATAATAGCCTCCATCTCCATCCACGTTCCCACAAAAGACATGATCTCATTCTTTTTTATGGCTGCATAGTATTCCATGGTGTATCTCCCAGTGAGAAATGGGTTGGTCTAAGACCACCTGGAGAGTGGTCCTGCAATATGGGGCACATTTCTTAACCTCTCTTAAACCTTGGCATCCTCATTTGTAAAATGACCTACCCTAAGGGCATCCTCTGAGGATTAAATGAGATAATGTAGGGCTGGCACTTAAAGCAGGACTGGCACACACGAAGTGCACAAATGTCAAATACTGTTGTCTCTACAACATCTACCCAAGGCCATGCTGAGTGGTGGAACCAACATTCCAATCCAGGTCTGCCAAACACTGTGACCTTCCCTTCGTAGCTCGCAACTCAGTGGCTTCTCCTCTTGGTAAAAGATCTCACAACCCAGGATCACCCATAATATCCCATCTTCAACAAGCAGCTCCTCCTAGACCCTCCCACCTTCTCTTCTAGCCCTCCCCCTTTTGCAGTTCTCATTCTCTCTAACCTAGTACCTCTCACTATGATGGTCTAGACATCAGCACCATTTTCCCCCAAGCACACAATGCGTTCACAGCTTGCCAAGCAGTCACCCCCCTATCCCTACCCAACTTGAAAACACTGATTTGGGTTCAAAACTTAACCCTTCTACTTATTTGCTGGAGATAATTATACCACCTGTTTCTCAGAGTTTCTGCAAAACGTAAATTCAATAAGTCATGGACAGAACTTAGCATAGTTGTGGGCACAGAGTAAGCAATCCAGGAATATGAATTTGTAACGATGGTTCTTAACCAGTGATTCTAAACCAGGGGTAAATTTGCCCTCTAGCAGGTTTGCCAGATTCAATGCAACAACAGGCTACCCAGTGAAAACAATGAATAATTTTTAATATAAGTATGTCCCATGCAATATTTGCAGTATACTAAAAATTTTTTCATTGTTTATCTGAAATTCACATTTAACTGAGGATAATGTATCTTATCTTGGCCCTACCCCCGGGAGACATATGGCAATGTGTGGAGACATTTTTGGTTGCTACAACTGGTGGGCATGGGGTGCAACTAGCATCTAATGGGTAGAGGTCACGGATGCTACTAAACATCCTTCAGGGCACAGGAAAGCCCCCCATAACCAAGAATTATTCAATCCGTAATGTCAACAGTGCCAAGGTTGAGAAATCCTGCATAAGCAAAAAATCATGATAATATTGAGAGCAAAGAGTTGAATGGACAAGTTTCTACCCCTATAGTGGGTGGAATTTTGTCCCCTGAAAAGATATGTCTAACACCTAACCCGTAGTACCTGTGAATGTGAACATATTTGGAAATGGAGTCTTTGCAGATATAATTAAGTTAAGGATCTCCAGATGAGATCATACTGGATTTAGGGTGGAGCCTAAATCCAATGCTTGTTGTCCTTACAAGAGGAAGGAGAGGGAGATTGAAGACACAGAGGGAAGGCCATGTCAACATGGAGGCAGAGACTAGAGTTATGAATCCCCTCTCCAAGGAATGTTGAGCATTGCCAGTCACCAGAAGCTGCAAGAGAAGCTTGCAACCAATTCTCCCTTGGCGCCTCCAGAGCCTCCAACCCTACTAATACACCTTGATTTCACACTTTTGGACATCAAAACTGTGAAATAACAAATTTCCAGTGTTTTAAGCCACTAAGTTTTTAGTAATGTATGCTAACTCTAGGAAACGAATACAATCCCCTACAGATTTAAACCCAAGAACTCCCGTTCTTTCACTTTCTTTTTAAAATTGTAATTACTATGAAATGACTCATGCCTGCAAAAAAAAGGATAGGGGCTAATATAATGAGCACCATGAACTCATCACCCATCTTGAGAAATGTAGCTTTACAAATACTAATGAAGCCCCACGGCACCCCAATCCCATTCCGCTCTCCCCACAAGAGGCAAACACTGTCCTGAATTTGGTGTTAATAATTCCCTTATGAGCTTTTATACCTTTACTACAAATGTATGACTTCCTAAGTAACAAATAGAATTCTCTTACCTCTTCCTAAACTGTGTATACTTGGTGTCCTAAAACACATATGCTTTGCCAAAGGATGCTTTGAATTTTTACTTTACATCGTTTTCAAGATACACGCTGATTTATGTGGTTCGAATTCATTCATTTTCACTATTCTGCTGTGTGCATAGATCACAGATGTATTGATATACTGTCCTATGGATAGACATTTTGGGTTTTTGTTTTGTTTTTTTTCC
The DNA here is from genome assembly GCF_000001405.40 of Homo sapiens. Lineage (NCBI taxonomy): Eukaryota > Metazoa > Chordata > Mammalia > Primates > Hominidae > Homo > Homo sapiens. The sequence goes on along the minus strand of NC_000012.12, from coordinate 118,551,323 downwards.
AATTCTTTTGTTATTACAAACAATGCATCAGTGAAACTTCATGTCTCCTGGTCTGTACTTTATGAGAATTTCTCTAGGTTCTGTTTCTCAAATTGTGGTTGAGACCCACTAGTGAATAATAAAATCATTCTGGTGGCTTTATGGTCAGCATTGCTTTGTTGTTTTTTGTTGAGGTTTTATTTTCAAAAGAGAAGATTAATATTAAGCGCATCATATACCAAGGGTTAGTATTGCTTCATAAAACTTTTGTTTCAATTATAGATAAGAATGTACTGGATTGCAATGTAGAATATATTTCTTACTGGCAGTCACAGCCAAAAGAAAAAGTTTAGAAAACAGTTCTCTAGGGCCTCACTATTTAAAGTGTGATCAGAGAAATAGGGGCATCAGCCTCACCTGTGAGCTGGTTAGAAATACGGACTCTGTGGCCCCATCCCAGACCTCCTGAATCAGAATCTATATTTTAATAAGATCTCCAGTTTCTTCATCTCCCCATTGAAGTTTGAGAAGCAGTTCTCTAGGGATATACCAATGAGTGGAATTGCTAGGACATACTAAGTGCCCATGTTTCTTTAGCTTTATTGTGTGTTGCAAAAATGCTGTCCAAAATGATTGTGCCAGAGTTCCTTTAAAGATCTGCTTTCTGGCTGGGTGCAGTGGCTCACGCCTGTAATCCCAGCACTTTGGGAGGCCGAGGTGGGCAGATAACAAGGTCAGGAGTTCGAGACCAGCCTGCCCAACATGGTGAAACCCCGTCTCTACTAAAAATACAAAAATTAGCTGGGCATGGTAGTGCACGCCTATAATCCCAGCTACTGGGGAGGCTGAGGCAGGAGAATGGCTTGAACCCAGGAGATGGAGGTTGCAGTGAGCCGAGACCATGCCATTGCACTCCACCTTGGGTCACAGAGCAAGACTGTCTCAAAAACAACAAAAAAAGATCGCTTTCCGTGTTAGAGTTTGTAATGAGATTTCATTTGATCAAAACAGCCTGCAGCTACAATTTTTTTTTTTTTTTTTTTTTTGAGAGAGGGTCTTGCCCTATTACCCAGTTGGAATGCAGTGGCTCCATCATAGCTCACTGCAGCCTCCAATTCCTGGGCTCAAGCAAACCTCCTGCCTTGACCTCCCAAAGTGTTGGCGTTACAGGCATGAACCACTGCACCTCGCCTTTATAAAATGTTAATCACAGTCCTTCTTTGCTGCTTTCATGCAACTCTCTTGACTTTCTCTGAGGAATGAAGAAGTCTGGAATAAACAAGACCTCTTCTCTAGGAGAAGAAAGGGGCTCCACCCACAGACAGAAAAAGGGACAGCTGTTATCACACAGAACCACATGAGATGTTCAAACATCAAGTCCGAGACAGAGAGCAGCCCTAGGAGAGCACAGCAGGCCTCCCTGGCAGCTCCTGGCTTTGCTGGGGCTGAGGGAGCACAGCAGACTTTCCCAGTCAAGCTGACGTTGTTTCCTGGTTTCCTGGCCTGGAGCAGCCCCACTCCCAAATGCAAAGTTTAATTTGATTTTTTCACTCGAGTAACCAAGGCATTTCTGACACATTGCTTTTCATGAGGTCCTGTCGTTGCATTAGCTGAGCCATTTCCTCGGGCCTCCTCTCTCTGCTCTGGCTTTCTCTTCCTTTCCCTGCGGTCTCTACGCCTGGCATCTGACTCACTACCTTGCACCCACCTCCTTCTGCAGAGTCGATGTAATAATATACCTCTGTGCTGGCAGCCCCTGCTTACTGATAGTCTATCTTGGGCCTGGGCTGTGTTGGGGACTCCCTCCACACCACAGATAGACACCATTATTCCCACTTTACGGCTGAGATCATCATCCCAAGTTGCAATCTGTTACATTTATTATATTGTTGTGGGTCTTGGAATCAATGGCATCCCATCATCATGTAAATCATTTGGTGGTTGGGATATAATGGATATCACCTGCAGAGAAGCAAACTTGATTGGTTTTCCTTATGGCCTGAGCAGACAACAGCACCGTTTCAACACTGCAGTCAATCATGTCAGGACCACATGGGCAAGAACCATGAGTCCCGAATGTTGTGTCCCCAGGGAAGCTGGCAGATGCTGCCTTGGCTTTCTGTCCTAACCTAGTCTTGGAAATCACACAGTGTCACCTCCACTGCATTCTATTCATCAACATGGTCACAAGGGCCCACCCAGATGTAAGGACAGGAAATATAGACTTCATCTCTTGATCACAAGAGTGTGAAAGAATGTGTGGACATGTTTAAAACCACTGAGATTGCATGACTGCACTCCAGCCTGGGCAACAGAGCGAGACTCCATCTCTAAATAAATAGAGAAAGAATAAAACCACTTTAGCTTGCACTCATGGCACAAATACTATATATTCAACCCACATGCAACAAACACTCACCTCCACCCCACAAGGACCCCTGTAAATATCATTTAGAATGGCATCAGGCTGTTCCAGGATCCCTTTGTCTAAATCAAGTTCAAATATAGGTCAGGCTCCTCAGCTGAAATTCCACAAGTACAGCTCCTTGAGTGCACTTCTCCTGATCCAGAGACCTGTGAACTCAAGAAGCAATGTATCCATCAGCCATTTAAACTTTGGAAAAATTAAATTAAAAAGAGGCAATATATCCCCCCCCCACCAACATACCCAACCTACAATGGTGAGGCAGGCATATTGTTAGACATTTTAAAAGGAGAGAAGCGGGAGGCACACAATGGTTCACAGCATTTCTGGAGCCCAACTGGGCATATGTTGCCGGTGTCTCAATTAGAGCTCCATCCAACTGCCTGGGAATGATTCTTCGTGTCTCTTGGCTCTATACTCTTGGCTCTTGGCTCTGCCTTCTGAGCCATCCTCCTTTTTCCATAAGAAATGTATAGTGTTTGCACCTGAGTAGTTTCTTTAGCCTGCTTCCTGCCTATAGTAGTCTGGGGATTCAAACACTTCTTTTTGCTTTATATGGTCTCTGACCCATTTAGTCTAAACTGATGGTGTTTCCATCAGTATAATTATCTTTAAAGTGCTATGAGTTTCCTATTAATCTTATTGGGTCTCACTCCATTAAACAAAATAACAACTACAAATATCTCCACGATAAATCTTTTCCTTTCTTGCTCCCTACGGGATCTCCGAGTAGCAATAACTTTAAGATTTTTAGACACATTGTTGTTTAAAAGAGAGGATTTACAGGACATACTCTTTTTTTTTAATACTTTAAGTTCTGGGGTACATGTGAATAACATGCATGTTTGTTACATAGGTATACATGTGCCATGGTGGTTTGCTGCACCTATCAACCCATCATCTACATTAGGTATTCTTCTAATGCTATCCCTCCCCCAGCCCCCCACCTTCCAACAGGTCCCGGTGTGTGATGTTCCCCTCCCTGTGTCCATGTGTTCTCATCGTTTGATTCCCATTTACGAGTAAGAACATGTAGTGTTTGGTTTTCTGTTCTTGTGTTAGTTTGCTGAGAATGATGATTTCCAGCTTCATCTATGTCCCTGTAAAGGACATGAACTCATCCTTTTTCATGGCTGCATAATATTCCATGGTGTATATGTGCCACATTGTCTTTATCCAGTCTATCATTTATGGATATTTGGGTAGGTTCCAAGTCTTTGCTATTGCAAACAGTGCCGCAATAAACATACGTGCGCATGTGTCTTTATAGTAGAATGATTTATAATCCTTTGGGTGTATATACCCAGTAATGGGATGGCTGGGTCAAATGGTATTTCCAGTTCCAGTTCCTTGAGGAATCCCCACACTGTCTTTCACAACTTTTTAGACGCCAGAAGGCCATCTGACTGTTCAGAAGGTACTCCAGTCTTTCTAAGGTCTCAACAAAGGATCTTATAAGCCCACCTTGGGTTTGATCTTTGGCCTAAGGCTATTTTTAATTTGCCAGATCTTTGCCATCTGTAAACCCAGCAAGCCCTGGTTTCTTTGTATTTCCTCCAAATTTTTCTTGAAAATTAAACTATTCTTTTTAAAATCATGTATCTGTATTTTTGTTCTTACCATATGTAGTTATAAGCCACCAGTTGACACTTTCAACATTCTTCCGGGAACTCTCCTTAGCTAAATCCACTAGGCCATTAGGTTTATTTTCTGCTTTCCACATCACCATAGGCAATACTGGTGTTAAACTTTCCATCATTGCAGAACATGGGTCCCCTTTCCTCCAGCTTTTAATACCATTTCCTCGTTCTTCTCTAAGTCCTCACCAACAACCTCCTCCAAAGCCATCAGTCTTCTACTAACAGACTCTTCAAGACCTATCTTTTGTTTGTCATTCAGTCTCAAAACCATTGCCACATATTTTAGGCTTTGTTATGGCAGCTCCCCACCTGGCACCAAAATATGTGTTGGTCTGTATTCAATCAGAAGAGCAGAACCACGAGGAGGGATGCAGAATAAGGTATTATTAAAGGGATTTTATCTCATGCAATTTCAGGAACTGGTTAAAGAGTTTACAGACAACTTTACTTCTGAATCTGGTGTTAGACTCCGGGACGGCAGAGCAAGTCATCCCGAAAGAAAGATGGACATAAAACAGGAAAGAGCAAGGACAAACTGGGACCCATGGAGAGGCACAGGAACCCCTATCTGTCCCTCTCCACCTTCAAGCTTCCAACTTCAGTGACACAGGTGACCTCCAGAAGACTATGGGCACAGAGGATAATATTGTGTGGGGGGAAAAGGCATGGACATCCATGATACTAAGTCACAAATTATTCAAAAGAGCTGGGTCTAAATAAATGCACAATGGATTCGAGAATATCTTAACCAATTTGTTTTTTCTTATATTCTCCTTTCTTATGTATGTGCAGGAATAATACATAATAGCTATCTATAAGCCTAAAGGAGCTTTTTCAATAAGTATAAAAAATAAATGTTACACATTTTAAGACAACACTGTGTCATAGTTTAATTGGCTACATATATTCTTTCTCTGAATGACTCAATATAATTGTACATCTTACACTTATCAACGGCATCTTAGATTCAATGAAACACGAAAAGATTAAGAGAAGTTAAACAATGTGTCCAAGGCAAATGCCTCACTTCCTTCAGCTCTTTGTTGAAATGTCCCCTTCACAGAGAGGCCTTCTCTGTCTACCCTATTTAAAAGGCAACCCAACCTCCACCACTGCCACCATCCATGCCTTCCCAGCACTCCCTGGTCCCAACGTTGCTTTAATTTTCTCTTTAGGATCTATCATTATCCTGGCATAACTATACATTTTATTTATGTGTTTAGTTTATGTCCCCATAAGGAAGGGAGGAGATTTTATCCATTTCATTCACAATGGTATTCTCCAGTGGCTATACTTCCATTGCACCCACCTCCTTCTGCAGAGTGGATGTAATAACTCCACTCTATAGTAGACATTCAATAAATATTAGTTGAATGAATGTATGAATAATACTTTATGCAGTTAAAGCTGGGACTAGAAATAAGAAGATTCACTGGCCATCCAAAGCCCAGGCACTTAACCACTTGACCGTACTACCTTTTAGCTTAGCAGAAGAATGCCTACTAAAACTGGCACATTCAGCTGGGCGTGGTGGCTCACGCCTGTAATCCCAGCAATTTGGGAGGCTGAGGCAGGCAGATCACCTGAGGTCAGGAGTTCGAGACCAGCCTGGCCAACATGGCAAAACCCTGGCTCTACTAAAAATATAAAAGATCAGCCAGGCGTGGGGGCAGGCACCTGTAATCCCAGCTACTTGGGAGGCTGAGGCAGGAGAATTGCTTGAACCTGGGAGGCAGAGGTTGCAATGAGCTCAGATTGCGCCATTGCACTCCAGACTGGGCAACAAAGCAAGACTCTGTCAAAAAAAAAAAAAAAATTGGGGGTGGGGGGAGGGGGGACGGATAGCATTAGGAGATATACCTAATGTTAAATGACGAGTTAATGGGTGAAGCACACCAACGTGGCACATGTATACATATGTAACAAACCTGCACGTTGTGCACATGTACCCTAAAACTTAAAGTATAAAAAAAAAAAACAAAAAAAACCTGGTACATTCACCTCAATCAGTGATTCTCAATTAGGGCGAGGGGTGTGAAAGAAAGTATCTATCCATGGGTAGGACAAAAGTCCCCACCTCATGGCAGAAGCCCACACTCCTCACCATTAACTATAAGACCCTACATGATTTGACACCAAACACAAGACCTGGGTCTCCTTCCTTTGCCAAGAGTACTCCTTCCCCATCTTTATTGAAACTGACAGAAAATCCAGCTCAAAGCAACTTAAACAAGAAAGACAATTTATTGGCACATAGAACAGAAAATACCATCATAGTACTAGCTTCTGATATGACTGGACCCAGGAACTCAATCTATTTTACCAGGATTCTGTCCATCCTCACATCTCAGGCCTGTGATCCTTAGTATGGAGTTCATTCTTGACAGGCTTCTCTAGTATGGTGACAAGATGGCTCCAGCAAGCCAGAGTTTACATTCCACAAGCTCAGAACTCTCCAGTGCAAAAGGAGCTTCTCTTTCCTAATAGCTTTAGATGAGTTGGCCAGGCTTAGATCACAAGTTCACTTCCGGAGCAATTACTGTAGAGCCCAAAGGAGGGAGGAGTGCTCTGATTAGTCAGACCTGAGTCACAGTCCATCTCCTAGATCTGAATGGGCCATGGAGGGAAGATCAGCCCATTCAGAATGCCAAAGACTGAGAATGGGGACAGGTGGTTCACCCACAGAAACTAGAGGTTCTGCAGCCAGAGAAAGGGGGTATGGAAGTTGGGCAGGAAAAATGTCAGATGTGCTTTACAACTTGTTTGTTTTAGAATTTTTTTAATATTTACTAAAAAGAACACACATCAAACCCAACTAAAAGACAGTCAATGATAAGGCAACCCACTCCCTTTTCCAGTGGGGAGGAGGTGAGTGGAGGAGGTTTAGCACTCAAGTTCCCTCTTTGGTCTAGGCAGTAATTAAGAGCTTAGGTGCATAACTTTGGATGGTTATGTAATGTGCGCTGTGCCTCAGTTGTCTCATCTGTAATATGGGGCTGGTCACAGTGCATAGTTCACAGAAGTTGCTACCGGTAAAGAGCCCAGCACAGTGTCTTGCTTATAGTAAACACTCAATTCAATAAATGTTAGTCGTGATTATTTTACAGATGTAGAACATCTGAGCCTCAGTCATGTGCCTTCATCTGGAGCTGAAGGTGGAGTTAGCGTCACCTGAAACACATGGACTGGGGTTGGAGGAGTGGTGCTTCCCCAAAGGAAAAGAAATCTACATATTCTTGTCAGAAGAGGAGGATCGAATCATGAGAAGGAGGCCTAAAAGTCAAGAGGTCCACTAGGAGATTGTGCTATTTACAGAAACACAATAATACAAAACAAAATAAATGTAAATTTATTTACATTTACAGATGCAGATTGACTGAGGCCCACTGAGAGGAGAACACTTGCAGAATGGTTACGCAATGAAGTAGCAGTGCCAGACTGGAACACACGATCCCTGACCCCCAAGTCGGTGTTCTTCCTGCTGTCCCCAACAGCCACAGTGGTACAGGTGATATCAAGTCCTGGACCTGGGCTGGCTGGATTCAAGAAAGCACTGATGTAAGAACATGCAATGTTTCAGGACAACTTTGCAAAACAGCCCTAGATCCTGGTTGAGGGATATGCCCAGCCAGGGACATGAGGCCCACTGAAGCTCCTAGCAACTCCATCCCCCAGAGCTGCTCAAGCCAGCAAGTCCCACTGGAAGCTTATCAGTGAGATCACCTTCCTGCCCAGTCTTGACTGTTTGTTTTGTTTTTGCTTTTCAGGACCCAGTTGATTGGCCTGAACATGCCCAGTCTTTTACTGATGACTTTGATTCTCTCCTGTCTCATTCCTGAAGTTTTAAATATATTTTTCCAAAACCCACATTATGATTTGTTTTTCAGGTGTACCAGGAAGGTTGTTTGGTTGAAAGTAGTAAGAAGCAGAAGGCATGAGCTCATGGAGAGCACCACCCACATTGAATTGGGTACAGAATAGGAAGGTTCAGTTTAATAAAAATTTACCTGGTACCTACTATGACCAGGCATCAGATGAATTAGCCAGGACATAGCACAATGACTACCACATAGCAGATATTCAAAATCTTTATTGAAATAGTGAATGAAATCTGTCCATGGCCTCAAGAGAAAATAGACTCATAAATGTATCATCGCAAAAGCACAGAGGAGAGAGCATCTAACTCAACCTGGAGGAAATGTCATGCCAAACAAAAGGGACATCAGATGCAGAGGCGTTTTCACATCCAATTAGCTACCCTGTGAGGTAGAGGGGATGCCATTCTACATACAGATGATGAAACTGAGCTTCAGAGTTCCACTTCTTGCCCAAGGTCACATATCTAACAACTGGCAGCCCAGAAGTAGAACCCATGCCTCCAACTCCTGATCCAAGGTTCATTTCCAATAAATGGATCATTACTTATTGATACAGGCAATGCCACAGTACTTTGGAGACCCCAAGAATAGAACCACACCCTGTCTCATCAAAGCAGCACCTTGGAGGGGTGGCCAAGAGCTCAGACTCTGAAATCTGACTGAACTGCTATCCATTCACCACCTTGTCACTTATTAGATGTGTGATTTTTTTTTTCTTTTGAGACGGAGTCTTGCTCTGTCGCCCAGGCTGGAGTGCAGTGGCATGATCTCGGCTCACTGCAACCTCCGCCTCCCGAGTTCAAGCGATTCTCCTACCTCAGCCTCTAGAGTAGCTGGGACCACAGGCGTGCACCACCACACCTGGCTAATTTTTGTATTTTTAATAGAGATGAGGTTCCACTGTGTTGGCCGGGCTAATCTTGAACTCCTGACCTCAGGTGATCCGCCTGCCTTGGCCTCCCAAAGTGCTGGGATTACAGGCGTAAGCCACCACGCCAGGCCTAGATGTGTGATCTTAAGAAAAATATTTTATCTGTCTGAATCTCTGCTTTATACATCTTTTTAAAATGGAGAATAATAATAACACAAACGCCTAGTGAACCTCTCATCTTTTATGCCCCCTTCTCATGACTCAGTCCCCCTCTTCTGGCAAGACTATGTAGATTTTTTCCTTTCGGGACGCACCCCTCCTCCATCCCCAGTCCTTCTGTTTCAGCTGAAGCTAACTCCACCCCCAGTTCCAGATGTAGGCACATGACTGAGGCTTGGCCAATCAGAATATTCTGTGTCCGAACACAGTGATTGGTTCAGAGATTAACAATGACGCAAGTTGGAGACCCAATTATAGTATGAGCCTCTGGGAAGGAGAACCTGCCTTCCCAATGGGTTTGCTGAGCATGTCACTGGCACCCCTATAACTGCTAGAGGCTAACTAGCCGTCACTGAAAAAAGGGGGACAGAGAAGCTGCTTGAGAGTGAAGTCGACCCAGAAGAAAACAGAATAGAAAGATGGAAAAAGATTGGCGACATTTTTTTTTTTTTTAATTGGGACAGTCTCATTCTATTATGCAGGCTGGAGTGCAGTTGCGCGATCTCGGCTCACTGCAACCTCCACCTCCTGGGTTCAAGCAGTTCTCCTGCCTCAGCCTCCCGAGTAGCTGGGATTACAGGTGCCTGCCACCACGCCTGGTTAATTTTTGCATTTTTAGTAGAGACAGCGTTTCTCCAAGTTGGCCAGGCTGGTCTCAAATTCCTGACCTCAAGTGATCCACCCACCTCGGCCTCCCAAAGTTCTGGGATTACAGGCGTGAGCCACCACGCCTGGCCTGGCGACATAAACTCCTGGATCGAGTTGTGCCTCGTTCCCCTGGACTTGCCATTTCATGAACCAAAACATCTTTTCCCCCTGGAGCCATTTTGACATGGAATTCTATTATTTTTAACCAAAAGAGCCCTAGCATGCTGGTTCCTATGAAGGCTGGATGGGATAGCGTGAGTAATGCTTGTGGAGCACTTCGCACAGAGCAAGGGCTCAAAAAAAATGACTCTTGTTATTTTGTCTTCCCTGGCCTGAACCACCTCATTACCCTCAAAATGATTAGCACAGCAAGTGGCCATAACACTGAGGACAGAGCTGCTGACTTGGCCTGATGCATTCACTGGCTTCCTTCTCACTACCACTCAGCTCTCTCTGCAGAAACCTTCAATGCCAGATGGCTTGGGTAAAATGGGGACAGATGAAAGCTGGTGCAAGAAGGTGATAGCTGCTCCTGATAGATAGAGACGCCACTGGAAGGGTGAGAGGTGGGTAGGGAGGAGGCAATTAGGGGCTAAATGAGCCCGAGGGACTGCTGAGCCTCCGGACCTCAGCTGCTGGAGGGTCAGCCTTGGCATGGGCAGGTACCCGGAGCTCCCAGGGCCCAGCGACCTCATGCCAACCTCATCCATCTCACAGGGGGCTAAGCAGCCCCTCTTGCTTCCCTGATGCCTGTGCCGTTTGCTGAATCACCTCCTCACTTGTTTCTGCACAGTGAGGCCTCAACATGTTGCTGAGGACTGTAAGGGACACTGTGATGACGGGTATTGTTAGCAGTGGTGTGGTGGAGGGACAGGGAGGTAGGGGGCTGTGCTACACCTCTTGCTTTCTCCTCCTCAACCTGATAAGGTTGAGAGACCATCTCATCTGCCCCATCTCCTCACCAGTTCCTCCACTCCTCCTTCATCTCCTTCCATTCCAGAGGGCTGTGATTTTCCCATTGCAGAGACATTGCTAGAGCCCCATCCAGATCCTCTGGGATTCCTTTTACCACTTCTGTACACTCCAGAGCTTCTGTGTGCTTTGCTGCTAAAACTTTGTACCTGTGACCTTCTTCAGAGCACTGTCCTTGAGCAGTGAGCTGCATCCCCTATTCAGAGACCCAGAAGTCCCTGGGAATGTGTATATATAACCAGGGAAGGCCATTGCCAATGACCAGTTCTTGGATACAAACACCCAGTTTCCTTGCCTGGAGGTGGGACACACTCTGATGTGTGATTCACACTCACTGCAAAGCTAAGGCTGGGACTTCACCTGAAATCATACCCTTACTTGGCTTCCTCCCCCTTATCCTTATCCTGCCTCCCCACTCCCAGTAGTTTCTTCCATATGCATATTTCTTCCTGTTTGCTTGCTTTTTTTTTTTTTTTTTTTTTTTTTTTGGTGAGACAAGGTCTCACTCTGTCACCCAGGTTGGATTGCAGTGGCATGATCATGGCTCACTGCAACCTCAAACTCCTGAACTCAAGTGAAGCAATCCTTCCACCTCAGCCTCCCAAAGTGCTGGAATTACAGGCATGAGCCACTATGCCTGGCCTGTATTTCTTAATAAATAAATTACTTGGACAAAAATCCTCATCTCTAGTCTGCCTCTGGAAGGACCCAGCCTAACACACCTGTCCAGCACCATTCCCTTTCTTCTAGTAACAGAACCTAGAAGAAGATTTTGTCTTTCCTTTGGAGAAACTGCCCCCTCCCACTCCTAGTCCCTATGGTTTGTTTAAAGCTGATAATCCCATCCTTCAGCTTGAGGGATGGACACACCCAGATCTGGTCGATTTGTTTTGTCCACCCTTGACCTCAGTGATTGGTTCAAGGATGGGCACAAGACCCAAGTTGGTCCAAGGGGACTCAAGTCTTTGAATGTCTCTATAACTAGAGGGAAAAATATCTTGTTCCATTGGGTTAGTGGGTAGTATCTGAGTCTTGAGCTGCTGAGGACCATCTTGCCACCAGGAGAAGAACATCATCCTGGGAATGAAGCCAATATGAATGAAAGCAGAGCTGAGAGGTATATAGAGATGACGTTATGACATCATATGAGCACCTGCATCCAGCTATACCTGAAGACCTAACCCTTCCATTTCAAGGCTTTTTAATACTTCAGAATCTCAGTCAGTACCGCATACAGCATAGCAATAACATCCATTGACTGGGCACCAGCACGTGCCAGGCACTGTGCTAAGTGCTTTCTATATATCATTTCTAATCCTCACAAGAACCTGAAGATGTTTTTATTTCCCATTTACAGAAGCAAAAACTGAGGTCCAGAGAGGTGCAACAGCTGTTCCGTCACACAGTTGTCATAGAGCTAGGACTGAAATGCAGGTATGTCTGTCTCCACAGCCTCTCTACACCAAGTAAGTGCTCAACCAATGCTTTTTGATTTGAATCAACTCAACTCTCCAACCTCCCCAAGACAGTCAGTCTGTGAGACATGGATATTGTCCACCAGTTGGTCAGCTTAACAGTGGAGAGCATCACCTTCCTAAGCCTATCCCAAAACATTGAACTAGGCATATCCTGCCCAAAAACATCTCCCCATCTCTGCTCTCACTGCTTTCACCTCTGCTCTGGAGGTTGATCTATTCCTTCACTCTGAAATATTTTTGCTGCCCACACATCCTTAGCTCACAATGATCCTATGAAATAGGAACCATTATTATCCCCATTCTACAGATAAGGACACTGGGGATCAAAGAGGTGAAGGCACTTGTTTCAGGGGCTTTAGCAGCGCCCTGGACAAAATAAACTCTGAGTGGGACATTGTCTTCATCCCAGGCATGCCCACAGTACCTAGCACAAAAGAGGAAGCAGTAAATACTTGCCAAATGAATGAATGAATGAATGAATGAATGAATAATAGGGATGAAAGGAAAGCAAGCAAGTAGTTTCTTACTTTCAATAGTTTTTAAAAGGTGAGAGATGACTAATGATTGACAGATGAGAAATAATCCTTTCAGTCTGTAATTTTCTCCTGTAAAGATCTTTTTTTTTTTTTTTTTTGACGGATTCTCACTCTGTCACCAAGGCTGGAGTGCAATGGCACAATCTCGGCTCACTGCAACCTCCACCTTCTGAGTTCAAGAGATTCTCCTGCCACAGTCTCCCAAGTAGCTGGGATTACAGGCACCTGCCATCGTGCCTGACTAATTTTTGTATTTTTGTAGAGATGGGGTTTCACCATGTTGGCCAGGCTGGTCTAGAACTCCTGACCTCAGGTGATCCACCCACCTTGGCCTCCCAAAGTGTTGGGATTACAGGCGTGAACCACCACACCTGGCCTTGTAATTTTCTCATGTAAATTTCTCATGTCAAGATCTAAGGAAAGGAACAAGGGCTGGCTTGGCCTAGGAACCAAGAGAATGAAGGTCTCACTCTGCACCTATTTCTAGAACATCTCATTTAATGATACAAAAGAAAAACCAAAGACCTTGGCAGTGAATCCAGGGTCAAATCCACAGTTCATCAGTTATGAGCTATGTGACCTTGAATAAGTCAGTCCCTCTGGGCATTCTTTCTCAGCCATAAAAATAAATAAATAAATAAATATTACAAAAAAAAAAAAAAAGACAATTCACAGCTGCATGTCCCAGGGTGGGTAAGATAAGATGCACATAGTAGGCATTCATGAAACACCAGCTCTCTTTAATACATCTCTCCACTCTCTCGTGACTCCGCTTTTCTCATGTTTAAGACAGAGGTGACTCTAACCTTTTCCATTTGAAGAGAACTGAATAGTCCCGGAAACCCTTCTACATAATAGCCACCAGCTGCCTCCCTGGGGAACTGGAAGCTTAAATGGGACGTTGCATATGAAATGCTTTGAGGGCCTTGGAAGAAAAGAGGCAAGAGAATCCAGAGGGTTATTATTAGACATGGAAACGAGAGAGCAGGAGCCCACACACGCCTCTCGTATAATCAAACTGACATGGAGGTTTACAGTGCATTGAACATTGCGTTCCAGTCCAGAGAGCTAAAAATGGAAACCTGTGAAAACAGCTTCTGGGTTAAATCAGGCTCCTGCGGGCTCCTGTGGGCCGGAGAGCAGAAGGGACACCAGGCCTTTGCCACCCAAGCTGAGGCAGCAGTGGGTTTTGGGCAGGCTGGGACACACACTCCACCTGCCCCAGCCCCCCAATATGAGCCTTAGACCCTACAGCCTTGTAGGACTGAGAAAGAGCCAAGTCAGGGGTACAGCCTGTCCTTGAGCAAGGTACTTCACCACTCTGGGCTTCAGTTTCCCCATCTGTAAAGGGAAGATGTAACAAGGGTTAATATGAGGCTTTAATTAGTTAATACATGAAAGTGCTTAGCAGTGTGGTAGTAAGGCACTAGGATCAGCTCACAGTAGATGTTAGCTGATACTGCATGGGCCTTGTTTATCCTACCTCTTAGCCTTTGTGTAGGCTGCATTCCCCACCTGGATCTTCTCCTCTCCACTCCCCTCTAATCTCACTTATTTCTTCCTAAATTAATCCTGTTCATCCTTACAAATCTCAGCTCAAATTCCATCATCTGGTAAAACCACACATGTGCTGTGACATTCATTCATTTATTTGTTGGGCACCTACTATGTGCCAAGTGCTGTCCTAGCGTAAGCTTTATAGTAGTGAACAAAATAGATAAAAGAAATCCCTACCCTCATGGAACTTCTATTTCAGTGCATAGTTATAATGTTGTTTTCCTCGTTGTATTCATATAACTAAAGAATGATTCACATTTTTAAAGTTTGTCCTTGTACCTCCTAAAGTCAGCTCCTGTGCAATAAGAGTCCCTGCACTGATGTTTCAAATATGCAAATCTTTCAGCACGCCATAGAACTGCTCCAGGGCAAAGAGGGCTCCTCCCTTCTCTCTGGAGCACCCAGCTGGTCACTTTACTGGAGTTAAAAAAAAAAAAAAAATTGAAATCCAGCTGCCTTGAGTTGAGAAACCAGGCCACCTATTTCTCTCCCCACACCTATCCCCAAAACACCAGATTATGCTAAAAGAATCCTTTGTGCACGCCTACCCACATGTCCCCTGTGACTCTGCACCTCCGATGACATTTCACCAGCCTGATCAGCCCTGTCCAGATCGCTCCCCCGAGGGCAAGAAGCTGTTTATGGAATCTGACAATGCCTTAGTATATGTCTTCGATGGAGCTGCCTTGGGGACCCAAGGGCAGATGTTCTAAATGAACAGCACCTGACTGCTAATAGTCATCCTGGCCTTTTCTAACACACAACCCCCACATCCCCCAGGAGGAAAGGGTCGCAGTAAGGCTCTCAGCTCTTGAAGGAGGGAAAGCCGGGAGGCCCAAGCTCTGCCGATGGATGCAAAGCACGTCAAAGCCCATGACCCTCAAGCCTCTGCAAGGGGACAATCTTTTATCCTCCCAAGCAGCCTAACAGAAGTCATGCCATGAGCTGGGAGTCAGAAGATCAGATTTCCCATCTAGTACAGTGGCGACTGACCATGGGAAGTCATCAAACTCCCTGAACCTCACTCTCCCTGTAAAATGGGGACCAAAAAAAAAAAAAACTCCTCCTCATCTTGCAGATTGCCCTAATAGGAAATGAAATCCTGGTTATGGAAGTCTCTTGCAACCACCCTTTACTAACTGTGAGACCAATACTCTGGGTGCCTCAGTTCTTCATCTGCAACATGGGTTTGGGGTTTTTGTTGGTTTTTGTTTTGTTTTGCTTTGAGACAGGGTCTCACACTGTCACCCAGGCTGGAGTGCAGTGGCGCAATCATAGCTCCCTGCAGCCTCAAACTCCTGGCCTCAAGCAATCCTCCCCCTTCAGCCTCCCAGAGCACTAGGATTACAGGCACGAGCCACTGAGCCCAGCCAACAACACAGGCTTAACAGTAGAACTTTTCTCAGAGATATGTCATGAAATAAGCAAGTGAGGTCAAGATGAAATGTAAGTTTAGGGAGGGATTCAGTAGGGTGACCAACCATCCAGGTGTGCCCACACCTGACCTAAAGTCTTTGGGCAGAAAATCCCTAGCAAACCAGAATGATTTGGTCAGTCCAGGATTCAATGAGTTAATGTACTGCCTGGCACCTAGTAAGGTCCAACAGGCATTAATTAGCTCAGTGAATAAGACCGATACTCAACTCCCCTCTCAAACCAATGGCTCAGAATCTCCAAGTTCCCAGATGATTCTAACATGCAGCCTGCAGCCAAGATTGAGAATCACACCTGGAGGGGTGTAAAACCTCTCTAAGCCAAGGTTCTCAACTTTGCCTGCAAAACCTCGAATCATCCAGGGTGCTTTTAAAAACTCCCCATGCAGGGCTCCCATCCCAGAGTAATGGAATCAGAAACTGGTGTGGGGCCTGGCATCATTACCTTTGTCAAGTTCCCTGTGTGAACCTAACAGGCAGGCAGGTGTGAGGACTCCACTGCTCTAAAACAAAGGAGGCCCCCACCCGAGGGAAGAGAGTCCTTGCACACCTACAGGGTGACTTTCCAGGGGCCAGGCATTGAATCAGAGTTGTCGTACAGATTAACAGAGAGAAGCAGCACCAAATAAGTAGCTCAATAAATCATAGGCTTATTATTATTTATTTAGTCAGCCTAAAAGCTCATTAGGATCCCAACCCTGGGCCTGACGCGGTGGCTCATGCCTGTAATCCCAGCACTTTGGGAGGCGGGCGGATTACTTGATGTCAGGAGTTTGACACCAGCCTGGCCAATATGGTGAAACCTTGTCTCTACTAAAATACAAAAATAAGCTGGGTGTGGTGGTGTATGCCTGGAATTCCAGCTACTCAGGAGGCTGAGGCACAAGAATCACTTGAACCCGGGAGGCAGAGGTTGCAGAGGTTGCAGTGAGCCAAGATCATGCCACTGCACTCCAGCCTGAATGACAGAGTGAGACTCCATCTCAAAAAAAAAAAAAAATTCCCAACTCTGGGGCCCACTTACATTCCAATCCGAGCCCTGTACTTTTTTAGTGCGTGGATTTGAGAAAATGACCCACCCCTCTGTGCCTCAATGTTCTCATCTGTAGAATGGGGATGTTCACATCTGCCTCACAGAGTTGTTATGAGTGAAGTGGCATCATTGTCTGGGCTAAATACCCAAGGTTTGTTGTCTCATGCCAGGAAAACCGAAGATGCAGACACACACAAGAAGTGAGTTTTAGAGCAGAGGCTTAATAGGCGAAAGACAGAGAAAAAGAGAATAGCTCTCTCTCCTGCAGAGAGAGAGAGGTGCCTGAGTGGGTCTTCCAGTTTCTTGGTGAAGTGCATGGGGTTTTACAGACTGGCTTGAGAAGGTGGTACCTGATTTATATAGGGCCCAAAGATTGGTTGGACCAGATGTGTCATTTACATAGCATGTGAAGAAGCTGGCCGCCCCACTCTAATCTTCTATTATGTAGATAGAGTCTCTCCCTGGCCGGCACCATGTTGTCTGTTCCTTATTGTCCCCGTGGTTGACAAAAGGGAAGATGGAGCTGCCATGTTGAACATGCCTGGTCCCCAGGTAGCCTTTTCCTATTGGCACAGCTGCCAGCATTCACCCATGCAAGCTTCCAGCTTCCTTATCTGTGTCTGCAGCTTGATTTTACAGACTGCTTTTTGTTAGAAAAGAAATGATTTGGGGGCTGCTTTTTATTAAAAGGAAACCTTACTGAGGACTCTCTTACCCTCACTATCTGCCTAAATAATTTCTTTTTAACTCCTGTACCATGAAGATGAAAGAAAGGGAGGTGGATGGTCGCCAAGTGAGAGCTGAATGATTGTAAGGCAAAGGCATATTATTCCTCATCACCCATTATTGAACCCATTCTGCAGGTGAGAAAATGAGGCTTAAACAGCTTGTCCAACTTCACCCAGCTGCTTAAGGCTTGGGACCAGCAGCCGTCAGGTCAGAACTCACTTGATTCTGCCACCCTCTCTCCACATTCCCCAACCTTGGCTGCCTCTTCTCACCCTGTCTGTCCCCCATGTTCTTCCCATGACCTTCACAATTTCAGTTTTGGGGGCCTCTAGCCACAGGCAGACATGCAACAGTAATCACTGAAATGAGTTCTAAACCGAAGACAGAAACAAATACAGGGTCTCTGCAACCAGGTGAGTTTTCCAGGTGAGAATCTCAGAGCCTGACAACCTTTCCACCTTCCCTTCTCCATGAAGAATCCAGACCCTTTGGATACCTGATGGCAGCAAATACCAGGCCTGGTCTAAGGGCTTCACATGTATTACTTCTTTGTGTTTGTTTTTGTTTGTTTTTGAGACAGAGTCTTGCTCTGTCACCCAGGCTGGAGTGAAGTGGCGCGATCTCGGCTCACTGCAACCTCCACTTCCTAGGTTCAAGCGATTCTCCTGCCTCAGTCTCCCGAGTAGCTGGGATTACAGGCATGTGCCACCACACCCAGCTAATCTTTGTATTTTTAGTAGAGATGGGGTTTCACCATTTTGGCCAGGCTGGTCTTGAACTCCTAACCTCAGGTGATCTGCCCACCTTGGCCTCCCAAAGTGCTAGGATTATAGGTGTGAGCCACCTCACCTGCATATTACTTGTTTAATCCCCACAGTAACACTGTGGGTAGGTACTATTGTTATTCCCATTTCACAGATGAGGAAACTGAGGCTCAGAGAAGATTAAGAAATTTGTCCAAGGAACCCAGGGGGTCTGGCTGCACAGCCATGGTCTTGACCTGATTTCTCCCTCTGAAGGCAGCCAAAGATCAGTTCTGAGTTGGGGGAGAAAGGGAGGACATGTCAAATTAGACAAACAGTTGTCTGTATGGATTTTTGTTTGTTTTTGTTTTGCCTTGCTTGTTTGTTTTATGGGTTTGGTTTAGTTTTTCACTAGCTCCATAAAGAAAGTCTGGAGCCAAGAGTAAAGGACAAGAAGCAGTTTCAACACGACATAAAGAAGAGCTTTCCAACCATCAGAACTGCCCTTAAAAAGATTGCCTTTGCCATAATTCCAAAGCATGTTGGAATTAAGAGTGGTGAGCCCCAGGGAGGTGGTGATGGAGGGGGACAGAATAGCCCCAAACAGCCCCAAACCTCTAGATGCCTCGAGCTCTGAAAAGATTATATAATTCCATTTTAAAAAGTCAACCCAGAAAATAAGTACAAAGAATGCCAACAAAAGCTTTCTTTGAAATACCGAATTCTTTCCCCCTACAAGAAAAACGTGAGTAGGGGAGGGAGAAGGAGGAGTTCCCTGCTTCTCCTCGTTTGACTTTTGTACGATGAGCATGTACTACTTTCTTAGACAAAATTATTTTTAAAATAAAAACTATTTGAAATGATTTGGAAGAGTATGATGGGGGAATATTCACGATGTCACGTTCAGTGAAGAATGACATTAAAAACATGTCACGATTTAACCTGTTTCTCTTTTACATCTATTTTTATACCAAAACATTAATAATAGCTGGCAGGGGATGGTACTGTGGGTGGTTTTTATTTTCTCCTTTATGCTTTTCTATATTTTTAAGCTTTTTTTCTATCACTCACATGAACCAGCTGTGCAATAAGAAAAACAAAAAAAGTGTTCTTTAAAAAAAGAGGATCTTTGCCAAGGACTGAGCTTCGTGGCTACAAAGATCCAAACAGAGGCAGAGAGTGAGTATGAGGGGACTCCAGCTTTGAAGAAAAGGTCAGAGATGTGAACTCAAAGAATCCTTGATGCTGGGATTCTGAGGTTTCTTTTTTTTTTTCTTTTTTTTATATTATTATTATACTTTAAGTTCTAGTGTACATGTGCATAATGTGCAGGTTTGTTACATATGTATACATATGCCATGTTGGTGTGCTGCACCCATTAACTCGTCATTTAGCATTAGGTATATCACCTAATGCTGTCCCTCCCCCTCCCCCCACCCCACAACAGTCCCCAGTGTGTGATGTTCCCCTTCCTGTGTCCATGTGTTCTCATTGTTCAATTCCCACCTATGAGTGAGAACATGCAGTGTTTGGTTTTTTGTCCTTACGATAATATGTTGAGAATGATGGTTTCCAGCTTCATCCATGTCCCTACAAAGGACACGAACTCATCATTTTTTATGGCTGCATAGTATTCCATGGTGTATATGTGCCACATTTTCTTAATCCAATCTGTCATTGTTGGACATTTGGGTTGGTTCCAAGTCTTTGCTATTGTGAATAGTGCCGCAATAAACATACGTGTGCATGTGTCTTTATAGCAGCATGGTTTATAATCCTTTGGGTATATACCCAGTAATGGGATCGCTGGGTCAAATGGTATTTCTAGTTCTAGATCCCTGAGGAATCGCCACACCGACTTCCACAATGGTTGAACTAGTTTACAGTCCCACCAACAGTGTAAAAGTGTTCCTATTTCTCCACATCCTCTCCAGCACCTGTTGTTTGCTGACTTTTTAATGATCGCCATTCTAACTGGTGTGAGATGGTATCTCATTGTGGTTTTGATTTGCATTTCTCTGATGGCCAGTGACGGTGAGCATTTTTTCATGTGTTTTTTGGCTGCATAAATGTCTTCTTTTGAGAAGTGTCGAGGTTTCTAAAACCCGGGTAGCCAAGCTGATAAAGGATGTGCTGAACAGAAACAGGGATGACTTGAAAAGGAATTTGGGGAAATAAAAAGATGGTAAGTTTGATACGATCTCTGACATATCCATAAAAGCGGAGGTTGTAAACCTGAGAACCCTGGAAAAAAGGCAGAGTTGGAAAGTTAAATTTGGGGGTTTCCTGCTTAAAAGTGATCAGCGAAGCTTAAAAGAGAGCAAAGATTCTCAGGGAAAAAGTGTTGCCCAGCATTTCCCAACCCTAGTTGCCCCTTAAAATCCACCAGAGGGCTTTGTAAAAACCACTGATGCCCTGGCTCCACCCTGAGCAACTAAGTCACCATCTCTGGGGACAGCTTAGGCATCAGCAGTTTTTAATTAATAGTCTTTTTCTTCCTTCCGTTCTTTCCTTTTCCTTCCCTTCTTTCCTTTTCCTTCCCTTCCTTCCCTTCTTTCTTTCCTTCCTCCCCCTCTCTCTTTCCTTCCTTTTCTTTCTTTCCTTATTTCTTACTTTCTTCTCTTTCCTTCTTTCTTTTCTTTCTGATGAAGTCTTGCTATGTTGTCCAGGCTGGTCTCAAACTCCTGGGCTCAAGCAATCTTCCTTCCACCTCAGCCTCCTGAGTAGCTGGGACTACAGGCGCCTGCAACCACACCCGGCTAATTTTTTGTTATTTTTAGTAGAGACAGGGTTTCACTGTGTTAGCTAGGATGGTCTCCATCTCCTGACCTCGTGATCTGCCCGCCTCAGCCTCCCACCGTGCTGGGATTACAGGCATGAGCCACCGCGCCCGGCTGACACATCGTTATCACCCAAAGTCTCCTGGTTATGTTGTACCTTCTATAACTTCAACAAGGGTATAATAACCTGTATCTACCATTATAGTGTCATAACAGAATAGTTTCCCTGTCCTCAAAATTCTCCGTGAGCTTCAGTAGTTTTTGAATACTCCAAGTGACCCTCAGGTACAGCCAAGCTTGAGAACCACCACTGTACCCAGCAAGAAGAGAGTTATAAGCATTAGACCTTGAAGAGCACTTGCTCTTGGAAGAAAGATGAAGTTTGGAAAAAATAATAAAGAAAGGTTATAGAGGGAGAAGGACAGTGTCACGAAAACTAGGGAAAGGAAGAATTTTGAAAAAGAGAAGAAGAAACACACTGCAGAGGTGAAGAAAACTGAGAAATGACGATGAGAAGAATGGAGAATCGTGCGTGCCAGATTGTCAATGGCCTTTGAAAATTCAGATTCAACAGAACATGGGCATGGGAAGGGTAGGGAAGCAAACTTGTCTGGATTAAGGTTGCCTGGGCAGTGAGATCGAGGCTGCAAATATTTGTTGAAGAAGAAAAAGAAGGGCCGGGCATGGTAGCTCATGACTGTAATCCCAGCACCTTGGGAGGCCGAGGCGGGTGGCTCATCTGAAGTCAGGAGTTTGAGACCAGCCTGACCAACATGGCGAAACCCTGTCTTTACTAAAAATAAAAATAAAAAAATTAGGCCGGGCATAGTGGCTCAGGCCTGTAATCCCAGCACTTTGGGAGGCCGACACGGCTGGATCACAAGGTCAGGAGATCAAGACCACCCTAGCTAACACGGTGAAACCCCATCTCTACTAAAAATACAAAAAATTAGCCGGGCATGGTGGCACATGCCTGTAGTCACAGCTGCTCGGGAGGCTGTGGCAGGAGAATCGCTTGAACTCGGGAGGCGGAGGTTGCAGTGAGCCGAGATGGCACCACTGCACTCCAGCCTGGGCAGCAAAGTGAGACTCTGTCTCAAAAAATAAAAATAAAATAATAATTATCTGGACATGGTGGCACGTGCCTATAATCCCAACTACTCAGGAGGCTGAGGCAGGAGAATCACTTGAACCTAGGAGGCAGAGGTTGCAGTGAGCTGAGATCGCACCACTGCACTCCAGCCTGGGTGACAAAGTAAGACTCTGTCTCAAAAAAAAAAGGAAAAGAAGAATAGGAATAAGGTAGCCAAAAAGGGGAGAAGTTCAAGGAAAGAGTCTTCCTTTTCTTCTTTTTCAGGGTATGTATAGATGAGCGAGATTGTAGGCAAAGAAAGAACCTGTGAAGAGACAGAGATCAAAGGTGGTTAGTTGGTTAGCTAGCCAGTTAGTTCATTTTAGAACACTGTCTGGAACTTAGTGTAACATACATTAGTTAGTTGATTGGTTATCAGTTAGTTGATTGGTTAGTTAGCTAGTTAGTTTTAGTAAAATGCCTGATAGCATAATACATATTAGTTAATTGGTTGGTTAGTTAGTTTGAGAACAATGTCTGGAACTTAGTATAATACACATTAGTTAGTTGATTGGTTATTAGTTGGTTGGTTGGTTGATTAGTCAGTTAGTTTTAGTACAATGCCTGACAGTATAATACATATTAGTTAATTGGTTGGTTAGTCAGTTTGAGAACAATGTCTGAAACTTAGCATAATACACATTAGTTAGTTTGTTGGTTAGTTTATTGGTTTTAGTCAGTCAATCGGTTAGTTTTAAGAGGAGAGGATGTAATTTTTAAAAGTAATCGTCTTCATTAAAGCGTTACTCAGCTGGGTGCTATGGCTCACACCTGTAATCCCAGCACTTTGGGAGGCCAAGATTGGAGGATCACTTGAGCTTAGGAGTTCAAGACCGGCCT
Source organism: Homo sapiens (assembly GCF_000001405.40). NCBI lineage: Eukaryota > Metazoa > Chordata > Mammalia > Primates > Hominidae > Homo > Homo sapiens. The sequence goes on along the minus strand of NC_000012.12, from coordinate 118,528,430 downwards.
GGGCAACATAGTGAGATTCTATCTCTTTAAAAAAAAAATTGGGGGGTTACCAAGGGATGGGGTTGGAGGAGATACCTACTTAAAGGTCTTACAAGATTAATTTCCTCATTTGTTCTGCAGCAGATTTTATCTTTACTAAAGAATTGAGGACCTGTGCCACATGACCTGCCTCTAATTTCAGCCTCATCTATGGGGACCTTGTCCATGTCTGCTGGCAACTTCCCACATCAGATGTCCCCTAACTCTCTGGTTTTCTGCCTCAAAGCTTCCCCAAAACTACAGAAACATCCTTCACAGGTGCATTCTATAAATGCAAAGGGGCTCAGACCCCAGGGGATAACGTCAAACAATGGGGCATAGAAGTCAGTGGATACACACCTCACCTCCTGTCCTTCAGGGGGATCATTCTGAATGCATTCTTCTCAGTCCCACAGGGTGGACTTGCTCAACAATGCACCCTCTATTATCTCTTTGTCCTTCCCTGACTCGTTCTCCCATTCTCTCGTTCTTCCTCTCTGGGATCACCTCCTGAATTCACTACCTACATCCAAGTCCCTGCCTCAGGCCCTGCTTCGGAGTGAACTCAAACCAAGACACTCACTACACTGTGAGTTCCATGAGGGCTGTGTTGGACTCAGTGACACACCACCCAGGTCCTCCTTCTGGACCAAAGGACTCATTCCCCCAACTGTTGAGCGTGCTGCCCTCAGCCCCCAGTCCCCCTACAGGGATTGCCTCTGCTGAAGAGAGCTGTTTCACCCAAGGTTACATCCCAGGGACCCCCACATTGAGTGACTGGTTGGTATGGTCTGTCCTAAAGGATGACTCAGTTTCAGAACTCCCTGGAGGGGTTGGCTGAGGCCCCCACTTAGATGACATCACAGCTCAACATTCCCCTCTGCCCAATTGTGATTCAGTCCCTCCCATCCACAGATGTCCAAGAGCGGTCCCTCATAAACCCACTGTGTGTGAGTCTCTGCCTCAGAGTCTGCTTCCCAGGGGAATACATAGTCCACCACTGCATTCTTTTGCTTGTTTGTTTGTTTGAGACAGAGTCTCACTCTGTCATCCAGGCTGGAGTGCAGTGGCGCTATCTCGGCTCACCGCAGCCTTCATCTCCTGGGTACAAGCAATTCTTCTGCCTCAGCCTCCCAATTAGCTGGGACTACAGGCACATGGCACCATGCTCAGCTAATTTTTGTACTTTTAGTAGAGACGGGATTTCACCATGTTGGTCAGGCTGGTGTCCAACTCCTGACCTCAAGTGATCCACCCTCCTTGGCCTCCCAAAATGCTGGGATTACAGCCGTGAGCCACTGCGCCTGGCCCAACCACTACATTCTCAATGCTTAGACAGCGCCTGGCTTGTAAACGTTCAATAGATACTTGTTGAGTTAATCGATTGTTTAATTAGGGGGTGGGAGAGCTTTCTATGGAAACTCTACCAGTCTCATGTGTGATCTCAAGCCAGGGGAAGTCCTCCTTCCGGGTGTTATCAGCATCTCTCTGCTATTTTGAAGTCTGAGCACATTGCTGCTAAAGGCTTACTGCTTGGCAGGAGTTTCTAGTGGCCTGGGTGTGGGTAGGTAAAGCATTTCACAGTTCACCTCTCTTGGGCTTTTCACCTTCCTCCCAGCCATAAAGTCCAGGCCACAAAAGCAAAAGCCAACCTAGTCCATGAGCTTCTCAAGCCAGGAGAAATCCAGTGTGTTGCACTTGACCTCCTGCTCATGATTCAGATGGTGTCTAGAAGAGAGTCCAGGTGTGAGAATGGAAGATGAAACACAATTGCAAAATGTACCTGGGGCTGAAAGAAGTATTCAGCTATAAATAAACCATTTTCCCCAGACCTAGGTGTCTCTGTATATGATTAATTGTTCAAGGTTGGAAACTAACTGTGTTTTGGTTCCTGTCTGTTAAGAAAGATTTGGCTCCAGCCACCCCTTGGCCCAGCACAGGGACCTGGCAGGGTAATGATGGGATTCAGTAGGCTGACCTTCGTAGCAACATCTGCTTGGGATAAGGCCACAGCAGGTCAGCATGGTGGGAACAGCAGCCAACAGCTATGTCTGAACCCTGAAAATTTTTCTGGCACTGGGTAATACAGTTACAATACTTTGTGTCTTCTTTTAGAAAGTATGCCTGTGGGTGAGCATCAAGACCGTCTAAATGGGCAGACCCTTTGACTAGCAAGGCCTCTTCTAAAAATGTATCTCAATGATTAATTAGCTGCAAGGATGTTCATCAAAGCACTTTAAAAAATAATGGTTAGGCCAGGTGCAGTGGCTCACACCTGTAATCCCAGCACTTTGGGAGGCTGAGGCAGGCAGATCATGAGGTCAAGAGATCGAGACTATCCTGGCCAACATAGTGAAACCCCATCTCTACCAAAAATACAAAAAACGAGCAGGGCATGGTGGCGCAAGCCTGTAGTCCCAGCTACTCCACAGGTGGAGGCAGGAGAATCACTTGAACTAGGGAGGCAGAAGTTGCAGTGAGCCGAGATCACGCCACTGTACTCCAGCCTGGTGACAGAGTGAGACTCTATCTCCAAAAAATAAATAAATAAAAATAAAAATAAATGGTGAATGACTGGAGGCAACCTAAATGTCCACCTGAAGGGGATTATAAAAGGGGGTTATATATGTTATATAAATCCTGGTGTAACATGCCAGGACATACAGTCATTAAAAATAATGTATTGGGGTGCAGTGGCTCACACCTATAATCCCAAAACTTTGGGAGGCCAGGGCAGGCAGACTACTTGAGGCCAGGAGTTTGAGACCAGACTGGACAACCTAGCAAGACCATGTCACCACAACAAAATTTAAAAATTAACCAGGTGCAGTGGTGTATGTCTGTAGTCCCAGCTACTTGGAAAGCTGAGGTAGGAGGTTGCTTGAGCCTAGGAATTCAAAACTGCAGTGAGCTGTGATTGCACCACTGCACTCCAGTCTAGAGTGACAGACGAAGAGACCCTGTCTCAAAAAAAATAAATGATGTCATAATATACATTTGTTGGCATGTAATGACATGCCCCTAGTGTATTGTTAAATTTAAAAGGCACTATGTACAGTATACTTCCATTAGAAGGAAGGGACGGAAGAGGAAGAGAAAAAAAGAAGGGGAAAGAGAAAGGTGACAAGGAAAGAAGCAATGTGGTTCAGACCTGGAATCTCAAATTTCCCTGATGGAAAATAGCTGGAGACCTGCTGGAACCCCAAAAGACAGAAGTTGATCTCAAGGGAATTTCTTCAAGAGATTATTTTTTTAAGGGTTCCGGAAGAGCAGCAAGAAGAAAGGAAGAGATGTGGCAAATTAAAGACCAGAGATTCCTGCTTTCAACTCTGAGATCTGACACCAAACATCTCCTTAACCTGGGCCTGTTTGCCCCAGCAGGAAAGGAGTCCGCCTGAGTGATCATGAAGTTTCCTTCCGTAGGGCAAAAATGTTGACCATGATTGGTCTGGTTGGCAGGATTTAAGGTGATTGTCCTTGATCCTTTTCTGTATTTTCCAGCATTTCCAAAATGAGTATCTATGATTTGGTAATTAGAAACAATCAACGAATGTTAAGAATTATATTAAATCCCGCTTACCAAAAGAAACAACCGAAGCACATTTGAAAAGGGCATAGTGACTTTTGTTTTTAGTATGTTTTAATTATATCTGTTTGCTCAATCACTGATCTTCCAAACTCCATGAATATTCACACAGCAAGACCCCATGCTCATAAAAGCCAGATCCGTCTGCTCTATTGCCTAATAAGCCTGGTTTTGTGCTCCAGCTAGGCGCAGTCATTCTGTTCTCCCTGTCTCCTCCTTTCATATAGAGAATGCTGCATGTTGAACAGACAAGGATTCAGTAATTATTCCTGAAGAAATTTCAAGAGCAGTGGGGAGGTTTGTTCCTCTTCATTTTTAGGGAAGAAAATTGAGCTTCCTGAGGAAGCTCAGATGAAATTAAACATGGTGCAAAACTGCACCCTCCTTCCACACACACCAATGTCCTACACCAGCCAGGATGGGTTCAGAGTCTGACTTTGCAGGAAGCAGTGTTTGCAAGCTCAGGGTCTTGCAACCTCTGGAAATGATGTCTTCTGAAGGCAGAAGAGCTAAATGATGGTTTTAGAGCCATATACACTTGGATTTGCTTCAAGTCCTGCACCCACACACACATGCTTTCTACCTGTGTGAGCTTGAGCCGGTGATACATCCTCTCAGAGCCCCGGTCCCCTCCTTTTTACTAAATGGGCAGGACAGGCTCTACTCACAGGGCTGTTTAGAAAGTCCAGTGAAATCAGAGAAGTAAAATGCTAAGCATAGTGGCTGGACATGGCGGCCCTCAATGAGGAGTAACAACAATTGGTGATCTGGTCATTAGTAGGGACACAAGTGACTTGTGGTATAGGGTAGATTCTTGTCTCAAGGGCATATGAGTTTCCCATTGCTGTTGTAACAAAGTCCCACAACTTGGTGCCTTTTAAAAACTCAAATTTAACCAGGCATGGTGGTGCACCCCTGTAGTCTCAGCTACGCTGGGGGCTGAGGTGGGCGGATTTCTTGACCCCAGAAGTTCAAGGCTGCAGTGAGCTGTGATCTCACCCCTGCCCTCCAGCCTGGGCAACAGAGCAACACCCTGTCTCTAGAAATAATAATAATATAATTAAAAATTTTAAGTACTCAAATTTATGATCTTACAGTTCTAGAGGTCAGAAGTCCAAAATGAGTCTTACAGGACAAAATCAAGGTATCAGCAGAGCTCCGTTCCTTCTGGAGGTGCTAAAGAAAAATCCATTTTCTTGTCTTTTCCAGCTTCTGGAGGCAGTCCACATTTTTTGTCTGGTAGGTTCCTTTCTCCATCTTCAAATCTAGCATAACCTCCTCACATCTCTCTCTCTGACCTCTGACTCCATCGTCATATCTCCTTCTCTGACTCACCTTTCCCACTTCTAAGGACTCTTAAAATTACCTTGGGCCCACCAGATAATCCAGTATAATCCCCATAACTCAAGATCCTTAACTTTATCTTACCTTCAAAATCCTTTTTGTTGGCTGGGCGCAATGGCTCACACCTGTAATCCCAGCATTTCGGGAGGCCAAGGCAGGCAGATCACTTGAGGCCAGGAGTTTGAGACCAGCCTGGCCAACATGGTGAAACCCCATCTCTACTAAAAATACAAAAATTAGCCAGGCATGGTGGGGCATGCCTGTAATCCCAGCTACTTGGGAGGCTGAGGCACAAGAATCACTTGAACCCAGGAGGCGGAGATTGCAGTGAACTGAGATTGTACCACTGCACTCCAGCCTGGGCAACACAGCAAGACTCTGTCTCAAAAAAAAAAAAAAAGTTCCTTTTGCCATGAAAGGTAACATATTCACAGGTTTAAGGGATTAAAATGTGGACATGGCATCAGAGAAATGCGAATCAAAACCACGATGAGATACCATCTCACACCAGTTGGAATGGTGATCATTAAAAAGTCAGGAAACAACAGATGCTGGAGAGGATGTGGAGAAATAGGAACGCTTTTACACTGTTGGTGGGAGTGTAAACTAGTTCAACCATTGTGGAAGACAGTGTGGCGATTCCTCAAGGATCTAGATTTAGAAATACCATTTGACCCAGCGATCCCATTACTGGGTATATACCCAAAGGATTATAAATCATGCCACTATAAAGATACATGCACACGTATGTTTATTGTGGCACTATTCACAATAGCAAAGACTTAGAACCAACCCAAATGTCCATCAATGATAGACTGGATTAAGAAAATGTGGCACATATACACCATGGAATACTATGCAGCCATAAAAAATGATGAGTTCGTGTCCTTTGCAGGGACATGGATGCAGCTGGAAACCATCATTCTAAGCAAACTATCTCAAGGACAGAAAACCAAACACCGCATGTTCTCACTCATAGGTGAGAATTGAACAATGAGAACACTTGGACACAGGGCAGGGAACATCACACACCAGGGCCTATTGTCGGGTGGGGAGATGGGGGAGGGATAGCATTAGGAGAAATACCTAATGTAAATGACGAGGTGATGGGTGGAGCAAACCAACATGGCACATATATACCTATGTATCAAACCTGCACGTTGTGCACATGTACCCTAGAACTTAAAGTATAATAAAAAAAAATGTGGACATGGGGTGGGGACACTTTTCTACCTGCTGCAAAGGATATGAAAGGAGTCCAACATTATCCTTAAATAGCCACAGCTAATCATAATACTGGTAACACTCAGCCTCCTTGGGGGATGTAAGTAACCTTAGCTGCTCCAGTGGTTTATTGAGCATTTAGGATATGCCAGGCTCCCCAGAGGGGCCCCAATACTGCTAAAGGCAGTGGTGAGGTTTGGTCCCCCTTGCCAGAGTACTAACCACTCCTTTCTGCTTTATATATTGCATTACATTTTTAAAACTATTCCACTACATTAAAAGATTTTGAAAAGCTCTGATCTGCCAAATTCTCTAATTTTAATGATGAACTGAGGTCCAGGGAGTTTCAGTTACTCACTAGCAAGGCAGAGAAAGATCAGCCTTAAAGCAAATGATCTTTCCCTTATACTCTGGTAGTCACTGAGCCCCTGAGCTAAGCCGGCCAGTCACTGAGCAACCACTCCAGAGGGAGTAGCACACAGTGGTAAAAAGCATGAATTTCAGGTGCTCACAGAAGTTCCAGTCCTGCCCAGACACTTGCTGAGCAGTGGTTTCTAAGCCTGTTGTGAAATTGGATTAAATGAGATAGTGCACAGAAGGCACTGGCCACAGCACATGCTCAACCGTATAAGCTGTCATTGTTGACTAACTGGCATTATTTCTATTCCTATAGATTTCCTGTTTCTCAAACTCCACTGTAAGTTATTTGAAAGTAGAACCTGCGGCCAGGCACGGTGGCTCACGCCTGTAATCCCAGCACTTTAGGAGGCCGAGGCAGGTCGTTCCCTCTGTTTACCTGACCGGGCCCTATGCATCCCTTCAGGTCTCTTCTGAAATAACCCTTCCCTAAGGAGGCCATCCCAGACCAAGCAGAAGGCATTGTGTCTCCTGTTTTACACTCTCATAAGACCCTGAATTCTCTTTTGTAGACTTTGCTCCAATTATTATTTAATAATTACTTATGTAATAATTTATTTGATCTCTGCCTTCTACAGTGCAGTGCAAGCTACAATGCAAGCTCTCCAAGGACAGCAGTTAATTGGGGCCATGTGATTAATTCATGGGCTGATACGTGTCACTTTGGGGCTGAAGCATAGAAAAGTTGGCATGGTAACTCACCAATTATCAGTTCCCCTGCTGCAGTGACAGACGTTTTATCAGCCTGGGTCCCTGAGTGACCCTGAGCTCTGTTGTTCTACACTGGATGTATAGCATAAATGAGAAAAAACAACAACAACAACAAACAAGCAAACAAACAAAACCTTTGTTGTACTAAATGTCTAGGATTTTTGAAGTTAACTTGTTACTGTATCCCTATCCCAGCCTATCCTAACCAACACATCACTATATTCCCAGTACCCAGCACAGTGTTGGGTACATAGAAAGTGCTCCATAGAAATTTGCTGAATGAATGAATTGGCTTCTGAAACCACAGGTAAAAGTCAGAATACATAACATTTCCTAATTCAGTAGGGAACAAATTTCCACTACCAAAAAAGTATTTTAAAAAGACTGGGCCATGAGTTAGTTTCAAAAGTGAAATGTCAGGGTCCCTGTTTCCCTCTACAGAAGCTAGAAATGCAGGCTCTTTGACCTTGAAGCTGCTAGACTCTGAGTCACCGTCATGTTGCTGGAGGTCACAGAAACACTCAGTGAGGCTGAGGACAATTAGGTACTCAACAAAGTGATAAAATCCACTACAACCAGAGCCATTAGTCACAGGACATTATTTAGAAATTGTTGTAATTTATAATATTTATGAATTGATCTGTAGGAACCCATAAACATCGTGTGTCAATATAACTAATTGGCTTTATGAGTTTCTTTGGTTGGCTGATACATTCAAGCTGATGTCGTCGTGATGTCATTAAAAAAAAAAAAAGGAACCCATGCATGCGGGGCCTTTGGCTAGGCTGTTGGTGTTCTGATAATTCTACTGCATTGGACAAGGAATCGGGTGAAAGTGGTATATTTAAAAAGCAGAGGCTGGGCACGGTGGCTCACGCCTGTAATCCCAGCACTTCGGGAGGCCGAGGCAGGCAGATCACCTGGGGTCAGGAGTTTGAGACCAGCCTGGCCAACATGGTGAAACCATGTCTCTACTAAAAATACAAAAGTTCTCTGGGTGTGGTGGCACGTGCCTGTAATCCCAGCTACTTGAGAGGCTGAGGCAGGAGAATCGCTTGAACCTAGGAGGCAGAGGTGGCAGCAAGCCAAGATTGTGCCACTGCACTCCAGCCTGGGCAACAGAGTGAGACTGTCTCAAAAAAAAAAAAAAATATGGAGAAAGCACCAGTACAGAAGTAGATAAGACATAGCAAATAAAGGGCTTACTACCAAGCAAGCTACCACAGACATTAATCCCTTGAGGAAACTCTGGGGAAAAGGAAAAGACATACATGTTCCCTCCTCCTAATCCCTCAGGTCTCAGCTGAAATAACCCACCTAATAACCTAGTGAGGGAGCTGGGGCATTTATACACCAGCTTCCAAAAGTCACTGGTGAAGGGGGGCTTCTGAAGCAGAGGGTGTTAATTCTTTGACACTCTGGCCTGCTACTCATGAGCTGATTGATTTTGGGAAGTTCTGGCACAGACACTGATACTAGTAACTGGAAGTCAGCCGGAGCCCACTGAAAGTTAAGAAGGCTTGGGTATGGCACTACAGTGTCAGCTGTGCCCACTTTACCTCCTTCAATCTAAGCAAAGAAACTCACCTAAGCCCATAGTTAGGGGCAGCACCTTCCATGTGCCAGGCACTGGGTAGGGGGATGGGGATACAGCCTTGAGCATGACAAGCATGATCCCTGTCACTGTAGATGCGTGGAACCTATAATCTACAGGAGACTCAGTCAATCCCAGTAGAGTGATGTAGCTATCACAGGGGCCTTGGGAACACAGTGGAGAGGCTTCTTACTGAGTCTGGCTGGAAGGGCATGGCAGGAAAGACTTCCCAGAGGACTCGAAGTCCACCTCCATCATGAAAATGAGTCCAAGTTGATCACTTCTAGAAGGTGGTTATAAGAAGAGTGCTTAGACAGGGGGAACAGTATGGGTAAAGGTACAGAGGTTTGAGGGTACATCTAGCGATCAAGGAACTGCAAGTCATTCAGGGAGGCTGCAGGGTAGGATATGTTTGGAAACCATGGGAGAGGTAGCTGGAGAGATGAGGAAAATGTCAGAGATGCCCAATCTGAAAGGTTTGATCTTATTGATTTATCAGGAAGATAATTTTGCAAGGCAAGGTGACTAAATTAGCATATAAACTACCAGGCACCAAAATGTCTGGGGGTGGGGGGTTTTAAGAAACAAACACAGGTTCTAGAACCAGCAGATTTAAGCAACTACTCACGTGCACTTGAGCAGACCCTTCCCCTCCCGGGGCCTCAGTTTCTCATCCGTCATGTAAAGAGATTTATGTAGATGACCTACGAGGTCCAGTGTGTTCATTCATTCATTTATTCAACAAATATTTGCTGAGCTCCTAATACGTACCAAGCATCATGCCAAGCACAAAGGATACAGCAGTGGAAAAGTCCCAACTATCATCGAGTTTACCTCCTAGGAGGAAAACAAAAAGACAAACACATAAGTGAAACGGCATCACTGATACAATTTGGATCTGTGTCCCCACCCAAATCTAATGTTCAGTTAGATGAATGTTCATCCCCAGTGTTGGAGGTGGGAGCCTGGTGGGAGGTGATTGGATTATAGGGGTGGAGTTCTCATGAATGGTTTAGCACCATCTCCCCTTGGTTCTGTGTAGTGAGTGAGTTCTCACAAGATCTGGTTGTTAAGAAGTATGTAGCAAACCCCGCCCCCAACCCGCAACCCCCTTCTTCCTGCTTGGGCCATGTAAGACACACCTGCTTCCCCTTCGCCTTCCACCATGATTTTAAGTCTCCTAAGGCCTCCCCAGAAGCAGAAGCCACTATGCTTCCTGTACAGCCTGCAGAACTGTGAGCCAATTACATCTCTTTCCTTTATAAATTACCCAGTCTCAGGTATTTCTTTAGAGCAATGTGAGACTAATACAGTCATTTATGGAAAACTCAATGAAGAATAAGATAGCAAGATCAGGAATGAGCAAGAGGGGGCCTCTTGGAGGAGGTGATATTTGATTAGAGATGTTACAGAACTGAGGAAGAGAATTCTGGAAATATCTGGAAATGAGCACTCCAAGGTAGAACAAGGAGGCCTCTGTAGCTGGAGAAGAGGGAGCCAGAGATAAAGAGCGAGTGGGAAGGGGGCTGGTCATAGAGGGAGGCAGGAGCCAGGTCAGGTGAGGCCTCCCAGACCATGGTAAGAGCTTGTGATTTTCTTCTAAGTTTAGAAAACATGGGAGCATTTGAGCACAGGAGTGACATACTTTGACCTGCTATCTAAAATGTTCACAGTAGCCCTATTCGTAATAGCCAAAAAGTGGAAACAACACAGATGTTTATCAACTGATGAATAGATCAACAAAATGTGATCTGTCCACTATTCACACAGTGGAATATTACTCAGTCATAAAAAAAGCATGAAGTATTGATACATGCTGCAATGTGTATGAACCTTGAGAACATGACACTCAGTGAAAGAAACCAGAAAAAAATTTCACAAAATGTCACATGATATATGATTCCATTTATATTAAATAATCAGAATAGGCAAATCTGCAGACACAGAAAGTAGATTGGTGGTTGCCAGGGGCTGGGGTGGGGGTGCTGCAGTAGGGAGAGGAGAGTGATGGCTACTGTGCCCAGGCTTGATTTTAGGGTAATAAAAATGTCCTAAAATTAGATAATGTTTGCATAACTCTTCTGAACATATTTAAAACTATTAAGTTGTGCACTCTAAATGGGTGAACTGCATGGTAAATTATATCTCAATAAAGTTGCTTAAAAAAATTAAAGGAGGCTGAAGGTGGTAGCTCACTCCTGTAATCCTGGCACTTTGTGAGGCCAAGGTGGATAGATTGCTTGAGCCCAGGAATTTGAGACCAGCCTGGGCAACAAAGCAAGACCCCGTTTCTACAAAAAATAAAAAAAATTAATTGGGTATGGTGGCACGTATCTGTAGTCCCAGCTATTCAGGAGGCTGAGGTGGAAGGATTGCGTGAGCTGGGGAGGTCGAGGCTGCAGTGAGCCATGATCAAGCCACCGCACTTCTGCCTGGGTGATAGAGCAAGACCTTGTCTCAACTTAAAAAAAAAAAAAAGGACATTCAAATCATGTATATACACACAGAGACAAGTAACTCTCTGGCTGCTTTGTGGTAATAGATTGTAGGGAGGCCAGGGCAGAGGCAAGGAGACTAGTCAGGAGGCTGCTGTGGAAGTCCAGGCAAGAGGCAGCGGTGACATGGACTAGGGTGGGAACAGTGAGGATAGTGATAAGTGGTGGGATGTGAGATCTCTCGAAGCCAGAGCAGAGAGGATTTGCTAATAAACTGGATGTGTGTCATGAGTCAAGGCGAGAAGTCAAGAACCGGCATGCGTAATTGTGTGAGGAGTGGTGCCATTTACAGAGATGAAGAGCACTTGAGGAAGTACAGGTGAAGGGTAGATTAAGAATTTGGTTCGGGTCATGCAACGTGTGAGATGCCCATTAGACATCCAAGAAGAGATGCTGAATAGGTCACCGGGTGCATAAGCCCTGAGACTAGCGGAGAAGTTCTGGCTAGATTTATCAGTTGGGTGTCAGTCATCAACCTAGGGATGGAATTAGAGTGCAGGGATGGATGAGACCCACTAGGGAGTAAATGTAGGTAGAGAAGAGGAGGAAACCCACAACTGGCCCTGGCCACTTAGATGATAGGAAGAGAAACAGAAACATCATGCTTCCGAAAATGCAGACACTTTGGGGGTTCTAAGAGTTCTCTGAATGTTTAAGATTAGCCCATTAATTTAATAGAGCTTCTTCCAGCCCCCCCTTTTTTTTTTTTTTTTTTGAGACAGAGTCTCACTCTGTTGCCCAGGCTGGAGTGCAGTGGTGCCATCTCAGCTCACTGCAACCTCGACCTCATGGGTTCAAGTGATTCTCCTGTCTCAGACTCCCGAGTAGCTGAGATTACAGGTGCTCGTCACCATCAGCTAATTTTTGTATGTTTAATAGAGACGGGGTTTCACCATGTTGGCCAGGCTTGTCTCGAACTCCTGACCTCCAGTAATCCACCTGCCTTGGCCTCCCAAAGTGCTGGGATTACAGGCGTGAGCTACTGCACCTAGCCTTCCAGCTTTCATTTTAAAAATTATCATTGACCACTGGGTCTACACTTCCCAGGGGGTACCCGCTGCAGGGAGAATCCGTAAACACCAAAGAATTTCTAAGATCAGGAATTGAGACAAACTTTCTCTTTAGCCCTTCAAAGAATTCTAAAGTGTTGGCCGTCTGTGAAAAGAGACCTTTCTTTTTGTCCTTCATCCACATAAAAGACGCTCACCTTGACCAAGCATAAGCAAGAAGGGCAGTTTTATTCTAAGAATACTGAAGTGTTTCAGCCAGGCGCGGGGGCTCATGCCTGTAATCCCAGCACTTTGGGAGGCCGAGACGGGCGGATCATGAGATCAGGAGTTCGAGACCAGGCTGGCCAATGTAGTGAAATCCCATCTCTAATAAAAATACAAAAATTAGACAGGTGTGGTGGCACGTGCCTGTAGTCCCAGCTACTAGGGAGGCTGAGGTGGGAGAATCGCTTGAACCTAGGAGGCGGAGGTTGCAGTGAGCCAAGACCATGCCATTGCACTCCAGCCTGGGTGACAGAGTGAGACTCCTTCTCAAAAAAAAAAAAAAAAAAAAAGAATATTGAAGTGTTTCATGGAATTGAAAGAATAAAAAATAGTATATTTCAAAATTGCCAGAAGATTTAAAATGTTCCCAACATACAGAAATGGTAAATGTTTGAGGTCATGGATATCCCAATTACTCAGATTTGACTGTTACACATTGTGTGCTTATATTAAAATATCACATGTACCTCATAAACATATACAACAATTATGTATCAATAAAAAGAGTAGAAAACAGCTGAGCCTTAGGAACAATCTCTATGTCTTTCCTGTTCCTCCTTCTCCTTTTTTTTATTTCTCTCTCTCTCTCTCTCTCTCCTTCTCTCTCTCTTTCCTCAGTCTTAATGGGAGAAAAACAGCTACTCACCATTATCTGTATGTTACAATTTCAGGCACTAGAAACTACATAACTTTTCTCTCAGCTCTAAGTCCAGACTCCCAGGGAAGCATTCTAATTGGTCCATCTTGGGTCTGCAAGTGTAGGGAAGCATTCTAATTGGTCCATCTTGGGTCTGCAAGTGTGGGAAAGCATTCTAATTGGTCCATCTTGGGTCTGCAAGTGTAGGGAAGCATTCTAATTGGTCCATCTTGGGTCTGCAAGTGTAGGGAAGCATTCTAATTGGTCCATCTTGGGTCTGCAAGTGTGGGAAAGCATTCTAATTGGTCCATCTTGGGTCTGCAAGTGTAGGGAAGCATTCTAATTGGTCCATCTTGGGTCTGCAAGTGTAGGGAAGCATTCTAATTGGTCCATCTTGGGTCTGCAAGTGTAGGGAAGCATTCTAATTGGTCCATCTTGGGTCTGCAAGTGTATTTCTGGACCAATCATCTAAGGCCAAAGGTGGCATCTCTTGGAGGTAACAACAGCTCTCTTGGCATCCCTGGGATCAGAGTACCATTTGGGGGTGGGCTTTACTCAGAAGAAAAAAGGAATTTTCCAATTTGCCAGAGATAATTATTTGTCGGATAATCCTTCAATTTATTTATTTATTTATTTATTTATTTATTTATTTATTTTTGCGGAGAGAGAGAATCTCCCTCTGTTGCCCAGGCTGAAGTACAGTGGTGCAATCTCAGCTCACTGCAAGCTCCGCCTCTCTGGCTCAAGCCATTCTCCTGCCTCAGTCTCCAGAGTAGCTGGGACTACAGGTGCATGCCACAGCAATGGCTGCATTTTTGTTAGAGATGGGGTTTCACCATGTTGGCCAAGCTGGTCTCAAACTCCTGACATCAAGTGATCCACCCACCTTGGCCTCCCAAAGTGCTGGGATTACAGGCATGAGCCACTGCGCCTGGCCTAATTCCTTCAGATTCTGACAATCTTAAGATCTAAATGCCAGATAAAATGTTTATGCTTGAAAATGGCTAATAGCATGACTTTCAACAACAATGATATGCTTAGCAAGGGCTAGCACCATTCTGCAGGTATAAAGCCCTACATGGTAGCATTCTGTGCCCATCAGGGCTTAGCAGAGGAATGGATTTGAGGATAAAGCAGACCTCCACACCCCTCACCACCAGCCTCTCATCTCCAGACTTGCACTCCCAGCCCCACTGTCAAAGAACACAGTGACCCCATGGGACATACATGTGAGACTACAGATGACTTTTCCATCGCCAGCTCAGCTGAAGTGCATTTCTCTGCATCACACAGAGATGGCCCTGGCTGTATCAGCACAGCTCTCGCTTGAGCCACAGATGGCAAATGGAATGCTCATCCCCGCCCCTTGCTCCCTGGCCCGGCTGCTTGCACATTCCTTGACAATAATGCTGGTTCAGAAGCTGGCACTTGGAGCCAACCCTTGCTAGGCACAGCAGGGTGGGCAAGGCAGAAGGAAAGCTGGCAAGGAGGGAAATAGGGGCTATTTATTTTATGCTGGCCCCTGCAGCCTGGAAGGTACCATGAAGATTGGGCAGCAAGACTGCAGCAGATGACAGAGCTTTATCAGGTAAGGGGTCGCAGTGGGGAGCACAGGAAAATTACAGCCCCACTTGCCAAGTCTCAGGGACACCTGCATCTAATTTAACATAAGGAAGACGTTATGGAAAAGGGTTGCTGCCTCCCCCAGATGCAGACTCCTACTAAATCTAGTCTATTCCATCTCCTAAACCTCTCTCCAACTTATTCCCTTCCCTCCATCCCCACCCCAGCTGCTCTAAGCCACCACCATCTCTTGCCTGGAGAGCTGCAATTGCTTCCCAAAGGCTCCATCAGTATTCACTCTGGCCAGAACAGTTCATTCTCTATCCGGTGACCAGAGTGATCTTTCTAAGTTGCAGGTGTGATGACACCTCACTTCTACTTTGGCTCCCCAAGGGGTAGAGTCCAAAATCTTTCACACCAGCTCGTAAGAGCCTTCACAAACCGATCTTGGCCCACTCCAACAGCTTTAAGCATCAAAGATGGTTGGGGTGTGTAGCAGATGAATTGGTGCCCCACCTGATCCCCTCGCCTTTATCACACTGGCCCAACTTCCAATGGCCAGCACCTGCTTTCATTTGTCTGATGGCTTTCACTGGCAATTGTAGCCCACTTTGTTACGCGTGGCAGGATGAAAGTGCCAGGGAATCAATGCCCTCTAGGAGCAGGACTCAAACAATGATTGATGGAAGAGGGAGTATAAACACCCCAGCTCCCTCGCCCTTTGGGTGGGATAACGGGTGCATGTTGACACTGGCTCCCAGAATTACCCAGTTGCCCACAGTCATTGATAAACTCACCCTTTCCTGGCTCCTTCTTGTCTCTCATTCTCTTGTTCCTCAACTGCTATTCAGGATCACTTCTTAGATAAAACTCTTGATGGCCAGGTGTGGTGGCTCACCACTGTAATCTTAGCACTTTGAGAGGCCAAGGCAGGCACATTGCTTGAGCCTAGGAGTTTGAGACCAGCCTGGACAACATGGCAAAACCCCAGCCCTACAAAAATTTTAAAAATTAACCAGGCATGGTGGTGCACACCTGTAGTCCCAGCTACTTGAGAGGATGAGGTGGGAGGATTGCTTGAGCCCAGGAGACTGAGGCTGCAGTGAGCCATGATTGCACCACTGCACTCCAGCCTGGGTGACAGAAAGAGACCCTATCTCAAAACAGACAAACTCTTGCATTCAAATCCTTATCTCAGGGTCTTCTTTGGAAAGATCCCTGAAAAAGCAAGTATTTTCCAAAACCAGGTTATCCAGCTATGCATGTACTTACACATATTAGTGATAAATATGCCATGATATCTGCCATGATATCATGATCACGCATCATGATATGTATGTATTTATATATATTAGCAATAAATATGCCATGATATCTGCAGCCTCTGGACTTGTACACAAGTTTCCTCTACGTAGCATGACCTCCCCCTGCCATCCCATCTTCTGGATAGATCTTACTCTACTTTTAGCTCTATCTGTAGCTTAGATTTACATTCTTGGGTAGAACTCTCACCTTACCCAGACATCTCCTGCACACCCCCCACTACACACACAAGTTCTGTTTCCCTTGGAATTTGCTCCCCTCACACTCCAGTTTTCTTTTTCTTTTTTTTTTTTTTTTTTTTGAGATGGAGTCTCACTCTGTCACCCAGGCTGGAGTGCAGTGGCACAATCTCGGCTCACTGCAACCTCAGCCTCCCAGGTTCAAGCGATTCTCCTGCCTCAGCCTCCCGAGTAGCTGGAATTACAGGCATGTGCCACCATGCCTGGCTAAGTTTTGTATTTTTAGTAGAGACAGAGTTTCGACATGTTGGTCAGGCTGGTCTTGAACTCCTGACCTCAGGTGATTCACCCATCTTGGCCTCCCAAAGTGCTGCACCCAGCCTAGTTCTTTCATTGTGCTTATTGCACCTGTAATTATGTGTTCAGAGCCTGTGTTCCCCATCAAAATGTAAGCCCCATGACAACAGGGATTGTGTTTGTGGGCTCATTTCTGTATCCCCAGAGTGGAGTACAATACAGATGTTCAACAGAGAGTTGAATAAATGGTGCTTTAACTTCAAAAAAAATAGAAAAAGAGAAAAGGTGTAATATCACACAGACATGGAAATGTTCAACACGTGCTAATTGAATAATCACAGCCACCATCACTCAGCACACCCAGTGGGCCAGGCATCCTGCCAAGGGTTTCATAAGCATCACCTCAATTAACCCTCATAGGCTGATACTGATGTTATCCCTGTTTGACAAAGGAGGAATCAGAGTGAAAGAGAGGTTAAATCCCTTGCTAAAGGGCACACAGTAGCAACAGGCAGAGCTGGGATTTGAACCCAGAGAGTCTGGCACGCAGTGCACATATTTACCTGCAAGTTTCTCCTACCTCTTTCCCCACTGGAATGATGCTCCAGTTGTAGAGCTCTTCACAGCACCTGGATGAAGCCTTCTCCCCCTCCAAGGGCATGAAGTGAAGAATCACTGGGGATTTCACAAACCTGATGGCATTCATTCATTCAACCAGTTATTTCTAAAGCACCTACTATGCACCAGGCACAAGGAAAGAGGGGTAAATAAGATAGACACTGTTCCTGCCCTCCCCAAGCTTACATTCTAGTAAAAGAGACAGACACTGAATGAACAAACTTGCAAACAGGCATATAATGGGCAGTTGTAAACACTATGAAGACAATGGGGATGGGAGGTACCTGACTTAAATAGGTCAGAGACAATTTTAAGTGAATACCTGAAAAATGAGAATTCGACCACTCTGGAGGAAGCAGGGCAGAACATTTCCCATCAGACAGTAGGAAATGATGGATGCTATTCTAGATACAGTGGGAAGCCATTGGCAGCGGGGGGTGATATGGTTTTGCTGTGTCCCCACCCAAATTTCGTCTTGAATTGTAGCTCCCATAATTCCCACATGTCATGGGAAGTACCCAGTGGGAGGAAACTGAATCATGGCAGCAGGTTTTCCCATGCCGTTCTCATGATAGTGAATAAGTCTCATGAGATCTGATGGTTATAACAGGCAGTTCCCCTGCACACACTCTCTTACCTGCTGCCATGTAAGACATGACTTTGCTCCTCCTTGGCCTTCTGCCATGATTGTGAGGCCTCCCCAGCCATGTGGAATTGTGAGTCCATTAAACTGCCAGCAGTTGCCCATGAGACAGGAAAGCGCCTACAGGAGCCCCTGACCACCTGGCTCTGAGCCTGCTGCCTAGAGCCATATGTCCTCACCAATATCCAGCAAATGCTGCAGTTCTGTATGTCCGGTTTATCTGGTTCATCTCAGCCCGGACTAAGGAAACCTCAACCACAACCAAAAAACATCCCGCGTAGAAAAGGAATTAGGATGTCACCAGGCACCACCAAAAGTGACAGGGAGAAGAATGCAGGCCTGAAATATCCACTGAGTACAACCTTGTTCTGTTTAAGCGGCTCTCCTCTCATTCTCTGCCTCATTTAACTCTTTCACATACGTTATCTCATTCTGTCTTCAAGAGGATGCAGGTAGGTGCATATCATTCTACCCATTCCCACAGATGGGTAAACTGAGGCTTAGCAAAGTGAAGCGAACTGCCAGCTCAGAGCCAGGTTCTGAAGACAGGGCCCTCTCAGCCCAAGTCCAACAGCACTTCTGTCACCACTCAATGGCTTGCTGTGAAAACCTTCTTAGAAGCTTGCTTTTTGTTGATTTTGTTCTGTGTGCATTTTTACCATCTCAGTATCAGCCAAGAGCTGGTGGGGGAGGAAGGCGAAGGACAGTGGGAAAAGCAAGAAGGCTTAAATGCATCAAGGGCATGATCCTAAGAAACTGATTTGAATTGAATAGAAATTGGTTTCCCGTTATCCTTGCAGCTACAATATTTGCAATTTAGGTCCTGACACCAAACACTGCCACTGTTTTTCTGGTCAAATCTCCTTCCTAGGAAGATAACCATTTAAAAAATTCTCTGTAACCCATCAGGCAGACCAAGTTCCTCTAAAAGACACATACTGCTGCCCAAGTCCACACAAAATTCCAACCCCAGTATGCGAAGCACCACCACATTTACATGGGGCCAGGAAGTAAGATAAATACACAAAGCCTTGTATGGAGCCAAAAAGAAAGAGAAAGGTAGTGAGACCCGAATCCGTGCCTCCCCACCCATACCCTTGCTGAGGGACTCTGCCCCTAATCACAGGCCCTGCTGTCCTGTTTGCCTTAAGAATGATATTCAGCCATTACAAATACAACCATTCTTCAGGCTCAGATACTGAAATCCTTTGAACACAGGACCTCTCTGAGTGTCCTTAAGAAGCTCCATCAAAAACAATAAAATGTGTCATCTCACCCACCAAAGCCCATATGCAAAGAGAGTTTCAGATCCAGTTGATTCAGCTGCTCCAAAGGACCCAGGTTGTTTGTTTGTTTGTTTGTTTGCTTGCTTGTTTTGAGAGAGTCTTACTCTGTCACCCAGGCTGGAGTGCAGTAGCACGATCTTGGCTCACTGCTATCTCCGTCTCCCAGGTTCAAACAATTCTCATGCCTCAGCCTCCAGAGTAGCTGGGATTTTACAGGCACGCACCCCGACGCCCAGCTAATTTTTGTATTTTGATTCGAGATGGGGGTTTTGCCATGTTGGCCAGGCTGGTCTCAAACTCCTGACCTCAGGTGATCCACCTGCCTCAGCCTCCAAAAGTGCTGGGATTACAGGCATAAGCCACCGTACCCAGCCAGAACCCAGGTTCTTGCTGTTCCTCTGCTCTGCCATCCATGGTGCAGACTTCACTCTGAGTCTGATTTTCCGCATGGTCGTATGGATGTCAGTGGCACTTGCTGCTAATGCTTTCCTTTTTCAATCTAAGTCTAAGAGAACCTCTCCCGAAATAACAGACACTAAGTCCTTTCCATTAGTCTATTTAAACCAGCTAGAGTCTTGTCACTATGTCTGAATCATTAACAGTCACCAGGGAGATGCCCTACCTGGGACAGTCAGCAATGCCTGAAGACATTTTTGGTTGTAGCAACTTGGAGAGAAGGGAGTGGGTGCTACTGGCATTGAGTGCAGAGAGGCCCGGGATGCTGTTAAATATCCTGCAATGCACAGGACAGCCCCACCATGAAGAATTATCCATCCAAAATGCAATACTGAGCTTGAGAAACCTTGGCTTAGATTAACCTACATTGGGGTTAGCAAACTACAATCCACAGACCAGATGTAGCCCACTGGCCTGTTTTCGTAAATAAAGTGTCACCAGAATGCAGCCACACACTCATTTGCAAGTTGTCTATGACTGCTTTCGTTGTGATACAGACCATTTGCCTTCACTCCTAAAGCTTAAAATATTTACTCTCTGGCCTTTTTCTGAAAAAGTTAGCTGACCCCTCGCCTAGGTCTACCCTTAAAGCTGGGGTTGGAGAGAATATGTGAACAAAATTAGGGTTCTGTTAGGAAAGAGGGAAAAATTGGTGTTGGGAAGTAACAAACAGTAAACATGACCAAGAGAAAGTCTATTTCTAAAGACCTCACTGTATCCCATAGCTCTCAGCAAGGACCTTACAATGAAACCATACTTCTACTTAAAGGACTTGTACAAAAATTAGGCAGCCAGATAGGAAAAATAAGTTCTAGTATTCTTTATCACTGTAGGATGACTATAGTTGACAATAAAATATTCATAGTTTCAAAACAGCTAGAAGAAAGATATTGACTGTTCCCACACAAAAAAATAATAAATATTTGAGATGTTGTACATGCTAATTACCCTAATCTGATCACTATGTGTTATATGTATCAAAACATCCACTAGGTACCCCATGAATACATACAATTATCATTTGTCCATTTAAAAATTAAAATAAAGTTTAATTAAAAGATGGGAAAAATAAACTAGGAATTTAGGCCTTACACAACTTTTAAGTTACTAGGAGCCATGAAGACCCCGAACTCTCACCCAATAATTAAGATTTTTGACTCCTACTACAAAGAGACAGAAATGATTATCAGAGCAGTAGGTCCTGAGCCCATAAAAGTCAGGCCTGGTGTTGGCTCTATGGAAGGCCAAAGCCACACTGAAATCAACGGAGCGAAAAAAGGAAGAGTAGCAAGGAAGTTACTTAGCAGAGAAAATCACAGGATGGAAGGAGAGAGGCACAAAAACCAAGCATCCCCAGAGGGACAAAGAAACATGGCTGCTTGCAATGATTGATCCCATGATGCTTTGCAGTTCCATGAGATTTCACAGCACCTTTTCAGTAAGTTCTTTTCCTGAACAAGTCCAAATGGGTTTCTGTTCCTTGGAATCAAAAGATCCTTGAGGAAGATGAGACCCACTGAATCACTGGACGCCCTCTGTGTTAGTCCATTCTCATACATTCTCATATTGCTATAAAGAAGCGCTTGAGAATGGGTAATTTATAAAGAAAAGAGGTTTACTTGGCTCATGGTTCCACAGGATGTACAGGAAGCATGGCTGGGGAGGCCTCAGGGAACTTACAATCATGGCAGAAGGCGAAGGGGAAGCAGGCACATGTTCACATGGCCAGAGCAGAAGGGAGAGAGAGGGAGAGGTGCTGCACACTTTTAAACAACAAGATCTCATGAGAATTCTACTGTGAGAACAGCATGAAGGGGAAATTTGCCCCCATGATCTAACCATCTCTCACCAAGCCCCATCTCCAACACTGCAGATTGCAATTTGACATGAGGTTTGGGCAGGGACACACATGAAAACCGTATCACTCTCTCTCAGGGACAAGGCAAATATTTGCCCAAAAGTTTGACTGGCTTCTTCTCTCTCCTTTGATCCTAGTCACCCAGGGATTCCCATTCCACTTGGCAGGAGGTTGGACAGACCCAAAGACCTGACATAACATTTAAGACTTAAAAACTTAAAAAATCTAAGTGGGAAAATAGTACCTGACTTTTTATAGATGCTTTAAATGTCCCTTTTAATAGTAAATATAAATGGTTACCAGACTTGTCAAATATAAGTCAGTATCAACTCTCAAAAAGGATTAAGACGGGAAAAAATTAAGTGAAAAAAAAATTGATGGCCGTTTCTTTTCAACTTGTGATAATGTTACTTTGATCTTCCTGTTCACTTAGCCTGGTTTAAGTTATCAGAAGCCCACCACTAAATGCCCTGTTCCTATTATTTCTTTATTTAATATTATAATTGAATGAGAACTGTTATATCCTGGCCAATGTTCCCCATCTGCTGCTTCTCTGGGTTGGGAGGGGGTTGTTTTGTTTTGTTTTTTTCCTGGGAGCCCCTGAGGCAATATTTAGGAACAAAATCTTCTTTCTGACTTCTTCTGGAATAGATTCTCTTTGTTAAAGCCAGAACCATTCACCTCCTGGAGGCAAATCTGTCCTGTAGGTATTTCTCCGGAGGCCACCATCCAGATTTCCAAGCTGCCTATAAAGGATGGAGGATGGTAGTGCTGAGTTTCTGCCTCTGCTATTTGCAATCCACCTTCCTCATCCTGCAGCCTTTGGAAAAGGGGCCACCTCTATTTGCACCACAGCTAATAAGGCAGGATCAATCAAATGATGATTCTGAGCTAAACAACTGATTTCTTCCCAGCCTCACTGCGCAGAAAGAAAACTGCTAGATGAAGCAAGATCACAATGAAGCCAAACACTTCATGTGAACATATTCAGGGAACACGCTACAACTTTGTGCTGGGGCCTACAGACAGAGACAGAGAAGGTACGGTCCACACCCTTAAGGAAGCCACAGTCTTGAGCAAGGCTGTCCAATAGAGATATAACACAAGCCACATTTGTAATTTGAAAGTTTTTAGTAACAACATTAAAATAAGTAAAAAGAAACAGGTCAAGATAATTTAATAATGCTTTATTTAACCCAAAATGTCATCATTTCCACATGTAATCAATACCAAAAAATTATTAATGAGGTATTTTACATTATTTTCCTATTAAGCCTTTGAAACCCAGGATGTACTTTATGCTTACAGCCATCTTCATTCAGACCAGTCACATTTCAAGTGTTCATTAGTCATATGTAGCTAGTGGCTACTGTACTGGGCAGCACAGCTTTAGAAGTGGAACAGATGTATACACAATTATAAAATGACGTGAAGATACCCCTACTATGTACTCACAAAAAATAAGTTAAAAAAACAAAAACAGGGCCAGGCATGGTGGCTCACATCTATAATCCCAGCACTTTGGGAGGCCAAGGCAGGCTGATCACTTGAGTACAGGAGTTCAAGACCAGACTAGGCAACATGGCAAAACCCTATTTCTACAAAAACAAAAAAATAGCCAAGTCTGGTGGCAGGCGCCTGTAGTCCCAGCTGCTTGGGATGCTGAGGTAGGACGATTGTTTGAACCTGGAAGGTTGAAGTTGCAGTGAGCCATGATCATGCCACTGCACTCCAGCCTGGGTGACACAGTGAGACCCTGTCCCAAAAAAAAATAAAAATAAACAACATGAAGGAAGAAGACAGCAATGAATGGAAAGATGTCCCATGTTCATGGATTGGAAGACTTAACATTGTTAAGACATAAATATCACTCAAAGTGATCTACAGATTTACTACAACCCCTATCAAAATTCCAAGAGTGTTTTTTGCAGAAATATAAATATTCATAATAAAAAATCATATGAAATCTTAAGGAACCCTGAAAAGTCAAAACAATCTTGTAAAAGAACAGAGTTTAAGGTCTCACACTTCCTAATTTCAAAACTTAGTCCAAAGCTACAGCAATCAAGACAGCATGGCACTGTCATAAAACAATGAAATTGAATGGAAAGCCAAGAAATCCACCCTTGTATACATGGCCAAGTGATTTTTGAGAAGGGTTCCATGACTCTTCAATAGGGAAAAGATAGTCTGGACCCTTACCTTGTATAGGATCCTTTCCTTAAATCATATAAAAAATTAATTCAAAATGAATCAATGACCTAAACATAAGTGTTAAAACTACAAAACTCTTAGAAGGAAACATAGAGGGAAGCTTCATGACATTGGATTTAGCAATGATTTCTTGGATATGGCAACAAAAGAAAAAATAGACAAATTGAACTATATCAAATTTAAAACTATGCATCAAAGGACACAACAGAATGAAAAGGCAACTCACAGAAGGGAAGAAACTATTTGCAAATTATATAGCTGAGAAGGGGTTAATATCCAGAGTATAGGTCGGGCATGGTGGCTCATGCCTGTAATCCCAGCACTTTGGGAAGCCGAGGCGGATGGATCACAAGGTCAGAAGTTCAAGACCAGCCTGACCAACATGATGAAACCCCGTCTCTACTAAAAATACAAAAATTAGCTGGGTGTGGTGGCGTGCACCTGTAATCCCAGCACTTTTAGAGGCCGAGGCAGATGGATCACAAGGTCAGAAGTTCAAGACCAGCCCAACCAACATGGTGAAACCTCATCTCTACTAAAAATACAAAAATTAGCTGGGTGTGGTGGCACGCACCTGTATTCCCAGCTACTCAGGAGGCTGAGGCATGAGAATCACTTGAATCCGGGAGGCAGAGGTTGCAGTGAGCCGAGATCATGCCACTGCACTCCAGCCTGGGTGACAGAGCGAGACTCCATCTCAAAAAAAAAAAAAAAATCCAGAGTATATAAAGAATTCCTACAACTCAATAACAACAACAAAACCAGTTTTAAAAGGGGCAGAAGACTTGAAAACACATTTCTCCAAAGAAGATAAACAAATGGCCAAAAAGCACATGAAAAGATGTTCAACATCACTAATCATTAGGGAAATGCAAATCAAAAGCACAATGAAATACCACTTCGTTACACAATGAGATGCCATATGAGATACTGCCTCATACACATACACGTAATAGTCATTATCCAAAAGGGAAAAAAACAGATAACAACAAGTGGTGACAAGGATGTAGAAAATTGGAGCCCTCGGGCACTGGTGTTGGGAATGTAAAATTGTGCAGCAAGCACTTTAGAAAACAATATGGGAGTTCCCCAAAAAGATTCAAAGTATAATTATCATCTCCAGCAATTCTTGTGGGTATATATCTAAAAGAATTAAAAGTATAGACTCAAATAGATATTTGTACACATATATTCATGGCAGCATTATTCACAACAGATAAAAAGTGGAAGCAACCCAAGGGTCCACCAACAGATGAATGGATAGGCCGGGCGCGGTGGCTCACGCCTGTAATCCCAGCACTTTGGGAGGCCGAGGCGGGCGGATCACGAGGTCAGGAGATCGAGACCATCCTGGCTAACATGGTGAAACCCCATCTCTACTAAAAAATACAAAAAAAAAAATTAGCCAGGAGGCCAGGCATGGTGGCTCAAGCCTGTAACCCCGGCACTTTGGAAGGCTGAGGCAGGTGGATCACCTGAGGTCAGGAGTTCAAGACCAGCCCGACCAACGTGGTGAAACCCCGTCTCTACTAAAAATACAAAAAATTAGCCTGGTGTGGTGGGGGGCGCCTATAGTCCCAGCTACTCAGGAGGATGAGGCAGGAGAATGGCATGAACCTGGGAGGCGGAGCTTGCAGTGAGCCAAGATCGTGCCACTGAGCTCCAGCCTGGGCGACAGAGCGAGACTCCTCTGTCTCAAAAAAAAAAAAAAAAAAAAAAAAACAGATGAATGGATAAACAAAATGTAGCATATCCACACAATGGAATATTATTCATCCCTAAAAAGGAAGGAAATTCTGATATATACTACAACATGGATTAACCTTATGGGCATTAAGCTAAGTGAAATAAGCCAGACACAAATGGACAAATACTATATGTTTCCACTTATATGAGGTACCTGAAGTAGTGAAAACCATAGAGACATAGAGAAGGTAGAATAAGCCGGGTATGGTGGCTCACGCCTGTAATCCCAGCACTTTGGGAGGCCGAGGCAGGCAGATCATCTGAGGTCAGGAGTTCGAGACCAGCCTGACCAACATGGAGAAACCCCGTCTCTACTAAAAATACAAAAAAAAATTAGCCAGGTGTGGTGGCGCATGCCTGTAATCCCAGCTACTCATGAGGCTGATGCAGGAGAATCACTTGAACCCGGGAGGCGGAGGTTGCAGTGAACTGAGATAGTGCCATTGCACACCAGCCTGGGCAACAAGAGTGAAACTCTGTCTCAAAAAAAAGAATTGTGGTTGCCAGGGAGTGGAGGGAGGAGGAAATGGAGAGTCAGTGCTTAATGG
The DNA here is from genome assembly GCF_000001405.40 of Homo sapiens. Classification (NCBI taxonomy): domain Eukaryota; kingdom Metazoa; phylum Chordata; class Mammalia; order Primates; family Hominidae; genus Homo; species Homo sapiens. The sequence goes on along the minus strand of NC_000012.12, from coordinate 118,502,399 downwards.
ATATAGAGTTTCAGTTTTGCAGATGAAAAGTGTTCTGGAGATAAACGGTAGAGATGATTGCACAAGATGAATATACTTAATGCCACTGAGCTGTACACTTAAAAATTGTTAAGATGGTAAATTTTACGTGTACATTACCACAATACAAAAAGAATAATTATAAGGCAATTGAAAAAATAACACCAAGAAGGGCCATAACCCAGAGAGGAAGTTGTAGAGACACCAAACATCTGTGGAAGACTTAGAGTGTCATAATTAAGAGTTTAAGTTTCAGCGACAAAGAGGCTTTCATCCTATACAGCCACTTGGAAATATCACATTCTCTCTCCAAGCTTTGCTTTCCTCACCTGCGAAATGCAAGTATTTAAAGGGCCACCCTCCTAGATTCCTGGTAAAGAATGAGTATGTGATGCAGTCAGCACAGTGCCTGGCACAAAGAAACCTCTTCTGCGATGTCAGCTGGTGTCATTATTGTTATTAATATAACAAGCAAGAGAAGAGGGGCACATATCAAGGAAGGCTTCTTGGATAAGGGGACACCTGAGAGGAGTCTTTTATTTTTTGAGACCGGGTCTTGCTCTGTTGCCCAGGCCAGAGTACAGTGGCATGATCACAGATTATGCAGCCTCGACCTCCCAGGCTCCAGTGATCCTCCCTACTCAGCCTACTGAGTAGCTGAGACTATGGTCACATACCACCATGCCCAGCTACATTTTTTTTGTAGAGACAGGGTCTCACTATGTTGCCCAGGCTGGTCTTGAATTCCTGGGCTCCAACGTTGGCCTTCCAAATTGCTGGGACTATAGGCATGAGCCACCATACTCAGCCTCTGAGATGGGTCTTAAAGATGAATGAGAATTAACTCCACAAATAGGGAGGGTAGGAAGAAATTTCCAAGCAGAGGGACAACTGGTGAAGACAAACAATGTAGGAAAGAGGTATATTATGTGCTTTTTCAAACATATACATCTATATATTCTTTCACACACACACACAAATGGGAACATGCCATTCTGTGCCTTGCTTTTTTCCACTTATTAATAGATCAGTTCTAATGGTAACAAAAAACGTTCTACAGTAGTGATGATGGTTATGCAACTTTGTGAATATTCTAAAAACCACTTTAAAAGGGTGACTTTTGGTCGGGTGCAGTGGCTCACACCTGTAATCCCAGCACTTAGTGGCAGCCAAGGCGGGTGGATCATCTGAGGTCAGGAGTTAAAGACCAGCCTGACTAACATGGTGAAACCCTGTCTCTACTAAAAATACAAAAATTAGCTGAGTGCGGTGGTGGGCATCTGTAGTCCCAGCTACTCTGGAGGCTGAGGCAGGAGAACTGCTTGAACCTGGGAGGCAGAGGTTGCAGTGAGCTGAGATCACACCACTGCACTCCAGCCTGGGCAACAAAGTAAGACTCTGTCTCAAAATAAAAAAATTTTGAAAGGGTGACTTTTATGATATGTGAATTATATCTCAATTTTAAAAGAAAAGGAAATAGTGTTTATAGGGAAATCTGGTTGTCCCCCAAAACTCAAACTCTGGTAGTGATATTGCAGATATTAAAAGTGAATATAATGTATATAATACTATAGTATGTGACCCCGATCACATACAATTCCACTTCTGGTATATGTCTAAAAGAACTGAAAGCATACACTCCAGTAGAAATTTGATCTATTGGATCCCGATTACACACTATAGTATTATATACATTATATTCACGTCCAATATCTGCAATATCACTAACTAGAGTTATTTGAGTTTTGGGGGAAAACCCAATTTCTGTATAAACACACTATAGTATGTGATCCCCCGGTCCCCACCAGAATATATTACATTCTCAGTGTGGCTGAGACCACACTGTGCAGGCAGCCATCCAGCTTACGTCTGCCAAAGACTGCGTCCGTTAGAAGTGATGGCGCCCCGCCTCCCACAGCACAGCAGCAGCTTGTGTGTTGATGACACACTTAAGAGATACATAGAAATGCATTGTTGTTGGGACCTACTGATATCAGAGGGTTTTGGGCCTGAAGGCTGAGTACCAGAGGAACTCAAGACACTGACAGCTTTTTACTAGCTCTGTGTCCTTGGACTGAATTTTTTCATGCAAATATCCTCCTAATTCATCAGCAAAGACTCACTGCTTATGTGCCTAGCACTATGCAAAAAACAGGGTAGAATAGGGTTTCAGGTCACCTGGTTCAGCTCAGATAGAACTTTTGTTTGAGAACCTGAATTGGAATGTGTATGTTCTACTCATTCTTTCTGTGTGTGTGTGTGTGTGTGAATTCTATTACTGATCACACGCAAGGTGCCACGCACTGACCCAGGTGTTGGGTATCCCTCTGCAATCAAGGATCTCTGCCCTCAGGGTGCTTATAGAACTAGAGGGATAGCAGAAAATGAGACAAGTGCCAATGATAAAGTATGGTGCGAATCGTGGTGCAGGACAGGCGTTGAGAGCTTGGCCCACAGAGACTGACACCTCCCTGGCATTGACCTTGAAGGATGAGTATGAGCCAGAAAAGGGGAGAACAAGAGGGAGAAAAGGAGGGTATTTCAGGCATAGGGAGCAATGTGGACACAGACAGGGAGGCAGGAAGGGCAGGACTTAGCAACTTAGAAATGAAAAAATTCAGCTGGGCGCGGTCGCTCACACCTGTAATCCCAGCACTTTGGGAGGCCTAGGTGGGTGGATCACCTGAGGTCAGGAGTTTGAGACCAGCCTGGCCAACGTGGCAAAACCCCTCTCTACTAAAAATACAAAAATTAGCCAGACATGATGGCATGCGCCTGTAATCCCAGCTACCCAAGAGGCTGAGGCAGGAGAACTGATTGAACCTGGGAGGTGGAGGAGGCAGTGAGCCGAGATCACGCCATTGCACTCCAGCCTGGGCAACAGAGCAAGATTCCATCAAGAAAAGAAGGAGAGGAAGGAAGGAGAGGGAAGAGAAGGGAAGGAGAGAGGAGGAGAGGAGAGGAGGGGAAGGGAGGGGAAGGGAGGGGAGGGGAAGGAGGGGAAGCGGGGAGGGGAGGGGAGGGGAGGAGAGGAGAGAAAAGATTCTATGTGGCTAGGATGGGACTAGGAGAAAGACAGGGAAGGATGCTGCTGATTTGGGCCTTCTAGCCCTGGAAGATAAAGCAGTCAGTGGGGTCAGCGAATGCCTCACCAAGGCTAAATTGCGATGAGGTTGTTCTTTAAGACAGTAGACCATCCCATTCCATAAGCACTTAAGGAATGTTCCATGTATGCCAGGGTCTGGGCTAAACATTGAGGACTTCACAGCAATTAAGACATCCCTGACACTTGCAGGGCCCCAAAGATAAAGAGTACTGTTATCCACTGAATTGTCTCTCTCCAAAATTCACATGTGCCCAATGCAACTGCATTTTGAGATAGAGTCTCTTTTTTTTCTTTTTTTTTTTTTTTTTTGAGATGGAGTCTCGCTCTGTTGCCCAGGCTGGAGTGCATTGGCATGATCTCAGCTCACTGCAACCTCCGCCTCCCAGGTTCAAGAGATTCTCCTACCTCAGCCTCATGAGTAGCTGGGACTATTGGGACTATAGGCATGTGCCACCATGCCTGGCTAATTTTTTTTTTTTTTTTGTATTTTTAGTAGAGATGGGGTTTCGCTGTGTCGACCAGGCTGGTCTTGAACTCCTGACCTCAGGTAATCCGCTTGCCTCAGCCTCCCATACTGCTGAGATTACAGGTGTGAGTCATGGTGCCTGGCCTGAGATAGAGTCTTGAAGGAGGTAATTGAGATTAAATGAGATCCTGGGCATGGGAGGGCTAATTCAACAGGACAAGTGTCCTTACAAGAGGAAGAAGAGGCCCCGGGGATGTGCACACACGGAGGAAAGGCCGTGTGAGGATGCAGTGAGAAGGCAGCCACCTACCAGCCAAGGAGAGAAGCCTCAGGAGAATCCAGCTCTGCCAGCACCTGCATCTTAGCCTCCAGAACTGTGTGAAAGTTCATTTCTGTTTAAGCTGCCCAGTCTGTGGTATTTTGCTATGGCAACCCTATCTGACAAATACCAGTATGAACAGAAGTTCCAGCTCTCTGCCTCCCCTTCCTGCCCATGAGAGGCCCTGCATATATGTGTAGATCCCAGCCCATGCATCCAAGTTTTCTGCTCATATGCCAGCAACAAGCATCTGTTGGCCCCCAGAAGGCCTGGCAGGTACACACACAAGTGGTGTCATCCACCCTTGGGAAGACAGGCACAAGGAGGAGGTTTGGGCAGTCCCTGGAAATGGGCTCAGAGCTGTTTGGGCAGAGAATTTGGAGGTCCAGGGTACCTTAAGTGTGATCTGGAAGGGAAGCACCTATTCCAGATGGGCAGATCCCATTGGACCCATGGATTCCTCTCCCTGTGAGGAAGAGTGTGGCCAGAGGGGAGCCAGAGTGGGGCCATCTGAAGCTCAAAGATCAAACAGGGGCCCTGGTTGTCTGGGTCAAGGGCATTGCTGGAGGCAGGGGCAATGGAAGAGGGAGGCTGTTCCAGGAGATCAGCACATACAAAGGATAGAACAGCTGGGCGCAGTGGCTCATGCCTATAATTACAGCACTTTGGGAGGCCAAGACAGGCAGATCACTTGAGGTCAGGAGTTCAAGACCAGCCTGGGCAACATGGTGAAACCCTGTCTCTACTAAAAAAAAAAAAAAAAAATTTGCTGGGTGTGGTGGCAGGTGCCTGTAATCCCAGCTATTCAAAAGGCTGAGGCGGGAGGATCGGTTGAACCCAGGAGGTGAAGGCTGCAGTGAGCTGAGATCGCACCACTGCACTCCAGCCTGGGTGACAGAGTAAGATTCCATCTCGAAAAATAAAAGGAAACCTGGGAAATACAAGTTTCCCAGGGGTCCTCCTGGCTGGAAGTTGAAGTAAGGAGAAGTAAGAGATGAGGCTAAGGACTCAACAGAGGCTGGACCAAGCAGGGCTTGTATGTCTCACCAAGAGAGCATGTTCTTGTGGGTGCAGTGGGAGCCACCTGCTTAGCTGGCTGCAGTGTGGGGAGATGGATTGGAGGCCTATCAAGTTTTAAATTCAGTTTAGGGCCCTTCTAGGATCCTTAGCCTGGCTTAGAGATAGACATCCACCAACCCTGAGAAGCGCATCTCCTTTCAACTTAAACTTCTCCCCAGCCAACTAGCTTATCACTTTTCACCAAGATCAAACCCATGACAAATTTGCTTTTGGAAAGAGAACAACAGGACCCAGCTTGCCTTACTACTTGACTCTTCCCACCTAGTGCTCCATGTTAGCTAACCAGATACATAACTATTTTTATCATGTTTCCCTTTTCACCTGGGCCACCAGGATTCTCTCTTCCTTTTTTTTTTTTTTTTTTTTGAGACAGAATCTTGCTCTGTTGCCCAGGCTGGAGTGTAGTGGCATGATCTTGGCTCACTGCAACCTCCACCTCTGGGGCTCAAGCAATTCTCCTGCCTCAGCCTCCATGTAGCTGGGACTACAGGCATGTGCCACTACACCTGGCTAATTTTTGTATTTTTAGTAGAGATGGGATTTCACCATGATGGTCAGGCTGGTCTCCAACTCCTGCCTTCAGGTGACCTACCTGCCCTGGCCTCCCAAAGGCTGGGATTACAGGTGTGAGCCACCGCACCTGGCCTTTTTTTTTTTTTTTTTACTTTTACTTAGCTTCTGATTCTCTGGTTGAATGGATGTTCTCTCTTGATGGTCTCAAAAGGTGAATATAAAGCAAAACTTGTTAACAGTTAAAATCATTTTTCAGCCGGGCCCAGTGGCTCACGCCTGTAATCCCAGCACTTTGGGAGGCTGAGGCAGGCGGATTACATGAGGTCAAGACTTCAAGACCAGCCTGGCCAACATGGTGAAACCCCATTTCTACTAAAAATACAAAAATTTGCCAGGTGTGGTGGCGGGCGCCTGTAATCTCAGCTACTTGGGAGGCTGAAGTGGGAGAATCACTTGAACCTGGGAAGTGGAAGTCACAGTGAGCCAAGATCGTGCCACTACACTCCAGGCTGGGCAACAGAATGAGACTCCGTCTCAAAAAAAAAAAAAAAAAAAAATGGAAGAAAGAAAGAAAGAAAAAGAAAAAAGAAAAGAAAAATGGAGGTTAAATCCCCATGTAGTGGCTCATGCGTTAATCCCAGCACTTTGGGAGACTGAGGTGAGCAGATCATTTGAGGTCAGGAGTTCGAGACCAGCCTGACCAATATGGTGAAACTAAAAATACAAAAAATTAGCCAGGCATGGTGGCACACCCATGTAATCCCAGCTACATGGGAGGCTGAGGCAGGAGAATTTCTTGAACCCACAAGGCAGAGGTTGCAGTGAGCCGAGATCACGCCACTGCTCTCCAGCCTAGGCAACAGAGCAAGACTCCACCTAAAAAAAAAAAAGAAAGAAAGAAAAAGAAAAACAGGGGTAAAAAGGCAGCAGACAGGGAGGTCAGCAAGACATAAGGCCAGAGAGACACGCAGAAGCAAATCACGAAAAGCCTGAATAAGGAGTTTGGACATTTCCTAGAAGACAGTGAGGGATTGTGCCTCAGCATCCACAGCTGAAGTGGGGGGAAATGATCATACCCACCTCATAGGGTTGTTGTGAGATTAAACTGCTTAGCATAATGATTGGTTCATATTAAGTGTTCAATAAATGCTCAATAATTATAAATATCATTGAAAGATTTTAGGGAGACTAATAACATGGTAATATAAATCACTGTTAATATGACAACTACCATTAATTTAACATCTGTATGTGCCAGGCACGGTGCTAAGCACTTCATGTACATCACTGTTTTTCTCCTAAGCATTATTACTGCTTGAAATTGCATCACACATTTGATTATGCAGTTACTGCCTGTCTCTCTCACTAGAATGAAAGTTCCATAAGACAGACGGAAACCTGTCTATCTTGTTTGCTGCTGTCTACCCAGTGCCTAAAATGGAGACTGACTCCTGCAGTAGGAGCTCAATAAGTAATTTCTGGATGAAGAGAATGATCCCATTTACAATAATCCAGAGAAATGAATTGTATTGCCTTGATTATTTTAAATGAAGAAACTGAAGTGTAGAAAGATCATTCATTCAGCCTTCATTGTGGACAAAAAAAAAAGTGAGATGGGAAAGGCCAGAGGCAAGAAGGCAAGTGAGGAAATCATTGTAGACATGCAATAAAGAAAACTGGATGGGCCTGGCACAGTAGCTCAAGCCTGTTATCCCAGCACTTTGGGAGGCCAAGGTGGGCAGATCACTTGAGTCCAGGAGTTCGAGACCAGCCTCGGCAACATGGCAAAACTCTGTCTCTAAAAAAAAATAAAAAAAAAAAAAAATGAGTGAGGCATGGTGGCACATGAGTGTGGTCCCAACTACTCAAGAGGCTGAGATGGGAGGATCACTTGAATCCAGGAGGCAGAGGTTGCAGTGAGATGAGATCATAGCATTGCACTCCAGCCTGGACAACAGAGTGAGTCATTGTCTCCAAAAAAAAAAAAAAAAAAAAAAAAGTAAAGAAAAGAAAAAGAAAATTGGATGGAGAGAAGTTACTATATTGGAGAGATTTTAAGAAGGTGGGTGGGGTAGGTGGGAGAGATGGATGAGTGGATGAATTGATGGATGAATGAACGAATATATGGGTTGATGGGTGGGTAAACAGATGGGTGGATGTGTAGATGAGTGGCTATGTGAGTGGATGAATGATTCCTACCCAGTGGGGTTCAAACAGACACCCAATGATAATGGATGGGGGGACAGATGAGTGGATGAATAGGTGAGTGGATGAATGGATATGTCGGTAGATGGGTAGATGATGAGCAAATATGTGTATGGATGGATGGGTGGACGAGTAGATCTTCAGAGACACCTAGTGCCCTTGCATGGTGCATTTTATGCAGAGAATAAAATTTTTTAGACATAGTAACCAGAATAGATATAAAAATATTGTCCAGGTATAAAGGACAGAGTCTGTAACATCATGAGATTCAGGGAATATAACAATCCTCTCCAAGATGCCTTCATACCGATTTTTTCCAAGACCCATGTGCTCAATTATTCTTCCCTTTACCCCTCCAAGTCAAATAAAGCATAAATCAGCCTTTAACCTGTCATTCCTCCAGCTATTTTCCAAATCCAGAGTGCTGAGGCTTTAAATTATTCTGTGCCTAACTTGGTTAAGCAGTCCCTGAGCCTAGCTAGGATGATCTTATTGTCAGGGAAACAGAGTTGGCCTGACCTGCAAAACCTGCCAATGCTGTTGCTATTCTGGAGAGAGTGTTAAAGGCTTTGAAAGATGATCCCTGCCCAGTGGAGTTCAAACGGATACCCAGTCATAAAAAAATCCCAGGTGGGTTATTCTTCCTAATTAAAGACGCCACATAGGTGTGATCTGTTCTTTCTCTTTCATCAGTCCCTTCTCCCTGCCTTTTCCCTGTGTCTTGAAAACACACATGCACACAAATACTCACTGCCATGTTCAGGGCTAGAGTAGGTAAAATATATTAATATTTCAAAAAAAGCCTCATCTCAAAGCAGTATCTTCCCAATCGTTTCTTGAAATCCCCCTTTATCAATACATTCCTTTGTGTTAACCACTGCCCTTTTGTGCCTGATGGTCTCTTTTTAAATAATATTTACAAACTCCAGCTGGGCATGGTGGCTTATGCCCATAATCTCAGGGCTTAAGGGGGTCAAGGCAGGAGGATCACTTGAGGCCAGGAGTTCAAGACCAGCCTGGGCAACATAGCAAAACCCCACCTCTCCAAATATACTTTAAAAAATTAGTCGGGCATGCTGATGCACCTCTGTAGCCCTAGCTACTCAGGAGGCTGAGGTGGGAGGATCGCTTGGGCCCAAAAGTTCGAGGATGCAGTGAGCCATGATTGTGCCACTGCACTTCAGCCTGGGTGACATGACAAGACCCTGTCTCAAAAAAAAAAAAAAAAAGAATTTCATTCCTTAAGGCTGAATAATATTCCTTGTATAAATATACCAAATTTGTTTATCCCTTCATCTGTTGATGAACATTTGGGTTGTGTCTACCATTTGACTTTTGTGAATAATGCTGCTGTAAACATTGGTATACAAGTATCTGAGTCCCTGCTTTTAATTCCAGAGGAAATTTTAACAGCTTCATGTAGAGCCTGTGTCATCAAACTCCACTCCCCTTTTCTTCAACTTGACTTTATTGCATGGTTTTTAAAGCTCTTCTCTGTGCCACTGGGTTTTGGTCAGTAACCCCACAAATCCCTCTCACTGGATATCTCTAACTATCAATTTGGGAAATCAAAGGTTTGTGTATTGGTTCCTACTCTCCCAGGAAGCCCCAGAACCCTTATCCAAACTGATCCCTACTTTCGCCTCTAGTGGGCTTTGCACATCAAGCAACTGAGGAGGCAATCCTGATAAATCCCCAAAAATTTCCTGAAACACTAATCGCAGGGCAAAGGCCAGATTGCACCCTACATTTGCCCAACAAAGAACTAAGATTAGTCACCCTCAGTCAAAAACAAAAAAAGGCCAGGCGTGGCAGCTCACGCCTGTAATCTCAGCACATTGGGAGGCCGAGGTGAAGCAGATCATCGGAGGTCAGGAGTTCGAGACAAGCCTGGCCAACATGGTGAAACTCCGTCTCTACTAAAAACACAAAAATTAGCTGGGCATAGTGGTGCATGTCTGTAATCCCAGCTACTTGGGAGGCTGATCCAGGAGAATGGCTTGAACCTGGGAGGCAGAGGTTGCAGTGAGCTGAGATTGCCTGCACTCCAGCCAGGGTGATGGAGCAAGATTCCATCTCAAAAAATAAATGAATAAATAAATACAAAAACAATGCTAATCCTGTACAAGTTAGCCACCAAACAAATATTTATTGAATGGCTAAAGAACAGGATCTTGAAATAATTTCCTTTCTTGAAGTCGGGCCAACACCCTCACATCCTAAACTAAGGTACTATGCCACCTGTACAGGACATGCCAAGGTATCGTTAAACTGGATTGGCAAGGCATTAGCCAATCTCACATCTCTGGGCTACAAAAATGAGATTGGGGTTAGAGGTGGGTAGAGTGAGAATTTTGTGATGAGTATTTGTTGCGGGGCTGTGCTCCCTGTACTTCATCACAGTGGGGAAGGAAGTACGTCCTCTCGCGTCAAGCCAAGCTGAAGAGGTACACACATCCTGGAGTCTGATGAACTCAAAGTGGTGTTGGAACATCAACAGAAGTGGTGTGTTGTCCAGTAGGACAAGAGGCTGTGTGCATCTGGGGTTTTCCATGCTTGGCAACAGAGTGAAGAGAGGACTAGGACTGCTTTGGGAACAAGTTGCCCCTCTATCAGAGGCATGTGAGCCAGAGCAACTCCATCTTGAATAGGAGCTGGGTAAAATGAGACTGAGACCTACAGGGCTGCATTCCTAGATGTTAAGGCATTTTAAGTCACAGGATGAGATAGGAGGTCGGCACAAGATACAGGTCATAAAGACCTTGCTGATAAAATAGGTTGCAGTAAAGAAGCCAGTTAAAACCCACCAAAACCAAGACGATGACGAGAGTGACCTCTGGTAGTCCTCACTGCTACACTCCCACCAGCACCATGACAGTTTACAAATGCCATGGCAACATCAGGAAGTTACCCTATATGGTCTAAAAAGAGGAGGTATGAATAAACCACCCCCTTGTTTAGCATATCATCAAGAAATAACCATAAAATGGGCAACCAGCAGCCCTTGGGGCTGCTCTGTCTATGGAGTAGCCATTGTTTTATTCCCTTACTTTCTTAATAAACTTGCTTTCACTTTACTCTATGGACTCACCCTGAATTCTTTCTTGAGTGAGATATAAGAACCCTCATGGGGTCTGGACTGGGGTCTCTTTCATGTAACAGCTCCACTAATGAGGGTTGGGGGGATGAAGGAATGAGTCTCCTGGACTCTCATATGGTTCCTATAGAAGGGAGCTGGCTGGCATCATCTTAAAGGCATCCTGTCCAAGAATATCACTTGGAGATGTGAAGGGATCATGGTGCAGCAAGGGGTCAGGGCTGAAAGTGGAAAGAGCTCTGTAGTCACATATCCAAGTGGGAGGCTCTCCTGAAAACCCACACCAGTATCCCCTGGGAAAGAGTCAGCTTTGACTTCCACCCCACCCAGAGGATAAAAATCTCACATGGCTACTGCACCTGCTGCAGAACAGCTTCACCACCGCTATCTCCCACCCCTACCCCAGTCTCTCCCTTCCACCCACCCTCCTCCAACCCTGAGGTGTCAAACACTGCAGCCTACAATGAAGAAAGAAATAGAAAAAAAAATCTGCCCATGCTCCCTCCTCCAGCTCCTTCCAAGAGAGGAGGAGGAGATTTAAATGAGATAACAGACCCAGCTTTGTGGTTGCTAAAAAGAGCCCATCTTTGTAACTTGAATGGTTCTCAGAAGCTATGGGACCTGTCAGAGATTTCTTCCAAGAAGAGGAGACAAGAAGTCCACAAACAGTAGACTTCTGTCCTCACAGTACCCCATCAAGAAAAACCTATCCAATAAACTATTAATAGTTATACCTATCACATGCCCTCTGCAAGGCACTGGGGCTCAAAACTAAAGAGACATAAAGTCTTGCCTCAAGGAAATTGCTATTTAATTCTTAACTTATTACAGGCAAGTATCCCTCATTCAAAAATCTAAATCCAAAATGCCCCAGTTAGCATTTTTGGGGGGCAGGCATCATGTCAGTACTTAAAAGGTTTTACATTTTGGACCATTTCAGATTTCAGATTTTCAGATTAGGGATGATCAACCTGTAAGTATAATGCACATATTCCAAAACCTGAAAATACCCAATATCTGAAACTCTTCTGGCCCCGAGCATTTTGGATGAAAGATACTCCACCTGTATTGTAGAATTCTGTTTCTCTCAGACCTAAACTCTGTGAAAAAGAAAGGATTGGGTACCTACTAGAGAAAGAAAGACCACACATAAAGGAAAACTCAGATTCTGGAAAGGTGATGAAGGCAGTTCTAGGCTTGCCCCAATTCTCCCCATAAAAACAGAGAGAATAACTAAGAGAGCGTAGTAGATGGCATTGGATGCTCTTGATGCCCCCTAGATGCTCTGTAGTAACCAAGCATCCATCCCCTACACTAATGGCTCACACCTGCCCCATCTCCAGAGACTTGCTCTCAGTTAAATGGGAGTCCTGTAACCACCCGATGGGTTCACCTTGTCTGCTACCTAGACAGAGCCAATTTCTTTTTCTTTCCTTTTCTTTTTTTTTTTTTTTTTTTTGAGATGGAGTCTCACTCTGTCACCCAGGCTGGAGCGCAATGGCACGATCTTGGCTCACTGCAACCTCCGCCTCCTGGGTTCAAGCAATTCTCCTGCCTCAGCCTCCAGAGCAGCTAGGATTATAGGCATCCACCGCCACACCCAGCTAATATATTTTTTTTTTTTTGTATTTTTAGTAGAGATGGGGTTTTACCATGTTGGCCAGGCTGGTCTTAAACTCCTGACCTCAAGTGATCTGCCCACCTTGGCCTCCGAAAGTGCTGGGATTACAGGCATGAGCCACTGTGCCTGGTCCAGAGCTGATTTCTTAAAGCAGGAGAATTGCAATAGAGAAAGAGTAATTCATGCAGAGCTGGCTGTGTGGGAGACCAGAGTCTTATTATTACTCAAATCAGTCTCCCCACCACCCCAGTATTCAGGGAGCAGAGTTTTTAAGGATAATTTGGTGGGCAGGGGAAGGCCAGTGAGCCAGGAGTGGTGATTGGTTGGGTCAGTGATGAAATCATGGGAAGTTGAAGCTGTCCTCTTGTGCTGAGTCAGTTCATGGGTTGGGGGAGCTACAAGATCAAATGAGCTAGTTTATCATTCTGTGTGGTGCCAGTTGATCTATCAAGTGCAGGGTCTGCAAAATATCTCAAGCACTGATCTTAGGAGTGACAGAGCAGGAGCATCACCATCTTGGACAAACACTACCATTTTAAGTTCCCCTTGATTAAAAATCACCTAAATCCAGCCCAAAAACATCAGCCTAATGGCTAATGTTAGCATGACCACAAACCACAAGTGACACCTCTCACCAGAAATATTCCAACCCTGAGATAAACCCCCTCTTTGACCAGAAACATGCCAACCCCAAATTAACCTCGCCTCTGACTAGAAATATGCCAGCCCCAAGATAACCTCCCCTCCGACCAGAAGACATTTCAGCCCCACTATAAAACTCTCCTCCACACAGAAACATTCTGAGCCTGTGATAAGCCCTCCCTCCCTGAACTCTTAATTACCCTTAGTCTGTAAAAGAGAATGCTCCTGACCAAAATCGTCCAGAATCCCCTCTCAGTTTTATTCTCCAAAATAAACCTGTCTTTGACTGTTGAGCTGCTTTTTGTGTTTCTTTCTTCTCTCTTTAACTCTTACATTTGGTGCCAAAACCTGGGCCAGGTGTTGGGGGCAGAGGCTCTCTTGCAACCCAGGAAGCAGTGGGCAGTGGCAGCTTGTCCTGGGCTAACTCCTGGATCCTGAGGGTCTCTGACCACATGCCCTGTCCTCTTTCTCTCTCTATTTGGGTGTACAGGTTCTCTTGCAACCCAGGAAGCAGTGGCAGCAGCAGCTCCTCCCAAGCTAACTCCTGGATCCTGAGGGTCTCTGGCCACCCACCATTTCACTCTTCTCTCATTTCACTTTTTTGAGCAATTTGTATGAAAAGGACAACTAATCTGAAGGGAACTGCAAGGCTCGGGCCAGGGCTACTCCCCAGTGGGCTCTCAAAACCCTCAGATCTCAGGAATCCACCTCTGACCACCTGCAATGGGTATTTCACTCTCTGACCCTTGTCCTCTCTCTCCTCTCTCCCCTCTCTCTCTTTCTCTCTTCCTCACACAGCTCCAGTCCAGGAGGCCCTTTGCCAATTCCAACCAGAACATCCAACATTGGACACTAATCCAGCCGTGTGGTAAGATGCCTTCCCCTGGCTTTCTTGTGGTACCTGGGAAAGTCAGGTCTGCCATCCCAGTCTTCGAAGGACCAGTGGGACTCAGCTAGAAGAAATCTTGGGGATGCCCAGTTTCTTCTCAGCTTAAATGTTCTCTTTAGAAAGAGGAGGCCAGATCTCTGTCTTTTGTCTGGGGATGCCTGGAACAAAAACAGACACCCTTGGCCTCCTCTTACCAGTCTGCATGGGTGCCAAACAATCCTACATTCCTACGTCCTCCCCACTGGGCTGTTTCCTTTGTAACCTCACCAAACTTGGCTTATGAGGGAGCCTAAAGCCAAAGCATTTAGTTTTTTATTGCAACATGGCCTGGCCCCAATACAAATTACAAAATGATAACTGATGACACAAAAATGGCACCTTTGACTTTCAAATTCTCAGGGACTTGACATCTTTATAACCAGGCATGGCAAATGGCAAGAGATTCTCTATATTCAGGCTTTCTTCTACCTTAAATCCCAACCATCCCTATGTCAAGCTTGCATCCCTCATGAAATCCTTCTTCTTAATGAAAATCCTCTCTGGGTCTTTTCTTCCTCGGAAACCCCTTTTGACCCTGCAGATGACCCCTTCTGTATACTCAACTCCCTGCATCTGCTCCTTGCCCATCTGAACCCTTCTCCCTGTTGGCCCCTCTTGCCCTCAAGCCTCTGGCCCCAACACCCACGTCCTTCTCCACCTGTTACCCGTTCAGAAACTATTCCAGCTAGTCAAACCACCTCTGCCATTCTCCCTCTCCAGGAAGTAGCTGAGGTTGAAGGCATTGCTTGAGTTCATGGCCCTTTCTCCATGTTTGATTTGTTGCAGATTGAACAACGTCTCAGATCTTTCTCTGAAAATCCTTCTCGTTATCACAGGGAATTTCTACACATAACCCAATCCTTTAATTTAACTTGGTATGACATTTATATAATTCTAACCTCCACCCTCACTTCTGATGAAAAAGAGTGCATCTGGCATTCAGCTGAAACACATGCAGATGAACTCCATAATCAAGCCCCTATACAAAATCCAGTGGCCAATGGTGCTGTCCCCTGTAGAGACCCAGATTGGACTTACCAACAGGGAGACAATGGCATCAGCCGAAGAGACCACATGGTTACCTGTCTGCTCGCTGTCATGGACAAAAGTGCTCATAAGGCAGTTAACTATGAAAAACTTAGAGAAATTACACAAGAGCCCCAGGAAAATCCTGCCCTTTTCTTATCATGCCTCACTGACGCTATGTTAAAATATACCAATTTGTACCCAGAATCTAAAGAAGATCAAACTTTTCTCCACCTTCAGTTTATTTCAATCTGCCCCAGAAATCAGGAAAAGAAATTACAAAACTTAGGCCAGGTGCGGTGGTTCATGCCTGTAATCCCAGCACTTTGGGAGGCAGAAGTGGGCAGATTGACTGAGTTCAGGAGTTCGCAACTAGCCTGGGCAACACAGTGAAACCCCATCGCTGCTAAAATACAAAAATTAGCCAGGCATGGTGGTATGTGCCTGTAGTCCCAGCTACTTGGGAGGCTGAGGCAAGAGAATTTCTTGAACCCAGGAGGCGGAGGTTGCAGTGAGCCAAGATCACACCACTGCACCCCAGCCTGGGTGACAGAGAAAGACTCCATCTCAAAAAAACAAAAAAATTACCAAAATTAGAGGAGGGTCCCAAGACATCTCAGTGGGCCTTCTAAATGCAGCCTTCCATGTCTTTAACAACAGAGATGAGGAACAAAAAATTCAAAAAGACAAACATCTCCATTTAAAATACCAGATGCTTGCCTCTGCTGTCCAAAAGTCAGTTACATAAAAGCCCCCCAGTAACCCAAAAGGAAACTCCCCCACCTCTCCGGAAATATGTTTCTGATGTGACAACCCTGGACACTGGTCAAAGTCTTGTCCTAACCCCTGGCCCCCGACTAAACCATGCCCAACTTGCCTTTGGGGACACGGAAAATGGACTGCCCCCAACAGGGACACCTTCCCCATTTGGATGTGTCTCATAATGAAGCCCCCTGACCATCACAGAAGGAAATCTCTTCACTGCTGGTGCCGACAATGGAAGACTGAGGGTGCCCAGGATTCTTCACTCCTACATCTAGTGAGTCCATGGAACCCAGGGTAATTGGGATGGTATCCAGTAAGATTATTTCCTTTCTTTTGGATACTGGGGCAAGCCTATCAGTATTAACTGAATATCAAGGCCCATTAGAACATTCTTCTGTTTCTGTTCTTGACACGAAGGGCATACAAGAAACCCCATACAAAACACCACCTCTACACTGCACATTTCAGGGAGTCACCTTCACTCACTCTTTCTTGGTAATTCCTCATTGCCCCACTCCTTTACTAGGAGGGGACATCCTACACAACCTGGGAGAAATCATTCATTTATCAGCCCTACACCAAAGCCACCCTTATTTATTATTATGTCAAGAACAGGACCCTTCCTCAAACACTTGACATCAAACAGACTTAAGTCCCAAATTCCTCAGCCAAGTAAAACCCATAGTATGGAACACTGACTGCTCCATGGTAGCTACCAACCATTCTCCAATTCAAATTTCACTGAAAGATCCTAAACGCTATATAGAGGTCCCACAATATCCCCTCAACCCTAATGGATTATGGGGACCCAAGCCCATCATCTCCCGACTTTTGGCTGCCAGTATTTTAATCCCCATGCATTCTCCCCACAATACTACTATTCTCCCAGTTAAAAAACCAGATGGCTCCTATAGACTGGTTCAAGATTTGTGACAAATCAGCTCCGCTATTTTTCCTGTTTGTCCTGTTGTCCCAAACCCTTACACCCTCCTATCGTGAATTCCTCCCAACCCCAGCCATTTCTCTGTATTTAACCTCAAAGATGGCTTTTTTTCTTTTCTTTTAAGGATGTCTTTTTTACTACACCTCTACAACCCTCCTCTCAAAACCTTTTGGCTTTCACTTGGACTGACCTAACACAGGCTACTCCCAACATCTCACCTGGACTGCCCTCTCCCAGGGGTTTAGGAACAGCCCTCACTGTTTTGGTCAGGCACTTCTATTGAAACTTTCACAACTACCTCTACAACCTAACATTGTGCTTCAATATGTGGATGATTTACTCCTTTGTAGCCCCTCTCTAGAACATTGTATTCAACACATCACCAAGCTTTTAAATTTTTTGGCTGAATGTGGGTACTGGGTATCCAAAAGGAAGGCCCAATTAACCTCTCCAAAAGTCTTATACTTAGGATTAATCATAACTCCAAATACTCAAGAAAATCCACCGGCAAGAAAGCAAGGCATTCAACAAATTCCATTTCCCAAGACAAAAAGAGACTGACTTTCTTTTCTCAGATTAGTGGGATATTTCCAATTATGGATAGCAAATTTGCCATTATCACTAACCCCTTTATGAACACACAAAAGGAACTCTTGACCAATGACTCACTCCCACCCCAGACCTTTGTCATGCTTTCTCTCACCTAAAATGTGCCTTATTACAGGCCCCTGCTTTAGGACTTCCAAACCCCCTAAGACCTTTTCATCGATATTCACATAGTTCTCATAATCTGGCCCTTGGACTATTAACCCAACACGCAGGAGATTCCCTCCAACCAGTGGCATATTTTTCAAAACTACTAGATCCCATTTACAAAAGCTGGCCCCTTTGCTTAAAAATTTTGGCCACAGCCTCTCTAATTATCCCTGATGCACAAAAACTCATGTTCTATGAACCCCTTCAGGTATTTTCTTCTCACAGTCTACAAAATATGCTCATCCATAAGGCGCTCACCTCCATCTCATCCTCTCGCATGCAAGCCCTACATTCAACTCTCCTTCAGCCCTCTATCTCTCTTCACAGATGCCCCCCTGCCAATCCTGCCACTCTTTTACCTTCAACATCAATTTTGGACCCTGACCAACACTCATGCTCTGATCTAATTGAGAGTTCTCTCACCATGTTTCACTACCTTACTTCCACTCACATAAAGGGAGCCCCAGATTGATTTATAGATGGCAATGCATCAAAACACCCTCCCCTCCAAGCAGAATATGCCATTATTGAGGGATATCATGATGATACCCACTCTCTCCCACCTAGAAGAGTTGTAGAGACTGCACCGTTGCCTTTAGGCACATCTTCCCAACAACCAGAATGAATTGCCCTAATAAGAGCACTAATACTAGCAAAAAAAACCCCACAGGTTAATATATACACCAATTCTAAATATGCCTATAACATCATCCATTCCAATGCCCAAATTTGGAGTGAGTGGGACTATCTCACAGCTAAGGGAACTCCTATCATTAATGGAAAACCAATCCATCATCTACTAAAGGCAGCTTTACTTCCAGAAAAGGTTGCATTTATCCATTGCAAAGGGTATCAATCAGATAAAAGCCACGTTTCTTTAGGAAACCGTGAGGCTGACTATTGGGCAAAACATGCCTCAACCAATCAATCACCCAATTCCCCAATACCTATTTCCCCTCATACAACATATGCCCTCCTTTTATCCAGAACACCAAATACAACAACTAATCATGGTGGGGGCACAATTCAAACCCTCATACTGGTTTATACCAAACAAATTAGTCCTACCTGACCCTAAAAAATATATATATATATTTTATGAGACATTCACAACCTCTTCCACGCTAGCCATTCCCCTCCCTCTACAACATTTCTTAAGTTCCCATATACACATAACCCCAGATATAAAGAAATAGTTGAAAGCCATTTCCCATCAATGCTCTATTTGCCAGAAAGCTTCACCCCACTCCAACACAAGACCCTCTTCTTTCCCAACCCACCAAGCTAGGGGATACCTTCCAGGACAGGATTGGCAAATTGATTTTATCCATATGCCCTCAGTAAAAAACGTTCGATTTCTTTTAGTTCTGGTTGATACTTTTCCAGGATGGGTCAAGGCTTTTCCCACAACCAACAAATGAGCTTCTACTGTCACCACCAAATTGACAAAAGAAATCATCCCCAGGCTTGGGGTACCTGTTTCTTTTCAATCTGATAATGGTCCCGAATTCATTTCTCAAATTACTCAAACACTTGCATAAGCCCTACAAATCACCTGGAAGCTACACATCCCCTCTTGACCTCAATCTTCAGGAAAGGTTGAGAAAATGAATGGTATTCTAAAAAACACCCTCACCAGGTCTCACGCCAAACACATAAAGACTGGATTACACTTTTACCTTTGGCCCTTCTAAAAATTTGGGTGCTCCCATATAAACCTTTAATGGTCGGCCCCCCATTTTTTTCTGAGATGGAGTCTCGCTCTGTCGCCCAGGCTGAAGTGCAGTGGCATGATCTTGGCTCACTGCAACCTCCACCTCCTGGGTTCAAGCGATTCTCCTACCTCAGCCTCCCAAGTAGCTGGGACTACAGGCGCATGCCACCACGCCCAGCTAATTTTTTGTATTTTTAGTTGAAGCAGGGTTTCACGGTGTTAGCCGGGCTGGTCTCAATCTCCTGACCTCGTGATCTGCCCGCCTTGGCCTCCCAAAGTTCTGGGATCACAGGCGTGGGCCACTGTGTCTGGCCAATGCTCAGCCCCTTTGAACTCATATATGGGAGACCACTCGCCCCTTTTGTTCCACCTCAGGGTCAAGCCCCACCTCTACCAACCCTTCTCATTTCCCCTCTTCTATATACCATCCACCTGTCTATATACCATGCCACAACCTGTCACTGACTCCTCTAATCCCTTCCTACAGCCAGGCGACTGGGTTCTGGTAAGAAATCCCAGTCCTAGCCCCAATTTCCCCCTCACACCTAAATGGAAGGGACCTTACCAAATCATCCTTACCACACCATGGCAGCAGAACTCCAGGGACCCCCCCAACTGGTTTCATTACACTTCTCACAAGAAAACAAACTTGCAATCACCACATACCCAAACAACCAAATATAAGACCCCTTCAGCCTTCTCCTGTGTCTCCACAGGACCCACTTCCCTTCACCTCACCTGAATCCTGGAGGAAAAAGAAGACAAATCCACGTAAGCCACTTATGTCTCTTTCTCTCCCAAACTTTCATCACTTCCTAACCAACCTTGTTACAGACCTCCAGTGGTACCCTTACGAAACTCCCATTACACATCCTGAGCAACTCCTTACTGTTCTATGGGACCTATGGCTTCAAGGAACTTTCCAGGACTTGAAGTTACCCAAGTAACTTTTTTCTCTTTTTGCTTGTTTCTTTCAATACAAATTTCCTAATTATGTTAACCTCATCAATACAACCACTCCTCACTGCACTCAAACTAGAATGCTCTATAAACCTTACATGATCCCTCTTGCTGCAAACTAACTCTTCCTTTGCTCCAGAATGCTGGATGTGCTTATTGTTGTCTTCCTTAGCTTACACAGCTCTTCCTACACCCCTTCATGTCCTTTTAATCAGAAACATAACCCTAATTTATAAACTCCAAAAAGGAGTTTCCTTTTTTAAAAGAGTTGACACTCTGGTTGGTGATTATCCCACTTCCAGGGCCAATCAGGCCAACAAATTATTTCAGACCTATTAAAACTCCCTACAACACCTCGAGCCCCAAGGCCCTCCCATTGAAGGGCCCATAACTAAACATAGCCCCCTTTTACAACAAGCCTCACTTTCCTTTTCAGCCTCTGAGGGAAATCTCCCTGTAAGGTCCTTAGCACCTAGCCAATGCAACTGCGCTACACCCCTCTGACCATCAGACTAACCAGGTTGACTACCAAGTATCACCTGAAGCAAACAGAGCGTTGCTGCAACCGGCTCGTTTTGTGGCCTCTCCCTCAACCAATGCCTCCAGCCTAACTTGTGCTGTCCCTGGTGCTCACTTTTATCCATGGCTCGGTATCAATGGTGCAATATCTGATCGCATTAGATGTGTAAAAAATAACTCTTCCTATATCTCTACTATAGTGGGTGTCTCCCTGGCCTCCTCTCCTTGTCCACCTGGAGTAATGGCCACAGGAAAGAAAAAACACCCCATCTTTAATTCACTTGTTTTCTTTCCATATCTCTGCCTGTATTTATGAAAAAGCCTTGTTCTTTTTGTGTGGCACCAACACATATCTTTGTCTCCCCACCAACTGGACCATAACCTATACCCTAGTTTATCTTTCTCCCTCCATTGGACTAGTTCCTCCTAATCAACCTTTGCCTATTCCATCCATCCAATATGTTAGAGAAAAGAGGGCCATCCATGTCATTCCTTTGACGGCTGCCTTAGGTATAACCTCCGGACTTGGATTAGTCACCTCCTTAACATACTTTAAAGTGCTTTCAACAGAACTATAGGGTTCTTTAGAAGATATAGCCTAAAGCCTTATAAGAGTCCAAGACCAACTAGACTCCTTTGCTAGAATAGTCCTCCAAAATAGATTGGGACTAGATCTTATAACGGCTGAAAAATGAAGAATGTTGCTTCTATCTCAACCAATTGGGCCTAGTAACAGACACTGCTTAAAAACTTAAAGAAAGGGCTAAAAAGCTAAGGGAATACCAAAACGACCAAATAGATTCTTGTTTGGAAACAAAATCATAACATGGGTCATCGTATTCCTGGGCCCTCTCCTAATAATATGCCTAGGACAAATGTTCTTACCCTGAGTAACCTTTTTCAAAGATTTTTAACCAACAGGATCATGGCCATCTCACAAACAACTACCCAGAAACATCTACAGGTGGCGTTACTCCTATAGTCAATTCAAAGCCGAAAACTCTCTGCCCTTCCCCTCAGCAGGAAGTAGCCTGAAAGAACACACAACCCCTCATCCTTTTATGACTATAGGGTCTGGAGTGACAGAGCAGGAGCATCACCATCTTGGACAAACACCATCATTTTAAGTTCCCCTTGATTAAAAACCACCTAAATCCAGCCCCAAAACATCAGCCTAATGGCTAATGTCAGCATGACCATAAACCACAAGTGACACCTCTGACCAGAACATTCCAACGCTGAGATAAACCCCCAGCACAAACAGAAATATGCCAAACCCAAGATAACCTCCCCTCCAACCAGAAGACATTCCAATCCCAGAATAAAACTCCCCTCCACACAGAAACATTCCGAGCCTGCAATAAGCCCTCCCTCCCTGAACCCTTAAATACCCTTAGTCTATAAAAGAGAATGCTCCTGACCAAAATCGTCGAGAAGCCCCTCACAGGTTTATTCTCCAAAATAAACCTGTCTTTGACTGTTGAGCCACTTTTTGTGTTTCTTTCTTCTTTCTTTACCCCTTACAAGGAGCAGTTTACGGGAGGTCAGTATCTTGTAGCCTCCAGCTGCATGACTCCTAAATCATAATTTCTAATCTTGTGGCTAATTTCTCAGTCCTACAAAGGCAGTCTAGCCTCCAGGCAAGAAGAAGGTTTGTTTTGGGAAAGGGCTGTTATTGTCTTTGTTTTAAACTATAAACTAAGTTCCTCTCAAAGTTAGTTCAGCCTATGCCCAGGAAGGAACAAGGACAGCTTAAAGGTTAGAAGCAAGATGGAGTTGGTTATGTTAAATCTCTTTCACTGTCTCAGTCATAATTTTGCAAACACTGTTTCAGTCTCTTGTCCAGGACATTACACCTCTCAGGAGCAGCCCATAGCCAATGACTGAGGGACATGGGATAAAAAGGCCACCCCTCTTATCTAAGGTAGGACAAGTCTGCAGTGCAGCTCACATACCGGGGCCCTTCCTGAAGCCATGCTGATGCTCTTCTCCAGCTGAGACCACTTCTCTGCTTAGCTCTTTCCTCTGCTCTCTCCTGCATCCCTCCTTCTTCTCCTAAGAACACTCCCCCAGTTAACCACACACAAGGAGCCGGGTGTGGTGGCTCACACCTGTAATCCCAGCACTTTGGGAGGCCAAGGTGGGTGGATCACCTGAGGTCAGGAGTGCAAGACCAACCTGGGCAACATGGTGAAATCCCATCGCTACTAAAAATACAAAAATTAGCCAGGAGTGGTGATGTGTGCCTGTGGTCTCAGCTACTCAGGAGGCTGAGGCAGGAGAATCACTTGAACCTGGGAGGCAGAGGTTGCAGTGAGCCAAAATCACAACACTGCACTCCAGCCTAGGTGACATTACAAGACTCTGCTCAAAAAAAAAAAAAAAAAAAAAAAATCACACACGAGTCCTCATCTCAGACTCCTCTTCCAGGGAACTTGACCAAAAACAGACTGCAAAACCAGAACTTCACAGACACCATCTACAACAAAACTGGGTGACAAAGTGTCCCCACAAATCCCAAAATATGTGTATGGGAACAAACCATCTGCAGCTGTTGGACCCACATGGTATTGCCAGAGGTATTTGAACCAGAGCAACTCCATCTTGAATAGGGGCTGGGTAAAATAAGGCTAAGACCTGCTGGGCTGCATTCCCAGTAAGTTAAGGCGTTCTTAATCACAGAATGAGATAGGAGGTTGGCACAAGATAAAGGTCATAAAGACCCCACTGATAAAACAGTTTGCAGTAAAGAAGCCGGCCAAAACCCAACAAAGCCAAGACAGTGACGAGAGTGACCTCTGGTCATCCTCACTGCTACACTCCCACCAGCTCCATGACAGTTTACAAATGCCATGGCAACATCAGGAAGTTACCCTATATGGTCTACAAAGGGGAAGCATGAATAACCCACCCCTTATTTAGCATATCATCAAGAAATAACCATAAAAATGGGCAACCGTAGCCCTCAGGGCTGCTCTGTCTATGGAGTAGCCATTGTTTTTTTTCCTCTACCTTCTTAATGAACTTGCTTTCACTTTATGGACTCCCCCTGAATTCTTTATTGTGCAAGATCCAGAAACCCTCTCTTGGGGTCTGGATTAGGACCCCTTTCTAATAAGAGTATCAGCATCTTTGCAAGACGAAATAGGGAGTAGAAAAAAGGGCTCCCCTGAGATCACCAAACCACCAGCTGATGCTCATAAGAAAGCAAGGCAGCCCAACCCGAGAGCATCAGCTGAAATGGGGAGGAGTCTGCAGATTGCAGCTCACAGGTGAGTGCAAGGGGTCCACCAGGAGATAAGGTCTGAGTGCCTGATGGTCTCGCCTTGCAAATTCTCCAGTCTAGCAAATCAAAGCTCCCTTCTAGGGAAAAGGCGTGCACTGAGGAGAAACTGTGAAGAGAAGAATTCAAACAGGACAAGGACAGTGGGGCAGAGGAAAGAGAAGGTCCGGACACAAGCAGAAGAGGGAAGTAGTGAAAGAACACATCTGAAAGTATTAGGCCATATTTTTGATTACTTAGTAAAAACAACTGAAGATGAATCTCTAGAGACAGGAAGTTTGATAAGTTATCCTAGTATGATTTCTCCACAGAAAAGTATAGGAAATCTCACTTCAGTACAAAACAAGTCAAAAAGTGTCACTGTCAAATCTCATCCAAAATTCTGAGATATCAGAGAATTTACAGACGATAAAAGCATGCAAGAAATACATGCCCATGAAAGAGGGAAGAAAGGAAAAAGACAACTATAACCTAACATTTCAAAACAGCATAAAAGAAATCAAGAAAATGATAGGTATAGGATATTTATACAAGTCCCTAAAGAAGAAATTCAAAACAATGAAACAGAACAAAGACTAAGGACTATAATTAAAAAAAAAAAAAATTGAACCCAGAATGGTTAACACTGAAACATTCTTTTAGAAAAAAACTTTAAATAATAATACTTTGAGCACTGAACCAAAAAGACTAAGTCACTTATAAGGAAAATGAAATCAGATTGTCGTTAGACCTTGTTAAAGCAGCACTGCTAAAGGCAATGAAGTGTCTTATTTAAGATCCTCAAAGCATAAATACTCCACTGAAATTTTCCAGTTGCCCAAATCAGAAGCTAAACAATATATTTCCAAAGCTCACAGTTATTTCCAACCATCATCCATTCATTCGTCTATTCCTTTGGTTACTTTTTTTTTTTTTTGAGATGGAGTCTTGTTCTGTCGCCCAGGCTGGAGTGTAGTGGTACAATCTTGGCTCACTGCAACCTCTGCCTCCCAGGTTCAAGTGAGTCTCTTGCCTCAGCCTCCCGAGAAGCTGGGATTACAGGGGCCCACGACCCTGGCTAATTTTTGTAGTTTTAGTAGAGACGGGGTTTCACCATGTTGGCCAGGCTGGTCTCGAACTCCTGACCTCAAGTGATCCTCCCACCTTGGCCTCCCAAAGTGCTAGGATTACAGGCATGAGCCACCGCACCTGGCCCGTTATTAGCTCTTTCTTCTGAAAATTCCTAAAAACAATCACTAATCCAATGTCCTGGCATGGTGTCTAGCACAAGACTGGCAGTCTGGAAATAATCTGTGGAAGGAAGGAATGTAGAAAGGAGGAGAGGGGGGAAGGAAAAAGAAAGGAAGAAAGGGAGGGAAGGAAGGAGAGAAGGAGGGAGAAGAGGAAGGGAGAGGAGAAAGAAAGGGAGGAAGGCAGTAGAGGAGGGAGGGAGGTTTGTGTGTATACAGAGATGTGTGCACACATAGAAAAGGGTCTGGGCCGGGGGTGGTGGCTCACGCCTGTAATCCCAACACTTTGGGAAGCCCAGGCAGCCAGATCACTTGAGGCCAGGAGTTTGAGACCAGCCCAGACAATATGATGAAACCCTGTCTCTACTAAAATACAAAAAATAGCCAGGCGTGGTAGAGCGTGCCTGTAATCCCAGCTACTTGGGAGGCTGAGGTGGGAGGATCGCTTGAACCTGGGTGGCAGAGGTTGTAGTGAGCCGACATTGCGCTACTGCACTCCAGCCTGGGTGACAGCGAGACTCCATCTCAAAAAAAAAAAAAAAAGTGTCTGAAAGAACATATTAGTAATAAGCAGGAGTGACTAGGCTCTTTCACTATTTATATAATACCCCCTTGTATCTTTAGAATATTTTAAACAATATATAAGGATGTTTTAATAAAAATACAGTTTAAGGTTTTCATACAAACTGGGGATATGTATTACACACTTTAAAAATATGCTGCAGAGAAATTAATAGAGCTGTGTTTGTGCATATGGATGTTTGTCTCAATATTATTTAAAATATGGGAAATTTTCAGACATCCAATAATAGGGCATTGGTTAAGTGAATTATGCTACATACATACATCGGAACACTATAAAGTCATTAAAACTCCTATTTTTCCAAAACCATTTAATGAATAGGAAAATACCAATGATATATTAAGCAGAAAAATAAAAACAAATGTAAACAGCATTGTCAGGCATAGTAGCTCATGCCTGTAATCTTAGCTACTCTGGAGGCTAAGGCAGGAGAATCACTTGAGCCCAGAAGTTCAAGGCTGCAGTGAACTATGATCATGCCACTGCTCTTAAGCCAGGGCAGCAGAGAAACAACTAATCTCATAAAAAAAAAATAGAAATGTTTTAAAAAAGAGTTTATATACAAGATCCAAATCTTTGCTTTAAAATATGTGTGTATTCATGTGCATTATATACAACTAATACATTTACATGGATAGAAAAATGTCAGAATGACCGTAAAACAAAATATTAAAGGGTTCCCTCTGAGGTATAAAATTATAGGTCATTTTAATGTTTATTCCTCTAATAACCTCATAATTATTGTGTACCTACCAAGCATTTTCTGCATTTCCCTTTTTATGAACATGCTTTATCTTTGTAATTATAAAAGAGCAATAAGTGTTTATTTTAAAGGAATAAAAAAGGATCTCTGTGAATGAAATGGAATACCAGCTTCCCTCTACTTCCCCTAAGTCTGAACTGTTGTTTGCACTCGACCTGAGCACCTGAACCTGGGATCTGACCACTACAGGAGCCTCAAAGGAAAGAGAGGGTAAGTGGGGAGCCAAGTATTGCTTCTGCCCAGAACCATAACCCCCATCACCCAAAGTGGCTACTCACCATCATCCACGTGGCCATCCCCCAGATGTACAAAGCCCACTCACTTCTCCCCTTTCCTACCTAGTTCTCCACTTTCCTGCACAAGTCTTTGAATTTTCCACACCACTGCTCAGGGTCATGTTCCTAGGAAGGACCAAGGTGTTGGATGTCTTATTTATTTGTTTGTTTGTTTGTTTTCTTTGGGTATTGGACATCTGTAGTGTTTGCCAACCTGCATCCATTCACCCTTCTCCTGGCAAATATCCTGAATTAGACGGTATTCCTACCACCTATAGGTGGGCCTCCATCCCTAGCCCAGGATAAAATCCTGTGATTGGCTCAAGCCAATCAACGCTCAATTTTTCTGATCAAAACCACTGGTTCAGGAATAATTATTAGAGTCCATGAGATGCAACGAGACTTTTACTGAGAATGTTGGGACAGACTATCTTACTCCTTCCTTTTGGATGTAGATCTAAAAGGGTGTATTCTTGGGAATTGATAGAAGTCATTGTAAGCCTATAAAGAGAAAATTTGTCTGTCAATGGAGTTAACTCATAAAAGGCAGAACAAAGAGGTGAAGATGAAGAGGCAGAGACAATGCATCTTGACAATGTCACTTAGGCCACTGGATCCAGCCATGCCTGAAAACTGTCCTAACTCTGACTTTTCAGCTACCGGAGCCAAAAAAAGTCCCTCTTTTGCTTAAGCTAATTTGAGTTGTGTTTCTTCTGACTTCCAACCAAACACTACCAATTGACATACATGTTTTGTTTTCTTTTCTTTCCTTTTCTTTTTTTGAGATGGAGTTTTGCTCTTGTTGCCCAGGCTGGAGTGCAATTGCGTGATCCTGGCTCACCACAACCTCCTCCTCCCAGGTTCAAGCAATTCTCCTACCTCAGCCTCCTGAGTAGCTGGGATTACAGGCATGTGCCACCACGCCGGGCTAATTTTGTATTTTAAGTAGAGACAGGGTTTCTCCATGTTGGTCAGGCTGGTCTCGAACTCCCGACCTCAGTGATCCACCCACCTCGGCCTCCCAAAGTGCTGGAATAATAGGCATGAGCCACTGCTGTTTTCTTATAATTGCCCGGGAAAAGGACATCTTGCAGTTACATGCACTAGGGGGTGGCTTCAGAAGATGGCATAGGTATAATAAACAGAAACCTAGAATCACAAGACCTGGGTTTGAATTCTTCTTCTACTTCCTATTAGCTGTGTGACCTTGAGCCTGTCACTTACCCTTTGTGAACTTCAGTTTCTTCATCTGTAAAATAAAGATATTAATACCTAACTCACAGCCTTGTTGTTAGAATCAAATATTAAGAGTCTTGATTTTTAGCTCAAGAAAAATGGGAAGCCCTTTACAGACGTGAATGAGAAGAGTTATTCAACTTATGTTTTGAAAATATCACTTTGGCTGCTGTGTGGAGAGTGGGTTGGAGGAGGGCAGGAATCAAAGCAGAAAGACCTGGTAGGAGGAGGCTTTAGAAGTCCAGGCAGATGATGATGGCTTGAACAAGGACAACATTTACCCAGTGTCAATTACCAAATGACAGGTGCAAAATGGTAATCATCAGATTCACCAAATGTCTAACTCCCATCCCATCTCTGACTTGTTGCTGCACTATTCTTACATAAGTGATTTTTGTGCTTAAATAAATTCTACCTCACCCTAAGCAATAATATCCATGACATCTCAGGTTTGAGTTACAAGATATATATAGATTAGATAGATAGATAGATAGATAGACAGATAGATAGATAGATAGATAGATATAGATACAGATATATATATTTCTAACACATATAAGTACATAACTATTAATTTTTTAACAGTTATGTACAGATCATTTAAACCCATCTTGACTCTCCTACTACCAGTAGGAGTCAATAAACCAGGATCATGGGTGGCAGAGGGGACAGAAAAATGTATTTCTTGTTATTCAGAGAAAAAGTGCTACCTGGCATCAAGTAAAGTGGTTTAAGAAGGATAATAGGGGCCAGGCATGGTGGCTCATGCCTGTAATCCCAGCACTCTGGGAGGCCAAGGTAAGAGGACTCTTGAGCCCAAGAGTTTGAGACCAGCCTTGGAAATACAGCAAGACCCCATCTCTACAAAAAAATTAAAATTTAGCTGGGCATGGTGGCACACACCTGTGATCCCATTTACTTAAGAGGATGAGATAGGAGGATCACTTGAGCCTGGGAGGTTGAGGCTACAGTGAGCTGTGGTCATGCCACTGCACTCCAGCTTGGGCAACACAGCAAGACCTTGTCTCAAAAAAAAAAGGCTAATAGGGAAGGGAATGTTTTACCTGTAGATGGACCTTACTTTAAGAAAGAACTCAGTTTCCAGGGGGAAAAAAAAACTCAGCCAAGCAGAGAAATTAGAGGGTGAATATTTGAATGACATTCTTCCCTTTTACAAAATGGCTCACCATAGAGACCCTTTACACTGAGAGCTCCCCTACTGAATAAGTGCCTGGTACAATCATTAACTACTTGACAGAGAGCTTGGGGGCAGCTGGAGGAGGAACAAGGAGGTGGAGAGGAATCTTAAAGCCAAGCCCTGGCCCATTTAAGACCAATTTGAAATGAAGATTTCAGAAAGTCTGAAAGTATAATTTAAGTGAATGGGCTAAGTAGGCTTCTACGAATAACTCTTCCACTTAGGCGATATTCTCAGAAACACCCTACTCTGCAGCCATTAACAAGTATGTGTTAGGAGAATATTTAATGACATTGGAAACATCTCAAAAGCAGGTGGCAAATCAGCGTGTACAGCATGATTTCAATTTCAGGTTTTAAAAGGAAATTCTATACATGGGTTAAAAAAAACAACTAAGAATCTACATAAAAATGTTAACAGGGGTTATATTTACATGATGGGATTAGATGGGCAATTTTTATTTTTCTCTTTATTCTCGTCTCTATTTACCCAAGTTTCTGATTATTTTTTAAGTAGGAAAGGACAATTAAAGGGTGTTTTAAAAAATAAGAATTCATTGATGGTCAATTGCAAATTGTAGCTATTACTTATTGACTGAAAACATAAAGTAGGAAATCTCTTACTAAACAGGTCAAATGTCTTATTTCAAATATGATGATATAATGATAGTTAACATTTTGTAACCACTCATTATGTGCCAGACACTTTGCTCAGTACCATACATATAATCATGCCATTGACTCCTCACAACCACTCTGAGATGAGTAATTTTATTACTCCCTCCCCCAAACAATTTTCCAAATGAAGAAACTGGGGCTCAAAGCCATGATGTAACCTGTTCGAGGTTACTAGCTGGCAGGTGGCAGAGAATTCAGGTCTCCTGATTTCTAATTTGGGGCTCTCTCTCCTCCACAGCATTGGGCTTCTACAGATGCCCCTAGTTTATGGGCTGAAAATATCCCCTAATTACCCCATAAATAAGCTACTGAACTTATTTATTCCTTGCATTTAACTTATTATTTAGCATTTAAAGGACACATTACATTGAGCAAGAATCATCAATCTTTCACGTAACGCTCCGGTTAATAATTTGATAATTATCATCCACAGTCACAAAGCTGAACGCACTTGTTGTTTCCACGGGGCCACATCCCCTTTTAAGGAAGATAACTCGTCAATTATCTCTGACCTGCCTGCTCTGTGAATTTACAACCTCCCAAACCACCAAAACTCACCCTGGTGGTCGGAGGGTTCAATGGTAATGGCAGAGCCCCTAAACCTAAGGATTTGAAAGCCACGTATCTATAATCTACTTTAACACAGTATCAGGATATCATTTAGCCATTCCATATGCTAACCAAAGAAATTATTTATAAAGCATTATAAAGCACTCACTCGGAGTGTGCCAAGACTTAAGCACTTTACTTACAGAAGGAATAGCAAAACGTAATGCTTATCAAGTCTATCAGATCCAATAAGCCTTTGTATCAGTCAGTTTCTGGTGTGTAACAATCTCAATACTTCAATGACTTACAAAAATGAATATTTTTTTTTTACTCATGAGTCTGTGGTTGGCTATGGTTTTGCTGAGCTCATCTGGGATCCCATGGGCTTGACACCAGGTTTCAGGGTGGGTTTTGGTCTATTCCAAGGGTCTTCCCATTCTCCTCAGACCAACAGCCTTCCAAAGCATTTTTTTCTCATAGCAAATAGCAGGAATGCAAGAGGACTAATGGAAAGACATGATGCCTCTTAAGGGCCAGGCTCAAGCCTGTCACATTTCCACTTAGCCCTCATTCCACTAGCTAAAGCCAAGTCTCATGGCCAGGCCCAAAATCAATGAGGCAGAGAAATAGTCTCCACCAGCTCTAGTGGGAGGTACTGCGAGGTCACACAGCAAAGGGTGTTAATGTGTATTAATAATTTCATTAAGGGAGAGAATGAAGAATTGGAAGCTATGATCCATTTTACCTGCCCTTTTATAACATATATTGTAATGTGCCTTTTAGTATGCTGAAATGAAATTCAGAGATAATATAACCTGCAAATATATATACATATAACATTTTCTTTTTTTCTTTTTTTTTTTGTTTGAGATGGAGTCTTGCTCTGTCACCCAGGCTGGAGTAGAATGGCACAATCTCAGCTCACTACAACCTTCGCCTCCCGGGTTCAAGCGAATCTCCTGCCTCAGCCTCCTGAGTAGCTGAGATTGCAGGCGCACACCACCACGCCTGGCTAATATTTGTATTTTTAGTAGAGACGGGGTTTCACCCTGTTGGCCAGGCTGATCTCGAGCTCCTGACCTCATGATCCGCCCACCCCACCTCCCAAAGTGCTGGGATTACAGGCATGAGCCACCGCGCCCAGCCAACATTTTCAAAAATCAATTTTATATGTAAATGCTAAAAGACACTGGGATTATCTGATGTTAGCACCTGTATTAGTTTGTTCTCACACTGCTATAAGAAGTACCTGAGACTGGGTAATTTGTAGAGAAAAGAGATTTAATTGGCTCATGGTTCTGCAGGCTGTATAGGAAGCATGATGACATCCGCTTCTGGGGAGGCCTCAGGGAGTTTTTACTCATGGCAGAAGGCAGAGTGGGAACAGGCACTTCACACGTCAAAAGCAAGCACAAGAGAGCGTGGGGGAGGCGCTACACACTTTTAAACAACCGCATCTCGAGGACTCAGTCATTATCATGAGGACAGCATCAAGGAGATGGTGCTAAAGCATTCATAAGAAACCCAGCCCCGTGATCCAATCACCTCCCACCAGGCCCCACCTTAAACATCGGGGATTCCAACTCAACATGAGATTTGGGTGGGGACACAGACCCAAACCATATCAGCACCTAAACAAACACCACTGTGTGCATAACAGTTACAAAATGCAAGCCAATTCAGGGGTGTGGTATAGGCTTCTCAACTAGCTTGAACAGCATTTGCTATTGATAATGTCACTTTTCCGAAATGGTGTCTAACTGTGGATAAAGCGTGCGACAAAGTAAACTACAATCGTTCTCCATGTACGCTGAAAGTTGCATTCTAATAAAAGCAGAGTATGCTAAAACCATGCAAATATACCCTATGTTTATATGCAGAATGGCTCAGATGATTATAAACAGATTTCTCACCTATGTGAATGTTTGACAGGACACTGGGAAGGCAAGCAGGACACAGGACAGATCTTCCCTGGACATTGCTATATGTCTAGCTCTCTTGGTCCCCTAAAGCAAATCATGCCAATATCACACCTTCCCCATCATTGTAACTACCAAAATAGTCCCCAGACATCTCTGAAGTGAGTCCTGGGGGGCAGCCTTACTCCTATAAGAACCACTGGTGTTGGCCGGGCACAGTGGCTCAGACCTGTAATCCCAGCTACTTGGGAGGCTGAGGCAGGAGAATTGCTTGAATCCGGGAGGCGGAGGTTGTGGCGAGCTGAGATCGTGCCATTGCACTCCAGCCTGGGCGACAGAACGAGACTCCATCTCAAAAAAAAAAAGAAAAAGAAAAAGAAAAAAGGTTGTGGGATTGATCAAGTCCATGGGGAAAGTGGGGGGTCTGGATTCAGATTTCAGGCTGGGATATAAAGTAGCATTATTATGAAGAAAGCACCCTCCGTTCACGTGTCTATCAGTGTTGCCACCCAGCACACTCAAGAGTGGCAGCGCAAACTCACCCCACAGTGCTCCACAGGAGGGTTTCGCCTTCAATAGTGATGCCAGGAGAGGTTTGGGAGAGGATTTTTCCATAGAAGACAAATTCTGGATCCAGCTGCCAGGATTCCAGTCTCAGCTCTATCACCTAATATTCATGCATTCCTGTGACCTCCTTGTGCCTCGGTTTCCTCATGTGTAAAAGGGGGTAATAATGCTACATACCTCATAGGGTTTTTGTGAAGACTAAATGAGTTAATACGTGTAAAGCATTTAGGACAGTATCGGCATCTAATAAGCTTTATGTAATTGTGTGCCATTATCATGATTGATGAAGCAGAATGATTGGTGTCCACCCATGGGTTTAGTGTAGTCATACAGAGCCTGACCCATAGGGAAGAATAAAAAGTAACCAACAGGGCCGAGCATGGTGGCTCATGCCTGTAATCCCAGCACTTCAGGAGGCCGAGGCGGGCAGATCACCTGAGGTCAGGAGTTGAAGACCAGCCTAGCCAACACGGTGAAACCCCATCTCTACTAAAAATACAAAAATTAGCCAGGTGTGGTGGTGCACGCCTGTAATCCCAGCTACTCGGGAGGCTGAGGCAAGAGAATCACTTGAACCTGGGAGGCAGAGGTTGCAGTGAGCCAAGATTGTACCACTACACTCCAGCCTGGGTGACAGAACAAGACTCCATCTCAAAAAAAAAAAAAAAAAAAGTAACCAAAGGAATAGATGAATGAATAGATGGTGGCTGGAAATAACTGTGAGCTTTGGAAATACATTGTTTAGCTTCTGATTTGGGCAACTGGAAAATGGCAGTGGAGTATTTATGCTTATATACTCAACCCCCATGATGGGACTGGTGGCTTTATGAGAAGAGGAGGAGAGGCCTGAGCTGACCCGCATACTCCTGCCCTCTCACCATGTGATGCCCTCTGCCATGTTATGAGGCAACAAGAAGGTTCTCACCAGATACAATCCCTCAGCCTTGGACTTCCCAGCCTTCAGAACTAAGAAATAGATTTCTTTTCTTTATAAATTAGCCAGCCTGTGGTCTTGTTATAATACTGCCAAATGGACCCAGACACCATGTTTCCCATGTTAGGCAAATTATGAGTATCTCAAACTCTGGTGAAAGCTCTGCCACTTACTACCTATGTGGCCTGGAGCAAGTCATTTTGTTTCCTTGAGCCTTGTTTTCTCAAAGTGGTCCCTAAGAATCTGCACAGAGCCAACATTTAATACTATTAATGGTTTATGTGCATGAGTCTAGGCTCAGATTTATACATTATAGCCTGTGCCCAATTTGTTAGCTTGGTTCATTCTAACCGCCTTATCATTATTGCTACATAGCGTGTTATTGTATATTGGTGACTCATTATTTCTACAGAGTACTCAAGAATTTGTGAAATATTGTAATACCATGGCCATAATTCATTTAACACTTACTAAAAGTGCTGTGACCTTTCTTACAGGTCCTCACAACTCAGTAAGTATTGCTAATCCTGTATTAGTCATATATTGCCCCCAATAATGCTGCAAAACAACACAAAATCATCAGGGTACAGCACAGTACACATTTACATGGGTTTCAGCTGATCTGGGCTTATCTGATCTTGCTGCCTTGCTCACACATATGTGGTTAACTGCAGCCTCTCCAGGCAGCTCTGCTGATCTTGATTGAATCACTCACATGTCTGGTGGTTGTCTAGCTGTTGGCTGATCTAGGATGGCCCTAGCTTGGATCATGACTGGGACAACTTGGCTCCACAAGACTGGCCTCTCACCGTCTGACATGCTAGCCTGGTAATTTTCCCATGGCAATTGCAGAGGAACTGGAGTGAAAGCAGAAATTTACAAGCACTTTTTCAGGCTTCTGTTTGCCCCACCTCTGCTGATATCCCATTGGCCAAGGCAAGTCACAAGTCCAACACAAATTCAAAGGATGGGGAAATCGGCTCCACCTCTTTTATGAAAGGAACTGCAAAGGCTCTGGAGATGGGAGAGGTGTTATGGGTTGAACTGTGTCCCTCCCAAAATTCACAGGTTGAAGTCCTAACCCCTGGAATCTCAGAATGTGAAAGTATTTGGAGATAAGGTTTTTACAAAAGTAACCAAGTTAAGATAAGGTCATTAGAGTGGGCCCCAATCCAGTGTGACTGGTGTCCTTATAAGAAAAAGAAATTTGGGGCCAGACACAGTGACTCATACCAGTAATCCCAGAACTTTGGGAGGCCGAGGTGGGTGGATCACCTGAGGTCAGGAGTTCCAGACCAGCCTGGCCAACATGGTGAATCTCCGTCTCTACTGAAAATACAAAATTCGCCAGGTGTGGAGGCACACACTGTAATCCCAGCTACTCGGCAGGCTGAGACAGGAGAATAGCTTAAATCCAGGAGGTGGAGACTGCAGTGAGCCGAGATTGCACCACTGCACTCCAACCTGGGCAAGACAGAGAGACTCCATCTCAAAAAAAAAAAAAAAAATTTGGACACAGACACACATAGAAGGAAAATGATATGAAAACACAGCAGAAAACAACCATCTGTAAGCCCAAGGAGAAAGGTCTGGAACAGATCCTTCCTGTAGGGCCTCCAGAAGGAACCAACCCTGCTGATATCTTGATCTCCTATTTCCAGCGTCCAGAACACTAATATAATAAGTTTCTGTTGTTTAAGCCACCAGGTCTATGGTACTTTGTTATGTCAGCCTAGCAAACTAATACAAAGGGTAAATAATTAAGGCATTAATGCAATCAGTTTTTTGTTTGTTTTTTTTTTTAATATCAAATCTCACTCTGTTGTCCAGGGTGGAGTGCAGTGGCACAATCTCGGCTCACTGCAACCTCCGCCTCCAGGGTTCAAACAATTCTCATGCCTCAGCCTCCTGAGCAGCTGGGACTACAGGTGTGGGCCTCCATGCCTGGCTAATTTTGTTTGTTTGTTTTTTGAGACAGAGTCTCACTCTGTTGCCTAGGCTGGAGTACAGTGGCATAATCTCGGCTCACTGCAACCTCCGCCTCCCGGGTTCAAGCAATTCTGCTGCCTCAGTCTCCCAAGTAGCTGGGATTACAGGCGCCTGCCACCACGCCTGGCTAATTTTTGTATTTTTTTGGTAAAGACGGGGTTTTACCATGTTGGCCAGGCTGGTCTCGAACTCCTGACCTTGTGATCCGCCTGCCGCGGCCTCCCAAAGTGCTGGGATTACAGGCGTGAGCCACCACGCCTGGCCAATTTCGGTATTTTTAGTAGAGACGGGGTTTCACCATGTTGGCCAGGCTGGTCTCAAACTCCTGACTTCAGGTGATCCGCCCGCCTCAGCCTCCCAAAGTGCTGGGATTACAGGCACAAGCCACCTCGCCCAGCCAGCAATCAGTTCTCAATACCCTATTTTACAGGTGAGGAAATTGAGGCCCAGAGAGTCCAGATTAATTTATTGCCCAAGGGCAACAGCTAAAGGGTGTTAGAATTGTGAATAGAACCTAGCATTTTCAGATTTCCTCATTCCTGCCACAGTCCTTTGTCTTTTCCTAGGTGGCTTCCAGCAGGGAGGCGCTGCCATGTGTAGGACACTGTTCATGCCTAACTAAGCAATTCCACACATGTTACTTCAAAGCCTCTGTTTTAGTCCTTAATGAGCTAGTAATTGTGTTTATGTGCTTTCCAATGAAGTGTGCAGGGCTCTGATAGCTGTCACTGGTTTCTTGAGGGCCTTTATTTGATCTGAGACTCTGCAGAGCTTCCAATAAGATAAAAAGGTATGTGAGGCAAAGTGGAGAAAATTTGGGTCAAATCTTACTTTTCAAAATGGTTTTCAGCTAACTTCTCTACACATCTAAGCCTCTGCCACCAACATATTTGCACTGAATATACTCAATTATTTGACTCTGAAGCCACTGGAATGATTTCTTGAACAGAATTAAATGAATGGAAAAGAATTAGGTCATTAACCCACATCTTAGAGTTCTCCAGAGAAACGGAATGAATAGAATACATACACACACTTTTATATTTCTGTATATCTATGTATAATCTATATATAGATCCATATATGTATGTAGATATATAAATATACATATTTACATAGACATAGACATAGGTAGATGTCGACACAGATACAGATGCAGATATATAGGAAGAGAGTTATTTATTTTTTTTTTAATTTTTTTATTTTTTTCAGACGGAATCTCCCTCTGTCGCCCAGGCTGGAGTGCAGTGGCACTATCTCGGCTCACAGCACCTCCGCCTCCCGGGTTCAAGCAATTCTCCTGCCTCAGCCTCCTGAGTAGCTGAGATTACAGGTGCACATCCACCACGCTCAGCTAATTTTTGTATTTTTAGTAGAGATGGGGTTTCACCATGTTAGTCAGGCTGGTCTCGAACTCCTGACCTCATGATCCACCCACCTCAGCCTCCCAAAGTGCTGGGATTACAGGCATGAGCCACCGCGCCCGGCCCAGAAGAGATTTATTATAGGGTATTGACTCCTGCAATCATAGAGGCTAAGAAATCCCATGGGCTGCCATCTGCAAACTAGAGACCCCAGAAAGCTAATGGTGTAGTTGAGAGCTAGAGAGCTAGTGATATCCATTCCAGTAGATCTGAAGGTCTAAGAACCAGGAGCATGGACGTCAGAAGATTAATGCCCCAACTCAAGCCATCAGGCAGATTTAATTCAACCTTCCTGTGTCTCCTTGTTCTATTCAGGCCCTCATGGATTAGAGGATACCTACCCACTTTGAGGAAGGCCATCTGCTTTACTCAGTCAACCAATTCAGCCCAAACGCCCATCAGTCAACAAGTAGATAAACATAATGTTGTATATACATACAATGGAATACTACTCAGCCATAAAAAGAAATGAAATAATGGCATTTGTAGCAACCTGCATGGAATTGGAGACCATTATTCTAAGTGAAGCAATGCAGGAATGGAAAACCAAACATCGTATGTTCTCACTTGTAAGTGGGAGCTAAGCTATGAGGACACAAAGGCATAAGAATGATACAATGGACTTTGGGGATGCAGGGGAAAGGGTCAGATGAGGGGATAAGGGATAAAAGACTACACATTGGGTACAATGTACACCACTTGGGTGATGAGTACACCATCTCAGAAATCACCACTGAAGAACTTACCCATGTAACCAAACACCACCTGTTTCCCAAAAACCTATTGAAATAAAAAGTAATTAAAAACTGCCATAATTTCATAACTAAAAACAAATGCTAATCTCTTCCAGAAACACCCTCACAGACATACCCAGAAGTAATGTTTAACCAGCTATATGGGCATCTTGTGGTCCAGTCAAGTTGATCCATAAAATTAGCTATCACAACCCATTGTGCAAATATTTATTCAGCACCTACTATATGCCGAGCACTGTGATAGCCCCTCGAGTACAGACATAAATGGGCACAATAAGTGAACACAAGAAGCTCACTGTCTTGTGTTCATCCGATATTCCCTCGTCAAATTCTAATTTTGAGCATCAACCTGGTGTTCATTGCTGTGTGAGTCACTGAGAATACTGAAATGAAAAAGATGGACACACTCCCTCCTCTTCTGGAGTTTACATGTGCGCTGATGAGACAGGTGTTAGATGACTCATTGCACAATTAAGCAATGACAATTGTGATGAGTGCTGCAAAGAAGCAGCAGAAGTTGTTAAGGGCTGTATAACAAGACGACTTGGCCTATTTATTTGGGTTGGGAGGAGGGTGGATCAGGAAAGACTCCTTAGGAAATGAGGCTAAAGCTGAAGTATGATGGATCAGTAGGGACTAGCCAGTTAAAGATAGTGGAAACTTCCTTGAAAGAGATAAGACACCTTGACATCCAGGAACTGACCTGGTTCTGTCAGCTTGTCTTTGGTGTTGCTATGAGCTGATCTACTGATAGTCCTAGCCTGGGTTTGGTGCTTTTCTGTTGAACATAAACAATTTCATGGAACATCAGCATTTGGGCTGGGCATGGTGGCTTACACCTATAATCTCAGCACTTTGGGAGGCTGAGGAGGGAGAATTGCTTGAGCCTAGGAGTTTAAGACCAGCCTGGACAACATAGCGAGATCCCATCTCTACAAAAAAAGAAAAGAAAAAAAGAAATTAGCCTGAAATGGTGGCACATGACTGTATTCTCAGCTACTTGGGAGGATGAGGTGAGAGGATCACCTGAGCCCAGGTGGTTGAGGCTGCAGTGAGGTAATTATGCCACGGTAGTCTAGCCTGGGCAATAGAATGAGATCCTGTCTCAAAAAGGCATAAACTTTTTAAAAAATTGGACAAGGCCACTCTGAGACCATGATGGAGCAAGACATAAAGAAGCATATCTGGACACAGACAAAACATGAATGCCATCCAAATCACAAAAATGACCAAATATTGCCTATCCTGCCTAATATGTGTGGCTGCTACTTCTTTACTGATTACAGGCTGAGGCTTGCTCTAGTCTTTTCTCCCTTTAGATAAGATTTATTAAGAAGCCCAATCGTAGAATTCCTCCCACTTCCTATCAGTATCCAATCCTGAGGAAAGCCCCAGTTCTTTTTTTTTTTTTTTTGAGATGGAGTTTCACTCTTGTCACCCAGGCTGGAGTGCAATGGCACGATCTTAGCTCACTGCAACCTCTGCCTCCCAGGTTCAAGCGATTCTCCTGCCTCAGCCTCCCGAGTAGCTGGGATTACAGGCACCTGCCACCATGCCGAGCTAATTTTTGTATTTTTAATAGAAATCGGGTTTCACCATGTTAGCCAGGCTGGTCTCAAACTCCTGACCTCAGGTGATCCACCCACGTCAGCCTCCCAAAGTGCTGGGATTACAGGCATGAGCCACTGTGCCCGGCCAAAGCCCCAGTTCTTTAACCCCTCACCCAGACTCCCCAGTCAAAGTCCAAATTTCGTGGCCAGGCACAGTGGCTCATGCCTGTAATCCCAACATTTCGGGAGGCTGAGGTGGGCAGATCACCTGAGGTCAGGAGTTCGAGAGAAGCCTGGGCAACATGGTGAGACCCTGTCTCCACTAAAAATACAAAAATTAGCTGAGTGTGGTGGCGCACACCTGTAATCCCAGCTACTTGGGAGGCTGAGGCAGAAGAATCGCTTGAACCCAGGAGGCGGAGGTTGCAGTGAGCTGAGATCATGACATGGTACCCCAACCTGGGCAACAGAGCAAGACTGCATCTCAAAAAAAAAAAAGTCCAAATTTTGTAATAAATCCTTCCTCACTCCCTCCTACCAAGATGTCCTACAGGTTCGATGGCGCCAGTTCTCCCTCACTGCAATGAGTAATGACCCCAACTTGTTCGGCTGCCAGCGTGCACCTAGTGGTCTTTAGCTGAAGGGCACCGACACTTGTAAATGCTTTTAAGAAATCTAAGGAATTCAAATCATCCTCCAAAAGCACTTCCAAATTTAAGGAAGCAAAAAAAGATTATTATATGAATGTGTAATTAATATTTATCATAGCTAACGTATTAGTTTTATGGTAAAGTTGAGATGGGATTGTGTTTTTATGTGTTGTATATACACTTTCACAGTACATTGAGAACCTTTGATAATTAATGTGTCTAGTGTAGCTGTATTTACATTTGAAGCATAGTTTATTTATCTTAAATCATTATGAGCTTTAGGGTTCTCATACCTCTGATTCTGGCACCTCTCCTGTTGTTACTTCTCTTCAGAGTTGCAACCTGTGTTACTAATTGATTTGGGGGTATTCATAGTGACCTTAGGCCTTTGGCACCTGGACCTTACTTGACCGAAACAGAACTCATTACCCTATCCTAAAAATCTGGCCTTCTGGCAATTTGGAAGAACTTATCAAAATTTTAAATGTGCTTAGCCTTTGACCCAGCAATGCTACTCTAAAAGTTTTACCCTTATAAATTGACTAGCACTAAAAAGCCAAAGATATACAAAGTCATTTCTTGCTTTGATGGTAATAACAGAAAGAAAAAAAATGAAAAACAACCCAAAGTTCTGTCAATAGCCAGCTACATGAATCTTCATACCATCCACACAGTAGAATACTATACAGCCATTAATACTGTTGTAAATTTATATGAATTGGTTTGGAAAGATGCATACAATATGTTGTAGTTAAAAAGAAGGCACACGACAACATGATCCAAGATTAATGCACACACATTTTTGTAAAAGCATATTTTTAGGTCTTTGATAAAAGTAGGTTTCTTCTAGGGATCCTAATTACCAGAATTGGAGAATTTTACTCCATATGATCATGTTCAAAAGATAAGTTGTATTGTTTTTATTTTTTATTACAATCGTAATGAGTGTCTTTTGCATTATTCCTTTCCCAGATTCACCAACCACCTAGTGCCCCAACTAGAATCTTACCTTCACTTTCACCTCCTTTCTCTTTCTTATCCCTAAATCCAGGCACTTCCTGAGCCAAACCTTTCCACCTCTGAAACGTTTCTCAAATCCTTCCCATACTCTTCCCTCTGACAATGTCAGTGTCATCTGGCCAGTCTCCCTGCTCCACTTCCTTCCTGTCCCCATGTGTGCTCTGCACTCTCAGGGAGCTCTTTCTAACATACATAATATAATCTCTTTATCCTTCTGCTCAAAAAACTTAGGCTCTTCTAAACCAATAGAATAAGGCTCCAACTTTTACCTTGAATGTTGTCTTGGTCCATTTTTGTTGCTATGACAAAATACCTGAGACTGGGTAATTTATAAAGAATAGAGGTTTATTTCCTCATAGTTCTGGAGACTGGGAAGTCCAAGAACAAGGCACTGGCAGCTTCAGTGTTTGGTGAGGGCTGCTGGTTGTTTCCAACATGGCACCTTGTTGCTGCACCCTCACATCATGGAAGAAGCAAATGCTGTGTTCTTACATGGCAGAAGAGACAGAAGAAAGGGTCAGCTCTCTGATGCTTCCCTTTATAAAGATGTTAATCTCATTCACAGAAGTGACTCCCTAATGGCCTAATCATCTCCCAGAGGCCCCATTTTTCTTTCTTCTTTTTTTTTTTTAATACAAGGTCTGGCTCTATCACCCAGGCTGGAGTGCAGTGGTATGATCTCCGCTCACTGCAACCTCCACCTCCCAGGCTCAAGTGATCCTCCCACCTCAGCCTCCCGAGTAACAGGGACTACAGGTGTATGCCATCACATCTGGCTAATTTTTGTATTTTTTGTAGAGATGGGGTTTTGCCATGTTGCCCAGGGTGGTCTCAAACTTGTGAGCTCAAGTGATTGGCCTGCCTCAGCCTACCAAAATGCTGGGATTACAGGCATGAGCCATCACGCTCAGCCTGAGAGGCCCCCATCTTCTAATACCATCACCTTGGTGGTGAGGTTTCAACATGGGAATTTTGGAGGGACATATACATTCAAACCATAGCAGATTTCAGCATTCACTTTAGCGCCATTTTGCCATTTTAGGCTGAAGCCAAACATCCGAGGCCTCCATACCCCAAACCCCATCCCAGATACAGCCACATTCATGGACCTCCTGATCTGGAATCTGAATCTTCATACCTTTAAATCTATGTTCACGCTGGTTTTCTCCTTTCCCACATCCCTTCTTTTAATTCCCATCTTTTAAAACACAAGGACCTTGACTTAACGTTCAACACTATAAATGTTTCTTCTCACTCTACTGAGAGGTAGCCTAGCATGATGGGAAAAATACATAGACATTGATCCAGATCATCTGGAATAAAATCTCAACTGCCATTGACAAGCTCTGTGACATTGAGCAAGCTACTTGACTACTTGCACCTTGTTTTCCTCATCTGTTAAACAGGGATAATAGGCTGGGCGTGGTGGCTCACGCCTGTAATCCCAGCACTTTGGGGGGCCAAAGCGGGTGGATCAACTGAGGTCACGAGTTCAAGACCAGCCTGGCCAACATGGCAAAACCTTGTCTCTACTAAAAATACAAAGATTAGCTGGGCGTGGTAATGAGCACCTGTAATCCCAGCTACTTGAGAGGCTGAAGCAGGAGAATCGCTTGAACCCAGGGGGCGGAGGTTGCAGTGAGCTGAGATCGCACCACTGCACTCCAGTGGTGACAAAGGGATACTCAATCTCAAAAGAAAAGCAGGGGGGAGGTGTTAATAAAGTCAGACTCATAGGCCAATATTTATAAAGCATAGAAGTATTAGACACAGTAAACACTTGAAAATATTAATTATTGTTATTATGGTTACTGGACTCTAAAATAGTATTCTCTTCTGTTGCTATTGAAGTGTGCAAAGTTTTCACTCCTAAACTAAATACTCCCCTCCCAAAGCTACTGGGTCTTTTGGGCTGTGCTGCTTCTTATAGTTTCTTGGCCTTAGTCCCTACACATAATGGTTAAGAGCTTATGCTCTGTAGCCAGATTTTCTGGATCCGTGACCTCGAGTCCTGTCTTGGGCAATTTAACTCAGTCTCTAAGCCTCAGTGTCTCTATCTATAAAATGACCTAACAATAACTCCTGCCTCCGGAGGTTGGTTTTGAAGGTTCAATATGATAAACCCTGTAAAGTGCTTAACAAGTTGCTAGCATGTAGACCAGATAATTATTTGATGCGGGGGCTGTTCTATGCATTGTAGGATGTTTAAGCAGCATCCTGGTCTCTACCCACTGGATGCAAATAAGCATCCCTCCTGACCAGTCGTGACAATCAAAAATATCTCCAGACATCTCCAAATGTCCCTTTGGTGGGGGTCAGGGAGGACAAAATAGCTTCCTGTTGAGAACCAGTGGGCTACCCTGTTGGGGCCCAGAAAGACGTTGACCCATACTATTCTATCTTCTTGGCTCCTTTTTACTTCTTAAATTGTTCTGCAAATTGCTTTCTCTATAAATTTCACCCTTTCTGCTCCCCCATAACTTAAGTCTATCCAGCCTTTAGCTTGACATGATACCAACCCTGACCCTCATACATGTCCTTGCCTTAATAGCTCCAGCATCCAAACGGCTAACTTATATTTCTCTTTATGCAGATTGCATAAAGACTCTGATTGGCTAAACCAGGATCAAGTATCAAACTCTAGTCCAATAAGCTGTGACCAGCAGAGAAGCAGCATTTGGAATGAACATAAAATCGTGGGATCCCACCCTTTCAGCAGGTGACCTGGGGTGCTTTCAAGAAAGAA
The DNA here is from genome assembly GCF_000001405.40 of Homo sapiens. Lineage (NCBI taxonomy): Eukaryota > Metazoa > Chordata > Mammalia > Primates > Hominidae > Homo > Homo sapiens. Next base: position 118,458,374 of record NC_000012.12, on the reverse strand, counting down.
GTGTGGCCACATCAGGTATCCCCGAACCCATTTCTATGGCATCTGCCTTCTCTCTTTCCCTCAAGTAGTCCTTGAACATATCTCCCACTGCCAAGGAGCCTGTCCCCACCTGCTTCTATCAATTTTTTGCTTCTCGTCAGTCACAGGTTTTGAATACTGCTTTCAAAGAATGAACAGCCTCCAAAAATGAATCCCAGGTAATGTCAAAACATTTATTTTTTTTCTTAAGAGAACTTTCTTAACTCCCCTTGGATTCTCAGGATTGATTCAAATAATTAAGGTGGCAAATTGGTGAAGTATTAAAAGGGATCATAATATGCCAACCCAAAATATGCCATTTTGGCATAAGGATTGTTTGAAGCTAAAAGGAATTAAGAAGCAGCAAATTCAGAAAGAGCTCTTTAACTCCCCACTCTGTGCCTAAAAGCAGGACATAAATTTCCCTTTGTGAAGATCGTCTCTCTCCCTTCTCCCATACCAGAAAGAGGAAAAACAGCCATTATCACTGGAGGCATAAAATTGATACAAAGATGGGTCTATGCAAATAAACCTTACAAAAATAATGCTTATTTTCCATTCGTTTTTCCCATTTATCTTCTCACAATTTACCACACCTAGAAGCCCAAATTCTTTCTCCTTTTTCTTGTCACTGCTCCACAAATTTATCATCTTTTGTTAAAATGGTATATAAAATCCCAGGTTTAACCACCTATTTGGATCTTCATTTCTTTGCTATGAAGTCCTCTATGTATGTGAAAAACATAAAGGATAAAAATTAAAATATTAAAATCAGATAAAGCTTGCTTGCCTTTTCTCCTGTTAATCTGTCTTTTGTCAGTCTAACTCATGGGTCCCACCTATAGAACCTAAAAGAGTAGAGGGAAAGCTTTTTCTCTTCCCTACAGTGTTATAAGCACACTAGGCCAATGTGTTTTCTTAGTTTTACTTGGAACACAACCCTTTGGAAGGCAATAAATATTTTTAAGTTGCATACAATTTCAGGGCAGTTCATTGCCCTTATCCTAATGCCATGCCATGTATCCTCTAAGATCTTACACATATATAGAAATATAATATATATAAATCAATTAAACATATATTATATCCAGGGTGTTGGCAACACACCCACATTTACCTTATGAATTTGATTATGAAAAAGCAAAAAATTCATCCTGCATCTCTTAAAACCAGTCACACTAGAATTTGACCCCAATGCCTCAGGAAAAGAAAGGTCACAATCAAAATGCAAAAAGAAACAAGTTAATTCTTGCCTTTTGACCTTGTAAAGACCCAGGACAATTTAAGAGAATTTTGGCCACACAAAATTTTTGCCTTAAGCACTAACATTTAACCTCCTATTCAAGATATAACCCCACATACTTTCCATACCAATCATTTTCAAACAGGACTCTACCTTGTATAGTCATGAAATCAATTTAGTGGGTCATGATCAGCATTTTTTTAAAGAATGAGACAGAACAGAAAAAGAAAATTTCAGGGAGGATGATTCATAGTATAATTATTTTTTCATACCACTTTTGCTTTTTTGTGTGTATATGTGTGTACTGAGTTGTGATTAAACATATATTTCTGACTTAGGTCAAAGATGCTTGAAAGTCATCATTCTGTATTCTGTACTGTTCAACACAGTAGTAACTAGCTACATGTGGATACTGAACACTTGAAATATGGTTGATCAGAATTGACATGTGCTGTGAGTATAAAATACACACTGGGTTTCAAAGACTAACTGTGGGGAAAAAGGGGGCCAGATTTGGCGGTTCACGCGTTTCTTACAACACTTTGGGAGGCTGAGGCAGGTGGATCACTTGAGCCCAGGAGTTCAAGACCAGCCTGGACTGAACAACATAACAAGACCCAGTCACTACAAAAAAATACAAAAATTAGCCAGGCGTGGTGGCACATGCCTGTAGCCCCAGCTATTTAGGAGGCTGAGGTCAGAGGATCACCTGAGTCTGGATGGCAGAGGTTGCAGTGAGCCAAGATAGTGCCACTGCATTCCAGCCTGGGCAACAGAGTGAGACACTGTCTCAAAAAAAAAAAATGTAGACCATATCATTAATAATTTTTTATGCTGGGTGCGATGGCTCACACCTGTAATCCCAGCACTTTGGGAGGCCGAGGCAGGCAGATCACGAGGTCAGGAGCTCGAGACCAGTCTGGCCAACATAGTGAAATCCCATCTCTACTAAAAATATAAAAAATTAGCTGGGTGTGGTGGTGTGCACCAGTAATCCCAGCTACTAGGGAGGCTGAGGCAGGAGAATCACGTGAACCTGGGAGGTGGAGGTTGCAAGTGGAGGTTGCAAGATCTCGCCACTGCACTCCAGTCTAAGTGACAGTATGAGACCCCATCTAAAAATAATAATAATAATAATTTTTTAGATTGAGTGCATGTTGAAATGATAACATTTTATTTTGGATATACTGAGTTAAAGAAAACATTATTAAAATTAATTTCACATGCTCCTTTTAACTTTTTTATAATGTGGCTACTAGAAAATTTAAAATTACATATGTGGTGGTCATTATATGCCTATTGGACAGTGGTGTTCTATATGTCTTAGTAAAGTATTGTGCATGTGTGTATATATATATATATATACACACACACATACATATATATACACACATATCACCCTAACATATATATATACGTTATATATACATATATATACACATGTATGTACATATAATATATTTATAACTGGTTTATAATACAGCGTCTTTAAATAGTATCTATCACCATATTATTACAAACACTTGGGAAAATTTGTTCAGTGTCAAAATGGCTGCCAGCTTTTTAATGTCAAGTAAAATGGCTGTCATCTGAAGCCCCTACTTCCAATGCAGAGAGTACCTTTAGACTCAGCCTAGGTGTACACATTCACCTAACTAACTTAGTCTGATGTTGCAGGGTCTTGGCAGAGATGACAAACTCGATGGCATGTTCTTATATTTTCTCTTTACCTTATTAATTCAGAAAGGATTATGGCCATGCTGCTAATGGTTATGCACTCCAAATGACCAGACATTCTGAATCACACAGGAAATGGTTGCATATCTACTTCCTGTGTTCCCTTTAAATCTCTTCATGCATCAGCTTTACCATTCAATCTCATTCTCTGTGTTTTCCTTTCCTCTCTTAGCTGAGGGAAAGTAATATTACCTATCAATCATAATATTGATATTTCTACTGTCCAAGAAATGCTATAATGACTCCCCCAGCAGGTGCACACACACATATACACCTGCTACTCCTGATCGATTCTAGCCTCTCTGGGAGCCACTCACATATTCCCCTGGCTTGACTCCTTCTATATCCAACATATCTAATTATATTGATCTTAGGAATTCTTTTCCTTCTGGTAAATAAAATGGTAATAATAATAATACAATAGCTGCCTTTTATGGAGTACTTATCTTCCGGACATTATGCTGAGCACTTTCTGTCATGAAAGCATTACAACAATTTTGTGGTGTGGATACATATCCCATTTTAGAAATAAGGAAACTGGCCAGGTGCAGTGGCTCATGCCTGTAATCCCAACAGTTTGGGAGGCCAAGGTGGGCAGATCGCTTGTGGTCAGGGGTTCGACACCAGCCTGGCCAACATGGTGAAACCCGTCTCTACTAAAAATACAAAAATTAGCTGGGCACAGTGGCACGCACCTATAATCTCAGCTACTTAGGAGGCTGAGACTCAAGAATTGCTTGAACTTGGGAGGCAGAGGTTGCAGTGAGCTGAGATCGTGCCACTGCACTCCAGCCTGGGTGACATCTTAAAAAAAAATAGTAATCACTGCAAGAGAAAAAAATGACATACATGTAGCTACAATAAAAAGATTTCTGGCAAATAGAGATAATAAGACATTGTCCCACAAAAAAAAGCATTATAAAAGAGAAAGAGAGAAAGAAAGAAAGAGAGAGAAACAGAGAGAGAGAGGGAGGGAGGATGGAAGGAAGGAAGGAAGGAAAAAGAAAGAAACTTTGTTTTATGAAATGACCCAAATTGTAAGATTCATGATGTCTTGTTCAACATACAACCAAGATATACAAAGAGTACCTGGCACATATGTGTAAGTGCTCAATAAACATTGGTTGCATAGATAAGTGAATGAATGAATGATGGAATACACCACTTTCTACTTTTATTTATAGCTGTGTCTATGTGTCATCCACCTTTCAAGTAAAGCTGAGTTCCTTGAGGGTTGGATTTATCTTTGCATTTCCTGTAATAAGAACAATTCCTGCCACAGAGTGGACACTCAAAGATATGTTTAATAAATCAATAAAAGAATAGATGATTAAATAAATGTCACTTTTCCACCACTTCAGATACAACATTCTCTTGCTAAGAATCATTCAATGCCTCCCTATTACTCTTAGGCTAAAGTCCAGACTATTCTCCATGGCCTACAAAGATTTAGCACTCAAGCCACATCTCTTTTACTTGGAATTCCAGCTACACTAAACTTGGAGCTCCTCAAATTCATTGTTAGGGTAAAGATCAGAGTCCCTACTTCCCCACTCAGGGCCCTTCACCTGGCCCATCATCACCTGCTCCCAATCCCACTGCTATTCCTTCATCTGGCTAAGTCCTTCTTGTCTCCCGGTGAAGTCTTTCCTGACCCATCTCTAGCTTAATACACTTCATATAGCTCTCATTGTATCCTGTACCACTGCTTTGCAGTGTTTGTCACAAGAATAAATTATTGTTTTTGTGTTTCTTTTTTTTTTGAGACAGAGTCTCGCTCTGTCGCCCAGGCTGGAGTGCAGTGGCACCATTTCACTGTAACCTTCACCTCCCAGGTTCAAGAGATTCTCCTGCCTCAGCCTCCCGAGTAGCTGGGATGACAGGCACACGCCACCGCACCTGGCTAATTTTTGTATTTTTAGTAAAGACGGGGTTTCACCATGTTGGCCAGGCTGGTCTCAAACTCCTGACCTCAGGTGATCCACCCACCTCAGCCTCCCAAAGTGCTGGGATTATAGGCATGAGCCACCACACCCAGACAATTTTTGTGTTTCTTTTATCTAGTATTTATTTCCTCCATTCAGCTATAAGTTCCATGAGATAAGGAGTGTGTCTGTTTTAGTTTTTCACCATGTTATCTAGTACCTAGGACAGAGGTAGGAAACCAATGGCCCATACATATTTTTTTTGACCTGCCCTCCAGATGTTTTTTTCCTACAATTTGAATTCATTATAAAACTTAAAATATATATATATATTTTTAAAAATCTGAATTTCTGGCTTCTCTTGAAAGAAAAGAATCCAAAGATCTGAAATGACTGCACAACTGTCAGGATAGGTGAGCAATGCTGCAGTAACAATCTCAAAAACTCAGATGGATTTCTCACTCACACTCCATGTCCACTGTAGGAGGCCGGGGCTCTGCTCCCATTGCCTGAGTTCTAACTGGAGCATCAACTGTCACTGTGGCTGAAGGGAAATGAGACCCAAGCAAACCATGTCCAGTCTTTTTTTTTTTTTTTTTTTTGAGATGGAGTCTCGCTCTGTCACCCAGGCTGGAGTGTAGTGGTACAATCTCAGCTCACTGCAAGCTCCACCTCCCGGGTTCAAGTGATTCTCATGCTTCAGCCTCCCGAGTAGCTGGGACTACAGGCGCCCGCCACCACACCCAGCTAATTTTTGTATTTTTAGTAAAGATGGGATTTTGCCATATTGGCCAGGCTGGTCTCAAACTCCTGACCTCAAGTGATCGGCCCGCCTTAGCTTCCCAAAGTGCTAGGATTACAGACGTAAGCCACCACGCCCAGCCCACCCATGTTTCACTGGCCAAATCAGTCGGTGGGATGGGGATGTAATGGGATGTAATCCCTCTTCAGGAGGGGAAACAGCACATCTGGAATGCAGTAATACACATCTATCCCAGAGAAACAATTGTCTAAACTTGAAAAGCAGCTGTCTTCTTTAGAGGGGACATTTACTCTCTAGTTTGACACACACTTCTCTTCATTCATTACTCTTCGTATATTACACCAACTCCCTGCAGGAATTTAACTTTACAACCCCTTTTAGTAGGGATTGCAAAAGAATCAATACATGAATAAATGAATAAGCCCTTCTGTTTATTATGGCATGGGTGAAAACCGGCTTCTTGAGATGCATCCCTTCACACCATGCCCTGGCTGGTCACTCACTGCCTTTTTCGGGGCACCCCTGCCTGGACTAGCTCCACCCCCAGGGACCACTGCATTAGCTGAACAGGGCGGAAAACACCCCTACGCAGATGCCCCGCAATTACAGCACAAATGAAGTGACTGAGCAGCTATGACTCAGGACAGGTTGGTCATCATTTATGAAACAGGTGGGGCTCTGTAGGAATGAGGAGGCAGCATCCGTGGTAGGTAAGGGGCACTGATAGGTGAAAAAAAGTGCTGGGTGCAGCCTCATTATTTTTTGTAATGGCCTTGGGATCAAATATTCTTCTCAAATACCTTGTCTCCCATAGTGGCAAGAAAGAGGAGTCTCTTTGCTCTGTTGATGGATTCAGGGGCATGGAGGGTTGTTTCCTTTGTGTTGTAAAGGTATAGCTTTTTTCTGAACCTTTATTTCTAAGAAACCTAGGTTACGAATTATTTGTGAAATAATCTCCTGTCCCAATCAGCATTGGTTCTGCTACCTCCCTTCCACCAGGCTACCAGATTTTTAAATGATCTCCTCCTATACCAGTGTTCCTATTTGGAAACTTGAGATGACATCATTCTAATTTTAACCATGTCCCAAATCTTCCCCTTTTTCTGATTCTCATCTGTTCACTCTCTCATATGTATCTCTGTGTGTATATACTTACATACGCATAGATGTATATGAATGTCTATATCAATGTCATTATTTCTTCCAGTGAACATTTATTACAATGTTAGACATTTGGGGTCAAATGATGAGCAAGATAAGAATGGGTGCTGGCCCTCTGGAGTCCGGAGTCCTAACAGGAAGGCATAGCAATAATATGAAATTGTTGGGATAAATTCTACAATAAAAGGAGTTCAGAGCGCATAGGAAGCCTGAACCCAGACCTGGAAGGTTCAGCGACAACTTCTCAGAAGAGATGGCATTTAAACTAAAATCCAGAGATCAATAGCAATTAGTGAGGTGACTCCAGGCAGCAGGAACAACCGTGAGAGGATCCAGAGTACAAAAAAAGCATGGAATCTGTAAGGAGCAAACAAGTCTCTTTCGGCTAGAACATCAGTAGGAAGAGCAGGGTCCAAAGCAGGTGGGGGAAATAGAGAAGAAGCTAATGAGGAAAGCAAGGGCCAGATCTTTTAAGGTTTTACATGCTCTGTGAAGCAGCTGGAACTTAATTCTGAGTGAAGCAGGAAGTCAATGATGGATTTTAAGCAGGAGGGTGATATGATCCGATTTACATTTGCTCCATGGGGCTATTCAAAACACTCAGCAGCCCAGAAGTCTTGGCACTGACCCATCAGAAGAGATGTAGACAGGGTCCTGAAGGCGTCTGTTTCTTCTAGGCATTCACCCATTGGTTGTTGGAGATCTGAAGTGTCCCAGGGAAGAGGTAGGGCTGTCTAGAGGACAGGGGCCCCGGGACAGTGTACTTTCTGCTAATCATTTACCAATGCATGGATTATATCTAAAAATCTACATATGAGAAAGATGAAGGAATGCTACACAAGCAAAAGTCACCTTTTTTTGGATGACAAAATTCATGCTCTTGTTGAGAAGTAATGTTTTGACAACCAGTATGACTGTCCTGGGGCATAACAGCTAAGCGTGTGTCCTAATGTCTGCACAGAACATATAAGCCAGGATAATATTTTGAAAAGTGAACCAATGTCCTTTCCTCTCATTATCATATGTTATCCCATGATCCTTCTCTGTTTGAGTGGTCAGACCACAGAGAGTTGAAAGCAGAAGAAGGGCTTTTAAATTTCAAAACCCTGTGAACCCTGAAGGGTCTTGGGCCTCAAGAAAACAAACACGAGTCAGACCAGGGTTTCTTGCCTTCAAGACTCCATAAAAGGGAAAGGGAGGAGGCGGAGAGCTTGGGCATTAGGGATACATGCCTCCTACCCCATTCGAAGCCACAGAAACTCCAGAAAGGAATCAGAGCTGGGAATCTGAGCTCTGTTTTGAGTGTTCACCCAAGAAGCCATGAAGGAACCAAGGGGATAAATAGCTACAATCCAGTCACAGGAAACAGTATCTCCCCACTTGCCCCCCAATACTTTACTATTACTAAGCATTATTTAAGCCTCCTGGAACTTAAAAAAGAAAAAGTCGAGCTCTAAAACCCCAGTTATAAAAGGCATTCTTGGGATAATTGGGGGATTTTGACTACAAGCTAGATTTTAGATGATACTATGAAAATTATTGCTAATTTTCTTAACCATGGTAATGGTAACGCGATTATGTAGAAGAAAGTTCTTTTTCTTAGGAAAATGCATGCTGAAGTATTAAGAGGTAAAGTGTCATAATTTCTGGCAAATTATCTTCAAAGAGAGAAAGCAAATATAGCAAAATGTTAACAATTGATCTAAGAGGGGTATGTGGATACTTATTGTATTATTTCTGTAACTTCTACATATTTTAACTTTAAAAATATGTAAACTTTTATAATACATTTTTATAATAAAGCTAATAATTGTAATTATAAATACCAGAAGGCATGAGAAAAAAATGTTGATGCAATAATAAGTTAAAATGTTTTAAGTAGGATAAAGAATGGCTTGCATTGAGTATATTCATAAATTTGTAAAAACATACACATGAAAAAGTGAAGACGATACAAGTAAATAGTTATTTAATTAGAATGGTGGGGTTATCTCTAGCATTTTCCTCTATTTCTCATCTGTTCTGTACTTGATGATATTAAACAAGTACTTTAAAATGTTACCTTTAAAAAAGGGGAATGGCGATTCCTCAGAGACCTAGAACTGAAATACCATCTGACCCAGCAATCCCATTACTGGGTATATACCCAAAGGAATATAAATCATTCTATTATAAAGATACATACACATATATGTTCATTGCAGCACTATTCACAATAGCAAAGACATGGAATCAACCCAAATGCCCATCAATGTTAGGCCAGATAAAGAAAATGTGGTATGTATAACACCATGGAATACTATGCAGCCATAAAAAGGAGTGAGATCACATCCTTTGCAGGGACATGGATAGAGCTGGAAGCCATTATCCTCAGCAAATAATGCAGGAACAGAAAACCATTACACCACATATTCTCATTTATAAGTGGGAGCTGAACAATGAGAACACATGGACACAGGAAGGGGAACAACATACCCTGGGGCCTGTTGTGGGGGTGGTGGGGAGGGAGAGCATCAGGATAAGTAGCTAATGAATGCAGGGCTTAATACCTAGATGATGGGTTGATCTTTGTAGCAAACCACCATGGCACACATTTACCTATGTAACAAACCTGCACATCCTGCACATGTATCCTGAAACTTAAAATTAAATTGAATTATTTTTTTAAAAAAGAGAGGGAAGTGGAGAGAAGAGATTCTGAACTGACTGAGATCAAGTAACAACCACCCCCATGATGGGAGCTCAGAATAAAATTTTAATTGAATGATGGAAAAGTAAGAAAGTGGCTTTATGTTATTCCTGGGTTAGTAGACCAAGAGTTTACATGCGCCAGGTTTCCTAGATGCAAGCTATAGAAATCACCTCTGGCTCCTGTAAGCATTCTGGAGATGATGGGGAGCTCATAGAATGACCAGAAAGGCTGAAGAGCCAAGCCTGGCAAGTGAATAGGCAAAAAGCAAGACTGGCCAGCTGCCAGGACCTCTGCCAGATTCAGGCAGCAAGAGCAGCTCAAGGAAGACAGGACTGCAGCAATCCCCAAGCTGAGGGCACTACAGTTTAGACCTTGGCCCCTGCTAGCCCTGGGCACTGAGTGCTGCCACTGGCACCATTATTGCCCTCTAGAAACCCCCTGCTGCTCCTGCCACTTCCATAACTGCTCCTCCATTGCCCCTATTCTGCATGACACTGATTCCATTTCAAAGTCTCACACAAGTGCATCTGACTGGCCAACTCCATGTCACATGATCACACCTGAGCTGCAAAGGATCCTGGGAAGGCAAATACCTCATTGTCAGAGCTTCTCTTGTGAGAGGAGCATTCTGCCTCCCCACAAGACTCATATAATGGGAAATTTTCCAAATATAGAATGAAGATTCTAACACTGGGCAGCCAAAAAATGACAAATGTCACCACACAACTGTTCCTGCCACAACAATTGCACCAGGCACTGGATAGGAAAAAATAAGACCAAGATTTGGCCTCTGCTCTCAAGATGCAATTTTGAGAGTGGAGGCTATATCTTACGCTTCTTTGCTAATCCATGGTGCTTGGCAGAGAGTAAACTCTTAATAAGTGTTTGCTAAATAAATAAAAATAAATGAACAATCTTGCCTGGATAAATCAAATGACCCCTTTGCAGGCAGGGGACTACACAAAATAAGTCTGCAGGACCTTCTAGCAAGAAGATTCTTGGGATGTATGATCTTGCCTGAAATGGCTGAGACTCACAGTGATCTTTTGGAAACCGTCTATGAACCAGAAGCTAGAGTGAAACTGCACAGATGCACTAAGCCTCAGCACAACCCAAATATTACATTTTGAAATGGATCCACCTAGAAATCCAGTTCAAATTGAGTCTAAATCTAAACATCCTCTAAAACAATTGAACAAGAATGAAATTTGTTCTGTCCCTGCTTTCGGTTGAATTTTCCTATCTTTTAAACAAAAGGCCCAGTGCCATTAGTTTTGGTCATACACTGGCCTATGGTGCTATACTGGGCTGCTATGTCACAGCACACACCAGCAATAATTTTATAAATGTGTTCTTCCCAGCTTCCTACCTCTGAGCTTGAATCGATTTCTGGTCACACCTTGCACATTTCGTGCCAAAAGGCTGCAGTGAGGGTTACTAAGGGTTGGTGTGAAATCACTTGTTTTGCAGATCTTTAAACGTAAGTAAGAATCACCTCTCCTTTCGGTGGTTTTGGCCTCAGTTCAACTAGATGCAAAGTTGCTAGATTCTGTTCAGTCTCTGGACTTTTCATTAATTTGTTCATTCAACAAATTTATATCAACTGCCTACTATGGGTCAGGAACTGTGCTAATCCTGGGGATATAGCAGTGATCAGAAAAGAGATGGTCCTTGAATTCATGACACTTAATATTCTAGATGGAGACCCATAAATCAATGTGCAATTACAAAATGGAATAGGTATGGGGGGAATGGGGTGCTATATATGAAAATAATGGGAAATCTAATTTGGATTGGGTAGGGTGGAGGAAAAGAAAGCCTTCTCAAGGACATTTAAGCTGCATTCTAAATGATGAGAAGAGTTGCTGTGGGCTGAATCATGTCCTTTCCCCACCCCCACCACCCACTACCAAAATTCACATGTTGAAGTCCTAACTCCTAGTACCTCAAAGTGTGACTGTATTTGGAGATGAGGTCTCGAAAGAGGTAATTAAATTAAAATGAGATGATTATGGTGGGTCCTAATCTGACTGTTGTCCTCATAAAAAGAGGAAATTTAGACCCAGACACAGAGGGAAGACCATGTGAAGACATGGGGAGAAGGTGGCCATCTACAAGCTTCCCATTCATTTTCCACCATGATTGTAAGTTTCCTGAGGCCTCCTGGCCATGCTTCCCGTTAAGCCTGTCAAACTGTGAGTCAATTAAACCTCTTTTCTTCATAAATTACCCAGTCTCAGGTATGACTTCACAGCAGTGTGAGAACAGACTAATACAGATGGTACATCAGCTTCTGGCTTGAATACCTGGGAGCACTTAATATAACACATTTTCTTTTGTGTAGAGAAACTTTTGGAAGAGAGTGTGGGTTCCACCCTGCCATCTGCTGGCTGAGACACCAGACAAGAGGTTGAACCTCTTTCTGGCAAAAGTCAAGGTGCTTAGCTTGGCAAACAAGGTGCTAAATCTACCCCCTCCCGGCCTCTTCAGCTGCCCCTTTCATGGCCCACCCACAGACATCTCAGGCTCTGGACGGACCAAGTTTCTCGCCTTTTGCAAACACCTCTCCCTTCCTTAAGTGTCGTCCTTGTTCCCTCAGTGTAGAACATTTACATTCTACCTCCCTGGAAACCCCTGCCTGTCATCACATACCCTGCCCAGATGTAACAACTTCTTCAAAACCTCCCATGACTCCCCAGCTTTCTACCTTGACCCCACCTCTCCCTATAGTAGTTAATTTTTGTGATCCACCCTCTTTACCCAAGCCCCCTGAAGGAGGTGTCTACACTCTGTTCTCACATAATTACTTCCCTCTCAGTCCACTGCCGTCAGCTCCTGCACTCCACTGGAACTGGTTTGCCCAAGGCACTAATTACATCCATGTCATTCTCTCATCTATCTATACAGCTTCCTGTTCTTTCCTTCCAATCACTATTCCAATTTGTAATTGTATATTCAATTATGGATTTCTTTCTAGAATGTAAGTGCAGTAAATTCAAGGCTAAACCCATGTTGCTGAATCCAAAGGATACTTTTCTTTTCTTTTTTGAGACAGGATCTTGCTCTGTCACCCAGGCTGGAGTGTAGTGGTGCAATCACTGCTCACTGCAGCCTCAACCTCCTGGGTTCAAGCAGTCCTCCCACCTTAGCCTCTCAAGTAGCTGGAACCACAGGTACATGCCACCATGCCCAGCTAATTTTTGTAGAGACAGGGTCTCCTTGTTGACCAGGCTGGTATTGAACTCTTGACCTAAAGCAATCCTCCTGCCTCAGGCTCCCAAAGTGCTAAGATTTCAGGCATGATCCACCATGCCTAGCCCAATGGAGACCTTGGACCACTGGTTTTTCTCCCCTCTGCACAAAATTTGATAGTGTACATGCATTCCTTTTTAAAAAACATTTTACACTGAAATGTTTCAAGTCTATAAAAAAGTTGTAAGAATAGTACAGTGAATACTCATGTATCCTTACCCAGATTTACCAAATAATATTTTGCCTCATTTGCCTTAAGTATCTATTTATCCTTTTTATTTTTTCAGAACCATGGAAGGTGCTTAATCTGTTTGGGCTACTACAAAAAAATACTATAACCTAGACAGTTTATAAGCAACAGAATTTTTCCCCCACAGTTCTAGAGGCTGGGAAGTCCAAGACCAAGTTGCCAGGCATTCAGTATCTGGTGAGAGCCAGCTGTTCTCTCACTGTAACCTCTGACATGAATGGGAGATTAGAGCCCTCATGACCTATCACCTCTGAAGGTCCCATCTCCAAATTTTCACACATTAGGGATTAGGCTTCAACATATGAATTTTGGAAGGACACAAACATTCAGATCATAGCAGAAGGGTAAATGGAATACATCCCAAACTTTCACCTCAAAATATCTCAGCACATATTTCCTAAGAACAAAGGTATTCTATTATACAATCACAACACAATTATCAAATTTAGGAAAAATAACATTGATGTAATACTATTATCTAGTCAGCTGCCCATTTTAAAATTTTGTCAGTTGTCTTTATAATGTCTTTCATAACTTTTTTCTTTGCTGATGCAAGATCAAATATAGAGCCACATTTACTTGTTATGGCTCTTTAGTCTCCTTTTATTACATCTGGAGGCCTTTCTTTTTCTTTTCTTTTCTTTTTTTTTTTTTTTTTTTTTTTTTGAGATGGAGTGATGGGGTTTTGCTCTTGTCGCCCAAGCTGGAGTGCAATGGCATGATCTCGGATCACTGTAACCTCCGCCTCCCGGGTTCAAGCGATTGTCCTGCCTCAGATTCCCGAGTAGCTGGGATCACAAGTGCGCACCACCACGCCTGGCTAATTTTTGTACTTTTAGTAGAGACAAGGTTTCGCCATGTTGACCAGGCTAGTCTCAAACTCCTGACCTCAGGTGATCTGCCTGCCTCAGCCTCCCAAAGTGCTGGGATTACAGGTGTGAGCCACTGTGCCCGGTCAGGAAGCTTACTGTTATTTCTTAGTCTTTCAAGATACAAAAAAAAAAAAATTTGAAAAGTACAGCCCAGTAGTTTTGTATAATATCCCTCAATTTGGGTTTGTCTGGGTTTTCTCATGATTAGATTCTAGACATGCATTTTTTGAAGGATATTACAGAAGACATATTGTGTCCACCTCAGTACATCGCATCAAGAGGCACATATGACACTGGCTTATCCCATCATCAGTGATGAACCTCTTCTTCATTGAAGTGTCTTCATCCCATGGCTTCTGTGGCTTTCCTCCTACCTCTCTTGTGAGTTTTTCTTAGTCATTTTCACTGGGCTCCTCTTCTTCTTAAAACCTGTAATTTCTGGCCAGGCAGGTTCCTATTTTAGGAGCCTATTCAAGGATCTTCATAGTTTAAACTCTTCTAGCCAACTTCATTCTCCTCTGTATTCTGAATCGAATCTTTTATAACTCCAATTACCACCTGTGCAGTAACAGCTCTCAAACTCTCAGCTCTCCTCACCTTGGATCTCTCTCCTAAACTCCAGACCCTGACCTGCTTACTAGACAGCTACACCAGGATGTCACCTACAATGTCTAAGACTAAATACATCATCCTCCACTATCCTAAGCCTGTTTCTCTTCCTCCTGTGATGAATGGAAACACCCAGAGCTGAAGTTTTTCACCCATTTAACAAACATTCATTGAGCACCCAGAGCCTTTCAAATTTAATTATCTAGAGCTTTGTTTCCTGGATTGTCAATTTCTTGAAATGAGAACTACGTCTGTCTTGTTTGCTATTGTATCCCTAGAAATGCCTGACACTTGAAAATGGTAGCTATTTTCAACCAAACTCTCAATTTCTTCATCTATAATGTAGAAATAATAATGGATTCCTCACAGGGCTTAGGTAAGGATCAAATGATATCACAGATGAGCAAGTTGTTTATAAACACTGTATCTTATCTCCTGGCTACTTGAAATGTCTACAGCACAGCAGCAACAACATCACCTGGGAGCTGCTTAGAAATGTGAATCTCAGCCAGGCGCGGTGGCTCACACCTGTAATCCCAGCACTGCAGAAGGCCAAGGTGGGTAGATCCCTTGAGCTCAGGAGTTCGAGACCAGCCTGGCCAACATGGTGAAACCCCATCCCTACTAAAAATATAAAAATTAGCTGGACATGGTAGTGCACGCCTATGGTCCCAGCTATTCTAGAGGCTGAGACAGGAGAATCGCTTGAACCCCAGTGGTGGAGGTTGCAGAGAGCCAAGATCATGCCACTGCACTCCAGCCTGGGCAACAGTGAGACTCAGTCTCAAAAAAAAAAAAAAGAAATGTGAATCTCAGGCTCCTCCCCAAACCTGCTGAATCAGGATCTGCATTTTATTTATTTATTTATTTTGCAGACAGGGTCTCACTCTGTTGCCCAGGCTGGTCTCAAACTCTGGCCTCAAGTGATCCTCCAACCTTGGCCTCCCAAAGCATTGGGATTACAGGCGTGAGCCACTACACCCAGCCAGGAATCAGGTGATGTGTATACACAATAAAGTTTGAAAAGGATGGCTTAATCCTAAACCAATTACACTCAGACTATAATATCTCTCCCATCTACTGTATGTATCATTTTTTCAACATTTAGTGATGGTCCTTCTCCCACAGGAAGTCTTCCCTAATCAAATCAGAAAATGCAAGGTTCACAGGAGTTGGCATAGCATTGTCAAAACAGTGACCTTTCAAATCTTGACTCTTGATGTTTGCTGTCTACTTACCTTGGGCGAGTTGCTTCATCTCTGTAAACTTCTCCAGTTTCCTCATCTGTAAAATGTGTTTGAGAGTTCCAACCTCCCCAAGTTGCTGTGATGACTAATGAAGGTGATGCATGTTAAGGATCGTATACGGAGCATGGCATGATGTGGTGACAGTCAACAAACGGTGCTTACTTGTTTCTAAATGAAGAAACTCACATATATATGGTTTCTCACTTGCCATGAATGAGTACTCTCTGAGTTTGTCTATTTTCCTTAGCTTGTTTATTTTTTCTTCTCTTAGGTTGTAAGAGAAGAAAGGGAATCTCTTTGTTCTATGCCTGGAAGAAATTACCATTTCTCAGAGATCTGGATGGCTGCAACTTTTTAAACTACTGTTTATTTAATTCGTACTATGTGCCAGACACAAGTTGACTAAGTGGAAGTGCCTGGTCTTTACATTCCCCAGGTTGCAGTCCTGTAGCACATAAGGTGGGCAGACCCTTGCACAGTAGAGGAGGACTGGAAGAAAGTGAGAGAGGGGGACAGTTGAAGGAGCAGACTGGGACGCTTGTGCTTGTTTTGCCAAAGATTATTTCAACCTGGCTGGGTGTTTTCAAGCTTCCAACTTAACAAGCTCAAAATAACAATTCCCATTGCTGCTGTCTGCCCCAGTTCCTTACCAAATAAAGGTCCTTCTTAAATATGGAGAGTCTTTTATACCTAAGGTAATTGTGGCTCCCAAAACTTCAGACTGACATTCTCCAAAACCCCATGGACATTTTGATGAACATGACACCACACACCCTCCAGGAAAATAATCACACCTTAGACACAACATGTTGTATACAATTTGGGCAAGGGGTGGGGACTGCATTTCCCTAAAGGAGACTGACAAACTTTCCACTAAAAATTCCTTCATTTTAGGCCTGTTTGCTTCACTTCACATAGACCCTAGTGTACCAACACACACACATGCATGCGTGCACACAAGTGCGCGTGCACACAAGTGCGCATACACACACTGCATCTTCAATCACTTCATTTACCTCTCTATCTCCAGAAGAATCAATTAACATTTTCCTGGCAGCAAAGTGGAGACATGTTTTGTCTAGAGATTACACAGATTAAATCATCAAGTGCCATAATCCACCCCCCAATAAGGCAGAAAGAGACAATAACATTCAGATCCAGCCATCTAAGCCCCAGCAGGGAACTGTAAATTTGCCCCTGAGGAGCATCCTGGACCTCAGGAAAGCCCAAGTGCTTCGGCTGTCTGCCTGGGAAAAGCGCTCCTCTGATCTAATTGACACTGTTCAGAGGCAAACACATCTTCTGTGCAATGTGATTTTTTTTTTTAACTGCAAAGTCAGAAAGACAGGAGTTGCTTGGGAGCTGCTAACAACTTCATTTCTCCCTTATTACTGTTTAACTATGTAAATTCTCAAAATAGGTTTTCTTTAAACCAAAGTTAAGCATTTTGGCTCCAACCTTCAGCAAAAAACCAAGTCCAATAGTTAAATGCATGGGACCTGTATGGAATCAAACTACTTGGATTTCTTTGAATGCTGACTCCACTTTTCTCTGAGCCTGGTTACCCATGTGTATAATGGGGTAATATTAACACCTACTTTGTGGGGCTCTTTTAGAGTTATTGAGGTGGTTTGTGTAAAGACCTTAACATAGTGCCTTGTACATGGCAAGAACTCAGCAAAACCCATGTATTAGTCCATTTTCCTATTGCAATGAAGAAACACCCAAGACTGGGTAATTTATGAAGAAAAAGAGGTTTAATGGACTCACAGTTCCACATGGCTGCGGAAGCCTCACAATGAAGACAAACGAGGAGCAAAAGCATGCCTTACATGGTGGCAAGCAAGAGAGCATGTGCAGGGGAACGGCTCTTTATAAAACCATCAGATCTCATGAGACTTATTCACTATCATGAGAACAGCATCGGAAAAATGCCCCCCAATGATTCAATTACCTCCCACTGGGTCCCTCCCATGACACATGGGGATTATGGGAGCCACAGCTTAAGATGAGATTTGGATATCAACCAATAACTAAAACATTGGTGTCTTAGAGCTCAGCAGACTCTAATCTTAATAGCCAGAAAACAGAATAATGAAATCCCACCTACTCCTTCCCCTCAAATGTTCTTTCATATGCTATGGCATCTAGGTAATGCATTGCACCAAACACTCTAGGACTGGCAAAAGTTCAGTACTTTAACTGATTTGGGGTTTGGAGAGAATTTTTTTATGGTAAAATATATATAACATGAAACTTGCTATTTTAAGCATTATTACATGCACAAGTCAGCAACATTAATTACATTCACAGTGTTGTGCAACCATCACCACTATCTAGTTCTAAAATTTGTCATCACCCCAAACAGAAATTCTGTACCCACTAAGCAATAACTCCCCATTCTCCCCTCTCCTAGCCCCTGATAACTTCTACTTTACTTTCTGTCTCTGTGAATTTGTCTATTCCAGATATTTCATATGGAATCATAATATTTGTTCTTTTGTGACTGGCCATTTCACTTAGCACAGTGCTTTCAAGGTGCATCCATACTGTAGCATGTTTTAGAATTTCATTCAAAGCTGATTAATATTTTATTATATGTGTGTATTACATCTTGCTTACCCATTCATGCACCCAGGGACACTTGGATTCCTTCCATCTTTTGGTTACTGTGAATAATGCTATTATTAATATTCAGGTATGCCAGGTGCAGTGGCTCACACTTGTAATCCCAGCAGTTTGGGAGGCCGAGGCGGGCAGACCACCTGAGGTCAGGAGTTTGAGACCAACCTGGCCAATATGGTGAAACCCCATCTCTACTAAAACTACAAAAAAAGTTAGCTAGGCGTGGTGGTACATGCCTGTAATCCCAGCTGCTTGGGAGGTTAAGGCAGGAGACTCACTTGAACCTGGGAGGTGGAGGTTGCAATGAGCCAAGATCGCGCCACTGCACTCCAGCCTGGGTGACAGAATGAGATTCTGTCTTAAAAATAAAAAAAAAAAAATCCAGGTGCAAATATCTGTTTGAGTATCTGTTTTCAATTCTTTTGGACATATACCTAGGAGTAGAACTGCCAAACCCTATGGTAATTTTATATTTAACTTTCTGAAGAGCCATCAATCTGTTTTCCACAAAAGCTACACCATCTGACATTCCTGCCAGCAATGCAGGGTTCCAATTTCTCTGCATTGTCTCCAACACTTGTTATTTTTGGTAACTCATTTGTTTTTAATGACATCTCAAGACTGTTTCAATAATATATGTATTAATCAGGATTCTCCAGAGAAACAGAACCAAGAGGATTGATTGACTGATCAATCAATTATAGGAATTGGTCACGTGATTATAGAGGCCAAGAAGTCCCACAATCTGCCATGTGCAAAGCAAAGAACTAGGAAAGCTGGTGTGTAATTCAGTCCCAGACTGAAGGCCCAAAAATTAGGAGTGTCGGTATCTGAGGGCAGAAAAAGACAGATATCCCAGATAAAACCAAGCAAATTCAACCTTCTTTCACCTCTTTGTTTATTTGCACCCTCGATGGATTAGACAATGCTCACCCACATTGGGAGGACAATCTTCTTTACTTGGTCTACGGATTCAAATGCTAATCTCTTCTAGAAACACCCTTACAGACATACACAGAAATAATGTTTGGCAACTATCTGCTCCTCCTTTTGTCCACTTAACGCATAAAATTAACCATCACAATATAGTAAACTTATTTTTCTAAAATAGTTGGGAAGTAAGTAATTCTAGTTTAGTGGTTTTCAACTAGGGACAATTTTGCCCCCATGCCCCAACCCAGGGGATATTTGCAATGTCTGGAGGCATTTTTAGTTTTCACAGTTGGGGGCAGGGAGCTACTGGCATCAAGTGGGTAGAGGCCAGGGATGCTTCTAAATTTCTACATGCATGTGACAGCCTCCCACCACAAAGAATTATGGTGGGCATATTTCTTGGGCATATCAATAGCGCCAAGGTTAAAAAACATTTTTTTGCTTGTTTTTTGTTTAAGACAGGGTCCCTCTCTGTCACCCAGGCTGGAGTGCAGTGGCACGATCACAGCTCACTGCAGCCTCCACTTTCTGGGCTCAAGCCATCCTCTCACCTCAGCCTCCCGAGTAGCTGGGACTACAGGGATGTGCCATCATGCCCAGCTAATTTTTGTACATTTTGTAGAGAAGGGTTTTTGCCATGTTGCCCAAGCTGGTTCCGAACTTCTGGGATCAAGGGATCTACCCATCTTAGCCTCCCAAAGTGCTGGGATTACAGTTGCAAGCCACTGTGCCCAGCCAAAAAAAAAAAAAAAAAAAGGTTTTATAGTTAAAAAGTTAGCCTAGAGGCTGGTCTTCAAACTAGACACAACAGAGTCACAAGATTCCAGAGGAAATTTGCAAGTAATAGAATCCCAAATTAAAACTGACTAAAAAATCATGGCACCTCAAATTTTTTAAAGCCCAGAAATCATGGAAGTTTAGCAGCTCAGTGATGCCATCAAAGATGCAGGCTTTTCCATCTCTCGGCTTTACCACCCAGGAATGCTGGCTCTTAGCCTCAAACTTGACTCCTCATGGTCTCAAACTGATTCCTGCAGATCCAGGTATCACATCGTCATAAAGCCATATACAAAGGCAGAAAAGGGCAGTTTTTCCTCTTGAGTAGGAAGAAGAAAACCTATTCCAGAACCTATGCAGCACCT
This sequence comes from Homo sapiens, assembly GCF_000001405.40. Lineage (NCBI taxonomy): Eukaryota > Metazoa > Chordata > Mammalia > Primates > Hominidae > Homo > Homo sapiens. Next base: position 118,437,905 of record NC_000012.12, on the reverse strand, counting down.
TTCATCTCGGTCTCATTCACAAGATTTGCATCACATGTTCATGTGTAAAGCAATCACTGATAAAGAGAATAAAATTGCGACATTAGGTTTAGGCTAATCAAAGTTTACCCCCTCAGGCTACAGAGGGACCATTTCCCCTGAGCTTATGGAACAGTGAACATCCAAATGACAGGAGATGTTGAAAGAACCAAACTAACCTGAAGGTTTTTTCAATGGTGCTTCCAAGCTAGCTGGTATTTGATTTCAGATGCAAATGATAAATTCCTAATTGGTTTTTTATTAAGAGAGGACATTATCCGCTCACATAACTAAAAATTTCAGGGATAGACACTGGCTTCAGATACACATGGATATTGGGGTCGGATGCCATCACCCAAACTTGCCCTTGATCTTTCTAGCCCTTAGTTCTGCTTTCCTCTGTATCGGCTTCATTCTCAGGCTAGCTCTGTTGTTGATAACACGACCCAAAAGTCCCAAGAACTGAGTCTCATTGGCTTTGACCAGTCTGACTTGAATCGCATGTCAATCATTGAACAAATCACCATGACTAGGGCAATGAAATGCTCTGACTGGCTGTAATTGGATCATATGCTTCCTCCCCCTAGTGCAGGAGAGGGATGCACTATAAGCAGGAAGGGTAATAGATGCTGGATTTGCAAAAACAACAAATGCTCACGACATGATACAGGAAAAAAACTATATAGTTTTGGCCTCTTGGTAACCTGAATGTTATAAAAATGCATAAACTCATTCCATAAACATTTGTTGAATGCTAACTATGTGCCAGATATAATGCACTGGGGAGGCAGACATAGTCTCTTCCATAGAGGACGCTGGTCCTCTCCCACTAACCCACTATATGGCCCTCAGTGAGCTTCTTGACCTCTGATTCTTCAACTCATCATCTGGAACAGGAAATGCTTGGGATGATTTCTGAGTTGCTTTCCAATTCTGTATTCAATTAATTCTATGACTTCCTTTCCACAAACTGCTCTGAATTTTTTTTCTAGATGCTATCAATCACACCAATTTGATTTTACTTGCATGACTTGTCACCCACCACAGAAGAATAAATGAAACCAGAGTGAAGTCAACTCAGAGCCCCTTTGTGACTGCATGACTGAACTTGGGCATCCAGAATTCACTGACTCTCACAGCCCAGACACCTTGTTGGTGACCGTGGTAAGAAAGCTGAGTAGAGATAGAGGGGCTCAGGCAGGGGCAATGGGGAAGGCTCCCATTGGGCAGAATGCTCTGGATCACATATACTGCTTTCACCTAGATCCTGGCTCCAGACTGGGAGAGACACTTTCAAGCCATGTCTGTAAGAGTGCTTGGCAAAAAGACTCGTTGATACCCTTCGTAGATTGCAAGCTAAAATTAGCAGCGGGCGTGAAGCTGACTCCTTCAGAGTGATTGCGGGGCCTGGAGGTGCTGGCTTCTGCTGATTACTCATGATGCTGGCTTTGCAGGGAAATGGTGGCAGGTGCTTAAAATGTTTAGTGACCCTTAAAAGACAGAATATTGTAGCTAAGCCCAAGTGTATATGTCTGTTCTATCAATCCTTTACTCTTTCCCCAAAGTGATGAGCTTTGTAATAGTCGAAGGGTAAGAGGAGTTGTGAAGGTCGGGCACTGTGTAACTTTAGGGGTGCCATGCATATGGCAGTCTAAGAAACCTAGGTGAGTGGTGCCCCCTAGAGTTACATAGTGCTCAGCCCGCACAACCATGTATGGCAGTCTTTAATGCTGAGTCCAAAACTAAGGTGAAAAGGCTGCCATGGCAGGAATCCAGAAGTTTTTCAATCAACCAACACATAAGTATTTAAGATTATAGCAGAAGTCAGGTGCCGTTGCTCATGCCTGTAATCCCAGCAGTTTGGGAGGCCAAGCTGGGTAGATCACCTAAGGTCAGAAGTTTGAGACCAGCCTGGCCAACAAGGCCATCCCCTATCTCTATTAAACATACAAAAATTAGCTGGGTGTGGTGGTGGACACATGTAATCTCGGCTTCCTGTCTTCTCAGGAGTCTGAGGCACAAGAATCACTTGAATCCGGGAGGCAGAGGTTGCCATGAGCTGAGATCGTGCCACTGCACTCCAGCCTCGGCAACAGCGAGACTCCATCTCAAAAAGAAAAAAAAAAAAGATTATAAAGGATTACAGCAGAAACTGTAGGAGCTCTGCCCATATCCCAGGTGATATGGTTTGTTTGGTTGTGTTCCCACCCAAATCTCATCTTGAATTGTAGCTCCCATAATTCTGACATGTTGCGTTGTAGGAGGGACCCAGTGGGAGATAACTGAATCATGGGGTGGTCTCCCCCCTAATGTTCTTGTGATAGTGAATAAGTCTCATGAGATCTGATGGTTTTATAAGGGGTTTCCCCTTTTGCTTGGCTCTCATTCTCTCTTGCCTGCCGCCATGTAAGACCTGCCTTTCACCTTGTGCCATGATTGTGAGGCCTCCCCAGCCATGTGGAACTGTGAGTCCATTAAATCTTTTTCTTTATAAATTACCCAGTCTCAGGTATGTCTTTATCAGCAGCATGAAAATGGACTAATACACCAGGTCACCTGTAGACATTTCCTGTCCATGGTTATGGCCTCTTGTGTCTCTCTACCTGAGGATGTTTTCTGCCACAGGGTGAACTAGAAGTGCCCAGGAGATAACGTTCCCAAGAGTGACACTCAACCAATTATGAACGGGTATTGGCCAATAAATACATTCCCCATTCTGAGACAACTCTGTGCTATTTTTCTAGTGTCCCTTAGAGCTGTTCTGTTCCACAGAGTTGTCACTAGCCACAAGGGACTATTGAGCACTTGAAATGTGCCTAGTCCAAATTGACAAGAATAAAATAAAAATACACCAGATCTCAGAGACTTGGTATGAAAAAGAAATGTAAAATATCTCATTTATAATTTTTATATTGATTACATGCTGAAGTGATGTTTTGGATATATTAGGCTAAATAAAATATATAATTTCATCTATTTCATTTTACTTTTTAAATGTGGCCACTACAAAGTTTAGAAGTAGGCTGGGTGCAGTGGTTCACGCCTGCAATCCCAGGACTTTGGGAGGCTGAGACGGGCGGATCACTTGAGGTCAGGCGTTCAAGAACAGCCTGGCCAACATGGTGAAACCCCATCTCTACTAAAAATACAAAAATTAGCTGGGCGTGGTGGTGGGTGCCTGTAATCCCAGCTACTTGGGAGGCTGAGCCAGGAGAATTGCTTGAACCCGAGAGGCAGAGGTTGCAGTGAGCTGAGATCGCACCATTGCACTCCAGCCTTGGCAACAAGAGCGAAACTCCGTCTCAAAAAAAAGAAAAGAAAAAGAAAAATTTAGAATTACACATGTGGCTTGCATTTGTGGCTTGCATTCTATAGTCATACACTGCATAACAACATAATATACCGACAGCCTGCATATACAACAGTGCTTCCATAAGGTTATGATACTGTATCTTTACCGTACTTTTTGTAAGTTTAGATATATAAATCTTTACCATTATAATTGCCTACAGTGATCAGTATGGTAACATGCTGTACAGGTTTGTAGCCTAGGAGCAAGAGGCTACTTCATATAGCTTAGGTGTGTAGTAGGCTGAACCCTCTATGTTTGTGAGTGCAATGATGTTCATGCAATGACAAAATCGTCTAACAATGCATTTTTAAAATTATTATTATTTTTTGAGACAGAGTCTCACTCTGTCACCCACGCTGGAGTGCAGTGGCACAATCCTGGCTCACTGCAACCTTCACCTCCCAGGTACGAGTGATTCTCCTGACTCAGCCTCCCCAGTAGCTGAGATTACAGGCGTGCGCCACCATACCCAGCTAATTTTTTTGTATTTTTAGTAGGGGTTTCACTATGTTGGTCAGCCTGGTCTCAAATTCCTGACCTCAAATGATCTACCCATCTCTGCCTCCCAAAGTGCTGGGATTACAGGTGTGAGCCCCTGCTCCCAACCTAACAATGCATTTCTCATACTGTACCATCATGAAGCGGTGCATGACTGTATTTCTGTTGGATAGAGCTGTCTGAAAGGGTCCCCCACAGAACTGTGCCCCGTTGCACACAGGAGGTAACTCACTTTGTCACATCCTTTTCTGTCCTTCCTTTCCCTGTCTCACTTTCCTACTTCCTCACCAACTTACGTGGGATCACCCCCCAAATCAATTAATATAACCCAAACCTTGTCTTGAGGCATACTTTTTAGGGTAACCTAAACTAAGGAACAGATTTACTACGTACAGGAAATCATGTTAATATCTACCTTTCTTTATATTCAATTTGCTATGATCCTGTAGGGAGATAAAGACACTAACAGAGAAGAGGTTAAATACCAGATTTAAATAACAGAACAAGAGATGTGCATAATTACCTCTCAAATGAGTAGTACAGAGAGCAAGTGCTAAGAGTTCAAAGGAGAAATGATATTAATATGGAATGGTACGGTTGGGGAAGGAGATTTCTGCTTGGCCCCACAAGATCCAACTGCTGTTTGCTTTGCTGCCAAAGGACGGTTGTGAAATGTAAAGCCTGGGCAAAGTCCTAGACTCAAGGAATGACTGGTGCCTAACATGAGCTGTGTGTTTTGTGGGAAGTACACTTCAAATTGCAGTGTGTGTGTGTGTGTGTATGTGTGTGTGTGTCTTGAGAGTATTATGGGGGGATGCCAGACCTGATTCTCTTATTTCACTCATCCTGCTTATAAACAAAGCTGACGGTTTTGGGAAACTGTCAGGGAAGTAGATGCAGCCTACTTCAGAGAACCCAAACAAAACACACTTTCCAGAAAGGGATCAAACACTCTACTCCTTTCCCATCAGGACCATGCTCTTTGTGACTGAGATGAGCAACTGTAACTATTACCATAGGAAAGCAGGCATGCATTCTTTGAGCATTACTGACCACTCACGATGGTCAGGCATTGTTAATAATAGCAGTGTAGAAAGCAAACAGCAAATGCGTTGTAGCTTTCAGGAAGAAGAAATAAACCCCTGCACCACCAGTCTTTGAAAATAGGCAGTCAACAAACCAAAAAAGGGCATAAAGGAAATCAAATATCCAGAAGAATTGACATTTTGGCAGAATTATCCATTCTTTTCAATCTCCCCCACCCCCACCTTTTTTTTTTTTTGAGACGAATTCTCACTCTGTCACCCAGGCTGGAGTGCACTGGCGCGATCTCGGCTCACTGCAAGCTCCGCCTCCCGGGTTCACGCCATTCTCCCTCCTCAGCCTCCCGAGGAGCTGGGGCTACAGGCGCCCGCCACCACGCCCGGCTAATTTTGTTTTTGTATTTTTTAATAGAGACGGGGTTTCACCGTGTTAGCCAGGATGGTCTCGCTCTCCTGACCTCGTGATCCGCCGGCCTCGGCCTCCTAAAGTGCTGGGATTACAGGCGTGAGCCACCGCGCCCGGCCTCTAGTCCCCTTTATAGTCCCGTTTATAAGAGAGACAATTGTTTTAAAAAGAAGAGTCCGGAGTTAGTTGGACTTTAAGAGAGTATACCAAATAAAGTATTTCTCCTGCAGGAGAGCAAACTCGGAAAAGAACTGGTGATGGTGGTGCGCTGTCCAAGGTACCCAGGGGCTTCTCAGTGAGACCAGCTGGAATTTGTATGTATTCCTTAGTAGCCTAATAAGAGTTAACATTTTGCCCCTAATAAGCAGGTGGGCATCACAGTCTATACTGATGTATGTGCATGTTAAAAACAGCTTTTCTTGCATTTATTTTTATTTAAAATGTCCTATTCTGATTTAAAGTTCCTTTAAAATACATAAAATCAGCTGGGCGTGGTGGCTCACACCTGTAATCCCAGCACTTTGGGAGGCTGAGGCAGGTGGATCTCATGAGATCAGAAGTTCAGGACAAGCCTGGTCAACATGGCAAAACCTCGTCTCTATTAAAAATACAAAAATTAGCCGGACGTGGTGGGTGGCATGCGCCTGTAGTCCCAGCTACTCGGGAGGCTGAGGCATGAGAATCACTTGAACCCTGGAGGCAGATGTTGCATTGAGCTGAGCTTGCACCACTGCATGCCAGCCTGGATGACACAGCGAGACTCTGTCTGAAAAAAAAAAAAATTACATAGAATCAAGGAATTAAGGTTTTTCCATCCATTCAGTTCAAATGATTGTAAAGCACATTTATTTCATCCTGTTGATGAGGTTCTTTCTTATGCCCAGCTGAAATCTCTCCTGATTGAATGTCCAAATTCAAATGTCTACAAAGACCAGTAGAGCAAATGACTAAAGTGGGACATTTAAAACAGTAAGTGACATGGCTTCAATGTGGGGAAGACAATAGGCATGATGGAGATGGGTAACAGGAGAGTGTGTGCTCTGTCTAAAGAAAGAAGCTTCCTCTAGTCCATTGTGCCCATGTGGGACAAGCCCAGTCTTGCAAGGTTATCTAATTACTAAAGAAAAGTTCAAAAATCTCTCCATTTTAAGCTTTTTAAATTAATTCAGTTTCTTAAAACTCACTGCATAAGCCCAAAAATCTCTGGGTTGGATCCTACCCACAGATTGCCACTGTGCTACCTCTGTTTAATGTAAACCCTCTTGTTCAAGGTTTCCTAAACATAGAGAATTAGAAGATGTGAAAACAGGTGTTATCTTTCCCACTTCACAGGTAGGGAAATTGAGGTGCAAAACAGGTAGGATTTGAAATTCATTAGAAATTCATTAGAAGGGTTGATAATGTAACCCAAAACATCTGTTACCAAATACACTAAATGAAAAAACAAACATTAGATAATTAGACAGTTTGTGAGCACTTAGGAAAGGAATTCACTATACAGTAGCCCCCCTTATCCAAGGAGGATACATTCCAAGACCCCCAGTGGATGCCTGAAACCTTGTATGGTGCCAAACCCTGTATGTACTATGTTTTTTCATATATACATATTATAGTTTAATTAGGCACAGTAAGAAATTAACAATAATAAAATAATTATAACAATATGCCAGCATTACTACTCTTGCATTTTGGGGTCATTATTAAAATTAAAATAATGAATACCACCACTGCGATACCTCGACAGTCAATCTGATAACCAAGGTAGCTACTAAATTATTAATGGATGGGTAGTGTCTACAGTGTGGAGACGCTGGACAAAGAGATGATTCACTTCCTGGGCTGGAAGGAACAGGACAACTCAAGACTTCATCACGCTACTCAGCACAGTGCACAATTTAAAACTTATGAATGGTTTATTTCTGGAATTTTCCATGTAATATTTTTGGACCATGGCTAATACTGGATAACTGAAACCATAGAAGGCAAAACTGCAGATGAGGGGGGATTACTACAGAAAAAAATACAGCATGGATTGAGCACAGGACTTGGTATAGGGTAGGTACTCTATAAATGTATACTGTAAAAACTGCTGAATGAATGTCAGTTCAGCCACATATCATGGTTCTTTATCATAGCAGTGTGGTATAAAGTATTTTAAATCATACAAACTTTGAATTATACCAGCAAACAGCTTATTAACTGTATGACATTCTCTCGGCCTCAGTTTCTTCATCTATAAAACAGGAACAATACCTAACCTGGCCATTTTTAAAGGAATATCTGAGATAATGCACTGTACCACACATATATACAACTGTTACAATAGGTAGCTGGTCAGGTATGAGCAGGGCAAGAGAGGGCTCCCCCCACCCACCAGGAATGTCAGACGACCATCAGGTGATGACTTGGCAGTTTCCTGATTGTCCAGCAGTTGTCACATGAAAATGATAATTGGTCACAGCTGGCACCAGCGATTCCCAATAGATAAAAACACCTGAAATTGGTAATTGGCAGTTTTCAGGATTAAGCAAGTGGGCTCGAGCACTTGCATTAAGAGGCAAAATGGTGAAATATGACCTTCCAGGGGCATTTCACAGGAAAAGGGAAGAAAGCCTCAGGTGAGCATGCATACAACTGCTTAAACACACTGCGCATGCTCACCTCCCAAGTGCAAGGAGGGCACCGTGCATGCCGGAAGAATGAAAGGAAAGGGGTGAGAGGTGCTGGAAGTAGGCCAGCCTATAAAGTCCTAGGATCAAGGTTAAACAGGCACTTGACCTCCAAAGTGCCTGCTTGGGTGTCTTCCAAGTGTACTTTCCTTTCTTTCCTACTCTAGAGTTTTTTAATAAACTTCCACTCCTGCTCTGAAATTTGCCTCAGACTCTTTTTCTGCCTTATCCCCCTCAGTCGAATTCTTTCTTCTGAGGAGGCAAGATTGAGGTTGCTGCAGACCCATACAGATTCACCACCAGTAACTTGGATATTTGCCATCCCTAACACAACTACATATGTTGTACACTTATATAATTACATATTTATATAATCATTATTATAATTATTTGACAGATTACTAGACTGGTAAGCCCGGAAAATATGGCAGAAAAAGGCAATAAGGCTTAACAGAAAGGTCACAAGTCTTACAACCAGTCCAAATTGAGTTGGAATGTAGTTCTATCACTTAGCAGCTCAGCTACCCTGGGTAAGTTACTTAAACTCTTTATTTAGTAATACCTACCCTTTCCTAGAGCTGTTGTAAAAAGTAAAGATAATAATCGAGTATTTACCATATGCCAGGCATTATGCCAAGCAATTCACTTACATTTTTGCTCACTTAATTTATGTAGGTTGCTTAGTACTGCCTGGACCATAGTAAGTGCTCAACAAATAGGAGTGTTATTACTAGTATATCTGAATGGCAACAGGGTATTTAACATTGCTTGGGAGAATCAGTGAACAAAATGGAGAAAGGTAGGCTGGAAAGAAGTATAATTAAGTGGGTTAGTAAATAAGTTTAATGTACATGGATAAAATATTGGGTAAAGTTGACGACCAAAAGAGGCTTAAGTGATAACTTAGAACCACATTAGGAAACTTTTTCTGTAAAGGGTCAGATAGTAAATATTTTCGGTTTTGTGGGCCAATCTCTGTTGCAACTACTCAACTCTGCCCTTGTAGTGCAAAAGCAGACATAAATAATGCACAAAGTAAGGGACGTGGCTGTGTTCCAATAAAACTTTATTTACAAAAACAGAGGGTGAGCCAGATTTGGCCTGTGGGCCATAATTTGCTGACCTCTTGCTTAGAATAAAAAGACAATGACATGCAATAGAATAAACATAAAGTGTGCTGTTCAGTTCAAGAAACCAACTGCACAAGCACTTAAACTCAGCATTTAAATAAAAAATCAAGACAACCAGGGGGTGTGAGTTGTCCTGAGTTACCAAAACAAAAACAAAATTACTAAGGTTATTTTCGTCACAAAAAAAACCACAAAATTCTACCCTAATCTGTTCTGAAAAGACCGTGCATAGATGAGTTTTGGCTAAAACGATGTGAACTGAAGCCTGTTCAACTGAGGCTGGGGATAAAAGACCCAACCAGAAATGGCGTGTATGTTTCATCTGGTGTGCTCCCCACTTCCCAGTCAATTCTCAGTGGCTTCCAGGAACATGCATGGAAAAGGATTCTGAGATCTCACATCTGAGCCTAGAGGAAATGAGGGCCATGATTAATTATTAATGTCTGCCATGGGTACAAGGGGGAAGAGTAGTGGCAAGTGTGCCACATAATTGCCATCCTTAAAAATCCTATCACATGAAGGATAAGCAGTAAACAAATGAAATTTGTTGCCCCATATAAGTTGTATAATTCAAAATACAATTATCTTTAAGACAGGAAGACACTTTCTAAATATTAATCTAATCTCACTAATGGACATGGCAAATCCAAAATAGCTTTTATTACAGTGGCAGCAGGGGGTCTGACTTGGTCACCTCCGAATATTCTTCCCAGCACTGCACGAGACTGTGATTTTTCAGAAGGCCTCATTGTGCTATCACAGCTGTGTTCCAGGTGGCTTAGTCTTCCCAACAGCTTTGCTTTGAAGACGTCATGAATATTTAAATATACTTTAGGCTACACATTTTTCATGCTTCTCAATTCACCCACAGTCCAAAGGTGGGTTTTGTTTGGCAAAAGGCTTATTCTTGAGATGTGTGTATTCCACATATATGCATATAAACCCACAGGCATTGTGTTATATACACACATTCAGACCTTCAAGGTGCATGTATGTAAATTCCTTTTCTTAAATCTTGACACTCAGCTCTGAAATCAAAGTCTGCAGTTAAAGGCCACTGATGTAACTTCAGGCACAAGTCAGCAGCTTTGCAATAAGTAAGGATGTACTGATTATTTGGAAAAGACCTACTAATGTTCCCACTGTAGTTATTCAGGACCATGACCTCAGAACCACAGTGACTACGAGATAGTCAATGAATCACAGAAAGTCCCAAAGAGAGGTGGGAGCAGGTGTGGCATGAAGAGCTGAGGTAAAAAGTGTTGGTTAAGCCAGGCACGGTGGCTCATGCCTGTAATCCCAGAACTTTAGGAGGCTGAGGTGGGCAGATCACTTGAGGTCAGGGATCCAAGACCGGCCTGGCCAACATGGTGAAACCCTGTCTCTACTAAAAATACAAAAATTGGCCAGGTGTGGTGGTGGGCACCTGTAATCCAAGCTACTTGGGAGGCTGAGGCAGGAGAATAGCCTGAACCTGGGAGACGGAGGTTGCAGTGAGCTGAGATTGCGCCATTGCACTCCAGCCTGGGCAACCAAGAGCGAAACTCCATCTCAAAAAAAAAAAAAAAAAAAAAAGTGTTGGTTAAATATACATATCTGTTTTCCCCTTTTCCATGAAATCCCACAAAAAAAAGGTTGTTTGTTTGTTTAGAATTAAACCCACTAGAATAAAGAAATTAGAGAGAAAAAAATTATAGAAGCTGAATGTAAATTTAAAAAACACAGCCGAATCTTAAGCTGACAGTGGAGAAAACTGAGAATCATAGATTAGCAGCACCAGGGACCTCTATTCATGGAAGGGGAAGCAAAGGGGCTGGTTGAAATTCAGTTTAAGAGGCTCTCAGATCCCTAGTTCCCCACTTCACACAGCAAAATTGCCTGGATCCTAACCTGGCAAAATAGTGGAGGTTTCTTCTGTAGAGACAGTAAAATAAAGAGTCTCTGGATTAAAGAACTCCAGAGTAGGATACTATTGTTTAAAAAGAAGGAGGGGATAAAAATCAGGTAACAAAAATAGCTCTTAGAAAAAAATTGTAAATGCAAGAACAAAGGTAAAACTCAGTAGAAGGGTTAGAAAATAAAATTTAGAAAATCTCCCAGAATGTAGAGTAAAAAGACCAAGGATGGAAAATAAGAGATAAAAGAAAATATGAAGACTGTTACAGGAAGTATAAAATCCAAGTAACAGAAATTTCTGAATGCAAGAACAGAGAAAATGTATTATCCATTACATTAGTTATCCAGTGCTGCATAGCAAATTGGCCCAATTACTCAGCAGCTTATAATAACAATTTTTTTTATCTTACCCAATTTCTGAGGGTCAGGAATCTGGGAGCAGCCTAATAGGATAGTTCTGGCTCAGGGTCTCCCGTGAAGTTGCAGTCACGTTGTTGGCAAGGGCTGCAGTTTCATCTGAAGGCTTGAATGGAGCTACAGAATCCACTTTCAAAGTGACTCACTCACAGGGCTTCAAGAAGCCTCAGTTACCAGCTGGATATTGGCAGGAGTCCTCAGTTTCTTGCCACACGGGCCTCCCATAAGGCTGGTCAACATGGTCGCTGGCATTTCCCAAAGCAAGTGATCCAAGACTGCACTATCTTTCATACCCCAATCTCAGAAGTGACATACTATCATTTCTGCTGTAGGCTATTGGTCACAGAGATCAACCCTGGTCCAGTACAAGGGTAAACTGCACAAGGGTGTGACTACCAGAGACAGGATCACTGGAAGCCATTTGGAGGCTGACTATCACATTATATATATATTTCTCCCCCAGAATATAAGGGCATACATTTTCAGAATTGAAAAACCCTCATAAGCACTGATTCTCCCCAGATGATAAAAAGAAAGAAAGACCTCCTAACAGCTTAACATAGTGGGCCCACACCAAGGCCCATCATCATGAAACTTCAAAACACTGAGAATGCTATAAGCTTCCAGAGATGTTAAGAAGTCATCTAGAAGAATCAATAGTCAGAATAATTCTGACTTCTCAAGGGCAACATTGGAAGCTAAAAGCAATAAAACAATGTCTTCAAAATCTTGAAGAAAAATGTCCAGACTAGAATTAAACCCACCAAAATAAAGGGCATTGCAGAAGAAACAACCAAATTTTAGTGGATGGAAAGTAGATTAACACAGACATGCAAACATCTGCGTCTTAAGACTGACAGTGGAGAATGCCAACAATAATGAATGAACAGCACGAGGAAATGAAATGAAAATGAAGGAACGGGTGGGGTGGTTAAAATATACTTTAAGTGCCAAGTACTTAGAAGAACAGAATGAAAGTCTTTTCAACCCTGCTTGGGAAGTGGCTGGAAATGTGCTTTAACAAAATGGGCGAGTAAAGTAGAGAAACAGGAAGACAAACAGGAAGAAACAGGAAGACAAAAAATGAAAGATTCAAACCCAAAGAAGGGATAAGGGAGCTCTAGCATGGTGATGCAGGAACTCCAGAGTGACAGCTGTGTGCCACGCCAGGAGGAACCAGTCCAGTGCAGAGCAAATTGGGGTCCTCAAGAAGGAAGATTTTTCAAGGTAACAAAATTGCTGGAATTCCTGGTGCATCAGAATGCCTTAGGGGGAGAATTTGGGCACTTGGTGAAGAGTTTAAGGTCGAATTAGTAATAAGTACACAGAAAACTAAGCAAACAACAAAAAGAAAAAAAAAGACAGTTATTAACTCCCGGGGGGAAAAGCTGTCAAGGAAAGATAAAGCAATCATAGTGTACAACACGGCTCAGCTGCAACTAGCATTTACATAGTCATAATAACATAAACGTTGAATACTGACCTAACGAAAATCCTGAAATAACTACATTGGGAGAGCGAAGGATGACCCCACAGTGGGAATTTAGTAGATAACGCCTGGAACTGAAATATCTAGCTTTAATAATAAGCAGCCTATTTAGAAATAGATACTAGATACCAAAATAATCAGCTAAAAGAGATAAAATAATCAGCCAAAAGAGATAAAATAATCTCTGGGAGGGGGAAATAAAGCAGAGGGCAGGGGGCTACTCTGTTTTGTGGCCAACTCTGTGGAACCTTTTGACTTTCTGGATAGCCTTCACATTACTATGATTTTAGAAAGATATTGATGTCCTGCAACGAGAAGTAGGAGGCAGTAGCTAACCATTCCTCCATTCAGCAAGCACTCAATGGGCACCTACAATGTACTCGTGTTGGGAGATTTGGAGGAAAAACAAAAAGCCCCAGTCCCTGTCCTCTCTGGCTCACAATCCAGTGGCTATCTCCACACACCCAGAGAGGCAGCAATTCAAACTCTTCTCTAGTGAGAAGGTTAACAAGATGAAAACAGATGCCTGGAGATCTGCTTGTCTTGAACTAGTCAAGCCACTTGACTAGTGGCTTCTGTTGGCCTTCCCTGGATGGCGTACCCTTGGAAGTTCACCATGGGCTTATCCTTGAGGCACAATGGGACCTGCCTGAGCAGGTGGGGCAGGAGTTGGGGTAGGCAATCCCTGTGATAACCATGCCCACCCGGCACGGGCATGGTGTGGGCTACATTTTCTGTTTGTTTGGTTTTTGGGATGGGGTCTGTGTCTCCCAAGCTGGAGTGCAGTGGTGCGATCATGGCTCACTGCAGCCTCAACCTCCCGGGCTCAAGCAATCCTCCCACCCCAGGCCCTGAGTGGCTAGGACTACAGGCACACACCACCACGCCTGGATAATTTTCGTAGATACAGCATTTCATCATGTTGCCCAGCCTAGTCTCAAACTGCTGGGCTCAAGTGATCCTCCCACCTCAGCCTCTCAAAGTGCTGGGGTTACAGGTGTGAGCCACCACACCTGGCCAGGTTATATTTTCTAAAGCACTCAAGTGACCTACAGAGTTTGTTTGAAGCACAATAGTTATTATATTGTTTTGCTTGCATGACTTCATTTAATCTTGACAATAAACCTTGCTATTATTAGTCCCACTTTCTAGATGAGGAAACTGGAGCCCCGAGAGGTTATGTGATTTGCCTAAGTTCACACAGCTTGTAAGCAGCAGAGTTCAATCCAGATTCAAACCTGTCTCAAGCCCCTGCCTCTGAGTCTCACAACTGGATTTCTTTTCTCCATTTAGATTGTTGAATTGAGAGTTACAAGAACTGAGTTCTAGCTTGGCGTCTGTTTCCAGAAGCGAAAAATGGAAGGGGTTGGCTAAGATGACAACTAAGGGTCCTTTATGCTTTGGCCATCTACATTAGGAAGACAGAAGCCAAAGGGGAAAGGAAATGTGTGAACGTGGTGCAGAGGTGAACACTTCCCCTCCTCAAGCCTCATTTTCATCATCTGTAAAATGGAAATCACGAAGACACACATCACAGGGCAGTTTAGTATATTAAATACAATAATGTATAAAAAGTACTTAGCCCTCACCCAAACACATCATAAGTGCTCAATAAATTTGAGCCCTTATTCCTTCCTAATATGCCCGCAGGGCTCCACCAAGCTTGAATTCCCATAAGCTTTCACTTCTGGGAAGGTCAAAGAACCATGTTTGAGAGAAGAGGACTGATCAAAGTAGGAGAAAGGGAATCAGGTAAAATTACTGTCTAACAGGAATGTGTGCTGTTGCCCTTTATTGGTTTTACATATGAGTTAGCTTATTAATACTTTCAGGAGCATGTTAGTGTGAAATTGGAAAGCATCACTGCAGGTCAGCCATGAGCCACTGCACTGGTGACAGAAAGGGGAAGAAGAGCAAGCAGGGCAGGCACAGTGGGGAGAAGAAAGGAGAGAGGCAGAAAGGAAAGGAAGGCGAGTCCTCGATGGGAAAGGGCAAAAAGATAACCAAACAGGGAGCAAACTGGTTTTAAAGTTCAAGGCTTGTGGCCAGGCGTGGCGGCTCACGCCTGTAATCCGAGCACTTTGGGAGACTGAGGTGGGTGGATCATGAGGTCAGGAATTCAAGACCAGCCTGTCCAACATGGTGAAACCCCGTCTCTACTAAAAATACAAAAATTAGCCGGGCATGGTGGCAGGCACCTGTAATCCCAGCTACTCAGGAGGCTGAGGCAGGAGAATCGCTTGAACCTGTGAGACGCGGCGGTTGCAGTGAGCCAAGATTGTGCCACTGCACTCCAGCCTGGGCGACAGAGCAAGACTCTGTCTAAAAAAAAAGAAAAAAGAAAAAAAGTTCAAGGCTTGTGATGTATGTTAAACACACGCTACTATTTGACTTTAAACATGACTCATATCCACTTGTCTTTTTGCTCAAGCCATTTCCTCTGTATGGAATTCCCATTCTTGGTCATAGACACTGCTCAAGGCCTGCCTAGCTTTCTCTGAATCCCCCAAAAGAGCCTAGAACACTACCTAACATGCAGTAAAATTCAATAAATGGTTTTTGAATTGAATGCAATGACAAATGTGTTCCTCAAGCTTATGATTATTTACTATTTCAAGTAGATGAAGAAACACTCCAAACAACTGGCTGCAGGTGACCAAAAGATTATCATAGCAAAGTTCCCTGTCTTGTTTGGGATAAGAGTGAAGGTCTCCAGGGACCCGTTCTGTGGTGGAAACACTTTCTTCCAATAATAATGAAAACAAGAATAACAAGGAAAAATAAATATGTATTGCCTTTAGTCCCGGCTACTTGGGAGGCTGAGGCAGGAGGATCGCCTGAGGCCAGGAGTTTGAGGCTACAGTGAGCCATGATGGTGCCTGTGAATAGCCACTGCACTCCAGCCTGGGCAACACAGTGAGACCTCATCTCTAACAATGTGTGTATGTATATGTGTGTGTATATATACATGTGCATATGTGTTATATTACACACACACATATGTACGTGTGTGTGTGTATATCTATATACACAGAAAGGGAGAGAGAAAAGACTATGTCCCAAACACTATTTCTAAGTACTTTATCAATAATAAATTACTTAACCCTCAAATCAAATCTGTGAAAAAACAGCAGTTGTCACCCCCATTTTACAGTGGAAACTGGGTAGGGTGACCAACCATCCCAGCTTGCCCCAGTCTGACAGGGCTCCTGGGATACAAGACTTTCAGTACTAAAACCAGAAAGTCCCAGGCACACTGGGATGGGAATACCCTAACACTGAGGCACACAGAGACTAAGAAAATGTCCCAAGGTTAATGAGTGGCTAGGCCAGGATTATGAACTCAGGGCCTTCATCACCTCCACTGGGCAGGTACAGACAGAGGCAAAAATGAACCCATAGAACGATGGCAGTGTTAGGGTATTTCCATCCCAGTGTGCCTGGGACTTTCTGGTTTTAGTCCTGAAAGTCTCATATCCCAGGAGCTGTCCACTATGCTTTCCAGCACCCAGCCCGGCATAAAGAGGTCCTCAAATGATTGTCCTAACCATATTCCAGCTGTAGTACTGACTATAGCCCAGCTGTGGTACTGACTATAGCTCTAAGACCACAGGAAAGTCATTTAACATCTCTGGGCTGCAGCTGTTTTCATCTTCAAATGAAGGGCTCAAACTAAATCAGGAACACTAAATGGACTCCCTTGCTCACAGCAGAAAAAATGGATTGGGCAACTGTTTCTTGCTCTACTGGAACTTGGGCCTCAGAGTCCTTCTCACCCCTGCACCTGGGGCAGTCCCCACCCATTTGTAGGAGGTGATGCTGAGCATGGTCTCTAAAGCCAGCAGCTTTACCTTCGTGGTCTGCTGTTAGCTGAAGTAGCTTTCCTGAAATGGTTCTGATCGCTTAGGATCTAGTAGTCAGACTAGCATCCAAAGAGAGAAGTATACAAATGGCCACAGCATCTGTAATGGTAGGGACAGTCTCCACAGACTGGCAGTAACCATGTCCAACCCTGTGTTATGTACTCCTCACAGTACAGCAGGGTGAATGAGGGCAGGGACTCTGGAGAGACTGCTTGGGCTCAGAATCCCGGCTTGCCATTTACTGGCTGTGTGACCTTGAGCAAGTTACTTAACCTCTCTGTTTCTCGATTTCCTCAATTACAAAACAAGGACTATAATTGTAGCTACCTCATAGGGTTGTTACGAGGATTCAGTGAGTTAACAGAATACTTAGCACAGTAGGTGCTATGTTTTAAATATGTTTTTAAATTGTATTCCTACCAGAAGGAAATTGGGGCTGTGTTAATATTATTAGAATCCTCAAAAACATATCTGAAGTAGATATGATTTAGCAAATGAGGAAACTGAGGTTCAAAGAAATTAAGTTGCCCAAGGTCACACCTAGCCAGCTTAACAGTAAAGCCAGATTCAAATCCTGATTCCAAAGCTTCTGTTCTTAGCCATAATGCCACCCTGCATCTCAGTAAACACTCAAACACTTATGAAAATAATTGGTGGTGAAATAAAGGGGGTTCCTGGTTACCTGCAGGGGCTTGCTAACCTGTACTGTACTCCTGCGTTGAGTATCTGCTTGCTCCGTACCGGTGTTGCTGACTCCCAGGACCTGGGGCATTGTTTTCCTGACTGGCTCTGGGAATGCCACCTACTGTACCCCCTGCCTGTCCACACCACTGGCAGAGAGAGGTGATGCCAACAGATCTGAGCATCAGCCTACGGAAAAACACAACACACCGCTAAGTCTCCGACTTCTGAAAAATATGAATCTTTAAGATTCGGGTTATTGGTCTTCTCGTATCAGTAAAGTGAATATTTTATAGATCTGTATCTTTCAGGGAATCGAGTAAACACAGATTAGAGAAAATGAGCAAAGGGATTAAGCATCTCGGTACCTATGCTGTCTCTTATCTACCTCTCTCCTCTAAGGATCCTCCTAAATCTACTTTTTTGTCTTAATAATCAGTTATTCACAAAAACATCTATTCTGGTAAACACCAAAGTTCCTAAAGCAAATGTATTCCTCACCATATTATGTTCAAAGGGAGTGAAATGATGTTTCTAGTTCATTCCATCTGGTGCTTTTTAAAAGCAGGAAAAGTGCTTAGCCTTCCCAAGGATGGGGCTTAGAGTTCCTCAAATGATAGTGCAAGAGGCCAGAAATTGGTTCTACTCCTGCCTCTGCCCAAAGACTGCACACTCCTGGTTTGGTTGATAAGCAGGTCGCCAATTAGAACTGAGCAGTTTCGGGGCAGGTGACATGGAGCTAAGGTATTTATTCTTCCATTACAGTGCCTCTACAGGAGGGCATGCCATGGAAAGGTCCAGTGACATCAGAGCATCAAGATGCTGAAGGCCCAACTCCATACCGACATTTTTAGAAACCAATTCAATGGCTCCAACTCCATAGATGATAAGGCAGGGAGGGAGGAAGTGATCTGAAAAAATACCGATACATGTTTTTGCCCAAAGGCTCTCTTGTAGCTTATTGGATAAAGCAGTTCTCATCACGACCAATGAGCTGTTTCCATTCCTTTTTAGGATGGTTATACTCATGCAGGATCAACAGAAAGCAAGCTCTTGGCTGGTCACCATGGCTCTCAACTATATTGCCAAGAGAGAAACCCAGAGTTATCAGGCAGGGGAAAGGGTCCTGCAAATAATAGTGTTTGTACTTCTAGCATTTTGCTCTGGGAGCATGTGTGTATAGGAGGTGAAAGCAGCTTATGTATTTTAACAAACAAACAAAACCTCCCAGGGAAATCCTGAAGAAAGGCAGAAATGTTGAACGTAATTTTAACAGATTAACATGGGGAAGGACTGCAAAGTGTAGTGGTTAGGGGAAACCTGGCTTGGAAACTTTAAATCCAGACTGTTATGTACTGTGTGACCTTGGAGAATCACCTCCTCTAATTCAAGGAGTCTGTTTCCTTCTTTAAAAACTGGTGAGATGCTTGCTTCATGGGTGACCAAAATAATAATTGAATACTGGTGACAGCAGCAGTGTACTCTCCTTAATTTATTATGAGGCTTAAATGAGGTAACACAAGGGAAGGGGCCAGCACCCAGAACATGCACTATTACTCACCAGTTTGCCTTGGCACATCATACCCTAATATCATTTGCTAACATTTACAGAGTATTTACGTATGAGGCACAGTGCTGAGCTCTGGGTTTCTAGAATTAAGTCAAGGCTTAGACTGAGCCAGCCTTAAATTTGGGAGTTAGTACTCTTTCAGAGATTGTGAAGATTAGTGAGAAAGTGCCTCCCATGAGGGGTTTAGTACAGTGCCTGGCATATATACAAAGTACTCAGGAAAAGGCAGACTATGACATCAAGGGCAAGCCCCACTTGCCTTGGGAACAATGGGGAGGGTGAGCAGGTTGACCTGAATCTGTTTTTCCCCTCCCCAATTAGTCATATCCTTTGCTGCTAGCTCTTTGCATTCCTGGTCAATCCCTAGCCTATACCAGGTACCTGGCTCTTCTAGAACAACCATGGAAGGAAGCAGCTCAAGAGCTTGAAGGTTAAGGTACTTAAAATAGAGAAAACTAGTTGGGAGGAGTAGCTGAAAGTCTAAGGGGCTTGTGGGTTCTGGGAATGTTATTTCTTGATCTGGATGCTATAATAGTTACATGGATGAATTCACTTTGAGAGATTTCAACAACTTCTACAATTAAAACTTGTGCACATTTCTGTCTAATTCAAACATTTTAAAAACAGAAACCACCCCTCTCCATCATCTAAAGCATAAAGCAGTCTTTCCCAAAGGGGTGCCATAACTGGGTCACAGGTCGGTCACCTGTGGCAGCACGCAGGCTTGTTGGCTGACCCCGGGAGCAGTACAAATACCATCACTGTTTGGTTAAGATTGGTAGGCACTATCTCAAAAGCCAGGAACAATATCCTCCTTAATCATGCACCAAATGAACAATATCCTCAATCACAAGTTTATTTCAAGATTGTTTTTCCACCCAAGATCCATTCTATTCACTTGATTTTTAATGACTTTTATCTGCAACAAGAAGAGTGCACAAACATTTAAGGGTCAACACCCCAGATTGCTCTTTACAAAACTGAGTATTAGCCTGACATCATTCTGTATCTTAGTCTTCACTAAGAATTAAATGTCTAGAATATCCCTTCCTCTGCCCTAACTTCCTTTCCCCATAAGCAATGGATCAAAAACCTAAAATAAATTTCTATCACTTATCAAGTCAATGGATACAATACAGACTTCATGCTGGTTTTCTCTTTGAAAGTTTATTGTTTTCTTTAAAAAAAAAAAAAAACCTATACCTTTTATATTTTACATTCACCTCTCAGAATATTTAATGGTACCCGTTAACGATGTTATAAAAAAAGACCATCACCTGCTTGAAATGGCTGCAAATTTACCATGTTCTGGCATTAAAGTGATTTCAACTCTTTGGACAAATTGGTGTAACAGTAAGCACCGAGATTTCAAATTCCCAGATGAGAAAAAAAAAATTAATCAGGAGGAAATTTATTTAGTAAAAATTCAAAGCTAAAGAAATGTGAGAAGGAAGCCAAACCCAAAAAACTGTAAAAAATACAATCTTCTCTCCAGAATTAGGTTAAAAAATACAGTCAACCCCATTCTAAACCCCATATTTCTTAGAAAAGTCACCCAGTCCTGAACACAGGGTCTTATACACAAATACATGTAGCTTGATTTGCAGATCAGCCTCTGGGATCGACCTTACACTGGCCCCAATTAGAAGTTCAAAAACAAAAATTAAGTTAGGTAGTCAGACATCTATAAATACTAGTATCCGCATGAATGAAAACACCCTGGCTTTGGTATGGCTACAGAAATCCATCTGGAAATTATTCAAAAGGACGTGGTTCAGGGAAAAGGGGGTAGGCAGGGCATGGGGGGAGGGGAACACACAAAACCCCCAAGCAGAGGTAAAATGAATATTGGAACACACCCGCAGCAAACACTGTACATAGACTTGAGGCAGATGCCTCTAACACAACACATATACAGGTTCTTGATCAAAATGGTCTGGACCAACCTTTTTCAAAGTAATCACCTGCAGGAAAGAGTTTAAACTTGGAAATTCATCTGGTGCCCTGGGGTCTAGTGAGAAACAATGACCTTTTGGAATAATGGCCACCCAGGCTAGAAGCTAGCCTCCTTCTCGTCTAGAAACTTCAAAGTCTGTCTTCCCCTTTAGTAAGGCTTCTGCCCACCACAGAAGTACCCCCATCTACTAACAGGAAGGCTGCTTCTGTTCCTGGTCACCACTGAGGCCTGTCAGGCTTCAACTGCTGATTTTTCACCTCTGGGGTGACAAAAGAAAATATTAAGTCCTCTGGGATTAGAAATGTAATTTACTATGCTGATTCTCAAAATGGACTTCTCACCTGCCCCCATTTTCACTAGGCCCAATTAAGAGTTGTGAGGACGCCGAGGAGAAGGCAATGGCGGAGTCGAGACTATGACTAAGGGCGCCCTCAATACCCTCAAAAGTCAGAGAGGAGAGAAGGCAAAAGTGCCCATACCCTGGTCTTCAAATAAATAGTTGCTTCACAAAAGCAGAGGTCCCACAGAGAAGGCCAGAAAAAGAGGCAATTTGTTCCTGCTTCAATGCGGAACCCCAGTGGTTATCAATACAATCCTCAACTATAAAAACAAACTTTGGTATACTGTTTAGGAGGACAAAACACATGATCATTGAAAAACTCCACCTTCAATGGAAAAATACATGAAATATATCTAATTTCCATCGCAGGGCACTACATGAAAACCAACAGCTGCACAATATGTGATGTGACACACACATCGTATGTGTAACAGTTCAAGCGAGGGAAGTCCTGCCTCACAGTCAAGGCTAACAAACAAGAACAGGTGAAGCCTGTGTTTACCATGGGCTGGGTTCACTGTAGTAAACATCATAGCAGTCGGGGATTGGAGGGCAGAGAAGAAATACAGAACCCCAGGCAACTTTTGATAACAGCGTCATTTATCCTGTTTTCTAAATAAGACTCCAACACCAGAAAAAAAAAAAAAAAAGAGGAAAAAACGGATTGTAAGTTAAAACAAAAATCTATCTGTATAAGTCTTTACTTGTACAAGTCTGTACAAGTCAGTAAGGTTTGGTCTCTGCAGAGCCAGAACTTCAGAGAAGGTGATTTAATTGTCATCACAGTCCCCCCAACTTGCTTGGGGGTATGTACATCAAGAGACAACATGAAGAGAATCACTTGAGACCAAAAGAATTACTTACAAAGAAAGATTTCCTAGGATGTGTAAGTTCTACTGATTGCTCATAGAGACGCTAACAGTTGCTCTAACCCCAAATTTTTTGAACATCTCAAGATGGCAACATGAGTATAGAAAACCCCAACACTCATCACCCAATGAATCATTTCTCCAATCATGGGAGTGAGGGAAGGATGTAGGAAAGGCTGTTTCATCAGGACTCATTAGGGAGGGTGTCAGTCCAGAGGCAGCCACAGCAGAGCTTTCCTTGTCTTCAACCTGGGCCAAATGAAGCTGTGAGCGCTCAGGGCCTGACAACAAAGTTCTCCACAGGTTTGGAATGGCCAATGTGCAATAATGGCATCAGCCACAAGAGTGAAACTTGAATCGTGCATGAGGGTCTATAGATCACTGATTATTGCACTATCAATCTCACCTCCCACCCGTAAAAGATTACCCAGATAATCAGCCTGTGGCACATACTTACTACTACCTACTTGGGAACAAGGGAGAGGAAGGAATTACAAATGAAAACTTCTGAAATGACCACTGCTTATTCCAGCTTAAGCTAGAACAAATGTTTGAATAAATCACCTGCATTAAATAACATTTAAAATATGGTACCTTCAGCACATTATAAATATGAAATGTCCCCTCCCCCAACCCCATTTACTTCAGTGCACATAGTCTTCCAGGCAAGCTTTTCCATCGCTCAGCGAGCGGAATGGATGGTGTGCACAGATGTTACACAAAGCATTTATTTCTCTGAGAAGGCCGAGAGCCACGAGAATTCATCATCTCCTGCTAGGACCTCTGCCCCAAGCTTCTGGGCAAATAGTGAATTGGACGCGACAGGGAAAGTAGCTACGTGATCCACTAATCAGATTCAAAACATGAAAATGCACTGGAGAGTGTATCCCTTCCTGCTCTTCTCCATGGTAGAGAGACTTAAAGATAATCAATAAAAATAGCTGTCCCTTCAAACTCAGAGGAGGTTTTCAAAAACAAGTATAAGCAAAAAATAAAGAAATAAAAGGAAAGTAAATCAAACCCCCCAATACGCCTGAAAGTAAAACAGTCTCATGGTGACTGATGTCTGGAAGAAGTTGAGGCAGAAAAGACTGACAAAGTTGGAAGCATCCGGCCACAAAAGTGCCCTAAAGAATTCACTGCAGTGCTCTCCATTTCCAAGGCTGAGTAGCTATTCCCAGTAAGTTAACATTTTTCTATTAAGGAGAAAACGAAACAAAACAAAAATAAAACCCACTCCAGAAAAAGGGTCAAGAGAAGAGCACTGTAGAAAGTCAAGCAGCTGAGCGCCGGCGGATCACGAAGAGCCCGCGCTGAAGCTGGCCCAGGTAGATCCTCATCTTGGTGCTGTCACTTGTCTTCCTCACCCAGATCTGCAGGGGAGAGGAAAGGGAACAAGATGAAAAGTTAAATACAGAAGAGCAAATCTCCTACACCATCAAAATATCTGCACGAGTGAGATGCAAGCAGAAGGCTGGTAGCCTCTTGCTGGAATAAACTGTCTCAACTTGTGAGGGCTTCATAAGCACCCCTGACCTCGGGCCATCTAAAGGCATGCCGCTGGGAACAGGCATCAGCCTTGAACTCGTTTCTCAGCCATCTCTCTCACACCTGTGATTACGAAAATGGAAAGCACAGCAATCTTGGGTTCCATTTCTGCCTTGATCTTAAAGATGCTTTTAAATTTGGTTTGATTACTGTGTTATCAACACTCAAGAGACATCTATTCATAAACACAAACTTTCAAATTTGGAAGTATTTTCCTTGCTCCAAGGGACTTCCATATTATACAAACTTTCAATACTTTGGTTTCCTGGCAATGAAGGCTAATGGTTGTGCAGAAAAACAGGGAAAAAATATCAACAATAGAAAAATGCCCACTAATGAGCTAAGGCCCAATTAGGATCATGAGAAGGTTGAAGCACTTCCGAGAGTCCTTCCCTCCTCACCATATCCCCCTCTCACAGACAGTATTAGATTACAGTGCATTTTACAGGGCAGATGCATTCTTCCATTGAATTGAGAATGAACTCTTGCAACAGGGGACTGCCAGGGCTGACAAAGTGCACTCAATAAGGGGCATCCTAAAGCCATGGGTGAGAAGGGGAGCTGCTGCCAGTCACCTGACCCCCTGAGCCAGGGTTACTGAGCTCTGTGTGCCAGACACCATGCTGATCAGGCTGAGCTTTTTCACCCGCAAGACAACCCTATGAAATAACTACTATCATTGGCCCCATTTTAAAGAAGAGGAAACCAAAGCTCAGCAAGGCTGAGTCACTTATCACGACGTGAATTCTGGTGTCTGACATCAAAGCCCCTGGCTCTTCTCTACTAAAGCAGTCTCTGGCTTCTTCTTGCCTGTTTTTCTGTAACATGCAATTAAATAGAGCCAAAAGCACAGTTTTTTGAAAGGTCTGCATCTCACCCAAATATACAAGTTTACAGATTTATCTCCTCCTTCCTGGACTCAGTTTTCAGGTTTTAAAAAAGCTTATTCTGTTTCATCTCAATTTCTTTAATGTGATTATTCAGCAGTATCTCTACTGCTTTAAAGTCAAATACACTGGCTTAAAAATTTAAAAAGTTAAAGACCTCACATGAAGCTAAGCCTCCAAGGGACCTTGCAGAATCATTTTAAATGAAAAACTGATCCCAAGAAAAGCTAAGTCAGGGAGTCATCCACACACTCAGAGCTACCCACCAAACCTGCTTGGAGTCAAGCTATGCTAAAGCCAAGTAGCTCCAGTGTCACCTAGAATTTGATCTGAAAAATGAGCTGGAACACTTTCAAGAAATGAGAACGGTTTCCCCATTGCCAGAGTTGCATGTCTTCAGTGCACTGAAGCTTCTCCCCTCCAGAAGACGTGTTTCAGTGTCACCATTTGTCAGATCTCACTGACACTCTATTATGTCAAGACGCGACAATATTCGGCAGAGAGAGGGGAAAAACAATCTAACTTGCATTTATATTTTTCTGAAAAATCTTGAGGTATCATAGAGGAGAATAATGCACTGGTTCTGAAGTTAGGGTCAGGTACTAGAAGGCCACATGTGCTTGTGGAACAACCCAGACAGCCAGGTGCAAATGATTACCATGAAATCGTGACACCTCTTGGCTGAGGACCAGGTCTCTCTATTAGCTTCCCTGTTCTGGTTCTGACTTGGCTTGAGGGGACTCACACGGATCCTCAGCCCAGAGAAGAATGGCATTCATTTATCTAGAAGGCTCTCCCTAACTTCTAAGTAAACAATCATTTTGCAAACTAGTCACATTTCAGGGCATTTTCAATTCAGGAAGCTGGAAGAATAGAAGAGGCTTAAGTTACTTCATAATCCAGTTTCATTACATTTACTGTGCACTGGCACGAATAAGTTACAGAGGGCAGACACATAGAAATCAATTTCTTTGCAGACATTTGTGGACTGATAAAAGATCAAGCCAATCCAGCTATTAAAGTTTTTAACTTTAACTAACAACATAAGTTACACATTGCTTATATACTCCTCATGAAAGACCACTTGGAGAACTCAGAGGGCAGTCATATCATCCTCAGGTATAACCCTCTGAGCTGACTTTAAAACCAGACCCCATCCATCCTAAAGGAGTGTCTCGAGGAGACCAAAAACCAAGGGCATAACCCTGGCAACTTGTTTTGAAGCACAATAGGACATCTCAGCTAGGAAAGACGGCAGGCAAGTGGCGTGTGGGTCGTTTCAGGCCAGCACTCACTTAGTGAGCACTTACTGGGTGCTAGACCCTGTGCCAGGTGCCTCATTCAATCCTCACAGCAAGAAACAAATCTACTGGTATGTGTGAAAGTTCTAGAGAAACAAAACCAAGATGGAGTATGCTCCACAGTCAAGCTCCATTCTCAGTAGATGGTTACCTTAAAAAGAAGCAGGAGTTGGCCAGGTGTGGTGGCTCACGCCTGTAATCCCAGCACTTTGGGAGGCCGAGCTGGGTAGACCACGGGGTCAGGAGTTCAAGACCAGCCTGACCAACGTGGTGAAACCCCATCTCTACTTAAAAAAAAATACAAAAATTAGCCGGGCGTGGTGGTGGGTGCCTGTAATCCCAGCTACTCAGGAGGCTGAGGCAGGAGAATCACTTGAACCTGGGAGGTGGAAGTTGCAGTGAGCCAAGATAGCACAACTGTACTCCAGCCTGGGCAACAGAGTGAGACTCTGTCTCAAAAAAAATAAAAATAAAAAAAAAGAAGCAGGAGTTGAATGTACAGACACCACACAGACTTGCTTTTTGTTCTTTCCTGGAATCTAGCTCCGTGGTTCCCAAATCAGTAGCTGTACCGGGAGTTCACAAATACCCCATGGAATAGACAAATCCGCATATGTTGTAGTCAAGCGAATGTAAGGACTTTTCAAGGATGATTTTGACAATGTGCAATTTCTGCCTGACTTTAGAATCTAACCCACATAGAAGACAGTACTCCACTGTACTTCCTTGGTGGCACTTTCATTTCAGGTTTGCCCTACCAACACTTCGCAGTACACATTTTGCTTCCCTAAAGGTGAGGGAGTGTGGTTCCCACCTCATTGGCTCCTACAGAACTGATCACGCAGCTCAGTTTCTGGTTGTCCTTTGACTCCAGATAGATGGCCTGGCTCTTGTGGTACCTGACAAAAACAAGGCACACATTTTTAAAAAGGGAGGGACAGAGACAGGAAGTAAAAACCAAACAAAACAAAAACACCATCACAACAAAAATTATAATTAAAGAAGTCTTAATAATTCACATTTGAGGAATAGCCTGGATTTCCCATTTAGCTTAATTTAAAGGCTTCCATCCTGAGGCCAGGCGCGGTGGCTCAAGCCTGTAATCCCAGCACTTTGGGAGGCCGAGGCAGGCGGATCACAAGGTCAGGAGATCAAGACCATCCTGGCTAACACGGTAAAACCCCGTCTCTACTAAAAATACAAAAAAAGTAGCCGGGCATGGTGGCAGGTGCCTATAGTCCCAGCTACTTGGGAGGCTGAGGCAGGAGAATGGTGTGAACCCGGGAGGCGGAGCTTGCAGTGAGCCGAGATGGCGCCACTGCACTCCAGCCTGGGCGACAGAGCAAGACTCCATCTCAAAAAATAAATAAATAAATAAATAAATAAATAAAATAAATAAATAAATAAATAAATAAAGGCTTCCATCCTTAGGTTAGAAGACCACCTAATCTTCTTTGGGATCTAAAGCTTATATTCCTTGGTCCCTCTACAGAAGGGAAAAGGCTGAGGAAAGTGTTGGAAAACTATGTATTTTTCCCTTTTTTTGGACTATATGACCCAGTTCAAAAAGTAAATTAAAAATTGTTAAATAAAAACTCTGTTTCCCCTTTCTGACCCCACACCAGAACACTGAAGAAGGTTGGACAGACAAAATATACAGGCATAAGCCACCGTTATTTATTTTCTATTTGTCCAAGTCAGTCACCAACAAGAAGGAAGGCTGACTTTAACCCTTTAGTCAGTCATTCAAAAATACTCATTAAGCACTTACTGTGTACCACGGACTATGCTGGAGGCTGGGGACAAACAGTGAGAAAGGCCACAAGTTCTCCACTATCACAGAGATTCAAATACACTGGGGATAAGGAACATTAAATAACCACACCTGGTAACAGCTAATCAGGCAAAGTTCCAAGTGCCATGACGTATACCAAAGGGTATCTAATTTGGCCTGGACAGTTGGGAAAGCTGCTTTGAATACAGTAGATAAGACAGACACTCCCCTTTCAACTCCTGCATCTACTCTCAACCTGTAGTGTAGGGCCACTTCTTATTTCTACAAGTTCAGAGACAAGGCCAAGGATGAAAGTGAAGTTGCTGGGGGCCAAAGCCCAAATGGGACAAAAGCAGCTGCCACAGGATGAAGGAGCCCCTGCTGGATTACAAGAGTTGGAAGTATCAGCGGAGCTGCAGCTAGCAACCCTGGCCTGGGCCAGCCCCACGTCGATTAATAACATAAACTTTGGTTCATTTTGGCTGCAAAGATCTGGCTAACCAGACCCATAAACTCGTGTAAATTTAGTAAAACACATCTCCCAGCAAAGCATGATGGCTTATTCTGTTTTGCTGGTATAAGGAAATAACCTATTGCCAAGACATGGCAAGTAAAGGATGCACTTCACTCCCATAATGAGCTTTTTCCAGTCTAGGGTCTCAATTCTCTTTAACCTGCTACTTATGAACTGAAAACTCAGGTTTCCAAGTCAATGTACTTTCTGAAAATACTGTTAAAAGAAACAGAATTTTAGGCCGGGCGTGGTGGCTCACGCCTGTAATCCCAGCACTTTGGGAGGCCAAGGTGGGCAGATCACAAGGTCAGGAGATCGAGACCAGCCTGGCCAACATGGTGAAACCCCATCTCTACTAAAAACACAAAAATTAGCCGGGAGTGGTGGCAGGCTCCTGTAATCCCAGCTACTCGGGAGGCTGAGGCAGGAGAATTGCTTGACCCCGGAGGCGGAGCTTGCAGCAAGCCAAGATCATGCCACTGCACTCCAGCCTGAGCAACAGAGCGAGACTCTATCTTAAAAAAAAAAAAAAAAGAATTTTAAATTCAATTAGAACAGCGAGAATGGTTTAAATGCAAGTTTTAAAGTTGCTTTTGGCCCTTTATTAGTTGGTAAACTGGCAGGGGACCTTCATTATGCTAAATATGTATTATCACAAGGGCCGAACTGTACAATGCATAAGAAAAGGCTAAGTTCATACTAACACTAACACTTCCCCTTGTTTCTCTCTCACATCTGAGCCAGCTCTCCTATGTAAACAGTCATGTCTTGAGTAATGGTTAAAATAAAAATACAGAGGGAGAATACTCACAGTTGTTCTAAAGGGACTGTAAGTTATTAAAGAGATAAAGACACAAAACAAAATGCAACTACCCTCAAGTCATTCTGATACAACTTTCTAAACACTTTAATAAAGAAAGGTCATGGATGTGGTGTAGAATATTACGAGTGTGGAAACATGCTCCATATACTGGTAGGTAAAAAAAAAAAAACCAAAAAAAACTATGTCAACTATGTTCCTGTGTTTATGATAAAACATACACATGTTACAGCTGGGTGCAGTGGCTCACGCCTGTAATCCCAGCACTGCGGGAGGCCGAGGTGGGTGGATCACTTGAGGTCAGGAGTTCAAGACCAGCCCGACCAACATGGTGAAACCCCCATCTCTACTAAAATTACAAAAATTAGCCAGCATGGTGGTGTGCGCTTGTAATCCCAGGTACTCGGGAGGCTGAAGCACAAGAATTGCTTGAACCCAGGAGGCAGGGACTGCAGTGGGCTGAGATCATGCCACTGCACTCCAGCCTGGCTGGAAGAACGAGACTCTGTCTCAAAAAAAAAAAAAAAACTGGCCAGGTATGGTGGCTCATGCTTGTAATCCTAGCACTTTGGGAGGCCAAGGTGGGTGGATTGCCTGAGCTCAGGGGTTCGAGACCAGCCTGGGCAACAAGGTGAAACCCCGTCTCTACTAAAATACAAAAAATTGGCCAGGCGTAGTGGCTTACGCCTGTAATCCCAGCACTTTGGGAGGCCGAGGCGGGTATATCACGAGGTCAGGAGATAGAGGCCATCCTGGCGAACATGGTGAAACCCCGTCTGTACTAAAAATACAAAAATTAGCTGGGCGTGGTGGCGGGTGCCTGTAGTCCCAGCTACTTGGGAGGCTGAGGGAGAGAACAGCTTGAACTCGGGAGGCGGAGGTTGCAGTGAGCTGAGATGGCGCCACTGCACTCCAGCCTGGGTGACAGTGCGAGACTCTGTCTCAAAAAATATAAATAAATAAATAAAATACAAAAAATTAGCCAGGCATATTGGCGTGTGCCTGTAGTCCCAGCTACTCAGGAGGCTGAGGTAGGAGAATCGCTTGAACCTGGGAGGCGGAGTCTGCAGTGAGCCAAGATTGCGCCACTGCACTCCAGCCTGGGCGACAGAGCGAGACTCTGTCTCAAAAAAAAAAAAAAAACCAAAAATAACACATATACATGTTACATGTGTATCCATGTATCATATCCTCACAAAGGTCTTTTAAAGAAAACAGCTGACTCTGGAAGGCTATTCCAACAATTCTCATGAGATGCATTGTATTTTCCTTCAGTGGTACTTAGAACCCAAACCCAAGAAATTCAACTGACTTAAAAGCGAACACCCAGAGTAAACAATGCAAGCTGGTCTATTACCTCTGGGAAGTGGTCTGGAACTTGGGAATGTGGCCACCTCCCAGATCCGCCTCCTTTGGAATCACTGAATGGTGGTGGCCTGAATGTCCACCATTGGTCCCTATTTGCTCCAAAGTAGAGGTGGCCAACATGCTTCCCAAAGCAGCCAACTTCCAAACCAACTGATCACCAGGTCCCTCCTGAACCGCAGTCTCTGAGACCTTCAAGGGATCCTCATGCACTACACGATGTCTTGGGGGAACCATTATCCCTAGATACCAAATCTATTAAATTATTTGAATTCTCTGAAAAGATAAGTCCTTAGATATTAAAGTGTTCAGGGCTCATACCTGTAATCCCAGCACTTTGGGAGGCTGAGGCAGGAGGATCACTTCAGCTCAGGAGTTTGAGGACAGCCTGGGCAACATAGCAAGACCTCATCTCTACTAAAAATCAAAAAAACATTAGCCAGGCATGGTAATGGAGGACTGTAGTCCCAGCTACTCGGGAGGCCAAAGTGGGAAGATCGCTTGAGCCAGGGGGATCAAGGCTCCAGTGAGCTATGATCACACCACTGCATGCCAGCCTGGGGGACAGTGAGACCCTGTCTCAAAAAAATAAAAAATGAAGTGTTCATATGGGGGGGCGGGGGCGGTTAAAGATGAAACCAAGAAGTATGTGACAACCTTAACATAAGAATTTACTTTTTAATTTCTAAAGAAAAATCAAAGGGGGGGGAAGAAATTTAAAAATATGTTTAGATATAAAATGTGCTACGAAGCAACATCAACAGGGTAGTAAAAATGTGCGTTTTTTTTTTAGGCCAATTAACCTGTTTTACAAGCTGCAACTCAGCTGCTGAAAAAAGATATTTAAATAGCCTCAAAGACTAAGCCCCAAATGTCAAACTGACTCTATTACTTTGTAACTAATGGAAATTCTGACCTGGGAATCTCTACAATTAAGTTCTTAAAGCTTTGAACCTCTACTATTAAACCGAACAAAACTAGAAATTACCACTACTGTACTATTTTCGAAAAGCAATTTCTTAAGAAGGTGGACACAAAAGTGGGGCGAGGAGGTAGGAAAATTAATTTAATTTTGTATCCTACTGAGAATCCTGGTATTAACACTTTATTTCCCCAATAAGTGAGTCCACGTTATAGCTACAGAACCTCAAGGAGTCCCAATTCTACTGGTAAATATTCACTGTTTTAAGTCTTTTGTGTCGACCGAAGGCTGAAGGGGAAAATGCTCTTGAGCAAGTGGGTGGCTTCGTTTCTGACTCACAGGCAGCCCCAGATTTAAAACAAGGAGAGAAAAACAGAAGTCCACCCGTACCATCAATTAGTTATTTTCAAATATCAGCTACTTTTTCACAGTATTTTTTGAGAGATCATTAGTCCAAATCAAAATGTGAGGCAAATTTACATAGCATGATATAGAATGCCTTAAAAGCAGTATAAGACCAAGGCAAAGGGAAGATCCTTATCTTTCAAAATGAAAGGGAGCTTGGCAAGTATTCACACCAAGATGCGATGCCTGAATCCCATTTGTTTTGCTGAAGTCATTTAAAACTCAGGAAGACATCTTCTGCCAAAAATACGGCTGCACCAAAATACTCCATACCCTCTGGAAAGAGCATAAAGCAATGTAGCTGACCTCTCAGCCACAGGCCACGTCTGCCAAAGAAAGAAAAACAAAACCTCCAAACTGATACAAAAGCCAAACATGAGCCTGGTGAGATGGGAGAGGCTGGCACTGCACCAGTGAACACCTCAGCCAGTATTCCCAGGAACACTTTTCAATTGTCATTGGGGAAGAGGGAGACCCACCTTCAACAACTGCATTATGATCTCTGACTGCCAAGGCCAAAAATGAAAAGTATACAGAATAGAGAAAAAAAACAACATTCTCAAAGTATATTTAACAAGAGAATAAGCAATTTCAATTTCACTGAAAAAGTAAAATGCATCCAGTGACATTATTTTCTAAATTTCTGCTGTTAATGTAAGAAAGATGGTGAAAATTCCTTCAAAATGCTTAGGAGTTCTAACACATCAAATCTGATCATTTTGTTTACATTAGGAAACACCAGACATTGTGGATCTCTTCTTTAAAAAAACAAGAATTTTATTTTACTGCATTTTCACCCTCAAGACATGTCTCGTAAAGTCTGAGGATTAAGCTTAGAAAGAGGAAGATTCAAAGCAACACAATTACAAAATGAACATCACTGGAAATATCACATGGCTTTAAGACTCATAGATTTGTAAAAATGTTAGTGATAAATCTCATCATTTTCAAAGATGGTTCTTATGTGTGGGCTTGATCTTTAAAGGTTATTTGGTTTTCATTATTAGAAACATTTTTCATCTCATTTTGCCCTTCTCAGTGTTAAGCTGTTAGAGCCTGCCACCTAGTGGCGATGTGTTCTGAGACATAATGTTAAGATATAACACAAACCGACCTTTCTGAAGAATGCCAAAGAACACCAACTCAGAGGGGAAGAAGTCATCAAGATCAGCCTTAGAGATAAAGCCAGCCTCCAGCATCTACTGGGCAATTAACTCACTGCAACTTAATAGGTGGAAATGATTTACTTCGGCCATGACTAGAACCCTAAGCATTTTTGACAAGTACAATGTTATCGGGTAACCAACCTAACACAATGCTGGGTTTTTTTAAGAATTCAAAATAAATAATCATTACCCCAATTTTGGAACTTTTGGTTAGATACTGAAACTCAAAGGGTCATTATATAGCCATTATAAATGATAATGAGACACCTTACAGTAACCCAGAAAAACATTCTCAATATAACCAAACAGAAAGGCAAAGCAAACCGTATGTCCACTATGCCTTAGAATGAATAGACTATGCCTGCATATGGATAAAGAATAAAAAGAAATATATCAGAATGAAAAGACCTGAGAAATGATGGCAGTATCCATTTCATATCTAGCAGAAAGCGTAATACAGAACAGAAGAAATGTTTGTTGAATGAACAAAAGTATGAGCTTTTAAGGTTCTTTCATACTGTTTTGCCATTACCTTTCCAATGAAAAATGCTAGGCGGTCTGAACGTTTCAAAGAGTCTTCAATGTAAACCAGGAATGCAGGACACAGTGGCTCATGCCTGTAATCCCAGCACTTTGGGAGGCCAAGGCAGTAATATCATGTGAGGTCAGGAGTTCGAGACCAACCTGGCCAACATGGCGAAACCTCGTGTCTACTAAAAATACAAAAACTAGCTGGGCATGGTGGCGGGTGCCTGCAATCCCAGCTACTCGGGAGGCTGAGGCAGGAGAATCGCTTGAACCTGGAAGGCGGAGGTTGCAGTGAGCCGAGATTACGCCACTGCACTCCAGCCTGGCGACAGAGCAAGACTCCGTCTCAAAAAACAAAAAACAAACTAGGAATGTTTTAGGATACAGTTCCCCCAAGCAAGTGTCCTTGACCACTTTTGCAGCTGGATCATGTAAGAAAAAAGGGTATGTGTCATCAAAAAACATCTAATAACATCTTAGAAATTCACAGTGTACATTAGCATATCGCAGGACCCAAAGGGTACTACAAGGGAGCAACCCACTTATCTTAATTAACATGATCATCCCCCAAACTGATTTGACCACAAAATCCTTTAATCCGAAGAGCACCTATTAACCTTAGCACACAGGAGCAGAGGTAAGAGGGGTCAGAGGGGGGACATACACCCCAGCCCCAGTTGGCAGGGGTACCACACAAGATACCAGCCTGCAAATTCTAGTACAGAGACACCAGAATGGAGAAGGAAGGGGAGCAGAACATGGTTTTGGGAAACGCTGCTTTCAAAGATCCACCGGAAGTATTGATTAAATGACTGCTAATACATTTTTTAATGGGTTTCTACTTTTAGTACTATGTAAGTTTAGCAGCAGCCGTGATCTGAAATAACTACAATAGCCCCAGCCCTCTTTCCAAGTGGTTCATATGAGACTCTTACTAGTCCAGGTTTTCCCATAACATACCATCTTTTGTCATAGTACAGTTTGCCATCTTCTATCCGAGCTTCGAACCTCTGGGCTGGAGATTCCGCGGGTGTTGCAGGCAAGTGCTCAGGAGAGGATGGAGATGCTGGAGGAAACCAATACTTACGTGACTAAGAATGTAACAAACACATGCGAGTCTACCAGTTAACATGCTTTAATTGAAACACTATCAGAATGTGGTAATAATCATCACTGAGCCCTTACAGTGATAATGCATGGGATTTCAGCAAAACTCTTGTATATTCCATCTAAACTTGATCATCAAAGCAACCCTGGGAAGTAGGCAAGGCAGATTAGCCTCTCAAATGGAAGAGACACCTGGGTTTCAGGAAGATTAAGGTCAAATGTGCAAATACATAAGGTCACTTAGAGTAGGACTAAAGCCCTGGTGATCAAAGGGCAAGTATTATGAAAATCTCTTAAAAATGCAATCGTTTTCAGCAGGGTGCGGTGGCGCACACCTGTGATTCCAGCATTTTGGGAGGCTGAGGCAGGTGAATCACGAGGTCAACAGATGAGACCATCCTGGCCAACATGGTGAAACCCCATCTCTAGTAAAAATACAAAAGTTAGCTGGGTGTGGTGGCACATGCCTGTTGTCCTAGCTACTTGGGAAGCTGAGACAGGAGAATCACTTGAACCTGGGAGTCGGAGGTTGCACTGAGCCGAGTTCACGCCACTGCACTCCAGCCTGGCGACAGAGCAAGACTCCATAATCCAAAAAAAAAAAAAAGGAATCACTTAAAGAACTACTAACTTTACACTCACACAACTCCCTCACCCCTCCCCATCGTGCCTCAGAAGGTCAGGATGTCTGTGGACCGCAGTGGCCCCCAGGAAGATATTACCTAGAAAAAGAAGACTCTTGTTTTCTTCCACAAGACTCAGTAAGTAGAGGGATGTGTGAGTAATCGAGTAATCGAGTAATCATGGTGCTTTAAACAAAAAAAAGATGTCACCAATTCAGAATTCTAGTTGGCAGCTAGCACTGATGATCTCAAGTGCTGTTCCGGAAGGAACAACTATGAATACTGAGCTGGTTGGTCTCTTCTATGAACTGCGAGTCAGAGCAGCCTTGGAATGCCTTACCAGAGTCAGGCCACGAAAAGCCACGGGAGCAGAACTGCCTAGGACTTGGCTTTAGAAAGCCAGTAATACTTAAAAATCCTTCTGGTTTCATTTTCAAAAATGGATGTGTACTTAAATCTTATGCCTGATGCCTACACAGAAGGAAATCAATCAATCAATCAAATGTCTCTTTTATGATAAATCCTAAGAAAAAAATAAAAACAACAAAGCAGGGGTTATGAAAAAAAAAGAAATCAGGGAGGGGTATAGTTAAGGTCCCCTTCAGTTTTCATGATGACTACTCTTAGGCAAATGATGAACATTTCATTTTTGAAAATTGCAACCATTTCCTGACAGGTATTCACACCCTTTTCCAACAACATGATAAAAAGGTTGCACAAATGCCAACACATCATGCACTCACCTGGTCTCTTGGGTGACTTAAGCTGTAGGAAGAACAACAACAAAAAATCTTAGAGAAAATCATTTCAGGTGCAACTTCAGGTGTCAAAGGTATCATAATGATTAACAAGTAACATGTTAACAAACAAAATCAGAAAACCACAAAAGCCTGAGTTTTCAAATAAATCAAAAAAGTCAAACCGTACCTTATTTAATGTTCTCAGATCCTCCATGATCTGTTCATCTGTTAACAAATAGTTTAGCTGGGGTGTTGAGAGTTAAAGGACTGTATGTGAAAAGTACAGTTTCCAGGCAAAGAGTAATCAACACAATGGTACCAGTATTTTAGAATTTACAAAGTATGATTTTGTTAAATGATGTTTCTACAGTAACAGTTTGCTTCTTAGAAATTTATGATTCTCCTACTAAATGTCATGGTACTTCAATACATAAAAGAATTCACATCCCCCACTGCTAGGATGAGAAGGTGGAATGAGCTTCATTAGGCATCTACAATAACACAGCAAAGGAAACAGTAAAATAAGAATTTCATCATGAATGTATAAAGCGCTTTTGTTCCAAAGATCTAAAGACTTCCACACACACTCACCCAAGGTAAGGCCAATCTTCCCTCAGCAACTTAACTCCTGTTGTGAAGGAGAAGCAACCTGAAGTTATGCCCTTTCCTGATGGTACACAAATGACTAAGCCATTTTGGGCAGAGAGCTATTCACCATCTCCTCGAAAGGAACAGAAACAACGCTTCTCCATCTTTCCTGTTTCCGTTACCATTTTTATGATTAAAGGGCTGCTTTATGTCTGACTGAAATCTCATTTGCTTTAATTTAAAAACAGGTTGCAATCCACTACATTATGGACATAGATAACAGAGGTACATAAAGGTAGATATTACTGCCTTCATTTTACAGTTGGAAGGTGGAAAATTACAGGTGAAAAAATTAAGGCACATCAAGTTTTCAGATGCCCCTGAATCTTGATGTTAGCATTAAAACCAGGCTGAACTTTGCATGCAAAGCACCTTTCCAAATCACAACTCTATACATCTCTCCCACCAAAAGCAGTAGCAAATGAGGACTACCATGATAAAATGAGCAACCCCTGACCTGTGGACAAACATTTAACACACGCTTTCCAGTTAAATGTTACTATTTTCTGTAGGACAACGGCCATGTGTACCCTAGCAAACGGATAAACATAGGATTCCACAGTCTTAAAAAAGAAAGGCGGTTAAGGCTTGATGTAAATGGATATCTGGAGCAGGTTTCCTCCTCTTGTCTGGGATGGGGACGGGATCATTTGGTCGCCTCCGCAACTTTCTGGTCATGATAGGTTTCACCTCCATAGAATCTGTGGCAAGAATGGAATGGGTAAATCTATCCAACTCCCACTTGAAGTCAGTAAGAATTTCTATAGTATAAGAATATCTGCCCCCCAGCCACCCAATCAGAACTGTTTTACTGGGGGTGTTTGTTCTACACATGGTCGTAGCCAGACACCCCATTAGATTTTAGAAAGCGTTTATACTTGTAAGATTCAGACCAGCTGCCCTAAGTGCACACCCCTCTCAGAAATGCAGCCCTACCGTCAAGCATTACAGCCACTGTGGGCATCTCTCCAGCACCCTCAAAACCTAGGGGATATTCCTCCTCTCCCTCAAATTAAGAAGCCCAGAGTCACAGGCTCTCGGGATAGGAAGGAACCTGAAGGTCATCTCAGCTGACTAATTTCTGCAGCTCCCAAAGAGGGTGGGTGTGCTGAAGCCCATTGGTATGAAAGGCTCTTTTAGAGGCCACTGGCCTCAGTGCCAACATTTTTATACGAAGTTTTCATTTACAGACTCGGATTTTTTTTCTCTATAACCTTTTGTAGCTACTTGACTATCAAGATGACACAATGAGGGCTCACAATAAAAGCCTCTTTCCCTTCTTCTTCACTCCTCTCTGTGGTCTCACACTGCTGCTGACTCCCCACGCCTTCAAATAGCTCCTCCCAAGAGGTGGCGCACAAGGAGGTGAACCTGCCTCCTCGGGGTTCGCTTGTCTGCTCCCTGAATACTGATCATCTTTGGGGTCCAGTCAGTTCCTTTCAGACTGTATCCCAACCAATCTGCAATCACCACTTCCAGCTCCACACATCCCTCTGAATGGCAATAGATACCTGACACCACACATTCTCCATGCCCCACAAAAACTCAGTTCTCCTCGTTTCCTCTCCCAAGGTTGCTTCTTTTCCTGTATCTCAGGGACATCCAATCTATCCCTCCTTCCATGCGAGAACAAATCTGCATCTGTGACTTGTCTTCCTTCATCCAGGCATGAGGTTCACCAACTAATGTTGGTCCTGCCTCCACTCCATCCCTTCATCCTTTCACTGGCTACCTCCACGGCCTTCAGTGGTCTTTCCCATGTCCCATCCATCCTCCCCTCCCTCAAAGTGATCTTCCTGAGACACAAATCAGATCGTTTTGTGTATCACTCTTGTTACTAAATATTTCTTATTTTTTCAAGACAGGGCCTCACTCTCTCACCCAGGCTGGAGTGCAGTGGCACGATCTTCATTCACTGCAACCTCTGCCTCCCCGGTTCAAACGAGTCTCATGCCTCAGCCTCCCAAGTAGCTGGGACTACAGCATGCGCCACCACACCCGGCTAATTTTTTGTATTTTTAGTAGAATCAGGGTTTCACCATATTGACCAGGCTGGTCTCAAACTCCTGACCTCAAGTGATCCGCCCTCCTCAGCCTCTCAAAGTGCTGGGATTACAGGCTGAGTCACCACACCCAGCCATCTTCTTACTAAATATTTCAATGGCTCACCACTCTCCACAGGATATAAGCCAGGCCTCATTTCTGGTCTTCCTCCCTTCTTCTTCATTCACGCTTACACCGTGTGCAAGCCTTTAGCTATCCTGTTACCCAAGGGCACCAGACTTTACGCCTTCAAGCCTTTGCATGGCTCTCCTCTGTCTAGCTTCCTCTTTTCTGCCCAGCAAACTCCTACATAATACCCGTTGAAAGTCAGTTTAATACCCTCTCCCTTCTGTAACAGGTTTCAAAGGCAGAAACTCATTCCATCCTCCAAGTAACCAGAGCATCTATACAAACCTCAAGTAGACCAAGTGCCACGGTGTACAGGTCATTACCTACCCCTTTGGATGTCTGAATTCCACCCCAACACCTAGCAATAGTCTGGCACAGTAGGGGTGCATAATGTTTTGTGCAGAACGGGTAGATGAGGTCAAGTCTGATCATGGGAGGAAGTTAATTTGTGATTATGCACACAATCAGCAGAACAGGCAGGGCAGCTTCAGGGAATTCTACCAAGCAGTGTGCAGGATCTTAGAGCATGTCATACATGTGCCACAGAAAATTTGAAAAAAAAAAAAAAAAAAAGGCTTCTGCATGTTGCTCTTAAGAGAAATGGGCAGTATTAAATATTTTTTTCCTATGAATGGAATAGAGGTAAAATAAGAACCAAAGCCCTAATGAATATTTATAAAAGTGTACTTGGAAGTATAAACACACACACACACACACCAGAAACAAGTGGTGAAGGCTTCTCCCTAAAAGAAATCTCCTATCCTATGCTGAGGTGCCACCCTTCTCCAGTTAGTTACTGGCCAGTGACACAGCACCACAGTTAAGAGCTGGAGTGTCACACAAACGTGCGTTTGAATCCCTGCAACGGCTGTGTGACCTAACACAGGTTTGTAAGTGCTGTATGTCTCACGTGTCCTCATCTAGAGAATAGAAGTATCAATAATGCCTCCCCCACAGTGCGCCGTGAGGGTTACATGTGATGATATGTGTGAAATCTTAGCACAGTGCCTGGCGTAACGGGAGTTCTATCAATGCTAGTTTTTATTATTATATTTTCAGGCAGGAAAAAACTATACAAAGATCCTTTTTAAAACTCAAGGCACAAAGAGCTGAAAAAAAGTTACATAGTCGAAAGCAGCTGATGTCAACTGTGAGGCTGTGCAACACTGACACCTAATTTGGAAAATAAAGTGTAAAGGGAGCTCACCCAACCCAAGAGAGCACCAAAGGAAAAGCACATAGCCCATGAACATTATGGAATGTTCTGTCTGCCAAAGAGAGTGGCTGAGTGTGCTCTGCTCCACAGGCTGCCAAGACTGGGGAGTGGGGAGGGTGGACAATGCATGATGGATGTAAGCCAAGTAAAGGCCAATCACGGCCACTGAACTCTGAAAATCATAACTGTATCACTTACAAACCAAAAAATACAATCAAATTCTTATGAAATGGTAAAAAAAAAAAAATCTATTTTATTAGCCTGGTCACAGCAACAATCTGATTAATTTTATCCAAAAGACTGCTTTGCAGAAGGAAGAGACTCTGGAGAAGCCCCTAAAACTTATCAGCATGTCTCCATCTCCATCTAGGAAAGAGGAGACAGAAGGGAGCAGTCCTGGCCAATAGCCCAGGTGGAAAACATGATTTGAGGCCATGATCAACATGTATCACAGCCCCAACAGACACAGTAAGATTATCCACTTAAGTCACCTTGCTCCAACGCCAGGTTGGTCTAGTTGGCTTTTACGGTGGATTTTTCATAGAAGGATGGAGTCTGACAACCCAGGTCTGAGTGCACCTGGAAGTTCTATTTCTCACTGTAAGCAACGAGCTGGTATCCTGAGTTTTACCATCAATCTCCTATGACTGGGACTCTAAGAGTCCCAAGACGCTCAATCTGGCTACACTGACAAAAATCAAACTTCCAGAACTGAAGCTCAGACCCTGGGGTGTGACAACCCCAGAGAAGACACCTGAGCAGGGATTCAGTCAGGCTTCCTCTCCGACATCATGCACCAACCATAAAAAAACTCGAACTGGCTGAAATTAGAAACCCTCTCTGATCCAGAGGTCTCCTCATAGGTTTGCTTCAGTGGAGATACTATTTTATCATTAAACATCAAGCACTTAAAGCAGACTTGAGAGAGCGTTATGTGAGAAAAAACATCAAACAAGCAACAAGACTAGGCATATAACTCCTCTCCAAACCACCCTGCAATATGACTTTTAATAGTGCAAATCCTCCTGTTCTACTCACTAGGAAACCTGATGGATACAGGAACCCCCTCACCCCTCACCACAGGGAGCACAGATTCCGACATCTAAAAAATGGGAGCTCAGGTTGAAGCAATGCTAGGTGGTAGAGTCATTATAGCACAGTCCCTCTGGAGAGATATTCTTGATAAATTAATTACCTGCAATTTACATACAATTACCAGTTTACTGGCTGGCCTTTTGCTGTGCACTTCTCTAGGCCCATTCATTCATTTCCAACAGCATACCTGCCTATAGTGTACAACGGCAGGAAAAGCTTCAATGCAACATACTTTAACTATTAAAACAAGCTCATATTTATCTATTGGGAAAAATATTAATTGCAGTGATTCAAAGGGTCATCCTTAAAAAATGGGATATAAGGCTGGGTGCAATGGCTGACGCCTGTAATGCCAGCACTTTGGGGGGGCCAAGGAGGGTGGATTGCTTGAGCCCAGGAGTTCAAGACCAGCCTGGGCAACAGAGCAAAACCCCATCTCTACAGAAAAATACAAAAAACTAGCTGGGCTAGGTGGCAGGTGCCTGTAGTCCCAGCTACTTGGGAGGCTGAGGTGGATCATTTGAGCACAGGAGGCAGAGGTTGCAGTGAGCTGAGATCGTGCCACTGCACTCCAACCTGGGTGGCAGAGCAAGACCCCGTCTCAAAAAATTAAATGTACTTTAAATTTAAAAAGGAAATTTTCTTTAAAAAGAAATGGGATATAACTGGCAGAAAGAAAATCCACTGCAGAGTAAACATTATAGCAGATTGGCAATTACCTCCAAACCAGGGCAGGGACCCATAGGCTAGACTAGCAGCCCAGAGCAATCCTAGCAGACATCATGCCCTTCTCTAGCAGGATGGAGGGCGCCATCAATGTTGACACAAATTAATGCTGCGGTGGTAACAGAAGAGCGCCTAAGGTTTGTGGGGGTGGGGAATAAGAATGAATGTTAGGGCTGGGCACGGTGGTTCATGTCTGTAATCCCAGCACTTTGGGCAGATCACCTGAGGTCAGGAGTTCGAGACCAGCCTGGCCAACAAGGTGAAACCCCGTCTCTACTAAAAAGTATAAAAATTAGTCAGGCATGGTGGCACGCACCTGTAGTCCCAGCTACTCGGGAGGCTGAGGCAGGAGAATCGCTTGAACCCAGGAGGCAGAGGGTACAGTGAGCCAAGACCGTGGCACTGCACTTCAGCCTGGGTGACAGAGCTAGACTACGTCTCAAAATCAATCAATCAATCAATCCACAAGAATTAATGTTAGGTCTTTGGAGGCCAAATCAGAGTAGGAATAAAGGGACCAATCTCTTTAAAGCCAAAGTTGGCCATTATGAAGGGAGAGCAATAAACAGTGAGCCAGTCGAGCCTTCCTCTCTGCA
Organism: Homo sapiens; assembly: GCF_000001405.40. Lineage (NCBI taxonomy): Eukaryota > Metazoa > Chordata > Mammalia > Primates > Hominidae > Homo > Homo sapiens. The sequence continues at coordinate 118,395,554 of NC_000012.12, read as the reverse complement.
CCCTCAAGCACATTAAAAGACCTGATTCTGGCCGGGCGTGGTGGTTCACACCTGTAATCCCAGCACTTTGGGAGGCTGAGGAGGGCAGATCACGAGGTCAGGAGATCGAGACCATCCTGGCTAACACAGTGAAACCCCATCACTACTAAAAATACAAAAACATTAGCTAGGCGTGGTGGTGGGTGCCTGTAGTCCCAGCTACTCAGGAGGTTGAGGCAGGAGAATGGCGTGAACCCGGGAGGCGGAGCTTGCAGTGAGCCGAGATCGCGCCACTGCACTCCAGCCTGGGGGACAAAGCGAGACTCCGTCTTAAAAAAAAAAAAAAAAAAAAAAAAAAACCCTGATTCCACAATGCCAGCACCAGGAAAGAACATCTTGAGGAAAGGCCCACTCTGCCCAAAATCCAGGTCACCTCTTCCATTCTCCCTCTCCAGATATTTGTGTGGGGCCTCTTCCTCTTGTCTTGACACCCAAATAGCTACTCATTAGCATCTATTGCATACGCGTGAAACTTACTGCTCCTATAGTAGTACAACCACATATATCTTAGGGTTTTAAAATGAGTAAAAAAGCCAGATGTAGTAGCTCACTCCTGTAATCCCAGCACTTTGGGAGACCAAGGCAGGCAGATTGCTTGAGCCTTGGAATTCAAGACCAGCTACGCAACATGGCAAAACCCTATCTCTACAAAAAGTACAAAAATGAGCCAGGTAAGGTGGCACATGCCTGTAGTCCCAGCTACTCAGGAGGCTGAGGTGGGAGAATCACCTGAGCCTGGGAAGTCGAGCTGCAGTGAGCCCCGATGGCACCATTGCACTCCACCCTTGGCAACTGGAGTGAGACCCTGTCTTTAAATAAATCAATGAGTCAAAAACAAGCCTGTCAAATTGTTACCTTTATTTAGGGGCCCTCCATCTCAACACATTACCTTGGGGAAGTCAAGGAAGCTGTGTCAGCTTTCTAACTACCAGAAAATAGCCTCCTAGAAGACACAGACTTTATCCATTAGCCTGATTTTGTGAGTCACTTAGTGCCACCACATGTATCTATGGTATCTGCAGAGAGTCAGTAGTAGTGGTGGTGAAGAGAATATGCTTGGAGTGAGACAGACACTGGCTGAACCACTATCTATCTCACTGAGGGACTGTGAGCAAATGGCTCCACTTCTCTGAGCCACCTCTGCCATTTATAAAATCAGAAGCGATACCCCCAAGGTCAAAGGGAGCTGCGGGAACTCAGTGAGTTCCCAATCCCTGAGTGTTCACTCTGTAAACCAGCTACTTTGTGAAGCAACTTATAGGCATTATCTCATCTCACGTCACATCTACCCTCTGCAGTAGGTTCTATCATCCCCTTGCCAAATGAGAAAACCCTACCTCAGATTTAAATCTGTGACAGTGCCAGGATTCAGCCCTGGACCATCAGCCTGCAAAGTTAGCTCTAATATATTTATGTAATGCTTGGCTCAGTGTAAGTGCTTGGGAAACAGACTTCTATTTTGACATTGTAATGACTTGTGGTATCAGCTATCAACCAGCAGGATCAGCGACCCCTGGGGAAGGTGGTTAGAAATGCAGGATCTCAGCCGGGGCACGGTGGCTCACACCTACAATCCCAGCACTTTGGGAGGCTGAGGCAGGCGGATCACCTGAGGTCAGGAGTTCAAGACCAGCCTGGCAAACATGATGAAACCCTGTCTCTACTAAAAATACAAAAATTAGCCGGGCGTGGTGGTGCATGCCTGTAATCCCACCTACTTGGGAGGCTGAGGCAGGAGAATCACTTGAACATGGGAGGTGGAGGTTGCAGTGAGCCGAGACTGCGCCACTGCATTCCAGCCTGGGCGACAGAGCAAGACTTGGTCTCAAAAAAAAATTAAATTTAAAAAAAAAAAAGAAAGAAAGAAATGCAGGATCTCAGCCTCCACTCCAAAGCCCCTGAAACAGAATCTGCATTTTATCAAGACCCCACTGACCTAACACATTGAAGTTGGGATGCACTGACCTATAATTCTTCCTAGCTTCTCTATGTACAGTTACTCATTTCTACCTGAACAACCCAGTTTTCCACAAGAGGTTTGGGCGGTGAACAGTACATCCTGCCAATTCCTATGGAGGTTTATAAACGCTTTAAGTCATGGTGGGAAAGAGCAGGTCGCCAAATACACCCGTTTCCAGTGGGTTATTTAGACTAAGCTTCTCATCAGCGTCTTATCCTACTTTGCTTTTCAAGAGACGTTCATGTTGAACCAAAAAAGGAGACTTTAAAAAGTATTTTTCAGGGCAGAGCTGGGCAACAATGATATTGGGCATCAATCCACAAAGATGAACTAAGTCACTCAATTAGAGGAATGAAATCAAGCCTTTAATCCAACACCATAGCAGCGCCATCTGTGGAAATGTTAATTACCCTTCTAGCTCCAGCACCTTGTCTTCCAACACTCCATCATTACCTTGGCAGTGCTTTCCATACCAAGGGTATCAAAGGTGCCCTGAGGAAGGACATCCATACCTTTAATGCCCATGGCTAGCTTTAAACACTTCTGTAATCTATTTTATTGCGTTACAAATGATTTCCCTACATTTATTTGTCTTTTCTACCCTGGCAGGCTCAGCCTCAAGTCACTGAGGATGCCTCCTGTCCCAGTTAAGATTCTGGCTGTAAAACTGCCTGGCCAAACAATGTCTATCGCTTGTCAATAATTAGGACGCCAAATCACAGGTAAGGTGATGATACCCGTTCCCCACAGACGGAAAGGGAGCAGCTGTAAACGGATAATATTTCCCACTAGCCTAATGAAGGCTCCCAAACATCTGGTGGCTCTAGCAGAGAACAATGAGGCATCAATGCCAGTCACAGCCACTGTCAGAGAAAATGGTGTGCAGGTCCAAAAGCCGGCAGGCAGACTGGTACCAGATAAGGTACCACGGTGCTACTGGTCTCATTAAATAAGCACTTTCACAAGAACAAGACTATACTGCCTGAAGCTGCTGTTAGCTGCTGTTTTGGCATCCATTCTCACAAAAAAACATTTCTGAGCTGCTTTCAGAGGCCTTCAAGGAGCTCATTTCTTTTGCCAACTCTCTCTATGAGGAAGCTAACAGAAGAGAGATTTTTCAAAAGTCAGACCCCACCTTAGGCACAACCACATTCTCTTAAGTGTATCATGAGGATTGGAGCCAGAAGTCTGTGTCAGTCAGAAGGCCAAGCTGGTTCACAGCACCAGGAATATATAGAGGGGAACAAAGATCTTAACTGGCTACTTTTAATTTCAAAGTCAGCCCTGAGAACGTCCACAAAAACACTGCATGCATTTCCTACAGAACCCTGCTAAAATCAGACACACCAGAGCCCCAGCACTTTCCGAATTGTAAGAGTTAAATTTGGGGATGTACAGAAAGGCATGCCACCTCCATATCCAAGTGACAAACTCACCACTGACTTGCCTTGCAGTATTTGCCAAGTTCCAAAATAGCTAGTTCAAGCCAATTCCCTGTATCCTTCTAGGAATCATCAGTCTACATATGGCAACAGAAGAGTTGGCCCATATTGTTTCTCCCTGAAACCTGCCTACAACCTGCTGAGTTCCCATATGTGGATTACTAAATTCTAGAAGGTTAGAAAGGCATTGGCTCTGAGTCTCATGTAACTTTCCTACCTTTATGGGAAACTAGTTCAGTTTGGCTATCCTGTTGGAATCATATCAAATCTTTCTGAAATGTTCAGTAACACCTGGCAGGAGAGATCTAATAGCATAGAGGATATAGCCAAAAGCCTTTGTTCTTACATCTAGGTCAAAGGGAGACAATACCTTTTCTGTAATTAAGGCAGACTGGAAAAAAACAAAGCGAGGGATTCCCATCACCACAGAGGGACTTGCGTAAGCAATTTGGGAACATAACCAAGATACAAATGGCAGCAGACCCAGGAATTAAGTAGAGTCTAAGCCAGAGCTTGCAATTACTATTAAAGGTCTAGCAACTATTGAACATCTGTTATGCACAGGACACTGTACTAGGCACTCATATGTCTAACCACAATCCTGTGAGAGGGTATGATCAGCCCCATTTCATAGAGGAGAAAAGAGAAGTTAAGCAGCTTGACTAAGGTCACACAGCCAATAGAAGGTGGAGGAGGAACTCTGATCTATGAGGTCAAAACCCACTCTCCACCTTGCTCTGCTCTTGAAATGTAAGACAAAAGTAACTGGAACAGCCCTTCACACCCCCCCGCTCAGGGCCCCCAAGATCCCACCCCATAGGGCTTTCCTACCTCCAGTCAGTTCCATTGTCAGCTTTTCATTTTCAATCATTTTCTTCTTTTCTTCTAGCTCAGCAATCAGGTTCTCTTTCAGCTCAACCTTCTTGTCTTCAAATTCTTTCACTGCTGCCTTCTTTTCTTTAATGTAATTTCGTTCCACTTGTTCAGTCTGAGCAAAAGAGAAACACGGGCTGGGAGTACACAGCCCTGGGAGCCAGGGCTCCAACTCAAAGTCTAGCCCTGTCCTCAACTGCAAAGTGTGTGAGAGTTTCCCCCTCACACACACTTGCAGTAACAGTGTGTCTGAGAACAAGCTTTCCAGCGAGGGTATAAAATCAGACCCACGTGACTTTTGCTTATTTTTGAGTACACCTCACTTGCTACCCAGATATTTTTTCGCTTCCACATCCTATATTTTATACTAAAACACATTTCTCAAAGGTAGTAAATAATCGCTCATAAAGTTACAGCTTCAAAGGAAAATAGATTCTAGATAAATTGTGTATATTCAAAAAGTTACTATTATTTTTGATACAGCAAGACAAAAGAATGGAACAACATTTAGTAAGTGCCTGAACCCCAAAGTATACATATATTGATATTATACTAAGACAAAAATTGTATATGCCTCCGCTTTTCAAATCTCGCCATTGTGGTGACTGACATAGGGGCCTATGGTGGGCTAAGGATGTGAGTACCTCACTTGAGTGTACCTTCAGGCTGATCACGTGATCCTTCTGGCTGAGTGACTATGGGCACCACACTGATTTAAGGAAACTGGGTTCCAATAATGTGGCTCTGAAAAACCATGACTTTCTCAAAAAGTAACCCCCACACACATGCTAGCCACTCTGGGAGCAGTACATCATTCAAGATTCAGGCCCTCATCTCTGTATCACAGCACAGAGTCTGACACAGAACCAGCACTCAGGTGTCCATGGAATGAAAGGAAAAATTAGAAATCTGTCTTTTTTTACTGGCCCAGAGAGTTGCAGCTGTAAAACAGAACTGCTGAGCCAATTCAGAGATTGAACTGCTTCAAGGACCAATATCAAACTATTAGGCCGTTATAACTCAGAGACTTCCAAACAGCTCTAACACGGGATAGAAGTCAATAAGCAGTTAGGGATGAGTATTCCTTATTCCCCTGTGATAAGCAGAGGCTGCGCAACAACAAATGACCAGACAGGATGTCTGAGCTGAGACCAAATGTCCTTAAGTCAAACAGAACAGTGGTGAAGGCTTCCAAACTATCTACTTGGTGATAGAAGGAAAAGCCACCAGATCAGGACTGCAAGATTCCAGTCTCAGACAGGGCCTGCAAACCCAGAAGATCCGTGGTACTTACTTCCAGCTGGAGGAAGAGTTCTGCAAGAGATAAAAAGTGCAATTAGATTTGCTAGGCTGTGCCACCTTTCTAGACAGTGATGTTAGCATTCATTTAGAAGCAGTAATTGCTTTCTGAAAGCATGTTACAAAGCAAATGTTTTCATCAGTGAAATGTTGATATACACGAAGGGAAAGGACATGACAAGTACTCAAGTCTAGTTAAAATGTGACCCTGCCAGCCTGCCAACATGGCGAAACCCCATCTCTACTAAAAATATAAAAATTAGCCAGGCATGGTGGCAGGCGCCTGTAATCCCAACTACTCGAGAGGCTGAGGCAGGTAGGAGACTCACTTGAACCTGAGCGGCAGAGGTTGCAGTAAGCTGAGATTGTGCCACTGTACTACAGCCTGGGTGACAGAGCGAAACCTGGTCTCAAAAAAAAAAAAAAAAATGTGGCCCTGAACATATCAGCTGTGGCAGTTCTGCCTGAGGGCAAAAAACGTGCAGCAGGAACCAAACTCCCCTGGCAAAATAAACTTATCCCATCTTTCACTCAGTCCACCCGCCAACAGTCTCCACAGTGGCAGGATGGGTCAAGAAGAAATAATGCAATTACTCCAGAAACAGAGTGGATGTGATGTTTTAAAGCAGTGGTCTCCAACCTTTTTGGCACCAGGGACCAGTTCGGTGGAAGACAATTCTCCCACGGGCTGGGGCAGGGTAGGGGGGCAGGCGGCAGGTGGGGGAAAGCAGCCCAGTGGTCCGCAGCCTGAAGGATGGAGACCCCTGGTTTTCTGGGGGGTTCTGGTTTTTTTGAGACAGAGTCTGGCTCTGTCACCCAGACTGGAGTGCAGTGGCATGATCTCGACTCACAGCAACTTCCACCTCCTGGGTTCAAGCAATTCTACTGCCTCAGCCTCCCAAGTAGCTAGGATTAAAGGCGCAAACCACCACACCTGGCTGATTTTTGTATTTTTAGTAGAGACGGGGTTTCACCATGTTGGCCAGGAGGGTCTTGAAATTTTGACCTCAGGTGATGCGCCAGCCTCAGCCTCCCAGAGTGCTGGGATTACAGGCGTGAGCCACTGCCTACGGCCAGGACCTCCTTTTTAAAGCACTATATGAAGGGCTATATGTGGTAAGGAAGGACCTCCACAGATAATCCATAGGACAGAGGCTCCAGGGACACCTGGGGCTTCACTGTCAGGCCACCAAGCTCTGCTCACGCTGTCTGTCCCTGCAATGCCCTCTGACCTCCTATTCACATTCCCAAGTTCCTGACTGAATGCAGCCCCCTCCTGAGGCCTTTCCTGCTGACTCTTCACACATCATGCCCTTCAGATGCCTTAAAGCACCCATCTAACAGCACTCAACAACTTAGTTAGCACCTACCATGTGCCGGATGATTAGTAACTGTTACCTAGCAGCTCCCCTCACCACTAGATTTACAATAGAGCACAAACCTGTCTACAAACCCGCAACTTGAAGCAAAATTGCTCCATGGCTTCTACTCTTTCCTGGGTGACAGGGGGCTGTGCGTACAGTCCACAAAGATTCTCCAGGGTGTGCTATTCTCAGTCTACCAGGGGCCCCTTTGCAAACCTGGCAAATGCTATGGACCCCTTCCCCAGAACAAAGCACATATACAAACTCCACAGAATTCTGACAGTTCTAGGAACCCCAGATTAAAAGCCCAGATGTTAACAGTTGTTGACAGAGAAAATTAACTGAGGAAAGGGACAAGCCACTCATTATTTTTTAGCCCCCAGAAGTCCTACCCACTTTGGCACTGGGAATTGCTGGGCATAGGAACCCAGGCACACCCAACCCAATGTGATCATTCCTATAACAGCTTCAGATCTGTACCATGCACAAGTGGGCCAGACAGCTGAAGTCCTGTGCCATTCCGAGAAATCATGCCTTGCACCAAGTCAAAATGACAATTAGCACTTAGAGGTGGCAGTTGTTTCAGTTAAAGCAGCCAGACACCACTAAAGCAGGTGGATCATCTCTGAAAAGAATGTGCTTTTTAAAGCTCAAGTCGTGACTGATTTAGGAGCTCTTCTGCATTTTTACCTAGGAGAGAGAAATGTGAAAGAACACATGAGGGCCGGGCACGTTGGCTCACACCTGTAACCCCAGCACTTTGGGAGGCCAAGGCGAGCCGGGCGGATCACCTGAGGTCAGGAGTTTGAGAGCAGCCTGGCCAACATGGTGAAAACCTATCTCTACTAAAAATACAAAATTAGCCAGGTGTGGTGGCAGGCGCCTGTAATTCCAGCTACTCAGGAGGCTGAGGCATGAGAATCGCTTGAACCCAGGAGGTGGAGGTTGCAGTGAGCTGAGATAGCGCCACCACACTCCAGCCTGGGTGACAGAGTGAGACTCTGTCTCAAAAAAAAAAAAGAACACATGAGGACATGATTGAGAGTCTGAGCAGAATGAAGAAAAACAACTCAATACTCACTCTGCTGTTCTAACTTCAGAAATATGACTCACATCCATTTTCTTTCCTTACTTCCATCTTATGCCAGTTCCATGAGGTATTAATATTCCCCTCTACAGATGGAGAAATTGAGGTTTCAAGAGCAAATATTCTGCTTAAAGGATCAGATCTAAAGTGAGGAGGCAGGACCTCCTTCCACAAATGCCACCTCCTTTATCTGCTAAAAGGGAAGTCTAGGAAGAGCAACCGGTTGAGGATTTTCAAGACATCTCAAGGAGGTGCTTCAGGAACTCAGAGTAGAAAGGGGGTAACAGCAGGGAGAGGTAGAAGGTGGAAAGGCAGACAGCTAATAGCTGGGGCTCCACTTTCTCAGCGCCCACCCACACTTCAACCCCTTTTCTCTCTGTTGGTGTGCACTGGGCAGCTTCTCACTGAGGAGACACAGTGAAGCGTTGGAGAGTCACTGGCCCAGAATGAAAGATGACAGCAGCATGAGGAGTGGCACCCAACCCTCATTTTAAAACCCATCATTACTTCTACCATCGCAGGAACAAGGACTCTGCTGGCACCCAAACTGCTGGCTGATGATGAGCGTTAAAAATTCAACACATACACGCGATTTCCTGTAACCTCAGGAATCCATGTTTACACACTTTAAACAGTTGTCACATCTTACTTTCTGCATGGCTCTTTAACTCGGTGTTCCTTAACTTTACACGTTATACATGTGGTATCTTTTGTCAATGAAACACCAAGTGTCCTAAAGTCAAAGCAATGTGTTACATGACTTTATATTGCTCGCAGTGCTTAGATGTAGCAGGTGCTCAATTCATTTTTGTTGAATGAATACATTTACTGTATACAACTAATCAAGTGTGCGTTTTCTCTAAATTCTTATAAAAACAATACTTGGGGAAAATAACAAGAAGACCCTCCCCAATCCTAGCACAAAATACCAAAAAAAAAAACTTAAAATGGGACAAAAACAACCTACAATCCTTTTCCTCATCCGCACTTCTGACTGTACATCAGGCCAGCCATGCAGAAATGAGCAAGAGGGTGCAAGACTACTCTTGGGGTACCAGGGAGAACAACCTAACTCCAAGGAGCCTCCTCAGACACCCTCCACTTCTGGGCCATTCCTTAGCAACAGAAGCAGAAGATGAAACCACTTTCCATAACTGCAGCTTGGAAGTCTCTTTTCTGAAAACTCTCCCTGACAGAGTATCTGGGATATGTTTTGGAGAATAGCTCTTAGGGCTGCATTACACCGACGATCGGCAAATGGTCAAACATTGAAAGATGATTCATTGCCATTTAAAGGAGCCTTACCTGCATTCCGTATCCTCTCTTTGTACTGCTGATCTAGTTTTTTCATTCTCTTCTGATATTCCTGTAATGTACCTGATTTTGAACATTTGAAAAATAAAATTATTGTGAATATAAATCTGCTCTACATTTTGCTTCCTAAAATTATTATCTAGCATCAACACTGACTGTTTCAGTAACACCAAAGGAAGACACACCTCAGCAAAGTTAACTCTGGTTCTTAACCAAGGCACACAGCAGAAACCACTAGGGGCCCATTCAAAGTCTACCCAACCCAGTGGATCAAGGGTCTGTAGTGAGTGAGGGGGAGTGGAAAATTGCCAATATCTCCACACTATTCTGATCAGTTGCTGCAACAGTCTGAATCAACGGGCCTTCCTTTACTGGAAAAGGTTCATTCTCCTTCAGTAAGGTCTAGGTCAACGCTCTCCAGTAGAACCTTCTGCAATGGTGTGTTTTATATTTGCAATGTCCAACATGGCAGGCACTAACCATTTGTGGCTATTTTAGCACTTGAAATGTAGCTAGTGGAACCGAAGAACTAAATTATTAATTAAATTTAAACAGCCACATGTGGCTAGTGACAGCATTAAACAATTCAGGTATAGATTCTAACCAAATCGCTATTCATTTCATTGCTCTTCCCACAAAACAGTTAATTATGAGGGGCCCATCTTGTGGGGGGAAGTGTTTCCTGATTATAATGCCTGACCATGGGCTAGTCCAAGGGCGTGGATCACTCACCAGCAATAAAAGCACATAGTAGAAACAGCAGTATCAGGCTGGGCATGGTGGCTCATGCCTGTGATCCCAGCACTTTGAGAGGCTGAGGTGGGCGGATCACCTGAGTTCAGGAGTTCAAGACCAGCCTGGCCAATGTGGTGAAACCCCGTTTCTATTAAAAATACAAAAATTAGCCGGGCCTGGTGGCAGGCGTCTGTAATCCCAGCTACTCGGGAGGCTGACGCAGGAGAATCGCTTGAACCCAGGAGGTGAAGGTTGCAGTGAGCTGAGATCGCGCCACTGCCCTCCACCTGGGTGACAAAAGCGGAACTCAGCCTCGAAAAAAAAAAAAAGAAAAGCAAAAACAGTTTCACTGACAAGGGGACTCCACAATATGAAACCGAAGAGCTCACTGCCACAGCTAACTGTCCCCAGGACCTTGCAGTGTGCACACTGCTGTGCTAGACGCTCCTCATGCATAATCACATCTACTCTTACTTGCTTCATTTTGCAGATCAGAAAACAGATTAAACAAGAGAAACTGGCATGTCCAAGGTCACATTACTAGAAGCAGGGAAACTGGGATTCCAATCCCTCACAAAACTCCAGAGCCTGCACTCTTTTTTTTTTTTTTGAGACTGAGTCTCGCTTTGTCGCCCATGCTGGAGTGCAGTGGCACGATCTTGGCTCACTGCAAGTTCCGCCTCCAGGTTCACGCTATTCTCCTGCCTCAGCCTCCAGAGTAGCTGGGACTACAGGTGCCCACTACAACGCCCAGCTAATTTTTTGCATTTTTCAGTAGAGACGGGGTTTCACCATGTTAGCCAAGATTGTCTCGATCTCCTGACCTCGTGATCCACCCGCCTCGGCCTCGCAAAGTGCTGGGATTACAGGTGTGAGCCACCGCGCCTGGCCTCACAGCCTGCACTCTTAACTCTGATGCTGCACTGCCTTTAGCAGCTAGCAGCATTTGACAAAATACAATCTACTTTTAATGTAACAAGCAAAAAGGAGAAAACACAGTGTGAATAATCCACAAGGTCATTAACATTTGGTTTAGAAAAAACAGTAAAAACTTTATTCTTTGATAACAATGTCTCTCCTAAAAATCTCTAGCTTTAGGCACAGTGGCGTTCAATTCGTGCTCCATTGAAAGTCCCAAGTGAGATTTCATTTGAAGAAAGAATCTCACACATACTGGAAATAAATGTTTCAAAATCAAGGAGCTGGAAAATCACCACTTTACTGACAGCAAAAGATAGCAAAATGTACTGGATAGCTAAGATCAGCCAGACCGTGTTTTAAATAACTCCCACAGAGAAGTGAAATACACAGATTTCAAGGGTTTGTAATATTAAGAAGCATATTTAGAAATGCAGGATTCAATCACACACCAACCTTCTTGCAGTTGTTGCAACTGCCTCTTGAGAGAAGCCAGTTTGTCCTGATACATCCTATAAAAAAAAAAAAGTCACACTAACAGATAAAAACATTCAATACTCAATTCCAAAATAACCTACTCACAGAAATTAGCTGGGCTGTTATGGGAAGGTCATTAATGTCCTTCAGGGAAGAGAGGAAAGTAAAGTCTGCTTGCTGGCTTAAAATGCACCAGCAGCCACAGGGATCAGAAAGGAACAAGAAAGAACCCTGTGTTCCTCAATCTTATTCTAATTTTGTAGATTCTCCCATGTTATCCCATCTTTACAGAATCCGTCTAAAACTTGCAACGATAGCAGATTTTAATAAATGACAATTATAAACAGGCAAGCACACACACAATGTAGAAATGGCATTAAACACAACTCTTACATCAACTCTACAATTAGATTGTAAGTTACAGGAGAGTAAGATTATGCCTTCAGCATGTTTTTCTATGCAGATATGCTTAGCAGTGTAAGAACTAAGTCAATAAACCTTCATGTCATTTTTTAAAGCACTACTCTTTTAGGATCAGAGAAATAATAGTAATTCAGAAAGAAAAGTTAAAAGGCAGCATTTACTGGCAGCCCCAGCTGGATGGGAATACACAGCACACACGAAGCAAAAGCATTTGGCATGTTAGTTTTTTCCTCTCACACCTAATGGATTATAGGCAGTCATAACTTCAGCAAGTTGGTTTGAAGGTGGGTTCCACATATAAATCACATTTCAGCAAGTATTTTTGCTTCTACCTGAAAAACACCCTCAATTTAACAGTGATAAAAACAAGATTTGTGATCTGAAAGAACACTGTCCAACATATAACAAGCACAATAACCTTTTGGTATATGTGCTGCTGAAGTGAGCACATGGGCGTGATAACCTTTTTAGCGCTCAAATAAGGGCTGCAAATACAACCCAACCCTCTGTAAGGGGAGGAGAGTAGGCAGAATTTGAGACTCACACACATCTCACTCTTTCAGGGCAAATTCTGATGCACTTTAGATTTCCCCTTGAATTACACAAGGCATTCCATTTTAACCGAAATTTTTTCTGTATCATCAAATACTAAGGGAGGCCAGGCAAGGTGGCTCACGCCTGTAATCCCAGCACTTTAGGAGGCCGAGGCGGGTGGATCACTTGAGGTCAGGAGTTCGAGACCAACCTGGCCAACATGGTGAAACCCTGTCTCTACTTAAAAAAAAAAAATTAGCCAGACGTGGTGGTGGGCGCCTGTAATCCCAGCTACTCGTGAGGCTGAGGCAGAAGAATAGCTTGAACCCAGGGGCTGGAGGTTGCAGTGAGCCGAGATCATGCCACTGCACTCCAGCCTGGGCGACAGAGCAAGACCCTGTCTCTTAAAAAAAAAAAAAAAAAGGCTGGGCACATTGGCTTATTCTTGTAATCCTAGCACTCCAGGAGGCCGAAACAGGAGGAATGCTTGAGCTCAGGCATTCAAGACCAGCCTGGGCAACACAGTGAGACCTAGTTTCTACTAAAAATTTTAAAAATCAGCTGGGCGTGGTGGCACGTGCCTGTTGTCCCAGCTACTTGGAAGGCTGAGGTGGGAGGATCAATGGATTGAGCCCCAGAGGTTGAGACTGCAGTGAGCTGCTATCATGCCACTGCACTCCAGCCCAGGCAACAAAACAAGATACTGTCTCAAAAAAAAGTGGCTACTGTCTCAAAAAAAAGTGGCCTGGCACGATGGCTCAGGCCTGTAATCTCAACACGATGGGAGGCTGAAGCAAGCAGATCATCTGAGGTCAGGAGTTCAAGACCAGCCTGGCCAACATGGTGAAACCCCGTCTCTACTAAAAATACAACAACAAAAAAATCAGCCAGGCGTAGTGGCGCATGCCTGTAGTCCCAGCTACTCAGGAGGCTTAGCCATGACAATCACTCGAACTCAGGAGGTGGAGGTTGCAGTGAGACGAGATCATGCCATTGCACTCCAGCCTGGGTGACAGAGTGAGACTCTGTTTCAAAAAAAAAAAAAGTAATCCATCTTTATTCAGCACTGGTTAGACCTAGCTGAATTACCCCTTTGAGTTCCAAAGCACAAAAACAATGTGAGAATCCAGAGGATGGCCACAAAACATTTGCAAAAAGGACCTAAAGGGAAATGAATGTGGATCATCCTGTTAAAAGGTAAAGAACTTTAAAAACCTAACACATTCAACAAATATACATTAAATATACTTTATACCGTTTTCCATCTGGGTGTACGCTAAAAGTGAGTGAGGTTTTCGTTTCTCTGAATCTGTTCGGCTGTGGCTCTGTCTGAAGACAATGAGAAGGTTTGGGTGAGAGCAGGTGCAAACGTGGACAGAGCACTGGCCTGAGAGTCAGCATGTGGCCAGGCAGGGTCGCTCACGCCTGTAATCCCAGCACTTTGGGAGACCAAAGCAGGTGGATCACCTGAGGTCAAGAGTTTTGACACCAGCCTGGCCAACATGGAGAAACCCCGTCTCTATTAAAAATACGAAAATTATTAGCCGGGCATGGTGGCATGTGCCTGTAGTCCTTGCTACTCGGGAGGCTGAGGCAGGAGAATTGCTTGAGCCCAGGAGGCAGAGGTTGCAGTGAGCCGAGATCAGGCCACTGCACTCCAGCCTGGGCAACAAAGCGACACTCCATCTCCACACAAAAAAAATAAATAAATACAAAAATTAGCCGGGCATGGTGGTGCATGTCTATAATCCCAGCTACTTGGGAGGCTGAGGCAGGAGAATCACTTGAACCTGGGAGGTGGAGGTTGTGGTGAGCCAAGATTGCACCACTGCACTCCAGCCTGGGCAACCGAGCAAGACTCCATCTCAAAAAAAAAAATTAAACAAATAAAAATAAATAAATAAATAAATAAGAGTCAGCAGCCTGCTTTTCAATCGTGGCTTCTCTGAGCTCTCCAGGCCTCCGGCACCTTGTCTAGCACATTAGTGCAGTGAGTTTACACTCACCTGAGAACCCAATTGCTTCAAGACAACAATTACCCTCTCTGTGCATTGGTTTGCCCATTAAAAAAGAAAAGAAAAAAAAAGGTCCGGGCGCAGTGGCTCGCGCCTGTAATCCCAGCACTTTGGAAGGCCAAGGTGGGCGGATCACGAGCTCAGGAGTTCGAGACCAGCCTGGCCAACATGGTGAAACCCTGTCTCTACTAAAAATACAAAAATTAGCTGAGCGTGGTGGCGTGCACCTGTAATCCCAGCTACTCAGGAGGCTGAGGCAGGAGAATCATTTGAATCCGGAAGGCGGTGGTTGCAGTGAGGAGATCCTGCCACTGCACTCCAGTCTGGACGAAAGAGCAAGGCTCTGTCTCAAGGAAAAAAAAGAGTAAGTAGTAAAAGGTCCTCTCCTGTTGTACGGCCTCATTCCCTCCCCTGGGTCCATTGCCCTCAAGATTCTTTCTAGAGAGTACTCAACAAAGTCTTATAACGGGAAGACTGATTAAATGTAATTAATTTAAAGTGGAGAAATTGTAAACATACATGGTCTTTGGAAGCGCTATGGTCAAACTCATACACACAAGGTTACTACAGATTAAGTATCCCTTATCTGAAATGCTTGGGATCAGAAGTGTTTTGGATTTTTTCAAATTTTAGATTATTTGCAATATACTTACCAGCTGAGCATCCCACATCCAAAAATCTGAAATCTGAAATAGTGCAATGAGCATTTCCTTTGAGCATCATGCTGGCACTCAGGAAGTTTTAGATTTTGGAGCATCTGAGATTTCAGATTTGGGATGCTCAATCTATATAAAGATGTTGTCAATTCTATGTTCCAAAAAGACATAGGCATATCATACTCACTGTTCCTTCATTTCTACATAGTCTTCTTCATCATGCTTTGCCAGGTCAGTTTCACTAGCATCCTCAGTGTCTGAATAAAGTTAGGAAATAGGGGCTAGTTAAAATCATAATTCACGGAGTTGGCGTCACCTGACACAGAGTATGCACTCAATAAACTCCCGTAAAATCAATTTCTATTCAAGGCAGGCTTGCACAAAGCCATCAATGAAAAACATTACATACAGTTAGTAGGCCATCCCTATCTGCAAACACGAAACCTGTGGACACAAAAGGCCAATGCAAAGAATTTGAGTATCCTCAGGTTGTAGTATCCATGAAGTCCTGGAACCAGTCCCCCATAGATACCGAGGGACAGCCGTACTTCAGAAAAGAAAAGGCCATTTCCAACTTACAGTCAGATTTATGCAAAAAGCTTGCCTTTACCTGAAATGCAGCCACAGAATAGGGTGTCTCAGGCACAGGCAGTTATGGTGAAGGCTGCTACTTCTGCAGAAACAACAATGCTGGCAACTCAAGAAAGGAGATGCAGGCGTAAGACTGGACACTGCAGGCAGTCAAGCCTTACTCGCTGCTCCAGAAAAAAACTAGTATGTACATTCTCTTCTGATACATACCCAGTTGGAACCCTTCGCACATTTTACATCAGGATACACGGTTGTCCCTCAGTATCCGTGGGGGAGTGGTTACTGCACCTCCCGTGGATACCAAAATCCTCAGCTGCTCAAGTCTCTGACAAAATGGCATAGTATTTGCATATAACCTACGCACATCTTCCAGTATACTTTTCTTTTTAATGAGACACAGTCTCACTCTGTCGCCCAGGCTGGAGTGCAGTGGCACAATCTCGGCTCACTGCAACCTCCACCTCCTGGGTTCAAGCGATTCTCCTGCCTCAGCTTCCCAAATAGCTGGGATTACAGGGGTGCACCACCACACCCGGCTACTTTTTGTATTTTTAGTAGAGATGAGGTTTCGCCACGTTGGCCAGGCTGGTCTCGAACTCCTGGCCTCAAGTGAACCACCTGCTTTCGCATTCCAAAGTGCTGGGATTACAGGCATGAGCCACTGCACCAGGCCAACAGTACACTTTAAATCATCTCTAGATTACTTAGAATATCCAGGCCAGGCATGGCAGCTCATGTCTGTAATCCCAGCACTTTGGAAGGCCAAAGCAGGAGAATCACCTGAGGACAGGAGTTCCAGACCAGCCTGGCCAACGTGGTGAAACCCCATCTCTACTAAAAACACAAAAATTAGGGCCAGGTGCAGTGGCTCACGCCTGTAATCCCAGCACTTTGGGAGGCAAAGGCAGGTGGATCACCTGAGGTCGGGAGTTCGAGACCAGCCTGACCAGCATGGAGAAACCACGTCTCTACTAAAAATACAAAATTAGCTGGGGGTGGCGGCACATGCCTGTAATCCCAGCTACTCAGGAGGCTGAGGCAGGAGAATTGCTTGAACTCGGGAGGCAGAGGTTGTGGTGAGCCGAGATCGCGCCATTGCACTCCACCCTGGGCAACAAGAGTGAAACTCCATCTCAAAAAAAAATAAAATAAACAAAACAACAAATAAAACCACAAAAATTAGCCAGGCATGGTGGCAGGTGCCAGTAATCCCAACTACTCCGGAGACTGAGGCAGGAGAACTGCTTGAACCCAGGAGATGGAAGTTGCAGTGAGCTGAGATCGTGACACTGCACACCAGCCTGGGTGAGTGAGTGAGACCCCATCTTAAAAAAAAAAAAAAAAAGATTACTTACAATATCCAATAAAATGTAAATACTATGTAAGTAGTTGTTACGCTACACTGTTTAGGAATAACAAAAAAAAAGTCTGCACATGTTCAGTACAGATCCAATTTTTTTCCTGAATATTTTTGAGCTGCGCTTGGTTGAATTCACAGATGCAGAACCCACAGATACGCAGAGCCAACTGTATACAATAAAAAAGGGGAATCTGACACAAATAAATATTTTCCAAGTTACAACTAAAGGGAACAAGGAGGAGGCCAGATGATCAAACGAAAACTGTTTCAGAACATCTTAAACATTGTTCTTAGAACAAGCTAATGGCTGGGGTGTGTACAAAATTTTAATAGCCCCTATACTGGAAGGAAAAAAAAACTCAATTTTGGCTCCACAGCGCCCCCTCGTGGGTATGAGATGAAGTGCAAGTGCTTCACATTCAAAATCTCTGGTTAAGCCGTGTCTTCTGATGGAATTAAATCGAATGCAGTCCCTCAACTTTGTATGTCATGCATATGCAGCTGTCTTTTGTAAGGCTGTTGCAGATCCAATTCCCCACAAACCCTTCTCCCCTCCTTCAGTCAAGAGGCCTTCCCTGAGTTCCTGTCATGGTCAGCCACATTACTTGGCACTCGGGAAACTCAGATGAATAAAACGTAGGCCCCATTCCAAACAGCTGGTCTAGCTTTTGCTCCACGGCCCGATTTTGTCCCAGAATATTCCGCTCATATATCGGTCTCTCTTTGTTTCCTATTTCTCCTCCCTTGATCTCTCACATTTCATCACCTTCCTCCTCCTCCATCCCTCCAAAATAGCGTTCCTCACACTTGCCAAATTATAAAGCCCAGTTTGAAAAGCAAGGCTCTGAGACTCTGTGATGACAGTGCAAAGAGCGTGGGACTGAAAACACAACACCTGGGGACCATTAAGCAAATCTCTCCCTCTCTTACCTGTTTCCGGGAGGGGGGCGGGTGGGGAGAACATTTACGGAGTATTTACAGTACCAGGCCAAGTACTTTATGCGCATGTCATTTAATCCCTATACCGACCCTAGGAAGTGCCTTCTAGGGCAGGTGTGGGAATTAAACAGCTCCATTACAGTTGGGTAAATCGAGGCTGGAAAACTTAAGTTTACAAAGCTGAGTTAAGTGACAAAGCCAAATTTAAACCTGTATCTGGCTGGTTCTAGGTCCCTTTCCTTTAACCAACCTGAGTTCTCAATAGTGTACTACCTAAAGTATAGATGACTTATGCATTTCGGGGGTGGGGAGGGGCAACTTTGGACTCTGATGCTCTCACACACAAAAAAGGGGCGAACTACACTCGATGTATTCAGTAAATGAGTTTCTAATTCCTACTAGTGAGTGAGGTTCAATCAGAAACGGCTGGGAGGGAGGACGGGGTCTTAAAGGGACCCCCAGCGTGACAACATCTAAGTCCCCTCTCCCCATCACGGTCGAGTGTAACGCACCCAGGGCTTCCCCGCTACTCCAGCACGGATGGGGGTAACTTCCCCGAGCCCCGCAACTCCCGGCGGCCCCTCCACGCAGCCCCAGGCCCCGGAGGCCGCCCCGCCCCTCTCCCGAACAGCCCCACCCCCTCCCCCAGCGGTCCCACCTCCGCTCCGGGCGGCCGGGCGAGCGGCAGGACTCACCTTCGTCCGACTCGCGGCCCCGACAGCTGCGCTCGTCGTCCTCGGCGCTCTCCAGCTCTTCATCCTCCTCGGGGTAGTACTCGGGGGCCGGCGGCGCTCCAGCCTGGGCCGGGGCCGGGGCCAGCAGCCCCGCGGCACTCATGTCGCCTCTGACCGCAGCTGAGCGTGGCCCACGGACACCGCGGCCACCCGCGCTCGGTACTCGCCGTCTGCCTAGCAGTGTCCGCGGCAGCCCCCAACTCGAGGACCGGCAGCCACGGCGACCCCTTCCCCGTCTCCGCCGAGCTCCGCCCCCCGCGCCCGCGCTCGGCAACGGGGGCCTCGCGCCGCGAGCGACTTCCGGGTCGAGAGCTGCCCGACAACGGCCTGATTCCGCCATCCTTGGGGGAGTGGAGATGCCGCTGGACGCCCCCGTCGCCACAACCTCAGCCCTTTCATCGCCGTCTTAAAATCCTCAACGTATAGTGGGGGAGGGGCGGAGCCAGGTTCGCTAGAGTCAGGCAAATCTACGGGCAGGCCCAGCAGCGGTCAGGACCCCGAGGCTCGCAGGCGACTTCCGGAGACAGCCGCCAGGCGGCGCCTGGAGCTAGAACTAAAGCGGTGATCGTTAGCGACCTAGGGGCGGAGGGTTTGAAGGGCCCTTGGCAGGTGGAGGTGGTCTCTAATTTAAGCAGGGAACGACGCGACCTGCCCCCTTATTAGGTCGGAAAACCTAGACGTCCAGAGTGTGCGTGATCATGCAGCCTGGCTCCTCCTGTGACTAGTTAGAGCTTTATTAAGAGCTAAAAGACAAGGATGCTGATATTCCATCCTGGGGACAGCAAAATAGTATTTTCCCAGCCCTTAGGAATCCTTTCTGTTTGTGTAAGGTTTATTCGGTAAGATGTTCCCCCGGTTTTACAAATGAGAAACGAGCTGTCGTTTGCCTAAAAAAAAATAGTAACGTCCAGTCTGATTTTTTAGACTCCGAGACCCAGGCCCTCCGCGGTACAGCTGCCTTGAATATTAATTTTTTAAAAGGTGCTTTTGCTTAATCCAACAGCTTGCTCTGAGCTCTCAACTGAAGAAGGGGAGAATTTGCCTACCAGAAGTTATTTGGCTAAGGCCCACGTGGAAGCTTAAAAAACAGGAGAGCTGAGTATCTGCAAGAATTAATTTGTGCGATTCCCTCTGAGTAGAAAAGGAACACGGTGTTATAAGTTTTGCTGAACGAATAGATTTAAGGTGTCCCTTTAGCTAAGAGCAATGTGGTCTAGTTGTGTGTAGCGAGAAAAAAGGGTAAGGTTTTTAATGGTTTGTCCAAAGTAGCCCCACTTTTATGTTCCACCCGAGTCTCCGTAGGAAACGCAACCAGTAGTGAAAATGAACAGATGTGAAAACCAGGGTGGAACCGAATATTCCCATTCTCAGACCTTTTGTGATTAAATTTATCTCTGAATTGTTCCCTATGGACTCTTCTGAAAATGAAACGTTATTCTCATCCCACTTATTTTGACATTTATTTACTACCTTGTTTTAATTAAAATCTTGGCTCTATTTGTAAGTGATTTTTTCTCCCAACAAAACTAAAGAATTTCCAGAATGGAATGCTAAGATGTCTTTCCAGGAGTTCTGAGATCTTCTGAAGCCCCTTCTAAATAAGAATCATTCTCAGATCGCACCGTAGGTCTGCCATCTATATTTAAACTAGGATTCCAGAACTGTCTCTTGTCCAAAAGATGAAGTCATTTTCTTTCTTTGTGCTGTTGGAGAACATCTAAATTACTTGCAATCAACTATATTGAGTAACTTGCGTTCCTGTCAGTAGCAGTAATCATAGTGCAGAAAAAGCAAAGATTTTAGAAATCAAGAGTTCATTGATACAATTAATTTTTAAGTTTATTTCGTTGCTAAATGGTTTCCTTTCAAGACGCTGAGATTTTTATCCTGCTTATGTTTTACTGCTGTCTTCTTGACTGCAAACAGCATCTGTTAATGGTCATGCATTTCTTTTTTATATGTAATGAATAGACACAACTGAGCACTTGGGTTATGAAAACTTACCCCATTTTTTTCTGTCCAGATTGCCAGCTGCAGAACTAAAAAATGCTCTTTAGTGAAGGTGGACCTACTCAAAAAAATTCTCTTATGGCTTTAGTCTTACCTAACCTTTAGATTTATTTAATATGATTTTGGACAGTCGCTATACTCCTGTAAAAATCAAGTTCCCTCAAAACCAAGTTTTACCACCTTGAAATCTTTTTATATATCCCTTCTCAAAACGGTACTCAGCCACACCGCTCAGGAACTCGACTTGACTTGAAACGAAGCCCTGCCAGCCCCATTTCCACAACTTCTTTGCTTCCAGGCCTTCTCTGCCTACCCTAACACCCAAACTGAAACTTTAAAGGGGGACATCACAATTGGAATGGAGTATGATTCTTTTTTTTCTTTTTCTTTTTTTCTTTTTTTGAGACGGAGTTTTGCTCTTTCACCCAGGCTGGAGTGAAGTGATGCGATCTCGACTCACTGCAACCTCCGCCTCCGGGTTCAAGTGATTCTCCTGCCTCAGCCTTTCTAGTAGCTGGGATTACAGGTGGGTGCCACCATGCCCGGCTAATTTTTGTATTTTTCGTACAGACGGGATTTCACCATGTTGGCCAGGCAGGTCTGGAACCCTTGACCTCAGGTGATGAATGGCGTATGATTCTTAAAACACTAGAAGAAACATGTATACTGTTTAGAACACAAACACATTTTGTCAGCTGGAGTTAAAAAGTTAACAATCGAGGGTTCTCTGAGAACTAAGGCCTGTATACATCTGACAAAACTTAGGATCAAAATGTGTTCCTGAGACAATTTCTTCATAAAATGCTAAATTCTAAAGTCCATAAACTTACTTTTGGCGTTAAGAGTAAGGAAAGCAGTTTTCTGTTTCCGGTGTTGATTTGATCAGCATATCCAGTTTCACAAAAATAACACAAATGGGTCTTAGTAGCATGATGCACTTTCACCCCTGGCAGGCACTATCCTTTAGCGTGGATCAAGAGGAGTCTCTGATTATCACATGTTAAACCTGGGTCAAAGCTCGTTATCCTTTGGCCACACGTTCACATAGAATCATTAAAACCTGTGGCCCTGGAAAAAGGTTATATTGAATAGCTTTGCTGAAACCTTGTTAAGCTAATAATAGGGTTCCCCTACCACAGTCTTCCTACTGTCATAAAAACCTACAAACTGAAAATTTCTAAAGCTTTGTCCTTGCACCTATCAAAATGTGCCCCGCATTGAACGCTTAGTTGGGCAAAGTATGCACCTAGTACTGTATATAGATTTTTTTTCCCCCAACGGTATCAAACTGACGGCTGCTGAACTCAATTCAAGGAGAGGCAACTCCCTTGCAAGAGATTTTAAAAAGAAATGGTTTAAATCCAGGAAATTTTTACAAATCCTGGGCAAATTAATGCTATATTAGTTCATGGCAGAATTACTAAGAAAGCTGTGCAAGGTCTAGCGAGAGACTGGGGTCCTCCCCAAAGGCTCTAACATGGTGGTCCCTGGGAATCTCCCAAGAAAAGTAAAGGCGTGGGGAGAAGCGCCATGAACTTTGACCGGAGAGCAGCACAAACAAGACTGACCGCACCCCAGGCGGGCCCGTAGGTTACTAAAGTTGCAAGGTCTTCCGCGTCTGAGGAGACCCCGCCCTGCCCTGTCCCGCCCATCGACAACTCCGCCAATCCTCGGGTTCCATCGACCGCTCGGCTTCCCAGGCTCCATCAATCAAATACCTATATACGGCCCCGGCCCTGTGCCCCGCGATCAGGGAAGGTCAGTAGAGAGCCTATTGGAGCCGAGCTTGGGGCGTGGTCCGGGGCAGGGGGCGGGCGGACTGAGACGGTGGGGCGGGGCGTGCTCGGCGCAGTCCGGTGCGATTGGCCACCCCTGGCAGGAGCCGCACCTCGGACAGCAGCAGCGGCGGCGGCCGCGGGAGGGTCCTTGTGGCGCCGGGCGGCGGGGTCCTGCGTGGAGAGTGGGACGCAACGCCGAGACCGCGAGCAGAGGCTGCGCACAGCCGGATCCGGCACTCAGCGACCGGACCCAAGGATCCGCCGGGGAACAAGCCACAGGAGAGCGACTCAGGAACAAGTGTGGGAGAGGAAGCGGCGGCGGCGGCGCCGGGCCCGGGGGTGGTGACAGCAGGTCTGAGGTGAGAGCACCGGGGCGCGGGGCATGACAGTGGGAGCCGAGGCGGCGGGACCCCAGGCAGAGTGAGGGGAGTTGCGGGAGCGGGCTCGACAGTGCAGACTGTGGAGAGGAGACCCCGGGAGGGACCGGGACAGCGGGTGAGGAGAGGGGACTCCGAGAGGGACCGAGGCAGTGGCTCTGAGTGGAGAGGACTCCGAGAGGGTCCAAGACTGAAAGTCTGAGGGGAGGGGTCTCCAAGAGGGGCCGGGACAGTGCGCGTGAGAGGAAGGGACCCGGAGAGGGGCTGGGGTAGTGGGGTGAGGGGTGGGTGCCTCATGAGGCACTAGGATAGGGGGATGAGGGGAGGGGGTCCCCTGAAGGACCAGGTCCCAGAAAAGGTCAGGGACAGCGGGGAGAGGGGAAGGGTCCCCGAGAGGGGCCGGCACTGAGAGTCTGAGAGATGGGGACCCCGAGAGGGGCTGGGACAGCACCCGGGGAGAGGAGACCCCGAGGTGAGGGGAGGGGACCCAGAGAGAATCCAGGACAGAGTAAAGAGAGGGGACCGGTCAGGGGATGTGAAGACAGGGGATCCCCAGAGGGCTTAGAACAGAGTGTGAGAAGACCCCAGGAAGGGCCAAGACAGTGGGAGAAGAGGAGGGGTCCCGGAAGGGGGCTGGGCTGAGACAGCGGGGCTGAGAGCAGGACACCTAGAGAGAGGCCGGGACAGCGGGTGGGAGCAGGGTGACCCCGAGAGGGGCCAGGACAGCGGGGTGAGAGGAGGGGACCCCCAGAGGGCTCGGGACAGCGCATGCGAGCGTGGGACTCCGAGAGGGGCTTTGAGCGTCGGGTGCAGGCGCGGACCCCGAGGGAGGAGCGGTGCCCCATGGGTGCGGGTCGGGCCCCCAGTCACATAGCGGGGGCCCGGCGTGAGCAGCGAGGGAGCGGGCGGGGGGTCGCGCCCGCTGAGTTGCGGGAGCCCCCCCAAGAACGGCTGCGGCGGGGAGCCTGGGTCGCAGTCGCGGCGTCGGGCAAATAGGAACCGGCTGCAGCGCAGACGAGTGGAGCGGGGAGGTGCTCCCAGGGTCTGGCATCAGCGACCTCCCTGAGGGTGGAGTGTGAGCCCCCGGGACTCCGGGGGACTCCGGAGCCGGATTATGTCATGAAACATCTCTGAAGTGAAACGCATGGGCTGGAGGAGCTGGAGGGGCTGGTGGGGCTGGCTGCAGGACAAAGATCTTGGAATGATCAAGAGACCTGCGCGGCCTGACCTCTTCTCACTGGCCCGCTGGCTTCGCATTCGTTCCTTAGAGTCTGATGTGGATGTCTTGAAAGCGAGGGGCTTCCTGATCTTAATGAAAAGGTCAGGTGAAAAGTTGGAAGGGGCTTCTTCAAACCTCCCCCACTTCCCCCTCCACAAGAAGTTGAAAGGGACAGGGATCCTTTTGGAGACCCGTGTTTTAGATTAATAAGAATATTTCTTTGATAGACCCTTGCGTTTTCCTGGACTACTGGTTTTTCATTTTAGCTCAAGGAGCTAAGAAACTTTTTTAGATTTGGCAGCATATCAGTATCAATGTTTACAATGCAGATTTAAAGGAACTATACTAGGTTTGGAATCTGGACTGTTTAACTTTGATCTGTTGGAGATAGTTGGAAGGTCAAACTAAATTTTCAAAAGAGGTTTTGGAGTCGCAAAACTAAGAGCTCTTTCCAATTAGATTTCTTATCCTAAAAGCTGCCAGGATTGAGCTTTAGGCGTAATTCCAGGACAAGCTAAGGAGAGAGATAAACCTATTTAAACCAGACACTGTGTGTCCTGGTGGGAGGCAAGTGTATCTATTAAAAGGTTGAAACAAATAGTGGGAAGCAATAGGGGGTGGGAGTTGGGGGACAGCCTCCTACTCTGAGGGATGTGAAAATTAAACTAATGATCAGGCTAGTTGTTCACAGTACTTAGGATATGTTAATACTGCCCTACCTACTTTTCAAACTCGAATGCACATGCTTTGTTATGGTTGTACCCAGCAGTTTTGTATTTGAATTTTTAAAACCTCCTTTTCAATGTTTATAGGTTGTATCTCCTCACCTCTTGGACTGGTTTCTTTTTTTATAGAAGCAGACATCGAAAATGATGGTTTTAGGAAAATAGTGAGGAATGTAATTACTATGTAATGTCGGTTATTTAGATATCGCCTTTGTTTCAGGTTTAGAATGTGTTTTATTAGAAGTCTTTTGCCAGTGTTCAATATAGGCAGTTTCAACTAAGAGGAATAAAGGAATGTTGTATTATTTCCTAAATATATAATGCAGATGCCTTACATATAACTGCTATGTAAATCCAAGACAAAAATTACTGAAGTTATTTTTATCAGGGTAATAATAAGTAGAGGAGAAGCACTGTTTAGGGATTTTATTTGACATTACCTGATACAGAGCAGTTCTTCTATGGCTTCAGAGAGTGTGCAGCTTGATGTGGTTATGAAAATTCCACTAACATGGCCAGGCGCGGTGGCTCACACCTGTAATCCTAGCACTTTGGGAGGCCGAGGCAGGCGGATCACAAGGTCAGGAGATGGAGACCATCCTGGCCAACATGATGAAACCCCGTCTCTACTAGAATACAAAAAATTAGATGGCCGTGGTGGTGTGTGCCTGTAGGGCCAGCTATTCAGGAGGCTGAGGCAGAGGAATCGCTTGAACTCAGGAGTCAGAGGTTGCAGTGAGCCAAGATCGCGCCACTGCACTCCAGCCTGGCGACAGAGCAGGACTCCGTCTCAAAAAGAAAAAAAATTCCGCTAACTAGAAGTCCTCTCCTGAGACATAGAAATTATACAGATGAGAGAAACAACAACAGCAAATACAGATTTAAAATATGAGACACTATATTTAAGATGTATTGAGTGTATTTTTTTTTACATTAAATTTATTTTTCCAGAATGCTAGATCGAATTCAAGTAAAAATAAGGTCGGTTAACTCAAAAGGGTATTTAGAACAGGCATATATTCATTTTGCAATGCATATAATGTATGAAATGGCCTGTGGAAGGATTGAGAATCTCAATATCAATAGTTCTACAAAGTAATAGAAATATTTGAGCAGATATGCTTTCACCATATTTGTTAGCTCATTTCTGACTGGTACAAATGGTTGTTTCTTAAGACAAAACATTAAATTTATTTCCTTGTAAGAAAAGAAAGTGCTCTGATACTCCCCTAAGTGATTACTAAAGCAGTCATTTCAACCACATTATATTATGGTATTGATCCAGAGACGTTAAAGAGAGATTCTTTGCAGTAGAATTTGTAGTGATAGTAAAGGCCTATAATAACTTCATTCCCTGGGGGGTTAGGAGAGTAGGTAGGGATTCTGTGAAAAATTTTTTCATTTGTTTCAAAAAACTAAAACTATACTACGAGAAGCTATAAATATATGAAATCATTGTACCTTGACTTGCTTATTTATTTATTTAATTTATTTGAGACAGGGTGTATGTAGCTCTGTCACCCAGGTTGGAGTGCAGTGGCGGGATATTCTCTCACTGCAGCCTCTGCCTCCCAAGATCAAGCGATCCTCTTGCCTCAGCCTCCTGAGTAGCTGGGACCACAGGCAAATACCATCACGCCTGGCTTTTTCTTCTTCTTCTTCTTTTTTTTTTTTTTTTTTTCTATTTTTAGTAGAGATGGGATTTCACAACATTGCCCAGGCTGGTCTCAATCTCCTGAGCTCAAGTGATCCATCCGCCTCCACCTGCCAAAGTGCTGGGATTACAGGCATAAACCCACTATCCTCAGCCCTTTTGTTTATTTAAACTTTTTATTTTCTTTTTTTTTTTCATTTTACTTTTATTTTTATTTTTTTTGTTTGAGACAGAGTCTCGCTCTGTCGCCCAGGCTGGAGTGCAGGGGCACGATTTCGGCTCACTGCAACCTCCGCCTCCCTGGTTCCAGCGATTCTCCTGCCTCAGCCTCCCGGGTAGCTGGGATTACAGGCGTGCGCCACCACACCCGGCTAATGTTTGTATTTTTATTAGAAGCGGTTTTTCACCACGGTGGCCAGGCTGATCTAGAACTCCTGACCTCAAATGATCCACCCACCTCAGCTTCTCTAAGTGCTGGGATTACAGGCGTGAGCCACCGCTCCCGGCCTATTTTCTGTTAAAAAAAAATAACCAGGCCGGGCGCGGTGGCTCACGCCTGTAATCCCAGCACTTTGGAAGGCCAAGGCGGGTGAATCACCTGAAGTCAGGAATTCGAGACCAGCCTAACCAACGTGGTGAAAACCCGTCTCTACTAAAAATACAAACATTAGCCGGGGCGTGGTGGCAGGCGCCTGTAATTCCAGCTACCCGGGAGGCTGAGGCAGGAGAATCGCTCGAATCCGGGAGGCGGAGCTTGCAGTGATCCAAAATAGCGCCCTCGCACTCCAGCCTGGGCGACAGAGCGAGACTCCGTCTCAAAAAATAATAATAATAACCAAAAGTCGTTAAGATGGAGCCTTACAGTTCCGTATGAAGGCTTACAGCAGCCACACATTGCAAGGTCTTTTTGGTTCTCAAACTGTTTTCAGTCTTTGTTTAGCAGGATGCAAATACTTCCCAATATATACAATAACACATTTTACACTTTCTATACTACTGGAGTCGTATACAGGCAAACTATTGTAATCTTAGAGACTACCTTGATATCTAATTTGGTGTAATGTTTAAGCCAACCTGAATAAACATTTTCATTGCCGGCCGGTATTCATATTTGTTGCTATCAGTAGCATAGGGGAATAGATGAAAACTGTTGGTACTTTTTTAAAAATTAGAGTCTTAATTAAGTGCCCCTTTTTTTAAAATAATTTTTTCCCTAGTTTTCATTTCTTCCCTCGCTCTCCCCACCCCCCGCCAAAAAAAAATAGAAGGGAGAGAGGGAGGGAGGATTTTGTGACTCTCCGAAAAAAGATGACTTTTCAGTAATGTATAGTTTTTGAATTCATATTTTTAAGTTGTAGGATATTATAAGATTGCATATCAGCATAGGGAATTTAATTTGTGACAATTTAGCTTTATCACCCATTTAATTGGTTGCTTTATTATTTGTAAGCTATGTTAAAAGTTTTTTTACTGTTTCTTAGGCTCAGCTAAGTAAAAGAAACATAAGTGATATTTATCTATACACCTATAATTATAGATTAGTTATGTTGAATTTATGGGCCAAAATGTGATCTCCCTCATTTCCAAGCTACAAGCACCAAATTAAAAAAAAAAAAAAACTATTTCAAATTTTAGTAATAACTGATAGAATTAAATTGATAAATTTTGTTCCAGACATACGTTATTAAAGTTACCTGCTTTATAAATCAACATAATACATTTTTTTCCTGTCTGAATTGAGATTTGTTAGGGATATTGAATTATATTTAAAATCTTTCTAAGTTATTTCTAATTTGCAAGTTAAAGGGCTAATTCCCTGGCAACAGAATGACTTAGGGGCCAATTTCTTTATTTGTTATCAGAGATTAGTCTCCTAACCATTTGTCAGCTGTCTCACAATTAAACATGTTTAATCCCTAGAGTGTGTGAGAAAAGGAAGATGGCCTGGAATAAACATTTTTTTTGTTGTTGTTTTCGAGACAGCCTTACTCTGTCGCCCAGGCTAGACTTCAGTGGTGCCATCTCGGCTTACTGCAACCTCCACCTCTCTCATAGCTGGGATTACAGGCACCCACCACGTCACCCAGCTAATTTTGGTAATTTTAGTAGAGATGGGGTTTCACCATGTTGGTGAGGCTGGTCTCGAACTGCTGGCCTCAAGTGATCCGCCCACCTCAGCCTCCCAGAGTGCTGGGACTACAAGCGTGAGCCACCATGCCTGGCCTGGAGTAAACATTTTATACCTAGAAAAACCTAGTTCCATTAAACAAAGAGGTGTGGTCCACGTGACTTTAACTCCTAGCAGTAGGAATTTACATGCTGGAGTCTAGTGTTCTGGGCCCTTTCACTTCACCTCTGGCCTCAGTGAAATGATGGGTAGTGAAATCAACCTCACATTGTATACTTTATATTAATATTGTAGTCAGTTATCAAAGTACTTATTGAAGGGATCAATTTTACTTTCTTCCACTATTTTTGAGTGTCAATAAGAGAACCTTTTATTTCCACTCAAACAGGGACTCTGTGCAGTATATATTTAATTTTATGTGTTTCACTTTCTAATGATATTGGCTTATGTCCATGGCAATCAAGGCTATGACAATTCAAATATGTTTTATTTACCCATTACAATAGATGGCACTAATCAAGACAGAATGCTTTCTTAAATACATTAATAACTTAATTATTCTTGGCAGCAGACATACTAAACAGAATCATAGTTCATAGCCAATTTTCTTTATTTTTTATTTTTTATTTATTTATTTTTTGAGATTGAGTCTCGCTCTTTCGCTCAGGCTGGAGTGCAGTGGTGCCATCTTGGCTAACTGTAACCTCCACCTCCTGGGTTCAAGTGATTCTCCTGCCTCAGCCTCCAGAGTAGCTGGGATTACAGGCGCCAACCACCACGCCTGGCTAATTTTTGTATTTTTAGTAGAGACGGGGTTTCGCCATATTGACTAGGCTGGTCTCGAATTCCTGACCTCAGGTGATCGCCTGCTTCAGCCTCCCAAAGTGCTGGGATTACAGGTGTGAGCCACTGCGCCCAGCCCATGGCCAATTTTCTATTCTGTTCTGAACATTAGCTTTTAGTTTCAGGGTATGTATGTGTAAATACACAAATACTTTCAAACCGTATACATACAGTTTTTAAATGACCTAGGTCAAGATTTAATAGCAGAGATTTAAATTTATAGTAATATGCCTCCATCATCTCTTGGCAAAATTCTCTTCTGTTGTTTTATAGCAGTTTCCTGTTAACACGTGTTATTTACTAGCTTGTGAGGACAGAGATGGGTTTTATTCATCTTTGCATCCTCTGTGGTAAGTATAGTACGAAGCACAGAGTATGAAGATGCTCAGTAAATGGGAATTGAGTGAATTAATGAATGATCAGCAAACTAGTAGATTATATTTATGTCCACACTTTGTTTCTTACCCTCATTGAGTGCTTTTTAAAATACATATATCTAAAAGGTACTAAAGAGACAATGGGCACACCTGTAATCCCAGCACTTTGGGAGGCTAATGAGGGAGGAGGGAGGATTTCTTGAGCCCAGGAGTTCAAGACCAGGCTGGGCAACACAGTGAAACACCGCCCCCGCCCCCGCCCATCTCTACAAAAAATACAAAAATTAGCTGGGCGTGTGTTTGCACGCCTCTAATCCCAGCTCCTCAGGAGGCTAAGGTGGGAGGATCACTTGAACCTGGGAGATGGAGGTTGCATGAGCAATGATCAAGCCACTGCATTCCAGCCCGGCTGATAGAGCAAGACCCTGTCTAAAAATAAAAAAATTAAAAAAGAGAGAGAGATACTGATTTCTTTGGAATGTAAGAATAAATGTTAGCATTATTCATCTGCTACATAAAAAACAGCAAGATACAGTGGAAGGAGAGAGGGCCTTAGACTGGGAAAGATCTAGGCACCTATTTTGGCCCCTTTACTATGTCTGCTGCCTGACCCTGGGCAGTTACTAAAGTCTTGATTAAAGCTCTCAATTCTCTCAACTGTAAAATAAGAATCCATACCTCTTGGGATCTGTGAAAGGAATAAGTGAAGTGATTTTTTTAAAGTGCCAAGCACAGTGACACATAGGAAGTGCTTAATGGTAGCTGTTTATTATGTTTTTGAAATAGAGTTTTGCTCTGTCACCCAGGCTGGAGTGCAGTGGTGCGATCTTGGCTCACTGCAACATCCGCCTCCCAGATTCAAGCAATTCTCCTGCCTCAGCCTCTGGAGTAGCTGCGATTACAGGCACCCGCCACCATGCCTGGCTAATTTTTGTATTTTTAGTAGGGGGATTTCACCGTGTTGGCCAGGCTGGTCTCAAACTCCTGGGCTAAAGCAATCCTCCTGCCTTGGCCTCTCGAAGTGCTGGGATTACAGGCACCAGCCACTGTGCCTGGCCTCTTATTTTAATCACTTGAAACAATTTCATATTGTGTGTGTGTTCTACTCCTAGTATCTAATCATTTGCTGAATCTCATAGCTGGCTCCTGACTTTTTCCAAAAAGAATAATTAATAGATTCATACATAGGGAAATTGAAACTCAGAGAGGATAAATGACTTCCAAAGGTCACAGAGACCATGGTAAACCAGACCACTATGACCTAGATCTGGTTTTTCAACTCAGAACATCTTCCACTTTATACCTCTCAGTGGTCAAAGGATCTTACGAGGGCCTTAATAAGGTGCAAGGGAAGGACAGCCATGACAATTTTCCAGTCTCCTTTTCGTTTTCATTCTTCCTAGATACACTGTTACTCTTTTATTCTCCCTAAAGTACGGCTCTGATTTTGACACTCACATGTTCAAAACCTTTAGTAATTCCCCATGACCTACCAAACTCAGTACAGATTTATAAACCTGTTTTATTTGTTTGTTTGTTTGTTTTTTGAGATGGAGTTTTGCTCTTGTTGCCCAGGCTGGAGTGCAATGGCGCCATCTCCACTCACTGCAACCTCTGCCTCCCGGGTTCAAGCAATTCTGCCTCAGCCTCCCGAGTAACTGGGATTATAGGCGTAACTGGGATTACAGGCATGCGTCACCATGCCCAGCTAATTTTGTATTTTTAGTAGAGACAAGGTTTCTCCATGTTGGTCAGGCTGGTCTCAAACTCCCAAACTCAGGTGATCCGCCCACCTCAGCCTCCCAAACTGTTGGGATTACAGGCATGAGCCACCGCGCCTGGCCTGTAAACCTGTTTTTAGGCTCCTATCAGCCTGTTTGTGTGTGTCTGTGTGTCTGTCTGTCTGTCTCTCTCTCTCTCTCTCTCTCACACACACACACACACACACACACACACTGCCTTGACCAGACTGGTCTTCTTAACTAGCCAAGCGCTTAGTGATGTGCCCCATTCAGGATTTTGTTCCATTTCTTTTACGTAGTATGCCTTCTGTTCCTCATTTTCCATAACTACCTCTAATGCCATCTTTCATGAGTCCTTCTCTGATTATCCTCCTTGCTACTCTCTGCTTTGAATTCCCTAAGTACTTGATTTGTACTTTTTCTTATTACATAATACTCTCTAATATTACATTGTAGGATTTGTACTTATCTTATCCTTCTTAGATATCCATATTCTTAATTTTAAAAGGACAGTGTCTTATACATCTAACCTAGTGTCTTGCAACTAGTATCTTAATTGTCAAATTGTATGGAAATTTAAATACTTTAGGTTCAAAATAATATTTAAATATAATTATACATACAATTCTGTGTGCAATTGTAAGATATAATTATTGCTGCTGGTGAAGATAATGTGCATTCCTAAGAGAAGAATTCACTTGTGACCCTGACAGTTGGTAAATCTGATACCAGTGGTAGCAAGTATATGGATACTTGTATGTTCGTTTTTAACATTGATAATATTCTCTAAAGTGGCCTTTGACTCAGTGTTTCATATTTGTTATTTTATTTCCTTAAGTGGTATTTTTATCAGATTGGTATTTGAAAGTTTGTTTTCCTGTCTCTTTCTTTCTTTTCTTTTTTTTTTTTTTTTTTTTTTTTTTGATACGGAGTCTTTCTCTGTTGCCCAGGCTGGAGTGCAGTGGTGCAATCCTGGCTCACTGCCACCTCCGCCTCCCAGGTTCAAGCAATTCTCCTGCCTCAGCCTCCCAAGTAGCTGGGATTACAGGCGCATGCCACTACACCCAGCTAGTGTTTTGTGTTTTTAGTAGAGACGGGGTTTTGCCATGTTGGGCAGGCTGGTCTCGAACTCCTGACCTCAGGCGATCCATCTACCTTGGCCTTCCAAAGTTCTGGGATTACAGATGTGAGCCGCTGCACACCTGGCCTGTTTTCCTTTCTCTAGCTATTAGCAACAATTGAAATAAGATTGTCATTTTCAACAGAAGGTGGATGTTCACTTGAGTCAGAGGTAGAGCCTGGGAGAGGGAGGCTTAGCACTCTGGTCTTCCAAAGCAATTTTTCTTACTGTGTGATCTAGGCAATTTGCGACTGTGAACAAATAAACTTATTGTTCCATCTTTCCTACCGTATCCTTCTCCATAGCACTTACCACCTCACATGCCGAATTTTTTGCTTGTTTGTCTTATATTCCTACGTGCAAACTTGTCCAACCCATAGCCCGCAGGCTGCATGCACCCCAGGATGGCTTTGAATGGGGCACAACACAAATTTGTAAACTTTCTTAAAACATTGTGAGATTTATGTGAGATTTATGCATGGACCTTTTTTTTTTTTTTTTTTTAGCCCATCAGCTATTGTTAGTGTTGGTGTATTTTATGTGTGGCCCAAGACAATTCTTCGTCTTTCATTATGGCCCAGGGAAGCCAAAAGATTGGACACCCCTAAATTTTAGGGTCTATGAAAGCAAAGATTTTTGTTTTATTAATTGCTGTATCTCCAACTCATAGAACAGTGCCTAGCAGTTAGTAGTTGCACAATAAATATTTCTTGACTGACTAAATAGAGAAATTTGACTTTGAGAGTTCCTCCGATTTGTTGGCTAAAAAGGTTTCGTTATTTTAAAAATAAGGAAGTCTCCAGACTGCTTTCCACAGTGGCTGGACTAATTTACATTCGCACCATCAGTGTATAAGCAGTCCCCTTTCTCTGAAGCCTCACCAGCATGTTTTTTTATTATTATTATTTTTATTAATAGTTTGACTATGCTCACTACCTGGGTGATGGGATCCATACCCCAAACCTCAACATCGTGCAATATTCCCATGTAACAAACCTGTGCATGTACCCCCGTATCTAAAATAAAAGTTGAAATTTTAAAAATAATAAGGAAATAAAATCCTAGCCAGGTGTAGTGGCTCACACCTGTAATCCCACCACTTTGGGAGGCTGAGGCAGGTGGATCACTTGAGGTCAGGAGTTCAAGACCAGCCTGGCCAACATGGTGAAACCCCCGTCTCTACTAAAAATACAAAAATTAGCTGGATGTGGTGGTGCATGCCTGTAATCCCAGCTACTCTGGAGGCTGAGGCATGAGAATCGCTTGAACCCAGGAGGCGGAGGTTGCAGTGATCCAAGATCGTGCCACTGCACTCCAGCCTGGGTGACAGAGTCAGACTCCATCTCAAAAAAAAAAAAAGAAAAAAAAATCCTAAGGAAGTAAATGATAGTTTGGAAGAGTAGTATTCATCTGCAAATTCTACTCTCGGGGTTTTACATTTTTCTTGGAGCAGCCTTGAATTTACTATATTTTTATTTCATTGAATACAAATGAAAGCCATTCCTACTACCACACCATACATCCACGATGGCTGTATCTCATTGTGGCTAAAACCTAAGAAAACTCTGTTCACTGTAACGAAGTCTAGTGGAAGCTTGATGACATGGCTTTTAGGCATTAAAGTCTAATAAGACCAAAATAATAATAAAATTCAGTACGGGGGCATTATCCCTTGAGAAAAAATTTCACTTGTTTTGCTTCGATGCTGATATTGACCCTGAAAATTGGTCAAATCAAGCTTCTGATGTTAATTTAGGGTTGTTATCAGTTTTCTGCATATACAAGTAATTGGGTTTGAAATGTGTTTTAAGCCTGAATTAAAATAACTTAGTCACTGATGACTCATAGTGAGAAGTTTTTCCTTTTCCCTGCTGGAACATATGCCTTTACCTCCAACATGGCCTTTTAAAAACAATTAAAACATAAAGAACACTACTTTTGTGTGACAGTTTCTGGAAAAGTTCTGTTTAGGTTTAAATTGGTGACCACTTATTACAATGCTTCTTAGTAACTACACTAACTACAAATGAGTTTCCAAATTTCCATACAAATTTCTTAATCTCTGCCTTTATGGAAGTTTCCTCATTATATATGAAATGCTCAAAAGTCCACTAAATATTATATGAATGACCACAGGGACTTTATTTTGTTCATTATTGTATTCCTAGTGCCTAGAATAGTGCCCTGCACATAGAAGCCAATTAGTAAGCATTTGTTGAATGAAATCACATACTTTTTTTTTTTTTTTTTTTTTGAGACGGAGTCTCGCTGTGTCGCCCGGGCTGGAGTCCAGTGGCGCGATCTTGGCTCACTGCAAGCTCCGCCTTCCTGGTTCACGCCATTCTCCTGCCTCAGCCTCCCGAGTAGCTGGAACTACAGGTGCCCACCACCATGCCCGGCTAATTTTTTTGTATTTTTAGTAGAGATGAGGTTTCACCATGTTAGCCAGGATGGTGTCGATCTCCTGACCTCGTGATCCGCCTGCCTCAGCCTCCCAAAGTGCTGGAATTACAGGCGTGAGCCACCGTGCCCGGCCATACTTTTTTTTTTTTTTCTTTTGAGACAGTCTCACTCTGTCGCCCAGGCTGGAGTGCAGTGGTACAATCTTGGCTCACTGCAGCCTCCGCCTCCTGGGTTCAAGTGATTCTCCTGCCTCAGCCTCCCGAGTACCTGAGATTACGGCCTCCTGCCACCACGCCCAGCCATTTTTGTATTTTTAGTAGAGACTGGGTTTCACCATGTTGGCCAGGCCGGTGTTGAACTCCTAACCTCAGGTGATCCGCCTGCCTCGGCCTCCCAAAGTGCTGGGATTACAGGTGTGAGCCACCACGCCTGACCACATACATTCTTAATAATCGCGCATCTTAGAAAAATAATGAAAGTATTGAAATAAATTTTCTCCAGCTTTTTTGAATTAGGTAATCATCAATTCACAATCATCCTAGTTTGGGTGTCTCTCGGTATTAGCCCAAGGTAGTTCTGTTCGAATAGTTCCTAGCATTGCTTGTGCCAATCTTAAATCTCCTTTAGTGGATCTCTTACAAAAGGAAGGGTGAATTGCCACCACCCATAGGCACTTGCACCTGTGGGAACCAATGGGCGTTGTAACAGGAAATACTTCAGCTTGCAATACTGATAGTAATGTGTGGCACCCAGATCACGCTGTTTTTATCTGCAGTTCCTTTTTAGTATTGTACAAAGTTTCTTGAAGATTTTTAAATACATAAGTTTAAAAGAGAATTAACTTTCAATTTGCAAATTAAAATGAGAATGGTTGCCTTTTCTTCATTATCAAGAGATGGTGAGTTGTCCTCCTGTAAGTAAATTGGTTCTTTTCTTTCTAATATTGTGTTCCTTGAAACCTTACTCTAGTATGCAGGGAGAGTGGAGGGTGCCTAAGTGTAAAATAATTAAAACTTAAGCTGATATAATTATCAATAATAGTAACCAGTTCTGATATCTACTTGATACCATAACGGTGAGCATTGATAGACTTTCATAGATTTTTACATAAGATTAGCTTGAGCAAGTTTTCCTCTTTTGTAGGTACTGGGGGGAAAATTCTGGAAAAATTTTTAGAGAGTTCTTTCTAAAATGTCGAAATGCAAAGCTGTATAAATTGCTGTTGACGTTAGCTGTCTGACCAGGAAGTACTCTCTTTAAGCCTCACTTAAAAAACTAAGTGTCTGTAATAACTTCCTTTCTCGGGATGAAGGTGCTGATAGCCTGGGGTGTTCTTATAACTTAAGTTCAGTTTTTTCTTTCCTGTGAGGAAGAGGCAGTTTTTTAAATGAAGCCATCTCTGGGGAAATCGTATTGATTGTTGTAGCTAAATACGGAATTTTTAAAGTCTTTAGTATGTTGAACTGGAAATATAGGACATGCGTTTGAGATCTACTGTGAGTAAGTGTCATTGGTATTTTATTTTACATTTAATGTTGATTATAAATATGGTTTGTGTCTAAACACTGTTAAAAAAAATGAGTAAACTCTGTTGAATTTCATGTGAAATATTTATGGCCTTAGCTCAAAGTCCAGCTGAGAGTAATCAACCTCAAAAGTCATTGGATTCATGTGCTCTATTTAATTTAATTTGTAGTTTGATATTCCACAAATAAAAGTGGCAATTTTTCAAAAAAATTTAATTTTTTTCTTTCTCCTGAATAACTAAGGTAAATGCTGAGCATGAAATACAATACCAATATTTTGTCGGAAGAGTCTTTTAAATAAAAAACTTGAAATATACTGAAGGTCATCTTAAATGGATACAGTTTATGCTAATGGATGATATTATTACTTTAAAACAATATTTTACAATCAAGCTACTCCAAGTGGCACACTATTCATCCTAGAGATCTTTAAAAGTAACAAGCCTGCCTCCTATTTTTCTTCATTCACAGAAAGGGAAAATAGTATAGAAAGCAGAGCTGTTTCTTGAATGTAATACCAAATTTAGAGACAGAAAAGTCAGAGGGTTTGGTCACATTTATTTTGTTTTGTAACTTTTTAAATCAATTTAATACATAGAGTTAGCTACTTATGAAAGTATAAAAATAAAACATGTTGGCCATTCGGTTATTAACAATTTATGTGACTACTATAGTCCATAAAATGAATTTAGTTTAAGTAGGAAAACAGATACTTTTTTTTTGACATGTCATCATTTGTATGTTAAAAAGTTAATGCAAAATATGTTATAAATCAGGAAAGCTACCTTAATAATTTCTTTACCAACTTCACTAGTCTCTTGGAATGAGGTTTAAATAAAATGCATAGGCTAACATGTGACTGTCATATCCAAACTCATAATACTGTGCAGGTTAAATGTGTAAATTAAGTCTTATAATTATGCATAGGATGTTTTCATTTAAGAAGCATTGCAGTGGATATTACTAATGGGGGCGCTATTCTTTCTAATGTATGAAAAAGGAAATTTTAAGTGTCAAATAATCTTTAAAATGTGATGTCATATAGCACGTTCTTTTTCCTTAAGATTTATGCATGTTTAAAACTTAAAAGTACAAATTATGTTAATTTCAGCTTTCATTGAGAGGCCTTTTATGATTGTCTGAATGTTATATTAGCAGTCCAGAAATATCCCAGTCATAGCTTGGATGGGGGTGAAGCAGAGGAAGTGGGTGGTGCTTCGTGATGACAGATTATTGCAGATTATATGGCTGCCTGCCAAAATGACACTCGTTGAAGGGAAAAGTAGAAGTTACAAACTCCATCCTATTAATTTGTACATGTTTATTTAACCACTTATAACTGTTTGCTTGTTTTATACATAGATGACAAGTTTTAAACTCCTGAATTACTTAAAACGTGCTTAACCTTCTCTAGTTTATTGTGGCTATATTCCTTATCTCTGATCTGCAAAGATCACACTGACCCTTTTGTGGAAAGCCACGTGTTAGCAGAAAAAAGATGGGGGAAGGATGACAGAATTTAAAACTACAGCTGCTTTGTTTTCCAGTTAAAAATAGTTCTGAGTTAAAAACGTAAGGATGTCCCATCACATGTGGACAATTTATATAAAATATAGCATACTAATACAAATAATCATGTCTTATGAAAAAGTTTATAGTTCTAGATTGTTCTGGTTTAGCTTGAAATTGAGATTCTTACTGTTGCAACATAAAAGGAAGCTTTGTGAAGGAAATATGACATCTCTGCCCAGATGCATAAGGAGGGAATTACAGTGGGGAGTTATTTTTAGAAGTATCTTATGAATACATTTCATGTACTGAGAACATTTTTTAAAGGTTAGTTTCACTGGTAGGAGTTATGCAAGTTGCTCGGGTCACTGGATATTCTATTAAGAAATCATTTTTATGTTACCAACCAACCTAGTTAGTCTTAAACTGGCTGATCTAAGTAGTAGCTTGCTTGTTTATTTAGAGACAGAGTCTCACCCTGTCACCCAGGTTGGTGTGCAGTGGCACAGTCATAGCTCACTGCTGCCTTGAACTCCTGAGCTCAAGTGATCCTCCTGCCTCAGCCTCCCCAGTAGCCGAGACTACAGGCATGTGCCACCATGCCTGGCTAATTTTTTAAAGTTTCTTTTTTTTTGTAAAGAGGGAGTCTTGCTGTGTTGCCTAGGTTGGTCTCAAAATCCTGGCCTCAAGAGATCCTCCTGCCTCTGCCTCCCAAAACTCTGGGATTACAGGTGTGAGCCACTGCACGTGGCCATATCATTTTTTTTTAATGTGACCAAATTGAGGCCGGGCATTGTTGCTGACGCCTGTAATCCCAGCACTTTGGGAGGCCGAAGTTGGAATATCACTTGAGGCCAGGAATTTGAGACCACCCTGGCCAACATGGTGAAGCCCCGTCTCTACTGAAAATACAAAAATTAGCTGGGCGTGGTGGTGTAAGTCTGTAATCCCAGTTACTCGGAAGGCTGAGACATGAGAATCACTTGAACCTGGGAGGCGGAGGTTGCGGTGAGCTGAGATTGTGCCACTGCACTCCAACCTGAGCGACAGAGCCGGACTCCATCTCAAAAAAAAAAAAAAAAAAAAAAGAAAGTGACCAAATTGAGAAGATATTGAGATCCTGTCAATACCATCAAATAGTAATGCAAGTTATCCTACTAAAAGAGGGGAGGGGACAGTTACATTCCCAGTGCATAGTAGTGTCCCATTCTCCTTCAGGAATGGAATGCCATGTTTTCAGTTCAAGGAAAGGTTGGAAGTGAGTCAAGGAAGCTATCATTTGTATCACACAATTCTTAGAATTGATGCCCTTCCCTAATTCTTTTACATGATCAGCAGCATATCCAGGTTTCTGGTATTTCTTACTTTCAGTTTCTGTCACATAGGTTTGGGATTGGCAGGATAGTTTAATGTTTAATAAGAGTGTGGCAGATAAACATGTCTGCCACCTACTAGCTTTGTGACTTTGCACAAATCCCTTAACCTCCCCGAAACCTCAGTTTCTTCTTCTGTAAAATTGATATAATTATAATACCTACTTCACAGGATTGTTGTGAGGATTAAATGAAATAATGTATGAAAAGCATAATTTTGGCCACACACTGTAAAGGAAGAGCTCAGTGTGCAAGAATAGTTATGCTTATTTTTGCCATTTTTGGATATTTCAGTTCTCATTCATAGCTTCACCAGAAAGTGATCATGGAAAGAGATACAACAACACATGGCATTATGTATAGATAATAAAATCAGCGTTATAATAATAGAAGTATTTAGAAAGTACCAGGGAACACAGGGATGAAATCCACCGATCTTATTTATGCCCTTCCTCTTACCACATTGTGTACTACCCATTCCAAGGGGATAGGAAGAAGGAGACAGGGATCGACTGTAGATTTAATAATTATTCATCAAAATGATTATATAATCTGACAAATTTCACTTTAGTAACATTTTTCATTTTGTTTCAATTGAGATCATTTCCTCCCAATTTGATGGAACAGCCCGGGAAACAACATGGTGAAGTGTTGATTTCTTAAAATGTTATTTTCTCAGCAGAGTGTGTTTGTTTTCTTCTGAGTACACCACTCAGATAAAGTTAGGACTGTGTCTTAAGATTTTAGATCAGCTAAAAAAATTTTTTTTGTTTTGGTGACAATAGAACATAGATATTTACATGTATATTTGAATACAATAGTCCCCTCTTATCCTGTCTTGCTTTCTGTGGTTTTAATTACTCATGGTGAACTGTGGTCTAAAAATACTAAAGTGGAAAATTGCAGAAATAAACCATTCATGAGTTTTATTTTATTTATTTATTTTGGGACAGAGTCTCACTTTGCCACCTAGTCTGGAGTGCAGTGGTGCGATCATAGCTCACCACAGCCTCAGCCTCAAACTCCTAGACTCAAGGGACCCTCCTGCCTTGGCCTCCCAGATAGCTAATTAAAAAAAAAAATTGCAGAGACAGGATGTATTAGTCTGTTTTCACGCTGCTAATAAAGACATCTGAGGCTGGGTAATTTATACAGGAAAGAGGTTTAATGGACTCACAGTTCCACATGGCTTGGGAGGCCTCACAATCATGGCAGAAGGCAAGGAGGAGCAAGTCATGTCTTACATGGATGGCAGCAGGCAAAAAAGAGAGCTTGTGCAGAGAAACTCCCCCTGATAAAACCATCAGATCTCATGAGACTGTATCACAAGAACAGCACGGGAAAGACCCACCCCATGATTCACTCACCTCCCACCGAGTTCCTCCCACAATGCTTGGGAATTGTGGGAGCTACAATTCAAGATGAGATTTGGGTGGGGACATAGCCAAATCCGGTCTGGCCTCAAGTGATCCTCTGGCCTTGGCCTCCCAAAGTGCTGGGATTACAGGCATGAGCCACTGTGCCTGGCCCCATTCATGAGTTTTAAATTGCTTACCCTTTTGAGTAGTGTGATGAAATCTCCTGCTGACCTACTCCTTCTAGCCAGGGAAATGAATTATCCCTTTATCCAGCCTATCCACACTGTAGATGCTACGTGCCTATTCGTCACTTAGTAGCTGGTTGTCTTGGTTATCAGATTGACTGTTGTGGTACCTCAGTGCTTGTGTTCAACTAACCTTGATTTTACTTAATAACATCCCCAAAGTGCAAGAGTATTGTGGCTAATTTATAAATTAAGCTTCATTGTAGTTATGTATATATAGGAAAGGAAATAGTATATATAGAGTTCCATACTATCTATGGTTTCATAAATCCACTGGATGTTCTAGAACATATTCCCCACACATAAGGACAACTACTGCATAAAGAATGTTTTCCGTTCTCACAATCTGAGACTCTAGGGTTCATATCTTGTATTGGGTCAGTTAACTTTGTTGACGTATTGAAAATATTAAAACTAATTCTTACATAAGCAGATTTTCATAGGGATGTGTTAGCAAAACAGATGTGAAATTTAGGGGACACCCGCAGTCAATTCACTAAACCAAACAAGGAAACTCCTTATAGGATACTTGAAAAAAAAAATGTTTAGCCGTTGTGAATATACTTTTAGTGTTTAAAATTTCAGGGTGTTAATCTGTAATGTAACCCCTTTGTCTCCTAGCCAGCTCCTGGCTTATTCCATGTTTTTCCTTGTTTCTGAGAATTCCTAACATAATAGTCTCAAGGCTCATTACATCGCTGGTAAAATGCACTGCACCTCGTGCACCTTTCCCATTCAGACCCTTGTTGCCTCGTTCCTGGACTACCACAGGGGCCTGCCTTCATTTCAGTCTCTTTTTCCCAACTCATCATGATGAATCTTCTTTAAATGCTACTTCTAGCATGTCACTCCCTTTTCAGAGAGCTTCAGTGGTTCCCTGTTTTCCACTATGTTAAATCTAACTTCTTCTGCTTGACTTTCGACACCCTTTCTGATTTGCCTGTACACTATTTATCCAGCTTCATTTCCTATGATCTTGGGCCTATTCTTTCTGTTCTATTGAAGTCGGTCTCTCAAACACACCAAACTCATTCAAGTCTCTGCCTTTTACTTCACCCAAAAAGCCCTTGCTTGGAGCTTCTCGCTGCCTACGCAGATTTTACCATTCCTTCAAGATCCTGTGTGAAGTGTACTACCTGTTAGATGCTTTTCCTACTCCTACTATTTTCCTGCAAATTCTCGGGTGATTTTTAATTTAGCAAACCAATGAACAAAAATCTGTGTAGTGTCTTCTATCACACACTCTTGTATCTTCACTAATGTAAACATTTTGAATACAAACACCATATCTTTTAGCTAAATCTTTCACAGTTCCTAGCATAAGGCGGAGGAAACTGATTTTGAAGAGAAAGAAAAAATAGTAAATGTATTTCATCATGCTTATCTAAAGTCAACTCAGGCCGGGCACAGTGGCTCACTCCTGTAATCCCAACACTTTGGGAGGTCAAGGTAAATGGATCACCTGAGGTCAGGAGTTCGAGACCAGCCTGGCCAACATAGTGAAACCTTGTCTCTACTAAAAATACAAAACTAGCCAGGCATGGTGGCACACACCTGTAATCCCAGCTACTTGGGAGGCTGAGGCAGGAGAATTGCTTGAATCCCAGTGGTGGAAGTTGCAGTGAGCCAAGATCGTGCCACAGCACTTCAGCCTGGGCAACAGAGTGAGACTCTGTCTCAAAAAATAAATAAGATAAGATCAGTAACCCTGGTAATACAGTAATGTTGAAGGGACCTGAGTATTTTTCCTATTTGGGTCCAGTCTGTCACCTCATTTACAGAAAAATGTGAGACAAATGAAGACAGTTTTGTAAT
Source organism: Homo sapiens (assembly GCF_000001405.40). Taxonomy (NCBI): domain Eukaryota; kingdom Metazoa; phylum Chordata; class Mammalia; order Primates; family Hominidae; genus Homo; species Homo sapiens. The sequence goes on along the minus strand of NC_000012.12, from coordinate 118,352,592 downwards.
TGGTTACAGATTGATATGTTTGCTTTTCTTTATGAGAAACTATATATGTGTGTATATATATGTGTATATATATGATTTTTTTTTTTTTGAGACAGAGTCTCGCTGTGTCGCCCAGGCTAGAGTGCAGTGGCGCAATCTTGGCTCACTGCAACCTCTGCCTCCCAGGTTCAAGCGATTCTCCCTACCTCAGCCTCCTGAGTAGCTGGGATTACAGGTGCATGCCACCATGCCTGGCTAATTCTTGTATTTTTAGTAGAGACAGGGTTTCACCATGTTGGTCAGGCTGGTGTCGAACACCTGACCTCATGATCCACCTGCCTTGGCCTCCCAAAGTGCTGCTATTAAAGTGATATAGCCAGCTGCCGTTGGAGAGATATAGTTTTGATAATAACAGCTTTCCATCCTATAGAACTATAGATTAGGCCGGGCGCGGTGGCTCACGCCTGTAATCCCAGCACTTTGGGAGGCCGAGGTGGGCGGACCACGAGGTCAGGAGATCGAGACCATCTTGGCTAACACGGTGAAACCCCATCTCTACTAAAAATAAAAAAATTAGCCAGGCGCGGTGGCGGGTGCCTGTAATCCCAGCTACTCGGGAGGCTGAGGCAGGAGAATGGCATGAACCCGGGAGGCGGAGCTTGGAGTGAGCCAAGATAGCGCCACTGCAGTCTGGCCTGGGTGAAAGAGGGAGACTCCGCCACTAAAAAAAAAAAAAAAAAAAAAAAAAAGAACTATAGATTAAATATAATCATTTAATTTTACACAACCAAGAAGCATTTTTATCCAATTATTTAAGTAACCTAAGTACAATTAAGTGCCTGCTGTGTTACAAGGTTAGGCTCTGTGAAGGTGTGCCCTGCAAAAACTATTAGGGAATTCCATTAGGCAAGACAAAGTATATATTCAGACGCTTAAAGATAGGAATATTTATTACTTCAATTGGGTGTTATAATCGGTCTCTTATCTTTTTAAATAATATATACTTTCCTTTGTATTGATGCCAAGAAGCTTATAGGACACCTAAATGAAAACTTTTAAAATGCAAAATGTTTTATATATGTAAGAGTATGGATATTTGAAAATGTCTAGTTAATGCTTTGAGTTTGTTTTGATGCTTGGCTATAGATGCAGCCAGTAACACCATACTCTTTGTCCATTTATGTACTCAGTAAACATTTACTGAGCATCTACTCGGGTCAGGCCTTGGACTAGTGCTGAATAGGACTATGTTTCTTCCTTAACTAATAAGGAAACAAACTATTTAGGTACAGCAATGCTACAGAGACCCATGTGATGCTAGAAAAACACATAGGAAGGGCACTGAATCATCCCCTGTTCTAGTTACCTAAATAAGTATACAAACTACTTCTCTATTCCTAGTTATGCCTCAGATTTTTTTTTAATTTATTTTCTTGAGACAGAGTTTTATTCTGTCACCTAGGCTGGAGTGCAGTGCTGTGATCTCAGTTCACTGCAGCCTCCACTTCCCGGGTTCAAGTGATTCTCGTGCCTCAGCCTCCCAAGTAGCTGGGATTACAGGCATGCACCACCACGCCTGGCCAATTTTTGTATTTTTTGTAGAGATGGGGTTTCACCACGTTGGCCAGGGTGGTCTCAAAGTCCTGACCTCAAGTGATCCGCCTGCCTCAGCCTCCCAAAGTGCTGGGATTACAGGCATGAACCACCACACCTGGCCTTTTTTTTTTCTTTTTCTTTTCTTTTTTTTTTTTTTGAGACGGAGTTTTGGTCTTGTTGCCCAGGCTGGAGTACAATGGCACGACCTCAGCTCACTGCAACCTCCACCTCCCAGGTTCAAGCGATTCTCCTGCCTCAGCCTCCCGAGTAGCTGGGATTACAGGTGCCCACCACCATACCCAGCTAATTTTTTGTATTTTTAGTAGAGACAGAGTTTCACCATGTTGGCCAAGCTGGTCTCGAACTCCTGACCTAAGGTGATCCACCTGCCTCAGCCTCCCAAAGTGCTGGGATTACAGGCGTGAGTCACCATGCCTGGCCTCAAATTTGTCTTGTAGCTGAAGACCCGTCATTTAAACTTGTTACTCCATAGGATGGACAACAACAATAACAATTGCTGAATGAGTGCTTGTTAGGTGCTAGGTATTACAATACATGCTTTATATAATGAGTATCTCAACGAACCTCTATAATGGATATTTGTGTAGATTCACATACATATTCTTACATAGACTTTACAGGGGTGTATACTGATGTTCAGAGAGGTTAGGTGGTTTGTTCAAGATCTGTGGCAGAACCTGGACTTAAACTCAGTTCTATGCCTGTGTTTATAACTGTTGGGCCATGTACCCCTCATTGTGAAGATTGGAATTAAATAACTCTGTACTGTTCTATTAGTGCCTACAGGATAAGTGCTACGTGGCCCCAAGATGTCATTCATATATGACAATACAAAAGCTGGTTAGATAACATGGCAACAATAAAAAGTTGTGGACTATTCAGTGAAGTTATGGGCTATTCAATACAGTTTAGGATTTTTAAAAAATCATTTTAGGCATGCAAAATAACTATCAGATTTTATTCATTTGAAATAATAATTTTATGTTATATTGTGAGTCTCACAGTGACTTTGTAAGGCATTATATCCTCACTTTGTAGATGAGGTTATGAAGGCTTAGAGAAGTTCAGCTGCATCCTAAAGACGCCACAGTTAAGTAAGAGAGTTAAGTGACTTGGCTGAAACCTAGATTTGCTGATTGAAAGGTCAGAGCTCTTTTCCTTTATACCACAAATTGAAGCTGTCATTTGGGGCATGAAACTAATAACTGTTTTTTGTGTTTTTTTTAATTTAGATAAAATTTTATGATATAAAACTTACCTTTTTAAATTATGAAATTCAGGTTTTTAGTATATTTGTGATGTTGTTACAATATCTAACCTCACCACTATCTAACTCTAGAACATTTTCATTACACCAAAAAGAATTTTGTACCTGTTAGCAGCCACTCTCAATTATCCCCAACCCCTGGTAAGCACTAATTTACTTTCTGTCTCTATGGATTTGCCTACTCTGGACATTTTGTATAACTGGAACAAGACAATATGTGTCTTTTTGTGTCTGACATCTTCACTTAGCATAATGTTTCAAGATTCATCCACATTGTAGCGTACATCAGTGATGATTCCTTTTTATGGCCAAATAATATTTCATTATATCTGTGTGCCACATTCTGATTATTCAAGAGTTGATGGATATTTTGGCTGCTTCTACTTTTTGGATATTAATAATGTTTCTGTGACAGTAAATATACAAGTTTTTAAATGAACATATTTTTCCATTCTCTTGGGTATATACCTAGAGTGGAATTGCTCATAATTACTTTTTGTAAAATAATTAAAATGAAAATGCTTTGAAATGATTTGAATCAGCCAGCGCGGTGGCTCATGCCTGTAATCCCAGCACTTTGGGAGGCCAAGGTGGGCGGTCACCTGAGGTCAGGAGTTTGAGACCAGCCTGGGCAACATGGTGAAACCCCAACTCTACTAAAAATACAAAAATTAGCTGGGTGTGGTGGTGAGCACCTGTAATCCCAGCTACTCAAGAGCCTGAGGCAAGAGAATTGCTTGAACCGCCTGGGAGGCAGAGGTTGCAGTGGGCCAAGAACGCGCCACTGCACTCCAGCCTGGGCAACAAGAGTGAGACCCGGGCAACAAGAGTGAGACCCGGGCAACAAGAGTGAGACCCGTTCTCAAAAAAAAAAAAAAAAAAAAGAAATTATTTTTTTTCTCCCCCCTCACAAAAACACACATAATATTGTGTATTTAGCTAATTCTTATCCCATATCTTTTCTTCAGAAATAAGGCAGAGGCTGGGCGCAGTGGCTCACGCCTGTAATCCCATCACTTTGGGAGGCTGAGACGGGTGGATCAAGAGGTCAGGAGATCGAGACCATTCTGGCTAACATGGTGAAACCCTGTCTCTACTAAAAATACAAAAAATTAGCCAGGCGTGGTGGCGGGCACCTGTAGTCCGAGCTACTCGGGTAGTTGAGGCAGGAGAATGGCGTGAGCCCGGGAGGCAGAGCTTGCAGTGAGCCAAGATTGTGCCACTGCACTCCAGCCTGGGTGACAGAGCGAGACTCCGTCTCAAAAAAAAAAAAAAGAAAGAAAGAAAGAAATAAGGCAGAAGCAGACTTAGACTTTAGCTCAGAGGCTGGACAAGTAGTCTTTAATTCCAGATGAATAGTCTGTGTTTAACACTGCCTCCTCCATTGAAGGCACTATGGAAAGCGAATAAGAATCCTGATGCAAGTCATATTCAATTAATGGAATTAAGAAAGGTCCATGTCCTTTAAAGGCAAAATAGAATGACATCAAGGTCAGCAAGAAGCTGTCAGGTACTTTCTATACATGAAGAAGGAAGAGATTACTTCCGTACTAGGGAGATGGGGTAACATGGAGATGGAGTTTGAACTGAGTCTTGAATTGTGGATACCTTTTCAGCAGGCGTGGTGGACATAATCAATGTATTTTTTGGCCTACAGACATAGTGAACAAAATGTAGGATATTCAGGGATAGTGGCAAATCAAAAGCCTTAGAGCCACATAACAGGAGGTTTGAACTTTGAACAGTAGATAGTGAGGAACCATTTAAGATATTTGAATAGAAAAGACTGATGCAATCAGAGCCTTTGAAAGATTACTCTATCAATAGTTTGTAGAATGACTTAAAGGAAGAAAGAAATTGAGAATGAGAACTTGGACTAGTAGTGAGGTTCTGGAACTAGGACAGCCTCAATGGAAAAGGAGAAAAGCAGCTTGTGAGAGATTTATTGAGGGCATTAACGGCTTGGCATAGAGAGCTAAAAGAACAGGAGTGAATCAGATAAATGAGAGAAAGTGCAGGGTAGAGAGGGGAAGCTCAGCACAGAATTTTGTGTTAAGAGGTTGAGAGAAGTAGGATAAGCCAGAAGAGGTGGGTTGGAAAGAAACTCCTAGAGGACAGTGCCACACAAACCAAGAAACAACCTTGTAAGGAGATGCGGCATAGAGGTTATGGAAGGATATGACCTGAGAGGACTCCTGTTGGACTTGGAAATGAGGAGGCTGGAGCTAGTGAGTTGCCAGAGCATCTTCCTGTCAGGAAAAGCTCCCCCTCCTCCCCTCAATAAATGATACCTTGAGCATGCTGTAGGCCAAAAGGAGGAGTTGGGAGAGAGGAAGCAACTGCGGATTGAAGAAAAATGAGAGGGGTGCATTAATGAAGTGAGAAGGTAGTAGGATAAAGAATTAAGAGGTCATTTGGACTGGGCCTTGTGGCTCACACCTGTAATCCCAGCACTTGGGGAGGCCTAAGTAGAAGGATTGCCAGAGCCCAGGAGTTCAAGCCTAGCCTGGGCAATAAAGTGAGATCTCATCTCTACAAATGATAATTTTTTTAAAAAAATTAGCTGGGTGTGGTGACACGTGTCTGCGGTCCCAGCTACTCAGGAGGCTGAGGTGGAGGATCACTTGAGCACGGGCAGTCAAGGCTTCAGTGAGCCAGGATCATGATCGTGCCACCGCACTCTAGCCTGGGTGACAGAGCGAGACCTGGTCTAAAAAAAGAAAAAAGGCCTATTGTTGGACAGAAGTGCTTGGCCTGATAAAGGAAAACTGAAGGAGGAAGACGAATGCATATACAGAGAAATTTTTAAATTGAGGAAGCTTACATAATGGCTTCACTGTAAAATTTATACTATTATTGCTTATTAGTAGTACCTACAGATAGAATAGTAACTACAGATAGACAAGTTAGATTTAGAAAATACCTTGCATTATCTCAGGCACATGTAGAAAGATTAAACTTTCCATTCTGTATAAATGTTTCATTCTTTTAGCTATGCATTGAACATATCTTTGCCTATGCTTTTAAATGCATTTGCCTGCCAAAACATAGCTATGTGATGTAATTATATAGACTACCAGTTAGGCCTGTTGAGTCCACATTTCTGCTAATTATTCAAGCTGTGTATTCTGAGTGCTAATAATAGTGGGAACTCAAGTACAGTATTTTGTTTAAAAATTAGTTTATAACCTTCAGTTTGAAATTTTTGTATAAATGTTTTATTCTTTCTAAAAGATGCCCCAAAACAATATTTTGTATTTTCTATAGAATAGAAATTTATTAGTAGTATGTTCTATAGCTTAGCAGGCACACTGTACAATTATTCATTTCATTGAAAGTAATGACAAATATATGTCACTTTGAAATTATAATTTCCCTGTTTTAAGATGTTGCCAAATCAGTTCTTTATCAGTCCTGATGTTGGGAGTTTCCAACTAGAAGACTTATTAGTAAATGAGTAGATGTGGAAGCTAAGCCTCCTTCATTACCCTTAACCCTTTCTCCTCTTCTCAACAAAGTGGTGAGAAGTCCCTGACCTAAGATAGTTCTTTTCATATATTTTTAATAGCTATACAAGTAATACATGTTTTTTGCTTTAATAAATAAAAAATACATGTGAGTAGTTAGAACAAAATAAAATTTATATTCTATACCTAGATATATTTTGACAGCCTTTCAGAATTTTTTTTAGGTAAAGTATTTTTAGGAATAGTAATTAGGACAGTTATAGTACATATATTGTTTTCTATGCTGCTTTATTTCTTTTACTTTAACAGTATATCATTACCGTATCAATATTCATCTGTCTCTAAATATAACTTCCACTTCATTTTCAAGCCTGCATGCATTGTTGCATGGATTTTTCAAAGTGGATTTTTTTTCTTAGTCTTTATTCTTACAAAGTGTTCTAAGTCGCTCCTTAATCAATATCTCTGTCCCCAATACAACTCTTGGTTTCTTTCCAGTTATAAGGAGATTCTACATCAGGTAGACCATAAGAACTTGGTTTCCAGGAGCATGAGTTCATTTTTTTTTTTCAAGCAGGATGGGTGAGCAGCATTATTACATTGTATGTCCTGACAAAGGCACTCATGGCTTGAAAACTGTCTGTTTTTTTCTCCACCCACCAGAACATAAGCTAGTGTCTGACATTTCTTTTGAGCAGCCAGGGCTTGAAAGCATGCACTTATCTTCCCAAACACATGGCTTTTTCCTTGGTCTTCATCTGCTCTACAGGAGCTCCTGCTACAAGTCTTCTCTTAGACTATCACCAGCCTTCCTTCCTCTTCTATTCCTGCCTGTTCAGGATTTGTTTATTTTGTTCGTTTTGCATTCAAACTTCTTGGTTATGAACCCTTTTGAGATCATCCTTAAGAAAGGAGAAATGTTGAATTTGTCCAAAGTAACCGGTTATTACAGGCATTTAATTAATGAATATTTCTTGTCCATTTTGAAGACTATATTTCAGCCTCCTTAATTTAATCTATTCTACTTTGTATCATTTTTTAAGTTTCTATCATGATTGGCCTTAAAAAATAGACATTTCATTCCCATCTTAGTAAAAGTCTTACTTCAAATTTATGTCACTACACTAAATATAAATACAATTTTAGTGGAAGCTGCTTCCAGAAAGTGGATATGGTTCAGTAAGATTGGTTTTTTAACACTTTGCTTAATAAGTAAGTGATTCAGTAGACTAACCTCATGAAATTTGCTAGTGATCCTTTAACTGGCTAACACCTTGGAAAAACAGATTAAGGTTCTAATTAGCATTGACAAGGTGAAGAGGGGCATGGGTATTAACAAGAGGAAGTTAACCAAAGACATGCTGGGTGATTCAATAAAGGACTAAAGAAATAAAGTGTAAATATAACAGGGGGCACCATACTTTGAAAAAGCATGAGAAAAATAAAAATAAATGTTATTAATTATCAGAAAATAAAGTACTATTATTTTTAAAGCCATAACACTGTTAATAGTATTTTTAACAGTGATATTATTAATTGGTCATGATTTATTTTGCAGTTAAGAGGAAGCCTTATTTATTTATTTTTTTTACTTCTGCAAAATTTTTCCCATTCGTTTCAAATATGAATTGAGACAGTGGAGAGAGAGGCAAATGCAAGTGTTAAAAAACAGGACTGTGAAATCAAAAAGTTCCAATTGCCATGTATTTTTTGCGTTATTGAATATGCTGTAAAGTGGTATTGTTGATACCACATTTCTTAGGTGGGATTTCCATCATTCTCAAAATATGAATAGGTATTGTTGATGTGAACACTGCTTCTCCCCTGTGAGCCAGGCAAGATGAATGGATGTGTTACAATGTGGTCATCTGTTTTGTATATTAACAGAGATTTACACCTGCACTTTTGTATAGTAACTGAACAAATCAACTCTGTAATTGCCTTACCTGAATCAGGTGGAATGTATTTACTATGACACATGCTTTTGTCTTGTTTTAAAATAATCAAGAGCTTGAATCTTTGTATTTTGGTAAATCAGGAAAAAAAATTCAGACTGCATACAAGATAAAGGACTCAATACATTAGGGGCTCTGGGAGAAAATGAATGAAGTCAATCTAAACAATAAAAGAAACAGCATTGAAGTCAGACCATTGCCAATGTTCTAAATTTGTAAAATCCACACAGGGTTTTGTTTCTTTTCTTAATCTTGTAGAGCTTGGAACAAATAAATTCTAGTGGATTTTTTTTTTTTTTAGACAGTCTCGCTCTGTCCCCCAGGCTGGAGTGCAGTGGCACCATCTCAGCTCACTGCAAGCTCCACCTCCTAGGTTCATGCCATTCTCCTGCCTCAGCCTCCTGAGTAGCTGGGACTACAGGCATCTGCCACCATGCCCGGCTAATTTTTTGTATTTTTAGTAGAGACAGGGTTTCACCATGTTAGCCAGGATGGTCTCGATCTCCTGACCTCGTGATCCACCTGCCTCGGCCTCCCAAAGTGCTGGGATTACAGGTGTGAGCCACCGCGCCCAGCCTCTAGTGGATTTTTTATAAGACTCATAGAGTTAACAAAAATTAAATCTCAAAAATTCTCATATTTAAATTGCTGACTTTAAATACTTCCTTTAAACTAAATGTATTAATGATTTAATTTGGTATCATTCTGATACTTTATTCTGCAGTTTGCAGGTGCACCCCATACAGTTCCCTGCACATATCAAATGCTCAACTAGTATCTTAAATTGTTTTACTGGGCATTCTGATTCCTAGGTTTAATGTAAAGGGTCACTTACATAGAGTGCACTGAGACTCATGAATTTCTTTTTTTTTTTTTTTTTTGAGACAGGGACTCACTCTGTCGCCTAGGCTGGAGTGCAATGGCACAATCTGAGCTCACTGTAACCTCCGCCTTCTGGGTTCAAGCGATTCTCCCACCCCACCCTCCTGAGTAGCTAGGATTACAGGCACCCGCCATCATGCCTGGCTAATTTTTGTATTTTTGTAGAGACAGGGTTTCACCATGTTGGCCAGGCTGGTCTTGAACTCCTGACCTCTGGTGATCTGCCCATCTCAGCCTCCCAAAGTGCTGGGATTGCAGGCATGAGCCACCGCACCTGGCCACGAATTTCTATTAAAAATTTATGTTTTGATTAATAAATTTACTCCACAATGAAATGCTATCTAGAATTTGCCAATAGATGTAGCAGGAACCACTGATAGTTTTTTTTTTTAAGCCTAAGAAACAGTATCTGAAGTTGATATGCAAATATTGCAAGACTTCTTCATTTCTCTCTCTCTCTCTCTCTCTTTTTTTTTTTTTTTTTTTTTTTAGCAGACAGAGGCTTACTCTGTGGCCCAGGCTGGAGTGCAATGGCAGGATCGCCACTCACTGTAACCTTGGCCTCCCAGATGCAAGTGATCCTCCTGCCTCAGCCTCCCCAGTACCTGGGACTACAGGCACCTGCTACCTTGCCTGGCTAATTTTTGTATTTTTTGTAAAGACAGGGTTTCTCCATGTTGCCCTGGCTGGTCTCGAACTCCTGAGCTCAAGCAATCTGCTTGCCTCAGCCGGGAAAATTGCTGGGATTTCAGGTGTGAGCTGTAGAGCCCAGATGACTTTTTAATTTCTAACTGGGGTTTCAAATGTCCCAAAACAGAGTACAATGAGATATTTTATACTGCATGTTTTATTTATTGATAGTACACAATTTTATATTATCTTGTCATGGCATAGTAAAAAGTCTGGCTTTAACTATGTTGATTTCTGCATGCTTCTGTGGATGACACGTTTCTAACCTTTATTGTTTCAAATTTTAAATGAAATGTACTATTTTATTACTTGTATAACAAGGTATTTTCAACATGTCAAAGGAAATATTAGCTTTACCAACCTTTATGAAAGGATCAAAGTCAAGGCTATTTCATGTTGTGCTAATAAAACTTTTCCTGATCATACTTACATAGTAGTATCTGTTAACAAATTAGAACACAGCCTGTAGCTGTGAGCAGATTGCTTCCTCGTGGTAGCTTTCTCACTGGAAACACCAATAATGTAGTAATACCAAAGCTGCCTACTCTGAGGTGAGGAAGCCACATAATTGCTCCCAACTCTGAAATCCTGTGATTTCAAGTTAATTTCAAATGAAGGAGAAAGTATTTGGTCAAAGTAAAATAGTGAAAATGTTAAAAAAAAAATGAGAGATCACAGAAGGTTTTAATTTTTTGGTTTGTTTTTTGTTTTTTGAGACAGAGTCTCACTCTGTTGTCCAGGCAGTAGTGCAGTGGTACAATCATAGCTCACTGCAACCTTGACCTCCTGGGCTCAAGCCATCCTCCTGCCTCAGCCTCCCAAGTAGCTGGAACTACAAGGTGTGCCACCACACCTGGTTAATTTTTTAATTTTTTGTAGACATTAGATTTCACTATATTGCCCAGGCTGCTCTCCAACTCCAGGGCTCAGGCAGTCCACCTGCCTAGGCCTCCCAAAGTGCTGGGATTATTACAGGCATTAGCCACCACACCTAGCCAACACAGAAGGGTTTTTTTAGCATGGTTTAGTGGAATTCCTTGATAAAAATAATATTAAAACTTGTGAATGAAGGAAGTGTTTTGATAAAAGGCAAAAATGAAGTCAACCCTCCCCTCCTTTTCTCCTAAGTACTTAACTTGATCATGTGTCCATACATTTGTAGTACACATAGTCAACGTTGCCCTGCTAGGGCAACTTAATCTGGTTTTTATATTAGATTTAATTATTTATTAAAACTTCTAAGTTTAATTTTTAAAATGCATTGCATTATTGCCATTAAAACAAAATTTGGACAGATGGACCTAATTTGGACTCATATAGAAAAAAATGGAATAAAAGAAATTTATGGGACCATTTAGGAGATTTGAAAATTTGACCTTGTATTTTATGGCATTAAAAAATTATCGTTAAATTTTTAGGTTAAAAAAAAAAATTTAGGCTGGTGCTGTGGCTCACTCCTGTAATCCCAGCACTTTGGGAAGCCGAGGCAGGCGGATCACTTGAGGTCAGATGTTTGAAACCAGTCTAGCCAACATGGCGAAACCCTGTCTCTACTAAAAATACAAAAAATTAGCCAGGCATGGCGGCAGGTGCCTGTACTCCCAGCTACTCAGGAGGCTGAGGACGAACAAGAATACCTTGAACCTGGGGCAGGGCAGCAGAGGTTGCAGTCAGCTGAGATGGCGCCACTGCACTCCAGCCTGGGCAACAGAGTGAGACTCTGTCTCAAAAAAAAAAAAAAAATTAGATATATTAATGGTAGAGTTAATGTTTTTTGTTTCTTTTTGTTCTTTTGAGACAGGGTCTCACTTGCTGCCCAGGCTGTCGTGCAGTGGTGTAATCGTGGCTCACTGCAGCCTTGACTACCTGTGCTCAAGCAGTCCTCCTTCCTTGGCCTCCCAAAGCACTGGGAGTACAGGCATGAGCCACCATGTGCGGCCAATGTTTTTTTTTTTTTTTATGGTTCTTATCTTTTAGACATACATTCTGAATATTTATAGATGAAATGATTTATTTAGGATTTGTTTCAAAATAACGGAGTGCTGTGGGAAGTACGTGGGCCATGAATTGATAACTGTTAAAGCTGGGTATGAGGCAGTTTATTATATTCTTCTGTTACTTTTTTATTTAACATTTTCTATAATTAGAAAGTCCAAAAAATAATATTTAATAACCATCTATGAGGTTTATAAAAATGATTTAGATGTCTTTATTCCTTGTAAAATGACATAAAAGCATTACCTACAATAAATTCCACCCCATTTTCTTTTCATAAAAAATTTTTCTTCTCATAATCCATATTCCTTATTCTCTGCTGTGAGAAAAGAGCTCTTAAAATTGTCACATGATGTCAAAAGAAAACAAGGGGGAGAAGGAGTCACTTTACTGTGCCTACAATGAATTTTATATAACACCTTTACTTTTCTTCCCTTTCCAACCTGATTAAAAATTTTTTTGCTCTTGGGAGGGAAGGTGGGGTGTCCACAGGCAAGTTATTGTTACATTATAGTTAACATTCAACTGTATCTGCATCTTATCACAAACAAATACATGTATATATACACAGAAATATGTGGAAAGTACTTAGTCACTCTCCATATTTCAGGCATATGGTTTATTCTCTCCAGAGATCAATATCTTAGTTACTGAAGCTGTATCTAATTTTTTGCTAAAATAGTTATTTTGTGTTTTAAGAGAAATAAGTGTAATTCCTCAGTAGCAGGAATGGTATGTGGAAGTGATCGTTTTTTGGTGGTTAAGATATTAATAATTTGACAACATGCAAGATTTTGTGAAATATGAATAGTAGTTTATTATTTCAAACTTTTAAAAGTTGGGAAAAGAGGAATTTCAAATTAAAATCTATAAAGTATTGGAAGAATCTATAGAAAAGAGCAACTAAAGCCGGGCGCGGTGGCTCACTTCTGTAATCCCAGCGCTTTGGGAAGCCGAGGCGGGACTATCCTGGCCAACATGGTGAAACCCCGTCTCTACTAAAAATACAAAAATTAGCTGGGCATGGTGGCGCGCCTGTAGTCCCAGCTACTCGGGAGGCTGAGGCAGAATCGCTTGAACCCGGGAGGTGGAGGTTGCAGTGAGCCGAGATCGCACCACTGCATTCCAGCCTGGGCGACAGAGTAAGACCCCGTCTCGAAAAAAAAAAAGAGCAACTAAAATGCTTAATAAATATCTCTCTTTCAAAGCCCTCTGATATGATTCATTACACAGATTTAAAGATAACAATGTTATAAACCGTTCAGGAGAGTAGTTTTGAAGACTTAACTTCCATTAACGCAGTGTATTTGAGAATTGAGTTTTCCGGAAAATTGAGGCTGAGGCAGGAGAATCGCCTGAACGCTGGAGGCGGAGGTTGCGGTGAGCCGAGATCGCGCCATTGCACTCCAGCCTGGGCAACAAGAGCGAAACTCCATCTCAAAAAAAAAAAAAAAAAAAAAAAAAAGTATGATGAAGAACGGAGAATTTTCATTTACTTCCAACTCTTGTGTTGGTTTCTCAGCTTGTCTCTTCTCCCTGCTGTGAATCCTATCACTGCCTTTAGAGTTAACTTAATAAGTGACAAATCTGATTATCATTCACTGGCTTCAAAACTCTAGTGTCACCACGTTGTTCATGTGAAAGTCCAAATCTCTTTCCTGTAGCATCCACAGTTCTAGCTTCATCCTTTGCCTCTCTCAGTAAAGAACTATAAACTCAAGCAGCACACCACACTCTTTGCTGGTCCCAGGGTACGCAATGCTTTTCTTATCACATTGTGCATTTGAATGTTCTATTCTCTTTGCTTGGAGTGGTTTTTCTCCACTTCCCATCTCCTATCTTGTAAGACACAACTAAAAGATCACATCTTTAAAGCCTCCCCAGTTCCCTCAGACAGGGCTAGTTATTCATTTGCTCCGTTTTCTCTTTTTTTTTTTTTTTTTTTTTTTTTTTTGAGACGGAGTCTCACTCTGTCGACCACACTGCAGTGCAGTGGCACGATCTTGGCTCACTGCAACCTCTGCCTCCCAGGTTCAAGTGATTCTCCTGCCTCAGCCTCCTGAGTAGCTGGGACTACAGGCGCGTGGCCACCACGCCTGGCTAATTTTTGTATTTTTAGTAGAGACAGGGTTTCACCACATTGGCCAGGCTGGTCTCGAGCTCCTGACCTTGTGATCCGCCCACCTCGGCCTCCCAAAGTGCTGGGATTACAGGCCTGAGCCACCAAGCCCAGCCCACTTCCTCTGTTTTCATAAACACCTTTTGTACTGTATTGTAACCATTTGGTGGTAATCATCCCTTCTATTGATTGATTGATGCAATCATTCATTCATTTGGAGGTATTAATCTAAAAGGTACTATGTTCCAGACACTGTTTGGTACTGGAAATAGAGTTATTAAAACAGTCGCTGTCTCTTCCCTCTGTTAGTGAAGGACACATATGTTAAAGAATCACAAAAACATCCATATAATCACAATTGTGACATCTGTGAAGGTGGGGTCTCTGTTCAGTATCTCTCTGTATATTGCCCACCTTCCATCTTCCCACCCGCATCCCACCAGCACATAAGCTAATGCTTCACACAAAAGAGCAACTCAATAAATGCTTAAAGAAGTGAATGATGAATATATAACTGTACATGAGCTACATGGATTTCTTTTAAACTTTTTATTTTGAAATAATTGTAGATTTACACGCACTTGTAAGAAATAATACTGAGAGGTCGGGTGTACCCTTTATCTAATTTCCCTTAACAATAAGATCATACAAATCTATAAGATGGTATCACAGCCAGAATATTGATATTGATACAGTTCCCCATCCTTGTTCAGATTTCCTCAGTTTTACATGTGTGTATATTTAGGTCTATGAAATTTTCCCATGTCGGTTTATATATCCACCACAATGGTCAAGATTGAAGAAGTGTTATCATGAGGCTACATTATCACAGCTACTTCCCTCCCATCCCCCTTCCACCACCCTCTATCCAAAATCCCTGGCAACCACTAATCTGTTCTTCATGTCTATAATTTTGTCATTTCAAGAATGTTATACAAATGAAATCATTCAGTATGTAACCTTTGTGGATTTTTTTCCCACCCAGTGTAATTCTCTGACGATTTAACTGAGTTGTGTGTCAATAGTTAATACCTTTTTGTTGTTGAGTAATTTTCCATGGTATGGATGTATTATAGTTTGTTTAATCCTTTATCCATTAAAGAATATCTGGGTTGTTTCCAGCGTTTGGCGATTAGGAATAAAGCTGCTGTGAACATTCTCGTACAAGTTTTTATGTAAACATAATTCTCCATTTCCCTGGGACAAATGCCCAGGAATGCAACTGCTGCGTTGTATGGTAATTATGTGTTTGGTTTTATAAGAAACTGTCACACTATTTTCCAGAGTGGCTGTACCATTCTACATGTAAGAGAGTAGTTGGGCACTGAAAAATCCAGTTTCTCCATATCCTCACCAGCATTTGGTGTTGTCATTATTTTTTATTTTAATCATTCTGATAGGTAAGTAGTAATATTTTCTCGTGGCTTTAATTTACATTTCCCTAATAGTTAACAAAATTGAACATCTTTTCATATGTTTATTTGCCATTTCCATTTGTAAATCCTCTTTAGTGAAATTCCTGTTTTATGTCTTTTGCCCATTTTCTTTTTTCTTTATTTTTTGAGACAGAGTCTCCTTCTGTTGCCCAGGCTGGAGTGCAGTGGTGCAATCTTAGCTCACTGCAACCTCTGCCTCCCAGGTTGAAGCGATTCTCATGCCTCCGCCTCCCCAGTAGTTGTGATTACAGGTGGGCAGCTAATTTGTATATCTTTAGTAGAGACAGGGTTTCGCCATGTTGGCCAGGCTGGTCATGAACTCCTGGCCTCAAGTGATCCTCCTGCGTCGGCTTCCCAAAGTGCTGGTATTATAGGTGTGAGCCACTGCCCCCAGCCTCTTTGCCCTTTTTGTAATTGGAGTTTTTTTTGCTGTAATTTACTGTTGGGTTTTGAGTTTTTGATATTTTTTACATACTAGTCCTTTGTCAGATATGTGGTTTGCAAATACTTTCTGTCTGTAGCTTGCATTTTCATCTTTTTAATGGGTCTTTTGCAGAGCAGTGGTTTTAAATTTTGATTAGGTACAATTTATTGATTTTTTTTTCTTTCCCTGAGTCATGCTTTTGGTGTCTCAGAATTCTTTGCCTATTCCTAGATCCCCCAAATTTTCTCCTATACTTTTTTCCTAAATATTTTATAGTTTTATGTTTACATTTAAATCTGTAATTGATTTTGAGTTAATTTTTGTATAAGATAAGAGGTTTAGGTCATGGTTTATTTTTTTGCCTATGTTCATCCCATTCCTCCAGCACCATTTGTTGAAAAGGAATTTTTTCTCCGTTGAATCACTTTGTAAATAATCACCTTTGTAAATAAATCAGATGGACATATCCGTGTATGTCTATTTCTGGGTTCTTTCTTTATTCTGTTCAGTAGACCTATATTTTTATCTCTCTACCAGCACAAACTGCCTTGATTACTGTAGCTACATAGGAAGACTTAATATTGAGTAAAGTGATTCCTCATATTCTTCCTTTTCAAGATTGTTTAGTCATTCTAGCTCTTTTGCCTGTCCATGTAAACGTCAGATTTAGCTTGCCTATGTCTACGAAAATCCGTGCTGGGATTTTGATAGGAATTGTATTAAAACTATATACAATTTGGGGATAATTGACGTCTTTTCTATGTTGAGTCTTTCAATCTGTGAATATGGTATGTCTCTTCATTTACTTAGATTTCTTTAATCAACATTTTGGAATTGTCACCATGAATATTTATAGACATGTTTTTAAAGTTTATATCTAAGCATTTTATTTTGCTTAAAGTAATTATAAGTGATAGTTTTTGTTTTATTTTTGAGATAAAGTCTCACTCTGTCGCCCAGACTGGAGTGCAGTGGCACCATCTCCACTCACTGCAGCCTCTGCCTCCTGGGTCCAAGCAATTCTTCCTCAGCCTCCCAAGTAGCTAGGATTACAGGTGCCCACCACCACGCCCGGGTAATTTTTTGTATTTTTAGTAGACACAGGGTTTCACCATGTTGACCAGACTAGTCTTGAACTCCTGACCTCAAGTTGATCCACCCAGCTCGGCCTTCCAAAGTGCTGGGATTACAGGCGTGAGACACCATGCCTGGCTGTGTTAATTCTTCTTTAATATTTGGTAAAAATTTTCAAGGAAGCCAGCTGGGCTTGGGAAATTCTTTTCCAGGAGGCTTTTCATTACAAAGGCAATGTCTTTCATGGTTAAAGAACTACTCAAGATATCAGTTTGTGGTTTTAGAGAAATTGAGAAATCGGTCAATTTCTTCTAAGTTGTCAAATTTGTGAGCATAAAGTTGTTCATAGTATTCCCCTACTATCCTTTTAATAGCTTCAAGATCTGTATTACCTCCTGTCTCACTTCTGATATTAGTGATTTATCTCTTCTTTTTTTATGTTATTGTGGTAAGAACATTTAACATGTGATTTACTCTTGAAACAGATTTTTTTTTTTTTTTTTGAGACATAGTTTTGCTCTTGTTGCCCAGGCTGAAGTGGGATGGCGCAACCTTGGCTCACTGAAACCTCCACCTCCCAGGTTCAAGTGATTCTCCTGCCTCAGCCTGCCAAGTAGCGGGATTACAGGCATATACCACCACACCATGCCTGGCTACTTTTTTGTATTTTTAGTAGAGTTGGGGTTTCACCATGTTGGCCAGGCTGGTCTCAAACTCCCGACCTCAGGTGATCCACCCATCTCAGCCTCCCAAAGTGCTGGGATTACAGGCATGAGCCACTAAGCCCGGCCTTTTTTTTTTTTTGGAGACGGAGTCTTGCTCTGTCACCCAAGCCCCAAGCTGGAGTGCAAGGGCACAATCTCTGCTCACCACAACCTCTGCCTCCTGGGTTCAAGTGATTCTCCCGCCTCAGCCTCCCTAATAGCTGGGATTACAGGCTCGTGCCACCACGCCCAGCTAATTTTTTGTATGTTTAGTAGAGACGAGAGTTTCACCATGTTGGCCAGGCTGGTCTCAAACTTCTGACCTCATGATCTGCCCACCTCAGCCTCCCAAAGTGCTGGGATTGCAGGTGTGAGCCACCACACCCGGCCTCCGAAACAAATTTTTCAGTATCCAATACAGTATTGTTATCTATAGGTACAGTGTTGTACAGCAAATCTCTAGAACTTACTCATATTACAAAGCTGAAATTTTATACTGGTTGATTAGCAACTCCCCATTTCTCCCTAGCCCTCGGCCCTGGCAACCTTTGCTTCTATGAGTTAGATTATTTTAGATAGCTTATATAAGTTGAGTCATGATATTTATCCTTGTGTGACCCACTTATTTCACTTAGTATAATGCTCTCAAAGTTCATCATGTCACATATTGCAAGATTTCCTTTTTTAAAGTTGGATAATATTTCATTGTATACTACATATATATACCACAATTTTAAAAAAGTATTTGTTCATCCATTGATGGACATTAGATTAATTTCACATCTTGGCAATGCTAGTATCCCTTCAATATCATTATTTCTTTTTTCTTTTTTTTTTTTTTTTTTTGGAGATGGGAGTTTTGCTCTTTTTGCTCAGGCTGGAGTGCAATGGTGCAATCTCGGCTCACTGCAACCTCTGCCTTCTGGGTTCAAGCGATTCTCCTGCCTCAGCCTCCTGAGTAGCTGGGATTACAGGCATGCACCACCACGCCTGGCTAATTTTGTATTTTTAGTAGAGATGGGGTTTCTCCATGTTGGTCAGGCTGGTCTCGAACTCCTGACCTCAGGTGGTCTGCCCGCCTCGGCCTCCCAAAGTGCTGGGATTACAGGCGTGAGCCTCCACACCCAGCCTCAATTTTTTTTTTTTTTTATAAAATACCCAGAACTGGACTGCTGAATCGTATGGTAGTTCTATTTTTAATTTTTTGAGGAAAAAAAATTACCTTTGTCCTTATTTTTGTCAGTCTTGCTGCAGGTTTACAAATTTTATTGATTTTTTTTTCAAATAACTAGTTTTGATTTCATTGATTTTTCTCATGTTTTCTCCTGTTTTCAATTTAATAGATTTCTGTTCTTTATTTTTTCTTTCTTTCTGCTTACTTTGGGTTATGTTGCTCTTCCTGTTCTAGGATTCTTATGGTAGAAACTTAGGTTATTAATCTGAGGCCATTTCTCTCTCCTAATGTAAGCATTTAATAGTATGCATTTCCCTCTTGGCATTGCTTTAGTTGCATTGCACAAATTTTGATATGCTGTATTTTCACTTCCATTCAGATCTATGCATCGTTCTTATTTCCTTTGAAACTTCTTTTTTAACTCATGCATTGTTTAGAAATGTGTTAATTTCCAAATGTTTGAAGACTTTCCTGTTGTCTTTCTGTTAATGATTTCTAGTTTGATTTCATTATGATCAGAAGACATATTCAGTATGATTTTTAGTTGTTTTAGATTTGTTGGAGTTACTTTTCTGACCCAGAATCTGCTTTATTTTGGTGAATATTCCATGGCACTTGAGAAGAATGTATATTCTACTGTTGTTGGAAGGAGTGTTTATTAAATATCAGTTAGATCCTGTTGGTTGATAGCACTGTTCAATTCTTTTGTCTTTGTTAATTTTCTGTCTAGTAATTCTATCAATTGCTGAGAGTGGAGTGTTCAAGCCCCCAAGCATAACTATAGATTTGTCTATTTTCTCTTTTAGCTCTATCTGTGTGTGTGTGTGTGTGTGTTGAAACTGTTGTTTGGTGCATGTACATTTAAAATTACTATGTCACCTTGGTAGATTCGTTCTTTTATCACTATGTGATGTCTCTTTTTCTTGCTGGTAATTTTCTTTTCTCTGAAGTCCACTTTATCTGATATTAATATAGCTACTCGAGTATCTATATTTTTAAGAGATAAGGTCTCACATGATTTCAAATGGTTAATTTAAATAAAGGAACTGCTTTAAGTTGATTATGTGATCTACTTCTACACCACCAACCCACACCATTGCGTAAGAGACTGTTTATGGAAAATTATGTCATCCCGCAGTCGGGAATGGCTAATTGACTTAATGAACAGCAGGACAGTAACATGGCTTCTTTCTGTGTATCCTAAGGAAAGAATGCAGCAAAATAAAGATTTAATCTTCTTTATTTATTTTTATCTAGCTATAGCCTCATAATAAAAAAGAAGTACAAGATATAGGTGCCATGGAGATGTCCATTGGCCTGCAAAAATAAGAAAAAGATTTCTGTAGTTGTACTTTTAGAAAACAGTGAATTCTTTAAAAAAATAAAAGACTGAGAAAAGAGAGAAGCTTCAGGATAGGCTTATTAATGAAAAACAAAAGTGGAACAAGAGTATCTGAGAAAAGATAGCTTTATATTTAAGTACAAAAAAATAATGTAATGGAAACTGAAGGCTGGAAAGTGGATGTGGGTGGGGGTTGGGGGAAGGGTGGAGGTGGATAAGGAGAAGAAAATACATAAAGACTATCTGTCTTTCTTAAGAAAGAAACAATTAGTATAAACTCTAGAAATACTTCCTAATTTTCTGTCCTATTCATAGGTATCATAGGTGTTAAAAACAAATTTATATCTGGGCGTGGTGGCTCACACCTGTAATCCCAGCACTGTGGGAGGCCAAGGTGGAAGGATCACCTGAGGTCAGGCGGTCGAGACCAACCTCGCCAATATGGCGAAACCCCTCCTTTACTAAAAACAAAAATTAGTAGGGCATGGTGATGCACACGTGTAATCCCAGCTACTCAGGGGACTGAGGCAGGAGAATTGCTTGAACCCAGGAGGCGGAGGTTGCAGTGAGCTGAGATCGTGCCATTGCACTCGAGCCTGGGTGACAGAGCAAGACTCCATCTCAAAAAAAAAAAAAAAAATTCATGTATTTGTAATGTGATAATCATACTTTACCTTCATAGGTTTCAAAATGCTTTTATTTATTAATACTAATAATATATTTATAGCAATTTATAAAGCACTTTTACATGCATTTTTAAATTTCATCCTTAAGACTACTGTAAAGTCAGATATTATTCTTTTTTTTTTTTTTTTTTTTTTTGAGATAAGAGTCTCGTTCTGTTGCCCAGGCTGGAGTGCAGTGGTATGTTCTTGGATCACTGCAACCTCCACCTCCCCAGTTCAAATGATTCTTCTGCCTCAGCCCCCCAAGTAGCTGGGATTACAGGCATGTGCCACCATGCCCGGCTAATTTTTGTATTTTTAGTAGAAACTGGGTTTCATCATGTTGGCCAGGCTGGTCTCGAACTTCTGGCCTCAAGCGATCCACCTACCTCGGCCTCCCAAAGTGCTGGGATTACAGGTGCGAGCCACCATGCCTAGCCATTATTCTCATTTTAGAGTAAGCAGTGGGCCCAAAGTCACAGGGTTGGCAAATGGTGCAGCTGGGGGCAGAACCTGGCTCCTTACTTCTTAATTCAGCCTGGTGTTAGCATTTTCTGGGACTCCATGCTGTATGCCTCTTACATTCATTCCCTCTCTAAGTCAATTCAGTAATCAAAGGTTAAGTATTACAGACCTTGTTCTAGAGGAAATGGAATTGAATTCCAAATTACATTTATTTTCTCTAGTAATTAGTCACTGTTTAAAAATACTAATCATATGTAGTATATGTTGTTCTAGAATTTCTGCCTTCTAATATAAAACGAGACTGCAGACCTGTGTATGCCATAATCTAGAGTTTTGTGTTACTTGTTTTTCTTTTGGTAGGTGGCAGTTGGGCATAGATGAGATAAATTCCATATTCTTGTTCTTCATACCAAAGGAAACAGATGTCCCACATTTTCACACAGTTTATGGCAGTTTCAGACTTATGAACCTCATAAAGATAAATGGGTACTGTCAAACCAAAGGATCATCGTTCACTGAGATTGCCTTTTTAACCTTCTGCCCCTTTCTGGCTCTTTCTACCTTTTTTTTTTTTTGTCCTCCTCTTTCTTCTTTCCTTCTTTCTTTTTCTTTTCCCTTTCCTCTTTACCTCTTTTTTTGAATTTTTTTTTCTTGGTTTCTTTTTCTTCTCGTTTTTTATCAATCAACACATTTAAAGTTTTATTAGCAGCTATCTTCTTTTGTAACCTAAAGGAGCTGCCATTCAGTATACTTCCTCTTTGTGATAGTTTCCTCTTTGCCCAACTATCAACTGCAGCCAGACACGCACATACACTTACACCATATCTTAACCATCTGGAGAGTGCCTGAGGCCTGAGTTATGATAATGTAGTTTGGGTCAGGAATCTGAACACTATCTAAAAATATACAAAGCTGCTCTGGCATATTTTAAAACTCGCTTAGAAATGGGACTTTTGTTTCTACCACCAATAGATATATTTATATTGGCATATATAAAAACACAACTATTGTTACAGACAAAAGACGTAAAGACCTATCAGACCTCACTGTTCTAATATAACTTAAGCAAACAACTTTGAAACAATTTTATTTATAGACTTGAATGTAATCTTAACTTTTATTTTCTCATCTGTCACTTTGACTTTTTATAGTGAGGGTTCTATTTTGTTTCTCATCCTCACATCTCTAGATATAAATAAATTGTGAAAAAAGAAGACAGGAAATGAGAGTTCAGATTTTAGGACTTCTGTCATTATTTTCTAGAAAGCATGCATCATTGAACCCCTGATGTATTTTTCCTCCAAAATATTGAAGATATCCACATATTTTTGGGGTTGTTGTTGATACAGAGTTCTGACTGAATGGAAAGATTGATGGTATATTATCATTCTCTTGTCATTATTTTTGAAACTTAAAAGGCAAATAACCAATGCTCTACCTTATGTTTTTGGTTATACCAGAGTTTCATTTCTGAGTCCTGGCGGAAGTGGCTATATACAAATCTTTATGCAAATCTTAAGTTTTTACCACTATTATATCAGAAGTTATCATGGATCTATATATGAAATAATCAGAATTAAGGGAGTATTTGTGTTCCATGTCCCTTGTTTTTATTTAGCTTTGCAGTAGTTAATTGAATGTTACTTTCCATTTTAAGAAGAGGGCACAGAGAATGACCTTCCTAGAAAAAACCAAAGTCATAGAATATAACAAGCTTTATATTTTGATATAAAAATCTTGCTCTTCCAACCCCCCCATAAGTATGGGACATATGGAAGATAACTCTTGATACAGAATATAGTCCTTTTTCTCATGATGGTTTTGACAGATGTTTAATATTAATTTTAATAAATTATTCCTTTTCTCCATTTTATCTTTCCTAATTAGACTCTGAAATGGATATAATATTTTTGACATTTTGTTGGATTTTAAAAGTTTGATAATCAGTTTGAATTGCTTTGCAATTCGTATCCTTCAGGACACAAATCCTGGTGTGTTCTCATGTTAATTCTGGAGAAAATAATCCAAACTCTAGCAACCAAGTCACTATTCCTAGTAGAATGGGCTATCATGCCTTTTCTTTCAGGAAACATCATGTAGAGTTTAAAGCGAGTTTAAAGGTCCAAACATCTATATTCTCTTATCCAGTCTGTCAGTTGTGTTTATTAGTCATGAACTGTGTCTCTAGGCTTTTGCATTAACTGCCCCCCTTCCTCAAATATCTTTTGGCTTCTCTAGTACTTCTTTACTTCCTTTCCCTAAGAGACTGGGTTAAATACCCTTTAAGTGTGCTACATTATTCTGTTATTGCCTGCATTTCAGGCTTGCTTTCTCACTAGATGCAATCTCTTTGAGGACAGAGACCTTAACATGTTCAAGATAATATCTTTGCTACCTGTCATGAAGCCTGGCACATAATAGATTTGCCGAATGAATGAATAGAATTACAGGCAAAATAGTTACTTACTTTCATATTTCTTTCAGATTTAAAAACCATTATAAATCCCTCATGCCAAAATATCCACTTGTTATCTTGATTAACACTGCACTTCTTTATACAAGTGGAAAGTTTCAATTATTTGGTTAGATTTTAAATTTGGGACTGGCAAAATGAATTCTTTAGTAAGAGATCCCACTTCCACTTGAAGAAAAATTGTAACTCATATCCCAGAGGAAATAATTAGCATAAAATGTTACCATTACTGTGAATTTCTGAAATAACTGTGGTTTTTGTTTTTTTAATAGTAAAATACAGTTTGCTATACTCTAGTTGTTGAGTTTTGAGCTTGAGAGAACAGTAAGATTATGTTCTCCATCGCCATGTAAGTTGGGGTAGAGGATTAAATTAATTAAATGTACGTTTCTTTAATACATTTGTTCTATAGACTGCAAGCTCCCTGAAAGTAACGTTTGTATTAGTCGTATTTCTGTCTACTACCTAGCACAAACTCTGGTCATTTTAAGAACTCAATAAGTATTTGTTAGGCCAGGCGCAGTGGCTCATGCCTGTAATCCCAACACTTTGGGAGGCCAAGGATCACTAGAGGTCAGGAGTTCGAGACCAGCCTGGCCAACATGGTGAAATCCCATCTCTACTAAAAATACAAAAATTAGCCAGGCGTGGTGGCGGGTGGCTGTAATCCCAGCTACTCGGGAGGCTGAGGTAGGAGAATCACTTGAACCCAGGAGGCAGAGGTTGCAGGTTGCAGTGAGCCAAAATCGCACCACTGCACTCCAGCCTGGGCAACAGAGTGAGATTCTGTCTCAAAAAAAAAAAAAAGTACCTGTTGAATAAACTCGTGAAAGGGGAAACACGGTGGAGATCTTAGTTCTGCATATAAACACTATGTGGAACAATACATTTATGACTGATTCAGTAAGTGGAAGTTAGTGTCTAAACATATGCTTTCTGAAAATAAGAAAAAGGGTCCTGTTGGGATTCAGAAGATTATAACTTTATAGTCAGTTTTATATAATAGTGTCACTCTTTCAGTCAAAATGGGTCTAAAATTAATTGATACAGAGCAAGTGGACCTTTCAAATTTTATTTAGCAATAGGAATTAAGAAGGATCATGTTTGTGGTCTGTAAGTAGATCTTTTTCAGGAAGACATAAAATGGAAATTCTACATGCCAATAATCCTAAGGCTTATTTATGAACATTATATTTTAGGATTTTTATAGAAGTTCTTCTTCTGCCAGAAAGGAAACTTGAGTTTGAGAACCAGTCTCCAAGGACTTGATATTGAATGAACTTAACTCTGTCTAACACAGATTGATTTTAGTATTTCTGGCAAAAGATCAAAATAGCTTACACATAGCATTTATAAGAATGTTTAAACATTTTCCTTCACTATTATTATTTCTTAATATATGTTTTTCTTTCAAAGTGAATATACTTACATTATATAAATAAGTGTTTCAAACTTGTTTCAACTTTAGCTTTCATGCTATGATTAGAAAGTTAAGAAATTGAACTTTCACTAATTCTAGTTCTTAACATTTTCAGAACTTCAGCTTCTTCATCTGTAAAAGTAGGATAATAGTGCCTACATCTTGGGATTCTTGTGGGAGTTACTTGATATAATATACATAAAGCCTCCAGCACAAAGTAAGCATATTGTAGATGGTGGTGATAGGGTGGAGTTAGTAGTGGCTTTTATTATTAAAACCAGATGCAGGGATTAACTTTGTTATTTTGCTTCCTTGCTTATTTTTTATCACTGTGATCCCAAATTAGCCCAAATGTGTCTTTTAAATAAGAACATTAAGAGATGTTTTGCAATAATCATGTAGTTATTTAGACTGATATGTGCAGATGTATGTCAGCAAGTTGCAAATTGGTATTAAAGTGTGACTCCATTTGGGTAATAAAAAGGGAATGATCATTATACATAGTTATAGAAAAATTTCTGAAGAATACACAATAGTTTCTTAGGAGTAATTATTACCTTTGAAGAGTCAGAATGGGGAGGCTAAGTGCAGAAGAAAATTTTCTATCTCTGCCCCTTTGTATCGCTGGAATGTTGTTGAACACGTATTACCTTTATAATAAAAAAACCAGAGCACTGAATGTTTTACCAGCAACTGATATGGTGACAACTGTAAGTAGAACTAATAAACTGCCTAATGTGCTGGTAAAATTCAAGAGGAAGTTATTTTTTATTATTACCAATGAGTAGAATTATATCCATGATTACAAAAATTAAGTAATGTAGAGGGGTTGCTATTAAAATTATAATTAATCCTAAGTGCCTGACAATGCTGGATACATTAAAAATGTATATTTGATAGTTTTTAATTCAGAGTCATTTCTTTTCTATAAAAAATGCAAACAATTTATATGCAGCCACTAAAGAGCCAGAATAGCGAAAGTCATCCTGAACAAAAAGAAGAAAACTGGAGGAATCACATTACCTGACTTCAAATTATACTACAGAACGATAGTAACCAAAACAGCATGGTATTGCCATAAAAATAGACACATAGACCAGTAGAACCCAGAAATAAATTCACATATCCACAGTCAACTTATTTTCAACAAAGGTGGCAAGAAAATACATTGGAGAAAGGATAATCTCTTCAATAAATGGCAAAACTGGATATCCATATGCAGAAGAATGAAACTAGACCCTTATCTCTCAACCATATACAAAAAATAAAATCAAGATGGATTAAAGATTTAAATCTAAGACCTGAAACTGTGAAACTACTAAAAGAAAACATTGGGGAAACTCTGAGTCTAGGACATTGGTCTGGCAGAAGCACAGGCAACCAAAGCAAAAATGGACAAATGGGATCACATCAAGCTAAACAGCTTCTCCAGAGCAAAAGAAACAATCAACAAAGTGAAGAGACAGGCTGGGTGCTGTGGCTCACGCTTGTTGTGCTAGCATTTTGGGAGGCCAAGGCCTGCAGATCACTTGAAGTCAGGAGTTCAAGACCAGCCTAGCCAGCATAGTGAAACCCCTGCCTCTACTAAAAATATAAAAATTAGCTGACATGGTGGTGGGCACCTGTATTCCCAGCTACTCGGGAGGCTGAGGCAGGAGAATTGCTTGAACCTGGGAGGCAGACGTTGCAGTGAGCCGAGATCATGCTACTGCACTCCAGCCTGGGCGAGACAGCGAGACTCTATCTCAAAGAAAATAAATAAATAAATAAAGAGACAACCCACAGAATGGGAGAAAATATTGGCAAACTACCTATCTGACAAGGATTAATACCCAGAATGTATAAGGAGCTCAAAAAACTCAAGAGAAAAAATCTGATTTTAAAATGGGCAAAAGATCTGAATAGACATTTCTCAAAAGAAGACATAAAAATGGCCAACAGGTATATGAAAAAATGCCCAGCATCATTAATCAATCATCAGAGAAATGCAGATCAAAACTACAATGAGATATTATCTCATCCCAGTTAAAATGACTTTCACCCAAAAGACAGGCAATAATGAATGCTGGCAAGAATGTAAAGAAAGGAGAACCCTCGTACACTGTTGATGGAAATGTAAATTAGTACAGCCACTATGGAGAATAGTATGGAGGTTCCTCAAACAACTAAAAGCAGAACTACCATACGATCCAGAAATCCCACTCCTAGTTATAGTCCAAAAGAAAGGAAATCAGTAATCAGAGAGATATTTGCAGTCCCATGCCTATTGCAGCACTATTCACAATAGCCAGGATTTGGAAGCAATGTTAAGTGTTTATCAGCAGATGAATGGATAAAGAAAATGTGGCACATAAACACAGTGGATTATTATTGAGCCATAAAAAAGAATGAAATTCTAGGGCCGGGCGCGGTGGCTCACGCCTGTAATCCCAGCACTTTGGGAGGCCGAGGCGGGCGGATCACAAGGTCAGGAGATCGAGACCATCCTGGCTAACACGGTGAAACCCCGTCTCTACTAAAAATACAAAAAAAATTAGCTGGGCCTGGTGGCGGGCGCCTGTAGTCCCAGCTACTCGGGAGGCTGAGGCAGGAGAATGGCGTGAACCCGGGAGGCAGAAATTGCAGTGAGCCGAGATCGCGCCACTGCACTCCAGCCTGGGTGACAGAGCAAGACTCCGTCTCAAAAAAAAAAAAAAAAAAAAAAAAAAAAGAATGAAATTCTGTCCTTTGCAACAACATGGATGAGACTGGAGGACATTAATGTTAAGTGAAATAAGCCAGGCACAGAAAGACAAATTTTGCATGTTCTCGCTCATGTGGGAACTAAAAATTAAAACAATTGAACTCATGCAGATAGAAACTAGAATGATGGTTACCAGAGGCTGGAAAGGATAGCAGGGAAGACAGATGAAGGAGGAAGAAGGCATGGTTGGTTAATAGGTACAAAAGTATAGTTACATGGAATGAATAAGATCTAGTATTTGATAGCACAAGAGAGTGATTCCAGTCAACAATAACCATTGGATATTTTAAAATAATTAAAAGAGAGTGGAATTGGAATGTTCCTAACACAAATGATAGATGCTTGATATGTATCTATATTGTATATTTCTACAGTTTAAAAAGTCAAAATTTTCAAGTCTTACAATGAAAAAGACTGTCTCCTGCCTCATATCTATACTCCTGCACCCAATTCCTCCTTCTCAGAGGCAATCACTTTAAAGTTATACAGATGTTTTTCTGATTTTTTTCTCCGTATTTCTAAACACCATATTTATACTGCTATCTGAATATTTCCACTTTTGATGAAAGATGAGAAATTGGCTTTCTTACACATATACATTTCCCCTCCATCTTCCAGATTTATATCATAATTTTTGTTAGCTCAGCAGACAGTGCTTACATTATTATGACTGTATTATTCACAGCTGTGATTTTTAGTGGACTATGATTAAATGTACTTCCTTCGTATAGCATTTTGTTTTCCCCAGGGTAAACAATTGCTTCATTTCTTTTATTAATTTGTATCAGTTCATTCCCATATGTTATTCCTCTTAATTTGTTCAGATATATCAGGTAGTCTATTAATTTCATCTTTTTCATGAAGACCTCCCTACAAGATCCCTGTGTTCTCCTGCTCCAGACCACAGTGAAATGCTACATCACCTACATAAACCTATATATGATTATATGCATATCATTTCTTAAATAAAAATGAGATTTTATGACATATACTGTTCTGCAACATGCTTTTTCCACTTAATATATTTATATAAGGTCAGTACATATATACCTATCCTATTCTATTTGAGTACTAAACTGTTGTTCTCTGCACCTCTGCTGAAGCTATCATCTTATTTCCCCCCAACATCATCCTACAGGTTTACATTTTTCTATAGCAAAATTAATAAGTGTTTCTTTGAGTTTCTGCATTTTGTGTTATACTTAAAATATGAAATTCTAAAAATATTCCCCCATATTTTTAGTGGCTTAATGGTTTTATTTTTTCCTGTGTAAAAATCAAAATTATTTTGGCGTGGAGAATGAGTGTACATTTTTTTACTTTGACTACTCACCTGTCCTTATGTCATTTTATTGAATAAGAAATTTATCCTTACCCTGATTTTAGAGGCAACATATATATTAAATATCTATGTGTATTTGGTTCTGTTTTTGAGACCCTGTTGTTTCATTGATCTTTCTATTTCATTGCCAGATCTCAATATTAGATATATTGTTGGTTTACAATTTGTTTTACTACACAATAGGACAAGCCCTTCTTCATGACACTTTTTTTCTTTTTACCTGAATATACCTAGCTGTTTATGGGATGTTTATTCTTCCAGATCAGGAGTTGGCAAACTATAATCTGCAGACCAAATCTGTTGTGCTGCCTGTTTTAGTATAACCTGGATGCTTAAAATGGGTTTTAAGTCCGGGCGGGGTGACTCATGCCTGTAATCCCAGCACTTTGGGAGGCTGAGGCGGGTGGATCATCTGAGGTCAAGAGTTCAAGACCAGCCTGGCCAACATGGTGAAACCCCGTCTCTATTGAAAATACAAAAATGGTGCACACCTGTAATCCCAGCTACTCGGGAGGCTGAGGCAGGAGAGTTGCTTGAACCTGGGAGGCAGAGGTTGCAGTTAGCTGAGATTGTGCCACTGCACTCCAGCCTGAGCAACAGAGCGAGACTCCGTCTCAAAAAAAAAAAAAAAAAAAAAAAAAGGTTTTTAAATTTTTTAATGTTTGGGGGAAAAAAATCACAAGAATGATAGTTCTTGACATGGGAAAATTATACGAAATTCAAATTTCAATGTTCATAAGCAACGTTTTATTGGAACACACGCTCATTTATTATTATTACCTATGGCTGCTCTCACACTACAACACAGAGTTGAATAGTTATATCAGAGACCATGTGGCCCACAAAGCCTAAAAGATTACAGGAGCTTTATAGAAAAGTTTGCTGACCTCTGTTCTGTATCAAATTTTAGGCAGTTTAAAAGGAAATCTATTGGAATTTCATATAATATATAGATTAATTTGAGGAGAAATAATTATTCAATATTGAGTAATCATCAAAGAACAAACGCAGTGTCTTTCTTCAATTTTTTTTTTTTTTTTTTTTTTTGAGACAGTCTCACTCTGCTGCCCAGGCTGGAGTGTAGTGGCGCGATCTCAGCTCATTGCAACCTCTGCCTCCCAGGTTCAAGTAGTTGTCCTGCCTCAGCCTCCAGAGTAGCTGGGATTATAGACATGGGCCACCACACCCAGCTAATTTTTGTACTTTTAGTAGAGAGGTGGTTTCGCCATGTTGGCTGGGCTGGTCTCTAACTCCTGGCCTCAAGTGATCCGCCTGCCTCTGCCTCCCAAAGTGCTGGGATTACAGGCATGAGCCACCGCACCGGCCCAAATTTTCTATTATATCTTTTGTGACATTTTATAATTTTCTTCCATCCCAGTTCTTACACATTGCTTTTAAATTTACTCCTGGATTTTTTGGGTTGGTTGTTGTTAATGCAATTGTTAATGGGATCTTTTCCACCTTTCCATCTTTTCCAGGCTGCACTACAGCCTGGGAGACAGTGAGACTCCGTCTCAAAAAAAAAACTTGCAAAAATAAAATATACTCACAAAAATAGCGATGACATTAGGTCCTTTTGTAGCAACATTGCCATCTCAGATAAGTGAAACAACAAAGGAAATGGAAATTATGTACTTGGTAAAAATATAGGTGATGGTAGAAAAATTATTTTTCTGAAAGTTTAGGTTCTCTTTTTTTGAAATGTCTTGTAATCTAACTGGATTGCTGAAGCATATATTTTAATTATGAGTCGAAGGCAAAATGACTAGTTTTCTTGTTTGAACTTTTTTATGAAAAACATACTTGCAGCCAGGCGTGGTGGCTGTAATCCCAGCACTTTGGGAAACCGAGGTAGGAGGATTGCTTGAGCCCAGTAGTTCAAGACCAGCCTGGGCAACATGGCAAAACTCCATTCTACAAAAAATATGAAAACTAGCCAGATGTGGTGGCGTGCACCAGTAGCCCCAGCTTCTTAGAGGGCTGAGGTGGGAGGATAGCTTGAGCCTGGCAGGTCGAGGTTGCAGTGAGCCGTGATTGTGCCACTGCACTCCAGCTTCGGCGACAGAGTGAGACCCTGTCTGAAAAAAAATGTGTGTGTGTATGTTTGTGTGTGTGTGTGTGTATTTGCATGTATACATGTTAAACAACAGTGTTAAACAATATAGTAATATACAACTTAGAAAATAGATGCCCCCAAACAAATATAAAAGTTACAAACCATACCAACCTTTTCCCTAACATATAGCCACTATAAGCAGTTTGGGCATATTCTTCTAGATTTTTTCCATGATCTTTTTTAATGTTGTTTATATTATTAACATTATTTTAAAATGTAACACATTATGCATATACGTATGCACATTACGTGTTACTTAACAGTACTTTAGTAGGACTTCCTTCCTATAGATCTGCTTCTTGTTATATTAGCTACACATTAGTAAAGTGTGTAATTGTACCAATTCCTTTTTGATGGGCATTTGGGTTGTTTCCAAATGTTTTCTATTACAAACCATGCTGTAATTATCATTATAAATAGCAGTGTGATTCATTTTCAATTATTCTACTCTGACTCTAAAATATTCAGCTTGGGGACCCTCTTTTTTCACAAACTTCTAGCAGTGTAAAGTCTCTTTTAGTTTAAACAGCATTGTTTAAGCAGTTGTATAAAGCAGTGTGCTAACTGGAAGTCCTTTTTGTTTTTTGTTTCTTTAATAATAAAATAGCCCTGGTCTCAATAGCTTATAGTCTAGTGTGACTGGCCAGTATGTGTCCAATCAATCATAACTATTACTAATTATTTTGTTTGTAAAATGTTAGCAGTGGCTATAAACTGATACACTTATTTGCCTTGGGCTTTCAGCAGATTACCCAGAGATGTGTTGATAATCAAGTATATTATTGTTCAGTATCTTATTATATACTTTTTTTTTT
Source organism: Homo sapiens (assembly GCF_000001405.40). Taxonomy (NCBI): domain Eukaryota; kingdom Metazoa; phylum Chordata; class Mammalia; order Primates; family Hominidae; genus Homo; species Homo sapiens. The sequence continues at coordinate 118,320,428 of NC_000012.12, read as the reverse complement.
TAAGAAATGATGTCTTGCTACGTTGTCCAGGCTTGTCTCAAATACCTGGGGCTCAAGCGATCCTCCCAACTCAGCCTCCCAAAGTGCTAGAGTTACAGGCAAGAGCCACCATACCCGGCTACTCGTAGAAACTTGTCATAAGGAAATAATTATGGGAACATCACTATCTATTTCCAGAACTTTTTCATCATCCCAAGCAGAAATTCTGTACCTATTAAGCACTTACTCCCCATTTCCCCCTCTCTGCCTAGGCCCTTATCTATTTTTCTGTCTGTATGAATTTTGCCTATTCTAAATATTTCATACAAGTGGAATCATATAATATTTGTCCTTTTTTGTCTGGCTTTTTTCACTTAGCACAATGGTTCATCCATGCTGTAACATCTATCAGTACTTCATTCCTTTTTATGGCTAAGTAATATTTTGCTGTATCTATATCCCACATTTTGTTCATCTGTGTATCTGTCTGCTGATGGACACTTCACGTTGTTTCCACCTTTTGGCTATTGTGAATAATGCTGGTATGAACATTGGCATACAAGTATCTGTTTGAGTCCCTCTTTTCAATTCTTTGGGGTATATAACTGGGAGTAGAGTTGCTGAGTCATGGTAATTCTATGTATAACTTTTTGAGGAGCTGTTCAACTGTTTTCCATAGAGGCTGCATCATTTTATATTCCCACCAGCAGTGTGCGAAAGGGTTCCAGTGTCTTCACATCCTCACCAACACTTGTTGTTTTCTGGTTTTTTTTTAATTATAATCATCTTAATGAGTATAAAATAATATCTCATCGTGGTTTTGCATTTCCCTAATAATTAATGATAAGCATTTTTTCATGTGTTTATTGGCCATTTGTACATCTTCTTTGAGTAAATGGCTATTCAAGTCCTTGACAATATTAAGTTTTCTAGTTCTCATTTCAAAATTGGGTCGTTTGTCTTTTTGTTGTTAAGTTATAGCAGTTCTTTATATGTTGTAGATTATTATCAGGTTTCTAATAAAACAATTTTAGATTATCTAAATTCTTATCAGGTTTATGATTTGCAAATATTTTCTCTGTCACTCTTGATAGCGTCCTTTGATACACATAAGTTCTGAATTTTAGTAAAGTCCAATTTATTTTTCTTTTGTTTCCTGTAAAAGCTTTTGGTGTCATTTTATTGTTGAGGGGTTTTTTGCTTTTAAAATATTTATTTTATAATTGACAAATGAAAAATTATATTTATGGTATACAATGTGATGTTTTGATATATGCATACATTGTAGAATGAATACATCAAGCTAGATAACATATCCATCACCAGATTTCAGCTGATAATTTGTATCTTCTGACCAATATTTCTCCAATTCCTCACCTCTCCAGCCCCTGGAAAGCACCATTGTATTCTCTGCTTCTGAGTTCTGTTTTTTTTCAGATACCACACATAAATGAGATCATACAACTTCTGTCTTTCTGTGCCTGCCTTATTTCATTGAGTGTAATGTTCTCTATGTTCATCCATGTTGTTGCAAATGACAGGATTTCCTTCTTTTTGAAGGCTGAATAGTATTCCATTGTGTACACATGCCACATTTTCCATTCACCCACTGACGGACACTTGGGTTGATTCCTTATCTTAGCTGTTGTGAATAATGTTGCAATGAACATGAAAAGTACATATCTCTTTCACATATTCATTTCATTTCCTTTGGATGTGTATCATTAGTGGGATTGCCAGGTCATATCGTAGTTCTAATTTTAATTTTTTGAGAAACCTCCATACTGCTTTCCATAATCACTGTGCTAATTTACATTCCCACTAACAGTGTACAAGGGTTCCCTTTTCTCTACATGCTCACCAACACTCAGTCTTTTGTCTTTTTGCTAAAAACTATTCTTACAGGTGTGAGGTGGTAGCTCCTTGTGGTTTTAATTAAGAAATCATTGCCAAATCCATGGTCATGCAGATTTGTCCCTATATTTAAGAGTTGTGGCCAGGCGCAGCGGCTCACACCTGTAATCCCAGCACTTTGGGAGGCTGAGGCAGGCAGATCACGAGGTCTAGAAATCGAGACCATCCTGGCCAACATGGTGAAACCCTGTCTTTACTAAAAATACAAAAATTAGCTGGGCGTGGTGGTGCGTTCCTGTAGTCCCAGCTACTTGGGAGGCTAAGGCAGGAGAATCGCTTGAACCCAGGAGGCGGAGGTTGCAGTGAGCCAAGATCGCGTCATTGCGCTCCAGCCTGGTGACAGAGCAAGACTCCATCTAAAAAAAAAAAAAAAAAAAGTTTTATAGCTTTATATCTTATTTAGGTCTCGGATCTATTCTGAGTTATTGTTTGTATATAGTATAAAGTAAGGGCCCAACTTCATTTTTTTGGCCTATGGATATCCAGTTATCCCAGTACCATTTGGTGAAAAGACTGACCTTTCCCTGTTGTCTTGGCACCCTTGTTGAAAATCAATTTGCTGTAGATATGAATGTTTATTTCTGGGCTGTCAGTTCTATTCCATTGGTCTATATATGTCTGTCCTTAGGCCAGTACTGCAGTGTTTTGATTACTGAGCTTTGTAATAAGCTGCAGGAAATGTGAGTCCTCCAACTGGTTTTTGTTTTTTTTGTTTGTTTGTCTTTTTTAGATTATTTTTGCTATTCTGGGTCCTTTGAAATCATATGGATTTTAGGACAGGTTTTTCCATTTCTGTACAAAACACCATTGGGATTTTGATACAAATTGTATTGGATCTGTATATTGTTTGGAGTCATATTGTCACCTTGACAATATTAAGTTTTCTAGCTCCTGAACACATAATGTCTTTCTATTTATTTAGGTCTTTAAAAATTTCTGGCTGGGTGCAGTAATCCCACACCTGTAATCCTAGCACTTTGGGAGGCCGAGGCAGGTGGATCACGAGGTCAGGAGATCGAGACCATCCTGGCTAACACGGTGAAACCCGTCTCTACTAAAAATACAAAAAATTAGCTTGGCGTGGTGGCAGGCGCCTGTAGTCCCAGCTACTCTGGAGGCTGAGGCAGGAGAATGGCGTGAACCCAGAAGGCGGAGCTTGTAGTGAGCCAAGATCGCGCCACTGCACTCCAGCCTGGGCAACAGAGCAAGACTGTCTAAAAAAAAAAAAAAAAAAAAATTCTCCCAGCGATTTTTTTTTTTTTTTTTTTTTGAGACAAACTTTCACTTCGTTGCCCAGGCCAGAGTGTAGTGGCACAATAATCTCGGCTCACTGCAACTTCTGCCTCACAGTTTCGAGCAATTCTCCTGCCTCAGCCTCCCAAGTAGCTGGAGTTACAGGCGTGCACCACCACACCCAGCTAATTTTTGTATTTTTAATAGAGACGGGGCTTCGCCATGTTGGCCAGGCTGGTCTCGAACTCCTGAGCTCAAGCAATCCACCCACCTTGGCCTCCCAAATGCTGAGATTACAGGCGTGAGCCACCGTGCCCAGCCCCAGCAATGTTTTGTAGTTTTCATTGTTCATGTTTTTATGCTTCCTTGGTTAAATTTATTCCAAGGAGGAATAATTGAAGTATTCTTTTTGCTCTTATTATAGATTGTTTTCTTAATTTCCTTTTCAGATTGTTCATTGCCAGTATATAGAAATACAACTGATTTTGTTATTTTTATACCCTGGAACTTTGCTAAATTTATTTAATAGCTCTAGTAGTTTGTAGATGTGAGTTATTTAGGGTTTTCTGGATATAAGATCATGTCATTGGCCAGCCACGATGGCTCATGCCTGTAATCCTGGCACTTTGGGAGGCCGAACCAGGAGGATTGCTTGAGCCAGAAGTTCAAGACCAGCCTGGACAAAATTGTAAGAGCTTGTCTTTATTAACAATCAAAAAAAAAAAGAGAGAGAATCTAGCCAGGCAGGGTGGTACACGACTGTGTTCCCAGCTACTCAGGAGGCTGAGGGTAGGATGCTGCAGTGATCCGAGATTGCACAACTGCACTCCAGCCTGGATGACAGAGCGAGACCCCACCTCTAAGAGAGAGTAAAAAAAAAATGATGTCCTTGAGGCAAAATATTTTTTTACCATCCTATCTTTTATGAATCAGACCAAAGAAAATAATGTATGCCAAATGAGTAGGAGCTCTTTCAGTAGGACAGTATGTAAGCTAGTATATTTAACCAGACTCTTATGAGTAGCAGGTATGCTGCAGTTAAAGGGAAGTTAAAAGGTAAGATTTACATTAACAAATCCATGATCATTAGGCCATTTTTTAGATTCCTTTTCTTGAACATTTTTAAACCAGACACTGCACATAAATTTATTTAAGAAGGCAGAAACACCCATTATTAGGAATAAATTGAAGGGAGATGTAAGAAATCAAATAATTAGAGGCAGTCTCTAAGTCACATGTGCATGATGTCTCATTACATTCCCCTTGGGATCTTGGCATCAGTACCTCCTAATAACCTCCCTACTCCTTTTTCCATTGTAAAAATATCCCAGCAGCAACCAAGCTGTCTTGAGTCCATACCATTACCTCACAGTGAGCCTGGAAAACTATCTGATCCAAAATTCACAGTCTCCTTTATTTACTATCTGTTTCAATTTTCCTTTGTCATTTATACTTGCATTTGCCTCCTTTTACCCTAACCAATTTTTTTCTCTCATGTGCATATATGTATTCCCTCTTTCCCAACACTGTCATAATTACTTCAAATAATTATTCAATCCTATCACTTTCATTTTTAGATTTTCCTTTTTGGGGGGAGGAGGATTATTTTCTTTTTAAAAATGTTAACAAAATATTTCAAACTTGCAGAATATAACCAATATCCATGATCCTATCTCTCAGAATTAATTTTTTAAAGAAATAAAAACATATATTTGGAGTCTCCTTTGTACTTCTTTCCAATTCCATTCTTTTCCATCCACCCCAAATCCATCTACTCTCCTGAAGGTGGTGCATATTATTCTTTTTACCATTTGTACTCTTATTTATGTGTGCTACAAACAATACATTTTTGTGGGTTTTAACATTTGCATAAATTTGAATATATCCTGCATATGATTCTTCAACTTGGTTTTTCCTTTATTGTGTTTTGGAAATGTGTCTATATTGATAAATTTATATTTAGCTCATTGATTTAAACTACAACATGGCATTACATCACATGATTATATCAGTTATCCTTTTCCCCACCGATGGATGTTTAATACATTACTCATTTTTTACCATTATGAAAAATTTTCTGCTGGGTGTGGTGGCTCACGCCTGTAATCCCAGCACTTTGGGAGTCCAAGGCGGGCAGATCACTTGAGGTCAGGAGTTCACCATGACCAACATGGTGAAACCCCATCTCTACTAAAAGTATAAAAGTTAGCCAGGGGTGGTGGCACATGCCTGTAATCCCAGCTAGTCGGGAGGCTGAGACAGGAGAATTGCTTGTATGTGGGAGGCGGAGGTTGCAGCCAGCTTAGATCTTGCCACTGCACGCACTCACTCCAGCCGGGGCCATAGAGTGAGACTACATCTTAAAAAAAAAAAAGAAAAAGAAAAAGAAACAAAAACTCCTTCATGTGCCCATGCAATAGTCATGCGCATCTTCAACTTCACTAGATAGTGCTAAATTATGCTGATAAAATGGTTGTAGTAATTTTTTTCACCTTATTCTGAGCAAAAACCTGGTCTTGATAATAATTGATAAGCATTGTTATGGTGGAAAAGATACAGGATGGGATATCAGCTCCGGAACTAATTAGTTGGATAACTTATGTCAGGTTAGTCCATCCATATGAGTCTCAATTTCTCCATCTCCAAATTAAGGTCAGATTGAATATGATCTCTGAAGTCTTTTCCAACCTTGGATGTTCTGTGGTTTTAGTGCTAATGATTTATTGTATTTCAAGAGAAATAAGAGTCATACATTTTAAAATCACATTAGATCTAATAAAGAACTAATGTCACTAGTTCCCAAAATCCTCAAGTAATCCAAAAGTTAAGTTCAGGATATCCTCAAGTCTCCATTTACCATGTCATTTTTATGCACTCCATCTTAATTCACGATATTGTTTTAGAGTTATTACTCAATATTTTTTGATTTGCATAATTAGTTGTATCTCAATAGTATTTTTAAAAGATATTTTAAAATGCAAAATAAGATATTGAATTTGCTTTAGGGACAAACCCTTTGTGGACAAACCTGAAAACCTAAATTCCATATGAAACATTGATTTTGGGTAAAAACATATTCAGAGTTACAGATACTTAGCTTAGAAGTGAACTTTTGGGACCCAACTCTTTTGCAAGTTGGAGGCTTCCTGTAACGTTAATTTCAGGAAATCCTAGGCAAATATGCAGTTACTGTTCTAGAAGATACATAGGTAGTGTGTACTGTGATGGAAATTAAAATGTCACTGTTAAAAGGTTTGCATTTTGTGGGCTTGGAAGGGCCTAAAACTTCCTTCTTAGGCTTTCTCTTCACTAGTGGGCTCTTGCATTATATTACTTCCAGAGAAAGGCAGGCAGGATTAGAGGCATGGCAAGGAGAACAATTTGAGAAATACTATACTGTGCAAAAGAGCAAAGACAACTTTAATGGCAATGAGGATAAATTAACTTCTTTGACTCAGTCGCCAAGTAAGATAAATCCATAATTACTTATTCCAGTTTGATTTTTACATAAGAAGTTCTTCTGGTTATTCTTTAATATAGATTTGATTTTCTTTTCCCTAAATTTTAGCCTTAGATTACTGGACAGTTTAGTCATTTCTGTAATGTAAAAGCTTACTATTCAAGTGTCTGATACAACCTTACCATGAGGTTACTTTTGACAAAATAAAACCCTTTTAAATATTAGAGGGTCCCAGTCTTAGTTGAAGTTATAAGAAACAGCCTTTCTCAGCCTATGCGGTGGCTACGCCTGTAATCTTAGCATTTTGGGAGGCTGAAACAGGTGGATCACCTGAGGTCAGGAGTTTGAGACCAGCCTGGCCAATGTGGTGAAACCTCATTTCTACTAAAAATACAAAAATTAGCCAAGTGTGGTGGCAGATGCCTGTAATCCCAGCTACTTGGGAGGCTGAGGCAGGAGAATCACTTGAACCCAGGAGGCGGAGGTTGCAGTGAGCCAAGATCATGCCATTGCACTCCAGCCTGGACAACAGAGCAAAAACTCGGTCTCAAAAAAAAAGATAAAATAAAATAAAAAATAAAAAAGAAGAGAAAAGAAAAGAAACAGCCATTCTCTTTCCTTGTAATAGAGCTGAAAATGTCTGTCTTCTGTAATGTCTTGCCTGACTGTCCTACTAGGATCTAGCATTATCTCTAGTTGGATAGCTGTCTCTTTATATATGATTTTTAAATTTTCAGTTTTTAAAGATTTCATTTTGTTTGCTTTTAACTCTTTTAAAATAGCTATTTAGCCTCTTTTCTGCATTTTTCCGTCTTTAGTGTTAGGGATTTTGGGTTCAGTTTTATTTTCACTCCAGATTTTAATACAGGGCTCAGCAGAATAGAGCCTCACCAGCAGATAAGCATTTTTGATTGATGGAATTCACATCTGTTATGTTTCCCCAAATTTATTTTTTTCTCCACAGTCTTTCAACACTCATTATAGTTTTGTTGTGTTAGATCATGATACTACAGGCCTCTAGTTAAGATCGGTGTTACTCAGTAGCCAAAAATAATGTCAGAGTGCAAGGTAGTGACAAAACCTGTTAAAGACAAACAAAAAATTGTACTAGAAGTGATACTCTCCTGTTTCTGATGATTCAACATGCAACTGTGGACAATTAATTTCCTTTAGCTTTGCTTTCATTTCTTCATGTGTAAAATCAGGCTAACATAAGCTGTTTTGTGGATTTTGTGAATAATTCTATTATAAAACATTTGTAGGTTGTGATGCTTATTGAATTAGATATTAGTAATAAGCCTTTAATAAGTAATTTCAAGAAACATCCCTTGCTACCGTCTACTTCCCCAGACCAAGAAAAATCTTAATTTATTTTAGTTGTCCAAGGTATGGTTAGTTACAGGTTATAGGAACATTATGGGTAACTATTATCTAAAATCTTAGCATTGTTTATTTTCAGAATTACACTTGCTTATATAATTTAGCCATATTTTTTCTATAGGCTTTAAAGTAGTCTTAAATTAAGGGACTAGATTTTTTTTTAATGTCAAGCCCTTATTTTAATCTTTGGAATTTAGTAGCTTAATAAAGCTATGTCTCAATGTTTAATTATTCTGTGCCTGTTTCCCCTGGCTTCTGTGTGCCTTTTCAGTCTGTAGCTTCAAGTTTATTTTCATTTGTAGAAAGTTTTTTAAAATTATAGATTTACAATTATATTTCTATTTTTCAAGGAAACTGATTTTGAATATATTATCTTTCAAATCTATAATTTACTCTAGTTTTTAAAAACTTTATTCAAGGTGCTGTTGTTTTGCTACTTTCCTCAATTCTCCACCCATGTCCCTTACCACGTCTCCACCATTGCCAGTTCTTTGTGCTGCTTCTTGCCAGCTTCATTTCATTAGTGGTTTTATTTTTCTCCCCACATCTCTCTTGACTTCTGCCAAATCATGTTTTATTCCCTGTTTTGGCTCACGATATCTTCCATTAACTCTTACATCCCTGCTGTGAGCTCCTGTTTTATATAACAGTAACTTCATTGAGTTCCTTTTTTCTTAAAGTTTATTGGCAGTATGTTCTGACACAGCATCCATTGCTATATGACAACTTTTATTCTCTGAAAAGAGTTCTTCACCTGCCATTTCTTTTTCCCATTTCTTAGTTTTGTTTGGTTTTTAAATACTATCTTTACATAGATCTAATGCTGTTTTTAAAAAAAAAAAATTATTCAACTCTAAATGAGACTTATTCTTTGTCTCTTGGGATTCCTATGAGGAAGGGCCAAAGGCCATGTTTCAGGCTAATAAGAGTTTTCCCTATCTCATGGTGAAAATCCTTATAACAAACTTATTTGTGAGCTCTTTCTTTTTTTTCTTTTTTTCTGAGACAGAGTCTCTCTCTGTCACCCAGGCTGGAGTGCAATGGCACAACCTTGGCTTACTGCAACCTCTGCCTCCCAAGTTCAAGCGATTCTCCTGCCTCAGCCTCCCAAGTAGCTGGGATTACAGGTGCCCACTACCACACCCAGCTAATTTTTGTATTTTTAGTAAAGACAGGGTTTCACCATGTTTGTTAGGCTGGTCTCGAACTCCTGACCTCAGGTGATCCACCTGCCTCGGTCTCCCAAGGTGGTGGGATTACAGGCATGAGCCACCATGCCCGGCCCCTATTTGTGAATTCTTTGTGCCTTTATTTTTACTGAGACAACAATGTACAGTTTTATTTCATTAATTTTGAAGGAAAGGCCAGTATAAACCTTTGCTGGACACAGTTCATTAATTGTACTTTAAAAGTGCTACATGAATACCTATGAAACACTGTAGGGTCATAGAATCTGTAGATATCTACACAAACTTTGTAGATATAGCCAGTAACTATTATTTGTGGATATAGATTAAAATAACTATTATTTGTGGGGGAATAATGTAGTTGCAAAATGTCTTATGAATGTGATTAGTTTTCCCACTGCCCTAAAACTCTAAGTCCAGAATATATTAAGGCTATCTACACTACACGGTTTACACATTCTTGACTCCATTTGACCTCCTGTACTTTAAATCCTTCCTCCATATTCTCCCTTATAACAGAAGAAAAAAGCTACCAACATCACCAAGCAGATGTGGTAAACCTATTTATATAATAGAAGGATGATTATAAACATTTAATAAATTATATCAAATAGATATTATATATTAAATGGGCAGATAATAGAAATCTGTCCAAGCAAAACTCTGGATAATTTTTATGTTGCCTTATTTTTTGTTTTCTGTGAACTCCAAGAAAAATGAGATACCAGTTTGGAACAGATGTAATATTGCTGATTTAACAGTTTAGGGATACTCCCCAAGTTCAATAATTTTGCCAAGATACAAATTTAAATGGAACCTTTTATGAAGCTTCATAGTGTGTGAAGAACTTACCTTGTTTATATGTTTGAAGACATACATATTTCACATTTCAGAAGAGTCTATACATAGCTCACCAAATATCAAAACCACCTTGTTAGAAAACATTAAGGTCTGTCTTATTTATTTGTTCATTTATTTATGAGACACAGTCTCACTCTGTAATCTCACTCTGTTGTAGAGGTTGAGTGCAGTGGCACGATCACGGCTCACTGCAACCTCCATCTCCCTGACTCAAGGAATCCTCCCACCTCAGCCTTCCAAGTAGCAGGGACCACAGGTGCACGCCACTATGCCCAGCTAATTTTTATATTTTATTGTAGAAATTGGGTTTTGCCATGTTATTCAGGCTGATCTTGTGGCCTCAAACTCCTGGGCTCAAGCGATCTGCCTGCCTCAGCCTCCCAAAATGCTGTGATTACAGGTGTGAGCCACCACACCCAGCCAACATTAAGGTCTTAAGCTAATTATGAGAAGGGAGGGAGTTGCCTATGGGGGGAAAGAATAAGAAAATGGTAAAAGAAGAGAAACAGGAAAACTCAGGTTTTTGAGCTACAATAATAATTGTGGATAATCTGCTACCCAGCACATAGCCAGGAGGAAGATAAAGAAAACCACCATGTGGCGGGGCCTGATGACTCAGGCCTGTAATCTCAGCACTTTGGGAGGCTGAGGCGGGCAGATCACCTGAGGTCAGGAGTTTGAGACCAGCCTGGCCAACATGGTGAAACCCCATCTCTACTAAAAATACAAAAATTAGCCAGGCGTGGTGGCAGGCGCCTGTAATCCCAGCTACTCGGGAGGGTGAGGCAGGAGAATCTCTTGAACCCGGAAGGCGGAGGTTGCAGTGAGCCAAGATCGTGCCATTGCACTCCAGCCTGGGGGATAAGAGCAAGACTTCATCTCAAAAAAAAAAAGGAAAGAAAACCACCATTTGAGCCAAGAAGGGAGGGTAGATTTGCAGGGAGGAGGGCAGTTGTTTCAAGAAATAAAATTGAAGAGATGCAACTTAGAGCTGTAACTCATTTGTACATCTGAGAACTTAGGATGTCCATAATTTGGTTTTTACAAAATCTACCCTAGAAGGTTGGCTTTTTTTTTTTTTTTTTTTGGAGACAGTCTCACTCTGTTGCCCAGGCTGCAATGCAGTGGCCCGAGCTCGGCTCATTGCAACCTCTACCTCTGGGTTCAAGCAATTCTTCCTGCCTCAGCCTCCCAAGTAGCTGGGATTACAGACATGCAGCACCACGCCCAGCTTATTTTTGTATTTGTAGTAGAGATGGGGTTTCGCCACGTTGGCCAGGCTGGTCTCGAACTCCTGACCTCAGGTGACCCGCCCTCCTTGGCCTCCCAAAGTGCTGGGATTACAGGCGTGAGCCACCGTGCCCAGTGACATTTAAAATAATATAATTCAAAGAGGGGAAAGAAAATGTTTTAAGAACTAAATTTGAGTGCTCAATTAATTACAACCATACAGGCTTTTTTTTTTTTTTTTTTTTTTTTTTTTGGAGACAGAGTTTCGCTGCTGTTCCCCAGGCTGGAGTGCAGTGGTGCGATCTCAGGTCACTGCAACCTCCGCCTCCTGGGTTCAAACGAGTCTCCTGCCTCAGCCTCCCAAGTAGCTGGGATTACAGGCATGTGCCACCACGCCTGGCTAATTTTTGTATTTTTAGTAGAGACAGGGTTTTACCATGTTAGTCAGGCTGGTCTCAAACTCCTGACCTCAGGTAATCCACCTGCCTCGGCCTCCCAAAATGCTGCCATTACAGGTGTGAGCCACCGCGCCCGGCCAAATTACAGACTTTTCTACACCGTCTACATTCTCCCAAGACCATTTTTGGGCAGCACCCTTGCCAGGTAGAAGTACTGGTATACTGGGAAACATGCTGCTATCCTAGGAGTCAGATGACACTCATAAAAATCAGAATAATAATAACTGATTTTCCTGCCTTACTGGGTTGTTAAAATAATTGAATTTGGTTAGGTATGTGAAAGTACTTTATACAAATGTAAATGTTTAATTTTTTTTTTAAGTGAAAGCAAGTTTATTAAGAAAGTAAAGGCATAAAAGAATGGCTACTCCACAGACAGAGCAGCCCCGGGGGGTTGCTGGTTGCCCAGTTTTATGGTTATTTCTTGATGATATGCTAAACAAAGGGTCTATTATTCATGCTTCCCCTTTTTAGACCATATAGGGTAACTTCCTGATGTTGCCGTGGCATCTGTAAACTGTCATGGCATTGGTGGGAGTATAGCAGTGAGGACGACCAGAGGTCATTCTCATTGCCATCTTGGTTTTGGTGGGTTTTGGCCGGCTTCTTTACTGCAACCTGTTTTATCAGCAAGGTCTTTATGACCTGTATCTTGTGCCTACCTCCTATCCCATCCTGTGACTTAGAATGCCTTAACCTTCTTACATTTACAGATATAACTGTTTAATGTTGTTATTTTTTAAATGTAAAAAAAAAAAAAAAGTAGTCAAACTTGCCAACAGCTTATTTTAAGCAGCTATTGGGAACAAGTACCAGTAACTATCATGTAGTGTCAAACCCTTTTTCGCTATGGCCAGTACAGATGGTAACAAGTCTACAGACTACTCATTGGAGCAGTATGCAGCTTAACATTTTTAGTGTTTTAGTAATAAGATACCATTTCCGTGGTTAGAGAGTCAGCATTCAGAACTTTTGTTTTTTAAGGAAAGAACTTCCGGAACTTCATTAACAGTTCATAGAGGATACCGAGACCTCTAGCTGGCTAGCTAGTGGTAGAACTCTAGTATCAAGTGCTTGGAAATTTGTCTAGCAGTGGAAGGAAAGAAGGGGTAGCTGCAGCTGCTATCCTAAACCCTGCAAAAACACTTATACATACACAGCCTCATTTTTCCCATTGCGACCTAATAACTGAATGCAACAGTTTCTGTTTCCAGTTATGGTTCTCTTTCATTCCTGTTTAAAACAAAGGCAGCAGGTCAAGAAACTAACTAAATGTGACTAGTTAGAGGAGAAGATGTGAGGGTGGGAGGGGGAGTCAGGGAAGAAGGAGGACACAGAGATAGCAAATCCATCATCCCTTAGAGGTTAGGCCAACAAAAATAATTGAATTCCCGTGGGAGCCTAAGGTCAGAGTTAGACTACTGGTTAGATCTGAGAGCTTTGCTTTCTGTTTTACAAATGATTTTAAAGAGAAAACTATGAGGACTCCAGAGATGGGGGGGGGAAGAGGAGGCGGGAAGGTTGATTCATAAAGTGGTAAAAAACCGTGCTCAAAACCTCATTGCTTCTTGCACAATTGGTCAAGAGATGTGTCAGCAATTCCTGAGGCAATGATATAACCTGTATAGTTTAGTAATGAGAATCATTATTATTCTATTTCCACATAATTACTGATGTTTTTTGAACTATCTAGAACTGTGTTGTCCAACATTGTAGTTTCTAGCCAAAGAGCTATTTAAATGAAAATTAATTAAAATTAAACACTTAAAAATTCCGTTCTTCTGTTGCACTAGCCACATTTCAAGTGCTTACTAGCCACATGTTGTTAATGGCTACCATTATTGGATAGTGCAAATGAAGTGATAGACTATTTTCTTCATTATGGAGCATTCTATTTGAATGTACTGATGAAGCAGAACAAACTCTGAGAGCAAAAGTTTGATGTTACTACTTTACAATTGAATGATTAGTTTAAGTCCAAAGTACAATATATAAAATTATCTTTTAACTATGGAACCTACCATTGTGGCTTAGTTACTCTAAGTATCAATAATATTTCTTCAGTGAACATTAAGGTCCACTAAATAAAAGTAAGGACAGATCTATGTTAATTTTAGACTCAAGAACTTGAGGGAAACATGTATGGATTTTTATAAAAATTATGAAACGTTTCACATCCATTTACAATCATGAAGAATATAAGTCAAAAAGAAAAATTTAAACCAAGTGTTGAAATAATTAAAATTATAAGCTGGGTGAGGAGGCTCACCCCTGTAATCCCAGTATTTTGGGAGGCCAAGACAGGAGGATCACTTGAGCCCAGGAGTTCGACACTAGCCTGGGCAACATAGTGAGACCCTATCTAAATTCTAAAAAAATTAAATAAAAACATAAAAAATAAAGTTAGCAGTAAATAGGAATAGAATAAGAAAACTCCAAATGGAGGGAGAGGATCAGAAAAAACAACTATCAGGTACTATACTTAGTTCCTGGGTGACAAAATAATCTATACACCAAAACCCCATGACACCAGTTAACCTATATAATAAACTTGTATGTGTGCCCCAAACCTAAAATAAAAGTTAAAAAACAAAAACCAGCAGTGGTCGAGCTTTAAGAGAAAATAAATTACTCTGAGTATCCAGAAAAAATGACACAGAATCCTTTCTACATTCTTTATTATTTTATGAAACATGGTGTCCTCTTGTAAATATCTGAAAAGTGATTTCTATCCTATGACAGAAGAAGACTAACCTCTCCAAAGCAGCAGAGGAGAAAATCGAATGGCAATTGAGCCAACTTTTTTTTTTTTTTTTTTTTTTGAGACGGAGTCTCGTTTGCTGTTGCCCAGGCTGGAGTGCAGTGGCGTGATCTCAGCTCATGCAAACTCTGCCTCCCAGGTTCAAGCAATGCTCCTTCCTCAGCCTCCCAAATAGCTGGGATTACAGGCACCCGCCACCACACCCTGCTAATTTTTGTATTTTTAGTAGAGATGGGGTTTCACCATGATGGTCAGGCTAGTCTGAATTCCTGACCTCAAGTGATCTGCCCACCTCTGCCTCCTAAAGTGCTGAGATTACAGGCGTGAGCCACCACGCCCAGCCGCCAACTTTTTGACATGCATAAAATAGTAAAAAATTAACAGTTAAATACTTAACAGTTGATATATATGTTCTCTATAGAATATCACATTTAATTATGTCATTTGTTAGTAGTAGTGGATTAAGTTTATTTTTATTATTTTTTTGTTTTTTGAGACAGAGTCTTGCTTTGTCACCCAGGCTGGAGTGCAGTGGCACAGTCTCAGCTCACTGCAACCTCCGCCTCCCAGGTTAAAGGGATTCTCCTGCTTCAGCCTCCCTAGTAGCTAGAATTACAGATGCATGCCCGGCTAATTTTTGTATTTTTAGTAGAGACAGGGTTTCACCACGTTGATCAGGCTGGTCTTGAACTCCTGACCTCAAACAATCCTCCCGCCTCAGCCTCCGAAAGTGTTGGGATTACAGGCATAAACCACCAAACCCGGCGGGTTAAGTTTATTGAATGCTTATTCTATGCATGCCACCTTGTTTAACACATTACATACACTATCTTATTAAATCCTGACAATAAACAATCCTGTGCTCGATATATTTATTATATTATGTCCTTTGTACAGATGAGGAAACTGAACCTTAGATTTGAAACCTGCCATATGGTTAGTTAGGATTAGATCTGGGATTTGAACTCAGTTCTACTTTAATCATAACCCGTGTTCTTAACCATGGTTGCTTTTCCAGATAGCAGGCTGAAGACTACACTCTTAAGCAGAGGATTTAAACATAAATCTTTTTCACTCCAGGTGTCGTGTTGTTTCTCTTTGCCATTTGCCTTTCATAGCAACGGAAAATGAGGGAATAACTGTAATTTTATAATATCTAATGAAATTATTGGCATCCCTATAAGCACAATCAATTTTCATAAGTTTAGTTCATATCAAGATTTAGGAACATTATCTGAACAAATTGCTAAAAACATCACAAATTAGGACAAACTGAAATACAAGTTGTACACATATAACATTCAAAAAGCAAAAGCCTTAAAGCAGTGTAGATAATATGTATCAGTGGCTTCTTATTTCAGATTACATTTTTTTTAAGAGAACATTGTAACCATGCAAAGTTGTTGAAGAATATTTAGGGATTTCCTTAGTGTAAGCATAAATTATGGTAATTTTTCTAAACTGGGGTATGAAGAAATAATCAAGTTATCATACGAAGAAGTCTAGGAAGAGGTAATTAATAATTCAGCACCAATTGGTGAAGGCTTCTTTTTGGTTAATATTATATATTTTGTAGTCGGCCTAGTTCAAACAGCCTGTGTCTCTTCCCTGAGACCTTTGAGGGTTCTAGTTCTTGGTATGAGAAATATCACTAAATGAGAAATTTCTAGAGAGCCAAAATTAAAGGGGGAAGTATGTGCTCTTTAGTTTTCTTCAGTGGAATTTACCTCTAAGTGAATGAAATGTAATTCAGCCCGTTGAATCACTGAGCTATTTTATTGCATTGGAACTCATAAAAGAATTTCTTCTGAAAAACGTGCTTGCCTTTTCAACAACTTAAAACCATAGTCTATTCATTCACCTCATAACCAAGTAGTATAGATAATGACTTCACTGAAACAGTGCCAGACTCTCTTCAGCAAAGTGTTGTTGGCATGAGGGAGGCAAAAGGAAGGGCAAGACCAGGAGTGTAAAGAGAGAAGTTACCTGAACTTTATTTATTAGTATTTAAAATATGGGACCAGGCATGGTGGCTCACGCCTGTAATCCCAACACTTTGGGAGGCCAAGGCAGGTGGATCACCTGAGGTCAGGAGTTAAAGACCAGCCTGGCCAACATGGCGAAACCCCATCTCTACTGAAAATACAAAAATTAGCTGGGTATGCTGGCAGGTGCCTGTAATCCCAGCTACTCAGGAAGCTGAGGCAGGAGAATTGCTTAAACCCGGGAGGTGGAGGTTGCAGTGAGCCGAGATCATGCCATTGCACTCCAGCCTGGGTGACAAGAGCAAAACTCCATCTCTAAAAAATAAAATATGAGAGCAGTAAGGGAAAAATTAAAAAGTAATATGCAGTGCTCCCCTTCAAGAAAGTTATGGCCTAGAGAGAAACCAATTCTTAGAACATAATATGAAGTTTGTAAATGGACGTTAACATGGCGAAAACAGTGCACAGATAAAAGTCAATGCAAAAGAAATGTCTCATAGCATTGTTCTATTGTAATGGAGTTGATTAATTTATTCAGACTTTTGGCAAGTGTTCTTTGCACACGTACATTCTGCCAAACATTGTTTCAGGCATTGAAGATGCAACAGTGAACAAAACAGATTGAAAATCCTGTCCTCATAGAGTTTACATGCTAGAAAGGAGAGAGAGAAAATATGCAAATTAAGTGAAATACCTATTTTATTAAAAGGTGGCAAATGCTGTGAAGCAAAAAAACAGAGGAGGAGGATAAGGAATGGGGGCTGATTTCAATTTTAAGAAGAGTAAATAGGGCTTATAATACATCTTTTATTAAAATCATATTAATCTATGGAAGCTGAAGTTGAAATAGGGCCAAGCTGAAATAGGGCCACTTCTCTAGTGACAGAATAAGTGAAAGGAATTCAGTAAAGGAATGAGAGTGGTGTCAGGTACTTTGTTTATCCACTTTCTGGTCTTGATATTTTGATTGTTTGGGTGGGTGTTTAGTAGTATATTTGGTTTTTTGGTAGAGTCAAAATGGAGTGGTGGTACTGAAGATAGAATAGTGCACGGTTCCACTCATCTTCCCCTGAGATCTGTGTGCATTTATGAAGTTTACAAAATGGTAGTCGTGATATTGGAATTTTCACTTGTAGAAAAAAAATGCTGTGTTTTCCAAATATTTTGAGAGGTCATCATAGTTAAGGAAAATCTGTCTGTTCCCATATCTCTTTTTAATACCAAGTTTATCAGTTATCAGCATTGAATAGTTGTTCCTCCATTTTTTATTCATTTATCCAACATGTCTTGAGTGACTAATATTCTGCACTAATATGTGCAGAAGATTTTTTTAAACACATCTAAATATTTTTTGCTTTGCCACAATTAAAAACAGTGACTATTAGCTGTCCTGTCTCTTTCTTACCTTTGACCTCTTACCTCTCTCCAGCAAAGATCTCTTCTTTACAAAAACTTGTACCTGACCCTGCTATTCTCACTTTATTTTATTTTCCCTATTATACCCATAAGAAAACTGAGGCTTAGAGAGTTTAAGTTACTTAACCAATACCACAAGTCAGAGGCAGAAGCAAAATTCAAACACAGATAATCTTGCATCTGAGTAATGTTCTTACCTAGCACTCTAGACTGCCTTCAGCAGTGGACAAGAGAGATGAGGCAGTGCCAAAACCCTCCAGGCTATACTGTTGTTCATTCTGAGAACCTGGGACTCTTGACCTAATTTTCCCTCTTGCCAGCATTTTTGCTCTGCTTCCTGTCACTGCCAACAGAGTATGGATGTGGTCAGTAAGGTGTGGATAGTACAGGTCACCCTGATTTCCTTCCTTGATCTGTGCAGAAATGCATGCTGTACTTTCTCCACTTAAAGATGAGTGGATAGGGACAGAGAATGACAAAAAAACCAAAACAGATCAAAAACCCCACCATACTGGACAAGTGTCTGAGAGTATACAAATATTCTAAAAGAGGCATTTTGAATTTAAATTTTCTTCACAATTAATGCAACTCTGCAAAAGTTAAAGAGGAATAGCCTGAGGAGAAAAAATATGGTCATAATATAACCCCCAGCCTTTCTTACTTTTGATGTACTTAACCCTTATTGTGCTTTGAGGTTTGAATTTTTTTTTTTTTTTTTTTTTTGAGATGGAGTCTCACTCTGTTGCCCAGGCTGGAGTGCAGTGGCACAATCTCAGCTCACTGCAACTTCCGCCTCCCAGGTTCAAGCGATCCTCCCGCCTCAGCCTCCTGAGTAGCTGGGACTACATGCAAGCGCTACCATGCCTGGCTAATTTTTGTATTTAGTAGAGACGGTGTTTCTCCATGTTGGTCAGGCTGATCTTGAACTCCTGACCTCGTGATCCGCCTGCCTCGGCCTCCCAAAGGACTGGGATTATAGGAGTGAGCCACCGTGCCCAGCTGAGGTTTGAATATTTTGACCATTACTTCAGGCTTTAATGACTGCAGATGTAAATGGAAAAAAGGAAAGTATCTTTGCTGGATCGTCATTCATGAATTCTAGTTTTGGAGAGGAAGGTAGCTACAAAATACAGGGTTCCTTGAGAAAGGTCCTTAAAATTTCAACAAACACTTAAGCAAACTTTTATTATCAAGTTCCCTGTATACCAGGAACTGTGCTAAGTGCTAGAGTTTTTGGTTTTGTTTTTAGCCTCCCTTAACTATTTTGCTTGATGTTTCCACCTCTTTGCAGCTTTAATGGAGCTTTGCTTGACAGTGACATTTGCAGCTGCTTATGGCATTACACTATCTAACATTTATTAAGCACCAAGGAAACCCTGGCAGGTGTGTGTGGAAAAGGCAAAAATTGTAGAACTAAACCATCACTATTTGAAAGTGAATTGAATTTGATACTTCTGGCTGTATGATGGAGGTAAAAATTTTAAAAATAGGCAGGATGCAGTGGCTCACGCCTGTAATCCCAGCACTTTGGGAGGCTGAGGCAGGCAGATCATTTGAGGTCAGGAGTTCAAGATCAGCCTGGCCAACATGGTGAAACCCCGTCTCTACTAAAAATACAAAAATTAGCCGGGCGTGGTGGCACATGCCTATAGTCCCAGTTACTTGAGAGTCTGAGGCAGGAGAATCGCTTGAACCCAGGAGGCAGAGGTGGTAGTGAGCCAAGATTGTGCCATTGCACTCCAGCCTGGACAATAGAGCAAGACTCCGTCTCAAAAAAATAAATAAAATTAAAATTTAAAAAAAAATCAAAAAGGAAGGTCCTAAGAAAGGAGAGAGGTGAGCAAAGAATAAGGAAATAGTTAGGTGATAGACACATACAACTGTTGAGGAACAGAAAGAACAATAGAATCAGGAAGAAAAGAGCACTTTACAAAATATCCTTCAGTATACTAAAAAGTGTGAGTGTGTGTGAGTGTGTGTGCGTGCATGTGTGTGCGCTATAGTGAGATTATTTAGAAAACTTGCCCTGAGTTCATTTTCACTTAGGGTTGGTTTTAGATTTGTGAGCTTTCTTGACTATGCTAATCCTCGCCTCTTTGGTACTCAACACCCAATCCTCCCACACAAACAGAGTCTGTCAGAATTATCTCTTTTATCACTTGATATTCAGCTCACATTTACTTTCTCAGACTTTTGGAAGTTACCACTCAGACAGATGCAAATTCAGTGCGATGCCTGCCAAAGTGCTGAGCAGAAAAGAGACTTTCTTTTACACCTTCCATCTTTTGAGCTTTTGGTCCTACTCTTTCAATTTTTGCTAAATAGTAAATGGGGATATTGTTGTTTTTCAGATGAACACGTGAGTACATTTGCATTACTGAGCTTGCTGTCTCTAGTTCTAAAGAGATTCTTTACAATTTCCGTATCAGCAAAGGAATTGCCTTGATTTCCTTTGATGATGTTTCCCTGCTGATATTCTAGACCTAGCACAGAAGCAATTGGTACCCTCGTGAAAATGGCTCTTGCCCAGTAATTCTGCTTTATTTGTACATATTCAGCTTTAATTACAGGGGTAAGTGGGGGAAGGAGAAGAAAGCCAAAAATACCCACTGCCCCCAAGTGGAAGAACAAGAAGAAGCTTGACTCCCTCAACTTGCAGGAGTACAATTATATTGTAACTGAGGTTGTTTTCCTAGATGTCAGCCAGAAAGATAAACACTCAAAGTTTAAAAAAAAAAATAAAATAACCTTTAGTGGCTGGGCGTGGTGGCTCACGCCTGTAATTCCAGCACTATGGGAGACCAAGGCAGGTGGATCACCTGAGATTAGGAGTTCGAGACCAGCCTGACCAACATGGTGAAACCCCGTCTCTACTAGAAATACAAAAGTTAGTCGGGCGTGGTGGTGTGCACCTCTAGTCCCAGCTAGTGGGGAGGCCGAGACAGGAGGATTGCTTGAACCTGGGAGGCAGAGGTTGCAGTGAGCCGAGATCGAGCCACTGCACTCCATCCTGGGTGACAAAGCGAGACTCTGTCTTAAAAAATAAATAAATAACCCTTAGTAATTTAAACAGACCACAAATAGAACTCTGTTAATAATTCACAAAATTATCAGAAACCTTAAGTACCGTAGACCCATAAAAAACATCTCAAAACACATTTTATGCCTTCAAAGGGTATAATTTATTGATTTTTTTAAAGTACTATATTTGAACTCAAGATAGCTATAAATGGCAAAAGGTTATATGAGTTTGTTGAATGTTTTTTGTGAAATTGAGAGAAGTTTATATAGGGAAGAAAAAACTGTTGAAACAAGTGAATATTATTCAAAAGTTTGGAAGATTTTAATATTTTGTGTATTTGAGGGATCCTACATTTTAACTTTTTTTGTATAATTATATTTTCAATTTAATCTTGTATTTTTTACTACCTGGTCTTAAAGAGTTTGGGACCAGTGTAACTTATGAATTTGTCATTGCATAGTATCATGCAAGTACAAGAGGAACACAGGAACCATGGGAGGAACTTGCCAGCTTAGGTAACAAAGAGCAATATGAAATACAAATGGCTTTCTTTCTAACAAATATGAAAGCTAGGGAAGTAGTACCTTCCAGGATATAGATTATGGGCTCTGGCATAGATTTAGGTCAGAACAACAAAGCGCATCTGCCTGAATATAAGGTGATCACAAGTACAAGGATAACCTCAACTTTTCATAACAAGATTATTTTTTAAAGTTTATTAGCCACCTTGAATATACCAACTTCTGGAAATGTAAATGAAAAAGTCAAATATCTATATGGAATATTTAATATGTTGGTTTATATCCAAGTTGATAGTAACAATTTAGAAACATTGCATGTTTCATTCTCATTTTCTTCATAGGTATCTTCAATATTGGTATCTTTGTCTTCATTATTGTTACTTTTTTCCCCCATAACATATCATCTTCACTTCTATCCAACTCTTTTTGAACCTATATATAATGCTGTCACAGAAATTTTTATCTCAAAACACAAGAATCCATTCTCATAACATTAGGACAGGTGTGGGGTTTTATTTGTTAGTTTTTTGTCTATATGAGTGTTTATTTGTGATCTTGACAATATAACACTTACTGTTTTGCTCTCAGTGATTTTCTAAAGGTTATTTACAGCTTCATCTTGAGCCTTGCAATTCAGTATAGTCCGTGGACCAGCAGCAATGGCATTACCTGGAAGCTTGTTAGGAATGCAGGATCTCTGGTCTCAGACCTATTGAAACTAGGAATCTGCATTTTAACAAGATGCTCAGGTGATGCATATACTTTAAAGTCTGAGAACTTCTGATTTGTTACTTACAATTTGGAGTTGATACTCTCCAGATTAATTAAAATCTCCCCTTTGTTTTTAGTGACCTCTATAAACATCCAAAAGTAAAATCATCTAGGTCATTTCAGAGTAATATGTCTTCTCCAATTGGTAACTAATTGTTCAAAAGAAATTGTGGCTAGGCATGATGGCTCATGCCTATAATCCTAGTGGTTTGGGAGGCCAAGACAGAAGGATCACTTGAAGTCAAGAGTTTGAGACCAGCCTGGGCAACACAGTGAGAGCCCATCTCTACAAAAAATTTAAAAATTAGCTGGTTGTGGTGGTGCGTGCTTATAGTCTTCATTATTGTTACTATTTTTCCCCCATAACATACCGGAAGGATCGCTTCAGCCTCCTGAGTGACTGGGAGTACTACTAATATTCAGTGTAAATATTATTATCTGAATAGATACTAGTTCTTTTGGATTCTTAGTAAGGCTTTGCAGATTACTTCTTACCATGTAATTGATTTTAATACAGAAACATAATTTGGATATCTCCTTTTATTCTTTTAACAAATATTTGTGATTTCCTATGATGTATGATATATGAGGGGATATAGCAGTGAATAGGACAGACAGGAGAGAAACAATAAACATATAAGGAACATATGAATAAAATAATTTCAGATAATTTCAGGTGCTATGATGAAAACAGTCTGGTGCTGGTCACTACAAGGGAGAAAAGGCACTCTACATAAGGGTAATCCCGGAAGGCCTCTCTGAGGTGGTGACATTCAAACAGAAATCTGCAAGTAAAGGAACCAGCCCTGTGAAGCTCTGATAAATGAAAAGAAAGCCAGTGTGGCTGAAGTACAACAAAAAGTAGCAGAGAATGACATAGAAAGCAGACGTGAAATTAAGTAAGGAAGGGCCAGATTACATAAAGTTTAACACTGTAACATTTGACTAATAGTTGTCATAGTATATCTCTGTATTTGGCTATTGACTGGTATCTGGGGTTTCAAAACCTCTTTGTTTAAACCCTTAAGCCCTTCTTCTTGCATTCTATTCTTATTTATTTATTTATTTATTGCATTCTAATTCTCAGGGCAACTTTTACCTTGATCTCTTCTGATATGACTGAGGCCTATATCCATCCTTTAAAAAATTCTTATTAATCATGCGGAAGAAGAAATCTTTCCAGGAGCAGCAAACTCAGGACCGGAGAGATAAGATAAATATATAAAGCTTCAGGGTATGAAGCCATACACATAGTAGAAACTGAGGCAAAGGAAAGAGTTCATGTCCCGCCTGAAGGCAGTCAAATCAGGTAGTTGTTTGTCTATTTTCTAAAACACTATAGTAGCCAGTGGCTCTATTTGTTGGTAAGTTTTGTCTCTTATAATATGGTTGTTTAAAATCCATATACCTATACAATGACCCAGTTCCTCCTACCTACGTTATGTGAAGTTTATTGCAGCTGCTCAATAGCTAGATGTAGCAGGCTAAATGTAATTTGAAATATTGATTCTTTTTTAAAATTTTAGGTGAAAATACTTTGGCTTTTGTAAAAGTTTGAGAATGCACATATATCAATTAAATGTCATGTATCTTAACTGTTAAGACACTGAAAATATCACCCATGCTACAGGAAAATAAAATGAGGTACAGAGGTTACATGGACAGCCTAGGTGTTACATTGTCAGTCAACTATTTAATTAAAGAGAAGTGACTGACAGTCTCCCCCGTCCCATTCTTTTTTCCCGAAACTTATAGAAGTTATAAGAATAATTCAGAAAAGTTGTGTTCATATTGCTCTGTCCATTAGAAAAAAATCAGGCCAGGCATAGTGGCTCACGCCTATAATCTCAGCATTTTGAGAGGCCCAGGAGGGTGGATCACCTGAGGTCAGGAGTTCGAGACCAGCCTGCCTAATATGGTGAAACCCTGTCTCTACGAAAAATACAAAAAAATTAGCTGGGCGTGGTGGTGCATGCCTGTAATCCCAGCTACTCAGGAGACTGAGTCAGGAGAATCGCTTGAATCTTGGAGATGGAGGTTGCAGTGAGCCAAGATCGCACCATTGCACAAAGAAAAGAAAAAAATCAGAGAAGTCCCACATACGTTTTACCTTTATTGACCAAATTTTAAGTGTTTGCCACATTTAATGTTTTATTTCTTCCCCACTCCCTGGATCTAACTCACTCAGATACACACATATGCATACACATACACACAGGTGATCTAGTCATTTGTCAATGTATCATCCTAGGACTTTCTAGGGGATTTGAATCAATTGGCACATGAATATTTTGTATTAGCTACTGCCTGCTCTAACCATATCTTGCCCATTCTTCCTATTTTTTAATACTAGAACAATGATTTCTAATGCCTAGTAAATGCAATGTTTTACTCAGAATGGATGTGGGTGAGATATTTTGAAATTTTAAATCATTTATAAAGAGAAGATTTTTATGTTTATCAGAAATGGGCACAGATTTTTTAAAAGATGGACAAACAGGACTAGAACCTAGAGACTGGATAGAATTATTCACATTTTTGACAATTTGTAGAGGTTTCTTCCAGTATTATTGAAACAAATTCATAGAGTATTTATTGAGAAACTGTTTCAGTCAAGAACCTTGTGCTAAGGAGCATAAGGCCAAAAGACCATTTCTGCCTTCAAGAAGTTTATAATCGAGAGAGAAAACATGTACATTTTTAACTATTACACAAAATGAAATGTGGTTACTTTCATTTTAAGAGTTATAAATAAAGAGAGGAAAGAGAGGGCAGCTAACATATAATGAGTATACCGACCAAGGTCAGAAACATGTTTTCTTATTTCATCCTCTCTAAAACACATTTTCAATCTTCATTGTCAAACAAGGAAACCAAGGCTTAAAGGGATGAAGTAATAAAAAGCTAGTAGAGGCCGGGCACGGTGGCTCACGCCTGTAATCCCAGCACTTTGGGAGGCTGAGGCAGACGGATCACGAGGTCAAGAGATTGAGACCATCCCGGCCAACATGGTAAGACCCCATCTCTATTAAAAATACAAAAATTAGCTGGGCGGGGTGGTGCACACCTGTAACCCCAGCTACTCAGGAGGCTGAGGCAGGAGAATCGCTTGAACCCGGTAGGCAGAGGTTGCGCCACTGCACTCCAGCCTGGGCAACAAGAGCAAAACTCCGTCTCCAAAAGAAAAAAAAAAATGCTGACCATTCCCAAATTCCTATTTCCAGTCTACACCTCACTTCTGAACTCCATATTTATATCTAGCATACAACTCAGTGCGTCCACTTGGATCCTCAATATATCAAAAGCTTAATTCCTAATCTTTCCCCAGCCTCTTCACCTGGATCATTCTCTATCTTACTTGATGTTAGTTCCATTTTTCCGGTCACTCTGACCAAAAGCCTTGAGGAATCATCCTCAGTTACGTTTTTTCAAACTCTAAATCTAGTCCGTCCACAAATCCAGTATCTATGGTACAACAATGTGTGTGAATCTCAGAATCTTAATACTGAATGACAAAAAGCCAGATACAAAAAAGTTTATATAGTGTATGCTGTGTAATTGTATTCATATGAAATTCTAGGCTGGGTGCAGGTAATCCCAACACTTTGGGAGGCCGAGGCAGGCAGATCACCTGAGGTCAGGAGTTCAAGACCAGCCTGGTCAACATGGTGAAACCCCATCTCTACTAAAAATACAAAAATTAGCTGGGCATGGTGGTGCACACCTGTAGTCCGAGCAACTAGGGAGACTGAGGCTGGAGGGTCGCCTGAACCCAGGAGGCAGAGGTTGGAGTGAGCCGAGAGTGCAGTACTGCACTCCAGTCTGGGCCACAGAGCGAGACTCTATCAAAAAAAGAAAAAAAAAAGAAAAGAAAAGAAATTCTGGAAAATGTAAACTAATCTATAGTGAAAGAGAGTGGATCAGTGTTTGCCTAGGAGATAGATTTGGAGAGAGACGTTTACTGACTGCAGAGGAGCAAAAGGGAAGTTTGCGGGGGATGAAAATCTTCCTTTGATTGTGTTGATGGTTTCATGAGTACATACATCTGACAAAACTCATCAGGTTGTACATTTTATATGGATATAGTTTATTATGTAAATTATACCTCAATAAAATTGATACACATACACATATATAAATATACATATATAAAATAGATTCTCTCCACCTCCACTGCTGTCTACTTGGTTCATGACACCACCTCAGTTATAACAGCCTTCTTCTTTTTTTTTTTTGAAATGGAGTTTCCCTCTTGTTGCCTAGGCTGGAGTGCAATGGCATGATCTCGGCTCACCGCAACCTCTGCCTCCCGGGTTCAAGCGATTCTCCTACCTCAGCCTCCTGAGTAGCTGGGATTACAGGCGTGCGCCACCATGCCCAGCTAATTTTTTGTATTTTTAGTAGAGACAGGGTTTCTCCATGTGGGTCAGGCTGGTCTCGAACTCCCAGCCTCAGGTGATTTGCCTGCCTCGGCCTCCCAAAGTGCTGGGATTACAGGCATGAGCCACCACACCCATCAGAAGAATCACTTTTGTATCATTATTTGCTTATGTGGCTTGTCTCTCCTTTTTTTTTTTGAGACAGAGTCTCGCTCTATCACCCAGGCTGGAGTGCAATGGTGTGATCTCGGCTCACTGCAACCTCTGCCTCCCGGGTTCAAGGGATTCTCCTGCCTCAGCCTCCTGGTAGCTAGCATTACAGGTGCGTGCCACCACGCCCAGCTAATTTTTTATTTTTTTTAGAAACTGGGTTTCTAATGTTGGTCAGGCTGGTCTCGAACTCCTGACCTTGTGATCCACCCACCTCAGCCTCCCAAAGTGCTGGGATTACAGGCGTGAGCCACCACACCCAGCCAAGTGGCTTGTCTCTCCTTCTATGTAATAAACACCTTAAGCATAAAACTTGACTGTGTATCGCTAACATTCGTCTGCATATTAATTAAGCTTGGTACCTTTTACACTTTAACCCCTCAAAGTCAATTTAAGAACATAGAGGCATCCCAAGTCAGTTGTTATAGAACTGTTTACTTTTTAAAAGCAATTAAATATTGATTTTCCATGTTGACTTGTATATTAGCTGGAATAGATACAGTCTCATATACTTTTGAAAAAGGCAGTTTCTCCAGTTCCTGTGAGAGAATTGCTGAAGCAGTGTGAAGCAACTTTCAACAGGAGTAAACTGCTCTAACATGCATCATGTCAGCATGTATGCATGCTTGCCATATCTGCTAGTGGCAAAGCAAAATTAAAAGTGAGTAAGAATGCTGAATTGTCCTTTCGACATTAGAAATTAGGCAAGAGTTTCAAGTTTTAAATGCTTTCTAGGGTATAAAGGCATCCCCAAAAGTCCCATTACAGGATTACTTGAAAAGATTTTGGAATAAATACTTAGGCTTCCCTTGTCTTGAATTGGTACACTCCTCTTCATTGAACAGAAATTCCCAATGATGACGTTGCCTTTTATTAAAGCACAAAATGAAAAGAAAGTTTTAGATGGAGGGGCTTAGTATTCAGCAGTCTTGTAGTTCTTTATAATTTATCAAGCCACTAATTCTGAAATCCTTCATGTCATGATTTAACTGAAAGCTATACCATAGTTGTTAAAAAGACTGGGCTTGAGATTAGACAGCTTAGATTTGCATCCAGCTCTACTGTCCATGTTCTGTGAAGTTGGGCCTCAGATTTTTATCTGTAATAAGAGATCAGGAATAGTAACTCTTTCATAGTGTTAAGGGTAAAATGAGATAATGTACAGTGCCTGCCTCAGAGTGAACATTCAGTAAATGTTAGTGTGGTGATGATGATGTTGTTGATTACATTAAACTAGGCCCAACCAAAAAAAGTAACTCTTACTTCTTTCTGTCTTCAGTGCCTGTAATAGTCTAAGATAAAGGCTTATGGATTTTCTCTTTTCTATTCCAAGATTAGTTCATTTACCAAAGGCAACAATGAGTGAATGTTCAAAAAAATTCTAATAAAAGACTGAATGAAGCCCTATAAATCAATGTAAGTGATATTTTAGACTTGTCGATTGAAGACAGGCCCAAGTAATGGGTTCTAAACTACTTAGTGCAAAGCCACCATGTATTATGACTATCCACGGGGAAAAAATATTGTATAGCAGGATTAAATTTTCATTTCATGGGGTTGGGCGCAGTGGCTCACTCCTGTAATCCCAGCACTTTGGGAGGCCAAGGCCAGCAGATCACGAGGTCAGGAGATCAAGATCATCCTCACGGTGAAACCCCGTCTTCACTAAAAATACAAAAAATCAGCCAGGTGTGTTGGCACGCACCTGTAGTCCCAGCTACTGGGGAGGCTGAGGCAGGAGAATCGCTTGAACCCGGAGGTGGAGCTTGCAGTGAGCTGAGATCATGCCACTGCACTCCAACCTGGGCAACAGAGCGAGACTCCATCTCAAAAAAAAAATTTTTTTTCATTTCATATGTAGTATACATTTTATTTCAATTTTTAAAAATAACATAGACTAGACTCCGACTGCAAGGGGGTTTATAAATGTTTAAATCGAATGATCTCAAATGCCAGTTCCTTAAGACGTCCATTAAAACAGATTATTGAACAAATTAGTTGAGAGTGCTGATAATTCTGAAATTATTGGCATTTGGATACCATGTAGTTTAATAAAGTAATGAACTTCCGGAATAAAGGTCAGGTTAGTTTTAAGTAAAACAGTGTATGGAAATAGTCATTCAAAAAAAGCACATGAAGTAGTAATGGTTACTTGCTTTACAAAAACATTTACTATAATTCCTTTTAAAAAGTAAAAACCCCGCTGGGCACGGTGGCTCACACCTGTAATCCCAGCACTTTGGGAGGCCGAGGCGGGCGAATCACCTAAGGTCAGGACTTCAAGACCAGCCTGGCCAACATGGTAAAACCCTGTCTCTGCTAAAACGACAAAAAAAAATTAGCTGGGCATGGTGGCAGATGCCTGTTATCCCAGCTACTCGGAAGGCTGAGGCAGGGGAATTGCTTGAACCCAGGAGGCAGAGGGTACAGTAAGCTGAGATCTCACCATTGCACTCCAGCCTGGGAGACAAGAGCAAAACTCCATCTCAAAAAAAAGTAAAAACCCGGCCGGGCGCGGTGGCTCACTCCTGTAATCCCAGTACTTTCGGACGCCGAGGCAGACAGATCACCTGAGGTCAGGAGTTCAAGACCAGCCTGGCCAACATGGCAAAACCCCATCTCTACTAAAAATACAAAAATTAGCTGGGCATGGTGGCAGGCGCCTGTAATCCCAGCTACTCGAGAGGCAGAGGTTGCAGTGAGCCGAGATCACGCCACGGCACTCCAGCCTGGGCAACAGACTCCGTCTCAGGAAAAAAAAAAAAAAAGTAAACGCCCTAATACTTTTGACATATGATGGTATAGTTCAACAAGCATTTTTTAGCCACAGGCAGTGTATCAGCCACCGTGTTAAGTAGTGGCGATATAAATAGGATTCCTCCAGCCTGGCCAACATGGCAAAAACCCATCTCTACTAAAAATACAAAAATTAGCCAGGCATGGTGGAACACCCCTGTAGTCCCAGCTACTTGGGAGGCTGAGGCAGGAAAATCGCTTGAACCCAGGAGGCGGAGGTTGTAGTGAGCTGAGATCTGGCCACTGTACTCTAGCCTGGGTGGCAGAAATAAATAAATAAATCAGATTCCTAACCTTAAGCAGCTTATGGTCCTAATGGAGAGATACTTAACCTAAAATAACCTAAATCTTGTGTGGTGAAGTCCTGTGTCTGAAATAAATGTTAACAGTACACTTCTACAGGAGCATAAAGGAAAAAAACCTACCCTAGCTTAGGGGACAGTCAGGAAGATTTCCCTGAAGGAAAGCAGATTCTTGAACAGATTCTGGTTAGCTAGGAAGGCAGATAACTTTTCTTGCTTTCTTGCCAACCGATGTTACTTGATATCTCAGGGAAGTAGTCTGAGATAGCTGAGGCATCCAGTGTGAGGCCTTGGAGTTACTAAGGACAAGATCCAAGAGTAGACAAGGAGCAGATCGCAGAGGATTTCATACGCCCTTTACAAGGAGTTTGGATCTTACATCCTGTACATGATGAGGATTAAAGGGTTTTAAGTTAGAGAGTGGCATGGTCAGATTTTACTTTCAGGTTAATAACACTGGCAGTAGTATAGAGGATGGGTTCCATTAACAGCTTTAAAGAGTATTTAAAATCAGATGGTATATAAGGACTGATAGGATTCATTCTATTTCTTTCTCTTTTTTTTTTTTTGCAATGGAGTTTCACTGTTTTTGCCCAGGCTGGAGTGCAATGGTGTGATCTCGGCTCACTGCAACCTACATTCCCGGGTTCAAGCTATTGTCCTGCCTCAGCCTCCCAAGGAGCTGGGATTACAGGCGCCCACCACCACGCCCAGCTAATTTTGTACTTTTAGTAGAGATGGGGGTTTCGCCATGTTTGCCAGGCTGGTCTCAAACTCCAGACCTCAGGTGATTCGCCTGCCCTGGCCTCCCAAAATGCTGGGATTATAGCTGTGAGCCACCACGCCTGGCCAGGTTCATTCTGTTTCTAAATTTTAAATAAATCTTTGAAGGATAAAGAAACTGCTTTAAATATCTAAACAGGGAAGTACTTGTAATTACTTACATCTTGAGGAATGTAAACATCTGTGTTCGTATTTAGAGATAGTATTGTTGAAAGATCAAATAAATTTAAAGAGTCTTTGGAAACATATTTTAGGTCAAGATTTTATACTTAAGAAGGATGTATACTCTATTTTTTTTTAAGTTCTTGGGTATAGACAAATATAATTGTAAACTTTTCCCTCTATTTCAAAGAATAATTTTTACCCAATTCTTGGAATTAACAGGATGTATTTTTGGAAGGAAAAGGATCATCAAAAGATCAGTTATTCTAAATACCTGAAGAAGAATAACACTTTTGTTTTCTTTTTTTTTTTTTTTTTTTTTGAGACAGTCTTGGTGTGTCACCCAGGCTTGAGTGCAGCGGCGCAATCTCAGATCACTGCAGCCTCAACCTCCTGGGTTCAAGATTTTCCTGCCTCAGCCTCCTGAGTATCTGGGATTATAGGCGCATGCCACCACACCCAGCTAATTTTTGTATTTTTAGTAGAGACAGGGTTTCACCATGTTGGCCAAGCTGTTTCTTGAACTCCTGACCTCAAGTGATCTACCTGCCTTGGCCTTCCAAAGTGCTGGGATTACAGGTGTGAGCCACCATGCCCAGCCGAATTTTGACTTCTAAATTAGTAGCCATATGAAAATTGTCCAAATAGTTCCTAAGCATGCTATCTTTCTTTTTCTTTCTTTCTTTTTTTTTTTTTTTTTTTTGAGATAGAGTCTTGCTCTGTTGTCCAGGCTAGAGTGCAACGGTGTAATCTCGGCTCACTGCAACCTCCACTTCCTGGGTTCAACCTGTTCTCCTGTATGAGCCTCCCAAGTAGCTGGGATTACAGGTGCATGCTGCCACACCCAGATAATTTTTTGTATTTTAGTAGAGACAGGGTTTCACTGTGTTGCCCAGGCTGGTCTTGAATGCCTGAGCTCAGGAAATCCACCCACCTCGGCCTTCCAAAGTGCTGGGATTACAGGCGTGAGCCACCGCCCCTGGCTTAAGCATGTTATCTTAGTCTGCTTGGGCTACTCTAAGAAAATACCACCAGTTGAATGGCATACAGTTCTGTGGTGAAATAAAATTTACTTTCTCACAGTTTTGGAGGTTGGGGAGTCTAAGATCAAGGTGCCAGCCAATTCAGCTTCTGGTGTGGGCTCTCTTCCTGGCTTACAGATCTTAACCTTCCCACTGTGAGCCCATATGGGCATTTCTTATCACTGTCTAGTCCTCTACTTACAAGGCCACCCACCCATATGACCTCATTTAACCTTAATTATGTCCTAAAGGCCCTATCTCCAAATACAGTCACATTGGAGGGTTCCAGTTTCTACATATGAATTGGGGGAGGGAGGGAGATACAATTCAGTCCATAGCAGAACCTGAGCAGACCTTTTCCCGGAGAAGTAAATATAAGTTTATAAATTTAAGTATATACATTATAATTTTGAAGTTTTTGAGTCTCTAAATCTGATAATACTTAAGGGAAACTTTTCAGGGCAACAAAGTAGAAACAGGGGAGAAACAGGAGAAATTTTGTTTGTCCCAAACAAAAAAATAACTTGCTAATAGCTGTGACATTTTAGAAAAATTGCACACTAGATAATCCTTCATTAGCTGTATGAAGGTTTATTTTCTAAGCTTTTATTTCTGCATGTTCTGTTATCTCCAGTGCCTGGCATTGTAATCCTGTAGGAGGGAGTCAAAAGTTATAAATACAGAGCTCTCACAGTGCTGTTGTGTATTTGGTGATCAGTGGCAGGTAAAATTTGCAGAGGCTAAAGGTGTTTACATCTTGGATTTTTCTTTTATTTGGTTTTGGAACAATTAAGAATGCTGGGAATTTTACTTATATATTGAACTCAGAGTATGTTGTGTGTCTGTGTGTATGTGTGTATCTGAATAAAAGATTTTTAAACTGAGCAACATGGCAAAATCATAGACTTTTCGAGTTGAAATGAAACTTAGAAATTGTCTTGACCAACTCCAAGACCAGGAAAACTGAGGCTTAGAGAAGTTAAACCACTTGATCAATACCACAGAGCCACTCAGAGCTGCTGTGACACTAGGACCTAAGACTTCTGTTTTCCAGTTTAGGGTTATTTCCACTATGTCATAGTGCTACCCAACTGGCAAGTGTTTTTTGATCGGAAATTCAGTTCGTGACCAGCCTAGCCAACATGGTGAAACCCTATCTCTACTAAAAATACAAAAATTAGCCAGGCATGGTGGTGTGCATCTGTAATCCCAGCTACTTGGAGGCTGAGGCAGGAGAATTGCCTGAACCTGGGAGGTGGAGGCTGCAGTGAGCAGAGATCGCACCACTGCACTCCAGCCTGAGCAACAGAGTGAGACTCCATTTCAAAAAAAAGGAATTCAACTTAGGTTCTTTTTTAAATTTAATTTAATTTTTTAAAATTTCCATAGGTTATTGGGAACAGGTGGTGTTTGGTGACATGAGTAAGTTCTTTAGTGGTGATTTGTGAGATTTTGGTGCACCCATCACCCAAGCAGTATACACTGCACACAATTTGTAGTCTTTTATCCCTCACCCCCTTCCCGTCCTTTCCCCGAGTCCCCAAAGTCCATTGTGTCATTCTTATGCTTTTGCATCCTCTTAGCTTAGCTCCCACTTATGAGTGAGAACATACTATATTCGATTTTCCATTCCTGAGTTACTTCACTTAGAATAGCAGTCTCCAGTCTCATCCAGGTCACTGCAAATGCCATTAATTAATTCCTTTTTATGGCTGAGAGTATCCCATTAAATATATATACCACAGTTTCTTTATCCACTCATTGATTGATGGGCATTTGGATTGGTTCCACATTTTTGTAATTGCAAATTGTGCTGCTATAAACATGCATGTGCAAATATCTTTTTGTATAATGACTTCTTTTCCTCTGGGTAGATAACCAGTACCAGGATTGCTGGATCAAATGGTAGTTCTACTTTTAGTTCTTTAAGGAATCTCCACACTGTTTTCCACAGTGGTTGTACTAGTTTACATTCCCACCAGCCGTGCAGAAGTGTTCCCTATTCACTGGATCCATGCTAACATCTGTTTTTTTTTTTTTATTATGGCCATTCTTGCAGGAGTAGGGTGATAATCGTGTCGTGGTTTTGATTTGCTTTTCCCTGATCATTAGTGATGTTGAGCATTTTTTCATATGTTTGTTGGCCATTTGTAATATCTTTTGAGAATTGTCTATTCATGTCCTTAGCCTACTTTTTGAGGGAATTGTTTGTTTTTTTCTTGCTAATTTGTTTGAGTTTGTTGTAGATTCTGTATGTTAGTCCTTTGTCAGATGTATAGATTGTGAAGATTTTCTCCCACTCTGCAGGTAGGAATTCAACCTAGCTTCTAATGGCACAAGTACTAAGTCATTACTATTAAACTACTTTGAAGCAACTTAACCTCCTTGAGCCTCTCTTAGATTCATTCTAAATCTAAAATTCGGATTATAAAGAGTGTGAAAGGAAAATAAATCTTGGAGCCCCCAAATCACTAAGCTAAAGGGAAAAGTCAAGCTGGTAACTCCTTAGGGCCAATCTGCCTCCCATTCTATTCAGGGTCACCCCTCTGCTCACTGAGGTAAATGCATATCTGATTGCCTTCTTTGGACAGCCTAATCAGAAACTCAAAAGAATGCAACCATTAGTCTCTTACCTACCTGTGACCTGGAAGCCACCTTCCCGCTTGGAGTCCTTCCGCCTTTTGCCTCGAGTTGTCCCACCTTTCCAGGCCAAACCAATATTCATCTTGCATATGTTGATTGATGTCTCATTTCTCCCTAGAATGTACAAAACCAAACTGCTCTGACCACCTTGGGCACATGTTGTCATGACCTCCTGAGGCCGTGTCATGGGTGCACGTCCTCAACCTTGGAAAAATAAACTTTCTAAATTAACTGAAACCTGTCTCAGATTTTCTGGGTTCACAAGAGAATATTTAAAAATTATATAGCATGTATAGATTATGGCTGGGCATGGTGGCTCACGCCTGTAATCCCAGCACTTTGGGAGGCCAAGGCAGGTGGATCACCTGAGGTCAGGAGTTCGAGACCAGCCTGGCCAACATGGTGAAAACCCCTCTCTACTAAAAATAGAAAAATTAGCTGGGTGTGATGGCAGGCGCCTGTAATCCCAGCTACTTGGGAGGCTGAGGCAGGAGAATCACTTGAACCCGGGAGGTGGAGGTTGCAGTGAGCTGAGATCACGCCATTGCACTCCAGCCTGGGGGACAAGAGCAAGACTTGGTCTCAAAAAATAAAATAAAATAAATAGATTAGGCCTGGCACAGTGGCTCACGCCTGTAATCCCAGCATTTTGGGAGGCTGATGCGGGCAGACCACTTGAAGTCAGGAGTTCGTGACCAGCCTGGACAATATGGAGAAACCCCGTCTCTACAAAAAATATAAAAATTAGCCAGGTATGGTGGCGTGCACCTGTAATCCCAGCTACTCAGGAGGCTGAGGCATGAGAATCTATATATATAGATATATATAGATTAATTCAGCAATTAAAAGGTTAGTTTGTTCATTTTATTACTGTAATGCACAGAATTCCCTTTTAAAAATATATATTCCCATAGAAAGAC
Organism: Homo sapiens; assembly: GCF_000001405.40. Classification (NCBI taxonomy): domain Eukaryota; kingdom Metazoa; phylum Chordata; class Mammalia; order Primates; family Hominidae; genus Homo; species Homo sapiens. The sequence goes on along the minus strand of NC_000012.12, from coordinate 118,285,033 downwards.
AAGGGGCTTGATTTTTTTTTTTTTACAATGAAGCAAAAGCCAGAGTAATCTTTAAAAAATATAACAATCTAAATTTTATTTCTGGTAATAATCTTTTGACTACTCATCTCAATTTGTTGCTATTAAGGAAGTCATTTTAACCTTTTGACTATATATTTAATAGGTGAATGCCTAATTATAGAATTATAATATTATACTTAGCTTTCATGACATTCGCTAAGAATTCAACTTACCCTCAAAGTTGAATTCTTACTTTTGTTGTTAACCTTCTCTTTTGTCTGCAGTCTTTGCCTGGGTTACCATAGCTGCTTCTTGAGCTTCCTGTCTACCTTACACAAGTGACTCCCAGATCCGACCTTGCGCCAACATTTCCCCTGCACACCAATCTCCATCTCTTTCTATTTTCTTTATATCTCTACCTGTATGTCTATCCATCACCTTCAATTCAGTTTTACTAGAAAACAGTCATTATCTTTCTCCCATTAAACTTGTTTCTTCCACTAAATTCCCCATTTTTATTCAGAGAACAAACATCTTCCTATCTCTTGTTCTTAGGGCCTCAGAGCTAATAACTCCCATGTCTTTTCGAGGCTCTGTAGCCAATCAACTGCTGACTCTTCACTGTGTTACTACCGTGTTTCTCTTGACCTCCACACTCATGGAACCATGGTATGGTAACTGCCTTCTGCTTTCAATTTTATTGCCAACATTCTGGAATAAGATTATCGTTCTTTGTTGTTTGGTAGCCATAACCTGACCTCCCTGCTCTAGTCTCCTTCTATTCCAATTCAGTCTTCAAAAAATATTTTTAATTTATTTTTTCATTACAAAAAATAAATTCTACATGTTCAATGTAGAAAATATCAAAAACAAAGAAAGATAAACAGAAAATATCTTTATACCCAAAGATAATCATTATTAACATTTTGGTTTATATTCTTTCAATTCTTTTTCTGTGATGTGTGCACAATATTTTTAAACAAAATATTCTTTGTCCGGCCTGTATGTTACTCCAGGCAACTACAGTATTATTCTTAAAGCCTGAATCTAATTGAAAACGTTTTCATCAGTAGAAAAAAAGCTTAAAAACCTTTACATGGTATTCAAGCTCCTTGACAATCTAGACCCAATAGACTGTTCCAGCTTTGTTTCCAATGAATGATTTCCCAAATCCGCAGAACAGACATTTAAGTAACATGCCATTTCCTAATACGCTGCAACCTCCAATCCTTTGTGCCCACCATTTCCTATAAAAAATTCTGTCTGGTTTGTTTGTTGTTGTTGTTGTTGTTTTGTTTTGTTTTGTTGATGAAGTCTTGCTCTGTCACCAGGCTGGAGTGCAGTGGCATGATTTTGGCTGACTGCAACCTCTGCCTCCCAGGTTCAAGCAATTCTCCGGCCTCAGCCTCCCGAGGAGCTGGGACTACAGGTGCGTGCCACCATGCCCAGCTAATTTTTGTATTTTTAGGAGAGACAGAGTTTCACCATGTTGGTCAGGTTGGTCTCGATCTCTTAACCTTGTGATCCGCCCACCTCAGCCTCCCAAAGTGTTGGGATTACAGGCATGAGCCACTGTGCTCGGCCAATTGTGCCTGTTCTTTACAGAACAATCAAAATACTGTCTCTTCCATTAAAGCATTAAGCACCTACCCATCTCCATCCCCTGCTTCTTAGAGAGTGAAAAATGCTCCCTATTTTGAACTTTCATAGTACTTGCAACATTCACTGGTTCTAGGTAATGAGTTTCTGGTGAACACATATCTGTATACATATTTTATGTGTTATATATCTTTCAGCACCTAACACAATATCTTAAGTATAGCAGGTATCCAATAAATGTTGAAAGAATGAATGAATACTTGAGCACTGCTTCAGCTACTATACCTCTTATAAAACTCATGAGAAGAATAATATTTTGTAGATATGGAAGAAGCTTAAACAGGTTGTAAAACTTACTCAGGCTACAGGGAATTAAGGAGACAGAATTAGAAACTGGAACACTCTAAATCCAAGTTTGTCACTTATCCTTTGAGCTGTGCTGTGGCTCTTGATCATTAATAAGTTATTTATAGTGTGGTTGCCTATTGCTTGAACACTATCCTATTTTGGATAGGTGGAAGCCAGTGTTCTTCCTTCTGCTGTGGATACAGCGAAAGGAGTACAGGTCGATATTCCATCTTCAGTTGCCTGGCAGCTTTCAGGCGGGCATGTGACTTTGGTCAATCAGATACTCCCACCCAGAACTTTGAATCTTGCAAGCTCAGGGCACAGCAGAGATGATTGTGGCAGTTGTGAAGATGATAAGAGTCCAGTAGAGCAGAATCGAATGATGATGGCATCAACAGCATCCTAAGCAAATGACATGATCTTGATTGTGTCTTTCCTCCCTAGGGGCCTACCCATTTTTTGAGCTTCCCAATTCATTCTATGAGCTATCTTACAAATACATTTATTTTCTGCCTAAGTTAGCCAGAGTTGGTTTCTATTATTTGCAACTAAAAACCCTAACAGTGATGATTTTCATTAGTACTTACAGTGGAACAGCCTCATCAATACATTTCAATGAACTCCCACAACATAAGATGAAATTCTACAGTAAGGGAACTACCAATGCCAAAAGGCATAGGAGTGATAGCTGTTCAGTGGAATCACAGTGGGAAATGCCAAGGTAATTCTCTATAACTTTTTAAATAACAATGTGATCAAGTAAGATTAGATTCACATCTGGCAGACCTTTTGTTCTGTACCTACTACATACTTGGAGTATATTATCTCATTTAATCCTCACAACATTTTATGCATTTCTACCAAAAGAGGTTATAGAGGTTTGGTAGAAAACAGAACGGAATAAACTCTACACATAAGAAGAACTTTTAGAATTCCTCACCAATACCCATTTATACTGGTTATTTGAAAGAGTGAGTGGTTTGTATGCCAGGTTACTGTAGATCAAGGAATCTTCTAGAAAACATTCCATTTTTGTTTTTACTAAACTCTAACTGAAATTTAGCATTTTCTATAATTTTAAATGTTGGCCACAAACCGCAAGAGTATTAGCAATACCTGTGACTTTTTCACAATAAAAATAACAAATATTTTATATCACATTAGTTGTTACATGTACATCAAAATATTTTTTATGCTCATCACTTGTTGAAATTATTGTAGTTATTAGACTCCTGTCTCTCTCTTATTACTAAATGCATTAATAAAGAAGCACATATATTACTACGTGACAAATTTGCTTTTTAATTTTTAATTTTTTTCTTTTTTTTTTTTCTGAGGCAGAGTCTCACTCTTGTTGCCCAGGCTGGAGTACAATGGTGCAATCTTGGCTCACTGCAGCCTCAGCCTCCTGAGTATCTGGGATTACACGTACCCACCACCACCCCCGGCTATTTTTGTACTTTTAGTAGAGACAGGGTTTCGCCATGTTGGCCAGGCTGTTCTCAAACTCCTGACCTCAGGTGATTCGCCTGCCTCAGCCTCCCAAAGTGCTGGGATTAGAGGCATGAGCCACCACACCTGGACGCTTTTTAATATTTTTATAAATTCATTTCAGTATAACTAGTTTCCTTCATAATTCTAAGTGGTTAATTTTTTTCATGTAAAACATTATTCTGAGAAGGTGTCCATAGGCATCCTTGAACTGCCAAAGAGGTCAGTGTCACATAAAAGGTGACAAATCCCTTTTATAGGGCCATCTATGACGAACCCACAACCAACATCATACTGAATAGGTAAAAGCCAAAGCATTCCCCTTGAAAACCAGAACAAGACCCTATCACCACTCCTATTCAACATAGCACTGGAAGTCCTGACCAGGGAAGTCAGGCAAAAGAAAGAAATAAAAGGTATCCAAATAGGAAGAAAGAAAGTCAAACTATCCCTGTTTGCAGGCAACATGATTCTATACCTAGAAAACCGCATAGCCTCTGCCCAAATGCTCTTTGATCTAATAAACAACTTCAGCAGTTTCGGGATACAAAATCAATGTAGAAAAATCAGTAGCATTCCTATATATGAAGAGCGTCCAAGCCAAGAGCCAAATCAAGAATGCAATCCCATTCAAAATAGCCACAAAAAGAATAAAATACCTAGGAATACAGCTAACCAGGGAGGTGAAAGATCTCTACAATGAGAACTACTAAACACTGCTTAAATAAATCAGAGATGACAAAAACAAATGGAAAAACATTTCATACTCATGGATAGGAAGACTTAATATTGTTAAAATGGCCATACTGCCCAAAGCAATTTACAGATTCAGTGCTATTCCTATCAAACTACCAATGACATTCTTCACAGAATTAGAAACTGCTATTTTAAAATTCATATGCAACCAAACAAGACCTTGAAAAGCCAAAGTAATTCTAAGCAAAAAGAACAAAACTAGAAGCATCACATTACCTGTTACGAGACTTCAAACTATAATGATATAGTAACCAAGAGAGCGTGGTACTGGTACAAAAACAGACACATAGACCAGTGGAACAGAATAGAGAGCCCAGAAATAATGCCGCACACCTACAACCATCTGATCTTTGACCAAGTCGACAGAAACAAGCAATGGGGGATGGACTGCCTATTTAATAAATAGTACTGGGATAACTGGCTAGCCATATGCAGAAGATTGAAACTGGACCCCTTCTTTACACCATATACAAAAATCACACCACGTGCAGTGGTTCACACCTGTAATCCCAGCACTTTGGAAGGCTGAGGCAGGTGGGTCACTTGAGGTCAGGAGTTCTAGACCAGCATGGCCACTGTGGCAAAACGCTGTCTCTACTAAAAATACAAAAATTAGCTGGGCGTAGTGGCGCACGCCTGTAGTCCCAGCTACTTGGAGGCTGAGGCAGGAGAATCACTTGAACCCGGGAGGCGGAGGTTGCAGTGAGCTAAGATGGCGCCACTGCACCCCAGCCTGTCGACAGAGCGAGACTCCATCTAAAAAAAAAAAAAAAAAGGTGGGGCGCGGTGGCTCACGCCTGTAATCCCAGCACTTTGGGAGGCTAAGGCGGGCGGATCACGAAGTCAGGAGTTCAAGACCTGCTTGGCCAACATAGTGAAACCCCATCTCTACTAAAAATACAAAAAATTAGCTGGACGTGGTGGCGGGCGCCTATAATCCCAGCTACTTGGGAGGCTGAGGCAGGAAAATCGCTTGAACCCAGGAGACGGAGATTGCAGTAAGCGGAGATCAAAGCCACTGCACTCCAGCCTGGTTGACAGTGCAAGACTCTGTCTCAAAAAAAAAAAAAACAACAATAAAAACAAAAATTAGCTGGGCATGGTGTTGCATGCCTGTAGCCCCAGCTACTTAGGAGGCTGAGGCAGAAGAATCGCTTGAATCCCAGAGGCAGAGGTTGCAGTCAGCCAAGATTGTACCACTGCACTCCAGCCTGGGTGACAGAGTGAGACTCTCTCTCAAAAAAAAAAAAAAAAAAATCAACTCAAGATGGATTAAAGACTTACATGTAAAACCTAAAACTATAAAAACACTGGAAGGTAACCTAGGAAATACCATTCTGGACATAGGACCTGGCGAAGATTACATGATGAAGACACCAAAAGCAATTGCAAAAAAAAAATAAAAATTGACAAATGAGAATTAAAGAGCTTCTGTACAACAAAAGAAACTATCAACAGAATAAACATCCTACAGAATGGGAGAAAATGTTTGCAAACTATGCATCCAACAAAGATCTATTAATAATATCCAGAATCTATAAGGAAGTCAAATCAACAAGCAAAAAACAATCCCATTAAAAAGTGGGCAAAGGACATGAACAGACACTTTTCAAAAGAAGACATGCACACAACCAACAAGCATACGAAAAAATGCTCACCATCACTAATCATTAGAGAAATACAAATCAAAACCACAATGAGATACCATATCACACCAATCAGAATGGCTGTTGGTGGCTCACACCTGTAATCCTAGCACTCTGAGAGGCCAAGGCAGGCAGATCACCTGTGGTGATCAAGAGGTCAGGAGTTCGAAACCAACCTGGCTAACATGGTGAAACCCTGCCTCTACTAAAAATATAAAAAATAGCTGAGTGTGGTGGTGCATGCCTGTAATCCCAGCTACTCAAGAGGCTGAGGCAGGAGAATTGCTTGAACCCGGGAGGCGGAGGTTGTGGTGAGCCGAGACCGCACCACTGCACTCCAGCCTGGGCGACAGAGCAAGACAGCATCTCAAAAAATAAAAATAAAAAATAACAGATGCTGTCAAGGTAGCAGAAAAAATGGAACATTTTTACACTGCTGCTGGGAATGTAAATTAGTTCAGTCATTGTGGAAAGCAGTTTGGCGATTTCTCAACTTAAAGCAGAATTACCATTTGACTTAGCAATCCCATTACTGGTTATTTACCTAAAGGAATATGAATCATTCTACTATAAAGACTCATGTACCCATATGCTCATTGCAGCACTTTTCACAATAACAAAGACATGGAATCAACCTAAATGCCCATCAGCGGTGGACTGGATAAAGAAAATGTGGTGCATATACACCATGGAATACTATGCAGCCATGAAAAAAGAATGAGATCATGTCCTTTACAGCAACATGGATGGAGCTGGGAGTCATTTAGTAAATGAACTAACACAGGAACAGAAAACCAAATACTGCATGTTCTCACTTTTAAGTGAGAGCTAAATACTGAGTACATTTGGATACAAAGAAGGGAATCACAGACACCAGGGCCTACTTGAGGGTGGAAAGAAGGAGGAGGGTCAGGATCAAAAAACTACCATATTGGGTACTATGCTTATTACCTGGGTGGTGAAATAATCTGTACACCAAACCCCTGTGCAATGTACCTATATAACAAACCTGCACATGTACCCCTGAACCTAAAGTAAATGTTAAAAAATAAATTCAAATTCTACTTTTTTATTGCTGGGTGCAAAAAAAAAAATCCCTTTTATAAATAGGCTTTTGGGGTGGGGGCAGGTTTGACTTGCTCAGTGGTTCCCAAACTTGACTGTGTGTGAAAATTGCTTTAAAGAGTTTTGTAAACAAAACCACAAACACTGGAATTTTCAAGGGTAATTAGAGCTGTATGCAGTTTTGGCCTTAGGTGTTGACCTTTGTACCCAACCACCTTGGGTAAGACAAGATTATATTCCCTAGTGTTTTCAAGTAAATCTATAGACCCCTGGGAACTTAAAGATATGAAAATAGGTCTAAAAGTTCTCCACAACTTTTTTAATGTTATGTTTTCATTTTGATGATGATCTTTTAAAAAATACATGGTGGGCCCAGGCACGGTGGCTCATGCCTGTAATCCCAGCACTTTGGGAGATCGGGGTGGGTGGATCACGAAATCAGGAGTTTGAGACCAGCCTGGCCAGTATGGTGACACCTTGTCTCTACTAAAAATTCAAAAATTAGCCAGGCATGGTGGTGCGCGCCTGTACTCCCAGCTACTCGGGAGGCTGAGGCAGAAGAATTGCTTGAACCCAGGAGGCAGAGGTTGCAGTGAGCCGAGATCATGCCACTGCACTCCAACCTGGGCGACGGAGCAAGACTCCGTCTTAAAAAAAAAAAAATACATGGTGGATCATCTGGATGACCACATAATCACTAAAGAGTCCTATGGGTTGCTGGGATTTCAGGGCCTGTGTTTGTGTTTACCATAATGCCAAGTGGTACCACTTGAATTGTCTTAGACAAATGAGAAAAGAATAGAAATGGAAGTGGAATTAATGTGTAACTGTTAAACTCACATCTTGTGAAGGCCAGATGATATCAAGCCAGGTTATACAAATGAAGTATTCCTAGGAGTACAGGTAGAGAAACGTGGTCTAATGGTGAATGAGCATTCCATACTGAATAATAAGAAACACAGTAGAATGGGCCATATTTGTTTTGGAAGTTATTGTATCAACAAAATAATAACATCTGTACTGTCAAAGCAATTGTTGAGTTTGATTTGGAGAGACATTGTGAATTTGTTTCATATAAGTTGTATAAAAGCCATAAGAGGTTTATTACAGTTTTGTTTGTTTGAGACGGAGTCTCTCACTCTGTTGCCCAGGCTGGAGTGCAGTGGCGTGATCTCAGCTCACTGCAACCTCTGTCTCCTGGGTTTAAGTGATTCTCCTGCCTCAGTCTCCTGAGTAGCTGGGACTATAGGCGTGAGCCACCATGCCCAGGTAATTTTTGTATTTTTAGTAGACACGGGGTTTTACCATGTTGGCCAGGTTGGTCTCGAACTCCTGACCTCAGGTGATCCACCCGCCTTGGCCTCTTAAAGTGCTGGGATTGCAGGCATGAGCCACTGCACCCAGCCTATTACAGTTTTTTGTTTTTTGAGACGGAGTCTCGCTGTGTTGCCCAGGCTGGAGTGCAGTGGCACAATCTCTGCTCACTGCAAGCTCCGCCCCCCCAGTTCATGCCATTCTCCTGCCTCAGCCTCCAGAGTAGCTGGGACTACAGGCGCCCACCACCACACCTGGCTATTTTTTTTGTATTTTTAATAAAGACAGGGTTTCACAGTGTTCGCCAGGTTGGTCTTGATCTCCTGACCTCGTGATCTGCCCGCCTCGGCCTCCCAAAGTGCTGGGATTACAGGCGTGAGCCACCGCGCCCGGCCATATTACAGTTTTATAAATGGGCAATTTCATCTTTTGGTAGCTCAGGCCCTAAGGCTTGGAGTCATCTTTGACTCCTCTCTTTCTTTCATATTCCAATCAAAGCAGCAAAGCGCATTTGGTTGTTCCTTCTCAATTATTCTGGAATTCAACCAATTCTTATTACCTCTACCACCAGCACCTTGGTGCTGGCTGTCATCATTTCTTTCTTAGACTTTTGCAATGGCTTCTTTCAGGTCTCAGTGTTTTTAACCTTGCTTCTACACAATCTATTTCCCACAGAATAGTCAGAGTGATCCTTTTAAACACAGAAGTGGCATCTCTCATGAAATGCTTCGGTGGCTTCCCATCTCACTTATAATAAAATCCAAAATCTCCATCACATTATGAAAGGCCCTATCTCTTCTCCTACTACATCCCCATTGTTCACTTTCCCTTACCCACGCTGGCCTTCTGGCGTTTTCTGGAGTACACAAAACAATCTTGCTATTCCCTCGCCTGTACCACTCTTCCTTGCCAGGACCTTCAGGGCTTACTCCTTCACTTCCTTCATCTTTCAGGTCTCTACTCAACTGTTACCTATCAGAGAGATCTATCCTGCCTGCTGGCCCTGTTTCATTTTATATTTCTCTTTATATTTATTAATACTTCATGTATAAATATTTATATATCTCTCTACTAGAATATAAGCTGTATGAGAACAGGAAAGAACCTAAAGCCTTGTTCAGTGCCAGATGAATATTAGGTACTTAATAAATATTTGCCAAATGAATGATACATGAATAAATGAGTAAAGTAAATGACTAAAAGTAATTGAAGAAAATGTTAGGGATCTGTGAGGATTTTAAAAATAAGAGATATGAATGATTATTAATCATGTTTGAGAAATCCTAAGAGCAAATTATTGTGTATTATAGTTACATAAAGTTTTCATATTATACATTCTTTATATAACAGAATATTGGGGCATAAGATTGAATAATGGGGCAGCCAGGCACAATGGCTCATGCCTGTAATCCCAGCACTTTGGAAGGCTGAGGCAGGAGGATTGCTTGACCCAGGAGTTGGAGACCAGTCTGGGCAACATAGCAAGACCCTATCTCTACAAAAAATAAGTTAGCTGGGCATGGTGGCACACGCCTGTAGTCCCAGCTAATTGGAAGGCTGAGACAAGAGGGCTGCTTGAACCCCAGAGGTTGAAGCTACAGTGAACTGTGATCACACCACTGCACTCCAGCTTGGGAGACAGAGTAATATAATACCCTGTCTCTCTAAAAAATGAAACTTTTTTTTAAATGAAAAAAAAGTTATAGTGCAAAATGAAGATTTCAAAAACCCAGTCAAATATTTTAGAATAATTTGGGATTTATGTAGACACATCACCACCATTCTTATACTGGTCTTAATTTTCAGATTCATGTGAGGTGCCATTTTTTTCTGAAGTAGATGCATAATTGATTTCAAGTTGCTGGCCTCATATCAAAGTATCAGACAGAACAAAGATATTCAGTGTTGCTGGGCGTGGTGGCTTACGCCTGTAATCCCAGCACTTTGGGAGGCCAGGAGTTCAAGACCAGTCTGGCCAACATGGTGAAACCCTGTCTCTACTAAAAAAAAAAAAAAAAATTAACAGGGTGTGGTCGCACGTGCCTGTAGTCCCAGCTACTTGGGACATTGAGGCACGAGAATCTCTGGAACCTGAGAGGCAGAGGTTGCAGTGAGCTGAGATGGTGTCACTGTACTCCATCCTGGGCAACAGAGTGAGACTGTCTTTAAAAATAAAAGATATTCAGTGTTAAATTTAAGAGATCCAATGGGGCCTCTACTTTCCCATCTGTCTCTTATCTTAAACCTCTTTTTATTAAGGGAGGAAGAAAATAATACTCCATAAGAAATCAAAATAATTGATATTTTTGCTTTTGAGCCTACATAGATAAAGTCTTAAAGAGTGACTAGAAGAATCTTCATATAATTTAATGTCAGTTGACCCAGGAGTAGTCTAAAGGTTATCATTGTTAGGATCCTCAAAACCCCAGCTACTTCTGCATTATTTGCCACGTAGAAATTAGATGATCACTAAGGTCCTTTTTCAGCTCTTAAATGTGAGGATATTTGTTCACAGTTGGGCTATAGAACCATAGTGGCATAAAAAGCAGCTATCATCTAGTTTCATTTTCAACGTGAAAGTACCTTAAAAGCAGTTCTCTTACCTCAGGATAATAGTTAAATATTGGTGGCAAACAGGAACAGCAATTACAACAAAATTTGCTAGTTTTTTTTTTGTTTTTTTGGTTTGTTTTTTTTAGACAGTTCTCTTCAAGTCTTATGGGAAGTCGTGTGGAAGGAAACGGGGGAAGAAACCAAATACTCGACTAGTCCTAACTATGTGACTTCGAAAAAGATACTATATATTTATACTTCATTTTTCACTGCTGTAAAGTTAAGATTTTACCTGCCTCAGTCTACCCTCTGGGAGCAAGATAATGAATGAAATATTAGGAATTTTCAAAGGCTGGTTTACTGTGAAGCGTGTTTCAGAGCTTCTTATACCAGCTTCATCTAAGACTCTATACTTAATTTTAAGTGAGAATTTATTTATTTATTTAGAGACAAAGTCTTGCTCTGTCGCCCAGGCTGGAGTGCAATGGCACGATCTCGGCTCACTGCAACCTCCACCTCCTGGGTTCAAGCTATTCTCCTGTCTCAGCCTCCTGAGTAGCTGGAATTATAGGTATGCGCCACCACGCCCAGCTAATTTTTTTCTATTTTCAGTAGAGACGGGTTTTACCATGTTGACCAGCCTGGTCTTGAACTGCTGACGTCAAGTGATCTACCTGCCTCAGCCTCCCAAAGTGCTGAGATTATAGGCATGAGCCACTATGCCCGACCTATTTTTTTCTTTTTCTTTTTTTTCTTTTTGAGACGGAGTCTCGCTCTGTCACCCAGGCTGGAGTGCAGTGGTGCCGATCTCGGCTCACTGCAACCTCTGCCTCCTTGGTTCAAGCGATTCTCCTGCCTCAGCCTCCCGAATAGCTGGAACTACAGGCGTGTACCACCACACCTGGCTAATTTTTTGTATTTTTAGTAGAGATGGGGTTTCACCGTGTTAGCGAGGATGGTCTGGATCTCCTGACCTTGTGATCTGCTTGCCTCAGCCTCCCAAAGTGCTGGGATTACAGGCATGAGCCACCGCGCTGGCCCTATTTTTTTCTTAAAGAGGCCCTCAAATTTGTTTACTCTGCAGTCCTCGTAAGAACTGAATCTAGCACCATATCTTTAAATGTCCTGAGATCCTTGGGAGGAATAGTAACAGAAGTTCAATCTTACATTAAATTTAAAATTTTCTTGATTACCCTCCAAAATAGTAAAGTATGACTTAGGGCAGCATGGTTCAGGAGAATAAATTTCTGTAATGGAAAATCAGAAGTCCTGGATTTTTTTTTTTCCAGACAAGTTCTTACTTTGTCACCTAGGTTGGAGTGCAGTGGCACAATCTCGGCTCACTATAGCCTCAGCTTCCTGGGCTCAAGCAATCCTCCCACCTCAAGCCCCAAGTAGCTGGGACTACAGGCACGTGCTACCATGCCCAGCTAATTTTTTTGTATTTTATTTCATAGAGACGGGGGTCTCACTGTGTTACCCAGGCTGTTCTCAAACTCCTGGACTCAAGCAACCCTCCCACCTCGGTCTCCCAAAGTGCTAGGATTACAGGCATGAGCCACTGCACCTGGCCAGAAGTCTGGGATTTTAATTTGGGGATAATGCTGCCACAGAGGTGTGATGTGATGCTTAACTTTTCTGAGATTGAGTATAAAAAGAAAAAAAGGAGTTGAAATGGTGTATCTTTAAAATTCTTTCCAGTATGAAACATTCTAATTCTTATTTACTTTATTAATACTGAAATATTGTGGAGTTTTCGAATTCACTGGCTCCAGGATAGTGCTGCCAGAGAAAAACATTGTTGAGAAGAACATTATTGTTGAAAAAAACATTGAAACACAACTAAGATCTTCAATGAATCATCTTTCTTGAAGTTTCTGGGAAAGGGAAAATTATTTTAAAAATATATATTTCTACTCTCTATCAAGTGTTCTTTCTTTCTTTCTTTCTTTCTTTTTTTTTTTTTTTTTGAGATGGAGTCTTGCTCTGTCACCCAGGCTGGAGTGCAGTGGTGTAACTCGGCTCACTGCAACCTCTGCCTCCTGGGCTTAAGTGATTCTCATGCCTCAGCCTCCCAAGTAGCTGGGATTACAGGCATGCGCCACCAGTGTTCTTTCTTATAGTAAGTTAGAATGTCTTGTGAGAAATAATTTACTTGATTACCATTGTTAGAAGGTTTCCATTTCTTAGAATAAAGAAGTGTTTGCGAAGAAAATTATTTCAATTGCACATCTCTGATGAAATCTTCTACTCCGTGCTAGTTGGATTGTTTATTTGGCCCAAGGGCCTAAAACCTGAAATACTACATTCTTGGCGCAGTTCTACATTCTCACTATAAATGTAATACCTGAGGTTGCAGGAGGTTAAGGAAGAGGGAAAAACTTATTTTATGCCTGTTATTTCATCTTATCCTCTTAGAAGAAAAAATATTCTTGTTTATCTTTTGGGGAAAGGATTAATTTGAATGGTCATTTTAATTATAAGATTGAAATGGAACAGGGAAGGTGATTTCATCAGATTTTTATGGAATATCTGCTACTTAAAGAAGCCGTAGGGCCCAGCATTTCCACTCATAGGCATATGCTCAAGAAAAATGAAAACATATATCCGCCTAAAAACTTATACATGAATAATTCTAGTAGCACTATCCATAATGGCCAAAAGTTAAAGCAGTCCAAATGTCCATCACCTGATAAATGGATAAAATGTGACATATCCATATAATGGAATATTATTTGGCAATAAAAAGAAATACTGATTCATGCTATGCATTGGATTTGAAAACATGCTGAGTGAAAAATGCCAGTCATGAAAGACCACATATTGTATGATTCCGTTTATATGAAATTCCCAGAACAAGGAAATCTATAAAGATGGAAAGTATGTTAGTAAATTTCTTAGGAATGGAGGGAATGGGGTGGGGCGAGGCTGGGGTAATAGCTAAAGGGTATGGTTTTGTGTGTGTATGTATGGTGATGAAAATGTTCTAAAAATAACTGTGGTTGGTAACGGTTGTACATATCTAAAATGCTAAATACTAAATATACTAAAAACCATTGAATTGTACACTTTAAATGGGCAGAGTGTATGATAGGTGAATTATATCTCAATAACACTGTTTTTATTTTTTAAAATATCAGGGGTTACAATGATTAATCCAAATGTGGACTTAGACAATTACCCTTCTCTGAAGAAGCACTTGCCATCCAGTTTTAGAATACTAACTATGTGTGTTGAAAACTGATGCAAAGGGAGAAAATAGTAGGTTTTATAGAAGTGACATTTAGCCGGGCGTGGTGGCTCACACCTGTAATCCCAGCACTTTGGGAGGCTGAGGCGGGCGGATCACGAGGTCAGAAGATCGAGATCATCCTGGCTAACATGGTGAAACCCCATCTCTACTAAAAATACAAAAAAAAATTAGCTGGGCGTGGTGGCGGGCGCCTGTAGTCCCAGCTACTGGGGAGGCTGAGACAGGAGAATGGCGTGAACCCGGGAGGCGGAGCTTGCAGTGAACCGAGATCGGCGCCACTGCGCTCCAGCGTGGGAGACAGAGCAAGACTTTGTCTCAAAAAAAAAAAAAAAAAAAAAAGTGACATTTAGCTGGACTGTAAGAATAGCTGAGATTTGGGCCTTATAAGCAGAGGACACAACTTAGACAAAGACCAAGTGAGAAGTGAAATACAAAGTATATATACAAATGTAACTGAATGGAATTTATTTTTTCCTGATTATAGAGTTTAAGAATTTAGGTTAGACTACTGGTTTGAAGCCAGCTTTGAATGTTCGTTAGGTAAAGTTATTATTATTATTATTGTTATTCTTTATCCCATAGGAAGTAGTGAGATTTTGAAAGATTTTGAGCAGAGCTGTGATATTATCTGAACCATGCTTTAGAAAGATGATTATGGTAATAGTGTTTTTCTAATTCCAGAAAAGATAGAGGCTGTAAGAGGAAAAGAAAAGGAGAGAGCATATGAATGCCAGAGAAATGGAAAAACAGGAAGCAGAAATTGGGGATTAATTGAATGTTAAGGGACAGGGAAAAAGAACAAAGTTAATGGGAGGTGTATGTGAGCCATTTAGGGGAGAAGCCGAATAGATATTTGAAAATACAGGACTGGGGCTTGGAATAATGGTCAGTACTGTCTAGTGACACAGTATTACTTAAAATCATTAAATGGGCAGAAATTAAGATAGCAGCTTGCAGTCACACAGAGGACTTGGGGAAATCCTTAGAGGAACACATTCATTTAGGCATCAGAGAGAAGAGGAAGTATAATCAGAATAATTTGGAAAAACAGAAGACAGTTTCATGGGATCCAAGAGACATTTATGAAGAAGGAAGTGGGGGTAGTAAAATGGAAGAAAATTGAAAATATCCTTTAGGTTCAATGGATGAACTTCAGGAATACTGTCTTCAGCTTCAATAGCAATGCAATATTGTAGCAGAAAAGCAAACAAAGAAAAGATAAAACTGAGAAGGCTTAATTCCTAGAAGTCTTAGAGAGATAATTTTAGAACATATATAGAGCTTGGCAACCAAAGATGAAGAGAATATGCATGCATTTTAAGAAAATTATGTAAAAGTGGGCTGGGCGCAGTGGCTCACGCCTGTAATCTCAGCACTTTGGGAGGCCGAGGCAGGTGCATCATCGCAAGTCAGGAGTTTGAGACCAGCCTGGCCAATATAACGAAACCCCATCTCTACTAAAAATACAAAATTAGCCAGGCGTGGTGGTGCACGCCTGTAATCCCAGCTACTTGGAAGGCTGAGGCAGGAGAATCGCTTGAACCCAGAAGGCAGAGGTTGCAGTAAGCCGATACTGCATCACTGCACTCCAGCCTGAGTCTCAAAAAAAAAAAAAAAAAAAAAAAGAAGAGAGAGATAGAGAAAGAAAATTAATTATGTAACTATTTAGAGAGAGGATAATTAGCCCAGCATGGTGGCAAGAGCCTGTCCTCCCAGCTACTCAGGAGGCTGAGGCATGAGAATCGTTTGAACCTGGGAGGTGGAGGTTGCAGTGAGCTGAAATCTCGCCACTGTACTCCAGCCTGGGCAACAGAGCCAGACTCTGTCTCAAAAAATAAAAAAAGAAAGAAAGAAAGAGAGAGAAGAAAGAGAAGAAAGAAAGAAAGAGAAAGAAAACTATTTTCTAGGAATGAATGTTTCCTGATTTGTAAGATGCCTTATTTGAAACTCTCTTTCTTTTCTTTTTTCTTTTCTTTTGTTTTCTTTTCTTTTCTTTCTTCTGAGACAGAGTTTTGCTCTTGTTGCCAGGCCGGAGTGCAATGGCATGATCTCGGCTCACCCCATCTTCCGCCTCCCAGGTTCAAGCGATTCTCCTGCCTCAGCTGCCCGAGTAGCTGGGATTACAGGAATGCGCCACCACACCCGGCTAATTTTGTATTTTTAGTAGAGACAGGGTTTCTCCATGTTGGTTAGGCTGGTCTTGAACTCCTGACCTCAGGTGATCCACCCGCCTTGGCCTCTCAAAGTGCTGGGATTACAGGTGTGAGCCACTGTGCCTAGCTGAAACTACTTTCTTAGAAATTTAGCAACTAGTGTTCATATGATGTCATAAGGAATATTTTAGTTTATTGGAGCTATAGTCAGACTACATTAGCAGAGTAGACATGCAAACATTGCAGTTATTGATTGGTTAGTGGTTAGGTAAAATGTGATGCTGAATTCAGGCAAGTTTTAGCTACCAGTTAATCTGAAGCATTCCACAGCCACAGACAGAATCGGAAGGAGTAACAGAAATAATGAAAACGTTCAGTTTATAACTATAGGCATGAGACAAGAGTGGGATATTCTCAGCAAGAAAAATGTGAAAATGGAAGTCCATAGTTTTTTTCTAGTTTTTTCCTGTAAGGCCTTCATCTACAATGCTAGTCAAGCATCTAAAAATTATTCCAATATATGTAGGTTTTAAATTGTTATATTCTTTGACCCAATAATTCTACTTCTAGAAAGCCATTCTCAAGAAAGCCTCCAAAATGTAGATAAGTAATAGGCACCAAGATCTTCCAGACACAATAATTTTCAATAGTTCAACAAAAGGTTGAATACAGCCTTGGTTTTTGATTGTGGAGAAATGGTTGTGAATGAATTGCAGCTCTTCCATAAGACAGACAATAAGTAGTCATTAAAATGACCTTTGTGAACAGTATTTGGTGATATGGCAAAATAGTCATAGAGTTAGATAAAAGAGGTGAACTATGGAATTACACATATAATGTGATCTCAGCTGCATTTTAAAAATGCAGGCAGAAATAAATACGTCCATGGAGAAAAGTATGCCAGATTGTTAATGGAGTTTTGCCTGGATAGGATTATGGATTTTTTTCTTTCCTTTTTTTTTTTTTTTTTTGAGATGGAGTCTCACTCTGTCACCCAGGCTGGAGTGCAGTGGTGCGATCTCGGCTCACTGCAACATCTGCCTCCTGGGTTCAAGCGATTCTCCTGCCTCAGCCTCCTGAGTAGCTGGGATTACAGGCACATGCCACCAGGCTCAGCTAGTTTGTTTATTTTCAGTAGAGACGGGGTTTCACCATGTTGGTCAGGCTGGTCTTGAACTCCTGACCTAGTGATCCGCCTGCCTTGGCCTCCCAAAGTGCCGGGATTACAGGCGTGAGCCACTGCGTCCGGCCGGATTTTTTTCTTAATAATGTGTATTTCCCAAGTTTTCTACATTGGGCATGTACTTCTTTAATAGATAATTTAAAAATAATCATCACTCCAGCCGGGCGCGGTGGCTCACGCCTGTAATCCCAGCACTTTGGGAGGCCAAGGTGGGTGGATCACTTGAGGTCAGGAGGTCGAGACCAGCCTGGCCAACATGGTGAAACCCCGTCTGTACTGAAAATACAAACATTAGCCAGGCTTGGTGGCAGATGCCTATAATCCCAGTACTTGGGAGGCTGAGGCAGGAGAATTGCTTGAACCTGGGAGGTAGAGGTTGCAGTGAGCCGAGATCATGCCACTGCACTCCAGCCTGGGCAACAGAGCAAGACTCCGTCTCAAAAAAAATAAATAAATAATAATCATCACCCTGAAAATGTGGAAGATTGGTTATAGGAGAGCCTAGGAAAGGAAAGGTAGAGTAATCAATGCAAATCATCATGTCTATTGGAAAAGCAATTCAAAATAGAAGCCTTAACAACAGAGAATCAGTAGCATTACCGCGTGCTGTCAGATTAGTGCTGTCTACTGGTAATCTCCATTAAGTTACCTGGACACAAACAAACCAGTGGAAGCTTCAGTATAGATTCTTAAATCTAACGACACATTTGTTTCCCAGATATTGCCTGTGAAAGAGTAGCTTGCATCTTTGTTTTGAGCATCTTACCTTTTAACTTTGCCATCCACAAACAGATGAAGATAAAATTTTAACTTTGTAATATTACATTTGTAAATATGTAAAACTACCACATGAGCAATTATTGATTCTTTAATTTGGCTGATAATTATGTATTTTGTTCTTCTTTTTCTATAGGTTGCATCATAAATACAAAGGACTGAAGTTATAAAAGAGAAAAGAGAAGTTTGCTGCTAAAATGAATCTGAGCAATATGGAATATTTTGTGCCACACACAAAAAGGTATTGTCCATACAACTTAGCTTTCTCCTAAGAAATGGAAAAAAATAATATTTTCTGGGTTTTTGGATGAATTTTTATCTTTGAAAGAAAAATAAAAGGGAAAGTAAAAATATTAATAAAATTGGGATAAAATATTCTTTTATAAAAATCTTTGGCCGGGTGCGGTGGCTCATGCCTGTAATCCCAGCACTTTGGGAGGCTGAGGCAGGTGGATCACCTGAGGTCAGGAGTTCGAGACCAGCCTGATCAAAATGGAGAAACCACGTCTCTACTCAAAATGCAAAAAAAAAAAAAATTAGCCGGGCGTGGTGGCGCATGTCTGTAGTCCCAGCTACTGGGGAGGCTGAGGCAGGAGAATTGGTTGAACCCAGGAGGCAGAGGTTGCGGTGAGCCGAGATCGTGCATTGCACTCCAGCTTCGGCAACAAGAGCGAAACTCTGTCTGAAAAAAATAAAATAAAAATAAAAATCTTTGAGTTTCTATTTATTTCCTAAAATTTTTTTTCTTCTCAGTTATAGTTTACAATATAGAGAATTATTTGGTTAAAAGAAATGAGCTTACTTAAACTTTCTTGATTCCTATTGTCAAATTATTTTCTGGAAATATATATATTGCCATTTTTTTGTTGGTAGTTTATAGTTAGATTTGAAATTACCTAAAAGGTTTCGTATCACTTTTCTTCTAATTACAGAAGTAATAGACTTTGCAAAATATGATTTTAGAAAATACACAGAAACAAAAAGAAGGAAATAAAAAATTACCCAAAATTTCAACACCTAACTTCAGATAAAACACAAGCTACAAAGAAACCCAAACTTACAGATCAAAGAAGTCACGTTTCCCAGATGCACTGTCGTATTCCTTCTGTACGTTCCCTAATTATGCCTTGCCTCTTTTGCTAAAACAAAACAAACAAGAAACTGCCTTGTGTGAATTCCCAAAAGTGTATTACTAGGTCAAAGAGCATACCCATCCTATTCTTCAAGCAATGTATGAAACTATTTTCTTATACCCTTACCCCAAAAAAAGTATATTTTTTCCTCTTATTTGCCAATTTGGTGGGTGAAATGAGGTGTTATATTATTTCTGTTTTTACTTCCTTGATCATTAGTGAAGTTACATGTTTCATATTTTAAATGGACACTACTCTTTTTTTTGTTTTGTTTTCCTACCTGTCTCTTTTGAGTTTGTAGGTAAGTGTATGTGTGTGTGTGTTCACCTCTCTGATATTCAGAATAGCTTTTTTTTTTTTTTTTTTTTCTTCCTGAGACAGTGTTTCACTCTGTCACCCAGGCTGGAGTGGAGTGGCATGATCTCAGCTCACTACAACCTCCACCTCCTGGGTTCAAGCAGTTCTCCTGCCTCAGCGTCCTGAGTAGCTAGGATTACAGGCAAGCGCCACCATGCCCGGCTAGTTTTTGTATTTTTAGTAGAGACGGGGTTTCACCATGTTGGCCAGGCTGGTCTTGAACTCCTGACCTCGTGATCTGCCCTCCTCGGCCTCCCAAAGTGCTGGGATTTCAGATGTGAGCCACCATGCCCGGCCCAGAATAGCTTTTAACTGGCAAATATTTTGCAAAATTTTTCTCTACTTCATTTAATTTATGTATTTTTTTCTTTTGAGACAGAGTCTCGCTCTGTTGCCCAGGCCAGAGTGAAGTGGCACAATGTCTGCTCACTGCAACCTCTGCCTCCGAGATTAAAAGAATTCTCTCACTTTAGTCTCCCAACTAGCTGGGATTACAGGCATGCACCACCACACCCAGCTGATTTTTGTGTTTTTAGTAGAGACAGGGTTTCACCATGTTGGCAAGGCTGGTCTCGAACTCCTGACCTCAAATGATCTGCCTGCTTCTGCCTCCCAAAGAGCTGGGATTACAAGCATGAGCTACCACACCCAGACTTATTTCAATTTGGTACATCTTTCTACAACAATAATGTGTACATATTTAAAGAGCATAATTTGTTTTAACAGGTATATATCTGTGAAACCACCATCATAGTGGAAATAAACATATCCACTATCACTCCCAAAAAGCTTCATCAGGCCCCTTTTTAGCCCCTCCTACCTACTCCTTTTTACCTGCCATCACCACCCCCTTCCCCCAGGTAACCACTGATATGATTTCTATCTCTTTAAATTAGTTTGCATTTTCTAGAATTCCATATAAATGAAATCATAAAGTATGTGCTATTTTTTGTCTGACTTCTTTTACACAGCATATTTTGAGATTCATTCATATTGTAGTGTATATCTGTAGTTTATTTTATTGCTGAGTTACAGTCCATTGTATTTATCACAGATTGTCCATTCATTTGTTGATATACATTTGGGTTGTTTCCAATTTTGGCTATTAAAGCTACTGTGAACATTTGTATACATGGCTTTGTATTGACATAAGCTTTCATTTTTCTTGGGTAAATACTTGAGTATAATGGCTACATCATATGATAGGTGTATGTTTAACTTTTTAAGAAACTGCCCAATGTTTTCCAAAGTGTTTTACCATTTTACATTCCCACCAGCAGTGTATGAAAGATACAGTCACTCCATATGCTAATGGCTAACATTAAAAAGACTGAGTTTTGAGACAGAGTTTCGCTCTTGTTGCCCAGGCTGGAGTGCAATGGCACAATCTTGGCTCACTGCAACTTCCACCTCCTGGGTTCAAGCACTTCTCCTTCCTCAGCCTCCCGAGTAGCTGGGATTACAGGCGCTCACCACAACACATGGCTAATTTATGTATTATTAGTAGAGATGAGGTTTCACCATGTTGGCCAGGCTGGTCTTGAACTCCTGACCTCAGGTGATCCACCCACCTCCGCCTCCCAAAGTGCTGGGATTACAGGTGTGAGCCACCGTGCCCGGCCTCTCATGGGTTTTCATTTGCATCTCCCTAATGAGTAGTGATAGTATGCATCTTTCTTTTGCCATTCATCCATCTCACTTGGTAGAGTGCTTGTGTTCAAATCTTTTGTCCATTAAAAAAATTGGGTTTTCTTATTTTCTTATTATTAAGTTTTGACAATTCTTTATGTTTTCTGGATCCAGGGGTCCCATTATGAGACATAATTTGCAAAGATTTTCTCCCAATATCTTGCTTGTCTTTTGATTTTCTCAAGTGTCTTTCAAAAAGCAGACATTTTTAATCCTGACGAAGTCTAATTTATGAATTTTTCCTTTGATGGATTGTGCTTTGGGTTATTAACTAAGAAATTTTTAACTAACCTGGGGTCACAAATATTTTCTCCTGTACCTTCGTCTAGAAGTTTTATTATTGTAGATTTACATTTAGTTCTATAACCTATTTGGAGTCAGTTTTTACACAGGTTGTTAGTATGGACCAAATATCTGTTTTCTTGCATATTTGGATGCAAGTGTTCCAGTACCATTCATTGAAGACAATTATTTCTTCATTGGATTGCCTTTGTACTTCTACCAAATCTCAGTTGTCCATAAATATGTGGGTCTACTTCTGGGCTTCCTATTCCACTGCACTGATTAATTTGTCTATCTCTGTGCCAGTATTGCATGGTCTTGATAACTGTAGATTTATAATAAAGTTTGAAATTATTTTATGCTAGCTCTCCAACTTTGTCCTCCTTTTTCAAAGTTGCTTTGGTTATTCTGGGTCCTTTGAATTCTCATATGAATTTTAGATTAAACTTCTCAGAGTTTAAAAAATGTTGAGTCTTCTGATTTATAAACACCGTATATCCCTTCATTATGTCTTTATGTCATTATTATTTTGTCATTTTCAGTGTACAGGTCTTATATATCCTTTGTCGCATTGATCCCTAAGTATTTCGCTTTTTTTTTTTTTTTTTGAGACGGAGTCTTGCTCTGTCACCCAGGCTGGAGTGCAGTGACACGATCTCAGCTCACTACAACCTCTGCCTCCCGGTTTCAAGCGATTCTCCTGCCTCAGCCTCCCAAGTAGCTGGGATTACAGGTGTGTGACACCACACCTGGCTAATTTTTGTATTTTTAGTAGAGACAGGGTTTCACCATGTTGGCCAGGCTGGTCTTGAACGCCTCACCTCAAGTGATCCACCCACCTCAGCCTCCCAAAGTACTGGGATTATAGGCGTGAGCCACCGCACCCGGCCATATTTCACATTTTTTATGCTACCATGATATTTTTAAATTTGATTTTCTTTTTCTTTCTCTTTGAGATGGAGTCTCGCCCTGTCGCCCCGGCTAGAGTGTAGTAGTGCGATCTCAGCTCACTGCAACCTCCACCTCCCAGGTTCAAGCAGTTCTCTGCCTCAGCCTCCCGAGTAGCTGGGACTACAGGTACCCACCACCACGCCCGGCTAATTATTTGTACTTTTAATAGAGATGGGGTTTCATCATCTTGGCCAGGCTGGTCTTGAACTCCTGACCTTGTGATCCACCTGCCTCGGCCACCCAAAGTGCTAGGATTACAGACATGAGCCACCGTGCCTGGCCTTGATTTTCATTTATTTATACATAGAGACATAATCATTTCAGGCCAGGCACAGTGGCTCACACCTGTCATCCCGGCACTTTGGGAGGCCGAGGTGTGTGGATCACTTGAAGCCAGGAATTTGAGACCAGCCTGGCCAATGTGACAAAACCCCGTCTCTACTGAAAATACAAAAATTAGTCAGACATAGTGGTGCATGCCTGTAATCCTAGCTACTTGGGTGACTGAGGCACGAGAATTGCTGGAACCCGGGAGGCAGAGGTTCCAGTGAGCCAAGATCGTGCCACTGCACTCCAGCCCAGGTGACAGAGGGCAGAGTAAGACTGTGTCTCAAAAAAAAAAGAAGTGTAATCATTTTATGTGTTGATCTTCTGTACTTTTTAATAAACTAATAAGTTCTAGTAGCTTTTGTAGATCCCACTGAATTTTTTGACAATGATTATGTTGTTTGACAACAGAAAGTCTTACTTCTTCCTTTTCAGTCTTGATGCTTTTTGTTTCTTTTTTTCTTATTTACTGCACCTGTACAGCATCTGGCACAATGTTTTTGTTTGGTTTGGTTTGGTGTTGTAAAGAGAGAGGATCTTGCTATGTTTGCCAGACTGGTCTCAAACTCCTGGTCTCAAGTCATCCTCTCACCTTGGCCTCCCAAAGCATTAGGATTACAGACATGAGACATCACACCCAGCCCCAGCACAATGTTGAATGTAAGTGTTGCGAGTAAACATCCTTGCCTCCTTCCTGATTCTGTATTTAACATGCTTTTTTTCTCTGGATACTTTTATGATTTTCTCTTTATCACAAATTTTGAGCAATTTATTATGATGTGCCTTGGTATAATTTTCTTCGTATTTCTTGTGCTTGAGGTTCATGGACCTTCTTGGATCTGTGGGTTTATACTTTTCATCAAATTCATAATTTTCTCCACTATTACTTCCTCAAATAATTTTTTCTGTCCTAATATCTTTCCTCCCCTTCAGGGACTCCACTTAGACATACAGTAGGCCACGTGAAGATGTTCCACAGCTCACTGATGCTCTGGGTCGTGGGTTTGGTTTTTGTTTTGTTAGTCTTTTTTCTGTTTTATTTTGGATAGTTCCTGTTGTTGTGTCTTCAAGTTCAGTAACCCCTTTTTCGGCAAAGTCTCCTCTGCTATGCAACCCATGCAGAGGATTTTTAAATCTCAGACATTGTAGCTTTCATCTCTAAAGGTCTGATTTGAGGGCCAGGTGTGGTGGCTCACACTTGTAATCCCAGGAGTTTGGGAGGCCAAGGTGGGTGGATCACTTGTGGTCAAGAGTTTGAGACCAGCCTGGCCAACATGGTGAAACCCTGTCTCTACTAAAAATACAAAAATTAGCTGGATGTGGTGGCGCATGCCTGTAATTCCACCTGCTTGGGAGGCTGAGGCAGGAGAAGTGCTTGAACCTGGGAGGCAGAGGTTGCAGTGAGCTGAGATTGCACCACTGCACTCTAGCCTGGGCAACAGAACGAGACTCCATCTCAAAATAATGACATACATATATGCATAAAATAAAGGTTTACTTTGAATCTGTTTATATTTTGTCTGTCTCTGCTTTACATGTTCGAAATTTTCTCCACCCTTTTCAATATATGGAATACAACTGTATTAAATGTTTTAATGTCCTTGACCACTAATTTTAACATGTATCATCTATATCAATTATGGTTTGGTTTCAATTATTTTTCTCCTCATTATGAATTATATTTGCCTGCTTTTCTGCATGCCTGGTAATTTTTTATGGAGTGTTAGATATTGTGAATTTTACCTTTTTAGATACTGGATATTTTTATATTCCTTCAAGTATTCTTGGACTTTGTTCTGGAACACAGTTAAGTTACTTGGAAATAATTTCATCCTTTTAGGTCTTGCTTTTAAAATTTGTTAGAGGCAGGCACAGTTGGTCATGCCTGTAATCCCAGCACTTTGGGAGGCAGAGCCGGGAGGATCACTTGAGTCCCGGAGGTTGAGGCTGCAATGAGCCATGATTGTACCCTTGCACTCCAGCCTGGGTGACAGAGCAAGACCCTGTCTCACAAATAAAAAATAGATAAAATAAAAATTGTTAGGCATCACAGACCAGCATTTAGTCTAGGGTCCCTACTATGAAGGCAAGACTCTTCTGAGTAGCCTCCAGAATGCCCTGTGAATTATGAGATTTCTTATCCTGGCTAGGGGGAATGAGTACTATTCACAGCCCTTTTTGAGCTATAGGTACTATAGTTTGTATTCCTTTCAGATTGTTTTTTTCCCCTGGTCTAAGGTAGTTTTCTCATATGCATGCACTAATCAGTGCTCAGCTGAAGACTTGAGGGGAACCCTTTGCAAATCTCCATATCTTGTTTCTCTGCTGCTCTCTTCTATTTGACACTCTGCCCTGCCAACTCTACTCACCTTGGTCAACCTGGACTGTCATCTTTGTCTCCTCAACTCAGGGAGTCCACCAGGCTCTAACTGGATTTCCCCTCTCTGCAGCATGGCCTAGAAATTCTCCCAGGGCATTAAGCTCAAACATTTAATGGCTTACATCATTTGCCTATCTTCTGTCAGGGATCATTGTCTTTCTTTGCCTGATATCCATTGTCTTCAAATACCATCATTTATATGTTCTATCCAGTGCTTTTTTTGTTTGTTTGTTTTTTGAGATAGGGTCTTACTCTGCTGCCTGGGCTGGAGTGCAGTGGCATGATTTTGACTCACTGCATCCTTGATCTCCGGGCTCTGGTGGTCTTTCCACCTCAGCCTCCTGAGTAGCTGGGACTACAGGCGTACACCACCATACACAGCTAAGTTTTTGTATCTTTTGTAGCGATACAGCCTGTTGCCCAGGCTGGTCTCAAACTCCTGGGCTCAAGCCACCTGCCCACCTCGGCCTTCCAAAGTGCTAGGATTACAGACATGAGTCACCGTGGCTGGCCTTGTCCAGTGTTTTAATTGTTCCCGGTGGCAGATAATAAATCCAGCCCCTGTTACTCCATCTTGGCTAGAAGCAGAAGTCCCTTCATTACATGTTTAAGATAAAGAAGTTATTAATTATATATAGTTACAGTTATTGATTTTTAGTTTATGGCTTTGCCTCTGGTATCTTGCTAAGTAATTAAATATTCACTTGTAATTTATTCTAGAAGTTTTTATGGTCTCATTTTTACATTTAAATATTTATTTCTTCATAAAATGATTTTAGTCTATAATCCTTGTTTTCCCCCCAAATCCATAGCACTTAGCTTTATTCACATGGAAGCCAAAATATTCTAAAGTTTATAATGTGTTTTGGTGATTGAAAATATTTTAATTATCATAAGTTTAGTTCATAGGTCTTTTTGATTTTCTTAAAGATAGTCTCATAATTTCCCTTTTACGTATAGTCTCCAAAAAGGTATATCTTTGATTTAATCCATTGATTCTTTTTTTGTTGTTCTCAGACATAAGCAATAAAATCAAAATGCTTTTTGAGCTTTTTTTTTTTTTATGACAGAGTCTTGCTCTGTCATCACCAGGCTTGAATGCAGTGGCACGATCTCGGCTCACTGCAACCTCCGCCTCCCAGATTCAAGCAATTCTCCTGCCTCAGCCTCCCTAGTAGCTGGGACTACAGGAGCACCACCACACCTAGCTAATTTTTGTATTTTTTTAGTAGAGATGGGGTTTTACCATGTTGGCCAGAATGGTCTTGATCTCTTGACCTTGTGATCTGCCTGCCTTGGCCTCCCAAAGTACTGGGATTACAGGTGTAAGCCACTGCGCCCGGCCAGTTTTTGAACTCTCATTTTGTGCTTTCATTTACCTGATTGACAAATAGCTGGATTTAAGTTACTTTCCCAGTAGTATTGATGTAGTAACTTTATACTTGATTATTGGCATCCATGGATTGGCAGGATGACTGCCTAGGATTATAGGTGCATTGTTGGCGGAGGGATCCTTTTTCCCATATAAACCTTCAGTGGTTCCCCTTTCCCTCAGGATAAAGTCTAAACTTCTTAATATGGTTTAAAGGGTCTTTTGCAATTTTCCTTGGCTCAACACCAGCTTCATGTTTTCTCCTTCCAACTCTCCCATACAATTCATATTGAATGAACTAATTTTATTTTCCCTAAAAAGGCATGCTTTTTCACATCTAAGTCAAAAACAGGCTGAGTCATCCTATAATATCCTTATATTAAAAAATATTTATTTTCCCCTCATGATCCAATCAGTTAAAACCACTTTATCATTTGTGTCTTTATAATTTAATGTCTATAAGTCCATTTGACTCCTAAGCCCTTTAAGGATAGGGACTACATCCCATTCTACCTCCAAAACTCAGTACAGGGTATGGCAAATAGTGAGCATTCAACAATATTTGTTGAATGAAAGAATGAGTTGGGTAAGTGGATGGATCCTTAGGTTGATGACCTGTGTATACTAGTGAACTAACTAGACTATGAAGTAATGTATGTTGTCACCTATGGCTATGTCTCAAGAAAAAAATACCTCTTAGCACTATCAGTTTTACTTAATTAATTAGTTTCTTTTTTTTCTTCTCCTAGCATGAGACCCACTGGCCCATGTTTTGAAAAATAGTTTTATTGGCCAATAACCAAATTTCTATCTTGGTTATCTAGTTGGTCAAAGAAGAAACACCAACTATCCTGTGATCAGTGTAAACGTTGGCATAAATAAATGATTATCTGGGTATGAGGGCAGCGGTTATTTAAAATGAAAAATATAGATGATTGATAACATTTCTATATTTTTCAAAAAATAAAAAAGAATCTACATCAAATAAATTTATGTAACTAATGGCAGATCAATATATGAGCATGTCAAAATGATGTCCTTTTATTAATAGAAACTTTGATTTCAGAATGTTTTATGTAGCAGCAGAATAACTTGCCTCTTTACATGGGCATTTAACCTAGCCTCCATGTGATAGTAATTTCTTCTAGTAGTCAGTAAAGAATTGTTTAATTGCCTGTATTTCTATATGAATATACCACATGTCAATCAAGAGCATGGGCTTTGCTGTTAGATCTGAGTTTTAATTGCGGTCCTGACAAATACTGGCTTTCTGACCATGTGGAAGTAGTTTAGCCCATCAAAGTCTTAGTTGGTTCTATAAAATTAAGACAGTAAAGTCATTATATTATGAAGCTATTGTAGGGATTAAAGGAGATAATATATATAAGGTTTTAGTGCTGCCTGGCGCATAGTATCGATTAATAAATACCAACCGTTATTATTTCAACATTAATTACACCAAAATGAATTTTTGTAATATCTCTACAATATAATTTACATTCTATACCCTTTGCTCACTTAAAATGTGTAACTGAATGATTTTTGGTATAGTCACAGTTATGCAGTCATCACCACAGTCAATTTTAGGACATTTTCATCACCCTGAAAAGAAAGCCTGTATCTTTTAGCTATCACCCTCCAAACCCCCATCTCTAACCAATAATCTACTTTCTGTCTTTATAGATTTGCCTATTCTGGAAATTACATGTATATGTGTGTGTGTATATATGGAATCATACAATATATGGTCTTTTGTGACTGGTATCTTTCATTTGGCATAATTTTTACAAGGTTCATTCATGTTGCAGCCAATACTTCATTCCTTTTTACTGCTGAATAATATTCCATTATATGGATATACCACATTTTGTTTATTCTTTATCAGTTAAAGGATATTTGGGTTTTTCCATCTTCTGGTTATTATGAATAATGGTGCTATGAACATTTGTGCACAAGTTTTTGTGTGAACACATGTTTTCATTTCTCTTGGGGGTATGTGTGTACTTAGAAGTGGAAACTCTGGGTCAAATGGTAACTCGGTATTTAAGTTTGTTATGAACTGCAGGGCTGTTTTCTAAAATGGCACAGCTACCAGCAGTGTTGGAGGGTTCTAATTTCTCAGCATTTTCACAAACACTTATCTTACTTTTTGACTATCACTATCCTAGTGAGTATGCAATGGTATCTCACTGTGGTTTTAATTTTCGTTTCTCTAATAACTAATGATGTTTGAGGATCTTCTCATATGTTAATGGTCATTTGTATATCTTTTTGGAGAAATGTGTATTCAAATCATATGTCTGTTCTTTTTTTTTTTTTTGA
This sequence comes from Homo sapiens, assembly GCF_000001405.40. Classification (NCBI taxonomy): domain Eukaryota; kingdom Metazoa; phylum Chordata; class Mammalia; order Primates; family Hominidae; genus Homo; species Homo sapiens. The sequence goes on along the minus strand of NC_000012.12, from coordinate 118,256,082 downwards.
GACAGAGTTTCCCTCTCATTGCCCAGGCTGGAGTGCAATGGCTCAATCTCGGCTCACCGCAACCTCAGCCTCCCGGGTTCAAGCGATTCTCCTGCCTCAGCCTCCCTAGTAGCTGGGATTACAGGCATGTGCCACCACGCCTGGCTAATTTTTTGTATTTTTAGTAGAGACAGGGTTTCTCCATGTTGGTAAGGCTGGTCTCGAACTCCCGACCTCAGGTGATCCGCCCGCCTCAGCCTCCCAAAGTGCCGGGATTACAGGCATGAGCCACCGCGCCCGGCCATATGTCCATTCTTTATTTGGGTTTTTTTGTCCTTTTGTTATTGAGTTGTGAGACCAAGAGGCTTTTAATATTTGTATGTATTTGTATTGCCACCAAGTAAAATGTGTTAGAAATAATTTAATGGCAAACCTTATTTTTCTACAGGTACTGAAGATTTACCCCCCAAAAAAAATTGTCAATGAGAAATAAAGCTAACTGATATCAAAAAGCAGAGCCTGCTCTACTGGCCATCATGCGTAAAGGGGTGCTGAAGGACCCAGAGATTGCCGATCTATTCTACAAAGATGATCCTGAGGAACTTTTTATTGGTTTGCATGAAATTGGACATGGAAGTTTTGGAGCAGTTTATTTTGTAAGTACTTAAAAGAGTCTTTTAGATAGATCAGATTAAGAAAGGTTGGACTCTAGGCCTGGCACAGTGACTCACGCCTGTAATCCTAGCACTTTGCAAGGCCAAGGTGGGAGGAAAGACCAGCCTAGGCAACATAGCAAGACCCTGTCTCTACAAAAAACTAAAATAAAATAAAGTTTGAACTCTACATGTTCTCTACACATAGCTGTTGCTCGTAAAATAAGCTTGGTTTCAGTGATTTTTCTATAAATTAAATGATATCTACCGTAGAGGCAAATAGTCATTGCTGAAAAGCCAGTTCCAGAATCCTAGGCTTTATTCAATTCAGTGGTATTTATAATCAATTGACTCACTTATTAAAGTAGTATAAGAAAGTTAAGAGCTTCAGCCGGGCACAGTGGCTCACGCCTGTAATCCCAGCACTCTGGGAGGCTGAGGCGGGCAGATCACGAGGTCAGGAGATCGAGACCATCCTGGCTAACACGGTGAAACCCCGTCTCTACTAAAAATACAAAAAAAAAAATTAGCCAGGCGTGGTGGCAGGCACCTGTAGTCCCAGCTGCTCGGGAGGCTGAGGCAGGAGAATGGCATGAACCAGGGAGGTGGAGCTTGCAGTGAGCCAAGATTGTGCCACTGCACTCTGGCCTGGGCAACAGAGTGAGACTCCGTCTCAAAAAATAAAAAAAAAAAGTTAAGAGCTTGAAGTTGAGCTTTGTGCATTTCCACTGTATGCTAAGCTCTTTCCTGCCTCAGAGCCTTATATGTGCTATTACCCCACCTAGAAAACTCTGCACATTACATCCCCATGCCTGTCCGTTCATCCTACAAGTTTTACCTTAAGTATTACTTTTGCAAGATACCCTTTACTGTTCAAGACTCCACCCCTAAATCAATACTTTATGATTTCATAACATCTTGTTCTTATATTTTGTTGCATTTATCACAGTTGTAATAAAACAATTACGTATACGATTTTTTGCTTTATATATGTCTTTTTCCCTAAATAACAAGTGTCATGAGGACAGGGTTTATGTCTATCTTGTTCATCGTTACAGACTCAAGAACTAGTATATGCCTGACAGTAGTAGGAATTTGATAAATAATGGATGGGTGGATGGATGGATGGATGGATGGATGGATGGTGGATAGACAGATAAACAGATGAACAGACAACTATTCAGAGAAAGGGACTGACAGTGATTTTTAGTGGCAATCATGTCAAGTCAGTATTTTCGTTTAAGGGGTACAAGGCTGTACCCCTAGAATCAGTTTTAGTTCCAAGAATGTGACTATCTCCTGATGAGAAAAACAAATAGCCAAAATTTTAACACAGCTTATTCACCTGAAATTCATTACATAAAATACAGTTTGTTTGTTCTTTTGTTTGTTTTTTGAGACAGAGCCTCGCTCTGTAGCCCAGGCTGGAGTACAGTGGCACGATCTTGGCTCACTGCAACCTCCGCCTCCTGGATCCCAGTTCAAGCAATTCTCCTGCGTCAGCCTTCCACATAGCTGGGATTACAGGCATGTGCCACCACGCTCAGCTAATTTTTGTATTTTTAGTAGAGACCGGGTTTCACCATGTTGGCCAGGCTGGTCTTGAACTGACCTCGTGATCTGACCACCTCGGCCTCCCAAAGTGGTGGGATTACAGGCGTGAGCCACTGCACCGGGCCCTGTTTTTTTTTTTTTGTTTGTTTGTTTGTTTGTTTTAAGACAGTCTTGCTCTGTCGCCCAGGCTGGAGTGCAGTGGCACAATCTCGGCTCACTACAACCTCCACCTCCCGGGTTCAAGCAATTCTCCCGCCTCAGCCTCCTGAGTAGCTGGGATTACAGACACCTGCCATCATGCCAGGCTAATTTTTGTATTTTTGTAGAGATGGGGTTTTACTGTGTTGGCCAGGCTGGTCTTAAACTCCTGACTTCAGGTGATCTACCCGTCTCGGCCTCCCCAAAGTGCTGGGATTACAGGCGTGAGCCACCGTGCCAGGCCAAAATATAGTTATTTAATTTAACAAATACTTCCTTAAGCATAATAGTCCATTAAAGCAAATAATAAATTAAGTACTAATTATTACCTACTTCTCCAAACTTGTAATCAAATAATTTCTTTGTAATCAAACATTACTGACTCTTCCATTTTAAGTGGTCCTTTATGTTCTGCCATCTGGATAGGGCTTATCTTTAGTTGTCCTTCCAAATGAGATTATTTTATGAATTGCATCTTTACTTTGTCCTTTTGCTTCTAGCCAAATCTTCAGCCTGGATTTTCTCTAAACTGTTTCTCAACCACTGCGTCTATGCTCAGCCCTACCATTACTTCTGCTTCCCTCACTACCATCAATAACTTGGCTCCCACTGAAGTATATTTTGTCATTAAATACAATAAAAGATTTTTCTGGCTGAAAAGGGTGCTAATTTCGGCTGGGCGCAGTGGCTCACGCCTGTAATCCCAGCACTTTAGGAGGCTGAGGCAGGCGGATCACGAGGTCAAGAGTTCGAGACTATCCTGGCTAACACGGAGAAACCCCGTCTCTACTGAAAAATAGAAAAACTTAGCCGGACATGGTGGTGGACGCCTGTACTTAGCTACTTAGCTACTCGGGAGGCTGAGGCAGGAGAATGGCGTGAACTCGGGAGGCAGAGCTTGCAGTGAGCCAAGATTGTGCCACTGCACTCCAGCCTGGGGGACAGAGTGAGACTCTGTCTCAAAAAAAAAAAAAAGAAAAGAAAAAAGGGTGCTAATTTCTTAGTTAACACTCCCTTGTTAGTGTGTAGTCAGAATATCATTTAAGGCCCAAAGTTCTGTCTTCTTTAGTCTCAGGTCCTCTTGTTAACAAAGCGTTTTTATTATAAGTATACATAAAGAAGTATATACAATATACATATCTATTTTAATATAGAACTTCAGAAAGAATTAAAAGGTAAATCTCTGTGTAAAAACACCACCCAGATCAAGAAATACAATACTGCCAGCATCCCAAAAGCCCCTCTTTATGTCTCCCTCAGTCAGAACCCTCTCCGTCCCCTTAAGAGTATCCACCATTCTGATTTTTATGGTGATTATTTTCTTACTTTTCTTTATAGTTATAACCCACTTAATCTGTACTCCTAAAAATGTAAATTGGTTTTGCTTAGTTTTGAACTTTTTAAAAATGGAAACATCTGTATATATTCATTTGTGACCTGTTTGTTTTGCTTACAGATGTATTCTTCTGTCATCTTTGCTTTCTTTTCTTCTATTATTTTAAATCTAATTCATCTTCTCAGAATCTCTCCTGGCAAGAGTCAGTCTCTATTTGACTCTTCTCATTTAAAAAGCAGCCAAGGCCGGGTGCAGTGGCTCATGCCTGTAGTCCCAGCACTTGGGAGGCCGAGGCGGGTGGATCACGAGGTCAGGAGATCGAGACCATCCTGGCTAACATGGTGAAACCCCATCTCTACTAAAAATACAAAAAATTAGCCAGGCATGGTGGCGGGCGCCTGTAGTCCCAGCTACTGGGGAGGCTGAGGCAGGAGAATGGCATGAACCCGGGAGGTGGAGCTTGCAGTGAGCTGAGATTGTGCCACTGCACTCCAGCCTGGGGGACAGAGTGAGACTCTGTCTCAAAAAAAAAAAAAAGCAGCCAAACCCTTCTTAAAGTGCTAATGTTTCAGAATGACTACAATAAACCAAGCATGCTTTGAAACTTACTAAAAGCCATTTATAATAGTGGCAAAATGAGACCTACGTTGTACTAGGCTGCAGAAGACCTAGTGGTTTATTTGCTTTTTGGGCTAAGCCCTGTCTATTTAGCTAGAGTGTGTGCGTTTTTGAAGGTGAGGACTATTTCTAATATTTGTTTACAACTCTAAAGGCTGGCACGATCTCATTTACAGTAGGCACTAAATATATATTATTTGTTGCTGATGATAGACTAGAGAAATGATACAGGTAGCAGAGTGGCATTGATAAACGTAATCATTAACTCTATAGGGCCTGTATATAAATGTGAAAAGTACAGGCCTATGTACACCCATAAAGCACTAAAAAACAGATTAAAAGGGAATTAACTGACACTGTACTATAGAACTTACGAAAAGCTTTAACCTTTTATCTGTAGTGGTCACATGGGCAGTACCTTAAAAATGGATTTTCCTGTTGGCCAAAGTAGTATTTATATAAGTTGCTTCTTACTCCGTGCTAATAGATTTTTCCTTTTGTTACTTGTACCATTATTACCAGGAAGACTCTGCTATCTCTTATTTGGACAACTATGATTGCCTGCTTTGGTCTCTTCAGTCTGTTGTGCATACCTCGATGAGCTTGAAAAAAGAAATGTAAATCTCATCCCATCCCCTTTCCCTATAAAGCCTTTAGGGGCTCTCCCTCGTTCTTAGGCCAAGATCAAAATCCCTACTATAGCCAGCCCACAAGGTCCTTCATGGTCCCTATCTCTACTTGAGCTATCTTCTCTCTCATTCTCATTGCTGTAGCTCTGATTCCTTTCTTCTGATCATCCTTCCTGGAATCTTGCGTAAACTGTTCTCTCTCGAATATTTCTCCCTTCTATTTTCACCTTCTTAACTCCTGTTCATCATTTAGCTCTCAGCCTAAACCTCATTTCTTCAGGGAAGGCTTTCCTGACCTCCCTAAGTCACATCCACCGTTGTTGGTTCTCAAAGTAACAAATACCCTTCTTTGTGGCACATATCAGAATTGCAGTTTTACATTTTGTCTTTTATTGTTTTATTTTTGTTATTGTCTATCCTCCTAGAGGAGAGATAGGTACTGGGCATATTAACTCACTATCTTATCCCTAGCACTTAGCCCAATTCCTGATAAATTGTGGGCAGCTAATAAGTATTTGTTGAATGAATGAATGATGAAGAACTCTGAGAACTTGGTACTGCTAATTAGTACTTTTCATAAGTCATAGTCATGCTGGCAAGCCATAAAGACCAGAGTCTGGCAGCTAGTATTTTTATACCTAAACACTATAATTCTGTTAGCCTCTGTAGGTCACAGCTTTTTACACTGAATGCTGCCAGGGAATAAACTTAGTGTGAATTGTAAGCTGGAACAGCTCTTGTAAAATCAATCAGCTGAGAGTATATGTTATGTTCAGAGAAAACAGAAATTATTAACTTGATGAAGTATTTCTGTGTGTTTGGATTTACGTAAGTAATTTTGAAATTTGCATCATTGGTTGGGCGTGGTGGCTCACACATGTAATCCCAGCACTTTGGGAGGCCGAGGTGGGAGAATCACTTTAGCCCAGGAGTTCGAGACCAGCCTGGGCAACATAGTGGGAACCCATCTCTAAAAAAAAAATTAAAAAAATAAAGAATAAATTAGCAGCATTAACAAATGAGGTAGTAAGAAACTGTACTAAAGGAAAACAAACAAAAAAAGGACTGCGCATGTTCATTTTTGTATTCACCTAAACACAACTCTAAAGTTTGTAGGTTTCTAGATCACCTTTGTTGAACTCAGTATATTATCCATAACCCACCTAAAGCAAATAGTTTAATTCTATCTTTCTGGATATAATTACCTTTTAGTTGGGGTTCAAAAAATAGGGCAAAAAGAAAGCTTTTTCACTTTTAAAATTTTTATTTATTCATTTATTTAGAGACAGGGTCTCTCACTCTGTCACCCAAGCTGGAGTACAGTGGTGTGATCATAGCTCACTGTAACCTTGAACCCTTGGACTCAAGCAATCCTACTGCCTCTGCCTCCTGAGTAGGTAGCTACGACTACAAGCATGTGCCACCACACCCAGCTAATTTTGGTTTTAATTTTTTTGTAGATACAGGGTTTTGCTATGTTGCCCAGGCTGGTTCCAAACTCCTGGGCTCAAGTGATCCTCCTGCCTCAGCCTCCTATTTTTTTTTTTTTTTTTTTAGACAAAATCTCACTCTGTCACCTAGGCTGTAGTGCAGTGGTGCAATCTTGGCTGACTGCAACCTCCGCCTCCTGGGTACAAGCAGTTCTTCTGCCTCAGCCTCCCAAGTAGCTGGGATTACAGACGTGTGCCACCACGCCCTGCTAATTTTCATATTTTTAGTAGAGACAGGCTTTCACCATGTTGGCCAGACTGGTCTCAAACTCCTGACCTCAGGTGATCCACCCACGTTGGCCTCCCAAAGTGCTGGGATTACAGGAGTGAGCCACCATGCCTGGCCTGCCTCCTAAATTAACATAATTTTTTATATTTGTCTATAAAATAGCAAAAGGTATAGCTGTAAAATGTTTAAAAATATAAACACATAATAGTAAGTTCTTAATAAGTATTTCTTGAATCAATGATCTTGGTAATAGTTACTGAGACCATTGAGACTATTGGAAGTATTAAGCATGAATGTAAGTTTCAAGAATAAAACTTGAAATGATAGAGGCTGTAGTCATTCATAGTACTGTATGCACTAGAAAGCTGAGACCCCATTGATACTCTCCTTTTTCTGTACTAAAACATTGATTTTTTTTTAAGTTTCTATCTAGCATGTTTTGACTTTTAGCCAGTATAAAAATTCACATCTATAGCAAAATTAACATTTGCACTAAAAAGTTCACATCTATAGAATAATCAACATGGAAATGTTTTTCAAATTTCAAGTCTCTGCCTATACATTAGGATGTGTAAGTGAGTGGAAGCATTAAGTTCTAATCAGTGATTATCCTATAAATGTAAGAAATATATTTTTATTTTAGGGTGGTTATTTTTCATGTTTTTAGGTCCAAATATAGCATTAATTATAAATAACCTTAATAAGCAATTAAATAATAATACTATCTGATTTTATTTCTGTGGGCTTTTCTATTTTTTAGTAATGGTTAATTATTTTTTAAAACCTCACAAGAAGTTAAAATTTCTCATTGCCTGAATATTTCCTAAATCTTTCTCAGGCTCCTTAAGCTGCACTATATATATTGATGCCTCAAATATCTACTTTTCAGATATAGTCCCTTTAACCTTTATTGTAATACTGAATTTACATCAGCTTTTATTTATGATTGCCATATAAGCACAGTTTAGTGTTAAAGTTTAAAAGCCAGAACAGTGTTAGAGATTTTTGTTTTTAACAAAAGTCATTCTGTACTTTCTAAATCAATAAAATATCTAAAATATGCTTTTGTGGAGTTCTGCAGACTGGAAAATTATGTCTAGTGGATAACTCATTAATATATAATAGGTACTTTTACCTTAATGCTTTTTTAAAAAAAACTCCTGTAGTACGTTATTGTGGGTTTTTTTTTTTTTCATTTTGACATTCCATAAGAATCTGTGGTCAAATTATTTGTACATACTACATTATTGTTTATTGTTTGAATTAACCGTTTTTAAAAATCATAAAGAAACCATTGTATCTGAAGAGGTTCATTTTAAATTAGTTGTATTTAAGAAAATGATTATGAATTTTTCTCTAAAATTGTTAACCTGACTTTATCAGTGAATGAATTCCAATCTTTTACTTCAGAACCACTGCGATAGCTTTATTGGTCCACAATGATAATAATGTGACAGAAGCAAAATAGCTTACTTACATTAGGGGTATGGCACTGATGCAGAGGTAATCTTTTAATGTCTTGTATTTATTTTTATGAAAATTTTAAGAAAACTAATAGTTTTAAATATTTTAAATAAGTTGAGGCTGGGAGCAGTAGCTCACGCCTATAATTCCAGTACTTTGGGAGGCTGATGCGGGCGGATTACTTGAGGCCAGGAGTTCGAGACCAGCCTGGCCAATATGGTGAAACCCTGTCTCTACTACATATATAAAAATTAGCCAGGCGTGGTGGTGGCCGCCTGTAATCCCAGCTACTCAAGAGGCTGTGGTGGGAAGATCACTTGAGCCTGGGAGGCAGAGGTTGCAGTGAGCTGAGATTGTACCACTGCACTCCAGCCTGGATGACAGAGCAAGATCCTGTCTTAAAAAAAGAAAAAAGTATGTACGTATGTATGTGTGTGTGTGTGTATATATATATATGTATATCTTGAGTAAGTTGAGAGGAAAAGACTATTACTTGAATTATTAATGGTTTTCATATGTACTTTCAATGAACTGTTACATTTGGAGTATGGAGAAGACAAGTAGACATAATTATGAGACAAGGCAACCTCTATAGATAAAAAATACACATATATACATACATAAATGTAGGCATGTATATATGTAATACAGTCTTATTATAAAATATAAGTAATCCTGAAAACCAAAGTCCCCCTTAGGATTAATCTTACTTTCTGCTGTACTGTTCAATACAATAGCAAGTAGGCACGTTAACTATTAAAATTTAAAATTTATTTTCTCAGTCACACTAGCCACATTTCACATGTTACTCTTTTGGACAATCTAGAAATAGAACTGTCCCATCATCAAAGAAAGTTCTATCAGATAGCACTGCTCCAGGGATTATCACTGATATATATTCTGGTATAAATTCTTTTATAATTTTTTTTTCACGCTTAATTCACTTTATTTTTCTTGTATAAAAACCCTATGTTGTAGCCACAGCTGGATCCTGAGTCCGCTGCACGGAGACTCTGGTGTGGGTCTTAACGAGGTGGTCAGTGAATTCCTGATAGGGAGACTTGGTAAATACAGTCTCCTTCCAGAGGTCGGGGGTCAGGTAGCTGTAGGTCTTAGAAATGGCATCAAAGGTGGCCTTGGCGAAGTTGCCCAGGGTGGCAGTGCAGCCCCGGGCTGAGGTGTAGCAGTCATCGATACCAGCCATCATGAGCAGCTTCTTAGGCACAGGTGCGGAGACGATGCCAGTGCCCCTGGGTGCAGGGATGAGGCGCACCAGCACAGAGCCGCAGCGGCCTGTCACCTTGCAAGGGACAGTGTGGGGCTTGCCGATCTTGTTCCCCCAGTAGCCTCTGCGCACGGGGACAATGGAGAGCTTGGCCAGGATGATGGCCCCACGGATGGCGGTGGCCACCTCCTTGGAGCACTTAACACCCAGACCGACGTGGCCATTGTAGTCCCCGATAGCAACAAACGCCTTGAACCTGGTGCGCTGGCTGGCACGGGTCTGCTTCTGCACTGGCATAATCTTCAAAACCTCATCCTTGAGAGAGGCCCCCAGGAAGAAATCAATGATCTCTGATTCCTTAATGGGCAGGGAGAAGAGATAGATCTCCTCCAGGGACTTGATCTTCATGTCCTTGACCAAGCGGCCCAACTTGGTGACGGGCATCCACTCCTTATCCTCGGCCTTGCCTCCGCGAGCTCCGCGGCCTCGGCCCCGGCCCCGTCCACGGCCGCGACCCCGGCCCCGGATGCCACTGCCGAAACCTCCGCGGAAGCCACCGCGGTTCCCCATCCCAGGGCCACCAGGGCCTCCGTGCCCCCCCGCTGCACCGGCGTCATCCGCCATTTGTTGTTTTCTCGGAAAAGAAGCAATTCTTTTATAATTTTTTCTACACGTATACTCACATTATTACTATTTTGCAAAAATTGGATTCTACTTTATAGCTTGTTTTTGACCAAAACATTTTTAACATCTTTTCATATTGCATTGCACATAGATTACCTCATTCCTTAAGTGGTTATTTTATTATATGGTCATATCATATTTATTTATTTAACTGGTTCTCCATTGATGGACAGTTTACAAGGTGAAGCCAGAATGGGTCATTTGGGAATATGACATTTTTTGTTTGGTTTGATATATTAAACCCTAATCATTTTTTATATTACAATCTTTACATGTATCCAGAAAAGAATATAGATAAACTATACATTAAAATGGGAGTGGAGATGTCTATTTAGCCTATCAAAAAGTGAAGCATCTTTGAACTGTGATACTGCAGTATGGAGATATTATTTTAAATATAATATGAGGCCAGGCACGGTGGCTAACGTCTGTAATCCCAGCACTTTGGGAGGCTGAGGCGGGCAGATCACGTGAGGTCAGGAGTTTGAGACCAGCCTGGCCAAAATGGTGAAACCCCATCTCTACTAAAAATATAAAAATTAGCCAGGTGTGGTGGTGGGTGCCTATAATCCGCAGTTACTTGAGAGGCTGAAGCAGGAGAATAGCTTGAACCCGGGAGGCAGAGGCTACAGTGAGCCAAGATCGTGCCCCAGTGCACTCCAGCATGAGCAACACAGCTCGATTCTTTCTCCAAAAATAAAATAAAACACCTGTAATCTCAGCACTTTGGGAGGCCGAGGCGGGCGGATCATTTGAAGTCAGGAGTTTAAGACCAGCCTGGTCAACATGGTGGAACCCCATTTCTACTAAAAATACAAAAAACATTAGCGTGGCATGGTGGTGCGTGCCTGTAATCCCTGCTGCTTGGGAGGCTGAAACAGGAGAATCGCTTGAACCCAAGAGGTAGAGGTTGCAGTGAGCTGCACTCCAGCCTGAGCGACAGAATGAGACTGTCAATAAATAAATATATAAATAAATAGTCTCTAGTCAAATATTTAAGTTAAATTGGCTGAAACATCACTAATTCTTTTTCTTTTTCTTCTACCCTCTTAACACAGGCTACAAATGCTCACACCAGTGAGGTGGTGGCAATTAAGAAGATGTCCTATAGTGGGAAGCAGACCCATGAGGTGAGATAGAGACAGTTGTATACCTAAACTGAAATAAACAAGTTAGTATGAAATTAACAAAATTCTGGCCGGGCGCGGTGGTTCACGCCTGTAATCCCAGCACTTTGCGAGGCCGAGGTGGGCGGCTCACGAGGTCGGGAGATTGAGACCATCCTGGCTAACATGATGAAACCCCATCTCTACTAAAAATACAAAAAATTAGCCGGGCGTGGTGGCGGGCGCCTGTAGTCCCAGCTACTCAGGAGACTGAGGCAGGAGAATGGCGTGAACCCGGGAGGCGGAGCTTGCAGTGAGCCGAGATCACGCCGCTGCACTCCAGCCTGGGTGACAGAGCGAGGCTCTGTCTCAAAAAAAAAAAAAGAAAAAGAAAAAAGAAATTAACAAAATTCTTTAAACTTTTTTTTAGAACAATTTTTTTTTCCTTCTTGTGGAGCATATAATAAAAGTTCCTGAAGTTTTTCATACAAATGTGTGAACATTCATAATTATTTTTAAAAAGGCTAATGTTCTAGCTCAATTAACTATTTTGCAGGCTGGATGAGGTGGCTTAGGCCTGTAATCCCAGCACTTTGGGAAGCCAAGGCTGGAGGATCGCTTGAGCCCAGGAGCTCAAGACAAGCCTGGGCAATATGGTGAGACCCCACCTCTACAAAACATCAAACAAACTAGCTGGGTGTGGTGGTGTGTGCCTGTAGTCCAGCCACTCGGGAGGCTCAAGTGGGAAGATTGCTTGAGCCTGGGATGTGGAGGCTTCAGTGAGCTGTGACTGCAACACTGTACTCTAGCCTGGGTGCCTGAAAAGGAAAAAAACTATTTTGCAGACCAGAACATGGGTATGTGTAATGGCTTTTTTGTAATGTATTTGGTGATAGATTTGTGTTTACATGTATTCAAACTAAAGAAATGGCATGTTTAGGCCGGGCACAGTGTCTCACGCCTGTGATCCCAGCACTTTGGGAGGCCAAGGTGGGCGGATCACCTGAGGTCAGGAGTTCGAGACCAGCCTGGCCAACACGGAGAAACCTCGTCTCTACTAAAAATACAAAAAAATTAGTTTGGTCTGGTGGTGCACGCCTGTAGTCCCAGCTACTTGGGAGGCACGAGAATCACTTGAACCTTGAACCGGGCAGCAGAGGTTGCAGTGAGCCGAGATCGTGCCACTGCAGTCCAGCCTGGGCGATAGAGCAAGACTCTGTCTCAATTAAAAACAAAAAGAGAGAGAGAAAGAAATAGCATGTTTAAATAGCTTCTTCATTTATTAAACATTTACTTTATGTCCATTTACAATAATATAAATGATATATACGTATACTTGATAGGAAATACTATTTTCCTATCAAAAATTAAATTAAAATGTTCCTTTTCTGACTTCAATAGAAATGGCAAGATATTCTTAAGGAAGTTAAATTTTTACGACAATTGAAGCATCCTAATACTATTGAGTACAAAGGCTGTTACTTGAAAGAACACACTGCTTGGGTAAGTCGAAGGACCTCTATTATCTTTTACTATTACATTTTTTTCTTTTTCTTTTTTTTCTATTATCTATTTGATCTGTAAAATTACTAATTTCATTTCTGTTCCATTTAACTTTTGTTATCAGTATTTAACATTTGTTAATACTTTGGTGTGTCACTTGGTATATATTCTGTAAGATTAAATGATATCTAGCCTATTAGAAATTCCATTCTATAAACACTCAGAAAGAGATGGTGAAAAGTTGACATCATTTTATAATTATTTGTTTGTAAAAGTAAAAGGCACAGCCTTATATTCTCATCCTAGAATTTTTATCTTTGTCATTTCTCATCCTCCACTCCAGTTCCCCCCATATTTGGAATTGTTCTTGATGTTTTAATTGCTATGTGATTTTTACCAAACAGGGGCCACCATATGATTAAAATAAGAGACTTTTGTTCCACTCTGTCATCTTATTGTGATATATATATATAAATATATATACACATGCACACACACACAGACACACACACACTCATATATATATATATATTTTGTTTGTTTGTTTGTTTGTTTGGAGACAGATTCACTCTTGTTGCCCAGGCTGGAGTGCAGTGGTGCGATCTCAGCTGACTACAACCTCTGCCTCCTGGGTTCAAGTGATTCTTGAACCTCAGCCTCCTGAGTAGCTGGGACTACAGGCACATGCCACCACACCCAGCTAATTTTTTGTATTTTTAGTAGAGATAGGGTTCACCATGTTGGCCACGCTGGTCTCCAACTCCTGACCTCAGGTGATCCACCTGCCTCAGCCTCCCAAAGTGCTGGGATTACAGGCATGAGCCATTGTGCTCGGCCCTTAGTATATTTTTATATGATTGTATTTCTGGTTTTAGGTTGGCACATTAGGCACATTTAGGATGTGAAAATGTTATGCTTTCTACTTTTTCAAATTGCACATTCCTACTTAAACTCCAATTTAACTAGCATTTATTGTTTACCATGTACCAACTCCTTTCCTGTATGTGATCTCTAATTAGGGAATGGAATTTTGTTCTTAAATAGACTATCAAACAGTATACTAAACATACATATTTCTGTTCAAGGAACTTTTATGTAGAGCTATTGCTTCCATTCTGAAAATAAGAAATTAATCAAAGACATATCTCATTGTCTAGAAATCAGTTCTCTGGCAATCTCAGCTGTCTTGAAGGAGTCAAGAAAGGGATTTCAAGCAGGCAGAATAAATGTTACAAAATCCAAGTGCTAAAATCTCATGTATTTCAAGTCTTCAGAAAATCCTTCACACTGTTACTTGAAGCTCGTTTTTCTCTTTTTTTTTTTTTTTGAGACAGAGTTTTGCTCTTGTTGCCCAGGCTGGAGTGCAATGGCGCGATCTCGGCTGACTGCAACCTCCACCTCCCGGGTTCAAGTGATTCTCCTGTCTCAGCCACCGGAGTACCACACCCGGCTAATTTTGTGTATTTAGTAGAGACGGGGTTTCTCCATGTTGGTCAGGCTGGTCTCGAACTCCCGACCTCAGGTGATCCGCCCACCTCGGCCTCCCAAAGTGCTGGAATTACAGGCATGAGCCACTGCACCCGGCCACCTGTTTATTCTTAGATTATATAGACTGCTAATAAGCATGGCTACCTGGTTTCTGTCTACAACTGGTTTGATAGACCAATCAGAAAGAGCTCTAAGGAACTGAGCTGTTAGATACATGCATACAAACAGGCACAAGAATAATTTAACCATACGGAAAAAGTCAGGGGAGCTAGAAGGCAGAGCTAATCATTTAAAGGCAGAGCAGCCAGAGCTGTTTAGTGTCAGGAGCAAACAACCATCTCAGGTGCCTTTGTGTTATAGAATAATAGGGGAAAAAATATTTGTGACAAAAATGCTGAGTTTTTAAACATGTAATTTAAAACATTTAATGCAGCTAGAAACATATTCATTCTATTCAGTTTTAAAGTTCTATATTCACATTTCATATGCTTGGTTTAAGGAGGTTATGTATGCATATTCAGTTACTTTTAAAAATTAGAAAATTATGTAATAAAATTTAGAAATGCTTTCATCAAAATTGATTAAAGAAAAAGTAGGGCACATAAAGGCTAGTGTTCATTATAACATTTACTCATGTAGAATCTTCCATTTTATAATAAGAAATAAGATTAATGTTTCTGAATCTGTTTGTTTTTAATGTCAAGCAGAAAACTATAGTATGGTTTCTAAATTTTAAACTTCTAAACCTCTCATTGTTCTAAATTATTCCAGAAATGCAAGGTACATACTATATAAATATATAACTGTAAAACTATAAAATATAAGACATAATCATATGTAATATATAAATAGTATTATAAGTATGTTATATCTAATTTAATTGCATTCTATATAATATAGACACAGTATACTTATATTTATAATATGTTCATATATATTGATATTTATAATATATAACTATAAAAGTATAATAGTTTCTAAATTTTAAACTTCTAGACATCACATATTCTAAATTATCTCAGTAATGCAAGGTACATAATATAAATATATTTTCACATTAATTTTTTTAATGAAAGGAACTAATATGTTGATATTGGTTATGTCTAGTTTATTATAGGAAATTTATATTTCATAATGAGCATCTACTATTCTTTTAAATAACAATAATTTGTAGGAGTGTGAATGCTTGCATGTGTGTGTGGAGATTGGTTGCTGAACCCTGATAGTTTTGACCTTGACTACAAATCAGTAGTCTTGGGCACCTAAAAATCTAGGATAAGAAGGGCCAGGTGCAGTGGCTTATGCCTGTAATCCCAGGACTTTGGGAGGCCTAGGTGGGTGGATCACGAGGTCAGGAGATCAAGACCAGGCTGGCCAACATGGTGAAACCCCGTCCCTACTAAAAATACAAAGAAAAAAAAGAAATCGAGGATAAGAGTACAGAAAGAGGCCGGGCACGGTGGCTCACACCTGTAATCCCAACACTTTGGGAGGCTGAGGCGGGCAGATCACCTGAGGTCAGGAGTTTGAGACCAGCCTGACCAACATGGAGAAACCCCGTCTCTACTAAAAATACAAAATTAGCCGCGTGTGGTGGCGCATGCCTGTAATCCCAGCTACTCGGGAGGCTGAGGCAGGAGAAGTGCTTGAACCCAGGAGGTAGAGGTTGCAGTGAGCCAAGATCGTGCCATTGCACTCCAGCCTGGGCAACAAGAGTGAACTCCGTCTCAAAAAAAAAAAAAAAAAAAGAGTAAAGAAAGAGGTTTCTCACTTTTGCTTTTAGAAAGCCTCCGCAGATTGCAAACCCAATAACTATCGATAGCCTCCACCTCTCGAGTTCCAGCGATTCTCCGTCCTTAGCCTCCCAAGTAGCTGGGACCACAGGTGCAAGCCACCATGCCAAGCTAATTTTTTGTATTTTTAGTAGAGATGGGGTTTCACCATGTTGACTAGGCTGGTCTTGAACTCCTGGCCTCAGGTGATCCACCTGCCTCAGCCTCCCAAAGTGCTGGGATTACAGGCGTGAGCCGCTGCACCTAGCCTATCAATAGTATTATAATAATATTATTCTGGAAATATTTTAAGATCTAAATGTAAATAACACATATATCTCAGGGATTCAAGGTAATGTAATGATACATAGCAGGCTACATCTTCAGATTCAGTTCAAAACAATATCTGTTTCTTGTTTAAAACTTTTTAAAGTGTGAAAAAAAGGAATTTACTACTTACTGGTTTATTTTATTTAACTGGTATAACCCCAAAATAGATTTTACTGGCTCGTGTATTTGTTTGCCACTTTCTGAGTTACAAATTTATAGTACAACATAGTCACCTGAATCCTTTTTGAAATAAAGTAGTGAAGGAGTTAATAAATAAATTGGCAATCTTGGCTTCACCATTTATAGTGAATATTTCTATATCTAGTCCCCCAATAATCTTTAGGCCAATTTCAAACAAGAAATAATAAAAACTGAGATGATGAAAATTATAAAAATCAATTAGTGCCAGATGACAAAAATTCAGTCCAAGTTCGGGTAGATCAGAATATTTATTCACCTAGTATTCTTAGTTCCTTGATTGGTTGTTTAGTTGGTTTCAGCAGTTTTTAAATTAACTTTCATTATTCTGAATATTATTTTAATCTCTTATAGTTGGTGATGGAATATTGCTTAGGCTCAGCCTCTGATTTATTAGAAGGTAAGAAAGAAGGAATTAAACTCTCCTTTCTGTTTTACTTTGATCAGAATGTTATCTACCGCCATACTAAAGTGTAGTTTGGGCAGTCTAATTGAATGATGGCTTGAGCTTTAGGGTGGTGTGGATAAGCCATGCACACTTCCTCTCTTCAATGCCACTGAAAGTGTCTGAGTGATGTTAGCAGTCTTCCTGCTGTTTTAGTTCATGGCCCATCCAGGGCAGGTACTACCAAAATGTTTGGCTAATGTGATATGGTACATGTAGCCAAAAACATCATATTCATGGGTATATGTGAAAGAGAGGTAGATAGTCTCACGTTATATTGATGTTAAACCCTTTCAGAAATCTTGACTGACCCCATTCCTCTCTGCAGATGCTGCTATAACCAGAGGCTGTGTTAAAAATTTACTTTAAAAAAAATATCTTGAGCCAGGCACAGAGGCTAACACCTATAATACCAGCTACTTAGGAGTCTGAGACAGGAGGATCACTTGAGCCCAGGAATTCAAGGCTGCAGTGAGCTTTGATTGAAACACTGCACTCCAGCCTGGGTAACAGAGTGAGACCCCTGTCTCAAAAAAAAAAAAAAAATTAAATCACTGTTGATCTCTGAATAGAAATTGCTTATTAGCTTCTTTCACAAATAATGAAAACCTGTAGTTTGAAGGGGTAATTAAAGATGGCTTTGTGGCAGAGGAGGAAAATGTAACCTAGAACACTCCAGACATTGAAATGTTGGAAGGGACTGGTTAATTTGGGCCTGGTTAATTGGAATCAGTGTGGCTTGGCTTGCAACTGATAAGTAAATTAACAATGCATCATTTAAGGAATATCAGGCTTTCTTTGTTTTATTTTTGTTTTGAAGGGTCATTTGTGTTTATATACTTGGGTTTCCTGTTGTCTGATCACTTATTATCTTCTATAGAAGATCTAGGTGAATGTGTTCCCAAATTGTCATGTGAGAAAGTATGTAACCCAGTCTGGTATAGCTGTATAAAATAATAAAATGAGGAATGAAACTGATCATCTACTGACTTTTTTTTTTTTCCTTCCTCAGTTCATAAAAAACCACTTCAGGAAGTGGAGATCGCTGCCATTACTCATGGAGCCTTGCATGGACTAGCCTACCTACATTCTCATGCATTGATTCATAGGTAAGATTAGAGACCAGTTATGTTTCTTTTCAGTTGCAGGACTGTCTATTCCAGGAACCTTGAAAATTAGTGCATGCTCCAATTTTTAGGTTGCCTAAGCATTCATGGGAAGCAAATAGATTGCTGCTTCTGGATATAAAGGATAAAGTTGCCAGAATTTAGCTTCTATCTCTTATTCTCTCCTACGTATCCACAATTATATCATCTTTGTTCAGTAGGTAACTGTTCTCCAGGCTAAATGTTGCAGGGAAATTTGAAAAAGGGCCCACCAATCTTTAGATACTGTGTCATGAAGAAAAGAAAAGAAAATTAACCTTCCTTGCATATATTTATCTGTTAGCAGAGTTATTGTCCCTTTCCTATTACAAATAACAAGCTAGTCTTATATAAATATATGCTATTTTATAACTTTAAAATATTTCTCATTTCTATAGTTCATATAGATACTTAGGAAGATATTATCTTTACTGTATTTTGGCATATGAAGAGACCAGGGCTCAGAAAGACTTAACTTGCCCAGAGTTTCACAGAATTTAAGTAATATGTTAAGGATTGAAACTCAAGTTTCTTGACTCCTATTCTAGGGCTTTTCTCTGCCTTGTATTTTCTCTACCACAACCACACTCTCCTCCCTGCAACCTCCCTCCCTCCATTAACTTCTAGAGAAACATGTTACCAATCTTTTCTTCTCTCAGTAATGAACTTTTAGTACAGTTACATTAATGAATGAGGGGAGGAGGAGTGAAATATTAGGTATGAAGAATCTGAGATGGCTCACAAATGAAAGAAAACAACTGGCATTTACTAGGAAGAAGTGAAACTATTGGGTTATGGTTCCTCTTTTGCTTCTGTTTTAATCACCCCAGTGTAGCCATGACCACTTACTGGTACCACAAAAGCAGAACTTCCTAAAGATAGGCAGACCGAAATCCTGCTGGGAATTAAGGACAAAGAGTGAACCTAATCATGTTAATAAATACTGATTAAATAAAATTATCATAATGTCTATGGATCTGACAACTTTTTGTAAATATATGTCTTTGGTACCAAGGTGTTAATACTACTGCCAACTTGCTTGTGATTATTTTGCCTGCTCTCATTTAAAGCTACAGTTCAGTTTTTTGTGCCATTATTACCTTAATCTGCACATTAACTTAATGTTTTAGTCTGTATTATGCTTTATCTTCTTTAGTATGTAAAATAATTTGTTGAAGAGTCAAAATACTTATAAATAATGTTTTTTTAATTTAAAAGTAAATACTGTGTCTCAGATTTTTATTGTTTTGATTTTAAAGGCAATTCAATCTCCTAACTAAAGATAAGTAGAGAAAATATATTTTTCTGTTGTGAAGAAAAATAAATAATGCATTTTTTTTTAGTTCTGTCTGCCAATGCCTAATGTCACCATGAGGAAGGAAACTGAATTTTCAAGGGAAGTTTTTATAAAAGTTATTTTGAAGCATTTGAACCTTATCATTTTCAGCTTGACATAAATTTCCTCATCTTCTCTGTTTTATCTTTTCACTGACCATCAACTTCCAATTCATGGTTTCTAGTGCTCATTACACCTCATGCCTTTTTTAAAAAGAATAAGGAGTACATCCACACCTTCTCATTCTAAATTACCATAATGAAAAATGAATTTTTTGAATTATATTTTTAAAACTTTTTGCTATATAATACCTCTATTAGCTTTAGTAGTAACCACGTGCAATTCTTTGTAGTAATACAATAGAAATGTAATTTCCTAACCCCTAATCCTTGTTTGTTTTGATCTTTCAGGGTCTTCTTTTTACTGTACAGAGTTATTTTTAAAATATCACCTTCTATATAACATGTACCTCAAATGCCTTAGAGTTGCAGTTACAATTAAAGACAGAGAGAAAGGGTCACAGGCAAGAAAGAAAAGGTATGTGTGTAGTTGAGGTTTATTGGTAGGTGGTCAATACGGAATCATTGCAGGTTTGTTTAGGCTCCAAAAATGTCACATAATTTGGAAAAGCAGAAAAAGCAGTTAAAATTGGCACCAATTTTCTCAGCACAGGGAATACTATTGATAACTGGATTTAGCCTTTAAGAATATGCCTTTGTAAGTGTAGCAGCTGAATAGGTTTTCTTGTTCGCCATGTCTGCCTTTTTTCTCATTTGTATTCCCTCCCTCTGAAGAAAGCTCTACCTTTAAGTAACTAGTATGACCTACCTGCAAGTACACCCAGGAATCTGGGCCCCCTTACAACATGCAGTAATTACTAAATCTCCTTCTGGCTATCTGAGCAAGGTTTGTTTTGTTTGTTTGTTTGTTCGTTTAAATAAACTTTTTGTCTTATTAATTGCATGCTCTGACCTATTCCATAATCAAAATTGAAAAGTAATTTTCTAACCCTTTTTTTTTTTCCTATAGGGATATTAAAGCAGGAAATATTCTTCTAACAGAGCCAGGTCAGGTAAAACTAGCTGATTTTGGATCTGCTTCAATGGCTTCTCCTGCCAACTCCTTCGTGGGCACACCTTACTGGTATGTAGAATTAGGCTATATGACATAGTTTTAAAATCTGCATACATGAACTCAACTATGGTGCTGGTTTGGCTTGGTTTTGTGACAGTGTCTTACCAATATGCCTCAAAACGAGGTTTCATTTGAGAAGGATAGAAAGCCCACTGGCATAAAAAGAAACACTCTGGCTTTGTATAAAATTTACAATGACTTTAAATTGTGTAGTTAAGGTTGGTGTCACTGTGTGTAAACTGAGCAGGATTATCAATTCACTGACCAAGTTCAGGTTTTCGATTTCATTTGCAGTTTCTTTTGAACTTTTCTCTTGAGGCAAAGCCTCCAGGTAAGGACAGGGCAGCTTCTTTCACCTTCCCTGACTAGCCAACAAGCAGAGATGGTACCTTTCAGTGAAAGAAATCCAAGTTCTTGTCTTTGTTGAGTTCTGATAGGTTACCTAGCTTGTCAGTCTGGCTCAGAGTTTTTCACCCTATTCTTTTCCAGATTATTTTCCTTCCTTTCCTAGACACGTTGGAATTTCATTATGCCTTACAGAATGACTTAGATCTCTGCAAAATTACTTGTCTACTAAAAAAAATCAGCTAGTCTTTGAATTTTTTTCTATCACCAAATAACATTTACTAAGCAACTGCTTACACATCATAATAGAGTACAGTTCTGTTCAAAGCATATTAAACAGATAGGGCCCCTGCCCTCCTAATGAAGATGCATTATGGACAAACAAGTAAAGTAACATCCATTACTACAACCTAGGGTTTTTGTAGGTTTTAGTATCTTTGGAACAGCTGATTATATTGCTTTATATGGCTCCATAAAGTATTTTTCATGTTGTTTAATTATTTTAAAAGAATATGGCCAGGTGTGGTGGCCTATGCCTGTAATCCCAGCTACTCGGGAGGCTGAGGCATGAGAATCGCTTGAACCCAGGAGGTAGAGGCTGCAGTAAGCCAAGATGGCGCCACTGCACCCCAACCTGGGCTACAAAGTAAGACTCTCAACAACAACAACAAAAAAAGACTCCAGGCGCGGTGGCTCACGCCAGTAATCCCAGCACTTTGGAAGTCCGAGGCGGGTGGATCACGAGGTCAGGAGATCGAGACCATCCTGGCTAACATGGTGAAACCGCGTCTCTACTAAAAATACAAAAAATTAGTCAGGCATGGTGGCAGGCGCCTGTAGTCCCAGCTACTTGTAGTCCCAGCTACTCGGGAGTCTGAGACAGGAGAATGGCATGAACCTGGGAGGCGGAGCTTGCAGTGAGCTGAGATTGCACCACTGCAGTCCAGCCTGGGCGACAGAGCCAGACTCCGTCTCAAAAAAAAAAAAAAAAAAAAAAAAAAAAAAAAAATTTCCTGCTTTATTTAATTACTTTAAACAATATGAAAAATACTTTATGGAACTATATAAAGCAATATAATCAGATGTTCCAAAGTAATTATTTAAGTACTTTATGTATATTCATCCTTTACAAATCTCTGTAAAGTTGCTATGAGAATTATCTCCATTTTACAGATGAAGAAACTGATGTACAGATAGGTTAAGTAACTTCCCTAAGATCAAACTGATAGTAAGGGGTGGAGCCAGTCTTTATTGAAAATAATATACTGTGTCATGTAAATCACCAAGTAGATTATATTTTGAATAGTGTTTTTCAAAATTATTTGTGTAAGGAAATAATATCTATATCAGATAAAATTTCAGAATACCCTTAAGAACAGCTATTTCATTGAATCACTTTCCTGGAGAAATTTTGTTTTTAATCTCCAACTTGAGTTTTGTACCTTATGTTTGGTAGGATGGCTCCAGAGGTGATCTTAGCTATGGATGAAGGACAGTATGATGGGAAAGTTGATATTTGGTCACTTGGCATCACTTGTATTGAATTGGGTGAGTAAAGAGTTATTTGTTTTCATTGTATTTTTTAAAATTCTATTTTGCAGATGAATTTTCATTGTATTTTTAAGAATCATAATGATTAGGAGTTATTCATCTGGCTATTACTTAATGAGTTACTGGTATATGTGTGCTAGGCAATGCGAATTTATTAGATTTTTTTATACTCATAACACAGATTGCTTTCTCTCTGCTACATTTTCATGTTCTTATTTTTATTTATTTATTTATGTATTTATTTATTTATTTTAATTTTTTAATTATTATTACACTTTAAGTTTTAGGGTACATGTGCACAATGTGCAGGTTTGTTACATATGTACACATGTGCCATGTTGGTGTGCTGCATCCATTAACTCGTCATTTAACATTAGGTATATCTCCTAATGCTATCCCTCCCCCCTCCCCCCACCCCACAACAGGCCCCGGATTGTGATGTTCCCCTTCCTGTGTCCATGTGTTCTCATTGTTCAATTCCCACCTATGAGTGAGAACATGCGGTGTTTGGTTTTTTGTCCTTGCGATAGTTTGCTGAGAATGATGGTTTCCAGTTTCATCCATGTCCCTGCAAAGGACATGAACTCATCATTTTTTATGGCTGCATAGTATTCCATGGTGTATATGTGCCACATTTTCTTAATCCAGTCTATCTTTGTTGGACATTTGGGTTGGTTCCAAGTCTTTGCTATTGTGAATAGTGCCACAATAAACATGCGTGTGCATGTGTCTTTATAGCAGCATGATTTATTTATTTATTTTTTTTGAGACAGAGTCTTACTCTGTTACCCAGGCTGGAGTGCAGTGGCACAATCTCGGCTCATTGCAACCTCCACCTCCTAAGTTCAAGCAATTCTCCTCCTTTAGCCTCCTGAGTGCCTGGGATTATAGGCACCTGCCACCAAGGCTGGCTAATTTTTGTATTTTAGTAGAGACAGGGTTTTGCTGTGTTGGCCAGGCTGGTCTTAAACTCCTAACCTCAAGTGATCTGCCTGCCTCGAGGTCCCAAAGCACTGGGATTATAGATGTGAGACACCACACCCAGTCTCATGTTATTAATTTAATTGAAGGAGTTGAAGCAGATATGGCAGTTAACAAATGAAATACAAAATAGCACATAGTAATATATGAAAAATATCCATTCTCCATACTATGAATGATAATATATGTCCTACCTTTATGGGAGTTCCCATTACCTTAATTTATACTCCAACTTGTATTAGGGAAATCTGAAAAAGTAATAGAAAGCTTATCAGGGATCTGACTCTAAAACTGTATTTGACCCATGTAGAGCACAACTGTGAAGAAAACTTTGTGTTATAAGATAAACTTCAGCCATTAAGTTATTCCCCAAATATTGTTACAGTTATCTAACATTGTCTAAAGTGCCACAGAATCTCTCCTTTGGTTGTATATTTTGAACTTTAATATATCTTAAGCTTACTTCTATCCAGTGGTATACTGGTAAATTTAACAAATCAATCTCTTGTGGAGAGGGGAAAAGGCCTTGATTTGTAGCTTTGCCAATTTCCATGATGTAAATACTCTTACTATAGCCAATGCTATTCACTAAATGTGAAAATGGGGAAAGATGTGCACAATGGGCCTTCCAAAGCCAGTATGTGCTAGCTACAGCATAATACTGCCTTTATCTACATATTTTCATAAATTTTAAATCAAAAATGTTAAACTTTTTAAAAAATCAGTTTTTAAAAAATTCTTTTTTTTCTTTTTTTCTTTTTTTTTTTGAGACACAATCTTGCTCTGTTACCCAGGCTGCATTGCAGCAGTGCAATCTTGGCTCACTACAGCCTCTCTCTTCTGGGTTCAAGCGATTCTCCTGCCTCAGCCACCCAAGTAGCTGGGATTACAGGCATGCACCACCACGCCTGGCTAATTTTGTGTTTTTAATAGAGATGGGGTTTTGCCATGTTGGTCAGGCTGGTCTTGAACTCCTGACTTCAGATGATCCACCCGCCTCGGCCTCCCAAAGTGCTGGGATTACAGGCATGAGCCACTGTGCCTGGCCTAAAAAAATTCTTTGTCTAATTTTTTAAGATATTAATTTCATGTAATTCTATTAAGGTTTCCAAATTGATCCTATAAGTATTTCTGAGTTCTAGTTTGATTCACAGACTATGGTCTTCTCTTTTCCTAAAATGTTAGGCCAACTTGGGATACTTTATATTACATTGCCAATGTTTCATTGACCCCTTCCGACAAAACAACATATGATAAAGATGCACAATTTATCTGGATTTTTTTTTTACATTAAAGAAGTATTAATTAAAAAAAAAAAAGAATTCCTGGAGGAAAATTTGAATATTATTTTTTTCAATTAGGTAGCAGAATCACAAGGTTTGTAAATCAGAAAACATAAAAAGACATACAGTGAAAGATCTTCTTCCACCCCTGCCCTATCTACACAGTTCCTACACCACCCCTGCCAACACACGCAGGGAACCACTTTATTAATTGGTGTGTCCTTCCAGATCTTCTTGGTAAATATACAAACAAACATGAATATACACTTCCTATATTCGTTTTCACACCCAAGGTAACGTATATATGTGGTTCTGTACTTTGGTTTTTCACTTAATAATATCTTGGAGATCTGTTTTCTATGACTAACTTAGACATGTTTTTCATCATTTTAATGGCATCATGTTATTCCATTACATGATATACCATAGTTTATTTAACTGGTCTTGTATTGATGGATATTGAGTTGATGAATTTCTTTTTTAGGTTATAATATGGTACTACTGTTTATTTCACTCCAAAGGAAATTGATCAAAGTTATTCATACTGATTTTGGGGGCCACTCAGCAGAAATATTTGCATGTTTTAAAAAGGGCTTATAACGAACTTCCCACAATACTACGTAAAAGTTCACAAGGTAGGCTGGGCGTGGTGGCTCACGCCTATAATCTCGGCACTTTGGGAGGCCGAGGCGGGCGGATCACGAGGTCAGGAGATCGAGACCATCCTGGCTAACAAGGTGAAACCCCGTCTCTACTAAAAATACAAAAAAATTAGCCAGGTGTGGTGGTGGGTGCCTGTAGTCCCAGCTACTCGGGAGGCTGAGGCAGGAGAACGGTGTGAACCTGGGAGGCAGAGCTTGCAGTGAGAGATCGCACCACTGCACTCCAGCCTGGGTGACAGAGCAAGACTCTGTCTCAAAAAAAAAAAAAAAAAAAAAAAAAAAAACACTTCACAGGGTAATCCCAGAAGTCATAGGACCAAAATTAGCTAAAACAACTTTGGAGAAATAGAATTTGAACAGAAGAATCACTGCCCCAGAATCCATACCATATTAATTAAATCCATATGGTATTGTTGCAGGGAAAGACTAGTATCCAGTAGAACAGACTAGGAAACTCTAGTATGAGTCAGATTTTGGTATAAGACACAAAAGCCGTTACAGATCAATGGGGAAATGATGGCTCATTTGGTAAATAATACTGAGAAATGTGTTAATTATATGATAAAACTAAAACTGGATTCCTAGCTATGTCATACACAAAAATAAATTTTAGATTGGTTAAATGCCCAAAAGTAAAACTTTAAACATTTAGAAGAAGCCCCCCAATGCCTCAGTTTCCTCATCTGTAAAATAGAAATAATGATAGTACCCACTTTGTGGGGTTGTTATGAAGATTAATTAATATCTATTATATGCTTAGAACATGGCCTGGCATGTAATAAGCACTATGTAAGTGTTATTATTATTTTTTTTTAAGACAGAGTCTCGCTCTGTCTCCCAGGCTAGAGTGCAGTGGTGTGCTCTTAGCTCACTGCAACCTCCACCTCCCAGGTTCAAGTGATTCTCCTGCCTCAGGCTCCCTAGTAGCTGGGACTACAGGTGCATGCCGCCACGCCTGGCTAATTTTTTGTATTTTTAGTAGAGACGGGGTTTCATCGTGTTAGCCAGGATGGTCTCAATCTCCTGACCTTGTGATCCACCCGCCTCAGCCTTCCAAAGTGCTGGGATTACAGGCGTGAGCCACCAGGCCCGGCCTAGTGTTATTATTATTACTCTAAAATACTTTTACTAGTATAATGAAGACCTTTTCTAATCAATGTTTTTTAAAACATAATGATAAATATCATAACTTTTACTACTTTAAAATATAAAACCATGTAAAGCACAAACATTAAAAGACAAGCTATGGACTAGGAGAAGGTAGTTGAAATACATTTAACCAACAAAGTATTGGTCCAAAATTTATAAATAACTCCTACAATTTCTTTCTGAAAAAGAAAAAGCTGGCCAGATGCGGTGGCTCATGCCTGTAATCCCAGCACTTTGGGCGGCCAAGGTGGGCAGATCACCTGAGGTCAAGAGTTTGAGACCAGCCTGGCCAACGTGGTGAAACCCCACCTCTACTAAAATTACAAAATTACCTGTGTGTGGTGATGCACGCCTATAATCCCAGCTACTAGGGAGGCTGAGGCAAGAGAATCATCTGAACCTGGGAGGCGGAGGTTGCAGTGAGCCGAGATTGCGCCACTGCACTCCAGCCTGGGCAACAAGATCGAAACTCTGTCCCCCCCAAAAAAAAAAGGAAAAAAAAGAAAAAGCCAAACAACCAGTAGAGAAATGGGTAAGGAATATGATTAAGTGAAGCTGAGGTAGGAGAATCACCTGAACCCAGGAAGTCAAGGCCGCAGTGAGCCATGATCACGCCACTGCACTGTAGTCTGGGTGATGGGAGTAAGACCCTATCTCAAATAAAAATAAAAAGGAATATGATTAAGCAATTCATTGAAGAGGAAACCTAAATGGAAAACAAACATCAGAAGACACTAAGCCTCATTAGTAATCAGAGAAATGCAATTTGAAACAATTTCACATTTATGAGACTGGCAAGAATTTCAAGTCCTCGAATAATAAATTTGGAGAAGCTGCCAAGGAAGGAAGAACTCCGTATGCATACACACTGGAAAATGTGTACAAGGGTGCAACTGTTTTTATAGTAGCCAGAAAAGGTAGAACTAGCCTAAATTCTTATCCAAAGGAGAATGTATAAATTATGGAATACTGTATCATAGTTAAGAATGAACTGGATCTACATGTATCATCATGGATAAATCTCAAAATCATAACATTGAATATTTGGTGAACAAATAAAATTGCAAAAGTACAAGGATGGTTTGATGCCAGTTATGAAAATTTTATAAGTTCTTTTATATATTGTTAAAACTATATATATACTGGCCAGGCGCAGTGGCTCACGCTTGTAATCCCAGCACTTTGGGAGGCCAAGGCAGATGGATCACCTGAGGTCAGGAGTTTGAGACCAGCCTGACCAACATGCCGAAACCCCATCTCTACTAAAAATACAAAAATTAGCTGGGCATGGTGGTGCATGCCTGTAATCCCAGCTACTTGGGAAGCTGAGACAGGAGAATTGCTTGAACCCAGAAGGCGGAGGTTGCAGTGAGCCAAGACCGTACCATTGCACTCCAGCTGGACGACAAGAGCAAAACTCCATCTCAAAAAAAAAAAAAAAAGAGTATATATACTAATAAAACATAAGAATACAGTTGTAAAGATATAATTCTAGAACAGTAAACACTGGAGAAAGGAAGGCAAATAGAGCTGTATCTACTTTCTTATTTTTTTAGAAGAAAAAGGACCTGAAACAAATATGACAAGATTATAATAAATCTAAGTGATAGGTGTCTGTTATAATATTCTACAAAATTTTACACATTTTAAATATTGAATAATTGAACTTTTCAAAAATTAGAAGTAAATATATATTCCTTTGGGGGAACAAAACTACTCTGTGCATAGCATAGAGTTAGCAGTATGGAGTAAGTTTTAGAATTAGACACCCTAGATGTGAATCTTGGCTTTACCAGCACTTAGCTGGCAGGACCACCATGTGTGGCTGTAACATAATGCCATCAGGCATTCACATAGTCTGGGATGCAGATGATCCCTCCTGGGACTGTGTAACATATTGATTCTGACTGTGTGATCATGGATCATTTTGTTAACTTCCCTAATCCTCAGTTTCTCATCTAAGTAAAAATAACAATGGATATATCATAGATATTTACAGGCTTCAATAAGATAACTTAGGTAAAGTATTTAGCATAGTGCCTGGCATATAGCAAGTGCTCAGTAACAGTTAATTGTATTCATATATAGGATTGTTTTTTGTTTTTTGTAATTTATGTTTTAGGCCATATAAAATTATGCTACTTTTAGAGGTCATAGTACCTTTAGGGTCATAACTGAGGAGTTGCTACAATGGTCTCAGTGTTATAAGTAAAATTTTGGTTTATTCTTATAAAATATTACTTATTTTATATTTTACTTATAACACAGATATTTTATATTTTATATATTTATATTTTATATATAAATTTATATTATAAAATTATAACATAATTTTATATTATATTAAAATATAAAAGTAATATTTTATAAAAATAAACCAAAATTTTCCTTATAACACTGAGACCATCATAGCAACACCTCAGTTACGATCTTTTAAAAGAATGTGCCACTTGTGTTGAATTTTACTGTTAGTGCCTACCCATTTTTTAACTAGTTTTTTCTTACCAAGTTTTTTCTTAACAAGTTTTTTTCTTACCAAAATCTTTCCGAAATTTGACATGGATTCTTCCCTTTCCAATCTTCTTCAATTGTACAAACTACATATACCCTTTTATGATGATTCAAGATCATCATCACATCAGATTTTGTACCGTGTACATGT
The DNA here is from genome assembly GCF_000001405.40 of Homo sapiens. Lineage (NCBI taxonomy): Eukaryota > Metazoa > Chordata > Mammalia > Primates > Hominidae > Homo > Homo sapiens. The sequence goes on along the minus strand of NC_000012.12, from coordinate 118,226,933 downwards.
AAATGACTAAAATGTCAACAGCAGTTGACATTGGACACAAGTACAGACCCCAAGAGATACCTTAGTGCTTCCTCTCTTAAGACAGCCCCTTATATGTGCTTTCTGATTTTACCTTCTTATAAAAATGAATTGAAATATGTATAACTACATGCTCTCTGTATCAGCCTTTGATTGCATTTTATAAAATGATTTACTGAACTAAAGGACAAAGTAGCCTTCTCCCAAATTGTCTAATCCTCTATGACAGCTATTTCTGCAAATTGATAAGTGATAGTGTCAAATTGTGCTAAAGAGCATAGACTCTGCAGTCAGATAAACTTCAGTTCTTATTCTGCCATTTTGTAGTTGTCTGACTTTGGTCAAATTATCTCAAGTCTGTAAATTTTTTTTTTTTTTTTTTTTAGACGGAGTCTCGCTCTGTCACCAGGCTGGAGTGCAGTGGCACGATCTCGGCTCACTGCAACGTCTAGTTCCCGGGTTCAAGCGATTCTCCTGCCTCAGCCTCCCGAATAGCTGGTACTACAGGCGCCTGCCACCACGCCCGGCTAATTTTTTTTTGAGACGGAGTCTCGCTCTGTCGCCCAGGCTGGAGTGCAGTGGCGCAATCTCAGCTCACTGCAAGCTCCGCCTCCCGGGTTCACACCATTCTGCTGCCTCAGCCTCCTGAGTAGCTGGGACTACAGGTGCCCGCCACCACGCCTGGCTAATTTTTTTGTATTTTCAGTAGAGACGGGGTTTCACCATGTTAGCCAGGATGGTCTCGATCTCCTGACCTTGTGATCTGCCCGCCTCGGCCTCCCAAAGTGCTGGGATTACAGGCGTGAGCCACCGCACCCGGCCTAATTTTTGTATTTTTAGTAGAGACGGAGTTTTACCTTGTTGGCCAGGCTAGTCTCAAACTCCTGATCTCAAATGATCCACCCACCTCGGCCTCCCAAAGTGTTGGGATTATAGGCGCAAGCCATCATGCCAGCCCATTTTAACATCTCTTTAACACTAGGAAGCAACATGGTAAAATGCATTGAAAGTTGAAATTGCTGAGAGAGTAAATGATGTTAAATGTTCCTACAACAAAAAAAAATAGTAACTATATGAGGCGATGGACAGATTGTGATTAATCAATGTATATGAACATCAAAACATCACATTGTACACCTTAAATATATACAATTTTGTCAAAAACAAGGAAATAACTTTTTTAAAGTAGGAGGTATTTTATAGGCAACAGCCTCTTATAGTTGGCAGCATTTTTTCTGTTATACATATTATAAAATCGTGGTGAATATTTAACGGTAGTACACCTTACAGTCAATGACATCTCAGACTCAAAGAAATGTGATTGTAGATGGTCAGTAAATATTCACAAAATAAAATTATTACCAAGAACATTTAATTTCTCAGCAATTACTTGAAAATTATTATATCAGTAATGTAATAAGTCATACAAGTATCTCTTTGACAGCTTTATCATACATTTTCATCTCCCTAGCATTAATTTTGCTAATGGACATGTAAAAGAAGGGTATTTTTTTTTTTTTTTACATGCAAGACAAAGGTTAAACTGTTTCAAATATTCCCTAAGCAATGATTTTGCTATTTTCTGTATGTTTGGGGCATAATGAAATTCTAACTGTTAATACCAATAGTATATTTTTAAGTTGTATCTTTTTTTTTTTTTTTTTTTTTTGAGACAGTCTCGCACTTGTCACCCAGGCTAGAGTGCAATGGCGCGATCTTGGCTCACTGCAACCTCCACCCCCTGGACTCAAGTGATTCTCCTGCCTCAGCCTCCCGAGTAGCTGGGATTACAGGCACCCACCACCACTCCCGGCTAATTTTTATATTTTTAGTAGAGACAGAATTTCACCATGTTACCCAGGCTGGTCTCAACCTTCTGATCTCAGGTGATCCACCCACCTCAGCCTCCCAAAGTGCTGGGATTACAGGCATGAGCCACCTTGCCCAGCCCAAGTTGTACTTTTAACATCGAAATTACATGGAAAGTTGTGGATAGTCCTGTTCCCTTTTGTTCTGATATCTCTCTCTTCCATAATAGCTTGTTATCCCCTTTCTTTATGGTGTCTGTCTCTTCTATAATAGTATATATTTTTTTAAAAACACCCTAATCTAGAAGTTGAATTGCTGGGATGGCATCAAAAAGCAGGATGATGATAGTGTTACTGACACTGTCCTTCTTTCCTAAAGATCAAACTTTACAGCTCCTAAGTGTTTAATCCTGTTTTATAAATTATCTTTGGGTAAATTGATCTCCTGTTGAAAGGACTAGTTAAAACTCTTGGAGGTTGAAATTGTCCAGTCACCAGATATTTTATTTTTCAGGATTACATTCAGGAGAAGTTAATCTTGGTTCTCTTCTGTTTAAACTACAGGCATTTAGTTCACCAACAAAGGTTATGGTAGAAACTGGCAAATAGTCTGTCGGCACTGTCAGGGAATGGATTGTGTCCAGAAATAAGTTCTCCAGGAAAGAACAAAACACAAACATAAATGTTATAGATTCTCTGCCTGGAATTTTCTTCTTATACATTAGCCCCTTATAGTTTATCTGTTAATAAATGAATACCATGATCGTTGTTGGGGAGAAGGGGTTATATTTAGTCTTCTAAAGTTTTTCTTTTCATTTTGAAATTCTAGTGCTATCTACCTTAAAATGTACAGAGTTATTGAAGAGATACCATGGCCTAGTAAAAAGAACACAGGCCTTGGAGTCTCATAGGATTGGGTTGAAATTTCAGCGTAAACACTATGTGATTTGGTTTTGTTACTTAGCTGAACCTCAGTTTCTTCAGTTGGGAAACTGGAAAAATAATACCTATCTTGACAAGCTATTTTGAGAATTATGAATAACATATGTAACATGCCTAAGGCAGTGAGTGCCTGGCATATAGTAGGAATTCAGTAAATGGTAGCGATTATTTTGTTATCATTAGTTATTATGGTTTTCAACCATATTTGTTCATAAGAAACCTTATGGGCTGGGCTTGGCCACTCATGCCTGTAATTCCAGCACTATGGGAGGCCAAAGTGGGCAGATCACTTGAGGTCAGGAGTTCTAGAGCAGCCTGGCCAACATGGCAAAACCCTGTCTCTATTAAAAATGCAAAAATTAGGTGTAGTGGCACACACCTGTAGTCCCAGCTACTTGGGAGGCTGATGCATGGGAATTGCTTGAACCCAGGAGGCAGAGGTTGCAGTGAGCCAAGATTGTACCACTGCACTCCAGCCTGGGAGACAAAGAGAGACTCTGTCTCAAAAAAAAAAAAAAAATGCCGGGTGCGGTGGCTCACACCTGTAATCCCAACACTTTGGGAGGCCGAGGTGGGTGAGTCACGAGGTCAGGAGATCGAGACCATCCTGGCTAACATGGTGAAACCCCGTCTCTACTAAAAATACAAAAAATTAGCCAGACGTGGTGCCGGGCGCCTGTAGTCCCAGCTATTCAGGAGGCTGAGGCAGGAGAATGGCGTGAACCCGGGAGGCAGAGATTGCAGCGAGCCAAGATCACGCCATTGTACTCCAGCCTGGGCGACAGAGCGAGACTCTGCCTCAAAAATGGCCAGGCGTGGTGGCTCACGCTTGTAATCCCAGCACTTTGGGAGGCCGAGGCGGGCGGATCACGAGGTTAGGAGATCGAGACCACAGTGAAACCCCGTCTCTACTAAAAATACAAAAAAATTAGCCGGGCGTGGTGGCGGGCACCTGTAGTCCCAGCTACTCGGAGAGGCTGAGGCAGGAGAATGGCGTGAACCTGGGAGGCAGAGCTTGCAGTGAGCCGAGATCACGCCGCTGCACTCCAGCCTAGGCGACAGTGCGAGACTGCGTCTCAAAAAAAAAAAAAAAAAAAAAAAAAGAAAGAAAGAAAAGAACCCTTATACCTTTTCAGGTAGTGTTTATCTAAAGATAGGCGTACTCTTTCATTTTCCTTAGTAAAATTAAGCCCAGTAGACACTCTGATTTATTTTATTTTGTTTTTTACATTTTTTTATTTCAATAGCTTTTGTAGTGCAGGTGTTTTTTTGTTTACATGGATGAATTATATAGTGGCGAATTCTGAGATTTTAGTGCACTTGTCACCTGAGTACTGTACATTGTACCCAATACGTAGTCTTTTATCCCACACCCCCTCCTACCCTTCCTCTTCTGAGTCTCCAAAGTCCATTAGATCCCTCTGTATGCCTTTGTGTATTCATAGCTTAGCACCCACTTGTAAGTGAGAATATAATGCTGTTTGGTTTTCCAATCCTGAGTTACTTCTCTTAGAATAATTGCCTCCAGCTCCATTCAAGTTACTGAGAAAGACATTATTTCATTACTTTTTCTGTCTGAGTAGTACTCCATGGTGTATATATACCACATTTTCTTTCTTTCTTTTTTTTTTTTCGAGAGGGAGTCTCACTCCATCGCCAGGCTGGAGTACAGTGGCATGATCTTAGCTCACTGCAACCACCGCCTCCCGGGTTCAAGCAATTCTCCTGCCTCAGCCTCCCAAGTAGCTGGGACTACAGGCACGTGCCACCACACCCAGCTAATTTTTGTATTTTTAGTAGAGACGGGGTTTCACCCTGTTAGCAAGGATCATCTCGATCTCTTGACCTCGTGATCCTCCGACCTTGGCCTCCCAAAGTGCTGGGATTATAGGCGTGAGTCACCACGCCTGGCCACCACATTTTCTTTATTTACTCCTTGGTCAGTGGGCACTTAGGTTCATTCCATATCTTTCCGTTTGTAAATTGGGCTGTGATAAACATACATGTAGGCACTCTAATTTAGTTTACTCTTTACCAAGCAGAGCAGTATCCAGAAACTTGATCAAACTGACCTTCCTGAACCTTGATCTTACATGACAGAGATTGATCATACACAGAAACTTGATCTTTGTCTCTAAGTTAAAGGGAAACTACTGTTTTTTCTTTTAATGTAGCTAGCTCAACGTTTGTATGCTTCTACCTTTTTCCTTTCATTTAAGAATATATGTATTCTGCCAGGCGCAGTGGCTCACGCCTGTAATCCCAGCACTTTAGGAGGCCGAGGCGGGCAGATCATGAGGTCAGGAGATCAAGAACATCCTGGCTAACACAGTGAAACCCCATCTCTACTAAAAATACAAAAAATTAGCCGGGCGTGGTGGCGGGCACCTGTAGTCCCAGCTACTCGGGAGACTGAGGCAAGAGAATGGCGTGAACCTGTGAGGCAGAGCTTGCAGTGAGCTGAGATCGCGCCACTGCACTCCAGCCTGGATGACAGAGCAAGACTCTGTCTCAAAAAAAAAAAAAAAAAAGGTTATATGTATTCCGTATCACAAGGTGACTTCTTCAGAAGCGTTCCCAATTCCTATTCTGCTGCATATGTAGAAGAAGCTTTATTCAAACTACTATATTTTGCTGGGCACGGTGGCTCATGCCTATAATCCCAGCACTTTGCACTTTGGGAGGCCGAGGCAGGTGGTTCACCTGAGGTCAGGAGTTTGAGACCAGCCACCTGGCCAACATGGAGAAACCCTATCTCTACTAAAAATACAAAAATTAGCTGGGCACAGTGGCACATGCCTGTAATCCCAGCTACTCAGGAGGCTGAGGCAGGAGAATCTCTTGAGCCTGGGAGGCGGAGGTTACAGTGAGCCCAGATCATGCCTCTTCACTCCAGCCTTTGCTACAGAGCGAGACTCTGTCTCAAAAAAAGAAAAAAAAAAGAAAAGAAAACTGCTATATTCTACAATAAGTATTGACAAACTTTCTGTGAGGGACCAGATAATAAGCATTTTAGGCTTTGGAAGCTATCTAATGTCTATCATAACTACTCAACTTTGCCGCTGGAGGATGAAAGCAGTCATAGACAATACATTAATGTACAGGCATGGCTGTGTTCCAATAAACTTACAAAAGCAGGCTGATAGCTGAATTTGGCCCATGGGCCATAGTTTGCCAGCCCTTGCTCTGTAGTATTCTGGCTCAGCAGTGAGCCTTGTCACCATTGCTCAGAGGATTTATTTATTACATCTAGCAAAGACTTGAACATAGATGAGATCACTTGAAGCTAATACTCAGAGAATGCTTCCCAGACTATAGAGCTGTTCTATGGTTAGAGTACCTTTAGTCATGTGCTTCTCTATTAAAATTATTTCTTCTACCATTACATGGTCAGCCATCTTTTCTGCTTGTTCCTAGGCAGAGTGCTTGCTACTTACAGGCCTTCTCTTTGCTGCTTCAAATCCAAGCCACTGCCTTTTATTGAACTGAGTTTTCTTTGTGTTTTTGTTCTTTCATCCTTTTCTTTTCAAATTTGTTTTTCTCTTGCTTCAGTCTCCTTTCCCTTCTGTTTCACTGTTTCTCCTATGCAATTCAGTGTTCTGAGAAGCTGGGATTGTTTTTTTTTAACCTTTTGCCAGTAAGTGGGAGGGTTCTGGTCCTTCTAATAGTGAATGAAGCCATCAAATAGTATCTGTCATGAGCCCCGAGACTTAGTGTCTTCTCAGTCATTTTTGTAATTTTGTAATTACTTACTGAACAAAGATTCTTTGTTTGTTGACAGAGTTTATTCTGTGCTTTAATTTCCCTCACCTTCATTTATTTATTTAAAAGTATTAGGGGCCACCTGCTGTGTACCAGGTACTGTTCTCAGCACTGAGAATGCAGAGATGAACATGATAGATGTTGTTCCTGCCCTCATGAAGTTTAGCAAAGAAGACACACATTAAATAAAGAACTAGGCTAGGCACAGTGGCTCATGCCTCTAATCCCAGCACTTTGGGAGGCTAAGGTGGGAGGATCGCCTGAGCCTGGGAGTTTGAGACAAGCTTGGGCAATATAATGAGACTTTATGTCTACGAAAACCTTAAAAAAATTAGCCAAGCATGGTGACGTGTGCCTGTAGCTGCGGCTACTAGGGAGGGTGAGGTAGAAGGATGGCTTGAGTGAGAAAGAGAGAGGGAGGAAAGGAAGGAAGGGGGGAGGGTTGGAGAGAGGGAGGAAAGAAGGAAGGAAGAAAATAATTATGCAAATAAGCCAGGCATGGTCGCTCATGCCTATAATCCCAGCACTTTGGGAGGTTGGGGCGGGCAGATCGCTTGAGCCCAGGAGTTTGAGACCAGCCTAGGCAACATAGCAAAACCCCATCTCTAAAAAAAAAAAAAAAAAAAAAAAAAAGCCAAAAAAGTAGCTGGACTTAATGGCTCATGCCTATAATCCCAGCTACTCAGGAGACAGAAATGGGAACATCACCTGAGCCCAGGAGGTCAAGGCTGCAGTGAGCTGAGATGCACTCCCTCCAGCCTGGGTGACAGAGTAAGACCCTGTCTCAAAAAAATTACACAAATAACTAGGGCTGTGATATGTGGAAGAAAGCAAAAAATATAATTTGCAATGACAAAATCTAATAGGAGACCTAGTCTGAGAGGTCAGGGAAGGTTTCCCTGAGGAAGTGATTATAAACACATAATGAATCCTGAATACATACTTATTAAATTCATGTAGAAATGAAATTATATTTGAGATGAAACCTGAAAGGATTGTCGAGAATTAGCCTGTAATACTAGCACTTTGGGAGGCTAAGGGAGGAGGATCACTTGAGCCCATGAGTTTGAGGTTGCAATGAGCTGATCACGCCACTGCACTCCAGCCTGGGCAACAGAGCAAGACCCCGACACACACACACATACACAAAAAGATGTACCCAGATAAAGTTTAGGGAGCAAAAGGGAGAGGGGTGTCCAGACCAAGAAAACAGCATTTGTGAAAAACACCGAGCTTGGTTCTTTGAGTGAAGCACACGTAAAGCATGAGAGAGGGAAAAATAGGTTACTTCTCAGAATCGGGCTCTGGAAGTAGCCAGTCCCATGATAATGAAGTCCAAGAGACTATGTTTAAGGATTTGGACTTTGGCCTAAGAATGATGGGAAGCCATTGATGGTTACGTGATGAGTTCCTAGTTCCACGTGGTTTTATTTATTTAGTTATTTATTTATGAGACAAGGTCTCACTCTGTCACCCAGGCTGGAGTGCAGTGGTGTGATCTCGGCTCACTGCAACCTCCACCTCCCAGTTCAAGTGATTCTCCTGCCTCAGCCTCCCAAGTAGCTGGGATTACAGGCACAAGCCACCACGGCCTGGCTAATTTTGTATTTTTAGTAGAGACGGGGTTTCACCATGTTGGCCAGGCTTCCACGTGGTTTTAAATACGGTTGGTCCTCCAAATCTGTGGGTTCCACATCCATGAATTCAATCAGCCACAGATCAGAAATATTCAGGAAAAAAAAAGGAGGGTTGAGTCTTTATAGGAAATTGTTTAGGAAATAATGACAAGAAAATGTCTATACAAGTCTGAACATGTATAGACTTTTTTTCTTCTCATTATTTTCTAAACAATGCGGTATAACTATTTACATAACATTTACATTACACTAGATATCATAAGTAATCTAGAGATGATTTAAAGTATACAGACAGAAGGATGTGTGCAGGTTACATGCAAATACTATGCCATTTTATATAGGAAACTTGAGATCCATGGATTTTGGTATATGCAGGGGGGAACGGGAACCAGTCCCCCACAGATACCTAGGGATGACTGTACTTGAAGTTGCCAGAAAGCAAGCTCTGCAAACTTTCTAAAATCTGCCCCCTGAAAAATAAACCCAAACCAGATTTTTTTAATCTTTTGCATTTGAAACAGATATAAATCCATTCGACCACACAGCAACTTCCAAATTTCCACTTGTTAACAGTTCATATCACTGTAATACCAGTATCTGTTTGGTAAGTATAAAGTATCCTATTGAGAGGTCAATAAAAAATACTTGGGAGGCCAAGGCGGACGGATCACAAGGTCAGGAAATCGAGACCATCCTGGCTAATATGGTGAAACCCCGTCTCTACTAAAAATACAAAAAAATTAGCGAGGCGTGGTGGCATGCGCCTGTAGTCCCAGCTACTCGGGAGGCTGAGGCAGAAGAATCACTTGAACCTGGAGGCAGAGGTTGCAGTGAGCCTAGATCACGCCACTGCACTCCACCCTGGTGACAGAGCGAGACTCCGTCTCAAAAAAAAAAAAAAAGTGTATATATATATATATATATATATATATATATATATATATATATATGTATACACACACACACACATACATACATACATATACATATATACATAAAATACATATATATACATAAAATTAACTGTCTATATATAGAGAGAGACTACTATATTTCATTTTTTTTAATTTATTTTTTATTTTTGAGATGGAGTCTCACTCCATCACTCAGGCTGGAGTGCAGTGGCATGATCTCAGCTCATTGCAACCTCCGCCTCCCGGGTTCAAGTGATTTTCCTCTCAGCCTCCCAAGTAGCTGGGATTACAGGCGCATGCCACCAGGCCTAGCTAACTTTTGTATTTTTAGTAGAGACAGGGTTTTACCATGTTGGCCAGGCTGGTCTTGAACTCCTGACCTCAGGTGATCTGCCCGCTTAGTCTCCCAAAGTTCTGGGATTGTAGGCATGAGCCACCATGCCTGGCCTAGACTACTGTATTTCAGAGGTACAGAAATCACTTAATCAAGACTATAAGATGCCCCTCCAAAATATAACAAATGAATAGGTATAGTTGTCATCTGCTTAAGTGCTACTAAATGACTTAAAGTTTACTACTTTTCAACCTTGTCCATTCTGGTTTCTTGTTTTGTGTTTTAACTACTCTGGCTGTGTCCAAATTTTTCCTTCTGTGAGTGAAAATGTCTTTTCTATAACTTCACCTCTTAGCCTTGTTCTGTTTTTTGAACTGCATAGAATAAGCCCGATTTGTCATTTTAGAAGTGGTTAATAGAAGAAGAGCCTTTACTTAAAAACTAAGGTGCTCTGATGAAACTAGAGATCAGATTATGAATTAGAAAGTGAGACTATATAAAAAATCCATTAGGGTAAGCACAGTAGAAAGAGATAGTGATTTATCTTCTTCTTCTCTTCCTTTTCTTTTTCTTTTTTTTTTTTTTTTTTTGAGATGGAGTCTCACTCTGACGCCCAGGCTGGAGTGCAGTGGCACGATCTCGGCTCACTGCAGGCTCCGCCTCCTGGGTTCACGCCATTCTCCTGCCTCAGCCTCCCAAGTAGCTGGAACTACAGGTGCCCGCCACCACGCCTGGCTAATTTTTTTGTATTTTTAGTAGAGACAGGGTTTCACCGTGTTAGCCAGGATGGTCTCGATCTCCTGACCTCGTGATCCACCCACCTCAGCCTCCCAAAGTGCTGGAATTACAGGCGTGAGCCACCGTGCCTGGCCTGATAGTGATTTATCTTCTATTCCGTAACAACTAATAAATACCATAAAATTAACTGTACTCAGAACTAGAGCCTTGTTTCTTTCCTTTGATCCACAAATGGAACCCCTAATATGTGAATCACATTTTATTACAAATTCTGGGGGAATAAGTAAAAGAAAAAGAATATTCAGGTTATAAGATCTTGTGCTCTTAGAGCTTATGATTTCTTTTGAGAGAAAAGATTTGTATGATGATGTAGATATGATAGGTGAGCACATGCCAAATGACCAGTATGCCAAGGGAGAGTTGGAGGAGTTCCAATAAAGAGATCGTGGTGGGCTGGGGAGGAGTAAATCCTCTACCAGGAAATACCTGGCCAGATACAGTGCATCATGCCTATACTCCCAGCACTTTGGGAGGCTGAGGCAGGAGGATAGCTTGAGCCCACAAGTTCAAGACCAGCCTGGTTTAAGACGGGGTCTCACTCTGTTGCCCAGGCTGGAGTGCAGGGGCCGATCTCAGCCCACTGAAACCTCCACCTCCTGGGTTCAAGTGATTCTTCTGCCTCAACCTCCCAAGTAGGTGGGATTACAGGCTTGTGCCAACATGCCCGGTTAATTTTGTATTTTTAGTAGAGACAATTTTCACCATGTTGCCCAGGCTGGTCTCGAACTCCTGGCCTCAGGTGATCTGCCGGCCTCGGCCTCCCAAAGTGTTGGGATTATAGGTGTCAGCCAACGCGCCCAGCCTCTATACAAAAAAAAAAAAAAAATTGTTTAAATTAGTCCAGCGTGGTGGCACACACCTGTAGTCTCAGCTACTCAAGAGGTTGAGGATCTCATGAGCCTGAAAGGTCAAGGCTATTGTGAGCCCTGATTGTGCCACTGCACTCCAGCCTGGGCAACAGGGCAAGTCCTCATCTCAAAAAATAAATAATTAAAAAATAAATGCCTGACTCACTGAGTTTCTCTTTAGAGTGGGATGGACCAGACTTTATTTATAATTTATAGTTCTCTTCCTCCTTTCCATTTCTCTCTCTACTGTCACCCCTAGCAATTATTTGGCCTGAATCAGGCATCAGACAGTATTTACTGAATATAATTGGCTTATCTCTCATGCTCTGTTAGTGATTTTTGTTGTTGTTGTTGTTCTTTTGAGACAGAGTCTCACTCTGTCACCCAGGCTTGGGTACAGTGGCGCGATCTTGGCTTACTGCAAGCTCTGCCTCTCGGGTTCATGCCATTCTCCTGCCTCAGCCTCCCGAGTAGCTGGGACTACAGGTGCCTGCCACCATGCCCAGCTAATTTTTTTGTATTTCTTTTTTTTTTTTTTTTTTGTAGAGACGGGCTTTCACCGTGTTAGCCAGGATGGTCTCGATCTCCTGACCTCGTGATCCACCCGCCTCGGCCTCCCAAAGTGCTGGGATTACAGGCGTGAGCCACCGCGCCCGGCCATTTTGTTAGTGATGTTTAAGATGTTTCATTATGGGACTGGGTGCAGTGGCTCACGCCTGTAATCCCAGCACTTTTGGAGGCCAAGACGGGTGGATCACGAGGTCAGGAGTTCGAGACCAGCCTGGCCAATATAAGGAAACCCCCTCTCTACTAAAAATACAAAAATTAGGCCGGGCGCAGTGGCGCATGCCTGTAATCCCAGCACTTTGGGAGGCTGAGGTGGGTGGATCACCTGAGGCTGGGAGTTCAAGACCAGCCTGACCAACGTGGAGAAACCCCATCTCTACTAAAAATACAAAATTAGCCGGGCATGGTGGCTCATGCCTGTAATCTCAGCTACTCAGGAGGCTGAGGCAGGAGAATTGCTTGAACCTGGGAGGCGGAGGTTGTAGTGAGCTGGGATCGTTCCATTGCACTCCAGCCTGGGCAACAAGAGCGAAACTCCATCTCAAAAAAAAAAAAAAAAGAAAGAAAGAAATTAGCCATGCACGATGTCAGGCACCTGTAGTCCCAGCTACTCAGGAGGCTGAGGCAGGAGAATCACTTGAACCCAGGAGGCAGAGGTTGCAGATCGTGCCACTGTACTCCAGCCTGAGCAACAGAGCAAGACTCCGTCACAAAAAAAAAAAAAAAAGTTGCATTTTATAGTAATCTTTTTTCCTTATTCTATGTTTCTTTGCTTTCTGACTTTTTTAAGTGAATATGAATTTTTTTCTTTTTCTTTTTCACCAAATACCCAGACTTCAAGGAGAGAATATATATTTTTGAGCTAAAACGCACATGCAAAGATCTTCATACCTATTGTGGGAAAATATGCAAAAGCCAATTTTTTGAAGCTATGTGAAAAAAAGAAAAAAACTTTTCTTTCACTCTTTTGAAATGAGTTCTGTTAGGAGCTTTGCCAATGTACATTTAATGTCCGGCAGCTTCTTCTGAATGGCTATCTTGGGCCAACCTTAGAGATTAAAATAAGTGGATTATGTGGCATGATGACAGTAATGAGCTATTGATTTAGCCGCAAAGCTTTGCTCATAGTTTCTTATTTCTCTGTCTGCCTGGTTTCCTTCAAGAACTACTTTATTGTGTTTCTTTCCTCTTCCAGCGGAACGGAAGCCGCCCCTTTTCAACATGAATGCAATGAGTGCCTTATATCACATTGCCCAGAATGACTCCCCAACGTTACAGTCTAATGAATGGTAAGACTCTGCTATCATTTTAAATCTCTAAGAAAATCACCGTATGTATTTGACATTTTTATTACATTACATTTTAAATATCTGACCTAGAAAGCATTTCTTTCCTTCACTGTATGTTGTTACAAGTGACACTGATGCCTCACAAGCATCAACTGTCTACACATGCACACATGCATAGATTTTCTTATTTTTGCCTTCACCATGGCTTGCACTGTGTTCTTAATGTGTCTAGTAACCAAAATCCTGCAGGGAACATGCCCTGCTACCCTCCTAACAAGTCTATTGTCCCAGGTCATGATGGTCTTGTATTGATCATCTCAGCTGATATCACTTCTCAGCAGAGATAAGGGGCCCTCTATGATGTCATTATTTCTCCAGTTGTCTTTTTTTTTTTTAAACTATATGTACACTTAAATGTGTTGAGACAGAGCATACATTATCTATTCAGATACAGTGTTCCTTGCTGAAAAGTATGACATTTTTATAACTATTTGGGCCACAAGAGTTATTTTAAAAGGGGCAATATTAAAGAAGAACGGATAAAATGGAACTTTTAAGATAGGAAGAATTTTTGTTCAGGAAGCCTACTCCTGGGTTCTCCATCCCTCATGCTTCAAATTTTACTACTTTGTTATAGATTGTGGGTGGTAGAGGAATTAACAATTGGTAATTAAGAATATAGAGTTGAGACTATGAGAATTGTTGTCTTTGGAGAGAAAAATGTATATAAAACTTTTATTTAAACATAGTATTTTTGTTTTCTGATGTATATTATGATTTGACCTTCCTTATATATTAAGATGTATTAATATGTTGACTAACTTGAAACTTGTCCTCACTCATTATCCAAAAGAATTTTAGATATCGTAACTTGAAAATGCTCCAGTTATCCTGATATTCCAAAGCATTTTTTTAAAATCTCCTTAAATGCAAAATTTTCCCTTGAATGAAAATTGTTTTAAGTAATCAGTGTGCTCTACAGACCCTGAGTTTATTTTCTTTTGTGTATTTGCACACACAGGACAGACTCCTTTAGGAGATTTGTTGATTACTGCTTGCAGAAAATACCTCAGGAAAGGCCAACATCAGCAGAACTATTAAGGGTAATTTTTCAAATTTATATTTGAGGAGGGGGATTTAAAGTCATGTTATAATGGAATATAATAAATCATTCCTGTGGCAGCTCATCATGACAAAGTGGTTTAGGACGTGCTGCCTTGTCATTTATCCTGAGATAAGTAGCTAGGCATAGAAATAGCAAGATTATTGCAACGTTATGTGCTATGTATTCCCTGTGGATAGGTTTTTCCCTATCTTTTCTATTTTTTCCCCTCCCTCCCTGTTCCTTTTTTGCCTTATAACAAATAATATTTCTCCTCCTTGCTCTAGTCATCATTGTGATGTTCCTGGGCCTAACATCTGCATAAACATTAATCCAGTGGTCTCAGGACAGAGCTGGCTGGTGGTTCAAACACCAACTCTGGGATTTTCAGTTAGGTTGTTGCCAAATCCTCAGGCAGTGAAGGTGTATGATAACTATATAGAGTAGACATTTACATAGTATTATGACATGTTAGTGATAAGAGTATCGTGTTAACCACATTTATTTGATTTAATTATCACCAAGCATCTCTTTTCATGTAATATTTTACTGTAGACTTTATACATAGGCAGTGTGTTGCATCAATATCAGTGTAGTATGTGGAAATCTTTTACAGTAGAAGTGTTTTCTTTTATTTGGCGCACAATAGTCCAAATTTCTTTAATCCTTCTTTTGCATGTTTGTTTTTCAACCCTTTCTGTTTCTTCCGTCTCTAGAATGGCTGGCTTTTATTGTATAGCAGTTCTGTTTGTTCGTTTTTAAGAAGAACTCAGAAGAGTTGTATTGCCTCAATTTGTAAAGCTTAAAAATGTTTGCCTTTATAATTTAAGAACACCTTGGCTAGGTGACAAGTTTTTACTTCTTGTGAGCGGTAGGCCACAGGAGTATGGTAAGAGAAGCAACAGGACAAAGAGCTTGATCTTGTTCTCCTTTGTTGTGGAGCCCTTACATGTTTTAAACATGAACTACTTAGCAACAATTCCATGTTTCTTTAGGGGAAAATAGCAACCAGAACAAAACACCAGAAACACACAATAATATCTTTATTACCTTGAAGTACACAAAGATCTTAAAAACAAACAAACAAAAAACCAAGACATAAAAATTACTACCATAAAAGGGGAAAAAATGTGGAGCTGGGTATGGTGGCTCACGCCTATAATCCCAGCATCTCAGGAGGCTGAGGCAGGAGGATCACGTGAGCCCAGGATTTTGAGGTTATAGTGAGGTATGATTGTGCCACTGCACTCCAGCCTGGGCAATAGAGTGAAAATACCATCTCTTTAAAAAAAAAAAAAAAAGGAAAATATGAATAAATTTGGGCGATGTTAAAAGTTAAGGGTTACAGACAACAAAAGGATATAAAAAGCAAATGGGTAGAGGTAAAGAAAAAAATGGAAGAGAAAAAACATAACAGTTTAAAAAATCATATTATAAGCAACGAACATGTAGTAAACCAACCCATTTAGGATGTTTCCAATGGTGAATAGGCTTAAGGAAATAAAATAGAATTAAGTGCAAAAAATAAAACTTCTAAAGATGAATATAAAGAAAATGATACATTTGGAAGACACAGGAGATCTAATATATGCCAACCGATTATTCCTGAAAAAGAAAACAAAACACATGGAGGAGAAGATTTTTAAAGATATCCTTGAAGAAAACTTTTCTGGAAATGTTTGGATCTTCCTTTGATTTGATTCCATCTTGATTTGATGGACCAAATCAAATGGGCCAACTATTTATTCAACAAATATTTACTGATTGTCTGCTGGGTGTCAAGTACTATTCTAAGCGCAGAGAATACAGTAGTACACAATAAAAACATAGTGCCTGCCCTTGTGAAACTTACAAGAAGGAGTAAGAAATAAATAAGTAGGCCGGGCGTGGCGGCTCATGCCCGTAATCCCAGCACTTTGGGAGGCCAAGGTGGGAGGATCAGGAGGTCACCAGTTCGAGACCAGCCTGGCCAACATGGCGAAACCCCGTCTCTACTAAAAATACAAAAATTAGCTGGGCATGGTGGCAGGCACCTATATTCCCAGCTACTCAGGAGGCTAAGGCAGGAGAATCACTTGAAGCCGGAAGGCGGAGGTTACAGTGAGCCAAGATAGCACCACTGCTCTCCAGCCGGGGCAACAGAGCGACACTAGGTCTCAAAAAAAAAAAAAAAAGAAAAAAGAAAAGAAATAAATATATGTTATAGTGCCAGTTGATGTTAAGTGTTGTGCAGAAAAATAAATTAGACAAGCATCAAGATTGACAGGTGCTGCTATTTTAGGTAAGGAGAAGGCCGTTCGAGGAGGTAACATTTAAGCAGATACATGCATGAAGAGGGGGACCATGAAACTGATCTTCATTGATCAGTAAATCATATCCTGGTGAAGTCCCTGAACTCTAGGAATAAAGAAAGATTCATACAAGCAGACTGAAAAAGTTTATTTTGGGGTGGAAAAACCAACTGACTCCAGACCTACCTCTTCAGGAACAGTCAAAGCCAGAAAACAATAGAACAGTGTTTGCAGAGTTCTAAGGGAAATAAAATATAAGCCAGGAATTGTGAGCCAGCCAAGATGTTCTTAAATTATAAAGGCAGCTGACATCTTCGAGCCCCACACATTTAGGCAATGCAACCTTTCGGCGCTTTCCTTTTAAAAATTGCTCAATAACAGAATCTAGCCAATATAGAGATGAAGCAAAAAGAAGAAAAAGAGGGAGGAAGGCAAGCAGGAAGAATGAATGAGGGACTGGAGAAACTGGTAAAAGGGCTGATGGTAAATATTGAATTTAAAGAGGCCCCTCCCCAAATACTTATTTATTTATTTTGCATGGCTAAAGAAGCTGTATGTTCTTCATTTTAAATAGGTCTCACAAATTTCCAAAAGGAAAAATACAGTAGAAGGTACAACCTGGGGCTGGGCACAGTGCCTTACACCTGTAATCCCAGCACTTTGGAATGCTGAGGCAGGCAGATCACTTGAACCTAGGTGTTCAAGACCAGCCTGGACATGACAAAACCCCATCTCTACAAAAATTAGCCAGGTGCAGTGGCATGCGCCTTTAGTCCCAGCTGCTTCGGAGGCTCAAGGAGGAGAATCACTTGAGCCTGGGAGGCAGAGGTTGCAGTGAGCCGAGATCCTGCCATTGCACTTCAGCCTGGGTGATGGGAGTAAAACCCTGTCTCAAAAAAAAAAAAAGAAGAAGAAGAAGAAGAAGAGCCGGGTGCAATGGCTCACACCTATAATCCCAGCACTTTAGGAGGCCAAAGCAGGCAGATCACCTGAGGCCAGAAGTTCAAGACCAGCCTGGCCAACACGTAGAAACCCCATTTCTACTAAAAATATAAGTATTAGCCAGGCATGGTGGTTCACACCTGTAGTCCCAGCTAATCGAGTGGCTGAGGCAGGAGAATCGCTTGATCAACTAGGAGGTTGCAGTGAGCCGAGATTGTGCCCCTGCACTCCAGCCTGGGCAACAGCAAGACTCTGTCTCAAAAAATAATAAGAGAAGGTAGAACATGAAAAAGAAATCTCCCTCCCATTTCAGGCCCCCTCACTAGCAACCACTGCACCTATTTTGTACCTCTCCTTCTAGTGATATTTTATGCATATAAAAGTAAATGTTGTTTTTATTTTTGCACAAATGACAGCAAACCATAAAAACCGTTCCACCCTGATTTTTCTTTTTGCTTTACAGTGTGCTTAGGATATTGTTTTGTATTACTACATGCAAAGCTACCTCATTCTTTTTAATGGCTCCATAATATTCTTAGATGGACCATAATTTGTTTAACCAACGCATTTAGGATGTTTCCAATCTTTTGCTATTACAAACTGTGCCGTAATGAATATCTTTGTGTATATGGCATTTTGTCCCTGTATAAGAATATCTAAAGAATAAATTCTGGCCGGGCACGGTGGCTCATGCCTGTAATCCCAGCACTTTGTGGGGCCAAGGTGGGCAGATCACAAGGTCAGGAGTTCAAGACCAGCCTGGCCAAAATAGTGAAACCCCATCTCTCCTAAAAATACAAAAATTAGCTGGGCATGGTGGCATGCGTCGATAATCCCAGCTACTCGGGAAGCTGAGGCAGGAGAATCACTTGAACCCGGAAGGCGAAGTTTGCAGTGAGCCGAGATCGTGCCACTGCACTCCAGCCTGGGCAACAGAGCAAGACTCCATCTCAAAAAAATAAATAAATAAAAATAAAATAAAGAAATTCCTAGAAGTGGGATTGCTCATCAATGTGGATTTTAAATTTAGATAGATATTGCCCATTTGTCCTTCAAAGCAGTTGCACCAATTTATAGTCCCACCGTGAAAGTATGAAGACTGATACTTTTTGAACTTTGTCAGATCAGTGAAAACTTTTCTCACTATAGTTTTAATTGCTATTTCACATTATGGGAGATGTTGAACATCTCTCTCGTAAGTTGAAAAGCCATTTGTATTTCCTTTTTAATTTATAGTAGATCTTGGATTTTTTTTTTCCTATTTCTCTTTTGACATTCTTTATGCTGATGTTTTGTGGAAAGGAGGTGGGGAGAGTTATGCAAAAATTTGTTACAAGGAGTGAGGTAAAAATCTACCTTTTTTCCCCCAGCTAAGCTATCTACTTACTCCCAGATATTTTTCAATAATACATCTTTTCCATGCATTTTTGCCCTGACATTAAAACATCACTTTCACACTTAATCCATTTAAATAAACAACTGAGGTAAAATTATTGAAATGGTTAAAGGACAGATGTAAATGTTAGAAACATTTGCAATGTAAAAATAATGTAATTAGAAAAATCTAAGGGCAGGAAAAACGTATGCATACTAATTTCCTTATCTTTCCAAGTAGATGGACAATAACATTTCTTAAAATATATAGGACAAAAGAACTAAAGTAACTTCAATCTCGTAAAGCCTTTAATAATTTTTTTTTTAACTTTAGAGGATCTGTTAGGAACAGATAACTCTTTTGGTGAAGAAATTACAACTAAAGTTAAGCAATTGTTTTATTTTTTAATTTGTGCATGTGTGTGTGTGTGTGTGTGTGTGTGTGTGTGAGACAGAGTCTCGCGCCGTTGCCCAGGCTGGAGTGCAGTGGCGCGATCTCGTCTCACTGCAACCTTCGCCTCCTGAGATTCTCCCTAGCAATTCTCCTGCCCCAGCCTCCTGAGCAGCTGGGATTACAGGCACACGCCACCATGTCTGGCTAGTTTTTCTATTTTTAGTGGACACAGGGTTTCACCCTGTTGGCCAGGCTGGTCTCAAACTCCTGACCTCAAGTAATCCACCCGCCTCAGCCTCCCAAAGTGCTGGGATTACAGGCATGAGCCACTGCATACAGCCTATGCAATCGTTTTAATTCAGTCTCTTCTAATCCTGTTAAATTCAAATATACCTTAATTAAATCGATTATACATAAAATTAGCTTGTATAATCAGATTCCCATGTAAAATGATTTCTAGTTATTCATTGTTCTGAGAGAAAGAAAGGGACATGTCTAAAATGATATTCTGTAACTTAATATTTATGTATTTATTTCGAGATGGTAGAATTTCGGGTGATTTTCTTTCTTTTTTTTTTTTTTTTCCTGAGACGGAGTTTCGCTCTTGTTGCCCATGCTGGAGTGCAATGGCACGATCTCGGCTCATGGCAACCTCTGCCTCCCTGGTTCAAGCGATTCTCCTGCCTCGCCCTCCCTAGTAGCTGGGATTACAGGCATGTGCCACCACGCCCGGCTAATTTTCTATTTTTAGTAGAGACAGGGTTTCTCCATGTTGGTCAGGCTGGTCTCGAACTCCTGACCTCAGATGATCCACCCTCCTCGGCCTCCCAAGGTGCTGGGATTACAGGCATGACCCACCGTGCCTGGCCGATTTTCTTTTTTTATACATTTTTCTGTGTTATTTGAGTGTTGAAAGTAAACATATTTTTGAGAACAATAAAATTGTCCTTTTAAAAGAGTCCGAGGGCATTCCAGTTGTAGGGGTTTGGAGAACAGTGGGCTTTTAAAAACAATGAGGAGGCCGGGTGCAGTGGCTCACGCCTGTAATCCCAGCACTTTTGGAGGCTGAGGTGGGCAGATCACGAGGTCAGGAGATTGAGACCATCTTGGCCAACATGGTGAAACCCCATCTCTATTAAAATACAAAAAATTAGCTGGAAATGGTGGTGCATGCCTGTAATCCCAGCTACTTGGGAGGCTGAAACAGGGGAATTGCTTGAACCCGGGAGGTGGAGGTTGCGGTGAGCTGAGATGGCGCCACTGCACTCCAGCCTGGCGACACAGCAAGACTCTGTCCCAAAAAATAAAAATAAAAAAAAACAATGAGGAGATGGGATTGCAGGCAGAGAGAACATAGAGATGTGAAGGCAAAGGCCTAGAGGTGTGAAAGGTATGCACGGGTTTAGAATTACCTAGAATGTACCTAGAATTGTGTAGGAAGGAGGAGTAGCAATGACTAGATTTAAACCTAGAAATACAAGCAGGAACCTGGCTGTAAAAGGCTACACTTTATCTAAGAGACAGTGAGATATTAAGATGTAGAGTGTATCTGTTTGTAAAAGGTTTAAACAGGTAAGAGTTTATCTCATGTAATAGGAAGTCCAGGACATTGGAAAAGGAAGTGGCGTAAGCAGTCCAAAGCTCTAAGCAGCTCAACAATGTCGTCATCGACCCAAGCTCTTTCTCTCTTTCTACTTCACCATCCTTAGCATGTAGCTTTTATTGTCTTTGTCATAAAATGGCTGCTACATTGCCATGACTCAAGTTTTCATTCCAGGCAGGAAGAAGGAGAGAGAACAAAGGGTAAAACACCTTGTCCTCATGTGTCTTGCCTTTTTATTCTAGAAAATAAAACCTTCCTTGAGAACTTCTGCCTACCTCTCACTGGCCAGAACTTAGTCACTTAGTGATCTGTAACCACAAAGAAGGCTTGGGTTCAGTTCCTTTACTTCCTAGTGCTTCAAGTAAGGCAAAAAAAAAAAAAAGAGAGAGAGAGAGATTGGGTCTGAAAGCTGTGGCTCATGCCTGTAATCCCAGCACTTTGGGAGGCTGAGGTGGGTGGATCACCTAAGGTCAGGAGTTTGAGACCAGCCTGGCCAACATAGTGAAACCCCATCTCTACTAAAAATACAAAAAGTAGTTGGGCGTAATGGTGCACGCCTGTAATCCCAGCTACTGGGGAGGCTGAGGCACAAGAATCACTTGAACCTGGGAGGCAGAGTTTGCAGCGAGCTGAGATTGCACCACTGCACTCTAGCCTGGGTGATAGAGTAAGACTTTGTCTCAAAAAAAAAGAAGTTGGAATGGGGGAATGACATGTAGTATCTGTTGCAATGAATGATCATACCTGTATTTTAGAAAGATAATTATGGTAGTAGGACACCAGAAAATAACCACCACCACCCACACCCCTGGCAGAAAAAAATTTTTAAAGCCTGAGTTGCAGCCGTAGCTCTTCTACTAATTAGCTATGGAAATCACCTAACTTCTCAGGGCCCAAATTTTCTCACTTTGAAAAAGAAAAATTTTCTTTCTTTTTTTTTTTTTGAGACAGAGTCTTTCTATGTCACCCAGGCTGGAGTGCAGTGGCCTGATCTCGGCTCATTGCAAGATCTGTCTCCCAGACTCAATTGATTCTCGTGCCTCAGCCTCCCGAGTACCTGGGACTATAGGCGGGCACTACCACGCCTGGCTAATTTTGGTATTTTTTATTTTTACTTCTTATTTATTATTTTTATTTTTTTTAAACAGAGTCTCACTCTATCACCTAGGCTGGAGTGCAGTGGCATGATCTCGGCTCACTTCAGCCTCCTTCTCCCAAGTTCAAGCAATTCTCCTGCCTCAGCCTCCCGAGTAGCTGGGACTACAGGCACGTGCCAACATGCCCTGCTAATTTTTGTATTTTTAGTAGAGACGGAGTTTCATCATGTTGGCCAAGCTGGTCTTTGATACTCCTGACCTCATGTGATCCCCCTGCCTCGGCCTCCCCAAGTGCTGGGATTACAGTTGTGAGCCACCATGCCCGGTCCCTAATTTTGGTGTTTTTAGTAGAGATGGGGGTTTGCCATGTTGGCCAGGCAGCTCTTGAACTCTTAGTCTCAGGTGATCTGCCCGCCTTGGCCTCCCAAAGTTCCGGGATTACAGGAATGAGCCACCATGCCCAGCCTTGAAACAGAAAGTTTTCTAAGAGGCATTCCCGTTCTAAAATTCTATGATGTTAAGTCATAGCTTTAAGTTTACTAAAAACCGATTAGCTCTTTATAATTGTAAGCACTAGAGGAGGAAAATGATAATACTTTCTTCCTTTCTTTCTCATCCTTGAAATGTGCAGGCTACACTTGCTTCTGGGAATGATGTTTTTTATTCAAAAAGGACTCTACCTAGGAAGAGGTATTTTATAAAAGCAACAGCAAAAACCACAATTCCTCTAAGAGAGTCAGAATGCAGAACCACAAGACATATAGATTGTTTTCTCACAAGGGCCCTATTATTTTTTATCTGTTTAAATTATAAAGAAATTAAATTCATTTCATCAGCTAAGGCCCACTACATTATATCTCATTTTCCCAATGTCTTCAAATTACAATTTTACATAAGTAAATTTTCCACATAACTGAACTTTTGCCTTTAAAAAATAATGTCTTTTTTTTTTTTTTTTCCATTCTGTCACCCAGGCTAGAGTGCTGTGGTGCAATCTCGGCTCACTGCAACCTCTGCCTCCCAGATTCAAGCCATTCTCCTGCCTCAGCCTCCTGGCTTGCTGGGATTACAGGCATGCATCACAATGCCCAGCTAATTTTTTGTGTTTTTAGTAGAGACGGGGTTTCACCATGTTGGCCAGGCTAGTCTCAAACTCCTGACCTCAAGTGATCAGCCTGCCTCGGCCTTCCAAAGTGCTGGGATTACAGATGTGAGCCACCACGCCCAGCCTAATGTCACTTCTTGAGGGCTCAGAAACAGTGTTTCGTGAACTCTTGAGGCATAAAAGGGGCTATATAAGGGGCATTTGCCCTTTTGCAAAATAGCCCACAAACCTGTTTTATTATTATTTGTTTGGTTGATAGGTCTGTTAGTCATGAAATTTCTCTCTGTTTCTCTACTCTCAAGCTGTCAGAGAACTTACAAAAGCTACTTCTTTTTACAACAGGTGGTAACCCTACCTTTCCCAGTCCTCAATCCTTTACTCCTCACTCTTTTTTTTTTTTTTTTGAGATGGAGTTTCACTCTTTTTGCCCAGGCTGGAGTGCAATGGTGTGATCTCAGCTTACCGTAACTTCTGCCTCCCAGGTTCAAGCAATTCTGCTGCCTCAGCATCCCGAGTAGCTGGGATTACAGATGCACGTCACCATGCCCAGTTAATTTTGTATTTTTAGTAGAGAAAGGGTTTCACCATGTTGGCCAGGCTGGTCTTGAACTCCTGATCTCCAGTAATCCACCCGCCTCAGCCTCCCAAAGTGTTGGATTATAGGCGTGAGCCACCGCGCCAGGCTTACTTCTCCATTCTTATTCTCTGTCTAACCTGCTATGGGCTGAGAAACTAGGAAACCAGATTATGTAACAATCATTAATAATATTGAAAGTGAGGGATGTTTATATCAAGATTAATTTATGGACTTTAGGGCAGTTGTTTTCACTCCTCAGAGACCCTTTTTTTTAATTGGGGAAATGAAGTTGCCAGAATTTTGACCTCTGGATAAATTGAACAACTGGCATATTTTCAAGCATACACTATACGGCCACAGAAATAGAGAACAAAATATTCACAAGTCTGTTTTTCAAGGGATAGTGTGTATGGGGGTGAGGATTGAGGCAAGTTATAATAAGAATAGAACAAGGTGCGGTGCGGTGGCTCACGCCTGTAATCCCAACACTTTGGGAGGCTGAGGCGGGTGGATCACTTGAGCTCAGGAGTTTAAGACCAGCCAAGGCAACATGGTGAAACCTCGTCTCTACTAAAAATACAAAAATTAGCCAGGCATGGTGGTGCATGCCTGTAATTCCAGCTACTCGGGAGGCTGAGTCAGGAGAATTACCTGAACCCAGGAGGTGGAGGTTGCAGTGAGCCAAGATCGCACCACTGCACTCCAGCTTGGGTGAGAGAGCGAGACTCCATCTCAAAAAAAAAAAAAAAAAAAAAAAAGAATAGACTATACTATGCATTGCTTCTGCTTATTATGTAGTTTCAGATTTAAAAGGTACAAGCCTACCTCCTACTTCTTAAAGTTCTAGTGATTTTTTTATTACTTATATGATAAAGTAAACCTCAAGAATTCTTATATGAAAAGATACTCAACATTCACTAATTATTGGAAATGGAAATGAAAACCACAATGAGGTATCACCTCACACCTGTTAGAATGGCTATTATCAAAAAAGATAAGCGATAATAAGTGGCAAGGGTATAGAGAAAAGGGAATCCTTATATACTGTTGGTGGGAATGTAGATTGGGGTTGCCATTATGGAAAACAGTATGGAGGTTCCTCCAAAACCCAAAAAACAAAATGTTAATTTGTTCCAATAATCCCCCTGCTGGTTATATACCTGAAGAAAATGAAGTCAGCACCTCATAAAAATACCTGTGCCCCCATGTTCATCACAGCATTTTTCTCTATAGCCAAAATAAGGAAACATCCTA
The DNA here is from genome assembly GCF_000001405.40 of Homo sapiens. Lineage (NCBI taxonomy): Eukaryota > Metazoa > Chordata > Mammalia > Primates > Hominidae > Homo > Homo sapiens. Next base: position 118,202,277 of record NC_000012.12, on the reverse strand, counting down.
TGTGTTCATCAGTGGATGAAAGGATAAAAGAAATTATGGTATATGTGATATAGATATTTAAGACTCAATAATATATATGACTGAATATTTTATTATATATATTTATTATATATTTGTTTATTTATAATATTTATTTTATATATAGTCTTAAGAAAGTGGGCCTGCCATTTGCAGCAATACATGTGAACCCAGAAGACATTATGCTAAGTGAGATAAACCAGACACACAAAAAAATAGCATATGATGTCACTTACATGTGGAAAGTAAACAAAGAATAAAACACAAAATGAAAGGTGGTTGAAAGGGATGGGGAATGGAAAGATGAAAGTCAAATGGTACAAAGTTTTAGTTATGTGGGATAAATAAGTGTAGAGATCCAGTGTACAGCATGAGGACTATAGTTGATAATATTGTATTATATCTGGGAAATTTGCTAAGACTAAAGATTTTCGGTACTTTGCCACCAAGAAGTAACTATATGAGATAATAGATATGTTAATTTGCTTAACTGTAGAAATCATTTCACTATATATATGTGTATCAAAACATGTTGCCATATACTTTAAATATGTACAATTTTTAAAAAGAATTCTCACATCCGCAAAATGGGGCTTAAGGAAGAAGAAAAAAGCATAGCTATCTCTTTATGAGATTTACAAAATATGGAAGGACACATGACATGAAAATCATATTTTGTTATTTCTGTAATATCCATAGAACTATTTTATGATTCTCTATTTCCTTTTATATCTGTACCTTGCACCTAAGGACATTTCTTCATTATCAGTTTATTTTTTCCTCCTCCCTCAATCAGCATGACTTTGTTCGACGAGACCGGCCACTACGTGTCCTCATTGACCTCATACAGAGGACAAAAGATGCAGTTCGTGAGCTAGATAACCTACAGTACCGAAAAATGAAAAAAATACTTTTCCAAGAGACACGGAATGGACCCTTGAATGAGTCACAGGAGGATGAGGAAGTAGGTTCAATTTATTTTAGCAGGCACTTATAGAATGCCCACTATGTGAAAAAGTTCTAGACTGGGCACTATGAAAAACTTTTGAAGATAAAAATTAATTGATGCTGTCCGCCTTAAGAAACATGAAGGGTTGTACAAGAGACATTCATAAAATAACACTTATATAAGGCAAAATATGAAAAGTGCTACAGAGGTGTAACCCCATTGCAGGGGTCCATCATGGGGAGAAAATAAGTCTGCTGGTGGGATTAGTGAAGGTTTCCTGGAGGACATGATGTGGGTAGTTTCTGACAAATGGGCATAGGGTGTTCTAGACTCAGAAAGGTGTTGTGCTTTAGGAAGATTATCCTAGCAACAGAGTGTAACATGGATTTGAATGGGCAACATCCTGGCTAATAGTCCATGCAAGAGGTAATAAGGTCAGTGTCGATGCAAATGGGGAAAAGGGAGCACTTTAGAGAAACATCGTAGAGGTAGATTTCATAATCCATGGCTTCTCATTGACAGTGACAGATAAGGAGGAGTTTAAGGTGACTCTGAGCATTGGAGCCTGGGTGGCTAGGAGTATGTCAATACCAAGAACAGAGAAAAAGAACCAGGGAGAAAGAGTAGATTTAGGATGATTTCAGTTTCGTGCCTTTTGAGTTTAAGGTCCTGGCATTATAAACTCTTGCCAGTATACAGATAGAAGTTTTCAGTTAGAGAATCCTTGATGACCTTAGTAAAAGCAGTTTTACAGGACTAGGTAGAATGAATAGTAGATTACTGGAGTTGTATAATTCATGGGAGTTGATAAGAGGGAGACAGGAAAAAATAATTATGTTAAGATTCAGAAATTGGGTTAAGAAGGAAAAGTAAGAGTGGGCAGCATGTAGAGAGATCCATAAATATAAGGCAGGCTTCTTCATCTTTAAATGCAGTAGAGATGGAGCCAGGGCAGAGTCAGAGGCACCGAAGATAGAAGAAAGGGATATAGTTAAAGAGGCAGGATTTCAGAACGTAGACATAACAAGAACAGGAGTATTTTAGCTTTTTAACAGAAAATAAAATAAACATAAAAGTATTTTATCAATAATTTTAAAAATGAAGCTCGGAAAGTTGCATTGAACTATAAAATTTCTTGATTGCATATATAGAAATGATCCCCTTTAATTGGGAAAATAAGTCTGTTAAAAATAATGTATTATCTTCCATTTTATATTACCCAGTAATTTTTTATATTGCCATGGCTAAGTAACAGTTTATTAAAGTTATATGTGTACCATATGGTTTTTTGAGAACAAGGTTTATTTGTAGCTAAATGGATTTAATTTTATTATTCAATCTTATATCAAAAGATATCCCACTGTGATGGATAAATTATATGTTCTGATTATTTTACCACTTTTCAAATAGTAGTCTTTGGGCCAGTAATGATGAATACCAGTATTATTTAACAGATATATATAATAAGATTACAGAGATAAGCATGATAGAATCGCTTGAGGGAGGCAGACTTTAATTACCTGTCCAGGAAAGTAGAATTAATATTTCTGCTTAGATATGAAGTTACTCAATAATGACTTGCAGAGGGAGCATATTGCTTGTCAAATATCTGAAAACTCTTTCCACTCTACTTTTTCAAGTGACCACTGCTGTATTTGAAGATATCCTAGAGCTCACCTGTTTAGTGGCCAGCAGTCTTCCTCTAGCTCCTTGATGTTCCAGAAGGTCCCTTACAAACCTGGCTTGATTTTGCTTACTGAATAGCAACACGATAATATGATAGTGTGTATGACAGGGGAAAGCCCTGGGATGGCAGCATTTGGAGCCTTATGACCCACGTCCAGAATGGCCCCTGGGGAAGGCATAGGAAGCAAATATGAGATGTATGAAAATGGTGGAGGAGTAGTGGAGCCAGTACATAAAAAGTTTGTCTTTGCAGATTGGCAGAAAAGCAACTTGACACTGCAAAATTGAGTGTGCTTGACACTTTTGTCAATGGATTGACTCTTTATCTTCAGTCTTTTTTTCTAACCTCAGTGCCCCATTTTTACAGGACAGTGAACATGGAACCAGCCTGAACAGGGAAATGGACAGCCTGGGCAGCAACCATTCCATTCCAAGCATGTCCGTGAGCACAGGCAGCCAGAGCAGCAGTGTGAACAGCATGCAGGAAGTCATGGACGAGAGCAGTTCCGAACTTGTCATGATGCACGATGACGAAAGCACAATCAATTCCAGCTCCTCCGTCGTGCATAAGAAAGTAGGTTTCTTGGTACCCTCCACAGAGGTGAGCTTTGTCAATCATAGCGAATCCAGTTCAAGTCACTTAGCTTCCAGATGTTTCAGTTACCTTTTTGCAACTGCAGTGTGGTACTAAACCTGGCATGTGACAGTTTTCTTACAGTCAAAAAGTAACAAAGGACTACACAGGCTACATCTGTGCCTATTTCTTCATCTCCCTCTCTCATTACTCTGATGTCCATCATCATCAATAAATAAGTTGAAGAATTTGATAAGTCCTTCTCTAAACCAATAATCTTAATACTGTAGACCTTCAAGTCTTCCTGAGTGTACCTGTTGGTTGTGCCCTTTTAGAAGTATGCTCTTTCAAAAGTATGTTTCTTGGCTGGGCGTGGTGGCTCACATCTGTAATCCCAGCCCTTTGGGAGGCCTAGGCGGGTGGATCACTTGAGGTCAGGAGTTTGAGACCAGCCTGGCCAACATGGCGAAACCCCGTCTTTACTAAAAATACAAAAAATAGCCGGGCCTGGTGACATATGCCTGTAATCCCAGCTACTCGAGAGGCTGAGGCAGGAGAATTGCTTGAACCCAGGAGGCAGAGGTTGTAGTGAGCCGAGATCGCGCCATTGCACTCCAGCCTGGGCAACAGAGTGAGACTCAAAAAAAAAAAAAAAAAAAAAGAAGAAGAAGAAAGAAAGAAACTTGCCTCGGGTAAAAGGAGGACTTACTCTAGCAGGGAGTAAGAAAAGCCTACCTGATGAGGTGACATTTAAGCAGAAATTTCAAAAACAAATAGAAGCTAGCCAGCTGGGGTAAGAGATGGGGATGAGTCAGAAAGCAACAAGTACAAGAGCACTGAGACAGAGAGAGCTTTGTATGTTCAAGGAAAAGGGGAAGGCCATAGAAGCTATGGCTGGTGTGCTATGTGGACAGTGCCTCAGGACCAGAGAGACAGCAAAGGACCCAGATTATCAGGAAGACATGGAAGCAATTTGAGGAAAGCAAAGATGTCAGACAGATGCAGAAATCTACCAAGAGATCAGCATTGCCAGCTGGTGTCCTTTCAACATGGGCAAGTGATCATGTATTTGAAGAGTAAAAAAGAAGGTTTTGAGGCCAGGCGCAATGGCCGAGGTGGGCGGATCACGAGGTCAGGAGATCGAGACCATCCCGGCTAACATGGTGAAACCCCGTCTCTACTAAAAATACAAAAAATTAGCCGGGTGTGGTGGTAGGCACCTGTAGTCCCAGCTACTCGGGAGGCTGAGGCAGGAGAATGGCGTGAACCTGGGAGGCGGAGCTTGCAGTGAGCCAGGATTGCGCCACTGCACTCCAGCTTGGGCAACACAGTGAGACTCCGTCTCAAAAAAAAAAAAAAAAAAAAAAAGAAGGTTTTGCTGGGCTGTCTTTTTGGAGGGAGTGATCATGAGTGCTGACAGGTCTGGCACTTTCCTTTCTATTACCCCTGGGGCTCTATGAGTAGAGGGGGCAAAAGAGAGGAATTCAGTTGGATCTTTTTGCTCCAGGACTTCTCAGATAGGCAACCAGAATTAGAAGAAAGACACTACTGGCATAATCAACAAGAAAGAAAACCCTGGTCTAGAACTAATGGGATTTTTAATTTTATTTTTGCATGCTGTCATAGACCTACCTTGTGATAATATGAGTGTTTCAATACTTTTCTCTCCCTGATGTGTGATGACTTAAGTAGAACAGATAAAATTTATATTCTGAAGTAGAAGATAATTGCATTTGATCCACAAAAAATATATAGGTCAGGAAGAATTTAAGTTATATATTCCTATTTTATCATGAAATATATAGAGGAAATATGATGGAAGAAAATCAAAACACATTTGCAAATAAAACTTTGGATGAGTTACCTTTAAAATGTAAGTGAGCTCAAAAAATAGAATATATATGAAAACTTAAGATATGGTATCTTTTCATGAAATCCATTTAGTTCTTGTACCTGAGCTTTAAAATATGTTATCTTTAAAAACAATAGAAATAAAAATTATTCATGAAGTTTGTATTGGATGGTTTACTCAAATTCCTAACACTTTTTCACTTGGGAACATAAATAGGATTTTTAACTCTCAACAGAAAATTTTGTATATTAAACTTAGGAATGAGGAAACTAATTTATAGTTCTATCTGCCTCTGTTAGTTTTATTTTACTTTGGACAAATAACAAATCCAATACCTAGAATAGTGCCTGGCGCAGCATAGATGCTCAGTAAATAACTGTGGAATGAATGAATAGACCAACAAAACCAAAAAGAAGGCAGGGAATAAATTAATTACCAAATATTAAATATCATACTCTACTGGTTCATTGAACATAATGGATCAAAAGGATTAAATAATCTTAGCTATCTTTACAGTTTGAGAAAGTTAAATAATAGTTAAATGAAAGTTAAATGAGTACCCAACACAATAAGAACGTGCTTAATAAATACCAAAATATATGAATATGGGAGAAGGAATCTTTTGTCCCTTGATTGTTATAATCAAGCAGATATATCTTTTCTTTTCTTTTTTTAATTTTTGGAGACAGAGTCTCACTGTGTTGCCCAGGCTGGAGTGCAGTGGTGCAATCTCGGCTCACAAGCAGACATATCTTAAATTAGTCAAATTAATTTGACTGGTAGTCAAAACAGATCTGAAACAGATTACCATTTTAGATAGGAAATAAATTTGCTTTTTCAAAGAAGGACCTTAAAAAAATAAATAAAATGAAATCCATGAGTAGCTAGTGAGAGCATGACTTGCACTTAACTGCTCTGCTTCCAGAATAAAGATGCCCTGATTTTAGCAGGACAGTTCTACCACAGATCAAGCCCCCAAAATGCAAAGTGGGACACTGAAAATTTTCCTTTGACATCAGAATTCCAGGTTACTTACTCTCCAGTCCTTGCCTCTACTCTGGTCTTTCCCAGGCCCTGAGGGGATCCTAATCCAAACTTCCTTTTATTTATTTATTTATTTATTTATTTATTTATTTATTTATTTATTTTGAGATGGAGTCTCGTGCTGTCGCCCAGGCTGGAGTGCAGTGGCGCGATCTCAGTTCACTGCAAGCTCCGCCTCCTGCGTTCACGCCATTCTCCTGCATCAGCCTCCTGAGTAGCTGGGACTACAGGCGCCTGCCACCACACCTGGCTAATTTTTTGTATTTTTAGTAGAGACAGGGTTTCACCGTGTTAGCCGGGATGGTCTCGATCTCCTGACCTCGTGATCCACCCTCTTTGGCCTCCCAAAGTGCTGGGATTACAGGCATGAGGCACTGCGACTGGCCCAATCCAGTCTTCTTTTTGAGCAAGAATGATTTGATAAGGCTAAAGGCATATTCTGACAAAATAAATTTTAGGTACTTATTTTTCCCCCTGGCTAGTGTTGCCACACTACTTTTTTCAATAACAAGAACATCACCACATCTCTAGACTGGTAGTTCTTCAGGAACCTTTTTTTTCACCTACCACGTAGCACAGTGTCTGTTACATAGTAAGCGCTCAACAAATGTTCTGTGAACTAAATTGAAGATGGCCAAGGACACAATTCCACACCTCAATTCTTGATTATTCACAAGTGACTCCGGTACAAATTTTTAATCCAGATTGTTTCCTTGTCATCTAGCCTGCTTCTGAGCCTTCATCCTACTCCTTAAAATCATTGTGTATAGAGCCATAGCAAATAGATTTTAATAATATCCTAAGCAGCAAAGTCTGTCTTTTAAATTTGTTAATCAAAAGGTGTATTTTTATTTTACTAAAGTATAAAATTAATTCCCTTTGCCTGTTGCTGCCTTCTATTAGTATAGATCATAAGACTTTAATATATTAAAAGCATTGTTCTTGAATCAGTGTTATTTTAGGTATGCTTATTGAACGCCAGTCATAAGGGTCCCTTTCTAGGGATTATTTAGAGAACATTTTTTTCTTTTTTTTAATGGGACAACACTTCATTCTATAAAACAGAATAAGTGTTCCAGAAACTATTGTTTAAAAAAGTCATTCTACTGGCCAGGCACGGTGGCTCACACCTTTAATCTCAGCACTTTGGGAGGCCAAGGCGGGTGGATCAAGAGTTCAGGAGTTCGAGACGAGCCTGGCCAATATGGTGAAAATCTGTCTCTACTAAAAATACAAAAATTAGCTGGGCGTGGTGGCACGCGCCTGTAATCTCAGCTACTCTGGAGGCTAAGGCAGGAGAATTGCTTAAACCTGGGGAGGACAGAGGTTGCAGTGAGCCAAGATGGTGCCAGTGCACTTCAACCTGGGTGACAGAGCAAAGACTCCGTCTGGTGGAGGGGGAAAAAAAGCCATTCTACCCTGACTCCTAAAGCTTTATTTGACCCTTCCTGTTAGTCAATGTTAGTTCTTTTCCCATCCCCTCTTTAAAAAAAGAACAGCTTTCACCACCTTTGCGGGATAAAAAAAAAAAAAAAAAAAAAAGAAATGTCCTTGAGGGAATAGGATGTTCTAGTTTAATTTTCACTTGCTTCAGTGGCCTTTCCTATTATTTTTGCTGAATAGAGGGGTGGGTCCTTTGCCTCTTCAACTCACATTTGGCAAAGTAAAAGTAAATTAACATATGAAGGTAATGTTTCTTAAACAGAGCAGTCATACAACACTTCTCTGTAGTAACGTCTTTCTCCTCAGCCTTTTGCTAGTCATCTTTTCTCTCCAACTATCCTTCCAAGTTAAGATATGCTTTTTCATCTTCTCCTCCCCTTCCTCCAGCCCCAGCTTTTGATAGCTACCCCTGCTTCGACAATAATTTAATAATTTTGAAATGAACAAAACAAAGGAGAGTGGTGGGTCTGCTGATCCCTTCTCCACAGCGTAGAAAGTGTGGGAGTCTATACAAAGGTTTCTCATCACCGGATAAGAGCCATTTTTAGATACATCCCCCCGCACCCCGCTGTGTAAAGGTGTGCTTATGTGTGTGTCACTATTTTACGACTTCCTTAGAGTACAGAGTGGCAGGTTTTTATGAAATACAAATTTGAATTCTGTTAAATAATCCAAAAGAAAATGTCATTTTCTCAAAATCTCCTCAGACCTATATTCTTGTGTTTGTTTATTCAGCAAACATTTACTGAATACCTACTAAGTATCAAGCACTATGCCAGGTGCTAGGGAGACTAAGATTTTTCAAACGACATTTACTCTGCCTTCAAAAAGCCCACAGCCTTATGCAGAGGCAGACAAGTAAGTGTGATGAGTACTGTGATAAAAGTAAACCCAAAGCACAACTGAGTCCAGAGGAGTGATTCCTGGGTTAAAGTCAAGTTCATTTAGAAACTGTAGGCAAGTAGCCAGGCACGGTGGCTCACGCCTGTAATTCCAGCACTTTGGAAGGCCGGGGTGGGTGGATCGCTTGAGCCCAGGAGTTCAAGACCAGCCTGGGCAACATAGTGAGACCCCAGCTCTATTAGGGAAGAAAATATATTTAGAAAAAGAAACTCTAGGCAAGTGCCTAACCACGAACCTTCATTTCAGAAGTGTAATGGTCAGACACTTAAAGGAAAGACTTCCAAATAAAAGGAAAGCCCCTTGTCTAAGGTATAATAGTAAAGTTTGTGTGCCTCATGCTTCACATGTTTCACTCTTGTATAGAAATTCAATTCTTTTTACCAAAGATCTTGAAGAAACATTATGACAGCTTCCTTTTTAATCTGAAGAAATTTATTTTTTATGATGAAACAATGTCGTGGGCTGGGTGCGGTGGCTCGTGCCTGTAATCCTAGCACTTTGAGAGGCCAAGGCAGGCAGATTGCCTGAGCTCAGGAGTTTGAGACCAGCCTGGGCAACATGGTGAAAACCCATCCCTACTAAAATACAAAAAAATTAGCCAGGTATGGTGGTACGCACCTGTAGTCCCAGCTACTCAGGAGGCTGAGGCACAAAAATGAACCCAGGAGGTGGAGAGGTAGCAGTGAGCCGAGATAGTGCCACTACACTCCAGCCTGGGCAACAGAACGAGACTGTCTCAAAAAAAAAAAAAAAAAAAAACAACAACGTGGTAAGTTTACCAGGTTAACGTAGGTTTACTTAAAACTGGTATTTCAAGGAGTTATTTTTGTTTTTTCCTGGATGATAATGTTTTAAAGATAAATTATAACCATGCCATATATTTTGCCTTGGCAAAGTAGAATAGATTTATTCTTCTTAATCTTCTAAAATCCTTCTTTGAAGATTTCAGCCTTATCATTTGTAAATAATCTGTATCTAGTGCATAACTGCATAAAAATAGAAATTAACCCTTTCCATTGTTAATCTTAAGATGTGTGCAGTTCAGAAACTCTGGGAGCCAGGTATAGTGGTCTCTTACAGAGGCACTGTTACTTAAAGGGGCAGTATAACCAACAGAAAATATTTCCAGTAAAGTTGATACTTTAATTTCTTTGAGCTTACTTCTCAAGTTACATTCTCCCATTTTTAAATAGCTTCATAAGCTGTCTTTGGAGTTTTGAACCTGTTTTATGCAGTGGAACTGAATATTAAAATTCATTTCCCAATGCACTTGAAATGAATATCCACTGTTAGACTAAAATTTTGTTCCATTTTGTGGTCTCTTGTATAATATTTGAAGACCTTTAGTGATAGTGATCTCTGTTATGAAAATGATCTGGAAAACTAAGAATAATTTTATAAAAGGAAAAAAATGTAGGGGGAAGCAAAGAATTATACTATTAGCATTATTATATTTAAAGTGGGTTAAAATTTTGAACCTATTCTTTGGACTATAAAAATAGCATTATTTTAAAAATATACTTGAGTTACTTAATTACATATGTGTCAACTAAAATCAATGTCATTTCAAGTTTTAATTTTTCCGGTGTACTTCAACTTCCTCAAGTTTAGTAAACTTAGAAAATACATTGTGGCTTTTAATTGGAGAAGCAGAGCCCTAAACCGTGTTTCTAAGGAGTTAATTTTTATCAGAGATAAAACAGACTAAATAAAATTGCACATATTTGTACATGAATAAATTTTGTTTTGGTCTGCCCTGTGGAGAATGTGGATTCTAGTGTCATTGGTTATCCTTATAAATCAAGTTATTACAATGTGAAACTGAACTGTTGCCCATGTATTTGGGGTCTCCCCCTCTATCAATGTACTTGGTAAGTTAGCCAATTAATATTCACCAAAACTACGACTTGTTAAAGCCTCCTATAAAATCACAGGCCTCTACCTAGCATATCTCTTTTGATTACTGGCATTTAAGAGCTGCTTGCTTTTCTGGCACTGTAATATTAAGTTGAATTTTGTACATAAATTTATTAGCAAATATGCAGTAATGTAAATGGTAGCAGGTCCCAGTGCCTTCCTCTTTAGAACCTTAAGCCTAGTGAATGAATCCCAATTACACACGTTCTCGCTCTTCCCTGTAAAACAGGAGTTCAAATTTCGCGAGAAATCATGTAGAATAATTTTAACTGACCTTTCAAATATTTTCTTATAAGTTTTAAAAACTTACAAGTTTTATAAGCCACCAATATGGCACCACTAACTATGGCTACTAAGTGCTTGAAACATAGCCATTATGACTCAGGAACTCAATTTTGCACTTAATTTTGTTTTAATTAATTTTAATTGAATTTAATTTTTAATTAAAATAGTCATATGTGGCTGGTCACTATCTTGCTGGACAGCGCAGCTGCAGAATATACGTGAATTTGATATATATGCCCTCAATGGCAAGTTTATTAAAGATCCCTTCATTATTTGAGCTATAATACATAAATTTAAAACAATTCTCCATATAGGTGTAATGGTAGATACCTTCCCAATACATCAAAGCATTTTAAATGTATAAAAGGAAAAAGAAAATCAGCCCAATTTAATCTTGGGTCTTGGCTTTTACATAAAAATCTGGATGTAAAATTTAATTTCTCCCCAAATTTTGGACTATAATAAAATTTTGTATTTTCTAAACTTCTTTAATTTTTGTTTCCTGATGAAGAAAAAAGCCATTATAAAAAATTTCAAGTGGTCATGGATAAAATGCAATACTGACTTCTCACAAATGGTTTTCCTAAAACCCTAGGGAAATAAGGAATTAATTTCTCCTTTTCCACCCTGAACATGTACTATTTTAAAATCCCCCATGGTTGTACATGTTTTTGAGGTACAAATTACTATAGCGTCCTTTTTTCTAAAGGGTTATAGCCACTTAATGACTGACCACTACTTCATCTTTATAGAGAGGAACATCATCCTTTGAAAGCATTTTCCCCTTTAAAAGTCATTTCAGTTGCATTTAAGAAACATCCATTATTATCCTTCCAGGGAATGCTATTTTTTCACTGGACGTTAGAACAAGATTAATTATCTTTGCCTATCAAGAAGCATGGGCTTGATTAAATCAGTCAAGGACATTAAATTCCAGCTTTACTCACTCTGGTGACCATACCGATGCTGAGTTGAAGAAGAATTTGTGAACGTATCATTTGGTTAAAATTGTACGCCTGTCGCTTTAAATCTAAAAAAAAATCCTTTCAGAAGCTGTAGAGAGAAGGTGCTAGAACTGTGTACGATCATGACTGGAAAGCAGGATCCCTCAGTGACTGCCGAATCTTCCCAGCACAAGATAGAGAGGCAGTTCAGCACAAGCCTACATTGGTTCTAGGCAGAACGATGATCCTACCGAACAGATCTCAAATAAAATTAAATTGAGAAAGCAGATCTTTCAAGGGAATGAGGCGGAGGCTCGCTTTTATGTTAAAAGCCACCAGCATCCTCCTTGCTAGACATGGACATGACATTTTTAAAGGAATTATCTGGTTACAGCGTTTTAAGCAAACTGTTCTAAGGAGTCTGTACATTGCATTATTTTTTCTATTCTTTTTTTCTTTTGCATATATGTAATTCTGGAGGTAAAGAAAAAGCCTGCCAGGGATTCAGAAGGCATCCCACTAGCGATCAGCTGACATTCCTAACTGAAGGCTGCAATGTGTTGCTTATTCATTTTGTACCGTGGGAGCTGCGGGGACTAGCAGAGAGCTAAACTATGCATTTCAAACAGCAGTGCTTGTGCAGAAAGAGGGGTGAGAGAGAGGCAGCCGGCGAGGAAAGAGCACAGCTGGACTTTCTCCTTGTTTTTATCCATTTCTGCAGGATCATGTATTCATAAGGGATGAGGCGGGCCACGGCGATCCCAGGCCTGAGCCGCGGCCTACCCAGTCAGTTCAGAGCCAGGCCCTCCACTACCGGAACAGAGAGCGCTTTGCCACGATCAAATCAGCATCTTTGGTAAGCAAACACCCCTCTACCCACCTTCCCTTCCTTCCCCTCCTCCCCATCTGGCAGCCTCTCGCCCTCCCTGAGCCTGTCTCGGCTTCATGGATGGGAGGAAAGGAGTCAAGAATGTTTTCTCTCTCCTAATAATTTTATTCATTTTAGGAAAAAAATCTGTTGGCATAGCAACCTGATTTCAGATATTTTAGCATTGTGTATGGCATGGAAAAAAAAAAAAACCTTTGTGTGTGTGTGTGTGTGTGTGTGTGTGTGTGTGTGTGTGTGTCTGTGTCTGTGTGTGTTTGTATATGCTGTATGTGCAAAATATAAGGCCTTTGAGATGAAGTTGCTAGCCTGTCCAATTTTTTAAAAGCTATTTGTCTTTTCATTGAAATAAATAATGCTAAATTTTTTTAAGGTATTGATGTATATGTATGCACGGCACTGTGCTGCTTTTTGTATAGATGCATATGTGTCTATAATGTATACACACACATCAAAAGATAAAATATAATTTTAAAGAATATATGGTTGCTGGATAATGTATATAATTGTAGAAAATAAGATACTTGTTTCCCAGGGACGGATTGCTGGTTCCTTCTGGTTCATTCATTTATTTATTGCAACAATGGTAGTGGCTGCACTTCCCCATTTAACCCCTGAAGAATTTCCTGGCACCAATAAAGCAAGAAGGGCTTTGTAGGAGAGGATAGGGCTGATTGTGGAAGAAAAGAGACTGTAGGATTCTTCAGCATTTTTACTATTGCAAATGTGATTGCTGGATGCCCTTGTAGTAGCAAAAGGGGTGTGTGCTGGAAGAGTTAGTTTTCATGCCTCCTCCCCTCGGCCCCCACGCGTGCGCGTGCGCGCTCACACTCACACACACACACACACACACTCACATCGTTTCATCCTTGGCACTCTAAACTCTCTTTAATCTTTTGCTTCTGAATCTCACTTCTCAGCCAAAAAATTATTGAAATATTAGTTGTTTTGCCCAAATTAATGTTAGAGGTCACATGGGCAGGAAGAGTTAGTGTACACTGCTTGGCTATTACATTTAGAACCTATGATGACATCATCCAAGGCCGACCCAGAAATGATCATTTTTCTTGTCCTATTTTTTAAACCTGATTTCTACTTCTATTTCTCAAGTCTTTTAAAGGCTTCGATTATCTTTGAAAATTATAATGGATTATAACCTTTAAAAACCCAAATGCAAGGAAAAATGGAAGTTAAAGCACGTACATATTGCTGTGCCTGCTGCTGTCTAAAAGCAAGCAATTTAATTTAAACTGCTTATAAATAAGCCCACTTTAAAGTTCCTTTATGTAGAAGTTTCTTGTGATCTCTTTGATGAGCAATTTTTCATTTTAAAGGAATGCTACACTATGTAATGGAGATCTTAAAATGTCCACTATGTATTTGCTAATGATTGTTAGGCACCTAAAAATGTGCTTTTGAGTCTAGATAAAGCATCATAAGATTACCAAATAGTCATTGTCTTCATGCCATGATATCTGACAAAAGAAGAAATACGGTGCTTTAGAGAACTATGACTACTTACCATCGACTCTTGTGAGACTTGGACCTTTATCCAGACCCGTTCATGTTGAAATGAGTGGGGAAATGATAACAAGCTCTGAGCAACCGAGTACCATCAGTGGTTTTACATGTGAAGCAGACATTATACCAAGTGGCTTTCCCCCTCTGGGACAGGTTCTTTTTTCTCTCTTGCCACACCCTCATTCCCACATCATATATTCATGACCTCTCCTACCTCCCAGCAAGAGATTACTACAGCCATGCCAGAATAATCTCATGCTCGCATCTGTGAACTCACCCAGGGCTACTCTGTGTGTATATCAGCCATCACAGTCTTCTTCTCTGTGGATGATAAAAGCTGCTTCCCTACTATGCCACCTCAGGGCTATGGGCAGTGTCCTCAGGAACCCTCTGAATCGTACAGGCTTCCTAGTGCCCATCCAGAGAACAGCTGCAACCAGTCTCTCTAATGAAGTTTTGATTTGCTAAAAGGCCCCTGCTCCTATATTAAGTTACAAACAGAGTAGCTGATATGCTGTTGCTTTAGCCACAAAATAAGTTGTTTTTGTGGGGTGCCCTCTCTAAATGTAGTGCTTTGGGAGTCATGATTGGGATTGATGGTAGTTTACCAGAGTTCAATGGTATTTGTATCTAGTGGCTTTTAGGGAGGGGAAAAAAAATGGAAGGGAAAAGGTATGGTGTTGTATGGTTCCATGTCCCATTTTGAACAATCTAACTATGGGTATGGATTTTTTAATGTATATTACCAAGTACTACAATTCTACCCACTATATTATTTTAAAGCCTAATGCCAACAGTAGTGTATAAATGAGGACACTGGAATATCATAAAATATTTAATTTTTAAAAATATATTATGAATTCTGTTGTGTTTTATGGACCCCAGCTCAAATGAAAATGACTAAAATGACATAAAAGTAAGAGCAAGATCATGGGAAAGTGAAAGTCCAGTATAATAAAAAATCAAGTCATTGTTGAAACCTTGCCTTCTCATAGTTGGTGGCAATACTATATTTATTTATTCATTTATTTTGGTTTTACTCGTTCTTTAACATCTTCTAGTAGAGGCGCTAACAAGTCACAAAGAGGTCCAAAGGTGAACAGGGAAAAGGAATTTAGAAATTAGTTTTTCAATAACTAGATAAATAAATGATGAAATGCATATTTTAAATTTACTTGCAAACTGACAAAGATATTAGTCTTCCTAAAATTTGTTTATGAGCCTACTTCTTCAACATAAGCCTAAAAGAGGCCTGGCTTTGTGCTTTTCCCCCTTAGTATCACTTTCAACATTGTGCTTTTGAATGAGGTTACTGACAAGTATATGAAGAAGCCCATGGGCATTGGGTCTGTATTGCTACATGTCTTTATTATTTTGGCACCTTATAACTGAGATTTTTGTATTATGCACTGCTGCACAGTTGGATTTGTAACAAAGGATAAGGAAGGACTATAAACTTTGATACCAGATGAAATCCTGAGAAAACTTTAGCATTGTAACTTTTTATTACAATTGTATAATTTTTATAATTTTCTAAGGGCAGAGATTATTGCCCTTATTTTGAAGAATTAGGAAAAGGAAGGGTATTTCATGGCATCTTTATTTTAACCTTTCTTTTCCTTCTTCTGTAAGGAAGTTCATATTGGGCTCATGTGTTATCTGGAAAAAAGTTGTTTATATAGTTCTGCAGAATCACTAATCTGACTTCTTGGGCCTTTGAGATGTGCCTTCCTTGAGTTTTTATGGAGAGCCTCATATTTTAATTATATTAGTGATTCATGAGGGTGTTTTTAGCTGTTGCTACATCTGATGTCATTTCTTCTGAAAACTTTGTAGTGTCTGGGGCTCTTGGCCGTTTCTGTGATAGAGATATTAATATAAAGAGCAGTGTATCTATCAGAGTTCAGCTTTTGGTTTTGTGAAGGAATTCTCACTGCCCCTCTTCCTAATGTGTGTTCTAACACAAATTCACCTGTGACTGCATTACAGAGGCGAATTTATGTTAGAACACATGTCAGGGAGAAGGGTGTGATAGGGGAATTCCCAAGGAGGCATGTAGGAGAAAAGTATTATTGTTCTATTCATGCAAATATAGAGTCTTTTACTTCGCTTTGCCAGATTCGATAGAAAAGCTCATAGAGAGTCTTCATTTGGAGTTTTTAAAATGCACCCTAATAATTCAGCTAATTGTGAAATTGGATACGTGAATGAATTTGATACCTAAAAATAAAAATATGAGAGCCTCAGCAGTAAATGCTACTGTTTCATCCTGTTTCTAAATGCTTGAAAATGTGTTCTCTTCCTGGACAGTATACCAGAGGATGCTTATCAAAATATTGCATATCTCTTTACTTATTCTTGGCTTCTTAACTCACTAAGGTCATTGCTGATACCATTTCTCACTTATGCTGTCCAATCTACATGCCCAACCCATATGGTCAAAGTCTGTCAATAAATGTGTATTGAATAAATGAATGAACGAATGAATGAGGTCACCTCCAGCCTTGCTATCACATGAGAATTTGGATTTATAAGTTTGCATTTCAGAATTCCTCATGTAACATATTCTTTTATAAATGCAGAATTGCCTGTTATCAGTCATTACTTTTAGCAAAAATTTAAAAAACAGTTTTTCCTTAGGTATTCTAAAGAATAGAATGTTAAGTTTCTAATGCCAAAATGTGACTCACTGTATTCTTTTTAAGAACTTGCTATAAATTTCATTTGTTCTAAGTGCTGAGGTGGCCACTTTTATCATATGCATCATTTTGATTCCTACATATTATTAATCTTGTAAGTTGGCTTTGATCTCTTAAGAGGGTAACATCATCAGCCACCATGCTCTTGTTTTATGTTCAGGAAGTTGCTTATTACCCTTCTAGTGCAGTGTTTTGTACACAGTAGGGACACTCTGCACTTCAGATGAAGTGGTTTGTTTTAGGGCCGAATTTTGCTGGAATTAAATAAAGTAGCATTGAACAGCTATAGGAACCTTTAGAAAAAAAGTTTTGGTCTTCCTTTTCATGGCACATTATTTATTATTTGTTTATTTTTCATATTCTAGATACATGAAATAAGTAATAATTCAGATTCAGAAATTATACATAATTTTATAATCCACAACCTGGATACAGCTAGTTTTTTTTTTTTTCCTTAAATGTGCCCCTTCTTCTGGATCCACTTGTGCTCTGTGTCTCCATCACCAGAAATACTAAGTGGAGGGCCAAGGGACATGCTTCGCAGAGCCTGGCATCAGAAGGAAGGAAACCAGCATGTGTTGAGCATTTCCTAGGAGTCAGACACCCTGCTAGGCACTTTCACATGAGAAAGTCCTCTGACCCTGAGGAAGACAGTGGTAGTTCCTCTCTCTTTACACATTAAGAAACTGAGAGACTTTAAGAGGTTAAGTAATTTGCCCAAGGTCAATTATATAGTAAGAGATAGATGAGGTTTTTCTCCACACAATCCACTGGGTAGAGCAAGGTGGTACTGCCCACTTTTAGTTGATCACATTTTTGAGACTGCCATTGTAAAAACTACAGTTACTACATCTTTATAACTTTCTCCCATTTCAGACTTACTCAATTTGTAATTTAGACTTACCACCCTCTCTAGCTTTGACTTTTTTGGGTGTTGATTCCCTCTATTACTTTATAACAGAAAATAGTCACTCTTTTTCTGCCTTGGTGATATGAATTTCCTCAGGCAATTCAAGAACCATAGGAATCCAAGGCCTTCTAAAAATTAAAGAGGTAAATTATATGTGAAAGCACTTTTTAAACCATATGCATGAAAAAGTTATCAGCTATTATTTTTTATTTTATTGACCAAAAGGTGTATTCTTAAAACTCATAGTGTACACTTAAGACACACAGGCACATATAACTGTAAATATCATATTTTTTGTATATTTCATGTTAGACTTTTCAATTGAAATATCTGGTTATACTTTTATTTAAATTCATCTATCCAGCTTGAGCATGGAATTATAAAGCTTAGTATCTCTATATATATACCCAAAAAGACAATTTGAAACTTGGAAAGTTTAGTTGTGACAAATGAAAGGTGATATTAGGAGTTTAAGAAGGTAATTATCCACATTATGGGAAGCATTCAAAAGCAAAATGTCTCTCCTGGAATTCAGTGGTGTACAATGATAGCAGATTGAGCTCTGTAAATTTTCTTTGCCACATCCTTGTACCAGATCACCTTGTATGTGATCTGGTACAAGTAGAAAGCCACCCTCTTTACAGACACCCACCCACCAACTGAAATAGAAAATTTTCTTGACACAACTCATTTCCCTTTTATCTTTAGGCATCCTGGTTTAGGGAAATGACCATCCTGAGAATATTTTATTGGCTGTAAGCCAATGCTTATGCCAAGTTTTAAATGTGTCATGATAGCTTAGAGTGTGCCATGCCTCAGCTTTGGGAATCTGATTAAAGAAGGAATGCTAAAATAAGAAAAAGTTTCTAGCTAAAACATATCTAAAATTCATTACCCTAACCCTGATACTTTACTGCCATATTTTTCTGAAAAATAGTTGAATTCAGAAAGGACTAAATGGTATCCTTTCCATTGATTAGAATTGTTTCTTCCTTAAAGTTGTACTTCAGAAACATATAAGCGTGAAGAAGTAAAATTGATACATATATTTCAAACTACTTCTTTTCCTCCTTTCATCTTGAATTATGTCCATTAAAAAAACACATTTTCTGATAATAAAATAGATCATTTATTTTCTTTAGAGGGTTAGGTGCCTTTTGGGTGATGCTATCCTTTTTTGGTCTTAAAATATCCTCTGCTCTTATTCTTAATACTTGAAAGAGTATTATCCTTCAGAAAAGAGAAATGAATATGAAACCCAGTGTTAGTTTCAACTGGAAAGGTTTCAAAGTTTGGCTAATGTTTAATGGTGTACTTTGATAATACTATCTAGTTACAGAACAGCACTCTCTTGTTAGTAAGGACTCAATTTAGTATGCAGGGCCACCTTCTAAAAAGAGCAGAGAAACAAACTCTTCTTTGTATAAAATGTATTTTAACCCATAAACTGAAAATAGTACAGAAAATTAATAGCAGCTTGAAAATTTCCTGTAAAGCTTGGTTGGGTGTTAGGCTGGGGAGATGGGCCTTACAGTAGATAGGAGTGACCAAATCACTTAGTGAAGAACAAGACTAAAGTTACAATCCTGGAATTAAGATTTTTTTTCTAAAATAGGAAAAATAGGGAGGAAGTGATCAGGAAAATAAAGAGAGAAGATAAATTGAAGGAAGGACTGGAAAAATCACAAAAGATTTAATAGAAATGAGCAAGAGGTGCTGAAATGTACATTTACAAGCTTTAATTTGTTGGATGTTCACTTGAAAATGAGTTAAGGAAAAGTTACTAAGAAAAGTAGCCTTCCAAAAATCATAGCAATGCTTTGTCCTCTTTAGGAGAGTGAGTGAATGTATTATAATTTGGTAACATTTCTTTTGTAGAGAAGGGGATGGGGGAGACATGATTTAAGAGATCTCTTGATCTCATACTCACCTCTTCATATTAGGAATAGGAAATAAATCATGTTCAGACTAATTTAAAAGGTCTATGACTGTTAGAGACATGATCCTTAAAAAAAAAAAAAAATATATATATATATATATATATATACACACACACACACACACACATATACAAAACAAACCAGTGTAGTAGTTCTCAACTAGAGGAATTTTGTTCCCAAGGGAACATTTGGCAATATCTGGAGATACTTTTCATTGTCATGTGGTGGGAGGTGCTACTGCCATCTAGTGGGTAGAGGCCAGGGATGCTGCTAAACATCCTGCAATGCACAGGACGGCCCCCACAACAGATAATTATCGGGCTCGTTGTCAGTAGTGTTGGTGAGAAATCTTGGTGCAGTAGAAATAACATGGCTCTGGAGTTATACAGAGATGGGCCTGATTCCCAATCCAGTCCTTATTAGCTGTGTTAATGTGAACATGTAATATATGTGATGGTATATCAAAAATATGTAAACATATTTTGACTGAATAAATAATTTCTTTTTGTTGTTGTTGTTTTTTTTTGAGACAGAGTCTCTGTCACCCAGGCTGGAGTGCAGTGGAGTGATCTTAGCTCACTGCAGCCTCCGCCTCTCGGGTTCCAGCAATTCTCCTGCCTCAACCTCCCAAGTAACTAGGATTACAGGTGCCCACCACCATGCCTGGCTAATTTTTGTATTTTTAGTAGAGACGGGGTTTTACCATGTTGGCCAGGCTGGTCTCCAACTCCTGACCTCAAGTGGTCTGCCTGCCTCAGCCTCCCAAAGTACTGGGATTACAGGCGTAAGCCATCGTGCCCGGCCTGAATAAAGAGTTTCTTTCAAGAATCAATTTCTTCAACTATAAAACTAAGATGTTATCACCTACCTCATGAATGAAATGAATGAGTGAATGAGATGGTTTTGAGGACTAGGGATAAAATACATAAAGAGTATCTATCTAGCACAGTGCCCCCTACGGGTGAGCATTCACTAAACAGTAGGTAAATTGATGGTGAAGGTGATGGATAAAATTATGCCACAGGGCCGTTCTACTTTGCATGAAAGCTTGTCTCCCATGAACCTGGTTACCTGAGTTCTGTTTCCTAACCCAATTCAGGTTACACGACAGATCCATGAGCATGAGCAGGAGAACGAGTTGCGGGAACAGATGTCAGGTTATAAGCGGATGCGGCGCCAGCACCAGAAGCAGCTGATCGCCCTGGAGAACAAGCTGAAGGCTGAGATGGACGAGCACCGCCTCAAGCTACAGAAGGAGGTGGAGACGCATGCCAACAACTCGTCCATCGAGCTGGAGAAGCTGGCCAAGAAGCAAGTGGCTATCATAGAAAAGGAGGTCAGTATGTGCACACACGCCTTCATGCCACAACCAAGCCCAGCCTGTTGGGGTCAGTGGCAGGATGTTAGCAAGAGGCAGGAGTGGGGGATGGAGGAAAATTGTTGTTTCCGGGGTGGCAAAATTGGGTTTCTAGATTTTATAGGGCTATGTAAAATTGTCGTTCAGAGCTAAAATAGCAACTGAAAATATATGTTACATTCTTGTCCATTCAAATATATTCTGAGGCCAGGCGTGGTGGCTCACGCCTGTAATCCCAGCACTTTGGGAGGCCGAGGCAGGCAGATCACCTGAGGTCAGGAGTTCGAGACCAGCCTGGCCAACATGGTGAAACTCCATCTCTTCTAAAAATACAAAAATTAGCCGGGCATGGTGGCACATGCCTGTAATCCCAGCTACTCAGGAGGCTGAGGCAGGAGAATTGCTTGAACCTGGAAGGCAGAGGTTGCAGTGAGCCAAGATCATGCCATTACACTCCAGCCTGGGCAACAGAGGAAGTCTCTTCTCAAAAAAAAAAAAAAATTATACTTATGTATATTCTGAGTATCAGTCCCTTGATGGTGGCCTGGGTACAAGTAAAGGGAAACAAGATGCTTCCATCTTCTGAGAACGTGCACAACAAAAGTCTGTTACTGTATCTGCCATACCCACAGTCCTCTTCAAAAGAAAACTGCTTTACAAATAGTCTCTTATAGTAGTGATAATCCCTGCCTACAGCTGATGAGCCCCTGAGCAAAAGGAGCAAATAATGAGTCCGGCAATTATTTGGATTTTCTAGGGAACATCTCTCGTCCCCATCCACGTTCTAAACTAATTTTAAAAGCAGACAAGGCCAGATGTGGTGGCTTACACCTATAATCCCAGCACTTTGGGAGGCCAAGGTGGGTGGATCTCTTGAGCCCACGAGTTCAAGACCAGCCTGGACAATGTGGCAAAACCCCGTCTCCACAAAAAATACAAAAGTTAGCTGGGTGTGGTGGCACATGCCTATAGTCCCAACTAATTGGGAGGCTGAGGCAGGAAGATTGCTTGAGCCCAGAAGGCAGAGGTTGCAGTGAGCCGAGATTGTGTCACTGCACTCTAGCCTGGGTGACAGAGCGAGACCCTGTCTCAAAAAAAAAAAGGCCAGGCACAGTGGCTCACGCCTGCAATCCCAGCACTTTGGGAGGCCGAGGTGGGTGGATCGCCTGAGGTCAGGAATTCGAGACCAGCCTGGCCAACATGGTGAAACCCCGTCTCTACTAAAAATACAAAAATTAGCTGGGCGTGGTGGCAGATGCCTATAATCCCAGCTACTCAGAAGGCTGAGGCAGGAGAATCGCTTGAACCTGGGAGGCAGAGGTTGCAGTGAGTTGAGATTGTGCCATTGCACTCCAGCCTGGGTGACAAGAGCGAGACTTCATCTCCAAAAAAAAAAAAAAAACCAGCCAGGCATGGTGGCTCATGCCTGTAATCCCAGCACTTTGGGAGGCTGAGGTGGGTGGATCACTTGAGGTCAAGAGTTTGAGACCAGCCTGGCCAACATGGTGAAACCGTATCTCTACTAAAAATACAAAAAATTAGCTGGGCATGGTGGCAGGTGCCTGTAATCCCAGCTACTCGGGAGGCTGAGACAAGAGAATCACTTGAACCCGGGAGGCGGAGATTGCAGTGAGCCGAGGTCACGCCATTGCATTCCAGCCTGGGCAACAAGAACAAGACTCCGACTGAAAAAAAAAAAAAAAAAACAGAAGGGTAAGGCAGATAGTCATAATATCATCTTTTTTTATTATTATTATGCTTTAAGTTCTAGGGTACATGTGCACAACGTGCAGGTTTGTTACATATGTATACATCTGCCATGTTGGTGTGCTGCACCCATTAACTCGTCATTTACATTAGGTATATCTCCTAATGCTATCCCTCCTCCCTCCCCATAATATCATCTATTACTGATACATGTTAGGTACAAGAGGTGATTTATGTCTGCAGGAAAACAAAATTAAGCAGATCTGCCTGCTCAAGCAGTGCTAAAACTGAGTCACCTTTCCTGCCACCCCCATGAGACTTCCATAGTGTTGAAAAATGTGGTGGACATGTGCTCCCTGGGCATGCAGTGACTGGGGACACAGTTCCAGGGTGTTTCCATAATTGAGCTTGCTCTCTGTCTCTCTTGGTCTCTCTGTCTCTCTCTGTCTCCACATGGAAGGAACAATCAGGTTGTAGAAGAAAGATTTCCCCCAACAGCCATCAATCTGTGAGGCAGTCTGGCATGAAAACCTCTGCCCAGACAAGGATGATGTTGATTAAATAAATCAGTCAGATTCTTTCTTGGGATTTGACTTGGTAAATATGTTGTGAGAATTGTTCATAATGGAAGAATTGTCCTTCATGGAAGTTGCAGGTGAAAAAGATACGTAAAAAGAGCCATGAGCCATGAAGCATAATTCCCCCTCTATCTCCCAAGTCGCTCGTCTTACGTATATCCTTCACCCAGTGGTTACCAGAAACAGATTTGGTCACTTTCAGGAGCCAGTATTTATTGGATGACCTTTTATATAGTATGTGTTTTATTCATTTAGGACCCCAAAAAATGTCATGATGTGTGACTGTTGTGGATTGCAGCAGGTGCCTAAGAGAATAAAATGGCTCATGCCTGTAATCCCAGTACTTTGGGAGGCCGAGGCAGGTGGATCATTTGAGTTCAAGAATTCAACACCAGCCTGGCCAACATGGTGAAACCCTGTCTCTACTAAAAATACAAAAATTAGGTGGATGTGGTGGCTTGTGCCTGTAATCCCAGCTACTGGGGAGGCTGAGGCATGAGAATCACTTGAACGCAGGAGGTGGAGGTTGCAGTGAGCCGAGATCATGCCACCGCACTCGAGCCTGTGTGGCAAAGGGAGACTGTCTCAGAAAAAAAAAAGAAAACAAAATGCCGTTAGCGTTCCAATTACACTTGAGTTGATACCACTGGAAAATCTGATAGTTGGAATAGTTAATCAGTTAGAGTTTGATTCTTGGAATAAAACTGGCCAGGCATGGTTATTTATACATTTTTACAACTTAACCTTTGGGCTATCAACAATATGATGTAAAAACCTTTATTAGATTTATATCAGAACTAAATCCTTAGTTCTGACCGGGCATGGTGGCTCACGCCTGTAGTCTCAGCACTTTGGGAAGCTGAGGAGAGAGGATAGCTTGAGGCCAAGCATTTGAGATGACCCTAGGCAACAAAGTGGGACCCAGTCTCTACGATCATTTTTTAAAAATACTTAGCCAGGACTGGTGCTGCACGCCTGTGGTCCCAGCAGCTCAGGAGGCTGAGGCAGGAGGATCGCTGGATCCCGGGATTTTTAGGCTGCAGTGAGCTATGCTCGAGCCACTGCACTCCAGCCTGAGCGACAGAGCGAGACCTCATCTCAAAAAAAAATGTTATTCTTAGGTCTCCTTTCATCCCATGAATGTTTTTGTGTTCAGTAAAGCATGTTTATGGTTCACCTTCATATTTTTCCCATAATTCAGAATGTATTTTTCTTTTTCTTTTTCTTTTTTTTCTTTTTTTGAGACAGAGTTCTGCTCTTGTTGCCCAGGCTGGAGTGCAGTGGTGTGATCTCAGCTCACTGCAACCTCTGCCTCCTGGGTTCAAGCGATTCTCCTGCCTCAGCCTCCAGAGTAGCTGGGATTACAGGCATGCACGACCACGCCCAGCTAATTTTGTACTTTTAGTCGAGACTGGGTTTCACCATGTTGGTCAAGCTGGTCTCAAACTCCCGACCTCAGGTGATCTGCCTGCCTCGAACTCCCAAAGTGCTGGGATTACAGGTATGAGCCACTGCACCCAGCCCAGAATTTATTAATGGTGAAAATTTCTGGTGTTTTTTTTTTTGTGTTTCTTTAAGATACAAGAAAATCAGAAAAACAATTATTTTTTAATATTTGTTCAAAAATGTCTCATTATTAGCACTCATGGACTGTCTTACTGCACTGGAGAATATAGATCACTGAATTCTGTGTAAAGAATAGATTCATCCTACATTGTATTTGTTATTTTATCAGGCAAAGGTAGCTGCAGCAGATGAGAAGAAGTTCCAGCAACAGATCTTGGCCCAGCAGAAGAAAGATTTGACAACTTTCTTAGAAAGTCAGAAGAAGCAGTATAAGATTTGTAAGGAAAAAATAAAAGAGGTAAGGATACCAATGTTTGTTCTCACCAAGTTGCCATTAGAATGGTTGGAACTTAACATTCACTCATCTTGCATTGTGATCAATATTCTAGTCCAGTGAGTCTCAAACTTTACATTAGAATACCCTAAAATGCTTTCCGGGCACAGTGACTCACACCTGTAATCCCAGCACTTTGGGAGGCCAAGGCAGGCAGATCACCTGAGGTCAGGAGTTGGAGACCAGCCTGGCCAACATGGTGAAACCTCGTCTCTACTAAAAATACAAAAATTAGCTGGGCGTGGTGGCACGTGCTTGTAATCCCAGCTACTCAGGAGGCTGAGGCAGGAGAATCACCTGAACCCAAGAGGCAGAGGTTGCAGTGAGCTGAGATCGCACCACTGCACTCCAGTCTGGGCGACAAGAGCAAAACTCTGTCTCAAAAAAAAAAAAATTACCTAAAATGCTATTAAAACAGATTGCTAACCCACCCCCAGATTTTCAGATTTTATTTTATTTATTTATTTATTTTTTTATCTGACTGATTTTCAGATTTTAAAAATCTATCCCTAGATTTTCTGGGGTAGAGTTTGAAAATTTGTGTTTCTAACAAGCTCCCAGATGACGCTGCTGCTACTGCTTCAGGGACCACATTTCAAGAACCATTGATATAACTCTAAACCATTCTTGTCTTCTTCCTATGTATTTTCCACATCAGTCAAAGTGATCTTTTCAAACCATAAATCTGGTCATTCTACTGCATAGTTTTGAAATCCATTGTCTTCCCATTGCTTTTAGGACAAGTCAAAATCCTAGAAGTCCCTACACAGTCCCCTCCTAGCCTACTCGTTCAGTGACATCTCACACTAATGCTGCCCCTACCCTCAACCCACTCTTCGCTGCACCAGCCACCATGGTCACCTTTCAGTTCCTCAAATTTATCAAGCTCCACCCTTCCCCAAGGTCTTTCCACATACTGTTTCTTCCACCAAGATGTTCTCCCTACCCCCAAGCCCTCCCTGACCACAATTTTGCTCGGTTAATTCCTACTTCTCCTCCTTGTGCAATGCGGGATTGGTTATTAGGATCTTAACTTAAATGTCACTTTCCTAAGGAAGCCTTTTCTAACTGCCTCAGCCAAGACAGATGTCTCTGGTTTCCTAACTAGAGCCTTTAATTATACATTTGTTTAATGATTATTTGAGCTACTTACTCTACTAACTGGTAAGCATCATAAGAGCACAGACCATGTTTTTGTTTGCTCACAACTGTATCCCTGTGCCCTGTACACATGAATATTTGGTAAATGAATGATTGATTCTGGAATATTTGGTTGAAGACCACTAGTGGACTTAGGAGTTCTTCCCAAAGAACTGCACTTTGATCTGAAAGCTCAAATTTCTTCAGTTCTCCTTTTACCAGTACTTACAGGTGAATCGTCTGCAGCTCCATGGACTTTTCTTCTCATAAACCTTAGTATTTCTTATTTGTAGACTTACTAAGTGTATTAAGGTTTAATAAAATTCAATATGGCGCATTGTTTTAGTATATATAAAATCATGTGTTTGAGCTCATATTCTTTATTTTTTTTTCTTTTGAGATGGAGTTTCGCTCTTGTTGCCCAAGCTGGAGTGCAATGTCATAGTCTCGGCTCACTGCAACCTCCACCTCCCGGGTTCAAGCAACTCTCCTGCTTCAGCCTCCCAAGTAGCCGAGATTACAGGCGTGCACCACCATGCCCAGCTAATTTTTTGTATTTTTAGTAGAAACAGAGTTTCACCATGTTAGCCAGGCTGGTCTTGAACTCCTGACCTCAGGTAATCCTTCACCTCAGCCTCCCAAAGTGCTGAGATTACAGGCGTGAGCCACCACGCCTGGCCTGAGCTCATATTCTGATTTGTAGGTTAGCAATAGAGGACTCAGCAAGGTTCTCCTCCAATTCTTTTTTAGTTAGGAAGTGAAACCAAGGGGGTTGGGGTGGGCCTAGGGATTTTTTGTCCTGCCCAGGTAAGCCACTGGTAATTGTTAGACCTAACAGAAAATTGTATTTGATTTACACTGGCTGAATGGGTAGAATCTCTGACACCATAAGGTCTAGAAAACCCGGGTGTAGAGAGAATAGCCCAACTCAGAAGGTTCACATTCTTTCCATTTTCTCTGAGTTATTGGCTTGAGCTTAATTTTTATATCATAATATGATGTTGCTGGATCAGAGATAGCCTAAGAAATTTTGAGGTTTTTCTCCACTCTAAATACCTTCCTTGGCTGGGCACGGTGGCTCATGCCTGTAATCCCAGCACTTTGGGAGGCCAAGGTGGGTGGATCAACTGAGGTCAGGAGTTCAAGACCAGCCTGGCCAACATGGTAAAACGACATCTCTATAAAAATACAAAATTAGCTGAGCTTGATGGCGGGCGCCTGTAATCCCAGCTACTCAGGAGGTTGAGGCAGGACAAATTGCTTGAATACAGGAGGCAGAGGTTGCAGTAAGCCGAGATCACACCACTGCACTCCAGCCTGGGCAACAGAGTAAGACTCTGTCTCAAAAAAAAATCGTAAAATAAAATAAATAGATACCTTCCTTATTTCTAACTCCACGCGTCCACTCATCCACTGGAGGCCATACTTTATGACTATGGCCACCATTTTGAGTTTTTGTAACATTGAGATATTTGGAAATTTCATGAACTCTACCTTCTAGAAGATTTTCCCACAGAACAGCATTTAAGAGTCCCCACTCAGTCCTCAAGCATACGTCAATTTTTGGCTCACCATACTCAGACTTGAGTGCCAAAGCCCACAGGCCTACACTTCTGTCTTTGAACATGCTCATGAAAAAAAAAAAAAAGCCAGAAGCCAATTTGAGATAACCCCACTAGACCATTCTATGCAAAAGCTAATATTACTTTTTCTGAAGTAAAGCTTAGTTCAGACTATTTAAAGTGGCATATATATTTAGATATTTATATACTTACAGATATTGTCCTTGGAATGACAAAAAAATTTTTTCATTATCACCACTTTTGATAGATAACAGGAGTATCTAATACAGAATGATAGATGGTCCAGAAATAATTTATTCTTGATTTTGGAGTAAATTTTTGTGATTATATTTGAATCGGGGTCTGCAGTCTAGTGGTTAATGGCCAACCAAGTAGTGACATCACGGCATGAAGAGATGAATGACCCAGGCTTCCTCTTGTGATCCCAGCTTACTCCAGCTTACTCTGAAAACAACACTTTCTCTTGTTGATTCTAAGATTTCACTTACAGCTTCACTGGAACAGGATAGTTGAAAGTTGATTTACAGAGACTTCTTGGCTAAGAGATAAAATAGTCTATGATATCGGCATCACAAAACATTAAGTAAAATAGGTGTTAGCAACTAAAGGAGATTTTAGCTGAGTGAGTAGCTAACCAAATGAAGAAAGAAGAGTATACTGTACTTTCTTAACAAGTAGTCTTCTTCTTTTCACCACAGTTTAACATCTTAACAGTCCTGATTCACTGCTTTGTTTCCTTTGCTCAGATGTTCTGGAAAAATTGTGAATTTTGTCCTTGGAAAATATAGATGGTTTGTTTACTCTATAATCCCAAGTGAAGAATGTTTTTTCCTAAAATTCAAACTAGTGACATTTGCATAGTCACCTCTTCTCTTTGGAATCTGTCTGCTTCTCTCAGTCTTGTCACTACTTCCTTTGTCCAAGCTACTACCATCTCTCTTGCCTGGACCTTTCCAGTAGCCTCCCAGCTATCTTCATATGTTCTTGCCTCCTTCATTCTGTTCTCCCCATGGCAGCCAGAGTAATCATTTTCAAATGCATCTCATTATGACACTCTCACATGCATGAAATCCATTTCTCCTATACTAAAGATCAGTGTCCTTATATTGGCCTGTAAAGCCTCAATGGTCCTGCCTACCTGGCCAGACTTATCTCATATTACGTTACACCAGCCCCTCTGACCTTCTTTCAGCCCTTGATGGCACCATGTTTCCTCTCCAACCCCTAGGGTTTTGCACATGCTGTTTTCTCTACTGAGAGTATTCTTCCCTTTCCTTTTCCGCTGGTTAACTCTGAATAATTTTTCTTAGTTACTACCAAGATTAAATATTTTCTATTAAATTCTTCTAGGGCCAAGTACGTCCTCTTCAAAGCAGTGATCACAGTAATTTTTAGTTCATTTCTGCGGTTCTTTAATTTTTGATTCTATAATAAAGACACACGGTGGCAGTTATCATGGCCTTTTACTCACCTTTGTGTCCTGTATCTTGCACACTGCCTGTCACATGATAGGAGCTTGTTAAGTTTGTGTTGAGTGAATGAGTGAACAAATAATTTCTGTTAGTGAGAAACCAAAGATACAGAAACTCACAAGTGTCCCTCTCACTTAATACTCAATTAATGAGCAAATAAAAAAAATTGGGGGAAGGATGTGCAACACTAAGCTTTTCTGTGCTTACATCTGCATTGGCTTTCCAAATAACTTAATCTTCAGTTGCAATAAGCTGTTACAGTCCCTTTCATTTAGTAAGGCTGGCTTGGTTTTTGTCTGTTCTTTTTAGGAAATGAATGAGGACCATAGCACACCCAAGAAAGAGAAGCAAGAGCGGATCTCCAAACATAAAGAGAACTTGCAGCACACACAGGCTGAAGAGGAAGCCCACCTTCTCACTCAACAGAGACTGTACTACGACAAAAATTGTCGTTTCTTCAAGCGGAAAATAATGATCAAGCGGCACGAGGTGGAGCAGCAGAACATTCGGGAGGTATTTATTACGCTCGTAACTATTGTCATTGACATAGGAGACAATATGCTATGTGAGGCTTGTGACCATGTCTGCCTGGTCCATTCCTATATCCCTAGCCTTTCTAGCCTTTTAGCACAGTGGCTAACACAGAGTAGGTATACAAAAAAAGTCAGGGAATGAACTTACTATTGATAAGAGGAAGCCCACTCACAGAACAAGGAATCAACTCCATCTAAATACATGTAATAGAATTTTATTGAACTCCCGTTATAAGCCATATCACACAATGAAGAATCAAAAGAAGTAGAATCGAGAATTTTTGTTTTCAGCCTACTTGTCAAGGACTTGTATTTTTGTGACTCCGCATAAAACATTTAAGTAACATTATGATGCTCTATAACTAAGTGCATTTATTCCATCATCCAGTACTCTCAGAGTGAGTGCTAGACACCAGGGATACCAAGAAGCTGTACTCCCTGCCTTCAAATGGCTATGAGTCTAAGAGCAGAAAAAAACATGTAACAGACTAATTACAATACAATATGTTAGGTGACATATTAGACATAGAAATAAAGTATCATTGGCATACAATCATGAGAGGGCTTAGATGACTCTGCTATTGATGAAAAGATGAGTGTGACCAGAGTTCTGTGTATATAGAGTGGCGGGCAGAACAATATTAGTTGGAAGCAGAATGTAGAGACCCTTGTTTAAGGCAAGGCATTTGACTTTTAGCCTGAAGGCAGTGGCCATGAGAGATTTTTAAGCAGGGTAATGACATGATGAGACATTTCTTTATTTTGAAGAATTAGTGCATCAGCCAGGCATGGTGGCTCATGCCTGTAATCCCAGCACTTTGGGAGGCCAAGGCAGAAGGATCACTTGAGGTCAGGAGTTTGAGACCAACCTGGCCAACATGGTGAAACCCCGTCTCTACTAAAAATACAAAAATTACCTGGGCATGGTGGTGCACGCCTATAATCCCAGCTACTCAGGAGACTGAGGCAGGAGAATCACTTGAGCCTAGGAGGCAGAGGTTACAGTGAGCCAGGATCGTGCCACTGCACTCCAGCCTGGGTGATAGAGTGAGACTTATCTCAAACAAACAAACAAACAAACAAAAGAATTAGTGCTTCAGTATGATAGAGAGATAGAAGTCATGAAAAGCAAAGTGCAATGAGGTCAGCCAGGATGCTCTTTCTCCAGTTCTAGCCTGGAAGAGGCTGTGGGGATAGAGGCAATTAGATCTGAGTGACATTTCTTACTCAGAACTGATAGTTAATCCTTACCAAATAGATATGGGAATTTCAGAAGAGGAAGTCAGAAGTGACTTCCAAGTTTCTAATTTGGGAGGTTGGATGGATATGCTGGCATTCACTGAGATGAGGAATACAGAATACTGTGTTCAACAGAAAATCATTGTGACCTGGAGTAAGCAGAGAAAACTTTATAAATGATCTAGCACAGTGGTAACAGTATCAAAGTCTGAGAAAAGCCCAGTGTTAGCCTACATGAGGGAAACAAGCACTTCCAGCACAGTTAATACAAAAGTGAATTGATAGAACCTTGTTAGAGAGCTGCATTGAAATGAGAAGGAAAAAGGGTGAAGCAA
The DNA here is from genome assembly GCF_000001405.40 of Homo sapiens. Lineage (NCBI taxonomy): Eukaryota > Metazoa > Chordata > Mammalia > Primates > Hominidae > Homo > Homo sapiens. Next base: position 118,170,862 of record NC_000012.12, on the reverse strand, counting down.
ACTAAAATGTATTGAACACATGTAGGCCAGGCTCAGGCTCTTTCTGCATGCTGTCTTATTGGAAGAGGGAGAGCTGTGAGCTGCTGAACATTTTTTTGTGGAGACAGAGTCTCGCTCTGTTGCCCAGGCTGGAGTACAGTGGCGCAACCTCAGCTCACTGCAACCTCCACCTCCTAGGTTCAAGCGATCCTCCCACTTCAGCCCCCCAGGTAGCTGGGATTACGGGCACACACCACCACGCCCGGTTAATTTTTATATTTTTAGTAGAGGTGGGGGTTTTACCATGTTGTCCAGGTTGGTCTCAAACTCTTGAGCTCAAGTGACCTGCCTGCCTCAGCCTCCCAAAGTGTGGAGATTACAGGCATGAGCCACCACATCCAGCCTGCTAAACATTTTTGAGAAGGGCAGTGATATGGCTAAAATTGTACTTTAAAGAGATTAGCCCAGATTGACAGTAATACACAGAATGATTTGAACATAGATTCTCAATGGGGGTGATAACGCCCCCAGTGGGTGAAAGTGGGTTCCTGTTGGGGTGCGGTGACCTAGGTCTTATTACAGCTTCAAAGGACCACAGTGCATAAACAGATACACAGTTTACCTGTGGTATTAATATTTCAGTGATGGGGATAATTAAGGGAGAAAAAGCCTAGAAAGCCTCCTTATAGGGGCAATGATGAAAAAAAAAACTGCTTGAGAAACACAGGATTAGAGAGAAGAGACTAGTAGCAGGAAATAGGATATGGACAAGGCTGGTGGTAGTGGCTGTCAGAGCAGTAGATTCAAAACACCATTTGAAGTTTAAAGTAAACAGGACTTGACATATACTAAGATACGAGAGAGGCCGGGCGCAGTGGCTCACTCCTGTAATCCCAGCACTTTGGGAAGCCGAGGCGGGCGGATCACGAGGTCGGGAGATGGAGACCATCCTGGCTAACATGGTGAAACCCCGTCTCTACTAAAAATTCAAAAAAATTGGCTGGGCGCAGTGGCAGGCATCTGTAGTCCCAGCTACTCGGGAGGCTGAGGCAGGAGAATGGCGTGAACCCGGGAGGCGGAGCTTGCAGTGAGCAGAGATTGCGCCACTGCACTCCAGACTGGGTGACAGAGGGAGACTCCGTCTCAAAAAAAAAGATATGAGAGAAAAGATGATGGAATCAAAATTATTTCTAGGGCTTAACACTAGGGGAAATGAAGATGTGGTAGAAACAGAGAAGAGATTAAAGAGAGGTTTTGGTAAGAAGCTGACTCAGGCCGGGCATGCTGGCTCATACCTATAATCCCAGCACTTTGGGAGGCTCAGGCAGGCGGATCACTTGAGGTCAGGAGTTCGAGACCAGCCTGGCCAACATGGTGAAACCCCATCTGTACTACAAAAATTAGCCAGGCGTGGTGGTGGGCGCCTGTAATCCCAGCTACTCGGGAGGCTGAGGTGGGAGGATGGCTTGAACCCAGGAGGCAGAGCTTGCAGTAAGCTGAGATCATGCCATTGCGTTCCAACCTGGATGACAGAGTGAGACTGTCTTTAAAAAAAAAGGGGGGGGGGTGGGGGTGGGCGTGGTGGCTCACGCCTGTAATCCCAGCACTTTGGGAGGCCAAGGCAGGTGGGTCACCTGAGGTCAGGAGTTCGAGACCAGCCTGGCCAACATGGTGAAACTCTGTCTCTACTAAAAATACAAAAATTAGCCAAGTGTGGTGGTGGGTGCCTGTAATCCCAGCTACTTGGGAGGCTGAGGAGGGAGAATCACTTGAACCTGGGAGGCAGAGGTTGCAGTGAGCCGAGATCGCGCCATTCCACTCCAGCCTGGGCAACAAGAGTGAAACTCTGTCTCAAAAAAATAGAAAGAAAGAAAGAAAGAAAGGAAGGAAGGAAGGAAGGAAGGAAGGAAGGAAGGAAGGAAGGAAAGCAAGCAAGCTGATTCAGTACTGCACATTTTGAGTTTGTCAGAAGTCAAAAAATCAAAATGAAAAAGGCTAATGGCCAGTTGGAAATAAGTCATTTGGGAGTCTTTTCATGTAACATTTATTGTTATTCTAATAATAGATATTTGGAGGAAGTCTGAGGCTAAGGGGACAATTCATGTCAATAAAAGTTACAGAAGATAATTACTCCCTAAAAATGATAGAAACTATATTGGTGACTTCATTAGTATTAGGTTCTAGCCAGTTGAGCAAAAAATAACTCTGTAAGAGTATTTTTCTTAAAAGTCTAGATTTTCTTTTGTTTAGTCTTATTCCAGAGCCCACCTTCATGAAAATGTTCAAAGCTTTTTTATTTACAAAAGTAACTCAAGAACATTGAAAATAGACGAAAACAGAAACACATAAAGCTAAGTAGTGAAAGTTCTTTTTAACAGTTTTATTGAGATATCAACATATAAAAATTGTATGTATTTACGGTATACAACTTGATGTTTTGATATATGTATACATTGTGAAATAATCACCACATGAAAGCTAACTAACATATCCATTACCTCCGCATAGTTACATTTGTGTGCATGTGTGCATGGGGTTGAGTAGGGAGATTTAATTTAGGACTTGTCCTCTTAGCAAATTACAAGCATGTAATACAACATTGTTAACTATCATCACCATGCAGTGAGTGCATTAGAGCTCCAGTAATTATTCGTCTTGCATAACTGGAACTTTCTACCATTTGACCAGCATCAGCCCATCTTCACCTTTTCGACAATCCCATTCCACCCAATCTCTACCCTCAAACAGTCTCCATTAATTTGGCATGTATATTTCTAGGTTTTTTTCTATATACATATGTACAGCTATATTATATATGACTTTACAAAAATGAGATTACTTTTGTATCAGTAGGATTATTTGATTTGCAAGCAATAGAAATAAACTCTGGCTGACTTAAGGCTGAAAAGGAATTTATTGGAAGGATATGAGGTAGGTAAAGAGCTGAAGAACTGAGCGGGAAAACATGAAGAGCCACGCTGGTAAAGCAACTTCCATGACACAGAGAGCAAGGGCTCATGTGCAGTTCTCCAGGCACTGCCATTTCAGTGTACCTCCTCCAACCACTTTTTGTCTTTGTATCGTTTCTGTTCGAGATTAAAATTCCTAGGAGAGATATAACTTGATTGGGTCATGTGCTTATGCCTTATTCAACACTCTCTCTGATTCCAGATAAGGGGGAGTCATTTTGCAAAAAAAGGAAAAAAAAAAAAAAGAGCCTATAAAGAGAAGCAGGAAAAATGGAAGCTGAGCCTTACAAAAAGTAACAGATGTCCACTCCACTGTTTTGTAACTCTTTTTTCCATTTACCTTCCAGCACGTACAGCTCTGCTTCATTCTTTTTCATCTAATAGTATTTTGTTGTATGGCCTCAATATCATTTATTTAATGAGACACTTCTCGGTGGACATTTTGTTGAAGTTTTACAGTATTATTAATAATATAAGAACATTGTTGTACATAGATATTTTTACATGTAAACAAGTATTTTGGGGGATACATTTTCGGAAGTGGAATTCCTGGGTCAAAGAATGCATACATCTAAATTTTTAAAATAAATATCACTAAATTGCTCTCTAAAGGAGTTTATACTCCCACCAACAAAGCACAAGAATGCCTGGTTTCCTGTGTCTTTGCCTAAAGGATTGAGTATTAGCAATCCTTTTAATTAGTGAAAACAAGAAGATCACTGAAACTGGGTTGAGCCTCTTTCTCTATCACCAACACACACAGACACTCAGCATTTTCTGACCAGTGTTGAAACTAAGAACTGAAACTAAGAAGGCATTAAATGTCATAGGCTGACAGCATCTCTATTTAAAAGTTAGAATTCTCGTTTTTACTCAACCTCAGTGAGCCTGAGCATAAAAATTTGGCATGAGTGAAATCCGCTGCTTTTAAAGAAGTCAATACTACTTCCATTAGAAGTTAGAGTGCTTGAAACACACTGGACATTGACCGAGGGAAAGGAAGCTGCATGTATCTTATCCCACACTCCCTCCAGGGCTTATACGTGTGTGTGTGTGTGTGTGTGTGTATGTGTGTGTGTGTGTGTGTATATATATATATACACACACACACATACATTGAGTACATGGGTGGGCAGAATGATCTGTACCATTAAAACTGATTTTTTAGTTTTTGCTCAGCTCATTTTGTTAAATTTGTATAAGCTAAAGGTGCACATGATGTGGCTCTAGTGTGTATATTGTGTCATTTGTACAAATAAAGTAACCATTGTATCATGTCTAGCTAGAGCAGAATTCTTCAAAATATTTTATCACAGACTGAAAAAGTATAAAACAGGAAAGTATGCCATTTATTAGAACTTTTTTTTTTTTTTTTTGAGACGGAGTTTCGCTCTTGTTGCCCAGGCTGGAATGCAATGGCGCAGTCTCAGCTCACTGCAACCTCCGCCTCCCGAGTTCAAGTGATTCTCCTGCCTCAGCCTCCCAAGTAGCTGGGATTACAGGCATGTGCCACCACACCTGGCTAATTTTGTATTTTTGGTAGAGACAGGGTTTAACCACGTTGGCCAGGCTGATCTCGAACTCCTGACCTCAGCTGATCCACCTGTCTCAGCCTCCCAAAGTGCTGGGATTATAGGCATGAGCCACCGCGTCTGGCCTCATTTATTGGAACATTTCTAATGGAAAATGCTGAGAAGCTAAATACCTGAGTTTTAGCCTCAGTTCTCTTTATAGAAGTTGTGTAACTTTATGTTAGTCCTTCAACTCCCAAATGCCTACTAACACATATAAAAGGGGGAAATCCTTACAGTCTTATCACCTCATAGGGTGGCAATTTGGATTGAATGAGATGTATGGAATAACTTTTAAAAATGGAAAGCACATTAAACATTATTATGTAGGCACAGCACTGGCCTCATAATAAGGTGAATAATTTTTCCCCCATGTCTCAAATATTAAAGGTAGCTTACCATCTTACACCTCAGCAACTCAGATGTACAAATTAAAGGTGAAGGGAACAACTTGTAACAGAAAAGCCATTTCAGTATCATGTTTTTCTTACTCTTCTAATAGTTTATAAAAACTAGATTTAAGATATTATATGCCATGTATTCCCTTCTGAATAGAGAAAAATAATGACATTTATGTATTCTGAAGCACTTTCTTATGGTCTTTCATTTTATCTTTACAACTACGATAGTTCACAATGTGTACTGCTATCCTCATTTTACACCTGAAATACAGATTAAGAGACTTGCCCCAAGCCATACATAAGACTTATAGAGGAGCTGAAACTGACTCACACCCTTAGCACTTTTCCATTGATTCTCAAACTTTCATATATATCAGAATTAGCTGCGTAGCTTGTTATAGAGACTAGTCCCTTATAACACAGGTAATTCGGATGTAGGTATTCTGTGGACAGTATCTTGAAGCATTTCATTAAGCAGGAAGAGAAGCACTTGATTTCTTCTGAAGGTGTTTGCTTGCTTTGTGTGTTTTGCTTTGTGTCAAGAGCCCATGAGTTTCAGGGCTCTTAGCAACTCAGGCTCAGTTTGCATTTCTCAATTTAGGAAAGTGTGGGATGAATAAATGCCTGGTGTTGGGACTCCTGGACCTCAATTAAAGTCCTCATTTAAAGGGCTTTCCTTGGCCTGGGAGAGCTTTCGTCTGTGGGAAGGGCTCTCCATCCTTTGGTGCCACCTACGGGCCAGTTACTGCTTTGTAAAAAAGAAATTTGATGGTCTAGGTAAAGAAGAAAAATAAAACAAAGGAAAACACGGGAGGAGATGAGAGAGATAACTCTAAGGGCTTATTTTTTATTCCTTAAAACAAATTTAAATTGTATTTATACTTTGGGTTTTTTCTCCTTATAAGGTCGCTGAGGGGGTGTACATGTTCACTGTTCTATCCCTAGTTCCTACAACAGTGCCCAGCACATAGTAGGTGCTCAATAACTACTTGTTGAATGAATAAGTGAATGATTAGTGACTGTACTCTAGTACTAGATGCTGTGCTATTAAAAGGATTTCTCTTCAATCAATAGGGAGCCCAAGTGTGCAAGATATTTCCAACCACGCCAGTATAAAAATGTTATCGATGATATCTATTAAAATAAATAATTTGCATTTTCTCCTATAGTGGATGCCATCAGAGAAGAGAGGCCCTCTATTGTTCTAATTTAAAGTACAGCTGAGGCTGGGGCATGGTGGCTCACGCCTGTAGTCCCAGCACTTTGAAAGGCCGAGGCGGGTGGATCACCTGCGGTCAGGAGTTTGAGAACAGCCTGGCCAACATGGTGAAACCCCATCTATACTAAAAATACAAAAATTAGCCAGGCGTGGTGGTGGGCACCTGTAATCCCAGCTACTCGGGAGGCTGAGGCGGGAGAATTGCTTGAACCCTGGAGGCGGAGGTTGCAGCAAGCCAAGATCGCACCATTGCACTCCAGCCTGGGCAACAAAGTAGAAACTCCGTCTCAAAAATTTAATAAATAAGTATAAATAAAGTACAGCTCAAAAGCTTTCTCCTTTCCTTGACGTTCTTTTGTTTGTTTGTTTGTTTCGTTGTTGTTTTTCTGTTTTTTTTGAGACGGAGTCTCGCTCTGTCCCCCAGGCTGGAGTGCAGTGGCGCGATCTTGGCTCCCTGCAAGCTACGCCTCCCGGGTTCACGCCATTCTCCTGCCTCAGCCTTCCGAGTAGCTGGGACTACAGGTGCCCGCCACCAGGCCCGGCTAATTTTTTTTTTGTATTTTTAAGTGGAGACGGGGTTTCACCATGTTAGCCAGGATGGTCTCGATCTCCTGACCTCGTGATCCACCCGCCTCGGCCTCCCAAAGTGCTGGGATTGCAGGCGTGAGCCACCGCCCCAGGCTCCTTGACCTTCTTAATAGTAATACTGCTAGGTCGGGCACGGTGGCTCACGCCTGTAATCCTACCACTTTGAGAGGCCAAGGCGGGCAGATCACCTGAGATCGGGAGTTCGAGACCAGCCTGACCAACATGGAGAAACTCCATCTCTACTAAAAATACAAAAGTTAGCCAGGCGTGGTGGCATGTGCCTGTAGTCCAAGCTACTCTGGAGGTTGAGGCAGGAGAATTGCTTGAACCTGGGAGGCGGAGGTTGCTGTGAGCCGAAGTCACACCATTGCACTCCATTGCACTGGGCAACAAGAGCAATACTCTGTCTCAAAATAATAGTAATAATAATACCACCCTTTTCAGAAATCTTATAGCATAAAATCTTTACCCCTTTTATAGCATTCATCACTTATCCAACATTGCTCTCTCTCTTTTTTTTTTTTTAATTTGGACGTAAAACTTATTTCCTGGCTGGGCATGGTGGGGTGGCTCATGCCTATAATCACAGCATTTTGGGAGGTTGAGATGGGAGGATCACTTGAGTCCAGGAGTCCGAGACCAACCTGGGCAACATAGTGAGACCCCATCTCTACCCCCACCCCCCCCAAAAAAAAAGTATGTCCCTGTATTAATTAAGATTTTTTTGTTTGCATGTTAACTGAAATTTATTTCAGCTAGCTTAAGCCAAAACCAGGGAAATTACTATAGAAATACAGGAATGTCTTATAAAATCGAATAGCAGTAATACAGCTAGACCTACTGGAGGGCTCAGAAGCAGTAAGTAACTTAGGCATCAGTATATTCCCTGCACTTCTTTCTTTTCCTTTCTTCTTGATCTGAAGCCCAGCTTTCTCTAATCCTCAGCCCTCATAGCAGCAGATGACTACCACATATGTGGTTTTTATATGCCTTAATTCCAGCCACACATAGAGATTAACTGGTTCTGAATATCAATTCCAAATTCCGAGTAGAGAAAATAAATTGACCCAGGTTGGGCCACGTATCTAAATCTGATTCAGTGAGCTTTGAGCAGAGCATATACTTCAATAAATGTCTAGTGCACTTCCCTGTTGGAGTGTCAGTGAGTTGAGGACAGAAGTCATGGTTTAATAAATATTTTTATGTACTGAGAGCACATTGTTCTGATCTTCATATATAGTGCTATTTAGGAAATATTCTTCAATTGAGGAATGAAAAGATTTCACCCAACTTCCCCTTTTTTCTAGTTTGCTTTCCTTTCCTCCTTCAATACCAAAGAAAGAAAGAAAGAAAAGGAAGAAAGAAAGACATGAGTAGAACGGAAAAGAACAGAGTGATTAGATCTATAAATGATCAAACAGACTGTAATGCAGAAGATGAAAGGGGAGAGATCTCATCTGTTTTTTTTTCCCCAACATGCCTTGAACTCTGAGATTTTAAAAAATAGACAATTGGCCTACCTCTGATTCATGCAAAAACAGAGTATTTCCCAGAAAGCTAAGAACATTGCAGATATTATCAGTTTAATTCTCAATCTTGATTGCTTATTGGCACCACCTGGAGAACTCTTCCCAATACTGACATCAGGCTCCCACCCCAGACAGTTATAAGAATTTCACCCTGTGAGATTCAAGCATCTTATGTTTGAAAAGTTTCCTCACATGATTTTTATGGGCCGTCAGGGTGTAGGACCACTAGCTTCACTGAAGAAACATTTATGTAGACCTATGCATAGCACATCACCTAACTAAGGTTCACAGCAGCTCTGTGAGGTAAGAGAGAGTCAGGTAGAATTAATCCCATTTTACAGAGAGTACAGTAGTGATTGCTGTGAAGTTGCCCATTTTGTAAGTGGTGGACCCAGGAACAGAACCTAAACCTGAAGAGATTGTTAATTTAATCTCATTAAGTCCTGCTGCCAAACACTAATGGGTTTAATTAAGAGATGGTTAGCAGTGCCATTCCTTGCCCTCCCTCACTTAGTTGTGCATTCCTTCCAGTTCATCTCCATTCACCTCTCTCCGTTTATCTTTTGTTCCTGGACGCAGGAACTAAATAAAAAGAGGACCCAGAAGGAGATGGAGCATGCCATGCTAATCCGGCACGACGAGTCCACCCGAGAGCTAGAGTACAGGCAGCTGCACACGTTACAGAAGCTACGCATGGATCTGATCCGTTTACAGCACCAGACGGAACTGGAAAACCAGCTGGAGTACAATAAGAGGCGAGAAAGAGAACTGCACAGAAAGCATGTCATGGAACTTCGGCAACAGCCAAAAAACTTAAAGGTAAGATTTGTGCTGCTGGACAGTGTTGGACCAGATCAGTGGTTTCTCTACCTGAAGTGTCAGAGTCACCTGAGCAACTTTTCAGAATCACAAATTTCTGCACCCCACACCTATTGTATCAGAATCTCCAGTTGCAAAGCACAGAGTCTATATTTAAGCTCCTGAAAAGGAGATGTTGGGCAAGCTGGTTTGGAAACTATTATTATACTACATTATCTATCAATTTGTCATCATATCCATTATGGAATTTCTCTGAGCACTTCATGACCTGCCATCTTCAAAACTGGACTAATAGCAGTTTATGGTTTTAATCCCAGGAAATAAGGAAGTTCTATTGGTGTTAGGTACTTTGAGCACTGCTGTATTGAGAAAGACTCTAAAGCCACATCCAAGCTTAGGAGGAAAGAGTGTCATTTATTAGTGATGTCTGTCATGGTCATCAGGAATGAATCTATAAGTGCCAGGCATTTACCACTTCTGCACTAGAGATGCAGAGATGTGGAGGAACTCCTGTAGCCCTCACTGCCTCCAGCTAATTTTAGCTGACTGCTAATTAACAAGCTCTGTGTACTAAGCCATTGCTATATATCCGGGAGGACGTTGTCAGTGTTGCCACAGATATGAGGCCAACCTGGATCACACTGGCTATGCGTCTCTTCAGTCAAATTCTAAGCTAAGCAATGATTTCTATCACCATAAGTCCTCAGAGTGTTCGTGAAGTGCACACATGACTGTGGGGCAACCTGATGGAATGCCTTCTGGGCTCAAAATAATATACTCTACCTTCTCTTTGCCCAAATGCATATTTTATATTGCTACATGCAAGCACAACCTCTTAATGGGGAAAAAAATTCTAAATCACTTTTCTCTCTCAGTTTACGCTGAAATCCAGTAGAAATGCGTTAGGATATAAGGTACCATCCATATACTCTCCTTTATGGAGTTGATAAGAAATTGCTATAAACCAGAGCAGTGAGAGCTGGCTTATATAATGCTATCCCCTGTCTCACTTGAAAACAGGGTGAAACACAGAAACAAAAAAAAAGGGGGGAAAAACAATGAACAATGGAAGACACTGAAGTGTCTGACTAGGAAAGCATGAAAAGAGTTGCCACTCTTTCAACAAGCTAAGCTTCATAGTATCGCTCAATCTGCTTAGAGTTGTCATCCCCTTGTAACAGTCCATATTTTCTTTGACCCCATTTGTAAATTCAAAATTACTTATAGTCATTCAATATAAAACCAAAAGTACAGGTAGAGTTAACTTTTGTCTGTGTCATACATACTGCTTGATTTTTATTGATTAGCAATGTGAGTCACTGCACCAAAAAACAGACGCTCTCAGCACTTGTATTATATCATTATGGTAGAAGGCTTTCTGTATTTACTGATGTGCCTTTATTTTTCCTTTGTCACTTTTTCTACCCAGGCCATGGAAATGCAAATTAAAAAACAGTTTCAGGACACTTGCAAAGTACAGACCAAACAGTATAAAGCACTCAAGAATCACCAGTTGGAAGTTACTCCAAAGAATGAGCACAAAACAATCTTAAAGACACTGAAAGATGAGCAGACAAGAAAACTTGCCATTTTGGCAGAGCAGTATGAACAGAGTATAAATGAAATGATGGCCTCTCAAGCGGTAAGTGGTTAGGTTTGGTGCCACGGCTTCGAGAGCTTTGGGAATCAAGAAAATCCAAGATCCAGCCTGTTGTTCCCAAGATGATTCTTGCACAAATTTAGGATATTGATGTTTTTCTGCCCAAAGGACTGAGGAAAGGACGACGTTGAATAAAGCCAAGCCAATGTGGATACTTGCTGGAGTGTCTTATAAGATGGAACTCAAGGAGTGACATGCCACATCAGACCTGTGGCACATAGGGACTTTGAGGGCAAATGTGATAGATACCACATATGATACCATGTGTTCATTTATGAAAGATTTTACTGACTGCCCTCCCCGCAACTAATATCAGGCACAAATGAATAAGAGTCCCTGCCCTTAGGGAGCCCACAGTCAAGTGAGGAAGACAGATACACAGACACACTCATGCAATAAACTTTTATTAAGCATCAGTGTTCAGCACTCTGCTGGACTCAGAGGTGGAGGATGAGCTAGACAGACAATTTGTCAGTCAAGCCAGGTGGTCAGATAATTAAGCAGTAATAGTAAAACATGGTAAGTGGGGCCGGGCGCGGTGGCTCACGCCTGTAATCCCAGCATTTTGGGAGGCCGAGGCAGGTGGATCACAAGGTCAGGAGTTCGAAACCAGGCTGACCAACATGGTGAAACCCCATCTCTACCAAAAGTACAAAAATTAGCTGGGCAGGCACCTGTAGTCCCAGCTACTCAGGAGGCTGAGGCAGGAGAATCACTTGAACCCGGGAGGTGGAGGTTGCAGTGAGCTGAGATCACATCACTGCACTCCAGCCTGGGTGACAGAGCAAGACTCTGTCTCAAAAAAAAAAAAAAAAGTGAGTGATTTGAAATGGGAGGTACTGGGGGTTAGGGGAGAACAAGTAGGACTAACTAAGCTCGTCTAGGGAAATCTTCCTAGAGGGAGCCAAGAAACTTTAAGGAATTCATTGACATAAACCGATTCCTTGAAACTGGGACCTACATAGGCAAAGGTTCAAACAGAGGAAAATATATGGAGACAGAAAGAACTTTGGTGTGAGCCCAAAGTTCAAGGAGGAAGATTGCAGGAACCCAGAATGGAGAGGTCATAAAGGGAGCTTGGGATGGGAGCTTGCCTGGTAATTCGGTGAAGCTTTCCCAAGGAGATGAGTCTTAAAGAGTAATAGTTTACCAAATAGGCATAAAAGAAAAAGTTGTTCCTGACAGAGGATACAGTATATGCAAAGACTTAGAGACGTGAAAGAGGATGGCACATTTGAGAAACAATGAGTAATTGCTATGGCAAGAGTATAGGATGCTTGTTGAGGGAAAGCGGGAGGATAGTCAGGGTCAGAGCCTCAGAAGCCAGGAGTTTGAATGTTATTTTGTAAGCAATGGAGAGCTGTTGAACCGTGTTTTAAGAAGGAAAGCATAACTGGATCAGATTTGTGTTACAGAAAGATATTAGCAGAAATGTGGCAAATATAGGTAAAGAGACCTGTTAGGAAGCCATTATAATAGTTCAGGAAAAAGGTGATGAGAGAACATGCTAATGGAGATGGAGAGGAGTGGGGAAGGTTTTAAGAAATATTTAGGAGGCAAGAATAGAAATAACTTAGTGACCAATTTGAGAGGTTTGACAACAGAGTAGAATAGGTCATTATCTTACCAAGCTAGAACAATAAAAGAGTGAGTTTGGATGCCTGCAAGGATAATTGACTAAGTTGTAGACCTGGTGTCTGCGTTTTGTGGGTGACCAGGTAGAGAGGTACAGATAATGGAAACCTGCAGTTTAGGAGGGATGTCAAGATTAAAGGCAGAAAGCTAGACTTCATTGTTATATGTGTGCACTTGTGGCTGGTAGGAATGGATGAGATCTGCTGGGGACGGGAGGTATTCTTAGAGAGGAAAGAACTAAGGACAGAGTCTGGTAGACATCAACATTTGAGGGCTGAGGTAGAAGTAGAACAAAAGTGAATAATCAGAGACACAGGAAGGGAACCCGAAGAGAGCATGTCACAGGAGCCAGAGCAGGAGTTTCTAACTGACAGCGTCACATGTTGCAGAGATCAATTAGAAGAATAAACTTTGAGGTGTTCATTGGACCTAGCACTGGATTCGTCCATTGCTTGTCTCGGACAATCAGTGGAGTGGTGGGACTGGGAGACATTATAGAGCATTGAATGAGGGATTATAAAGTGAAATCCAGATGGTAAGTGAGACTGCTTTTCCCAGATCCTCATCAATGAAGGAAAAGAGAACAAGAGCTTTAGCAAAAGGAGAGAGAGTTGAAGAAAGACTTCTGTTAGTTGGGAGATGCTTAAGCATGCATGTTCTTAGGCCGAGGATGGGAGCTAGTGCATTCATCTATTCATCCATCCAGCAAGTATTCATTGAGTGCCTACGTGATGTACCAGGCATCTGGAGATACAGTGGTGGATAAGACAGTCATGAATCACGTCTTTATGGAGTTTATGGAAGCATGGAGGAAACAGACATTGGAAAAGTCTACTCCGTGTAATGTCAGAGCAAGAGCAAGGTGCCAACAGACTGCAAAGCAGGAGAGCTCACCTGGTCTGGAGAGTCAGGAGAGGCCTCCCTGGCACAATGGCTATGTAGGCTGAGGAACCTACACATGAGGAACGTGTGAACATTGGGAAGGCAGTGGCACTTTGGAAGAATTCACAGAAATCTATTATGTTTGGGATGTAGGGAACTAGGAGAGGACTAACATGAGAACAAGACTGGAGGGGTAAACAGGCTGGGTCACGTAGGGGCTTTCAGGCTTTGTTAAGAATTTTTGTCTTTATCCGAAACAATGAAAAGCCACTGGAGGGTATTAAGCAGGGTGTGACATCAGATTTGTGTTTTTGAACCATCACTCTGGTGACATGGAGAATGGCCTGGGAGATGGGAAGAATGGATATTAGGAGATGATTTGTGAAGTGACTTTTACCTGGGGTATGAGGGAGTGGTAGCCAGACTAGAAAAGGGGCAGTCGGGATGAAGGGGGAAGTTACTAAATTTGGTGGGAGGTAGAATTGAGAGTACTTAATGACAGGTTGGATGTGGAGAGTCCAGTGTTCAGGATGACTTCCAGTCTCTGGTTTGAACAAAACAGTAGATGATGGGCCAGGCATGGTGGCTCATGCCTGTAATCCTAGCACTTTGGGAGGCCGAGGCAGGCAGATCACCTGAGGTCAGGAGTTCGAGACCAGCCTGGCCAGTGTGGTAAAACCCTGTCTCTACTAAAAATACAAAAATCAGTTGGGCTTGGTGGCACACACTTGTGTAATCCCAGCTACTTGGGAGACTGAGGCGGGAGAATCGCTTGGACCCAGGAGGCAGCAGAGGTTGCAGTGAGCCGAGATCACGCCACTGCACTCCAGCCTGGGTGACAGAGTGAGACTCCATCTAAAAAAAAAACAAAAATAAAGCAGTAGATGATGGTCTACCTGTATTTACCTATATGGTAAAAAAGGAAGTGGAACAGATTGGGGTGTGGGAAGGAAAAGGTGATGTATTGGCTGCGGGGAGCCTGAGAGCCTGGGAAACATCCAGAGGAGGATGTCTCTGGTAGACTACAGGAGCTCGTCTGGACCTCAGAAGGAAAGTCTGAAATAGAGGTTTAGTGTGGGAGTCATTTGTACATATGTAGATGGTAATTGAGGCTTTTGAAATAGATGAGATTCTTAGGAAGAGCGGTTAGAGGAAGAAGAGGGCCCAGGACAAAGCCCTTAAGAACACCCACATTTAAGGACCAGGTAGGTAAGGACTACTGGAAAGGGAATAGTCAGAGAGGGAAGACAAAAACCAAGAAGTTGTGGTATCTCAGAAGACAAAGATTTCAAGAAGGAAGGGGCAGTCAGCAATACCAAATGCTGCTGGAAGGTCAGGTAACAGGCCACTTCCAGGCTATCATGGGTCACCTTAATGTGAGCGGTAGAAGTAGAGGGTTAGGATCAGAATGAGTGCGAGGAAAGGTTTGCAGAGGGAGATGAAAGGCAAAGAGAAGGAAGAAGTTGATAGACACATGGAGGTTGATAGGGTTTTTGTCTTGTTAATCTTTATATGCTCAGCCTCTGCAACAATGTGTGGCATACAACAAGCGTTCAATGAATGTTTGTTATATAAAATGGGAGAGACCAGGCGCGGTGGCTCACGCCTGTAATCCCAGCACTTTGTGGGAAGGGTCACTTGAGGCCAAGAATTCTTGGCCAGCCTAGGCAACATAGCAAGACCCTGTCTTTACAAAAAATACAAAAATTAGCCAGGCATGGTGGCACATGCCTGTAGTCCCAGTAACTTGGGAGGCTGAAGCAGGAGGATCACTCAAGCCCAGGAGTTCAAGGCTGCAGTGAGCTATGATCACACCACTGCACTCCAGCCTGAGCAACAGAACAAGACTGGGACTCTTAAAAAAAATAAATAAGATGAGAGAGAACAGGATCAGAAATACAGGTCAATGATTACCCTTGAATAAAAGGAGAGAAATGCCCTTTCTTCTGAGACAGGGAGAAGATAAGTGTGTGATCATTACAGCATCCTTTACTGACTACTTACCATGTGGCAAGTACAATCAATGTTAAACATCTCATAAGTGTTACCTCATTTCATTTTTGTGAAACCCCTTTGAAGTAGTTACTGTTTTGACCCTAATTTACCTGTGAGGAAACTGAAGTTCACTGAAGTAAAGCTACTTTCTTAGGACAGGAGTTGGCAAACTTTGTCTGTAAAGGGACAGATAGTAATTAGCTTTGTGGACCACAGGGTCTCTGTCACAGCTACTCAGCTTTGCCATTGTAGCACAAATGCAGCCATAGACAAAACATAAATTAATGAGTATTATCAATGTCCAATAAAACTTTATTTATGGCTGGGCGAAGCGGCTCATGCCTGTAATCCCAGCAATTTGGGAGGCTGAGGCGGGTGGATCACCGGAGGTCAGGAGTTCGAGACCAGCCTGGCCAACCTGGTGAAACCTCATCTCTGCTAAAAATACAAAAATTAGCTAGGCATGGTGGCACGTGCCTGTAATCCCAGCTACTCAGGAGGCTGAGGCAGGAGAATCGCTTCAACCAGGGAGTCGGAGGTTGCAGTGAGCTGAGATCACACCACAGCACTCTAGCCTGGTGACAGAGTGAGACTCCATCTCAAAAAAAAATATATATATATATTTACAAAACCAGGCACCAGGCTAGATTTGGCCCATGGGCTGTAGTGTGCCAACCACTGGCTTGGGGGGATAAGGGGGAAGGTCACATAGCTAATTAGTGGTAGAGCTAGGATTTGAACCCATCTTGGGGGGAATCCTGTGCGCCTGTATGCTTGGCTGCTTCTACATTATGTTGCCTCTTATCGTATCTTCAGTGTAAGCCACTGTAAAGATCAGACATATTTACCTATACTCTTATAAAACTTTTTAATGGAGCTGGGCACGGTGGCTCACACCTATAATCCCAGTATTTTGGGAGGCCAAGGCAGGCGGATCACCTGAGTTCAGGAGTTTGAGACCAGCCTGGCCAACATGGTGAAATGCCATCTCTATTAAAAATACAAAAAATTAGCTGGGCCTGGTGGCACTTACCTGTAATCTCAGCTACTCGGGAGGATGAGGCAGGAGAATCACTTGAACCTGGGAGAAGGAGGTTGCAGTGAGCTGAGATCACATCACTGCACTCAGCCTGGGCAACTGAGTGAGACTGTCTCAAAAACCACGAAAAAACAACTTTTTAATGGATTTGATGTGTGTAACCTTGGGTGATAAAAACTAAATGCTGGAATATCCTCTGATTTCTAGCACTGGGCCATCAGTCAGAGCTGGTACAGAACAATGGTACCAGTTACTGCTAATAATAATAGCGTGCCAGAAACAAAAGGAAATGGAGATGTTCTAAATGTTTAAAGATATTTAGATGTTTAGATGGTCTAAATTGACCATAGAATGAACCTCTCACCCACTTAGCTGGGGCTTACAGCAACTAATGCAGACAAGTAGAAAAGAACAGGACTTTCACTGCCTTTACTGATAAGGAACCTCCCATATCAAGAGGGAATCAGTAACAACCCTCATTGGGAGCCAGTAAATCCTTTGGCATTTACCTGTGAGTCTGTTCCTGCCAAAGACTATGTATTGTGTCTAGTGTCTCTTATCCCTTCATTCCTTACTGGGAAAATGAGAACTGTCTGTCCTCTTTAAGGGTTTTAATGAAACCTGGTTAGGATTAATTTTTAGAAGGTACCTTGGAAATATGATTATGTAATTTATTTTGTTCCTTTAATCTCTATAGTATGTTTCTCCAGAAGTACTAAAAGAAGATACATGCAAATAACTAAAACTATTTTAATATAACATTTCAAAAAGTAATTTTTCAATCAAGATATGTATATTGTCACAAATTGTACATAAGGTGGAGAATAAGTATCTTGGAAAAGTGGTCAATAAGGAAACACAGATAAGCTCAGGGTAAATGGACTGATTCAAGGGTTCTAATCTCATAGTTCTCAGCCAAACTGTGGGCCTGCCAAAATTGGACCAAACCAAGCCTGCAACCCAGGGTCATCATTCCTAAACACTGTCCTGCTGATGGTCCGAAACCTTCTACTCTGCTTTGAGAAGTTGGCGCTTCTACTTGGTTCATTCTCCACGCAGGATCTGGGTATCTTGTATAAGACAAAGTTCAGGCACTGCTTCAAAGCAGTTATGCCTCTTAAAATTGTCAAGCCTACCTACCCTCTGAGAGGAAGAGATTTTTTTTTTATGAGACAAAGTCTCTGTCTGCCAAGCTGGAGTGCATTGGTGTGATCATAGCCCACTGCAGCCTCGAACTCCTGGGTTCAAGAGATTCTTCTGCCTCAGCCTCCCAAAGTAGCTGGGACTACAGGCACATGCCACCATGCCTGGCTAATTTTTTAAAAAATCTTTGTATAGATGGGGGTCTCACAATATTTCCCAAGCTAGTATTGAATGCCAGGCCTCAAGCAATCCTCACACCCTGGCCTCCCAAAGCGCTGAGATAACAGAGGTGAGCCACCAGCCAGGGAAGAGATTTTGAACCATTTGGAGTTTTGGATTGGCTGGCTAGCAATGTAACTTTTATAGCCAACAATAGGTGCCAACATTACTACTTGGAGCATAACAGTACTGTGGTATATTCCTCAAGTTTTATGGAAATTGGAATCAATTTTTTAGAGCTAAGCATATCTAAATGATTTTAGGGTTAAAGAACTTGAAATAAGGACATGATCAGTTGAAACCGAAATAATGATAACCACTACTATTTATTGAAAACTTGTAATGCATTGAGAACTGTGCCTAGGATTTTATATTAATTCTTTCATTTAATCCTCCCACCAATCTCAGGCAATAGGAACTATTCTTGTTATTTTCTTGAGAATGAAACACATGAGATCTAGAGAGGTAGGTAATGTGCCAAGGTGTGACACACACAAAGTGGATGGTGTAGCTGTAATTCAAGCCCAGGAGCCTACCTCCAAAGCCCACAGGTGTAGCCTTCCTGACGCCTGCTGCTGTGGTTTCAGATCATACTGAAAAGAATGTGTTTGGTATTGTAGCCCATTGGGCAGACTTGACTGTTTTTGATTCCCAACTCTGAATGTACCCAGAGCATCTGTGTTTTTGAGGGGGCAACCAATTTCAATCCAAATGAGGAAACCTCTTCCAGTAGTCACCAAGGGCTGTAGGCCACCAAGGGCTGTAGGCAAGGGTGCATGACCGTGTGTGTCTTCTGTGTCCGCAGTTACGGCTAGATGAGGCTCAAGAAGCAGAATGCCAGGCCTTGAGGCTACAGCTCCAGCAGGAAATGGAGCTGCTCAACGCCTACCAGAGCAAAATCAAGATGCAAACAGAGGCACAACATGAACGTGAGCTCCAGAAGCTAGAGCAGAGAGTGTCTCTGCGCAGAGCACACCTTGAGCAGAAGGTAAGGGAGCATTACCAGGGGTCCGGTGCCACTGGGTGGAAGGGGGCGTGGCTGAGGGAACTGCCATATATGCAGCCTTCCTTAGTTAGAGATTAAACTGGGCACTTTTCACTTATCTGCTTTATGCTACTGGTACCCTTGTGAGGTAGGCATTGTCCCCCTTCTACAGACCGAAACACCAAGGCACGCATGTCTGACCCCACATCCTAAGTCTTTCTTCTGCTCTGCTAGGAAACCCTCAACGTTCCCAGCCAGAGGAATGATGTGGGTTGCTGGGGTGGTTGATGTGACACCTGAAAGGTACTGTGAGCTGACAGCAGGGCTGCCAAATGGCACGAGGAAGCCAAATGTACAATAGATTTGACTTTTCAGCTATTTTTAAACCGAGAGAAATCACCAGCAGGGCTGTTTAAAAAAAAATTAAAATGATGATAGGCTGATATTGCCATGCATAAATGTTATCCCAACTGAAATATTCATTGCTTTAGAAATTCTGAGGAATATGAAGTAGAAAACATTTCATAAGGCATCTCAAAGCTGTTAAGCATTTATTTGCTTAACCAGTTATTTGCACTTTCTTCCAGTAGTTCCCTGAGACCAACGTAACAGACTATTTTCCCAGCTCCTGTTCTAGAACTAAATTACTAATGACCCAGGAGGCATTTGGCTCTCTGTGGGAAAGCAGCACAATCCAATTGTGCTTGAGTGTCTTTTAGCTTCTCATGAGCCATCCCCTAACACAGGACACTGACCTAGATCCGCCCAGCCGCTGGGCTTGCTAGAACGGCATTGCCAGCCCCAGGTGGACCCCAAACATTGATATTCTTGTGAGCAAGTTTTAAATATAATGATTTAGATGCATTGATCACAGGACTCAGCCAGCCTTCCTCGGTCCTCCCGTAGTTCCTGTGTGTGTGTGTGTGTGTGTGTGTGTGTGCGCGCGCGCGCACTTCATGTGTGTGCCTATGTGTGTGTGCATGTCATATGTGTGCCTATGGGTGTATCGCGTGCACGTGGGTGCCTGTTAGGAGATGCTTTCCATTAAGAACTGCATCGTGCTTCTTTCAGATTGAAGAGGAGCTGGCTGCCCTTCAGAAGGAACGCAGCGAGAGAATAAAGAACCTATTGGAAAGGCAAGAGCGAGAGATTGAAACTTTTGACATGGAGAGCCTCAGAATGGGATTTGGGAATTTGGTTACATTAGATTTTCCTAAGGAGGACTACAGATGAGATTAAATTTTTTGCCATTTACAAAAAAAAAAAAAAAAAAGAAAACAGAAAAAAATTCAGACCCTGCAAAACCACATTCCCCATTTTAACGGGCGTTGCTCTCACTCTCTCTCTCTCTTACTCTTACTGACATCGTGTCGGACTAGTGCCTGTTTATTCTTACTCCATCAGGGGCCCCCTTCCTCCCCCCGTGTCAACTTTCAGTGCTGGCCAAAACCTGGCCGTCTCTTCTATTCACAGTACACGTCACAGTATTGATGTGATTCAAAATGTTTCAGTGAAAACTTTGGAGACAGTTTTAACAAAACCAATAAACCAACAACAAAAAAAGTGGATGTATATTGCTTTAAGCAATCACTCATTACCACCAATCTGTGAAAGTAAAGCAAAAAATAATAATAATAAATGCCAAGGGGGAGAGAGACACAATATCCGCAGCCTTACACCTTAACTAGCTGCTGCATTATTTTATTTTATTTTATTTTTTTGGTATTTATTCATCAGGAATAAAAAAAACAAAGTTTTATTAAAGATTGAAAATTTGATACATTTTACAGAAACTAATTGTGATGTACATATCAGTGGTGACATATTATTACTTTTTTGGGGACGGGGGGTGGGTGGGGTGAAGAGATCTTGTGATTTTTAAGAACCTGCTGGCAAGAGTTTAACTTGTCTTCAGCATATTCTGATTGTATCATAATCATTTTCTGCTGTTGCAGAGGATGTGAATACACTTAAGGAGCTCACAGAATCCCAGTAGCACAAATTGGGCTTTGGCAAATCGTGTATTTTGTGTATAGAAGGAATTTAAGGAGAGGTATTACTTATTTTCATATTGTATTTTAACTGTTTCTCTGATCAAATTTTTTTACTTCCTCCTCCTGTTCCTCCCCACCTCCCTCCTTTTCCAGTTCAGTATTTGGAGTTCAACACTGTCTCTCAATCAGATCATCTTGATCTTTTTCTTTATCTCCCTTCCCCTTCCTAAGTCCCATTTCTTGGTCATAAATATTGCATTATTCACACTTTCAAACTGTGTATTTTCTTACAATAAAAAATGATGAAAAAAAAAAAGGCTTTACTTCTTTTGCATGCACTTTAAAAACAAAACAAAACATTTTTCAGGTTCCAAGGAAGAGCATGATAACTGTCAGAGCTTTTAATTATATTTGTAAATAAAAGTGTTCATCACATCGCCTTGCTGTGTTATTGTAGCAGGAAGTTTCCCTTCTAGGTTCACCAGTTCACAACTCAGAGGGACAGCCACCCTCCTGAAACTGTTCTCCATAGCCTCGGTCGCTCCAAGAAGAGCCATTCAAGCCTTTCAGGTAAAGCTCTGTCTTCCAAGTTCTTCTATGGGGCTGAAGATAGTGTTGCACCATTCGATGTGGGCACGTGGTCAACTGCACCTTTCTGTCCTAAAGAATAGAAGGCATGTGCGCGCGCACGCGCGCACACACACACACACACACACAAAACCCCCCACGTGCCAGTCGTGCATAGAAGCATGCATTGCTGAAGAGAGAAATTGGGCACCCTTAAAGAAAAGCAGGCTGTGGAGAAGGCACTATAACCAAATATTTGAAATGACCCCACTGTAATATTAGATCCCTCTCCCCTCATATTCTGCTTTTATTAGAATAATTTTACATGTAAAACAATGAGATAGTAAAAAATATAAAATTTCAGGGATATGATTTGGGAGTCAGGACAATCTCAGTAAGATCCCAAATGCTTAAGCCTCTATCAATCAGGCTTGTCCAACCCACCTTATTTTGTTGTTACTCTGTTTTGTTTTGTTCTAGGCTTTTGGCAGCCTGAAGCTATGGTTTTTGGTTTCTGTGTCTAGTGATAAATGGAAAAGGGGGACGAGGAAGGGGCTTTACTGGCCCAACCAGAAACAGAAACTAAGAACCCATGACTTGTGTTCTCTCCCTTGGACACTCCTGGAAATTGCTCTTTAGAGTATGATGACGTGGGGTGGGCCCAGCACTTTGGAAGGCTGAGGTGGGTGGATCACCTGAGGTCAGGAATTCAAGACCAGCCTGGCCAACATGGTGAAACCCCATCTCTACTAAAAATACAAAAATTAGCTGGGTGTGGTGGCGGGCACCTGTAATCCCACCTACTCGGGAGGCTGAGGCAGGAGAATCGCTTGAACGTGGGAGGCGGAGGTTGCAGTGAGCCAAGATGGCACCACTGCACTCCAGCCTGGGCAACAACAGTGAAACTCTGTTTCAAAAGAAAAGAATATGATGACCTAAAGATCACTCTTGTTTCCTACAGGATGTTCATGTATCGGAGACAAATGTGACCAGTCATGTTCACTCTGATAGGCTAAAGCAGAAAGGTATACTCATAAATAATTATCAACATGGGTTAATCCCAACTACAAAACCTTCTGTAACATCACACTCAGTGATAATTGTGTTTCCTAAGTACCTCTGTTCATTGGAGTTTCTATATTAGGTACATCTGAAAATAATACTGGAAAGGGTTAGAGAAACAGATAACGTCGATGGCGTGCTTACGCTTGCCACATGATGGAACACTAGGCTTTCACAAATGAAGAAATAAGCTCACTCCAGTGGCAGGGTGGGGTCTGAATCGAGACCTGTCTGATCTATACCCAAAGGAGTATTCCACCTTCAGTAGGGTAGAAAAGCTTCCTGTAGCCTCTTTCATCCATTTCTCACTGTGGTGAGAAATGTCTAGCTAGTTTGGGAAAGGGCCCTATGTCTGAGATTGTAGGTGCTATCTTTAGAAAAGGTCTCGGTGGCTCACAGCTGTAATCCCAGCACTTTGGGAGATCGAGGTGGGTGGATCATCTGAGGTCAGGAGTTTGAGATCAGCCTGGCCAACATGGTGAAACCCCGTCTCTACTAAAAATACAAAAATCAGCCGGGCGTGGTGGTGGGCGCCTATAATCCCAGCTACTCGGGAGGCTGAGGCAGGAGAATCGCTTGAACCCGGGAGGCGGAGACTGCAGTGAGCCAAGATGGCACCACTGCACTCCAGCCTGAGCAACAGAATGAGACTCGGTCTCAAAAAAAAGTCCCACTGCGCAAGTTTGTCAAGGATGTGTCCCAGGGCAGTTACCCGGAAGCAGGGATGTGGGTCCCTGCTCCTAACAAACACCTGCTATGGACAGAGTTGTCCTACTCCTCCTAGTACCTGCCTGAGGAGGCAGTAAGGAAGGCAGGGGGACTAGGAAGGCTGAGGCAGGAGAATCGCTTGAACCCAGGAGGCGGAGGCTGCAGTGAGGAAACAGACCTGAGGAAACTGGACTTTTGTACTTTGTTCTTATATGACAATCAGGCCAAGTTTAGTCATTTACATACATTAACTCTTAATCCCAAAAAAGATGATTTTGTCCTCCAACAACGCTGTGAGGTAAATAAGGCAGGCTGACAACCCCCTGCAACCCTGATGTTTTTTCAAATGAGGAAGCTGGAATTTGTGACCCAGTGGGCCCGGTGGTTATCAGCTGGACCTTGAGGCCAGAGTTGAGTTCAGAATGGGGGTCACCCCCTTCCTAGCCGCCCTTGGGGAAGTTCACATCACATACCAGTTGAAGGCATCACCCTTCTTTCTTAGATGACTACTGCCTTCTCATATATATGTATTTTTTTTTCTCTTTAGTTCCGTGTTAGTATTAATATGTTTTTCTTTTTCTATTTTTTTTTTAGATGGAGTGTCGCTCTGTCACCCAGGTTGGAGTGCAGTGGCGTGATGTTGGCTCACTGCATCCTCCACCTCCCAGGTTTAAGCAGTTCTTCTGCCTCCACCTCCCAAGTAGCTGGAATTACTGCAGCCTTGACCTCCTGACCTCAAGTGATCCTCCCACCTCAGCCTCCCTAGTAGCTGGGACTACAGGAACGAGTCCACACATCGGGCTAATTTTTGCATTTTTTTAGAGAGAGAGGGGTTTTGCCATGTTGCCCAGGCTGGTGATCTGCCCCACCTTGGCCTCACAAAGTGCTGGGATTACAGGTGTGAGTCTCCATGCCCAGACTTTACATTTATTTCCAAGGTCAACAGGACAGTTTTTTTTTTTTTCGAGACAGAGTTTCGCTCTTGTCACCCAGGCTTAAGTGCAATGGCGCGATCACAGCTCACTGCAACCTCGCCTCCCAGGCTCAAGCGATTCTCCTGCCTTAGCCTCCCTAGTAGCTGGGATTACAAGCGCCCGCCACCATGTCCAGCTAATTTTTGTATTTTTAGTAGGGATGGTGTTTTACCATGTTGGCCAGGCTGGTCTTGAACTCCTGACCTCAGTTCATCCACCCACCTCGGCCTCTCAAAGTGCTGGGATTACAGGCGTGAGCCACGGCGCCCAGCTGACAGTTGTTTTCTTTGTAACTTGTGTTCAACAAAATCTTATTACGTAAAAAAACGAATTTTAGAACTCTAAAGTAAAAAAAAAAAAAAAAAAAAAAAAACTTCCAGGCTTGGCATGGTGGCTCATGCCTGTAATCCCAGCACTTTGGGAGGCCAAAGTGGTCAGGAGGTCAGGAGTTTGAGAGCCGCCTGGCCAACATGGCAAAACCCCTTTTCTACTAAAAATACAAAATTAGCTGGGCATAGTGGTGCATGCCTGTAATCCCAGCTACTCAGGAGGCTGAGGCAAGAGAATCACTTGAACCCACCCAGGAGGTGGAGGTTGCGGTGAGCCGAGATTATTCCACTGCGTTCCAGCCTGGGTGACAGGGTGAGACTCCATCTCAAAAAAATTAAAAAAAGAAAAAAAGAAAACTTACATCTACCTTATGTGCTTCCAGCAAGGCAACATTTCCAAGTTTTTTCAGAGAAAAAAGTACTGCAGTGAAAGATGGGGAAGGGCTAGTCATTAGCACCTGTCAGGCCTGATTCAGGACCCCCCCCTTTGCATCGCAGAGACCAAATCACAGTGATTTGCACCTTCAAACACCTCCTTTCCTTTCTTTCGGTACATCAGATGGCATGAGACCGTGACCTTCTCACCCTCCTACCCTGCGCACCTCTTTGGTACTGAGCCTCTGTGGATAACACATCAGAACGGGAAGTGCAGGCTACTTCTTAGGCATTGTTACGGTGTCCGCGCCAGACTTCACCAAGGGGGAAGGTTTTCAGCCATCTTCTTTAGAACATCCTTCTTGGGTCAAAAGGACCACTTGAAGCAAAGGTGCTTTTTGGGCAATAAGACTCGGCCTCACATTTTATGATTTTTTTTTTAGAAACCTCAAATCTGAACTGTTTGCTCCTGCTGTGGGTTAATGGCACATGTAGAGGCACAGACCCTCCATATGGCCCCTAGAACAAGTCCCAGCTGTTACTTGCTGGTCACGGAGACGACTCACCCTGAGACTTGACTTCTCACACTTATGAAACCTATACCCAATAGAACAAAACATCCGGGGACTCAGTTCCTTCATTCAGGTTTCTATTTTTATTCAACTACAAGCAAACAGCACAATTAATGCAACATTCAGCAACTCCAGACCAGCTTTTCTTACCCCCATGAAGAACGATCAATTTAAAAAACACAGATCTCAGGTTTCCTCCCAAGCTGTCAGCGAGCGCTGCTACCGGTCTAGATTGCCATGTCCCAACAACAGCAAAGCCACCCTCCCTCCTGCTTCTTCCAGGATTGCTCTTTAAAGGGACCAGAGTGACATACTGATGCCTACTGAGGCATCTGAGATGCACTGTGTTGGAGGTTAGCCTCAATGCCAGCCTCTGGTTGTCTAGGTGAGTGACATCACCATAAAATCACATTGTGTACCATTCTGGACTCAGGATCACAAAGGCAGAGGCAACCAATCTTTTTTTTTTTTTTTTTTTTTAAACCTCCCTTAAAGATTCTTTGATGCTTTGCTCTATCACTGTAGACCTGGTCTTTTTCCCCCCAGTTTTTTCTTTTTTACATTCTGGGTTGCTATTTTCAGATTAATAATTTGATGACCCCATCACAGTACCAAAATACCCCCCAAAATGAAGTTCAAATTTGATCAAAACATAAATCAGAGTGAGTGAGTAAAATTATAAAGGCCAGGCAGCAGGAAAAGTCACCCTCAACTACCATCTGACTGGTCAGGTCTCACCCATGCCAAGGGGGGCAGGAAGAGGAGAAATCTATTATACATGCAACACTGAACTGGGGAACATGGCTTGGGGCCTCCAGGACAGTTCAGGTCCCCAAGCTAACCCCCTACTTCCCAGACAGCTGCTCGTACAGTTTGGGCACATAGTCATCCCACTCGGCCTGGTAACACGTGCCAGCCACCGGGGCCCTGAGCTCATACTTTTTACGGAAGGACGCCACCTTGAATTTGCCACGGTGGTCTCCAGATCGGTTGCTGAGGATGGGCTCGTCACACTTTAGCGGCCTGTCCTGCTCGTAAACCAGCCAGACATAGCGGTGGAGGCCTGTGGGGAGAGGCAGAGGGAAGATGTACACACAGCCCAGCACTTGAGATGGGGACATCATCCATTTTTATCGAATGTTTCAACATGGAGGCACCCAGACCACACCATTTACAAGGAGGACACCGAGGGTCCAGACAGGTATTTGGTGCAAATTAACATTTAATGGCAATTAACACATTAATGGCAAAAACCGCAATTACTTTTGCATCAACCTAATAGAATGTGTTAGGCCCCTGCTGTAACTGGTGTCAAGCCCAAGCCCTTAGTTCCAGCCTCTCCTGGCCTGTGGGATCTGGCCTCTGCACCCCCTTATCCTCGCCTCCCAACGAGCCTCTGTGCTCTTCATTCATCCCACTTCAGGCTCCCGGACCTTCTCAAGTCACCACCCACCACCCCCCATCAGAACACCCATTTCACTTCTGTCAGGTAGGAGCAACCAATTAAGGACAAAGCAAATCAATGACCCGGGCCCACCATACCACAGTCGAGCCTCTAGGATAAAGGAGAACATTTTCTTTCTACCTCCAAAATTTACTTGCTTAGAAAACTGGAGGACTACTTCGAAGTGACCCAACCTCACTTTAACTAAGCAGCTTTCTACAAGCTTCAATGATGTACTGGATGCAAATAGGTACCATGAGCTCTTATTTTTTTAAAAAGTGGGTTTTTTTTTTTTTTTTGAGACGGAGTCTCACTCTGTTGCCTAGGCGTGGAGTGCAGTGGCATGATCTCGGCTCACTACAACCTCAGCCTCCTGGGTTCAAGCAATTCTCCTGCCTCAGCCTCCTGAGTAGCTAGGATTACAGGTACGTGCCACCACGCCCAGTTATGTTTTGTTTTGTTTTGTTTTTGTATTTTTAGTAGAGACCAGGTTTCACCATGTTGGCAAAACTCCTGACCTCAAGTGATCCACCCATCTCGCCCTCCCAAAGTGCTGGGATTACAGCTGTGAGCCACTGCACCCGGCCAGAAACAAAGTTATTTTTTAAAAAGTTGTTTAAATATTTGCACACCCATGTTCAATGCAGCAGTATTCACAATAGCCAAGAAGCAGAAGCAACCCGACTGTCCACTGATGGATGAAAAGATGATCAGAATGTGGTTTATACACACAACAGAATATTATCCAGCCTTTTATTTTTTCTTTACTCCCCTGTGTTACTCTAGGACTATTCAGCCTTAAAAAGAAATTCAGACACATGCTACACCAGAGAACCTTGAGAACATTACATTAGTGAAATTAGCCAGTCGCAAGACAAATACTGTACAATTCCACGAGGTATCTAAAGTAGACAAACACTGCAACAGAAAGTGGAATGGTGGCTGCCAGGGCTAGGGGAAGGGAAATGGGGAGCTGTTGGTCAATGGGGACAGGGTTTCTGTTGGGGAAGATGAAAAATCTAGAGATCTGTTTCACAACAATGTGAATGTAGTGGTCGGGCATGGTAGCTCACATTTATAATCCCAGGACTTTGGGAGGCCAAGGTGGGAGGGTCACCTGAGCCCAGGAGGAATTTGAGACCAGCTTGGGCAATATGGCGAAACCCCGTCTCTACTAGAAATACAAAAATTTGCTGGATGTGGTAGGTAGCCTGTGCCTGTAGTCCCAGCTTCTCGGGAGCCTGAGGTAGGAGGGTTGCTTGAGCCCAGGAGGTGAGCTGAGCCCTGCAGTGAGCTGAAAACGTGCCACTGTGCTCCAGCCTAGGGGACAGAGTAAGACCCTATCTCAAAAAAAAAAAAAAAAAAAAAAAAAAAAAAAGTGAATGTAGTTAACGCTACTGTAGTGTACACTTAAAAATGGTTAAGATGGAGGGGGCGCAGTGGCTCACACCTGTAATCCCAGCACTTTGAGAGGCTAAGGCAGGTGGATCACTTGAGGTCAGGAATTTGAGACCAGCTTGGCCAAGATGGTGAAACCCCGTCTCTACTAAAAATATAAAAATTAGCCAGACATGGTGGCACGTGTCTGTAATCCTAGCTACCCAGGAGGCTGAGGTGGGAGGATCACTTGAACCTGGGAGGTGGAGGCTGAAGTGAGCTGAGATCACACCACTGCACTCCAGCCTCAAAAAAAGAGTTAAGATGGTAAATTTTGCCAGGCATGGTGGCTCTTGCCTGTAATCCCAGCACTTTGGGAGGCTGAGGTGGGCAGATCATCTGAGCTCAGGAGTTCAAGACCAGCCTGCCCAACATGGAGAAACCCTGTCTCTACTAAAAGTAAAAAAAATTAGCCGGGTGTGATGGTGGACACCTGTATTCCAGCTACTCGGGAGGCTGAGGCAGGAGAATCGCTTAAACCTGGGAGGTGGAGGTTGCAGTGAGCCGCGATCACACCATTGCACTCCAGCCTGGGTGACAGAGCAAGACTCTGTCTCAAGAAAAAAAAAAATTTAAAAAAAAAAAAAAAAAAAGAATGCATGGCAGCCACTCCACTTTGTTTCAGTGAGCTTGGCTACTTTAGGTATCTCATAGAATTGTACGGTATTTGTCTTTGTGTGACTGGCTCATTTCACTAACATAATGTTCCTCAGGGTTCATCCTGGTGTAGCATGTGCCCAAATTTCTTTTCAAAGCTAAATAGTCCTAGAATAATACACAGAAGTTTAAACAAAAAGACTGGATAATATTTGGATATTTCTTCATAATATCCAAATACTGGAAACATCCCAAATGCCCATCAATAGAGAATGGCTAAACAAACTGGCCTGTTCACCAACGGGAATATTACTGAGCAATAAAAAGGGGTAACTATTGATACAATCTATGGACCAATCTCACAGATATTATCTGGAATGAAGCAGACCAGTCACCCAAATTTTTTAAAATACACATTGCATGATACTTTTTTTTTGGAGGCAGAGGCTTGCTCTATCGCCCAGGCTAGAGCGCAATGGCACAATCTCAGCTCACTGCAACCTCCACCTCCCGGGTTCAAGCCATCCTCCCACCTCAGCCCCACAGGTGGCTGGGACTACAGACGTATGCCACCATGCCTGGATAATTTTTGTATTTTTGGTAGAGACAGAGTTGTACCATGTTGGCCAGGCCGGTCTTGAATTCCTGGCTTCAAGTGATCCAACTGCCTCCACCTCCCAACATGCTGGGATTATAGGCGTGAGCCACCGTGCCTGGTCCATGATACCATTATATGAACACAAGAATAGCGAAAGTGGCTGGACACAGTGGCTCACGCCTGTAATCCCAGCACTTTGGGAGGCCAAGGCGGGCGGATCACAAGGTCAGAAGTTCGAGACCAGCCTGGCCAACATGGTGAAACCTTGACTCTACTAAAAATACAAAAATTAGCTGGGCGTGGTGGTGGGCGCCTGTCATCCCAGCTACTCAGGAGGCTGAGGCAGAAGAATCATTTGAACACAGGAGGTAGAGGTTGTAGTGAGCCGAGATCACGCCATTGCACTCCAGCCTGGGAGACAGAGCGAGACTCCATCTCAGAAAAAAAAAAAAGAATAGTGAAAGTGATTTATGGAGACAGGAGTCAGAATATGGTTAGCTCTGGGGGAATTTAAGTAAAAAGGTCACATGAGAATGTCGTTGGGCGATGGAAATGTCATCTGTCTTTCCAATGGCTGCTACCTTCCATGGGTGTATGCATTGATCACATTTGCTGACTGAACCCTTCCGATCTGTGGATTTTGTTACCATGTAAATTATACCATATTACAAGAATATGGAAAAAACAACAAGAAAATGAGTTACTGAGGCTTTTTTAAAAATGAGAACACAGCTCTGCCGGGCGCAGTGGCTCACGCCTGTAATCCCAACACTTTGGGAGACCGAGGCAGGTAGATCACAAGGTCAGGAGATTGAGACCATCCTGGCTAACACGGTGAAACCCCGTCTCTACTAAAAATGCATAAAATTAGCCAGGCATGGTGGCGGACACCTGTAGTCCCAGCTACTCGGGAGGCTGAGGCAGGAGAATGGCATGAACCGGGGAGGTGGAGCTTGCAGTGAGCGAGATCGTGCCACTGCACTCCAGCCTGGGAGACAGAGCAAGACTCCATCTCAAAAAAAAAAAATGAGAACACAGCTCTTACTTGAGAGAATTGCCTTATTCTCATGGGTAAGCTTCCCATAATTAACCTGCCTAATTTTATAACTGCCCTAGAGAACTTACTAGGTCCCTGGGAAATCTGTCCCTTTACCATCTACTATGCATGCGTGAGAGGGTTTAAAGGCATCTGAAGCTTCCGGGTCTACAGAGAAACCATGAGCCCATGACCAACTGTCCATGTCAGAGATGTTCTTGTACCTCTTCATGTTAACTCCTGGCTGGATAAGCTGTACAAAAAGCTAGGATTATGACAGTTCCACCAAATGGAAACATCCTGAACTGAACACCAGGCAATAAGAATGCATATCTCACCATCAGCTTAGGTGGCACTTACCCAACCTGGAAAGTTTCAATACGGTGGGCTTTCTCTTTCTATCTCTAAATATCTACATGTATTTTATATATAATAGCTATAACACGATACTACACAATACAATGTGTGTGTGTGTGTGTGCGCCTTCAATATAGTTCTACTGAAGTCTTCCAAATCTGTTTTCAATATACCCAGCTAGACTTTTTCAGAAACAAATACAGAAAGCAACCTTATATAGTTAATTTGGAAACTATGATCATTTCTGAAATGTTTTAAAGAAACTCAAAGATCACCCCGGGCAAAGGCTTGAGATAGTTTAACTGTGTATTCCACTCACTGCAGCCCCAAAAGGCCATGCTAAGCTTTCTGCAACAGTGCTTCCCTCTCACCAACTTCCCTGCTTGCTAAAGGGCTAGGGGTGCAGAGACAGCTCTACACAAAGGGTCCGTCTGTCCAGAACCCAAGGCTCTAGCCACCTGACACTGCTGCAGGTCTGAATGTGTGCCCTGAAGGCAGCTGCCCTAGAGGTAAGCTGAGATGCTATTTCCAGCAGGGTTAAGGGCTCTCAAAAGAAAAGCATTGGGTCAATCCTAATGTGCCCCCGAGCTCCCTCCCCAACCTCCCACCAAAAACAACCTTTACTAACCTGTGCCCTTGGGAGGCCCCGAGCCCACATAATCGGAGAGGACTGTGCCACTGCTGATGTCATTGCCCTTCATGTTGACCACCAGGAAATGATGCCATTCTCTGCATGAAGAAACACGGGATGTCAGCACCACAGGAGATCAGGGAACATTCACTGCACAGTCAGCAACTGGGCATCAAGAACATGCTGGCTGCCACAACACAGCCACGAACAACAGTCCTTTCTTTTTTTTTTTTTTTTGAGACAGAGTCTCACTCTGTCACCCAGGCTGGAATGCAGTGGCACGATCTCGGCTCACTGCAAGCTCCTCCTCCTGGGCTCAAGCAATTCTCTGCCTCAGGCTCCCAAGTAGCTGGGATTACAGGCGCCTGCCATCATGCCTGGCTAATTTTCGTATTTTTAGTAGAGACGGGGTTTCACCATGTTGGCCAGACTGGTCTTGAACTCCTGACCTCGTGATCCCCCCGACTCGGCCTCCCAAAGTGCTGGAATTACAGGCATGAGCCACCGCGCCCGGCCCAGTCCTCACTTTCTTAGAGGCCAGCACGAACCTCATGTGTTTGCAGAAGAGCAGACCCAGCCCCTCCCACCCTCTGACATTTTCTAGAGCAAAGGTCAGCAAACTTTCCACTAAAAGGCCAGAGAATAAATTTGTTAAGCTTTGGGGGCCACAGTCTCTGTTGCAACTATTCAACTTGGCCTTGGCAGCATGAAAGCAGCCACAGATGACACATAGCTTTGCTCCAATAAAACGTTAACTGATGGACACTGACAGGTAAATTTTGTGTAATTTCCACATCATAAAGTACTATTCTTCTTTCAATTTTTCACCAATCATTTAAAAATGTGAAAACCAGGCCGGGCATAGTGGCTCACACCTGTAATCCCAGCACTTTGGGAGACTGAGGCGGGCAGATCACCTGAGGTCAGGAGTTCGAGAGCAGCCTGGACAAGGTGAAACCCCGTCTCTACTAAAAATACAAAAATTAGCCAGGCATGGTGGTGGGCGCTTGTAATTCCAGCTACTCGGTTAGCTGAGGCATGAGAATCACTTGAACCTGGGAGGTGGAGGTTGCAGTGAGCCAAGATCATGCCACTGCACTCCAGCCTGGGTGACTGAGACTCTGTCTCAAAAAAATAAAAAATAAATAACTAAATAAAAATGTAAAAACCATTCTTAGCTCATGGGGCTGTATAAAAACAGGCCACAGGTGGATATGGCTCTCGGCTGTGAGTTACAGACACCTGCTGTAGGGGGGCAAAAGGGCAGGAAAGGCACTCTCTGGCTTAAGCATGGGTGGGGGCATCCCAAACCAGGTCTACTTCTCTGTGTCCAGCAAGGGACTTACACCCGATAACTCATCTCTGCATGACCTGCTCTTCTCGTCTTTCTCACCTCTCACCTGTATTTGGGATCCTTCCTGCTGGGAGCATCCGGGTCTGTCAGGACCAAGGTGTAGAGCTTCCCTGAATCAAGACCATCCCACGAAATGCTGGTGGGTCTATTCTTAACCTGTATGAAGGAACCAGTTTGCAGTAAAAAAGTCAGAAATGCTGAAGAAACTGGCTGGGTGTGGTGGCTCACGCCTGTAATCCCAGCACTTTGGGAGGCCTAGGAGAGAGGATCACTTGAGGTCAGGGGTTTGAGACCAGCCTGGCCAACACGGTGAAACCTGCCTCTACTAAAACTACAAAAATTAGCTGGGCATGGTGGCGGGAATCTGTAATCCCAGCTACTCGGGAGGCTGAGGTGGGAGGATCACTTGAGCTGGGGAGGCAGAGGCTGCAGGCGGCCAAGATCACCCCACTGCACTCCAGCCTGGGCGACAGAGTGAGACTCTGTCTCAAAAACAAGAAATGCTGAAGAAACCAATACTCTTTCTTTGATCTCAGACTCTCCAAAGACAAAACAGAATAGATTTTTAATAAAATCAATGACCCTGTATTGACTGTAAGAGCCAGGAGCTGGAGTTTTATATACGTTATGTATTTTATTTGAGACCAGGTCTCCTTCTGTCACTCAGGCCGGAGTGTAGTGACGCTATCAAGGCTCACTGTAGCCTCAACCTCCAGCGCTCAATCGATCGATCCTCCCACCTCAGCCTCCTGAGCAGCTGGGAACTACATGCTCACACCATCACACCTGGCCAATTTTTTTTTGTAGAGTTGGGGTCTTGCTATGTTGCCCAGGCTGTATATTATTTCAGTCCCAACAACACCATGGGGCTAGTATCCCAGCACACTATTAAGAGAAACAGATAAGGCTGGGATTCCAACCCTGGCACTGAGTCCCCTCTCAACGACACCCTTACATTGTCTGTCCGGAATCACAGCGTTTCTGGATTTGGTGATCAGGAGGTTACCTGGAGCCTGCTGAAGTGAAATCTGCATTAACTGTACGTTTCAAAGTGCAAAGAAAAGGAGAAAGCCAAGGTGATGAGAGGCGGGCAGGGAGCAGGAAAAGGGAGGCTGTGTTAGATGGGCACTACATATTTAAACATCCAAAAAAATTAAATTCTGTGAACATCCAAAACAATGTAAGGTCGGGGCAGTTTATTTTACGCTGTTGCCCGGAGCTTCATAACCAACTAGCAGTGGCGTCTGCAAATCTAGTTTCTTCACTTTCGGCAGCCCCAGCCGTGGGCGTGGGAGGTCAAAGACCAAAACTAAACCGTTGCCCTCCAGCGTACCGGCTGGACGCTCTCGACCCATTTAACAAAGGAGAAATCGGCCGGCGCGCTCATCGCCAGTTACATAATGCGTCACAGGCTCTCGGGTGAGGCTTCAGCCCTCCAAAACCAGGCCTAAAATGCTGAGGCCCTAGGGGAAGCTCTGGGGGCGTCCGGGCAGCCACAGCCTACTCTGTCCCGGCGACGTCCCTCTCCAGCGCCCTGGCCTGTGGGGGGAGAGGGGGATCCGGCCTGTTTCCGAACCTAGGTCCCTCTTGGGTCTGAAGCCCGGGAAAAGTGAATGAATTTCTGCCGCAGGCCGAACCTGCCTGGCCACGCCACAGGCCGGGTTCCCGGTGCTCGGGGTGGCCCCCAGGCATGGGACATGGACCCCGGGACCTCTGGCCTGGGGGGGCCTCGACACACGCAGGCTGAACCTCCCCACCGCCCCTGGCCCTGTCTCCGCTGGGTCCCACCCAGGAGGCCGGCACAGGCCTCCGCGCCGTGCCGCTCGCTGCACGCCCGCCGCCCGGTGTACCTGGGTGGGCGTCAGCACTTTGCCCAGCTCGTCCACCGCCGCCCCGGCGTAGGTGACATGCAGCGGGTGCTGCGGCTGCTCGTCCACTTCTTGCAGGCTCAAGGGCCCGGACCACTTGCTGAGGTCCACCGGCATGGCGAGGCCAAGCAGAGCGTGCAGCCGGGAGTGCCGCGGTAGGCCAGGCGCGGGCGACAGAGGCGACGCGGAGAGCTCAGCACACTGGCTCGGGAAGACGCAGACCCAGCGACCACGCGAGAGCACGCGCCTCAGCCGCCGCCCAGCCCCGCGCACCGCCCCACGTCACGCCCACCGCTCCCTGGCCTCTGATTGGCCGAAGCTGGCAGAGCAGGGCCTCTCGCGCTCCTGGGTCCATGCAACCTGCTCCCTGTGGCTGCCGAGTTCTCGGGAACAGCGGCTCGGCCTGCAAGGCTGTTGTTTCAAGAAATGAAAATGAAGGGCGCCCTGGAATAGGTTCGCCGAAGAGAGAGGTTCGTGTCTCAGAAAGTGTCGCTGGGAAAAAAAAATGCAATTGAATTCGCCTTGGTTGCGTTTTGGTTTTCTTAATTTTTTGCATGATTCTTTGCTCCACTTTCCAAATTCAGCAACATGGCCTGTCGCGGTGGCTCATGCCTGTATTCCCAGCACTTTGGGAGGCCAAAGCAGGAAGATCGCTTGAGCCCAGGAGTTTGAGACCATCCTGGACAAGGTAGCAAGACCCCGTCTTTACAGAAAACTTAAAAAAAAAGAAAAAAAGAAAAAAGCCAGACACAGTGGTGCATGCTTGTAGTCCTAGCTACTCCGGAGGCTGGGGCGGGAGGATCACTTTTTTTTTTTTTTTTTTTTGAGACGGAGTCTCTCTGTGTTGACCAGGCTGGAGTGCAGTGGCGTGATCTCGGCTCACTGCAAGCTGCGCCTCCCGGGTTCACGCCATTCTCCTGCTTCAGCCTCCCGAGTAGCTGTGACTACAGGCGCCCGCCACCACGCCCGGCTAATTTTTTGTATTTTTAGTAGAGACGGGATTTCACCGTGTTAGCCACGATGATCTTGATCTCCTGACCTCGGCCTCTCAAAGTGCTGGGATTACAGGCGTGAACCACCACGCCCGGCCGATCACTTCTTGAATCTAGGAGTTTGAGGCCGCGGTGAGCTACGATCTTGCCACTGCACTCCTGTCTGCGCTTCAGAGCCAGATCCCATCTTCTCATACACACACACACACACACACACACACACACACACACACACAGCAAATTCAGAAACAGTAAGGCCTTGCTTTTCTCCTGCACTTTAAAACGAGCCAGATTCTCTGTATTTTCGCACGTGATCACTTGTCATAGTAATTGCCTGGTGAGAGCACCTGAGTGAACTTTTGAGCATTTAAATATATGGGGAAATGTATTTGTCCGTTTTCTCCACACACAAAATTCGTCCTCACAAAATTCCTGAGAAATGTTTGGGTTTTGGTTTTTTATGTTTGTTTTTTGAAAAACAATTTTAAACCATATTTATTCATACCAAAACTGCTCTTACTGTGACCACAAGCTGCTTGCTTTTTGCTGAATATGATAAGCACTATTTTTTTTTTTTTTTTTTGAGACGGAGTCTTGCTCTGTCGCCCAGGCTGGAGTGCAGTGGCGTGATCTCAGCTCACTGCAACCTCTGCCTCCCGGGTTCAAGCAATTCTCCTGTCTCAGCCTCCCGAGTAGCTGGGATTACAGGCAGGCGGCACCGCGCCCAGCTAATTTTTGTATTTTTAGTAGAGACAGAGTTTCACCATGTTGGCCAGGCTGGTCTCGAACTCCTGACCTCATGATTCGCCTGCCTCAGCCTCCCAAACTGCTGGGATTACAGGCAATAAGCCACCGCGCCCAGCCAATAAGCACTATTTAACAGTTCTTATCTGTTTTGACTCTTGACATTGATAATTCCTCCCATGGAATAAAAAGTTGTCTCTTGATTTACATTCTTACTAGGAAATAATACGAGTTCATTGTAGAAAATCAAAGAAAAAAACCCAAAGAAGTAGAAATCCCCTTCTATCCCACTACTTTGTTATAAACGTCAGTAATCATTTAGGGTATATCTTTCCTATTTAAAAATAATATGAGTATAGATGATTTTGTTGTTTATTCACCAAAAGATTGCATTATATCCTACCATTATAAAATAGTCATATCAAAAATAGGTCGTCAGGCCAGGTGCGGTTGCTGAGGCCTCTAATCCTAGCACTTTGGGAGGCTGAGGCAGGAGGATCACTTGAGTCCAGGAGTTTGAGACCAGCCGGGACAACATGGTGAAACCCCATCTCTACAACAAAATACAAAAATTAGCCCGGTATGGAGGGATGTGCCGGTAGTCACAGCTACTACCAAGGCTGAGGCAGGAGGATCACTTGAGCCTGGGAGTTTGAGGCTGCAGTGAGCCGTGATTGTGCCACTGCACTCCAGCCTGGGCGACAGAGTGAGACCCTATCTCTACAAAAATAAAGCAAAATAAAAAAAGTCTTCAACATTTTAATGACTTCTCTAGATGCACCATCATTTATTCAACAAGCCTCTTGATGTACTCTGTTTTGTTCATTGTTTTCCTTTTACAAATATCACTGAAATGAACTTCCTTATACATATATCTTTAAAAACTTGAAAGACTGTTTTTGGAAAATTTTATTACATGGGAACTTTTATTAATTAGGTCAAAAAATACACACTTTATTTTTTGTTTGTTTTGAGACAGTCTTGCTCTGTCGCCGAGGCTGGGATGCAGTGGCACAACATGGTGAAACCTGTCTCTACTAAAAATATAAAAATTAGCCAGGCGTGGCCGGGCGCGGTGGCTCATGCCTGTAATCCCAGCACTTTGGGAGGCCGAGGCGGGCGGATCACGAGGTCAGGAGATCGAGACCATCCTGGCTAACACGGTGAAAACCCGTCTCCACTAAAAACATACAAAAAAATTAGCTGGGCGTGGTGGCGGGCACCTGTGGTCCCAGCTGCTACTCAGGAGGCTGAGGCAGAAGAATGGCATGAACCTGGGAGGCCGAGCTTGCAGTGAGCCGAGATCGCGCCACTGCACTCCAAGCCTGGGTGACAGACCGAGACTCCGTCTCAAAAATAAAATTAAAATAAAATAAAATAAAATAAAATAAAATAATAAAATAAAATAGCCAGGCGTGATGGCACACACCTGTAATCCCAGCTACTAGGAAGGCTGAGGCAGGAGAATTGCTTGAACCTGGGAGGCGGAGGTTGTAGTGAGCCCGAGATTGTGCCACTGCACTCCAGCCTGGACGACAGAGTGAGATTCCATCTCAAAAAAAAAGAAAAAAGAAAGAAATATTTACAATATATTCTCTGAAGCCTGCTACTTGGAGGCTTTTTTTTGGGGGGGATACTCCACAACCCCTTATCATAACCCAGACATTCCTTTCTATTGATAGTAACTCTTTTAACCAATTGTGAATCAGAAAATTTTAAAATCTACCTATAACCTGAAAGCCCTCCCACTTCAAGTTATCCTACCTTTCTAAACCAAGGTTTTGTTTTTTTGTTTTGTTTTGTTTTGTTTTGTTTTGTTTTGTGTTTGAGACAGGGTCTCGCTCTGTCACCCAGGCTGGAGTGCAGTGGTGCAATCACGGCTCACTGCAGCCTCAACTTCCCGGCTCCAGCGGT
The DNA here is from genome assembly GCF_000001405.40 of Homo sapiens. Lineage (NCBI taxonomy): Eukaryota > Metazoa > Chordata > Mammalia > Primates > Hominidae > Homo > Homo sapiens. The sequence continues at coordinate 118,132,676 of NC_000012.12, read as the reverse complement.
CCTCCCACCTCCCGCAGGTGTGTGCCACCATGCCTGGCTACGTTTTGTATTTTTAGTAGAGACAGGGTTTTGCCACGTTGCCCAGGCTGGTCTCGAACTCCTGAGCTCAAGTGATCCACTGGCCTCAGCCTCCCAAAGTGCTAGGATTACAGATGTGAGCCACCACAGCTGGCCCCAATATATATCTTATATGTATTTAATTGCTGTCTCATGTCTCCCTGCAATGTATAAAACCCAGCTGTGTCCAACCACCTTGCACACATTTTCCCTGGGTCTCCTGAGGGCTGGGTCATAGGCCATGGTCACTCATATTTGACTCAGAATGAATCTCTTCAAATGTTTTACAAAGTTTGACTCTTTTCATTGATGCTATTTATTCTGCCGTCTGCTTGTATTTCTGCCACGTGTGCCTCTTCTAGGCCAGAAGCTTGGGCAGGTGCTGGTTGAGGGTAGACTCAAATGAACCAGCCTGGAAAACCACCAGTTGTTTTTGTTTGTTGAGTGAGGACCAGGAAATTCACTGATGTGGTTATTTAGTGAAATGGCTTCATGCCAATTTCACTCATTGTGCTTCTGCAAGAGAAACTGTTTAATGAGGGAATTTGGGGCCAGGGGCGGTGGCTCATGCCTGTAATCCCAGCACTCTGGGAGGCCGAGGCGGGTGGTTCACCTGAGGTCAGGAGTTGGAGAACAGGCTGGCCAACATGGTGAAATCCCTGTCTCTGTGAAAAATACAAAAATTACCCGGGCGTGGTGGTGAGCGCCTGGGATAATCCAAGCTACTCAGGAGGCTGAGGCAGGAGCATCGCTTGAACCCGGGAGGCGGAGGTTGCAGTGAGCCAAGATCGTGCCACTGCACTCCAGGCTGGGCGACACAGCAAGACTCCGTCTCAAAAAACAACAAAACAAAACAAAAATAATAATGAGGGAATTTTGGACAAAAACAAAGTTCTGTCCTTAGCTCGAGTTCAGAAACTGTTGTGGCCATGCCAGTGACTTGGAACTGCCACTCCAGGGGACCGAGGTGCTGGCTGCTGGCCAAGGATATGCACTGAGACACTGTTGTGAGAATTAACCATTAACAGGTCGCCGGGATTCCGTTTGTCACATTTTTCCTATTGAGACTTTTTTTTTCCCTTTTCTCTTTGAGAATTTCAAAGCATTTAAAAATACCCTCTATGTCCGGGCGCGGTGGCTCACGCCTGTAATCCCAGCACTTTGGAAGGCTGAGGCTGGTGGATCACGAGGTTAGGAGATCGAGACCATCCTGGCTAACACGGTGAAACCCCGTCTCTACTAAAAATACAAACAACTTAGCCGGGCGTGGTGGCGGGCACCTGTAGTCCCAGCTACTCGGGAGGCTGAGGCAGGAGAATAGCGTGAACCCGGGAGGCGGAGCTTACAATGAGCCGAGATCGCGCCACTGCACTCCAGCCTGGGTGATAGAGGGAGACTCTGTCTCAAAAAAAAAAAAAAAAAAAAAAAATACCCTCTATGTTCTCACTTAATCTCCGACAGTCCTTGGTTGATGCAGACGACCACACATCCAAAAGGAAACCAGGTATGTCAAATCATGCGTAAACTCGGGAAAGCCTCATCATGCAGACTTTAGCAATGTTAAATTAGTGATCATTCAGGCCAGGCGCAGTGGCTCACCCCTGTAATCCCAGCACTTTGGGAGGCCGAGGCGGGCAGATCGCTTGAGGCCAGAAGTTCAAGACCGGCCTGGCCAACATGGTGAAATCCCGTCTCCACTAAAAATACAAAAATTAGCCAGTCGTGGTGGTGGGCACCTGTAATCCCAGCTACTCGGGAGGCTGAGGCAGGAGAATGGCGTGAACCCAGGAGGTGGAGGTTGCAGTGAGCCAAGATCGCGCCACTGCACTCCAGCCTGGGTGACAGAGTGAGACCCTCTCTCAAAAAAAATAAAATTAGTGATCATTCAAACCAGAATCATGACAATCTTTGTGAAGAATGGCTTGCTTTGTGTCTTAAACAAGACAAGCTGCAGAATACCTGCCATGCCCACAGCCCCTAGGACATCCTCAGGGGCCCTTCCACTGACACCCCTCCCACCTTCATCCAATTCAAAGGCTTCTCAAACCACCTATGAAATGGCCTGACTCAACAGCATGACCTGGACCAATCAGAGTTGACTATTTTTGTTTGTTTGTTTTGTTTTTTGAGACACAGTTTCATTCTTGTTGCCCAGGCTGGAGTGCAATGGCACAATCTCGGCGCACCACAACCTCCGCCTCCCGGGTTCAAGCGATTCTCCTGCCTTAGCCTCCCAAGCAGCTGGGATTACAGGCATGCACCACCATGCCCGGCTAATTTTGTATTTTTAGTAGAGATGAGGTTTCTCCATGTTGGTCAGGCTGGTCTCGAACTCCCGACCTCAGGTGATCCGTTCACCTCGGCCTCCTAAAGTGCTGGGATTACAGGCATGAACCACTGCGCCCGGCCACTTATTTTTTTTAAAATCACAGTTTATCCTTTTATCTGTTGATGAACTTTGGGCTGTTTCCAGTTTTTTTACTACTATGAATAAACTCCTGTAAACATTCTAGTATATCTTTTTGTGGACATGTATCTTAATTTCTCTTGGGTAAATATCCAGGAGTAGGATTACTGGATTATATGGTGTTTAATTTTGTAAGAAACTGTCAAACATTTCTCCAAAGTGGGTGTACCTTTTTTTTAAGCTTTATTTATTTATTTTTATTATACTTTAAGTTCTAAGGTACATGTGCACAATGTGCAGGTTTATTACATATGTATACATGTGTCATGTTGGTGTGCTGCACCCATTAACTCATCATTTACATTAGGTATTTCGCCTAATGCTATCCCTCCCCCAACCCCACGACAGGCCCCAGTGTGTGATATTCCCCACCCTGTGTCCAAGTGTTCTCATTGTTCAATTCCCACCTATGAGTGAGAACATTCGGTGTTTGGTTTTCTGTCCTTCGACAGTTTGCTCAGAATGATGGTTTCCAGCTTCATCCCAAAGGACATGAACTCATGCTTTTTTATGGCTGCATAGTATTCCATGGTGTATATGTGCCACATTTTCTTAATCCAGTTTATCATTGATGGCCATTTGGGTTGGTTCCAAGTCTTTGCTATTGTGAATAGTGCCGCAATAAACATACATGTGCATGTGTCTTTATACTGGCATGATTTATAATCCTTTGGGTATATACCCAGTAATGGGATCGCTGGGTCAAATGGTATTTCTAGTTCTAGATCCTTGAGGAATCGCCACACTGTCTTCCACAATGGTTGAACCAACGGTGTAAAAGTGTTCCTATTTTTCCACATCCTCTCCAGCACCTGTTGTTTCCTGACTTTTTAATGATCGCCATTCTAACTGGTGTGAGATGGTATCTCATTGTGGTTTTGATTTGCATTTCTCTGATGGCCAGTGATGATGAGCATTTTTTCATGTGTCTGTTGGTTGCATAGATGTCTTCTTTTGAGAAGTGTCTGTTCATATCTTTTGCCCACTTTTTGATGGGGTTGTTTGATTTGTTTTGTAAATTTGTTTAAGTTCTTTGTAGATTCTGGATATTAGCCCTTTGTCAGATGGGTAGATGGCAAAAATTTTCTCCCATTCTGTAGGTTGCCTGTTCACTCTGATGGTAGTTTCTTTTGCTGTGCAGAAGCTCTTTAATTAGATCCCATTTTTCTATTTTGGCTTTTGTTGCCATTGCTTTTGGTGTTTTAGACATGAAGTCCTTGCCCATGCCTATGTCCTGAATGGTATTGCCTAAGTTTTCTTCTAGGGTTTTTATGGTTTTAGGTCTAACATTTAAGTCTTTAATCCATCTTGAATTAATTTTTGTATGAGGTGTAAGGAAGGGATCCAGTTTCAGCTTTCTACATATGGTTAGCCAGTTTTCCCAGCACCATTTATTAAATAGGAAATCCTTTCCCCATTTCTTGTTTTTGATAGGTTTGTCAAAGATCAGATGGTTGTAGATGTGTGGTGTTATTTCTGAGGGCTCTGTTCTGTTCCATTGGTCTATATCTCTGTTTTGGTACCAGTACCATGCTGTTTTGGTTACTGTAGCCTTGTAGTATAGTTTGAAGTCAGGTAGCGTGATGCCTCCAGCTTTGTTCTTTTTGCTTAAGATTGTCTTGGCAATGCAGGCTCTTTTTTGGTTCCATATGAACTTTAAAGTAGTTTTTTCCAATTCTGTGAAGAAAGTCATTGGTAGCTTGATGTGGATGGCATTGTCAGATTCGACTTTTTAATCAGCACTAGTGCCTAAGGAGAAACAGCTGTTGTGAATGGTAGGAGCTAATATAGAATGGAGGTGATACTTAGAGACTACAGAGGGGCCATCAAAAGCTTTGTAGGGCCGGGCATGGTGGCTCACACCTGTAATCCCAGCTCTTTGTAAGGCCAAGGTAGGAGGATCGCTTGAGCTCTGGAGTTTGAGACCAGCCTGAGCAACATAGTGAGACCCTGTCTCTACACAAAATACAAAAAAAAATTAGCTGGGCCTAGTAGCATGGGCCTGTAGTCCCAGCCCCACAAGGCTCTTAATGGTCTCACATTCCTGAGCTCAAGTGATCTCCTGCCTTGGCCTCTCAAAGTGCTGGCATTGCAGGCATGAGCCACTGCGCCTGGACAAACTGGTATTTTAAAAGAAGAAGGCCAGGTGCAGTGGCTCATGCCTGTAACCTCAGCACTTTGGGAGGCTGAGACGGGTGGATCACCCGAGGTCAGGAGTTTGAGACCAGCTTGGTCATCATGGTGAAACCCTGTCTACTAAAAATACAAAAATTAGCCAGGCCCGGTGGTGGGCACGTGTAATCCCAGCTATTTTGGAGGCTGAGTCAGGAGAACTGCTTGAACCCGGGAAGCGGAGGTTGCAGTGAGCTGGTATCGCACCACTGCACTCCAGCCTGGGCAACAAGAGCGAGACTCAGTCTCAAAAAATAAAAAAATAAAAAGAAGAAGAAGAAGAAGAAAAGTAATTTGTTCATGTACTGAGATGCTGGTGGGTGATTGGCTTCAGGAGTGTCTGGATCCAGGGACTTACCTAATACCTTAGGTATCTGTCTCCCTCCTGTGTTTCCACCTGTGGGGTGGTTTCAATTTCAAGTAGACTCCTCCTTCATGTTTCCAGATAACCATTCTGGTAGACAGTTTCTAAGATGGACCCAGTGAACCCCACGTCCTGGTATTCATGGCCCCGTGTGCTCCCCTCCCCTTGAGTAACTTGCTTCTAATCAATAACATAACATGTAAACGGGATGTCACTTCTGATTAAGTTATGTAAGGCTGGGTCAGGTGCAGCAGCTCACGCCTATAATCCTAGCACTTTGGGAAGCCGAGGCAGGAGGATTGCTTAAGCCCAGGAGCTCAAGACCAGCCTGGGCAACATGGTAAGACCCCCATCTCCCCCAAAAATTAAAAAATTAGCCAGGTGTGGTGGCACACCTGTAGTCCCAACTACTGAGGAGGCTGAGGCTGGAGGATGGCTTGAGCCTAAGAGTTCAGGGCTACAGTGAACCATCATCACACCACTGCGCCCCAGCCTGGGCGACAGAGCAAGACCCTATCTCAAACAACATATGACGTGCGGACAGGATGTCACTTCCGATTCCGTTGTATAAGGCTGTGGTGGGCTGGGCGCGGTGGCTCACGCCTGTAATCCCACCACTTTGGGAGGCCGAGGCGGGCAGATCACGAGGTCAGGAGATGGAGACCATCGTGGCTAACACGGTGAAACCCCGTCTCTACTAAAAATACAAACAATTAGCCGGGCGTGGTAGCGGGCGCCTGTAGTCCCAGCTACTCGGGAGGCTGAGGCAGGAGAATGGCGTGAACCCGGGAGGCGGAGCTTGCAGTGAGCCGAGATCGCGCCACTGCAGTCCAGCCTGGGCGACAGAGCAAGACTCCGTCTCAAAAAAAAAAAAATAAATAAATAAATACATAAATAAGGCTGTGGCTTCCATCTTGCTAGCACGCGCTCTCCATTACTTTCTCAGCTTGCAGGCCTCTGGGAAGCAAGCCATCGTGTGGCAGAGGCCCAGGTGGCAAGGAACCAAGGGCGGCTTCTGGCCAACAGCCAGCGAGGACCTGAGACCGTAGCCCAACACCCCTCCAGGAACTGAATTTTGCCAGCAACCAGTGAGTGACCTTGGAAGTGGATCCTTCCCCCGAAAGCCCGGCTTTCAGGTGAGTGGGGAGTACGAGTCCTGGCTGAAAACCTAGGTGAGATTCTTCAGGCCTGCCTGACTGTGGGCAATGATGAAGGCTTTCCCTGGCCGGCCTCGGGGAAAGCTGCCCTCCCCACACCACACTGGGTGCCCAGCCTATGCACTGCAGTGTCTGAAGGGAACTGGAGTCAGAGACTCCAGTGGCCCTGGCCGGCCATGCTCTTGAACACATTTGCATTCCTAGCCAGGCAGCACCTTTGATCCTAGGTCTCTTTATCTGGGGCCTTGGGCAGAGGTCTTCTATGGGGCTTCTGCCAAGGCCCCCTTCTAGGGATGGGAGCGGGAAACCTTGAACCCACTGTTTCCTACCCTGATTTCATACCTAGTACTTTTCCACTCTTAGCCCTTATACCATCACAGTCAAGTGATAAAGCCTTTCCTCTTTCATTTTTGGCTTATTGCTTTCTATCTTTTTTATTATTTTTTTTATTTTTTGAGACAGGGCCTCGCTTTGTCACCCAAGCTGGAGTGCAGTGGTGCAATCATGGTTCACTGCAGCCTCAACCATGTGGGCTCAAGTGATCCTCCCACCTCGACCTCTTGAGTAGCTAGGACTACAGGTGTGCACCACCATGCCCTGCTAATTTTTTTATTGTTTTTTTTTTTTTTTTTTTTTTTTTTTTGGAGAGACAGAGTCTCACTATGTTGTCGAGGCCGGTCTCAAACTCCTGGGCTCAAGTGATCCTCCTGCCTTGGCCTCTCAAAGCGCTTGGATTACAGGTATGAGCCCAATACACCTGGCCAATGGCTTATTGCTTAATTGGCTATTTGGACACCTGACACCTCAGCTTGCCCTCCCAGCTTGACTAAGGTTTTGACAATGAGACCCGAGACCTGGCTGAGACCTTATTGAAACCTTGCGAGACCCTGGGTCAGCGGAAGACCCAGGTCTGGTATCCCCAAACCCCTGATCTATAGAAATTATAAGATAATAAAGGCCGGGTGTGGTGGCTCACGCCTGTAATCCCAGCACTTTGAGAGGCCGAGGCAGGCAGATCACCTGAGGTCAGGAGTTCCAGACCAGCCTGACCAACATGGAGAAATCCCATCTCTACTAAAAATACAAAATTACAGCTGGGTGTGGTGGCTCACCCCTGTAATCCCAGCATTTTGGGAGGCTGAGGCGGGTGGATCACGAAGTCAGGAGATCAAGACCATCCTGGCCAACATAGTGAAACCCCGTCTCTACTAAAAATACAAAAAAAAAAAAAAAGGTGAGCGTGGTAGCAGGTGCCTGTAATCCCAGCTACTCAGGAGGCTGAGGCAGGAGAATTGCTTAAACCCAGGAGGCAGAGGTTGCAGTGAGCTGAGATCGTGCCACTGCACTCCAGCCGGGGAGACAGAGCTAGACTCCCTGGGTGACAGAGTGAGATTTTGTCTCAAAAAAAAAAAAGAAAGAAAGAAAAGAAAAAGAAATACAGGTAGGAAACGTAAAGGCAAAAGATGTCTTCTGCAAGTAGCAAATGAGTGATGCACACACCAATGCAAAGAGCTTGTTAATCAGCCTAAGAGAGCAGCATCTAAGTAGCAGGTGAGTAAGCCCCTTGCGTGTGTACACAGCTAATATTAATTATGTATGATACTGGCCACTTAATTAAAACAGACTCCATCTCTACTTATCAAAATGTTATGAGTTTCTGCAAGCTCCGGAATTTTCCGCAAGCTCCGGAAATTAAGAAACTGTATTCATTAAAACACATCAACCTGGAATTTATTTCTACTTCTCCAACTGTTTTGACTTAGTCATGTTTATCTGTAGTGAACATTTGACCAAAAGTTCAAGGTAAGTAAACAAAGAGATTAGATTAAAAAGGGTTGCCAAGCCAATTCCCTAGAGTTGGATCAAAGTTCTAGAAGGGCAAATGTCACATATACAGAAATATGACTGGGCACCATGGCTCACACCTGTAATCCCAGCACATTGGGAAGCCAAGGCAGGTGGATCATTTGAGGGTAGGAATTTGAGACCAGCCTGGCCAACATGGTGAAACCCTGTATCTACTAAAAATACAAAAAAGCCGCACATGGTGACACACACCTGGAATCCCAGCTACTCAGGAGGCTGAGGCGGGAGAATTGCTTGGACCTGGGAGGTGGAGGTTGCAGTGAGCCGAGATCATGCCACTGCACTCCAGCCTAGGCAATAGAGCTAGACTCCATGACAAAAAAAAAAAGAAGAAAAAATTCAAAAATTAGCTGGTGGGGTGGCAGGGTGCCTGTTGTTTCAGCTATTCAAGAGGCTGAGGTGGGCCGGTCGTGGTGGCTCACACCTGTAATCTCAGCACTTTGGGAGGCCCAGGTGGGTGGATTACCTGAGGTCAGGAGTTCGAGACCAGCCTGACCAACATGGAGAAACCCCATGTCTACTAATAATACAAAATTAGCCGGGCGTGGTGGCGCATGCCTGTAATCCCAGGTACTGGAGAGGCTGAGTCAGGAGAATCGCTTGAACCAGGGAGGTGGAGGTTGCGGTGAGCCCAGATCATGCCATTGCACTCCAGCCTGGGCAACAAGAGTGAAACTCTGTCTCAAACAAAACAAAACAAACAAACAAATATATATGTATGTGTGTGTGTGTGTGTATATATATATATATATATACACACACATATATACACACACTCATACACATACATACATGCCTGGCAAAGTGGCTCACATCTTTAATCCCAGCACTTTGGGAGGCCAAGGCGGGCAGATTGCTTGAACCCAGGAGTTTGAGACCAGCTGAGCAACATGGCGAAACCCCATTTGTACAAAAAATGCAAAATTTAGCCAGGTGTGGTGGCCCTCACCTGTGGTCCCAGCTACTCCAGAGGCTGAGGTAAGAGGGTCACTTGAGCCTAGGAGGTGGAGGTTGCAGTAAGCCAAGATCACGCCACTGCACTCCAGTCTGGGTGACAGAGAGAGGCTCAAAAAACAACAACATGTAGTGTGTGACCTTATCTATGTCTTTAAATATATTTATGTTAATGTGTCCATATAATGCATATGTACATAAATGCATATCTGAAAGAATAAAAAACAAATAGTTAACTGTGGTATTTTTTAGAGTGAGATAAAAAATGTAGAAAGATTTTTTTCTTTTTTTTTTTTTGAGACGGAGTTTTGCTCTTGTCGCCCAGGCTGGAGTGCAACGGCACGATCTCGGCTCACTGCAACCTCCACCTCCCGGGTTCAAGCGATTCTCCTCCCTCATCCCCCCGAGTAGCTGGGATTACAGGCATGCGCCACCACGCCTGGCTAATTTTGTATTTTTAGTAGAGACAGGGTTTCTCCATGTTGGTCAGGCTGGTCTCAAACTCCCAACCTCAGGTGATCCGCCCACCTCGGCCTCCCAAAGTGCTGGGATTACAGGCGTGAGCCTCTGCTCCCAGCCTGCTGGGAGCTTTTTTGAGTAAGGTATGCAAAAGGAGAGAGCCCTGGTGATCAAGGCTGCTTGGGTTCCTGGGCTGATCAAACTTCTGGGTGCCATCAAGAAACTAAGGATCGGCTGGGCATGGGAGTTCACGCCTGGGAGGCATAGGCAGGTGAATCGCTTGAGCCCAGGAGTTTGAGACCAACCAGGGCAACACAGTGAGAGCACATCCCTACAAAGAATACAAAAAATTAGCTGGGCATAGGGCACGCACCTGTGGTCCCAGGTACTTGGGAGGCTGAGGTGGGAGGATAGCTTGAGCCAGGGAGGTGCAGGCTGCAGTGAGCCGTGATCACACCACTCAATTCCAGCCTGGGTGACAGAGTGAGACCCTGTCTCAAACAAAGACTTTATCTAAGAACTGTTTATCCTGAAGTAATTTAGTGTGCTGCCTCCTCCAGAGACTTCCTCTTTAAAAAAATAAAACTAGGCCAGGCATGGTGGCTCACGCCTGTAATCCCAGCACTTGGGAGGCCAAGGCAGGTGGACCGCTTGGGGTCAGGAGTTTGGGACCAGCCTGAGCAACATGGCAAAAACCCATCTCTACCAAAATACAAAAATAAGCTGGGCGTGGTGGAGGGCGCCTGTAATCCCAGCCTCTCAGGAGGCTGAGGCAGGAGGATTGCTTGAAACTGGGAGGCGGATGTTGCAATGAACTGGGGTCACACCACTGGACTCCAGCCTGGGCGAGAGAGCAAGACCCTGTCTGAAAAAAAAAATTATAAATAAATAATTAAAAATAAAAATTAAATTAAAATTAAAATAAATCCAGGAAGCACAATGTTTAGCCAAAAGAATAAATCTATGGCTGCAGAATTTTGAACAGAAACAGGCCAGCAACAAAAATTATTTGCGGCCGAGCGTGGTGACTCATGCCTGTAATCCCAGCAGTTTGGGAGGCCGAGGCGGGTGGATCACAAGGTCAGGAGTTTGAGACCAGCCTGGCCAATATGGTGAAACCCCATCTCTACTAAAAATATAAAAATTAGCCGGGCATGGTGGTGGGTGCCTGTAGTCCCAGCTACTCAGGAGGCTGAGGCAGGAGAATCCCTTGAACCCAGGAGGCAGAGGTTGCAGTGAGCCGAGATCGCGCCACTGCACTCCAGCCTGGTGACAGAGCTTTTTTCAAAATGGGGGACTCACTGTGTTGCCCAGGCTGTTCTCAAACTCCTGGCCTCAAACCATCCTCCCACCCCAACCTCCCAAAGTGCCAGGATTACAGGCGTGAGCCAGCCAGCCTTATTGTGGTTTTGATTTACATTTCTCTGATGATGAATGATGTTGAGCATTTTTTCCTGTTTGTTGGCTGCTAATATGTCAAGAAGTGTATTTATATTAATAATTATCAATTATTTATTATCTCCTCCCTGCTGGCAACTTTTACTGACTGCCATAAACTGAAGCTCAGAGAATGGAAAAATATCTCTTCCTAAAGACACAGAGAAACATAAACAAACCTGACCAATAGAAGGACCAAAACCTCTGCACAGTGCCTCACCCCTCGGAGGAATTAACAAAAATGTAGGTAGCTGTTGGAACAAAGAAACAGTAGTCCAGAGCATTTTGTGTGTGGGATAAAGGTCCTCTAATCTATCTAGTTCCCACAGATAGCACAGGACAGACACCAATGTTCCCGATATTCATACACAAAAGTTCATTCTTTGAATTATCACAAGAAAATACTGCATGGTGCATACTGTGCTTTGTTGAATGGGTCTGGGAGCTATATGTGATACATTTTAGAAATATCAGGATTGGACAAGCGGGTGAGCCCTGCCTTTGTCCATGAGCTGTGACCTTGAGCAAGCTGTTTAACAACTCTGGGACACTTTTCCTCCTCTGGAAGGTGAAGGTTATTCGTTGAACCAATAATCTCTGAAATTTTTGGAGTTCCATGAAGCTTGCACCAACTATTATCCCTGAGATGACCTTGGCTGTGGAACCCAGATTCTGTTCAGGGCCGAGAGCGCCACCTGGTGATTCCAGTTTGTAAGTGAGTCACCCCGCCCCCCCGCCCCACTTCCTGGGCCAGACTGACCCAGTTTAGAATTCCAGTTTAGACCAGCAGGATTGGCTTTTTTGTTTTGTTGGGGCTCAGAAATGGAGGCTTTGATACGCTGAACTGAAGAAGGATCTCTCTGATATTCCCTCCCATCCAAAAGCACAGGAAGTTCCTTTATCCACCTAAAATCCAGACCCCCCAATTAGAAACAATTGTTCTTTCTTTCCCTCTCTGTTATCTCTTTATTGCAGAAAGGAAGACACAGAAGGTAACCACACCTGAACAGATCCTTTCATAAGATAATGTCAGGCTCATTCACATTTCAAAGACATCTATTTACAAGTTAATTTCTCTTCTAGTTCCTGACCCATTCATTTCCCTAGTAATCCTTTATTTCCCCCAAATTCCTTTTTTCCCTCCAATAACCCGTTTTGCCAGGATGGAAGCCCCTGTCTTTCTGTAATCTCAAAATGATATTTAATGTTTCACACTCCCTTGAGGTGTGGGTAATTCCTCTGTAGTTTCCCCTCTTGTTCACGTTAATAAATCTAGATGCCTTTTCTCCAATTAATCTGCCTTTTGTTGAGTTGATCTTTCTTTCTTTTTATTTATTTATTTATTTTTAACCTAAAGCTGGCATCTGGTTCCAGGCTTCTTTCCTCAAAAAATTTCTAACTAGGATTTCTTTTCTTCTCTTCTCTTTTTTTTTTTTTTTTTTTGAGATGGCGTCTAGCTCTGTCACCCAGGCTGGAGTGCAGTAGCACAATCTCGGCTGACTGCAACCTCGGTCTCCTGGGTTCAAGCGATTCTCCTGCCTCAGCCTCCCAAGTAGCTGGGAATACAGGCGTGTACCGCCATGCCCAGCTAATTTTTATATTTTTAGTAGAGACGGGGTTTCACCATGTTGGCCAGGCTGGTCTCCTGACCTCAAGTGATCCGCCCACCTCGGCCTCCCAAAGCGCTGTGATTACAGGCATGAGCCAACGCGCCTGGTCTGTAACAAGAATTCCTATACATCTCTGAAATGCATGCATATCAAAACTCATTGTGCAAACCCTGGCTGACATTAAGGGACCAAAATGTCTACAAATGTAATCACGTATCGTGGCCTACACAGCTAATATGGTCCAAATTACCCTTAAGCTCCTGCTTTAAGGTCCATAAATACCTGGAAGGAAAATTCACCGCAGGGCACTCAGTCCTCTCATGCTGAGGAGTCCCGCAGCGCTTTTATGCAGTGTTCTTTCTAATATATTTTTTTCTTTTTCAAACCTATGCTGACATCAGTAAATTCTTTGTACTAACCTACGACCTGCGAGCCCACCACTTGCCAGTGCCGGGCCCTGACATCTCGTCCAGCAGAGACGGTCTTGTTCTGTTGCCCAGCTAGAGGGCAGTGGTGTGATCATAGCTCACTGCAGCCTCGAATTCCTGGGCTCAAGTGATCCTCCCACCTTAGCCTCCTGAATAGCTGGGACCACAGGAACGCACCACCACACCCAGCTAATTTTATAATTTATTGTAAAGATGGGTCTAACCATGTTGCCCAGGCTTATCAGAAAGTTCTTAATCTCCGTAACCCCCAACTCCAGTTTAAGAACAACTACTGGCCACACATGGTGACATGCCTGTAAACCCAGCACTTTGGGAGGCTGAGGCGGGTGGATCACCTGAGGTCAGGAGTTCGAGACCAGCCTGGCCAACATGGTATAACCCTGTCTCTACTAAAAATACAAAAATTAGCCGGGCATGGTGGCACACGCCTGTAATCTCAGCTACTCGGGAGGCTGAGGCAGGAGAATCGCTTGAACCCAGGAGGCAGAGGTTTCAGTGAGCCAAGATCGTGCCATTGCACTCCAGCCTGGGATACAGAGTGAGACTCCTTCTAAAAAAAAAAAAGAAGGTGCCGGGCGCGGTGGCTTACGCCTGTAATCCCAGCACTTTGGGAGGCCGAGGTGGGCGGATCACGAGGTCAGGAGATCGAGACCATCCTGGCTAACCCGGTGAAACCCCGTCTCTACTAAAAATACAAAAAAATTAGCCAGGTGTGGTGGCGGGCGCCTGTAGTCCCAGCTACTCGGGAGGCTGAGGCAGGAGAATGGTGTGAACCCGGGAGGCGGAGCTTGCAGTGAGCCGAGATCACGCCACTGCACTCTAGGCTGAGCGACAGAGCGAGACTCCGTCTCAAAAAAAAAAAAAAAGAACCACTACTGTAGGGAATGCTATAACCCAGGGCAGCATTTTATAAACATGGACTTGAGGCTATGACTTTATCTGGAAAGTTATTTCACTTCCCTGAGCCTCAGCTTCCTCACCTGTAAAACGATAATGTAACTGCCCATTGGGTTCACCTTGCCTGCTGCCTAGACAGAGCGGATTTATTAAGACAGGGGAGGCCGGGCATAGTGGCTCACACCTGTAATCCTAGCACTTTGGGAGGCCAAGGCCGGCATATCGCCCGAGGTCAGGAATTCGAGACCAGCCTGGCCAACATAGTGAAACCCCGTCTCTACTAAAAATACAAAAATTAGCTGGGCATGGTGGCAGGCGCCTGTAATCCCAGCTACTCAGGAGGCTGAGGCAGGATAATCGCTTGAACCCGGGAGGCGGAGGTTGCAGTGAGCCGAGATCACACCATTGCACTCCAGCTTGGGGGACAAGAACGAGACTTCATCTCAAAAAAAAAAAAAAGAAAAAAGAAAAAAAGAAGGGAATTGCAACGGAGAAAGAGTAATTCATGCGGAGCTGGCTATGCGGGAGACCGGAGTTTTACTGTTACTGAAATTAGTCTCTCGGAGCATTCAGGGATCAGGGTTTTTAAAGATAACTTGGCGGGTTGGGGCTTGGGAAGTGGGGAGTGCTGATTGGTCAGGTTGGAGATAGAATCAGGGGATCGAAGTGAGTTTTTCTTGCTGTCTTCTGCTCCTGGGTGGGATGGCAGAGCTGGTTGAGCCAGATTACCGGTCTGGGTGGTATCAGCTGATCCATCCATCAAGTGCAGGGTCTGAAAATTTCCCAAGCTCTGATCTTAGGTTTTACAATAGTGATGTTATTTCCAGGAGTAATTTGGGGAAGTTCAAACTCTTGGAGCCAGAGGCTGCATGTCCCCTAAACTGTAATTTTTTTTTTTTTTTTAGACGGAGGCTGGTGGGACCTCAACCCCAGCTGGTATCCAGGCTCTTGACACCATCTGGAGAAGGAATTCAAGAGTGTGTCAGAAAATGATGAAAGTACAAAGATTTATTGCAAAGCGAAAAATACACACTCAAGAAAGGGGAGTATGGGTGGACTCAAGACAGAGTCCGATGGGACTTGGGGTTTCTACCTTTTGGGTTTCTTTTTTTTTTTTTTTTGATATGGAGTCTCGCACTGTTGCCCAGGCTGGAGCGCAGTGGCGTGATTTTGGCTCACTGCAACCTCTGCCTCCCGGGTTAAAACGATTCTCCTGCCTCAGCGTCCCAAGTAGCTGGGATTACAGGCTCCCACCACCATGCCCGGCTAATTTTTGTATTTTTAGTAGAGACGAGGCCTCACCATATTGGCCAGGCTGTTCTCGAACTCCGGACCTTAGGTGATCTGCCTGCCTCAGCCTCCCAAAGTGCTGGGATTACAGGCGTGAGCCACCATGCCCAATGGGTGTGGGATTTAGTATATTAATGAGTGTATAATGAGGTCCTTGGTGAAACCTACATCAAATCCAGCACCGTGTTGGGTCCAGTCTGTCTTAGCCAGCTTGGTCCACACCCTGGTTTTTTAGGGTCTTATTGGCCCCTTACTTCTGCAGCAAAAGTTTCCTTTTGCTAGTCATGTGAAACTGCCACCTGGAATTTTCTATTCTCTAGTGACCACCCTGTATTATTCCTGTCTCACTGGGACCCTAAGAAATTGGGAATTCCAACTACACATCCAAAATAGTTTGACTAAAACTGTTGAAAAAAGAAAAAAATAATGGCATAAAGTATTGCTTGACTAAATTCCAGCCAGGTGCATTGGCCACTTTAGGTCGGGTGTGGTGGCTCATGCTTGTAATCCCAGCATTTTGGGAGGCTGAGGCGGGAGGATCACTTGAGGTCAGGAGTTCCAAACCAGTCTGGCCAAAATGGTAAAACCCCCTCTCTACTAAAAATACAAAAATTAGCCGGACCTGGTGGCGGAAGCCTGTAATCCCAGCTACTCTGGAGGCTGAGGCACGAAAATTGCTTGAACCCAGGAGGTGGAGGTTGCATTGAACCAAGATCATACCACTGCACTCTAGCCTGTGTGACAGAGAAAGATTCCGTCTCAAGAAACAAAAACAAAAATGAAAAACAAACAAAAAGAAAGCCCATTCTATCTTTTTTATTTTTTATTTTTTTGAGACAGGGTCTCGCTCTGTCACTCAGGCTGGAGTGCCACAGCGCGATCTCTGCTCACTACAACCTCCATCTCCCAGGCTCAAGCACTCCTCCCACCTCAGCCTCCTGAGTAGCTGGGACCACAGGCACAGAAACCCCACTGTAAATAAAGAGAGGTAGGCTTTTAAAAATGTCACTCTGTTCACAGTAAGGCAAGCAAGGGAAGCAAAATCAATTTCTTTCTAGAGGTGGGATAATGGGTAGGGAGTGGAAGACTTTAGGAAAGAGGTGCCCCAGTTTCTGAGTCACTTCATGGCTTCAATATTCATTGACTATCAATCAACAGATGAATGGATATACAAAAGGTGGTATCTCTGTTGCAGCAGGTAGTTAGTCAGAGCTGAGCAGGGAAGGAGAGGCTCCTCCGCCCCATCAGGAGATGATCAGGCAGTTGTTAAACTGTCTCTCTCAAATAATCATTGGTTGCAGCCGATGCCAGGGAAAGACAGTCTCCCAGTAGATAGAAACGCCAGAAACTGGTGATCAGCAGCTTCCCAGTAAGATCTCAGGAGGTGGGTGAGTGGGCTTAAGCATGTGCATGAAGAGGCAAAATGGTTGAGCTTAGCTGGTACATGACCTTCCTCTAGGAACACTCAACTGATAAGGGAAGAACACCTCAAGTGAGCACACATATAGCTTCAGTAAACACACTCACATGCAGCCCCTCCCAAGTGCTGGCAGGCCATTGTACATGCAGACTGCCAACATATAAAACCACAAGTCAAAGGTCAAACCATGCACTTGAATCTCTCAAGGTCCCTACTGGCCCTCTTCCACGTGTACTTTATTTCCTTGCATTCCTGTTCTAAAACTTTTTTTTTTTTTTTTTTGAGACGGAGTTTCGCTCTTGTTGCTCAGGCTGGAGTGCAATGGCGCGATCTCAGCTCACAGCAACCTCCACCTCCCAGGTTCAAGCCATTCTCCTGCCTCAGCCTCCCGAGTAGCTGGGATTATAGGCATGTGCCATCATGCCCGGCTAATTTTATATTTTTAGTAGAGACAGGGTTTCTCCATGTTGGTCAGGCTGGTCTCGAACTCCGGACCTCAGGTGTTCTGCCCACCTCCCAAAGTGCTGGGATTACAGGCGTGAGCCACCATGCCCAGCTAAAACTTTTTAATAAACTTTCACTCCTGCTGTGAAACTTGCCTTGGTTTCTTACTCTGTCTTATGCCCCTTGGTTGAATTCTCTCTTCTGAGGAGGCAAGGATTCAGGTTGCTGCAGGCCCGTATGGATTCACTGCTACTAACATCTCCATACAACAGAATATAATTTGGCCATAAAATGAAATGAAGTATTGATACAAGCTACAATGTAGATGAACCTTGAGAACATTGCGTTAAGTGAAAGAAGCCAGTCACAACATATATTGCTTGCTTCTGTTAACATGAAATGTCTGGAATAGGCAAAACCATAGAGACAGAAAGTAGATTCATGATTGCTGGGGGTTGGAGGGGGTGGGGAAATTGTGAGTGTGTCTTAGCCTGTTTTCTGTTGCATATATACCACAGACTGGGTAGGGTAATTTATAAAGAAAAAAAGTATATTTAGTACATGGTTCTGGAGACTGAGAAGTCCAAGAGCATGGAACAAGCATCTGGTGAGGACCTTCTTGCTGTATCATAACATAACAGAGGGCATCACATGGCAAGAGGACAAGAGCAAGAGAGCCAGAGAGCGCTTGCTTTTATAACAAAACCACTCCCACGATGGCAACACTAATCCATTCTTGAGGGTAGAGGGACTGAGTTTCCAACACATGAACTTTTGGAGGACACATTCAAACCATAGCAAGGTGATAGCTAAAGGGTATGGGGTGTCTTTCTGGAGTGATGAAAATCTAAAATTGATGGTAGTTATGGTTGTACAACCTTGTGACTATGCTAAAAGCCATTGAATTGTAGACTTTAACTGAGAGAGTTCTATGGGATGAATTATATCTCAATAAAGCTGTTATCAGCAGAGGGTGGTGGCTCATGCCTGTAATCCCAGCACTTTGGGAGGCCAAGGCAGGTGGATCACCTGAGGTCAGGAGTTCAAGACCAGCCTGGCCAATATGGTAAAACCCCATCTCTAATTAAAAAATACAAAAATTAGCCGGGTGTGGTGTTGAGCACCTGTAATCCCAGGTACTCGGGAGGCTGAGGCAGGAGAATCACTTGAACCTGGGAAGCGGAGATTGCAGTAAGCCAAGATTGAGCCACTGCACTCCAGCCTGGGCTACGAAGGAAGACTCTGTCTCAAAATAAAATAAAATAAAAATAAAGCTGCTATCAAAAAAACTTTTACTGAATGTTACAAATCTGGATAATCACAATAGAGGGATCTTTATTGTTACATAAACTTTAAAAATACAAATTGCCAGGCGCAGTGGCTCATGCCTGTAATCCCAACACTTTGGGAGGCTGAGGTAAGATTATTGCTTGACCCAGGAGTTTGAGACCAGCCTGGGCAACATACTGAGACTCCATCTCTACAAATTTTAAAAATTGGCCAGGCATGGTGGTGAGGGTCTGTAGTCTCAACTACTCAGGAGGCTGACGTGGGAAGATCATTTGAGCCCAGGAGTTTGATAAGTGTGCCGTGGCACTCCAGCCTAGGCAACAGAGTGAGACCCCAGCTCTCTAAAAAAAAAAAAAACTGGAAAACACAAGTGTTAATGGCTGTATGATATTCCGACAGGGGCATATTAGGTAAACAGTAAAGACTGTAGTCTATGGAAGTTGGTGAGACAGCTCGTCACTGGGGAAGAAGACTAGGGGTTTGGGGTGGACAAAAGGGTTTCTTTCTCTATTTTTTTTTTCTTTTTTTTGAGACAGAGTTTCACTCTTGTCACCCAGGCTGGAGCACAATGATGCATTCTTGGCTCACTGCAACCTCCGGCTCTCAGGTTGAAGTGATTCTCCTGCCTCACCCTCCCGAGTAGCTGGGATTACAGGCACCCGCCACCACGCCCAGCTAATTTTTTTGTATTTTTAGTAGAGACAGCGTTTCACCATGTTGGCCAGGCTGGTCTCGAACTCCTGGACCTCAGGTGATCCTCCCACCATAGCCTCCCAAAGTGCTGGGATTACAGGTGTGAGCCACCGCGCCCAGCCAAAAGGCTTTCTTTCAAGGAGAATTTCACTATAAATTGCTTGGATTTTTTCTTGTTTGTTTGCTTCACTTACTGTTTTTTGTCTTTTGAGACAGGATCTCACTCTATTGCCTAGGCTGGAGTGTGGTAGTATGATCATGGCTCACTGAAGTCTTGAACTCCTGGGCTCAAGTGAGCCTCCTGATTCAGCTTCCAGAGTAGTCAGAGCTACAAGCATGCACCACTATGCCTGGCTAATTTTTAAATTTTTAATAATCTATTTATTTATTGGCTTATGAACAACATAAATGTATTTCTTACAGTTTGGGAGGCTGGGAAGTCCAAGATCAAGGTGCTGGCAAACTTGGTGTCTGGTGGGGGTCCACTCTCTGGTTCATAGATGGCTGTCTTTTCACTGTATCTTCACATGGTGGAAGAAGTGAACAAGCTCCTTTGGGTGTCTTTCATAAGGGCACTAATCCCATTCATGAGGGTTCCACACTCATGACCTTATCCCCTTCCAAAGGCCCCTCTAGCTAATACCATTAACTTAGGGATTTGAATTTCAACATATGAGTTTTGAGGGGACACAAATATTCTGACCATAACACCATACAAAAAAAAATAATTTGGCCAGGTGTGGCGGCTCATGACTGTAATCCCAGCACTTTGGGAGACTGAGGCAGGTGGATCACCTGAGTTCAAGAGTTTGAGACCAGCCTGACCAACATGGTGAAACCCCATCTCTATTAAAAATACAAAATTAGGCTGGGTGCGGTGGCTCACGCCTGTAATCCCAGCACTTTGGGAGGCCAAGGCAGGCGGATCACCTGAGGTCAGGAGTTTGAGACTAGCCTGGCCAACATGGTGAAACCTCGTCTCTACTAAAAATACAAAAATTAGCTGGGTGTGGTGGGTGCCTGTAATCCCAGCTACTTGGGAGGCTAAGGCAGGAGAATCACTTGAACCTAGGAGGCGGAGGTTGCAGTGAGCCGAGATCGCGCCATTGCACTCCGGCCTGGGCGACAGAGCAAGACTCCGTCTCAAAAAAAAAAAAAAAAAATTAGCCAGGGGTGGTGGCGTATGCCTGTAATCCCAGCTACTCAGGAGGCTGAGGCAGGAGAATCACTTCAACCCAGGAGGCGGAGGTTGCAGTGAGCGGAGATCACGCCACTGCGCTCCAGCCTGGGCAACAAGAGTGAAACTCCATCTCAAAAAAAAAAAATTTTATATAGGATTACATACCTAATGATAAAACTTAAGCCATATGGCCGGGCGCAGTGGCTCACGCCTGTAATCCCAGCACTTTGGGAGGCTGAGGCGGGCAGATCATGAGGTCAAGAGATCGAGACCATTCTGGCCAACATGGTGAAACCCTGTCTCTACTAAAAATACAAAAATTATCTGGGCATGGTGGCATGTGCCTGTAGTCCCAGCTACTTGGGAGGCTGAGGCAGGAGACTCGCTTGAACCCAGAAGGCGGAAGTTGTAGTGAGCCGAAATTGTGCACTGCACTCCAGCCTGGCAACAGACTCCTCTGTCTCAAATTACAAAAAATAAAATAAAATAAGCCATACAAATTCTAGAAAAACACAGTAGCGTATCTCTGTGACCTGCAGGTAGGCAAAAGTTTATTAGACAAGACACAGAAATAATCATCTAATAAAAAATATTTATTTATTTATTTTTTGAGATGGAGTCTTGCTCTTGTTGCCCAGGCTGGAGTGCAGTGGCGCAATCTCGGGTCACCGCAACCTCCGCCTCCTGGGTTCAAGCTATTCTCCTGCCTCAGCCTCCTGAGTAACTGGGATTACAGGCACCCGCTGCCATGCTCGGCTAATTTTTGTACTCTTAGTAGAGACGGGGTTTCACCATGTTGGCCAGGCTGGTCTCGAACTCCTGACCCAGGTGATACACCCACCTCAGCCTCCCAAAGTGCTGGGATTACAGGCTGAGCCACTGCGCCTGGCCTATTTATTTTTTTGAGATGGAGTCTCGCTCTGTCACCCAGGCTGGAGTGCAGTGGCACGATCGCAGCTCACTACAACCTCTGCCTCCTGGGTTCAAGCAATTCTCCTGCCTCAGCCTCCCGAGTAGCTGGGACTACAGGCACGTGCCACCACGCCCAGCTAATTTTTGTATTTTTAGTAGAGACGGGGTTTCACCATATTGGTCAGTGTGGTCTTGAACTCCTGACTTTGTGATCTGCCCACCTCAGCCTCCCAAAGTGCTGGGATTACAGGTGTGAGCCACCACGCCTGGCCTGATCAATTTTTTTTTTTTTTTTTTGACACAAGGTCTGGCTCCATTGCCCAGGCTGGAGTGCAGAGGCACGATCTTGGCTCACAGCAACCTCCACTTCCCAGGGCTCAAGCGATCCTCCTGCCTCAGCCTCCCAAGTAGCTGGAACAACAGGCACACACCACCATGCCCAATTAATTTTTGAATTTTTTTTTTTTGGCTGAGTCTCGCTTTGTTGCCCAGGCTGGAGTGCATTGGCGCAATCTCAGCTCACCACAACCTCCGCCTCCTGGGTTGAAGTGATTCTCCTGCCTCAGCCTCCTGAGTAGCTGGGATTACAGGCACATACCACTGTGTCTGGCTAATTTTTGTATCTTTAGTAGAAACAGAGTTTTACTGTGTTGGTCTGGCTGGTCTTGAACTCCCTACCTCATGATCCACCCACCTTAGCCTCCGAAAGTGCTGGGATTACAGGCGTGAGCCACTGTGCCTGGCCCTTTTTTTTTTTTTTTTGGTAGAGACAGGGTTTAGCCATGTTGCCCAGGCTGGTTTTGAACTCCTGATGACTGCCTTAGCTTCCTGAAGTGCTGAGATTACAGGCATCTGCCAACGTGCCCAGCCTACATTAGTTCTTTCACAGACATATATTTTTCCATCAATTCTTTGCTCTCCTCCCTTTAAGAAGTGGGCTTAGCTGGGCGTGGTCACTCCTGCCTGTAGTCCCAGCACTTTGGGAGGCTGAGTTGGGCGATCACCTGAGGTCAGGAGTTTGAGACCTGGCTAACATGGCAAAACCCCGTCTCTACTAAAAATACAAAAATTAATCGGGTGTGGTGCGGGGTCTGCGCCTGTCATCCCAGCTACTCAGGAGGCTGACGCAGGGAGAATTGCTTGAACCTGGGAGGCGGAGGTTGCAGGGAGCCGAGATCATGCCATTGCACTGCAGCCTGGGCGACAGAGTGAGATTCAGTCTCAAAAAAAAAAAAAAAATCGTCTAGATGATAGATTTTATGTTATGTTAATGTTACCACAATTAAAAATTATTTTAGGGCCGGGCGTGGTGGCTTACACCTGTAATCCTAGCACTTTGGGAGGCCGAGGCGGGTGGATCACGAGGTCAGGGGGTCAAGACCAGCCTGGCCAACATGGTGAAACTCTGTCTCTACTAAAAATACAAAAATTAGCTGGGCATGGTGGTGGGCGCCTGTAGTCCCAGCTACTTGGGAGGCTGAGGCAGAAGAATTGCTTGAACCCGGGAGGCAGAGGTTGCAGCGAGCTGAGATTTCACCACTGCACTCCAGCCTAGGCAACAGAGTGAGACTCTGTCTCAAAAACAAAAAAAAATTGTTTTAATGCAGAAGAAAACTGTAAAGTGAAAGAATAATGAGGAAAAAAAAGTGACACATTTAGAAAACAGAGGATGGAGATACTCCATTGGTTTTTTTGAATTAAAAAGTGAATCAGGCTGGGTGCAGTGGCTCAGCCTTATAAACCCAGCACTTTGGGAAGCCAAGGCAAGAGGATTGCTTGAGCCCAGGAATTTGAGATCAGCCTGGGCAACATTAGTGAGACCCACCCCACATCACTACAAAAAATAATTAACTGAGGTAGTAGTGTGTGCCTGTAGTCCCATCTCTACTAAACAAACAAACAAAAAAATACAAAAATTAGCTGTGTGTGGTGGCACGTGCCTGTAGTCCCAGCTACTCCAGAGGCTGAGGCAGGAGAATTGCTTGAACCTGGGAGGTGGAGGTTGCAGTGAACTGAGATTGCACCACTGCACTCCAGGCTGGGAGACAGAGTGAGATCCTGTCTCCAAAAAAATAAAAATAAAATAATAAAATAAATACAAATACAAATACAAAAAAAATGATCCATGTGTGGTGGCTGTGCCTGTAGTCCCAGCTTCTCTGGGGGCTGAAGTGGGAGGATCATTTGGGCCCAGGAGGCGGTTGCAGTGAGCTCTGTTCATACCACTGCACTCCAGCTTGGGTGACAGGGGAAAACCCATACATGCAGCACCCTGGACAGAGAAGTGTTTGAGCCCCAAGGTCCAGATAGGATTGTGGGATCAGTGGCATATCAAATGACAGGCTCCAAAACCATGCCTTAGATTTTTGTTGAGTCTCTTCATACAAGTCAACCCAGTTTATCCTAATTATTTTTATTATTATTTTCTCAGAGACAGGGTCTTGCTCTGTTGCTCAGGCTGGAGTACAGTGGCATGATCATTGTTCACTACAGCCTCTACCTCCTGGGCTCAAGCAATCCTCCCACCTCAGCCTCCTGAGTAGCTAGGACTATAGGTGTGCCACTATGCCTGGCTAAGTTAAAAAAATCTGTAGAGACAAGGTTTCACTATGTTGCTCAGGGTGATCTTGAACTCCTGAGCTCAAGTGATCCTCCAGCCTCAGCCTCCCAAAGTGCCAAGATTATGGGTGTGAGCTACTGCATCTGGCCCTGGCTAATTAAAAAAAAAATTTTTTTTTTTGAGACATGGGGGTCTTGCCATGTTGCCCCATGGTGGTCTCAAGCTCTTGGCCTCAAGAAGTCTTCCAGCCTAGGCCTCAAAGCCCAACCTAGTTTATCTTTACAACATCCCATGAGATAAATATTAGGTCTATTTTGCTGATAGGGAAACTTGGGCTCTAAAAGGACCCTACATTGCTGGGGACCCCATGCAAAACTCCCAACTCACTGAACATTGTTCTAGGCAGGGTACTTTCTACTGTCCAGAGTGACCTGAAATGCAAGTGGACATCAGGGCAGCTCCTTACACAGCTTCTGACTCAGGGCTGGCTTGAGCCCCTGCAGTCAAAACAAAGAGGGTGGTGTTTTCCAGGCCAGCTCTGCTCAGGTGAAGGCTGGTGTCTGATCATCCAGTGACACACAGAGCATTCAGATGCATGTCCCCTTAGCCCTGGCAGCCTTTGCACATGTGACAAATGTGCAACTTTGTGGGGCTGGAGTTGCAGTCACACAGTCAGTCGTGGCTTTACCACCAGCCAGCCGGCTGTGTGACTCAGAGTTAACCTCCCAGAGCTGTAGGTTGCTCACTTATAAAACTGGATGGCCGGCCAGGCGTGGTGGCTCACGCCTGTAATCCCAGCATTTTGGGAGGCTGAGGCAGGCAGATCACTTGAGGTCAGGAGTTCAAGACCAATCTGGCCAACAAGGTGAAACCCCATCTCTTCTAAAAATACAAAAATTAGCCAGGTGTGGTGGCGTGAACCTGTAATCCCAGCTACTTGGGAGACGGAGGCAGGAGAATGGCTTGAACCCAGGAGGCGGAGGCTGCAGTGAGCGGAAATCATGCCACTGCACTCCAGCCTGGGGGACAGAGCAAGACTCCATCTCAAAAATAAATAAATAAAACCGATGGTATGTGGCACTGCACCTTAGGTCCAAGGGTTGCAGGGAGGGTCCAGTGAGATTAGAACTATGCATCGACCTCGCCAATATGTCAGGAAGGCCGCCCTGGGCAAGCCACCATGAGGCCATGGAGAATTCCAGGCCCTCTGCTGAAAACTGGCCAGTTATTGGTTTTATTTTTTTAATTAAAAATATTTATTTATTTATTTATTTATTTATTTATTTATTTATTTATTTTGAGCAGTGTCTCTCTGTGTTGTCCAGGCTGGAGTGCAGTGGCACAATCTCAGCTCACTACAACCTCCACCTCCCAGGTTCCAGCAACCCTCCTGCCTCAGCCTTTCAAGTAGCTGGGATTACGAGCATGCGCCACCATGCCCAGCTAATTTTTTATTTTTAGTAGAGATGGGGTTTCACTGTGTTGGCTAGGCTGGTCTCGAACTCCTGACCTCAAGGGATCTGCCCACCTTGGCTTTCCTGAGTGCTGGGATTATAGGCATGAGCCACCTTGCCTGGCCCAGTTACTGATTTTATTTACCGCTTGTTTATTGCAGGTGAGGATGTAAGGTGTTTGCCAGAAAAGCTGAGGAACTACAATATCAAAACTAATCAATTCTCATTTGTTTACTCAACAAATGTATATTAGAATGGCAACTAGCTGGCAGGTACTGAGGATACAGGAAACAGGTCTGGTTAGTATAGGATCTCCACAAGGTCAAACATGAAAAGCAAGAACCAAGTTGGGTGCAGTGGCTCATGCCTGTAATTCCAGCACTCTGGGAGGATTGACTTAAGCCTAGGAGGTTGAGGCTGCAGTGAGGTATGATTACACCACTGCACTTCAGCCTGGATGATATAGGGAGACTCTGTCTAAAAAAAAAAAAAAAAAAAAATTCCAGGCCGGGTGTGGTGGCTCACGCGTGTAATCCCAGCACTTTGGGAAGCCGAGGCAGGTGGATCACGAGGTCAGGAGATCGAGACCATCCTGGCTAACTGAAGGGGTGGGTTGCCCCTCCACACCTGTGGGTGTTTCTCGTAAGGTGGAACGAGAGACTTGGAAAAGAAAAAGACACAGAGACAAAGTATAGAGAAAGAAATAAGGGGACCCGGGGAACCAGCGTTCAGCATATGGAGGATCCCGCCAGCCTCTGAGTTCCCTTAGTATTTATTGATCATTCGTGGGTGTTTCTCCGAGAGGGGGATGTGTCAGGGTCACAAGACAATTGTGGGGAGAGGGTCAGCAGACAAACACGTGAACAAAGGTCTATGCATCATAGACAAGGTAAAGGATTAAGTGCTGTGCTTTTAGATATGCATACACATAAACATCTCAATGCTTTACAAAGCAGTATTGCTGCCCGCAGGTCCCACCTCCAGCCCTAAGGCGGTTTTTCCCTATCTCAGTAGATGGAACGTACAATCGGGTTTTATACCGAGACATTCCATTGCCCAGGGAGGGGCAGGAGACAGATGCCTTCCTCTTGTCTCAACTGCAAGAGGCATGCCTTCCTCTTATATTAATCCTCCTCAGCACAGACCCTTTACGGGTGTCGGGCTGGGGGCAGTCAGGTCTTTCCCTTCCCACAAGGCCATATTTCAGACTATCACATGGGGAGAAACCTTGGACAATACCTGGCTTTCCTAGGCAGAGGTCCCTGCGGCCTTCCGCAGTGTTTGTGTCCCTGGGTACTTGAGATTAGGGAGTGGTGATGACTCTTAAGGAGCATGCTGCCTTCAAGCATCTGTTTAACAAAGCACATCTTGCACCGCCCTTAATCCATTTAACCCTGAGTTTGACACAGCACATGTTTCAGAGAGCACGGGGTTGGGGGTAAGGTCACAGAATCTCAAGGCAGAAGAATTTTTCTTAGTACATAACAAAATGGAGTCTCCCATGTCTACTTCTTTCTACACAGACACAGTAACAATCTGATCTCTCTTGCTTTTCCCCACACTAACACGGTGAAACCCCGTCTCCACTAAAAATACAAAAATTATCCGGGCGTGGTGGCAGGAGCCTGTAGTCCCAGCTACTTGGGAGGCTGAGGCAGGAGAATGGCATGAGCCTGGGAGGCGGAGCTTGCAGCGACAGAGCGAGACTCCGTCTCAAAAAACAAACAAACAAAATTCCTGTCAAGAATCTGATGAACAGTTATTTTATTTTATTTTTTATTTATTTATTTTTTTTGAGACGAAGTCTCGCTCTTCTCCCCAGGCTGGAGTGCAATGGCGCGATCTCGGCTCACTGCAACCTCCACCTCCTGGGTTCAAGCGATTCTCCTGCCTCAGCCTCCCAAGTAGCTGGGATTACAGGCGCCTGCCACCACACCGGGCTAATTTTTGTATTTTTAGTAGAGACGAAGTTTCACCATGTTGGCCAGGCTACTCTCGAACTCCTTACCTCAGGTGATCCACCTGCCTCGGCCTCCCAAAGTGCTGGGATTACAGGCATGAGCCAACGTGCCCGGCTGATGAACAGTTATTTAAAAATATTTGAGCAAAGAATAAAAAAGGGCTGAGCGCGGTGGCTCGCACCTGTAATCCCAACACTTTGGCAGGCCAAGGCGGGTGGATCACTTGAGGTCAGGAGTTCGAGACCAGCCTGGGTAACATGGAGAAACGCTGTCTTTACTAAAATTACAAAAATTAGCTGGGCGTGGTGCTGCACACCTGTAGTCCCAGCTACTCGGGAGGCTGAGGTGGGAGGATCACTTGAGCCTGGTAGTTTGAGGCTGCAGCGAGGTATGATTGTGCTACTGCACTCTAGCCTGGGCAACTGGAGTGACACCCTGTCTCAAAAAAATAAAAAACAGAAAAGTAAAAAAGGCAGAACTGTTCAGCTTCATTGCTCAGTTCACCAGGAGAAACATTTTTTTTTTAAAGTGGTTTCAAGAGGATTTCCTCATGGAAGAAGCATTTCAATAAGGGGACCGTTGAACAACAGAACTAATGATTTTTTTTTAACGTTAATATTTATTTTGAGATGGAGTCTCGCTCAGTCGCCCAGGCTGGAGTGCAATGGCGTGATATCGGCTCACTGCAACCTCCGCCTGCTGGGTTCAAGCGATTCTCCTGCCTCAGCCTACCCAGTAGCTGGGATTACAGGCGCCCGCCATCATGCCCGGCTAATTGTTGTATTTTTAGTAGAGACAGGGTTTCACCATGTTGGTCAGGCTGGTCTCGAACTCCTGACCTTGTGATCCGCCCACCTCGGCCTCCCAAAGTGCTGGGATTACAGGTGTGAGCCACCACGCCCTGCCATATTATTATTATTTGAAACAGGAAGTTTCTCCTAGGGCTGTTTTATGGATGGCTCTTCCTGAGGATATCAAAGCCGCATTTTCCCCAGGACAGAATGGGATGAGGGCATGGCAGGGAAGAGAGGAGCTTAGCCTGGGAATCTGACTGGGTAAGGGGTGGGAGAACTAAAAGGGGAAAAGCAAAAACAAAACTCTTGAGAAACACGTCCTGGGGACTCCTTGGCTCTCGCTGTCACTGTGTGGTCCCAGCCAGTTCACTGGAGAACCGGAGTCTCGTGGCTGCTTTGGCTGAAAGTCAGGGGATCATCTTTCTCTGGCTCCCTTTTGCAGAGGGTAAGGAAAGGAAGCGATGGCGGCCTTGGCGCCCGCCCTGCGCCCAGGGACACAGACCGGAATCCCTCGAGACGCTCAGCGGGGACTGCCAGGGGGGTCCTGCGTTCTGCAGCTTGGCAACCGCTTCCTCCGGGTTCTGCAGCCCGGGGCAGCGGCGGGGGTTGCGTCCTGCGGCAGCTGCAGGGCTCCGTCCCGCCCGCTGTCCCCGCGACTCGGTACTGCTGTCCCGGGCGGAGTGGACTGGGGAGGGCCCAGCCTCCGCGCCCCGCCCCTGGCCCGGCGGGACCCGGCTCGGCGCGCCCTCGGCAGAAAGCCCTCCTCCCGGGCCAAGGTAGAGGAAGTTGGGCTCCCGCCTGGCTGGGAGGCGGGAGGGATCCCGCTCCTGTTGTTTTCCGCCGGCAGGAGTAGGCTGGCGGGCGCAGGGGGCGGGGTGCGCCCTCCCTCCCCGGCCAGGGCGCTCGGGAGCGGGGACCCGAGCCTGCAGCCGAGCTCCGCTGCCGGCCCTGGACACTCGGCTCAGCCAAGCATCCTTCCTGGGGGCCGAGGAAGTGGGGCCACTCTGCCGTTCCGAGGACCTGGGAGGAGCCCTCGGTACCCCGGGCCCCGGGGCCCTGGGGCACACACGTCCAGCCCAGCCCGAGCCTGCGTTTCCTGAGCCGGGATCTGGGGCGAGATGGCCGCAGGCGGCAGTGCGCCCGAGCCCCGCGTCCTCGTCTGCCTCGGGGCGCTCCTGGCCGGCTGGGTCGCCGTAGGTAAGGGGCCGCGATCTGGAGGGAAAAGTTGAGTTTTCCCAGTCAGCGGTGGGGAGGGGACAGCGAGAGACCCAATTCCCTCCGACTCCGCCCGGATCCGTGGTGGCCCCAGCCTAGAAGCTGCCCCAGGAGGGTCTTGGTTTCCTGCTCGCAGCTCGGCCGTCTTTGCAGGAAGGAGTTTTCCCGGGCGCCCGGTGCGGGGCGAGATACCCCCAGCCTCCTGGGGTGGGCAGCCGGTGAGGCTGCAGAGGAGCCGAGCCGAGCCGACGTGCGGGGGCAAAGTAAAGAGGCACGTGTGCCGGGAAAGTGATTTTTTTTTTTAAGCGTCGGATGTAAATTCGCGTTCTGGTTTTAGTAGTAACTGATACGCTGGTGCTCAAACTCGAGACTCCCACTTTATTTTTCTCCTCCCTCTGCCCAAGGTTGAACTCGCCTTACACCTGTAACCGGTGGACTTCCCTACACACCTTTGCAAGTCTTCCTGTGCCGACCAGCGCCTTCAAAGCGGGGTCTTCCGCCTTTACTTTTGGAAAAGCTTTTTATTTTGAAATACTTGGCTGACTTACAAAAGACTTCCCCTCACACTTGACATGATTGACAAAAGGTCTGAAATGCTTCATCTATGGTCTGCTTTGCTACGAAAAAAGAATTGGAGGGGTGCTTACAAAAATATGTAGAATGTAAAAAGATTGAACTATTTATATATATTTGAATTTAATTCACCAGCATGCCTACTGTGCATGCCTACTGTGTGCTGGGAGTGTGACAAGCTGGGAGGAGGCTGGGGTGCAGGGAGAGGAGATGGAGCCAGGAGGTGGTGAAGTTTGCCAGGATGCAGGCAGAGCGCTACTTTTTGTGTTCCCGGGTCTGCTCCACCCAACGGGTCTCCTCTTGCACGTTTCTGGAGATGGGTTGTAAAGTATGCTGGAGCTTCTTAGCAGCAAGTGCCAAGAGTTCCTAATTATTAGGCTCATACAATTTTATTTTGCTTTTTTTTTTTTAACCAACCATTTAAAAACAATAACATCTCTAGATTTCCAGTTTATCTGGAAAAATCTGAAGGTCTGGCAACACGGGGCCTGCTTTCCCAGTTGGAATTGGGCAGTGGTCATCCTCTTATCTAGGGCATATGAGCCCAAATTTGTTCCACCTCTCCCTGTTGTAATATTTGCCCCGCCACCTTCAGTCATGGGTGTTACCTGCTGGCCCTGCAGGCATTTGGCTGAGTAATCACTGTGCTGGGGTGTGGGTGATGGGGGAGGACAGTTCCTAGTTGGTCATCTCTGGACGTGAAAGGTGGTTGTCAAGTATTCCCATCTCCCCAGCTGTTTGCAGTGTTTCCTGCACGATGAACACCAGGAACCTGGGAAGTGAGAAGAACCCTGGGATGAAGTCATCCTGCTGGAATGACCTGGCTTTCAGGCTGACTGCCACCCGCCCCATGGGGAACCTATCTCCACTGCTATGGCCAGCTATTTTTTTCGAGCCAGGCTCTCGCTCTGTTGCCCAGGCTGGAGTGCAGTGGTGCAATCACTGCACTGATCCTCCCACCTCAGCCTACAAGTAGCTGGGACTACAGGCGTGCACCACCACGCCTAGCTAATTTCTAAAATTTTTTTGTAGAGACGGTCTCTACAATCGCTTGAGCCCAGGCTGGTCTTAAACTCCTGGACCCAAGCGATCCTCCTGTCTCGGCCTCCCAAAGTGTTGGGATTATGGGTGTGAGCCACCGTGTTGGGCCTTTGCCCAGCTATTTTGATGCCCAGACCTGCTTCACCTTTGTGTATGATGCCAGGGGGCTTCCTGAGCTTGGTGTATTTTTGTTGTGTGTTTGTTTTTTAAGTTGGGAGTTTTTGGGGAAAAAAATTTTTCTCCTGACATTCAATGCCAGACAACTTATATGCATCCACTAGCTACCCCGGATTGTAAATCCTAGGTTATTCTTGGGAAAAGTTGCTTTAAAAAAATAAATAAATGTTTGGGTATAACTCCTACTCTGTAAATAATAATACATGGGCAGCATCAGGGAGTTTATATTACTCCCTCTTCGGTTCTCTATTGTACATTTAAGGTTGGGGGGCAAGAAGGACCCTCTGGACACCATATGAATGACTTCTAAACTTGTTACTATATTTTATCATTGCATCCTGTCTGGTGCAGGAGACCAGAGTAACGTGACCTGAGTGACAATCCCACATCTCCCAGTGATTTGCTTGGGACTTTAAGTGATAACTTAATCTTCCTAAATCTCAATTTTCTCAGTAGTAAAGTGAGGAGGTTTAGGACTGCCAGGCAAGAACTACCCCTTCCATGTCTATGTCAGACATCACTAAATCGATGACTGTGTTCTTTTCCACTGAACCAGGACTCAATCTCATCTTCAACCCAGCCCACAGGGCAGCCACATCTCTGGACTAGATGATCTCCAAGGGCACCTTCAGATACAGTGGTTTAAAAAAGAACGGAGTAAGCCAAACCAGGAGAAGTGAAATGTCTTCAAATGGTTTCTTTTGTGATCATGTCATTCTATGCCTTGGAGGAGAAAACAATGTTAGCTCAAGTTCCAAGACTAAAGTTTCACCACGGCTTTTTTCCAAGCCACTGTTCCTTTATTTCTTTGCCAAGGAGTTAGGCAAGGGGCAGGTCTGCAGGTTGCATGAACACATGTTGCATCTGTAACTCTGAAGTTCATCTTCCTTTCCATTGTGGCGGTTGCCACTGGATAATTTGGGTTCCCAATCCTAATAATTTAAAAATAATTCTTGGCTGGGTGCGGTGGCTCCCGCCTGTAATCCCAGCACTTTTGGAGGCCGAAGTGGGCAGATCACCTGAGGTCAGGAGTTCAAGACCAGCCTGGCCAACACAGTGAAACCCTGTCTCTACAAAAATACAAAAACTTAGCGGGGCATGATGGCGGGTGCCTGTAATCCCAGCTACTCAGAAGACTGAGGCGGGAGAATTGCTTGAACCCAAAGGCAGAGGTTGCAGTGAGCCGAAATTACGCCTTGCACTCCAGCCTAGGCAACAGAGCGAGACTTCATCTCAAAAAAAAAGTAAATAAATAAATAAAAAGAATTCTTATCTGCTTTTTTTTTTGAGACAGAGTCTTGCTCTGTTACCCAGGCTGGAATGCAATGGTGCGATCTTGGCTCACTGCAACCTCCGCCTCCCAGGTACAAGGGATTCTCCTGCCTCAGCCTCCCGAGTAGGTGGGATTACAGGTGTGCGCCACCACGCCCGGCTAACTTTTTGTATTTTTAGTAGAAACGGGGTTTCACCGTGTTAGCCAGGCTGGTCCCGAGCTCTTGATCTTGCCCACCTTGGCCTCCCAAAGTGCTGGGGTTACAGGCAGGAGCCACCACGCCCGGCCATTCAGCTAATTTTTAGTAGAGATGAGGTTTCACCATGTTGGCCAGGCTGGTCTCCAACTCCTGACCTCAAGTGATCCACCTGCCTCGGCCTCCCAAAATGCTGGGATTACAGGCGTGAGCCACCGCCCCCGGCCCTCACCTGCTTTTTAAAGTGATTGCTCAGAAGCATTTCTTGCTGTTTTGGAATCTCTGTCATTAGATGGCATTCTCCACCTTTCAGCAAGTGGCTTAGTTTTTAAAATTTGGTGTTTTGTTTGTTTGTTCGTTTGTTTTCATCCTGACTTGGCTGAAAAGTCTTGGGAATGGTGTGGCCAAAATGGTGAGAGAATCAGAACTTCCTGGGGCTCCAGGCTGGCTTCAGATCTTTAAAAGGGAGCCCCTTCTAACCAGACAAGAGGCCAAATACAGATAATGATTACTCTTTCACTTAAATGGGAAGGATTGCCAGGGGCAAGTGGCAGTTTATTTTTTCTATAACAGCTTTATTCAGATATAATTTACATGCCACAAAATTCACCCTTTTTAAGTGTACCACCCAGGGGATTTTAGTGTAGTCCAGGGTTATACAGCCATCACCACTAATTCATCATTTTTATCACCCCAACAGGTTCTGCCCATCTTCCTATTCCTGCAGCCTCTTTGTATTGGGTCTTGATTGTGGAGGGGGCTGGACAATTGTGAAACTTCTCAGCAAAATGGGTTGCATTTGCTTCTTGTTACCTAGTGACAGTCTAATGCCCGTTAGCACCTGTCGGTCTTTTTTTATGAGTCAGGGTTGGCTGGGCGTGGCAGCTCACGCCTGTAATCCCACCACTTTGCGAGCCCGAGGTGGGTCTGAGTGGAATGCTTGAGTCCAGGAGTTCAAAGACCAGCCTGGGCAACATAGTGAGACCCCCCACCCCAACCCGCCGCCCCTCCACCATCTCTAAAAAAGAAAAAAACAGTTTTTTACCTTAAACAAACAAAAAGAGAGACAGGGTATCTCTGCTGCCCAGGCTGGAGTGCAGTGTCACAATTGTGGCTCACTGCAGCTTCAGTCTCCTGGATTCAAGTGATCCGCCCACCTCAGCCTCCCAAAGCCCTGGGATTACAGGCCTGAGCAGGCACACTCACACCCGGACACCTGTCAGTCTTGAATGGGCGTCAGAATCACCTGGAGGGCTCGCTAACACACAGATGCTGGGCCAGGTATAATGAATCATTCCTGTAATCCCAGCACTTTGGGAGGCTGAGGTGGGAGGATCACTTGAAGTCAGGAGTTCAAGACTGTCCAGGACATCAGAGTGAGACCCCCCCCAACCCCCATCTCTTAAAAAAAAAGTTAAATAATTGCTGATTTGTTAAAAATAAATAAATAAAACACAAAGGGCTGCTGCTCTCCCGCAGTTTCTGATCTAGGTGTTTTGGGGTGAGGCTTGATAATTTATATTTCTAACATGCTGCGGCTGCCGATCTGGGCTTTGGAACATGCTCCGTTTGCCTGGGAACCCATCCTCACCTTTTCTTGGCTGATTCCTACTTGTCCATCAGATCTCAGTTTGGCTTCCTGGGGGAAGTGTTTCCTGACATTTGCCCTAGTTGGACTTAGGAGCCCTTTCTCTGAGGCCTTATCTTGGTGTTTATCACACTGCATTGTACTTGCCAGTTTATTGTCTCTTTTCTTCACTAGACTGTGAACTCTTGGAGGTTTCTGTGTGTTGTGTCCACAGTGGGATTCCCAGTGCTTTGTCCAGAGTGGGCACACAGTCCCTACTGCCAGCCCATTCTTCCATGGGGCTTCTGAGAGAACTTGAACTCTAGGGCCATTTGAGATGGAGAGAGATGGAGAGGCAGAGAGAGAGGGAGAGGCGGAGAGAGAGGGAGAGGCGGAGAGAGAGGGAGAGGCGGAGAGAGAGGGAGAGGCGGAGAGAGAGGGAGAGGCGGAGAGAGAGGGAGAGGCGGAGAGAGAGGGAGAGGCGGAGAGAGAGGGAGAGGCGGAGAGAGAGGGAGAGGCAGAGAGAGCAGTGGGACAGTGGAAACAAAGCCAAAGCCCTCTTCTTTCTACCCCTTCTGGATTTCTA
The DNA here is from genome assembly GCF_000001405.40 of Homo sapiens. NCBI lineage: Eukaryota > Metazoa > Chordata > Mammalia > Primates > Hominidae > Homo > Homo sapiens. The sequence continues at coordinate 118,098,161 of NC_000012.12, read as the reverse complement.
GGCAAATAAAGCCACTTGGGTTCTGTATCAATTATTGATCGCCACAGTAATGCTGTATAAGAAACAACCCCAAAATGACAGTAGTGCTTATTACCCACAGGCTGGGGTGGTTGGTTAGGGGGCTCTGCTGATCTGCCTGGGGATCGATGACTAGCTGAAGGCTGATCTAGAATGGGCCAGGCTGGAGCCACTGAGACAACTTGGGTCTGTACCATGTAGTTTGTTTATTTATTTATTTGAGACAGAGTTTCACTCTTGTCACCCAGGCTGGAGTACAGTGGTACAATATCGGCTCACTGCAACCTCCGCCTCCCGGGTTCAAGTGATTCCCCTGCCTCAGCCTCCCGAGTAGCTGGGATTACAGGTACCTGCCACCATGCCCAGCTAAGTTTTTGTATTTTTAGTAGAGACGGGGTTTCACCATGTTGGCCAGGCTAGTCTCGAACTCCTGAGCTCAGGTGATCCACCGCCTCAGCCTCCCAAAGTGCTGGGATTACAGGCGTGGAGCCCGGCCTTTTGTTTGTTTGTTTGTTTGTTTCTTGTTTTTGAGACAGAGTCTTGCCCCGTCACCCAGGCTGCAGTGCAGTGGCACAATCTTGGCTCACTGCAACCTCTACCTCCTGGGTTCAAGTGATTCTCGTGCCTCAGCCTCCTGAGTAGCTGGGACTACAGGTGTGCGCCACCACGCCTGGCTAATTTTTGCATTTTTAGCAGAGACGGGGTTTCACCATGTTGGCCAGGCTAGTCTCGAACTCCTGGCCTCAAGTGAAACCTCCTCCCTCGGCCTCCCAGCGTGCTGGAATTACAGGCATGAGCCACGGCTCCCGGCCTCATTGCAGTTTTGATTTGCATTTCTGTAGTGATTATAGACAAACACTTTAAAGACTCTGCTTGTGTCACATTCCCAACATCCCATGGGCCAAAACAGGGCTCATGGCTGAGTCCTCACAAAGAGTGGGATGGCCCCCCAGTGATGTGGGGCATGGATGGTGGGCAGACTGGGTGGACAACTGGGGCTATGTTTGTTACCTACTACAAGTTCATTATTGTCAGTGACTGGCCAAGAGTCCCAACATACCAGACGTTCTGTATGTGTTGTTTGTTTGTTTGTTTGTTTTGTTTTTAGACCGAGTCTCGCTCTGTCGCCCAGCCTGGAGTACAGTGGCGCAATCTCGGCTCACCGCAACCTCCACCTCCTGGGTTCAAACGATTCTCCCACCTTAGCTTCCCGAGTAGCTGGGATTACAGGCGTGTGCCACCACGCCCGGCTAATTTTTGTATTTTTAATAGAAACGGGGTTTTGTCATGTTGGCCAGGCTGGTCTCGAACTCCTGACCTTAGGAGATCTGCCTGTCTTGGACTCCCAAAGTGCTGGGATTACAGGCATGAGCCGCTACGCCCAGCTGCTCTGTATGTGTTATTGCATCTTAAGAACACATATGGTCAGGCACGGTGGCTCATGCCTGTAATCCCAGCACTTTGGGAGGCCGAGGCCGGCGGATCAAGTGATTCTCCTGCCTCAGACTCCCAACTAGCTGGGACTACATGCCCAGCTAATTTTTTGTGCTTTTTTTTTTTTTTTTGAGACGGAGTTACGCTCTTGTTGCCCAGGCTGGAGTGCAATGGTGCGATCTCGGCTCAGCGCAACCTCTGCTTCCCAGGTTCAAGCGATTCTCCTGCTTCAGCCTCCCTAGTAGCTGGGATTACAGGCATGTGCTACCACGCCCAGCTGATTTTGTATTTTTAGTAGAGACAGGGTTTTTGCATGTTGGTTAGGCTGGTCTTGAACTCCTGACCTCAGGTGATCCGCCCGCCTTGGCCTCCCAAAGTGCTGGGATTACAGGCGTTAGCCACCATGCCCGGCCACAATTTTTTGTATTTTTATTACAGACGGGGTGTCACCATGTTGGCCAGGATGGTCTCGATGTCTTGACCTTGTGATCCGCCCACCTCGGCCTCCCAAAGTGCCAGGATTACAGGCATGAGCCTGACTTTTCCTGAGGTCAGGAGTTCAAGACCAGCCTGGCCAATGTGGTGGTGAAACCCTGTCCCTTTTGAAAATATAAAAATTAGCTGGGCGTGGTGGCACGTGCCTGTAATCCCAGCTACTTGGGATGCTGAGGCAGGAGAATAGCTTGAACCCGGGAGGCAGAGGTTGCAGTTAGGCGAGATAGTGCCATTGCACTCCAGCCTGGGCGACAGAGTGGGACTCCGTCTCAAAAAAAAAAAAAAAAAAAAGAACATATACCTGATTTTTAAAAAAATCCTAATACAGGAGTACTGTCCAAAAAGGGACATTGTTTAGAAATTAAGAAGGGTAGTAACAGCCTGATCTTGCCTTGTACAGGATTGGAGGCTGTTGTCATTGGAGAAGTTCATGAGAATGTTACTCTGCACTGTGGCAACATCTCGGGACTGAGGGGCCAGGTGACCTGGTACCGGAACAACTCGGAGCCTGTCTTCCTTCTCTCGTCCAACTCTAGCCTCCGGCCAGCTGAGCCTCGCTTCTCTCTAGTGGATGCCACCTCCCTGCACATTGAATCGCTGAGCCTGGGAGATGAGGGAATCTACACCTGCCAGGAGATCCTGAATGTGACTCAGTGGTTCCAAGTGTGGCTGCAGGTGGCCAGTAAGTGGGGCTGGCAGGGACCGGGGCTGGAGAGGTGCTCGGAGCCTTGGAAAGGAGGAGACCATGGTCAGGAATATGGGTTTTGGGTTCGGATGGCCTGGAAATCATTCTGGGCCCTGCCACATGGAAGCTGAGGGACCTCTCACACCTCTATTTCCTCACCTGTAAAATGGAGATAAAAAGAATTTCTGTGGCCGGGCGCAGTGGCTCATGCCTGTAATCCCAGCACTTTGGCAGGCCAAGCCGGGCGGATCACTTGAAGTCAGGAGTTTGAGACCAGCCTGGCCAACGTGGTGAAACCCCATCTCTATTAAAAATACAAAAAATGCCGGCCGGGTGCGGTGGCTTACGCCTGTAATCCCAGCACTTTGGGAGGCCAAGGTGGGCGGGTCACAAGGTCGAGACATTGAGACCATCTTGGCTAACATGGTGAAACCCCATCTCTATTAAAAATATAAAAAATTAGCTGAGCGTGGTGGCGCGCACCTGTAGTCCCAGCTATTTGGGAATCTGAGGCAGGAGAATTGCTTGAACCTGGGAGGCGGAGGTTGCAGTGAGCCAAGATTGCGCCACTGCGCTCCATCCTGGCAACAGAGTGAGACTCCGTCTCAAAAAAAAAAAAAAAAAAATTCGCCAGGCATGGTGGCGCACGCCTGTAATCCCTCCTACTTGGGAGGCTGAGGCAGGAGAATTGCTTGAACCTGGGAGGCGGAGGTTGCAGTGAGCCAAGATCGCACTACTGCACTCCAGCTTGGGCGACAGAGCAAGACTCCGTCTCAGAAAAAAAAAAAAAAATTATTGCTTCTTAGAATTGCTGTGAAGAATAGATACCAGTTTATAAAGTGCGTTAGGCCAGGCATGGTGGCTCATGCCTGTAATTCCAGCACTTTGGGAGGTCAAGTGGGCAGATCACCCAAAGTCAGGAGTTCAAGACCAGCCTGGCCAACATGGTGAAACCCCATCTCTACTAAAAATACAAAAATTAGCCAGGCATTGTGGTGGGTGCCTGTAATACCAGCTACTCGGGAGGCTGAGGCAGGAGAATCGGTTAAACCCGGGTGGTGGAGGTTGTGGTGAGCCGAGATCGTGCCACTGCACTCCAGCCTGGGCAACAGAACTAGACTCCGTCTCAAAAAAAAAGAAAAATAAACAAATAAAGTGCTTTAAAAGGCTCCTGGCATATTAATAAGCTTTTATTTTTAGCTTGTTGTTAATATCATCTTTGCTATTAATATCATTTTATTATGTAACAAAGTTACAGTATATCATAATCAAAGCCAGGTGCGGTGGTGTGGGACTGTAGTCCCAGCTACTCAGGATTGCCTGGGTCCAGGAGCTCCAGGCTGCAGTGCACCATAATTGCACCTATCAATAGCCACTGCACTCCAGCCTGGGCAACACAGGGAGACCCTGCCTCTAAAAAAAACATATGGAGTCAAGTCAGACTGCCTGAATTCCAGGGCGAAGGCTGTCACTGAGTTCTGTGTCACCTTGAATAAGTAGCTTCATATCTCTGAGCTCCAGTTTTCCTCATTTGTTAATGGGGGATAATACATTGCCTGCTTTGTCAAGTGTAGCGAGCACTCTTATCTATTTTTATTTTATTTTATTATTATTATTTTTTGAGACGTAGTCTCACTCAGTCGCCCAGGCTGGAGTGCAGTGATGCAATCTCGGCTCACCACAACCTCTGCCTCCCGGGTTCAAGTGATTCTCCTGCCTCAGCCTCCCAAGTAGCTGGGATTACAGGCGCCTGCCAACTCTCCCGGCTAATTTTTGTATTTTTAGTGGAGATGGGGTTTCACCATGTTGCTCAGGCTGGTCTTGAACTCCTGACCTCGTGATCTGCCCACCTCGGCCTCCCAAAGTACTGGGATTACAAGCATGAGCCACCGTGTCCAGCTATAGTGAGCACTCTTATACTACGGTGCTAAGTACAGGGCTTGGCATGAGCCACCTTTCCTATTGCACTTTCCTAAAACAGTCTGTCATATCTGCTGATATACACATATGGATTTACAGCAGGCCGGGTGCTGTGGCTCATGCCTGTAATCCCAGCACTTTGGGAGGCTGAGGTGGGAGAATCATTTGAGCGAAGAGTTTGGAACCAGCTTGGTTAACATAGTGAGACCCCATATTTACAAAAAATTATTAAAAAAAGAATTTAGAGTGCGAGGTTGTAAACTACAGCCTGCTGTTGTATGGCCTGCAGATTATGAATTTTTTTTTTTTTTGAGATGGAGTCTCACTCTGTCGCCTAGGCTGGAGTGCAGTGGCGCAATCTCAGCTCACTGCAAGCTCCACCTCCCGGGTTGATGCCATTCTCCTGCCTCAGCCTCCCAAGTAGCTGGGACTGCAGGCGCCCGCCACCACACCCAGCTAATTTTTTTTTTTTTTTTGTATTTTTAGCAGAGACAGGGTTTCACTGTGTTAGCCAGGATGGTCTCGATCTCCTGACCTTGTGATCTGCCTGCCTCGGGCTCCCAAAGTGCTGGGATTACAGGCGTGAGCCACCATGCCCAGCCAATTATGAATATTTTTTATATTTTTAAATGGTTGGAAAAAAAAGGATATTTGTGACATGAAAATCATATGAAAGCCAGATGCAGTGGGTCACGTCGGTAATCCCAGCACTTTGGGAGGCTGAGGCGGACGGATGATTTGAGCCCAGGAGTTTGAGACCAGCCCTGGCAACATAGCAAGACCCCATTTCTACAAAAAGTGAAAAAACTAGCTGGGTGTGATGGCGTGTGCCTGTAGTTCCAGCTACTCAGGAGGCTGAGGTGGGAGGATTGCTTGAGCCCAGGGAGGTCGAGGCTGCAGTGAACTGTGATCACGCCACTGCATTCCAGCCTGGGTGACAGAGCAAGACCCTGTCTCAAAAAAAAAAAAAAGAAAAAGAAAATCATATGAAATGAAATTGAAATGTTGGTGTTCGTAAATAAAGTTTTATTGGAATATAGCCACATTCATTTATTTACATATTATCTCTACCTTTGTTACTAACTATGGCAGAGGTGAGTGGCTGTTAACATAGATCCTATGGGCTTCAAAGCCAAATTTATTTGCTCTCTGGCCCTTTACAGAGAGAGTTTGCTGGTCACTGGATTAGAAGGACATCCATGCTCTGGATTCAGGGCATGTAGTTTAGTAGACATACCCATGGGAGGCCAGGTACGGTGGCTCATGCCCATAATCCTAGCATTTTGGGAGGCTGAGACGGGATGATTGCTTGAGCCCAGGAGTCTGAGACCAGCCTAGGGAATGTAGTGAGACCCCATCTCTACAAAAAGTTTAGAAAATAGTAATTAGCTGGGCATGGTGTCATGCACCTGTAGTCCCAGCCATTCAGGAGGCCGAGTGGGGAGGATCGCTTGAGCTGGGAGACGGAGGTTGCAGTGAGCCAAGATGGTGCCACTGTACTCCACCCTGGGCTACAGAGTGAGATCCTGCCTCAAAATAAAAATAAAAAGAATAGGCTGGATGTGGTGGCTCACGCCTGTAATCGCAGCACTTTGGGAGGCCGAGGCGGGCAGATCACCTGAGGTCAGTTCAAGACCAGCCTGGCTAACATGGTGAAACCCCGTTTCTACAAAAAATACAAGAAATTAGCCAGGTGTGGTGGTGTGCACCTGTAATCCCAGCTACTCGGGAAGCTGAGGCAAGAGAATCGCTTCAACTTGGGAGACAGAGGTTGCAGCGAGCTGAGATTGCGCCATTGCACTCCAGCCTGGGCAACAAGAGTGAAACTCCGTCTCAAAAAAAGAAATGATAATAATAATAATAATAAAATAGGGAAATACCCATGTGATCACTGTTCTGGATCCAAGATTCCTCATCTGTAAAATAAAGAACCTACTAATTCCTTTATTCAACATAGATTCATTGAGAGCTTGATGCCAGACACTGTTCTAGGCACTGGACCACAGGTGTGAAGAAGGCAGACAAGGTCTCTGCCCTTGAGGAGTGAGCAGCCTAGTGGGGCACACAGATGAGAAACAAATTAATGTGATTTTTCTGAAACTTTTTTTTTTTTTTTTTGAGACAGAGTCTTGCTCTGTTGCCCAGGCTGGAGTGCAGTGGCACGATCTCAGCTCACTGCAAGGTCCACCTTCCGGGTTCACACCATTCTCCTGCCTCAGCCTCCCGAGTAGCTGGGACTACAGGCACCTGCCACCTCACCCGGCTAATTTTTTGTATTTTTAGTAGAGATGGGGTTTCACCATGTTAGCCAGGATGGTCTCGATCTCCTGACCTCGTGATCCGCCTGCCTCGACCTCCCAAAGTGTTGGGATTACAGGCGTGAGCCACCGTACCCAGCCCCTGAAACATTTTAACTTGGGAGGCCAGAGGGGAGATTTTGGAAGTAATGACTTTTTTGTTGTTGTTTGTTTGTTTGAGACAGATTCTCCCTCTGTCGTCCAGGCTGGAATACAGTGGCGCCACCTTGGCTCACTGCAACCTCTGCTTCCCGGGTTCAAGTGATTCTCATGCCTCAGCCACCTGAGTAGCTGGGATTACAGATGTGTGCCACCAAACCTGCTATTTTTTTGTATTTTCAGTAGAGATGGGGTTTTTCCATGTTGGCCAGGCGTGTCTCGAACTCTTGACCACAAGTGATCCACCCGCCTTGGTCCCCCAAAAAGCTGGGATTACAGACATGAACCACTGCATCTGGCCTGGAAGTAGTGACATTTAAACTGATTGGTAAGTAGGGCTGGGCACAGTGGCTCATCCCTGTAATCCCAGCACTTTGAGGGGCTGAGGTGGGAGGATCGCTTGAGCCCAGGAGATCAAAACTGCAGTAAGTCATGATCACACCACTGCACTCCATCCTGGGTGACAGAGAGACCCTGTCTCTGAAAAAATAAAAGGAGAAGAATTCTGCCAATTCTCTTTCCAGGCAGAACAGGACAGGTTGAGCTGAGTGTGGTGCATTCACAGATAGGGAGAAGGCCGGCGTGGCAGGGGCCTCGCCTCGTGTGTAAGAGGGCAGGCCGTGTGAAATATGGGAGGCCAGGCCAGACTGGGGCCAAGTAGGACCTGTGCTATGGATTGAATTATGTCCCCCAAAAAGATATGTGGAAGTCCTAACCTTTGGTATCTACGAATGTGAGCTTATTTGGAAATAGGGTCTTTGCAGATACAATCAAGTTAAGAAGACATCATTAGGGTGGGCACTAGCCCAGTTTGACTGACATCCTTAGTTTTTTATTTTTTATTTTTTTGAGATAGAGTCTTGCTCTGCCGCCCAGGCTGGAGTGCAGTGGCATGATCTCGGCTCACAACCACCTCCGCCCCCTGTGTTCAAGCGATTCTTCTGCCTCAGCCTCCCGGGTAGCTGGCTCGCACCACCATGCTCGGCCAATTTTTGTATTTTTCGTAGAAAGGGGTTTTCACCATGTTGGCCAGGCTGGTCTTGAACTCCTGACCCCAGGTGATCCGCCCGCCTCAGCCTCCCAAAGTGTGGGATTACAGGCGTGAGCCATTGTGCCTGGCTAGGAGTTGTGATTTTATTCTGTGTGCAGGAGAAACTCCGGGAGCTTCCAGCAGGGGTGTGGCACCATTTCATTTGCACATGGAAAATGTATGTGTTTGGTATCAAGAAGAGCTGATGAAATAAAACAGGGAAGGGAGAATTGAAGGTATACAGAGTCGGTGACCAGACAGGGTGGCGACAGTGGCCTTGGTGAAAATGCACAGGTTTGGAAAATATTTTGGAAGGAGACCAGCAGGACTCGCTGCTGGATCAGAAGTAGAGGATAAAGGAAAGAGAGGCTTCCAGGACACTTCTTGGTTTTGGGTGATGTCTAAGGTTTCTGCCAATTCTCAAAGATTAGGGCATCGTCCATTACAGCAGTGTTTCTGTGTCTGGAGAGGCCATAGATAAATTCCTGGGTGATGCCAGGAATGAAGGGGGTGCATTAAAAAATGTCACCCATCTTGGCCCCACTGTTTGGTTCCCACTGTGAGCCTACGGGCAAGTGCTGGCTGGTCTCCCTCAGTCCACCTGCCCAAAATAATTAGTCATCGCTTCCTGTCCATCTCATCAATGAATAACCTTATCTTTTATCCACAGTGGGGTAAGGCGACATTGCAACTTTTTGTTTCTTTATCATCACTCTCTTTAGTTTATGATGACTTGATCAGACACTGATTTGTTAATCATTGGCTAAGTTTATTGGAGGATGGATTAGTTTCATTATTGCCCTGTAGGGAGATAAAGGCAAGGTCTTGTTGCAATGAACGTGAACTTGCAACTTTAAAAATGTCACTGAACTCATGGCTGGGTGCAGTGGCTCATGCCTGTAATCCCAGCACTTTGGGAGGCTGAGGCGGGTGGATCACTTGAGGTCAGGAGTTTGAGACCAGCCTGGCCAACATGGTGAAACTCCATCTCTACTAAAAATACAAAACTTAATCAGGTGTGATGATGCACACCTGTGATCCCAGATGCGTGGGAGGCTGACACACAAGAAAAGCTTCAACCGGGGAGGGCGGAGGTTGCAGTGAGCCGAGATGGCACCACTGCACCCCAGCCTGGGTGACAGAACAAGAGTCTGTCTCATAAAAAAAAAAAAAAAAGAAAAAGGAATAAAAATGTCACTGAATTCCAGTGGCACTTTGTACTCCCTCCAGGGAAGTCCTGTGCATGTCTTAGTTACTGTGCTGTGATTCATAGTATGGAAATTTCTTCACGTGGAAATACATGGGGTCCTTGACTGATGTAGGGCTTGTTTGTGAAAACCAGACACAGATACCCTTTGATTCAAATACACCAGAGCCGTCTGGGGTTGGTCTCCTGGTTCTCATCTTAGGAGGTCCCTGGGCTAAACAGCAGACTCCTCTCTGCCTTGGAAGCCTGTGTTGCTCCCCGACAGTGGCCAGCGGGGAGGGCGTGACATCTCTGATTGGAGTTGGCCCTCATTTTTGCGTAGATTTAGGAAAATAGATTAGGTTTGATTCAGCCTCTTTCTGGGATGGCAGTGGTATTTCGGAGTGGTCCAGATGACTGGGTTCAAATCCACGTTCTATTAGCTGTTGTTGTCTGTGTGACCTTGGGAAAGTCCCTTGAACTCCAGTGTTAGTTTTATTGTCTGTGAAATTGAGGGTAACGGTGGAAGGAGTTACGGATTTGTGTTATGCATTAATGAGATAAACTCATGTAGCCCTCAGCACACTTGAACTGGATCCAGTGGTTAAGCCAGCGATGGGATTCCCGTGGGATAGTCCATCTCAAGTTCTCAACAATCAACCAGTTTATATCTGGGTCCTTTTTTTTTTTTTTTTTTCTGAGACACAGTCTCGCCCTGTCACCCAGGCTGGAGTGCAATGGCTCGGCTCACTGCAGCCTCCGCCTCCCGGGTTCAGGTGATTCTCCTGCCTTAGGTTCCCGAGTAGCTGGGATTACAGGCGTGCGCCACCACGCCTGGCTAATTTTTTGTATCTTTAGTAGAGACGGGGTTTCACCATGTTGGCCAGGCTGGTCTTGAACTCCTAACCTCGTGATCCACCCGCCTCGGCCTCCCAAAGTCCTGGGATTACAGGCATGAGCCACCGCGCCCAGCCTCATCTGGGTCTTTCGAACAGGTCTTGCTGTGGGTTAGGGACTCTTTGTGCCCAGATCTTTTCACTGATGTAGTTGCTAGCTGAGTCACATTACCTCCTTCTCTCTCTTTTTTTTTTTTTTTTTTTGAGACAGGATCTCACTCTGTCACCCAGGCTGGAGTGCAGTGGTGTGATTTCGGCTCACTACAGCCTTGAATTCCTAGGCTCAAGTGATTCTTTTATCTCACCGTCCTGAGTAGCTGAGACTAATAGTGTGTGCCACCACACTCGGCTAATTTTTTAGTTTTTTTGTAGAGACAAGGTCTCACTATATTGCCCAGGCTGGTTTTGAACTCCTGGGCTCAAGCAGTCTTCCCTCCTTGGCCTCCCAAAGTGCTGGGCTTACAGATATGAACCACCTCGCCCAGCCCCCTCCTTCTCTTAAGGAGAACAATTTGGAAACATTCTAACATGGCCTTGGAATCTAGGGGGAACAAATTCCAAGATATGACAGTTTGTTATCTGCAAGTGGCTGGGGATGTGTGAATGGACAGAGATGCTGTAGAAACATGGAAATGGAAGTAGGGAGGTTGCTAGATTTCTCCCTCCTTACCCCTTGGTCCTCTGCTTGTCCATCGGTGGGCATTTGGTGTCTCTGTCTTGTAGGAGGTCAGGTTTTCTGTAGGCCCGGGGCAATTCAACCTGCCTGGAATGGGCACCCGTGGTGTGATTTCATCACTCATCCCACAACAAGAGTATGCACTGCTCCCTGTTAATTGAAAGGTGAAGTTGAAGGGTCTTGCCATTAGGATTGAGACTCTGCTTCTAAATGTACAGAAATCCCTTGGTCCAGAGCAGTTAAGGGCTGCCAACGCCGTTTCTTTCTTTCTTTCTTTTTTTTTTTTTTCAATTTTTAAATTTAGGCTGGGAGTGGTGGCTCACGCCTGTAATCCCAGCGCTTTGGGAGACCAAGGTGGGCAGATCACCTGAGGTCGGAAGTTTGAAACCGCCTTGGCCAACATAGTGAAACCCCATTTCTATTAAAAATACAAAAAAATTAGCTGGGCGTGGTGACACACGCCTGTCATCTCAGCTACTCAGGAGGCTGATGTGGGAGAATCATTTGAACCCAGGAAGCGGAGTTTGCAGTGAGCTGAGTTTTCACCACTGCACTCCAGCCTGGGTGACAGAGTGAGACTCCATCTCAAAAAAATACATAAGTAAATAAATAAATTGATTAAACAAATATTTTTGCAGAGACAGGGCCTCATTATGTTGCTCAGGCTGGTCTTGAACTACTGGGTTCAAGCGATCCTCCCGTGTCAGCCTCCCACAATGCTGAGATTACAGGCAGGATCCATCTTACCCGGCCACACAGCTGTTTATTTCATCAATTGACCCATCCCTGCTACCTCCAAATTGGAGTGGGTATGATATTGGAACAGCCATGTGTTTACCTGCAGACAGGCTGGTCAGATAGGGAAGGTGTCACAGCCTTTCCCATATCCTGGTACACTTTTTTTTTTTGAGACGCAGTTTTACTTGGTCACCCACACTGGCATGATCTCGGCTCATGGCAGCCTCTGCCTCCTGGGTTCAAGCTATTCTCCTGCCCCAGCCTCCCAAGTAGCTGGGATTACAGGCACCCACTACCACGCCTGAATAATTTTTGTGTTTTTAGTAGGGACAGGGTTTTGTTTTGCCATATTGCCCAGGGTGGTCTTGAACTCCTGACCTCAAGTGATCCGCCTGCCTCCGCCTCCCAAAGTGCTGGGATTACAGAGGTGAGCCACCGTGCCCAGCTGACTTTGTGCTTTTTTTTTTTTGAGACAAAGTTTCGCTCTTGTTGCCCAGGCTGGAGTGCAGTGGTGCAATCTGAGCTCACTGCAACCTCTGCCTCCCGGGTTCAAGCGATTCTCCTGCCTCGCCTCCCAAGTAGGTGGTATTACACGCATTTGCCATCACGCCTGGCTAATTCTTTGTATTTTTAGAAAAGACAGGGTTTCACCATGTTGGCCAGGCTGGGTCTTGAACTCCTGACCTCAGGTGATCCACACGCCTTGGGCTCCCAAAGTGCTGGGATTACAGGCGTGAGCCATCATGCCTGGGCCCAACTTTTTTTTTTTTTTTTTGAGACGAAGTCTCGCTCTGTTGCCCAGGAGTGGTGTGATCTCGGCTCACTGCAACCTCTGCCTCCTGAGTTCAAATGATTCTCCTGCCTCAGCCTCCCAAGTAGCTGGGACTACAGGCGTGCATCACCACACCTGGCTAATTTTTGTATTTTTAGTAGAGGCAGGGTTTCACCATGTTGGCCAGGCTGTTCTTGAACTCCTGACCTCAGGTGATCCACCCGCCTCGGCCTCCCAAAATGCTGGGATTACAGGCATGAGCCATCATGCCCAGCCAACTTTGTGTTTTTCTTTTTCTTAAAGATATTGTCTCTTATATATGCATTTGAGGAGCTTAGCTATCGAGAGATAAATCAGCCCATGAAAGACCCCAGTCAGATTTCATGGCACACAGTGCCAGGCTCTCCCTGTGTCTGTTTTTCTCAGGCCAAACAAGTGTTTGGGGAACAATGGAACCAGCTCGCACGTGAGCAATGAGGAAGCTGGTCTGTGTCTACCTCCAAGAGGCTTAGGATTCAGTTGGGTTTGGGGGATGGGGACCTCCTCTCTAGCCAGTGATGTGGCCTTCAGTCCAAACTTCCAAGAAAGGGAATCTCAGAAAGATCCATGTTTCCTGGCTGATGGACCTGTCTGATATGGACCCACCAACAGCTCTTTGTCTGTGTTGGTGGTGGTGTCGCTATGTCTTCTCACAGTGTAGGCCCCTAGGGAAAGGGAATGCTGGGTACACCGAAGAAAACTTGTTTGTGCCTGGTCAGAAGGTGGGGTGATTCTTGCCCAAGGATTGATTAATTTAGGTCTTGCCAAGCTTATCTGTTTTTGTTTGTTTGTTTGTTCGAGACGGAGTCTCACTCTGTTGCCCAGGCTGGAGTGCAGTGGCGCGATCTCGGCTCACTGCAAGCTCCGCCTCCCGGGTTCACACCATTCTCCTGCCTCAGCCTCCAGAGTAGCTGGGACTACAGGCGCCCGCCACCATGCCTTGCTAATTTTTTGTATTTTTAGTAGAGACGGGGTTTCACCGTGTTAGCCAGGATGGTCTCGATCTCCTGACCTTGTTTAGGTGATTCTCTTGCTTCAGCCTCCTGAGTAGCTGGGATTACAGGCATGCTCTACCACGCCCAGCTGATTTTTGTATTTTTAGTAGAGATGGGGTTTCACCATGTTGGCCAGGTGGGTCTCAAACTCCTGACCTCAAGCGATCCACCCACCTCGGCCTCCCAAAGCGCTGGGATTACAGGATGAGCCACCGTGCCTGGCCTGCCAAGCTTATCTGTAGCAGAGATTGGTGCTTATAGGAGCCTGCAGATCTCTGGGATGGGCTCTTTGCGTGGCAGTCACTAGGGAGATCAAGAGAAAGTCGGTTGTTGATTTTGCCTATAAAGGTGATATCACAGTCTGTAAGTCTTCCCACAGACCTTATCCCATTGAAGAAGTACACATTAACTGATTAGCACAGACTGTGTGGTGCATTCTGAAGTCATTTTCGAATAAAATTCCTGGTCTAAAGAGTAAATAGCTGAAGATAAGGTAACTTTTCCTGTTAGCAAGGAATTCAAGATACTGAGATGTAAATGAACCTTTTGCAGCTCTTGACTGGCCAACCTATATTTGTGGTGGGTAAGGAAAGAAGTGAATTCTGATGTCAAAGAGGACAGCAAAGAACAGGAAGGCAGCAGCTGTAGATTGTTCTAGAACAGGATTTGGCAAAGCTTTTCCTTTTCTTTTTTTTCTTGAGATAGGGAGGGTCTCATTGTGTCACCCAGGCTGGAGTGTACTGGCACAATCACAGCTCACTGCAACCTCCACCTCCTGGGCTGAAGTGATCCTCCCACCTCAGCCTCCTGAATAGCTGGGACTACTTACCTGCACCACCACGCCTGGCAAATTCTTTGGTGTTTTTTGAGATGGGGTTTTGCCATGTTGCCCAGGCTGGTCTCGAACTCCTGGGCTCATGTGATCTTTTGCCTCATCTTCCCAAAATGCTAGGATTGCAGGCATGAGCCACCGTCCCTGGCCAGCAAAACTTTAAAAAATTTTTTTGGCCAGGTGTGGTGGCTCACACTTGTAATCCCAGCACTTTGGGAGGCCAAGGTGAGTGGATCATTTGAACCTGGGAGTCCAAGACCAGCCTGGGCAACATGGCAAAATCCTGTCTCTACTAAAAATACAAAAATTAGCTGGGTATGGTGGAATACGCTTGTAGTCCCAGCTGCTGGGGGCGCCTGGGACTATAGGCACATGATACCACACCTGGCTATTTATTTATTTATTTATTTTGAGATGAAGTCTCACTCTGTTGCCCAGGCTGGAGTGTAGTGGTGTGATCTTGGCTCACTGCAAACCTCTTCCTCCCAGGTTCAAGCAATTCTCGTGCCTCAGCCTCCCAAGTAGCTGGGATTACAGGTGTGTGCCACCACGCCCAACTAATTTTGGTATTTTTTGTAGAGACATGATTTAGTCATGTTAGCCAGGCTGGTCTCAAACTCCTGACCTCAAGTGATTTGCCTATCTTGGCCTCCCAAAGTGCTAGGAATTCAGGAATGAGCCACCGTGCTGGCCCTAATTTTTAAATTTTTTGTAGAGATTGGGTCTAGCTATGTTTCCTAGGTTGGTCTGGAACTCCTGGCCTCAAGTGATCCTCCTACCTCAGCCTCCCAAAATGCTAGGATTACAGTCATGAGCTACTGTGCCTAGCCCTTGCAGTGATTTTTTTTTTTTTTTTTTTTTTTTTTTTTTTTTTTGTGAGACGGAGACTTGCTGTGTTGCTTAGGCTGGAGTGCAGTGGCGCAATATCGGCTCCCTACAACATCCATCTCCCAGGTTCAAGTGATTCTCCTGCCTCAGCCTCCCTAGTAGCTGGGATTACAGGCATGCGCGACCACGCCCAGCTGATTTTTGTATTTTTAGTAGAGACAGGGTTTCGTCATGTTGGCCAGGCTGGTCTTGAACTTCTGACCTCAAGTGGTCCACCTGCCTTGGCCTCCTAAAGTGCTGGGAATTCAGGCATGAGCCACCGCGCTGGCCCTAATTTTTAATTTTTTTGTAGAAATGGGGTCTCACTATGTTTCCCAGGTTGGTCTGGAACTCCTGGCCTCAAGTGATCCTCCTTCCTCAGCCTCCCAAAGTGCTAGGATTACAGGCATGAGCTACTGTGCCTAGCCCTTACAGTTTTTTGTTTTTTAAAGGAGCAATGTATACTTTTGCTGTTCTGTAAAGATTTATCCCCCTAAAAAAGTCTCACATAGTCACCCAGGATTAAATGAAATAATGTATCAGGGCACTTGGCATAGCATTTGTCACCTAGTATTAGATAGATACCATACTCTTCATTGGCTATTTTCTGTTCATTTATATATTAGAGTTGGTAAGGCAATCGAATGAGCTCTTACATAATTAATGCCATCCTATTCCCCCTGTCATCCCCAGGCGGCCCCTATCAGATTGAGGTCCACATCGTGGCCACCGGCACACTCCCCAACGGCACCCTCTACGCAGCCAGGGGCTCCCAGGTGGACTT
Source organism: Homo sapiens (assembly GCF_000001405.40). Classification (NCBI taxonomy): domain Eukaryota; kingdom Metazoa; phylum Chordata; class Mammalia; order Primates; family Hominidae; genus Homo; species Homo sapiens. The sequence goes on along the minus strand of NC_000012.12, from coordinate 118,082,338 downwards.
CAGCTGCAACAGCAGCTCCAGGCCACCACCCGTGGTTGAATGGTGGTTCCAGGCCCTGAATTCCAGCAGCGAGTCCTTTGGCCACAACCTGACAGTCAACTTTTTCTCACTGTTACTGATATCGCCAAACCTCCAAGGGAACTACACCTGTTTAGCCTTGAATCAGCTCAGCAAGAGACATCGAAAGGTGACCACCGAGCTCCTGGTCTACTGTGCGTAAGCAGCACTCCTCTGCCCCGCTTCTTCCCCTTAACCCTTTGTGAACTTATGAACTGCACGTTTGTGCCTCTCCCATTTGTCTTTTTTTTTTTTTTTTTTTTTAAGATGGAGTTTCCCTCTTCTTGCCCAGGCTGGAGTGCAAAGTTGCGATCTCACCTCGCCGCAATCTCCACCTCATGGGTTCAAGCGATTCTCCTGCCTCAGCCTCCCGAGGTAGCTGGGATTACAGGCATGGGCCACCACGCTCAGCTAATTTTGTATTTTTAGTAGAGACGGGGTTTCTCCATGTTGGTCAGGCTGGTCTTGAACTCCCGACCTCAGGTGATCCACCCGCCTTGGCTTCCCATAGTGCTGGGATTACAGGCGTGAGCCACTGCGCCCGGCCTCCCATTTGTCTTTAAGGGGGTGCCTGCTGCATGATTCTTCTGAACATGTATCTGTGGCTCCCTCAATACACACATCCAGGGCTGCTGCACTCAGGGAAGGAATCATCCCTTCTGGAAGCTTGCTGCTATGCAGGGGTGCAGGAGAGTGCTTGGGAACCACGGAAGAACACTAATGCATTCTTTTTTTTTTCTTTCCCCTAAATTGAGGTGAAAGTACGTAGGATTAACCATTTAGCAATGTACAATTGAATGGGCTCAGTGGCTCACACCTGTAATCCTAGCTACTTAGGCTGAGGCAGAGAATCCCTTGAACTTGGGACGCAGAGGTTGCAGTGAGCCAAGATGTGCCACTGCACTTCAGCCTGGGCGACAGGGCGAGACTCCGTCTCAAAAAAAAGTAAAAATAAAAATGTATAATTCAGTGGCATTCAGTGCATTTATGCAACCATCACCTGTATCAGGTTCCAAAACATTTTGTTTTTCTTTTTGAGACCGAGTCTCGCTCTGTCACCCAGGCTAGAGTGCAGTGGCGAGATCTCTGCTCACTGCAGCCTCCACCTTCCAGGTTCAAGCAATTCAGTTCTCACACCTCAGCCTCCAGAGTAGCTGGGACCACAGGCAGGTACCACCATGTCCGACTAATTTTTCTATTTTTAGTAGAGACAGGGTCTCCCCACGTTGCCCAGGCTAGCCTCAAACTCCTGAGCTCAAGTGATCTGCTCACCTCAGCCTCCTAAAGTACTGGGATTACAGGCATGAGCCACCATTCCTGGCCCTCCAAAACATTTTTGTTATCCCAGATAACCATTTTGTCATCCCAAATAACCCTGTACCCAATAAGCAGTCACCCTCATTCCCTCTTTTCCCCAGACCTGGACAACCCCCAATCCGCATTCTGTCCCTGTGGGTTTGCCTGTTCTGTACACTTCATATGAATGGCTCATACAATGTGGGGCTTTTTGTGTCTGGCTTCTTTCACCTGGCTTCATGTTTTTGAGGTTCGTCTATATTGAGGCATGTATCAGTAATCCATTCCTTTTAATGGCTGAATAATAGTCCGTTCCTTGCGTGGATGGACCACAATTTATTTGTTCATCCATCCATCTGTATACATTGTTTTTGTGGACCTGTGTGGCTGTCATAGGCACCGGGCCCTCTAGCACTGTTATGAACAAGTAGCGTGTGAATCTTTATCTCAGGAGTGGGGAAACACCAACCAAACACTCCCATACACAAATATCTTGGACGAAAACCACGGTAGAAATGCAGAGTGGGGCTGAGCGCGGTGGCTCACGTCTATAATTTCAGCGCTTTGGGAGGCCGAGGCAGGTGGATCATCTGAGGCCAGCAGTTCAGACCATCCTGGGCAACATGGCAAAACCCTGTCTCTATTTAAAAAAAAAATGAAAAAATAAATTAGGAATGCAAAAGTGAGGCTGGGCGCGGTAGCTCACGTCTGTAATCTCAGCACTTTGGGAGGCTGAGGCGGGTGGATCACCTGAGGCCAGGAGTTCCAGACCATCCTGGCCAACATGGCAAAACCCTGTCTCTATTAAAAAAAAAAAAGAAAAGAAAAAATAAATAAGAAATGCAAAAGCGAGGCGAGACGCAGTGGCTCACGCCTATAATCCCAACACTTTGGAAGGCTGAGGCAGGTGGATCACCTGAAGTCAGGCGTTCAAGAGCAGCCTGACCAACATGGCAAAACCTTGTCTCTACTAAAAATATAAAAATAAGCAGGGCGTGGTGGCGCATGCCTGTAATCCCAGCTACTTGGGAGGCTGAAGCAGGAGAATTGCTTGAACCTGGGAGGTCGAGGTTACAGTGAGCCGAGATTGCACCACTGCCCTCCAGCCTGGGCAACAAGAGTGAAACTCCATCTCAAAAACAAAGAAAGAAAGAAAGAAAGAAATGCAAAGGTGAATGAGACCCAGGTCGGAAATTTAACACCCAACAGAGGAAGCCTGACTGTTGTCAGGCATGAATTTGTGCTAGGAGCTATTAGATGCTAACACTAACTGGGGTTGATGTCCCTCTGAGACCCTGGTTCTGCCATCCTTAGAGCCAGTCCAGTGGCTGATCCTAGAGTCTGTGATTCAGCCCATGCTTTCCTCTGGTGTTTTGCAGATCCCCCTCCATCAGCTCCCCAGTGCTGGGCACAGATGGCATCAGGATCGTTCATGTTGCAGCTTACCTGTCGCTGGGATGGGGGATACCCTGACCCTGACTTCCTGTGGATAGAAGAGCCAGGAGGTGTAATCGTGGGGAAGTCAAAGCTGGGGGTGGAAATGCTGAGCGAGTCCCAGCTGTCGGATGGCAAGAAGTTCAAGTGTGTTACAAGCCACATAGTTGGGCCAGAGTCGGGCGCCAGCTGCATGGTGCAGATCAGTGAGTCTGTTTTGCTTTGTCTTGGGGTTGGAGTTTCCCTGCCTTCCTTTCTCCTAGGAGAAGCATTTGAGAGTTCTTCTGAGGAAGAAATCCCCGGATGTCAGGGTGGACTGAATTCCTTCCCTTTCTCCCTTTCTTTTTCTTTATGTTTCACTTTTTTCAAATTTTAGAGATGCTTAGCTCAAGCTTCTTCATTCTAGTCCCAGCTATTTTCCACTTGACAGATACTAATTGAACCCCTGCTATGTGCCAGGTACAGTTTCTACGTGCTGAGGATGGAGCAGTGAACAAGACATATGAGGTTCATCGTCTTTTGTGTCTGTCCATTTACTGTTGCTGTAAAGGAATACCTGAGGCTGGGTAGTTTATAAAGAAAATTTTTTTTTTTTTTTTTTTTTTTTTTTTTTTAGGCAGAGTCTTGCTCTGTTGCCCAGACTGGAGTGCAGTGGCATGATCTTGGCTCACTACAGCCTCTGCCTCCCAGGTTCAAGCAATTCTCCTGCCTTAGCCTCTTGAGTAGCTGGGACTACAGGCGTGCACCATCATGCCCAGCTAATTTTTGTATTTTTAGTAGAAATGGGGTTTCACCATGTTGGCCAGGCTGGTCTCGAACTGACCCCAAGTGATCTACCTGCCTCGGCCTCCTAAAGTGCTGGGATTATAGGTGTGAGCCACCGCACCTAGCTGAAAATTACTTTATTTGCTCATAGTTCCGTAGGCTGTGCAAGAAACATGGCACCAGCATCTGCTTGGCTTCTGGTGAGAGCGTCAGGCTGCTTCTGCTCATGACAGAAGGTAAAGGGGAGCCAGCTTATGCAGAGTTCCATAGTGAGAGAGGAAGCAAGAGAGAGAAGGGAGGTGCCAAACTCTTTTTAACAACCAGCAGTGGCTGGGCGTGGTAGCTCACACCTGTAATCTCAGCACTTTGGGAGGCTGAGGCAGGTGGATCACTTGAGGTCAGGAGTCTGAGACCAGCCTGGCCAACATGATGAAACCCCATCTCTACTAAAAATACAAAAATTAGTTGGGCGTGGTGGCGCATGCCTGTAGTCCCAGCTACTCGGGAGGCTGAGGCAGGAGAACTGCGTGAACCCAGGAGGCGGAGCTTCCAGTGAGCCGAGATCGCACCACTGCACTCCAGCCTGGGCGATGGAGTGAGACTCCATCTCAAAAAAAGAAAATAGTGACAAAAATTGTAATTACTTTTGCAGTAAGCTAATAGAATGAGAATTCACTTACCCAAACACCTTCCATTAGGCCTTACCTCCAACACTGAGGATCAAATTTAAACATGAGATTTGGAGGGGACAAACATTCAAACTATAGCTTCTAGTTATGTAACAAATTACTCTCAAACATAGTGGCTTAAAACAAGAATAACCATTTATTATCTGATGATTTCTGTGGGTCAGGAATTCAGAGAGGGCACAGTGGGCATTGGGGATGGTTTGTCTTGGCTCTGTATGTCTGGGGTGTCAGCCGGAAGAATTGAAGGTTGCGGGGCTGAAATCATCTGAAAGATCTACTTTTGAAGTCCTCACTCCCATGCCTGGCAACTATTTCTTCTCCATGTGGGATTCTCCATAAGGCTGCTTGAGTGTCCTTCCAACATGGCAGATGGCTTCCCTCAGAGCAAATGATCCAAAATGGAGTGAGTCAAGCTGATGCTATCCTTTCTATGACCTAGCCTCAGGAGTTACATGGGATCCCTTCTGCCACACTCTGTGTCTTAGAAATAAGTCCAGCCCACATTGAAGAGGGCTGGGAAGAATTAGGCACCACTTTTTGAAGGGAGGAGTGTCAGAGAATGTCTGTACATATTAAAACCACAAACATTCCTCTTTCACAGAGCTTATATTCTGGGTGGCATGGGGGTAGAAGGAAGACAGAAAGTACAAAAACAAGTAAGATAGGTCCAGATATGATGATAATATGAGGATAATAAAATGGTATATATAAAAGGGAGGCCTTTATAAGAAGAGGGGCACTTTTCCTAGGGTGGCAGGGAGGTCTCCGTGAGATGGTAATAATCTATCCTTAGAATGAGAAGGAGCTGGCTAGGTGAAGATCCGTGGGCTGAGTGTTCCTGGCAGAGGCAACAGCAAACGCAGAGGCCCTGAGGTGGAAACAAACTTGGCATTTGAGGACCCGAGAGAAGACCAGTGTGGCCGGGGCATCGTGTGTAAAGTACTGATAAAGCTGGGTGGAGGTTGGGGGTTCAGTTGTGTCCCCCCAGTAGATATGTTCAAGTCCAAACCCTAATACCTGTGGATATGACTTTATTCAGAAAGAGTCTTTGCAGATGGAATCAAGTTAAGATAAGGTCATAGTGGATTAGAGTAGGCTGTAATCCAATGACTGATGTCTTTCTTTGTAAGAAGGGAGAAGGCCGGGCGTGGTGGCTCACGCCTGTAATCCCAGCACTTTGGGAGTCAGAGGCAGGAGGATAGCTTACGGCTAGGAATTCGAGACCAGCCTGGGCAACACAGACCTTGTTTCTACAAACAATAAAAAATAAATAAAGTAGCTGGGCATGGTGGTATGCACCTATAATCCCAGCTACTGGGGAGGCTGATGTGAGAGTATTGCTTGTACCTAGGAGGTTGAGGCTGCAGTGAGCGGTCACTCCAGGCCTGGGTGTCAGAGTGAAACTCTGTCTCAAAACAAAAAAAAGGGAAAGGTAAGAGAGATCAGAAGCGCCAGGATCAGTCAGATGTGGTAGCTCATGACTGTAATCCCAGCACTTTGGGAGGCCAAGGACGGGCATATTGCTTGGGCCCAGGAGTTTGAGACCAGCCTGGGCAACACAGCGAAACACCATGATATGGTTTGGCTCTGTGTCCCCACCCAAATCTCATGTTGAATTGTAACTCCAAATATTGGCAGAGGGACCTGGTGGGAGGTAATTTGATCATGGGAATGTATTTCACACAAACACTAACACTAACGATAGGTGATGAGCCAAAAAAAAAAAAAAGGGACCGTGCATAATTTTCATGATATCCATCACACAGATAAACAAAAATGTCCTCACATTCAAAGCCATCCTGGGCCGAATTTAGCCCGCAGCTGCAGGTTGGAAAAGCTTGCTCTAGAGCGTCCAAAAGGAACCAGCTCTGCCAACATCTTGATGTTAACCTTGTAAGACGTTCTAGACTCCTGGCCTCCACAACTGTTAAGAGAATAAATGTGCTTTAAGCCACTAAGTTTGTCACAATCTATTACATCAGCAATTGGAAACAAATACAGCTGCCCTCTTGTCCCCTTGAAATCCTTGTCAGATATGTGTCCATTTTTATACGATCAGTACAGTTTTTATGTGTAAAAGTGTATAGCATAGAAGGAAGGCTTATGGATACAGTAGCCAGTTTATCCTGGTTTGCACAGAACTCTCCTGGTTTTAGGACTGAAAACTCCTCATTCTGGGAATACTCCACGTCCTGGGCAGACTGGGGCAGTTGATCACTCTGAATCCTAGCTGCATTGCCTATTTAGTTCTGTAGCATTCAGCAAATTACTTAACTTTCTCTGTGCCTCAGTTTCCTTATCTGCAAAATGGGCATAATAACAGGGTTGCTGTGAGAGTGAATTGGGTTAATACATGTAACAGTGCCTTGCCCACAGTAAATGCCTAGTAATCTTAGGCTTATTATGATGTAAGACGAGGTGTGGTGGAGAAATTTCTGGAGTTGGCCAGGCACGGTGGCTCATGCCTGTAATCCCAGCACTTTGGGAGGCCAAGGTGGAGGATCATTTGAGGTCAGGAGTTCAAGACCAGCCTGACCAACATGGTGAAACCCTGTTTCTACTAAAAGTACAAAAATTAGCCAGGCATGGTGGCAGGCACCTGTAATCCCAGCTACTTGGGAGGCTGAAGCATGAGAATCACTTGAACCTGGGAGGCAGAGGTTGCAGTGAGCCAAGATCACAGCACTGCACTCCAGCCTGGGTGACAGAGCGAGACCTTGTCTCAAAAACAAAAAAAGAAAAAAAGAAATTTCTGGAGTTGCTTCATTAGGAAGGAAATGTAGTGTTCCTGCCTTACCCATGAGGGATATGTTCCTAGATCCCCAGTGGATGCCTGAAGCCATGGGTAGCACTGAACCCTATATATATATATACACACACACACATATATACACACACACACATATATATATACACACATATATACATATATATACATATATATACATATACACATATATACATATATACACATATATATACATATACACATATATACATATATACATATATATACTATGCTTTTTCTTATACATAAATACTTATGATAAGGTTAATTTATACATTAGGCACAATAAGAGATTAACAATAGTAACTAATAAAAAATAGACAAGTATAACAATATACTGTCATAAAAGGTATGCGAATGTGATCTTTCTCTCAAAATATCTACTCAGCCTTCTTGTGATGAAGAAAGGCTCATGCAGATGGTGTGAGATTTCGTCACACGACTCAGAACAATGTGCAGTTTAAAACTTAGGAAATTGTGAATATACTTAAAAGTACTGCAAGAAATGAAAAAATAAAAAATTTATGAATTGGCCCGGCACGGTGGCTCACGCCTGTAATCCTAGCACTTTGGGAGGCTAAGGCAAGTGGATCACCTGAGGTCAGGAGTTTGAGACTAGCCTGGCCAATATGGTGAAACCCCGTCTCTACTAAAAATACAAAAATTAGGTGGGCGTGGTGGCTCATGCCTGTAATCCCAGCCACTTGGGAGGCTGAGGCAGGAAAATCTCTTGAATTCAGGAGGTGGAGATTGCAGTGAGCTGAGATTGCATCACTGCACTCCAGCCTGGGCGACAAAGTGAGACTCCATCTCAAAAAAAAAAAAAAATTGTTCATTTCTGAAATTTTCCATTTAGTATTTTTGGACTGTAGTCAACCATGGTAACTGAAACCTCAGAAAGTGAAATCACAGATAAAGGGGACTGGGGCCGGATGCGGTGGCTCACGCCTGTAATCCCAGCACTTTGGGAGACTGAGATGGGCAAATCACCTGAGGTTGGGAGTTTGAGACCAGCCTGGGCAACATGGTGAAACCCTGTCTCTACTAAAAATACAAAAATTAGCCAGGTGTGGTGGCGCATGCCTGTAATCCCAGCTCGGGAGGCTGAGGCAGGAGAATTGCTTGAACCCGGGAGGGAGGCAGAGGTTGCAGTGAGCTGAGATCGCACCACTGCACTCCAGCCTGGGCAACAGAGCAAAACCTCCATCTCAAAACAAAACAAAACAAAACAAAAAACTACTGCAGTTTTCCTGCAGATCTCAGGCCATGACTTGAATCTCTTTAAACATTTGTCTTTGTTTACCTTCTGATCACCAGGGGGTCCCTCCCTTCTCTCTGAGCCCATGAAGACTTGCTTCACTGGGGGCAATGTGACGCTTACATGCCAGGTGTCTGGGGCCTACCCCCCTGCCAAGATCCTGTGGCTGAGGAACCTTACCCAGCCCGAGGTGATCATCCAGCCTAGCAGCCGCCATCTCATTACCCAGGATGGCCAGAACTCCACCCTCACTATCCACAACTGCTCCCAGGACCTGGATGAGGGCTACTACATCTGCCGAGCTGACAGCCCTGTAGGGGTGAGGGAGATGGAAATCTGGCTGAGTGTGAAAGGTGAGTGGTGGAACTGGGCCTGAAGGAGGGAGGGTTCAGAGCTTCAGAGCACCCAGCATCAGCATGAGGACAGCCTGGTGCCTCCCTACACATGGGTCACTGCCAACTGGGAGAAGGCATATCTGCTTGCTTATGACTTGACAAGGTGGCTGGAAGAAATTATCCAACCCTAAACTCACTAATATTTCCATAGGTAGCAAAAATTACATAATATCTATACACACCAACGAATAGATATCTAGTGTATGTCAGTTGTAAAGCATAACAGCAAAATGAACACCTAAGAAACTATCATCCCACTGAGGATACAGAATAGTACCAACATGCATTAGGTTACTTGTATGTCTCAGGGCCAGATTTGGAAACAACGATAGGGCTGGGCACAGTGGCTCACGCCTGTAATCCCAGCACTTTGGGAGGCCGAGGCGGGTGGATCACTTGAGGCCAGGAGTTTGAGACCAGCCTGGCTAGTATGGTGAAACCTCGTCTTTACTAAAAATACAAAATTACTTGGGAGGCTGAGATGGGCAGATCACCTGAGGTTGGGAGTTCGAGACCATTAGCTGAGCATGGTGGCAGGTGCCTGTAATCCCAGCTACTCGGAAGTCTGAGGCAGAATTGCTTGAATCTGGGAGGCGAAGGTTGCAGTGAGCCGAGATCACACCACTGCACTTCAGCTTGGGTGACAGAGCGAGAATCCACTTCAAAAAGAAGAAAATAGCAATAGAACTTTAAAAACAGGATGCCTGCTTAAATTTGAGTTTAGAAAAATAAATACTTTTAAGTATAAGTGTGTCCCAAATATTTCATGAGACATACTTACACTAAAAAAACTATTCATTGTTTATCTGAAATCCAAATTTCACTGGGCATACTGAATTTTACCTGGGAACCCTCCCTGTAGGCCTAGTCTCATCTTGGGCCTCTCTCGAAAGGTAACCATGGTCCTGAATTTTAAGTTTTACTATATATGTCTCTACTTATTTCTTTTTATTTTATTTTTTATACAGATGAGGTCGCACTGTGTTGACCAGGTTGGTCTTGAACTCCTGGCCTGAAGTGAGCCTCCCATCTCAGCCTCCCAAAGTGTTGAGATTGCAAGCATGAGCCACCACACCTGGCCTCTTTCTTCCCTTCCCTTCTCCCTTTTCCTTTCTCTTCTCCCTTTTCCCTTTCCTACCTTCCTTCTTTTCTTTCCCTCCCCTCCCCTCCTCTTTCTTTCTTTTTTTTTTTTGAGACGGAGTCTTGCTCTGTCACCCAGGCTGGAGTGCAGTGGTGCGATCTCGGCTCACTGCAAGCTCCACCTCCTGGGTTCATGCCATTCTCCTGCCTCAGCCTCCCAAGTAGCTGGGACTGCAGGCGCCCGCCGCTGTGCCCGGCTAATTTTTTGTATTTTTAGTAGAGATGGGGTTTCACTGTGTTAGCCAGGATGGTCTCGACCTCCTGACCTCGTGATCCGCCTGCCTCGGCCTCCCAAAGTGCTGGGATTACAGGCGTGAGCCACCGCGCCCGGCCCTCTTTCTTTCTTTGAGATGGAATTTCGCTCTTGTTGCCCAGGCTGGAGTGCAATGGCGCGATCTTGGCTCACCGCAACCCCCGCCTCCCGGGTTCAAGTGATTCTCCTGCCTCAGCCTCCCAAGTAGCTGGGATTACAGACATGCACCACCACACCTGGCTAATTTTGTATTTTTAGTAGAGACGGGGTTTTAACATGTTGGTCAGGCTGGTCTCGATCTCCCGACTTCAGGTGATCCGCCCTCCTCAGCCTCCCAAAGTGCTGGGATTACAGGCATGCGCCACTGCGCCCGGGCTCTAGTACCAATTCTTAAATAGTGCTTCCTTTGCTCAAGACCCTGTCATATATCAATTATACTTACGTGTGGACCCGTTCCTGGACTCTCTGTTCTGTTCCGTTGATCACTCTGTTTATCATGGCATTGATAACTCTCAACACTCTTACTTACCATGGCCTTAGAAATAGTCTCAGTGTTTGGTAGACAGAGAGATTTTAACTTTCCATTGTTTGTTCACATTCCCTGCTCCATCTGATCCCCACAAACTCTCTGAGGTTGGGTGATAAAATATTTATCTGGCATTACAGACAGGTCATAAGCCTTACCCAAGGTCAGGAATCAAGACAAGAACTGGATCCACGCAGAGAAAGGGAGGTGTTGTTCTAATTGCACACATATCTGATGGAAGAATCAATGGTGTGATTTGTCTTTACAGAACCTTTAAATATCGGGGGGATTGTGGGAACCATTGTGAGCCTCCTTCTGCTGGGACTGGCCATTATCTCAGGGCTTCTGTTGCATTATAGCCCTGTGTTCTGCTGGAAAGGTAAGGACTCCCTGGGTCCTTTAGCTTCTCTTCCAGACTTTTGAAAAGGTGCGGGATGGGGAAGGATGGCCCCTGCCTTGCTCCCACCTGAAGTTCTGTTCTCTGGGCTTCTTTGCTGGGTCAAGATACACAGTAATAAGTCACCTAAGTACCATCCCGGGACACCCTATCACCTGTCATATTGAGTCAGTTTTCTTATTTGTTCCTCTAGTAAATGTTTGCCTGATTAAGAACCTGTCAGGTTGAAGTGGATGTTACTGGATATTAATGGTTTTTCCTTTCTCTCTTCAGTAGGAAACACTTCCAGGTGAGTGTTCCCTAGAATCAAACCAAACACCCATTCCCGCATCTGTCTTCACTTCTGTTTTGTTCCCTTCCTTTCACAAGAACAATAATAGCAACTACCATTGAGGACCTACGATGTGCTAGACACTGGCCTAGGGATTTCATCAGGTATTCTTATAAACCCTTTCATCATCTCCTCAGGGTGGTGGTGACATCTCCATTTTCCAGATAAGGGGATGGAGGCTCAGTGAAGTAATTTCTGCAAGCTCATTCCAGAAGAAAGCAGCAGTGCCTTCCTTCAGGTCCAGGTCTAATCAATTCCAAAGTCTGTGTTCTTTTACAGCGCCAAACCTCAGGGCTGGACACATTGCAGGTCTGTCATTGAGACAGAAAGACAATGTGTACATTTTGAGCCAGTCATTCATGCATTTGTTTTATTTAATTTTCTAAAAAGAGCTAAAAGAAAGAATCAGTCATAGTCTTAAGTTTTTTTTTCTTTTTCTTTTTTCTTTTTTTTTTTTTTTTTGAGACAGAATCTCTCTCTCTTGCTCAGGCTGGAGTGCAGTGGTGCAGTCTCAGCTCACTGCAATCCCTACCTCCCAGGTTGAGGCCATTCTCCTGCCTCAGCCTTCCGAGTAGTTGGGATTACAGGTGCGCACCATCAAGCCTGGCTAATTTTTGTATTTTTAGTAGAGACAGGGTTTCACCATGTTGCCCAGGCTAGTCTCAAACTCCTGGCCTCAAGTGGTCTGCCCGCCTCGGCCTCCCAAAGTGCCGGGATTACAGGCACGAGCCACTGCACCCAGCCAGTTTTACAGTGTTTTGGAAGACTACTATGAGCATGCCCAGAACCCCCTCCCAAAAGGAAACCCCAGTAGGGGCGAAGGAACCAAACGGAACTTGTGTATTTCATTTCCTAAGGAGATTCTGGGTGGGAGCAGAGTACTCTTCTCTATGATCCTATGGAAAAACAGTTCTTTACCTCTTCAAAATGACAGGATATTATTGACCTGGGACCATCTTTCGTAGCAAAACATTACCTTTACTGCCCTGTATTGGAGGGCCATTCTTAGTAAGTCTGTCATTCCCTGGGCTTATTTCTCACTGGAGGCATCAGTGTGGTGTAGTAGGAAAAGGCACTGAGACCATTGGACCTGGGTTCAAATGACAGCTGTGCCATTCCCAAGCCCTGTACCCATAGAAAATCCCTGACCCTTTCTGAGCCTTAGTCTCCTGATTTGTTTCACCAGGGGGTTTGTGAAGATTAAATGACAATGTAACACAGCTCCTCGGGCAGGTGACTGACCTGTGGCGTTCATTCTTCTTCCTTAAGAAATGCATAGTCCAGGCCGGGTGCAGTGGCTCACGCCTGTAATCCCAGCACTTTGGGAGGCCGAGGCGGGTGGATCACCTGAGGTCGGGAGTTCGAGACCAGCCTGACCAACATGCAGAAACCCCATCTCTACTAAAAATACAAAAAATTAGCCGCATGTAGTGGCGCATGCCTGTAATCCCAGCTGCTTGGGAGGTTGAAGCAGGAGAATTGCTTGAACCTGGGAGGCAGAGGTTGCGGTGAGCCATGATTGTGCCATTGCACTCCAGCCTGGGCAACAAGAATGAAACTCTGTCTCAAAAAAAAAAAAAAAAAGAAGAAGAAGAAGAAGAAGAAATGCACAGTCCAGGCCGGGCACAACAGTGGCTCATGCCTATAATCTCAGCACTCTGGGAGGCCAAGGTGGTTGGATCACTTGAGGCCAGGCATTCGAGACCAGCCTGGCCAACATGTTGAAACCATGTCTCTACTAAAAATACAAAAATTAGCCAGATGTGGTGGCGCATGCCTGTAGTCCCAGCTACTTGGGTGGCTGAGGCAGGAGAATTGCTTGCACCCAGGAGGTGGAGGTTGCAGTGAGCCAAGATTGCGCCACTGCACTCTAGCCTGGGCAACAGCGCAAGACTCTATCCCGAAAAAGAAAAAAAAAAGAAATGTATAGTCTGAAATGCAAAGTCTGGCTGGGTAGGCAAGCTAGTGAGCTGGTGATAAATAAACTATAGCATGGACTCTAAATGCAGTCATTAATTTAGGTCTTTAGCAGGAGGGAGAGGACTTTACCTGGGTCTTCCAAAATGAGGAAGGGGAGAGATTTTGGTAAGTAGAGCAGAATGAGGGCATTTCAGAAAAGGAAAAACATTTGTCTACCTGCTGTAAGGGGACATGAAATGGTAGATGCCTGGGACAATATGGTCACCTGCCCAAGGAGCAGGGGAGTAATAAACCAGCATGAGATACCATCATCTGAAGCAATTTGTGGCAGCATCTCTGCGGTTACCACACCATCACCTCATTACTTCACCAAGCTGTAATTTTCCATATTACTAATGGGGTTGCAAAGAATCTAGTGTTTCCTATTCAGTGAGGGCTGAAGTTGGGAAAAATAAGAAATCTTCTTGATTATTTTTCCCCTTTGGAAATTAGGGGACAAAACATGGATGATGTCATGGTTTTGGTGGATTCAGAAGAGGAAGAGGAGGAGGAGGAGGAGGAGGAGGAAGATGCTGCAGTAGGGGAACAGGAGGGAGCACGTGAGAGAGAGGAGTTGCCAAAAGAAATACCTAAGCAGGACCACATTCACAGAGTGACCGCCTTGGTGAATGGGAACATAGAACAGATGGGAAATGGATTCCAGGATCTTCAAGGTAAGCTCTTTTTCCTTAAACAAACAAACAGAAAACAAACAAAAAAAGGCGCGTTGGCTCACGCCTATAATCCCAGCACTTTGGGAGGCCAAGGTGGGAAGATCACTTAAGCCCAGAAGTTCAAGACTAGCCTGGGCAACATGGTGAGACTCTGTCTCTACGAAAAAAAAAAAAAAAAAAAAGAAAAATTAGCCGGTCATGGTGGTGTGCACCTGTGTTCCCAGCTACTTGGGAGGCTGAGGATCACTTGAGTGTAGGAAGTCCAGGCTGCAGTGAGCTATGATCACACCACTGCACTCCAGTCTGGGCAGCAGTAGGAAACCTGCCTCAGAAAAAAAAAAAAAAAAAAAAAAGCCCACAAACCTCTGAACTGCTGCGGTGAGCTTCCCAGCAGGAAATCTCTAAGGGGTGAGTTTAGTTTTTTTAAAAGGCTGGGGAAGATAGCTAAACTTTAGTCTAGAACCTGAGACTACTATCAACTACCAACATGAAAATCAAATTGACAAACACTTATCAAGGTCCTGGTCTAGGGTAGGCACAATATTGGCATTGTGGGAGAACAGAAAATAGAGACTGGTAGTGTCTGCATGCAGGGAGCTTTACAAGACCAGTTCAGGCCAGGTGCGGTGGCTCACGCCTATAATCCCAGCATTTTGGGAGGCTGAGGCAGGTGGATCATTTGAGGTCAGGAGTTTGAGACCAGCCTGGCCAACATGGTGAGACCCCCATCTCTACTAAAAATACAAAAATCAGCTGGGTGTGGTAGGTGCCTGTAATCCCAGCTACTTGGGAGACCAAGGCAGGAGAATCACTTGAACCCGGGAGACGGAGGCTGCAGTGAGCCGAGATCGTGCCACTGCACTTCAGCCTGGGTGACAGAGTGAGACTCTGTCTCAAAAAAAAAAAAAAAAAGGCCAGTTTAGGGGAACAAACTAAAACCTGCAGGGGAAATGGAAACAGGAGCAAGATTGAACCAACACACTGAGAGAGCAGTAGAGGAGCTGTTGCAGGAAGATATTTGATTAATTGCCTGATGGACAACACATTTAAAAATTATAGGCACGGTTGCTCATGCCTGTAATCCCAGCACTTTGGGAGGCCAAAGTGGGTGGATCGCTGGAGCTCAGGAGTTCGAGACTAGCCTTGGGAACATGGCAAAACGTGTCTCTACTAAGAATACAAAAAATTAGCTGGGTGTGTGGCATGTACCTGTAGCCCCAGCTACTTGGGAGGCTGAGGTGGGAGAATCACCTGAGCCTGGGAAGTTGAGGCTGCAGTGAGATGAGATCGTGCCACTGCACCAAAATTTATAGGACCTCAGAGAAAGATAAGAGCCCGGAGAGGTGTGCTGGTCAGGGGAAGCTTTATGGAAGAGGTAGACATGAAGCAAGGCGTTAAGACGGCTGAGTTGGAATAAGCAGAAAGGAGAGAGGGCGTTTCAGGTGAGGGGAGGGGCGTGAGCTGAGGACATGAAGGGTGACTGGTATCAAGCATGCCTAGAGGTTCTGAATGTAGAAAACAGGTGAAAAGGGGAAAACACACGCTGCCCTACCTTCTCCATGAGATCCCATTCTGTGGCTCACCAGGAAAGGACTAGAAATCACTGAGATGATTGATGACTGACGGTGGAAATAGAATCACACTCTGATTACAAAGCATTGGGTTTATTTCCCCCCATACAGATGACAGCAGTGAGGAGCAAAGTGACATTGTTCAAGAAGAAGACAGGCCAGTCTGAAGAAGAGGATGGTCCATGGTTGTCTTGCTCTGAAAGCTTGGAGAGCTACATTGAAGACGAGCTCTTCATTCAGCTTTGACTCCACCTGCACCCCTGGCGGGGGCTTGCACTAACAATGTTTGGGTCTCAGCAAAAAACAAAACCAAGCACACACATCTTTCCTTCCATGTATTGAAAAACATTGGTTTGATTTGCTCTAAGTTTTCCCAATGATGTTTAAAAGCTTTGAGAAGGAAAGCTGCTTTGGTGTCTGAGGTGCCACTTCTGCTGTGAATCCTGGCTTTATCCAGGTTGATCTACTGTGATAGATGCTGATTTAGAGGGAACAGAGGTCAGGGAAGCACTGGGTCTTGGTGCCTTTTGCCGCTTTTTTTTTTTTTTTTTTTTTTTTTTGAGACGGAGTCTCCCTCTATTGCCCAGGCTGGAGTGCAATGGCACGATCTTGGCTCACCACAACTTCTGCCTCCCAGGTTCAAGCGATTCTCCTGCCTCAGCCACGGCACCTTGCAAATATCAGCTCCTTGGAACAGGTGAAGTTCCAGGTACCAATGCCAATCAGAGGAAGGCAGTTTGGTTCAGGCTTTGGAGTTAGAAACACCTGAAGTTGAATCTGGGCTCTGTTGCTTCCTTCTTTCATGGGCTAGAGCACGACTCTTTACCTCTCTCTTGGCCTCAATTTCCTCACCTGTAAAATAGATGAGGAAGCTGCTCACTTATTATTGTCTCGTTCTGAAAGCTTGGAAAGCTACATCGAAGATGAGCTCTTCATTCAGCTTTGATTTGACCTGTACCCCTGGTGGGGGATTGCACTGGCAACATTTGGGTCTCAGCAAAAAAACCAAGCACACACATCTTTCCTTCCATTTATTGAAAAACATCTTTGTAAGATCCATTCATTGAAAAACATAATCCATTTATTGAAAAATATCTTTGTAAGATCACCTGCTAAATATGAAAATCTGACTTGAATTTGTACTCTTTAAAGTTGCGTATCTGCTCTAGTGGGCAGGACCTAGGGCTTAAAGGGGAACTTCCTTTCTCCATTTCTAAGAACTGGGACTCTAAAATGAGAAGCTGGTTGTCTGAAGTAACCCTGCAGGTGTGGTTGGGGAAGGTCTGTTTTCTTGGATGAAGGAACTAAACTAAGCATATCAGAGCACTGTCTTAACCAGTTTTATTTCCCTGGAGATAGAATTCTTTTAAAAAGAGTTAGGGAGCTGGTAATAGGAAGTGCCTTTCATTATAACTACATTTTGCAGAGCTTCATATTTATATACAAGCCTCCTAGGTGATACACTGTTAGCTTGCAGACTTTCCTATGCTTCATTTCTCCTGTTGCTTTCAAAGAAGGCAGGAGACACGTTTAATAACGGAGTATCTGGTGATAAGAATTGCTTGGGCAAACCAGCTCATCTGGACTCTTTCTCAGTCTTGGAAGTGGGAAGAGGAAAACTTGTTTCCTTCCTGCTTCTTAAGGATATTCTGAGGGTACACTGATCAATAACACTAAATTTGGAATGAAAATACCATGTGATGAGTTTAGCCTGCTGATGCTTCCAGTAGATCCTTGTATAGTTTCAAGATTTAAGTTTTCCGATTTCATATAAATTTCTTAAAGTCGAGGACCTTATAAGGGTGCAATGGATGTTTGCTAAATATGAAAAACTGACTTGAATTTGCACTCTTTAATGTTGCGTATCTGCTCTAGTGGGCAGGACCTAGGGCTTAAAGGGGAACTTCCTTTCTCCAATTCTAGGAACTGGGACTCTAAAATGAGAAGCTGGTTGTCTGAAGTAACCCTGCAGGTGTGGTTGGGGAAGGTCTGTTTTCTTGGATGAAGGGATTAAACTGAGCAAATCACTAGAAGTATGCCCTGTCCCCTGCTCAGAACACTGGGGAGCTCAAGAGTGGGCTGCAATGTGCACCCCTCAGGAATAGCTGTGAATTGCAGGTCTACTGGCTTTTTGCTTTTTGTCTTTTGCTGCAAGGTACCCCACGTACTTAACCATTCTCAACAGTGTAAATCAGTGTCATTTTAGAATGAGATACTCAGCTTGCTTCTAAAGTCACTGAATTACTGAGTGAGTCTCTCCTTTAGAGTCTTCGGCAACCAAATTCCAGAATTGAAGAGTCTACTACTCAGAGGCAACAAGATTAAAAAAAGAAAACACAAAAACTGTTGAGGTGAAAAAAAAAAAAAACCCTAGCTAGGAACACAGAGAATGTTTTGTAGGATCACTGGGATATTTTCCACAACTTCCTCTTCTCTAGCACACACATCTGTTGATAGGAAATATTTGAGGGTTTTTCCACTACCAAATGGGAGCTTCATGGTCCTGGTGTCAAACACTATAAACCTTTGACCAGCTGAGCTGTGACTGCTGTCACATATCTGAGTCCTGTGTGCACAGTAATATCCTGGGTCAGGTAAAATCCAGGTCTTCAAGTTTTAAGGATTTTTTGAAGAATTCGGGCTTCTTTAAGACGATCCATGCCCAAATCCACAAGCTTGTTGACAGTGGATTACAGTTTGTGTGGCAAAGTCCAAGTTGTTACACTGTGCTTTAAAAAAAATCTTATCTGCATGTATTGTTAACTTAGAGACCATGAGATCTATTTATCAGGACCAGGAAGATACACACTTCAGGTCCATTGCAACTGACTTTTTTCTTGTTTTTCTCAAACCCTGGTGGAGCCTGGGAAGGGGGCCTCCACAATTCTGTGGCTTTGATATTAGCCCCAATTCTCACAAGCACATACAAGCCCCATAATTGCCGCAGGAAAACACAAGATGGAAAATTGCAATAACCCATGCACTGAGACTTAGAAAATCATCCTTACTAGGCAAAATGTATTATGATGCAATAAGTGCCAACTGATATTTCTCACGTTGGGACTGGCCAGGAACTGCTGCAAAGAAAAATAAGCAGCTCCTTCTCCATTATTTACATTTTAAGATGTGGTGGGGGGAGGTTGGGAGAAATTAGTTCTGAGGTTATCATATGCCTTTTTTAAAAGATAATGGAATAAAGCTATTTTTAAGTAAGTGCTTTTGTGATCTTGATTGAGACCTGGTTAGTAAATTGAAAGACTTGGAAAAACGAACTTGCCAAAAAAAATTTTTTTTACTAGCTTTTTAAAAATTGGTAACAATATTCTTCTCACCTCAGCCCCGCCTTTTTTGTTTTTTTTTTTTTTTTTTCCTCCAGACGGAGCCTCCATCACCCAGGCTGGTGTGCAATGGCAAGATCTCAGCTCACTGCAACCTCCACCTCCTGGGTTCAAGTGATTCTCCTGCCTCAGTCTCCCGAGTAGCCGGGTTTACAGGTGCCCGCCACCACACCCAGCTAATTTTTGTATTTTTAGTAGAGATTGGGTTTGGCCATATCGGCCAGGCTGGTCTCGAACTCCTGACCTCAGGTGATCTGCCCGCCTTGGCCTCCCAAAGTGCTGGGATTACAGGCATGAGCCATCGCGCCCCGCGACCTTACCCTTTTATTCTTTTCCATGACGTGTACATAAAAACGAGGCCTGTAAGACTCCAGGAATCGAAGGAATTTGGGAGACAAAAAATGGAGACTCAGAAAATTAGAGAAGAGAAAAATGGGAGGGGGGAGCCTGGACAATAAAACGGGGGTCCTCAGGAGGCAGGAAATTAGCGATTAAATGGGAGCAGAGGTGGAGGAGGCCGACACTGGTGCCAGAGATAAAAGTGGAGTCCCAAAAAAAGGGGTGCGCTGGGCCGTTTTTAAAATTGGGAAACATAAAAAATACCCAGTGGAAAATGAAGAGAGAGAACGGGGCATGCTAAAGTTAACATGGGCGGCGAGAAAGGGACAGGTAGCCAGCGGAAAAGGGGGAGACTGAGAAACCGGCAGGTTCAAAGAAAAGAAAAAAAAAAACCGGCCAAGCGGGGTGAACAGGAGTGTAACCCAGGAGGCCAAACGGGACACAGGAAGGACGTACCCAGGGCTCATAAAACAGGGGCCTGGGTAAAAAAACCCGAAACATTAAAACGGAGAGACCATGGTGAAAAAGAACACGGGAACCTCAGTTACCGTAGAAAACATAGGTTGCGTTAGGAAGCAAAGAAATTTAAAATGGAACCACTGCGATCCGGAGCTCTGGGACCAGTGACCGGCAAATGGAGAGGGCACTTGGAGGGAAGCGAAGAAAGGCGGGGAGAAAGGAATGAGAGGCGGGAGAGTGACTTGAATGAAGCTGACACCAAGAACCGCGGGAAGAGCTTGGGCCCAAAGCAGGAAAGGGAAGCGCTCGAGTTGGGGGTAAGGGGAGGCATTTTGGGGACAATGAGCTGAGCTCAGTAAGAAATCCCCAAGCCACTGATACTACTGGGGACCGGACAACTAAGAAATGGGGTCTTTCAGGCATGAAAAGCCTCCATGATGACTCCTGCCCTGGCCCTGGAATGTTAAAAAGGGGGCGTCTGACCCAAGCGAGCCATTTCTTGAGGCTATGCGGGTAGACAGGGAGAGCAGGTTTCTCAGGGGGACGGGGACAGGCGAGGCTGTCGCCGTAGGTAGGTAAGGGGACAGTCTTCTTCCGAATCGCTCCTGCCCCGTTTTTTATCTCGTTCCCACCCCCACTCCGGTTTTCACCCTGCCCTCCTCTCCCCACCGCCCCGTGTTCTCCTCACTTCCCTCTCCCATTACCGGAGCCATTGAGTAGCCCCCCTTGTTTTACCCTAGCCTTGACCCTCGCCGCACCCCCCAATTCTTACGTCCTCCCCAGCACCCGGTTATTACACCTTCCTTCCACCCCCTCCCCATTTTCCCCTAAGCCCAGCTCTCCCCAGGTTTCTTCTCGGCCAGTATTCCCTCCAACCTATTTCTCCCGCCCCCATTTTTACCCGTTTCCCCCCTCATCGGCCTTCGCATGGCTCCATTTTCACCTGCCCCTCCCCTCGATTTCGCTTCAGCCCCTTTGGTTCCCCTTACCCCCACAGCCCTCGGTCTCCCTCTCTCCGTTCTCCCCGGATCGCCGCTTCCCCTGCTTGGTTTTTCTCTCAGCCCGGCTCTACCACTCTCCAACACCCCCTTTTCCCCTGAGCCCGGCTTCCCCTACTCCGGTTTCTATCGCTCCCCTTTTCCCGGTTTCCCTCAGCTCTGTTCACCTCCCTCCCTTCCCCGTTTTTATCCGGCGCTGGTTCCCCTCAGGACCCCGCACAACCCCTGGGTTTTATCCCGTTCGCGCCCCACCCCGTTTCCGCTCAGCTCCCCCCACCCCTGCCCCATTTTTATCTGGTTCGCGCGTCTTCCCCGCCCCCGTTTCCCCTGAGCAACCCCTCAGCTTTTATCCCGTCAGCGTACCGCCTCCCCGATTTTCCATCTTTTCCCTCAGCTGCCCCCCACCGTTTTTATCCCGTCCGCACCCCCCCTCCGTTTCCCCTGCGCCCCGCCCCCGCGCGTCTCCGCCCGCGCCCACCGCCATGTGACGGGAAGCAGCTGATGGCCTCTCCGGGCGGCGGCGGCGGCCTGGCCGGGGCGGGCGGCGCGGGGGCGGCATGAGGGCCCGCGGCCCGGGGGGCTGAGGCGCCCGCCGCCTGCCGCGGGGGCCGCTCGCGTCCTCCATGGAGGCCGGAGGTGAGTGGGGCCGGGCGCGCCCGTTCCCGCCCGGCGGGGCCCTGGCCCGTTCTCCCCGGGGAGGGGGGAGGCGACCCCGGGGCGGGCTGGGCGGGGTGGGGCGGGGGCTGGACGCGGCGGGGGCGTCCGGCCTGGGAGGTCCGCGCGGGGCCGGCGGGGGTGCGCGCCCGGCGACCAGCTTTGTTTCACTTTCGTTGTCAGTGGCCGCCACCCTGACTCCCGCCGGCGACAGGATCGGGAAGATCGGGCTTCTGCGGGAGGAGATCCCCCGACCGGGACAGAGGGGGCTCCCGGGTGGGACTCGGGGCGGGGGGCACCAAGCCCTAAAACGGAGATCCCCAAGGGGGTGGGTGCCCCTGGGTACCCAGGTGCCAGGGGACGCACTTGCATGTCTGGATGGGAGTCACCTCTGTCCCTCACAAGCTGTGTGATCGTGACAGTGGACAAGCCACTGAACCACCGCCACCCACGTCTCAGTTTTGATCTGCAAAATGGGATAATCCTAGTACCTTCCTCGGAGGGTGGCTGGGACCCGGTAAAAATGGGGTCTGGGGTCTGGGTTCCCTATTGAAACAATCTATTCCCAGCCTCTCCCACTGGAGATTAAGTCAGTGGAGGTGGGGCGGGACTGGAGACGCTGATCCCTGGTGACATGTATGATCAGGCAAATTTAGGATACACTGATGGGTGGGGACCTTGCCTCTATTCTTGTTAACTGCCATCCCCATCAGAAGACAGCGTGGAAGTCAGAGGATATTGGATATACCTCAAGCCAGCCCAGATGAACATAAAATCTCAGTGGGAAAGGTGTGTCTCTTATGCAAGGGGAAAAAAACCCCAAGACGCATGCACGCCTTGGCCCTCTCCCCTCCAACGACCTTCCCTCGGAACCCCACTTGGGATAGATTTAGAATTGATTCCGGGAGTCCCAGGTCTTGAAGGACCCGAGTTTAAATGTAATTTCCTTAGGAGAAATTTTCAGAGCAGGTTCAAGGCCTAGGGCTCAGAATTTGTTCCAGAACTTCATGGTAATCTTGCAGCCAAGTTCAAGCTTCATCCTGGTCTGGAGGGTTCTGATTGCTGATGGCTTGTTACTGTGGGTGGGAAGGTTGAAATCTGGGTATTCCCTGGGGTGGTGTTACTTTTTAATTTAGGAAATGACATTTCTTTGTTTGCTGAAGTCAGGCATTGAGTTAAAGGCAGCTCTCTCTCCTTCCCATCTAGATAAGGGCTTTCTTTTCAGTGAGTGTTACCCGTAGAATTCTTTTTAAAAGGGCCCCTACTGTTTGTGTAGATCCTATGTGAATCTTTTTATAGCTTCCGTTTGATTTCCATTGCCTCCTTACAGTTCAATCTGAAAGCAATCTGTAGCTAGCCTGCCTTTTTAACAGAAATCTGTTTCCAGTTCTGGGGTTTTCCTAAAGATTGACAACTTCGTTTTGAGGGTGTGGGCAGGGTTGTTGAGAGCTGCCAAGTTACTGTACAAAAAAGGCCAGAGTTTTAACTTATTTTCAAATGGAATAAAGCCCATTGTAAAGGAAATACAATGGGCAACAGTTGAAATCTTCAGAGCAATGGTTAGACTTCACTTATTCATTCAGCAAATATTTGTTGAACGTCTACTATGTGCCAGGCACCCTCTAGGCCAGCCCCGACCAACAGAAGTCTAATGTGAGCCACGTATGTAATTTAAAATGTTCAAGTAGCCACATTAAAAAAAAGAAAAAAGAACTAGGTGACAATTTAAAAACTCTTTCAATACAACATGTCTAAAATATTCCTGCTACATGTAATCAAATAAATTGTAATGTAATGTTTTAGATTTTTTTTTGTGCTAAGTGTTCAAAACGTGTTGTGTATTTTTTACTTACAGCCCATCTGAATTCTGACTTGCCACATTTCAAGTGGTTGGTAACCACATGTGATTTCCCTATTAGACAGTGTAGCCCAATAGCAGTGAACTGGCAAGTTTGGGTGGGTTCAGAAAGAGACAGACAATAAATACGTAAAAATGACAGGCAATCAAGAAAATATCAACCAAATGCGCCGGGGTGGCTCACGTCTGTAATCTCAGCACTTTGGGAGGCTGAGGCGGGCAGATCACTTGAGGCCAGGAGTTCGAGACCAGCCTCACCAACATAATGAAACTCCGTCTCTACTAAAAATACAAAATTAACCAGGCGTGGTGGTGCATACCTGTAATCCCAGCTACTCAGGAGGCTGAGGCAGGAGAACCGCTTGAACTGGAGAGGTGGAGGTTGCAGTGAACCAAGATCTCGCCATTGCACTCCAGCCTGGGCAACAAGAGTGAAACTCCATCTCAAAAAAAAAAAAAGAAGAAGAAAATATCTAAGTGATGGTTATAAAGAAAATCAAATGGTTAAAGGAAAGTGAATGGTGCCAGGCGCAGTGGCCCAGCAGTTTGGGAGGCCAACTTGGGTAGATCACTTGAGCTCAGGAGTTTGAGACCAGTCTAGGCAGCATGGCAAAACCCCATCTCTGCAAAAAATACCGAACTATAGGCGCGTGCATGGTAGAATGTGCCTGTAGTCCCAGCTACTGGGGAGGCTGAGATGGGAGGATCATCTGAGCCTGGGGAGGTCGAGGTTGCAGTGAGCCGTGATGGTGCTACTGCATTCCAGCCTGGGCAACAGAGCAAGACCCTGTCTCAAAAAAAATAAAAAATAAAAAAGGAAAGTGTATGGTCGCTTTAGATAGTGAGGCCAGGATGGTCTCTGAGAAGGTGACATGAGGACCAATCCCTGAATGATAAGATGGAGCAACTGAGGAAAGCTTTTGAGGCCGGTGGAATATCTAATGTACATGTCCTGATACAGGAAAAATCACCTAGCTTCCTGCTGGCTGGGGTCATAGCTTTCATCTCTGTGTTAAGGCTAACTGCTTTGCCTAGAAGAGGCTTATAATATATACCTTTCCATTCAGCCTGATTGTCCAAACACATCCCATTGTTTAATTAGAACACCCTGATCCAGGGCCAGGTGCAATGGCTCATGCCTGCAGGAGAATCGCTTGAGCTCAGGAGATCAAAACCAGCTTGGTCAACATAGCCAGACCCCCATCTCTACTAAAAATTTAATTTAAAAAAAAAAAAAATGCTGAGTGTGGTGGTACGCCCCCGTAGCCCGATACACAGGAGGCTGAGGCGGGAGGATCACTTGAATCTGGGTGGGAGATTGAGGCTGCAGTGAGCTGTGATTCAGCCACTGCACCCCAGCCTGGGTCTCAAAAAAAAAAAAAACCCAAATATATATATGAATATGATATACTTGAAATTTGCTAAGAGTAGATTTTAAGTGTTCTCACCACACAAAAATAAGTATGTGAGGTAATGCATATATGGTAATGAGCTTGACTGAGCCATTCCACAATGTATACATATATCAAAACATGTTATATTCCATAATATATACAATTTTTATTTATCAGTTTAAAAAAGAAGAGGCTGGACGCGGTGACTCACGCCTGCAATCCCAGCACTTTGGGAGGCCGAGGTGGGCAGATCACCTGAGGTCAGGAGTTCGAGACCAGCCTGGCCAAAATGGTGAAACCCCATCTCTACTAAAAATACAAAAATTAGCCAGGTGTGGTGGCGCATGCCTGTAATTCTAGCTACTCGGGAGGCTGAGGCAGGAGAATCACTTGAACCCAGGGGGCGGAGGTTGCAATGAGCCGAGATGGCGCCACTGCACTCCAGCCTGGGCAGCAGAGTGAGACTCTGTCTCAAAAAAAAAAGGAGAAAACAAAGAAACCCTGATTCATAGGCCTTTTCACCAAGAAGGATCTACAAGTACCATACCAGTTGAAGCTAGATACCCCACCCCCAGCTCTGTTTTTGTTTGTTTGTTTTGTTTTTAAGTTCTGCACTAATTAGGGCTTTCTCTCCGTGTAGCCAAGTTTAGTTTGGGCCCAGACTCCAAGAGACAGGAGTCACTGGGTTTGTTCTTCTTTTAGCTCCTGGATTCCTGAACCTGAAATAGCAAGAGATTAAATCCCTAAATCACAGAAATAGAGTGTGAATTCTGAGTAGGGCTTGTGTTTAAGAAGCATTTCATGTGAAATGTTTGGCATAAGCATCATCAGAGTTTAAGGGGCTTTATTTATTTTTTATTTTTTGGGGACAGAGTCTTGCTCTGTCACCCAGGCTGGAGTACAGTGGTGCAATCTTGGCTCACTGCAACCTGCACCTCCCGGGTTCAAGTGATTCTCCTGCCTCAGCCTCCCGAGTAGCTGCGACTACAGGCGCCCGCCACTATGCCCGGCTAATTTTTGTATTTTAAGTAGAGACGGGGTTTCACCACGTTGGCCAGGCTGGTCTTGAACTCCTGGCCCCAAGTGACCTGCCTGCCTCGGCCTCCCAAAGTGTTGGGATTACAAGC
This sequence comes from Homo sapiens, assembly GCF_000001405.40. Classification (NCBI taxonomy): domain Eukaryota; kingdom Metazoa; phylum Chordata; class Mammalia; order Primates; family Hominidae; genus Homo; species Homo sapiens. The sequence continues at coordinate 118,056,638 of NC_000012.12, read as the reverse complement.
ATGAGCTACCATGCCTGGCCAGCTTTATGTTACTTTTTTGTTTAAAGAGTTATACCATATGTATTTATTAGACAAATATTTACTCACTGCCTGCCCTCCACCAGGAACTCTGCCAGCTCTGGGGATAAATATACAAAGTTCTTGCTCCCTGGAGTTGATATCCTAGTGGAGGGGAGACAGATGGCGATCAAATGGTGATAGAGCTGTAAAGAAAATAAAGTGAGGGGTTGTGAAGGAGATTGACTAGGGGTCAGAAGAGTTCTCTAAGCAGTTGTCATTTGAGCCAGACCTGAATAAGAGTAGATGCCAGCCGAGGAGAGGCATTCCAGGTGAAGGGCATGGTTGGTGCAAAGGCCTAGGGTCAGAACTAATTGAGCATTGGCAGAGGGTAGAGAGAAGGGCAATGTGTTGGAGCCAGGGGCAGGGAGAGAAGTACAAGCCCAGGGAAGTTCAGATTATGCTGGATTTTGAGGGCAGGGTGAGGAGCTAGAGTTTTATTCTAACAGTGTTTGAAACTGACCACTCTGGAGGCAAGGAGAACCGATGGTGCGGGGCTAGAGGGGAAGCCGGGAGAGCAGCTGGAAGGTTGCCTACTGGGCCAGGCGGGAGATGATGCTGCATAGATGAGAGTAGAGATGGAGAGGGGTTAGATTTGGCAAGTCTTTTGTAAACAGACTTGATAGAACTTGCTAATGGATTTGGTTTGGGAGATTTAAAAAAAAAAAAACAGACGTGGTGGTTTACACCTGTAATCCCAGCACTTTGGGAGTCCGAGGTGGGCGGATTGCTTCAGTCTAGGAGTTTGAGACCAGCCTGGCCAAGATAGCAAAAACCTGTCTCTACTAAAAATACAAAAATTAGCTGGGTGTGGTGGTGCACGCCTGTAATCCCAGCTTCTTGGAAGGCTGAGGCATAAGAATTTCTTGAACCCAGGAGGCCGAGGTTGCAGTGAGCCGAGATTGTGCCATTGCAGTCCAGCCTGGGTGACAGAGTGAGACTCCATCTCAAAAAAAAAAAAAAAAAAAAAAAAAGGATAATGTAGAGGAAGTGAACCAATTGTGAATGTTATCAGGATGGAAAAAAAAAAGACATTTTCATCCTGGTCATTTGATCCGGAATTCCTGGTCTCAAGCAATTCTTCCACCTCTGCCTCCCAGAGCACTGGGATTACAGGCATGAGCCACTACCCCAGGCCATCCAGGTCATTTGAAAATGTTTCTCTAGATCAGTCAATGTCATTTAATACTTGACTGCATCTGGGTTTCTCAGCCTTGGCATTGTTGACATTTTGGGCCAGATGATTCTTTGCTGGGGGCTGTCCTGTGCGCTGTAGAGTGTTGAGCAGCATCCCTGGCCTCCACCCACTAGATGGCAGTAGTAGCAACTCCAGTTGTGACAACCAAAAATGTTACTGCCAAATGTCCTTAAGGGGCAAACTAGCCCCCAGTTGAGAACCCTGGGTCTATAGAAATAGCTATACACATGTGATTGTATAAATGAAACTGTCACACATACAAACATACAGATTTCTAGGAGGATTTACCTGGGTCTATACAAATAGCTATTTACTCAGACCATATATATAAAAATATATTTCTTTCTTTTTTCTTTTTTTTTTTTTTTAAAGAGATGGAGTCTTACCATGTTGACCAGGCTGGTCTTGAACTCCTGGCCTCAAGCTATCATCCCATCTCGGCCTACCAAAGTGCTAGGATTATAGGCGTGAGCCACCGTGCCTGGCCTAGACCTAATACATTAAACCCAAATTTACACATAGAACCTCTGAGAATGAATAGTCTCTTTACAAAGGCTTGATATGATTTATTAACATTCTATTTAAAGACAGAAACTTCAGGAACACACACCTATTTTATATAACAAGATATACCTATGTTATTATTTTCCTATAAATGCATATACTAGAATTATTATTATTATTATTATTATTATTATTATTTTTTGAGACAGAGTTTCACTCTTGTTGCCCAGGCTGGAGTGCAATGACACCATCTCAGCTCACCGCAACCTCTGCCTTCCGCCTCCCGGGTTCAAGCGATTCTCCTGCCTCAGCCCTCTGAGTAGCTGGGATTACAGGCATGCGCCACCAAGCCCGGCTTATTTTGTATTTTTAGTAGAGATGGGGTTTCTCCATGTTGGTCAGGCTGGTCTCGAACTCCCGACCTCAGGTGATCTGCCCGCCTTGGCCTCACAAAGTGCTGGGATTACAGGCATGAGCCAATTTTTTTTTGAGACAGAGTCTCGCTCTGTCACCCAGGCTGGAGTGCAGTGGCACGATCTCGGCTCACTGTAACCTCCGCCTCCTGGGTTCAAGTGCTTCTCCTGCTTCAGCTTCCCGAGTAGCTGGGACTGCAGGTGCCCGCCACCATGTCTGGCTAATTTTTTTTTTTTTTTTTTTTTTTTGGATTTTTAGTAGAGACATGGTTTCACCATGTTTGCCAGGCTGGTCTTAAACTCCTGTCCTCAAGTGATCTGCCTGCCTTGGCCTCCCAAAGTGCTGGGATTACAGATGTGAGCCACTGCACCTGGCAAAAATATTTTATAAATATACACATATGCATCTCTACCATCTGTTTTATTGAATCCAAGATACCATGGATTGTATTATCATCATGTATAACTGAGAAAAAAATACTACCTATTTAACTATGAAAAGTCATTGATTATAAGATACATCCTGATTTCAGCGAGGTCAAAATGTAAGATATATAAAGATGTGTCTTAAAATATATGAAATACGGGTTTTAAAAATGAATATCTATCTGGTAACAGCCAGGGTCAAAGTCTTCCACATTCCACATTCCTTGTGTGGAATGGACACATCAGGAAGTGACCTTATTCAGGATGGAAGCCAGTTTTTATATTAGTAAGTATCACAGTCATAATGGTCAAAAAATTCATTCTGAAGGCCTTTAACTTATAAGCTTCATCAGCCATGAGAATCTTCCATCAGAGTAGAGAACTGAACTAGGAACTGTGGGTCAGTCAATGAAGAAGCTCCAATCTGGTGCCTACTCTTTCACAAGATGGTGTGCTAGGTCCTGGGAGAAACAAAGACAAAATGATCTGGGTGTTGGAACAAGGTGCTTAGACACTGATGACGAGGGCGGGGGGCAGAGAGAAATTGGTTACATAAGAGAGAATGAAATAAACAAGGTGCGACTTATTTCCGTTTTGATAGTGTGAGATCAGGGTACGCTTCTTAGTTGTGAATCTAGGTGGGATTATTACTTTTTTCTTTCTTTCTTGTTACTTTGAGAAGCTAGGGATTCTCATAAGCAAAAGTGGGTCCAGGTGTGAACGTAAATAAGCCCCTTGCATGTCAAGGAGATTTTGTGGCCAGAGTGTGGCCTGCAGGGAGGGGACAAGGGAAGGAGGTTGGACCGATGGGCTGGGGCAGATGGCATGTGGTGAAAGTCCTGGTCTCAGTTGCCTTTATGATGTAGGCAGGCGGGAGCTTTCTAATGTATTTGAAAGAAATGATGTGATGTGTGGGTATTTCAGCTTTAGCAGCATCTCTAGGGGTAGGAAGACTGATCAGGAGACTGTAGCAAAAGATCTGGGTGAGATGAGATGAAGGTTTAACCCCAGACAGAGGACGTGGAAGCGGGAGAGATGGGGAGATGGAATCCATACTTCTGAGTGTGAGGAAGCAGGGCAAGGGCTGAACGTTTTTAGCCTTGATGATGGGGAGGATGCAGGCGAGTGAGAGGGAGCCTTTGAGTTTCACATATTCCTTCTTTGACAGCAGCAGGTTCTTCTGAAGAAACCTGAAATGCATTGGAAGGCCTTGCTATTTTGGCCCCATAATCAGCACCGTCTAGCATATTCCTGGTCTGGCTGTCTCTCCACTTTCCTCCCCTTCAAGTATTCATAGGAAAATGAGGCCTCCATTCACTGGGTTCATGGGCACAAAGGTTACTGTGAGTCATGGTTAACCAGCAGTGAGGAGTGCCAGGATTGAGTAACCGTGGTGGAATGTGGCCTGTGGCTGCTGTTATTGCCCTGGGTCATTTAAGTGACAACTCCCTCTGGGAATGGATAGTGTGGCTCTTTGCCACAGGGAGACAGTGGCTTTCCTGTGTCTGGGTGGTCAGGGAGCAAGGGGGTGTGTGTTTGAAGCATGTTGTCTCCTGCCCCAGAGGAACCGCTGCTGCTGGCCGAACTCAAGCCCGGGCGCCCCCACCAGTTTGATTGGAAGTCCAGCTGTGAAACCTGGAGCGTCGCCTTCTCCCCAGATGGCTCCTGGTTTGCTTGGTCTCAAGGACACTGCATCGTCAAACTGATCCCCTGGCCGTTGGAGGAGCAGTTGTAAGTATTCTCGTACTGGGGCCCCATCCGGCGCATTTCCAAACACTCCTTGTTCTTTTGCCATCTCTGTGCCCAAGAACCAGAGAGAGGGAAGGTGGCTCATGGTTCAGGAATTGATCATGGGGGTTTCCAGAGCCCCAAGTTCTGTATATGTGAAAGTCAATTCTGTCAAGATTATGTTAGCCCCAAGTTGGCTTTTTTTCCCATAGCTTTATTGAGATGTAATTTATATACCACACAGTTTGTCCATTTAAGTATACAATACAGTGGCTTTTAGTCTATCCACAGAGTTGTGCATCCATCACCATCATCAGTCTTACTTTATTTATTTATTTTTTGAGACAGTCTCCCTCTGTCTCCTAGGCTGGAGTGCAATGGCGCAATCTTGGCTCACTACAACCTCTGCCTCCTGGGTTCAAGCGATTCTCCTGCCTCAGCCTCCTGAGTAGCTGGGATTACAGGCACACACCACCACGCCTGGCTAAGTTTTGTATTATTAGTAGAGACGAGGTTTCGCCATGTTGGCCAGGCTGGTCTCAAACTCCTGACCTCAAGTGATTCACCCACCTCGGCCTCCCGAAGTGCTGGGATTACACATTTCTCCCATGAGCCACTGTGCCTGGCACATAATCAATTTTAGAATATCTTTATTTCCTCAGAAAGAAACCCTGTACCCCTTAATTTAGATCCCCCAACCCCCCTGCACTCTCCAGGCAACCACTAATCTACTTTGTCTCTCTAGATTGGCCTATTCTAGACATTTCCTATTAATGGAGTCATACAACACGTAGCCTTTTTTGACTAGCTCCTTTCATTTTACATAATGTTTTCACAGTTCATCCGTATTCTAGCATATACTAGTATTTCATTTCCTTTTATTGCATCATATGGAGATGCCAAATTTTGTTCGTACATTTATCAGTTGATGGACATTGGGTTGTTTTCATGTTTTGGTTATTACAAATAGTGCTGCTATGAACATTTATAGAAAACCTGTGTTTTCTATGTTTAACTATTTGAGGAGGTGTCAGACTGTTTTCCAGAGTGGCTGCACCATTTTACTTTCCCACCAGCAGTGGATTCAGGTTCCAGATTCTCTACATCCAGCCGTTGTTATTGTCTGTCTTTTTTTATTATCCTAGCAGGCAGCCATCCTAGTGGTATGAAGTGGCATTTCATAGTGGTTTCGATTTGCATTTCCTTGATGGCTATGGATGTCAAGCGTCTTTTCTTTCTTTCTTTTTTTTTTTCTTTTTTTGAGACAGAGTCTCACTCTGTTGTTCAGGCTGGAGTACAGTGGCATGATCTCAGCTTATTGCAACCTCCACCTCCTGGGTTCAAGCAATTCTCCTGCCTCAGCCTCCCAAGTAGCTGGGACTACAGGCACATACCACCACGCCTAGATAATTTTTGTATTTTTAGTAGAGACGAGATTTCACTATGTTGGCCAGGCTGGTCTCAAACTCCTGACCTCAGGTGATCCACCTGCCTTGGCCTCCCAAAGTGTTGGGATTACAGGTGTGAGCCACCACACCTGGCCGAGCATCTTTTCAGGTGCTTACTGGTCCTTTGTATACGTTCTTTGGATAAATGTCTACTCAGAGCCTTTGCTCGTTTTTGTCTTTTTATTATCAACCAAGTTTATTTTATTCATTTATTTTTTTTGAGAGAGAGAGAGGGTCTTGCTCTGTTGTCCAGGCTTGAGTGCAGTAGCTCAGTCACGGCTCACTGCAGCCTCAACCTGCTGGTCTCAAGCTATCCTCCTGCCCTAGCCTCCCAAGTACCTGATACTACAGGCGCGCCACCATGCCCAGCCAACTTTTAAATTTTTTGTAGAGACAGGGTCTTGCCTAGGCTGGTCTTGAACTCCTGGCCTCAAGAAATCCTCCCGCCTCAGCCTCCCAAGTAGCTGGGATTACAGGTGTGAGCCATGGCGCTTGGCCAAGTTTAGTTTCTAATACCAGTTTTTCTTTCTTTGGGATGGACAAGCCCCAGTGTCAGAATGCCGTGAGCTCCCATTCAGATGGCCCAGCATCTGTATGTTTTCATTTGTCCCAGGGCAACTCTATGTCTGTATTTATTCATTCAGCCAGCCTTGGTTGCGTAGTTTCTTTTTTTTTCTTTTGAGATGGAGTCTCGCTCTGTCGCCCGGGCTGGAGTGCGATGGTGCGATCTCGGCTCACTGCAACCTCCACTTCCCTCCTGCCTCAGCCTCCTGAGTAGCTGGGATTACAGGCATGCGCCACCACCCCTAGCTAATTTTTTTGTATTTTTAGTAGAGATGGGGTTTTACTATGTTGGCCAGCCTTGGTTACATAGTTTCTTTGCGTAACACTGAGTTAGGGACTGAGAGTCGTTAGATAAATCAGACATGGCCCTTGCCCTTGAGGCTTTCATTTATTTTTCTTTAAGCATTTTTTATAAATAACATTAGATTTAAGGTTTTTATAAGTTGGATATGAAACTTGCCTTGATAAGAGGGAATGTTGACAGGAGTTTGTTGAGATGGGTACTCTGCATGCTGCTAGAGTTGAGGGGGATAAATTTGTGCAGTTTTTGGAAGGAAGCCTGGCAAAATGCATCAAGGACCTGAAAAATGTTCTTCTGGGCTGGGCGCGGTACCTGATGCCTGTAATCCCAGCACTTTGGGAGGCCGAGGCAGGCAGATCACTTGAGGTCAGGAGTTTGAGACTAGTCTGGCCAACATGGTGAAACCCTGTCTCTATTAAAAATACAAAAAGTTAGCCAGGTGTGGTGGTGTGCACCTGTAATCCCAGCTACTCAGGAGGCTGAGGTAGGAGAATCGCGTGAACCTGGGAGGCGGAGGTTGCAGTGAGCTGAGATCGCGCCACTGCACTCCAGCCTGGGTAACAGAGCGAGATTCCATCTCAAAAAAAAAAAAATCTCAGAAATGGTGTCATCTATTTATATACACTGATCTTCATCATGAAATTAGTTGCATGTTAAGAAAATTGGAAACAGTTTGAAATCCAGGGATGAGAGGATGGTTACGAAAATTTTACCATTTCCATATGATATTTTTGCAGCCATCAAATTTTGTTATGTGTTTTTAATCAGAGTTTTCAGTTTCTTCTGTGGTCAGTTTAATGATAATGCCAAGGTCATACATTGTTTACTAATTCCCTACCTGAAATACAAGGGATGCACCTTCATTTCTAGACTTGACATGTAAGTAAATTTACTATATGAATTATAAATTCTATAGTCTGCTCTTTTTAAAAAGCACAACATGGAAGATCTGTCAGTTTCCTGAAAATCACTCTTGTTTTCAAATTTGTATAGATAAATATGTCTTTTTTCTGTCACATGACCTAGAGCTGCTCCCGGGTAGAAGGAAGGGCCTGGGCTTGCATCTCCCTAAGGGCACTGTGGGTGGCTCAGGGTCTAGTGTGGAGCATGTGTCGGTTGGGGAAAGCTCCTTTACTTTAATTACTGGTATCAGTAAATGAAAACAATAACAATTTTTTTTTCTGAATCCTATTTCTGAACAAACCATAAATTTAAATCCTATTTCTGAACAAAACATAAATTTGTATAGATGAATATATCTTTTCACTATTAGCTAAGGAAAATGAAAAAAGGTATTTGAGTATTAACCATTTTTTTTCATATTTATTATTTAACATAATGAGCAAAGTGTTATTGTTTCATATGTTAAGTGAGAAGTTACTGGTTTTGGAGAAAAATCACATTTTTTTTTTTTTTTGAGAGAGTCTTGCTCTGTCATCCAGGCCAGAGTGTAGTGGCGCATCTCGGCTCACTTTAACCTCTGCCTCCTGGATTCAAGTGGTCCTCCTGCTTCAGCCTCCTAACTGGGATTACAGGCGTGTGCCACCACACTCAGCTAATTTTTTTGTATTTTTAGAAGAGACAAGTTTTCACCATGTTGCCCAGGCCAGTCTTTGACTCCTGGCCTCAAGGGATCTACCTGCCTTGGCCTCCCAAAGTGCTGGGATTACAGGCGTGAGCCATTGCACCTGGCAAAATCACATATTTTGAAGAACAGTATTCTGAGGAAATGTTTGCAGTATGAGGCTTATTGAAAAAAAACAGGCTATATGGCCGGGTGCGGTGGCTCACGCCTGTAATCCCAGCACATTGGGAGGCAGAAGTGGGAGGATCACTTGAGGCTAGGAGTTCTAGATCAGCATGGGCAACGTAACAAGACTTGGTTTCTACAAAAAAGTTTTAAAAATTAGCCTGGCGTGGTGGCAGGTGCATGTGGTCCTAGCTACTCAGGAGGCTGAGATGGGAGGATCACCTGCACCCAGGAATTAGAGGCTGCAGTGAGCTCTGATCATACCAGGCCACTCCAGCCTGGGCAACAGTAAGACACTGTCTCTTAAAAAAACAAAAAAAAGCAGTTTGTAAAACCATGTATGCAGTATGATATCAGATTTGTTTTTAAAAGACATTTGTGTATATACACAAAAATTTATAGTGAGACGTTTAGAATGGTGGTGTTAGGATTATAGGTAATTTTTACTTTGTCTCATTTTCACATTTCTCCCATGTTTCGCTACTATTTTTATTTATTATTTTTATAATTTAAAATAATCGGGCTTTTTGGGGGGCAGAGAAAAGGTCTTGCTCTGTCACCCAGGCTGGAGTACAGTGGCATGATCATAGCTCACTGCAGCCTTGAACTCCTTGTCTCAAGTGATCCTCCCACCTCAGCTTCCTAAAGGCGTAGCCGCCACACCCTGCCAACAATAGCTATTTTAAAAGTATTTTAAAAGAGAGAATTTGGGGCATTTATATTCTAGTTAGGGTAGTTATACATTTTTTAAAAATCATGTAGTGCTTTTGATATTGAGCAAATAATTGATATTAACCAAATAATTATACTGCTTTTTGAAATAAAGTTTTTAGAAACTTTAACTTCAGTGAAGCTAAATTCTGCCAATGAATCTGTCTTGCCTCATCAGCTCTTTCCCACGGTACGACCTCCCTGCTTTTCACGTAACTCATCCCTTGATTCATTAGCAAACTCAAAGTATTTGTTGAGCATTAGGCCAGGATACCTAAGACCTTAGTTCCAGTTCTGCCCCTGATTTTGTGACCCCAGGAAAGTTAATAACCCATAAAATGGAGATTTTAGTATCTCTTTCTAGAAAAATTAAATTTAGGATATTAAAATGAAATAATAAATATGCCTTAATTCTTTTGGAATAAAGTAGCTACAGGTGTATTCCTTAATTCAAATACAGAAATTAGGGCCAGGTTTGGTGTCACACGCCTGTAATCTCAGCACTTTGGGAGGCTGAGGTGGGGTGGATTGCTTGAGGCCAGGATTTAGTGACTAACCTGGGCAGCATAGTGAGACCCTGTCTCTGCAAAAATTAAAAAATTAGCTGGGTATGGTGGCATGCGCCTGTAGTCCCAGCTACTCAGGAGGCTGAGATGGAAGGACTGCTCGAGCCCTGGAGTTCAAGGCTGCTGTAAGCTATGGTCACACCACTGCACTGCAGCCTGGGTGCCAGAGAGAGACCCTGTCTTTAAAAAAAACCAAAATAAATAAAACAAATACAGAAATCAGGATTTTATAACAAATAAAACAAATTTAACTGGTGGTTCCAAGCTGTCTTAAACCTCTTCCCATAGCCTGCCTCTTAAGTGCTGCTTCTCGTGACAACAAACTCAGGGGCCAGTGCCAGGGCCAGAGCCAGGCAGGTCTGGACAGTCTGTGGAGAGGCAGCCGATCGAAGTGACATTCATGGTCACATTCAGATTGTTTGGCCAGAATAACAAGTTTTAGCCTATATTTGGCGATTTAGACCCAGAGGTTGACAAATTTTTTCTTTCTTTTTTTTTTTTTTTTTGAGATGGAGTCTTGCTCTGTCATCCAGGCTGGAGTGCAGGCAGTGGTGCAACCTCGGTTCACTGCAACCTCTGCCTCCTGGGCTCAAGTGATTCTCCTGCTTCAGCCTCCCGAGTAGCTGGGACTATAGGCACCCCCCACCAGGCCTGGCTAGTTTTTTTGTATTTTTAGTAGAGATGGGGTATCACCATGTTGGCCAGGCTGGTCTCAAACTCCCGACCTCAAGTGATCCGCCCGCCTCAGCCTCCCAAAGTGCTGGGATTACAGGCGTGAGCCATGGTACCTGGCCAACTTTTTCTATAAATAGTTTAGGCTTTGTGGGCCATAAGGTCCCTGTCTTGACTGTTGAACTCCGCTGTCACAGTGTGAAAGCAGCCTCAGACAATACCTAACCAAATGCCTGTGGCTGCGTTCCAATAAAACTTTATTGACAAGAACAAAATCCTGTCATTTGCTACAACATGGATGAACCTGAGGGACTTTATCCTAAGTGAAATGCACTAGGCACAGAGAGACAAATACTGCATGATCTCACTTACATGTAGAATCTAAAAATATCTAACTCATAGAAACAGAGAGTAGAATGGTGGTTACCGGGGGTGGGAGAGGGAGTGGGGAGATATTGATCAAAGGTATAAAGTTTCAGCTAAGCAGGGTAAGTTCAGAAGATCTATTGTATGGCATGATGACTGTGGTTATTAATAATGTACACTTGACAATTGCTAAGAGTGTAGACCTTTTTTTTTTTTTTTTCTTTGAGACAGTGTCTGACTCTGTCACCCAGGCTGGAGTGCAGTGGTGTGATCTTGGCTCAGTGCAACCTCCGCCTCCTGGCTCAAGCAATCCTCCCACATCAGCCTCCTGAGTAGCTGGGATTACAGGCATGCGCCACCAGGTCCCTGCCACCACGTCCAGCTAATTTTTGTATTTTTAGTAGAGATGGGGTTTCACCATATTGGTCAGGCTGGTCTCGAACTCCTGACCTCAGGTGATCCACCCACCTCAGCCTCCCAAATTGCTGGAATTACAGGTGTGAGCCACCGTGCCCGGCCCCTCCCTTCTAATTTTGTAAATGAGCTTGGTTAAAATTCTTTTTTTTTTTTGAGATGGAGTCTTGCTCTGTTGCCCAGGCTGGAGTGCAGTGGTGCGATCTCAGCTCACTGCAAGCTCCGCCTCCCGGGTTCACGCCATTCTCCTGCCTCAGCCTCTCCGAGTAGCTGGGACTACAGGCACCCGCCACCACGCCCGGCTAATTTTTTGTATTTTTAGTAGAGAAGGGGTTTCACCGTGGTCTCGATCTCCTGACCTCGTGATCTGCCCACCTTGGCCTCCCAAAGTGCTGGGATTACAAGCATGAGCCACCGCACCCGGCCAGTTAAAATTCTTTTGTGTATTTCACCACACAATTGACAAAAATGTGATTTACTTAGAATTTTTCAGGAACATCTATAATATTGGGTTGGTGCAAAAGTAATGGTGGTAATTGCAAATACTGCAATTATTTTCGCACCAATTAATACATAAAGATGTTCAACTACGTATGCATTGAGTTTAGGATTTCTCATGGAATCAAATCTGACCTCATCCTGGCGTTCAGCTTTCTCATCTCCATTTCCGCCAGTTTAACCAACCAGAGTGTGGTCAGGGTCACATGGAGACCTTTGTGCTGTGTACCGCAAACAGTAAGCTTCATGTTTTCAGGCTCAACCCCAGGGCCGGCCAAGTGCTTGTGCATTTGAGACATTGTTTCCTGGGCGCAGTGGTGGCCAGGGCCTCATGTTTTAGCTTATCTGGGCCTGTTTCACTGTAAGTTGAATTGTAGGAGAGGGTGGGATTAAGAGATCTTCCAGGACAGGATACCTCTACACAGCCCTGTGAATTCGTTTTCTCTCTTGACTACCTTGCTGTTTGATCCTTGTGCGGGTTACCATCAGTTAGGAAGTAAATGAAGGAGCCTCATTAATCAGTTGCAACATCGTGAGTGAAGGTGGAAATTAACATGTACCAAACAAACGGTGTTGGCAAGATGAGTTTATTTTCCAACTCCTTGGGGATTTCTAAGCTAGTGATAAGGGAACTCATCAGGCAGGAGAGTGGTGGATATTCAGCCTCTAAGTTCTGCCCTAGTTCCAAACCTGCAGTATGCTTTCTTACTCATGGGAAAAACTGAGTGTCTTTTTCCTTCCACTCATCAAAACCTGAGAGAACTTTCTGAGCAAGCATGTGACTCCCTGGAGCATCTGTTATTTAGTTATCCCACAAGGCAGGTCACCCCATTGCAGGGCTGTTGCAAATAGATTGAGCCATGGCCAGTATAGCCTGTGTTAACATCAACTCTTTTTTTTTTTGAGATAGAGTTTTGCCTTCGTTCCCCAGGCTGGAGTGCAATGGTGCGGTCTTGGTTCACTGCAACCTCCACCCACTGGGTTCAAGCGATTCTCCTGCCTCAGCCTCCTAAGTAGCTGGGGTTACAGGCACCCGCCACTACGCCCGGCGAATTGTTTTTTTTTTTTAGTAGAGATGGGGTTTCACCATGTTGGCCAGGCTGGTCTCGAATTCTAGACCTCAGGCGATCCACCTGCCTTAGCCTCCCAAAGTGCTGGGATTACGGGCATGAGCCACCACGCCTGGCCTACATCAACTCTTAAAAAGAAACAAAAAGAAAAGTCACAGCAGATTTCACCGAAGGCCAGCTTGTTTCTAGGATTTAAAGTCTTATGTGGCCGGGTGGGGTGGCTTATGCCAGTAATCCCAGCACTTTGGGAGGGCAAGGTGGGCAGATCACTTGAGCTCAGGAGTTTGAGACCAGCCTGGGCAACATGACAAAACTCCGTCCTACAAAAAATACAAACAAAGTTAACAGAGCCTAATGGCACATGCCTGTCGTCCTAGCTACTTGGTGGATCTGAGGCAGGAGGATCAGTTGAACAGGGAGGTCGAGGCTGCAGTGAGCCATGATTGTGTCACTGTACGCCAGCTTGGGTGACAGACCCTTCCCTCCACTCCCCAAAAGTCTTACGTGTCCCAGGATGAAAAGTTGATAGACTGGTAACAATTGCAGATTCATTAAGAAATCTCTGCTTCTCCCAGCATCCCTAAAGGGTTTGAAGCCAAAAGCCGAAGTAGCAAAAATGAGACGAAAGGGCGGGGCAGCCCAAAAGAGAAGACGCTGGACTGTGGTCAGATTGTCTGGGGGCTGGCCTTCAGCCCGTGGCCTTCCCCACCCAGCAGGAAGCTCTGGGCACGCCACCACCCCCAAGTGCCCGATGTCTCTTGCCTGGTTCTTGCTACGGGACTCAACGATGGGCAGATCAAGATCTGGGAGGTGCAGACAGGTAGGTCATTCCTGGCTGGCACAAGGTTCTGGGAGGCTCGGGTGCATGTTCTGACTATGTCGCCTCCCTGCCCCACTCACGTTGGCCAAGGGGTGTGGCCGTGGCAGGCACACCTCGTGCCCCCTCTCTGGCTGACTCAGTGCCCCTGCTCCCATGCCAGGGCTCCTGCTTTTGAATCTTTCCGGCCACCAAGATGTCGTGAGAGATCTGAGCTTCACACCCAGTGGCAGTTTGATTTTGGTCTCCGCGTCACGGGATAAGACTCTTCGCATCTGGGACCTGAATAAACACGGTATGGGAAGTGAAGGAACTACTCGGCAACTCCAAAAATACTGTATTTGCTTTCTCCACTTTACCAGTGTCATTTTTATCTAAAACAGTGTTTCTTGATGTTTTTTTCTGTGATTGCCCCTTAAGGAGCCTTTTAGACAGTTTTTTCCTAATCGCCCCTGCCCGCCCCAAAGATAATACTATACCAAATAGAGTTTAATACCGAACATATACTGTGTGTCTATTTAGGCTATTTTAATATCGAAGATATATTGTATATCTACTTATGTGCTGAATGCATGTCTATGCTTTGTATGTAAAAAAATGTTAAGATTTTTTTGGCTACCAAGAACTAGTTTGTACCCTCTTGGGGTGAATTGCCCCTGTTAAAAATATTTGATCTAGAACAGGTTTTCTCATCGGCACTATGGATATTTTGGGCTGGATAACCCTTTGTCGTGGGCTCTCCTGTGCATTCTAAGACACTGAGCAGCGTGCCTGGTCTCTTCTCTTTTGATGCCAGTAGCATCCTCTCCAGTTGTGACAAGCAAAAAAGTCCCCATGTCCTGTGAAGGGCAAGGTCTCCCCAGGTTGAGAACCACTGATCTAGAAGTCCCTGTTGGGTGCTTCCTGTTAGAAAGAAAGACTTTCTTTTTGAAGCAGACTCTAAGCCTAGAATAATTCTCTCAGGCTATGGGGCATCAGGTTTTGTGAAATTCTGCCTCGAGCAAACTATATACAGGGGTGGCCCAATAAGGAATTCCATACATTTCTGGATTGATCCTTAACTAGAAAGGTGATATAAGAGGCCAGGCACAGTGGCTCACGCCTGTAATCCCAGTACTTTGGGAGGCTGAGGCGGGTGGATCACCTGAGGTCAGGAGTTCAAGACCAGCCTGGCCAACATGGCCAAACCCCATCTCTACTAAAAAATACAAAAATGAGCTGGGCGTGGTGGTGGGCGCCTGTAGTCCCAGCTACTCGGGAGGCTGAGGCAGGAGAATCACTTGAACCTGGGAGGCAGAAGTTGCAGTGAGCTGAGATCGCATCACTGCACTCCAGCCTGGGCAACAGAGCAAGACTCTGTCTCAAAAAAAAAAAAAAAAAAAAAAAAGTGACATAAGAGAGGGGAATTTATTGCAATGCCATCTTTCAATTCCTCCAGCCCTGGATGGGGCTCAGGGGCTGGAGGGATTGGAAGGAGGCAGTGGTAAAGGGTCATGAAGAGGATCAGGGGCTGGAGGGATTGGAAGGAGGGTCATGAAGAGGCCACTTGTCCCCATGGTGTGAAGGCACTGGCACTCTCTCCCAAGCTATGACTGTCCAGCTCCACACAGCCATGGGAGGGACCTTTCTCCTGCTCTTTTAGCAATGAGCCTGAAAACTTGTATCTTAGTCAATGCCAGAGACTGGGTGGCTTAAACAACAGACATTTATTTCTCACAGTTCTGAAGGTTGGGGAGTCCGTGAGCGAAGTGCTAGTAGTTTTGGTGTCTGTGAGCACCTGCTGCCTGGCTTGTAAACAGCCACCTTCTCTCTGCATCCTCATCTGGCAGGGATCTCTCTCTTTCATGTCTCTTCTTCTAAGGGCACTAATCCCATTCCTGAGGCTTCACCCTCATGACCTATTGACTTCTCAAAAGCCCCGCCTCCTAATACCATCACATTGGGGATTAGGGCTTTATGTGTGGGGGGCACATTTAGTCCATAGCAACTTGTCAGACAAACTAAGGCAGTGCACATGCATCCTCATCTGAAGGCATCTGATCACCAAGATAACTCTAGGTGTTTTTTTGGTTTGTTTGTTTTTTCTTGAGACGGAGTCTCACTGTGTCACCCAGGCTGGAGTGCAGTGGCACGATCTCAGCTCACTGCAACCTCCGCCTCCCAGGTTCAAGTCATTCTTGTGTCTCAGCCTCCCAAGTAGCTGGGACTACAGGCGTAAGCCACCATACCTGGCTAATGTTTTGTATTTTTAGTAGAGACAGGGTTTCACCACGTTGGCCAGGCTGGTCTCAAACTCCTGACCTCAAGTGATCTGCCTACCTGGGCTTCCTAAAGTGCTGGGATTACAGGCGTGAGCCACTGCGCCTGGCCTACTCTAGGTGGTTTCTGCCCAGTACTGTGGAACCTGTAATCCCACAGTCTAAGATGTGCTGCTGATCAGGACAGCTTCTCCAAGGCAGTGCCTCTTTTTTTTTTTTTTTTGAGACAGAGCCTCCTCCAGGTGTGTGCCACCATGCCTGGCTAATTTTCGTATTTTTAGTAGAGACGGGGTTTTGCCATGAAGGTCAGGCTGGTCTTGCACTCCTGACCTGAAGGGATCTGCCCACCTCGGCCTCCCAAAGTGCTGGGATTACAGGTATGAGGTACCACGCTCGGCTGGCAGTGCCTTTTTAAATGCTGGCTTAATGTGTGTACTGAGGCAGCTTGCCACCATCTCAGGAAGGTCCATGCAGTGGCTCTGGAAATCACTTGATGACTTGGAAGGAAAGACCAAGTGAGAGTGACCAAGAGTGGGCGGGATGGAGTAGGCCAATTATGAGAGCTTTTCAAGGAGAGGAGGGGAATAAAGTTGGTTCCCAGCTGACAGGCGCTGCCCCACTGACCTAACATGCCTTAATTTATTCAGTACTCCCAGCACCCTGAGATTTGACAGCTGAAGAAACCATGATTGACCTTTATTTTTTGAGACAGAGTCTCACTGTGTTGCATGGGCTGGAGTGCAATGCTGCGATCTCGGCTTATTGTAGCCTCTGCCTCCTGGGCTCCAGTGATCCTCCTGCCTCAGTCTCTGGAGTAGCTGGGACTACAGGCACCATGACTAACTTTTTAAAAATATTAATTAAAGCACTTTGGGAGGCCAAGGCGGGCGGATCACTCGAGGTCAGGAGTTCGAGACCAGCCTAGCCAACATGGTGAAACTCCGGCTCTACTAAAAATATGTAAAAATTAGCAGGGCATGGTGGCAGATACCTGTAATCCCAGCTACTCGGGAGGCTGAGGCAGGAGAATCGCTTGAACCCAGGAGGCAGAGGTTGCAGTGAGCCGGGATCATGCCATTGCACTCCCACCTAGGCAACAGAACAAGACTCTGTCTCAAAAAAATAAAAAAAAATAAAAAAGAAATATTAATTTTTGTGGATCCATACATCCGCATAAACTTAAATAAATTCATATATATGACCATGTACAGGCGTATAACAATTATTTTTTCTTCTTTCTTGCTTGGCTCTTTCCTTCCCAATTCTCTCTCTTGCCCTCCCTGCTGTTGCCATCCTCCCTTCTTCCCCTGCATCCTGGTACCCTGTGTTAGGAGTATATACCCTTCCATATTTTTCTGTCTACTTGTATAATCCTGTGCACACACGTTTGCATTCATGGCTTTTGGGTCATTGTTTGACAAAAATGGAATCATACATCTTCACGATTTTTCCCTGCATCTCGCATTTTTCATTAAACTGTAGGTACCCCATGGAAAATCTCTCTCTAATTCCAACTGCATTAATGGGGTAGATATACCACCATTTATTCACCCATCCTCTATATGGACGGGCTTTTTTATTTTTAAAGCAAGAGCTGGAGAGATTGTGTGAGACACCCTGGGTTATCTGCTGAATTAGCAGGGGAGTCAGGATTCAAACCCAAGCTGTCTGACTCTAGAATGTGTGCCCCTAGTGACTCCACACCACTGCTCATCTGGACATCCTGGCAAGGCTGGGAGGGTGACAGTCTGGAGCAGGATCCTTGTGATTACAGAGAAACCATTACAGAGTTTAAATGAAGATAAACACTCTCTTAAAATTGGGAATGATGCTTCAGGGTACTTGAGGTGGTTGGGGAGCCTAAAAAGAACATTCTCTGCTATCAAAGGTCCCTTTGATATGGTTTCCTATGAGGAAACCTTTAATGCAATTCAAGATTATATAAAAAAAGTGATCAGCACCTGAGGTCAGGTGTCCGAGACCAGCCTGGCCAATATGGTGAAACCCTGTCTCTACTAAAAGTACAAAAATGAGCTGGGCGCAGTGGCACATCCCTGTAATCCCAGCTACTCAGGAGGCTGAGGCAGGAGAATCGCTTCAACTTGGGAGGCAGAGGTTGCAGTGAGCTGAGATCGCGCCACTGTATTCTAGTCTGGGAGACAGAGCAAGAGCAAGACTCCATCTCAGAAACAAACAACAAAAAAGTGATCAATGTACCCCTTCACCCTTACTGATCTTATAGATTGTGTTGAAGCCATAGGTACTGGTTTCCGTGGGGAATTAGAATATCATATTCATAGATTACAGGTGTTTAAATGACAAATCTGGTCATATTTCTTACTCTGAATTAAAAATTGGACCCTTGGGCCCAGCTGATAGGAGCTGATGGGTATACTGGGCTGGGGGCTGTTACCACCCCAGTTCTCCCGTTCTCCAGTCTTCCTGCTTTGTTGAGGACTGGCTCATTGTTTGCTTCTTTTTCCTGCCAGGTAAACAGATTCAAGTGTTATCGGGCCACCTGCAGTGGGTTTACTGCTGTTCCATCTCCCCAGACTGCAGCATGCTGTGCTCTGCAGCTGGAGAGAAGTCGGTGAGTCTCCAGCGTTATTGCTTTAATTCACTGAGACATGGAGGTCTGAAGTGGTGGCCTGGTGTGTGTGAGTGTTCTCAAAATCGTCCGCAAATCCACCCCAATAGAAGGCATGCTGGTGGGCCATGGCCACCACCTGCAAAAGTCCCTTGTGACTTGCACTTTAACACGAACCCAAAGACAGGAGGGATTTGGAAACAGGTTGCTCCTGTCATCAGAGGGCTGTTTCCCTTTATAAAATGGGAAAACAATTGCTTTTTAAATTTCTTTTCTTCTTGGAGTCTAAGATTTTAAAAGTTGCAGCCCACATGTGAATCCAAATTTCCTTTGAACCATCAAATTTGAATCCCTCTAATTCGGATTTCCCATTCAAATCATGTCAGTGCAGTTACTTGTTGAACTTTGTCCTGAAATCCTGTTAATTGAAAAAACAAACAGGTATTAGAAATCCAAGAACAATTTGAGAACAGTTCTGTTTGAATTTTGTGTTGCGTTGAGTCACTTGCTGTGACTGAAGGGAAGGTTGAGAGTTCACCATTTGGTACAGCCCAGGTGGTTCATCATTTATTTTTGTGGTTTGGAGGGTTTTCTTTTCTTTTCTTTTCTTTTTTTTTTTTTTTAGACAGAGTTTCGCTGTTGTTGCCCAAGCTGGAGTGCAATGACGCAATCTCGGCTTACTGCAACCTCCGCTTCCCGGGTTCAAGCGATTCTCCTGCCTCAGCCTCCCGAGTAGCTGGGATTATAGGCGTGCTACACCACGCCTGGCTAATTTTTTGTATTTTTAGTAGAAATGAGGTTTCACCATATTAGCCAGGCTGGTCTTGAACTCCTGACCTCAGGTGATCCGCCCGCCTGGGCCTCCCAAAGTGCTGGGATTGCAGGCGTGAGCCACCGCGCCTGGCCTGAGGGTTTTCTTAAAGGAATAAAAATAAAATCCTCTTAATGCTTCTCACAAAGGTTTAAAGTGATGAGCTAGGTCAGAGGCCCAGTCTTGGGACAGATTTCCATGGTTCCATACACAAGGTGGGGGGTGTAAAATGCCTTGGCAGCCTGCCACTACTTTGTGGGGTGGCCGCAGATTTCACTTCTGACCCTTTAAAAAAAATTTGAGACAGTCTTACTCTTTCGCCCAAGCTGGAGTGCAGTGACGTGATCTCAGGTCACTGCAACCTCCACCTACCAGGCTCAAGTGATTCTTCTGCCTCAACCTCCCAAATAGCTGGGCTTACAGGCGTGCACCACCATGCCTGGCTAATTTTTGTATTTTCAGTAGAGATGGGGTTTTGCCATGTTGACCAAGCTGGTCTTGAACTCCTGGCCTCATGTGATCCACCCACCTCAGCCACCCAAAGTGCTGAGATTACAGGCATGAGCCATCGTGCCTGGCCGCTGACATTTATTTTTAAGTGGAATAAGATAGCACTTGGCTCAGGTCTTCATCAGCACATACGACTACCCTATTGGCAAACAGGACTCAGAAGCAGACTCAGAAGTCTCTGCACATGCGTTTCAGCAGGGGTCTTCCTAAGGCTGATCTGGTTTATTCTCTCTTATAGTGAGCTCCTTGAGCATGCCCATTGTTTTAAATCCTCAAGAATCCAGACCAGTTGCCTTATTTAAACCTACACCACACGTTCTGGAAGAGCTGTAGAAAAGGGATAGAGAATCAGCCCTGGCTGCAGGGCCTGCAGATTTGGTGGTGGTACCTTTCCCTCCCTCCGTTTGAGTCCTAAGCACTTTGCTTCTGCCCTAACCAGGCACTTCTTACTTTCCACAGGTCTTTCTATGGAGCATGAGGTCCTACACGTTAATTCGGAAGCTAGAGGGCCATCAAAGCAGTGTTGTCTCTTGTGACTTCTCCCCCGACTCTGCCCTGCTTGTCACGGCTTCTTACGATACCAATGTGATTATGTGGGACCCCTACACCGGCGAAAGGCTGAGGTCACTCCAGTAAGGACTGAATCCCTGCTATGACTTTTTTGTGGGGGGACTGATGAGGAACCTGCCTGGGATTAGACATGTCTCTTTTAGAATCTGGGACATGGGAGGGGACAAGCTGGATAAAAAGGCACAGTGGGTCTCTTTTGAGACGGAGTCTCGCTCTGTCACCCAGGCTGGAGTGCAGTGGCGCAATCTTGGATCACTGCAACCTCCACCTCCCGGGTTCAAGCGATTCTGCTGCCTGAGCCTCCCGAGTAGCTAGGACTACAAGCGTGCGCCACCAGGCCTGGCTAATTTTTGTATTTTTATTAGAGATGGGGTTTCACCATGTTGGCCAGGCTAGTCTCAAACTCCTGACCTCAGGTGATCCACCGCCTCAGTCTCCCAAACTGCTATTATAGGCATGAGCCACTGCGCCTGGCCTGGTTCATTGCTTCTTAGTGATGCCTTGTCAATTAAGCCCTCTCAAGTAGCTTTGAGTGTCTTCCAGTCTCCTGATTCAGGTGGCTGTGTGTACTTCTTCGGAATCAGCATTATGAAGCCTCAATATGACTCTTTATTTCCATTTACTAATAACTGTAGTAACAAGTTCAGAAAGAGCCTCTTATCGAAACTGTGCTTTCCAAAATGAGTTTCATGTTCTCACAAACTTGGTCTCCTTTTTCCTTTTGTGTCTGTTGTTTTATGAAGCAAATAATAGGCAGTCCTATAATTATCATGTATCTTAGCCTAAAAAAGACTTGCAGTTTCTACTGTGGCATTAAAGTGAGGGCTGACCTACTTTGCATAAGCAAATTAGCACAAGGAAGTGTTAGTAACCCTTCATCCACAGGACACCTGGAGCCTTCTGAGATACCCTTTTTTTTCCCAGTGTGCAAATCCCAAGCTTTTCCACGAGGGGCACACAATGCATCTTGAGCCCTTTTGTAGCCAGGGCAGTTTGGCTTCCTGCCTAGGGTGATGATGGAGGGTGGAGAGCAGCCATCACTCCAGGCCTGCCATCCTGTTTCTTTCCTTCCCAGCCACACCCAGGTTGACCCCGCCATGGATGACAGTGACGTCCACATTAGCTCACTGAGATCTGTGTGCTTCTCTCCAGAAGGCTTGTACCTTGCCACGGTGGCAGATGACAGGTAACGAAGAGAACTCTCTTTACATGGCCTCAGAACAAGTGCTTGCAAGTAATGGCAGCAAGGCCCTCTTGGTCTGGCCCTGGGTCAGCTAATATCCAGATGTTCTCTCTCCCCATCCAGACTCCTCAGGATCTGGGCCCTGGAACTGAAAACTCCCATTGCATTTGCTCCTATGACCAATGGGCTTTGCTGCACATTTTTTCCACATGGTGGAGTCATTGCCACAGGGTATGTATTTGTTAGCTGAACAGATGGGTGGTGCTTTCTGCTGAGTATACCATGGAGCTTTTTAAGGAAAGAAACCATCTAGAATTTTCTTGCCTATGAGGAAAGCTTTAAGGCAATTCAAGATTATATAAAACTCAAATGATCGATTTTGCTAATAACGGTGTCCCATTTTCTCTGAATATTTAACCTAAATGTAATTAAAGATCTGTAAGTCATGCCACCTAATGGGCCAAGTTCACAAGGGAGAATAAAATTGAGATGATGCATAATATATGGGAAACCATTTAGGGCTAAAAGACCACTTTACAGGTAACATCTATAATTCAGTAGGTGGCACTCTTCCCCCTTATACTTTTGAACTAACTGTGGTCAGATTTAGAAAGGGCTGTGCCGAGAGAGAGACAGAGAGAGCGCTTTGGTATCACAGGTGTCTTGAGTTTTTCTAATCCTATCAGCAGCTTTAATTATTCAGCACCACAATTTTACATCCATTTCCACAGTCAGGGTTACATTTCACTCTCCGAAGTCTCCTGCTCTTTGCAGTCAAAACAGAAACATGAGTATTCATCCTCATGAAAACATGAACATCCAAGCTCTGTCTTAGCATCGGTTTCTGTTTCATTTTAGGACAAGAGATGGCCACGTCCAGTTCTGGACAGCTCCTAGGGTCCTGTCCTCACTGAAGCACTTATGCCGGAAAGCCCTTCGAAGTTTCCTAACAACTTACCAAGTCCTAGCACTGCCAATCCCCAAGAAAATGAAAGAGTTCCTCACATACAGGACTTTTTAAGCAACACCACATCTTGTGCTTCTTTGTAGCAGGGTAAATCGTCCTGTCAAAGGGAGTTGCTGGAATAATGGGCCAAACATCTGGTCTTGCATTGAAATAGCATTTCTTTGGGATTGTGAATAGAATGTAGCAAAACCAGATTCCAGTGTACTAGTCATGGATCTTTCTCTCCCTGGCATGTGAAAGTCAGTCTTAGAGGAAGAGATTCCACTTGCACGGCAACAGAGCCTTACGTTAAATTTTCAGTCCAGTTATGAACAGCAAGTGTTGAACTCTTTCTGCTTGTTTTGATTCAAAGTGCAGTTACTGATGTTGTTTTGATTATGCAACTAAGTAGGCCTCCAGAGCCTCTCTAGTGGCAGAGCAGCTCACACTCCCTCCGCTGGGAACGATGGCTTCTGCCTAGTACCTATCCTTGTGTTTCTGATGCAGTGGTAGCATTGGTTCAAGTTCTCTCCTGCTGTGGTCAGAGTTGCTTCGATGTTGGCCAAGTGCTTTTCTTCTTGGGCTCCCTTCTGACCTGCAGGACAGTTTTCCTGGAGCCATTTGGTATGAGGTATTAATTTAGCTTAACTAAATTACAGGGGACTCAGAGGCCGTGCTCCTGACCGATCCAGACACTATTACTGGCTTTTTTTTTTTTTTTTTAACAATGGTGTGCATGTGCAGGAAATGACAAATTTGTATGTCAGATTATACAAGGATGTATTCTTAAACCGCATGACTATTCAGATGGCTACTGAGTTATCAGTGGCCATTTATTAGCATCATATTTATTTGTATTTTCTCAACAGATGTTAAGGTACAACTGTGTTTTTCTCGATTATCTAAAAACCATAGTACTTAAATTGAACAGTTGCAAAGATGTCTTAATTGTGTAAAGAATTGGTGTAGTCATGACTTTAGCTGATACTCTTATGTACGAGATCTGTCTCTGCTGTTTAACTTCATTGGATTAATCAGCTGGTTTCAACTCTACTGCGAAACAAAAATAGCTCCTTAAAAGTACTGTTCTCCTTCAGTGGCATGTAGTTATCTAATCAAGACACCTCATTCAAACAAAACCTGCCTTAGGAAAATTTAATATATTTTAAATTATTTTAAAAGAAATACAACATCTTATTCTTTAGCTTTCTTAATCGGTGCTTTATGGAGGCCAGTGTAACGTTACATGACTCGTTGAGAAAGTTGAGGAATTTCCTCTACCACCTTTGTTGCTTGAAGAAAAACATGTCTTTTCAAAATGAGAGGCTTTCATTGAAGAAAAGAAAAAAACAACAGTTAAAAGCTTTTGGCTCTCTGTTTCATTTTTTTCCATTAAGAAAAAAAAAAGTCCCCTTTTAAAACAAGCAGGGCTGGGTGTGACGGCACATGCCTGTAATCCCAGCACTTTGGGAGGCTGAGGTGGGAGGACTGCTTGAGCCCAGGAGTTCAAGATCAGCCTGGGCAACAGAGTGAGATAAGACCCAATCTTTATTTAAAAAATAAATAAATAAATAGCCAAAAAAACTTAGTGTGGTGCTGGTGTGCATGGTAGCCCCAGCTACTCAGGGGGCTGAGGATGTGGTGGCATTTACCTGTGGTTCTGTGGTTCCGGCTACTCAGGAGGCTGAGGTGGGAGAACTGCTCGAGCCTGGGACATGGAGGCTGTAGCGAGCCACGATCGTGTCACGGTATTCCAGCCTGGGTGACTGACAGAGCATGATCTTGCCTCAAAAAATAAACACATAAAACAAGTAGTACAGCAGAAGAGCTGGGAATGGATTGGCCAACGTTTACATTTCATGGTTATCTTGAAGTTCCAGGTACAGCAGATGCTGAGCCTCTGGGTGGTTTGAGGCCTGGTTGGCCATCAGATATTTAGCTTCATACTTTGCCGCTGTCCTTAAGGGGGTGAGTCCTCCATGAACAAAGGGAATAGTGACTTTTTCCATTTGACAGTTTAAGAATTTGACATTTTATAAAGAACAGCATCTAAAGAAAGTTTATTCTGTGATATTAGAGACAGAAGGTTTTCATATAAATGCAAGTTTGACAAAGTCAGCATCTTTCTAGCTGTCTAAGGAAGAGTCACTTGTAACACAGCCAGCCAGGAGGCTGCTTTGTTTTTTATTATAAAGAACACTAACACAAATGCAGCATGATTGCTGTAAAATAAATGTGAAATTTGTACAAAAGTCCCAGTCCTTCCGCAGTTCTAGGTTTACAGTCAGGCTCAACCTTACTTGCCCCGCTCCTGCATGAAAACAAGTGCGTTTTATACAGCCTCTGCCACCCAGTGGCATAGTTTAAGGCTCTATATTATATTTAAAATTAAGGTTTTTTTCCTATCATACACATCAATTTGGAACCTGCTGGTGACTCTTCTACCACAGAGGGTAAATAAAAAGACCAGTTTTTAAAGTAAGAGGATTCAGCTCATCTTATAAAAGTATAATAGTTTCGGCCAGACGTCCATTAACATCTGTTTAAATTAGATACAGACACAATGCCAAATATTAGAATCATAAATGTAATTTTGGAGATAATGTTTACCTTGAGTAGGAAGACACTTGGACCATATTAAATTTGAAAGTCTTCTGTTCCAGACCAAAATGGGGTAGGCTAATTCCCTGTCATCCAAGCAACTAAAAGGTAAAAACCTTATAACTTTAAAATAAAAAAGGTTATTTTTTTCCCCTATAAAAGACAGGCAGTATGAGTTAATACATTAAAATTATTTTGTACATCCCTGCTCCAAACAACCACAAAAATGGTACTTTTTAAATGCCTGCCCATCCTCTCCTGGAAGGGGGTTTTTCCAAGATTCGGGGTGACTGATTCATCCCACAGCCCCAGGCAGCAGTTTATCCTGGAACTGTCCTCTGTTCTCCCATCACTGCTGAGCCCTGAGAATTGTGAATGGCCCTCAGAGCATCTAGGCCTCTGCAACAATCAGGTCTCTGGTGACTTGAAATGCAGCAATGAGGGAGCTCAGCTGGATCTTCTCGTTGGTGCCAACAGAAAGCCTGTACCTAACAGAAACCAAACACAGGGTAAGAAAAAAGACACCAAACACAGCTGCCTTTTCTTAAGGGACCAAGAGATCTAGGGCTGAAAATCTGTTGAAGGAGTGGGGATGGGAATTGATAGAACAAATGTGCCCTGGATGGCAATCTTGTATGTGTCCCCCTAACATTTTCTTCTCTGCCCTACACATTGATTTATAAATGTGATGTTTCAAACTTGTAAGGACCGATTCAATTTTAAAAATTATTAGGTATCAGGCCGGGCGTGGTGGTTCACACCTGTAATCCCAGCACTTTGGGAGGCGGGCCAATCACTGGAGGCCAGCCTGGCCAACATGGTGAAACCCCCGTCTCTACAAAACAAACAAACAAAAAACAAAAATTAGCTGGGCATGGTAGTGCATGCCTGTAATCCCAGCTCCTCAGGAGGCTGAGGCAGGTGAATCGCTTGAACCTGGGAGGCAGAGGTTGCAGTGAGCCGAGACTGCATCACTGCACTCCAGCCTGGGCGACAGAGTGGGACTCTGTCTCAAAAAAAGAAATAAATTATTAGGTGTCAACAGCGGTGTTCTGAACTTAACTTTGTCCTAACTATACAGATATACAAAATTTATGTAATGAAGGATTATTTCGTCGGCAAAATACGTTAAGAGGGAAACAAAACAGAGATTTCCTTCCTCTTAAGCCATTTCATCGGGAAGTTTGGCTGATACATTGGTGGGTCTGTGGTCTAGTCAGTAAAGCAGGACACTGGAGTTCATCTCGCCACCTTTTAAATGCCCAGCCACTGATAGCAAAATCATCATATTCACAATGCAATGAGGAGAGGTGACCTAATTTGTGCCTGTGAAAGCCAATGCCACAAATTAGAGTTGGCCTATGCTGACGTCTATGTTGAACCCAATGCTCTGTCTACTTAAATGATAGCTGCCAGCTTCACTGGGGGCTAATAACAGTGTTTACGGAACCAGGCAAAGCAGAAAATTGAGTTTGTGTTTACTTTTCCCCCCAATATGCTTTAGTATGCCAAAATGCCTTAATAACAGCTGGGTGGTTGAAGCAAAGCAGGCCTCCCAAATAACAAGGGCATTTTCAGAATCAATGTGGGCCGAGCCTGTGAGGTCCAAGGAGAGGCCTTCATCTCAGATATGTAACTGATCTGTACTTGACCTGTGAATTTATCCCCATGTTCTTTAAGCAGCTCACACCCTTCCCCACATTCCATTCAATATCACCAGACTAGATTGTACCGTATGTGAACGATTTAGGAAAAAAACCTGAAACCAAGAAAGTTGAAACAAATAACTCACAACAGGGGAAAAAAGGAAGAAAAGAATTAAAACTGGGGCAAGAAGTACTCACTCAATGTCTGCCATTTTGGTCAATAAATGTATTCGAACTGAAGATGGAAAGTCAACTGAGGGAAAAACAAAATCAAATGAGTTAGGTCACTCTCTACTGTCAAAAAACCCACAGAGGACAAATGAGTTTCAACATGAAATCCTTAACACTGAACTAGTCCTGAGGCCTCAGCCTGCTCACTAGATACCAGACCTCTAAGAAAGTAGAAACAGTGCTGGTTTCATACTTTTTACCCACTCGATTTTGTGCTTTATAGGGTAGACAAAAAGGAAAATGAGCAGATACCAAAGTGATCCTAAGAGCACCAAAGATCACACTGCTCTTAGCAGCTGGGTAGCTCTACAAGTTAACTTGAATGCTGAGTTCCCACTTGCTGTTTTTATTTTATATTTTACTTTATTTTGAGACGGGGTCTCACTGTCTTGCCCAGGCTGGAGTGCCATGGCATGGCGTGATCATGACTCACTGCAGCCTTGACCTCTTGGGCTTGAGGGATCTTCCACCTCAAGACCCTTGAGTAACTGGGGCTACAGGTGTGCGCCACCTTGCCTGGCTGTTTTGTACTTTTTGTAGAGATGCGGTTTCACCGTGTTGCCCAGGCTGGTCTCAAACTCCTGGGCTCAAGTGATCCACCCATTTTGACTTCCCAAAGTGTTGGGATTACAGGCGTCAGCCACTATACCGATCCTGTCCCCATTTAAAAACCAAGCACAAACAACTGATTTTTTAAAGTTGGTTTATGCTCAGCTTCCACAATCAAGGTGCAGAGCTGGGCCTGAGCCAACCATACCTTGGGCAGAAGGCATGGCATGGGCCAGCCAGGAAGAGGCCTGTGAAGGCCTGGGCAGAACCAACATTCATTGACCCGGTTAAGTCTCCATCTTGCAGTTGGCCACTGTGGAAGGAAGAGCTTCTCCGAAAGCCTACACAAGTCACCTGGGGAGCTTAGAGAATACGGATGCCTGGTTGTCCTCCGAGAAGCTGACTTAATTTGTCTGGAGTGCCCCTATCTGCTGCCAAGGTTGAGAACCAATTCTCTGTGTAGAAGGTACAGGCAAGTGTGGAACTTAAGATGTTTTCCTTAAGCCTGCTTTGGTTTACATGGTTTACATATCTTCTCTTTCTTTTCTGGGAATATATATCTAGATAGACAGATAGATAGACAGACTTTTTTTTTTTTTTTAGAAATGTGAATTAATATATACTACTTACTGCTATAAAATATAAACCCCTAGAGGAAATAAAGTTAGCCTCCAGGAGTTTTCACTTTCCCCAGCAGTTCTAGATATTAAAAGAGGGTTTATGGAACACGTTTTTTGTGTTTTGTTTTGTTTTTTTTTTTGAGACAAACTCTAGCTCTGTCGCCCAGGCTGGAGTGCAGTGGCAAATCTTGGCTCACTGCAACCTCCACCTCCCAGGTTCAAATGATTCTCCCACCTCAGCCTCCCACGTAGCTGGGATTACAGGCGTGCGCCACCATGCCAGGCTAATTTTTTGTATTTTTAGTAGAGACGGGGTTTCACCATGTTGCCCAGGCTGGTCTTCAACTCCTGACCTCAGGTGATCTGCCTGCTTTGGCCTCCCAAAGTGCTAGGATTACAGGCTTGAGCCACCGTACCCAGCTCTGGAACAAAATTTTAAACAGTGGCAAGACAGAACTGCTAACAAGAAGGGTCTGATTTACAATTCATTAGTTTCTTTGCTTCAAGAATGAAGCCTCCTGTCCTAACCATCCTTAACCCCAAAGCAGGCTACCTTCTCCACAGCTTCTCAGCTGGGGGATAATGTAAGTTACCTCTATGCACAAACAAGTGTATCTCTGTCAGGATATCATGCAGTGCCAACCCCTTCAGAGTTTTCAACTCTGTAATATCTAGAGGAGCAGTTAAGGCAAAGGGAACAAGTTCCAGAACAAACATACTGCAGAGAATTTTGAATCCAAACCCGGGCAAGAGACTTTTTAAAGTAAGGCTTTTAATCCCAACACAACTGTTTCTCTTTCAACTTGAAGCTGCACGTGTTGGACTCCAATTCTTTATTTTTCTTTGTTTCATCTTCAGTAAGGGCTTTCTGAAAGATAGAGTTGTAACTCCTTCTAGTAGAGAATAAAGCCAACTGCGTTTTCTTTTTCTTTCTTTCTTTTTTTTTTTTTTTAAGATGGAATCTCCCTCTGTCACCCAGGCTAGAGTACAGTGGCATGACCTCGGCTCACTGCAACCTCTGCCTCCCGGGTTCAAGCAATTCTCATGCCTCAGCCTCCCGAGTAGCTGGAACTACAGGCACCCACCACCACGCCCGGCTAATTTTTGTATTTTTAGTAGAGACGGGGTTTCGCCATGTTGGCCAGGCTGGTCTTGAACTCCTGACCTCAAGTGATCTACCGCCTCAGCCTCCAAAAGTGCTGGGATTATAGGCATGAGCCACCACACCCAGCCCCAAATGCATTTCCAAAAAGGCTTTGTGTCACCATTCCTAGCCTTTCATTTCACAGCACAAGAGCTATCACTATCATGACCACTTGAAAATTCCTGCATCTTCAATGCCAAGGCCTAAGCTTTTCTCCCATCTGTGAGTGAAGCTGCTTCAAGCCTTACCCTGACTTGAAGGTCAGAGCCCTCCAAGAAGAACTCTGGAGTGCTAAAGACAAGTACCCACTCCACCTACAGACATCTCACTCCCACAACAAGCTGACCAGAGTCGCCTGCAGCCAGTCATCCTTTGCCAGCAAGGTGTGGGTGCTGGCTGCAACCTGAACTCCTGGGGCCACCTTCAGGTCTCGGTGGCCAGGAGGTCATGAGAAAGGATACTTCTGTAGGCTGTGGTGAAATCTTGATTCAACATCCAGTCCAGGATGTTGGCAATGTCTGACTTGAGCGGGTGCCCGGTGCAGGTGTAGACAGTCTCCTCTGTCACCTTCCCAAAGGCCATATTGGTGCTCTGTGTAGACAGAGGGGGAAAGGGGAGATCACAGTGGCTGTCACAGCTGCCACCAAGCTGCAGGGAGCCAAGAAGAAATTGCCAAGGCAGCAATGCAGGTGAGCAGCAAAGTTCTATGGGCACAAGGCAGTGGGAACCCACATATTCAATACCGGAAGAGTCACCTCATCAGAGGATGCCACAGCCTGTTGGCTATTCCAGTGCCAAATCCTTCCCTCCCTTTGCCTTCTTTGCAACAAATGATTCCTTTTGTTTTTAAAACATTTTCTTTTGCTCTCTCTTTGTTTTTTGAGACAGGGTCTTGCTCTGTTGCTCAGGCTGAAGTGCAGTGGCATGATCATGGCTCACTGTAGCCTCGACCTCCTAGGCTCAAGTCACCCTCCTGCCTCAGCCTCCTGAGTAGATGGGACTACAGGTGTGCACCGCCACACCTGGCTCATGATTTTTTAGTGGAGACAGAGTCTCACTATGTTGCCCAGGCTGGTCTCCAGCTCGTGGGCTCAGGCAATCCACCTCCCTCGGCATCCCTAAGTGCTGGGATTACAGGCGTGAGCCACCATACCTGGCCTGCAACAAGTGATTTTTTCAATTAATCAAAATACAAAGTGAGGAGGGGGAATCCTGCAGGTTATGAGACCAAGGTCTTACCAGCTGTAGATTTCAAAATTTACAGATTGATCATGCCTTTGCTTAGGTCTTTCTTCAAAAACTATTACAAAACAATGACTCAGGATTTGCTGGGACCAGGCTGGGCATGGTGGCTCATGCCTGTAATCCCAGCACTTTAGGAAGCTGAGGCAGATGGATCATTTGAGGTCAGGAGTTCGAGACCAGCCTAACCAACATGGCGAAACCCCATCTCTACTAAAAATACAAAAATTAGTAGGGCGTGGTGGCGGGCACCTGTAATCCCAGCTGCTCAGGAGGCAGGAGATTCGCTTGAACCCAGGAGGCGGAGGTTGCAGTGAGCTGAGATTGTGTTGCTGCACTCCAGCCTGAGCGACAGAGCAAGACTCTGTCTCAAAAAAAAAAAAAAAAAAGGATTTGCTTGAGACCATACCTGCAAAATGTTCAGAGCCCTACGCATGTCTCCACTGGAAAGAGTGACTAGTGCTTTCATTCCATCTTCACTTATATCAACTCTGAAAGAAATAAGCAAAAGGGATTTATGAGGCCCCCTGAGAGCACCAGCATTCACCAAAGGAACAAGATGGCCTGGAATGATTAAGGCTTTAAAGGGATGAAGGAAGGAGAGGAACAGAGTTAATAATCTCCTGATCTATATGATCTAGAATTCACTCTGGTTTTTAGGGACCTGGGCTTCACATTAGTAGTCACAGCCAACCAAAATCGAGAACAGCCTGAATTTAGGAACAAGCATTCTCCCATGGAGCCAGTCGTCTTGAATTCTGCTCTCTGGGGAGGACAGAGGCCTGGCACAAGCCATGATCACACAGCCGAAACTCCTCCTTCACAACAAGCAGCTGCTCAGGTCGGCTACTTGCTTGGCATCTGACTACACAGAATGTGATGTCTTAGAACCTTCCCTTCTAGTCTAAAAAGGCTGGAAGCATCTTTGCAGAAGGGACTCAGCAGCCTGCAGTTTCCAATGACAAAGAAGAGTAGGAGGAAATTGGGACAGCTTCCAGGGGAGGAGGATGGAATCAAGAAAAATGAAGTACCAAATGACTTTTATGAGGAATGGCCTTGAGACAGCAGAGAAAATGATAGCAGTGGACGGTCCCCAGTGCCTCCCCTGTGCTAGGCACTCTGCAAAGTCGTTTTCCAACATTCCTCTCCTCTACATACGAACCAGCCAGTGATCCCACAAGCCTGTTTCTACTACACTCCATCCCCAAAGGCCCGCAAAATACTCACTTCTCTTCTTCCACGACATGTTCCAGGCGGGGAACCATGAGTTCAGGAGTCAGGGGACCGAACCGAAACCTCGTGCAGCGGGACTGCAAGGCAGGGATGATCTTTGACAGATAGTTACAGATGAGGCAGAATCTGGTATTTTCTGTGAATTTCTCAATTACTAGTAAGAGAAAATAAAACCACCTCATGTCAAAGTCCATTCTGATTTTTCAGAGAGCCCAGAAAACTTGAATTTTTCTGTGGTCACAAGGGTATAGGAAAAGATTCAATACTGCAAACAAGTGAGGATGTTGGCCGGGCGTAGTGGCTTAGTGGCTCACGTCTGTAATCCCAGCACTTTGGGAGGCTGAGGCGGGAGGATCACTTGAGGTCAGGAGGTTTGGCCAACATGGCAAAACCTCTACTGAAAATACAAAATTTAGCCAGGTGTGGTGGCACATGCCTGTAATCCCAGCTACTTGGGAGGCTGAGGCAGGAGAATTGCTTGAATCCGGGAGGTGGAGGTTGCAGTGACCCAAAATCATTCCACTGCACTCCAGCGTGGGCAACAGAGTGAGACTCTGTCTCAAAAAAGAAAGAATGTAAACAAGTGAGGCTGCAGCCTATGACAAGACAGGGCAGTGCTGGCCTGTTCAGATCAGAGATTAGCCACTCCTCTTTTTTCTTTTTTGAAACAGAGTCTCGCTCTGTTGCCCAGGCTGGAGTGCAATGGCACGATCTTGGCTCCCTGCAACCTCTGCCTCCCGGATTAAAGCGATTCTCCTGCCTCAGCCTCCTGAGTAGCTGGGACTACAGACACGTGCCACCACGCCCGGCTAATTTTTTATATTTTTAGTAGAGACGGGGTTTCACCATGTTAGCCAGGATGGTCTCGATCTCCTGACCTCATGATTCGCCCGCCTTGGCCTTTGGGATTACAGGCATGAGCCACTGTGCCAGGCCAATTTTTGTATTTTTAGTAGAGATGGGGTTTCATCGGTTAGCCAGGCTGGTCTCGAACTCCTGACCTCAGGTGATATGCCTGCCTCAGCCTCCCAAAGTACTGGGATTACAGGTGTGAGCCACTGCGCCCTGCCTAGCCACCCCTCTTTCACAAACTGGTAAACATGCCTCCGTGGGATTTTACAAAATGCTTCCTTTTTACCATTTGCCATGATTCTGGCACTTTTGCCATGTAATCCCATTAAGACTATGAGACTTCTTGTCCTTTTACATAAAATTATATTTGGCAGGTTGATGACACTTCACCTTCTATGGGCAGGGAGGGCGGCTTTTTGCAGACTTTTCCATGGAGACTGTCTGGAGGCCTTAGAGCACTCAAGGGAGCAATAACCCGAACAAAGAGTTGCTTATGACACCGGTTCCATTCTGTAGGTACCCAATGTTCTCACATGGGGATCTGCCCAGAATGACAGTCACTCGGCAGAACAAGATGCCGAAGAAAGGCTGCCAAGCTTCTAGGACCAGAAGATATTCTCGCTGTCCTCCTCCTCCTCCTCCTCCCCCACCTCTCCTCCTCCACCTCCCCCTACCCTCCTCCTCCGCCTTCTCCTCCCCCTCCTCCTCCTCACCCCCTCCTCTTCCTCCCCTCCTCCCCCCTCCTCCTCCTCCCCCTTCCCCCATCCTTCTCTTAACATGTGCTGCCATCTACTCCCTCGCCACAAACTCCTAAAGATCGTTCTTCTCTCAAAGCTGATTCACTTGGAATCTTAATGAGAGATGACAAGTGTCCTTTAAGAGAAAAGAACTGCGCTAGGCCCCTGAAGACAGACAAATCGCAGGGTGCTGTCCCTCCCGCTGCCAAATCATTCACTTGGCAAGCAGTGAAGTAATATCAGCTCTCTGAGCACCTCAACTTCAGATATGCTTTTCCTAGCCATTGTGGTTCAAAGGGTACCATTAGTAGAAAGGAGAGGGTACTATTAGCAGAAGGACTATCTGATAGCTTAAGGATGAAAGATTTTCCACACCCCATCCCACGGAAAGATATGAATTCCCAACTCTGAAATTGAACCCAGTGTCAAAGGAGGTTGAACACCAGTGACTGGCCAGACTTAAAAGTCCCCGCAGGGCTTAGTCCCTAGGCTGCTGAAGGGGAAGTCCCGCTACAGAGGTATCTAGCCTGTGTCATTAGATGGGAGACACAGAGAAAGGCATAGAGATTTCTCTGGGCCAGAAGATGAAAACTGAAAACAAGCCAAGCCATATCTCACATCCTAATTCTCCTGTAATCCCAGCACTTTGGGAAGCTTAAAGTTCCTAATTCTCCTGTAATCCCAGCACTTTGGGAAGCCGAGGCGGGCGGATCACCCAAGGTCAGGAGGTCGAGACCAGCCTGGCCAACATGGTGAAACCCCATCTCTACTAAAAATATAAAAATCAGCCGGGTGTGGTGGTGCATGCCTGTAATCCCAGCTACTCAAGAGGCTGAGGTCAGAGAATCGCTTGAACCCAGGAGGCAGAGGCTGCAGTGAGCCAAGATTGCGCCACTGCACTCCAACCTGGGTGACAGAGCAAGACTCTGACTCAAAAAAAGAAAAAAAAACTCCCCCCCGCCTAAAAAAACAATGACAACAGCAACAAACACAAAGTTCCTAATTCTCCTTCCAGTGTGCACACCAGCCCAAACGCTCCACAGTGCCTCTGCTTACCTCTTCTCAAGGCATTCTGGGCGTCCTGAGTCATGGCGTCTGCTTCATCCAAGATCACTAGCTTAAAGCCTTTCCTAGAAAAACAAATGGTGCTGTCTAAAGATTTCTTCAATCTCATCTCAACATCTGGGCTCAAACCTATATCTTCCCATTGTGCCATCGGGCCCTGTCTCAGAAAGACAATTTCTTCTAGAACTTTGGCCAAGGCAGACATCTTTGGTCACTCAGAGAGGAAATGCCGCATCACTCCTTCAACCCTTGGTGGGAATGGAGGAGACTTCTCTACTTCTGTGCGCTGTGTCCTCTGGCATCTTCACTTTCCTCCACATGGCACCCTACCATGCTACTGCTTTTCCCGTCTCCCTCACTCATGCCTGAGTCCCTCACCCTTTTGCTTTTTTTGAGACTAAGTTTTTGCTCTGTTGCCCAGGCTGGAGTGCAGTGCCGCGATCTTGGCTCGCTGCAACCTCTGCCTCCTGGGTTCAAGCGATTCTCCTGCCTCAGCCTCCTGAGTGGCTGGGATTACAGGCGCCCACCACCATGCCCAGATAATTTTTGTATTTTTAGTAGAGACGAGGTTTCACTATGTTGGCCATGCTGGTCTTGAACCCTTGATCTCAGGTGATCCACCTGCCTAGGCCTCCCAAAGTCCTAGGATTACAGGTGTGAGCCACTGCGCCCGGCCCTCACCCTTTTTCTTTCTTTCTTTTTTTTTTTTTAGCCACCATCCTAGTTGTCCTTCCTGATCTCAATTTATTTTTAAATTCAAACTAGCTCATCCAGTCTTAGGGTAATCTAGCCAGTTCTCAGGAACTAAAAATGAAGTTAATGCTCCCTAAAGAACTTGGTAATGCAGGCTGGGCTCACGTATGTAATCCCAGCAGTTTGGGAGGCTGCGGCGGGCAGATTGCTTGAGCTCAGGAGTTCGAGACCAGCCTAGGCAACATGGCAAAACCCCATGTCTACTAAAAAATACAAAAATTAGTTGGGCGTGATGGCTCACGACTGTAGTCCCAGCTACTTAGGAGGCTGAGGCTGGAAGATCGCTTGAACCCAGGAGGTGGAGGTTGCAGTGAGCCGAGATCATGCTACTGCACTCCAGCCTGTACGATACAGGGCGACCCTGTCTCCAAAAAAAAAAGAAAAAAAAAACAAACTTGCTAATACAAGCGTAGATAACATTTTATTTTAACAGTTGCATTATAACGCTTCTTACTACCATCCCTCTCGTTTATCTCTTTTCCATGGTTGCTTTGGACAAAGTCACTTTTTTTTTCAACCCATATAAACTGGCTAAGGAGAGGATTAAAAAATTAACCCATATCATCTTACTAATCAAAATCAAGGGAGCGAAATTACACAAATAATTCTTACTTAAATATTGTCCTTGTGCTAGCAAAGCTCAGGATCGGTCCTCGAATGATGTCTATTCCTCGGTCATCTGAAGCATTCAGCTAAATGTGGAAGACAGAAGACAAAACAAAAACCATGTTGCTGTGCTATCTGTGAGTTCTTGGTGTTAGTGTATTTCCTCATCAGTCCAGCTCAGCAGGCTAGCTCTCTATGTCTAATGATGGCTAAGAGATCATCATAAAATAAAAAATCAGTTTTACACAAAATTCACTAAATTAATAAAGATGGCTATATTACCCCCACCCTTTGAGGACAATGACTGACATAAATTGGAGAAATAATTAATTGGTATGGTTACACTGAACAGCACCTCTGGTATGAGCAGAATGATACAAATTTCAGCTACCACAATCCTAAGTTACCAAGTTCTTAATAAACTGAAATAAGGACATTAGTAGCAGCAAAGTTCTGAGACCTGCGTCTAAAAAGTAAGTTAAACTTTTCTTGCAATAGACAATACTCAGATTTTTGAATCTAAGTATATTAGTCAAGGTCCCAGCAATATACAGATGGCATACTCAAATGCAGCAATTTGAAGAGAATTAAACAAGATCTTTTTAAAGGTGTGATATAGGAAAACCATGGGGCTATGCAATACCTGTCACCCTTGAGCCTGAAGGGCTTAGTGAAGGGAGTGGCTGTAGGCACCTGGAGAGGGCTGCAGGAAAGGTACCACCTGTGAGATGTACCCTACAGGTGGGCCATGCTGCCAGCCTGTGTCAGCCCCCAGGGAAGGCCCAGGCATCACTCACTTCCTTCCCCCACCCCTGCCAAGGCCCCTATTGGCCAAACCCAACCAGGAGCCAGAGGGTAAGTGAGCTTATAGTCAGTAGGGCTCAGCCTTCCAGGCAGGAATATGGTGGAGAAACGTGGAGAATTGATCTAGAGGGGCCATGGCAGACAGGCAGCAACCAAGTCACCATAAAGTAAGGTTTGGGGAGAAGTTGGCAAGAGCAAAGAAAAAGGTGCCAAACCCTACAACTGCCCTCTAGCTGACCAACGCTAATCCAGACCAAAATGACCATTATAGGAAAAAGGGAATTAAAATATTCAAATTTACTTCTTTCCTAACTGTCCGTGGGGCAACTTACTTTTAAAGTAAAATAAAACCAGCAGAACTGAAATTAAGAGACTGGAGTCTCTTAAGTTATTTGTAGAGTAAGAACAATCTTATTTACCTCCAAGACCATGGAGCCAAATTCTTTGTCTTTATATAGCTGTTTCGCACAGGCTAGGATGGTAGATGTCTTGCCTGTCCCTGGGGGACCGTAGAGAAGCAAGTGTGGCAGTCGGTCTTCATTGATAAACTTCTGAACTGAGGATCAGGAAGGAAGAAGGGCACCATCAGTCTTTGGGAGCTGCCTCATTCACCCTGGGCTCCTGAGTTGGGCTGAAAGCTCTTCAACCCAATTCAATGTCCAAATCAGAGGCAGATACAACTTGATGTAGGGGCCTCATATCTACTTTCGTGGAACAACTGGAATTCACTCAATAGCGCAGCCAGTCAACAAGTATTTATTGAGTGCCTACTGTGTTACAGGCACCTTTCTGGGTGCTGGCAACATCTGTGAACTTAAATGATTCTCCGTAATGCTATTTTTACTCCACTGTGTTGCAATTTTATGCTCATGTTTG
Source organism: Homo sapiens (assembly GCF_000001405.40). Classification (NCBI taxonomy): domain Eukaryota; kingdom Metazoa; phylum Chordata; class Mammalia; order Primates; family Hominidae; genus Homo; species Homo sapiens. Next base: position 118,019,311 of record NC_000012.12, on the reverse strand, counting down.
TGACTTACCCACTGGACTGTAGCAACCTGAAGAAAATGAATGAATGATCTTAAAGCCACATTCTACAAAGCGCAATCAGATTCTTTGAAGTTATTACTTAGGAGAGACAACATCACCAAGCAATTTATACAAGTCGCTCAAGCAGGACAAGAGCAACTGACACATGAATACTTACTGGTACTCAGAATGTCCTGATGAGAAATGAGATCATTCAGGGTCTGTGGCCGGTATTTTTCAACCCTGAAATACAATTTAGTATGTATTATGACATATATAAATGCAAGAATATTTTATGTGCAAAAGAATCCTTGCAGGTCAGGCACAGTGGCTCATGCCTGTAATCCCAGCACTTTGGGAGGCCAAGGTGGGTGGATCATTTGGGGTCAGGAGTTCAAGACCAACCAGCCCGGCCAACATGGCAAAACCCTGTCTCTATGGGTACCTCCTAGGGTCTTTGTAAGGATAGAACAACTAACAGGGTGTCTGCTAACCCGATAATATGCCATTCAATAAAAAATACCAAAAAATACAAAAATTAGCTGGGCATGGTGGCATACCCCTGTAGCCCCAGCTACCCCGAAGGCTGGGGTGGGAGAATTGCTGGAACCCGGGAGGCGGAGGTTGCAGTGAACCGAGATTGCACCACTGCACTCCAGCACTCCAGCCTGGGCGACAGAGTGAGACCTTGTCTTAAAAAAAAAAACAGAATCCTTTCATATCCTAATTTAAAAAGGAAGAATAAGAAAGCACTTTAAGTTTGAACAGACCAGTGGTTCCCAACCACAGGTGATTTTGTCTTCCTAGGAACATCTAGTGATATCTAGAAACATACTTAGTTGTCACAGGTGGGCAGAGGGTCCTATGGCACTCAGTGTGTAGTCTCCAGGAATGCTGTTAAACATGCTACAGTGCACAGGACAGCTCCCCTAAACCCACCCAGAGTATCTGGCCCAAAATGTCAATAGTGCTGAGGTTGAAAACTCTGTTCTAACTTCATCTTTCCAGCTGTTTGCCTATAATCTCAACCTGATGGGCACCTACTATTGCAAAGTGCATTTGAAACTGAACTCCTACCCAAATAGACTTCAACAGAAGAATGGATAGGTAAAATCTCTTCTGTCCATACAATGGAATATGATTCAGCCATAACAAGAAATTAACTACTGATACAAGCAGCAACATGCATGAACCTTGAAAACATGATCCTGAGTGAAAGAAACCAGACACAAAAGGCCACATAGTGTAGGATTCCACTTACATGAAATGTCCAGAATAGGCAAATCCATAGATAGAAAGCAGATTAGTGGTTGCCAGGGGCTAGAGGAAGGGGAGAATGGGGAGTAACTGTCAATGGGTAAAGGATTTCCATTTGGGGTGATGAAATTTTGGAACTAGATAGCGGGAAGACTCCACAACAGTACACTGCATTCTGAATGTACTTAATGCCACTGAATTGTACATTTTAAAATGGTTACAGGATGGGCTTGGTAGCTCGCCTCTAAAAGTCCCAGTTCTTCGGAGGCTGAGGCAGGAGAATGGCTTGAACCCCAATGTTTGAGGTTACACTGAGCTGTGATCACACCACTGCGCTCCAGCATGGGCGACAGAGCGAGACCCTGTCTCTAAAAAAAAAAAATACGTAAATACATAAAATAGTTACAACTGTCAATCTTCTGGGTTTTTTTTAACCACAATAAAGACAAATTGAACTAGTTACTAGACAATGACAACTTGCAGCTTTTCGAAGCCAAGCCAAATTGCTTCAAAGTCTTGGAAGCATTGCGAGAACATAGCTGTTTAAGTAGGATGGTTAAGAGTACAAGATCTGAATTCAGACTTCCTAGATTCACCTCCAAGCCAATTTTCTCCCTTGGACCATAGGGAAGTCATTACATCTTTCTAAAATGCAGTTTCCTCCTGTGTAAAATTTGAAGCGGTGCCTACCTCCTACGGTCTTTGTAAGGATCGAACATCTAACAGGGCGTCTGCTAATCTAATAATATGCCATTCAATAAAAGTTGACCAGGGAGCGTTATTACTAGTTTAAAATGTGACCAATAGTCGCATCGCAGGTTTTGAAGAGTGGGAAGAGGGCATTTTGGCATGGAGGCCATTGCAGGCGTCAGGAGACGCGGGATCGAACCCCTGTGCTGTCACCAGGTGCGAAAGCCGCCTTCTTCTTCGGCAAATGGAGCTGGGGGTGAAAGGGTGAGAACTGGCAAAAGCCCTAAACAGAACGGACGAGTCTGGGTAGCTGGGGGGTGTCGGGGGAAACCTCTGCAGGTCGGTCCCGGCTGCAGGCCTGGAGACGACGGGAAGAGGTCGGGTTGGGGTCCGGTCACCTGCCACCCCAGCCACCTCCTCCCCGCGCGGCCGCCTGGCCCCCTCTGCCCACCGCCGCCGCTCGGCCTCCTCCTACCAGGGCAGGTTCCTGATCTTGGTCGCCGCGGGCTGCTCCTGCTGCTTGAGTGCTGAGGTCTCCATGGCGGGGAGACGAAGGTGACCAGATCCGCTGAGATCGTCGCGTCACCCAAGCGCCTGCACAGTGACCAGCCGCGACCTGACCCTGAGACCCTGGCACTTACAGTTCGCGCGCAAAAGCAACTCTCGCGAGACGCGGCCACCAGTTTCCGACTTCCTCCCTCGGTCCCGCCCCCTCGCGTTGCTAGGGCGTCGGTTGCTAGGTTACCGGAGGCGCGGGCCGCCAGCGTCCCTCCAAGCTCCGCCCCTCCAGCCTGCTCTGAACTCTCAGATACCCAGGCGCTTCCAGAGCAGGGCAGCGGGAGAGGCAGGGCCCCCTGCAGCCCCAGTCATCATTACATATTAAGATCTCAAGGCCAAAGCCAATTCCTGCCATCGCCAAGCTTCAAACACTTAAATTCAAAGGAACAAAAGCTGCCGGGGCTCAAAAAAAAAAAAAAAAATCTAAGAAAAAAAACAACACCGAGTAAAACGGCTGGGTCTTGAATATAGATGCCTTTGCGAAAGAAGGCTTGAGATACCTCTCGGCCCCCAAGCTGGGAGGTGAATATTTGGAAATGAAAACAACCCCAAACAAACACAACTGCAACCTACCTATCTCCGGAATCCGTGCCCCTCGCCCAAAAAGTTTAGGGAACCAACCTCCAGAAAACGACTCCAGAGAAAAACAAACAGAAACTTCCAGTTGGGTTAATCTGTGTCGCTGGAAGGTCTAGTTCATGAACACAGAGGACAAGGTCCTTGTGATCTGAGATACTGAGGAGAATCGATATCAACATTTTAGGTTTTTTTCCTGAGGCGAGGAGAATTCTAGATCACTTTTATTTTCTTCTTTTTTGTTGGTCTGTATTTTCTTTTCTTTTTTTTGGTGTCTTGCTCTGTCACCCAGGCTGGAGTGCAGTGGCGCTATCTCGGCTCACTGCAACCTCTGCCTCCCGGGTTCAAGCGATTCTCTGCCTCAACCTCCGGAGAAGCTGGGATTACAGGCGCGCGCCACCACGCCTGGCTAATTTTTGTATTTTTAGTAGAGATGGGATTTTGCCATGTTGGATAGGCTGGTCTCGAATTCCTGACCTCAAGTGATCCACCCGCCTCAGCCTCCCAAAGTGCTGGGATTACAGGCGTGAGCCACTGCGCCTGGCCTGGTCTGTATTTTCCAGCAATGAGCATGCAAAGCATCCATATTGAAGTCTTTTCTTTTTTTTTTTCTTTTAACATGATGAGGAAGACAAAAATCCTGGAGGATTTTTGAGGCTGGCCTGGGGTCAGCAGTGTTCTGATTAGGAGGTAGCAATACTCTTTGCATAGGATTACATCACTGTCACCTGCTTCAGGAACACAGCAGAGGGACAGTGGCAAGTATGTGATGGCAGTTATGGCTTCACCCTAGCCCCTGCCTGGGGACCCCGAAGAAGGGGATCAGCTAGGGCTTGTGATGTGACAGTGCCCCTACTCTGCTTGCTCCCAGGAAACTTTAACACTGGGGGCTTAGATCATTAGCATGCCATTTTTAAACTTTTCTTTCTTTCTTTTAAGATAAAACTGGTTTTATTCATTTTTATCTCCAGGAAGGGAATCATAAATGATTAACAAGTTTTTCTTAAATACTAAGGCTAAAAATCAGCACATGTTTACAATTAATTTGCTGACACATGCTGAGGTGAGATATAGATGCCTCTGAATTAAAGTTATAGAAACACATTAAATATTTGTCATGTATTGCCAAATTCTGGGGTCTTTGAACACTCCTGGGGTTTTGTTCTGTTTCGTTTTTGAGAGAAGGTCTCACTATGTCACCCAGGCTGGAGTGCAGTGGCACAATCACGGCTCACTACACTCTCTAACTCCCCGGCTCAAGTGATCTGCCTGCCTTGGGCCTCTTAAAGTGCTGGGATTATTGGCATGAGCCACTACACCCAGCCCACTTCTGTTTTTTAAAAGGCATAAAATACAAGTGATGGGTATAAAAATAAAGGAAAACAGCTGATACAATTTTAGAAAACAACTGATACAATAACTAAGCAAAATTATGAAAGATTACTAAAGAAATAAATGGTGCTATACCCTCCTCACCAACGATCTAATTGTTGAGACGCAGGCTTCACACTGGGGTAAAATCCTAAAGGGTGGCTGATATGGTTTGGCTCTGTTTCTCCACTCAAATCTCATCTTGAATTGTAATCCCCAGGTGTCCAGGAAGAGAGGTGAGTGGATCATGGGAGCGGTTTCCCCCATGCAGTTCTTGTGATAGTCAGTGAGTTCTTACAAGATCTGATGGTTTGATAAAGAGCTCTTCCTACTTCACTCTTTCTTCTCTCTCCTGCCGCCTTGTGAAGAAGGTGCCTGTTTCCCCTTCGCCTTCCACCATGATTGTAAGTTTCCTGAGGCCTTCCCAGCCATGTAGAACTGTGAGTCAATTAAATCTCTTTCCTTTATAAATTACCCAGTCTTGGGTATTTCTTTATAGCAGTATGAAAATGGACTAATACAGTGGCTTTTGAAACTAAAGGAGAAGTCATCAAGAAAGCATTGCTTTGGGTGTCAGAAGACCTGCCTCGAATCAGTTCAACTCTAAAAATCTTTACACAGCCTATGGAGAGAAACCTAAGCAAGTCCCCAAATCCTCAAGTGTTCCAGGAGAATGAAAAGAATTATAAAGGCTAAAGAATTATTAGAATCAGTGCAGTGAACATGTAGACCAAAGCATTCCTACATGCCAGGAAAATGGTGCATTTGAATGTTTTTGCTTCTCATGAGAAAGGCAATTTAAGTTGCAAGGCAAAGGCAAACTTTTGAAGATGGCCACGTGGACTCTGGATCCTTCTCTCTTTGTTCATGATTTGTTCTCCCTTCAGTGGTTTTGCTCCTTGCCAAGCATTAGGTACCCTTGGGGTGGGATGCCACTTTTTCCACTTAGCCTTGGGCAGGTTTCTTCTCTCCTTATCCAATAATATTTACTCAAAGATTGTTGTAAGGATTAAATGAAAGAACAAATGTGCAGCATCCAATACATCGCCACCCTACTCTTCCCTTCCCTCCTAACACTCTCCACCCAAACTGTTCTGGTTTCAAATTTGTCCTCTGAAACAAAACCCAAAGGATTGGCTAGTGGAACTATGCCATAATCTGCCCTTATTGATGGTTAAGGCCATCCTTACCATCATGGTACGAGCCATTCATGGTAAGAACCATCCTTCTAAGGACCTTTGCATTAGAAGCATGATGCTGCCACCTCCTTGAGCTGGAAGATTCAAAAAAGAACAGAACAACTTATCATAAAACTCTGTGTGCATCTGCTGTTCCGTTAACTTGGAATGTAGAATTCTCCTGTGTTGACATTAGATTATATGTTGCAAAGTCATCTATTGTATGCCTTCCCAATGGAATGTAAGCTCATTGGAGGAGAACCTTGACTTACTCACCACTGTACTTCTGGGGCCTGAAACATTGCCTGGCTCAAAGGAAGTACTCAACTCATAACTGTTTGATGAATGAATGAATGAAAATGGCTCATATCCATTAGGCAGTTTCTATGGCCGAGACACTGTTCTAAGCACTTTACGTTTATTATGATCACTCAATTGTTACAAGAAGCCCAAGTTACTATCATTGGCCCCATTTTGCAGATATGTTAGGTACCTTGCTTAGGTTCTCACTTGTAAGGGGCAGAACTGGATCTTGCTAATATAGTCTGATTCTATATAGCCCATGCTGGGACAACAGCATCAACAGCAGCCCCTGGGAACTTGTTAGACATTCTAATTATTCTTCCCACCACCTCAAACCCAAGACATCTTAAACTTCACAGCTGGGGCCCAGCCATCTGTGTTGTGACAAGCCCTTGAGGGGATTCTGAATCGCTCAGGTTTGAGAGTCATATCACTATACTACCCTGCTTCTCAGTCCTCAAGCACTCCAGGAATTTGATTTCCTATTTATTTATTTATTTGAGAGAGGGATCTCACTCTGTCACCCAGGCTGGAGTACAGTGACACTATCGCAGCTCACTGCAACCTCCACCTCTAGGGCACAAGTGGTCCTCTCGCCTCAGCCTCCCTAGTAGCTGGGAATGTGGGCGCATGCCACAACGCCCGGCTAGTTTTTGTATTTTTTGTAGAGACAGGGTTTTGCCATGTTTCCCAGGCTGGTCTTGAACACCTGGGCTCAAATAATCCACCCACCTTTGCCTCCCAAAGTGGCTCATACTGGGATTACAAGCATGAACCACTGCACCCAGCCGCAGGACTTCACTTTCTAAGAAACACAATGGATGCTGTCTAAAAACAAAATTTTATCAAATTGAATTTAATGATCTCATTGTCTGTTATTTTCTGCTTTTTTTTTTTTTTTTTTTTTTTGAGATGGAGTTTCACTCTTGTTGCCCAGGCTGGAGTGCAGTTGGGCAATCTTGGCTCACTGCAACTTCTGCCTCCCAGGTTCAAGCGATTCTCCGGCCTCAGCCTCCTGAGTAGCTGGGACTACAGGTGCCTGCCACCATGCCTGGCTAATTTTTTGTATTTTTAGTAGACACAGGGTTTCCCCATATTGGGCAGGCTGGTCTCAAACTCCTGACCTCCGTTGATCCACCCACCTCAGCCTCCCAAAGTGCTGAGATTACAGGCATGAGCCACCGTGCCCAGCCATCTTTTATTTTCAATTCATGAATTGGGCAGCATCCCATCTGTAAAACAGAAAGGTGCTCCAGCGAGCTGAGCAAGGGATGGGTTTTGTATGCAGAAGAACTAAAGAAGGCAGAAACACAGGCTAGAAAGTGAACTGATCATTTCAAAGCTACTTTCCTTATAAGATTAAAGCAGAGGAGACATTGTTATGCTTGTTCAACTTGACTAGGCCCTTTTGGATTGGTTGCTGTAAATCTGGTTTTTTGAATACTGGCCTTTTTCTTTCTTTCTTTTTTTTTTGAGATGGAGTCTTGCTTTGTCATCCAGGCTGGAGTGCAGTGGTGCAACCTCGGTTCACTGAAGCCTCTGCCTCCTGGGTTCAAGTGATTCTCCTGCCTCAGCTTCCCTAGCAGTTGGGATTACAGGCGCCTGGCACCTCACCCAGCTAATTTTTGTAATTTGGTAGAGTGGGTGTTTTACCATGTTGGCCACAATGGTCTTGAACTCCTGTGGTTCACCTGCCTTGGCCTTAAGTGGTCCACCTGCCTTGGCCTCCCAAAGTGCTGGGATTACAGGCATAAGCCACTGTGCCCGGTTGAAAACTGGCCCATTTTAAAGTTCCATTTGATTGCATGGCGGTTAGCGTAGGTGACTCCATTTTGGTTTGGTCTGGTCTATCAAGGCCTAGTGCAGGAACTTAGTCCAAACAATGCCTCTCATAAGTTTTATTTAATTTTTAAGTTTTATTTTCTGAAAACTTGTCAGGTTCATACCATAAATTTTATTTAACAGTACTCACATGTCTATTGTGGAAAAACAAAGTTGTTCTAGTATTATTATGATTTAAAAAAAATTTTTTTTTGTAGAGATGGAGTCTCACTGCATTGCCAGGGCTGCTCTCAAACGCCTACCCTCAAGGGATCCTCCTGCTTTGGCCTCCCAAAGTGCTGAGATTAAAAGCATGAGCCACAGCGCTTAGCCAAGTTTTCCTACTAGATGTCATTTGTGTGTGTGGTTTTGCTTATTTCTGTTTTTGCTATTAATTAAAGATATAGCCCTTTGAGCAAGTTACTTAACTTGTCTTTGGACCTCAGTATTCACATCTGTAAAATGGGCAGGGGTAGGGACTGGACTAGCTCAGTGACTTTTAGCCCAGGCTGACACTAAAAGCACCTGGAGAACTTTATTAAAAAATTCCATTATCAGAAGTTCAGCAAGACCAATTAAACTTGGCCTCTGGAAGCGGGACCCTCCGCTGACATTTTATTTATTTATTTATTTATTTTTAATTTAATTTTTGGAGATGGAGTCTTGCTCTGTCTCCCAGGCTGGAGTGTAGTGGAGTGATCTCGGCTCACTGCAACCTACGCCTCCCAGGTTCAAGTGATTCTCCTGCCTCAGCCTCCCGAATAGCTGGGATTATAGGTGCCGGCTACCACGCATGGCTAATTTTTTTGTATTTTTAGTAGAGCTGGGGCTTCACCATGTTGGCCAGGCTGGTCTTGAACTCCTGACCTCAGGTGATCTGCCCACCTCGGCCTCCCAAATTGCTGGGATTGCAGGAGTGAGCCACCACGCCCAGCCTCCACTGGCATTTTATTTATTTTTCTTTTTTTTTTTTTTTTTTTTGAGACAGAGTTTTTGCTCTTGTTGCCCAGGCTGGAGTGCAATGGCACAATCTCGGCTCACCGCAACCTCCACCTCCTAGGTTCAAGCGATTCTCCTGCCTCAGCCTCCCGAGTAGTTGGGATTACAGGCATGCACCACCACGCCCGGCTAATTTTGCATTTTTAGTAGAGACAGGGTTTCTCCATGTTGATCAGGCTGGTCTCGAACTCCTGACCTCAGGTGATCCGCCTGCCTCGGCCTCCCAAAGTGCTGGGATTACAGGTGTGAGCCACTGCACCCGGTCTGGCATTTTAAAGAGGCTTCTCAGGTGATTATAATATTCAGCCAAAGTGGAACTACTGTGCTAAATAAAGCCAATCACAGCCATCCTGGACCTCTTGCTCGTGATTGGCTTAAGAGATGTGCATGTGACTCAGTTCTGCCCAATTTTGATGTAAGATGAAATGATGGGAGGGGCTTTCGGGAAGCTTTTTCTCATAACTTTGCTGATTCTTGCACTAGGTAGTCTTTACTTTGTAAGTACCAAAATGCTTTCACTGTAAAGAGAAAGAGAGAGAAAGACTGGAGTTGCAAACTCACATGTCTCTAAGTAGCCTGGAAGTTAATCTATAAAGGACTCTAGAGGGTTGGGTGGAAACTATGGCGTGCCTCAAGGGGGTTGAAGTTTTTTTTTTTTTTTTTTTTTTTTTTTTTTTGAGACAGAGTCTCGCTCTGTCACCCAGGCTAGAGTGCAGTGGCGCGATCTCGGCTCACTGCAAGCTCCGCCTCCCGGGTTCACGCCATTCTCCTGCCTCAGCCTCCCGAGTAGCTGGGACTACAGGCGCCCGCCACCACGCCCGGCTAATTTTTTTGTATTTTTAGTAGAGACGGGGTTTCACCGTGTTAGCCAGGATGGTCTTGATCTCCTGACCTCGTGATCCACCCGCCTCGGCCTCCCAAAGTGTTGGGAATACAGGCATGAGCCACCGCACCTGGCCAGGGGCTGAAGTTTTAAATATAAGATTTAAGCAGATGGGGAATGTAATAATGAAATGTTGGATAGCTTGTATAAGCACTTTTTTTGAGACGGAGTCTCACTCTGTCACCCAGGCTGGAGTGCAGTGGCGCGATCTCGGCTCACTGCAACCTCCGCCTCCCAGGTTCAAGCAATTCTCCTGCCTCAGCTTCCTGGGTAGCTGGGACTACAGACGCCCGCCACCACACCCAGCTAATTCTTATTTTTATTTTTATTTTTTTATTTATTTGTATTTTTAGTAGTGACGGGGTTTTGTCACATTGGCCAGGCTGGTCTTGAACTCCTAACTTCAGAGGATCCGCCCGCCTTGGCCTCACAAAGTGCTGGAATTACATGCATGAGCCACCGCACCCGGCCATATAATCACTATTATACGAGGCTGGAGTACTGAGCTTGGAAAATGGGGCAGACAGGCTGTGCAACTGAAACCATGATCAAAATTACTCCACCAAATCCAGCCAGTTAAGAAACTGTTGCTGCTGCCAACCATGGAATACCACTGCCCCTACCGCCCTCGCTGTTCCTAGAAACTGGATTTTGCTTTCACCATCCACTGCCAGAAATAATTCAACAATTCTTTCTTGTCCTGGATTCTTCCTAAAATTAGCACCCCATTTATAAGCCTGGGAGACACGCTTAATTGGCCAAGCCTGGTGCATGCTGGTAAGTATCGGGTATATTGTTCGAACAGTGGGAAATGACATCTGCCTCCCACCAAGACTTGTGAATTGGGGACATCCTTGAATAAAGGAGAGGGGTTCAAAAGCTGGTGACCAAAGGTATCACAGGTGTTTATCACACCAGTATTCCGCCATGAGGGATTATAGTCAAATGTTGCCAGTTCTTCGGATTTTTCAAGCAAAATCAGAAATTTGGATTTTATCTTATTTTATTTTTGAGACAGGGTCTCAAAACTGGTCTCGAACTCCTGGATTCAAGCAGTCCTCCTGCCTCGGGCTCCCAAAGTGCTGGGAATACAGGCATGAGCCACCTCACCAAGCCTATTTATTATTTTAGAGACAGGGTCTCTGTGGCCCAGGCTGGAGTGGGGTGATGGAATCCTAGCTCACTGAAGCCTTGAACTCCTGGGCTCAAGCAATCCTCCCCCGTCAGCCTCCTGAGTGGCTGGGACTATAGGCATGCACCATCACACCCTGCTAATTAAAAAATTTTTTTGGTAGAGATGGGGTCTCGCTATGTTTCCCAGGCTGGTGTTGAACTCCTGAGCCCAAGTAATCCGCCCGCTTTGGCCTCTCAAAGCATCATGACTACAGGTGTGAGCCATGGTGCCTGGGTGAAATTTGGATTTTATATGAAATCCTTCTATATTAAATGTTGGCAACTAATTAAAAACAAACTGCTGGCCAGGCACAAACACTATACGGATCACTTTGTGACTTCCAATTTGTCAGGACAGATGATCAGGCAAAGATGTAGTCATTTCTTTTTACTTTCCCCTTCTGCCTGTGGTTTAGCCCTTCTGGGGCATTACTGGCAAGTAAAGGTGATATATCTGTGTGAATTGTAACATTAATGAGCACAAGTACAAACTTTTCTTATATAATCACCATCAGATTTGGAAACAGTTTAATAAAACATCAAGTCCTGGAGATGGCAGGATCATACATTACAAGCAAAATTACCAACACAAGGCATTTGCTCTTAGTATTGGATTAGAGAAAGGGAGCCCAGGATTTCACTACTCTCAGCTTTGGAAGAAACTTGGGTTTGGACAAAGCACTTACTGCCTTTGTTTATTTTATTTATTTAGTTTTTTTTTTTTGAGATAGAGTCTTGCTCTGTTACCCAGGCTGGAGTGCAGTGGCGCAATCTTGGCTTCCTGCAACCTCTGCCTCCCGGGTTCAAGCAATTCTCCTGCCTCAGCCTCCCGTGTAGTTGGAATTACAGGTGCCCACCACCACACCTGGCTAATTTTTGTATTTTTAGTAGAGATGAGGTTTCACCGTGTTGGCCAGGCTGGTCTCGAACTCCTGACCTGGAGTGATCTGCCCGCCTCGGCTTCCCAAAGTGCTGGGATTACAGCCACCGTGCCTGGCCGCCTTTGTTTATTTTTAAGACTTCTTCTTATGAGAATGGAATTCAAGGCTATCTTTGGAAGATGCTGGCAGAAGAAAATCAAACTGGGTCTTTCTCCTGAATGTGTTTATACTGGTGAAATCATGTTTAAATAAACAGGGAGGACTTGAAGGAGAAAAACATCTCAAAGGGCAATTTGAAGAGTGTGTATAACGGGAAAATCCATTGTCTTCGATGACCACGGCAAAACCCTAGACTGACTGATCAGGACTCAAAGACCTGAGGTCCTCTTTCCCCCAACTACTTTCTCTTGTCAGAAACTTTCTCTTGTTCATCATCCTCTAACATGTGTTGATTAAGTAACTAATAGATGGTTATTTACCATGTCCTGAATCTGATTCTAATTTTCAGATTGGAAGGGTTAACTCATATGAATTTGCTCCATATACTGGGGCTCAAGAAAATTCACATTTCATTGTTTTTCTCAGTTAAATGTATCCGGCTTAATGTCCTTCACTGTTGCCCTCTCAAGCTAAGGTATTTTGGAAATTGATTCTGTTGGGAATGACGGGTTGGGTTTCTTCCCTTCCCTGGGGCCATTCAAGATGCCTAGGAGGTTGTGGAAATAGGCCAGAAAATTTGGAGAAAGGCTTTTGGTCTTCAATTCTTTTATTATTATTATTATTATTTTTAAAGTTTAGTGATAGCATCTCACTCTGTTGCCCAGGATAGAATGCAATGGTGCAATCACGGCTCACTGCAGGCTCAACCTCCTAGGCTCAAGTGATCCTCCTGCCTCAGCCTCTGGCGTAGCTGAGACTACAGGCATGTGCCGCCACACCTGGCTAATTTTTAAATTTTTTGTAGAGATGGGGTCTCACTATGTTGTCAAGGCTGGTCTTGAACTCCTGGGCTCAAGTGATCCTCTTGCCTTGACCTCCTAAAGTGCTGGGATGACAGGTGTGAGCCACTGTGCCCAGCTGTCTTCGATTTATTTATTTATTTTGATTCAGAGTCTCGCTCTGTCACTCAGGCTGGAGTGCAGTGCCCTGATCATGGCTCCCTGTAGCCTCGACCTCCTTGGGCTCAGGTGATCCTCTCGCCTCAGCCTCCCGAGTAGCTGTGATTACAGGCATGTGCCACCATGCCCAGCTAATTTTTAAAATATTTTTTTATTTTTATTTTTTTTTGAGACGGAATCTCACTCTGTGGCCCAGGCTGGAGTGCAGTGACGCGATGTCGGCTCATTGCAAGCTCCACCTCCTGGGTTCACGCCATTCTCCTGCCTCAGCCTCCCGAGTAGCTGGGACTACAGGTGCCTGCCATCACACCCAGCTAATTTTTTTTGTATTTTTAGTAGAGACGGGGTTTCACTGTGTTAGCCAGGATGGTCTCAATCTCTTGACCTTGTGATCTGCCCGCCTCAGCCTCCCAAAGTGCTGGGATTACAGGCGTGAGCCACCGCGCCCGGCCTTTTAAATTTTTTGTACAGATGGGGTCTCACCATGTTGCCCAGGCTGGTTTTGAACTCTGGGCTCAAGTAATCCTCCCGCCTTGGCCTCTCAAAGTGCTGGGATCACAGGCATGAGCCACTGGGCCCAGTTGGTCTTCAATTCTTTTTTTTGTGTGTGTGATGGAGTTTCGCTCTTGTTGCCCAGGTTGGGATGCAATGGTATGATCTCGACTCACTGCATCCTTTGCCTCCAAGGTTCAAGCAATTCTCCTGCCTTAGCCTCCTGAGTAGCTGGGATTACAGGCATCCACCACTACGCCTGGCTATTTTTTTTGTATTTTTAGTAGAGACAGGGTTTCACCATATTGGCCAGGCTGGTCTTGAACTCCTGACCTCAGGTGATCCACCTGCCCTGGCCTCCCAAAGTGCTGGGATTATAGGTCTTCAATTCTTTATATCATCTGTTGTAATAGATGCTCTTTGTGCAGGATGAAACGATTCCCTTGAAGATCAGCAGATCTGTGGGTAATAGTGTTGGTTTTCTCAGTGTACAACTTAGCCACCCAGAACATTTTTCATTGCACCCAGTGCCACAAGAGTTTGGGGTTTAAACTTCCCTGTGCTCGTCCTTCAAAGTCCTTCTTATCACCTCTCCCCTCCTTTTCCTCCAAGAGAAGTATTAATCTATGAAGACAGGATGTGATCTGCACTCTTGTTACTCAAAGCAAGGTCCAGGGAGCAGCAGCCTTCACACAACCTGGGAGCTTCTTAGAAGTGCAGTCTCTGGCTCCACTCCTGACCTCCTGAATCCAAATCTCCATTGTAACAAGGTCTCCAGGCAATTGGTAAGCACACTTCAGTTGCCAAGCCCCAGATACCACTGCATTGTATCAAGTTTTTGCCATTGGCAAAAACCACAATTACTTTTGCACCAACTTGATATCTCTATCCCACTGTCCTGCCTCTCAAGCCTGTTCTACACCCTCACTGTGAATTCTTCAGGGACTTGGGCCACTCTGCTCTCATACAACACTCTCACCTCCTCCCCTTGAAGGGCCTGGCGTTTTGACAATTCAAATTTAAGTCCCAAAGTTTCTAGGCTTTCAAGTTCCCCTGGACGAGGCAAGCCCAATATTCCAGAACTCTAAGGCTTAATCGCTTGTGGGGAAGAAATCCTCCTTAGTCTTTTGTATTGAGTCTGCAGCAGTAAATATTAATAAGTCTAGTTAATTTCTCAACCATGTTATTCTGTCACACTAATAATAGTCCCTCTAGGCTGGTAAAATTTAAAAAAGATTTATTTTGAAATTTTCCCTTTTTCTCCCTACATGGAATCCCGTGTAATTTCCCTAGGCTAGAAACCCCAAAGTCGTGGGGACTGAGAAAGATAAAAAGGTGTTAATAAGGATGTGGTCAAAGTACTTACATTATCCTAGCCATGTTTGGCAGTGGTCCAGCCTGAGACCACACAGCTTTTGGGTTTGTGACATTAAAAATGCGGAGATGGGCTGGGCACGGTGGCTCACGCCTGTAATCCCAGCACTTTGGGAGGCCAAGGCAGGCGGATCACCTGAGGTCAGGAGTTCAAGACCAGCCTGGCCAACGTGGTGAAACCCTGTCTCTACAAAAATACAAAAAATTAGCCAGGCATGATGGCGGGTGCCTGTAATCCCAGCTACTCAGGAGGCTGGGGCGGAAGAATCACTGGAACCTGGGAGGCAGAGGTTGCAGTGAGCCAAAATCATGCCATTGCACCCCAGCCTGGGTGACAGAGTGAGACTCCATCTCAAAAAAAAAAAAAAAAAGCAAGTAAATTAAAAAAGAAAATGCAGAGATGAAAAAGCAATTGGGTGCATACCTATTGTAAGCTCTGTGTGCACAACAAGGGGACAGTTTATTGCCCCTCTGCCATCATACTAGGGACCCTGGGGATGTAAGGAAGTGAGAAATAGACCTTAATATTGGCAAAAGACTGTAGAATTCATTTGAGAATGCCAAGTAATAAGAAAATGCAAATCAGTAGCATTATTTATGTTGCATGGCAGAGTTACACAACATTTTGTTATATAGTAGATGCTACACAAAGAATGGCTGTTTATAGACATTTTATCCCATTCCTCCAGTTCCTCTAAACTCACTCTTTCAAAGCATTTGGCCCAAGTTTAATGGCTTTTTTTTTTTTTGACAGGGTATCACTCTTGTCCAGGCTGGAGTGCAGTGGCTCTATTTCAGCTCACTGTAGCCTCTGCCTCCTGGCCTCAAGCAATCCTTTCACCTCAGCCTCTCGAGTAACTGGGACCACAGGTACATGCCACCATGCCCGGCTAATATTTTGGTATTTTTTGTAGAGACAGGGTTTCACCATATTGCCCAGGCTGGTCTTGAACTCCTGGGCTCAAGAGATCCACCTGCCTCAGCCTCCCAAAGTGCTGGCATTACAGTTGTGAGCCACTGCACCTGGCCAGGCAATGTGATTTTTAAAGTGCATATTTTAATTTTTAATTTTTATTTTTTTGAGATGGAGTCTGTCTCTGTCATCCAGGCTGGAGTGCAATGGTGCAATCTTGGCTCACCGTAACCTCTGTCTCCCAGGTTCAAGCGATCCTCCTGCCTCAGCCTCCCAAGTAGCTGGGATTACAAATGTGCACCACCACACCTGGCTAATTTTTGTATTTATCAGTAGAGATGGGGTTTCAACGTGTTGGCCAGGCTGGTCTTGAACTACTGACCTCAAGTGATCCCCCCCGCCTCAGCCTCCCAAAGTGCTGGGATTACAGGCATGAGCCATCACACGTGGCCCCTAAAATGTACATTTTAAATAAATGCAATGCTGAAAATTACAGCAAGAGAGTAAGCATTGAAAATTGGGCCAGGCCGCAGTAGCTAATGCCTGCAATCCCAGCACTTTGGGAGGCCAAGGCAGGCAGATTACCTGAGGTCAGGAGTTCGAGACCAGTCTGGCCAACATGGTGAAACCCCACCTCTACTAAAAATACAAAAATTAGCCGGGCGTGGTGGCACATGCCTGTAATCCCAGCTACTCGGGAGGCTGCAGCAGGAGAATCACTGAAACCCAGGAGGTGAAGGTTGCAGTGAGCTGAGATCATACCATTGCACTCCAGCCTGGGTGACAGAGCAAGATTCCCTCTCAAAAAAAAAAGAAAAGAAAAGAAAATTGGGCCAGGCATGGTGCTGCATACCTGTAATCCCAGATTTTGGGAGGCCAATGCAGGTGAATTGCTTGAGCCCAGGAGTTCAAGACCAGCCTGGGCCACAAGGCAAAATTTCATCTCTATTAGAATAATAATAATAATAATAATAATAATAATAATAATAATAATAATACTAAAGAAAAGAAAACAAAATTGAGGCACCAAGTTTGCCCCAAGTCAATATGGAGGAGAATTTTTAAGCTTGAAGATATTTTTTGTGGTTCAAATATAGACTATCAAAATATATTTTTTAAAATGCTTTAAGATTATTCTTTTAAATGAGAAGCACCTTAGAGTAAGTCTTGCTCTGAACTGAAGAAACTTGGCAGATCTGCAGGAAATTAAAATATCTGGCACATTCACTAATATGAAGATTGGACAATTGTGTCATGAAAAAGGCTTGAAAAACATTTGTTTTTCTTGTTTTGTTTTGTTTTGTGACAGGGTCTTGCTCTGTTGCCCAGGCTGGAGTGCAGTGGTGGCACCATCCCCCAGTCTTGCTCCATCCTCCCACCTCAGCCTCTCTAGTAGCTGGGACTACAGGCACATATCACCACACTCAGCTAGTTTTTGTTTATTAGGACTTGAAATTTAAAGATCATTTAAAGTACAAATTTTAACAAAAGCAAATTTCTTTCTTAAAAGAGTAACTAAAGTTTCCTGAGTCACATGAGAGTAAATCATTTTATATCCTCTGCTTTAGTTTTTTTCTTAATTTAAGAGATATTGGACAAAAATAACATATTCAATATGTCATATTTTGGGAAATGTCAACCAGAACTGGCTTGTTGAATATGGGTTATCGTCAGTTTGAGCCAATTAATTAAAAATCTGTCCTTAATGCTAAACTCAAATAAGTTCTTGGTTTTGATACAACTTCTAGTTTTCTTCTGTTGCTCAGGTGATTTGAAATTATAATTGAGAATAAATTTGGCAAAATTAACACATAAAAGGGCATCACTGAAAACATTTTCTATTGCATAATTCCAAATGCCATGGAAGAAGTTGTCATATTTGGATAGTCACAGAACTTTAATTCCATACATACATATTTCAAAATTATCCATCTGCTTAACACCAGGAAGGGTTTCAATGGTAAGATCTTGGTGTACCCAAATGTGGGGAACTTGGTGTGATAAAATTTGCGAAATCAAAATCGTGTTTTTTCTTTAAAAACAATTAGTAGGATTAGAAAGTTATTCCAAGTCTGCAATATGGTATTATGAGAATGAGAAAACAAGGCTGGGCATGGTGGCTCACGCCTGTAATCCTAGCACTTTGGGAGGCCAAGGCGGGAGGAGGGCTTGGGCCCAGGAGTTCCAGGTAAGCCTGAGCAACAAGGTGAAACCCCATCTCTACAAAAAATTAAAAATTAGCCAGGCGTGGTGGTGCATGCCTGTGGTCTTAGCTACTCGGGAGGCAGAGGCAGGAGGAATGCTTGAGCTCAGGAGGTCAATGCTGCAGTAAGCTGTGATTGAACTCCAGCCTGGGCAACAGAGCGAGACCCTGTCTCAACAAACAAACAAACAAACAAAACAAGATAATTTATTCATGTCTTCCATACTCCTAAGTGACCACCAGGCAGAAGACACACACAGAGGTAATAAACTAAAGGTAACCCCTCAGATCCTAAAGACTGGGAGAATTTAGCTTAAGCTTTAACGTTAATTAAGTGAGATTGCTCTTTCTCACTTAAAATTGTAAGTGTTAAAAAATAACAGTGACATTCAAACACCGCCCTAAATACATTTTTATTGGGAAAGTACCTTGACGTCTTTAGTCAAAGTACTATAAACTGGCCAGGCGTGATGGCTTACGCCTGTAATCCTAGCACTCTGGGAGGCTGAGGTGCGTGGATCACCTGAGGTCAGGAGTTCCAGACCAGCTTGGCCAACATGGTGAAACCCCGTCGCTACCAAAAATACAAAAAAAAAAAAAAAAAATTAGACCAGTGTGGTGCTGGGCACCTATAATCCCAGCTACTCAGGAGGCTGAGTCAGGAGAATCACTTGAACCTGGGGGGCAGAGGTTGAAGTGAGCTGAGATCGTGCCACTGCACTACAGCCTGGGCGAAAGAGTGAAACTCTGTCTCAAAAAAAAAAAAAAAAAGTACTACGAACTACCCTAATACTAGTACTAAACTATAGTTAATAAACATCCCCTTTGATTGGTAGCAACTTTTTAATAGAATGGCTGCTGTCTTACTGGGGGAAAGTGACTGTGGTAGATTGGTCTGCAAAGATGGCCGCCAACAATTCCTTTATCCCAGTGGGTGCGTGCAGCTTTTTCTCTCAAGAAGTGGAATCTTTTTCCTCAATCCTTGAATCTGGGCCGGCCTTTGACTTGCTTTGGCTAATGGATTGCAGTGAAAATGCTGTTGCTGTTCTGGGACTTCCAAGCTGAGGTCTGGAAGTTTCTACTGTAACTCTAGGGAATACCGTCTGCCCTGTGAGAACACCCATGCCATCCTACTGGGGAAAGAGGTGAAGTAAAGGGGACCCGAGGAACCCAGATAACAGCCAGAACCCAGGCCCCACACTCATGAGGAAGTCCAGCCAACTCCACAGGAAAAGAAGCCCAGCTATCCTCACCAGTGCCCAGTCGTTGGAGCCAATTCAGCTGAAGTGACAGCCGTGTGAGGCCATCTTGGATCTGCCAGCCCCACAGGAAGCCACTAGAGCTGACACCACGTGGAACACATGTATTAGTCTGTTCTCATACTGCTGATAAAGACATACTAGAGACTGGGTAATTCATAAAGGAAAGAGGTTTAAGGGACTCACAGTTCCACATGGACTCACAATCATGGTGGAAGGCAAGGAGGAGCAAAGGCACATCTTATATGGCTGCAGGCAAGAGAGAGAATGAGAACCAAGCAAAAGGGGTTTCCCCTTATAAAACCATCAGATCTTGTGAGACTTATTCACTACCACAAGAACAGTACAGGGGAAACCGCCCCCATGATTCAGTTATCTCCCACTGGGTCCCTCCCACAACCTGTGGGAATTATGAGAGTTACAATTCAAGATGAGATTTAGGTGGGGACACAGCCAAACCATATCAATACAGAACTGCCCCTCTGAGCTCAGCCAGAGTCCCAGACCCACAGACTTATGAGCAAATAAAACAGTTGTTCCAGCCTGGGCAACATAGTGAGACCCTGTCCCTACAAAAGTAACAAAAATTAGCCAGGCATAGTGGCATCCCTGTAGTTCCCAGCTACTTGGAAGGCTGAGGTGGGATGATCACTTGAGGCCATGAGTTAGAGTCTGGAGTGAGCTGTGATTGAACCACTGCACTCCAGCCTGGATAACAGAGAAATACCCTGTCCCTATAAAATAACATAAATTAATTTTTATTTTTAAACCATTATCTTTAAATGTGGTCTGTTATGCAGCAATAGATGACTTATTAAAATGACAATTTTCTAAATCCTTAAAATTGGGATTTACAAACTCTTAAAAGTTTTTGGAGGTTGAGAAAAAAAGGCAGGTAGGTGGCCAGGTGAGGTGGCTCACTCCCGTAGTCCCCGCACTTTGCGAGGCCGAGGCGGGCAGATCACTGGAGGTCAGGAATTCGAGATCAGCCTGGGCAACATGGTGAAACCCCGTCTCTACTAAAAATACAAAAATTAGCCAGGGATAGTGGCACATGCCTATAAACCCAGCTACTCGGAAGGCTGAGGCATGAGAATTGCTTGAACCCTGGAGGTGGAGGTTGCAGTGAGCTGAGATTGCACCACTGCACTCCAGCCTGGGCGGCAAAGCGAGACTCTCTCTCTATATATATGAAGCAGGTAGAATGTAGAATGTTAATTGACCCAAGCTGACATAATATAAGAACTTTTTTTTAAGGTCCTTTTGAAAAAGCTTTATAGATGCATTTACAAACTGTTTCAGCTGCAAGTGTTTCTGTCATGAAGAGTGATTTCTTTGTAAGTTAGTTAATGTGTGACTTTGATGATAGCAGTAACAAAAGCAGTCACTGCAGTACTTAACTAATTTTCACTTGGTGTCATGTAAATGAGAAATTCCAAGTAAGCTATGTGTAAGAATGTGCAGTATTAATAACTGGGTGCCCTACTATGGCACTCCTAGACTGCAAATATGATCTATATGAAGTACACCTGATATACTTGTATAACAATAGAAATATTTATATGCATACATTCTTAGATCTAAGAGCAAAAGAAACTTAACTTATCTGGGCCCAAAAGGAAGTTTTAAGCAAGTCAAAATTTTCATTAGAATTATAAATATGACTTGTGGCCTGGTGCGGTGGCTCACGCCTGTAATCTCAGCACTTTGGGAGGCTGAGGTGGGTGGATCTCTTGAGGCCAGGAGTTCCAGACCAGCCTGGGAAACGTGTCGAAACCCAATCTCTACTAAAAATACAAAAATTAGCCGGGCATGGTGGTGCATGCCTGTAATACCAGCTACTCGGGAGGCTGAGGCAGGGGAATTGCTTGAACCCTGGACTGGGAGGCTGCAGTGAACCGAGATCGTGCCTGGGCGACATATGAAACTCTACCTCAAAAAATAAAATTAAAAAGAATTATAAATATGACTTGCAATACTGGTATTGAATTTTTAAAAACTTAGCTACCTTGTGCTACCAAGTTTGCCAGCATTTTGCCAATGGTATTATGGAAATACCACTAGCAGTTTTGTTGACAACAATATATATATATATATTTTTTTGAGATGGGGTCTCGCTCAGTTGCCCAGGCTGGAGTGCAATGGTGCAATCTCGGCTCACTGCAACCTCTGCCTCCCACGTTCAAGCGATTCTCTTGCCTCAGCCTCCCAAGTAGGGATTATAGGCATACACCACCACGCCTGGCTGATTTTTTTGTATTTGGTAGAGACAGTGTTTCACCATGTTGGTCAGGCTGGTCTCGAACTCCTGACCTCAGGTGATCCACCCGCCTCGGCCTCCCAAAGTGCTGGGATTACAGGCGTGAACCACTGTGTTCAGCCAATGTATGTATTTTTTTAACGTGCAAGATTGGGATAGTATTTTCTTTGAAAAAAGGCAATTTTAGCAGATCAAATACTAGCTATATTAGGTGTCTGTTTACTGGAAATTACATAAAAGCATTGTTAGGAAAAGAGATGAAATAAAACCAGTAATGATAACCAAATACTAAGGGGGAAGAAAGAATAGTTTATACGAGGAATATGATTAGCATAGGGCATTTCGTTCTGTAATGTAACTTGTAAATATAAGAAGAGAAAAGTGGTAAATATATAAAAAATAAGAGGGGAACAAAGTGACTTTTTATAAAAATAGACTCCTGAACACGAATGAGGAAAAGCCTAAAAATTAGTCTACTGGGTTTCTATTTTTGGCAATATTTTGAGCCAGATAATCTAAAAACTTTCATACCAATAATCATCTAGAAATGCTGGATAAGATAGAGCAAACACATTTTTTTTTTTTTTTGAGATGGAGTCTTGCTCTGTCACCCAGGCTGGAGTGCAGTGGTGTGATCTGGGCTCACTGCAGCGTCCACCTCCCAGGTTCAAGCAGTTCTCCTGCGTCAGCCTCCCTAGTAGCTGGGATTACAGGTGCGCACCACCACCCCTGGGTAATTTTTGTATTTTTAGTAGAGATGGGGTTTCATCATGTTGGCCAGGCTGGTCTCGAACTCCTGACCTCAAATGATCCACCCACCTCGGCCTCCCAAAGTGCTGGGATTACAGGTGTGAGCCACCATGCCCGGCCAGATATAGCAAACACACTCTTAAATGCCAGAAAATGGGGATAATCCTCAGGAATCAGAAAAAGAGGATGTGAAAACCAGACTTGGGTTGGGTGTGGTAGTTCATGCCTGTAATGCTGGCACTTTGGGAGGCAGGGCTGGGAGGATCTCTTGGCCCAGGAGTTCAAGACCAGCCTGGGCAACATAGCCAGACCCTGTCTCTACAAAAACATTTTTAAAAAAACTAGTCTCAGCTTTCAGGAGGCTGAGGCAGGAGGATCACTTGAGCCTAAGAAGGTTGAGGCTGCAGTGAGGTATGATTGCAATACTGCACGCCAGCCTGGGTGACAGGAGACTCTGTCTCTACAAGCAAACAAACAAACAAAAACAGAACTGTGAGGATGAACTGGGTCCTTATGGAGGTGAAAGGGGTTGGAAGGGTTTTGTTTTTTGTTTTTTTTTTTTTTGAGAAGGAGTCTCGCTCTGTCACCCAGGCTGTAGTGCAGTGGCGCAATCTCGGTTCACTGCAAGCTCCAACTTCCGGGTTCACGCCAGTCTCCTGCCTCAGCCTCCCGAGTACCTGGGACTACAGGCACCCGCCACCATGCCCGGCTAATTTTTTTTGTATTTTTAGTAGAGATGGGGTTTCACCGTGTTAGCTAGGATGGTCTCAATCTCCTGACTTCATGATCCGCCCGCCTCGGCCTCCCAAAGTGCTAGGATCACAGGCATGAGCCACAGCACCCAGCTGGAGTTTGAGTTTTAAAAGTTCCTACAGGGAGGGGACAAGGCTTTGGTGGGACTAGAACTACAACCTCCACCCAAATAAGGACCCTCAAAGAGTTACACCCTTAAGGAAAATGGTCGTAAAAATCTGTCCACCCAGTGTGGGGAAATGACAAGGAAGCTTATCTGTCTTATTCTGGGTCCTAGGTGGAAAAAACTCCCCCTCTACATTTGTCACGATTATACTCTCAGTTATAAATTGAGCACGTTCTGGGCATCTAATGTGCACTATGGCGGGTGAGGGATGTGTTAATTAATTTGATTGTGACAATCATTTTATATCGTATACATACATCAAATCATCATGTTGTATGCCTTGAATATGTATGCACAATCTTTATTTGTTGTTTTTTGTGCTTTTTTTTTTTTTTTTTTTTTTGAGACAGGGTTTCTCTCTGTCACCCAGATTGTAGTGCCATGGTGAGATCTCAGCTCACTTCAACCTCTGCCTCCTGGGTTCAGGTGATCCTCCCATCTCAGCCTCCTGAGTAGCTGAGACTACAGGTGTCTGCCACTATGCCTAGCTAATTTATTTTTTTTTCTTTTTGCCTGGGCGCAGTGGCTCAAGCCTGTAATCCCAGCACTTTGGAGGCCGAGGAGGGTGGATCACTTGAGGCCAGGAGTTCAAGACCAGCCTGTCCAACATGGCAAAACCCTGTCTCTACTAAAAATACAAAAATTAGCCAAGCATGGTGGCACATGCCTATAATCCCAGCTACTTGGGAGGCTGAGGCATGAGAATTGCTTGAACCCACGAGGCAGAGGTTGCAGTGAGCCAAGATCACGCCATTGCACTCCAGCCTGGGTGACAAAGCGAGGTCTCACTATATTGCCCAGGCTGGTCTGAAACTCCTAGGCTCAAGTGATCCCCCTGCCTCAGCCTCCCAAAGTACTGGGATTACAAGTGTGAGCTACCACACCCAGCCAATCTTTATTTGTTAATTAAATATTTTAGAATGAGAAAACAAGACTATACTCACACAGATTTGGAGTTCAAATTTATGCTATGGAAACCCCAAGCCAAGAAATTAACTAAACACAAACTTGGAAATGACAAAGCTTCAGCCTAGATGTGTGGGATTCCCACATATAGAGATCTACATGTTTGAAATTACAAAGCACACAAGGGAACACTCCACCATGAGCAAGAGGCAGTAGAAATAAACATTGGATCTCAATTACTTCAGATGACTGGATTATAAAAGACTCATTTAAAATAAATGGGTTGACAATGATAGAGCCATAAATAAATTAATAAATATTAGAAAATAATTGCATCTCTTAAAATGTATAAGGCACTTTTGAGAAAGAAACTAGAATACTTTTATTTTGGTAAGTGATTGGTGTCTTTCTTATCATTGTCATTGGAACCAAATATTCAACATGTGACTGCACCTACGTGCTTGGGTATTATCTAGAAGCAGTAAAATTTCCCAATGAGTCACTCAGCATCACTGGTTCAGCAAAAAAATTATTGACATCTGCAATGTGCCACCCACTGTGACACATTGCGCTAGGGATATAGCGGGTAAAGGAGACAGACCCTCCTTTTGTCTGCATGGAGAATTGCAGACAAAACAGACATTGAGTAAGTTAATTACAAGTGTGAAGATGCATGGACAAGGGTGAAGGAAAGTCAAAGAAGACCCTGGGGAAGTGATATTTCAATGGAGACTTGAAGAATGAGTAGCATTTAGCCTGGTGATGAGGGAGTAGAGAAAGTTATCCAGACAAAGAGGAGAGTGTGTTGGAAGATCCAGATTCAAGACAGGCTGATGCACTTGAAAGTCTAAAGACCAATAAGGTTGAGTGAAGAGAGCCTGTGGGTCATTGGATGTATGTGTAGATTGTCACAATGCAAGGTTTTTTGGGCCAGATTCTGAACAACCTCGTATGCTAGGCTAAGCAGTTTAGATTTGAATCTATCCTGTAGGCAATAGACAAGGGGAAAATTTGGGATAGGAGAGATTGTCGCACTTATGGGTTTTTTTTCGTTGTTGTTGTTGTTGTTGTTTGACACAGGGTCTCGCTCTGTCACCCATACTGTCACAATGGGTGCAGTGGCACAATCATAGCTCACTGCAGCCTCAAACTCTTGGGCTCAAGTGATCCTTTCACCTCAGCCTCCTGAGAAGCTGGGACTACAGGCACGCACCACCACACCTAGCTGTTTTTAAAAAAGTTGTCGTAGAGACAGGGTCTCACTATGTTGCCCAGGCTGGTCTGGAACTCCTGGCCTCAAGTGAACCTCCCAACTTGGCTTCCCAAAATGCTAGGATTATAGGTGTGAGTCACTGCACCTGGCCCAGATGATTTAATAAGGGGTAGACCTGTCACTCTTCAAGGTTGTTGTAACCAGGACTTAAACTACAAAAGGAAGTTAGTACTCTGCAAATTTTGGGGGACAACACTTGAAACAATTTTGATGAACGTCAATAGGGGAATTAAACAGTTAAAGGGAAACTAGCTTGAAACTAGATCCACTGTGCATTCATAAATGGAAAAACAAGAGCATATTCCCATTTCTAAAAAGCGAAAATAGACCAGGCATGGTGCACAACTGGTAATCCCAGCTACCTGTGAGGCTGAGGCAGGAGAATCACTTGAGCCTGGGAGGCAGAGGTTGCGGTGAGCTGAGATTGCACCACTGCTCCAGCCAGGGCAACAGAGCAAGACTCTGTCTCAAAAAAAAAAATTGATGTCAAGAAATTGCAGTATAACTTCCTTATTTAGAAGCATGGCGGTAAGTACCAGGTGAAAAGGTATAAGGTTTGAGGGTGGCTGCCTCTGGGGAGCAGGACATGAAAGATAGGCTGGGGAAGGATAGGATTGGAGAGTCTTTTAAATAATACACTTTGCAACCATGTTATTATTATTATTATTTTGAGACGGAGTTTCTCTCTTGTTGCCTAGACTGGAGTGCAATGGCGCCATCTCAGCTCACCACAACCTCTGCCTCCCGGATTCAAGCGATTCTCCTGCCTCAGCCTCCCCGGAGTAGCTGGGATTACAGGCGCCCGCCACCATGCCGGGCTAATTTTTGTATTTTGTATTTTTAACTGACCTCAGGTGATTCCCCCCGCCTCAGCTTCCCAAAGTGTTGGGATTACAGGCGTAAGCCACCACACCCAGCCAGGAACCATGTTATTTTGAATACATCATTTAATACTTTGAAGATAGTGATATATACTATGTGTGACTACAGTAATGAGCTAGTAAATAACATATCTATATCTATATATCTATATCTATATCTATATATAGAGAGAGACAAAGTCTCACTCTGTCACCTGGGTTGGAGTGCAGTAGTGTGAACACAGCTCACAGCAGCCTCCACCTCCCAGACTTAAGTGATCCTCCCACCTCAGCCTCCTAAGTAGCTGGGACTATAGGCATGTGCCACCATGCCTGGCTATTTTTTTTTTATTTTACATTTTTTGTAGAGATGGAGTTTTGCCATGTTGTTCGGGCTGGTCTGAAACTCCTGAGCTCAGGCAATCCACCCTCCTTGGCATTCCAAAGTGTTAGCATTACAGGTATGAGCCACTGCACCTGGCCAATAATATTTTCAAATTTAAAAAATTAATTAAAACTTGCTTTGGTGCACATTTATCAATGGTTAGAATATTCTCAGGAAATCAAAGATTTGGCAAAATGTTTTCAGCACAGTGGTCAAGCATGTAGACATTGGACTCTGACAGCTCGCCTTTTAGCCTCAGCTCTGCCATATGCTGTGTGAACGTGGACAAATCACTTAACTTCTCTGAGCCTTTTTTTTTTTTTTGCTTGCAGAATGGGGATAATAATAATCACATTGTTATAACAATGTCATAGGAATGTTTTGAGAATTAAATGAGATAAAAATAACAATACCTAATTAATTGTGCAAAGCACTTTATACATGTTATTTCATTATTATTTATTTATTTATTTATTTATTTATTTTTTTGGAGACTGTGTCTCGCTTTGTCACCCAGGCTGGAGTGCAGCGGCGTGATCTTGGTTCACTGCAACATCTGCCCCCTGGGTTCTCCTGCCTCAGCCTCCTGAGTAGCTGGGATTACAGGCACCCGCCACCACGCCTGGCTAATTTTTGTATTTTTAGTAGAGATAGAGTTTCACCATATTGGCAGGCTGGTCTTGAACTCCTGACCTCAGGTGATCCACCTGCCTCAGCCTCCTGAAGTGCTGGCATTACAGACGTGAGCCACCACGCCTGTCCTTGCCCAGCTAATTCTTGTATTTTTAGTAGAGACGGGGTTTTGCTATGTTGGCCAGGTTGGTCTCAAACTCCTGACCTCAGGCAATCCACCCACCTCAGCCTCCCAAAGTGCTCATTTTAGGCATGAGCCACTGTGCCTAGCCTTATATGTATTGTCTTATTGAATCCTTGTAATCTGTCAGCTTTGTGAAGAGCATAGTTATCACAGTGTCTAGTTTTTAAATTATTAACTGTTTAATAAACATTAGCAGAATTCTGTTTGTATTTTTATGGAAATGAAGATGAATAGGAGAAACAGTGAAAAAAGACAGACAAACCCAGTAACATTCTGCTTATTTTGAGACCCGATTTCCAATATCGTTTGTTCTCTTATTGCACATAGTGTTGAACCTGCAATTAGAAGAAAAATATTCCCAGATCATCAAAGTTCTGTTTAAAAGTAACACTCTTTGGTGTAGTATCAATTTTTTTTAATTATGGTAAAATATACTTGACATGAAATTTATCATTTTAGGCAGGGTGCAGTGGCTCACACCTGTAATTCCTGCGCTTTGGGAGGCCAAGGTGGGCAGATCGCCTGAGGACAGGAGTTCAAGACCAGCCTGGCCAACATGGTGAAGCCCTGTCTGTACTGAAAATACAAAAAATAGCCAGGCAGGGTGGTGGGTGCCTGTGATCCCAGCTACTCGGGAGGCTGAGGCAGGAGAATCACTTGAACCTGGTAGGCAGAGGTTCCAGTGAGCTGAGATTGTGCCACTGCATTCCAGCCTGGGCAACAGAGCAAGACTCTGTCTCAAAAAAAAAAAAAAAAAGGAATTTACCATTTTAACCATGTTATTATTTATTTATTTATAATTTCAACTTTTATTTTAGATTCAGAGGTACATGTGCAAGTTGGTTACGTGAGTATATTGTGTGATGCTGAGGTTTGGGGCACAAATGATCCCATCACCCATGTGTGAGCATAATCACCAATAGGCAGTTTTTCAGCCCTCACCCTCCTCGTTCTCTCCCTCCTCTAGTAGTCCCCAGTGTGTATTTTTCCGATCTTCATGTCTATGTGTGCTTGTTTAGCTTCTGCTTATATGTGAGAAACTGCAGTATTTGGTTTTCTGTTCCTGCATGAATTCACTTAGCGTAATGGCCTCCAGCTGTGTTCGTATCACTGCAAAGGACATGATTTTGTTATTTTTTATGAGTGTGTAGTATTCCCTGGTGTATATATACCACACTTTCTTTATCCAGTCCTCCATTGATGGGCACCTAAGTTGTGTCCATGTCTTTGCTATTGTTAATAGTGCTGCAATGAACATATAAGTACGTGTGTCTTTGTTTCGCCATGTTGACCAGGCTGGTCTCGAACTCCTGCCCTCAGGTGATCCACCTGCCTCGGCCTCCCAAAGTGCTGGGATCACAGGTGTGAGCCACCATGCCCAGCCCTGGACTTTTTCATAATAGCCATTCTGACTGGAGTGAGATAGTATCTCCTTGTGGCTTTGATTTGCATTTCTCTGACGATTAGTGATGTCGAGCATTTCGTCCTATGTTTGTTGGCTGCTTGTATGTCTTCATTTGAGAAGCGTATGTTCATGTCCTTTGCCCGCTTTTTAATGAGGTTGTTTTTCGCTTGTTGAATTCTTCAAGTTCCTTACAGATTCTGGATAGCAAACTTTCGCTGGATGCATTTTAACCATTTTAAAGTACATTCATGGCTGGGCATTTTGGCTCACACCTGTAATCCCAGCACTTTGGGAGGCCAAGGTGGGCAAATCAGCTGAGCTCAGGAGTTTGAAATCAGCCTGGCCAACATGGTCAAACCCGGTCTCTACCAAAAATACAAAAATTAGCCAGGCGTGGTGGCACGTGCCTGTGATCCCAGCTACTTGGGAGGCTGAGGCAGAAGAATCACTTGAACCGGGAGGTGGAGGCTGCAGTGAGCTGAGATCTTGCCACTGCACTCCAGCCTGGGCAACAAGAGTGAAACTGTCTCAAAAAAAAAAAAAAAAAAAAAAAAAAAGGGCCAGGCACAGTGGTGTCTCATGCCTGTAATCCCAGCACTTTGGGAGGCTGAGGCAGACCGATCTCGAGGACTGGTGTTTAAGACTAGCCTGACCAACATGGTGAAACCTGTCTCTACTAAAAATACAAAACTTAGCCAGGCCTGGTGGCGTGCGCTTGTAATCCCAGCTACTCAGGAGACTGAGGCAGGAGAACTGCTTGAACCTGGGAGGCGGAGGTTGCAGTGAGCTGAGATTATGCCACTGCGCTCCAGCCTGGGTGACAGAGCGAGACTCCATCTAAAAAGAAAAAAACAACAACATAGTGCTGGGTGCGGTGGCTCAAGCTTGTAATCCCAGCACTTTGGGAGGCTGAGGCAGGCAGATCACCTGAGGTCAGGAGTTCAAGACCAGCCTGATCAAAATGGCGAAACCCCGTCTCTACTAAAAATGCAAAAATTAGCCAGGTATGGTGGTGTGTGCCTGTAGTCACAGCTACTCGGGAGGCTGAGACAAGAGAGTTTCTTAAACATGGGAGGTGGAGGTTGCAGTGAGCCAAGATTGTGCTACTGCACTCCAGCATGGGTGACAGAGTGAGACTCCATCTCAATAAATAAATAAATAAATAAATAAACAAACACACTGGGCGCAGTGGCTCACGCCTGTAATCCTAGCACTTTGGAAGGCTGAGACAGGTGGATTGCCTGAGTTCAGGAGTTCGAGACCAGCCTGGGCAACACAGTGAAACCTCATCTCTATTAAAATACAAAAAAAAAAAAAAAACCCCACAAAAAACTAGCCAGGCATGGTGGCATGCGCCTGTCATCCCAGCTACTCAGGAGGCTGAGACAGGCATATGTTTTGAACCCAGGAGGCACAGGTTGCAGTGAGCTAAGATTGCACCTTTGTGCTGCAGGCTGGGCGACAGAGAAAAGACTATCTCAAAAAAATATAATAAAATAAATAAAATAAAGTACATTTATGATGTTGTGCAAGCATCACTACCATCCACTCCAGAACATTTTCATCTTCCCAAATTGGACTCTCTTAAACACTAACTTTCCTTCATTTTCCTGCCCGTTCCTGGCCACCATCATTCTACTTTCTGTCTCTATGATTTTGACTACTCTAGTACCTCATATAAAAAAAATCATACAGTATTGGTGTTGTGTGTGTGTGTGTGTGTGTGACTGGCTTATTCCACCTAGCATAATGTCCTTGTATTAGGCCATTCTTGCATTGCTATAAAGAAATACCTGAGACTGCGTAAGTCGTAAGAAAAGAGATTTGTCTGGCTCATGGTTCTGCAGGCTGTACAGGAAGTATGGCAGCCTCTGCTTCGGGGGAGGCCTCAGGAAGCTTCCAATCATCTGGAAGGCAAAGGGGGAGCAGGCACATCACAGGGAGAAAGCAGGAGTGAAAGAGAGAGAGAGCGAGAGAGGGAGGAGAGGTGCCACACACTTTTAAACAACCAGATCTCAGGAGAATTCACTCTCTGTCACAGATAGCACCAAGAGGATGGTGCTAAAGCATTCATGATAAACTGTTTTCATAATCTAATCACCTCCCACCAGGCCCCACCTCCAACATTAGGGATCTCATTTCTTTTTTGGTGGGAGGTTACATTTCAACATGAGATCTGAGTGGGACAAATATCTAAACTATATCAGTCCTCAAGGTTTATCTATGTTATACTGTAGAATTTCCTACCTTTTTAAAGGCTGAATAATATTCCATTATATGTATTTTATATATTTAATCCATTGATGAACATTTGAGTTGTTTCCAACTTTTTGTTTTGTTTTGTTTTTTTGAGATGGAGTCTCGCTCTGTCACCCAGGCTGGAGTGCAGTGGCACGATTGTGGCTCACTGCAACTTCCACCTCCCGGGTTCAAGTGATAGCTGGGACTACAGGCATGCACTACCATGCCTGGCCAATTTTTTTGTATTTTTAGTAGAGATGGGGTTTCACCATGTTGGCCAGGCTGGTCTCGAACTCCTGACCTCAGGTGATCCACCTGCCTTGGCCTCCCAAAGTGCTGGGATTACAGGGGTGAGCGACCGCGCCTGACCGTTTCCAACTTTTGGTTCTTGCATATAATGCTGTATGGACCTTGGTGACTGGTACACAAATATCTGTCCAAGTCTTTGTTTTCAGTTCTTTTGGGTATGTACCCAAAAGTGGAACAGCTAGATCACATGATAATTCTATGTTTCGTGTTTTGAGGAACCGCCATACTGTTTTTTGTAGTGGTTGTACCATTTTACATTCCCACTGGCAATGCACAAAGGCTCTAATTTCTCTGCTTCACCAACTAACACTTGTGTTTTTGCACATACATCCTTGTGTCCATGTGGAACAGACCCCTTGGCATAGATTTTTTAGAAGTGGAATTGATGGGTCAAATGTTATATATATCTTAAATTTTGATGCATCTAACAAATTGCCCTCCAAAAAGTTTGTACCAATTGATACCCCCACCATTAGTGCAGGAGAGTGCTTATTTGCTGTATCCTCGACAACCTTAAATAACATTACACTTTTTAGTATTTGCTATGCTGATGGACAAAAATATCTTGTTGCTTTAATTAATATTTTTCCGATGACTAGTGAAGTATATTTTGCATTTTTATTTGCTACCTATGTAATGTTGCCATACTTGACTTAATCCATTCTCTATTGGTGGACACTTAGCTTGGTTCTCAGCCCACTGCATATTCAAGATGGCCAAGAAGGAGGGCGAATATGGGAAGTTGTTTGAAATATGTCCAAATGACAAGAAAGTGACTATGGAAGCATTCAAAAATGATAACCGTGAGTCATCCAGTAGTTACACTGCATTTAGGAAGTAGAACAGTGCTTTACAAAGAGTACTAGTAAAAGTGGTTAAAAATATAAAGCCTTGGTAATTTTTAAAAGCTGCCATTTGTTGAACATTAACTATGTGTCCTCCACTGTGGTAGGGCTTTTCATACATCATTTTATTTCATCTTGGCTTAAACAAGCATCAGCTTATTTTATAGCTGTGAAAAAACTAAGGTTTCTGGAGACTTGCTTAAGTTCACAGTGAGTAAGTGGGTGGTCAGATCCTAACCCAAATCCTTTTGATGCGCTCACCCTTTGAGAATGACATCTGAGAGAAGTTCTAAATTTTCATGGCAACAGAATTATGGACTACATGAACCATGACTACCAGTGGTGTCTCCAGTCGCCTGGGGTCATTTTTAGTTTTGTTCTTTTTTTTTTTTTTTTTTTGCAAATGCAGAGTCAGTAAACTTTCAAAGACTTCATTGAAGTTCTCCACAAAGCATAAGCTGTGACTCACTAGGAAATGATTTTAGGTGGTGCTTAGACCCAACATTAAATGACATTGAATCACCCAAGGGGGAGGTGATTCCCCTTTTAATTCCCTTCCAATCATTTCATCAAGGAGAAAGTCTCCATGTGGTGTTAGTGAGCCTGTAATACCTCTCTAGCCCTTGCTGAGTTTCTTTTTCTTTTTCTTTTTTTTTTTTTTTTGAGATGGAGTCTCACTCGGTCACCCAGGCTGGAGTGCAGTGGTGTGATCCTGGCTCACTGCAACCTCCACCTCCAGGTTCAAGTGATTCTCATGCCTCAGCTTCCTGAGTAGCTGGGATTACAGGCATGCATCATCACGCCTGGCTAATTTTTGTATTTTTAGTAGAGATGGGGTTTCGTCATGTTGGCCAGGCTGGTCTCAAACTCCTGGCCTCAAGTGATCCGCCCGCCTCAGCCTCCCAAAGTGCTGGGATTACAGGTATGAGTCACCATGCCCGGCCAGCCATCTTCTCACTGTACCCTCACATGGTGGAAGGGGCAAGGGATCTCTCTGGGGCCTCTTTTATAAGGGCACCAGTCTCCAAGCTCCACCCTCATGACCTAACACCTCCCAAATTCGCCCCTCTAATATGCCATCACCTAGGGGGTTAGGATTTTAATATATGAATTTTGTGGGAACATAAACATTCGGACCATAGCTGCTGGATTCAGTAGGTCTGGAGTGTGTCACCTGCGATTCTGCAAGTTTCATATGCAACCCAGGTGCTTCTGGTACAACTGATATGACATTTTAAGAAATTGTGAGGCCAGGCGTGGTGGCTCACACCTGTAATCCGAGCACTTTGGGAGGCTGAGGCGGGTGGATCACCTGAGGTCAGGAGTTTGAGACCAGCCTAGGCAATATGGTGAAACCTCGTCTCTACTAAAAACATAAAAAATGAGCCAGGCGTGGTGGGGGCACCTGTAATCCCAGCTACTCCTGAGGCTGAGGCAGGAGAATATCCTGAACCTGGGAGGGGGAGGTTGTAGTAAGCTGAGATTTTACCATTGTACTCCAGCCTGGGCAACAAGAGCGAAACTCTGTCTCAATTAAAAAAAAAAAGAGAAATTCTGAACCAGACCTTCCCATTTTAACCCAATTTCGATATATTTTTTTTCTTTTTTGAGACGAGGTCTTGCTCTGTCACCCAGGCTAGAGTGCAGTAACATGATCTCAACTCACTGCAACCTCCATCTCCCAAGGCTCAAGCAATCCACCCACCTCAGTCCCTGGAGTAGCTGGGACCACAAAGGTGCACTACCACTCCAGCTAATTTTTGTGTTTTTTGTAGAGATGAGCTTTCACCATGTTGCCCAGGCTGGTCTTGAACTCCTGGGTTCCAGCAATCTGCCTGCCTTGGCCTTCCAAAATGCTGGGATTACAGGTATGAGTCATAGCACCCAGCCAAATTTTTTAATAGATTGGCAAGAATGCTAGCTGGATATAAATCTGTCATGCCACAGATATGCTTCTGCCTCTATAGTGGGTTTTGTTGCCAGGCGGCAGCAGTTACATGTAATTTTCAGGCAGTATTCTAAGCACTTTACACATGTTTAATCCTCGGTACAACCCTTTGAAGCAGGTTCTATTATTACCCTCATTTTACAGGTGAGGAGACTCAGATGCAGGAGATGAGACCACTAGCCTGAGGTCACAAAGTCAGGAAGTGGCAGAGCTGGGATTTGAACTCAAGCCCTCTGGCTTAGGGCCAATATTCCTACCTGCAATGCTCAACTTCCTCTCCTGGATCCCCACCTCTATTTGTGATGATGAAAGTTCATCACCCCCTCCAATTCTGCAACTTCTTGTCCTTCTAGCCTGTCAGTCTGATTTCAATCCTATCATTGACAATCAGACTATGTGCAATCAGAAATTTATCAATATTTGAATTGGATGAATTAATGAATCAGTGACATCCCAGGATTGAGGACTATAAACTTTCTAGTTCAATGCAAATCATGGGCTAGGTCTGTCTTGAAAAAAGAAAAGCCAACATGTGTATTTCCTATGATGAAAATAAAAAGTGTTCTCCATTTACCAAGAAAACTAACCCGGTAACTGATTTCTGATTCTGTGCAGAAAAGCACAAAACAGGAAAATCTGTGACCTGCTTAGCTCAGCATTTCTCAGTTCCTCCCCCCATTTTTTTTCCAGAGAAAAGGAAAATTGAAAACTTGCAGAAGATCCTTGTAAAGGACCTTCGGTTCATTTTGTCAGACTGGAGTATGGGGAGAGTTCTTAATAAACCCTGGGTCTGTACCTTTCAGAAGGCAATCAAATTTGGGATGATTTGAGCTCATCTGGGACTCTATGGGCTCTTTTGTCCTCACACTACATGCATTTCTTTTTTCTTTTTCTTTTTGCCAAGTCACAGATGGGTGCTGGAAGCCGAGTCAACACTGTGCCACAAGGCGAGATGCAGACAGCTGTGATGAGGTACAAAGAGGAGGCACTTTCTGCTTTCACCGACCAGGCAGACAACCCACATGGGAGCTGCAGGGCAGATGCAGGCTTCCTCTCTGACTAGGGCACAGCTGGCTGCAGGAAAGGTCTGTATTAGAGTAGAAAGCATACCTTGAATATGTCCAGCCTATGGCACGGGTTTTGCTTTTTCTTCCAGCAGTTGTTATCATGTACCATGGAAGAGCTCCGGTGTGCTGGGAGAGAGCTCACAGGCAGGAGCACGTGGACGATGCATGTCCAGGGTATCAGCCATTGTGTCACGGTTGCACTTTAAGAAGGGGTGACCGGCCGGGCGCGGTGGCTCACGCCTGTAATCCCAGCACTTTGGGAGGCCGAGGCGGGCGGATCACGAGGTCAGGAGATCGAGACCATCCCGGCTAAAACGGTGAAACCCCGTCTCTACTAAAAATACAAAAAATTAGCCGGGCGTAGTGGCGGGCGCCTGTAGTCCCAGCTACTTGGGAGGCTGAGGCAGGAGAATGGGGTGAACCCGGGAGGTGGAGCTTGCAGTGAGCCGAGATCCCGCCACTGCACTCCAGCCTGGGCGACAGAGCGAGACTCCGTCTCAAAAAAAAAAAAAAAAAAAAAAAAAGAAGGGGTGACCACTTGGAAGAGCGCACGTGTATTTACATGACAAACCATGTAAATTACATGGCTCATGCCTGTAATCCCAGCACTTTGGGAGGCCGAGGCGGGTGGATCATTTGAGGTCAGGAGTTCGAGACCAGCCTGGCCAACATGGTGAAACCGTCTCTACTAAAAATACAAAAATTAATACCAGCTCCTTGAGAGGCTTTGGCAGGAGAATCGCTTGAACCTGGGAGGCGAAGGCTGCAGTGAGCCAAGATCGTGCCACTGCACTTCAGCCTGGGTGTCAGAGTGAGACTGTCTCAGAAAAAAAAAAAAAAAAAAAGAATATAGCACACTATGGACTAGAGTCGTTAACACCAGTTAAACAAGTGTGGGGTAACTTTCAGATTTTATGAGATTCTTTAGATGCTGTTTTTCTTAAATAATTGAATAAATAAATACTATATATTTTTTAGAGACTGGGTCTTGCTCTTTCGTTCAGGCTGGAGTGTGGTGGCGTGATCATAGCTTATTCTAGCCTCAAAATCCCGGGCTCAAGCGATACTCCTGTCTCAGCCTCCTGAGTAGCTGGGATTACAGGTATGCACCACCATGCCTGGCTAATTTTTAATTTTTAAAATTTTTGTAGAGACAGGGGTGGGGAGGTCTCATTATGTTGCTCAGTCTGGTCTCAAACTCTTGAGCTCAAGTGATCCTCCCACCTCAGCCTCACAAAACATTGGGATTACAGGCATGAGCTACAGCCAAATGCTGTATGTGATAATGAATCAACAGATTCTCCTCCAAAAAAAAAAAATCTGAAAATAGATTATTCATATGTTTCTTGTATCTGCCAAGATGCCTGGTGGGCAGCTGAAGATAGAATGTATCTGTAAAGGTATATACCAAGAACAACAAAACACACTTGAGTTGAAACTAGAAAGATTTTTTTTTTT
The DNA here is from genome assembly GCF_000001405.40 of Homo sapiens. Taxonomy (NCBI): domain Eukaryota; kingdom Metazoa; phylum Chordata; class Mammalia; order Primates; family Hominidae; genus Homo; species Homo sapiens. The sequence goes on along the minus strand of NC_000012.12, from coordinate 117,982,822 downwards.
TTTTGAGACAGAGTTTTGCTCTTGTTGCCCAGGCTGGAATGCAATGGCGCAATCTCGGCTCACTGCAACCTCTGCCTCCCGGGTTCAAGCAATTCTCCACCCTCCCCCCGGCCTCCCAAAGTGCTGAGATTACAGGCGTGAGCCACCATGCCAGCGAAACTACAAAGATTCTTCTGTGTAGTTGGGTCCTTGTCATCTGAGGCCAACAGAAGACAATTTTTTAAACGGAAGTTGGGGCCGGGTGCGTGGCTCATACCTATAATTCCAGCACTTTGGGAGGCCGAGGCGGGTGGATCACTGGAGGTCAGGAGTTCAAGACTAGCCTGGCGAACATGGTGAAACCCTGTCTCTACTAAAAATACAAAAAATTAGCCGGGTGTGATGGCGGGCGCCTATAATCTCAGCTGCTCAGGAGGCTGAGGCAGGAGAATTGCTTGAACCTGGAGGCAGAGGTTGCAGTGAGCCGAGATCACACCACTGCACTCCAGCCTGGGGGACAAAGCGAGACTCTGTAAGTAAGTAAGTAAGTAAATAAATAAACAAAAGGAAGTTGGCTGAGCACCGCTGCTGGCTAACATGGAGAAACCCCATCTCTACTATAAATACAAAAATTACCTGGGCGTGGTGGCGGATGCCTGTAATCCCAGCTACTCGGGAGTCTGAGGCAGGAGAATCGCTTGAATCTGGGAGACGAAGGTTGCCGTGAGCAGAGATGGTGCCACTGCACTCCAGCCTGGGTGACAGAGCAAGACTTTGTCTCAAATAAATAAATAAATAAATGGAAGCTGTAAAGTGGTCATTTTCAAGTTTGGCTACACATTAGAATCACCGGGGAGTTTTGAAAAATTTTGATGCCTGGGTTGTACCCCAGACCAGATAAATCAGAATCTTTAGCAGGTAGGATCCGGGCATTGATAGTTTTTAACATTTCCTTGGCTGGGCACGGTGGCTCACACCTGTAATCCCAGCACTTTGGAAGGCCAAGACAGAAGGCTGCTTTGAGCCTTGGAATTGGAGATCACTCTGAGCAACACAGGGGAGACCCTGGTTCTACAAAAAATAAAATAAAAAATAAAAAATAAATAAATAAATAGCTAGGCGTGGTGCCACACACCTGTATTCCCAGTTACTTGGGAGGCTGAAGTGGGAAGATCACTTGAGCCCAGGAGGTCGAGGTTGCAGTGAGCTGTGATCACGCCATTGCACTCCAGCCTGGGCGACAGAGCAAGACCCTGTATCAAAGAAAAAAATCAAGTTTCCCAGGTGATTCCTGAGTGCAGCTAAAGTGATGAGCTGCTGCTTTAAGGGGAAATTTTCTTACCCCTTTCAAGGTAAAGACTTCAACAGTCATATAGCATTTCGGGTGAAATGGTAACCCACTGACATCTCATTTAGAAAGGAATAAAAATGGAAGTCACCATGCGTTTTGTTTCATTTCTATACTTGATTATCTATCTGTCTTCTAATTGTTCTGTGCAAGTACTGGAAATTCTACACTTTAGTGCCTATGGGGTCCAGGCAGTCACAGCAGAGGTGGGAGGGAGCCAAAGTGAGGGTTGGGGGAAGGGGATTAAAAGAACTGGAAAGCATCTGTCCCCAAGGAGAGAAGCCACTCCACCCCCATCCTGATGTTGCCAGCGGGAAACGCAGCTCAAGTGGAGCCAGATTTTGGGATTTTTTCAAAATAAACTAGTGGTCAGAATTTTTAGGTGAAACATCCCATTTCCTAAATGTTAGCAGCAAACTCAGACTCTTTTAAAACTCCGTGTAGCCAAATGAAACTCATGTGTAGGCTAAATTTGACCCTGAGGGCTGCCTGTTAGTGTATCTAGTTAATAAACCCTTTGAGAGGCAGGGTTCACTCTTTTAAAAATTATTCTTACATTTTTATTGTGGTAAAATACGCTTACGAAATGTATCATTTAACCGAAGTATACAATCTGTGGCATTAAGCACATTCATATTGTGCAATCATCACCACTATATAGTTCCAGAAGTTTTTCATTACCCAATACCCATTTAGCAGTCGCTCCCCACCCTCCTTCCCCTGCCCCCTGGCAACCACTAATCTGCTTTCCATCTGGATGGATTTGCCTATTCTGAATATTTCATAAAAGACCTGTACAGTGAGGTCTTCTGTGACTGGCTTCTTTCACTTAGCATAGTGTTTTCAGGGTTCATCCATATGGTAGCATGTATCAGAACTTCCTTTTGATGGCTGAATATTATTCCATTGTATATATGGGCCATTTTTTCTTTATCCATTCATTCATCAATGGACATTTCTTTTTCTTTCTTCTTCTTCTTCTTCTTTGTTTTTTTTTTGACACAGTCTTGCTCTGTCGCCCAGGCTGGAGTGCAGTGGCATGATCTTGGCTCACTGCAACCTCTGCCTCCCGGGTTCAAGCGATTCTCCTGCCTCAGCCTCCAGAGTAGCTGGGATTACAGGTGCGCACCACCACACCCAGCTAATTTTTGTATGTTTAGTAGAGACGGGTTTCGCCATGTTGGCCAGGCTGGTCTCAAACTCCTGACCTCAGGTGATCCGCCAGTCTCGGCCTCCTAAAGTGCTGGGATTACAGGTATTAGCCACTGTGCCTGGCCCACTGATGGACATTTGGATTGTTTCCACCTTTTGGTTATTGTGAATAGTACTGTCATGAACATTCATGTATGAGTTTTCTTTGCATGCTGGGATCCTTCATACATAACAGTGTGTGCTCTGGTAGCACCGATCCCAATTCCATGCACACTCTAGGTGCTCGTGAACTGGGGACTTATCTCTAGGATGGAGAAGTTGTCCCAGTTTGCCTTCATCTGTCCCAGCTTTAGCATTGGAGGTCCCACATCTTAGAAACCCCCTTAGTCCCAGGTAAACCAGGATGACTGGTCACCCTGTAGTGTCTTGGCTTAAGCTAATCAGTGAAATATCCCAGTTCAGAGTCAAGGTATGAGACTGCCACATGTGATTCACCAACATAATCCTTCTTAAGATAGAATCTGATAGATTAGTATTTCAGTTTCAACTTTAAAAATAATTGTGACAAGGCTGGGCGCAGTGGCTCACGCCTGTAATTTCAGCACTTTGGGAGGCTGAGGAGGGTGGATCACTTGAGGTCAGAGTTCGAGTTTGAGACCAGCCTGGCCAACATGGCAACCAGAAACTCTGTCTCTATTAAAAAATTAGCCAGGCGTGAGGGGCACACCTGTAATCCCAGCTTCTCGGGAGGCTGAGGCAGGAGAATTGCTTGAACCCAGGAGGCAGAGGTTGCAGTGAGCCAAGATCATGCCACCGCATGCTAGCCTGGTGACAGAGCGAAACCCCATCTAACAAAAAAAAAAAGTGACAAGCGTATGTTTCTTGTGATTGTCTGTGATCACCAGCGATTTCTGAACTCACAAGCCAGGTCCTCTATGTGTACCTGAACGATTCCCATTCCTTTTTAAATCTTAGCCTCTGGATCATCTCGCCAGAGCCTTCTCAGAATCTTTCCCCTTTTCCTTCCGGGGTTAAAGGACTCCTCTCCTTTATTCTCAGAATTTGTTATAATTACAGGCTCTGTTTACACAGGTCCCCCAACTAGACTATGACTTCCCCAAGGATGGTGGAATATTGCTGATGTTTTTGTCTTCCTGACATCCATCCATGCTTCTTTTTTTTTTTTTTTTGAGACAGAGTCTCTGTCACCCAGGCTCGAGTGCAGTGGTGTGATCTCAGTTCACTGCAACCTCTGCCTCCTGGGTTCAAGCAATTCTCCTGCCTCAGCCTCCTGAGTAGCTGGGATTACAGGTGTGCACCACCACGCCCAGCTAATTTTTTGTATTTATAGTAGAGACAGGGTTTCGCCATGTTGACCAGGCTGGTCTTGAACTCCTGACCTCAATCTGCCTGGCTCGTTCTCCCAAAGTACTAGGATTACAGGCACGAGCCACTGCGACTGGGCATCCGTGCTCCTTCTGATAACAGCATCCCCACCTTTTTGGAGGGAAAGATCAGCCCTCTCCTGATCTCATACCACATGGTTTGGGTAGCGTCAGTGCCACTCTCTAGGTTCCAGGGTGGCCCTACAACCCAGGCCAGGCCCATCCACACACACATTCCATCCCCTTGGTCAATGTGACTGGCTCAGGAGTATATATGTGTCCTGAACCAGGTCAGTGCAAGTTAATCGTGCAATTTATGCTAGAACTAATGGGAGACTGTATCCCTGATAGGGTTGCTCAGCATTCTGCGGTCATCCTTGTTACATCTAGGAAAAAGCCACCTAAAAATGATGCCAACAACAAAATAGTGCTGAGAGATGCAGACAGAAAAGAAACGTACCTATCCAGAGTAAGAGTCATCTTTAAACTTCTTGATTATGTGAGTTACTTTCTTTTGCCTAAACTGGGTGTGTTGGGGTTTTGTTCCTTGCAACTAAAAGAATACTAATGCATACACTTTATTAATATTTTAATCTCACACATACTGCATCATATCCGGCACATTGTAGCCACTCAAGAAATGTATAAGTCAATGCATGCATGCTTTTTTTTTTTTTTTTTTTTTTTTTTTTTTTTTTGAGACAGATTCTTGCTCTGTTGCCCAGGCTGGAGTGCAGTGGCACAATCTCAGCTCACTGCAGCCTCCGCCTCCTGGGTTCAAGCAATTCTCCTGCCTCAGCTTCCTAAGTAGCTGGGATTACAGGTGCCCACCACCACGCTTGGCTAATTTTTCTATTTTTAGTAGAGATGAGGTTTCATCATGTTGGCCAGGCTGGTCTTGAACTCCTGACCTCCTCCTGCCTTGGCCTCCCAAAGTGCTGGGATTACAGGCATGAGCCACTGTGCCTGGCTGCATGTGTGCTTTTTAAGAAGTATGCCATTGCTGTGGTTTTTAATTTTTTTTAGTAATGAAATAATATTCATGCATAAAGAGTCAGGAAGTGGGAATATGGAGAAGATAGCACCCTCATGCATTGCTGGCAGGAATGTAAAATAATGCAGCTGCTGTGGAAAACAGCTTATCAGTTCCTCAAAATGTTAAACAGAATTACCAAATGACCCTTCAATTCTGCTCCTGGGCATATATAGCCAAAAGAATTGAAAACAAGTGTTCAAACAAAAACTTGTGCACAAATGTTCATAGCAGCATGATTCAAATAGCCAAAAGACAAAACAACCCCAATGCCCATCATAAGAAGAATGGATAAACAAAATGTGGTCTATCCGTACAGTAGAATATTATTCTGCCATGAAAAGGAATGAAGTCCTGATACACACTATGACATGGATAAACCTTGAAAACATTATGCTGAGTGAAATAAGCCAGCCACAAAAGGACAAATATTGTATGATTCCATTTATATGAAATGTCTGGAATAGAAAATGCATAGTCAGAAAACAGATTAGTGATTGCTACAGGCTGATAAGCAGTGTGACTGCTTAAGGGTATAGGATTTTTTTTTTTTTTTTTTTTTTTTTTGAGATGGAGTCTCACCGTGTTGCCTAGGCTGGAGTGCAGTGGTATGATCTCAGCTCACTGCAACCTCCGCCTCCCAGGTTCAAGCGATTCTGCTGCCCTAGCCTCCCGAGTACCTGGGATTACAGGCATGTGCCACCACGCCCAGCTAATTTTTGTATTTTTAGTAGAGACGGGGTTTCACCGTATTGGTCAGGCTGGTCCTGAACTCTTGACCTCGTGATCCGCCCACCTCAGCCTCCCAAAGTGCTGCGATTACAGGCGTGAGCCACCACGCCCGGCTAGGATTTTCTTTCAGGGTAATAAAAACATTCTGGAACTAGGTAGTGGCAATAGTTGCACAGCATTGCGAATGTACTAAAAGTCACTAGTGGTAAACTTTATCTTATACATGTTTTACCACAATAAAAACAAAATAATCAGGAATTTCATCAGGGCTGTCTCAGATGGATGCCACACAACTTGTGCCTGCACAGGGCGCCCAGATTGGGGTGCAAATCTGAAATCTAGATTGGGCTCTGCCCCCTGGGTTCAGACCTCTGGTACTTTTGCAAAGTGGATGCCTTTTTCTGATTCATACAAAGACTCCCTTCAGGCTAATGCTGATCTTGAACTTCACAGACAAGATGGCGTAAGAAGTGAGTGAGTTGTGTCGATGGCATTACTTTACTGCAATTTTCAATGATATTTCTTTGCTGTACATCTTTAAGTACTTGGAGAGTACCACAGTACACATCCTCTCCCATCCTTAGGGTGCTATATGTGAAAATTCACAGTGCATCGTTGAGTGCTTAATTTGTAAAGCTAGCATAAATCACTGGACTAAATTGTCCATTACTGTGAGCTCAAATTATCTCACCATCAAGAGAGTGATCTGGTTGCCTTGCTCACAATGGAAATAAAGAGACAATGAGGCAAAAAGCCAAAAGGAGAAGAATTCTAGAAAAATAAGTTTTCCGATATTGTAAAGAAAAACCTTACCAAGTTCAAGATAGGAACATTTTGCCTATCCTCATCAATAGTAATTTCTTTTCTGGAGATGGGATCTCACTATGTTGCCCAGGCTGGAGTGAAAAAGCAGTTTTCTGATGTTAGAAAAACCTTACAAGGTTAAAGATAGGAACTTTCTGCCTGCCCTCATCAAAGGTAATTTTTTTTTTCTAGATACAGGGTTTCACTGTGTTGCCCAGGCTGGAGTGCGGTGGCTATTCATAGGCACAATTATAACACGTTACAGCCTCGAATCCCAGGGTTCAAGTGATCCTTCCACCTCAGCCTCCCAAGTAGAAAGGCTTTGCTTTTGTTTTTGTTTTTTTGTTTTTTTTTTTGAGATGGAGTCTTGCTCTGTTCCCCAGGCTGAAGTGCAGTGGCACGATCTTGGCTCACTGCAGCCTCTGCCTCCAGGGTTCAAGCGATTCTTCTGCCTCAGCCTCCTGAGTAGCTGAGATTACAGGCACTTGCCACTATGCCCAGTTAATTTTTGTATTTTTAGTAGAGATGGGGTTTCACTATGTTGGCCAGGCTGGTCTCAGGTGATCTGCCTGCCTTGGCCTCCTGAAGTGCTGGGATTACAGGCATAAACCACCACGCCTGGCCAGCAAGTAGAAGGTATTTTTAAAAAATCATTTACGTTTCGAGGATCAGTGAGTCAGAATGAAACAATAATAATCCTCTAACAGCTATAGAAGATTTGGTTGTCTCTTAGGGGATAGCATTCTGAGATTTTTTTTTTCTCCCCACAAAAATCAGTAGAAAAAGACAAAAGGAGGCCGGGCGTGGTGGCTCACACCTGTCATCCCAGCATTTTGGGAGGCCCAGGTGAGTGGATCACTTGAGCCCAAGAGATTGAGACCAGTCTGGGCAACACTGGCGAGACCCTGTCTCTGCAAAATTTATTAAAATAAAAAAAAGAAAAAAATTCCCTGGGAAAGCAATATGGTGAACTCTTCAAGGACAAGTCAATATTAGTTTTGTTTAGTTCCAGGGTCCTTGGTAGCCCCCTCTCCTCCTAATCTGCCATTTCCCCATTTGCGTCCTCACAATGCAACTTTGAAAATATTGGGGCCAGCTCATGGCTAACATAACTGGATGTGGAATGAGACTTTTCTTGTTGACCCAGAACTTCAGCTAAAGCTTCAAAGGTGAGGGCAGTGGGTGACGACACTTCCTCCTTCTATTAAGAGGTAGCTAGACTGGTCCTTTGACCATCAATAACCATCAGCCTCCAGCCTATGTAAGACAAGATCAAGATTTTGTCCAGAAGAGGTTTCCTTGACAGGTCTTTGTAGGGGATTTTCTTTTCCTCTCCCAACCACAAGCCAAGAGAAGGGGGTTCAACGAAAAGTCACTTGTGGGACTTGGGTGCACCAAGCGGATATGCTGGCACCTCATTGCCGGCTGAAGGCTGCCTGGGGCTGCCCAAGATAGCAGGGTGCGGAGAGAGGGCAGCAGGAGGAATAGCCTGCGATTACCATTCTGCAGGGCAAAGGTGTGTCCTGTTTTCTGTGAGTCAGGTGACTACCTCTGAGCATACTTGGGCTTGAGCCATCCTGAAAAGACTTACCCAAGAGAGCATCCTTTCAGCAAAGGGACCTCAGAAAGAAGATGTGGGGTACTTGCTGGAGTATAAATGGAAAACTGGTCTGCAAAAGGCCACCCAGTGTGTGCATTGAGTCCCGATAAGGTCCCCTTGATGGTCTCCAAAGATTCCCCCAGTGTGCCCCATGTTCAAAAGTCAGCCTGCAAGTGCCTGGCAGGACACAGTAGGGCATCTGACTCCCTTCACCTGCTCTCCGTTGAGGGTACTTTTTCCACTTAGCCCTCAGCTCCTGCTCTCCTGCAAGGTGAGATGGAGATCAGGAGGAGAAGGACATACACACCCTAGTCTCCACTGCAGATTCCTGAGCCATCCATGGGTGAAGCTGGAAGGGGCAGGGAACAAGGTATTAAACTGGATATGAGAATGAAGTTTTGATTGGACTGGATTTTTTTTTTTTTTTTTTGGCTGAGTCTCGTTCTGTCTCCCAGGCTTGAGTGCAGTGGCACAATCTTGGCTCACTGCAACCTCTACCCTCCAGGTTCAAGCGATTTTCCTGCCCCAGCCTCCCAAGTAGCTGGGACTACAGGTGCCCGCCACCACACCTGGCTAATTTTTGTTTTTTAGTAGAGATGGGGTTTCACCATGTTGACCAGGCTGGTCTCGAACTCCTGACCTCAGGTTCAGTTGATCCACCCAAACTAGCCTCCCAAAGTGCTGGGATTATAGGTGTGAGCCACCGTGCCCGGCCTGGACTGGACTTCTAATGTCTGATGAGACTCTTAGTTGAAACTAACTGAAAAGCTAAGAGATTTACTGAGATATTGCCCCGGGCATAGGAGAGAGCCCTGACAGTGGATCTTAGGGTTGACAAGCAGTGGAAGAAGGAAAAGAAAGCCAGTTCTTGATTCCCACGTGTCTCTCCTCCTGCCAAATCCAGCTCATTCAGTAGCCCAGTAACAATAATTTATTCCCTCTATTAATAAAGCCACTCTGACACATGTGGCCTTCAGAGGTAGTATGCAGTTTCTAAAGTCAAGTACATCAACAATAACAACATCATCATCAACAACAAAATTATCATCCGTCAGCTCCCGTTCTTTGAAATTGATGACATTCTTATTAGTTTGAGGTGCAAAACCCTACACCAGAGGCATCAAACTCAAATGCCTACAGGAGCCAGGGAGGAGATATAAATAATGAATGTAGAGAACTGAGTGGCACTGTAGTGGAGGGTCTGTGCCCCCATCTGAAAGGACAGTTACCTCTCTTCCAACCAATTATTGCCCAATGTAGCCGGATCTTCCCATTTTTCCAGAAAGGCCAGAGATCTGCATTTTTGGGGTAGCATCTCTTAATTTTGGAACTACTGTCAAGAGCATTAGTCAGGGTTCTTTGTTGCCAATGACACAATCCACTCTAGGTAGTTTAAGCAGAAGTATTTTAATAGGGTGGTGAATTGTGGTCCCTCTTCCCTGCACCAAATCATATGTTGAAGCCCTAACCCTCAATGTAACTGTATCTGGAGACAGGATCTTTAGGAGGTAATTAAGGTTAGATGATGTCTTAAGGGTGGGGGCCTAATCCAATAGGACTACGGCCTTATAAGAAGAGGATGAGAGAGAAGAAGAGAGAGAGAGAGTGATAGATCTTTCTCTCTCTCTACCATGTGAGGACACAACAAGAAGGTGGCCATCTGCAAGCCAGGAAGAGAGCCCTCATCAGAACCCAGAACCTGACCATGCTGGCATCCCAATTTCAGAATTCCAGTTTCCAGAATAGTGAGAAAATAAATTTCTTTTTTCTTTTTTTTTTTGAGATGGAGTCTCGCACTGTCACCTGGGCTGGAGTGCAGTGGCGTGATCTTGGCTCACTGCAACCTCCACCTCCTGGGTTCAAGCGATTCCCCTGCCTTAGCCTCCTGAGTAGTTGGGATTACAGGTGCCCGCCACATGCCCAGCTAATTTTTTTTTCTTTTTGTATTTTTAGTAGAAACAGGGTTTCACCATGTTGGCCAGGCTGGTCTTGAACTCCTGACCTTGTAATCCACCTGCCTCGGCTTCCCAAAGTGTTGGGATTACAGGCACGAGCCACCACGCCCAGCGAGAAAATAAATTTCTGTTGTTTAAGCCACCCAGTATTTTGTTATGGCAGCCACTAAGACAGGTGGTTGAAAACTCTGTAGAATCTCCAGGAGGACAAGAGAGCCAGGTTCTGTCTGTGCAGCCAGAAATGACTCCCAAACCAGCTGTGGGGCTGCCCCTGTGAACACGTGACATGCCTTTCACCGTGGACACCAAGCTTACACAGGGGTGGAGCACCTGGAAGCAGATGGCTTGGCTGCCAGGCTCACTATCAGATAGATTCCTCCCTTTTGTTGTTCACTTCCTGGCAGAAATCTCATGTGATCTTCTAATGGCACAGCCTAGATCACATGTGACCTGTTTGCAAGGAAGATTCTGGAAAAGTGCTTTGGCTTCTCTGAGGGAAAGGTGGAACTCATAATGTGAGGCATTTTCCAAACATAGGAAGAGTATGCATTTGTGTGCTGCTTACAGCCCTGCCCATTGATGACATCTGCCCCATGGGCTACTTTCATTGTTTAAACTTCCACTTCTTCTGAGAACAACTAGAAAAACAAGATTAAATCATCATCATCGTCACCATCTGTTAAAAGACATTCAGAGAACTGCTGAAATAACCAGGACTAAAGGGGCCAAGATTCTGGAGACAGGAACACCGTGGTGAGGTGAGCTGATGTTCTGCAGCCGATTTTTCCCTGGGGATATTTGCACATTTGGGCACAGGGAAAGAGGCCGAGGTTCTAGACTCTTCCCAGGCATGAAGGCTGCTTTGGGGGAACAGAGAAACTGACAAAACTTTTAGCAACCTCATGGGGCTAGAAAGACAAAACTGGGGACTTGAGAGGCCATTATCCCAGGGAGAAGACAGGGGCAGAAAAGTGAGCCTGATAGATGGTGGTTTCCCCTCGAGGTATTTGGCAAAGTTTGAAATAGTGCAGGGCAAGAAGCAAAGAAGCCAAGCAGAAGGTCCCTCAAAAACAGAGCCGTTCCCACAGTCTCGCCATGCTGTGGAGATAAGGGTTAGAGCTCAGGACCAGAGAGAGGGGCCTTAGTGAACACCCAAGGTTCCTAGCTGGAACCCTGGAAAGGCACAGCATTAGAGGTAGGGAACAGAGTGAAGTGGTGTCTTATCAAAACTATAACCTGGTCTCCACCCAGCTCAGCCCCTGATTGGATTAAGATAATTGATCTGTATGCCATTTGTCTTGCAGAGAAAGGGTGCGTCCTCTCCAGAGTTAGATATTATCACCTGGAGACTGTACATTTTTTCAACGTCTGACATTCAATAAGAATTACAAGGCCTGCCAAGAGACAGGACCATATCACTGAAAATAAAGGGAAAAATAGTCAATAGAAAGAGACCCACAGGTGATCAAGCTTTTGGAGTTAGACAAATGCTTTAAAATAACCATAATTAACATGTTTAAGAAAAATGAAAAGTTGGAGAAAATAGATGAAAAGAGATAATTTTACCAGAGAATCGGATTTCATAAACTTCATCGTCCAAAAGATTGAGAACATAGAGAACTTACTTCACCTGCTCATTGACAGATGTTGAAAATACTGACTCAGTTCTGTATAGCTATAAATCCCATGGCTTACAGTATTGTTTTTCTTTCTTTGTGTTTTTTTTTTTTTTTTTTTTTTGAGACAGAGTTTTGCTCTTGTTGCTCAGGCTGGAGTGCAATGGCACAATCTCAGCTCACTGCAACCTCCGCCTCCTGGGTTCAAGCGATTTTCCTGCCTGGGAGTAGCTGGAATTACAGGCGCCTGCCACCATGCCAGGCTAATTATTTGTATTTTTAGTAGGGACAGGGTTTCACCATGTTGGCCAGGCAGTCTCAAACTCCTGAGCTCAGGCTATTCACCCGCTTCAGCCTCCCAAATTGCTGGGATTACAGGTGGGAGCCACCACACCGGGTCAGCTGGCAGTCTTAAAAAAAAAAAAAAGTGTGTTGAGGGAGAGCATCAGGAAAAATAGCTAATGCATGCTGGGCTTAATACCTAGGTGATGGGTTGATAGGTGCAGCAAACCATCATGGCACACGTTTACCTATGTAACAAACCTGCACATCCTGCACATTTACCCCAGAACTTAAAAATAAAGGTTGTCATTCAACGTGGCCACCACTGGCTCCTGTTCGCTCTGCTTTTCAAGTGGCTTCATTTAAGAGTGACATATTATACCATGTGTTCTGAGTATCACGTCTTACTCAGTCCTCAGCACAGGGCTCTGTTCACCTAAAGAAAGAGGTGCCTTTTGCTAATCATTCTAAATACATCTGTTGGGCAATGTGTGTTGGGAATACTATTAGATAAGGTGGTTAGGGAGATGAGGCCTCTCTGAGATGATATTTGAGTTAACAGTGACAAGAAGAAACCCACCAGGAGAGGATTAGGGTGAAGCATGTTCTGAGCACTGTGGACATAGAGTACAAAGATTTAATCAAGAGTCAGCAAACTTTTCTGTAAAGTGCCAGACAGTAAATCTTTCAGGTGTTGTGAACCACCGGTCTCAGCTGCAGCTACTCAACTCTGCTTTACAACGCAGGAGTAACCACAGACAATAAACAGATGGGTGGTGGTACTCCAATAAAACTTTACTTGTGGACACTGAGATGTGAATTTCACATAACTTTCACGTGTCACAAAATGTTATTTTCATTTTTTTCCAACCATTTTATTTACATTTTTAATTTTTGAATTTTTAGTAGCGACAGGGTCTTGCTATGTTGTTGCCCAGGTTGGTCCCAAACTCCTGGCCTCAAGCGAGCCTCCTGACTGCCTCCCAAAGTTCTGGGGATTACAGGCATGAGCCACCTCACCAGGCTTCCAAAAATTTCAAAAGGTAAAAACCATCTTAACTGTGGAGCCATCGTTTGCTGATATAACGTCAGTTAGGTATGCTGGGGTCAGGCCACACAGACACTTGTAGGACATGGGAATACTCAGAATAAGGCAAAGGCCCTTTTCCTCGCCAAATGGAAAGCCATCAGGGCGGGCCAGGCTACCAAGTCTAGGAGGCAGCTTCCTGAAATTCACGGAAGATCATCAGGTTCGCTTTATTTTTTCCCCAGTAACAAGAAAGGACAAACGAACAAAAAAGGCACACACACACAAACACACACCCAAAGGACAAACGAACAAAAAAGGCAAACACACACACACACACACACCACCCCCGAGCTAAAGACAGACGGGATGTGCCCAGGTTCACGCCGACGCCTCTCCGGCGCGCACCGAGGGTTTTAAAGTTGGGCGCACACCTGCTCCCAGCCGGAGCGCACCTGCTGAGCAGCACTCCGGCCCGGTCTCGCGAGAGCGGTGCAGGAGTAGTGGCCCCCACCCGCTCCCCGCCACCAAATCCCTCTCCCCGCCCCCTCGCCCAGCCTCCAGGCTCGGGCACACTCCCGGCCTCCCCCGCCGCCCCCGGGAGCAGGCTGGGCCCGATGCGCGCGCTGTCTCCGCGCCCCCGCCCGCCGATCGCTCGCTTGCTCGCTCGCACGCACTCCCGGTAGTAATTTCACTTTGCCACGCGAGCTCCGCAGCCCCTAGAAATCCCGCCCCCCGGCCAGGTGCGCGAGTCTGCGCGCTCCTCCTCCGCCTCCTCCGACGGGTCCCTGGCGCGCCGGGGCCGGGGCCCGGCTGGGGCGGCTGCGCGCACGGCGCCTCTCCACCAACCCGCTCCCCTGCAGGTCCCTCGCTTGGTCTCCATCCCTCTCCGGCGCTCCCTCGCTCCCCCCCGCCCTTTGATTGACAGGCAAGATGTCGGTGTGGAGCGAGGCAGGAGCGATTGCAGCAACCGTCACCCCCGGAGCCCGGCGGCGGCAGCAGCAGCAGCAGCAGCAGCGCGGGGAGGAGACAGCAGCCAGCCGCAGTAGCCGCCGCAGCCGCGGGAGCAATGCAGACAGCACCTTGAGAACGCGCTAAAGCACTCCAAACCGTGGACCATGCCGTGTCCCTGCAACTGGGAGGGGGGAAAACCAGATTTTTTTTGACATAAAAGCAAGCCAGCCAAAAATATATAATTTTGTCCTTCAAGGAGCCGGTGTGTAAAGAGTGAGCGCTATTTTCCTTCTCCTCCTCCTCCTCTCCCTCCTCCTCCTCTCCCTCCTCCTCTCTCTCCTCCTTCTCCTCTTCTTTTTCCTCCTCCTCCTCCTCCCTAAGTGTACAGACAGCATCACATCACCTGGTTTGCTTCTGAGAAACAGCATCTCTCCTTTTCAGGGACCAGAGACTCAGAGAGAGAGGAGACATTCTAATGGAGTCCGCTTGATATCCCAAAATAAAATAATAAATTTTGGCTCTTGTCCCCTCCTCCCACTCCCACCCCCTCAACCCTGTGTGAGATGTTGGATTTCTTCTTCATGAGACATTGTTGAGAAGTCGCAGTGGTTGGAGAGGCGGAGGGTAGACTACCTCTACTCCCCCCCCTCTTTTTTCTCTCTGGGAGGAGGAGGAGGGGAAGGGGGTTGCAGAGCAAGCGATGGATGAGGAAAACATGACGAAAAGCGAGGAGCAGCAGCCTCTGAGTTTGCAAAAAGCCTTACAGCAGTGCGAACTGGTCCAAAACATGATAGACTTGAGCATCTCCAACCTGGAAGGGCTTAGGACCAAATGTGCTACCTCCAACGACCTCACACAAAAAGAAATCCGGACCCTGGAGGTAGGTGTTGCCTACGGGAAAAAAAAAAAAAAAAAAAAAAAAAAAAGCAATCCTTCTTTCCCCCTCCTTTCTCCCCACGGTCCCCTTTCCCTCTGATTCTGTTTATTGGGGGCTGGGGGTGGTGGTGTGGGCAAGCAAGGTGGGCACGGTTTGCTTTTCTGTGATTTCTCTCCTTGCAAAGCCTGCATTGGATATCCTTTTACTGTGCTGCTGTCGTCTGCGCTTGGCTGGGTGGTGGTAGTAGTAGTAGTAATTGTTATTCTTTATTTATTATTATTGTTGCGGCTGTTACCGTTGTCATTCGCTTCCTCGCTGAGGAGGGAGTTCTCTCTTTTTTCCGCTTGTGGATTTGTTTATATGCCACGGGGGCTTGTGTGCCGGGTAATACATTAAGGAGCTGCAGAGAA
The DNA here is from genome assembly GCF_000001405.40 of Homo sapiens. Lineage (NCBI taxonomy): Eukaryota > Metazoa > Chordata > Mammalia > Primates > Hominidae > Homo > Homo sapiens. The sequence goes on along the minus strand of NC_000012.12, from coordinate 117,967,668 downwards.
CCCACGTGACCTTGCGCATTCTGCAGGTGGTCAAAAGGTGGTTTTTGCTCACAGAATGGGGCCGCCTGTCAGTGTAGACCTCTTCTTCTCTTGGCCTTCTTCCCCTCCCTCCTTTTGCTCCTTAGATTTTTTGTTTTAAATCAGTGATATACATGTCAGGAGGCAAGATGCATGAAAAAAAAAATTCCTATGGAACTACCCATTTCCAATCCAATCGTTTTGATGCAGTGAGCTGTTGCAGGCCTAAAACGTACAAAAGGGAAAAAAAAATATGCCTCAATCAGCACACATAGGTGGTGTGGGAGAATACTCCTGAATCTCAGTGGGACTGTGAGGAAAGAGGAAAGGGGTCGGGGAGGAGGAGTTATCTTTGGCTTCTTGTGACATTCTCTCCGGCAGAACTTGAGGGGGAGTTTGAAACAGTTTTTTGGGGGAGTGGGATGGGATGAAGGGTGGTTGCAAAGTTACTCAGAAAGAAGATGGCAGAAATTATTTTTTTCTGAAGGCCATTTGGTCAAAGGAGGAAGGTTTAAAGAGGCTTAGGAAATGCCAAATGCCTGGTGTCCACGAGATCACTGGACATCTGCATTGTTCAAAATGTTTGAAGGGTTCAGCTCACTTCCTTCTCCCAAACCAACCCAGCTATACGCATGGGTTGATTAAATTTGGGAACTTCCATTAGCTGGCATCCGCCGAGGGTGGGGGCAGTGGGGCTGAGAGAACAGGGGTTCCCTCTGTGGTGGAGTGGGCATGAGCAGTACTGAGACGTTCATCTTGGTCCTGGCACATGAGTTCCCAAGGCCTGAACTCGTCAGTCCGTAGTGAATCTTGTGGCCCTCCTGCCCCTGTTGTAGCCTGGATGGGTGCTTTTCTCGGATTCGCTTTGGGTATTTCTTTTTTTTCCGTGATTTTTAAATTTGGCTGGATGTCAACATGCAGGAGGTCATCCCTTTGAAAGAAGAGAGAGAGAGAGAGGGAGGGAGAAAGAGAGGGAGGGAGAGAGAGAAAGAGAGAGACAGCATGTGTGTGTGTGTGTGTGTGTGTGCGTGCGCGTGTGAGAGAGAGAGAGAGAGAACATGCTGTTTGCTACCCTAGGATGCATGTCTGTGTGCACCTGTCATCTGGAAATGTGATCCTCAGAGATGAAATAAGATCAATGTCAAGGTGTATCGGGAGAGTGGGAATTGTGTTGGGAGGCACAGGTATTGCCTTTCCTGGAGCTTGGGAGAGCAGGTGAGGCCGGAGCTCTGTTGCTGGAAGAAAAAGTGTGGGATGTTCTGATCCAGCCTTCTGTCTCTGCCTGAACAGTGCCCAAGAGCAGACTCTTCAGACCTGCATGCAGTCAATAAATAACCCCAAAAAAGCCACCTGAGCTCTCTTCTGTTCCTCTGAATCAGGAGTCCCAAATGCTAGTTTGTGTATTCCTGTGTAAGTTTCTTCGAAGTTTTCTTTTTTTTTGTTTCAAACATGCTCCATCCTCTGATAGCTTCCTGGATGGGGATGTGCCGCAGTGGGCATTGCCTTCTTTCTGCCTAGTGGTTTTCCTTTTAAACTGGGGGGATGGAGGCACTGGTAGGATGGCTATGGGGGAGTTGCAGTTGTAGGAAATGCATCTGTTTTCAGTTCCCTTGTCCCAGTATGCTACAGAGCATGCAACCACTTTCATCCATCTTGCCCAGGGAATGCTCTTGAGCAATTATTCCAATTTGTATTTCCCAGATTTGCAGGGTTAGGGAGGGCCCCTGCAGAGGGGCTGGTAACTTAGGGTCCAGCCAAGTCCAGCCAACGCTAACATTTGGGTCCACGGAATTTTCTAATTTTGTATATCAAAACCATATGAGGGTGCTTGTTAAAATGCAGATTCTTAGCCTCTAACCCTAGAGATTCTAGTTTAGCTGGGATTAGCAAGAGGGTCAAGGAATCTGCGTTTAATAAACAGTCCAGGTATTTCTGATACATGTTTTCAAATGGACACTTTGAGATGCTAAACCATTAGGAGAAAGATGTGATATTTCAGCTCTTTAATGGTGAAAACTCACTGCTTGCTAACACTAATGCAAGTAATAAATTGAATAGATGATCCCTGAACAGTGCTGTGATAATGAACAGCACTTAATAGCATGTATACACTTCTGTAGAAACAAAAATATGCAAGGTGGACTTGGCCTTCAGGAAGCATACTTCATGATATAATAATGTGTATGTGAAATAATGATAAAGTCTAAGTGGTAAATAATATGGGGGACAATGTGTGAGCCCATTAGGCATGTGTTCAGCTGCATGAAATGGAAAACCCAATCCTAGCAGTAAGGCAAATAATGGTTTCTCTTCATGTAACAAGAATTCTGGAGACATATAGCTGCTTCAGTTGGCTCAGTAGGTTAGTAATACCAGGGCTGATGTCTTTGGGAATTCTCATGGCTTTTCTCTTATGGTTGCAAGATGGTTCCTGCAGCTTCAGCGATTACATCTGAGTTCAAGGTAGGAAAGAGGAGGACCTGGTGAGTGTGAAGGAATAAAGGGTTCCCCAGGACATCTCTTCCTCCTCACCTTGCAGATGATTTGATTATATCTTCTTGGCCAGAACTGAGTCCTAGCTGCAAGGGAGCCCGGGAAGTGGGGAAGTGGGACCACCACCAGGATCGGCTTAGATGGATCATGATCCATTGCCTGAAATGACATGTTGCCACTCCATGCAAAATCAGGGCTCTGCTAGTGTGGAAGGAGGCATAGGTAGATATTAAGTAAGTGGACAGCCAGCGATGGCAGCCATGGCACATAGTCAGAAGATATTTTGGTGGAAAAGAAAGTTCATGAACGTTGAGTCAGACTGATATAGTTGTAAATTCTAGCTTGTCTTTTTACTTTATCTTGGGCTAGTGATTTAAGTTTTCTGATTTATAGTTTTAAGTTTTTGGCAAAACAGCAATAATTAAATAATATTCCCTACTTCAGAGGATGGTTATAAGGATTGAAAGAGATAACGTTTTCAAGGGTCTAGCACTATCTGGAACAGAGTGGCTGCAGGTGCTAAATGAATGACAGCTGTGATGATGATAATGATTGGCATTACATGGTGTTGACTAGATGGCATGGAAGGGAGCAGTTCAGATTGGACAGAGAGAAGGAGGAGCTTGAGTAGCATTTCCAAAGTATGTTCTGTAGAACCCTAAATCTGTGGGATGTTAGCGTTTTTAATTCTTTCAACAAATGCTGACATCCAGGCACTGTACTTAATGCTGGTAGTCAATAAGTGTTCTGTGGACAAAACAAATTCTGTGGTTAATAAGTTTGGGAAGGGTTGAGTTAAGCAAAGGGAAACAGGCATCTTTACTGCAGGACTTTTCTCAGAGCCTTTAATATGCTACCTATGTGTATTAGGCCTCCAAGAGAGGATAGAACGGAGTCTCGCTCTTGTCACCCAGGCTGGAGTGCAGTGGCGCAATCTCAGCTCACTCTGCCTCCTGGGTTCCAGTGATTCTCTTGCCTCAGCCTCCCAAATAGCTGGGATTACAGATGCCCGCCACCATGCCCTGGTAATTTTTGTGTTTTTAGTAGAGACGAGCTTTTGCCATGATGGCCAGTCTGGTCTTGAACTCCTGACCTCAGATGATCTGCCCGCCTCGGCCTCCCAAAGTGCAGGCGTGAGCCACTGCACCCGGCCCAAGGATTTCTCCTGGGATTTTTGTTCCATAGGATACACCTGGGAAAACATTTGGCAAAGCAGGGAAACCTTCTTGGTTGGGGAGATGGGGATTTGGAGTGAAGGATGAGGAGGGTTTAGATTGCAGCAAAAGGGGAGAGCATGCTGGACAAGAACAACAAACCAGATGAAGGTATTTGAATGCCTTCATGGGGCAGCCTAGAGACCATTTTGCCCAGAATGGAGGGTACCTGGTAGCCTGTCATAGGAAATGAATTTAGGCCACTAACTTCTGGGATCCAACTAAAGATTAGAGAGTCAGACCAACAACGTTTCATCCCTTTGTGGAAGGAGATAGAAGTCTTCAAAGGTTTTGGAATGCATACAATAGAAAAGTATAAGCTTTTTTGTTTTGTTTTTTTTGAGGCAGGGTCTCACTCTGTAACTCAGGCTGGAGTGCAGTGGCACGATCATGGCTTACTGCAGCCTTGACCTCCAGGGCTCAAGAGATCCTCCTGCCTCAGCCTCTTGAGTAGCTGGGACTACAGGTATGCACCACCACGCTTGGCTAATTTTTTGTATTTTTTAAATAGAGACAAGGTATTGCTATGTTGCTCCAGCTGATCTTGAACTCCTGGGCTCAAGTGATTCGCCTGCCTTGGATGGCAGCCTACGGCAGGGGCTGGCAAACTTTTTCTGGAAAGGGACAGATAGTAAAGAGTTTAGGCTTTGTGGACCCTGCAATTTTTATCAAAGCTACTCGACTCTGTGCTGTAGCATGTAGCAGCCATGGGCAGTACATACATGAATGGGTGGGGCAGTTTTCTTTTTATTTTGAGACAGGGTCTCGCTCCGTTGCTCAGGCTGGAGTGCAGTGGCGTGATCTCGGCTCATTGCAACCTCCGCTTCCCAGTTTCAAGTGATTCTCCTGTCTCGGCCTCCTGAGTAGCTGGGATTACAAGCCTGCACCATCACGCCTGGCTAATTTTTGTATTTTTAGTAGAGACAGGGTTTCAGACCAGCCTATTGGCCAGGCTGGTCTCAAACTCCCGACCTCCAGTGATCCGCCCACCTCAGCCTCCCAAAGTGCTGGGATTATAGGCGTGAGCCATCAAGCCGGGCCTGGTGGGGCAGTTTTCTAATAAAACTTTATTTGTGGACCCTGAAACTTGAAATTGATATACTTTTTGCATGTCATGAATATTTTTCTTTTGATTTTTTTTTTGATGTTTATAGTTGTACAAACTGTAGTTTCTGGGCCTTACAAAAACAGGTGATGGTGGCCAGGCACAGTGGCTCACGCCTGTAATCCCAGCACTTTGGGAGGCTGAGGTGAGTGGATCACTTGAGGTCAGGAGTTTGAGACCAGCCTGGCCAACATGGCGAAACCCCGTCTCTACTAAAAATACAAAAATTAGTGGGGCATGGCAGCGGGTACCTGTAATCCCAACTACTCGGGAGGCTAAGGCAGGAGAATCACTTGAACCTGGGAGGTGGAGGTTGCAGTGAACCAAGATGGCACCATTGCACTCCAGCCTGGGTGACAGAGGGAGACTACATCTCAAAAAAAAAAAAACCCAAAAAACAAAACAAAACAAAACCCAGGCGATGGGTCATATTGGGCCCATGGGCTGTAGCTTGCTAATCCCTAGGCTGTAGGATAGATGAGAGGGGAAAAACTCTGAAAGACAGAGACCATCCTAAGGTGAGCAAGTGACACTAGAATGGGAGAGTACTAGCCAAGTAGAGGTAGTTTTGAGCTGGATTCTGTTTTAGTTAAATTGCAAGGGGAAAAAAATATTAGGAGTTGAGGTTGAACAAGTATGGAATCTCCTTGTATAGCAAGGGTATTGTAGCTTTTTTTTTTTTTTTTTTTTTAAAGAGACAGGGTCTTGCTCTGTCACCCAGGTTGGAGTACAGTGGTGCCATCATAGCTCACTGCAGCCTTGAACTTCTGGGCTCAAGCGATCCTCCTGTCTCAGCCTCCTGGGTAGCTGAGACTACAGCCACATGTCACTGCACCCAGCTAATTTAAAAATTTTTTATAGAGACAGTATCTTGCTTTGTTGCCCAGGCTGGTCTTAAACTCCTAGCTTCAAGCCACCCTCTTGCCTTGGCCTCCCAAAGTGCTGGGATTACCGGTGTAATCACCACGCCTGGCCTCCCATCATTTCTTTGCTCTTCATATATTCCATCTCAATTTTCTATTGCTGTGTCATGAACTATCTTTAAACTTAATTTCGTTTGGAAAACTTTGGGCTTAAGACAACAATTTGTTATTTTCATGATTCTGTGGGTTGGGCTTGGTTGGAGGGTTCTGCTGGTCTTGCCTGAGCTCCTCTCGTGGCCACATTCAGCTGGTGGAAAGGGAGGAGGATAGGAAAGCTGAGACTTTCTCTCCCTGCAGCCTGTTGGTGCGATAGCTTGGGTTTCTTACAGGTCTCCAGTGTTCCTAGAGAGCAAGAGGGAAAGTGGCAAGGAGTCTTGGTATTTGGAAATCACAGGATGTTACTTCCACTGGAGTTGTGAGATAATATAAGTCCCATGGCCAGCCTGGGTATAGAGGATGGGGAAATAGACTCCCATCTTGGTCAGAGAAGCTGCAAAGTTAGTGTATTAATTAGGACAGACTGTAAGAAATAGACCCCTAAATGTCTTTTTCTTGTTCGCTAAACAGTCCAAGGAGGGTGTTCTTGGTTTGCAGGTGGCGGGCCATTCTCTCATGCTCCAGACCCCTTCCCCTCTGCAGCATTATCATTGGTGCATCTAGAAGGGGGAGAAAGTGCAGAGAAGACAAAGCCTTATTTCCCAAAGTTGCCCTCATCAGTGCATTCCCTTATGCTTGCGTTCCCTTAGCTAGCATTTAGTCACAACACTGCAAAGAAAATGGAGAATGAAGTTTAGCTGAGCTCAGGAAGAAGAGAATAGGCTGGATGTGGTGGGTCACACCTGTAATCCTGGCACTTTGGGATGCCAAGGTGGGAGGATTGCTTGAACCCAGGAGTTCAAGACCAGTCTGGACAATGTGGTGAAGCCCCATATCTACCAAAATACAAAAATTAGTCAGGTGTGGTGGCACGTGCCTATAGTCCCAGCTACTCGGAAGGCTGAGGTGGGAGGATGGTTGGAGACTGGAAGGCAGAGGTTGCAGTGAGCCGAGATTGTACCACTGCACTCCAGCCTCGGTGACAGAGCCAGAACCTGTCTCAAGAAAAAAAAAAAAAAAAAGGAAAAAGAAAATATGCTGAATAGCTAGTAGTCTCTGCCACAGCTAATGATAAGCTGTCATATCAGTTATGTATTGCTATAGAACAACCTACCTCAAAACTTAGTAGCTTAAAACAATCATCATTTGCTCAGATGCCTGCAGTTAGGTATGGACTCAGCTGGCCAGTTCTGCAGATCTTGCCTGACTCACTTGTGGTTGTGTTTATCTGATGGCTCAACTGTGGCTGGAGGGTCCGAGATGGCCCTGCTCACATGGCTGGTGGTTGGCTACAGTGCCTCACTTCTCTGCTCCATGGCTTTTCTGGCAGGATAGCCCGGGTTTCTTACATGGTGGCAGCAACGGTGTTCCTAGAGGACAGGCGCCAGTGTGCAAGCCCTTCCTAAGCCTCTGGTTCTGCAACCTTTGCTAATGTCCTCTTTGCCAGAGCATGTTACATAGATAAGCCCAGAGTCAGTGTGACTATGGATTCCAGGAGGTGTGGTTTATTGAGGGGCTAATGAACAATCTAATGTCACAATATACCACAGCCATGAAAATCAACCAAAACAAAAAGAGCATAGGGGAGCAAGGGAAAGATATGGGATGATCAACAAAGGCTCTTTCATGGAGGTTTTACTAACTTGAGGAAGCCAAGCCATGAAATATTTGGGGGAAGAGTGTGCCAGGCAGAGGGAACAGCAGATGCAAACTTCTTGGATGGGAACATGCTTGGCATGTTATTGGAACCCCAAGGAGTCCACTGTGGTTGGAGAGCAGGGAGTGGGCAGGGAAAGGATGAAGAGGGACGCAGTGGGAGACAGAAGCTGGTCATAGGGGGCTTTGCTAAGACGCTAAGGTACTTGAAGTTTTTTTTTTTTTTTTCTTTTGAGACAGGGTCTCACTCTGTCACCCAGGCTGCAGTGCAGTGGCACTGTCATGGCTCACTGAAGCCTCGACCTCCCAGGCTCAGTCCTTCCTCCCACTTCAGCCTCCCAAGTAGCGGGGACTGCAGATGTGCATCACCATCGCTGGCTACATTTTAAAAATTTTGTAGAGATAGGGTCTCCCTATGTTGCTCAGGCTGGTCTCCAACTCCTGGGCTCAAGTGATGCTCATGCCTTGGCCTCCCAAAGTGCTGAGATTACAGGTGTGAGCCATCATGTCCAGCCTTGGATTTTGTTCTAACTGTGATAGAAGCCCTTTGAACCAGGGGTTATATTTTTAAATGATCTTCTGATTGCTGCAGGGTAAACAGACTGTAGGAGGTAGGAATGAGAGCAGGGAGACAAGTTGGTAGTTATTGTGGAAGTCCAAGCCCTCAATGACTGTGCTTTTGACTGGTATGATTGTTGTGGGGTGGATGGGGCAGGTGGCTGGATTCAGAAGATCAAGTATGTGGAAGGTGCTGATGAATCTGATGTGGATGTGAAGGAGAATCAAGAATCGAAGATTATTCCTAGGTGTTTGGCTTGAGTGCTAGGAGAATGGGGGTCCCCTTGTTTGAAATGTAAGACTGGAGGTGGAATAGATTGGGTTTGACAGTCAAGTCCTGTTTGACATGCTACATTTGTCAAGTAGACAGCTGGATGTGTGAGCTTGGAGCTCTGAGAAAGGCTGGAGATACGAAGTTCACTTAATAGACCATGAACCAATTTTTCAAATTATTAAAGTATTATTATTGTTTAATTAATACATAATAGATGTACATATTTTCAGGGTATGTGTGATATTTAGATACATTCATATAATGTATAATAATCAAATCCAGGTAACTGGGCTATCCATTACCTTAGATGTTTATCTTTTCTTTATACTGAGAACATTCGGATTATTCTCTTCTAGCTATTTTGAAATATACAATAGATTATTGTTTACTGTACTCACTCTACTGGTTTGTTCAACACTAGGTCTTATTTTTTCTATATATCTGTAAAAAGTATTATTTGTAATGGCTACATAGTATGACATGGATGCCCCATCATTTCTCACTTTATTTTGAGACAGAGTCTCACTCTGTCACCCAGGCTGGAGCGCAGTGGCGTGATCTCCGCTCACTACAACCTCTGTCTCCCAGGTTCAAGCAATTCTTGCGCCTCAGCCTCCCGAGTAGCTGGGATTACAGGCGCATTCCACCGCACCCAGCTGATTTTTGTATTTTTAGTAGAGATGGAGTTTCACCATGTTGGCCAGGCTGGTCTTGAACTCCTCATCTCAAGTGATCTGCCCGCCTAGGCCTCCCAAATTGCTGGGATTACAGACCTGAGCCACCATGCCCGGCCCCCATCATTTCTTTAACCAAAATTCTATTGTCAGGTGCTTATGTTCATACTTTTACATTTTTATAACAATGCCACAGTGGACGTCCTTGTGGCTAATTCTTATTTTCAGCTCCTAGAAATGGAACTGCTGGATCAAAGGATATGCAAAAGTTTAGGACTTTCCATGGGTTTTGCCAAGTTGCCCTTCACCAGCAGTGTTGGAAAGGGTTCATTTCCCCATACCCTCAGCACAGGTGTATATTTTATTTTATTTTTTGAGTGTGAGTGTTTTGATGTCTAAGAGCTCAGGGTTAAGGAGGCTGTTGTCTCAGGTCAGAATGAGATCTTTACTGTTTTTAACTGGGTAGGGCCTTGGTACCTGGGGTAATGGGGAATACTTGGTCTTCTGCACAAAGTGGTCAACCTCAGCTGGGTGCAGTGGCTCACGCCTGTAATCCCAGGACTTTGGGGGGCCAAGGCAGGCAGATCACTTGAGGCCAGGAGTTCAAGACCAGCTTGGCCAACATGGCGAAACCCCGTCTCTACTAAAAATACAAAAAAATTAGCTGGTGTGGGGGCACATGCCTGTAATCCCAGCTACTTGGGAGGCTGAGGCAGGAGAATCGCTTGAACCCAGGAGGCGCAGGTTGCAGCGAGCTGAGATTGCATCACTGTACTCCAGCCTGGGCAACAGAGTGAGACTCAGTTTAAAAAAAAAAAAAAAAAAAGGTGGTCAGCCTGTGAGGACTTGGCCCTTTCCTTTTGCCTTGTGTTCATAAAGGTGTGCGTGTGTGTGTGTGTGTGTGTGTGTAACTCACAATTCTAAGTCATGATAAATGTTATGTCTGAAGGGTTCACTCCTCCCTCTGGGTTTTGAGAGTGGATTCTACCAGGCAATTTGTAATCCATCACCTTTCAATGAGTAGAAAACTAGGAAGTCTTTCCACCCCCAGAGAATGGGTCATTTCCTGGGCTTCCACCCATGTGGTCCCAACTGTTGGGAAGAGGGATAGGGCCTGGCCTTCCTTCTTGCCCACCGTGTGCTGCTCTGGGTGTGGGGACAGGGGAGGTGTTGAGAGGCTGAGGAGGACAGGAGACACATGGTGGCCAGGAAGGAGGATGGAGAAGCTGAAAGATGGGAAGGGAAAAGGGACAAAAATAGGAGAAGAAAGTAAAAAAATAGAACGATTTTCTTCAGCAGGGCTTCTGTGATGCTTGGAATGTCCTTCCAATGGGTCGTGACCACAACCGTGGTTGTTGCTCCTTTACAGGCAGGTTTATTGAGGTTTAGAGTCACCAATTTGACCCAAACTGACCGAGTAAGGCAGCCGCAGACACAGGAACAGACAGAGGTTTACTGCTCTCCTGTGGACTCCCCAAAGGTGAAATCTCCTGGAAGAGAAGAAAGAAAGATGAGGAGAAACAGAGGGCGAAGGGGAAGTGTAGACGTTAATGGTAATGATGTGATTAGAGGTGGCAGCCATAGGATTAATGACAATCACGATGATGGAATACTTAATCTGTCTCTAAAATGCTTTCCTTGGTGACTATTATGGATGACAATTATTTGAGAGAAATAGAGGACTGATAGAAACAAAGTAGAAACATAGAGACAGGGGAGGATGAGATAAAGAGAGGGAGATATTTTAGACCTGAGCTATCCAGTATGGCAGCCACTTGCCACATGTGGCCATTGACCAACGGAAATACGGTGAGTCCTAGTTGAAATGTGCTGTTAGTGTCAAATACACACCAGATTCCAAACTTTTTTTAAAAATTAAAAAAAATTTTTTTAAGAGAGATGAGGGTCTCACTATGTTGCCCAGGCTGGCCTTGAACCCCTGAGCTCAAGTGATCCTCCTGCCTTGGCCTCCCAAAGTGCTAGGATTACAGGGGTGAGCAGCCACCCCCAGTCCAAACTCTTAGTATGAAGGAAAAAAAATATAAAATATTGCATTGATAATTTCTATTTTCTGTTTTTTATTTTTTAGCGAGACAAAGTCTTGCTCTGTCGCCCAGGCTGGGATGCGGTGGTGCAATCATGGCTCACTGCACCCTTGACCTCCGGAGCTCAAGCAGTCCTCCTACCTCAGCTTCCCAAGTAACTGGGACTACAGGTACATGCCACCACACCTGGCTAATTTTTAATTTTTTGTAGAGGTGCGGGTCTTGCTATGTTGCCCAGGCTGGTCTCCAACTCCTGGGCTCAAGCAGCCCTCCTGCCTTGGCCTCCCAAAGTTCTGGGATTACAGGCATCAGCCACCATACCTGGCCTTGATAATTTTTTTTTTTTTTTTTTTTTTTTTTTTTGAGACAGAGTCTTGCTCTGTCGCCCAGGCTGGAGTGCAGTGGCTCAATCTCGGCTCACTGCAAGCTCCGCCTCCCAGGTTCATGCCATTCTCCTGCCTTAGCCTCCCGAGTAGCTGGGACTACAGGCGCCCGCCACCACGCCTGGCTAATTTTTTGTATTTTTAGTAGAGATGGGGTTTCACCGTGTTAGCCAGGATGGTCTCGATTTCCTGACCTCATGATCCGCCCGTCTCGGCCTCCCAAAGTGCTGGGATTACAGGCGTGAACCACTGCGCCTGGCTGGCCTTGATAATTTTTATATTGACATGTTAAAATGATAACATTTTAGATATATTGGGTTAAATAAAATATATTAAAATTAATTTCACCTGTATGTACTTTCCTTTTTTTTTTTACCCCCTGAGGCTACTAGAAAATTTTAAATTACAAAGGTGGCTCACTGTATATTGCTATGGAACAGAGCTGTTTTTGAGCACTGAAGCGATTTCTCTGTTTTGCCATAATAGAAATCTTGGTCTTGATGAGGACTGAAAATCTGATCCCCCGAGAGTTACCAGGCAGCCATTGATTAAAGCAGTGCATGCATTCCAAAGATGGATGCGTTTGATTTTCCTGAACCAGAAAAGTGAGATCAAGACTCAGAAATAATAACCTGACTCCCTGCAAATTCAAATGGGTGCTTTAAGCAATATAGACTAGTAGTTAGGAGGGCTTGAGCTCTGAGGTGAGATTGTTTGGGTTCCAATTTGGTTCAGGACTTAACTAGCTAAGTAACCCTGTGCCAAATGATCTTTCCTTGCCAAGCCTCAGTTTCCTTGTTTATAAAATCAGGATTGTGGCTCACACCTGTAATCCCAGCACTTGGGGAGGCCAAAGCAGGAGGATTGCTTGAACTCAGGAGTTTGAGATCAACCTGAGCAACATAGGGAGATAGCATCTCTACAAAAAATAAAAAATTAGCTGAGTCTAAGTAGTGGTGCATGCCTGTGGTCCCAGATACCTGGGAGGCTGAGGTGGGAGGATCACTTGAGCCCAGGGAGATTGAGGCTGCAGTGAGCCATGATTGTGCCACTGCATTCCATCCTGGGCAACAGAGTGAGACCCTGTCTCAAAAATAAATAAAATAAAATGATCATTTTACATGAGGTTGTTAGGTGATTAAATGGAATCATGCATTCAGGGGCTGAGTAGATTCGAGTGCCTGTTACATGGCAAATTTTTTTTTTTTTTTTTGAGACAGGGTCTCGCTCTCTTGCCCAGGCTGGAGTGCAGTGGCGCGATCTCAGCTCACTGCAACCTCCGTGTACTGGGTTCAAGTGGTTCTCCTGTGTCAGCCTCCCCAGTAGCTGGGATTACAGGCACATGCCACCATGCCCAGCTAACTTTTTGTATTTTTAGTAGAGATGGGGTTTCACCATGTTAGCCAGGCTGGTCTCAAACTCCTGACCTCAAGTGATCCACCCGCCTTGGCCTCCCAAAGTGCTGGGATTATAGGTGTGAGCCACTGTGCCCGGCCACAAATTCTTAATAATTCTTGCTTTGCAATTTTTGATGATCATCCCCACTGCAGATTGGCAGAAGGGAGCTGAGGGTACTTGAGCCCTGTGTGGTGCTGAGCTCTGCACTGCCATCTGGGGAGATACCGTCCTTGCATGTATCATTCATTTATTCAGTAAATGTTAGCTGAGCCCCAAATGTGTGAGAAGAAGAAACCCATAGAAGGCTTCTATAGCATAGTGGCACACCCACTAGGCTGCAGGTGACAGAAGGGAACAGGATTCCTGACACTCCGTCTGGATCTTTGAATTTGCCCACAGACGATGCACCTCCCATCAGTGGCCGGCAGGCCTTAGTCTTTAAACCACATGCTCATCCCAACTCTAAGTTGGATAACAAAGTATGGGGTTGGGCCTTGCAACTTCTAGACTTGTCTTAAGCTTGCATGGTGAAGAGTTAAAAACTCTGATGTCTGAGCATCTGAAAAGCATATCCTGTAAAGGTAGGGGGGACCCTTCAGAGGTTGTCCAGCCCCATCTTTGCCCAGTGTCCAGATTTAGGGTGAGTGCTACCTCATCAAGCTCACTCTAAATGATTTTCTTAAATCAATTTTTTATTATGGAAAACATACATAAAATTTACCATTTTAACTTTTTTTTTTTTGAGACAGGGTCTTGCTCTGTTGCTCAGGCTGGAGTGCAGTGGCATGATCACAGCTTGCTGGAGCCTTAAACTTCTGGGTTCAGGTGATTGTCCTGCCTCAGCCTCCTGAGTAGCTGGGACTACAGGTGCACACCACCATGCCTAGCTAATTTTTAAATTTTTTGTAGAGGCTGGGTCTTGCCATCTTGCCCAGGCCAGTCTCAAACTCCTAGGCTCAAGTGATTTTCCCACCTTGTCCTCAAAGCGGTGTTGGGAATTACAGGCATGAGTCACTGTGCCCTGCCCATTTCAACTATTTTTAAGTGTATAATTCATTGGCCTTAAGTACACTTATAATGTTGTGTAACCATTACCACTATCAACTTCTAAAAGTTTTTTTATTGTTTCAAACAGAAATTCTGTATCCATTAAGCAGTAACTCCCCTGTACTCCCATCCCCTGGCCCAGCACATGGTAACTGTCATCCTACTTTCTCTATGAACTTAATACTCTAGGTACCTCATGTAAGTAGCATCATATGATATTTGTTATTTTGTGTCTCACTTAGCATACAATTTCAAGGTTCATGATGTATCAGCATTTCATTCGTGTTTATGGCTAAATAATAGTCCATTGTATGAATAGTCAGCATTTGTGTATTCATCTATCAAGTTGAACATTTTTTAGGTTATATTCACCTTTTGGTTATTGTAAGTAATACTGCTATGATCACTGGTATGAGAGTATCTGTTTGAGTTCTTGTTTTCAATTCTTTTTGGTGTATACCAGGGGCAGAATCACTGGGTTATACGGTAATGCTATTTTTAATTTTTTGAGGAACCACCATAATGTTTGCCACAGTGGCTGCAACCGTTTTTTACATTCCCACCAGCAATTTCTCTACATCCTTGATGACTTTTGTTATTTTTCATTTTTAAAATTATAGCTATCCTGGTGGGTGTGAAGTAGTATCTCATTGTGCATTTGATTTGCATTTCCCTAATGACTAATGATGTTGAACATCTTTTCATGTGCCTATTGGCCATCTGTATAGCTTCTTTGGAGAAATGTTTGTTCAAGTCCTTTCACAAGGCAGCCTTTAAAATTTTTTTTTTTTTTTTTTTTTGAGATGGAGTCTCACTCTATTGCCCAGGCTGGAGTACAGTGGTGCAATCTTGGCTAACGGCAACCTCTGCCTCCCAGGTTCAAGTGATTCTCCTGCCTCAGCCTCCTAAGTAGCTGGAATCACAGGTGTGCGCCACCACGCCCAGCTAATTTTTGTATTTTTAGTAGAGATGGGGGTTTCACCATGTTGGCCAGGCTGGTCTCGAACTCTTGACCTCAGGTGATCCTCCTGCCTCCAGCTCCCAAAGTGCTGGGATTTCAGGTGTGAGCCGCCACGCACGGCCAAAAGTTGTTGTTGTTGTTGTTGTTTTTGAGACAGAGTCTTGCTATTGCCTAGGTTGTAGTGTGGTGGCACAATCTCACCTCACTGTAGCCTCCGCCTCCCGGGTTCAAGCAATTCTCCTGCCTCACCTTCCCAAGTAGCTGGGATTACAGGCACATGCCACCACACCTGGCTAATTTTTGTGTTTGTAAAAATATTTTACAAATATTTTGTATTTGTAGAGACGGGGTTTTGCTATGTTGGCCAGGCTGGTCTTGAACTCTTGGCCTCAGGTGATCTGCCCACCTTGGCCTCCCAAAGTGCTGGGATTACAGGCATAAGCCACCATTCCCGGCCCAAAAGTTGTTTAAATTAAATTTTTTCAGCTTTTCTGAAGCATACTTAACAAAATTGTGTGTATTTAAGGTGTACAATATGATGATTTGATATCTATTGTGGAATGATCACACAATCAAGTTAGTTAACACATTCATCACCTCACAGTTGCTGTGTGTGTGGGTGTGTATGTGTATGTGTATGTGTGTGTGTGTGTGTGTGTGTGTGTGTGATGAGAACATTTAAGATCTACTCTCAGCAAATTTTAAGTATGCAGTATAGTATTATTAACTATAGTCACCACATTGTATATTATATCCCCAGAATTTATTCATCTCATAACGGAAAGGTTGTATCCTTTGACCAACATTTCCCCATTTTCTCCTCCAGCTCCTGGCAGCCACCATTCTACTCTATTTCTATGGGTTTGACTTTTTTAGATTCCACATACAAAATCATACTGTATTTGTCTTTCTCTGTCTGCCTTATTTCACTTAGCAGAATGACAAGGCAGCCTTTTGATCTGGATAACCTATGATGGTTAGAATTGTCCTCCTTCTGTTGAGTTGGATTCGCTTCCTGGGAACCTCCCTCCTTTGATTTTGCTCTCTGGAGAAGAGGGAATGAGGCCAGTCCCTCCTTTAGTTGAGGAAATAGTCTCAAGATCTGGAACCTAGCAGGTAGAGACAAGAGATGGCCACTCCCAAAGACCTCTGATGAGTCTCTGATCCAGACTTTGCAGCCAGCATCCCCCTGCTCTGTGTGTTCCATTCTTAATCCATCTGGGGGGTCTGGAGTTGTTGGAATGGTGAATTTCCCTTTGTCTGTCCACCTCCCCTACCCAGAGTATCACACCAATCAGAAATAGTCATGTGTTTCTCTGTGTGCCCACCCACGAAGGCACTGGGATGATCCTTGGTCAGGATTGGTGGCTTGGACTTGAGCACTGAAGCCAATAGGTATAAAAGGAGAACTTGTTAAGTGGGTACTTATGGACGTTGTTTTTATCAGGAGGCCGAGCAAGTTTAGATGCCACCGTTTTTATTTTATCTATATCTGACTTGGAGAAGCAGTGTTTTGTGATAAACTCAACAAGAAATATGCTTAAAACCTAAGCTGCAAGAATGAGTTTCTTACCACCAGCTCCAAATAAAGCCCTCTTAGAAGAACCACTGGTTGCCGCCGGGCGCGGTGGCTCACACCTGTAATCCCAGCACTTTGGGAGGCCGAGGTGGGCGGATCATGAGGTCAGGAGATCGAGACCATCCTGGCTAACACAGTGAAATCCCGTCTCTACTAAAAATACAAAAAAATTAGCTGGGTGTGGTGGCGGGCGCCTGTAGTCCCAGCTACTTGGGAGGCTAAGGCAGGAGAATGGCATGAATCCGGGAGCTTACAGTGAGTCGAGATCGCGCCACTGCACTCCAGCCTGGGTGACAGAGTGAGATTCCATCTCAAAAAATAAATAAATAAATAAATAAGAAGAACCGCTGGTTGGCAGGACCTTCCTTAAATACTCTCACACTTACCTAATAGCTTATACCAGGAGAATAGAAGTGAATGCTAAATAATTTTGTTTTCCCCCAGTGTATTTTTACTTTTATTATTATTATTATCATTATTATTATTATTATTATTTTTTTTTTTTTTACAGAGTCTTGCTCTGTCACCCAGGCTAGGATGCAGTGGTGCGATCTTGGCTCACTGCAACCTCCACCTCCCGGGCTCAAGTGATCCTCCCACCTCAGCCTTCCAAGTAGCTGGGACTTCAGGTGCACACTACCATGCCTGGCTAATTTTTTTTGCTTGTATGTTTTGTGGAGACAAGTTTTGCCATGTTGCCCAGGCTGGTCTCCAACTCCTGGGTTCAAGCGATCCACCTGCCTCAGCCTCTCAAAGTGCTAGGATTACAGGCGTGAGCCACTGTGCTTGGCCTCAACATTTATGTAAGATTTCAAACATATAGCAGTTGAAGGTACTTTACAGTGAGCATCTGCCACCTGGTACCATTAACATTTTACTATATTTGCTTTATTACATGTCTGTTCATCTATCCATCCCTTTCTCTGTCCATGAATCTATCTTATTGTTTAATGTATTAAAAGTAAATTGCAGGCCAGGCGCAGTAGCTCACGCCTGTAATCCCAGCATTCTGGAAGGCCGAGGTGGGCGGATTGCCTGATCTCAGGAGTTCGAGACCACCCCGGGCAACATGGTAAAACCCCGCCTCTCCTAAAATACAAAAAATTAGCCGGCCATGGTGGTACGTGCCTGTAATCCCAGCTACTCATGAAGCTGAGGCAAGAGAATTGCTTGAGCCCAGGAGGCGGAGGTTGCAGTGAGCCGAGATCTCCCCATTGCACTCCAGCCTGGGAGACAGAGTGAGACTCTATCTCAAAAGAAAAAAAAAAAAAGTAAATTGCAGACATCAGTGCATTTCTTTCCATATATGTCTGTATATTTATCATTAATTAGTTCAGTATTTATTCTTTTGATGTAAAATGGACTAACAGTGAAACACACAGATCTTAAGCATATACTTACTGAGTTTTGGCAAATGTATACACCACTGTAACCTAAACCTCCATCAAGATATAGAACATTTACCATCATGTAGCTAATTCTCCCTCCACCTTTAAATCAACCAATTTTTCTGATTCTTTTTCCACCATAGATGAATTTTGCCTGTTCTAAGGAAAAGAGCTGTATATAAATGAAATCATACATCATGTACTTTTTTATTTTTGACTTTTTTGGATGTACAGTCCTGTGAGCTTTAATGTATACATTTGTGTAACTACTGCCACAATTCAGGATATAGAATAGTTCTTTTGCCCACAAAATTTCTTTCATGCTTCCCCAATATATTTCTACTGTTAACCCCTGGCAACCACTGATCTATTCTCCTTTACCATAGCTTTGTCTTTTTGAGAAGTCTCTTGCCCATGAAACAAAATTATACTATTTATTTTCTTACTGTTGAACGTCAAGAGTTATTTATGTATCCTGGATACAATTCTTCGTGAGATATGTGAGTTGCAAATATTTTCTCCCATTCCGAAGATTTTCTTTTTTTTTTTCCTCTTAACAGTACTGTTTGCAGAGCAAAACTTAAGGTATGATAAAGTCCAATTTATCACTTTTGAATTTATTTTCTCATAAAATGTTTATTTTTTTATGATTTACATTCAATCTGTGATTCATTTTTTTGTATTAGGTTGGTGCAAAAGTAATTGCAGTTTTTGCCATTACTTTTATTTATATATGTTTTTATTTTGATTTATTTATTTTTTGAGACAGAGTCTCACTCTTGTCTCCCAGGCTGGAGTGCAGTGGTGCAATCTCAGCTCGCTGCAACCTCAGTCTTCCGGGTTCAAGCGATTCTCCTGCCTCAGCCTCCCGAGTAGCTGGGATTACAGGCACCCGCCACCATGCCCGGCTAATTTTTATATTTTTAGTAGAGACAGGGTTTCACCATGTTGGCCAGGCTGGTCTTTAACTCCTGACCTCAGGTGATCCACCCTGCTCAGCCTCCCAAAGTGCTGGGATTACAGACGTGAGCCACTGCACCTGGCCTTTGCCATTACTTTTAAAATGGCAAAAACTCCAATTACTTTTGCACCAACCTAATACATTTTGGTATATAGTGTGAGTTTAAATTGAAATTCATTTTTTGTGTGTGTGCATTTAAATGTACAATTTTTTTCTACACCATTCATTGAAATGGTGATTTCTTTCTCCACTGAATTGCCTTTACACCTTTGTAAGAAATTAATTGTCTGTATTTATAGTCTACTTCTGGACTCTATCCTGTCCCACTGATCTATGTGTGTATTCCTTTGTCAATATCACATTTTTGTGGTAACTGTAGCTTTATTATAATTTTTTTTTTTTTTTTGAGACGGAGTCTTGCTCTGTCACCCTGCCTGGAGTGCAATGGCGCGATCTGGGCTCACTGCAACCTCTGCCTTCTGGGTTCAAGCAGTTCTCCTGCCTCAGCCTCCCGAGTAGCTGGGGTTACAGGCACACGCCAACACGCCCAGCTAATTTTTTTGTATTTTTAGTAGAGAGGGGGTTTCACTATGTTGGCCAGGCTGGTCTCGAACTCCTGACCTCAGGTGATCCACCTGCAGCTGGTCTCGAACTCCTGACCTCAGGTGATCCACCTGCATCAGCCTCCCAAAGTACTGGGATTACAGGCATAAGCCACTGTGCCTGGCCTATTGTAATTCTTAAAATTGACCAGTCAAATCTAGGTAAGGAAAGAAAAAAACTGAATAGTGTGAGTTCCACCTTTATTATTCTTTTTCAAAAATTATTTTAGCTATTTAGTTATTTTGTCTTTTTATATAAATTTTAGGATCAGCCTGTCTATATTTATAATAAATATCTGATTTTTATTGCCACTACATTAAATCTGTCTCTCAACTCAGGGAGGATTGACATATTAACTATATTAACTAACTAAAGTCTTCCAAACTATGAACGTGGTATGTCTCTCCATTTATTTAAGTCTTCTTTTCTTTTTTTATCAGCATTTTGTAGTTTTCAGCATATAGATTCTTAATATGTTTTGTTAGACTTACGCTCAAGTATTTGATATTTTTTGGATCTATGTAAATGTATTTACTTTAAAATTTTTGATTCCTGATTATTTTTAGTATTAAAAATATAATTGATTTTTGTGTTGACCTTGTATCCTGTGACCTTGATAAACACACTTATAAGTACTAGGAACTTTTCTTCCCTGGATTCCATGGATTTTTCTATGTAGTTAATCATGTTGTCTGAGAATAGGGATAATTGATTTTTTAAAAATTGTATTTATTTTTGTTTTACTAGCCAGGATTTCCATTACAATGTTGGATGGGAATAGTGGGAGTATATATCCTTGCCTTGTTCTCAGTCTTAAGGGGAAAGTGTTCAAATTTTCCACCATTAATAATGATGTTAGGTTTAGTTTTTTTGTTTTGTTTTTTGTTTGTTTATTTGGGTAGATGCTCTTTTCTCTATAAGGTTAAGAAGTTTCTTTCTATTCCTGGCTCCTTGAGAGTTTTCAATAATGAATGGATACTGAATTTTGTCAAATGCTTTTTCTGTATCAATTAGTATGGTCATGTGGTTTATCTTCTTTCTTTCTTTCTTTCTTTCTTTCTTTCTTTCTTTCTTTCTTTCTTTCTTTTCTTTCTTTTCTTTCTTTTCTTTCTTTCTTTCTTTCTTTTGACAGAGTGTAGCTCTGTCACCCAGGCTGGAGTATAGTGGTGCGATCTGGGCTTACTGCAACCTCCACCTCCTGGGTTCAAGTGATTCTCTTGCCTCAGCCTCCGAGTAGCTGGGATTACAGGCATGCACCACCACACCCAGCTAATTTTTTTTTGTATTTTTAGTAGAGACAGGGTTTCACTATGTTGGTCAGGCTGGTCTTGAACTCCTAGCCTCAAGTAATCCGTCTGCCTCGGCCTCCCAAATTGCTGGGATTGTAGGTGTGAGCCACTGCACCTGGCCCATTTATCTTCTTTAAACAATTAATATGATTTACCTTCTTTAGACTGTTAATATGTTTGATGTAGAATTTTTGAACCAGCCTTGCATTCCTGGGATAAACTCCACTTGGTTATGGTATATTATTTGAATATACTGTTAGATTTAATTTGTTAGTATTTTGCTGAGAATTTTTTTTGTCTGTGTTCATGAGGGATATTGATCTGTGGTTTTCCTTTTTTGTACTGCCTTTGTTTAGTTTAAGAATCAGGATAATACTGGGCCTAAGTAATTTTTTGTGTGTTTGTGGAAAGTTTTTAACTACAAATTCAATTTCTTTAATGTTTTTAGGATTATTCATGTAGTGTATTTGTTCTTGGTGAATTTTGGTAGTTTGTGGCTTTTAAGGAATTGGTACATCTTATTGAAATTGTTGAATTTACATGCATAGAGTTGTCCCCAGTATTCTTTTATTATTCTTTTAACGTCACGGGGTCTATGGTGATACTCCTCTTTTCGTTCTTGATGTTGGTAATGTGTGTTTTTTTCTCTCTTTTTTCCTTTGTTAGTCTGGCTGGAAGTTTATAATTTTAATTCATCTTTTCAAAAGACCAGGTTTCAGCTTCATTTATTTAATGTTTTTCTGTCTTCAATTTCATTGATTTTCATTCTTACTATTTTTTCTTTCTTCTGCTTACTATAGGTTTATTTTGCCCTTTTCTTCCTGTTTTGTTGAGGCAGATACTTACTAATAGTTAAGACTTGAGAACTAGTTGACTTGAGAACTCTTTTCTTTCTGATGTAAGTATTGCCATAAATTTTCCTCTAAGAACTACTTTAGCTGTATCCCACAAATTTTGATATATTTTCATTGTTTTCCAGTTCATAATATTTTCTAATTTTTTTCTAAGGCTTCCTCTTTGATGCATGTTTTCTTTTGAAGTCTTTTGTTTAATCTCTAAGTGCTTGGATATATTTTATTCTATTTTTCTTACTGATTTCTAGTTTATTGGTTTCTCTGCTGGACTTCCAATTACCAGAAGTATATCTCCTCTCCTTTGTTTGCACGCTAGCACTCTCCCTTTGATATGCCAATCAAAGCTTACCTATTAATTCATTGCCTTGGTCCTTTCTTGTGGGAGGATGAGTGCCAAGTGTCTTTAGTTAGCCATCTTGCTGACATCGCTCCTCTAGTTTAATTCAATTATTATTATTGTTATTATTATTTTTTTGGAGACGGAGTCTCACTCTGTCACCCAGGCTGGAGTGCAATGGCACGACCTTGGCTCATTGCAACCTCTACCTCCGAGGTTCAAGTAATTCTCCTGCCTCAGCCTCCCGAGTAGCTGGGTGGGAGTATAGACACCCGCCACCACGTCCGGCTAATTTTTGTATTTAGAGATAGGGTTTCACCACATTGGCCAGGCTGATCTTGAACTCCTTTCCTCAGGTGATCCACCTGCCTTGGCCTCCCAAAGTGCTGGGATTACAGTTGTGAGTCACTGCGCTCAGCCAGTTTAATTCAATTATGATCAATGAACACATTTCTTATGGTTTCAATTCTCTTAAAATGTTTAATATTTCTTTTTTAACTCAGGATATGTTACTTCTTGGTGAATGTTCCATGTGTGCTTGAAAAGAATGCATGTTCTGCTGTTGATGGGTGGAGTGTTCTATAAATGTCAATTATATCCAGTTGGTTGATGGTGTTTAGATCCTTGATATCCTTGCTGATTTTCTCTCTAGTTGTCTTATTGATTACAGAGAGAGAAGTGTTGATGTCTCCTACTGTAATTGTGGATTTATCCATTTTTCTTTTCAGTTCCATCTGTTTTGCTTCATGTATTCTGAGATATTTTGTTAAGTGTGTACACATTTAGGATGGTTATGTCTTCTTGGTCAGTTGATCCTTTGTCATTACTTAAAGTTCTCTTTAATCCCTGGTAATTTTCCTTGCTCTGAAAACTATTTTCTCTGATATAATATGGTCACTCCAGATTTTATTTTTTTAGGTTTTAACTTATTATTATTATTATTTATTTATTTTTTGAAACAGGGTCTCACTCTGTTGCCCAGGCTGGAGTGCGATGGCGAGATCATACCTCACTGCATCCTCGGCCTCCCAGGCTCAAGCGATCCTCTCATTTCAGCCTTCTGAGTAGCTGGGACTACGGGCGTGTGCTACCACCCTCGGCTAATTTTTAAATTTTTTTGTAGAGATGGGGGTCTTGCTTTGTTGCCCAGGCTGGTCTCGATCTCCTAGGCTCAAAAGGTCTGCCTGTCTCCGCCTCCCAAAGTGCTGGGATTGCAGGCGTGAGCCACTGCACCTGACCATTTTTTTTTTCAGGATTTTACAAACTGAGATAACATTTCACATAAAATTCAACCTTTTAACCATTTAAACTGTACAATCGAATGATTTTCTGGACGTCACATATAAATGAAATCATGCAATATGTGGCTGTATTAGTCTGTTCTCATGTTGCTGATAAAGACATACCCGAGACTGGGTAATTTATTTATTTATTTTGAACTGGAGTTTTGCTCTTGTTGCCCAGGCTGGAGTGCAATGGCACGATCTCGGCTCACCGCAACCTCCGTCTCCCGGGTTCAAGCAATTCTCCTGCCTCAGCCTCCCGAGTAGCTGGGATTATAGGCGTGCACCACCATGCCTGGCTAATTTTGTATTTTTAGTAGAGACGGGCTTTCTCCATGTTGGTCAGGCTGGTCTCAAACTCCCGACCTCAGGTGATCCGCCTGCCTCAGCCTCCCAAAGTGCTGGGATTACAGGCATGAGCCACCGCTCCGGGCCAAGACTGGGTAATTTATAAAGAAAAAGAGGTTTAATGGACTCACAGTTCCAACATAGCTGGGGAAGCCTCACTATCATGGTGGAAGGTGAAAGGCACAATCATGGTGAAAGGTGAAAGGCACAATCATGGCAAAAGGTGAAAGGCACGTCTTAACATGACAGCAGGCAAGAGTGAATGAGAACCAAGTGAAAGGGGAAATCCCTTATAAAATTATCAGATCTTGTGAGACTTATTCACTACCACAAGAACAGTATGGGGGAAACTGCCCCCACGATTCAATTATTTCCCACTGGGTCCCTCCCATAACATATGGGATTATGGAAGCTACAATTCAAGATGAGATTTGGGTGGGGACACAGCCAAACCATATCAATGGCCTTTTGTTTTACAACTTCTTTCACTTAACATAATGTCTTCAAGTTTCACCCATGTATTAGTACTTCATTTTTTTATGACTGAATAATATTCCATTGTATGTATCTGCCCATTTTGTTGATCTATTAATCAGTTGATGGACATTTGGTTGTTTCCAACTTGTGGCTCTTGAGAATAATTCTGCTATGAGGTTTTTTTTTTTTTTTTTTTTTTTTTTTGGCTAGGTGGATAAGGACACATAAGGAGGAATGTTCTCTACAGCAAACTAATGTCCCCAGGTTCAGGCTGGTGCACAGTTAGGATCTCTAGAGTCAGAAGTTTCTTCTATAGCTTTTGTAGTTGTACATGATGGTTCAATGTGACAATTCCCAGGAGCTCTTAAACGTATTTGAGTGGGGCTATTCAGGTTATATATACCAGGTTATGAATTGTTCATACTAATTTCAGAAATGGAGAAAATAGTCGTTTTGAGAAATTAATAGTCATTAAGGCAAAGTACTTTACTGTAGAAAAAACAGAATATGTACTTAGTCAGAAAAATGAATACTGTTATGATCCTACCACCCACATATGGACATTGTTGACACCTCGTTACAGAGTCTTAGAGGGTTTTCCTCATGCAAACATGTATGTTTATGTTTCTTAAGAGTAACTGTATGGTATGTATTTTGTAGTCTCCTCATTTCCCCTGAAAAGTTGACATAAGACATTAATGTCTTTCAGTGTCAAAACTATATTTTATAGCATTTCTAATGGCTATATAACATTCCAGCATACGGTAAAGCATAATTGAGTTGAACGACACCCTTTAGTGACTTAGATTATTTCTAGTTTTTCGCTCTCATAAACACAGCCTTAATAAATATTTTTGAAATGGAATCTTTGTAAAGCACTCTTATTTGTTTCTTTAAGAAATATAGGCTGGGTGGGGTAGTTCATGCCTGTAATCCCAGCACCTTGGAAGGCCAAGGCGGAAGGATTGCTTGAGCCCAGGAGTTCGAGACCAACTTGGACAACATGGCAAAACTCTTGTTTCTCCAAAAAAAAAAAACACAAAAAAAATTTAGCCAGGTGTGATGGCATGCACCTGAAATCCCAGTTACTTGGGAGGCTGAAGTGGGAGGATTGCTTGAGCCTGGGAGGTTGAGGCAGCAGTGAGCCATGATCCCACTACTACACTCCAGCCTGGGTGACAGAGCAAGACCCTGTCTCAAAAAAAAAAAAAGAAAAAAAAAGGAAAAGAAAAAGAAATATACATAGAGGGAACTTGAAAAATTCATCTTATGGAGATAGTGAGTAGAGTGGTGGTTACCAGAGGCTGGGAAGGGTTGTAGGGAAGGAGAGGTGAAGTGGGTTGGTTAGTGGGTCAAAAATATAGCTCGATAGAAGGAATAAGATCGAGTGTTTGATAGCGCAGTAGGCTGACTACAGTTAGCAATAATTTATTGTATATTTCAAAATAGCTAGAAGAGAAGATTTGGAATATTCCCAACACAAAGAGATGATAAATAAATGATAAATGTTTGAGGTGATGAATATTCTAGTTACCCAGATTAGATCATTACACATTGTATGCTTGTATTAAAATAGCACACGAACCCCATATATGTGTACAACTATTATGTATACATACAAATTAAAAGTAAGCAAAAAGAGAAAGAAATATACCTAGAAGTGGCATGAATGCATGCATGTAAGACTTTTGTTCATCTATGGCCTAATGATCCCTTGGAAAGAGCATTCTACTTCATAACCTTCTCAGAGTTTAAAAGAGTAGGCTGAGCACAGTGGCTCACGCCTGTAATCCCAGCACTCTGGGAGGCTGAGGCAGGTGGATCACTTGAGGTTAGGAGTTTGAGAACAGCCTGGCCAGCGTGGTGAAACTCCGTCTCTACTAAAACTGCAAAAAAAAAAAAAAAAAAAAAATTAGCCAGGCCTGGTGGCACATGCCCGAGTCCCAGCTACTTGGGAGGTTGAGGCACGAGAATCATTTGAATCAGGGAGGCGGAGGCTGCAGTAAGCCAAGATCGTGCCACTGCACTCCAGCCTGGGTGACAGAGCAAGACTGCATCTCAAAAAAAAAAAAAAAAAAAAAAAAAAAAAAAGGAAAGCCTGTGATTTTATAGCTTCAGGAATGACAACTGTAGAGGCAAATGTTTCAAATAAATCTGAAACTTAATAAAAATATGTAAAGTCATTTTACTACATCTGTGCATCAACTGATCATGATGAGCTAAGAGGCTGGAAGCAGGCTTGGTTTTAAAAAAATGTACACTTTGAGTTGAAATAAATAGATTTTGAATCATGTCAATGACAAGGAAGACTAATTTAAGATGATTTTTTTTCCCCAAATGGCATCAGAAAGAGGTGTGAGTTTTATGGATGAGGCTGCTTGATTTCTAGGGGGTCACACAGTGATTCTGGGGGCCAGGCAGGAAACCCACAGGAAGAAAATGGGGCAGAAGTGGAATGTTTGGGGGTGACATGGTGGGGAGGTCATGGTGACCTGGGCAGCATCCATTTAGAGATGTCAGGTGTTGGCAATGAATAGGATTTGGACCTAGCATTGTCAAGTATTTCCATTTTTCAATATAACCCCAGAAATAAAAATCTTATTATTATTATTATTTTTTTGAGACACAATCTTGCTCTGTCACCCAGGTTGGCATGCAGTGGCACGATCTTGGCTCACTGCAACCTCTGCCTCCTGGGTTCTAGCGATTCTCCTGCCTCAGTCCCCTGAGTAGCTGAATTACAGGTAACCACCACCATGCCCGGCTAATTTTTGTATTTTTAGTAGAGATGGGATTTTGCCATGTTGGCCAGGCTGGTCTCAAACTCGTGGCCTGAAGTGATCCACCCGCCTCAGCCTCTCAAAGTGCTGGGATTACAGGTGTGAGCCACTGCGCCTGGCTCAAAAATCAAAATCTTAAGTGTGAAATTTTTCACACAAAACAAAAAATGCTATAAAAGTTAAAAATACATACCCGTAGGTTGGATTCAGCCCATGAGCACTTTGTGCTCTTTGCCATATTCCTTAAAAACCAACAAACAAAAATTTATTTTAATTTCAGTCTTGACTACTTGACTATTTTAAATTGGTATTGAATGTGGTTGGTGAAAAGTGGCAAAAGGTTTATACATTATGTTTGTGAACACTGCAGTACACCACTGAATTCAATCCCTGGGAAAAATAAGAATTGTTCTCATTCTTTCAAATACAGATGAAAATAAGGCTGATGGCGTCCCAAGTTCATGTACCTCACAATCAAAATTGTGCCTCACAATCAAAATACGTGGGTTTCTATAATATATGTTACACACATGGATAGCAGAGAATAGATATAAGTTGAATAAATAAATGGCTTGCAGTTGCTCTGAGATACCTACAAAACAGAGAGTTTGCTGGGGTATGAATAAAAGTTACCTAGAAATTCAACCTTGTCTTGTCACTGAAGATATGGCATTAAAGAGACTTCCCATTAGGTAGATTTTCCAAGTAATGTTATTTGTGATATCCTTGGTGAAGTTACCTTGAGGCCAGAGCAACAACTTAGAATCAGTGGTTCCTGAAGGACATCCAGTATTGACGTTTTTAAGGGAATATGACCGAGCCTTTGTTTCTGGCATAAACTGGTAATTATATTCCTGGTATTTTATAAAAAGCAGACAGTACCCAGTACCTCATTACCATCTGATCAAGAACCTCACCATCATGCTGTTAATTAAAATGTGTGTGTGTGTGTGTGTGTGTGTGTGTGTGTGTGTGTGTGTTTTTAAGATGGAGTCTCGCTCTGTCGCCCAGGCTGGAGTGCAGTGGCGCGATCTTGGCTCACTGCAACCTCCATCTCCTGGGTTCAAGCAATTCTCCTACCTCAGCCTCCTGAGTAGCTTGGGTTATAGGCGCCCGCAACCATGCCCAGGTAATTTTTCCATTTTTAGTAGAGACGGGGGTTTCACCACATTGGCCACGTTTCACATCGTTTTTTGTTTTTTGTTTTTTGTTTGAGATGGAGTCTTGCACTGTCGCCCAGGCTGGAGTACAGTGGCACTATCTCGGCTCACTGCAACCTCCGCCTCCTGGGTTCAAGCGATTCTCCTGCCTCAGCCTCCCGAGTAGGTGAGATTACAGGCGTCCGCCACCACGCCCAGCTAATTTTTTGTATTTTTAGTAGAGATGGGCTTTCACTATGTTGGTCAGGCTGGTCTTGAACTCCTGACCACATGATCCACCCGCCTCGGCCTCCCAAAGTGCTGGGATTACAGGCATGAGCCACCGCACCCGACCCAGCCACGTTTCAAATCTATACAAAAGAAGAGAGAATAGCAAAATGTCCCCATCACACAAATTCACCAATGATCAAGTCATGGTCAATCAATGCCTCCCCATGTCAAAAATCTCCCTGGATTATTGTGAAGCAATTCCCAAACCATTATTGCATTTCATCTTCAATACATTTCAATATATGTTTCTCATAAACAGTAAGTACTATGTTTTAAGCACAACCAGTGCTATTGTCATACCAACAATTCCTCAATCAGGTATTTCCTGAAACAACAAAATGAAATATTTATACACAAAAGAGGACTGTATTTATTGAAGTCGTCACTGTGATTATATCTGCCTTGCCCTAGCTCTGCTGACAGTACTTAAAATATTCTTACACGCTGTCTTCAGTCACTTTACAGGAAAACAAGTCTATTTACTTTCCTTTTTTTTTTTTTGACCCCAGATGGTAGCATTTACTGTGTCTGCTTGACTGATTCCCAGTGATTTTTGTTCATTTAAAATGCATAAATAGTCCAGTCCACTCTTAACAAGATGTGCTGCCATTGATGATGATCACGATAATGTTCTGGACACGGTATCTGAAAGGGAACTCAAGAAGCAGCGTCATAGCTTTGGTGTTGGGATAAGAATTCAGCCATTTATAATGTCTACTTGGTGGTTATTTTTGTTTGTTTGTTTAGAGACAGTTTTGCTCTGTTGCCTAGGCTGGGGTGCAGTGGCATGATTATGGGCTCACTGCAGCCTTGAACTCTTGGGCTCAAGTGATCTTCCTGCCTCAGCCTCCTGAGTAGTTAGGACTATTGGGGTACACCACCATGCCCGGTTAATTTTTTTTTTTGCCTTTATTTATTTATTTATTTATTTATTATTATTATACTTTAAGTTTTAGGGTACATGTGCACAATGTGCAGGTTAGTTACATATTTTTAAATTTTTTGTAGAAATGAGGTCTCTCTATGTTGCCTAGGCTGATCTCGAACCTCTGGACTCAAGCGATCCTCCCACCTCTGTCTCTCAAAGTGCTGGGATTACAGGCATGAGCCCCCACACCTGGCCTATGATGTCTGCTTTGAAAGGCAAGCTGGTTGTTGAGCTCAGCATTCATTCAGTCCTTCATTTATTCCACTTTACGTTAAATGCATTAGATACACAAATGTCAGTCTGGCATGTGTGGAAATAATGATGTACAAATATGTGTTGCACGTCAGGCACCGTGCTGGGTACTGGGACACAGAATACATGCCTTCACGTCGTGGATCTGGTGACGTGATGCTAAAGCGAAGACCTGAAGGATGACAGCATTAGCTAGAGACGAGGAAAGGGTGTTCCAAGCAGCAGGAACAGTATGCACAAATGCCAAGAGTTAGGAGATAGCATGGGGCATTTGAGGAACCAAATGAAGTCCAACATGGGAGGAGTCTAATATGTTTCAGGCTTTTTTTTTTTTTTTTTTTTTCTTGAGACAGAGTCTGTCTTTGTTGCTCAGGCTGGAGTGCAGTGGCACTGTCTTGGCTCACTGCAACCTCTGCTTCCTGGTTCAAGAGATTCTCCTGCCTCAGCCTCCCGAGTAGCTGGGATTACAGGCGTGCACTGCCACGCCTGGCTAATTTTTTTTTTTTTTTGTATTTTTAGTAGAGATGGGGGTTTCTCCATGTTGCCCAGGCTGGTCTCGAACTCCTGACCTCAAGTGATCCACCCGCCTCAGCCTCCCAAAGTGCTGGGATTACAGGGGTGAGCCACTGTGCCTGGCTCAGGCTCATCTGGAGACAAAGGGATAGGACCACATATTTTCCTGTCTTTAAACTGGGTTCCTTTGCGTCTCCTTCCTGCCTCATCTCCTTATTATAGGAAAATAAGGCAGTCTCATTTGCCAAATTGAATCAAACTCTCTAATATATGATCTCCACTTCTCAAATATGATTTGAAAGTATAACATTAATTTATTGGTCCCCTAAGGTAGAGGCAGGTTCTTTAACACCAGAACAAACACAAGCCACTTCATAATGATAATAATAGTAATAATAATAATAATAGATGGGCAAGATCTTGAGAAGGGTAGGGTGGAGGGAGGGGAAATAAAGCCAGGAGAAAAGAGGTGGTGAAACGGAAATACATTTGAAATCTCCTGCTTTGTGGTTTATGATTAACAGCAGGGCAGAAAATGTCTCTGCAGAGTTATGAAAAATTCATTGGTAGCATGCTACAGGTCTGAGAAGCTGGTCATTGTTTGATCAGATTAACTATAATAAGAGCAGTCTTAAATTAACTCAGATTAAGAGGAGAACTTTCCCCCGCTACTATTTAGTCATATGTGTATAATCACATTTCCTTGCAGCCGGTTGCCCCTAGTTGTCTGCTAAGACGGTAGCTGGGGTCTTCAGTAAGGTGGAACCAAGAGGGGAGAGGGTGGGCTGAGCCCAGATACCACCTTGAGGCTGGGGGCAGATGGAGGAGGCGTCCCTGGGCACCCTCTGGGCTCTGGCTCATGTTTGTCTAGTCTCCCAGACACCACCCTTCTGTTTTTCAGACCTGTTTCCTTTTTCCTGGGTCAGCTTCATCCCAGCTTATGGTTTCCCAGTATGGGGCACCTGCCATGTGCCGTGCAATGTTCTAGGTGCTAGGGATATATGTCTGAGAGCAAAACAGGCTAAGAGCCCTGTGCTCTTGTAGCTCACATTCTAGGTGGGGGAGACAGACAACAAACAAATAAAAGCTGTTTTCACAGTCACTGAATAGGGAAGCTGGCCAGGCACAGCGGCTCATGCCTCTAATCCCAGCATTTTGGGAGGCCAAGATGGGACCATCTCTCAGGAGTTCAAGACCAGCCTGAGCAACAAAGCGAGACCCTGTCTCTACTACTACTACTACTACTACTACTACTACTACTACTACTAATAATAATAATAATAATAATAAAATAATAATAATGATAAAGTAGCCAGGCATGGTGGTGTGCACCTGTAGTCCCAGCTACTCTGGAGGCCGAGGTGGGAGGATCACATGAGCACAGGAATTTGCAGCTGCAGTGAGCCATGCTTGTGCCATTGCATTCCAGCGTGGGCAACAGATTGAGACCGTGTCTTAAAAATAAAATAATTTAGGCCTGGTGTGGTGGCTCATGCCTGTAATCCTAGCACTTTGGGAGGTCAAGGCAGGCAGATCGCTTGAACTCAGGAGTTCAAGATTAGCCTGGGCAACATGGCAAAACATCATCTTTATGAAAAATTAGCTGGACATGGTGGCTCTTGCCCGTGGTCCCAACTACTCAGGAGGCTGAGGTGGGAGGATCACTTGAGCCTGGGAGGCAGAGTTGCAGTGAGCTGAGATCACACCACTGTACTCCAGCCTGGGTGACAGAGAAAGACCCTGTCTCAAAAAAAAAAAGTTCAATAAATGGAATAAGGAAGCTATCAAGGATGATAGAAGGTGACAAGTACTATGGAAAAAAGAAAAAAGCAGAGCAGGCTTCATGAAAAAGGTGACATTTGAGCAAAGACTTAAAGGAACTGAGGGAGTGATCCCGGGGACCTCTGGGGGGAAAAGCACTCAGAGAGAGGCCACCGCATGTGCCAAGCCCCTGAGGTGTCTGAGGAACAGCTAGGAAGCTTGTGTGACCAGAGTGGAGTGGGACCAGATCATGAGAGCCTTTATTTATTATTTATTTATTTGAGACTGAGTCTCACACTGTTGCCCAGGCTGGAGTGCAGTAGCGCAATCTTGGCTCACTGCAATCTCCACCTCCCTGTTCAAGCAATTCTTATGCCTCAGCCTCCTGAGTAGCTAGGATCACAGGCGCCCACTACTACGACCGGCTAACTTTTGTATTTTTAGTAGAGGTGGGGTTTCACCATGTTGGCTGGGCTGGTCTCGAACTCCTGACCTCAAATGATCCACCCACCTCGGCCTCCCAAAAGTGCTGGGATTACAGGCATGAACCACCATGCCCGGCCCATGAGAGCTTTTGAGACCAGTGTAAACATTTTACCCCATGAAATGAACACATTGGAGGGTTTTGAGCAGAGGAAGAGTGGGATCTGACTTCAGTTTTAGCAGCATCTTTCTAGTCACTGGTTGAGAACAGACTCTAGGGGCCTGAATAGAAGCAGGTGGATGAGTCAGAAGACTGCAAGCAGGGTGTGGTGGTGCATGCCTATGATTCCAGCTACTTGGGAGGCTGAGGAGGGAGGATTGCTCGAGCCAGGAGGTCAAGGCTGCAGTGAGCTGTGATCGGGCCATTGCACTCTAGCCTGGGCAACAGAGCAAGACAAGACCCTGTGTGAAAAAAGAAGAAGAATAAGAAGGCAGGGCAAGGTGGCTCAGACCTGTAATCCCAGCGCTTTGGGAGGTTGAAGCAGGAGGATCACTTGAACCCAGGAGTTTGAGACCAGCCTGGGCAAGGTAGCAAGAGCCTGTCTCTACAAAAAATTTTTAAAAATTAGCTGGGTGTGGTGGTGCATGCCTGTGGTTCCAGCTACTCAGGAGGCTGAGGTGGGAGGATCCCTTGAACCCAGGAGTTCAAGGCTGCAGTGAGCCATGCTCGTACCACTGCACTCCAGCCTGGGTGACAGAGCAAGACTCTGTCTCAAAAAGAAAAAAATTTAAAATATAAATAGAAGAAGAAGACGACTGTGGCTTGCACCAGGCCGGTGAGCCATGGTTGGATTTTGGTTATATTTAGAACTTAGAGTGAACAGGATTTCCAGATGTTTTTGACCTTGCCTGTTGACTGATAGAAAATGTGATGATATTCACTGATTGTATTCATCTGAGCCCCTTTGTTTGCGAGTGTGAGAAACTTATCTCAAACTGGTTCAACAAAAATGGGGAGTTCTTTGGCTTGTGGGACTGAGATGTTTATGGGTAGCACTGGCTTCAGCGTGGCTAGATCCAGGTACTTGACAAAGCAAAGCCTTGTCTACACCTCTCAGTTTGGCTTTCTTTCTGGATTGCTTTCATCCAAACAGCCTTTCCTTACGGTGGCAGAATGGCCACTGGAAGTGCCACACTTGCATTTTATCACCTTGCTTGTAGGAAGAGCGTGATTATTTCTCAGTGGCTCCAACAAATTTCTGGGGTATCCTATTCACCAGCCAGGAGTGCTTCATTTCTCTACTCCTGGAGTCAAAAGGGAGCGGTGTTGTCATGGGTCAGTTCTGGAGCCAGGGAGCGAGATCAGTCCCTTCCAAGCCCTGTGGACCAAGCAGGGATGTTCTCCAAACAAAAGCTGGGATGCTGTTACTCAAAGATAATGAGCTTGGCTGGAGGATACAATAGATTCTGTTGTTCCAATGTAGCCAGAATTCTTAATCCAGAATTCCAGCAAATGCAGAAAATTCTAAGTAGGGCATAAGGATCAAAAGGGTAAAGAACATATTACTAGGAATGTCTGGATATTCAGAGTGGGATGTTTCAGAGTTTGCAACGTCGGCTGGATTTAAATAATAGCTCTCCCTCCACTCATGCACTCTGAAGCCAAGTGTGGTCACACATCTGCCCTCCCATTTAAGAGGCGCCATGTATCTTTTTTGGGATGGTGAGTGGATGGAGAACTGGAGCACGGTGCTGGGTCCCAGCTCTGCCACCCTCTTGCTGTGTGTCGCTTGGGCAAGTTACATAACTTTACTGAGCCACAGGATACTGGGAGGATCAAGGGTAAGAAGATTTTAAAGTACTTGGGAAACTGTGGCCCCGCAATTTAGGGCTTGGTTGTAGTGTGCCATAACCATAAACCAAAGTACTTTATGACTTTGCTGTTTATCGGGTTTCCTGATAAAATATAGGATGCTCTTTTAAATTTGAATTTCAGATAAACAATGCATACTTTATTTTTTTTTTTGAGACAGACTCTTGCTCTGTCACCCAGGCTGGAGTGCAGTGGCATGATCTCAGCTCACTGCAAGCTCCGCCTCCCGGGTTCATGCCATTCTCCTATAGGTCAGCCTCCCAAGTAGCTGGGACCACAGGCGCCCGCCACCACACCCGGCTAATTTTTTGTATTTTCAGTAGAGACGGAGTCTCACCGTGTTAGCCAGGATGGTCTTGATCTCCTGACCTCGTGATCTGCCTGTCTCGGCCTCCCAAAGTTTTGGGATTACAGGCATGAGCCACCACGGCTGGCCAACAATGCATACATTTTTAGTATAAGTATGCTTGAATACTGCACAGAACATACTTATACTAAAAATTATTTGTTGTTTATCTGACATTCTCATTTAACCAAATGTCTTTTTATTTGCTAACTCTGGCAAATCTAGGTGATCATAACAAGTGGAATGTGTTATCACCGACCACTCATTACTAACCCCTGACAGCCACTTCATGCTAACATTGGGAAGAACCCCCAAATGGTAGACATCACTAGTATTTTCTGATTGGGTGTGCATGATCTTTTTGTTTTTATTTATTTATTTATTTTGAGACAGAGTCCCGCTCTGTCATCCAGGCTGGAGTGCGATGGCACTATCTGGGCTCACTGCAACCTCTGCCTCCCAGGTTCAAGCGATTCTCCTGCCTCAGCCTCCTGAGTAGTTGGGATTGCAGGCACCCACCACCATGCCTGGCTAATTTTTGTATTTTTAGTAGAGATGGGGTTTCACCATGTTGGTCAGGCTGGTCTCCAACTGCTGACCTCAGGTGATCTGCCCGCCTCAGCCTCCCAAAGTGTTGGGATTATGGGCGTGAGCCACTGCACCCGGCCTATTTATTTGAGACAGGATCTCACTCTGTCACCCAGGCTGGAGTGCAGTGACGTGATCACAGCTCACTGCAGCCTCGACCTCCTGGGCTCAGGTTATCCTCTCACCTCAGCCTCCTGAGTAGCTGGGACTGCAGGTGTGTGCCACCACACCTGGCTACTACTTTTTTTGTATTTTTTTGTAGAGATAGGGTTTTGCTGTATTGCCCAGGCTGGCTTTGAACTCCTGGGCTCAAGTGATCTTCCCACCTTAGCCTCCCAAAGTGCTAAAATTACAGGCATGAGCTTCTGTGCCTGGCCTGTTCTTATTTTTGACTGTAGTGTTATGATCAAGTGTGAATTCTGGAATTTGTCTGGCCTGTGCTTCTTGTGAACATATGTCAACTGTATAACACCATGATTAAGTATCATTTTAAGATAGGTTTAATTAATTAATTAAATTTTTTGAGACAGAGTCTTGCTTTTGTCACCCAAGCTGGAGTGCAGTGGCACTATCTCAGCTCAATGCAACCTCTGCCTCCTGGGTTCAAGCGATTCTCCTACCTCAGCCTCCTGAATAGCCGAGATTACAGGCGCCCACCATCATGCCCAGCTAATTTTTGTATTTTTAGTAGAGATGGGGTTTTGCCATGTTGACCAGGTTGGTCTCAAACTCCTGACCTCAGGCGATCCACCCGCCTTAGCCTCCCAAAGTGCTGGTATTACAGGCATGAGCCACCGTACCTGGCCAGGTTTAAGTTTCAGATAGCAGTGTTGTCTTTCTAAGTTATGGAGCCATAACCTTGGGCATAATGTCCTCCATGTCTTTGAATCCCCATCTGTAAAAATAGGATGTTTACCTCCTAATGTTGGCATGAGGATTAGACAATAGGTGCAAAATGCTCAGCTCAGTGTCCTGTATGTGACAGGCACTCAATGTTAACCATTGCAGTTATAGTAAATATATAGAAATTAATCTGGCTGGTCTAGAATAACCTGGGTTTGGTTTTCTGAATGAACTTCTCAGCTCTATTTGGAAATTTTCTGGTTGTATTGTTCCTATGGTTTGGGCTCCGTGCCTAGCAGACTGAATTCCTAAAGCAGAATAGCAAGATGCAGTCTTGAATCTTGACACGTATGAGCAGCTTTCAGCTCTAAATTGTTGGGAAGGGTGACGGATGGGAAGAGAGAACGTCTAGCAGTGGTTTGGACTGGGTTGTTCCTAGAATTGGTGGACATGACTGTGGCAGTCTTGACTCAAGATTGTGCCCCACATCCAGGCGGGCACGACCTCTTTAGCAAGGGAGATTGGATACAGGAGTGTGACCTGAATCCGAGCCATGGTGATGTCCTTCTTTTTGAGTCATTCTCTGAAGCCCTGGTCCCTAACTATTCTCATCTATTCTTCACCTGCAGGCCCTGAACAAATGGCTGAGATAGTTAAAAATGAATTCCCAGGTCATCAGAAGTATTCGATGGCTGCCTAGGAACAGGGCGTGGACTGGGCTAGGCCAAAGTGCTATCTGTGTCTTATGCTTGCTTCTTTTTGGTTGAGATCCTTTAAAATGAAAATATTTTTCAAGCTTGGTGTTTTTATCCATATGACACTTTGAGAGAAATGTTTTTAGATGTCTGTGGGAGACACAGCCGCTGAAGTCTCTGCTCCGCACGACTCTCTTGGAGTTTCTGTAAAAAGAGTGTGCTTGGGGGTTTTGAGATCTCAGAGCAGATCAAAATGTGCTGCTTTCTTCTTGAAATGAGCATTTACCAGTGAAAGACAAAGATGTTTGAAAGATCCACATCAACCCTATTTATTTATTTATTTGTTTGTTTGTTTTCTTGAAACAGGGTCTTCTTCTGTTGCCCAGGCTGGAGTGCGGTGGTGCAATCTTGGCTCACTGCAACCTCCACTTCCTGGGTTCAAGTGATTCTCCTCCCTCAGCCTCCCAAGTAGCTGGGACTACAGGCACGTGCCACCACGTCTGGCTAATTTTTGTCTTTTTAGTACAGATGGGGTTTCACTGTTGGCCAGGCTGGTCTCGAACTCCTGACCTCAGGTGACCCACCTGCCTTGCCCTCCCAAAGTACTGGGAATATAGGCATGAGCCACTGCGCCCAGCCTACATCAACTTTAGTATTAATCTCATAACTACAGCGAGAATTTAGTGTTTACTATATGCTGGGCACTCAGTGGAGCTTTATGTATGTGGCTACCCAAAGTGTGGCCCATGGGCAGGTAGCATCTGTGCCACCTGGGAGCTAATTAGAAGTGCCACATCTCAGGACCTGGCCCAGCCTCATGGAATTACATTTTAATAAAATTGGGTGATTTCTGTGCATATTAAAGTTTGAGAACACCAGTTTAGTCCTCAGAACAACTCCAGTATAATGAAGAACAACTTATTTAAGAATAATTTTTTTGGCTGGGTGCGGTGGCTCATGCCTGTAATCCCAGCGCTTTGGGTGGCTGAGGCAGGCAGATTATTGGAGCTCTGGAGTTTGAGACCCGCCTGGGCAACATGGCTAAAACCCTTCTCTGCTAAAAATACAAAACATTATCTGGATGGGTGGTGTGTGCCTGTAGTCTCAGCTACTTGGGAGGCTGAGGCACAAGAATCGCTTGAAGCTGGGAGGCGGAGGTTGCAGTGAGTTGAGGCCCTCCAGCCTGGGTGATAGAGTGAGACTCTGTCTCAAAAAAAAAAAATTTTTTTTAAATTGAGGTATGTATACATGATATTTATTACTTCATCATTATCATTTAATTGTAAGTGTCCAATTCAGTGACATTAAATACATTCACAGTGCTATGTAATAACTTGCCACATCATCACCAAAAGTTTTTCATCATCCCTATTAGAAACTCTGTCCTCATTAAACAAGAACTCTCCATTTCCCCTCCCTCCTGCTCCCGGTAACATCTATTCTACTTTCTGTCTTTATGAATTTGCCTGTTGTAGGTACCTCTTGTGAATGGAATTAAACAGTATTTGTCCTTTTTTGTCTGGCTTCTTTCACTTAACCTAATGTTTTTGAGTTTCATCCATATTGCAGCACATATCACTACTTCATTCCTTTTTATGGCTGGATAATATTCCATTGTATAGATACACTGCGTTTCATTTATCCATTCGTCTACTGACAGACACTTGTGTTGGTTTCACCTTTTGACTATTGTGAATAATGCTTGTATTAGTCTGTTTTCATGCTGCTCATAAAGACATACCCAAGACTGGGCAATTTACAAAAGAAAGAGGTTTAATGGACTCACAGTTCCATGTGGCTGGGGAGGCCTCACAATCATGGCAGAAGGTGAAAGCCACGTCTCACATGGCTGCAGACAAGAGAAGAATAAGAGCCGAAAGAAAGGAGTTTCCCCTTATAAAACCTTCAGATCTTGTAAGACTTATTCACTACCATGAGAACAGTATGGGGGAAACCACCCCCATGATTCAATTATCTCCCAGTTGGGACCCTTCCACAACACAAGGGAATTCAAGATGAAATTTGGGTGGGGACACAGCCAAACCATATCAATGCTGCTATGAACATTGGTGTACAAATATCTGCTTTCAAATCCTAGAGTATATTCCTACAAATATTAATGCTGTTTCTAACCTGAAGTAATTGAGATGCAGAGATGTGAAGTAATTGAGATGCAGAGATGTATGTCTGAAGTCATACAACTACTTGGTGATGGTGCTGGGTTTCTGGGTTTACTTGTTCCCTTCCATTGATCCCAAAGGACACATGCGAGACTGCCTTAAGGCGAAGTGTTTTCCTTCCTTTTTTGAGATGACAGTGTCAGCTTGTGGGAAAGGTTGGCATTGAAGTCTACCAGATCTGAGTTCAAAACCAGGCACTTGCCTTTGCTAAGCATGATGTCGTAGCCAATCTCTGGCTCCATTTGCGATGTCTACCTCATGGGGATTGTTGAAATGATTAAATGTGAAAAAAATAATTCAAGTGCCTGGCTTGTAAATATTCAACAAATATTGGTTTCCACTAAATATAAGGAGGTTCTTCAAAAAAATTAAATGTAGAATTGCCATATGATCTAGCAATTCTGCTTCTGGGTATATACCCCAAAGAATTGAAAGCAAGGACTTGAACAGGTTATTTGTTCACTTGTGTTCATGACAGCATTATTTGCAATAGCTAAAAGGTGGAACCAACCCAAGTGTCCACGAGCAGATACATGGATAAATAAAATATGATATACCCATACCATACCATAGACACACCCATATTATTTAGCCTTACAAAGGAATGAAGGCCAGGCGTGGTGGCTCATGCCTGTAATCCCAGCACTTTGGGAGGCCCAGGTGGGCAGACTGCTTGAGCTCAGGAGTTCAAGACCAGCCTGGGCAACATGGTGAAACCTCATCTCTACTAAAATTACAAAAAATTAGCCGGGTATGGTGGCGCATGCCTGTAGTTCCAGCTACTCGGGAGGCTGAGGTGGGAAGATTGCTTGAGCCCAGGAGGCAGCAGAGGTTGCAGTGAGCTGATACTGCACCACTGCACTCCAGCCTGGGTGACAGAGGGAAACCCTGTCTCAAAAAAAAAAAAAAAGGAAAGAAGGAATGAAGTGCTGACACATGCTACACAACATGGATAAACCTTGAAAACATGATGCTGAGTGAAAGAAGCCAGATCCAAAAGGACAAATACTGTATGATTTCAATTAAGTGAAATATCTAGTGTAGTCAAAATCAGAGACAGAAAGTAGAACGGTGGTTGCCAGGGGCTGAGAGGGGAGGGCAGTGGCGAGTTATGGCTTAATGGGTACAGAATTTCATTTTGGGAGGATGAAAAGGTTCTATGGATGGATGGTAGTGATGGTTACACAACACTGCGTATGTGCTTGAGGCCACTCCGCTGTACACTTAAATGGTGTATTTTATGTTATGTATATTTTACCAGAATAATAAGGGGGCAAGGAGGGCAGAATGACTTTCTAGATGCTAATTTTATACGAGTACACATTGATGACTTTGCTTTCACATACCAGCTTTTAGTGGGTGCCTAGGAAAGGCCTGGTTCCTTTTTTTTTCCTTTTTTCCAGACTGAGTCTTGCTCTGTCGCCCAGGTTGGAGTGCAGTAGCGTGATCTTGGCTCACTGCAACCTCTGTCCCTCAGGGTCAAGTGATTCTTCTGGCTCACTCTCCCGAGTAAATGGGATTACAGGCTCGTGCCACCACACTCGGCTACTTTTTGTATTTTTTAGTAGAGACAGGGTTTCACCATGTTGGCCAGGCTGGTCTTGAACTCTGGACCTGAAATGATCCACCTGCCTCGGCCTCCCAAAATGCTGGGATTACAGACATAACCACCATGCCCAGCCAAGGCCTGGTCCTTTTTTTTTTGTTGTTATTTTTTGAGACAGAGTCTTGCTCTGTCGCCCAGGCTGGAGTGCAGTGGCATGACCTCAGCACACTTCAACCTTCATCTCCCAGGTTCAAGTGATTCTCCTGCCTCAGCCTCCCGAGTAGCTGGGTTTACAGGCATGCACCGCCACACCCAGCTAATTTTTGTATTTTTAGTAGAGATGGGGTTTCACCATGTTGTCCAGGATGGTTGCAAACTTCTGACCTCAAGGGATCCACCCGCCTCGGCCTCCCAAAGTGCTGGGATTGATTACAGGCAAGAGCCACCGTGCCCGGCCATGGTCCTTTTTTTAAAAAAATTATATAATGACAATAAAATCATTACCCCAAAATGATCAGTGTTGTGATTGGGTGCCAACGGTGTGCCAGAGACTGAGCTAAGCACTTTCCATATATAGTTTCATACCTACCACAGTCCTGGGAGGTAGGAACATCACATTTGACAAATGACAAAACCGAGGCACAGAGAGATCAAGTAATTCCCCTAAGGACACACAACTAGGAATTGTTGGAAGCAAGATTTTAGAACCTCAGTCTCTGCTGTCCTGTAGGCCATGCTGTGCCATCTCCCAGGATACCTGCTGAAAGGCGGTCTAGCAAGGCCACCCTTGGAGAGTTTTAATTGTGCCTCCACATTGCAGGGACAGAGGTGGGTGGTGAAGGTCATTGGGCCGTCTCTGCCAAGAACAAGGCCATCTGGGGCTGTCACCGCTGGTGGCTGCTGGGTGATTTTTCTCCTGTGGATGCATGCAAACATATGACAAGGAGAATGGATCTTTAGAGAAACTTCCAAAGTGCTGAAAAGAGCTCTTAGAAGGGCCACCCACAGAGTCCCTCCAGAGAGAGAGGCCAACCGTTTTCCTCATCTGAAGCAGCCCTGATATCTGCAAGTCAGACTTGCAATTCACCTCCAGAGCAGCAGCTTCCAGCTTCCTAATTGAGAGATGCTAATTAGGAATTATGGAGCATCCATCATCCTTGGGGTGCTTTGCACGTAATGGTTGGTGCTTACAGCATCCCTGTGAACACGTTATCAGGACTTCTGTTTTTATAGCAGAAAACAAGATGGGCTAGTGAAGGTTCACATGGTTCACTAAGTAGAAAACCAAGGCTGGGATGGGGAGAGAGCTGGGTTTTCTCCTCCCCTTTTCTCGGTTGTTATTTTTCTCTGAGACGGAGTCTCACTCTATCACATACGCTGGAATTGCAGGGGCGTGAACTCGGCTCAGTGCAACCTCCGCCTCCTGGGTTCAAGTGATTCTCCTGCCTCAGCCTCCTGAGTAGCTGGGATTACAGGGGTGCACCACCACGCCTGGCTAATTTTTATGTTTTTAGTAGAGACAGGGTTTCACCATGTTGGCCAGGCTGGTCTTGAACTCCTGACCTCAAGTGATCTGCCCGCCTCAGCCTCCCAAAGTGCTGGGATTACAGGCTTTTCTCTGTTGTTTGATTCCAGACCTACATGAAGAATATCCATAGGCACCCATTACTTTGTTTCTGAAAAGGCTACATTGGGCCCTGTCCCGTACTAGCTAAACCCCTACCCCAGCACACACTTTGGAATCAGTCCTGGGTTCAAATCTGATTTGCTGATTACTAGCCATGCGTCTTTGAGCAACTGTGTACCTCAGTTTTTTCCATCTGTAAAATATAGACCATACTAGACCTACCTATCAGGGTTAGGATTTAATAAGATAATACATGTGAAATGCTTAGCCTTATATCAGACATGCAGTAAGTAATAATATTAATAGCCATTGCTGCTGTCATTACTATAATTATTATTATGTAAAATACCACTGTCTATTAAAATAATAGTGAACAACTCAGTAATTGATTAAAAACTGTCAGCATTAATGATCTTCTCCTTTAAAGAGTAAGGTCAGTAAGAGACTATTTAAAAAGTTTTCTTAAATGGAAAATTTAAATATAAAAGAAAATATAAGCTGGACGTGGTGGCTTATGCCTATAATCTCAGCAGTTTGGGAGGCTGAGGTGGGCGGACTGCTTGAGGCCAGGAGTTCGAGACCAGCCTGGGCAACGTGGTGAAACCCCATCTCCACTAAAAATACAAAACTTAGCTGGGCATGGTGGCGTGAGCCTATAGTTCCAGCTACTTAGGAGGCTGAGGTGGGAGGACTGCTTGAGCCTGGGAGGTGGAGGATGCAGTGA
The DNA here is from genome assembly GCF_000001405.40 of Homo sapiens. Classification (NCBI taxonomy): domain Eukaryota; kingdom Metazoa; phylum Chordata; class Mammalia; order Primates; family Hominidae; genus Homo; species Homo sapiens. The sequence goes on along the minus strand of NC_000012.12, from coordinate 117,925,195 downwards.
GCCAAGATCAAACCACTGCACTCCAGCCTGGGCAACAGAGTGAGACCCTGTCTGAAAAAAAAAAAAAAGAAAGAAAATATAGTATAACAAACTTCCTTGTACTTACCACCCAGATTCAACAATAATCAACGTCTTGCCAATCTTGTTTCATTTGTTTCTGTCCTACTTGTGTGTGTGTGGGAGTGTTTTGACGCAAATCCCAGAGGTCATAGATTTTTATCTGTAAATACTTCAGTATGCATCTCAAACAGGTAAGGCCTTTTAAAATAATGTTACAGAAAGCTACTACCACAGCTTATAAAACAAAACATTAATTTGTCAATATCATTTAATATCCAGTCCATGTTCAAATATCTCCAGGTCTTTAAAATGTCTTGCTGCAGTTGACTTGTTTGAATTGGGATCTATACAGGTTCTTACATTGCATTTGGTTCATATGTCTCTTAAGTTTTTAACTTCCATAGTTCCACCTCCCTCTTCCCCACATTACTTATTTGTTGAAGAAACGGAGTCATTTGTACTATAGATTTTTTATGCCTCCTTAGGGGCATAGTTTAACTTCTTCCTTCATGCCCGTATTTCTTTCTTTTCTTTCTTTCTTTTTTTTTTTTTTTTTTTTTTTTGAGATGGAGCTTCACTCTTGTCAGCCAGGCTGGAGTGCAATGACACGATCTCAGCTCACTGCAACCTCTGCTTCCCGGGTTCAAGTGATTCTCCTGCCTCAGCCTCCTGAGTAGCTGGGATTACAGGCGCCTGCCACCATGCCCAGCTAAATTTTTTTGTATTTTTTTTAGTAGAGACGGGGTTTCACCATGTTGGCCAAGCTGGTCTCAAACTCCCGACCTCATGATCCGCCCGCCTCAGCCTCCCAAAGTGCTGGGATTACAGGCATGAGCCACCGTGCCTGGCCTAAATTTTTTTTCTATATAGTTATGTCACCAACTTGATATCTACAGTAGATTGATTTATTTTAGTTTTTCAGTTTTAAGTTTTAACCTCTATTAAAAAAGCAAATATAGGCCGGGCGCAGTGGCTCACGCCTGTAATCCTAGCACTTGGGGAGGCCGAGGTGGGAGGATCACCTGTGGTCGGGAGTTCGAGACCAGCCTGACCAACATGGAGAAACCCCGTCTCTACTAAGAATACAAAATTAGCCAGGCGTGGTGGCGCATGCCTGTAATCCCAGCTACTCGGGAGGCTGAGGCAGGAGATTCACTTGAACCCCGGAAGTGGAAGTTGTGGTGAGCCGAGATCACACCATTGCACTCCAGCCTGGGCAACAAGCGTGAAACTCTTGTCTCAAAAAAAAAAAAAAAGCAAATATATATTAATGTCAACTCCTTTGTTACACAAAACATAGAATACTACAAATACTGAATAAAGCAGCACACCCCTGTTTTCTTCTTTACTTAGTTGTTTGTTTCATTATGTTTATAGATTTGGATTACAGTCAATTCTCATTATTCATGGCAGTTATATATACGTATATATACACATACACATATACATACACACACACACACACACATATATATTTTAAGACAGTATCTCAAAAGTCTGTGGAGTGCAGTAGTGTGATCATAGCTCGCTGTATCCTTGACCTCCTGGGCTCAAGCGATCCTCCCACCTCAGCCTCCTGAGTAGTTGGGACTGCTGGCATGTGCCACCATGTCTGGCTAATTTTTTAAATTTTTAGTGGAGATGGGGTCTTGAACTCCTGGCCTCAAGCAGTCCTCCCACTTTGGCCTTCCAAAGTGCTGGGATTACAGGCATGAGCCACTACATCTGGCATCATGGCAGTTATATTCTATAAAGTTTTCCTGAATCCTGAGTTAACGAATATTGAATCTGCAGGGGAGATAACAGGGTTAGGTTTCTGCAAGCCTTTGGCCCTAAATTTACCAACCGATCATTTTATACGTGTTTCTGTTTAAAGACACCTTATTTTATAGATAGATATAGATAGATAGATAGATAGATGATAGATAGTTGATCCATTAACATTTAGCTCATAGCCAACAGCACTATAACTCATTCCTGAATGAAGCTTATCTAACACACACATTTTCTCTGTAAGGCACATTCCAGCCTTTTTGAGCTTAGGAACACACTAGGTAGCACTTTATCACTAACCGGGGGCATTCTAAATAGTGAAGTCACCAAAAAAGTACAAAAATATGAAGTAAGGTAGAGCGTCACCTTTCTGGATCTCACCTGGCATCATGTACATCGGGCAGCTCATGTTTTTCACTGTATGTTCGTATGTCCCCAGATGACCGTGAAAAGACCATGTGTATTGATATTGGGGTTACAAATAAATTTCAGTGAGTAGACAAATCTCCAAATGGAATAATCCACAAATAATGAGGACGGACTATTTTCTTTATTCTCCATTCTCCACTCAATTGTGAGCTCCATGAGGGGCAAGATCTTGCTGTTGTGCACCTTGTATGTGGTAGATGGATGAGTGAATCCCCAAGGAAGAGTGGATATTTTTTGCTTTGGGTCTTAAAGCTCTAAATATTTGTGTTTGGCTTAGGTGTGTTTCCCTTCTTTTGAAATGTAGTTCTTTCTCAGCAGAGCACTCGTCAGGCACAGATCTGTCAAATCTACTGAGTCATCAGATCTATCAAATCTACTGGTTCTGGGTCCTTAGAAATATTTAACATGAATGCAACCTGATATAAAATGTCCCCAAGTGCTTTATTTATGACTGTTATTCACCCCACCATGTGATCGACCCAGATTTTCTTTAAATAGGGAACTCTGCTAATATATGTGAACGGTGCTTTCCTTTACCCCAAAGTTGATTGACAGGCACTTTTCCAGCCATGCAGGCTTTGACCAAGGGGCTCATTATGTTGTCCTGATAGCTGATCTTGAGCCATGAACTTTAGCCAGTTAGGGAGAATTTCTCACAGAATTTCTCTGGGAAGAAGTTAAAGCATTTGCATTAGATTGGCTGATGAAAATTTTGTAGGATGTTGCTAATTTGAGACTTGCTGGGTTTGCCCTGTCTTCAGATAGGTGGGAACGCTTCTGGGTATGATTAACAGCCTAAATATACCGCATCAACACGCCTGCAGAGAAGCCAACCTTCCAGAGAGCTTGGGAAAGAGCCCTGGCTTCTGTCTGGGGACTGCTTCTATTAGAGTCTTCATCATGCTTTGTTTACATTTAGTGCATCAAATTCTAGGCAAATAAAAGTATACAGCCTCCATAAATAGCTGTCACACAAACATACATTTGCTAAACTCTTCAGGGATTTGCATTTATATATGTAAGAAGAGCATCTACTATTTACCGATTACTTCTTTTTATTTTTGTCAAACCACTTTACTAGCTATGCATCTTCTCGTGGGTACATTCTGATATTATCCGGGATGGAAAAGGGGTACGTGAGCCCAATGCAAGGGGACTGAGTTACTGGTAATGATGGCTGTCATTTAATGAGCGTGTATTATGTGCTGAGCATGGCACTAAGAGCTTTACATTGATTGCATTTAGTTCTTAACAGCAGCTCTGAGGGGGTAGTATCAACATCTCTCTTTTATAAATCAGGAAGCTGACATTCAGAGACGTGAAGTAACCTCCCTGGAGTCACACAGTCCATCAGTGGCAGAGTCTAGGTCTGCTTGACTCCAAAGCCTGTGTGTTAACTGCCTTGATTAGAAGTGTCCTGGGAAGCTGAGGCAAGAGGATACCGTGAGGCCAGGAGTTTGAGACCAGCCTGGACAATGTAGCAAGACCCCATCTCTAGGGGAAAAAAAAGTGTCTTGAAAAGGCTCTCTATAATAAGATCTCACTGTGTGTGGCTTCAAAGACAGCTTTATTCAATTTGCTTAATATTTACTGAACATTTATCACGTAAGTATATATGCCACCATGGTTGACATTTGTGGAATTAGGAATAACAATAGCATGTCAGTCATTTAATATTTAATGTGCCTGCCATGGAGGCACATGTAAAGTTCTGAGGACTTTACGTATATTGGCTCATGCAGTTATTTTAATAACCTTTGAGGTAGGTCTGATTATTACCCTTATTTTGCAGATGAGGAAACTGAGGCCAAGAGTGATTAAATAAGAAGTTAAAGTCACATAAGTGAGCAAATTGCAAAGCCTGGGTTCAAATAACTATGCAGGTGCTGGGGTCTCTGAACCAGACCCTTACACTGTTATTGCCTCTCAAAGATAAAATACTAGTATCAAGACTAAGAACCGTATGCAGATAGCTGTAATTTAGAGTGAGGAGGGTTGTGTTTCTACCTACAGCGAGTCCACATTTTCTCAAGTTTGCCACCCAGGAGTTAGCCGTCTGTTGGCCGCAAACCCACTTTGAAGCCAGGTGGGTGCCAAATTCAGAAACTCTTGCATCTTTATGCTTGAATCCTTCCTCCCCTCCACCCTGTTGTGTAGCGTGGGCAGCCACACTGGGAAGCTACTGGCTCTACCCTAGGCACTGAGTTTACTTAGAGAAGTTAAGAGACTGGGTTATAGAATATACTCTTGGGAAAAAGATTTCACCTCTCTGAGCCACAATTTCTGTATCTAAAAAACAGAAATTGTAACTGTATCTCCCCCATGGGCCTATTGTGAGGTTTCAGGTTAATTCATGTCAAGTAGCTGGTTTAATGCCTGACATATAGTAAATGCTCAACAAATAACATCAATGTATTAGCATTATTTATCTGTTTAACTTAGGAGATGGTCTTGTTCTTTTCTTATTCCAGGTCAAAGCCACCATCATAAGACCTATATTCTTTTTCTTTCATTAAAATTGTTAAAAAAAAAAAAAAAGACCACAGTGGTTCAGCCCTGTAATCTCAGCACTTTGGGAGGTTGAAGCAGGGAGATTGTTTGAGCCCAGGAGTTCGAGACCAGCCTGGGCAACATAGTGAGACACTCATCTCTACAAAAAATAGAAAAATTAGCTGGGCATAGTGGCTCCTACCTTTACTCCCAGCTACTTGGGAAGCTGAGGTCAGAGGATTATTTGAGCTTGGGAGGTCAAGACTGCAGTGAGCCATGATTGTGCCACTCTCCTCTAGCCTGGGTGACAGAGTGAGATCTTGTCTCAAAATAAATTGTTAAAAATTATTACAGGCGTGAGCCACCATGCCCAGCCTATTCCTTTAATTTTGTGGATTTTAATTTCATGTATTTTGGGGTTCTGTTGTTAGGTACATATATGTTTATAATTGTTAGTCCCATCTTTTAAAGTGCTACATTGTAATCTATAGAATGTATACCAATCAGCATAGGCTAGGATATGCTGCAGAAATAAACAACCCTCAAATTTCAGTGGCTTAACATAACAAAAGTTTATTTTCTTCTCATGCCACGTGTTCATTCCAGGTCTCTGCTACTCAGAGTTACCCATGGGCTTAAGCTAATAGAGGCTTCAACTCCACAATTGCCAAGGCAGAGAAAGGCGATGGGGAGCCTCCCATGCTGGTTCTTAAAGGCTTCCTCTTGGATGTGGCATGTGTCATTTCTGTTCATGATTCATTGCCCAGAATAAGTCACATGACCATGCCTTACACTAAAGGGTATGGGGAAGTATAATTTCTTGTGAGAAACAAAACAGGAGTTAGTGAGTAGCATTAGTGACTATGGATGTTCCATAGTTTATTTAGCTGTTTTCTTATGAAAGGTCATTTTAGATACTTCTAATCATTTTGTTATTACAAACAGTACTGCAACAAACAGCCTAGCATATGCTTCCTTGAAGATTCACATTCTGCCGGGTTGTGTTCAAAGCTGATGATCCCTCCACTTATTCCTTGGAATGCTTCTCTTACCTATGATCCTATATTCAAAGCAGTTGACAGCTACAGAAAGATGCGGAAGTCCTGCAAAGCAACCTTATGCTTAGGGCCAGAGTAGAAATCTGGACTATCTCTTCATTGTTAAGGGTCTGCACAGCCTAGGGGCTCTCGGACTTGTTCACTAACAAGCTACAGTTGAAGCACAGGAGTTGTTCCAAGCAGTGGCAAGAACATGCCTGGTTTGAAGGACTAGAAAAGGTTTGTTTGTTTATTTATTTATTTATTTTGAAATGAGGTTTTGCTGTGTGGCTGAGGCCGGAGTGCAGTGGCATGATCATGGCTCACTGCAGCCTTAAACTCTTGGGTTCAAGCGATCCTCTTGCCTCAGCCTCCTGAGTTAGCTGGGACTACTACAGCGTGCACCACCACACCCAGCTAATTTTTAAAATTTTTGTTCTTTGTAGAGACACCAGAACATGGCAGGGTAGGGGGCTGTGTTTCCATGTTGTCCAGGCTGGTCTTAAAGTCCTGGCCTCAAACAATCCTCCCACCTTGGTCTCCCAAAGTGCTGGGATTACAGGTGTGAGCTACCCCGCCTGCAGAAAAAGTTTAAAAGATACTTTTTTTTTTTTTTTTGAGACGGAGTTTCGCCCTTGTTGCCCAGGCTGGAGTGCAGTGGCGCGATCTTGGCTCACCACAACCTCTGCCTCCTGGATTCAAGCGAATCTCCTGCCTCAGCCTCCCGAGTAGCTGGGATTACGGGCATGCGCCACCACGCCCGGATAGTTTTGTATTTTTAGTAGATACAGGGTTTCTCCATGTTGGTCAGGCTGGTCTCAAACTCCCGACCTCAGGTGATCTGCCTGCCTCAGCCTCCCAAAGTGCTGGGATTACAGGTGTGAGCCACCGCGCCTGGCCAAGAGACAATATTTGAAATAGGTATTAAAAGATAGTTAGGAGATAGTAGAGGAGAAGGAATAGGGCAGGCAAGCAGGTGATAGGGGCAAGGAAGTTCGAAACTTGTTGCTGTAGTTTAGGGAAGTTGGCTATCAAGACTGGGGCCATATTGTCACAAGCTTTGAATACTGTGATGGGCAGTGGGAGCTAGTGTTCTTGAGCAGGAGAGTGGCAGATTAGAGACATGTTTTAGGATTTTGCACAAACACCATGTTGGGTTTAGGTTTGCAAACTGAAATGCACGGAGGTGCCAAGGAAGCCATAATGAATGAAGCTGTGTCCCCTCAAATAAACGTAGTCTGAAAGGCAACTGCCTGTTGGCTAGGTCAAGGAGGTCAGGTCAGTTCTCAGCCTCCTCTTTCAATCAGAAATACATTTCTATTGCAGTTGCCATGACCTCAGTCTGAGGAAATAAGCAGTGGGAGGTGGGGAGTTAGAGATGGGATGAACTGAGAAGTGGAGACAGCCACTACTGAGTTCCAGCTGAGGTTTTCTTCCAGAAATGTGGGCTCAGCACGGTTGGATCTTCTGCTTCTTTTTCAAGAGAAGCCAGTTATTCAGGTTTTGTTATCTCTCCTAATTTTCAAAGTCTAGTAACTAAAGCAAAATCCAAAGGACTCTTATGGGCTGGATCTGGCCTGTGAGTTGCCTATTTTCATCCTCGGGTGATGGGGGAGAATGGGGCATGGCTCGGCCATGTACAGTAAGGCTTCAGAGTATTGACCATATTGTAATATATCCACAGGTAAATATATTCATCCGTGGGTGCGTGCATTATGTTGACAGTTTGAGGCCAGGACTTTAAGACCAGCCTGGGCAACATGGCAACACATAGCCCCCTACCCCCCATGCCCTGGTGTTTCTTCAACTTGAGACGTGTTCCTTTTATAAAGAGAAAATACTTTTATTGTATTCATTTATTAAACTTTTTTTTAGAGACAGGATCTTGCCATCATCCAGGCTGGAGTGCAGTGACATGATCACTGTAGCCTCAAACTCCAGGACTCAAGTGATCTTCTCACTTCATCTTCCTGAATAGCTAGGACTACAGGCATGCACCACCACACCCAACTAATTAAAAAAAAATTTTTTAGAGACAGGGTCTCGCTATGTTGCCCAGGCTGGTCTCGAACTCTTGCCCTCAATGGATCCTCCTGCCTCAGCATTCCAAAGTACTGGGATTACAGGCATGAGCCACTGTGCTCAGCCTGGAATAGACTTTAAGATATATTGTATAGTCTTAATTTTATTATAATGTTACTTAAATATCTATCAACACAAGACTAGTTCTTAACTGGGGGCAATTTTGCCCCCTCCCAGGGGACATTTGGCAACATCTGGAGACATTTTTCATTGTCACGACTTTGGGGAGGATGGTGTGCTACTAGCATCTCATGGGTAAAGGTCAGGGATGCTGATTAGTATCCTACAATGCACTGAATGGCCCATCACAGCAAAGGATTATCCAGCCCTAAACATCATTAGGGCCCAGGTTGAAAACCCATGTACAAACCCAGCTGTAAATGTCTTATGTTTATAGATATCAAACAATTATGCAGACAAAACAGATTTGCAAACATTAAATACGATCTATTTTGCAAAACCAGTTCATTCTAGTAGATGACATCAGTGATGAAAAAGATATTTTGGTGAAAGTAAATGGTGCGTTGAAACTTGAATGGGGCGCTTCTATTCTGGTGCACATTATTTTGTCTTTGGTGAGCCTCAGGTATGTGTCTTTCGTGGCTTAGTTATCCTGTGGCATGAGGAAGAAAGAGTGGTAGGAGTGACTTCATTGGCCTTCACTATGGGGGACCTGTTTTAGAACCAAGTATTAAATGTGCCTTGGTTCTACTCTGATTAGGCAGTGATTATTAAATCAGTGCAACTTGGCACCAAAAGAATCATAAATTATAACCACTGAAATTACCAGGCAGTATTGCTTTATAAAGCAGGCATCCAGATGATCCAGCAAGTGCATATACTGTGTTCCATTTAAAAAATTACCTTTGAAATAAACACTCACAGTTTGGCTGGGTGGGGTGGCTCATGCCTGTATTCCCAGCACTTTGGGAGGATGAGGCGGGCGGATCACCTGAGGTTGGGAGTTCGAGACCAGCCTGCCCAACATAGTGAAACCCCGTCTCTACTAAAAATACAAAAATTAGCCAGGCGTGGTGGTGCCTGTCTGTGGTCCCGGCTACTCAAGAGGCTGAGGCAGGAGAATTGCTTGAACTGGGGAGGCGGGGGTTGCAGTGAGCTGAGATCGCGCCAATGTACTCCAGCCTGGGTGACAGAGTGAGACTCCATCTCAAAAAAAAAAAAAAAAAAAGAAGAAGAAATAAAAACTCAAAATTTAAAAAGTCTTGTAGAGAACTTTTAGACCCCCAAGAATTCATCTTCAGCCCCTCAAAATTTCACGTGTCCTAGTTTGAGGAGCATGAATGAGGATATCAGAATGCATTGGGCTAGGAAAAAAGCAAGAAAATGGAAGTAGAATGATTTGCTAGTTTTTTAGTTGGAAAAATGAAAAATTTCCTCAAAGTCTGCTTGAGGGTAGAGAAGGTTTTGTTGATTCTGGGTGTGGGGAGCTGGTGGTAGGGTGTGCTGGATGTAGCTGGGACTACAGGCATGCACCACCATGCCCAACTAACTTTTAAAATTTTTAAAAAAATGAGTGAGAGGACTTTAATCTTCTTCAGGTCTTGGAGAAGGCTTCAAGGTGGAGGTGATATCTGAATCAGGTTTTGAAAGAGGTGATATTTTTAGAATATATCTCGAGCCGAAGTTTTTAAACTTGTCAGGATCCATGGAGGATATGGAGATAAGACTGTTTTCCCGGGATTTCCTGGGATTTTTGTCTGTGATCAGCCTGATGGCTGGGGCCCCATCTGTGTTGTCACTATTTCCCCACCACATGGCCTGAATGAGTATTCAGTTAAATGTCAGTTAAAGGAACGAATGGACTGTCATCCCAGCTGAAAACTGCCCCAATGTCTTCTTAAGTGTAATGGACTGAATGTTTGTGTCTTCCCAAAATTTACATATGGAAATTCTAACCCTTAATGTGATGGCAGTAAGAGGTGGACCTTTGGGAGGTGATTAGGTCATGAGGGTGGAGCCCTCATTTAGAGAGATTAGTGCCTTTTCATCAAAGGGCCCTCAGAGAGCTCACTTGCCCTCTTCAGCCATGTGAGGGGGACCCTCTCCAGAACCTGACCCTGCTGGCCCCTGATCTCAGACTTGTGGCCTGCAGAACTGTGAGAAATAAATTTCTGTTGTTTATAAGCCATCCAGCCCATGGTAGTTTGTTATAAAAGCCTGAACTGAGATAATAAGTGTCTTGGGGCTTATCAGATCTTGAATCTTCATTTTGGGGTAAGAAAAGAAGTTAATACAGACACAGCCTGTTGCTGGTACGGCTTTAGGCGACCTTGTATCCCTGCTAACATTTAGTGTTGCTGACCCTCATTGCATAGCTGAGATCTTAAGTACCTAAGTGTGTCCTTTCTTGGCTTCTTTTCTCTGAGATGCTCTGCTCCCTACAGTCTTTCATAGTTTCAGATCCCTCAGCTCACACCGTATTCAGCCTCAGTTCACACCATGTTCACTTATGCATACAAAAATTGATTGGCTGGGCGCAGTGGCTCATGCCTGTAATCCCAACACTTTGGGAGGCCAAGGTGGGCAGATTACTTGAGGCCAGGAGTCCAAGACCAGCCTGGGCAACATAGTAAGACCCCTGTCTCTACAAAAAAATTAAAAATTAGCCAGGTGTGGTGGCACACGCCTGTAGTCCCAGCTACTTGGAAGGCTGAGGTGGGAGGATGGCTTGAGCCTGGGGGTTCAAGGCTGCAGTGAGATATGATTACAGCACTGCATTCTAGCCTAGGTGATAGAGATCCTGTCTCGTAAAATAAATTACTGATTATGACAGATAAAACCAGTGGAGTATTTTCCAAACACTAAGTGCTATGCTGAAGAGCTTTGCATAGATGACTTCTTTTTGTTGTTGTTGTTTGGCTTTTTTTTTTTTTTTTTGAGACAGTCTCACTCTGTCGCCCAAGCTGGAGTGCAGTGGCGTGATTTCGACTCGCTGCAGCATCCACCTCCTGGGTTCGAGCGATTCTCGTGCCTCAGTTTCCCAAGTATCTGGGATTACAGGTGTGTGCCACCACGCCTGGCTAATTTTTGTATTTTTAGTAGAGGTGGGGTTTCACCATGTTGACCAGGCTGGTCTCAAACTCCTGGGCTCGAGCAATCTGGCCATCTTGGCCCCACAAAGTAGTGGGATTACAGGTGTGAGCCACTGCACCCAGCCATAGATGACTTCTTTGTTCCTCCTGATAACAGTGTACACCCAGAATGTTATTCTTCCCAGTTTTCAGACGGGAAACTGGATACACAGAGGGGTAGGTATACTGTTTCCATATTACATGGCCAGTAAGGGGTGGGACCCCTGGGAACCCTTCTGGAGCCAGTTGCCCCATTGAGAGTGAAGGGACGGACAGAGAAGAAAAGTCATGGGAGAGGTTGGTGTGTTGGATGCTGGATTCAATGTGGGCAGACAATAAAACATGCTGCAGAGTCATCCGGCGGGTCCCGAGACTCCAGCGTGGAGAACTTGGGGGAGAGGTATGTGTGTTAATTTCCTAGGGCTGCTGTACTAAACTGGGTGGCTTCATACAACTGAAATTTATTGTCTTACAGTTCCAGAGGCCACAAGTCCCAAATCAAGATGTCAGCAGGGCCATGCTTCCTCCGAAAGCTGTAGGGGACACCCTTCCTTGCCCCTTCCAGCTTCTGGGGGCTCCTCACGTTCCTTGGCTTGTGGCTGCTTCTCTTCAATCTCTGCCTCTGTCCTCAGATGGCTTTCTTCTCTCTGTGTCTCCTATTTCTGTCTCTTACAAGGATGCCTTCATTGGATTTAGGGCCCACCCTTTTGAGTATGATCTCCTCTTCACTCTTACCTTATGACATCTACAGAAGACCCTATTTTTCAAATAAAGTTACGTTCTGAGTTTCTGGGTGAACATAAATTTGGGGGAGATGGTATTCAAGCCACTATGGTGGGATGGACAGGGGGAGAGGTTAGATATGTGGAAAGGTAGAGGACAGACAAGTCCAGGGGTCATTACAGTTCCATAGGGCTTGGCAGTGGTGACTGCTTCCTTGCAGTGGGGACCTCTTACGCTTCCCTTAACACACTGACACATGAACGGCTCACAACAGCCTAAAGAAACTAGGTCCCTGAGTCCTGGTCTAGAAACTCATTGTGCAAATCCCAGGAGATTTCTCTTCTGGGGCCACCTGGGGGTGGAGCACCCTTCTTCTGAGGCCAACTCGGGAACGGACAGGATACACCATTGATTTTCTAGTCGGAGATGTCACGGTTTCCCTGTCCCCACCTTCCTGCTTCCTGCCCCGGGTAGGGCCTCTCACCTCTGGGCCTGCTGGAGACTAATATCAAAAGGTTAATTTGGAACAAACTGTTTTCAGAACTGGCTGGAAACAGTGTCTGCCCTGAGGGGACTGGCTGCCAATGATTTGTTTCTTTTTTAACTAGGTAAGCTTCCCTAGTTGGCATTTCACTATCTTTACGGGTCCCTACTTGCCGTCTTCCTAAAATACAACATCGGAGGAGCTGCGATCAGAGAACACTGTCTTCTCTGAAGTGTTAAGATCAAATCACTCTTCTTTTTAATTTATGTTTTCCTTTTTTATATTTTTAAATCCAGCTCCTTGTTGAGCACTTGGACAGGATGTAAAAGTGTTACAAAGTACAAAACAGAGTCCCGTAATCCCACCAGGCCAAGGCATTTGCTGAAACATTTTTGGTATTGAGGACGTCTGGATGGAATACTTTGCATCTTCCTTTTCATGCTTAATCTTATAGGATTATTTGGAAATGTAATTTTTCTTCATTTTCAAAACTCTCAGACAACTTTAGAATTCCTGTGGACAAACAGAATTACGGTTTTCCATAAGGGTGTACGAATTATAACACGGTTCTTTACTGGCAAAGGTCTGCTGTACTTTTCTATAGTTCCAAATGGTCTTAAGGTCACAGGTACATTTTTTGTGTCTCCCAGAGGAATATAACATACCATCATTTGAATCATACAATTCTGTTTTAGCAAGGAAGGCAAGATACAGCATTAAGCAGGGTCAGAGATCCAAGTAGCTAAATACCAGTGAAGTAGCTTTTCCCATTGACCTTGGCTGTTACCAATCATTGCTTAATTTGGTCTTGGGAGAACTTGGTTTTCATATTTAGTACATAATGGCTCTGAGAAATCCAGGACTTTCGTTTATCACAACACCTCTTAGAGGTTGAGAGAGCCCTACGCCACTTTCATTCTTTGAGTTTCCTGATATATTGGAAATAAACAAAATTTTTTAAATGCCAAACCAGAATGATGCAAGTCGGTGATATGTTTTCAATGTTTTCACTTAGGAGATCGACATGTTTAACACACATTAGTGACTGAGGATTCACGTCCTTTGGAGATAGCATCAGATGTCTAAATTTGAGGTCCCTTCTGGATTTGAGGCCCAGGGCAAGTGGTTCTCCTGGCCCGGAGACGCATAAGCCTTGGCTTCTTGCCAAGCAATATGTTGGAGTGTTTAAAATGCTCTTTATATATGTTACTTATGCCTGTAGCGATTGAGAGTTTGCGATCCTCATGAATTGTGGTATTTGGTCAACACTGTCATTTATTCAGCAAGTATATTGAATGCCTGCCATAAAAGAGATGGGAAGAGATATGGGTCTTGCCCTCAAGGAGTTAAGTTTCTGATCAGGACATGGGCTTCTAAGGAAAAAAAAAATAAAGTAGGACAAGAAGTCCTTGATAGAGATATGTCCAAGTGCTGTCAGAGCAGAGGAGGGAGGTTTTATTTGCAGAATGTATTAGTCAGCTATTGCTGCAGTGACAAATAATCCCCAACTTCAGTGATTTATGGCAATAAATCCTTTATTTCTTGCTCATTAGTCTGTGGGCCACTGAAGCAGCTCTGTAGTAGGCTGCAGGTTGGGTTCAAGTCTGCTCCATAGGATGATCATTTTGGACCCAGGAGGAAGGAACAGCAGCTGCCTGAACATGCTCTTCTCATGACAGATGACAGGAATGCAAGAAGCCAAACCAAACTAAGTATTTGGCTCGGATGTGGCAGACATCATGTCCTCTGATATTCCATTGGCCAAAGCAAGTCACATGACCAAGCCCACCATCCGTAGAGTAGGCAGGATTATTCTTGTTTCTTGAGTGTGTGTGTGTGTGTGTGTGTGTGAGAGAGAGAGAGAGAGAAAGAATGTGTGCAAGTGAGAGAGGGAGAGAGAATATTTGCAGAACAGTAAAATGATCTACCATAGATAAGGTTTAACAGAAGAGATGACCTTTGAATTGGGTTTTGAAGGATGCATAGAAGTTCATCAGGCATGACTTATGTGTGGAAGTTTAGAAACATATGGTATCTTAAAGGCAGAGTAGTGAGTACTATGACCTACGACCTTGCTCTAGTTGGTCTAGTAGTGAATTTCACACAGGATCAAGTTGGGAGGCACCGAACTGTGGTCTTTGTGAGTGATAGCTTTCCCTTGGCTCATGACAAAAGAACAGAGTTGAGCCCACATATGCCCTCTTCTTAGGACTGCGCTATAGTGTGCCACATGCTAGATTCACGCCTACCTTCTAAACTGACATTCAAACAAAGTTTCCAAAGCAACATACTCCAGCACTCTCTGGGGATCCCATGACGCTATATAATACTGCACCATAACAAGAGGGTACAGGTGAGTGCCTGGCCCTGCTATTCCAAGCATTTCTCTAGTTGTCTCTAGAGGAGCTTGTGAAATCTTGAAGCTTTTCTAAAGCAAAGTAAGTTTAATTGTGGTAAAATAAAAAATAGTGCCATGACTTGGGGCTCTTTGAGGGCAGGGATGCTTTCATTCAACTCTGATTTCCTGATCCTTATACAGGAGCAGGTAAAAAGCAAGACTCTCGCTTGCCAACATTGACTATTTTCTATGCCAGGTACTGTGTTGAGCACTTTTCATACCTGATTGGAACCTCACAACCAGTCTGTGAGGCAGGTGTTTTTATTACAAGTGAGGAAATGGGCACTCTCTCTTGGTTAATAGGCAGAAGGTTAGCAAGCATTAGGAAGTCGTTAAGGATCTAATGGCAATAAACTGAGACTTTCTTGGCATACTCTTTTTTTTCTTCTTCTTCTTTGAGACAGGGTCTTACTCTGTCACCCAGACTGGAGTGCAGTGGTGTGATCATGGCTCGCTGCACCCTCAAACTCCCAGGCTAAAGTGATCCTCCTGCCTCAACCTCCAGAGTAGCTGGGACTTCAGGCACACACCACCATGCCTGGCTAATGTATACTTATTTTTTTGCAGAGACAGGGTTTCCCTATGTTGCCCAGGTTGGTTTCGAACTCCTGGCCTCAAATGTTCCTCCTCCTTCAGCCTCCCAAAGTACTGGGATTATAGGCATGAGCCACCATGCCACCATGCCCTTGCCTTGAGATAATCTTTTTTTTTTCTTTTTTTGAGATGAAGTCTTGCTCTGTCACCTAGGCTGCAATGCAGTGGCGTGATCTCGACTCACTGCAGCCACCACCTCCTGGGTTTAAGTGATCCTCCTGCCTCAGCCACCTGAGTAGCTGGGACTACAGGCATGCGCCACCATGCCCAGCTTTTTTTTTTTTTGTATTTTTAGTAGAGATGGGGTTCCACCATGTTGGCCAGGCTGGTCTTGAACTCCTGGCCTGAAGTGATCCACTTGCCTTGGCCTCCCAAAGTGCTAGGATTACAGGTGTGAGCCACCACACCCTCCCTTGGTATAATCTTGATGTAATTGAAAAAGAATTGGAAAAAGATATGACTTAATGTGCTATGGGATTCAGGGTTAATGCCGTGTCAGTGCACCAGCTAAAATGTTCCCTGAGATTAACAGGCATACACATACCACACTTCGGTAAACAATATCTTGGATAATTGTGCTGGAGGATAAAGCCAGTTTGAAGTCATAATAGTTGGGGGGCCGTGGAAGGAAAACTGAAGCGCCAGTGTGAGCATTGTTTCCAACCTTACCACCATGCTTTTGGCAAACAATGTCAGGTGACTTAAACCTGGTAGGGGGAAGCTAGCTTCAGAGTGAATTTGTTTTAAAGGATACAACAGTGGGGTAGTGAAGTGATGTTCAAATTTTAGTCAGGCTGAAGAGCCCCCTTTCCAAGTGAAATCTTACTGAAGAGCCTTATATATAAAGTAGGTAAAAGTAAAGTAATTGGGTTGAAGCAGTTGAGGGTGTTGGAATGCTGCCTGCTGGATTCCAGCATGGGACCCTGAAGTTCAAAGACCACTGGTATAAGGACACGCATATTGGTCTTGGGAATAAAAACTAAGTTTGAGTCTTGGTGGTGGAACTAACTTGCTTCTTAGCTGTGCCTATTGAAGCCACCTCTCTATGTCTTAATTTATTCACCTGCAAAATTGGATTGGACTAGAGGTCTTCAAAGGCTCACTTTCGGTTTCAATACTCAATGTAGTGATACAGAATAAATTAAATACTGCAATTGAGTAGGACATTTCACTGCCCAACTACCTCATTGCCTTAATAACTCAAGAGAACATCCTGCGACTCACGGTGGAAACTTGAGTGTGACATATTTGAAGTATTAGGTTGGTACAAAAGTAATTGCAGTTTTTGCCTTGGATGTCTTTGATGCGTTTTGCCTTTGTTTGCATCAACTGAATACTTTTCTTTGTATTGTGTTAGAATGTTGGCGTGTTTCTTGCAGTTGTATGATTTCACATGCAATGCACTCTCATTCTTGTAAGAGTGACAGCACATTGAACTACCTTTGGCCTTAGAATCACTGTGGATTCTCTGTTCAGATCCCAAAGATTAACTTTGCATATTTGTGTCACAGAGATATGTAACGATCTAAGCTGTGGACATTCTCCGGATAGTAGAAAGGGCAGCTTTCATGAATTGTGCTATTCCTGTGGCTGGTTGTTTAGGAATATTTTATTTTGATGAGGTTCCTTAAAGGTGAAGGTGGGGGTGCGTTTATGCATTTGTTTAGATTTCTCACAAAGCAGCCTTCTCAGTACATATCCCAGTGGGTTCTACAATGTAATCCAGAAGAAAGCCAAACTCGGTAAATAATTAGCCTTAAAAAAAAAAAAGGCGCAAACAAAGCCAAAGTTAATGAGTTTTTAAATTATTTTTCCTGAGTTTTTCAGAAATATATGTAAATGGATATATGAGATATGTGATAAGTTCATTTAAATATGTTCTCTGTTTAGCTTTTCCATATATAAATCATTTTCATTTCAACACGAAATATGAATTAAAGATATTGATGCTATATTGTATATTGATCGCTGTCAATCACCTTCTTGCAAATAACCACCTCAAATGTTTCCTTTTCTTATTTACATTCTTCCTTCTTGGAAACTAATTATCCCTTTAGTTTTACCCAACCTGAATCTTCCAATATCTTCCAGCCCTCAGTAGAGACTTCTAGTTGATTTTTTTCTCTCTATAAGACAAGCAGTGTGATTATTTTGAATACCTTTTCAGTAAATTGGCAGCTCTCAAAGAGGGGCAGTGAAAAGATGATTATGAAGCTCATATTATATAGCTTTATAGGAAGAAAAAAGAAAAAAAAAACCTAAAAAAATTGACGTGGTTACAATTGCCCCCTTCAGATACTTCTGGAAAGCCAGCACATTAATTTCTCTTCATTTGCATTTCATGACTAAATAGTGTAAGGTTAACTCACTTTAGCCTTGTACTCTTACAGGTGGTTGGTTTCCTTACAGATTTTTCCATTCACATTTTCTGATATTCTCTCTCTCTGTGTTCTGTGCTCTCTTAATCTCTAAACAGGTCAGGGCAGGAGAGCAGTTTCCACTGTGGCTGACGTCAATCCAGCCCCGTAGATTAGTTAGCGGATGGTGTTGGGAGAGGGGTGCAGCTGTTGTGCCTTCACCTAGAAACCAGATCTCACCTGAGATACCTGCTGAGCGTCGTCTTGAGCACGCAGACCCAGCACACCTGGATTCACAGGATGGAGGACTCATTTCCTTGAGCTTTATAAATCCTGGCTCAAAGAGAGTGCACCTGTTTCATCTCTGTGGCGTCAGCATGTCAGGACGCCCCCATCCAGAACGAAGGCAGTTTGGTGTAATGGCTCATCTAGACATTGGGTCAGAAAGAACCAGGTGTGAATCTTGGTGCTGTCACTTACTTACGGTGCTCATGTAAGCAAGTAATTTAATCTCCGTGAGCTTCAGCTTCCCCATCTATCCAAAGGGGGGATAATAGAATTGTTGAAGGGCAGTGGTTCCCAAAGTGGGGTTCCTGACCAGCAGCAGCAGAAGCATCACACAAGCACTTGTTAGAGATACAGAGTTTTGGATCTTTTTGGACAGGGTCTCGCTCTGTCACCCAGGCTGGAGTGCAGTGGTGCGATCATGGCTCATTGCAGCCTCCACCTCCCTGGGTTCAAGCGATCCTCCTGCCTCAGCCACTTAGGACTACAGGCGTGTGCCACCACACCTGGATAATTTTATTTTTTTGTAGAGACGGGGGCCTCAGTATGTTGCCCTGGCCTCAAGTGATCCTCTCACCTTCACCTCCCGAAGTGCTAGGATTACAGGCATGAGCCACCATGCCCGGCCAGTGATGTGTATTTTAACAAGCCTTCCAGGGGATTTGATGCTCACTGAACACTGAGAACTGCTGCTATAAGGAATCAATGAGAGAATCATGAGCACATCAAAAGATTGTACCTCCCTAGAGTAGAAACTGTGTGAAGGCAAGCAGTTTTTTTTTTTTGAGAAGGAGTTTTGCTCTTGTAGCCCAGGCTGGGGTGCAATGGTGTGATCTTGGCTAACTGCAACCTCCGCCTCCCAAGTTCAAGTGATTCTCCTGCTTCAGCCTTCCAAGTAGCTGGAACTACAGGCGCGTACCACCATGCCCAGCTAATTTTTGTATTTTTAGAGACGGGGTTTCCCCAGATTGGCCAGGCTGGTCTCGAACTCCTGATCTCAGGTGATCAAGGCAAGTTTTTTTTTTTTTTTTTTTTTTTGAGACAGAGTTTTGCTCTTGTCACCCAGGCTGGAGTGCAATGGCCCGATCTCGGCTCACCACAACCTCTGCCTCCCAGGTTCAAGCAATTCTCCTGCCTTAGCCTCCCAAGTAGCTGGGATTACAGGTGCCCACCACCATGCCTGGTTAATTTTTTTTGTATTTTTGTAGAGATGGGGTTTTGCCATGTCAGCCAGGCTGGGCTCGAACTCCTGACCTCTGGTGATCTGCCCGCCTCGGCCTCCCGAAGTGCTGGGATTACAGGTGTGAGCCACTGTACCCGGCTGGCAAGCGGTTTTTTTAAGTGTTTCTCATCCCTGTATCTCTTGCACCTGGAACAGTGCCTGGCTCATACTTGGCACCCAACAAATATTTGTGGAATGAATGAATGAATGAATATTAACTAGTATGATCACTACTATAATCATTTTTTTTTGTTAATTATTATGTACTATCGTCCTACTTTTTTTTTTTTTTCCAGATCATGGAATCAAAGCAGAAAAAAGGGAACTTGGTATAATTTAGTTCAAGTCTTTTCAGAAAGACAAGGGTATACAATTTCTCTTTTGTGGTTATTTTATTATTTTCCTTGTATCACGGACCAGTGTCTTGTCCCCAGGCATAAGGCAGAGCAGTGATCTGAACCCTCGTCACTTGCTTCTCAGGCAAAGTGTTTTCTCCTGCTGCACCACACTGTCCTTCAGGGAAGCAGATACAATCACAGCCGTTCTTAGTTCTGCATCCTTTTTCGTAGCTTGTATACCATAGCTGTGGAATGTAACCTGCACACTTCATTAGCTTTTCTTGTTTCTTCCTCTGAACACCTGCCTCCTTTCATTGTCTTTGCTGGTTCTAGAGGTGAAGGTGTCCCAGAATGTGGTGCATTGATCACTGATGGTGCATGAAGTGATTTGGGGCTGGAGTGGAGTCCGCGGGCAAAACATTTTGCATTTTAATAGTTACGTGCTTATTTTATTTGTATTATAACAAACGTAACTATCAAACATATGGCTCCCCAGATATTATTATTTAGGACAAAGCTAAAATAAATAGTGATAGTAGGTCCGTGTTAGCTTGAATACACGTTTTTTTAAAATTTTTTATCATAAGCTATCTCCTACGGGAAGAATACACATTATATTTTGTTTTGTTTTGTTATGTTATGTTATTTTTGAGATGGAGTCTCGCTCTGTCACCCAGGCTGGAGTGCAGTGGTGTGATCTTGGCTCACTGCAACCTCCGCCTCCCAGGTTCAAGCAATTCTCCTGCCTTAGCCTCCTGAGTAGCTGGTACTACAGGTGCACACCACCACGCCTGGCTAATTTTTGTACTTTTGGTAGAGACAGGGTTTCATCATGTTGGCCAAGCTGGTCTCGAACTCCTGACCTCAGGTGATCCACCTGCCTTGGCCTCCCAAACTGCTGGGATTACAGGTGTGAGCCACCGTGCCCGGCCAGAATACACATTTTAAATAAGTAACAATTGCTGATTTTAAATTAACAGCAGTGATTTTGGCAAAGGTCAGAAGGACGGTGTGCAGGTGACAAGTTTTGGAAACACTAAGATCATCTTCTTGGGGGCTAAATACAGCAGGGTTTGAGTTTGGAATCTGCCACTTATCAGCTCTGTGGTCATGGCTAAGTGACTCAGCATACTTAAAGCCACTATGTTCTCACCCATAAAATGGGAATAATAATATTTTTTCTCTCCCAGGGTGATGGGGAGAATTGAGCAAGGAAAAGTATATAAAACACTTAGTAGGATACTGGCACATAGTGGGTGTCCAATATTCGGAAGGGACTGTGATTTTTATTTAGTGTGGAACAGGGGTAATAAGGCCACCGAAATCCATTTTCTAGTTTCTTAACGACCGTCTGCATTTAAACCAAGTGTTGATGTGGAAAATGTTAATACAAATGGCCCAAGCTGCACTTTTGAGTTCTCCTGTAATGCCAATCTCCACCTGGTTGGCTGAGAACTGGCGGAACTCTATACCAGACACTTCCAGTGACACCATTCTTAGAATTTCAAACTCATTCAACGAGTTTAGATACTGAATATATCAGAAGCACCTCCAGGCATGGAGGAGATTCCTGTGAGGCTGGTGTCCCGGATATGAACCCCTGAGGGTCTGATTAAGAGGCCCGATGATCACAGCTCTTGCTTCTTTGTATAGCATCAGGGCTGCAGACATATTTCTTGTTCGTCTACCTGACAGGCGATGTTTTCTCTTTCAGGGACTACTGTGTGAATCATTTTTTAAACTTTTGATTTCTTCATTTTTTTTTTAGAGACAAGATATCACGGAATCTTTTTTGACCAAGCCATTCAAAGATTGATTGATTGATTGATTTTTGAGATGTAGTCTTGCTCTGTCACCCAGGCTGGAGTACAGTGGCATGATCATAGCTCACTGCAGCCTTGAACTCCTGGCCTTAAGCAGTCTTCCCACCCCAGCCTCCCAGGTAGCTGGGACTACAGGCATGCTCCATCACGCCCAACTAATTTTTTTGTAGAAATGGAGTTTCCCTGTGTTTCCCAGGCTGGCCTCAAACTCCTGGTCTCAAGCACTCTTTGTGCTTCAGTCTCCCAAAGTTCTGGGATTACAGTCATGAGCCACAGTGCCCGGCCTCAAAGGCTTATTTTTTAAATGTACATATTTCAGAAAATATGCTGCTTCTTTAAATAGATAAGATGATGTAAAACATTGTTCTGGTCACCATCAGTGATACAGATTGCAAGCATTCTCCCACAGTGATATGGTAGAGGTTTGACTGGGATATTTGAGCTGTTTGCCCCCAGGCAGGACTGCCAGATAAAATATAGGAAGCCCAGTAAAATTTGAATTTCAGATAAACAATGAACACTTAAATAAAACATAAGTATATCCCATGTAGTATTTGGGATATACTTTACACTAAAAAAGTATTTGTTTATTCAAAAATCAAATTTAAGTGGACATCCTCTATTTTTATTTGCTAACTCGGGTGACTCAATGGCCATACCCTATTTGTCACTATACTGTTATATGCAAATCCACACTGTTCTATTCCTTTGCTGTGTAACCCACAGCCAGCTGTGGGCCAGCCCTGATTTATGACTCCAGATGGTCATAAAGTATGAGAGAAACTCTTATTTTCACATGTACTTTGTTTATGAATTATAGTTTTTCTTACCATAATTCTATCAAACCTGACGACAAAATGTAACTGAAAGAAAATCAAATGGAAATAACTTTATAACTATGCCTTCAGTATGGAAATCAAACTCTCGCCTACATTAACGCAACTCACCTTTGTAGGGGCCTTGCTGTGTTCAAAGCTCTATTCTAAGTGCTTAAAATGTATCAATTCATTAAGCCCTATGAAGTAAAGACAACAGTTATCCTCTATGTTTCAGAGACTCAGAGAGGTTAAGGAACTTGCCCAAGGTCACACAGTTCATAGACAGTAAAGTCAGGATTCACATCCAGGTGATCTGACTCCAGAGACTGTGCTGTCATCCTCTCTGCATTGTTCAGTATATGTTTCCGGTGAATTCATAAATAAAATGTTTGCACTTTTGGAGAAAGAAATGTTTTTACTGGAGCTGGCTTAGCAGATACCTTTTTTTTTATACTTTAAGTTCTGGGATACATGTGCAGAACGTGACGGTTTGTTACATAGGTATACGCGTGCCATGGTGGTTTGCTGCACCCATCAACCCATCACCTACATTAGGTGTTTCTCCTAATGCTATCCCTCCCCTATCCCTGAACCCTCAGAGACATCTTAAAATATGAGTCTAATGACATCTGTACTGAAGGTGGTTCCCTTTTACTTACCTGGTAATTCTCATTTTTTTTTTTTTTTTTTTTTTTAAGACAGAGTCTCACTCTGTCGCCCAGGCTGGAGTGCAGTGGCATGGTCTCAGCTCACTGCAGCCTCCACCTCCCAGGTTCAAGTGATTCTCCTGCCTCAGCCTCCACCTCCCAGGCTCAAGTGATTCTCCTGCCTCAGTGTCCCAAGTAGCTGGGATTATTGACACGCGCCACCACGCCCAGCTAATTTTTGCAAATTTATAGAGACGGGGTTTCACCATGTTGGCCAGGCTGGTCTCAAACTCCTCACCTCAAGTGATCCACCCACCTTGGCCTCCCAAAGTTCTGGGATTACAGGTGTGAGCCACCACATCCGGCCACCTGGTAATTCTCATTTAGCAAGCATAAATATATTTTACTACATCGAGAATTTTCAAATTTTTAAACTGAGTTCGAAATCACATTCATTTACTTAGAAATTGGCCATTCAGGATTTATGAAGATGGAAGTCCTTGACTGGTGACTACATGCTGGCTGAGAGAAAGGTAGTTTTGACAGTTTCTCCTAGAGCCAAGAAGTCATATTGGATCACGAGGCCAAAGAAAAAATATTTGCCCATCTGTATACCTATTAAAATATCCTCCCATATTTTGAACTGAGTGGAAAAGGTAATAAAGCTCTACAGTTAAACAAATGACTATATATAAAGCCCTGTTTTGTCTAACCTGTTTGTACGCCACGCTGAACCCTCGTAAACCCACCCAGCGGCATATGTGATGGCCTCGCAGGTCTAGGAATAATGGGCTGACTGGAAATGACGGTTCTTATTGCATGGTAATGTAAGGTCTTAAAACAGCCAACCAACCACACTCCACGTTTAAAAAAACTGAATACTTTGTTTGTCATAATTTTTTTTCTTTTTTGCGTTTTAATTTTTAAAAGTATTCCATTAAGGCTAGGCACAGTGGCTCATGCCTATAATTGCAGCACTTTGGGAGGCCTAGGCAAGCCAATTGCCTGAAGTCAGGAGTTCGAGACCAGCCTGGGCAATATGGTGAAACCTCATTTCTACTAAAATACAAAAAATTAGCTGGATGTGGTGGCAGGCGTCTGTAGTCCCAGCTACTCGGGAGGCTGAGGCACAAGAATTGCTTGAACCCAGGAGGTGGAGGTTGCAGTGAGCTGAGATTGCACCACTGCACTCCGGCCTGAGTAACAGAGTGAGATTCTGTCTCAAAAAAAAAAAAGAAAAAAAGAAAAAAAAGTATGGCATTAAAATATCGCATAGTTTATTTGTATTTTGGTGTATATTTATTGTATCATATGTTTATTGTCTACTTTATTGTTTATTTATCATATTCCTGCGTTTTTTTGGCAGCCTCCCATTTTGCACCCAAGCCGAGTGCCTCACTTGTGTCACCCGGCCCTGGTTCCTCTCCTTCCATGACGCACTGTGCACTGTTTCATTCATGAGCGTTTGTCACAATGCTAATCTCTTCCCCAATGTCAAGCTGACTTTTTTTGGAAGAGTCCTTGATGCCGAAATTATTATGCCACCAGGTTCTCTGCTGGGAAAGATGAAACCGTGTTTTGGTCTTAATGGTTTGATGGCGTGCCATGCTGTTCTAAGGAATTTGAAGAGAAAAGGTGTCTTTGCCAAAACGACTGCTTGGTTTGGAGGCATGTGAATTGACAGTATCCAATCAAATATCCATGCAATCCAGAATGCATCCACCTTACACGTCATGCTTGCTTTTTGCAGTTAATAATATAGAGGCACTAGCCGCTATAGTGAGTGTGTGACTCAACACATTGTCATGTTGGGTGCATTCTTAAATATGGGATTGGGTCATGATGCAGATGTTCTTAAGAAAGACAGTAAAAAGCAGTGGGTTACAAGTTGTAAGTTGGGTTTACCTGTCTCTAATATCTTGGAAACCCAATTAATAGTAATTAACTTGTTATGCCTACTGTATGATGCAACATATATATATATAAAGTCTCTAGCACTGTGCCTGGCACACAGTACATTTTCAATACATGGTAGTCAACACTATTGTTAATTTTGTGTCTGTTTTCCTGTTTTATTCTCCTTTCCCTTGAGGCATCTATCTAATGTTCTTTGAGGACCCACTGTGTGCTAAAGACTGACCACAGCACCTTTCCTTTAGCTGCTATCAAGGTTTCTTTCTTATAGGGTCTGTTCCTGATGGATATGTCTTGCTAGTATTATGATTCTTATTAGCTGAGTTCTAGAAAAATATACACCTGAATTTATGTATTGAGTAACAGTCAATAGCCTCTTTGTTGGGTATTGAGTAACAGTCAATGAGTCTCTGGATAAGTAGTCAAGGGCCTCTGTATTAGTTTTCTATTGCTGCATACAAATCATCACAAACATGGTGGCTTAAAACAACACACATTTATTATCTCACAGTTTCTGTGGATCAGACATCCAGGCATGGCAGAGTTGGGTCCTTTGCTTAGTGTCTCACAAGGATACAGTCAAAGTGTTGGCTGGGCTGCATTCTCATCTGAAGGCTGGACTGGGGGAGATCTGCTTCTAAGGTCATTCGAGTTGTTGGCAGATTTCATGTCCTTGCAGCTTTCTGACTGAAGGCCCCAGCTTCTTACCACTGTTCGGTGGAGATACACTTCATGTCCTAGAAGTCTTCTCAAGTTGCTCGTTGCTGTGTGGCTGTGGCTCTTTTCATGTTCACAACGTGGCTGTTTGCTTCTTCAAGGCCAGCAAGAAAATCTTTCTCTCCAATGTGTTAAAACAGAGTTTTAGATAATGAGTTGTAATTATGGGAGTGATATCCCATCTCCTTTGCCATATTCTATTAACTAGAAGCAAATCACTTGTTCTGTCACACTCAAGAGTTGGGGTCATACAAGGACAATACCAGGGGCAGCATTAGATATCATGGGGCCATCTTAGGCTTCTGCCTACCACAGCCTCCTTGAAGAAAACACTTCATTGTTGGTGCACGGGCTTTGGCAAAACTATTTAACTTCTTCTTTTTAAAAATGCTTTATTCATTTTTTATTTTTCTAATTTTTTTTTGAGACAGGGTCTCTGTTGCCCAGGTTGGAGTGCAGTGGCATGATCATAGCTCACTGTAGCCTTGAACTCCTGGGCTCAAGTGATCCTCCCGCCTCAGCCTCCTGAGTAGCTGGGACTACAGGTATGTGCCACCACGCCTGGCTAATTTTTTTTATTTTTGTAGAGACAAGGTCTTGTTATATTGCCCAGGCTGGTCTCAAACTCCTGGCCTCAAGTGATACTCCAGTCTCAGCCCCACAAAGAGTAGGATTACAAGCATGAGCCACCGTGCCCAACCGTGTTTAACTTGTCATAGGCCTTTATCTACAGTTTATTTCACGGTTGTATCCCAAAGTGGGGCGGGAGTTGCTGGAAGCTTGACTTTGGGATAAGCAGAGATTTTTAGGTATTTTTCACATATTAAGTATCAGTGATATATCCACGATGTACCTACCGAAGATGTAATGAGATCATCTGCGCCAAGATTCTATGGAGGGAGGGACTTTAAATAAACAGTCTAAAGAGAAAGAAGAAACTTCTAAGGTTGTCGGGCCCTGCTCCCTGCCTCCAAGTAGGAATTTATGTTAGCTAGACCTTACCCCATCCAAAGGAAAACAAAGAATTCAATTATTTTGATTTTTAGATCTCACAAATAACTGAGAACATGTGATGTTTGTCTTTCTATGCCTGGCTTATTCCACTTAACATAATCTCCAGTTCCCTCCATGTTGTTGCAAATGACTGGATCTCATTCTTTTTTTTTTGGCTGAATAGTACTCTGTTGTGTATCCATACCATATTTTCTTTATTCATTCAGCTGTTGATGGACACTGTACCCCATAAGTGTATACATCTATGTACCCACAAAATTTTTTTTTAAAGTTAAAAAAGGCCAGCCATGGTGGCTCACACCCGTAATCCCAGCACGTTGGGAGGCTGAGGCAGGTGGATCACTTGAGGTCAGGAATTCGAGACCAGCCTGGCCCACATGGTGAAACCCCATCTCTACTAAAAATACAAAAATTAGCTGGGCATGGTGGCAGGTGCCTGTAATCCCAACTACTCGGGAGGCTGAGGCAGGAAAATTGCTTGAACCCAGAAGGTGTTCTGAGATTGTACCACTTCACTCCAGCCTGGGCAACAGAGCAAGACCCTGTCTCAAAAAAAAAAAAAAGTTAAAAAAAAGGAGACAAACAGCCACATAAAAACCTCCTGTTTTCCTAAAGAAAGTGGAAGACAAAATGCTTCACTGATCTCTTCTCAAACCAGAGGGCTTTTGAAATGTGATTGCATTTAACTCTGTACCAAGACAGTTATTTTAAGGGGAAGTTTGACCATTCGCTGTAAGTGTTCATGATCCCGTTACTCTTTTGAAGTGCCTTTGAGTTGCCTAACCCTCAAGATGGGTAACTGGTTGGCAGGTAGTTGATGGGCAGGAGGCTGGACGCGTTCACAGGAAGCTGTTTAGTGTGTTTCTTACTGTTGAAATTGGCCAGGAAGTCACCTGGGAGTGGTGTTAGGTTGCTGATAGAGTATACCATATGACTGTGTGTGTGTACGTGTATGAGTGCACACAGACACACACACAGACGGTGTGTACAATAGACTGCCAACCATTTCGCGTGGGTGGCTATATTCTCAAGCCAACTAAAACTTCTGTGGGGGTGTTTTCATAGGAAAATAAAACAATATTCCCAACAATTTGGGGAATTAAGCCCATTATATTTGTATGGCATCT
Organism: Homo sapiens; assembly: GCF_000001405.40. NCBI lineage: Eukaryota > Metazoa > Chordata > Mammalia > Primates > Hominidae > Homo > Homo sapiens. Next base: position 117,897,771 of record NC_000012.12, on the reverse strand, counting down.
GCTTGGTGGTTTCTGCTGCATTCAGGTTCTCGGATCAGCAGGTTTCTTAGCCTTGCAAAGAGCTAGCACCCAAGTCACCTAGCTCACATTTAAAAAAATAGGAAAATTACCAACCTCGTGCTTATTTTTGTACCAAAGGGGATTTCCACAGGGGGAGAATTTTCCTTCCCCGCTCCAGAAGGCCATTGTTACCTCAAAGACGTGTCTGTTCAGCCAGCTAATGGGGACAGCGTGAAGACAGAGTGCGGCCCCTCTCCTGGGAATCACAGGAGACACCAGTAAGCTTTGATTATATTTTTGGATGCTGCAAAGCTGATGTGGTTTCCTAGTCAACCTTTCATGCCTACTGATAATGGAGAGTGCTGGGTAGGCTGGAGCGCTTTCTTTTTTTCTTAAAAGAAGCCGAGATCTCAGACTTGCTGGGTCAGGGAAAGCAACCTTCTCACCTTTCAGCATGGTGTGCTGACTGCCAAAGGTATTCTTAGTTGGCAAGTATTTCCTTGGCACCACTGCCCTGGCATGTTTGCCCCCTCCAGATCATTTCTGATGTGCATAATATGGCCTGAAACTGGCATCTGTCACAGCTTGGGAGCTGGATGTTAATGAAACAATAATTCCTGATGACGAACACGTGGCTGCTCCGCTACTCCCTCAAGCTGAACATCAGTCCCGGTAGACTTGGGCGAAGAGGAACAGGGCAGAGAGGAAGAAACCTCTTCACTCTAACACCTCCTGGTTAGGCAGATGAAGTATCACTGCCCTGCTTGGCACAGCACCTGTCTTGTCAGGCTTTTCCAGTGTGAACACTGGATCCTTAACCTCAGAGAAGCCCTCACCTAACAGGAGGGTGACGACTGCCTACCCATTTTATAAAGATGGAGACTGCATTCCTTGACTCCATATTAGAATCACCTGGGGAGAATTTTTAAAAAATGACATATAACTCATACACCATAACATTTATCCTCTTAAAGTGTTCAGTGGTTTTTGAATATATTTATAAGGTTGTGCAGGCCAGGTGTGGTGGCTCGTGCCTATAATCCCAGCACTTTGGGAGGCCGAGGCAGAGGGATCACCTGAGGTCAGGAGTTCGAGCGCAGCCTGGCCAATGTGGTGAAACCTCATCTCTACTAAAAATACAAAAATTAGCCAGGCGTGGTGGCACACGCCTGGAATCCCAGCTACTTGGGAGGCTGAGGCAGGAGAATCGCTTCAACCCAGAAGGTGGAGGTTGCAGTGAGCCAAGATGGCGACATTGCATTCTAGCCTGGGCAACAATAGCAAAACTCCGTCTCAAAAAAAAAAAAAAAAAATGTTGTGCGAAACCACCACTAATTCTGGAACATTTTCATCATCCTGAGAGGAACCTCACATTAGCAGTCATTCCCTAGTCCACCTCCCACCAGCCCCTGGCAACCACTAATCTACTTCTTGTCTCCATGTATTTATCTTTTCTAGACATTTTATTTCAGTGGAATCATACTATATGTGGCCTTTTGTGTCTGGCTTCTTTCACTCAGCATAGTGTTTTTGAGGCTCATCTATGTTGTAGCATGTATCAGTACTTCATTCCTTTTTCATGGCTGAATAATATTTCATTGTGTGGCTCTGCCACATTTTATTTATCCATTCATTTGTTGATGGACATTTGGGTTGCTTCTACTTTTTGGCTGTTATAAATAGTGCTACTATGAACATTCACGTACAAGTTTTTTACACAGAGTTTCACTCTTAGCCCAGGATGGAGTGCAGTGGCATGGTCTTGGCTCATTGCAACCTCTGCCCTCTGGGTTCAAGTGATTCTCCTGCCTCAGCCACTGGAGTAGCTGAGATTAAAGGCACCCACCACCATACCTAGCTAATTTTTGTATTTTTAGTAGAGATGAGGTTTCACCATGTTGGCCAGGCTGGTCTTGAACTCCTGACCTCAGATGATCCACCTGCCTTGGCCTCCCAAAGTACTGGGATTACAGGCATGAGCCACCATGCCCAGCCTTATGTACAACTTTTTATATGATATTTTTGGTTTTCTTGGGTATATACCTATGAGCGGGATTTCTAGGTCATATGATAACTCTATGTTTAACATTTGGGGAACTGCTAAACGTTTCCACAGCAGCTCCACAATATTATATTCCCCCAGTGATGCAGGAGGGTTCTGCATTCACCACATCCTCACAGATACTTGTTACAGTCTGTGTTTTTGATTATAGCCATCCTAGGAGGTATGAAATCCTAATGGGTATGAAGTCTAGAGGTCTTTAAAAAAATGCCAGATTCCAACACTGCCCCCACATCTCTCCATTCTGAGAATTGGTTTTATTATTATTATATTTTTAATTCCCCTGGTTGAATTCCATGTGCAGCCAAGTTAGAGAACCACTGGGCTAGGGGAACTTACTTATGCAAGTGAGATATTTGGTAAGCTTCTACCCAGAGCCTGGAGTAGGGTAAGGCCAGTGAGGCACTCCCCTTGGGCACAATGTTTGTGTGGAGGCATCAAAATGTCGGTAATATATATTTTATATAGATACTTAGAGACAGGATCTTGCTGTCACCCAACCTGGAGTGCAGTGGTGTGATCATGGGCCACTGCAGCCTCAAAGTCCTGGGCTCAAGCGATCCTCCCAGCTCAGCCTCCCGAGTAGCTGGAACTACAGGCACAGGTTTGTGCCACCACACCTGGCTAATTTTTTTAATTTTTTGTAGAGACAGAGTCTGACTGTATTGCCCAGGCTGGTCTTGAACTCCTGGACTCAAGCAATCCTCTTGGCTCAGTCTCCCGAGTAGCTAGGACTTCAGGCATAGCTCCACGAAGCCCGGGATATTAGTCCATTCTCACACTGCTATAATTACATACCTGAGACTGGGTTATTTGTGAAGAAAAGAGGTTTAATTGACTCACAGTTCCATAGGATGTTTAGGAAGCATTGGTGGGGAGGCCTTAGGAAACTTACAATCATGGCGGAAGGCAAAGGGGAAGCAGGCATGGTCTTCACGTGGCCAGAGTGAGAGAGGGAGAGGGGGAGGGGGAGAGGGAGATGGGGACGGGAAGGGGGAGAGGGAGATGGGGAGGGGGAGGGGGAAGTGCTACGCACTTTCAAACAACCAGGTCTTGTGAGAACAGCTAGGGGGAAGTCTGCTCCCATGATTCAATCACCTCCCACCAGGTCCCTTCTCCAACATGTGGGGATTACAGTTTGACATGAGATTTGTGTGGGGACACAGAGCCAAACCATATCACTTAGCTAATTTTTTATTAATTTTTTTTTAGGGATGAGATCTCTCTGTGTTGCCCAGGCTGGCCAGGAACTCCTGGCCTCAAGTAATCCTGCCACCATGGCCTCCCAAAGTGTTGGGATGACAGGGATGAACCACTGTGCCCAGCCATATAATATTTTAATGCACTATTTAAAGATAAAAATTAATACAAAAGTTCATGATAAACAAAATATCGACATTTTACAAAGACACAGCCTGTGACCTGGCACTTGTACAATTCATCTCACTCTCCTCATCCTAATGCTGGCACTATTAGAGCCTGTCTTTATTTAAGAATTTTGGCCGGGCGCCGGTGGCTCACGCCTGTAATCCCAGCACTTTGGGAGGCCGAGGCGGGTGGATCACGAGGTCAGGAGATGGAAACCATCCTTGCTAACACGGTGAAACCCCATCTCTACTAAATATACAAAAAATTAGCCGGGTGTAGTGGCAGGCGCCTGTATTCCGAGCTACTCGGGAGGCTGAGGCAGGAGAATGGCGTGAACCCGGGAGGCGGAGCTTGCAGTGAGCCGAGATCGCGCCACTGCATTCTAGCCTGGGCGACAGAGCGAGACTCCGTCTCAAAAAAAAAAAAAAAAAAAAGAATTTTGTTCTTTGTGGATTTTTCTGGCTATGAATTTTGACTTTTTAAAATGCTGCGTTAAAATATATTTATCTTGGTTACTGAGTTTTTGGAGCCTCCTTAAATTTTGCACCCAAAGTGAATGCCTCACTCTCCTTACCGTATTCTTGGCCTTGATTTTACCTCTCTCCCAGATATTGTGAAAAGCAAGCACCTACTTGTTTTTGGTAGTTCTGGGTACTCCTAGGTGCTCTCTTGATCTTGTTTTATCCCACCTGAGTCTCACAACAGTTCATTTGGAGTGGGTGTTAGAATTCTCAATTTATAGATGAGGATACAAGGTTCAGAGAGATGTGGGACTTGACCCAAATCTCACAGGTAGTGGGTGGTGAGTCGGATTTGGACCCAGGTCTTCATGCAGAGAGCTTACGTGCTTGGCACCTGCTAGGGTGTATGACACTTTCAGGTTCACGGGCCACAGCCTACGCTGCAAAGTACAAAGGGTGGAAAATGTTGGTTTTTCACCTATAGATGAGAAAACTGAGCCTCACTGATTCTTTGGAGACTTGGTCACTTTTTTTGAAAAGACATTTTTAGTCTATATATGGTCTCGCTGGGCACAGTGGCTCATGCCTGTAATCCCAGCACCACGGAGGCCGGGGTGGGAGGATAGCTTGAGCCCAGGAGTTTGAGACCAGCCTGGGCAACATGGTGAAACCCTATCTCTACCAAAAATACAAAACTTAGCCGGACATGGTGGTATGCACCTGTAGTCCCAGCTACTTGGGAGGCTGAAGTGGGAAGATGGCTTGAGCCTGGGAGGTTAAGGCTGCAGTGAGTCATGATCACACCACTGCACTCCAGCCTGGGTGACAGAGTAAGACCCCGTCTCAAAAAAAAAAAAAAAAAATTACACAGGGTCTCATCCCAGTTTCCCCCTTCATTTCATTAGTAATTCATTCATTTGGCTCAGCAAATAATTGTTGAGTCCAGTTGGGTGCCTTGTCTTGTGCTGATTAGGACATGGGACAGGGCAGCCACAGTCCTGCATTTGGAGTAGAGATGCAATACTATTTATAAAAATTCACTTTAAAAGCAACTTCTCATGAGATTGATTTTTTTTTTTTTTTTTTTTTTTTTGCACATAGCACAGATGTCAGCAAACTTTTCTTTAAAGAGACATATAGTAAATATTTTAAGCTTTTTGGGTCATGCAGTCTCTGTGGCAACTACTTAGCTCTGCAGTTGGAGCACAAAAGCAGCCACAGATGATATATATACATTAATGGTAGTGGCTGTGTTCCAATAAAACTTTATTTACAAATATAGGCTGAGGGCCAGATTTGGCCTCTGGGCAGTAGTTTGCTGACTTTTGGTATATAGGAATTTCTACCTTTTCCCAGAAGCCAGTATGGGAAAAAATGCTTTGAAAAGTCTGAAATTGGCCTGTGAAGATGGAATCTTGAAAGGCTGGAGACAAAAAGAGAAGAGTTCTAAAAGAAAGCAATGGAAGAATTGGAGATAATGTGTTGTGAGAGCTCTTTGTTTGAGAGGCATAAGGACAAATGAGAAAGACAAAAGATATTCCAATTGGTTTTTCTATGTGTATTTTTGTTTGTTTTTGAGACAGAGTCTTGCTCTTGTTGCCCAGACTGGAGTGCAGTGGCGCGATCTCAGCTCACTGCAACCTCTGCCTCCCGGGTTCAAGTGATTCTCCTACCCTCAGCCTCCTGAATAGCTGGGATTACAGGTGCCCACCATCACACCCAGCTAATTTCTTTTTGTATTTTTAGTAGAGACGGGGTTTCATCATGTTAGCCAGGCTGGTCTCGAACTCCTACCTTCAGGTGACCCACTTACCTTGGCCTCCCAAAGTGCTAAGATTACAGGCGTCAGCCACCGCACTGGGCCGTTATGTGGTTTTTCTTGAGACAGGGTCTCACTCTGTTACCCAGGCTGGAGTGCAGTGGCATGATCATGGCTCACTGCAGCTTCAGCCTCCCGGGCTCAAGTGATCCTCCCACCACAGCCTCCCAAGTAGCTGGGACCACAGGTGTGCACCACCATGCCTAGCTAATATTTTGTTATGTTTTGTTTTGTTTTTGTAGAGACAGGGTCTCCCTGTGTTGCCCAGACTGGTCTTGAACTCCTGGGCTCAAGTGATCCTCTCTCCTCGGCCTCCCAAAGTGCTAGGATTGCAGGCATGAGCCACCACGCCCAGCCTAATTGTTTTTTGTTTGTTTGTTTGGTTGGTTGGTTTTCATCCCATGCTTCCTTCTGAGCAATTGATTTTTTAAAAAGTCATATTTGTTATAATAAAACATTTCATTTTTTAAAAAATTTAATATTTATTATAGAAATGGAGTCTCATTCTGTTGTCCAGGCTGGTCTTGAATTCCTGGGCTAAAACAATCCTCCCACCTTTGCCTCCCAAAGTCCTGGGATTTACAGGCATGAGTCACTACACCCACCTGTCTAATAAAACATTTCTTTTCTTTCTTTTTTTTTTTTGAGATGGAGTCTCGCTCTTGTTGTCCAGGCTGGAGTGCAGTGACACAATCTTGGCTCACTGTAACCTCTGCCTCCTGGGTTCAAGCAATTCTCCTGCCTCAGCCTCCCAAGTAGCTGTGATTACAGGCATGCGCCACCACACCCGGTTAATTTTTTGTATTTTTAGTAGAGATGGGTTTCACCATGTTGGCCAGGCTGGTCTTGAACTCCTGACCTCATATGATCTGCGTGGCTTGGCCTCCCAAAGTGTTGGGATTACAGGCGTGAGCCACCGCACCCAGCCATAAGAAGACATTTCTAATAAAGGGGTTATTGTCTAGTAATTTGAACTAGAGGACTAAAAATTTGGGAATTTCACTTATGTTTTTTTGTCCCCTACTGCCTTTATTCTGCCATTGACCTCTTATGTGACCTTTGAATGATTTAATTTTTCTGAAGGGAGGGATGACAGTGATGAACCATGTAGCAAGGTGACCCCATGGTAATTCCTCATCAGCAAGGGAATCCAGCAGCCCTTCTCGGGAGAATATGGGATGTTGCAATATTCCACTCTGAGACTTCTTTTTCCCTTCTGCTGGAACACAAGTCTCCTGACTCCCAGTCTAATGTTATTTCCATTACACCATCCAAGTGTGATGCAAGATATGGCAGAGAGATGTCCCACGGTGCATCTAAGTGGGAAGAAAAAATTTCTAGCTTATGGGTATATAAACAATGCAAGAAATGGATCAAATGCAATCAAATGCAATCAAATGGATCTGCCAAATGCATAGGTCTTCCCATTAAGTAAATTGGGCATGGAAGCATGGACAAATATGGTTCTTCTATGAAAAGTTCTTAGAACCTGCAAAAGGCTTTAACACAGAGAGGACCTTTAAATAGTGAGCTTATTTAAAAAGACTAGACTTCTAAGCAGTGTTTTCGGGAGAGCACTACTGTAGAATTCTAAGGTTGTTCCCTTTACTCTGGAGCTCAGAAGCTCCATTTGTTGAGGATGGTAAATGTCAGAGAAGATTCACACCAAAGGTACTATCTGGTGCTCTGTGGACATGTGGCTGGGCTCTAAAGCCTGTGGACACCCCTAGAGGCTGGAGATTGTACTGATCTTGGTATGAAGATCAAACTAGTTACTAGCTTATGGGACCCAGTGTGACTTGGGTGACTTTAGGTAACACTTCTCTTCCTTCAGAGCCTTAGATCTCAAAGACATAAGATAGGAAGAACAGTACCATTGTCTCAAGACCTTTTCGAGGATGATCCAATACAGTGCTGTTCAAAATGCGGTCCCTGGACCAGCAGCATCAGCATCACCTGGGAACTTGTTAGAAACGCAAAGTTGGATGGTTCCCCAGACCTACTGAGTCAGCAGCTGTGGCAGGGAGTAGGGGTTGGGGGGATTCTAGCAATCTGTGTTTTCACAAGCCCTCCAAGGCTTTCTAATGCATGCTCAAGTTTGAGGACTCTTAGAGTAGGAGAGGGTGTTTCAACCTTGGCACTACTGATATTCGGGGGTGAATACCTCCCTGTTGTGGGATCTGTCCTGTGTATTGAAAGATGTTGAAGAGCAATTCTGGTCTCTACCCACTAGATTTTAGTAACAGCTCCCCATCTTCCAAGTTGTGACAACCAAAATATTTATAGACATTGCCAAAGTCCCCTGGAGGACAAAATCACTTACAGTTGAGAACTCCTGGTCCAGGATAAAGCAAGTTCCTGACATTTGGCAAGCTCTGAATGAAGTGTTAACTTCCCTTGTTTTCTTCTGCAGTCTATCCATCTGAATTGAAGGGGAGGGTGGAAGAAAGCAAGATACAAATGTTTTTTACCTTTTTGACTGTGCTGACACTATGGCCCCACGTCTCGTTATTTAAAAATAGTCACACTCTTTCAACTTTCTAACAAAATTTTCCTTTGGGTTGAAACTAAACATGGAAAATCTCAGCCCTGGGACCTGTGTTAATTTTCCCCCAAGAGCTAAGAGGCTGCGAGTGAGGATTGTTGATGGAAAGTTTGAGGTCTCTGTAACTGCAGAGCTTGCTGCTGTGATGTGGGGGCACGAGTTCCCTCCACTTCACCTTGGCTTCCCCTCCCATGAGAGTTTCACAGCTGGTCCCCTCCACACCCGGCTGCTCGCCCTGCTAATAATAACCACAAGAGATCTGATTTCCGTTGCTGGTGAACTGCCTCTCATGCTTGGATTTTCCTTCTACATGTGGCCTGAGTTGGGAGAGGCATCTGAGCTGCGGAAGGGGCACACCGTCCTTGGAGTTAGGTGACCTGGGTTCCAATTCTACCTCCACCCATAACTTGCATGGAAGATGCTGGGTGCATCATTCAAGTGCCTGATTGCACTTTGGTTTCCATACCTGTAAGACAGACACTATAAGACCTGTGGGAGCATTCATTTTTAAATATTGTGGTAAATTATACGTAACATAATGTTTACCATTTTAATCATTTTTGAGTTTACAGTTCAGTGGCATTAAGTGCATTCATATTGTTGTGTAACCATCACCACTATCCATCTCAAACTTTTTCATCACCCCAAAATGAAATTCACTAACTCCCTGACTTAGTCAACTTGGGCTGCCGTAACAAAATACCATAGACTGGATGGCTTAAGCAATAGAAATAAAATCTAAATTTATTTTCCCATATATAGAAAAAAATGGAAATTTACTTCTTACCGTTCTGGAGGCTGGGAAGTTCAAGACCAGGTTGTCAGCATGGTCAGGTTCCAGGTTCTGGTGAGGGCTCTATTCTTGGCTTGCAGACGGCCACCTTCTTTCTGTGTCCTCACATGGTGGAGAGAAAGTTCTGGTTTCTTCCTGTTCCTAGAAGGACACTGATCCCATCATGGAGGCTTCACCCTCAGGTCTTCATCTAAAGCTAATCACTCCCTAGGCCCCCATCTCCAAATACCATCAAACTGGGAGTTAGGGATTCAATATATGGCTTTTGGGGACACACATTCAGAACACTCCCCATCACTCCCACTCCTAATCTCTTGTGTACTTTCTGTTGTGAATTTGGCAATTCTGGGCACCTCATGTAGGTGGAGTCATAGAGTATTTGTCCTTTTGGAGAGCATACTTTTGATATATGGTGGAACATTTATTTGTATATTTGAATACAAATATACAAATTTGTGTTTGTGTCTTTGAATATTCCCAGAAGCATTGTCCAGGGTTGAATCTGGCCTCCAAGAGAATGGTTGAAAGTGCCCTACGTAAAAACTGAAGATCAAATATCTAAATGAAAACTGAAGAATGCTGGTAGTTTGATGGTTATTCTCAAAAGGGTTTTGGGGCTGGAGAAAAGGCTACACTTGGAAATATTGTTACGAAGCATTAAGCCCTTCTTCAGGTAGGCACTGGGTGTGGAAGACACTCTGTTTGCCTATCCAAAGTCATCCTTGCTTCCTGAATCCAGTTTTGTTCTTGCTCATCTGAGCAGCCTGCTCTTGAGACAATGTCGCTCATGACTGGTCTAGGCCAGTGACGTTCCCTTTGCAATCACTGGTTGATCATAGCCATGTGGCTGCCCACTCCTGGCCAGTGGGATATGAGGGGTGGCCAGTGGAGGAGAGTTTTTTAAAATTTTTTTTTATTTTTATTTTTTAATGCATGAAAGGAAACATTGGTGAGAATGGTCATTCTTCTGCTGATGCCCACATGGAAATGCCACAGCCATCTCAACCCTACCAGGGCCCTTGATACTGCTGATGAGCCACTGAGTGAAGCAACCCTGGCAGCCACCATGCTGCTGGATTATTGCTGTGTAACTAAACAATTCCTTTGTTGAAGCCACTTTGGGGAGGGTTTTTAGTTCCCTAACACAGAACCTCCTGTTGAAACACTGGATTCTCAGGACTGGTCAAGGGCCTGTTCTGCTCCACGTGGTTCCACCAGGCCTGGGTATGCTGGATTTGACCTAGTTGGGTTTGCATGTAAACTTCACCTGAACCTCTCCCTCCTGGCCTGATTCTTAGTCTCTTGATGGAAAGGAAGTCAAGGGGCCAGGTGCCGTCACTCGTGCCTGTAATCCCAGCACTTGGGAGGCCAAGGCAGGAGGGTTGCTTGAGCCCAGGAGTTTAAGACCAGCCTGGGCAACATAGCAAGACCTTGTCTCTACAAAACAAAATGAAACAAAACAAAACAAAAACCGAAAAAGAAGAAAAGAAAAAAAAATCCGGCTGGGCATGATGACTCAGGCCTGTAATCTCAGTACTTTGGGAGGCTGAAGTAGAAGGATCACTTGAGCCCAGGAGTTCGAGACCAGCCTAGGCAACAGAGCAAGACTCCATCTCTACTAAAAATAAAAAATTTAGCCCGGTGTGGCAATGAGCGCCCGTAGTCCCAACTACTGGGGAGGCTGAAGTGGGAGAATCACTTGAGCCCAGGAGGTCGAGGCTGCAGCGAGCCATAATCACACCACTGCATTCCAGCCTTGGTGATAGAGTAAGACTCTGTCTCAAAAAAATATAACAATGAAAAAAGAAGAAAAGGTATTCTCTGTCTTTCATAGGGGAAGACTATTTTTTTTAATAAGCCAGGTAATACATGCACATGAGATAAAATATACATAGCAAAAAAGAAACAGAAAAAGAAGGATGTAACAATTACATCTCAACATCTATATGTGTGTATGTATATTGTTATGTATAGATGTCATATAATAGACATGTGTATATTATGTACATTTACATATGTGATTATATTATATATAATTATATGTATACTGTCATATGTCGCTAAATGACGGGGATACGTTCTGAGAAATGCATTGTTAGGTGATTTCATTGTGTAAACATCAGGGAGTGTACTTACACAAGCGTTAGATGGCATAGCCTACTTCACATCTAGGCTGTACGATAGAGCCTATTGCTCCCAGCCACAAACCTGCACAACATGTTACTGTACTGAATACTGTAGGCAATGGTAACACAATGGTATCTGTGTACCTAAACATAGCAAAGGCATGGGAAAAGCACAGTATTATAATTTTTTGGAACCATATCATATATATGATTTGTCACTGATAGAAACATCATTATGGGGTGCATGACTGTATGTCTATGTAAATTATGTATATGAAATATATACTACATATATTTATAGGTATATACCTGTATAATTACATATATTTATAGCTATATAAACATACATATATAATACATATACATTTACATAAATATATTTATATATACCTATATGTATTATTTATACCTATACAAATATTATATATACACATATGTACATGTATATTTTTATTTTAGGTTTCAGATACTTGTGCAGAATGTGCAGGTTTTTTTTTTTTTTGAGACGGAGTCTCAGTCTGTTGCCCAGGCTGGAGTGCAGTGGCACAATCTCAGCTCACTGCAACCTCCGCCTCCCAGATTAATGCCATTCTCCTGCCTCAGCCTCCTGAGTAGCTGGGGCTACAGGCGTCCGCCACCCCGTTGGCTAATTTTTTTGGTATTTTTAGTAGAGACGGGGTTTCACCATGTTAGCCAGGATGGTCTCGATCTCCTGACCTTGTGATCCACCTGCCTTGGCCTCCCAAAGTGCTGGGATTACAGACGTGAGCCACCGCGCCCGGCCAGGTTTGTTACATAGGTATATGTGTGTCATGGTGGTTTGCTGCACCTGTCAACCTGTCATCTAGGTTTTACGCCCCGCAGGCATTAGGTATTAGTCCTAATGCTCTTCCTCCCCTTACCCCCCGCCCCCTGTGTTGTTCCCCTCCCTGTGTTCAATACCTATGTATATATTATATACATATAATTACATATAATACACATATATAATTATAGGTATATAAGCATGCACATATATGTATATATTACATATGTGTTTATACACACCTATAAATATATGCATATTATAAAAAAACAGACACACACTTTTCCCCAGAGATAACCCCAGCAGGGTGGTACAGTGGCTAGGAGCCTGGGTTCTCAGCTAGACCTGATTCATCTTCTGGCTCCACCTTTCCTGGCTGTGTGGGTAAACTGCCTAGCCTCTCTGTGTCAGTTTCCTTATCTGCAAAATGTGATAAGTGAGCATGAACCCTACTTCACAGAGTTATTATGTGGATTAAATGAGATCTGCATGGAAAGTGCTTGGCGTCATGCCTTCTACGTAGAAAGCACTCAATAAATAGGGGCAGTAGTGACCCCTAAGATCTCTATCGGAAAGACCTGGATTCCAGGTCCAGCCATGTCACTCTCAGCTGTGGAACCCTAGAGGGGTCACTTAGCCTCTCAGAGCCTCTCAGAAGCCTCTCAGAGCTTCATCATCCACATGCAACAGGGCTGTTGTGTGTCCCCCGGGCAGTGGAAACTGAGGCCCCGGTGGGTGAAGTAACATATCCAAGGATATTCGGCTTGATCTGTGCTCCCTCCTCTGGGCAGGAGCATCCTCTGGTGTTACCTGCTGCGTGTCGGTGGGGAAGACAGAAAGGTGTTAGTTCTGTGCAGTTTTCCTACACGGCAGGTGCTATGGTTGTTTCTAATCCATTTGTTGCTGGTGAGGTTTAAAGTAAAGAGGAACGGAGCAGATGGTAGAGAAGAAGGAAACAGAGATGGCTGGTGAATTCTAGTGCCTCCTTCCCCAAAGTGGGTTTTACAGAGGTCTCGGCAGTGCAGCACTTAGACTCTACATCACTTCTTTCCACTCGCTATGCCACAGCCACAGAGGTCAAAGGACATCTAACTTGAGTTTGTAATGCTCTTGCTAGATTGCTTTTCATAAAGGTATAACAACTTGCACATCCACCAGAATTAGAAGATTGTGTGTTTCTTTGGTCTCAAGGCAGTGTTTTTGGCATCTCTTCTGAGTATCAACTTTTGGTGGAAACTTAATATGTGGAGCTTGCTGGTCATCAGGATTCCAAGATGCTTCTCCCCCTTGCTGCTACAAGCAAGAGAACTTTAGAAATTTCCCTTTCAGAAGACTGTGTTCAGTTCTAGCGAGAGCTGGCATGGTGGAGGATTTTGCCTCTCTGATGCAGAGCTGAAAAGGTTCATGCCAACTTGAGTATGTGTCACAGAGAACATTGTGCTGAGAGCTGGCAAGGTCTCATTCTCATTCTCATTCTCATGTCCCTTTTTCTCTCTTCCTTTTGCCTGTGTTGTTTTGCTCTGGGATTGGGAATTGTGCCGAGATGTAATCTGCAGGAGGGGCACTATCATTTAGAGGCAGGAGCGGGGAGCACACCTTCAGCCTGGGTGAGTTCAGAGTTTGAGGTCCTGACGACATGGAGGAGGCCCTTCATTGTCTGGAGCCTCTGTTTTTCTATTTGTAAGATGGGCACAGTGACATTGGCCAGACCCATTTCTCACTAGGTTGCTTTGCAGGACAAACGGCATTATTTTCCTGTTTTATCAGATAATGTCACTCTCTGTTTAAAAAACTTCTGAAGCTCCCCACGGCATAGGAATGAAATTCACCTGCTTTCCGTGACTGTAGTAGGTTCTACTTGACCCAGCCCCTGTCTCTGCTTCTTTGACCTCATTTCCTTTTTTTTTTTTTTTTTTTGAGATGGAGACTTGCTCTGTCGCCCAGGCTGGAGTGCAGTGGTACGATCTTGGCTCACTGCCACCTTCGCCTCACAGGTTTAAGCAATTCTCCTGCCTCAGCCTCCCAAGTAGCTGGGATTACAGATGCCTGCCACCACATCCAGCTAATTTTTGTATTTTTAGTAGAGACAGAGTTTTACTCCTTTTTATCTCCCTTTTGCCCATAATATTCCAGCTCTGAATTCCCGAAACATACCAAGTGCTTTCCCACCTCAGGGTCTTTGCACACCTTTCTGTGCCTGGCTGCCTGATCCCCTCTGTAGGGAGACTTTCTTTGGTTGGTCCGGGTAGTACCAACTGTCCTTCTCTGTTATATGCTCTGAGCTCTTTGCTGCCACCATAGCACTTATCAAATAGAAGTTCCATGGGGGCAGGGACCAAGCCTATCTTGTTCATAATTTTATCTCAGGATTTAGCCCAATGGTTGACACTTACAGGAAATCAACTTTTCGTCATCTACTATGTGCCAGGCACTGTGAGAGGCATTTTAGAAACATTATCTTATCTGATTCTACTATGTGTTTGGTTGCAAACTGTTTTTTATTATTAATAACAGTAATTATAATTTGTATCACTTGGATGTAACAGTTCTGCATGGCCTGATATGCCTGATGTGATGTAATTGGCTTTTAAGATGATAGTCAATCCCAGTTTCCTTATGTTTTTAATATATGGTGCTAGATGGGTACCAGGAGTGAAATACTTTTATTTGACAGATGGATAGATAGCTGAATGGATGGATGGTTGAAGGGATGAATGGATGGATAGATGAATGGAGGGAGGGAGGGAGAGATGGATGGATGAGTGGTTGGATGAATGGATGGATGGTTGACTGTATGGTTGGATTGAATGGATGGTTGCTTGGATGTATGGTTGGATTGAATGGATGGTTGCATGAATAATTGGATGGATGGATGGTTGGATGGATGAATGGATGGGTGGATGGATGGATGCCTGCATGGATGATTGGATGGATGGATTGTTGGATGGATGGATGAATAAATGAATAGATGGATGGATGAATAAGTGAATAGATGGATGGATGAATAAATGAACAGATGGATGGATGGATTGTTGGATGGATGGATGGATGGGTGGTTGGGTGGGTGGTTGGATGGATGGATGGATGCTTGCATGGATGGTTGGATGGATGGATTGTTGGATGGTTGGATGAATAAATGGATAGATGGATTGTTGGATGGATGGATGGATGGATAGATGGAAGGATGGATGGATTGTTGGATGGATGGTTGGATGGGTGGTTGGATGGATGAATGGATAGATGGCTAGATGTATGGGTGTATGGTTGCAAGGATGAGTGGATGGATGGATGGATGGAAGAATGGTTAGTTCTCAGATCCCTGTAACCATAAAATTCCAGGGTTAAAAGGAACCTCAAGGTTCATGCAGTTCAACATTCCTATCCAAATGTGACTCATCTCTGCTCAGGTGGAAGCCAGTGTGGGTGTGTTTGTGTGTGTAGATGGTAGTTGAACGGCAATTTGGAAATGGGAAGTTATGAGTGCTTGTCAAGGCCTGGCTTATATGCCACCTCCTCCAGAGAGCTTTCTCAGATTGTCTTTCCCAGAAACCATCTCCCTGTCCTTTGAACACTTGGCCTGTGCTGCTACTATGGTGCCTATTGCCCCCTGCAGTGTGCTGAGGGAGCTGTGCACGTCCCTGTCTGCTCCACTGGACTCTGAGCCCCTTGAGAGCCTTGTTGGAAAGTGCAAGGTACTTTCCTCTTAGAGTGGTCTGTCCTTCTCTAACTGCCATGGCATTTCCATCCTGAGACTTACAGTTGCTTTTGAGATTTCAGGGAAATGTATATCCTTTTGTAAATATGCGCAGGACACTCCAGCATCTCTTTGGAGCAGCCCTGAATAGGAGGACTTTGGTACTGGGTGTGTGGCCCTAAACCATTCAGTCTTCTGTTCTCTCTTCTCACAACCTCAAGAAATATTAATATTAATTGGGCAAAGATGCATTGAGTCACTAACAGACCCTGCTGGACTTCAATTCTCAACCTTGGCCTATGGCTCTGTCTCTTCCCAACTCAGATGGTCACCATGGCTTGTGGAAAGACAGCAGCTTTGGAGCCAGACAGGCTGGGGTCAGCTCTGCTGTTGTCCAGCTGGCATTGTGCAAGGCAAGTCAGCTGACCTCCATTTCCTCATTTGTAAAATGAGGATAATGTGGCCAATGTTATAGGTTCATAAGAATTTCATAAGAAGAATTCAAGATATTATACAGAAAGAGCCTGAGCAAAATGGGGAATGTTGTTGTCACTTTCTAGCTGTTGAGATTCTTGGGAGAAATGACACAGCGGGGCTTATAGCACAGACTTGGTGGGACAGTCACCATACTAACAAGGGTTACATAGTGAAAAGGATCTTTCTCTCTGGAAAGAATTGCTTTTCACTTCTGTCTGCTGACAACACCTCATCTCTAGGTAGGAGCAGCTGGTTGGAGTGGCCGGTCTGTAGTGTTTCTGTCTCTTCCTCATCAAGCCCCCTCTGTACCCTCAAACAAACCAAAACAAACACTAACAAAAAGTAACCCAGAGTTGAGACCATGAATCTGAACCCTGGACCAATTAGGCATTTGTGGTTGTTGCTTACGGAAAAGGCCTTCATTCTTGCACATCATTCATTCATTCATTGATTCATGAATCCATTCCATAGTTTTAATTATTCCGGGGAAACTCATCATGTTCATTGTTGGGAGGATGCAAAGATGACAAAAACAAGGCCCCGGCCCTTGAGATACTTGAAATCTGGTATAGGTCGAGTATCCTAATTAGAATGCTCCAAAATCTGCCCTGGGTGATAGAGTGAGACTCTGCCATAAAAAAAAAAATAAAAAGACCAGGCATGGTGGCTCACGCCTGTAATCCCAGCACTTTGGGAGGCCGAGGCAGGCAGATCACCTGAGATCAGGAGTTCGAGACCAGCCTGGCCAACATGGTGAATCCCCGTCTCTACTAAAAATACAAAAAAGTTAGCTGGGTGTGGTGGTGTGCACCTGTAATCCCAGCTACTTGGGAGGCTGAGGTGGGAGAATCGCTTGAACCTGGGAGGCGGAGGTTTCACGTCTCAGAAAAAAAAAAAAAAAAAAAAAAGAATCTGGCAAAATTCTGTCATAAAATAATATGAGGAGGGGTTAGTGGATGTTTACGGCTTCCTCCGGCAGGTTTTCTGGGTCGTCCTTGGCCTAGGGTAAATTTCATGGCCAGCATTCTCTGCCTTGTTTTCCATCCCTCCCAGCCCAGGTCTGCCTCATAACTTGTCTCATTTTCTTCAGGAGCCTGTATTTTCCATTAGGACAATTCTGAATATAATAGAAAGAGTTAAATTTTCTCTTTGGTGGGGGGGCTTGGGGTGCTTTTTCCCAGGAGATCTGCTAAAAAATTGTCTGCAGATTTAGAAGAAACTCCCCATGAGACGATGGCTATATTCTGTGTCTGCACCGTCTAGTACAAGAGCCACTGGCTACAAGCAGCTATTGAGCATTTGAAAGATAGTTGGTGTGATCAAGGAACTGAATTTTTACTTTCATGTAATTATATTTTGGTTTTAGAAATTAATATTTAATTTATTAAAGCAAAAATTCATTCTATTTATTCCTATGCTTTCACACAGTATTGTTCTATTCATATAAATCTTTTTTGTTTGTTTGTTTGTTTTTTGAGATGGAATTTCGCTCTTGTTGCCCAGGCTGGAGTGCAATGGCACAATCTCAGCTCACCGCAACCTCCGCCTCCCAGGTTCAAGCGATTCTCCTGCCTCAGCCTCCCAAGTAGCTGGGATTACAGGCACATATCACCATGCCTGGCTAATTTTGTATTTTTAGTAGAGACAGGGTTTTGCCATGTTGGTCAGGCTGGTCTCGAACTCCTGACTTCAGGTGATCTGCCTGCCTCGGCCTCCCAAAGTGCTGGGATTACAGGCACTGTGCCCAGACCTATTCATATAAATCTAACAAAATCCAGCAATCAGGTATAAGGAGATTTTATATAATGTGTGCTCCCAATTGCAACGTTGGTTAATTAAACATCTTCAAAAAATTTAAACTGCATTTATAAATTTGATATACAGTTTTTTTTCTTTTTTGTTTTTGAGACAAGGTCTCGCTCTGGCGCCCAGGCTGGAGTGCAGTGGCACAATCATGGCTCACTGCAGCCTCCACCTCCTGGGCTCAAGCAATCCTCTGACCTCAGCCTCCTGAATAGCTGGGACTACAGGTGTGTGCCACCACACCTGGCTAATTATTTTTTATTTTTTGTAGAGAGTAGGTTTTGCCACGTTGCCCAGGCAGATATACAGGATTTTAAAAAACTACTCTTTAATTGTTGACAGACAAGCCTTCTCAACTACTTATGTAACCCATAAGCCTGAAAAATTAAACTTATAAATATGCCTAGCCTTAAGTTGCTTTCTATTAATAATATTGTACATAAATTGAATAGAATTTCAATTTAAAATACATGTCTAAATTAGTTATTCAGTTACACATTTCAAATTAGACTTAGAAAGGTGAACTCTTACTCTAACTGGCTAAATTATATAACATTAAAAGAACATAAAATAAAATTCCCAAAATGTATGATCTCTTTAATTCAAATATTAATATCATGGGATTATTTATCTGAAATATACCTATAATTCATTCTGGATCTTCCTAGAACTTCAAGATGCACCCCATTAAGAATACTGGGTTATGTCACACAATTCTAGGGTTAAATTCTAACGAATTTTTTTTCCAGGCAGTAGGAGGGGAGTTGAATTCCCTGATTGCCTGAGGTCGCATAATGACCAGTGATTTCGGTGGGCGTGTTGTCTGGATTTTTTATCCACGACCCCGATAGGATGCATGTTGATTCACTATGCGTCTATGGCCTTTGTTTGTTCACTATGTTGATTGTTTATGTAACTTTTGTTAATTCCAGCGTGACCGTAAATAGCTGTATGTGGTAAGTTGCCTCTCTGTTGGGAGGAGTTCCTCTCTGCAGCTCTAGATGGAACAGCCTCTGTGGCCAAAGTGGGAAGCTGCTTAGCAATTGCTGCAGTGAGACCTGCTTTCAGGACATGTGTGTTTTATCCCAGATTCATCTGCTCTTACCTCGAGTCTGGGATCTTAACTCTGCTTGCTTCTTAGTTCAGCCATAGCTAATAAGGCAACGCATTGCTTACAGTAGCCCCAGCAGCATGTCTCTCTGGCTGCTACTTGGCGTCCTGCTCTCAGTACCCCCAGCAGTGCAGGGGCCACAGGCGTGGAAGTCTCAGAACTTCTGCCTACCTCCTCCTAGCCTTGCCTCCCCTAGTACAGCACCTGCCACCAATTTTTATTTTATTTTTAACAACATCATCTATTTTTTGCCACTTGCAGGAGGTCCCATTGTTCAAAATGTGGGTGCTGAGGGTGGGTCCCCACTCTGCAAGCTGATATTTCTCTGTCCAGCTTGGCCCCCGGTGAATGATTAAGAGGGGGCAGGTAGTGTGTGTGTTATGTGGGGTGGTGACCAGTGGGAGGGAATTTAGGCGGATTGGCTTTGCCCTGCAAAAGCCAGCCCTGGATGAAAGCGTGTGTTATTATTGATTTACTTTTCATGAAGGGCTCTTTGGTTCCAAAAAGGCCGGGAGTGATTAGTGCAGGTTAAGTTTGCCTGAATTCTTGCACGGTGGTGCAAGTTAAGTTTGCCTGAATTCTTATTTTGCCCCTTGCTTCTCTTCCTTCTTTTTGGGATTCTTGGTCTTGCATACCCAACTCAAAGCTGCCCTCTCCACATCTCAGCCCCTCAAGACTCATTCATTTAATCAGATCACCCAATGGGAACTGTGATATTTACAACAAATAAAGAACCCATCTCTCATAGGGCCGGGCGGCAAAGCCCCATGCAGTGGTTCTGAGCTCTGCCTCTGTCTGAGCTATCTGGGGACCTTGTTGACAAGAAAAGAGAAGCCCCTGTCCCCAGGAGTGCCTGATTCCGTAGGCTTGGGTTGGGGCTGAAGCTGGGGCTTGGCATGTGTATTTTTAACAAGCTCCCCAGGTGATCTTGCTACAAAGTTTGACAACTTTGAACTGTGCTATGGAAAAATAAGGAAGGGGACAGGCTTGGGGGCAGCCTCCCTCCTTGTGTTTTATCCATGTGACCTTAGGCAAGTTCCATTGTTACTCTGTGCTTCTTTTTCTCATCTCCAAAATGGGAATAATATGGTTCTTAGCCCTTAGAGTGCATATGACAATTAGATAATATTCATAAAGCACTTAGCACATAGTAAGTGCTCAATAAGACTTAGCTATGATTGTGATTATGAATATATTGTATAATAATTTATCAGTAACAGCGTTATTAACACAAAGCAGTAGGCACAGGGCTAGCATATAAAAACTATCAACAAATGTGAGTTTTATTATTATAAATATATAATACAGGTTGAGCATCCCTAATCCAAAATTTAAAAAGTAAAATGTCCCATAATCGGAAAGTTTTTTTTTGAGATGGAGTCTTACTCTGTCACCCAGGCTGGAGTGCAGTGGTGCGATCTTGGCTCACTGCAACCTCCACTTCCCGAGCTCAAGCGATTCTCCTGCCTCAATCTCCCAAGTAGCTGGGATTACAGGCGCCCACCACCATGCCCAGCTAATTTTTGTATTTTTAGTAGAGACAGGGTTTCACCATGTTGGCCAGGCTGGTCTTGAACTCCTGACCTCAAGTGATCCACCTGCCTTGGCCTCCCAATAATCGGAAACTTTTGAGCACTGGCATGACATCACAAGTGGAAAATTCCACACATAAAAACTTAACACAAACTTTGTTTAATGCAACACACTAAAAATACTGTACAAAATTACCTCCAGGTTATGTGTATAAGGTGTATATGAAACATAAATGAATTTCGTGTTTAAACTTGGGTCCCATCCCCAAGATAGCTCATGATGTATAATGCAAAGATTTCAAGACCTGAAAAAAATCTGAAATCTGAAACATGTCTGATCCCAAGTATTTCGGATAAGGGATACTCAACCTGTGTATGTTGCATAATATAAATATTGTTATATATATATAAATATATATATTTCAAATTATATTATGTATTATATATGAATTATCACATATGGGAGATCTATGACTGCTATGATGACATTATACAGTATACATATATAGTATAAATATGACATAATGTATTATTGTGTAAATGTTAAAATTATAAGGATCGTGTAAGGAAGTTATTACTACTGGACCTGCTGTCTAGTAAGTGCTCATTAAATATATAAACCCTTTTTTCTATTGTTTGTAATATCCATCAGCAGTAATAACGTAGAGAAAAGGAAAAACCATCAGCAATAGTGAGACAGCGGAGAGGGGGGCTCTTCCTTCCTGCAGAGGCAGCTGCCTGTGTTCCAGCATTCGGCGGGACTGCCCCAGACTGTTGGGTCCCTCTGCCTGGCCTCAGGGATCCGGTTCTCATTGGGATCCAGGGCTGGGGAGAGAAGGAAGGGCGCCTCTCCCAGGCCTCCAGCCCTCCCTCAGCAGGGGATTTTCTTGTGGATGCAAATTGGCCGGTTACTTGAGACGTTCTCCAGTCAAATAATTCTCTCCCCCGTCAGCTGGGCCGCCAAGCGCCAGGGATGTTATGACAATGGTCGCCCTGGCAACGGCGGGAAGGCGTCGGGGCTGCTGGCTGTGGCTGCCGCGATTTCATTACCCGCACGGGGTCTGCTCACCCGAGAACCTTAATAACACAACCAGGGACCCGGTCCTGCAGGTGCACTGTGCCCGCTTGGAAAAGGACTTGGGATTTATTTTTAGTGGCCTGGCGTTTAACCACCAAGGATGTTGGTTTATTGAAAGACCAAGAAAAATGTATTGAGCACCGACTGTATGCCAGGCACGGATCTGAACGCTGGGGAAATGACAGGCAAAGCCCGTGCTCTCTTGAGCTGACATGATGGGTGTGTGGTGGTGGTGGGGGGGAGGCGTAACCATGGAAACCAATAAACAGGATGATTTGTGAGATAGCAAAGTGCCACCAAGGAAAGAAAGCAGGGCGGCGTGATGGTGGCATTGAGAGGAGCTTGGGCAGAGGTGACACCTGAAGGAACGGAAAGGGCTGTTTATGCCTAAAGCTGACAGAAGAGCTCTCGCCGGTGGGACAAGCAAGTTCAAAGGCTGGAGCTCTTTGCTGCTCATGTGTACCTTTAGGGAGAAGGCAGCGATTATGGGGTGCTGACGGGCAGTCCTGAGGGACACAGAGGGCTCTGGAGCCTGCCTCTTTATGTGTGTGACCATAAGGCCAGCCCTGTTCCATTACTGAGCCTCAGTTTTCTCGTGTGTAAAATGGGCTGAGAGCCAAGCCCCTTCCCTTGGCGCTGCTGCGAGGTTTACACCAGGGATGGTTCTTGCAAGGGCCTGGTCCCTAGAAGGCCCCCATGGTGTCCTGCATTCCCTCCCAGCTTTCACGGACTCCGCTTTCGTTCTTAAAAAAAAAAAAAAAAAATAGCACCTAAGGGGTGAGGATTTGGAGCTCTGTCAAACCCAACGGCCAGGACGTTCCCGGAGGTCTCTGGGTTGGATTTGGGTTTAGATTCGGAGTGAAAAGTTCCCCATTTCACATTAGGGATTTCAGACACAATTATTTTTAGCTCTGTCACATGTCTTGACTTTTTGATTTTTTTTGTTGTTGTTGTTTATGCTGCTAAATTTACCGCCATGCTAATACAGAGTACAGTAATAAGGCGCTGCGGATGCTCGGATGGGCCAAGGCCCGGAAAATTTTCCATCTGTCGTGGAAGGTGCCAGGCTGCCCCCTGGTGTGGAGATGGAAAATTACACCTCCGGGCTCCAGCTCCGTCGGATTTCCGCAACCTGTGATCCCTCTAACCCCAGGCCCAGGGGACCTCATTCTACACCTGGGCAGTGCAGAGTCAGACGGTGGGCTCGGCTTAGATGTGCTATTTCCAAAAGTCCTGTGTTTCTTTATTTGAAGATGGAACCTTTGGGTTTTTTTTTTTCTTCTTCTTCTTCAGTTTGGCTCTGCATGGACTTGAATTGAGGTCGACCTAAATATCAATTAGGCCGCCTGGCAGGGTGAAGCCATACAAAGGCCCTTTTCTAATTGTGCTTCTCAACCGTTGATGGTCTGTTTCAGCAGAGAATCGTGAAGAGAGCACGGGACTGGGAACTAGAGGTCCTGAGTTCAAATCACGATCCCGATGCTGCTTTATCTGTGTGATCACGGGCACAATTCCAGCAATTCCAAGGCCTGGTTTCCCCATCTGTAGAATGATATTTACAATCGGGCCAGGTACTGTGGCTCATGCCTGTAATTCCAGCACTTTAGGAGACCAAGGCAGGAGGATTGCTTGAGGTCAGGAGTTTGAGGCCAGCCTGGGCAACATAGCAAGACTCTACCTTTACAAAAAATGAAAAAATTAGCTGGGTGTGGTGACACACGCTTGTGGTCCTAGCTACTTGGGAAGCTGAGGTGGGAGGATTGCTTGAGTTCAGGAGGTTGATGCTGCAGTGAGCTATGATTGTGTCACTGCACTCCAGCCTGGACAACAGAGCAAGACCCTGTCTCAAAACAAGTTGAAAAAAAAAATCTAACACTCACTTCAGCATTGTCATGATACTCAAGGAACCATTCTGGAAAATAATTTATTTAGAGATGTTGGTAGATTAAGATGAATACCTGAAATTCACCGAGTAGAAGGGTCAGTGCCTTTCCCGCCTTCTGCGGTAAAGAAAGAATCAGCTTTATCTTTTCTGACATTTTGCAGCCAATACTTTTGTGAAATAGAATAAAGATGATTTGCGAGGGAAATGAAATGCAAAAAAACGCAAACAACATCCAGTGCTCACTTTGAAAAAATTAGATTGAATAGACATAAGACTACTCCATCAAATAGCTATAAAAGTATCTAAATGCTCTCTCTTGATTTCTGTGCTTATCCAAAGGTACAGATAAGGCACCTGTCTTCAGGTGCCACCTGAAATAGCCCACCTTAAAGGCAGGGGTGGTGTGTAGTTGATTTTTGTATCCCTTGTTGTCTGTATTTTGAAAGCACCTCAGCCAGGCGCCGTGGTTCATGCCTGTAATCCCAGCACCTTGGGAGGCCAAGGCAGGCGGATCACTTGAGGTCAGGAGTTCGAGACCAGTCTGGCCAACATGGTGAAACCCCATCTCTACTAAAAACACAAAAATTAGCCGGGTGTGGTGGCACGCACCTGTAATCCTAGCTACCGGGGAGGCTGAGGCACGAGAATCGCTTGGACCCGGGAGGTGGAGGTTGCAGTGAGCCGAGGTCATGCCATTGTACTCCATCCTGGGCAACAGAGTGAGACTCCATCTCAAAAAAAAAAAAAAAAAGCACCATGAACATCTTTAAATGAACGAATGAGGCCTTGCTTCTCTTAGAATAAACGTGGAGCTCCCATTATTATTATCTTATGATATGGAACATGGCCTTTTTTTTTTTTTTTCTTTTGAGACAGAATCTCGCTCTGGTGCCCAAGCTGGAGTGTAGTGGTGCATATCGGCTCACTGCAACCTCCGCCTCCCGGGTTCAAGCAATTCTCCTGTCTTAGCCTCTGGAGTAGCTGGGATTACAGGCATGCGCCACCATGCCCTGTTAATTTTTGTATTTTTAGTAGAGATGGGGTTTCACCATGTGAGCCAGGCTGGTCTCAAACTCCTGACCTCAGGTGATCTGCTTGCCTCGGCCTCCCAAACTGATGGGATTACAGGCCACTGTACCTGGCGGGCACATGGCTTTTTAAAAGGCGTCTCTCTTGACTTGGCATCCTTGATGCCCGCACTGAACCCTGGCTGCCCTTCTGTTCTGGTTCCTGCCACGTGGCCTTGTGATTTGCATTTGCACATCTGTCTTCCCTGCCCACTGGGAGCCCCTTCAGGCCTGGACAGGTGCTGACTGCTTTGGAAGCTGCTTGGAAAATGAGCCTATTGTACAAATGAGCCCACAGCCCTTGGAGAGGGGACTGATTGTTGAGGGTGCTGAACCCTGGCTTCTAGAATGGGGTTTCTGCCCTGTGTTTATTGTCCAAGGACCCAGATCCTTCGGCTTGACTGAGAAACTACTTTCATTATGTAATTGTTCAGACAGTAGAGGGATGTTTCTCATGCTTGCCTGATTCTTGGAACCATTAGAGTCCTCAGTGTTTTCACAGATTCCTGGGCTGTCTCCAGATTCACTGAATCAGAATTTCTAAGAGATGGGCCTAGAAATTTGATTTTTTTTTTTTTTTGGAGACAGCGTCTTGCTCTGCTGTCCCTGTGGGACTGCAGTGGTGTGATTCATGGCTCACTGCAGCCTGGAACTCCTGGGCTCAAGGGATCCTCTTGCCTCAACCTCCCCAGTAGCTGGGACTACAGGTGCACAGCACCATGCCTTACTAATTTTTAATTTTTGGTGGAGATGGGGGTCTTGCTATGTTGCCCAGGCTGGTCTTGAACTCCTGGCCTTAAGCGATCCTCCAGCCTCAGCCTCACGAGTAGCAATGTTTGATTTTTAACAGACATCTTCAGTTGAAGCTTATGATTGGAAACTGAGGAAAGAGGGAAATAATGTGAAATTATCTAGTACCTTGGGTGAGCTGCCTAAACCCTGTGGTTCTCTGTTTTCACATTTGTAAATAAGATGGGGTTATTATTGAGGCTACTGTGATGGTTCAGTGAAATAATGTATCAAGTACGTAGCAGAATGCCTGGCATATTTATTTAATGCCTGTCATACTTATTTAATGAGATGGCTGACATTAAGGATGGCCTGTGTGTCTTTATGATTGGCAAATGTCTGATTTTCAAGTGATTTGTAACTTACTATCATATAGGTAATTCAGGCTTATAGAAAAATAAATGGGGAATAGTGGCTTGTGCCTGTAATTGCAGCTATTCAGAAGGCTGAGGTGAAAGGATTGCTTGAAGCCAGGAGTTTGAGACCAGCCTGGGCAACATACCAAGACCCCCTCTCTTAAAAAAAATCCATATCTTATTGAAAAATTATAAGATATAGAAGGACAGAAATAAGAAAATAAATTTCACCTATCATAACCCAGAGATGCAGTTGCCAGCCTTTTTTCTCTTTTCTCTCTCTCTGTGTGCAAATATATATATCTATCTATCTGTATAAATGCATTTTGCATTCAGAAACTAGGGTTATACTATACCTTTTGTTTTGGCTGCTGTGTGGTTTCATCTGACATTTTTTTTTTTTTTGAGACAGGGTCTCATTCTGTTGCCCAGGCTGGAGTGCAGTGGCACGATCTCGGTTTCCTGGTTTACTGCAACCTCCGCCTCCTGAGTTCAAACAATTCTCGTGCCTCAGCCTCCTGATAAATGGGATTACAGGTGTACGCCACCACACCCGGCCATTTTTTGTAGTTTTAGTAGTGACGGGGTTTCACCATGTTGTCCAGGCTGCTCTTGAACTCCTGACCTCAAGTGATCCTCCTGCCTCGGTCTCCCAAAGTGCTGAGACTACAGGTGTGAGCCACCGCGCTTGGCCTGGCGTGACATTCCTTGTGTGTTAATAAGAGTTTGTTAGACTTGGGTTCAAATCCCAGTTTATCCGCTTAGTAGCTTGATGACCTTGGGCAAGTTATTTGACACTTCTAGGTCTCAATTTCTTCCTTTGTACAATGGGGACAGTGATTGGACCCATATCACATTCCTCCAGCGTTGTGGAAAATTAAAGAAGATAATTCATAAAACGTGCTCATTACAGCATTTGGCTCGAAGCATATCCCTGTTAACTGACAGCTACAGTTTTTCTGCAACATTAATCCTGGAAAACTAGGAGAAAGAGCTGCTCTTTCCCAGGATCCCTGTTTGGGAAGCACTGCTCGATCTCTGCCCAACACAGCTTCACACTCTGTGCAGTTTTCTGGGTTTTTCCCTGCTCGGCTGAGTACACTCTTGTTCCCCAAGATGATTCTCATTCCCTTTTGCCTCAAGGGCAAGGCCAGAACTCAAGGCCACTGTCCCCACTTGTCTCCTTTACTCCATCTGCTTCCTAAACTCACTCCTCCCATTTCTAATGTATCATAATTGGAGTACCCCTTGGTTCTAGCTCCTTGGCAAGCGCAGGATCTCAGTCTCTTGGTGACCTGGGAAACACCTCCCCAGAATCCACATCCCCCTTCAACAAGTAGGACATGAGTGTATGGGGTATCTACTGCACAGATAATTTTTTTTTCTTTTCTTTTCTTTTTGAGACAGTGTCTCGCTCCGTCTTGCCCAGGCTGGAGTACAGTGGTGCGATCTCGGCTTACTGCAGCCTCTGCCTCCAAATCCAAGCGATTCTCCTGTCTCAGCCTCCCGAGTAGCTGGGACTACAGGCATGTTCCACCACACCCGGTTAATTTTGTATTTTTAATAGAGATGGGGTTTCACTATGTTGGCCAGGCTGGTCTTGAACTCCTGACCTCAGGTGATCCACCCGCCTCTGTCTCCTAAAGTGTTGAGATTAAAGGTGTGAGCCACCACGTCTGGCTGAGAATATCTTATGTAATGCCTCAGCAGGCCTGCGAGGAAAGGTGGAATACACCTGTTTTACAGATGAGAAAGTGGAGGCTCAGAGAGCTGAAGTGACTTGCCCAAACCTCAGAGCTAGAATTCGGGAATTCACTTAGAAGGCTTCCTAAGATGAATAAGGCCCTCTCTCTGCCCCTGAGGGGTCGATGCCCAACTTTTGCACTTCCAGGTCAGTGGGAAGGAGCCGTGAACAGCTCCTAGCATAGTGTCCTGGTAAAGAGACAGAGCTTTGGGATCACACCCTGGTGCTCCCATTTCAATAGCTCTGTGGATCTCAGCAAATGATTTAGCCTGTTGAAGTTTCAGTCTTCCTGTTTGTAGAATGGGCTGAAAGTACCAGCCTCACAGCTAGCATTGTCACATGGATTAAAAGGAACAAACACATTCACGGCACTTGGCTTGCGATGCCAGGCATACTGTAAATGTTTAGTACATGGCAGCTGTGATGGTGGCTGTTATTCCTGAAAATGCTTTATTGTCGTTGACAAAGGCGTCCCAGCAGACATCACAGAACTGCTCACATCATGGGCTTTTCACCCAGGTATCAAAGGAATCCTTCATGCAGAAGATTAAAAAGAACGAGGCAGATCTGTACGAACTAACGGGGAAAGACCCTCAGGGCTTACTACTAAGTGAAAAAAGCAAGTGCACAAAAGTGCATGCTGTATGATATCATTTATGTGAGAGGAAAAAAGAAATCGTCCACAGAAAGCCACATTGCAGAGTTTCAATAGATCTGTATGTATTTGTGAAAATTCACAGATCAACATCTGGAAAGATGGGCACCTAACTAGTCTCAGTGATTACCCGCTCTACCTCCAGGGATGGGGATCTGCATTCGTGGGAGCGGTCAAAGGGAGCTCTGGCCTTATCTGAAATGCTCAAACTTTGTTTCTTTCTTTTTTTTGAGATGGAGTCTTGCTGTGTCGCCCAGGCTGGAGTGCAGTGGCGTGATCTCTGTTCACTGCAACCTCCGTCTCCTGGGTTCAAGCAATTGTCCCACCTCAGGCTCCTGAGTAGCTGGGATTATAGGCGCCCGCCACCACACCCATCTAATTTTTGCACTTTTAGTAGAGTTGGGATTTCACCATGTTGGTCAGGCTGGTCTCAAACTCCTGACCTCAGGTGATCCACCCACCTCGGCCTCCCAAAGTGCTGGGATTACAGGCGTGAGCCACCGCGCCTGGCCTGAAATGTTCTAACTTTCTTACAAGGAAAATATATGCGGCCAGGCATGGTGGCCCACTCTTATAATGCCAGCACTTTGGGAGGCCGAGGTGGGAGGACCACCTGAGGTCGGGAGTTCGAGACCAACCTGGTCAACGTGGCACAAAACCTCATCTCTACTGAAAATACAAAAATTAGTTGAGTGTGGTGGCACGCACCTGTGGTCCCACCTACTCGGGAGGCTGAGGCAGGAGACTCGCTTGAACCTTGGAGGCAGAGATTGCAGTGAGCTGAGATCACGCTACTGCAGTCCAGCCTGGGTGACAGAGTAAGACTCTGTCTCAAAAAAAAAAAGAAAAGAAAATATATGCATGCATTTATTAAATAATTAAAATAAATTAAAATGAGGTTATCCTTTCTGTAACTTTGGAGTGTTTGAATTAGACTGGGTTTGAATCTCGGCTCTGCACTTACTAGCTGTGTGATTGTGAGCAAATGACTTAACTTCTCTGTGCCTAGTTTCTTCTTTGGTACAATGTAGATGTTAATAGGACCTAGTTCCTGGGAATGTAAGGATATATTGAAATAATGCATGTGTGACCTTCAGCATGGGCCTGGCACATGGGGGAAGTGCTCAGTAACGGTACTTTTATTTTTATTGTTTTTTCTTTTTAATTTTTTTTTTTTTTGAGACAGAGTCTTGCTGTGTTGCCCTGGCTGGAGTGCAGTGGCGTGATCTCGGCTCACTGCAACCTCCACCTCCTGGGTTCAAAAGATTCCTACCTCAGCCTCCTGAGTAGCTGGGACTACAGATGTGCACCACCATGCCTGACTAATTTTGTATTTAGTAGAGACAGGGTTTCACTATGTTGACCAGAATAGTCTCGAACTCCTGACCTCAGGTGATCCACCCACCTTGGCCTCCCAAAGTGCTGGGATTACAGGCATGAGCCACTGTGCCCGGCCGTATTTTTATTGTTATATTTATTTCATTTACTCTTCCAAATCTAGCAAGGACACCTTAACCCTTTAAGGGATCTAGTGTCTTCTTTGTCAGTCAGTTATAATGCAAGAAAAATTGTGAATAATTCTATAACACAGTGTGTATAAATAAAGTCCCAAGAAAGAATTTATAAAGTCCCAAGAAAGAATTTATAAGGTCCTGCTGGAGCAGGTGGCATTTGAGGTGGGCTTTGGAGAAAAATTCAGATTTTCATGCGTTGATGTGGTGGTGTATCAGTTAGCTACGGGTCCCCATAATGCTGTGTAACAAACACAAAACCCCAGTGGCACATAACATAAGCATTTATTGGCCATGCCTCTGGGATCAGCAGTAGATTGGTGGCTCATCTGATCTGAGATGGCCTCACTTATAGCCAATAGCCAGGCAAGAGTTGGCTGTCAACTGCGCTAGGATGGTTTTGGCTGGGACGTCTGGGAAAACCTGACTCTGCACCATGTAGTCTCTTATCCTTCAGCTGACTAGCCTGGGCACATTCTTATGAAGATGACAGGGGTCCAAGCCAGCAGGTAGAAGCACACAGGCCTCCTATTGGCCGAGGCAAGTCACATGGCCAGCGTCATTGAAAAGGCGTGGACACAGACTGCACCTCTTTGGTGAATTAACTGCAAAGTGACATTGCAAAGGGTATGGACACAGGAGGGGTGTAAAGGATTCAGGTCATTTTTATAGCCTTCCTCAGGTGGGTGTGGAAAGGACTTCCAGACAGGAGGAATCAGAGAGGTGACATTTGGGGTCCTGCATGTGTTTAGGGAATTTTCCCTTTTTTTTTTTAAATACAAGGTCTCGCTTTGTTGCCCAGGCTGTAGTGCAGTGGCATGAACACAGCTCACTGCAGCTTCGACCTCCCAGGCTCAAGCCATCCTCCCACCTCAGCCTCCTGAGTATCTGGGACCACAGGCACACAACACCATGCCTGGATCATTTTTGTATTTTTAGTAGAGACAGGGTCTTACCATGTTGGCCAGGCTGGTCTCGAACTCATGAGCTCAAGCGATCCTCCCACCTTGGCCTCCTAAGGTGCTGGGATTGCAGGTTTGAGCCACTGTGCCTGGCCCTGTTTAGGGAATTACATGGAAATGAATGAGGCAAGGAAGGAGAAATGGAGTAGGGTTAAGCCCCAAGTAATAGTTTAAGGAGTCAGAACTTTCTTTTGTAGGACAGTGTTTCTCCAAATGCATCAGTTTGATACCACCATCATACTTTTTGCCATATCTGTGTATTTTCTTTAAATCGACTCATTTTTTTTTTAATTTTTTTTGAGACTGAGTATTGCTCTTGTTGCCCAGGCTGGACTGCAATGGCATGATCTTGGGTCACTGCAACCTCCGCCTCCCGGGTTCAAGCGATTCTCGTGCCTCAGCCTCCCGAGTAGCTGAGATTACAGGCATGCGCCACCATGCCCGGCTAGTTTTGTATTTTTAGTAGAGATGGGGTTTCTCTATGTTGGTCAGGCTGGTCTCAAACTCCCGACCTCAGGTGGTCCACCAGCCTCGGCCTCCCAGCGTGCTGGGATTATAGGCGTGAGCCACTGTGTCCGGCCGAATCAACTCAATTTTTTAACATACATGTATTTAAAAATTAAGCCATGTGTAACTATTGTAATGGAAAACTAGTATCACTTGGCATAAATGGAAGGCAATGAAGAAAATAAATGCAATGTAACACAAGTGTCATGAAATTGTGTTGCATATTGTTATCTGCCCAAGGCTCTGAGACTGTGTCCTGTGCTCCGTTATAAAGAGAGCAGTGGCCCATGCCTATAATCCCAGCACTTGGGGAGGCTGAGGCAGGAGGAGTGCTTGAGTCCAGGAGTTAGAGACCAGCCTGGGCAACCAAGTAAAGCCCGTCTCTACAAAAAATTAAAAAAGGCGTGGTGTGGTGGCCCATGCCAGGCATGGTGGCACATACCTGTTGTCCCAGCTACATGAGAAGCTGAGGTGGGAGGATGGCTTGAGCCCAGGAGGTCAAGACTGCAGTGAGCCATGATCATGCCACTGTACTCCATCCTGGGCGACAGAGTGAGAATTTGTTTCAAAAAAAAAAAAAAAAGAGAGAGATTAGCAAGTGTTACAGAGGTTAGAGAGTTGTTAAAGACATAGTATCATTCAACAGAGACTATCTCCTTGATATAGTCAGATGGCTGGAGAAAAATTTGGACAGAGAAGAAAGTGCTCGCTATGCTATATGATACGATGTTATTTAACACTATGCCTGGGTACCACCTCTCAAGTTATCAGTGATACCTACAGTTGGGAAACACTACTATTCTCCAGCAGATGTTTGCATAAGGTAGTACCATGGTTCCACTGGTCCTGCCATTTAACTTCTGGTCTTAGCCTAGTTTTTCAATTTTCTGTGACTTTTTTAAAGGCACGAGGCATGACGTCACTGGCTTCCAAGTTGATATTACCTCTTTTGTTTAAGAAATTGAGGCTGGGCATGGTGGCTCACACCTGTAGTTCCAGCACCTTGGGAGGCTGAAGTGAATGGATTAGTTGAGCCCAGGAGTTCAAGACCAGCCTGGGTAACATGGTGAGACCCTGTCTCAGAAAAGAAAAGAAAAGAAGTTGATAAAGCATGGTCATTTATTATTATTTTTTAAAGGGACCAGATCCTTATTTCTTTTGCAATGTTTGAAATACAACATAGGCATACATAGATATAGAATAATGAACAGTAAAACGTCATTTATTCAGAAGAAAAGGCTGAGGAAAACCACTTGGTAAAAAGCCCGATTTGCAGATATTGCCAATGATGTAAGTTTGTATATCTTTCATGTAATTTCTATAAATAGGATGGATTAAGTTAAACCCTACTAATTTCAAAATCAGAACTTAAATTACAAATTAGGAAGACACAGTTTTCTATCCGATTAAAA
Organism: Homo sapiens; assembly: GCF_000001405.40. Classification (NCBI taxonomy): domain Eukaryota; kingdom Metazoa; phylum Chordata; class Mammalia; order Primates; family Hominidae; genus Homo; species Homo sapiens. The sequence continues at coordinate 117,865,209 of NC_000012.12, read as the reverse complement.
GTACATTATCTTGCAGTATAACTGTAACCTGTACTTTAAACAAACTAGATAAATGATATATTTGGCTTTTAAAGAATGTTTAGTAATTTAAACCTGATTAGTTTTTTATTTTATTTTTTAAATTAATTAATTATTTTTATTATTTTTTGAGATGGAGTCTCGTTCTGTCACCCAGGTCCCTTATCTAGGATGAATGCAGTGTCTTTGCAGACAGATGGTCAGACGGGGGTGGTCAGGGCTTCATTCTTGCTTTTGGTGTCTTTCAAACGTCCATGTTCTGGTTCCAGTTGTGATCCCTCAAGATTCAAATGTTGAAATCCTAATCCTCAATGTCTCAGAATATGACCTTATCTGGAAATAGGGTTGTTGCAGATGTAATTAGTTTAGATGAGTTCATACTAGTCCAATATGGCTGATGTCCTTGTAAAAAGGGAAAATTTGGACACAGTCACACATACAGGGAGAATGCTATGTGAAGATTGAAGTTTGGCTGCCACAAGCCACGGGATTCTCAGAAGTGAGGAGAGGGGCCTGTAGCAGGGCCTTCCGCAGTGCCTTCAGGGGGAGCATGGCCTCACCGACACCTTGATTTCAAACTTCTAGCGTCCAGAATGGTGAGACTGGAAATGTTTGCTGTTCGAATCATCCAACTTGTGGTACTTTGTTACAGCAGTCCTAGTAAACTAATGTAGCCCAGAACTCACGTTTTGGAGTAAATCTCAGTCCCTTCAGTGGATAATCTAGGCTATATATATATGTGTGTGTGCGCAATGCATGTATGTATACATATACACACATTTACATCAACATTTATTTTTATATCTATATGTATGGGGTAACTCTTCCCAAACCAATACCACAGGATTTAGTCTAGCTTTTCCTATCCCACATCCGTGTCATTCTTCTCAGACAGGAAGAAAAATAATGCTCAGTAGATTTGTTTATTTGCTCAGTTTTCTGTATTTACCTAATCTCCCCACTTCATTGGGCCATTGCTATTTCTGGATGCTCTTCTTGGATGGTTGTCTCATGGGGCCCTGACCTCTGCTGGGGCTGCCTTTCCTCAGCCCCTCCCCTCTCCTCCAGGTAGAGTTGAACCACTTGCCCGGGTAAGTGCACAGGTGTGGTGGGCTAAATAACAGTCCCCCAATCATTTCTACCTCCTAATCCCCAGAAGTTGTGATTGTGTGACCATACATGGGAAAAAGGACTTTGCAGATGTAAGATAAGGATCTTGAAATGGGGAGATTGCCCTGGGTTGTCTGGGTGGGCCCCAGATCATTGCAAGGGTCTGTATAAGAGGGAAGTAGGAGGGTAAGGGGCAGTAGCAGGAGATGTGGTGATAGAGGAAGTGGAGTGATGTGGGGAAGGGGCCAGAAGCCAAGGGATGCGGGCGGCCTCTGATCACCGAAAAGGGAAGGAAACTGATTCTTGCCTGGAGCCTCTGGAAGGAACCAGCCCTGTTGACATCTTGACTTTAGCCCCGTGAGACTGATTTGGGACTTTTGATCTCCAGAACTGCGAGATCAGTATGTTTGTGTTGTTTTTAGCCACTTAGTATGTGGTTATTCATGACAGCAGCCACAGGAAACCAGTATACCAGGGATGCCAAGACTCCCTCAAGGAGGTGGATTCGATGTTCTTTAATTTCCCTATGAGTCAGGAGGCTTTAGCAACAGAAATCCAGCTCACTGCAGCTTAAGCAAAAGAAGAGAATTTATTAGCACACATCACTGCAGAGTCCAGGGAGATCTGGTTTCTCCGCTCACTGCTGGGGCTCAGATGATGGGTGTGGCTGGGAATGTGACTCCATCTCTTGGCTCTGCTGTCTTCTAAATGGGCTTCAGTGTCAGGAGGCTTCCAGATGGCAGCAGGGACGATGGTCCAGGCAGCTCTTGTCTTCCATGACACCACCTGGCAGCTCTTTAGGGTGTGCTATGGCTATGTCTTGAGTGCTTGGAAGAGGTCCTGGTGGGGTCTCAGTGGCCCAGTTGGATCCATGATTGCCCTTGACCCAAGTACAGCTGTTTGGTGGGGCCTGGGTCACATGCGCATCCTGCAGCTGTGATGGGGTGATACAATGGGAACAGCCTCACATCAGCCGGATGGACTGTGGGCCAAAGAAGGGAGGTTCCTTGAAAGAAAGTTGACATGTTCTTTTCGGTAAAAGGGGGAATGGAAGGCCGGGTGCGGTGGCTCACGCCTGTAATCCCAGCACTTTGGGAGGCTGAGGCAGGTGGATCACGAGATCAGGAGATCGAGACCATCCTGGCTAACACGGTGAAACCCCATCTCTACTAAAAATGCAGAAAATTAGCCAGGCGTGGTGGCAGGTGCCTGTAGTGCCAGCTACTCGGGAGGGTGAGGCAGGAGAATGGAGGGAACCCAGGAGGCGGAACTTGCAGTGAGCCGAGATCGCGCCACTGTACTCCAGCCTGGGCGACAGAGCGAGACTCCGTCTCAAAAAAAAAAAAAAAAAAAGGGGGGGAATGGAGACCAGATAGCAAAAGCAACAGAAGCCCATGACAACCATCCCAGGCTCCAAGTTTTGTTTTGTTTTGTTTTGAGTGATGGTCTCACTCTGTCAGTTAGCATTGAGTGCAGTGGTATGATCATGGCTCACTGCAGCCTCCACCTCCTGGGCTCAGGTGATCCTCCCACCTCAGCCTCCTGAGTGAGGATTTTTATTTTATTTTATTTTATTTTTGTAGAGACAGGGTTTCACCATATAGCCCAGGCTGGTCTCAAACTCCTGGGCTCAAGCAGTCCTCCCGCCTTGGCCACCCAGAGTGCTGGGGTTACAGGTGTGAGCCACGGCACCTGGCCCTCCGAATTTTTTGATCCTAGAATTCAGACTTTGTTCTTGATAAATGTTGGTTGACTGTGTTTTAAAATGCCACAGACACCTCCATACCTAATTCTAATTTTGTTTTATTTAATTATCTTTATTAAATACATTTTAAATTAAAAAGATGATAATATAGGCCAGGTTTGGTGGCACTCACCTGTAGTCCTAGCTACTTTGGTGGCTGAGGCAGGAGGCTCTCTTGAGCCAGGGAGTTCAAGGCTGCAGTGAGCTATGATTGCACCACTGCACTCCAGCCTGGGCAACGGAACAAGGCCTTGTCTCTTAAAAAAAAAAAAAAAGATGATAATATATTATATCTCAGGTAACTACTGAATGCATACAAAAAAATGTATATAAAGAAATACTTGACCCAAGTTAGAAGCCTGGAGTTTATTCTTCCAAATTGTTTTCTCTGCTCAGACACACAGGTATTGCCTTTCTTTGGTTAATGTTGTGAGATTTTACAAACTCAGCAATAAAAAACTTTCTTTTCTCATGTTATGGGATCCCTCCAGAGGCCTGGGTTCAGGTCTATCTCATTTTAAAAGAGTTAATTTTGGGATGCTTTTGTAGGACTTACAGTTCAAACAGCACAAAAGAGTTTAAATAAAATGTTTCCCCCACCCTTTTTCCCCACCCTTCCTCTTCCCTCCCCTAAAGAATTGGGAGTCCTCGGCTGGGCGCGGTGGCTCATGCCTGTAATCCCAGCACTTTGGGAGGCCGAGGCGGGCAGATCCCCAGGTCAGGAGATCGAGACCATCCTGGCTAACATGGTGAAACCCCGTCTCTACTAAAAATACAAAAAATTAGCCGGGTGTGGTGGCGGGCGCCTGTAGTCCCAGCTACTCGGGAGGCTGAGGCAGGAGAATGGCGTGAACCCGGGAGGCGGAGCTTGCAGTGAGCCGAGATCACGCCACTGCACTCCAGCCTGGGCGACAGAGTGAGACTCCATCTCAAAAAAAAAAAAAAAAAAAAAAAAAAAAGCGAATTGGGAGTCCTTGTGGACAGAGTTTCTGTATTTACAAAGATATACACAGGGAAACATTTTCCTTATGAATGGGAGAGTATTTATTTTTATTTATCAGTGTACCCTGGAGACTGCTCTCTGGCAGTACAGAGCCTGCTTCGTGATTTGATTTTAGAGCTGCATAAGTTTCTTTGTTGGCTGTAGCATCCTTTATGTAACGAGTCTCCTACTGATGGACTCTCAGAATGTTTGCAGTCCTTTGCTATTGCAAACAGAACTGTAGGGAAGTAGCCTCTTGTACAGTCCTTCTGCACAGGATGGGTGTCTGTTGGAGGAGTTCCTGCAAATGGAATTGTTGGATCAAAGCATGTGTGCAGGCCGGGCGCAGTGGCTCACGCCTGTAATCTCAGCACTTTGGGAGGCCGAGGCGGGTGGATCACATGGGGTCACGGGTTTGAGACCAGCCTGGCCAACGTGGTAAAACCCCATCTCTGCTAAAAATACAAAAATTAGCCAGGCATGGTGGCGCGCGCCTGTAATCCCAGATACTTGGGAGGCTGAGGCCGGAGAATTGCTTGAACTTGGGAGGTGGAGGTTGCACTGAGCAGAGATCACGCCATTGCACTCCAGCCTGGGTGAAAGAGCAAAACTCCATGTCAAAACAAAAGAAAACAAAAACAGAAAAAGATGTGTGCAATTGTGAGATCAAAAGGCCCTCCACTGAACTGGTACTAATGTGCGCCGCCTCCCCCAACCCCAAGCAAGATGCTAGAGCCGCCTGTTTGACCATCTTCACCAACGAGGTGGAAAGATGGGTGCCAAACTGGATCTCACTGTAGCGGAACCAGTCTTTAAAATAGAGTTGGCTGGGTTTAGGGTGGGGGTTCGTAGGGGGTTCTCGCCTCTCTTCCTTGTGTCACTGCCTCTGAGATGTGTCCTCTGTCCTCGTCTGTGTCTCCACAGAGCAAGCTGGTGAAGTACTTCAGCCGGCAGCTGTCCTGCAAAAAGAAGGTAGCCTTGCAGGAGCGCAACGCGGAGCTGGACGGCTTCCCCCAGCTACGGCACTGGTTCCGAATCGTCGATGTGCGCAAGGAGGTCCTGGAGGTGACCTGGGGGGCCCCTGTGTCCCCTGCCCCTTACTGGCCAGCAGCTACCCCCTGTGTTGCTCTTGAGCTGCAGGTTTCTGGCTGTGCCCAGCACAGTCCCTGGCACATAGCAGGCTCTCAATAAATATGTGCTGGACGAAAACATTCAGGATCGCTGATGCTGTCTGAATGGGGTCATTGAGAGTGTGCTTCCAGAGTCAGTTAGAACCCTCCAGCTCTGCCACATATTCACAGAGTCACCTTGGCCAAATCACTTCACTTCTTAGTCCAGCGCTGTCCAGTGGAACTTTCTGCTACGATGGAAATATTTTCTATCTGTGCTGCCGGCTGTGGTAGCCACTTGTGGTTAGGACATGTGATTGAGATTTTAAATTGTGTTTAACATTAATTAATGGGGCCCGTGGCTGCCATATCGAACGATGCTTTCTTAGAGCATTAATATTACCATCTGTGAAATGTGCATAATGATTGTCATCTCTTCTTAAATAGCCGACATCATAGAATGAGATGATTTTTATAAAATGTTCAACTCAGCTGGGCGCAGTGGCTCATGCCTGTGATCCCAGCACTTTGGGAGGCCAAAGCAGATGGATCGCTTGAGCACAGGAGTTTGGGACCAGCCTGGGCAACATGGCGAAACTCCATCTCTACAAAAAATACAAAAATTAGCCGGGTGTGGTGGTGCATGCCTGTGGTCCTAGCTACTTGGGAGGCTGAGGGAGGAGGATCACCTGAGCCCAGGAGGTTGAGGTTACAGTGAGCTATGATCATGCCTCTGCACTCCAGCCTGGGTGACAGAGTGAGACCCTGTCTCAAAAAAAAAAAAATAAATAAAAAACAAAAAACGAAAAAAACAGGCCAGGCGCGGTGGCTCATGCCTGTAATCCCAGCACTTTTGGCAGATCACTTGAGGTCAGGAGTTTGAGGCCAGCCTGGCCAACATGGCAAAACCCCGTCTCTACTGAAAGTACAAAAATTAGCCGGGCATGGTGGTGCACGCCTGCAGTCCCAGCTACTCGGGAGGCTGAGGCAGGAGAATAGCTTGAACCTGTGAGACAGATGTTGCAGTGAACTGAGATCCCACCACTGTACTCCAGCCTGGGTGTAGAGAAAGACTCTGTCTCAAAAAAAAAAAAAAAAAAAAAAAAAGTTCAGCTCATATTCTGGCACCAAATAGCACTCAGTAGATGCCAGCCTGTTACTGTTGTGAGCATCTGACATCTTATGTCCGCTCTCAAAGATTAGACCACGTTCTTAACATCTTGAGGATTGTGAGATTTTCTTACCCCCTGGGATCCCAGAGACCGACTCATTTGCAGTGACAGGGCCAAGCCAAACCTAATAAAACCAGCGGACATCACTGCATCTTTCATGCCAGGCATTGTGCAAAGGGTTTTGCACTTAGGATCTCAACTGCTGAGACTGTTCAGCCTCCTCGCAATGACCTTTTGAGTAGGTGTGACTGTTATCCCCCTTGTACAGAGTGGGAAACTGAGGCTCAGAGCTAAGTGAGTAGTCTAGCTGGCAAGTGGATGGGGCTAGCAGGATGTCCAGCTCAGATGGACAGCAAAGCTTTAGGTCAGAAGCACTGTGCATTAGCCTTGTTTTCCTGTTGCCTGGGTCCCCCCAGAGCTGGGCAGAAGAGGAGCTTGCCTCCCTGCCAGTGAAACCAAGAGTCCTCTCTCGAGGCGCTCCCTGCTTCCTACTTGAAGAGGCTTCCTGTCTTTTTTAGACCTTGTCCGCAGGGACAAGAATCTCACCCAGCCCCACCAGATCTAAGAATCCCAAGTTAGAGGCAGCATCACCCCGCTCCATTCCTCCAGGCCCCCACCCCACCCCATCTTGCATATGCACATCAGACCACGCGCAATCTCGTATTTCCTTATTTCATTCCCAGTATGGCCAGATGAGTTTCTTGCAAATATCCTTAGAATGAATGGTCCTGTATAAGGACAGACAGTGTTGTATTTGCATGGCTCAGGGCATTTCTTTTGGAGGCTTCAGAGTCATTTATATATCAAGTGCCACTTGTGGGGGCAAATAAGGTAGAAACGATTCGATTCTAGACCAGGGGTTGAAAACTGGTGGCCCTCAAGCTGGTTCTGATATGCAGACATGTTGTTGTTGTTTGGTTAATATGATGTCAGGACATTTATTTTGAGCCAATACTTAAAAACCGAAAGAGTCTGTCTAAAAAACCCAGAGATCTCTGGCTTCACTTACAAAATCAGAAATGTTGACCATGCTGAACTGAGCTCCTGTCTGGCAGCGATTTGCTCATTTACATTTACCTGACCTGCAGGTACCTGAGTTTTGGCTCTTGCCTTAGTCACTGAGCATCTTGAGTCCAGGGACCCAGGGAGTGGGCGGGAGAAGACGTGGGGTTTCTGCTCTTTGTCTGCAGTTCAGGTATGTGTCCACCAGAGGTCCCCTTTCTGTGAAGTGACTGAAGTATGGAGAAAGCTCCACAGTAAAACAGCTGGGTTTGAATCCTGGCTCCACCAATGACTTGCTGTGTGACCTTAGGCAAGTGGTCTAACCTCTCTGAATTTTACTGTCCTAGTCTGTAAGTGGTGATGATAAAAGTGCCTACTTTCAGTAGTTTTTGTGATAATAAAAGGAAATCTATCAAAAACCTTAAAACAGTGTTCCATCCATTTCAGCTATTATTATTACTATTATTTTATCAAACAGAGGTGTGTCTGCCCTTTTGGCCCAGGTTTGTTAAGGGTTTCTCCATTTTTGATGTTATAAAAATGTTACTTTTATGATTTTTTTCTGAACTTAAGCTTTAGAGTAAATTGAAATATATACATATATAAATCATAAGATTAAAATGCACAAGTGAATCCTGAAGCAAAGAGGAGAATCCTTTTATGTTATGAATCACCCCCTTCAAACATGAGTCATTCTGTACCTTCAGATCCTGGACTGGGTGCAGTGGCTCAAGTCCGTAATCTCAGCACTTTTGGAAACCGAGGTGGGAGGATCACTTGAGGCCAGGAATTCGAGACCAGCCTGGGCAACATAGTGAGATCCTATCTCTACAAAAAAATTTAAAAATTAGCCAGGCATGTTGGTGCATGCCTGTAGTCCCAGCTACTCAGGAGACTGAGGTGGGAGGGTCGCTTGAACCCAGGAGTTTGAGGCTGCAGTGAGATATGATGGCCTCACTGCACCCCAGCCTGGTGACAGAGGGAGACCCTGTCTCTATTTAAGAAAAACAACAACCAGAAATAAACAGATCCGTGGTCATCACCTTTCTTAAAGGGGCTCACCAGCAATGTGTCCCTATTTGAGAAAGCCTCTAAGTGACTCCACTATTCTTCTCTCTCTGCCCCCTGCCTGCCTGGGTGAGTTGAAAAGGCACCATAGCTCATATTTTTGAAGATAATTTTTTGTACTGAGACAGTTTTCTTCTTTCTGGCTATCAGTTTAATGTGGGAGCTGTATCTTGTTGTAATACACAAACATGACCACAAGAGGGTAGATGTATTCCGCAATACTGCCCTAGAAACACCATCCGTAGGCTATTTCACCCTTATTTACTTTCGGAGGCTGAGGTGGGCAGATCACCTGAGGTCAGGAGTTTGAGACCAGCCTGGCCAACATGGTGAAACCCTGTCTCTACTAAAAATACAAAAATTAGCCAGGCGTGGTGGTGAGTGGCTGTAATCCTAGCTACTTAGGAGGCTGAGGCAGGAGAATCGCTTGAACCCGGGAGGTGGATGTTGCAGTGAGCCGAGATCGCGCCATTGCACTCCAGCCTGGGAAACAAGAGCGAGACTGTCTCAAAACAAACAAACAAATAAACAAAAAACAAAAAAAGGCAAAAAACCCTTAAGTAATAACAATATATGTTAAAATGTTGAGTAGTAAGTGCTATAAAAGAAGACTCATATATACATACAGATACTGATGCATAAATATAGAAGCTTGACAAATTTTGAGGTGTGTCCATATGATGGTCTAGGGAGACACTGTTTTGGGAACATGGGGTGGCGGTGAAAGTTCACCTGCCCAACACGTTAAGTTGGGAATCCTACCTTTTCTAGGTCCCTTTCCCCCACTCCACGCTATACTCCAGTGTTTCTGCTTTGCCTTAGGATGCAAAGCCATGCCCCATGGGGCTCAAAAACAAACCTAGTTTCATTTCCAGCACGGGGCATGGACTTTCAGCCCCTTTTCCATTAGGGTTTCTGAAGACCAGTGTGAGCCCTAGACCCTGCAGCCAGAGAAGAGAGGAAGCAGAGAGAGAGTGGGACCCAGCCACCAGCACACCTGCCTTGTCCTGTGCTTGCTCTGAGTTTGTGCTGGGATTTTAGATGAGTCCCTGCAGAGTGGGAGGCACTGAGAGCCAAGCAAACATGAAAAAATGGGGCCCTGCCTTATAAACATTCGAGAGACAGGCACAGTGTTGACGCCAGACAGGGTAGTAATTATAATAGCACTAAGCACCTGCGCTACCTTGCCAAGTATGGACACTTAGGAGTCCCACTTTACAGATGAGCAAAGTGAGGCCCAGAGAGGTTGAGCGACTGGTCAGAGGTTATCTAGATAATGAGTGGCAAACCCGAGATTCGGAGACCCCACTGTCATGCAAAGCGTTTACACTGCGGAGTGTTCTCCTCTAGGCACCACTACAGGGCAGCGTGGAGGCAGAGATGCTGTTCCTGCCCCACGGTTGACAATCCTTCTCCCCTCCTCTAGGAAATCTCCCCCGGCCAGCTGAGCCTGGAGGACCTCTTGGAGATGACGGATGAACAGGTGTGCGAGACTGTGGAGAAATACGGAGCCAACCGGGAGGAGTGTGCCCGCCTCAACGCCTCCCTCTCCTGCCTCAGGAATGTCCACATGTCAGGTGAGCAGGCCCCGGGGTCGGGGATGTGGAGACTTGTCCCCAGCACAGCTGCCGCGGTCCCTCGGCATCCCGTGCCCGCCACTGCAGGCCAGGACGAGACAGAGTCAACCCTGGGGGGCAAATCCGAAACGCAGGAAGAGGCAGCGTGGACCTGGGATTTGGAGGCCGGAAGACACCAGCAAGGGCAGCTCTTGGATTTGAACTCTTGCCCCAGGAAGACCCGCTGAGGTTTAGGGTATCTGGTTCTGGATAATTAGGGTCCAGATATGAAAATATTGAGTGTGAATAGGAGACCAGGGTCTTTTTACTTTAGACATTCTGACGTGGCTTTGCATTTTGGGTCAATGTCTAGCTTCTAATTTTTTTTTTAACAGAAGTAATTTGCATTAATTGTAACATAAACCAGAAAATAGATTTTAAAAAAATCACCCTAAGCTCCACCCTCTAGGTAACTGCTCTTGTCATTTTGGTATAATTTTTCCTGACAAATGGATATATGTATACTTTAAAAAATAGAATTATCCACACATATTGCTTAAATTTTTTTTTTTTTCACCTAATAAAATAACCTCTGTGACTTGTTCTATCAGTTTGGGGGCCAAATATATTGTCATCCCTCCTGGATCTTTTCCATTAATTGCTCAGATACCTGTTTGTCTTTATTAGCAGAACATCAGATATCATCTTCCTGAGGCTTCCTGCTTCTCTTTAGCCTCATGATTTTTCTGCAAATTCTGGGGCCTTTCTGTCCCAAGGGATCCGCTCTGCACATGCCAGCCACGGAGAAGTGTTAGTGGCCATCAGCACGGTTGTTGCAGTTCCCACCACAAGGTGTCACTGTTGAGCATCAGTCTGGCAGAGTCAGGTGGAGGCTCACAGATGCCCTTGCTTGATTCAACCTGCTCTATTCAACAAGCATTTGTTGAATATTGTTCTAGGCCTGGAGAAGTCTTCTAATCTGAGTGGCTATGGGGTGCCAGCAGGGCTGAGAAGGCAGCGGTGAACAAAACAGAACATACTTGAAACAGGTCATCGGCCCAGTCCTCCATGCGTGCCCTTTTGTATTTTTTCTTGCTGGCAGATCCTGATTCAGGTACAGTCAGCATCAAAAGGGACCATGCGGCCGGGCACACTGGCTCACGCCTGTAATCCCAGCACTTTGGGAGGCCAAGGCAGGAGGATCTCTTGTGCTCAGGAATTCCAGACCAGCCTGGGCAACATGGCGAAACCCCGTCTCTACAAAAAATACAAAAAAATGTGCCATGTGTGGTGGCACACGCCTGTAGTCCCAGCTACTCGGGAGGCTGAGGCTGGTGGATCACTTGAGCCCAGGACATTGATTGAGGCTGCAGTGAGCTATGATCACACTGCTGCACTCCAGCCTGGGTGACAGAGCAAGATCCTGTCTCAAAAATAAAATGGGGGGCAGACCATGCACTGGGGGCTGTCTTATGTGTTGAAGGATGTTTGGTTAGAAGCATCCTTGACCTCTGCCCATGAGATACCAGTAACATCCCCCAACTCAAAGTCATGACACATGGAAATATCCCCAGATATTTCAAAATGTTCCCAGGGAGGCAAAATCACTCCTGGCTGACGAGCTGTAAAGGTCATGTTACTCTTTACCTCTAGCACAATGGTGTTGACTCACCCAACATGAGTGTGGCTGACAGGGAGGGGCCTCTCAGTCACTCAGTACATACAAAATCTGCTCCAAAGGTGACTTTCTCTCTTTACCCACAGTGAGAAGCAGATGGCAGTTTTCTCTCTTTAAAAAAAAATTGCAGGCTAGGCATGGTGGCTCACACCTGTAATCCCAGCACTTTGGGAGGCCAAGGTGGGAGAATTGCTTGAACCCAGGAGTTTGAGACCAGCCTGGGCAACATAAAGAGACTCTACCTCTACCAAAAAAAGAAAATTAGCTGGGTGTGGTGGCATGCGCCTGTAGTCCTAGCTACTTGGGAGGCTGAAGTGGGAGGATTGCTTGAGTCCTGGAGGTCAAGTCTGCAGCAAGCTGAGATAGTACCACTGAACTCCAGCCTGGCCCACAGAGTGAGGTCCTGTCTTAAAAAAAATTGCACCAAATTACAGTGTTGTCATAAACATCTTCCTTTGTCAATAAATGCATTCACTTCTTATTTTTAATACCTGAATACTAACAATTTATTCAACCAATCTCCTATTTTTGGAAATATCCATATTTTTCCTATCATAAGCAACGCTGCTGTGAATACCCCTGAGTGTTATCTTTGGGGACCCCCGTGGCTATTTCTTTACAGTGAATTCATAGGAGAGGGGTCTTGCAGTGGAACATTTGCATATTTTGGCCGGACGTGGTGGCTCACACCTATAATCCCAGCACTTTAGGAGGCCGAGGCCGGTGGATCACCTGAGGTCAGGAGTTTGAGACCAGCCTGACCAACATAGTGAAACCCCATCTCTACTAAAAATACAAAAATTTAGCTGGGCTTGGTGGCGCATGCCTGTAATCCCAGCTATTTGGGAGGCTGAGGCAGGAGAATCTCTTGAACCTGGGAGGTGGAGGTTGCAGTGAGCTGAGATTGTGCCACTGCACTGCAGCCTGGGTGACAGCGAGACTCCATTTCAAAAACAAAAAACAACAACAAAAAACCCATATTTTAAAAATTATGGTGAACATTGTCATATATCTTTCCAGAAAGTTTGTACCAATTTATGCCGGCACAATGCCTGACAGTGAGCGTTTGAGGTTAGGTTTTTAATTGCTTTTCAGAATTCATGTTGTCTCATCCGGGAGGCACTACTGAGTTTGGCAGCATCCTTAAAAGTAGAGTGAGATTCCAGTTTCCATGAGAGAGGCATTTATGTCAGCCTTATGGGAAAGAATAGTTATTTTTTTGTGACATTCTAGGCTGTGCGAGACCATGGGGAAGAATAGTCATTTTTTTGTGACATTCTAGGCTGTGCGAGACCATGAAAGTTCTGGTGCTCCGATTTTTATTTATTTATTTATTTATTTTGAGACAGAGTCTTACTCTTGTCACCCAGGCTGGAGTGCAGTGGTGCGACCTCGGCTCATTGTAACCTCCACCTCCTGGGTTCAAACAGTTCTCCTGCCTTAGCCTCCCGAGTAACTGGGACTACAGGTGCATGCCACCACGCCCAGCTAGTTTTTTTTTTTGTATTTTAGTAGAGACGAGGTTTCACCGTGTTGCCCAGGCTGGTCTTGACCTCCTGAGCTCAGGCAATCCGCCTGCCTTGGCCTCCCAGAGTGCTAGGATTACAAGTGTGAGCCATCACACCTGGCCCTGTCCTCTGATCTTTTTAAAAATTTTTTTGATCCAGATGGACAGTACAATTTATATTGTGACCCCCCCCACACACATAGGTACACATACATGCACACACACAGCTACACATACACATACACAATTATAGCATGTTTCATGAAACAATACTCCTCCTTCTTATGCATGATGAAGATGTTGTAAATTCATTCCTGTTCTATTCTATATCATTTAGTAGATGCTAGTAATAGCCACTTTCTTTTTTTTTTTTTTAAGATGGAGTCTCTCTGTCGCCCAGGCTGCAGTGCAGTGGCATGATCTCGGCTCACTGCAAACTCCACTTCCTGGATTCAAGTGATTCCCTTGCCTCAGCCTCCTGAGTAGCTGGGACAACAGGCATGCGCCACCATGCTGCTCTAATTTTTGTATTTTTAGTAGAGGCGGGGTTTCCCTATGTTGGCTAGGCTGGTCTCAAACTCCTGACCTCAGGTGATCCATCCGGCTCGACCTCCCAAAGTGCTGGGATTACAGGTATGAGCCACCGTGCCTGGCCTGCCTCTATTTTTTGTTTTTTGAGACAGGGTCTTGCTTTGTCACCCAGGTTGGAGTACAGTGGTGTGATGTGATCACAGCTCACTGCAGCCTCGACCTTCTGGGCTCAAGCAACTGTCCCACCTCAGCCTCCCCAGTAGCTGGGACTACAGGTGCATACCACCACACCTGTCTAATTTTCGTGGAGACTAGGTTTCGCCTTGTCATTGCCCAGTTTGGTCTCGAAATCCTGGGTTCAAGCAGTCCTCCTGCCTCGGCCTCCTAAAGTGCTGGGATCACAGGCATGTGTCCCCATGCTTGGTCAAGCAGCACTTTTCATTACACACCTCACTATGGTTTGAACCTACACTGATCCCCTACCTCCACATAGGCCTCCCTCTGGACTCTTCCCAGGCTGCTAAGACTCAGTCTTCTATGTCCTGCCTCAGATGCCAGCCTTAGGGCCACTGGGACCTTGAAAGCAATGACCAAGTGCTCCATTTTAACCCATTCCTACAGCACTTAGCACTGAAGTCAGCTCAACTCAGACTTCTTAGTAAAGAATTGTGTACCCAGTTCTGATCCTTAACACTGTACTTCACGTATGCTGTTCCTGCAGGTGATGGTGCCACTTAAAAACATTTTAATGCTTACCTGTTTTGGGGAGCAATTTGTTTTTAAATGAATGCCTCTCTTTTCCACTAGACTGTAAGCTGCAAAAGGGCAGGGATCATACTTGTTTCTGCTCACTATTCAATTCCCAGGAAGATCAATATCTAGCACATAGTAATGGTTCAATACATGTGTATTTTTTTTTTTTTTGAGATGGGGTCTTGCTTTGTTGCCCAGCCTGGAGTGTAGTGGCGCAATCTTGGCTCACTGCAGCCTCTACCTCCTGGGGTCAAGCGATCCCCCCACTCAGCCTCCTGGGTAGCTAGGACTACAGGCGTGTGCCACCATGCCTGGCAAACTTTTCTGTATTTTTTGTAGAGATAGAGTTTTGTCATGTTGCTCCAGCTGGTCTCGAACTCCTGAGCTCAAGCAATCCTTGAAAACTTACCAGTGGCTTAAAGAACACAGTCTTCCTCATGGATTGGAAAACATCCCAGGGTTTGGCTCCTACTTGAAGTCCTACCATTCACATTTTCCCTTCAAGCCCTAAATATCTGCTAAATTCATGAATTACTTAGAGTTTTCTAGATGAGGCTTGGATTTCACATCTTGGTACTCACATCCCTCTGCCTAGAATTTTCTTTCCTTTTGTCCTTCTGGTGAATCCCTGCTCTTCCCCAGGCCCAGTGCAAAGCCTGGTTCTCTATGAGGCCTTTCCTGGGCTCTGCAAACTGAGCTGACCTCTTGCCTTGGCTACCGGAACAGCAGATACTTCAGTGACCACCAGGTCTACACCGCTGAGCCCCTCCCTACCTCTGAAAAGCTGTGTGATGTGCTTGCTATTAATGTCCACCAGGGGGAACCAGTGAGCCATCCTCAAAGTATCCTTCATGTTTGGAATTCCCTTCTTCCCTCAAAAATAATAATTGGTTCCTTGAAGCTTCTAACCATCTTGGGAGTTGGATGGCTTTCCTTTACTCTAAAAATGTTATCCCAGACTGAGGAATAAACTAGTATCTTTCCCATCATACTCTTACTTCTTGAGGGTGATATTGTATTCATCTTAATAGCCCCAGCTCAACCCAGAGCTGGTGTTTCCTACAGTGATGAAATCAGGTTTTTAAAATTCTGGCCCAAAGTGAGGGCTGGATGCATGTTTGTTAAATGACAGAAGACAAGTTGTATTGAGGAACTCATATGGAGACCAAGGATATGGCAGCAAGGCTGCTTTGTGCTTGGCCAAGAATGTCATCTCTTTCTCTCTCTCTGTCCCTGTCTGTCTCTGTCTCTGTGTCTGTCTGTCTGTCTCTCTCTCTTTCTTTCTCAGAGGATGGAGGTAGCTTTATTTTAGAGATGTTAATGCTAATCTTAGTTTTCTCCTTGGGTTTTAGGGATATCTTTATTTTCCAGTGCCCAAGGAGCCCCGAAGATAGGAAATCTTAACTCATTTTTCTCTTCTCATAGCTTGTTAGATCACCCTTAGCCTGAAACCAAAGAATACTCATTCATTCATTTAGCAAGATCAAAGGATCCCAGAGCCAGGATAGCTTAACCTTTCCTTCTCGTGGCAGCTATGTCCTGAAACCAAAAAACCATTATTCACTCATTCAACGAAATTGGTTGCATGGTTATTCTATGCCAGGTGCTCTTCTGATCTCTAGAAATGCGTGCTGAGGTGTGTGTCTCCATAAAGTTTACTTTCTAGTGTGGGGGGCTGGGGCACAGACAATGAATTATTGTCTTAATGATCACGTACCTTATGCAGTGTGTGAGAATAAGTGCTATGGATTAAAGAAGACGTGCAGCAGGCTAAGCGGGGTTGGTAGTGCCCTCTGGAATGGAGGGACTGGTCATCATATTAAATAAGGTGGCTAGGGCAGCCTCCGTTCTCTTTCTCCTTTCTCCTTCTTAGTCCTCAATCATCTTCTAGGAGTATGGAATCTGGAGTCCAACAAACTTGGGTTTAAGTTCTGGCTCTGCCACCTATTAGCTGTGTGATTGTGGATACGACATATTATGATTCTGTGCTTTGTTTCCTAAGCAGCAGGATGGGGATGATGATCATGTGGGCCACAGTGGTTGCTGGGAGCATTACATGAGATGATACAGGCAAATCACCACCACCACCATCACTATTGTTAGCACCGTCATCACCATCATCACCATCATCACCATCACCACCACTACCACCATCACCACCCACCACCATCACTGTTGTTACCACCATCACCACCCACCACCATCATTACCACCATCATCGCCATCACCATCACCAGGCTCCTCCAGCCTTTTTCTTCCCCCAGCTCACTTTTCTCCACTTCTCCTCATCCTCCTCTCTTTTTTCCTCCAAGGGGCCCTTCCAAGGGGCTTCAGCCTTTCTAATTAAGCACTCTCATTCTTTGTTTCCCTTCCCTCTGAGCCACGGTCTCCCTCAGCACTGCTGTTTCTTTTGAGACTACTCCCCTTCTGTCTGGCTTGATTGTTCTCCAGAGGTAACCTACCATTCCCTGGCCACAAAAATAGAGGCAAAACCTCAAACCAGTTTTCTCTGGGCACAGCCCTAGTTTTCCTCCGTGGTTACTACAGAGCTGAGGTCCTAGGGTGAAACTGATTTGGCTGCAGGAAGAGCACGTTCTCACCATTTGTCTCCACCTCCCACTCCATTCCAAAACTGGGAACTTCAGCGTCTGAGGACAGCAGGGTCCCTTCCTAGACCTTCCTGTCCTGGGCCACAGCTGTCTTATCAGAAGAGAGCCTGGCGGAGATGTGGCCCAGCTATCAGAGTGCTGTTGCTGTGGCCTTCTTCCTCTTCTCTGCTGTTCTTTTTCTCTCTCTCCTCTTCTTTTTGGCATTTTGATGGTTTTCAGCCTCATAATTTGTGGTCATCTGTATCTTTCCTTTCCCAAGGAAAAACCTCTGGTCAAGATAATAGAAGATCTGTGTTGTGGATATTGTTTTCCTTTTTTAAAACGAATATGCTTATGTAAGGATAATGGGAGATACTGCTTTCCTTCCTCCTCCCCTTCCTTCTTTTCTACCCTTCCCTCCTTTTCCCCCTCCCACGTGTGTTTATCAAGCACTTTCTCTGCATCTGGCACACACAGTGTTGGGTTCCAGGGCTCAGGGACTTTCTCAGGACTTCAGGATTGAACTGAGACCTGAAGAGGAGGGGAAGTCTTAATGACTGGGAGTGATGGGAACACTCAGAAGTGCCTTGGGACGGGAGGGAGGGGAGCATCCCAGGCACAGAGAGAACAGTATGGGTGCCCAGTGGGGATGCTGGGGAGAGTGGTGGGAGCTGGAGCCAGACAGGTGGGCAGGGCCAGCCCCCACGGTGGGCCATGGCAAGGAGCTTACACTGCAGAGTAAGCAGGGTAGGCTGAACAGAAGGTGTCTGGATCTCTTTTCCGGTTTTTAAATAACACTCTGGCTGCAGAGTCGATGGGTGGCTTAGAGCAGGTGACAGATGCTGGGAATCCTTCGGGGGCTCAGGGAGCCACGGAGGGGAGAGAGTGGAGGCCAGGGTGCTGCAGACAGGCAGGTGCCCTTGCACCCCTGCAACCTCCTGGGAGCTTGCCTGCCTGGGCCCTCCTCTGGCTTCTTCTCTTGAGTATCAAGGGGGAGAACTGGCAGTCAGGAGAAAAACAGGATGCAGAGTGGCCCCCGAAATAGGACAGCCTCAGATGCCCTCTGGCTTCTTCCCAGTTTGGGCTTTGAATGAAGCCCCCCAGAATGCCGCCTGCCACCGTACGGTCTTCCTTTGACTGGAACAAAGACTAAGAGTGGGTCTTGATTGCCCTATTGTTCTACTTGCTTCTAACTTGGGAAAGGCTGGGCTGGCAGAGGAAGAGCTGCTCCTCCCGGAGCCCACAGGGTCTCGTATGTTCTGGTGTTGACACTGATGTCTTTCCTTTCCCCTGTAACTTCTCCAGCCCTCCTGTTCTGTAGGCACTCAGGAATCCCTTACATGTAGATAGCATCAAATTAGGACTCTCGCTTACGAGCGGCAGAAACCTGATGCGAACGCGCTTAGGCGCAAATGGCTCCATTCATTCATTCTGTAAACACGGTTGGAACTCCCCCTGTGTCAGTTGCCAGGAGGGGTTGGGGATAACAGTGGTGGGGAAGGCTGGCTGGCTGTGGGTTCTCATCAGTCTGTGTCCCAGACCTGCACTGTTCAGTACAGCGGTCACCAGACTCGTGTGACCAGGTAAACTTATATTCATTAAATAAAAGTTAAAATTCCCTTCTTCGTTCTCAGGAGCCATGTTTCAAGTTGTTCATCGCCACAGGTGGCTAGCAGCTGCCCTATTGCAATAGCACAGTTCTAGAACATCCCCATCATCACAGAATATTCTAGTGGACAGTGCTGCTCTAGAATATGTTGGAAGAAACAATGAATAAGAAAAATATCAAGTTGGGCGCAGTGGTTTATGCCTGTGATCCTAGCACTTTGTGGGGCTTGAGGCAGGAGGATCGCTTGAGTCCAGGAGTCCAAGACCAGCCTGGGCAACATAGCAAGACCCCATCTGTACAAAAAAATAGACAAAAAATCCATCTAACTGGGTGTGGTGGCACACACCTATAGTCCCAGCTACTTGAGGGGTTGAGGCAGGAGGATTGCCTGAGCCTGGGAGGTCAAGGCTGCCGTGAGCCAAGATCATGCCACTGCACTCCAGCCTGGGCGACAGAGTGAGATTCTGTCTCAAAAAAAAAAAAAAAAAAATCAAATGGTAATAGGTTTTATGCAAGAATTAAAACTGAAGTGAAACAATGGTGGCTTTGTGGCTGGCTTTGATGGGCTGATCAGAGCAGGTCAGTCAGGGTTCAGCCAGAGGAGTAGAACCAATAAGATATATTAAGAGATTTATTGCAAGGAATTGGCCTATGCAATGGTGGGGGCTGGCTGGGAAGGTCTGAAATCTGTAGGGCAGGCTGTTAGGAAGGGCAGGCTGTTTGTTAGGAAGGGCAGGCTGTTAGGAAGGGCAGGCTGGTGGAATTTCTTTTTCTTTGGAGAGATCTCAGTTCTGGGTGGGTGCGGTGGTTCACGCCTGTAATCCTAGCACTCTGAGAGGCCAAGGAGGGTGGATTGCTCAAGTGCAGGAGTTCGAGACCAGCCTGGGCAACACAGCAAAACCCCATCTCTACTGAAAAAAAAAAATAAATACAAAAAATTAGCTAGGTGTGGTGTGTGCCTGTAATCCCAGCTACTGAGGAGGCTGAGGTGGGAGAATCACCTGAGCCTGGGAGGTCAAGGCTGTAGTGAGCCGAGATTGCACTGCTGGACTTTGGCCTGAGTGATAGAGCGAGACCCTGTCTCAGGAAAAAAAAAAAAAGAAAGAAAAAGAGTCTCAGTTCCGCTTTTAAGGCATTTCAATTTCAATGGGTTGAATCAGCTCACCCGGATTATAGAGGAGAGTTTTTACTTAGAGTCACCTGATTATAGACTTTAATCACAGCAACAGAAAACCTTCACCTGATGCCTAAATTGTTGTTTGATTGAATAACTGGGGTCTATCGCTTAACCAAGTTCACACTGAAACTGACAGCGAGCCTCTCTGGGGAGATGACATTTAAGCTGAGACTTGAATGACAAGAAAGCATCAGACAGGAGAAGATCTGGGGGAAGAGCATTCTGAGAGCAAACAGGTCTCAAATGCATGTCTCAGAAGCACTTTTAAGAAGCAGAAGGCAGGCTTACATGGCCAGTGGTTGTGGGGACCCATGGCTGCGTGGGTCTGTGTCTCAGACCTGCACTTCAAAACCTAGTGGCTCAACACAACTGCCTTGTTATCTCTCATTGTTATCGAGCAAAAGGGGCTCGCTGTCTGATGCACTAGAAGCCAATACTATGACGCCGGTTTTTTGTTTTTGAGTTGGAGTCTCGCTCTGTCGCCCAGGCTGGAGTGCAGTGGTGCTATCTTGGCTCAATGCACGCTCCGCCTCCCGGGTTCATGCCATTCTCCTGCCTCAGCCTCCCAAGTAGCTGGGACTACAGGCACCCGCCACCACGCCTGGCTAATTTTTTCTATTTTTAGTAGAGACGGGGTTTCACCGTGTTCACCAGGATGGTCTCGATCTCCTGACCTCGTGATCCACCTGCCTCGGCCTCCCAAAGTGCTGGGATTACAGGCATGAGCCACTGTGCCTGGCCAGGTTTTTGAGAAAAGAAAAGCTTCTTATTGAAAGTTGACTCCCAAGGACACAGGAGTCAAGCTCAAATCTGCCACTCTGGGCTGGCTTCAAGGCAGTATTTTTATTAGGAAAGGCTTAGGGGGTAGATACTGGGATTAGCAGGTGGTTGGTGGAGGGAAAGGGGAAGTCTGGAAAGTCCTTGGGTGTGTGTACTTATTTCTTTATGTTACTTCATAGGTTGCATATGCAAATTTGGGAGAAGTTAGTATGAAATATGTGGTGGAAATTTGGGCTGTGATGTCAGCAAACTTGTGCACAATCTCCAGTTGGTCATCCTGGTTCCAATTAATTTTAGCCCACTGCCAACTTTTTAAAAAACTTGTGAGTTAAAAAAAAAAAAATACTCAGAAGAGGAGGGAATTTCAGCATCTCAGCAAGTTGTTTTTTTTTCTTATCTGTTATCCTGCAAACTCAGTAATTTCTGTCATTGGTTTCATTAACTCTTTAGGGTATAGTTTCATCATCATAATTCCCTGGGCTCAGGGATTGGCTGGGCTCAGCTGGGTGGTTCTTCTGTTCCGTGTGTTGTTGGCTGGAGCTGCAGTCATCTGGGGCTTGACTGGGCTGGAACATCCAAGATGGTGCATGCTCATGGATGGCAGTTGGCACTAGTTGTTGAGTGGGTGTTCAGTTGGGGATTATCTGCTTAGGTGCCCACATGTTGCCTTTTATGTGACATGAGCTTCTCACAACACACATCCCAAGGAGGAGGAAATGGAGGCTGCTAGTTCTGGAACAGTATCCCTTCTGCTAGTGATGATCTCAGTGATGGGTCAATCAGGGAAGCCAAATTACTGTGAGTATAATGGAAAAAATGGAATTTATTAGATGTTAGACTTATACGACCGTAGGAAGAGCTGGGGAGGTACAAGCTCAAAAAAAAAAAAAAAAAAAGGGAAGCTTAAGATTCAGAGAAAGGTCTTGAACCTACCCTGACATAGGTAAGGCAGCCTGCGGTTTCAGGGACATCTGGCAGCCAATACGTCCAGCTGTTGGAAGGGACCATGAAGACAGGCTTGGATAGATGCCCAGGGAAAGTTGTTGGCCCTTTGTGGCTATTGCCTTTGTGAGTTTGTCATGAAGCATCTGGTGGTGAACTTAAGGTCGGCTGTTGGTCATTGAGGGACTACTGTCAGGAAGAAGAGTTGGCTGTGAGGTAGGGAAGATGGAGGATAAACAGGACCAGCACCCCAGCCTCTGTTCCCCATTGCCTTCAACCCATGTTACTCTTCAGGGCATGATGGCTCCTTCTCTTTTGCCACCCAAGCCTTGTACAACTTCACTTTTGGCCAGCTCTAATCTGGAACCACACAGAGAAGGGGATTCTGGAAACACGGGTGCCATGGAAGCATGGGTGCCAGTGTAACTGAGTTGTCAGTGGGCTAATCCATGACTGGGAGAGGAGGCAGAAGATAGGAGATGAGGTCAGAGACATGGTCGGGGCTCAGTTCCTGAGGCCCCTTGTAGCCATTGCTGGCAGCTTCTTAGTAGAATGGGAAACCACTGGAGGGGATTAAAGAAGGGAAGGGACTTGTTGGATTTCACTTAACTCGTTCTAGGCTAAACTAAATCCATGAGTCAATTTCCCTTCCTCTCTCCCTCCTTCATCCCTCGGTGTTCCCTTTCTGTCTAACTACCTTGCTTTCCTCATCTGTAAAATGGGGATGCTAGTTGTATCATCCTCATGGAGTTGTTGCAAGGAAAGAAATGAAGTCATATAAACACTGTGTTCGTATAAACACTTGTCTGGCAAATTTGGCACTGAATATGTACTGGACTGTGATTATTTTTATTGTTTTTAAAGTCAGCTTCCCTCCCTCCTTCCTCCTCCCTCCTTCCCAAGCTGAATCTGAACCAAGGAAGTCTTCCTACAGAGCCACTGACTGGTCCCCACTAAGGCAGGGGTGGAGGGAGGGGCAGGATGTTTTCCTCTCCAGCCTTTGTCTTGCAGCAGAACCCCTGTCGAGCAACCTGGTCCAAGGCTTCATCCACCTGTCCTGTCCCCCTGCAGCCCACTTTCTCTTTCTTGCAGGCCACCCCTGCCCCCTCTGTCTTGCCCACCTGCTGCTTCATGTGGCCAGCATCTGGCTTTTGTGGAACCCCCCCAATGAGAACAAAGAGAACCCGACTCTCTGGCTGTCATCTCTGATCAGCGCTGTAGTCACTTTCTCTTTTTATTCCTGGCATCCACGAGGTGCTGGGCAGAAGAATTGGGTGCAGAATTGACATTGAACTTGTGCTTGGCAGGGCCTGAACTCTTTGAGGTTTGTGGGTTCCATGAAACTACATGAACTGAGTCAGCTCCAAACAGACTATTACATCTTAGAATGAGACCCCCAGTCCTGTCCCTGGGCTCCCGATCTGGTCCCTATCTGCTGATGTTTTCACTGGCTCATTGCACCCAGCTACCCTCTCTTCTTCACAACGCCTGCCCCAGGGCCTTTGCACAGCCCTTCTTTCTGCCTGGAATACCCTGCCTCAATCTTCCTCTGGCTGATTCCTTGTCATTTTGGACTCAGCCCAACTGCCAGCTTCTCAGAGTCCCACTTCCATCCTGGCCACTCTCTATCCTATCATAGTCTCTAGCATATCTAAAATGATTTTGTTTATTTTCATACCCCTTTCCACAAGAACAGTGGTGCTCAAAACCTCAACATGTATCAGAATCCCCCAGAGGGTTCCACTCCCAGAGTTCCTGCTTCAGCCAGTCCGGGGCAGTGCCCAGAAATCTGCATTAACAAGTTCCCAGGCGACGCTGGTGCTGCTGGTTTGGGGAACACGCTTTGAGAACCCCTGTGTTGGAATTCTCCCTGCATCTGGCTCAGAGTTGGAATGCAAGAAGTAGTCACGGAGTGACTGAGTGAATGCTAGTGGTTGATGATAACAGCAGCGACAAATATTGATTGAGTTCTTACTGGGCCAAGTCACGCAGCACCTGCTCATTTAATTCTTCAACAACCTCATGAGGTCCGTAGGATTATTATTCCTATTTTCTGGTAAGAAAACTGAGGCTCAGAAAGGTAGAGCCCTTGCCTGGGAGGGGGGTGGTGGTCACACAGCAACTAAGTGTCAGAGGCGGGGTTTGAACTCATTTCTGTCTGACTCCTGTTAAGCGGAGGCTTCCCACATAAAAAAGTGGTGGGAATGAATGGCTTTCTCCTTAACTCTGAGTGGTCCCTGTGTTTCCATTTGCTCAGCTTGAGGGAGCAACCCTTTGGGGCTTTTGTAGCAGCTTACACTGGAACTGAGATAAAAAGAAATTATTTAAAGGCTGCATGTAAATATCAAATAATATTGCACATTTGCAGAGCACCTTCAGTTTTAGGAAGCACCTGCATGCAGGTGATCTTGTTTTAGCCTCGCAACCATATGAGTGGTGGGCAGATTAGGCTGCACGCCCAGTTTCACAGATGGGAACATTCCCAGCAGATTTGACTCTCCATCAGTATCTCTGTCCTTCCCAGCCACGGTCCTGAGGGAGGATGGGAGGCTTCTGTGGGCGCATGATTATGTTTGAAACTTGCAGGGAACATGCAGGGGGAAGGCAGAAAGGGCAAGGAGGATGAAAATATTTGTTATTATTTGGAGCAAAATTATTCTTGCCTTCCTTTAAAATATGCTGAGGGGAGATGGCTCCAGTTCATTATAGTCATGATTTTCACTCAGGTGGCTTTTTGCTTTCTCTAATTATTTCCCTGATTACCAACTTATACACTCGTGTGAGAAGTACCCAAGCTATTGTTTGGGAGAGAAAAAGAAAGCACCGCATTGACCATAATTTGCATCCACATTGGTATGTTACTTAGCAATTTTTTTTTTTTTTTGAGACAGAATCACTCTGTCGCCCCGGCTAGATTGCAGCGGCTTAATCTCGGCTCACTGCAACCTCTGCCTCCCAGGTTCAAGCAATTCTCCTGCCTCAGCCTCCCAAGTAGCTGGGATTACAGGCACCCACCACTATGCCCAGCTAATTTTTTGTATTTTTAGTAGAGACGGGGTTTCACCATGTTGGCCAGGTTGGTCTCAAACTCCTGACCTCGTGATTCGCCCACCTCGGCCTCCCAGAGTGTTGGGATTATAGGCGTAAGCCACCATGCCTGGCTTAGTATTTTTTAAACAGCTGCATGGGGACAGGCGTGGTGGCTTACGCCTGTAATCCCAGCACTTTGGGATGCCGAGGCAGATGGATCACTGGAGGTCAGGATTTTGAGTCCAACCTGGCCAAAATGGTGAAACCCTGTCTCCACTAAAAATATAAAATTTGGCTGGGCATGGTGGTGCATGCCAATAGTCCCAGTTACTTGAGAGGCTGAGGCAGGATAATTGTTTGAACCCAGGAGGTGGAGGCTGCAGTAAGCTGAGATCATGCCACTGCACTCCAGCCTGGGCAACAGAGCAAGATTCCATCTCAATAAATAAATAAATAGGCCAGGTGTGGTGACTCACACCTGTAATCCCAGCACTTTGGGAGGCCAAGGTGGGTGGATCACCTGGGGTCAGGAGTTCAAGAACAGCCTGGCCAACATGGTGAAACCCCATCTCTACTAAAAATACAAAAATTAGCCAGGCGTTGTGGTGCACGCCTATAGTTCCAGCTACTCAGAGCGTCGAGGCAGGAGAATGGCTTGAACCCTGGAGGCGGACGCTGCAGACAGCCAAGATTGCGCATTGCACTCTGGCCTGGGTGACAGAGGGAGACTCCATCTCAAAAAAAAAAATAAAATAAAATAAAGTAAAATAAAATAAAATGGGAAAAAAGTCTGGAAGGAAATCCACTTGGATATTTAGCATAGCTGTTCTTTGGTTAAGGGTGATGATTTTCTTTCTTTTGCCCTTCTGCATTTTCTGTCTTTCTGGGCAACAAATAAGTAGTTGTGTAACTTAAATGAGAAAGTTTGAAGGAAAAGAATCCTCCTCGAACCCTGTTTGCTTACTTTCATCTGTACTGTGATACTTTCTTCTCTGCTGCTGATGCCTGGTGGGGCAGGATGCTCTGACCTCCCAGGTTTCAATGGTTTTCTCACTGATTCACCGTCCCTTTGCATCTGTTCAAAAGGAAAAACTTTCTGGGCTGCATCTTTCTAAAGTAAACCTTCCCATGGCTTAGGCAACTCCTGACCACTGCGGGGAGGATTTCCTTGATTGCACCTGTGTCGATCTTCGGCCATAGTCATTGGGCAGTTATCTTGTAGTTGCTTTGATATCTAAATCTCCCATATTAGACTGGAAATTCCTAGATAGCAAGAGCCATCTTTTAATAAACAAAATAATAACGATAAAATATTAAAAACATACTGAGTGTCAGGCGGTGTTCTGAGCTGATTTTGAGGGTTATTTCACTTAATCGTCAGATATCCCCATGAGACAGGGACTTTTGTATTCCCCAGTTTTCAGATAAGAGAATGAAGGCACAGAGGGGTGAACCATGGTACCCAACCAAGGTCACATGGCCAGTAAATTGCGGGGTACCAGCACTTGAGCTCGGGCTGATTCCAGACCGTACACTCTAAACGCAGCACTTTGTTCATTTCCTACAAACTACTTAGCATGGTTGCAAAAGTATCATTGAATGAATTAACGAACAAATGAACTGTCATAATCTAATCACAGAAATTATGTCCTTGGAGGGGAAGGTTGAAGCCTTTATAATTTGCCCTAGGGGAGAGAAGTGAAGCCAAAGCACTTTCTGTCTGTGTATCAGGAATGAGATCGTGTGGGAGGGATAGTGATCAGATAATGAGAGATTTTCTCTCTAAAACAGGGGTTGACCAAGTATAGCCCACGGGCCAAAGTCAGCCCTCCACCTGCTTTTGTAAATAAAGTTTTATTGGAACACTGCCATACCTATTTGTTTCCACTTTGTCTATGGCTGTTTTCACGCTGCAACATCAGAATTGTGTAGTGTGACAGAGACCGTATGGCCCACAAAACCTGAAATATTTACTGTCAAGCTTTTTAGAGAAAATGTTTGCTAACCCTTTTTGTAAAAGACCAAGCTAGAAATAGTGAGTGTCAATTAAAACAAATACATACATGTCTAAGTCAGGGGAGATTTTGGTCTGATGTAAAGAAGAACTTCCTTTTGGAGGAGGGCAATAAATACATGAAGAGGCTGGGGAGGCATTGACTGTGGAGAACTCTGTAGTGGGGGTGAATGAATATTTGCACAAGTGGTACAACATTTATAGGGGGCTGTAATTGATCAAGAACTTCCTATAGTAAGTGCTCAGGGGAAGGCAGGAAGGAGGCACACGCCCAGAGAGGGTGAGATGCCTAGGGTCACACAGCTAGTACCTGGTAGAGCTTGTGCTCAAACCCACATCAGTTTCACCCAAAACTTTCATTATACATGGTCCTGACTGGGCATGGTGGCTCACACCTGTAATCCCAGCACTTTGGGAGGCTGAGGTGGGCAGATCACAAGGTCAGGAGTTCGAGACCAGTCTGGCTAACACAGTGAAACCCCATCTCTACTAAAAATACAAAAAATTAGCTGGGTGTGGTGGTGTGCGCCTGTAATCCCAGCTACTTGGGAGGCTGAGGCAGGAGAATTGCGTGAATCTGGGAGGCAGAGGTTACAGTGAGCTGAGATTGTGCCATTGCATTCCAGCCCGGGTGACAGTGCGAGACTCCGTCTCAAAAACCCAACCCAAAACGTTATGCATGGTCCATTGTGCTGACTTTTGGGGTCTGTTCTGCATCAGACTGAGTTCTTTGGGGAGTGGGGACCACATCTCGTTGTCTTTGGAGTGCTGTACACAGATGCTGTCTGGATAGTACTCTCTGAAGGTCACTCCTATATAGGAGTCTGTGGCTTTCTTTGGGTGAGTGTGACCACCATCCTGATGGGATTCAGAAATGTGGGGTTGCCCTACACTCCGAATTTCCCCCACTGACTTCACTCTTCAAACAGGAAACCTTAAATGGTCCTCCTTTCCCCACACAGAGAACCTGTTGCTTTGAGTTGGGAGGGTGGGAGACGGTACTTCCCTACCCCCAACATCAGCCCTGTCCTTGGGAACAGAGCTCAGTTTAGCTTCATC
Organism: Homo sapiens; assembly: GCF_000001405.40. NCBI lineage: Eukaryota > Metazoa > Chordata > Mammalia > Primates > Hominidae > Homo > Homo sapiens. The sequence continues at coordinate 117,837,780 of NC_000012.12, read as the reverse complement.
ATCTGATCATTTTCTTTCTTTAGCGCCTTTGTTTCTTTCCTTCTCTATCTGGTACTTTGTGGAGGAGAAATGAGGCAGACCAGCTTTGTAACCGGATACCAGGATGCTCTCAGTGGCTCGGGCTGACAGATTTTTCAAGCTCCACTTGTAAAGACCTTGTGCCATCATGATCACGTAGGGTGGAGGAACTGAGCGTCAGGGCTGCATTGTTGCTTTCAATCCTAGGCTCCTTGCTTGAAAAAGTTAGGGGCACGTAGCTGCTTGGCCGTAGACACTGGGATGCCTTTTCCTCCCAGTGTTTTCTTGGACACCATACGACCAGGGCCACCTCTTGATGGCGCAGTGTCATGTTTGGCCACCAGGAGGCGCTGCCCGATAAGCTTCCTTTAGCGGAGACGTCAAAATTGTCTTGAAATCGGTGCACAAGATGCATAGTAATGTAGAAACTGGCAGGAACCTCGGTCTGATCATCTCAACTTTTAAGTAAGGAAAAACTGAGTCTGAGAGAGGAGGAGGGCTTGACCCAGCTACAGCAGGGACTAATGCTGGCTTAATTCTGTTTCACAGACCGAGCTTTCTCGGCAGGCAGGCTGGAAGCCAGGGGAGACCCTGGGTTTCTTTCCCGGCTGGCCCCTAGTGAACGGCAGAGGCATCTATCAGAGCAGCCTACTCCGACGGGGCCTTGCTGCCACTCACCTTCCTTCCGCATTCATGTCATGATGCTCTTGCGTTGGTCTCCCTGCCACACTGCAAGACCAATTAAGAGGAGAAAATGAACTGTAAAGAAGGAACATTGAAATGCAGCCTCCAAATAATAACTAGTGGAGATGCAAAGGGAGCTCCGAAGCGACAGAAAAAACTCTAGGCAGTGGCTTCATTCCCTTGGGAGACATCTGGAAAGAGCTTGGGGCCCGGCCTGGGGCACCCCCAGCTGCATGGGAGCCCTCCCGAGAGGCTGTCTAAAGAATGGCTACGATGAGAAGTGGCTGGACTTGCTTCAGTTGAAATCAGTGTTCTGGTGCTTGCCACATTCCCTGCAGTGGGGTGCACTGATAAAAAAGACACGGGCCACAGTTGGCAAGGGGCTGGGCCTCCCGGCTGCGTCATTCAGCTGCCCTGGTTGGTTTGTGGCACAGTCAGGAAGGCATATGAGTCCTGAGCCTGGGATGTGAGTCCTGCCTGGGCCACGGGTCCAGCCTCTTCCCTATCGGAACCTCTGTCTTTGAAACAGGCATCATGATAGCGAGTCTTTTAGTGTTGTGATGTTTAAGGGAGGTGATGTGTGCTTTTGCCTCTGTCTGGGACAACCTCTCCATCTGAGCGGGACTTTGCTGTGCTCCTTTTGGCTGGGGTGAATTGGGAATCATACAACCCAAAGAGAATGGTGAAGTGAAAGGTTTCTCTCCATTTCCTAATAAGTACGGTGTTGGCATTGCCTGTTCTGCCTCCAGTATCTTTCTGGAAGGTAGATTCCACAGGAACTGAATGGTCTCGGGGCCCCAGAGCTGTTGAAGTCCACTCCATGATGGGTACCGACAGTTGAGGGTGTTGCCTGTGACTTCCATCAGGCCCTAAACTTGACGATGCTACTGCCCTGTGGATGGAAGACAGTGTTCTGACCCCTTTTAGTACTTTGGAGCAGAAAAAAGTTAGCACCCAATCGCAATCTTCTTTTAACATATTTGGGAGGTTGGGAAAAGTTTCCCAATAGTCTTTTATGGAAATATTTTTACTCCCCAAGAGTGGGCAAGTTTCTAGACTAAAGGGATTTTCTGTAGGGGGTTGTCAGTTTACGGAGGGTACTTCCTAACTGCAGACTGTCTGGAGGCTGTAGGGTAGGCGGCCTTGCTTAACAACAGTGCTCATCGTTAATCCTCTCTGATGTCAGTCATTACATCTCAGGTCCCAAGTAGGAGGTTTTCTTGGTGGTCTCCAATTACAGCACAAAAAGGGCTAGCCCCTAGGGTTTCTCAACCTTGGCACTGTTGACATTTGGGGCTGGAAAATTGTGGTGGGGACTGTCCCATGCCTTGGAAGATGTTTAACAGCATCCCTGGCCTCTACCCACTGGATGCCAGTAGCATCCAACCCCCTAGCCCCTGGTAGTGACCATCAAAAATGCCTACAGACACTGTCAAATGTCCCCTGCGGCAAAATCACTCTGGGCTGAGAGCCACTGGCTTGACTGATCCTAAGCGCTCCAGGAACATAGCCGCTTTGGTTCTAAGGAGGAGGATAATGATTATGACGACACTGACGACAACTTCTGTATTCTGAGGCCAGATGAAAGCCAGGAGCTTTTGTGAACACTGAGGTTCTGTAAAGCACAGAAAACCATAACTGAGTTGGGGTTTGGCTTATCATGCCCAGAGCATGGTTTTCCCAGGGGTCTTTAGTCCAATTAACAGGAACCAGATGAAAGCGAGGAACCGTGATATACCACCCTCCCTCCAACTCGCCATGCACACACATACATGCACCATCTCTCCCTGTCTCCCCAGGGACCTTGTTAAAACTTCCATCAGTTTTGCAGATAAACAGCTCCTGATCACCCATGAAAGGGGGCAACAGCAGACGGAGCTCAGGGCTGGAGGCAGGATGCTTCGGTTCTGGCTCTGCCCCTGACTTCTCTGGTTATGGGAGCCTGGGTCAGCCACATGGCCTCACTGAGCCTGGTGTCTTGGTCTGCCAAATGCCTGAGGACAGGATGGATGGCCCATAAGCCCCTTTTTCCCTGGACTCTGTGTCTCGGGTTCGATTTTCATGCCCAGCCAGTGAGCTGCCAGCAGAAACTGCATCCCTGCCCTCGAAGACGGCTCTCTGGTTTACCCGCACAGCTTCTAACTGTTGTTACTATTACTGCATTGATCCCTATATCCACTCAGTGACACCTTTTTTGGATTCTTTGAACATAAAAAAATTAATTCCCACCTTTGCATTTGTTTCTTCTGCCTGCAATACTGTTTCTGTGAGCCAGCTCCTTTTCATTATTTGGGTCTCAGCTCAAATGCTGTAGGAAGTACTCAGTGCATGGTATTAGTGTGATTATCATATATTACTATTAGTATGATTCTCATTGCTCTTCTCAGGCTGGGGAAGCACAGGGGCTGGGAAGCCCAGAGGAGGAGCCTCACCGCAGCCCGAGCAAGGTCAGGGGAAGTTTTCTAGGAGAATAAACCCCTCCATTGAGTTCAAAGGCTATGTTTGGGCTTCTCCTGTTGCCTCCTGGGTTGATTATTTTATTTTATTGCCTATCAAATGCCAAATCTCCAATCTACTCAGGACAGTTTCTTTTTTCATTCAAATCACCATAGCTCAAAAAAAATCCCTACCCCGCCCCCCACCCCCAGTATCTTTTTGGACCATTTTGTGATGTCAAAGCTGCCTGCAAACTTTCAGTATTGAAGTCAGTAACATACGGTGCCCTGGAAAAGGTGTACTTGTTTTGTTTGGATTTTGGAAAGAAGGACAGAGTTGTACTCAACTACATCCACTTTCCTTTGATCTTTGTACCACTGACCAGAGGGTGGAAGCAGAATTTACCTGAAACTCCTTTTAACTTCGGATCATGGTCTTTATTCAGCCGAGTCCTTCGGATTCTTGGGTGATGCCAGTTCTGTTTTTTTTTTTTATTTTTTTTGAGACAGGGTCTCACTCTCTTGCCCAGGCTTGAGTGCAGTAGCCTGATCTTGGCTCACTGCAACCTTTGCCTGCCAGGCTCAAGCCGTCCTCCTCCCTCAGCCCCCAGAGTAGTTGGAACTATAGGGGTATGCCACCATACCTGGCTAATTTTTTTAATGAAAATTTTTTTTTTTGTACAGACAGGGTTTCACCATGTTGCCCAGGCTGGTATTGAACTCCTGGGCTCAAGCGATCCGCCTGCCTCGGCCTCCCAAAGTGCCCCGCCAGGTGTTGCCGGTTCTAAGACAAGATACTGTGATTTTTTGGGAAATCACGGTAGGGGAATTATGACATCAAGGTGGGTTCAAAATAGGTTGAGATGAAAGAGCTTGTAGATTTCTTCATGAAGGAAGGACTTAGTGTCCGGTGGTCTTTTCTGAATATTCATGATGCCACTGAATGTGGAAAAAGAGGATTTAAAATGCACCCCTGGCCAGGCACAATGGCTCATACTTGTAATCCCAGTGACTTGGGAGGCTTGCTTGAGTGACAGGAAGATTGCTTGAGGCTGAAGTTCAAGACTAGCCTGGGCAACATAGCAAGACCACTTCTCTACAAAGAATAAAAAAATCAGCTGGGCTTGGTCGTGTGTGCCTGTAGTCCCAGCTATTCAGGAGGCCAAGGCTGGAGGATCTCTTGAGCCTAGGTGTTTGAGGCTGCAGTGAGCTATGATCATGCCACTGCACTCCTGCCTGGGTGGCGGAGCAGGACCCTGTCTCTAAGAAAACTCCAACCCCCACCCCCAAATGCACTCCTGTCCCAAGGGTTTCTGCACAGATATTTAACATTCCTCTACTATGTATAAGGCATTGGTCCACGTTTACAGTGTGCTAGACACATCATGTGTGAGGAATTTCCATGGATGACTTCCTTTGATTTTTATTACAACTTTCTAAGCTATGAGTTGTCCCGTCCCTTGTAAAAAGGGAGGAGATAGAATTCAGAGAGGTGCCTGGGCCTAGCAAAGGCCGCACAGCTTGGGTAAGTCACAAAGCCAGCATTGTGCTCAGAACTTAGGGTGAAACCACCACTACATACCGCCCCACCTTCCCGCCTCCACCACCCCCCGCCCCACGAAGGCTCTGAAAGAGCAAAAGGAAGGCAGGGTATTTGTTGGGAGCCCACGTGCTGTGCAGAAGCCACTTGGCCAGGGTCATGCCACTGGTCTCTCCTGGGTCTGTCTGAAAGCCCGTGGACTTCAAGAGTTCAGACTGATTTTCAAGGGACGTAAACCCATCACCTGCAGTGACCTGTTGTCCCAGGCAGCAGTGCATTGGCCTGTGCCTAGGTAAGGCTGGTGGATGGCTTCATAGCCTAGGAGTAGGTTGGACCCAAGGCAGAAGGTGAGAAGTAGGGAGAAGTGAGATGACTTAGGAAGGGCTAGAGACAAGGCCTGGGGTCTGAAGGAGCACCCTGCTCTCTAGGGCTCTGGAAAGGGCAGATTGGAATGCTGATGCCATCCTGCCTCCAGCTTGCTCTGTGACATCAGGCAGCTACTGGCCTGACCTCCGTGGCTCTCTGTAACAGGAACACTGCAACAATACCTGCATCTTCCTTAGATGGTGGCATTGAGGACGCAGTGAGGTGATGCAGATAAAAGCTTGCAGCTCAGCCCTGCTGCATTCTCTGTGCTCAACAAATGTCAATTGCTACTTTTGTTGATGACGCTGGGTCTGTAGCTTTATCTGTAGCCATTAGCAAAGAAGAGGGGGGAATTTCTCTGTTGAAATAAATTGCCTTGTAGCTCTGGTTTCCTCCCCTAAAACATGTGGATGCGGACACGGTACAAGATTTGTTTTGTTTTGTTTTGTTTTTGAGATGGAGTTTTGCTCTTGTCTCCCAGGCTGGAGTGCAATGGCATGATCTTGGCTCACTGCAAACTCCGCCTCCTGGATTCAAGTGATTCTCCTGCCTCACCCTCCCCAGTAGCTAGGATTACAGTGCACGTCACCACACCCAGCTAATTTTTGTATTTTTAGTAGAGACGGGGTTTCACCATGTTGGCCAGGATAGTCTCAAACTCCTGACCTCAGGTAATCTGCCCGCCTCGGCCTCCCAAAATGCTGGGATTACAGGCATGAGCCACTGCACCCGGCCACAGTACAAGTTTTATAGGAGGTGAAAAAACCACCCTCAAGTATCTTAAATGGTGCTCCCTTGAAAATAGAACCAAGTTAGCTGTTCCTAAAGGTTATGGCAGTCAAGGGATGATGACATCTTAGTGGGCAATTGACCTATGCATTCAGCTTTAACCAGCATTTATTAAGTACCTCCTGTGTTCTTGGATTGTGTGGGGTACTTGGCTGTGTGGCCTTTGGCAAGTGAATTCACCTGAGCCATCACTTCCATGTGTGGAAATTCAGATAATAACTGTCCCTACCTCTTGGGTTGTTTTGAGGATTAAGTGAAATCAAATATACAAAGTCCAATGTCTTGCATGGAGTTGCTGTGGGTGCCTGATAACCAATACCTTGCTGTTATTATTATTGGGTAATAACTATTGTTACTAGTAGGTGTCTTCGCTATATGATTTCATTTAATCCTTCCAGCAGTCTTGCAAGGATTTTTCTCCCCCTTGCTTTCAACTTGACTTCATTTTCCCAAGCTGTCTCCTGTGTGAATTAAGTGCCTGGCGTTCCTGCCCCCAATTTATAGAAGAAGAAAGAAGGGCAGCTGCCAAGCAACGTGGTTCAGGTCTCAAAGAGGCAAAGAAGAGGTGCCCTGGGCTGTCCTGCCCCTGCTTCTTGCAAGGTGGGCCAGGTTGGAGATTTCTGCCCACATGGAACAAGCGGGAAACTTCTCCTCGAGGGAAAGAAATTGCTCAAAGCTGTTGGAGAGATAGCATCAGTTAAGAACCAGGATGGAAAAAGAAAGAGCTAAAAAATAATCCAAACTTCCTTTCCAAGTGGATTTATTGGGAAAGAGAAAGAAAGAGTGAAATGAAGCAAGTTCTGCCCGAACAGACATGATTTAAAGCGGCAAGGGCATATTGATAATAATATCAGCGTTTCTTGCTCTGGGGGAGGTATTTGGATTTTTCATGCTCTGCCGGTTCCCCAGGAGACAGGAACATGGAGGAAGTTGGATCTGGGGACATGTCACATCTCTTTTCTCTCACAGCCAAGAAATCTATTTATTTAATTAAATTTCCTTGGAGTTTGGTTTTTCCTTTGAGCTAATTTTCTCATCTGTTTTCCTTCTTTCTCAAGGAAAATGAGGCAGAATTTTATCAGTAGGCAGACTTTATCAATAGAAATGACAGTATTAGTAAGAATAATAGTAAAAATCATCATAAAACCCAAACAGTATCATGTCTTCTCTGATCTCCGGTTTGTGGTCAAAGTTGCAGCTGTCTTTTTAGAGGAATCGGTTGCTAACTCATAGCTTAAATTTGTTTCTCCCCACGTCTGCCTCAAGGGCTTGAGGCTTGAGGTCTGATAGAATTCTGAGAAAATCTTTTTAATCATCTGGAAATGACGCAGGCTTTCTTAGGAGATGGTATATTCTTTCTCTCTCTCCTTTTCAGTGTTCCTTTTCTATTCTAGCCTGGCTGGCTATTCTTTTAATTTAATTTAATTTTTAATAATTTCAACTTTTATTTTTTGATTCGAGGGTACATGTGCAGGTTTGTTACATTGGTATATTGTATGACACTGAGGTTTGGGATATGGATAATCCCATCACCCAGGTAGTGAGCGTAGCGCTTAATAGTTTGTTTTTCAGAGCTTGTCCCCTTCCCTCCCCCTTCTAGGAGTCCCCTGTGCCTTTTGTTCCCATCTTTATGACCATGTATACCCAATGTTTAGTTCCTACTTTTTTTTTTTTATTTTTGAGATGGAATCTCACTCTGTTTCCCGGGCTGGAGTAGCAATGGCTTGATCTTCGCTCACTGCAACCTCTGCCTCCTAGGTGCAAGCTCTTCTCCTGCCCCAGCCTCCCGAGTAGCTGGGATTACAGGCATGCACCACCATGCCTGGCTAATTTTTGTATTTTTAGTAGAGGCGGGGTTTCACCACGTTGGCCAAGCTGGTCTCGAACTCCTGACCTCAAATGATCCACCCATCTTGGCCTCCCAGAGTGCTGGGATTACAGACGTGAGCCACTGCACTCTACTTATAAGTGAGAACATGCAATATTTGATTTTCTGTTGCTGTGTTAGTTCACTTAGGATAATGCTGGCCAGCTATCTTTAGAGGAAAATAGAGGAAGACTTGCTAAGCATGAGCCTGTCTGCTTTATGCCACTTTGAAATGTGTTGAATAGTCTAATCCAGGAGCCAGTGAACTAGAGTGGGCTGCCTAGTTAAAGTTTTACTGGTACACAGTCACATCTAATCATGTATGCATTGTCTGTAGCTGCCTTTGTACCACAATGGTTGAATTGATTAGTTGCAACAGAGACCGTGTGGTCCATGAAGTCAACATCTTTACTGTCCAGTCCTTTATAGAAAATGTTTGTAGACCTCTGTCCTAGGCCTTGACTGTAGCCCTCTGTTGTTTTTCATCAGTTTCTGATGTGAGTGCTTGTAAACAAGTAGGCCCATGTACTTATTCATTCATCAAGTGTTTTGGGAACCCTTTCTTTGTGCCAAGCCCCATGTTAGGTACAAGAGATTTAGAGATGAGCACATGTACTTCTTGTCTTTAAGGTATTGTCATGATGCAATAAGATACAGAGAACTCTGTCAGCTGCAGTGGTGGCACAGAGGGTAAAACAAGCAGTGTTTTGGAGGCTGAGCATAGGAGAAGGTTAGGGAAGCCTTTAGAGTGAAGGAGATATTTGAGTTGGGTATAAAACCAGAAAGTTACCAATTGGTTGGGGGAACATGTCTGCTCAGGCATACGGAAAAACCTGTAGTGAGGCACATAGTTGTGATAAAGCGTGAGTTGGAAGTCAGCCTGGAAGAGGATTAGGGAGATGAAAAGAGGAGATGAGACTGGGGAGGGAGGTGAGAGGTTATATGGGAAGGATTCTAAGGACAGGAATGGTGACTCTTATGTCTTCATCTTCCATGGTGATTAGCTTCAAGGAGCAACTTAAGGGGTGGTGTGTGGTTGACTGAGTTCATCATACTGGAGTTACCCCAAGGTCACCCCATCCACAGGTAGCTTTGAAGCTGGCCGACCTGGACCCAGTTGGCTGTCCCAGACTCTTCAGAACCATGTCATCCTTTTGGAATTGACTCCCCACCTTCTGAGGCCAATGGGAATGTGAGCACTAGACTTCTCCAAGGCATGGTTCTTGTTTTCACAGTGGGACACAGATGGCAGTTGGGAGGCTAGCTAAGGGACAAGGACCTAGAGTCTGGTGCATCCCACAGAGGGTCTCGGAAAGTTTCAGAGGGACATCCAGGTGGTATGGATACTGGATGCCTTCTGGAAGCCTAGGGCCAGGGCTGAGGGGCCCCCGAATTAACAAGATACAGACCAGTCGGCCTTGGGTGCTGTCCACCCTTGTAACTCAGGACAGCCTGGCCGCAAGGGCAGGTCCGGGGTTTGTACATTTGCTTTCATAAAAGGGCTTAGTGATCTGTGCTTCCTTATCTGGGAATGGGGATCATTATAACACACACTTCTTAGGATTATGTTAAGTATGTAATGAGTTATAATACATAAAGCAAATACTTGATATACAGTAAGCACTCAATAAAAATGGTTTGGTAGCCATTTGTATGGCTACTAATGGTTTACTATTCAGGATAGCACGTTGCAAAGGATGTTGAGGGCTTTTACGTGCTGCCGTGTTCTGGATATTACATAACACCAGGATTCTACCTGAACTTGACTGTGGCTTTCTGTTTTTGCTAATCATAGGTTGAAACAAGTGATTATGAAGCAGGCTGTGGGATGTATCGTTTCAGGGAAGAGTTGGTATTGAGGTGACACTTCCCAAGTGTTACTGCATACCGGACACTGGGTAGGCCCTGGGGACGCAGCGGTGAACAAGTAGCACATTGTCCCATCCTCATGGAGTTTGGTGATGGCCCTGGAATCAATACAAGAAGTAGCCAGAGCCCTGGGCTGCTCTGCTCCTTGGTGTTCGAGTCTGTGAAATAGAAATGATGTGAGTCCCTGCTACATTTTTTCTCCCCAGGAGATAGGGAAGATAATATGAGATAATGGTTTGGGTGGGGATTTAAAAAGCTGAATTGTGGAAGGGTCATACATAAGAATAATGCCAGAGTGATGAGCGCAGACTCTGGAATTAGTTGGCTGAGGATTGAGAACCAGCTTTGCTGCCTACTAGCTGTGTGACCTTGTGCAAGTTACTTAACCTCTCTGTGCTTTCATCACCTTCTATGACATGAGGATACTACTACTACCTCATAGGGTTTAATGAGTCTAAACCTCATAGAATTTAATAAGTTATAGGACACTGACCTATCAAAGTGCCCAATATTTAACACTTACCTATTGTGTTATACATTGTAAGTGCTAAATAAATTATCCACAATATCAATAGCAGCAGCCAACATCATTGATCAACTATTTGAAACCAAGTTGACATTGATCAATTATTTGATCTGTGCCAGATACTTTGCATGGGTTGTCTAATTTATTCCTCACAATGACTTTATATGGTAATTATTATTATCCTGATTGAATGGATAAGAAAACTGAAGCTTAGAGTTAAGTCACAGCCAAGAGCACACAGTGAGTAAGTCTTGGAGCCAGGTTGTTTGACGCCAGTGCCTGAGATCTTAACTTCCATCCCAGCCCTGTGTAGATAAGTGATTTTAGAGGCAGGACATGTTTACCAGGTGGAGGCTCAGCTTATAGATGGGAAGGGAGAGGAAAGCCCTGCAGCTGCAAAGGGGATCTGGCTGCATTTGGTTTAATGTCTCAGAAGATCACCCAAGTCCAGTCTTTCTTCCTCAGACTTCCAGGAGCAGGTACACCTTCTTTTTTCCTTTCAAAAAGGCAGACTTCATTCTCTTTTTCCTCCTCCTCTTCAGTTTTTACCATGGCTTTTTGAAGTCAGGAGCAGAGCTCAGAAATCCCAAGAACACATCTATAAAAGAGAGCTACTGCCCACGATGATTATGCCTTTTTTTTTTTTTTTTTTGAGACAGGGTCTCACTGTGTCGGCCAGGCTGGAGTGTGGTGGTGTGATCTCAGCTCACTAGCTGAGACTACAGGCACGTGCCTCTATGCCCGGCTAATTTTTTTGTATTTTTTGTAGAGATGGGGTTCACCATGTTACCCAGGCTGGTCTTGAACTCCTGAGCTCAAAGCGATCTGCCCACCTTGGCCTCCCAAATTGCTGGGATTACAGGCATGAGCCACTGCGCCCAGCTGTCCATGATGTTGAAACAAAAAGTGCAGGAAAACCGGAGCCCTCATCCTTGAATCAGTTCTGTCTCTCTCGGCGTGTGTGTGTGTGTGTGTGTGTGCATGTGTGTATATTTTTAAAAAGATCTTGCTAAATGCTAATACCTGCATCTGCTAATGTCAGGCAGTGCTTCACAGAGGTCACCCTTCACACTTCATGTGTCTCTTGCTTGTCATTCTCTGAATATTTTGAGAGTGGAAGCTTGACCCTCTCTCTAAGAAGCAGTGTATTTTAAATGGTTTTTTTTTGTTTGTTCTCCTATTAGTGTGTTTTTTCCCCTTAGTCTTCAAAAAGATCTTTTTTTCCTCCTTCCCAGTGCCCAGTAGCCTGACCCTGCCTTGCTTATCAAAGACAGTATAACAGGAACAGCTAACGTCAACCCCCAGGAACAGGACGTTGCCACAGCTCTGGCTGAGGCTGCACAGCAGGACTGCTGTGGGCTTTGCAAAGAGAGAATTTAAGTCCTTTAGCACCTGGGAGGGTGTACATCTTCTTTGCAAGCCTTTGTAGGCTTTGACAGATGGTGGCTGAGCAGAGGTGGATCCAGAGAGGTCAAGGTGGTAATTTTCCTGAACATGGATCAGAAGGAAGTGGGGTGAATTCATTCATTCATTCATTCATTCTTCCTCCATCTCATTCTCTTCTGTTTCTATCCATCTCCCCTTTGCTCTTTCCTTCCTTCCATCCATACACCCACCCATTCATGCATTTATCCATCCATTCATCCATCCATCCATCCATCCCTCCATGCATCCATCCATCCACCCACCCATCCACCCACCTGTTCACCCACCTACCCACCCACCCATCCACCCACCTGTTCACCCGTCTACCCACCCACCCATCCACCCATCCACCCATCCACGCATCTATGCATGCATGCATGCATCTGTCCGTCCATCAACCCACCCACCCATTTATCCACCTACCCATCCATCCATCTATCCATTCTTCCATCTGTCCATTCCTCCATCTAATATATAGACACTGAGCCCCTTCTATATCCCAGGCACTCTGCTGAGTGCTAGAGATTTAGAAATGATGAGCAAAGCTCCTGCCTTTGTGGACTGAACCATCTAACAAGGGAGACAGACAATAAACCATTCAGCGAAACAATGAGATGATTTGAGAATCTGACAAATACTGTGAAGAAAATAGTGAGGGAGCCATGTTAGCTAGCTAGGGTAGTTAGGGAAGGTCTTCCTGACAAAGTAATATTGAACTGAGATCTGAAGACTGCAAAGGAGAGAAGGGATGGCAGAAAGAGTGCTCAAGACAGAGGGAATGGTTACATGAAGAAGGAAAGTATTTTTTGCTTGGAAAACTAACCAGAGTTCTCCATGGCTGGAACCACTACATTTATGCCCCGACCCATGCACCTATCCATCCCTGCACACATTTACCCAGCCATGCCCCCAACCATGCATCCCTCCATCCATCCATCCGCGTACCTACCAATCTTCCATGCACACACCCATCCACGGACCCACACATATGATCCATGCACCCATCTTATGTCCATCTGTGTACCCATCAATCATCCATTGACAACCTAATATGTGTCAGGCACTTTGTTTTGTTTCGTTTTGAGATGGAGTCTTGCTGTCACCCAGGCTGGAGTGCAGTGGCGCAATGTTGGCTCACTACAGCCTCCACCTCCTGGGGTTTAAGCGGTTCTCCTGTCCAGTCTCCTGAGTAGCTGGGACTACAGGTGTGTGCCACTATGCCTGGCTAATTTTTTTGTATTTTTACTAGAGACAGGGTTTCGCTATGTTGGCCAGGCTGGTCTCAGACTCCTGACCTCAAGTGATCCACCCACCTCAGCCTCCCAAAGTGCTAGGATTACAGCCATGAGCCACTGCTCCCAGCTTTGTCAGGTACTTTGTTTAATTTTTTTTTTTTTTTTTTTTTGAGATAGAGTCTCGCTCTGTCGCCCAGGCTGAAGTGCAGTGGCGTGATCTTGGCTCACTGCAAGCGCCGCCTCCCGGGTTCATGCCATTCTCCTGCCTCAGCCTCCCGAGTAGCTGGGACTACAGGCGCCTGCCACCACACCCAGCTAATGTTTTTGTATTTTTAGTGGAGACAGGGTTTCACTGTGTTAGCCAGGATGGTCTCGATCTCCTGACCTCGTGATCCGCCCGCCTCGGCCTCCCAAAGTGCTGGGATTACAGGTATGAGCCACCGCGCCCGGCCTAAAATTTTTTTAAAATAATTTTTTATTAATGCATAATAAGTGTACATAATTTCAGGGTACATGTGACAATTTAATACATTCATATAATTTGTAAAGATCAAAAAGTGTAGGAATATCCATCACCTTAAATATTTGTCTTTTCTTTATGCTAGAAACATTTGAATTATTCTCTTGTTGCTATTTTGAAATGTATGATAGATTCTTGTAACCTATAGTCACACTACTGATCTGTTGAATACTAGGTCTTATTTTTTTCTATCAAATCGAATATTTGTACCCATTAATCCAACTTGTCGTCATACCCCCTCCCCCTCCCCCTGCCCCTTCCTAGCCTCTGGCAACCACCAGTCTACTCTCTATCTTCATGAGACCCACTTTTTTAGCTGTTTCATAGGAGTAAGAATATGTGATGTTTGTCTTTCTGTGCTTGGCCTATTTCACTGAACAAAATGACCTCCAGTTCCATCCGTGTTGCTGCAGATGACAGGATTTCATTCCTTTTTATGGCTGAATAATATTCCATTGTGTATATATACCACATTTTCTTTACCTATTCATCCATTGATGGGTACTTAGGTTGTGTCCATATTTTGGCTACTGTGAATCATGTTGCAATAAACCTGGGGTTGCAGGCAGCCCTTTGATATACTGACTTCCTTTCTTTTGGGTGTATACCCAGCAGTGGAATTGCTAGATCAGATGGTGATTTTATTTTTAGTTTCTTGGGGAAACTCCATACTCTTCTCCAGAGTGGCTGTCCTAATTATATGTCAGGCACTTTTGGATATCAAGGTGAATCAGAGAGACATCTCTCTTCTCTTACTTGATCTCCTATCAGTATGTGCAAGGAGACCACTGACCACTTCTCCCTTTTGGAAATGATATCTTCTCTTGGTTTCCAAGAAAGCACACTCTCCTGGTCTTCCTCCTACCTCTTTGTCCACTCATTAGCTGTATCACCTGCACCTTTAACTTAGCATCATGCCTAAAACTGAACTGCTCCTCTTTTCCCTGCAGTTGCCCTTCCACCTGATGTTTTTTTCTTCTTAGTAAATGGTAGCACCATCTCTCTAGATGTTTAAGTTGGAACTCTGGGAGCCTCCTGATTCCAGCCCGACCCTCACTCCTCAAATGCTATATGCACTCAACTCACGTTCATTTTGTCTTCAAATTGTATCTCAAATCTGCCTAGTTCTCATGACTACCACCCCAAGCTTTTGCCTGGATGACTGTAGCAGCCTCCTGTCTGGCCTCCTTGCATCCATTCTTGCTCCCCTTCAGTGTCTTCTGGACTTGGAACCAGATTCATCTCTTAAAATCCCAAAGCAAATCGTGTGACTCTTGCTGGAGACCCTCCATCTACAAGACCCAGTCCACTCCTTCCTACCTCGGCAGCCACGTTTCCTTCTATTTTCTCTCTTACTCCACACCCTCCAGCCACACTTTTTTTTTTTTTGAGTTCCTTGAATGCCATTCTCACTTCAGGACCTTTGCATATATTGTAGCCTCTGTCTGGAACATTCTTTTCTTTTTCCCTAGCTGATTCTGATTGGACGTTCATATTCTGGCTTAAATGTATTTTTCTTTGGAAAGCCTTTCTGTCCCCTGGCCCAAAATAGCACTTCTCTGTTTTCTCTTGGGATAACCCTTTTCTTTTTCTTGGTAGTACATGTCCCAGTTTTTAATCACACACAGACGGTCCCTGACTGTCAACTTAGGATTTTTCTACTTCATGATGGTGTGAAGGCAATACACATCCAGGAGACAATGTCCTTGAAATTGTGAATCTTGATCTTTTCCCGGGCTAGCAATATGCAGCATGGTACTACTCTCTCATGATCCTGAGCCAAATCATTTAACACAAACCCCATTGTATAGTCAAGTGTTGAATATCTCATGTATTTTCTTTTCTCTACCTTACTTTATTGTAGGAATACATATATTCATAACATATAAAATATGTGTTAACTGACTTCATATTATCAGTAAGGCTTCCAGTCAATGGAAAGTGTTCTGAGCACATTTAAGGTAGGCTAGGTTGAGCTATGATGTGTGGTAGGTTGGCTGTATTAAATGCACTTTTAACTTAGGGTATTTTCAACTTATGATTTGTTTTTCTGGACGTAACCCCTTTGTAGGCTGAGGAGCATCTGCATTTATTTGTGTGTTTATTTAACATCTGTGTCATAATGTTACAGGAAAGGGGTCTGGGTCCAGACCCCAAGAGAGGGTTCACGCATCTCGTGCAAGAAAGAATTCAGGGCGAGTCCGTAGAGTAAAGTGAAAGGAAGTTTATTAAGAAAGTAGAGAAATAAAAGAATGGCTACTCCATAGACAGAGCAGCCCCAAGGGCTGCTGGTTGCCCATTTTTATGGTTATTTCTTGATGATATGCTAAACAAGGGGTGGATTATTCATGCCTCCCCTTTTTAGATCATATAGGGTAACTTTCTGATGTTGCCATGGCATTTGTAAACTGTGATGGAGCTAATGGGAGTGTAGCAGTGAGGACGACCAGAGGTCACTCTCATTGCTATCTTGGTTTTGGTGAGTTTTAGCCGGCTTCTTTACTGCAACCTGTTTTATCAGGAAGATCTTTATGAGCCGTATTTCTTGCCAACCTCCCATCCCATCCTGTGACTTAGAATGCCTGTGTCTGGGAATGCAGCCCAGTAGGTTTCAGCCTCATTTTACCCAACTTCTGTTCAAGATGGAGTTGCTCTAGGTCAAACGCCTCTGACAATAATACTTCAGACTCCTTGAGACCAAAGACCATGTTCTTTTGTTCAGCGCTATGTCCCTATTGTCTCTCCCAGAGCCTGGCTTCCAATTCATATTTGTTAAAATAAAATGAAATGTTATCAGGCAGCTTAGATCTCATAAAGATATTATATGTCCACATAAAAAGTACAGTTGGCCTTTGAACAACACAGGGGTTAGGAACACCAACTCCTCACACAGTTGAAAATCCACATATAACCTTTGATTTCCCCCAAAACTTTACTAATGGCCTACCATTGACTGGAAGCCTTACTGATAATATGAAGTCAGTTAACACATATTTTGTATGTTATGAATATACGTATTCCTACAATAAAGTACGGTAGAGAAAAGAAAATGTTATTAAGAAAATCATAAGGAAGAGAAAATATATTTACTGTTCATTAAGTGGAAGTAGATCATCATAAAGGTCTTCATCCTCATGCTCAGTAGGTTGAAGAGGAGGAGGAAGAGGAGGGGTTGGTTTAGCCATCTCAGTGGTGGCAGAGTCAGAAGAAAATCCACATATAAGTAGACCCATGCAGTTAAAACCTGTGTTGTTCTAGGATCAACTATACTAGGTGGGAAGTTCTATTAAAAATAATTCAGACGATAATAGTATCTAACATGGATTAATCATTCTATGCCAGGCATTGTGCTAAGTGTCTTATAGGCATTATCTCATTTAATCCTCCCAACAGCATTATGAACTAGGTGCTATGACTGTGTCTATTTTACAGATGCAGAAACTGAGGCTCAGATAGGCTGTCATTTGCCCAGAGTCTCACAGAGAAGGAGTGGCAGAGGATCTGAACCTAGACCTGTCTGGTTCTCAAGTTTTTACCCCTTAACCTTGACTCTTTAGGGCCTTAATGTAACAAAACCTCAGAAACAGAGACTCAGTAACATGGCTCTTTCGGAGGTCTTGCCTGAGAACTTGAAAGTTCTCTTGCTTTGAGACAGGGAGTAGAGCAGATGGACCACATGTAGGCTTCTAATACTGGTGTCTTTTGAAAGGTCCTGAATTGCTGGTAGCACCTGGATTTTTTTTTTTTCACACTGACTCTGACTGCTGCCAGGTTTTATGGCATATCTGAGGTCATTGTAAGTTGATGAACCTCTGGGTTGTAGGGGAAGGAGGGAGGTTCTTTGTCTTTGTTGTTGGGTGATGTTGGGTGGTGTTGGGTCGGAAGATGACCTCGGCACCTGCCCGAAGTCTTCCTATTTCTTCCTTTTCCTCCTTCCCCAGGGTCTGGAGCCAGAGCCTGGTTTTCAAATTGCAAGACAACGATCTGATTTAGTGATTTATCCGATTAGGCTTAAATGTATTTATTACATGCTTAAACATATTCCAGTGAGCTCTGAAAACGATCCGCAGGTCTGTCCTGGGCTGAATTTCCGGGACCCACTGGAGCAAGTTCAAGAAAAGCATAATCTACTTAGAGGAAAACAGAACCAGACCCTAATCCAATCAGCATCTGCGTTAGGCAGAACATCCCCCGCCTCCTGTCAATAACCTCAGTGCCCCCAAACCTTTATCTGGAGTTTAGAAGAGATCGCAGGGAGGTAATCTTCAGGGGGTCCAAGGTCACCTAGACTTTAACGCTCCTCTGATTTCTCCCTCTCATAGAGCTGGGTAGGGGGGAACCCTTAGCTGTCTTCTAGTTATTGTTTTAAAGTAACATTTCTCTTTTTGATATTAAAATGGTTTTTGTTTGTGAAAATTTTGAAAAATGAAGAAATATGTAAAAAAAGAAAACCAAATCACCCATAATCTTGCTCATATTCGCATTTTCCGGTGAGTCTTTTCAATATTTAAAAATGCTTTCAAAATTACCCAAGTAAAGGGATTACATTTTAATTATAAAACCTTTTAGGCTTTTTTCCTATGCATTTTTAACAAAGCAGAAATGGTATCAAATTATATTGATTATCTGATGCCCTTTCTCCTTCCCTTCTTTTTTTTTGGAGGGCCATGTCATTAATTTTTGAAAATATCACGCTTAATAGCTATACCCTGTTTCCTTCCTGTGAACAGGGGGAATTTGCATAAGTATTGGGTTTTGGTTATATTATGCTTTTTGGTTTTTCTTTTTGCTATTGTTTTTTGAACGAGTGATTATTTTTGCTATTATTGACACTACTACTCTGAATATTTTTGTATTACCTATTCTCATTCCACTTCTTTTGAACGTGAGATTTTTTTTGACAGCTTAACTGAGATATAATCAACATTTAATCAGCTGCCCAGATTTATAGTATGCAATTTGATGAGCTTTGACATATGTAGATACCCAGGAAACCATCACCATAAATCAAAAGAGTGAACATGGCTTTTACCCCCACTGTGCCCTCCAGCATCCTTGTTCTGTGTGTTGAAATAACCTCACCAGGTCTAGGAGGCTCTCAGCAACTCTGGATCCCTGAGGCACCTACGACGCCCTCTAGGGCATGCCCTCACTTAGAAGATGCCGTAGTAGATGTTTGCTGGATGAAAGAATGCAACTAAACTCTGCTGGGTGTGTAGATACCTAGCTGGTGTACACCTGCAGTGACGGGGAACTTCCTCCCAAATAACTCAGTCCCCTTCCACAGCTAGCTTGTTCTGGGTGGTCAATCCTTGAATGAGCTCAAACTGGCCTTATTCCCCTGAGCCTGATGCTACATATTTTGGCCACAGTGAGGGGGCGGTACAGACCTAGCCCCTGATCTCATAGAGCTCATGGTTTCTTGGTGGGGATGGACATTGAACAACTAATGATGTAAATCATGACTGAACCCCAGGGTGAGCAATGCTCTGGAAAAAAGGGGTATAAGAGCTATAAAAACTTGTGGTGGGGAGCTGGTGTTTTGGGGGCTGCCCTGGTCAGCAAAGGCCTCCATGTCATGCTTCATGATAGCCTTTTATGTCTCTTTGTCATTTTCTCTTCCCTGGTCTAAACATTATGAGTTGCTTTGGCCACGTCTCCATTGGGCAGGATTTTCAGATTCTTCATCTCCTGCCTGCTCTTTTGTCATCCTTGCACCTGCAGCTGGGGAACACTAAGATCCCTGTCTCCAAGGACATTTGCCTAATCATGCAGCCAATGACAGCAGGCGTTCCTCCTCCTCTAGCCACAGAACGTTTTCAGCAGGATCAAAGGCTGGCTTAGAAACGACAATAACCACAATGAAAACACTGCCACCCATGAACATTTATCACATGCTTCTCAGGTGGCATGCCCTGCACTAAGCACTTGCTATGGGCTCATTCACTGCGTTCTCCCAGCCACAATATGAGCTCAAACCTCTGAGCCAACCTTTTACCCATAGGCTGTGCTGTGAGTCGTTTGTGTCTCTTAGCTCCCTTCTTTCTCATAGCAACCTTGCCATTTTTATTCTTCTCACTTTACAGATGAGGAAGTTGAGGGAGAGAGGTTAAGCCATGTGCCCTAGGGCACACAACGTGCCCTAGGCCACACAAACCCTCAGAGTCCTTGGTTGTAGCCTCTGAGCACATACTGTCTCTGCTAAGGTTCCCATTTCCCAGGTGAGGGGATTAAGGATCGGTGATCAGTGGGGTAGGAAATCTTCCAAGGGCCAAATGGTGACATTAGGATTTGGCCCTAGCAGTGTGACCCCAGAGATTGCCCATTGATCCCTATTCTACTCTCTACCTCTGATTTGAGGGACATATTGGATAAACCATTGGAACTTTTTTTTTTTTATTTTTTTGAAACAGAGTCTCGCTCTGTTACCCAGACTGGAGTGGAGTGGTGTGATCTTGGCTCACTGCAACCTCTGTCTCCTGGGTTCAAGTGATTCTCCTGCCTCAGTCTCCCAAGTAGCTGGGATTACAGGCATGCACCACCACGCCTGGCTAATTTTTGTATTTTTAGTGTAGACGGGGTTTTACTGTGTTGGCCCGCCTTGTCTTGAACTCCTGACCTCAAGTGATCCACCTGCCTCGGCCTCCCAAAGTGCTGGGATTACAGGTGTGAGCCACCGCGCCCAGCCTGGAACATCTTGAAGAAAGGGATTTGGATGGAGGAGATCCCAGCCCCTGTGGGGAAAAGGAATCTCTCTTTATCCATTGTCATAGCCTCCTGAGGTATAATTCAGGTCTTGTGTATAGCATGTTTTTAATCAATGTTGGCACACAAATATGGGGACAGGGATTGGGGCCATTGATAGCAAGAGTTAATAATATTATATTATTAGTATATATAAATAGTATTATCAGGTAATATTATCATGAGGTCAGATCCTGGAGCAGGGTCCTTTCTTTAAAGAGGGGTGAGCTGGCTGTGGGAAGGTAACTTGTTACCAGCCGAAATGTGTGATCTGGAGTAAGTGTCCTGCCAACCTTTTCCTTTTCTCTTTATTTATTGAGTCATTAATTAGAGCCGTCTAATTTCCCGTGCTGTTTTTACTTGGGAACATCGGTGTGGGTGGGGGGCGGTTATTGAGAGAGAGAGAAAGAGAGAGAGAACAAATCATTATCTCTTATGACACACTCAGAGTCTAATGAAGTTTTGCTAGAATGGTTTTGAAATTCAGATGCAAATAGACAGTAGGTCTTAAGGGACTGCTCTTTGTCAGCAAACTTTATTTTCCGGAGGAAGACAGACCTTCACGGAAAGGCTGTAACAGTCCTTAAATGGCTTATTGAAACTTTTTCATGAATAAGAGTTGAAGTTGATTGAAAACTGTGTTCTGGGATTTCTGGAAAGATTTGGCAAAAGGATATTCCCCTCCCCTGGCCTGGTCATTGCAAACAGAAATGCAGCCATCCAGCTGTTCATCTTTCCATTGGTTTCCTTGGAAAGCCAAATGGAAAGAAGAAGCCAATGGAAAGATGAACAGCCAGATGGATGTGCTGCCTTGTGTAATGGAATCACATGGGAATCCATCCAAACAGCACTGGGTTGGAATTTCAGCTCTTTGCCACTTATGAGCTAATGAACTATGGGCAGACCCACTTTAGTTCTGGAAGCCTTGTTGCCTTATCTGCAAAATGGGGGTGATGATCGTTCTTTGCCACAGGATGGTTGTGTGAATTAACCAAAATAATGCCCTGCCTTCTAGTAAACACTCAGTGGACGCAGCTGTTAGCCTGGGTCAGTTTCTGTGCTGTGCACTGAGGATCCAAGGATGACCATGCCCTTAAGGATGACACGGGTTTCTAGAGGAAAGTGATGTGGAAATTAATTAGTATGATGAAGATTTGTACCTGCTAGGGTCCAGGGTCTGTGCCCTCAGCCATCATGGCCTTCCTAGGGTTCTATGATGACTAAGAAAAGACAAAGCCAGGTCACAGACACTTGTAAAATATTATTGCAACAAACCACTCCAAACTTTGTGGTGTTAAACAGTAACCTTTTTCTTATGCTGTGGAATCTATGGATCAGCAATTGGGACAGGACACAGAGGGGATAGTTTGTCTCTGCACCATGATAGCTGGGTGCTGCAATCATCTAAAAGCTCACCCATTCACATGGCTGGAGGTTGATGCTGGTTACTGGCTAAAGCCTCAGCTGGGGCCGTCTGCAGAACTCCAGGTGGCTGCTTGGGCTTCCTCACAGCATGGTGGTTGGGCTCCAACAGTGTGTGATCCAACAGAACCTGGAGGAGGTGCATGGCATTTTTATAATTTAGCCTGGTAAGTCATATAATGTCATTCCCACCATTCTTTATTGGTTGAAGGAGTCACAAACTCCTGCCCAAGATCAAGGGGTGGCCTTCCCTGACTTCTTGGTTTACAATTGCAACCTTGCCCTCTTCTCACCTCCCCAACACACACACACACACACACACACACACACACACACACACACACACACACTTTATTTTTTTTTTTTGAGACAGAGTTTTGCTCTGTTGTCCAGGCTGGAGTGAAGTGGCACCATCTTGGCTCACTGCAACCTCTGCCTCCCAGGTTCAAGCAATTCTCCTGCCTCAGCCTCCCGAGTAGCTGGGATTACAGGCCTATGCCACCATGCCTGGCTAATTTTTGTATATTTAGTAGAGACGGGGTTTCACCATGTTGGCCAGGCTGGTCTTGAACTCTTGACCTTGTGATTCACCTGCCTCTGCCTCCCAAAGTGCTGGGATTATAGGCCTGAGCCACTGCGTCTGCGCCCCCCACACACACACTTTCTATACCCTTCCCACCATACTTTTTCATAGTACTTACTTTTTTTTCATGC
This sequence comes from Homo sapiens, assembly GCF_000001405.40. Taxonomy (NCBI): domain Eukaryota; kingdom Metazoa; phylum Chordata; class Mammalia; order Primates; family Hominidae; genus Homo; species Homo sapiens. The sequence continues at coordinate 117,815,626 of NC_000012.12, read as the reverse complement.
ACTCTTTAGCATATATACTGTTTACTTAATACTCACATTCTTGGTCTAGAAGCTCTGTGAAGATAATGATTTTGTCTATTTGATTTGCTACTGTATCCTGAGCATCTAGCAAAATGCCTAGTACATAGTAGTACTTGGTAACATTAATAATAAATGAATATTTATAAATGTTTTATTATGTACACGGTAGAGTGCTATACACACTATTCTGCATGTTGCTTTTTTTTCTTATACATGTATCACGGAGACTGTTCCATATCAAGACATATAGAGTGGTCTTGATCTTTTTCATGGCTTCCTAGTATTTAATTGTGTAATGATCCCTAATTGTGTAATGATCCAACTGGTCTCCCATTGATGGGCATTGAGGTCGATTGCAATCTTTTGCTGTTACAAACACAGCTTCAGCAATATCTTTTTATGCTTATGATTTCACATGTGTGAAATATAGAATTGTAATTGCTGGGTCAAAGGGCTTGTGTGTTTTGCATTTGGATGGTCTTGCCAAACTGACCTTTGTGGCTAGGTCTAAGAGTGCTCTTTCCTGACCTTTCAATGAGCCTTTCTGTTGTTATGAGTGAGGTTAAGAATGTTCATATATTTAAGAGCCATCTGTATTTCCCTTTCTGTGAGCCCTTTGGCCACACCCTTTGATCATTTTGGCACTGGATTGTTTGTTTTTTTATTGATTTATAAGAACTCTTTACTTATTAGGATATTGGCCTTTTGCTGTGACATGAGTAGCAAATATTTTTCCTCCTATAGATACTTATTCAGCTGGTCTGAGCTAGAGCCTGGAAATTTGTATCTTAAACATGTACCTGGGTGATTCAAGTACAGATGGTTCAGGACCCACACTTTGAGGGATCCTGCTCAAACTAGGGATCCTGCTGTGGTTAGCACAAGGCACCGAGGTAGAGTTCACTCTTCATGCCCCTAGACGCCTCCCGAGTGCTCTCTGAATGGAGCCTCTGTGGAGGAATGTGGTTCCGCTGGAACATTTTGGGGAGATAAGATCTCCAAAGGGAACTTCTTTTTACCTGGTTGGGAATATTTTGAGGTACCCATTGTGCAGTTTATTTAATCTCCGCCCTTTGTCAGGGGTCTTGGTGTTTGGGAGGGGTTGTCACAGTGAAAGTGGCAGAGCCCCCCACCCTTTTTATCCTGATGGCAAGATGATTGACCACATCTCCCACCCCCATCCTCCCATGCTCCAGGCTCTTATTTATTTATTTTTAATTGACATATAATAATTGTAGATATTTATGGGATTTTGATACATACAATGTATAGTGATCAGGTTAGGGTAATTACCATATTCATCATCTCAGACATTTCTCATTTCTTTGTCTTGGGAACATTCAATCTCTCTTCTAGCTATTTATTATTAACTGTATATATTATTGTTAACTGTAGTCATCCCACAGTGGTATAGAACATTAGAACTTATTCCTCCCATCTGGCTATAATGTATCTCTTAATAAATCTCTCCGTATCCCACTCTTCCCCTTAGCCTTCCCAGCCTGTTATCCTCTCATCTACTTTTTAGTTCTATGAGATCAACTATTTTGCTTCCACCTATAAGTGAGAACATGTAGTGTTTGTTCTTAGCTTATTTCACTTAATATAATGTCCTCCAGTTATACCATGTTGCCACAGATGGCAGGATTTCATTGTTTTTGTGGCTAAATAGTATTCTGTTGTGTATATATATACCACATTTCCTTTATCCATTCATCTCTTCTTGGACACTTGGGTCAATCCATATCTTGGCTATTGTGAATAGTGCTGCAATAAACATGAGAGTGTAGCCATCTCTTTGATAAGCTGGTTTCTTTTCCTTTGGATAAATGCTCAGTAGTGGGATTGCTGGATAATATGGCAATTCTATGTGTAGTTTTCTAAAGAACTTCCATACTGTTTTCTGTAGTGGCTGTACTAGTTTACATTCGCACCAACAATGTATGAGTTCCTTTTTCTCTGCATTTGTTATTTGTTGTCTTTCTGATAGTAGCCATTCTAACTGGTGTGAGATGATATCTTATTGTGGTTTTAATTTGTATTTCCCTGATGATTAGTGGTGCTGAGCATTTCTTCATATACCTGTTGGCCATATGTATGTCCTCTTTTGAGCAATGTCTATTCTAGGTCTTTTGCCCATTTTTAATCAGATTATCATTATTTTTTGCTAATGAGTTGTTTGAGCTTCTTAAATATTTTGGTTATTAGTCCCGTGTAAGATAGATAATTGGCAAATATTTTCTGCCATTCCGTAGGTTGTCTCTTTAATTTGTTGATTGATTCTTTTGCTGTGTAGATGCTTTTTAGTTTGATATAATCCCATTTGTCTATTTTTTTGCTTTTGTTGCCTGTATTTATGAGGACTTATTCATAAAATCCCTTCCCAGACCAATGTTCTGAAGCCTTTTGCCTATGTTTACTTCTAGTAGTTTTAAGTTTAAAGTCTTACATTTAGATCCTTAATCCATTTTGAGTTGATTTTTGTACTGAATGAGAGATGGGGGTCTGGTTTCATTCTTTTGCATGTGGCTATCCAGTTTTTTTTTGACACCTTTGTCAAAATCTGTTGTCTATAGATATGTGGATTAATTTCTGAGTTCTCTATTCTGTTCCATTGGCTTATGTGTCTGATGTCTGTTTGTATGCCTGTACAATGCTGTTTAGGTTATTGTAGTTTTGGATTATATTTTGAAGTCTGGTGCTGGTGGTGTGATGCCTCCAGCTTTGTTCTTTTTGCTCAGGATGATTTTTTTTTTTTTTTTTGGCTATTTGGGGTCTTTTGTGGTTCCACACAGATTTTAGGATTTTTTTTTATTTATGTGAGAAGAATGTTATTGGTATTTTAATAGAGATTGCATTGAATCTGTAGATCACTTTGGGTACTGTGGACATTTTAACAATATTAATTTTTCCATTCTATGAACATGGGATATCTTTCCATTTTTCTCATGTCTTCTTCAGTTTCTTTTTTCAGTGTTTTATAGCTTTCCTTGTAGAGGGGACTCTTCTTAGCTAGCAAATGATGATGCTGGGAAATGGAGAGTACAGGACCATTTACTATCTGAAATTCATTGTAATAAATTCAAGAGGAGCTGAAGACTTCGCTTGGAATGAATTGGACTTGGCTCTCCTGTGTGCTCAACTGTCTAGATCAACTCTCTAATAGAAATATAAAGCAAGCCACAAATAGTTTAACATTTTTCTAGTAGCTACATTAAAAAAGTAAAAAAGAAACCAGTGACATTCATTTTAACATTATGGTTTTTTTAGCCCAGTATATCCAAAGTAGAATCATTGCAACATGTCATCAATATAAAATATTTTTACGGAGACATTTTAAGTTCTTTTATTTTGTGTTAAGTCTTAGAAATCTGTGTGTATTTTATACTTACAGCCCATCTCAATTTGGTTAGCTATGTTTCAAGTGCCCAGTAGCCATATGTGTCTAGTGACTACCCTATTGGACAGGGCAGCTGTAGAGCTCTCAAAGGCAGATGGTTGGTGAAAATGAATGCCAACAAGAATCTTCTCACATTGGGACCTTATTTTTTTCCAAGAAAAATCCTGCCTGCTCCTTGAGCCCAAGCTCAGTGGTCTAACCCCCAGCAGAGACTGTCACTTGGCATTCTCAGCTGGCCTGCTGAAGGAGGCAAGAATAACCACACTTTTTTCTAAGTTCAGGCAGCAGGCAGGTTGTGAACTTCTAAGTGCTGCCTGGGAGTTGCCTCAGGTCCCTGCAGAACCTCCAAAACATCTTCTTTTCTAAGCAGGTGACTCTAAGTAGAGCTTGACCAAATTTAGAGCTGTCCTCTTTATAGCTATCAAACCTTAGCTAATTGTAGTGATAACATTAGTAACTGGTATTATCTTTCACTGACCTCCTCAGTAAGCTCCAGGCTTACCAGAGTCCCGGTAAACTCTGTCACATACCTTATCTCACTAATTTCTTACAATTACTCTGTGATGTGGGTACTTCTAATTGCCCCATTTTATGGAGGGGAAGTGGAGGCAGAGAGAGGTTAATCTGCTAAGTCCTGTCTTAATGGGAAGCAGTTCTTCTCAAACTTGAGCATGGATCAGAATCTCCTAGAGGGCTGGTGAAAACACAGATCGCTGGGCTTCATGCCCAGAATTTCTGACTCCATATGTCTGGGGCGGGGCCTGGGAATCTGCATTAATAGCAAGTCCTCAGGTGTTGCCGATGCTGCTGGACAGGGGGCCACACTTTGAGAAGCACTGTGCTAAAGTTATTCCTTCCCCCAAATTGTATCCCTTCTAGTATGGTTGAAGGAACTAGAGATAGTTTCCTGAAACAGAAGTGGGGAGGGGTATAGTCACGTCCCATTGTCACCTGTGAGAAGGGCTCTACGGGGCAGAGGAGGCTGTGTTGTGTGGGTGTAGAGGGCAGAGCAGGGCCAGGAGGGCAGAAGTCACCCTGGCCATAGTTTGGGCTTCATTAAAGCAAGAACTTTCTATTTGCCAGGCCTGCCCTCCAAGTACGGGCCTTCTGAAGCACCAGTCACCAAAAGGGTTTCATCCGAGACCCAGGCATTGGTTGGGAAGCAACCAATTGATGGGTCTTTTGATGCAATTGATAAAGACTCATCAATTTATCAAGTCTGATCCTCTTTGAAAGATATCACAGCACATTTTAATTTCAATTTAACTTAATTTTATTTCATCCCACAATCATCATTCTCATGTCTTCATTTATTTTTAGCTTTGTTTTTATAAGCTCATTAACTTTACTCATCTCTTTTCATTTCTATTTTCCCTTTTCTAAAAGGAACCAAAAATAACACCACCACCCCCAAAACAAAACAAAACAAAACAAAGACAAGCTGGAGGTCTGGGATGGTTAAACAGTTTAACCATCTTCATACTGCAGCATCTGTCCTTCATTTCTTCTGCATATTAGCTTGGAATGTTAGGATGAGGGCTAAGAAATGATAATTTAATTGCCAGTCGGATATCACCTTTAAAATTGAGACAGGGCTGGATGTGGTGGCTCATGCCTGTAATCCCAGCTCTTTGGGAAGCCAAGGCAGGAGAATCTCTTGAGCCCAGGGGTTTGAGACCAGTCTGGGCAACGTAGTGAGACCTCATCTCTACAAGAAATTAAAATAATTAGCTGGGCATGATGATGCCTGCCTGTAAGTCCTAGTTACTCTGGAGGCTGAGGTGGGAAGATTGCTTGACCTTGGGAAGTCAAGGCTACCATGAGCTATGTTGGTGCCACTGCACTCTAGCCTGGGTGACAGAGCGACACCCTGTCTCAAAAATAAATAAATAAAATAAAATTGAGAGAGGATTTATTTTCGTATTAAACTGGCAGTTGATGGAGATACTGTAGAGTGCAGATTAATAGAGTGATAGTTCCTGAATTATGTGGGTTCTTTGTTATATGACTGCAGTGAGGCAAAACAAAAAAACAAAACAAACAAAACAAAAGACAAAAAAAACAAACCGAGATCAGTTTGTTAGGTTCCATTGGTTAGCAGCTCACTGGTGGCCAGTCCTTGAGGGCTGGGGGCCTCAGCAAAGGCTCATTCGGGCTCTACTTCCTCCTAGCTGAGAGCTGCTGTTGACAGAGCTGCAGAGACTGAACCTCACAAATGCCCACAGCCTCCAAAATTCATCTTTACCCTCTCTTCAGTCACTTGAATCACTTTCTGCTTTCTGAATCACTAAGTAAATTGGGGTCAAATTATACTGTCCATCCCCTGAGTTCTAATCCTCCCATCCCCATCCATTTCTCACTGCTGGCATCTGATTTGCCTCTCATTCATTAAGTATTTATTGGATTATTTATTTTTCAGCTCCTGCTAGGAGCTGGATGCTGGGCTGGGCGTGAGGGATACAGCAGAGAACAAAATGGACAAGGCCTCTGCTCATGTGAGACTTACGTGCAAGCTGGGGAGACAGCCAGCAAACCAGTCAACTGATTCATAATATAATTTCAGTGAGTGGCACTTTCTATGGACAACCACAAACAAGTGGGGCAAAGCAACAGAGAGTGATGTTGATGAGGCAAGGGGGTTATTTTAGTTTAAGTGGCCAGGAAAATACTTTCTAAGAAGCTGACATTTATGTCGATTGGTGAATCTCAACTGGGGGTGATTTTTGCACCCCTCTCTTCTGCTCCCGTGGACATTTGGCAGTCTCAGGAGGTAGGTTGGCTTGTCACAAATGGGGAAGGGGGTGGGGGTGCTACTTCGCCTTTCTAGTGGGTAGGAGCCAGGGATGCTGCCTAACATCCTTCAATACACAGGACAGCGCAACCCCCATCAACAAAGAATTAGCCAGACCCAAAAGTTAACAATGTCAAAGTTGAGAAACCTTGGCGTAGAGGTATGAATAGGGAAGAAATTTCCAGGAAGAGGGAACAGCACATCTAAGCCCCTCTGGTGATGTATTAGTTAAGGTAATGCTGATTATTGTAAAAGATAAACCTTAAAGTCTCAGTAGCTGAATATGGTAGAAGTTTAATTCTAATTTAGGTAAAGACTAAAAATGGATGCTCTGGATTAGAGGCGGGGGGTGGGGAGTCTGCTCCACATGGTCATTCAGGAAGCCCAGGACCCATGCTCTACCATCTTCAATGTGTAGTTACCAGGGTTGCCCTGGATATTGACACCCAGAAGGTAGACTGGGGAGAAGGGGAGGGGAAAAGGAGAGGGTGTGTAAGATTGCACAGGAGTTCTTACTGACCATGTCTAGAAGTGCTCTAATTTGCTGCATCCGTATTCCATTGGCCAGAACTCTAACTGCAAAGGAGGCTGGAAATGTCATCTAGATGTGGCCTGGGAGGAAGGAGCTTGTGGTCAGCTAGCCAGAGTGGGAATGAGCAGGTTTCATTGGAAGGATGGCAACGAATTCACCAGGGCTGGAATGGATGGGAGAGGAGAGGGGTGTAGGAGTTGAGGATGGAGAGATGGGCAGAGGCTTCAGATTGAGATGCAATTAGACATGCTACGTTTTCTTAGTGATCATGGAAGTAATCATGCTAGTGAGATCTAGCAGGGATTGGGTCCCAGCTGCGGACCAGGCCCTGGGCTAAACCTTTTCCAAAGGAAAATCTCATTTAATCCTCATACCAACTCTTTGAGGTAGTCACTATTATTACTCCCAATTTAGAGATGAGGAAATTGAGGTTTAGAGGGGTTAAATAACTTCCTCATTTGATTTTCCAACCTTGATTTCCCACTTATCGAGGTTGGAGCTGGGATTTAATCCCAGGATCTAGGAGGCGGGGGTGGATACTGTAGGCTAAGAGGTTCTCAAGCTTGGCTGTGCATCAGAGTCACCTGGAATGCTTTGCAAAAACACTGATTTCTGGGCTCTGCGTCTGTGGTTCTGCTTTGGTAGGTCCAAGGGGCCCCTGGACAGGGCCATACATGACATCTAGACTCATTATAATCCACCCAGAGCGGCCCAAGGAAATGCCATACTTTGGGCTTTACACAATTGGAGTCAAGAGGGGAGAGAAACAGACTCCTTTCCTTCCTCCAAGGAACATGCAATGTGGCTGAGAAAACAAGACATAAAGCCTGGAACTTTATCAATCCAAGAGATTATGAAAGTTCAACATAATTATTTGGGAGCTGTCACAGGCAGAGTGCAATTTATTACCTCCTGAATGGTGCAGACCATAAATTTGTAGGAGCTCAAAGAAGGAGACATCACTCTTGACTGGAGGGGGCTGGAAAGGTTTGAATGAAGGGAACTTTGAGGCAAACACTGAAAGAGCGGATTTCAGGTGTTGTTATTCTTGTTTACTTATTAGCTTGTTAATTACCTATCTCCACTTACTCAAATGTAGACTTTTTGAGGTGCAGGAATCACAACTATCTTTTCCACCACCACATTCTCAGTCCTTGAAACTGTGCCTGGCACATAGTAGGTTCTCAATAGATATTTGTTGAACAAAGAATTCAAGATGTGTAGGGATGTTTATGATGCATTTATAGGTCAGTGAGTTTCCTCCCCTAGAAATATTTCCTTGATCAGATGTGTTAAATAAATGAGTATAGTTTTCTTTCCTGCAGGACTTCTCAGAGCCTTTAATTTGCAAACTTGCTTGTAGAATCTCCAAAAATGGGAGCTGATATTTGGTGATAACCCAAACTTATTAGAGCATTGGGTCTCTCTTTCCCATAGAACCTGTTAACACATTGTGGAATAGTATTATTCGGTGGAACCCAGTTTATGGAAACCTTCGAAAGTGACAGTGGGTTTCTTATGTCTCTTCTCTCCCTCTCTCTCTTTTTTATACGCTGCATCTAAGCCCTCACTCTGGTTTTTTAGATGTAGGGGAGATGCCCTGGTGGTTGGTGGAATTTGGAGGTGGGTTTCTAAAATACACTCGGTTTCCAAGAGGCCCGGGAATCACTTGCTTCATTTTCTCCCGGCTTTGTTTCTTGAGCAGGTCATCGGGTGAGAGTGAGGCTGTCTCACTGCTCAGCTTCACTCCTGTTAGGTTTGATCAGGGGCTCGCAGCTTCTTGGTGGCACTGCAGATTCCCCACCATGAAAAGGAAGTGTCACAGCTGCTCCAGCTGACGCTGAGCGGGGCTGAGCGGAACAGGCGCCTGTGTCTCCATCCTTGTCCCTCCGTAATGGATCCTGACAGGGGACGGGCACGGGGACAGGCACTCTGGGAAGTGAGAGGCTTGTTCTTGAGGCCCCAGCCTGTACAGCAGGTGAATTGGAGTTTCGATTCGGTTCACCGAGCACTAGTGTCTCAATGTAACTTAAAAGAAATGAGATATGCGTGCATGCTGCAATGTGGATGAACCTCAAAAAGATTAGACAAAGTGAAAAAAGCCAGACACAAAAGGGCTTGTACTGCAGGATTCCATTTCTATGAAATGTCCAGAATGGGTAAACCCATAGAGCCAGAGCAGATGGGTGTTGCCAGGGGCTGAGAGGAGGGGACATGGGGAGTGACTGTTATTAGTGGGTCTGGGGTTTCCTCTGGGGGTGATATAAATGTTTTTAAGTAGATAGAGGTGGTGGTTGCACCACATTGTTGACTGTAAATGCCGTTGAAGTGTCTGTGTGAAAATGGTCAATTTCATGTTTTGTAAATTTCCTTAAGATAATTCTATATTGAAGTCCTTAGTCTGCTTCTGCCGACTTAGAGAGAGGGAAATGGAGCCCTAGACGAATTTTAGGATCTGGTCTAGGCTGGAGCCATGAGTCTCGCTCCTGGTTGCAGTTAGTCACCTGGGGAGCTTTGAAACTCTGGCTGCCTGGGCTTCACTCCTAGAGCTGATTTAATTGGGCTGGGGTGGCGTCTGGGTACCAGGATTTTAAAAAGCATCCTGGGTAATTCTAACTTGCAGGGGATTGGAATATGCCGCATGTGAGCAGCAAAGCCCCGGGCCAGGGCAAGTGCCTCCGGAATCCCATATTCCTATCCTGTGATCTGTCCTTATACTCATCTCCCTCCTGAGCCTTAACTTTTAGGAAATGCCGGACGTTGTTTAAAACGGCGCTCCACACACTTAATGTTCACATGCCTCAGCTGGGGATCATATTACATTAATTTGGCTGCAGCAGGTCTGGGATTGGGCATGGAACCTGCATTTCTTTTCTTTCTTTTTTTCTTGTTTCTTTTTTTGAGGCAGAGTCTTCCTCTGTCACCTAGGCTGGAGTGCAGTGGCACAATCTTGGCTCACTGCAACCTCTGCCTCCTGTGTTCAAGCAGTTCTTGTGCCTCAGCTTCCCAAATAGCTGGGATTACAGGCACACACCCCCACACCTGGCTAATTTATGTATTTTTAGTAGAGATGGGGTTTCGCCATGTTGGCCAGGCTGGTCTCGAACTCCCGACCTCAAGTGATCTGCCCGCCTTGGTCTCCCAAAGTGTTGGGATTACAGGCATGAGCCACTGCGCCTAGCCTGGAAACCTGCATTTCTAACCAGCTTCTGGAGGATGTTGCTGCTGCTGGTTAGGGGACCACACTTAGCCAGGGTCTAAAATATGAGCAAATCCTCACGGTGCAAATTCAGGTTCAGAGATTTTGAAGCATAGCCAGCACAAAACAGTTATTGGGTACCAGGCTCTTTTGAATGGGCTCTGGTTGTTTTAACTCATTTCATCATGACCTGAACCCTTTGAAGCAAGTATTTCTATTGTCCCCATCTTACAGATGAAGAAACTGAGGCTCAGAGGCAGGCAGTAACTTGCCCACGTTTATATGACTAGCGAGTGTAGAATCTGTGTTCTTAATTTCTACCCTTCTTGGTCTCTAGAGAAGTTACCAGGGAAGGCCACACCTGTGTGTCTTGGCCCAAGGTGGTTCAAAGATGGCTTGAGTAATATTCAGAGTCTAAATTCAGCACAGCCAAGTTAGTCCCTAAAAAGGTGTGTGTGGGAGATTAGCATTTAACAAGAAGTTCTCCCAAATTAAAAGAGCTGTGGTTGACTTCAGCTGGACTTCCCATCTGTTTCTGGTGGGGTGAATGCCAAATGTCTTGGAGAGGGAGTGATCAACTCATCCCAGTTTACCCAGGGTGTTCCTGGTCTTAGTACTGAAAGTCCCACATCCTTGGAAATCCCTCAGTCCATCCGCGATGGTTGGTCACCCTACTTAGAGCCCAGGAGTTCTTTCATGGCTTCCACGGATGCTGAGTGGGCTCTGGGCAGCAGGGAAAGATGGGCTAAGGTACCCCAAGAGGTCTGACTATTCCCACCCGTATCTTGGTAAATAACTTGGACCTTTTCCAACTGTGTGCCTTTGGACATCTCTAGAATTGTTCTGTAATGAGAGGGAGAGCAGCTTACATTTTCAGAAGAGCTTGTTGAAGGATGTGGTTGCAATTTAAATTCTCATTAAGAAGCTGGAAACATTGAAAGACCTAAGATATTATTAAATATGTTTAAGGATCTTATGATTTACTGCAGGAAACACAACGCTTATTATCTTGAAGGCCGGTTCCTTAATGGGGTGGCTGGAAAGATTTCTTTGTCTTTCTCAAGGAGATAAAGATGATAAAAGCAGTATAATAATAGTATAATACTAAAACAACAACCAGCAACAGTAGTAATTATTGTTCGGCTGCCATTTACTGGGTATTCAGTGTAGGGTCTCCAGGTGGAATCTAAACTTGCTGGCAAATGGTATAGGAGCAGGGGTGAGCTAACTTTTTCTTAAAGGACCAGGTAGTAAAGATTTTAGGCTTCAAAGGCCATATGGTCTTTGTTGAAACGACTCAATTCTGCCATTGTAGTGTGAAATCAGGTATAGACAATAAATGGCCGGGTGCGGTGGCTCACGCCTGTAATCCCAGCACTTTGGGAGGCCAAGGCAGGTGGATCACCTGAGATCAGGAGTTCAAGACCAGCCTGGCCAACATGGTGAAGCCCTGTCTCTACTAAAAATACAAAATTAGCCGGGCGTGGTGGCACATGCCTGTAATCCCAGCTACTCCGGAGGCCGAGGCAGGAGAATCACTTAGAACCCGGGAGGCAGAGGTTGCAGTGAGCCGAGATTGCATCACTGCACCCCAGCCTGGGTGACAGAGCAAAATCCTGTCTCAAACCCCAAAAAACAATAAAAGAATGGATATGGCTATGTGTCAATGAAACTCAGTTTACAAAAATAGCCCATGGACTATAGTTTGTTAACCCCTTATACGGTGGAAAGATAACTGTCTTTAGGAGTCAGAGTTAGGTTCCAGATGCAGCTCTGCCAGTTTCAACCACTATGACCTTGGTTAAGTATGATCTTAACCTCTCTGAGCCCCAGTGTACTGCTCTGTAAAATGGGGACAATGATGGGCCCAGCCTCTCAAGTTTGTAGTGAGGATTAAATGCATGGCCGGAAAGACAGAATCGTAGCTAGTGCTCAATAAATTTCAACTCTTTTCTTTTTTAAATTTAATTTAATTTTTTTTGAGACGGAGTTTCACTCTGTTGCCCAGGCTGGAATGCAGTGGTGCGATCTCGGCTCATTGCAAGCTCCGCCTCCCGGGTTCATGCCATTCTCCTGCCTCAGCCTACCGAGTAGCTGGGACTACAGGCTCCCGCCACCACGTCCGGCTAATTTTTTTGTATTTTTAGTAGAGACGGGGTTTCACCATGTTGGCCAGGATGGTCATGATCTCCTGACCTCGTGATCCGCCCGCCTCGGCCTCCCAAAGTGCTGGGATTACAGGCGTGAGCCACTGCGCCTGGCCAATTTCAACTCTCTCTATAAGCTCCCCAGCATGGGGTCGGGGGTACATAGGAAACATCTTGGTGCTCCTTGGAAGATACCTTGGCAAAAGGTGAATATATTGTATAAACTCTTTTCTCTGTGGCCTTCAAATGCCACCTCTCTGCCGTCCGCTCCCAGCTCTGGAATGGAACGCTGTGTTCCTTCCCCCAGGTGTTGCTTAATAAAGGAGAGGCTGAAGTCCTCCTCTCTCTTTGTTTTCATGCCCAATAAATCACTCTGACAAGGGCTTGTTATTACTTAACTCTGTACATTGTTTCGGCAATCCCTGGTAGGAGAGAGAAAGGCATTATTTTGCCCAGAATCGCTTCAGGAATGGAAATATTTTTTTGTGAATTAATATTCATCAAATAGATCAGGTAAACATCCAGTAATGACAATGCATGGGCAATTTATCAATTCCAGCTTCAGAATGCAATTATCAGTCAAATGGCACCGAGGCACAGTAATGAAGCCTGCCTGAAAAATCCCATTACTCCCAGATTGGGGGGTGTGAAGATTCATTCTTCACTTTTATATGAAGAATGACACTGTCTTGTCAGAGCCGGGGCTGGGAGTCAATATGTCGCTCTCTCCTGAGCCTCACACTTGGACAAGGAATTGGCAAACCCTGATTCCAAAGATTCCACAGGCCTACTGGGGTATCTGTGGGGAAAAGGGGGTGGGTGGGGAAAGAAAGGGTTGGACCCTGACCAATGTCCCCCTCCCCACCCCTGACACTTGGTTTTTCCCAGGGGGCCTGCTAAGAGATTATTCTATTCCTGGTGTCATCCTCAGACAAACCCCAGATATCAGTGCTATTATTATTAGCCCCATTTTACAGATGAGAAAGTTGAGGCTCAGAGAGGAGGAGGGAATTCCTTGCTGTAGTAGTCAGAATAATGACCCCCTTTCCCCAAAGATGCCCATGCCCTCATCCCCAGGGACATCTCTGAACGTGTGACCTGTGAGTATGTGACCTGTGAATATGTGATATTACATAGTAAAGGGACTTTGAAAATGTCATTAAATGAAGGATGTTGAGATGGGGAGATTATCATGGATGATCTAGCCGTGCTCAAAGTCATCCCAGAGGTCCTTATAAGGGAAAGAGGAAGGCAGGAGGGTCAGAGGTCAGAGTCAGAGAGAGAGGTCTGAAGATGCTACACCAACGGCTTGGGAGAGGGAGGAAGGGGCCAGGAACAAGGTATACTGATGGTCTCTAGAAGCTGGAAAAGACAAGGAAACAGACTCTCCCCTAGAGGTCCTAGAACAAATACAGTTTTCTTTACACCTTGATTTTTGCCTAGTAAGACCTATTTTGAAATTCTGATCTCCAGAATTTTAAGATAATGAATGTGTGTTGTATTAAGCCCCTAATCTTATTGTCATAGGAAACTTACACCATGCCTTTTTGCAAATGTATCCCACGCCCCTTCCATTGCCTTTTCAGTCACCCTTTTCTTAGGGACAAGTTTTCATGGTGAGCAACCCTGGTCATATACAATTCTTCAGCCCCAGGGCCTCTTGGGAATCCCAGGCCACCTGCTGTTCTTCTTCCCCCCACGGTACTTCCTGCTTCCCTGGACCTCCCTGGCCCCTTCTCCATCTGATATGGTTTGGGTCTGTGTCCCTGCCCAAATCTCATGTCAAATTATAATCTCCAGTATTGGAGGTAGGGCCTGATGAGAGGTGATTGGATCATGGGGGTAGATTTCCCTCTTGGTGCTGTTCTTGGGATAGTGAGTGAGTTCTCTTGAGATCTGGTTATTTGAAAGTGCGTGGGACCTCCTCCCCACCCAACCCCACTCTGGCCATGTGAAGTGCTGGCTCTCTCTTTGCCTTCTGCTAGGATTGTAAGTTTCCTGAGGCCTCTCCAGAAGCTGAGCAGATGCCAGCCAACATCATCCTTCCTGGACAGCCTGAGGAACTGTGAACCAATGAAACCTCTTTTCTTTGTAAATTACCAAGTCTTGGCCAGGTGTGGTGGCTCACGCCAGTAATCCCAGCACTTTGGGAGGCCAAGGTGGGTGGATCACTTGAGGCCAACAGTTTGAGATCAGCCTGGCCAATATAACAAAACCTCGTCTCTACTAAAAATACAAAAAAAAAAAAAAAAATTAGCCGGGCATGGTGGCAGATGCCCATAATCCCAGCTACTCAGGAGGCAGAGGCACAAGAATCACCTGAATCCAGGAGGTGGAGGTTGCAGTGAGCCAAGATTGTGCCACTGCATTGCACTCCAGCCTGGGTGACAGAGTGAGACTCAGTCTTAAAATATAAATAAAATATGTATTACCCAAAGGATTATAAATCATTCTAGTATAAAGGCACACATACACACGTATGCTTATTGCAGCGCTATTTACAATAGCAAAGACTCGGAACCAACCCAAATGCCCATCAGTGATAGACTGGATAAAGAAAATGTGGCATGTATACACCATGGAGTACTATGCAGCCATAAAAAATGAGTTCATGTCCTTTGCAGGGACATGGATAAAGCTAGAAACCATCATGCTCAGCAAACTAACACAGGAACAGAAAACCAAACACCACGTGTTCTCACTTATAAGTGGGAGTTGAACAATGAGAACACATGAACACAGGGAGGGGAACATCACACACCGGGGCCTGTTGAGGGGTGGGGGAAAAGGGGAGGGAGAGCATTAGGACAAATACCTAATGCACGTGGGGCTTAAAACCTAGATGACGGGTTGATAGGTGCAGCAGACCACCATGGCACATGTATACCTATGTAACAAACCTGCACGTTCAGCACATGTATCCCAGAACTTAAAGTAAAATAACATTTAAAAAATAAAAATAAATAAATCACCCAGTCTCAGGGATTTCTTAATAGCAATGTGAGAATGGACTAATACACTATCCTATTGGAATCTGCTTTTCTCCAGCTGAGTAGCCACTGAACTTGGCTTCTCCAGCTCCCCAAGGCTTCTTTTCCCCAGGGGATAAGCACCCAGGCCTCTGTGACTCTTGGACGTTTTAGGCTTTGGGGGGGGCAGAATAATTAAAAATAGCACATGAGGAACCACAGACAGGAACCTGGCCCTGTGGAAAGGGCCACAGAGACCCCCCAGGACCCACCCAACATGTATAGTGGGCTCAATAAACCAGCTCATAACAGCAACCTTGGTCCCTCACTCCTATGGCCATCTGAGATGGTGTCCAGCAGACCCCTCCGGCTTCTGCCCTTCTTCCTCCTGGCCCTGCCCAGAGGTGAGCTGTAGGCCCCCAAAGCAGCCTAGTCACAGGTGGTGTTTGGGCAATGTACATACAAAGGGCCTTCAGAAAGGTTGATGTTCTTATGTACCCAACCTTGGAAGATGTCATTTGGATGTTTCCTTGAAGTCTCTACATAGAGCCATTGTCACTGAATTATCACCTCTACTGTCATCTTGCAGGCGTCCAGCCTCGTTTCATAGGGCTAAGAGCCTGAGTCTTGGAGGCAGATTACGTGGCCTCCTCTTCTGCCTTTTTTACACTCAACCTAGCACAGCTCTTGGAGGTGGAAAAGAATTTTGGTGCCTTTTAGGTGCCCCAGAGTCTCAACAATCATCACTATTTATTCAACACTAAGAGCCGGGGACTGTGGTTTGCATCCATTATGCTCACAACCACCCTTAGTTGTGGGTACTATTATAGATTAGAAAACAGGCTCAGAGATGTTAAGAGAGTTGCCCAAGGTCACTCAGCTTGAAGTGACTGTGCTGAGCCTCAATACCAGTCCGCTTGATCCCTGATCCCAACCCTCTTAATTTTGCTGTTAGAAAGAATAAGGACAATGTCCATGCATCATCTATGATTAAATTTTTTTTATTATGGTAAAATAGATACAATATAAAATTGTGCCATTCTGACCTTTTTTTTTCTTTTTTTTTTTGGTGGAGTCTTCGCTCTGTTGCCTGGTCTGGAGTGCAGTGATGCGATCTCGGCTCACTGCAACCTCTGCCTCCCGGTTCAAGCTATTCTCCAGCCTCAGCCTCCTGAGTAGCTGGGATTACAGGTGCGTGCCACCACGCCCAGCTAATTTTTGTGTTTTTAGTAGAGACGGGGTTTCACCATGTTGGCCGGGCTGATCTTGAACTCCTGACCTCAGTTGATCTGCCCACCTTGGCCTCACAAAGTGCTGGGGTTACAGGCGTGAGCCACCGCGCCCAGCCCATTGTGACCATTTTTAAAGTCTACAATTCAGTGGCATTAAGTATTTACAATGTTGTGCAATCATCACCACTATCTATTTCCAATACATATTCATCACACCAAATAGAGCTCTGTACCCATTAAGGAATCACTTAATACCTGTTCTTCTCTTTTTCCCAGCCCCTGGCAATCCACTATGGATTTGCCTATTCCAGATATTTCAGATAAGGGGACTTCTACACTGCGTGGCCTTTTGTGTCTGGCTTCTTTCACTCAGCATCATGTTGTTAAGGTTCACCCATGTTGCAGCATGTGTTAGAACATCATTCCTTTTTAAGGCTGAATAATATTCCACTGTATGCATATACTACCTTTTGTTTATCCATATTTTCATTGATGGACACTGGGGTTGTTTCTTCTTTTGGGCTGTTGTGAATAATTATTCTATGAACATGGATGTACAAAGAGCTGTTTGAGTCTCTGTTTTCAGTTATTTTGGGTTGATATATATATATATATTTTTTTTTTTTGGACTTTTTGCCTACCTCCCCCTTTTCCTCCTCCTCTATTTCTTTAGTAACTTTTTGTTTTGTTTCGTTTTGTTTTTGAGACAGAGTCTCACTCTGTTGCCCAGGCTGGAGTGCAATGGTGCGATCTAAGCCTACTGCAACCTCCACCTCCCAGTTTCAAGTGATTCTCCTGCCTCAGCCTCCTGAGTAGCTGGGATTACAGGTGTGTGCCACCATGCCCAGCTAATTTTTGTATTTTTAGTAGAGATGGGGTTTCACCATGTTGCCCAGGCTGGTCTCCAACTCCTGGCCTCAAGTGATCCGCCTGCCTTGGCCTCCCAAAGTGCTGGGATGACAGGCGTGAGCCACCACACCCAGCTTCCTCTGTTTCTTTAGGAACTTCTTAGAGCCTCCTCTCAAGACTTGATTAGCCTGCAGCTGGAACAGGAACCAGTCCAGGCAGAAGCGCGGATATGAGAGACTGAGTAGCTGGCACCAGGCAGGGCAGCTTCTTCTCCACTTTTCCCTTCAGGACAGGTAGCCCCACCCCTGGTGCCTTTGCTTTCTTAGGAATGCAGTCTTCAGGCATGGGCTGTAGGAAGATCCCATTTGATGCTTCAAAGGTGAGAAGAAAAAAAATTAGCTTTTGAGATAGCTAGTCAATCTGGTCAGTGACACGGGATCAGGGCCCCCATGCTGCCCACAGCACTTCACACTTTCCGGTCAAGGCATTTACCCCTGTTCTACATCATCCAGTCTTTTTAAAATATCAAAGCGACAGGCTGGGTGTGGTGGTTCATGTCTGTAATCCTCGCACTTTGGGAGGCTGAGGCAGGAGGATTGCTTGAGCCCCAGAGTTCACTTCCAGACTATGAAACATAGTGAGACCCTGTCTATAAGAAAAACAATTAGCCAGGCATGATTGTGCGCACCTGTGGTCCCAGCTACTTGGGAGGCTGAGGTGGAAGGATGGTTTGAGCCCAGGATGGTTTGAGCCCAGGATGGTTTGAGTCCATGATTGCGCCACTGCACTCTAGCCTGGGTAACAGAGCAGGACCCTATGTCAAAAAAAAAAAAATTGAGGTGAAATTTATATAATATAAAATTAATCGTTTTAAAGTGAACAATTCGGTAGCATTGAGTACATTCACAGTGTTGTGCCATTATGCCTCTGTCTAGTTCCAAAGTATTGTCATCACACCAAATAGAAACCCCGTAGCCATTAAACAGTCGCTCCTCATTCCCTCCTTCCCACAGTCTCTGGCAACTACCCTTCTACTTTCTGTCTTAATGGATTTACCTGTTCTGGACATTTCCTGTAAGTGGAATCCTGTAAGATGTGACACTTTGCATCTGGCTTCTTTCACTTATCAAAATATATTCAAGATTAACCCAACTATGGCATGTATCAGTACTTTATTCCTTTTTATGGCTGAATAATATTCCATTGTATGGATAGGTCACATTTTATTATCCATTCCTCTGTTGATGGACATGGTGATTGTTTCCACCTTTTGGCTATTGTGAATAGGGCTGCTGTGAACATTTGCATACCAAGATTTGTTTGAGCACCTGTTTTTAATGTGGGGTATATGCCTAGAAGTGGAATTGCTGTCCTGTGGTCATTCTATGTTTCACTTTTTTGAGGAGCCCTAACCCAGTCTTTGTGTGATGATCTCTTCCCCATCCGCATGGTGAGCTCTGGGGATCAGGGGCTGGGTTGGCTTTGTTCTTTGTTGTGTTCCCAGGCTCCAATTCAAAGCTCGGCACTCAGTAGGCACTTGGTGAATGCTTGTTAAATGAGTGATCAGGGGAATTAAGAAACTTTGGGCTGGCCTCCTTGGCTGTGGAGTTGCTGGGCATTTTGGAGGCTGGGCAGCAGGTCTGGGACTGAATGCCATGGGGGTTCTATCAACATATGGGTTGAGCTGGAGATCTACGGGGTTAATTGAGCCATAGTGTCTCTTGTTTTCCTTAAGCCACCTTGTTAAGGGGAAGCAGAGGTAAGTTGCATCTTGTGAGCCCTTCCTGGCACGTTTATCATCCCCTCTACTCTGGAAACTCCACATTCATTTCACAGCTGAGGAAACTGAGCCTTGGGGAAATCAAGGGTACATGCCTGGTAAGGGCAGGGCTGGGATTTGAACTTAGACCTGTTTGACTGTGAAGTCCGCAGTCTTCGCCCAACACGATGAGATTCCTTTGGGTGTAAAATATCACTGGGAGCTTCCACGAATGTAGCATGGGTTTGGAAATTTATAGGGCAGCTTATATCCCTTCCACGTTTGTCTAACGTGATGCTGATGGTAATGACAACTTGTTTTTTTACCTTATGCCTGGGATGTAATTTCCTGAGATCATTTCGTTTAGTCCTCACCATCACCTTACTAGGCAGGTATTATTCTCCCCAATTTACACACTAGGAGACTGAGGCTCACACATGCACTTGCTCACAGAGGCCTAACTAGTAAGAGACAATGCTTGTATTTAAATGCAGGCCAGCTGGGCATGGTGGCTTCCGCCTTTAATCCCAGCACCTTGGAAGCCGTGGCAGGAGGACTGCTTGAGTCCAGGAGCTCCAAGGCCAGCATGGGGAAGCTAGTGAGACTCCCCCATCTCTACAAAAAAATTAAAAAATTAGCTAGGCATGGTGGCACATACCTGTGGTCCCAGCTACACAGGAGTCCGAGGTTGGAGGATCATTTGAGCCCAGATGGTTAAGGCTGCAATGAGCTGTGTTCATACCACTGCACTTCAGCCTGGGTGACAGAGTGAGAGACCCTGTCTCAAAACAACAACAATAACAACAACACAGGCTTTGGCCAGATGTGGCGGCTCATGTCTGTAGTCCTGGCGCTTTGGGAGGCTGAGGCAGGAGGATCACTTGAGCCCAGGAGTTTGAGACCAGTCTGGGTAACATAGTGAGACCCTGTCTCTACAAAAAATTGATGGCATACACCTGTAGCCTCACCTACTCGGGAGGTTGAGGCGGGAGGATTGCTTGAGCCTGAGAGTTCAAGGCTGCAGTAAGCTATGATTGTACCACTGCATTCCAGCCTGGGCAACAGAGCAAGACCCTGTCTCAATAAATAAATAAAAACCACAGGCTTCTGTCTCCAACCTTCACTCACTCTGAATTCTTGCCAGGAAGCTGTCGCAACCTCTTTCCTGCATCTTGGAGGCAAATGTCATTCTCTGGGAGCTGGGGACATCTGTGAAGATTCTGGGTCCTTTCCAGAGGGTCTTGGTGTCCTGACAATCCTGAGCCATTTCTCTGAATCTTGTGCTCTTCTGGCATTCCAGTCTGTTCCACTTGGCATGCTGAGCTCCGTGTGAAAAGGTGGCATCATCTTCCAGAAGGCTGAGGTAGTATCTGCCAGGAGGAGGCAAAGATGATGTCGCCAGGAAGGTGAC
Source organism: Homo sapiens (assembly GCF_000001405.40). Lineage (NCBI taxonomy): Eukaryota > Metazoa > Chordata > Mammalia > Primates > Hominidae > Homo > Homo sapiens. The sequence continues at coordinate 117,795,316 of NC_000012.12, read as the reverse complement.
ACCATTGACAAGTTGGATTTCGTCTATTTCTAAAAAGTCTGGAGGTTTTTCAAACCTTGTGCCCATCATCCCTGAAGTGTACAGGGAAGAAGAAAATGGTCCCAGAAATAAAGAATGAATTTCTTCCGAGGCACTGTCAACAGCAAGGGACCCGTTTCCAGAGGCTGGAAGAATGATGAGTCGGTGTCCTTTGCCGTGCAAGTCAGAATGATATGTCTTGGGGGCATTTCTCTGCTAAAGGAAAGAAGCATGACACCAACTTAGAATTAGGGGCACTCTTGTGGCAAATGAAGTCCTGGAAGTTACTGGGGCTGGAAGTCAATCACTTTGCTGCAGCTTGGGGAAAACCATTAGCAGTGTTCTCTGATACTGTAGTTAGGCTGTCTCTTTCTGTCCCTTGCTGGGCCGCCTCTGGACAAGAGCCCTCTAATCAGCTGTCACTATCATCAACTGGCTAAGAGTGATGGGTCGTAGCGAGGCTTTTCTCCCCCTTGATTAAAGTTGGTATATTTCCCCGTCCTATTTAAAGTGACTATTCTGTGTGTGTGTGCACGTTGGGTGTGTGTATGCATGTTGGTATAAGTGTGTGCATATTGGTGTGTATGTGTGCATGTTGGTGTGTGTGTGCCTGTTGGTATGAGTGTGTGCATATTGGTGTGAGTGTTTTGAGTGTGCATATTGGTGTGTGTGTGTATGGTGTATGTGTGCATGTTGGTGTGAGTGTGCATGTTGATGTATGTGTGCATGTTGGTGTGTGTGCATGTTGGTTGAGTGTGCATGTTGTGTGTGCATGTTGGTGTGTGTGCATGTTGTGTGTGCATGTTGGTGTGAGTGTGCATGTTGGTGTGAGTGTGCATGTTGGTGTGTGTGCATGTTGGTGTGAGTGTGCATGTTGTATGTGCATGTGTGTGCATGTTGGTGTGAGTGTGCATGTTGGTGTGAGTGTGCATGTTGGTGTGTGTGCCTGTTGGTGTGAGTGTGCATGTTGGTGTGAGTGCATGTTGGTGTGTGTGCATGTTGGTGTGTGAGTGCATGTTGGTGTGTGTGCATGTTGGTGTATGTGTGCATGTTGGTGTGAGTGTGCATGTTGGTGTGTGTGCATGTTGGTGTATGTGTGCATGGTGTGTGTGCATGTTGGTGTGTGCGCATGTTGGTGTATGTGTGCATGTTGGGGTGTGTGCATGTTGGTGTGAGTGTGCATGTTGGTGTGAGTGTGCATGTTGGTGTGAGTGTGCATGTTGGTGTATGTGTGCATGTTGGTACGAGTGTGCATGTTGGTGTGTGCATGTTGGTGTGAGTGTGCATGTTGGTGTGTGTGCATGTTGGTGTATGTGTGCATGGTGTGTGTGCATGTTGGTGTGTGCGCATGTTGGTGTATGTGTGCATGGTGTGTGTGCATGTTGGTGTGAGTGTGCATGTTGGTGTGTGCATGTTGTATGTGTGCATATTGGTGTATATGCGCATGGTATGAGTGTGTGCATGTTGGTGTGAGTGTGCATGTTGGTGTGTGCATGTTGCATGTGTGCATGTTGGTGTGTGCATGTTGCATGTGTGCATGTTGGTGTATATGTGCATGGTATGAGTGCATGCTGGTGTGAGTGTGCATGGTGTGTGCATGTTGTATGTGTGCATGTTGGTGTGTGCATGTTGTATGTGTGCATATTGGTGTATATGTGCATGGGATAAGTGTGCATGTTGGTGTGAGTGTGCATGTTGGTGTATGTGTGCATATTGGTGTAAAGGTGTGTGCATGTTGGTGTGAGTGTGCATGTTGGCGTGAGTGCACGTTGGTGTATGTGTGCATATTGGTGTAAGGGTGTGTGCATGTTGATGTGAGTGTGCATGTTGGTGTATGTGTGCATGTTGGTTTGAGTGTGCATGTTGGTGTGTGTGCATTTTGGTGTGTATGTGTGCATGTTGGTATGGGTGCACAGTGGTGTGTGTGCATGTTGGTGTGAGGGTGTGTGCATGCTGGTGTGTATGTGTGCATGTTGGTGTGAGGGTGTGTGCATGTTGTGTGTATGGTATGTTGCATGTTGGCGTGTGTGCATGTTGGTGTGAGGGTGTGTGCAGGTTGGTGTGTGTGCATGTTGGTGTGAGGGTGTGTGCATGTTGGTGTGTATGTGTGCACATTGGTGTGTGTACATGTTGGTGTGCGTGCATATTGGTATATGCATGTTAGTGTGTGTGTGCATGTTTGTGTGCACGTTGGTGTGAGTGTGCATGTTGGTGTGAGAGTGTGTGCCTGTTGGTGTGTGTGCATGTTGATGTGAGCGTGTGTGCATGTTGATGTGAGAGTGCGTACTGTTGGTGTGTGTGCGTGCATGTTGGTGTGAGAGTGTGTGCATGTTGTGTGTGCACGTTGGTGTGAGCGTGTGTGCATGTTGGTGTGAGGGTGTGTGCATGTTGGTGTGAGGGTCTGCATGTTGTGTGTGTGTGCATGTTGGTGTGTGTGCACACAATGCAAACCAATATTTGCCTTGGTGTCTTCACTTCCACAGTTCTCAGTTATTTTTAGGGATGACGCACCCCACATCAAAATAACTGGTTATTTTTATGATTGGGTGCATCAATCACATTATGACATATCCCAGGTCTGGAGAAATAGCAGCCAACCAGCAGTCAAGACAGGGAAAGGGAGTAGGATGATTCAGACACAGGGACAGAGGCAGAGGGCAGGGGCCGCGGGGCTGGGAGAGGCTGCTGATTTGATTTAAGTGACTGAGGTTCCTAATAATAGCCCTTGTGGGCTTACTCTGTGCCTGGCACAGTGCTGAACACTTTGCATGTAGGATCCCTTGTAATTTTGCGAGAATCCTCTGAGATAGAGGCTCCCAATATCCCTGTTTCACAGATGAAGATGTTGAGGCCCAAAAGCTAACCAGCGTGCCCAGGTGTTGCATGTAGCGTAAGCAGGTCTGTCTGACTCCAGAACTGCAATTCTTCTTCTTCTTCTTTTTTTTTTTAAAGACAGTGTCTCACTCTGTCAACCAGGCTGGAGTGCAATGGCACGATCTCAGCTCACTGCAGCCTCGACCTCCCGGGCTTAAGCAATCCTCCTGCCTCAGCCCCCTCGAGTAGCTGGACTACAGGACAGGCACACACCACCATGCCCAGATAATTTTTATTTATTTTTTTTTTTGTAGAGACTGTGTCTCACCATGTTGTCCGGGCTAGTCTCAAAACTCCTGAGCTCAAGCGATCTACCTGCCTCAGCCTCTCAAAGTGCTGGGATTACAGGCATGAGCCACTGCGCTTGGCCAAAACCGCAATGCTTTATCATTGCTCCCTTTGCATCTTACAGAGGGAATGTCAGATCTTTCACCTTCTAGAAGCTCCATGTATTTATGCAGTGGGCACTCATTGTGGGCATAGTGCTGTGCAATCTGTTTTTTGGGAGTAGAGAGAAATATGGGGAGAGAAGTAGAAGAGAAGTTTCTGGTTCTAAAATACACAGAGTACGTTTAGTTGGTGAATTAAAATGTTGATATCGGTTGCAACACAATCCATGGATCTGGGCAGTGTAGGATGAACTGCAGTGGAGTTTTTGATCGCTGATGCCTCCGTTCCTCAGCCTCCTGTGTGTCTCACTCATCACCATGTCCCATTCAAATGTCCTTCAAGTTGGTATATGCCTCTGCTCCCCTCCCACCTCCTCCAGCAGCCAGAGTGACCTTTCTAGAAAGCACCTCTCATCATGTCACTCCTTGGCTGAAAACCCCTCAGTGTCATTTCCACAGACTGGTTGTTCCAATCACACTGAGCTATTTTTATTTTTATTTTTTTGCCATTCATTCATTCACTCAGTAAATATTCGAGGATCCATTATAATGTAACAAACTCCATTCTAGGCAATAAACAAGATAGACAAAGTTTCTGCTTTTAAGAAGCTTATATTCCAGTTGGGGGAGACAGATAGTAAATGAATAAACTGGAAAATATCAGAGAATGACTCAGGGCTGTGAAAAAGAATACATCTTTGATATAATCGGGAGTGACTGGGAGGTCAAGGGAGGCTTCTTTGAGAAGGTGACATGTAGGCTAAGGATCGGTGTGACAGGAAGCAAGCTCCTGAAGGATCTGGAGGAAGAGCTTTGCAGATAGGAAGCAACAAGTGACAAGGCCCTGGGGTGAGCTGGTGGGCATAAAGGAAAGAAGGAAGATCAGTGTGGCAGGAGATGAGAGTTGGGGAAGGGTAGAGGTGGGTGAGGTGGGAGAGATGTGGGCTATGCTCTGATTAGGGAGAGAATTGTAGGCAATTAGCAAGAATTTGGATTCTAAGGGAATAGGGAGCCATTAAGGTTGATAGGAGGGGAGTGAAGGTCTGATACATGATTGCAAAACATCCATTGTTCTAGTCAAATGGGTTAGAGAGGAGCTAGAGGGGAGTCAGAGAGACCAGTTGGGAGGCTGCTGCAGTTGTCCAGGTGTGAGGTGAGGGTATTTGGGACTGGGTCACAGCAGTGCTGATGGACAGAATAGATGGATTCCAGGAATGTGCACAGAGGTAGTGTGGATGGGTCTTACTGTGGGGTGGGAGGAAGGAGATTTATCAAGGATGACTCCGTGAAGGGAAAATAAACCATGGGCTACCAGAAGCACTAAGCTAAGGCAAAAGTCAAGCTGGCAAACCTGCCTGCCATTTTATTCCAAAATAAGATAGCTACAAAGATTAAAAAGCGACATACTTCTCTCACAGTTTGTTCCTTGTGGCCCACAAGATCTTTCCCCTAAAACAGTTCTGTTGAATTTCACCCTGGCAATGTAAATGGGTAGCTGATATTCACAGGTGCGGGACAGAAAGTCATCCCTCTGCTTGCTTGAGACAAATGCATATCTGATTGCTTCCTCTGCCCTATTGTTTAGGTAAAAATGCAGATTCACGGAGCCAGACTGAATTGTGTATTTAGTGGAAGGCTGATCAAGAACTCAAAAGAATGCAACCTTTTGTCTGTCATCTACCTGCCCCTTGCCTCTAGTTGTCCCACCTTTCTGGACTGAGCCAATGTACCTCTTACACATGCTGATTGATGTCTCCTGCCTCCCTGAAATACATAAAAGCAAAATCTGTATCCTGACCACCTTGGGCACATGTCATCAGGACCTCCTGAGGCTGTGTCACAGGCACGTCCTTAACCTTGGCAAAATACACTTTCTAAATTGGTTGAGACCTGTCTCAGATATTTGGGCTCACAACTCTTATGTTTTGGTCCCATGCAGTGGAGTGGAAGGCAGTGCTATGTATGGAGTTGGGGAAGCTTGGGACCTTGGCAGGGGTCCAGGTGTGACGGTGGAAGCGTCAGCCCAGGGCATTGGTCTAGGGTCCAGCGTGTCTTCCTCCAGATACCTCTAAGATTTAGCAAAAACGTCATCTCCTCCCAGAAACCCTTCTGACCAGCAAGACATGCTGTGTGTGTGTGTGTGGACAATACTTTGCAGGCTTTATGAGTTGTCTGTTTACCTAATTTTGCTGTGTACTCAGCAGGGATGGGGACCTTGTCTGTTTTGTTCCCTGCTGTATCTCCAGGTACCTGACACTCAGTAGTGCTTTGTGCAACTAAATAGAATTGCTTATAGGAGGAATTGGTGGAGGGGAGGGGCTTCCCTCAAGCATTACGTTTTGACCAATGTGAGGGATAGGGAGGGACTGAAGGATAGGAAAGAGGCCAGCATGCAAGGTGGCAGGAAGAGTCATATTAAGAAAAAGATCCAAACGTGGGCTTAAATGATCTGGGTTCAAACCCCAGCTCTGTTTCTTTCTACCGTGTGACCTTGGCCAACATCCTTTGCTTCTCTGAGCCTCAGTTTTGCCACCAGTTAAAAGGGAATCGTGGTAGCTGCCTAGTAAGTTTTCCCTGGTGGATACATGAGGCAACAGAGGTGGAAGCATCTCAGAGGATGCCTGGGGGAAAAGTAAGTATGTGCCTGAATTCGAATCTGAAAGGTCTGAGCAAGGCTGGCTCCATGCAGCCTCCCCTAATAACGCCACCTGGGTCTTCTCTGGTCACAATTACTGACAGGAGAGGGCTTTGCAGACTGTATCTACTTCATTAAGGATCAGATTTCTCTTTTGCCTTACAGAAGGCATCCACCTACCATTTTACGGAGTGAGAAGAAAAGGTCAGAATTATAGGTGCTTGGAGACTAATTTGCAGTGAGATGTACGAAGTTTAGCAACTTCAAGTTTTTCAAACCCTGAACGTTCTTAATCTCCAAGTCTAGACAAATTGCAAAGTGAGATCACTGGACCAGCAGCAACAGCAACCCCTGAGAACTTGTTGCAAATGCAAAATTTCAGACTTCACCCCAGATCCCAGGTATGGGAAACTTAGGGGTGGAGCCTAACGTTGTTTTAATAAGCTCTCCAGGGAATTCAGATACATGCTCAAGTTTGAGATCCACTAGCCTAGAGCTTCCTTTTTAATGGAGAGAGAATCATAGAATATTCAACTTGAGAAGATCAGCTTTGTCTTCTAGTCCAGGTCATTTGAAATGTGTTCTGGAGGCCGGGCAATGTGGCTCACACCTATAATCCCAGCACTTTGGGAGGCCAAGGCAGGTGGATCATTTGAAGTCAGGATTTTGAGACCAGCCTGGCCAACATGGTGAAACACTGTCTCAACTAAAAATACAAAACAAACAAACAAAAAAGCCAGGCGTGGTCATACGCACCTGTAATCCCAGCTACTTGGTAGGCTGAGGCAGGAGAAATGCTTAAACCTGGGAGGCAGAGGTTGCCGTGAGCTGAGATCATGCCACTGCACTCCCGCCTGGGCAATGGAGTGAGACTCTGTCTCAAAAAAAAAGTGTTCTGTACAACATTGGAGCTCAAGTCCTACCTGCAGGATTTTTCAAAGCTTATAATATGCTAATGTGCTTTTTTAATCTCCAGGGGAGGGTTATAGCATGCAGTCTTTTTCAGATTTCCTTTCAGGACTCATATCCCATGGTACAGTTTGGAAAACACAGATCTAGTCCAATCTCCCAGCAAGTGGACAATTTGAAGTTACCTTCTGTAAATTTCTGGTTATTCAGCCTTTCCTCCAAGTCTTCTAGATACAGGGAGTTGCTGACCTTATGAAGTCATTCATTTCTTTTGTTTCAGAGGAGATCTTGGTAACTATTAGCATTTGCCTTACAGTAAGCTAAATCTGTTTTCCTTTAATTTCCTCTTGGTTTTACCTCTGAGTCCTGGAACCTCCTAGAACAAGTCTAATTCACCTTCTGCCTGACAGCAGCAGGAAGACAGCTGTTCATTCTCCATCTCTTTCCAAGACTTCTCCTTTCTGGTTCCCATCCCATAGACATGGTCTGACTTTTTTAGCTAGTGAAGTATTTAGAAATTGCTTCTTTAAAATTGCTTATTTCCCACGTACAGTTTCAAAGAGTGATTACAAAGAGCAAATGTTTATTATTGAGTTGAAAGGTATCTCAAGAATTTTCTGGTGTGGTGTAGTTTATCTCTACTTCATCTATCTGAGACAGATGGCAGTTCATCCTGTTAATAAAGATCTGGGGGAGATCACACAGTCTTTCTGGTTAGTCTGCTTTGGTGAGTCCAGTGGTTTTGCTCATCTGAAAGCTCCTTCTTGTGCCTAGCCACGTGGTTTACTTACCCTTCCACTCCTAAACTATATTTGCACTTTGCTTTGACCAACCAATTAACTGGCTTTCTTTTTTTTTTGAGATGGAGTCTCGCTCTGTTGCCAAGGCTGGAGTGCAGTGGCGCAGTGTCGGCTCACTGCAACTTCTGCCTCCTGGGTTCAAGCAATTCTCCTGCCTCAGCCTCCCGAGTAGCTGGGATTACAGGCATGTGCCGCTGTGCTCGGCTAATTTTTGTATCTGTAGTAGAGGCGGAGTTTCACCATCTTGGCCAGGCCCATCTCAAACTCCTGACGTCAGATGATCCGCCCGCCGTGGCCTCCCAAAATGCTGGGATTACAGATGTGGGCCACTGCTCCTGGCCTACTGGCTTTCTTCTTATCTCTCATTTACCCATTTACTCATTCATTCCATGCACATTTGAGTATCCATTCTGTGCCTGGTATCCCACAAGATGCTACAGAGCCAAGACTGAACAAGACCAAACTGATCTGCACAGACCTTACAGTCTCTAAGGGAGAAGAGCAATGATCATATAAACACATAAATACACACTTTAAACTTGTGCTGAGTGGACAGGCAGTGGCAGAGAGTAGTGGGGTAGGGACAAATTCAGATGAGATGGTCTAGGAAGGAAGCTTGATGTTTGAGCTGAGAGCTGATATACATAATTTTTTTTTTTTTTGAGATGGAGTTTTGCTCTTGTTACCCAGGCTGCAGTGCAGTGGCGTGATCTTGGCTCACGGCAACCTCCACCTCCTGGGTTCAAGCGATTCTCCTGCCTCAGCCTCCCGAGTAGCTGGGATTACAGGCTTGCAACACCACGCCTGGCCAATTTTGTATTTTTAGTAGAGACAGGGTTTCTCCATGTTGATCAGGCTGGTCTCGAACTCCCGACCTCAGTGAGTTTCACTCTTGTTGCCCAGGCTGGAGTGCAATGGTGCGATCTCGTTTCACTGCATTCTCCGCTTCCTGGGTGCATGTGATTCTCCTGCCTCAGCCTCCTGAGTAACTGGGATTACAGGCACCCACCACCACGCCCAGTTAATTTTTGTATTTTTAGTAGAGACGGAGTTTCACCATGTTGGCTAGGCTTGTCTCAAACTCCTGAGCTCAGGGGATCTGCCTGCCTCGGCCTCCCAAAGTGCTGGGATTACAGCCGTGAGCCATCATGCCCAGCCAAAAGATGTTGTTCTAAATAGATACTAGGGTCTGCTTAAGGGTGGAGGGTGGGAGGAGGGAGAGGATGAGAAAAAAGAACTATTGAGTACTAAGCTTAGTACTTGGGTGGTGAAATAATCTGTACAACAAACTCCCATGACACAAGTTTACCTATACATCAAATCTGCACATGTACCACTGAACCTAAAATAAAAGTTTAAAAAATAAAAAAAATAAAAAATATGTTAGTATCATGGGTAATATATGAGTGAGTGGGACAGCTTGAATGCCTGCTTAGTAAAAAGTGGAAAATACGATTGAAAAAATATACTTCTTTCTTAAATGTTGTTAAAATGGAATAAATGTCAAAATTTATCTGCAAAAAAAAAGATGTTCTAGTAACTTGTCTTTCATAGTCTTGATAAGAAATCTCCTGTCATTCAAGTTGTTGTCCTTTTATCTATAATGCATCATTATTGTTTTTTTAATGGCCGCTTTCAAGATTTTCTTTGGCTTTCAACAGTTTGATTATGATGTGCCTAGGCGTGGTTTTCTTTGAGTTTATCCTATGTGGGGTTTGCTGAGCTTTTAGAATTTGTGAATTTATGTTTTTCACAAAATTTGGGAATTTTCAGCCATTATGTCTTTAAGAGTTTTGTTTTGTTTTTTGTTGTTTTTATTCTGCACCAATCCTTCTTAATTCTCCAGTTAGATCTTTTGAATGTTAGATCTTTTGATATTCTCTAATTGCTCCTTGGGGCTTTTTTAAAGAAATCAATCTTTTTTCCTCTCTGTTCTTTGGATTTGATAATTTCTATTCACCTAACTTCACATTCACTGACTCTTTCCTTTGTCATCTCCGTTTTGATATTGAGCTCATCCAGTAAATGAGAACATTTTCCAATGAATTTTGGATAGTGTATTTTTCGATTCCAAAATTTTCATTTGGTTATTTTTTAATAGCTTCTGTTTCTCTATGAAAATTGCTATCTTTTCATTTCAAGAGTGGTTACCTTTATCTTATGGAGCATGGTCATAATGCCTGCTTTAAAGTTTATGTCTGGTAATTCTAATATCTGGCTCATCTCAGTGTTGCTACCTATTGATTGCTTTTTTTTTTTTTTTTTTTTTTTTTTTTTGAGATGGAGTCTCACTCTGTTGCCCAGGCTGTAGCGCAGTGGCAGGATCTTGGCTCACTGCAACCTTCACCTCCCGGGTTCAAGCAATTCTCCTGTCTTAACCTCCCAAGTAGCTGGGACTACAGGCACCCGCCACCATGCCCAGCTAATTTTTGTATTTTTAGTAGAGATGGGGTTTCACCATATTGGTCAGGCTGGTCTCAAACTCCTGACCTCAGGTGATCCACCTGCCTTGGCCTCCCAAAGGGCTGGGATTACAGGCGTGAGCCATCATGCCCAGCCTGTTGATTGCTTTTGCGTTTGAAAATTGGTCAGGATTTTCCTGGTCTTTGGCATATCACGCAATTTTGGAGTATCTCCTGGAGATTTTGAATATTTTTGTGAGACTCTGGGTTTCCTTCTGGAGAATATTGATTTTTGGTTTGCTTGTTTTGTTTTTCTTAAGCAGTCAGTAGTCTGGTTAGAGTCAGACTGTCGGTGCTGTCTTGTCTTCTATAGGTGGTGCTCCAATGCCAGTTGAGTTCCTAAAGCCTTTGCCATGCTTCTTAGGGTTTATTCCAAGTGTGGGCAGCATTTCACACACAGATTAGGGCTCTCCTCCAGTTCTTTTCTTTTGGAGATAACTTGCACATTATCTGGCTTTCAGGGGCCTCTTTCTCCAGTTCTTTTGGCCAAAAAGATAGGGTTCTGTTAGAGTTTTAGCCTCTTGTCTTGTTGCACAGATCTGAATGACTGGCCTTCTCATTGGCGGTAAAGTGGTGAGAGAAAAGAGAGAGAAAAAAACCCATGGGTGCAATGGACTTAAAGATGATGCAAATAGCAGACACTGGGGACCACTAGATGGGAGAGAGTGGGAGGGAGCAAGTGCTGAACAACTCCCTATTTGGTACTGTGCTAATTACCTGACTGTATTAGCCTGTTCTCGTGCTGCTAATAAAGACATACGTGAGACTGGGTAGTTTATAAAGGAAAGAGGTTTAATGGACTCACTGTTCCACGTGGCTGGGGAGGCCTCACAATCATGGCAGAAGAGGAAGGAAGAGCAAAGGGACGTCTTACATGGTGGCAGGCAAGAGAGCTTGTGCAGGGGAACTCCCATTTATAAAACCATCAGATCTCGTGAGACTTACTCACTACCATGAGACACAGTATGGGGGAAACTGCCCCCATGATTCAATCATCTCCACCTGGCCCTGGCCTTGACATGTAGGGATTATGACAATTCAAGGTGAGATTTGGGTGGGGACACAGCCAAGCCATATCACTGAGTGATGGGGATTATTCATACCCCAAACCTGAGCATCACACAATATACCCCTGTAACAAACCTGCACATGTACCCATGAATCCGTAACAAAAGTTAAAATTATTAAAAAATTAAAAAAAATTCTCATGTACTCTTCCTTACCTTATTCACATAACATTGGCCTCTATTCTGAGCTTCTCAGTCCAAAGGAATGGGATATCTTTTGGGGGCTTTGGTGCCTGTGCTGTTTCTGTGTCATATGAGTGCAGTTTTGTGTCTGGGCTGATTTTGGGACATGGCTGGGATAGAAAAAAGACACACACACATAAAAACCCCAAGGATTCTGCCCATACTCTCCTACTCACAGATCTTCCTTTCCTGGTCCTCTGGCCAGAAATATGGGATACTCTGAAGTGTTTACTCCTCATTTCCAAAGCACAGTTCCTAAATCCTGCCAACTTTTGGCCAAAACTGACAGATGAAGGAAACTCACCACCGCCATAATGGCCATGCTTCAGATGTGGACTCCCCTGCCCTACCCACCTGCTGTCATTGACTTGTAGGAATCCTCAGGTTGTTGCCTTTTCCATTTTTTTTCCCAGAATTTTTGGGAAAGATAGGCTTTGGTGGGCTTGCTCTATCATGGCCAGAGCCAAAACTGGGATGGGTATTTTTTAAGTATAAAATCACTAGACCCTCAAAACAATCCTATGAGGTGGGTGACACTATCCCCATTTTACAGATGAGGAAACAGAGGCTCTGATAAGTGAATCAGGATCTAAGCCCTCACCCGATTGCTGTTGTCGTGCTACTTGGCACCTTGCTCAATGCGTTGACATGATGCAGAGGCTGTTTCCTTGCTTGCCTTATCTCCCCTATTCCACTATGGGACCCTTGGGGTCAGGGGCTACATCCACCTTGTCCTTCATCCATGAAATCAAGAAAATATTAATAACTACCTTGTAGTGCCGTTGTAAGGGTTGAATTAGGTAATATACATATAATATTTAGAATAGTGTTGGGCACACGGTACACTTTCCAAAAAAGGGTGATCATGATCATTGTCATTTTTATTTTTTCCTTGGATATTGAATGCTGACAGCAAAGCAATTGACATAGGGTAGGGCTCAGTAAATATTTATTAAGTTCAGTCCTTGGTGAAACCATTTTTATCCTTAAACACCATGGATCTTACTTTGTTGTTTCTTTTAGAAACCCATGAGCATTTTTTGCGATTATTATGTGTAGTCCCCCATTCTACCCACAGGATGTTGCTATGTGGGGCGGAGGGGTCTAGATGTCCTGGTCCCATTCTTACCCTACAGCCTTTCCTGTTTTCTTCTTTTTCTTGCTCAAGTTGAACTTTTCTCACTTCTCCCTTATCGAGAAATAAGAGGAACTCTGGGTTCAAATTTTGGCTTTTTCACTTAGGAGGTTTGTAGCTTAAAACATGTAAAACACAGACCCCTAGAATCTCATATATACTTTGTGAAGAATAGAGTCTACCCCACAGTGTTGCTGTGAGAATTACAATGAGGTGGTACTCGCAAAATGTCTAGCATAGTTCGTGGCACATAGTAGATACTTTAAAAATATTTGTTTCTGGTTGGGTACAGTGGCTCACGCTTGTAATCCCAACACTTTGGGAGGCCAAGGTGGATGGATCACTTGAGTCCAGGAGTTTGAGACCAGCCTGAGCAACATGGCAAAACCCTGTGTCTACAAAAAATAAAAAAGATTAGCTAAGTGTAGTGGTGCACGCCTATAGTCCTAGCTACTCGGGAGACCAAGGTGGGAGGATCGGTTGAGCCTACAAGGTTGAGGCTGCAGTGAGCCATGATTGTGCCACTGCACTCCAGCCTGGGCAACAGAGTGAGACCCTGTCTCAAAAAAACCTGTTAGTTTCCTCATTAACATTTGATAATAAGATATTCAGCTGCAGTATGAGAGGAGTTACTCTAGATACAGGAGGGGAGTTCTGGTCCAGATACTATTGGCCAGAAGCTGACCAAGGCTTCTAGCATCTCAAAAGAAAGTACCTGCTCCATAGTATGCACTCAATAAAGACATGTGGAAAGAATAATCAACAGAACAATTCGAATTTGCTACCCTATCTCCCAGCATCAGACTGCCCTACAGGGTTGGTAACTAGGGGTGGAACGATGTTAAGCATGAACATCTCTGTTGCTAGTATCTAAACATGCTTAGTTCCACTTTACCCGATGATTTTTTATCAGTTTCAACGGTTTAATTATTGTTTAGACCTGCAGGGATATTTTTAGTTTTGCATTTGTTCTTTATCTCTGGGTTCGGCAGCATCTCCTTTTAGAGATATCCTTTGGAAGCATTGTCAACCTGACGTTTGGGCTCCAGAGGCAGGCTGGGTGCCAGGGAGGGTTAACTGCTAGGGGGACTCATTTGTGTTGGCTTCCTTAGGTCAAGCCAGTAAAATATTTATTGGTGTAAATTTTGTGCCAGGGGCTCAGATGGTTTGAGGATATGGAAGATACCAAGACATGGTCCCTGAGCATCAGGAATTCATCGTCCAGTTGAAGACACAGACAAGTTTACAACTCAAATGCAGTGGGTTTGGTTCGTGAGGGGTGATCATTGGTGCCATGACATTGCACATGGCACTGTCCTCTGGATAAATCCTCAGCTCTCCACTTTGACTTGTCCACCTCTTCTCTGCCTCACTTTCCCCCTTCCCTCTCCCCATCATCTGCACTCTACCTCCTCTGCCACTCTGAGCCTCCTCCGGTGGATCACATCTTTGGACAGACTGGTTCTGGCTGGGACACTTGTCCCTCTTTCTTTGCTTAATGAACCGCCACTCATCCTCCAGACCTGTATTAGTCTGTTCTCACGCTGCTAATAAAGACATACCTGAGACTGGGTAATTTATAAAGGAATGAGGTTTAATTGACTCACAATTCCACATGACTGGGAGGCCTCACGATCATGGCGGAAGACGAAGGAAAAGCAAAGGGACTTTTTACATGGCAGTGGGCAAGAGAGAGCGTGTGCAGGGGAACTCCCATTTATAAAACCATCAGATCTTGTGAGACTTTTTCACTGCCATGAGAACAGTATGGGAAATACTTGCCCCCATGATTTAATTACCTCTCACTGGGTCTCTCCCACAATACGTGGGAACTATGGAAGCTACAATTCAGTGAGATTTGGGTGGGGTCACAGCCAAAGCATATCAAGACCCCAGTGCAAATGTTCTTCCTTAAGGAAACCTCTCCGTAACCCTCAGCTCTGGGTTACATTGCAACAACCTTTATGACATTGTGAGATGTGATTCCTTGTTTAGCGCCCATCTCTTCTTCCAGATGTGTGCTAGACATTGTATGTCCAAGAGAAAGATCATGGGAACCATGTATGTAATTTAAAATTTCCTAGTGGTTACATTTAAAAACATTAAAAAATCAGCCAACATTAATTTTTTATTGTAGGAAAACACACCAAAGTTTACCATTTTAACAATTTTTAAGTGTACAGTTTAGTGGCATTAAACATGTTCACAAGGTTGTATAATCATCACCACCATCCATCTTCAGAGCTTTTTCATAATCCCAAACAGAAACTCCATGGCCATTAAGTAATCTCAGCCCCTGGTAACCCCTATTCTTCCTTCTGTCTTTATAAATTTGCATCATCTAGATACCTTATGTAAGTGGAAATATACACTATTTGTCCTTTTGTGTCTGGCATATTTCATTTAGCATATGGTTTTCAAGGTTAATCCATGTTGTAACATGTATCAGAACTTCCTTACTTTTTAAGGTTGAATAATAATCTGCTATATGGATATATCACATTTTGTTTATTTATTCATCCATCAGTGGGCACTGAGCTGTTTCCAGCTTTTGGCTATCGTGAATAATGCTACTCTGAACATTGGTGTATAAATATCTGTTTAAGTCCCTTCTTTCAATTCTTTTGGGTATCGACCTAGGAGTAGAATTGCCAATTGCTCATTGTGTGTTTAACTTTTTGAGGAATGACATTAATTTTTACAATATATTTTATTTAACCCAATATTTCCAAAATATGATCATTTCAACTTGTAATCCATGTAAAAATTATTAATGAGCTGTATTACTTTTTTCATGATATGTTTTCGTAACCTGCTGGGTAGGGTGTGAATTCTGTGTGGATGGAGAGACTGTGCATCTTCAGATCAAAGTACCTGGTGTATAAGTAGGTGTCTGATCAAAAGATGCATGCACACATTCTGCCTGGGGAAGGGAAGAGAATTACTACTAATGATAGCAACGATAGTGTGTTTGTCTGTTTTCACACCACTATAAAGAAATACTCAAGACTGGGTAATTTATAAAGGAAAGAGTTTAATTGACTTATAGTTCTGCATGGCTGGGGAGGCCTCAGGAAACTTACAATCATGGCAGAAGGCAAAGGAGAAGCAAGTACCTTCACAAGGCGGCAGGAAAGAGAGAGGACAGGAGAAACTGCTAAACACTTTTAAAGCATCAGATCTCATGAGAACTCACTCACTATCATGAGAACAGCACAGGGGAAGCCGACTCCATGATCCAATCACCTCCCACCAGGTCCCTCCCTTGACACGTGGGGATTACAATTCGAGATGAGAGTTGAGTGGGGACATAGAGCCACACCATATCAAATAGTAACAAAGATAGCAGGCCCACTGCTTGCTTGGTTTTTCATGTTCACCCTAAGAAGAGGGTACTTTTATTATTCCCTTTTTAGATGCATGAACTGAAGTTCAGAGAGGTTAAGAAATTTACCCCAAGTCACACAGCTAGTAAGTAGTGGAGCTGGGATTCAAACCCAGCTCACTGGCCCTGCTGAGTTCTACATGCTGTGGCAAGAAGTTATGTTGGCAGGTATTAAATCTAGATGTCTTGGAAAAGCCCCCTGGTGCCCATGCAGTTGTCTGCCTTAGTTAAGAGGAGTTAAAAAGGTTGATAGACGTTTACACAGCACCTTTCTCTTAGAAGTATCCACATTTCTCTCTGCCTCTAGGTCAAGACTATGTGGATAACCTGAGCAAATTGACCTCCTGGCACACCTGGCTCTGAAGGCTTCATAAGCACTGTCTTTGCAGAGGGAAATTGGGAGGGAAACCGGGGCAGGTGCTGGCCCCACTGAATCTGCACAGGGAGGGGAAAGCCAAAGGGATTTGGAAAACCTGCGCCCCAAGTCAGTTGTTGGGAGATAAAAATAGGGCACCTTGCAGCACATAAGGTCATCGAATGCTACTTTTAGCTTTCTTGAATTTGCCAACACAAGAGGTTATAAAACTAATATAATGCCTGTCACTCAAGGGAGGCAGAGCAATAGAACAACAAAGGGTTCTGGAATTAGGAGCGTCTCAGAGGTCATCCCTCTCTAATGTGGCTTTCCTGGTGTGGACTCTCTTGTGCAAGCATGCGTGGGAGCCAGCCTGAGCTGGATGGGCCTCCTAAGCTTCTCACCTCCTTCTCCCTCCCTCAGAGGCCCATGAGAGAGCCCATTCTTCCCAGCTGGTGGAGGCACAGCTGTTTCTCAGAGGATGCAGAGCCAGAAGAGGCAGGATCAAGATAAGGACGACCTTCCACCCTTTCTTCTGGTCACCAGGCCTTCATTTCTCAAGACTATCCATCTAGGGTAGCCCTATGCATGAATAGAATTTTGACTATAGCGAGTTGTCTCCCACTTAATTTCTTGCCTGAATTCAAGGTGCATGATACCAATACTGTTATCCATCATGGCAGCTTTAATTTATGACTGTTCAAGGATTGTTTCGGCCGGGTGCAGTAGCTCACTCCTGTAATCCCAGCACTATGAGAGGCCGAGGCGGGCAGATCACCTGAGGTCAGGAGTTTGAGACCGGCCTGGCCAATGTGGTGAAACCCCATCTCTACTAAAAATACAAAAATTAGCTGGGCATGGTGGTTCACACCTGTAATCCCAGCTACTTGGGAGGCTAAGGCATGAGCCAGGAGGTGGAGGTTGCAGTCAGCTGAGATGGTGCTTGGACAACAGAGAGAGACTTCATCTCAAAAAAAGTAAAGAAGAATTGTTTCATTCCACAAATATTTATTAAAGCAACATATAATTTGTGCATTGAGACAAAAAATTATATTTATTTTAATATTTTTTTGAGACAGAGTCTCACTCTGACACCCAGGCTGAAGTACAGTACCACAATCATGGCTTACTGCAGCCTTGATCTCGCAGGCTCAAGCAATCCTCCCACCTCAGCCACCCAAGTCGCTGGGACTACAGGTGCATGCCACCATACCCTGCTAATTTTTCATATTTTTAGTAGAGATGGGGTTTTTGCTGTGTTGCCCAGGCTGGCCTCAAACTCCTGGGCGCAAGTGATCCACCAGCCTCAACCTCCAAAATGCTGGGATGACAGCATTTTGAGCCACTGCACCTGGCCAAAAATTAATATTTATTTATTGCAAGGCAGTGGGTGATACAGTAGTGAGAAGGTGAGTCCAGGGCTCTGCCTTCTTAGAGCTTATATTCCAGTGGGAAAGATGGATGATAAACGGATAACAACAGTCGATCCTCATTATTTGTGGATTCTGTATTTGTGAATTTGCCTACGGGCTAAAATGTATTTGTAACCCTTAAATCAATACTTGCATTTGCAGAGTGGTAAAAAACTTTGAGTCGCCTGATGTGCACAACCCCTGAGGTTGAACAGGGCAGCATTCTGCCCTCTCATTTCAGCTCTCATGGTGTAAGCAGTGTCCTTTCTGTGGTCTTAAACTGAATGCTAAGTTTTTCACATTTTGTTTGTACTTTGTGTGGGTGATTTTGCTGTTTACAATGGCCCCAAAGCATAGCGCTGAACTGCTGTCTAGTGTTCCTTAGAATAAGAAGGCTGTGTGTGCTGTGCCTTATGGAGAAAATACCTGTGTTAGATATTCTTGGTTTAGGTTTGAGTGACAGTGCTGTGGGCTGTGAGCTCAATGTTAATGAATCAACTATATATATATATATATAGTGTATATATGTATGGTGTGTATATATATATATATAATATAGTGTATATATATATGGTGTGTGTGTGTATATATATATATATATATAAAATATATATATTAAATACAGTGTCTTGAAACAGGAACACACCTAAAACAGGGTTATGTGTGGATGAGTGGATGATAAGATGACCAGAGGCTCGCAGGAACCTAACCACATATCTCTCCTAGTCGCAATGGTTCAGCATTTGCCAATTCAGTATTTGCAGTGACTTTATGGAAGAGAACACAATTGCCACAAATAACAAGAACTGATTGTATAACAAAACAGTTCCACTGAGTGGTAAGGGTCATGAGGAAATGAAACAGGAGGAGGAATGAGAGAGTAGCTGGGATGGAGGTGGGTGGGGAAGCCTCCCCAAGGTGAAGAATTGAGATGAGATCCTCAGAGCTGTGTGTGCCCAAGCCACCGTGGAACCCGGGAATCCTGATGTTCAGGGTATTGTGCCTTTGACCCTGCCCTAACATCCATATTAGGTTGTTTAGGGCTGTAGTGAGATGACAGCGACCATCAAGGTTTATATCCATGACTCCCAGGGGCCTGTGGTCTCCAATGTCAGATCCAGTTACCCCCAGCAATATAGATATACTTGAAAAGGGTTATTGAGGATGGTATCTTGAGTATTTCTTTTATCCTTGATCCCCCAAGTCTGGCCCCATGTGAGTCTGGGCTGCAGTTTATAATTTTATGAGTTGTAGTAAATACCCCAACTCTAAGATAGGGTTTATTTTATTGCAATATTGCAATACTAGGCAATGTTTTATTGCTGTATTCCTGATGTAGATTTTAACTGTGATTTTAACCAGGAAGGGCTTTGTGTTTTAGTTTAAAATGTCCAATGAATGATGATAATCATTCTCTTCATTCCAGAGACTGGAAGCAGCTGAGTCCCAGGTTTAATTGCACTTGACAATTAAAATGCTAAATATTGTAAAACAATTCTACACAGTGGAGGGGAAGGAATATGGGGTTGGGGCTGGATGGATGGATGGACCTGGAACTTTCTAGATGGGTGGATCTTTTTTAAAAATTTAATTAATTAATTAATTTTTATTTCCATAGTTTTTTGGGGAACAGGTGGTACTTGGTTACATAAGTTCTTTAGTGGTGATTTGTGAGATTTTGTGCGCTCATCACCCGAGCAGTATACACTGAACCCAATTTGTAGTCTTTTATCCCTTCCCCACTCCCCACTTTTCCCCGCTGGGTTCCCAAAGTCCATTGTATTATTTTTATGCCTTTGCGTCCTCATAGCTTAGCTCCCACTTATGAGTGAGAACATATGATGTTCAGTTTTCTATTCCCGAGTTACTTCACCTGGAATAATAGTCTCCAATCCCATCCAGGTCGCTGTGAATGCCATTCATTCATTCATTCCTTTTTATGGCTGAGTAACATTCTAGATGGGTGGGTCTTGGGAAAGTTTCTACTCCTCTCTCTGTCTCAGTTTCCCCATCGGAAACATGGGGCTGATGATTCCTATCCCCTGGGTACTCGTTTCCTATTCAGATGTGCAGTATGTTTATAGCAGCCAAGAGAACGTGCTCTGTGGTCAGACTGCCAGGTTTTGAATTTCACTTTGAATCTTGGCCTTGGGCCAGTGACTCCACTTTTCCAGAGCTGTAATTTCCTCTCAATCTCACAAGATTGTTATGAGAATTAAATGAAATAAGGTGTGAGAATGAGAGGAGATGCTGCAAAAGCCCAGCCCACAGTAAGTGCTCGATAAATGTTAGCTATGGCCATTACTAAGAATGTTTTATTAAACACCCACTAGGATGGCTATGATGACAATGATGATAAACAACAAAAACTAACAAGTGTTGGTGAGGATGTGGGGAAGTCAGAACCTTTATATGTTGCTGGGTGGGAATGTAAAATGATGCAGGCACTGTGGAAAACAGCAGGGTGGTTTCTCAGAAGGTTAACCACAGAGTTACCATCTGACCCAGCAACTCCACCCCTAGATATATGCCCCAAAGAACTGAAAACAGATGTTCAAACAAATACTCGTACACAAATGTTCATAGCAGCACTATGCACACTTGCCAAAAGTAGAAACAACTTAAATGTCCATCAGCTGAGGAATGCTTAAACAAAATGTGGTGTATACATATTATTCAGCCATAACAAGAAAGGAAAGACCAACACATGCTACACTTGGATGAACCTTGACAACATTATGCAAAAGGAAAGAAGCCAGACACGAAAGACCACATAGCGTAGGATTCCATTCATATAAAATAGCTGGAATAGGCAAATCCACAGAGACAGAAAATAGTTTAGGGCTTGCCAGGGGCTGGGGGAAGAAGGGAATTGGGAAGGATTGCGAATGGGGACAGGGTTTTCTTTTGGGTGTAATGATAGTGTTTTGGAACTAGATAGAGGTGGCGGTTACACAACATTGAGAATGTACTAAGTGGTGCCGAATTCTGTACTTTGAAATGGTTAATGTGAATTTCACCTCAATACATTTTTTCTTAAAAAGAGCTTTGTTAAAACAAAAAAGCTACCCTAAAGTTAGTGACTGAAGGTTAATCTTCCCAGTCTCTTGGTGGGTAATAAAATCATGAATCTCATAGAGCAGGACGTGGGAGGCATTACGGGGTCAGAGCCTGTGCTCCCTGCCCTGTCCCATCTCCCAGGTGACCTGCCCAGACTAGGGTCAGTGCATTTGTTTGGTTCTACCTGGGGACATCCTGGGGCGGGGCTAGTGCCCAACGAGACCCAGGGTTCTGCTGAATGCCAAGCTCATTAATGAGGTCTTAGATTAAGATTCTTGCTAATGTTGAATTACTTTGGCAACTGTATGTTTTTCATTTGTCCTTATTCGCTTCTTTTTGCAAGGATGACAAACTCGAAACTCAAAAAATTTTCCTGGATTTTCGGTTTCAGGCTTTCTGGGATTGTGGCTAAAATGAATGTCCTATTTGACTTTCGGGAGGTCAGAAGGAGCTGCCCCAGGTGCTGACCCACAAGCCTGTGTATAATGGCTCAGCTTTCCAAGGGCTTTCTGGACGGGTCTCTCATTTCCTGAGGGGTTAGGGGGCTCCAGAGAACCCTCCAATGGTACAGATCTGGATCAGAAACCCTGATCTACCACTTACTAGCTGTGTAACCTAGGGCAACTCAGTCTTTCAAATAATTATCTGTTCCTAGCACTGTGAAGTGGAGACAATAGCGGAATTTTCTTCATGGGGTCTTGTGAGGATACTATGAGGTGATACACGTGAATACTTAGAATAGTATCTGGCACATGGTAGGGGCACAGCAAACAGTAATTGTCATTTGTACTACTAGTACTTATTGTACTTCGCTTTTCCTGTGATTCCAGTCAAATATTTTCAACCAGTGTCTAAAAGTTTTGTCTCTTGCCAGAAAGTTATGAGGATTTAAACCAAAAAACAGTTTTTTTCTTCTACCAATGACTTCAGCCTAATATTTTCAGCCAGCATCTAAAAGTTCTGCTTCTTGCTAGAGAGTTTTGAGGATTAAACTAACAAGTGCATTGAAGTATTCACAAAAGTTACAAGCAGTGTTGATCCTGGAATGGTAGACTCTCTGTCACTTCTGCCTCTGAAGAGCTAAAGAATCTACTGTGTAGATTCCAATGCTGGCTCCGAAATTCAGAGAAATTTAAGCCACGTGATTGCCTGTTTATAACATTTTAATGGGAAGGGACAAAGAAGTTAGACACTTGCTTAGACTTTCTGAAATCACTTTTTCCCTTGAGAATGGCTTTTATTTCTCTTAGTCCCTTATCAGAGAATGTCAAGTGAAAAACCCCTACACCTTGAAATGTCTTTAATCAATCTTCAGACCTTTCAGTTCTTAAAAACCTATTCCCTTCTCCCCACCCATTTCAAGACTTGAAATAAAATGATTTGCCAGAAACAGATGACAAGATAGCAAGGGTGACAATTAATAACCCCCAGAGCCCCCTGCTACCACACCTTTCCTATTTAAAATGATAAATTACCTATTTCCCTCAGACTTTATTAAAAAGAGGATCAAAAGAGAGAGGGAAGAGTTGATACAATACAGCTCATCAGTGAAACGCTGCTGAAGCTTCGGCAGAGAGAAGTTGAATCCCTGTCAATTTAGAAGCCGGTAATTTGGATAATGAAATGAGACTTTTTGCATTTTTAGCCCCAAACTTCTAGTTTTGAAGTGTAGGGGTGGAGAGGAAGATAATTTCATGGGAAAGATAATTTGGCAGAGGGTAAGACTTTTCTTCCTCTCTGCTTCTCTCTCAGACTTTGAACAAACTTCAAGGAAAGAAAGTAAACTTGAGGGCGAGTCGATGTTCCCGTGGCCCCGGTGGAATGGTGTGTTGTGTCAGTGTGTGCTTGTGCGTCTTTGGTGGAATGGTATGTGTGTGTGTGCGTCTTTGGTGGAATGGTGTGTATGTGTGAGTGTGTGTTTGTGCATCTTTGGGGGAATGGTGTGTATGTGTGAGTGTGTGTGCATCTTTGGGAGAATGGTGTGTATGTGTGTGTGTGCGTCTTTGGGAGAATGGTGTGTATGTGTGTGTGTGCGTCTTTGGGGGAATGGTGTGTGTGTATGAGTGTGTGTTTGTGCGTCTTTGGTGGAATGGTGTGTATGTATGAGTGTGTGTGCGTCTTTGGGGGAATGATGTGTATGTGTGAGTGTGTGTGCGTCTTTGGGGGAATGGTGTGTATGTGTGAGTGTGTGTGCATCTTTGGGGGAATGGTGTGTGTGTATGAGTGTGTGTTTGTGCGTCTTTGGTGGAATGGTGTGTATGTGTGAGTGTGTGTGCGTCTTTGGGGGAATGGTGTGTATGTGTGAGTGTGTGTTTGTGCGTCTTTGGGGGAATGGTGTGTATGTGTGAGTGTGTGTGCGTCTTTGGGGGAATGGTGTGTATGTGTGAGTGTTTGTGCGTCTGGGGGAATGGTGTGTGTGTATGAGTGTGTGTTTGTGCGTCTTTGGGGGAATGGTGTGTATGTGTATGTGCGTCTTTGGGGGAATGGTGTGTATGTATGAGTGTATGTGCATCTTTGGGGGAAAGGTGTGTATGTGTGTGTGTTTTTGTGTCTTTGGGGGAACGGCGTGTATGTGTGTGTGTTTGTGCGTCTTTGGTGGAATGGTGTGTATGTGTGAGTGTGTGTTTGTGCATCTTTGGGGGAATGTGTGTATGTGTGAGTGTGTGTGCGTCTTTGATGGAATGGTGTGTATGTGTGAGTGTGTGTGCATCTTTGGGGGAATGGTATGTATGTGTGACTGTGTGTTTGTGCGTCTTTGGGGGAGTGGTATGTGTGAGTGTGTGTTTGTGTGTCTTTGGGGGAACTGTAGGCTACGGGGAGGGGTGGGTCCCAGCTCAGCTGCAGGATGCCATGTGATTAAGGGGAAAGTGAGGGTGTAGGTTACTACCAACTATAAGACTTTAGCCATGACCTGTCACTTATCCATTACTTGTTGATAACATTACAGTTTCTTCATCAGTAGGATGGGGATAACAGCAGAACTTTACCCTTGAATTATTCTGAAGATTAAATGAAACGATGCAATTAGAGCATTTAGCCCCATCCCAAGCACAGTAAGCACACAGCCAATGTTGTGAACCCTGAAAATCTGAGACAGACCTCATTAATTTAGAAAGTTTATTTTGCCGAGGCTGAAGATGCACGCCCATGACACAGCCTCAGGAGGTCCTGATGACATGTGTCCAAGGTGGTCAGAGCACAGTCTGCTTTTATACATTTTAGGGAGACATGAAACATCAATCAGATTATGTAAGATGTACATTGGTTCCATTCAGAAAGGCGGGACAACTCAAGCAGGGAGGGGGCTTCCAGGTCACAGGTAGGCGAGAGACAAACGATTGCATTCTTTTGAGTTTCTGATTAGCCTTTCCAAGGGAGGCAATTAGATATGCATTTATCTCAGTGAACAGAGAGATGACTTTGAGTAGAATGGGAGGCAGGTTTGTCCTAAGCAGTTCCCAGCTTGACTTTTCCCTTTAGCTTAGTGACTTTGGGTCTTCCAAGATTTATTTTCCTTTCACAATGTTGTATAAATGTTCATGTATAAAGGGAGTAAAAGCATCTATTTCACAGGATGCCACGGAGGATTGAATACATGCATAAAGTGCTTTATAGCATTACTTGTTGATAACTGTCTTTTTTTTTTTTTTTTTTTTGAGACGGAGTCTCGCTCTGTCGCCCAGGCTGGAGTGCAGTGGTGCGATCTTGGCCCACTGCAAGCTCCGCCTCCCGGGTTCACACCATTCTCCTGCCTCAGCCTCCCGAGTAGCTGGGACTATAGGCGCCCGCCACCATGCATGGCTAATTTCTTTTTTTTTTTTGTATTTTTGGTAGAGACAGGGTTTCACCGTGTTAGCCAGGATGGTCTCGATCTCCTGACCTCGTGATCTGCCTGCCTCGGCCTCTCAAATGCTGGGATTACAGGCGTGAGTCACCGCGCCCGACCGATAACTGTCAATAACATCTACTTTACAGGGCAGGTGAGATCAGCACCAGTTTCCTAACACAGAATCTGGTGGCTGCACTCCACAGGCAGGCTTTTATGTGGCAGTCCCCCAGTCAGTGTCCAGCAAATGAATGAGTTATCTAGGGCTTTTGTAAAAAAAATCTACCGCAAACTAGATGGCTTAAACCAGCAGAAACATACTTTCCCACAGTTCTAGGGGCTTGAAAGTCTGAAATCGGGTGTTGGCAGGGCCACAGTGCCTCCAAAGGCTCTGGGAGAGAATCGGTTCCTTGCCTGTCCCACGGCTTCAGCGGGTGGCTGGCCATCCTTGGTGCTCCTTGGTTTGCAGCTGCATCACTCCAGCCCCTGCCTCTGTCTTCACATGACGTTCTCCTCTGTGTCTTCTCCTCGTCTTATAAGGACACAAACCATTGGACTTAGGATGCATCCTGATCCAGTATTAACTCATCTTAACTTGATTGTATCTGCAAAGATCCTATATGCAAATAAGGTACTGGAGGCTGCAGTTCAACCCAAAATAAAGGCTTCTGATAACCCTGAGCTTTCTTTCTGTCAGAGTTAGCACCTGCCAAGACCAGGAATAAGGACTGGATGATTCTTTTTTTTTTTTTGAGATGGAGTTTCACTCTTGTCATCCAGGCTGGAGTGCAATGACACAATCTTAGCTCACTGCAACCTCACCTTCCCAGGTTAAAGTGATTCTCCTGCCTCAGCCTCCTGAGTAGCTGGGATTACAGGCATGTGCCACCATACCTGGCTAATTTTTGTATTTTTAGTAGAGATGGAGTTTCACCATGTTGGCCAGTCTGGTCTTGAACTCCTGACCTCAGGTGATCCACCCGCCTCGGCCTCCCAAAGTGCTAGGATTACAGGTGTGAGCCACCGCACCTGGCAGGACTGGATGATTCTTGAGTGTGAGCTCTGTGTCAGGCTCAAAATGAAAAGCACTGTATGCATTTATTTAATCCTCAGTGGCGTTCTGTGAAACAGATGGTTTTACACTCTTTGTACATGAACATTTATACAACATTGACTGTGTGCTAGGGAATGAAGCTAAATGCTCTGTTTGCATGGTTTTATTTAATCTTCAGAGCAATCATGGGGGAAAGCTCTGCTGTTGTCCCCATTCTACAGATGAAGAAACGGAGTCACAGTGAGGAATTTTAGGGACAAATTCATGTCTAAGTGTTGGCGTTGACTTAGGAGAATTAACTCTTGTTCTTTCAGTTCAGAAAGCAAGTCTTCCATATGCAGAGGTATCTTCCTTTCTGGGGGAGTTAGTCAGTGAGTGACAGGCTCATGATCCCCCCTCTTCCAGACCTGCATTACCAGCATGTAATTCAGGGTCATGGGATGTTTACTCTGGAGATTCAGAGATCAGATGGGAGAGGAACAGTAGGTGAACGTGATGAAATAATCATGTCTTTGTAGAAAAAAAAAACCCACTAAGATGAGATTTTAGAATTTTGTGCTCAATCTTTTCAGGCTAGAAAAATAACTTCTTCCTGGGGAGTGATCCCGGGGTTTCTGGGAGAAGGGGAAGTTAAGGTTCAGCTGCATTCCAGAATCTGCTCTTGGGTGTCCTGCAGGAAATTCAGACTCAGCCTGTCTGACCCTGAGCTTGCCACCTCATCTGTGCCCAATTTCCTTCTGCATTTCCTATTGCTGTGATCAGTGCCACCGGCCACTGTGTGACCCAGGCTAGCAACTGGGACATCAGCCTGGACTTAATGTCCTGGTTATGGGTCAGGTGAAGACCCAAACCCCACATGTCCTTCTTGGACAAGGCTCTGTGGCCTCGAGCAAGCCACTTGACCTCTCTGTGCCTCAGTTTCCTCATCTGTAAGACAGAGTAAATTCCACCCACTTTGTTGGATTGTTCCGTGGGTCTATAACTTTTTATGTGTAAATTCAATAAATGTTGGCTATTTTTCCTTTTTTCTCTTCTAATATACAGTCACTCCACCTCTCTCTATCTCCACTGCCATAACTATCCCAGGTCCCCGTCATCTCCCATCCAGATGCTTCCAGGAGCCTCAGGCTGGGCTCCTGCTGCTGCCGGGCCCTGTCCAATCCTTTCTCCACACCATGGTCAGAGACATGTTTCCATGATGCTCAGCTTCCCTACACACAGGAGCCCTGTTGAGCCGCAAGGACGGATGCCCACACAGCCTGTGCACCAGGGTTTCTGGGACAGCTTTAATCACACATGGACAGGAGTGGCAGGTATATAGTCCCCACACTCACCATTGTCCTTTGCACCCTGGTCTGGCACACTGGGCTCCAGAAGGACTCCATGGATCCCATCCATTGGGCTGTGTGGCTTTTAAGCCATATGATCAAAGAAGCACCAGCCCCTCCCCTGGTATGATCAGGAGCTGGCATTCAGCAGCAATGTTGTGGGCAGATGCTTGGCCTCCAGCTCCAGTCCACTTGTCTGCATTTGTCCATGGGGAGAGCCAGCCCTTCCTCGGCATGAGCAGGAGTTTGGGGTCCAAGCCTCAAGGATACAGCAATATCGGCCCCTACAGAAAGTTAGCTTCCTTCCCATTATCATTTATGATTAGGGGAGTTTCAGCTCCTCTCCTGGCATGACCACGGGACTAGGGTCTAAACCTTGAAGCAGCTGTGTGGTGTGGTGGACCAGAGCTTCCACCACACTCCTCACCAAGTTTGATTGCCACAAGCCCTCAGCTGCAGCAGGTCTCCAGGAGCTCTGGAGGAGACCACCTCCCTCTCTGGGAGGCCAGTGGCAAGGGGATCAGTCACACCGGCCCTTAGTTCTCAGCGTCCCCTTCCGCTTAGAAGAGCAAAACCCTGGGAAGTCCTCCCTTCACTTCTTCTCCAGCCTGGCTCGAATTTTTTTTTTTTTTTTTTTTTTGAGACGGAGTCTTGCTCTGTCTCCCAGGCTGGAGTGCAATGGTGCGATCTCGGCTCACTGCAAGCTCCGCCTCCCGGGTTCACGCCGTTCTCCTGCCTCAGCCTCCCGAGTAGCTGGGACTACACGCGTGGGTCACCACAGCTGGCTAATTTTAGTATTTTTAGTAGAGACAGGGATTCGCCATGTTGAACTTCTGGCCTGAAGTGATCTGCCCACCTTGGCCTTCCGAAGTGCTGGGATTACATTGTGAACCACTGTGCCCAGCCTCTTTAACTAGACTTCACAATCATCTTCCCCAGAGCCTCATTTCCTTTTTGTGTACCTGTTTGTCTCTTTTTTTTCCTTTTGAGACAGGAGTCTCGCTCTGTCGCCCAGGCTGGAGTGCAGTGGAGCGATCTCGGCTCACTGCAACCTCCGCCTCCCGGGTTCACGCCATTCTCCTGCCTCAGCCTCCAGCTCATCCTCCCGAGTAGCTGGGACTACACGCGCCCGCCACCACGCCCGGCTATTTTTTTTTTTTTTTTTTTGGATTTTTAGTAGAGACGGGGTTTCACTGTGTTAGCCAGGATGGTCTCGATCTCCTGACCTCGTGATCCGCCCATCTCGGCCTCCCAAAGTACTGGGATTACAGGCGTGAGCCACCGCGCCTGGCCTAATTTTTTCCTCTCTCAAAATAACTCTAGCTTGGCTGGGCGCAGTGGCTCATGCCTGTAATTCCAGCACTTTGGGAGGTTGAGGCTGGTGGATCACGAGGCCACTGTAGTCCCAACTACTCGAGAGGCTGAGGCAGGAGAATCGCTTGAACTCCAGGAGGTGGAGGTTGCAGTGAGCCGAGATTGTGCCACTGCACTCCAACTTGGGCGACAGAGCAAGACTCTGTCTCACCACCCCGCCCCCGCCCCATCCCGAAAAATAGCTCTAGCCATACTGAACGACTGGCAGTTCTCCAAACTCCCACGTCCCTCATCTCCTGGCCTTTGACCCTGCTGTTCTCTCTCTTACCATCCTTCTGCTGTCACCCACCTCACTGCCACCTTTCCTGGGAACTCTTGTTCACCTTCAAGTTCTGGGCTTAGGTGCCACCTCCTCCAGGCTGCCTTCTCCTACCCACCCCCACCTCCTGGCCAGTGGGGTTCCACTCTTCTGTGCCCTGTATGCTCCTGCACTTTTTCTAGCTTAGGATTCTGTGTTTGGTATTGTGAGTACTTACTGATTCATTTTATGTAGGGAAAATTCACATAACATAAAATTAATCATTTCGAAGTAAACCAGGATGTGACATTTAGTTCATTCACAAGATTGTGCAACCACCACCTCTATTTAGTTCCAAACCTATTTCATCACCCCCTCAAAAACCCATTCCTATTAACAGTCACTCCCCATTCCCTGCCAGCCCCAGCTCCTGGCAACCACGAATCTGCTCTCTTTCTCTATAGATTTGCCTCTTTGGGATTTTTCATATAAATGGAATCATATGATATATGACCCTTTGTGTCTGACTTCTTTTACTTAGCATAGTGTTTTTCAAGGTGGATCCACATGAATCAGTACTTCTTCCCTTTTTATGGGTGAATAATATTCCATTATATGGACGTACCACATTTTGTTTATCCATTCCTTAGTTGATGGACACTTGGGTTGTTTCCACCTTTTGGCAATTGTGAATAGTGCTGCTATGAGTATTTGTCTACAAGTATTTCAGTCCTTGCTTTCAATTATTTGGGGTCTGTACCTAGGATGGAACTGCAGTGAGAGTTTTTTGATTATTGATCATTTTCACTAGACTGGGATCATCTTGAGGGCAGGGGCTGGCATAGTGAATGCCTGGGCACAAAGGGGATGAGTCACAAGGCACCCAGAATAGATGTTTTCACCCATCTTCAATCATCTGCCATTTGTTGGCATTGACATAATGGCTCAGGCTCTGTCTGATGGTTTGATTGCTTTATCTTATTAATTCAGTCCTCACTTCACTCTGATATCTGCTCAAATGCCCACTGTCACCTCCTCATCCTTTTGCGATTAAAATAGCCCCCAACACTTGTTTTGTCTCTGTGCCCTGCTTTCTTTCCCTCTAGAAGACTTACTATCACTACATATATGATAAATTTGTTCATCTACTTGTTTCATTTGTTTCCCTACTAAGAATGTGAGCTCTGCAAAAATAGGTTTTTTTTGAGTGTGTGTGTTTTATTTCTTGTTCTATTCTGGTGTCCACAACAGTGCCTGGTACGTAAAGGGTGTTCAAATATTTGTAAAATAAATACATTTAATTCTCACTGCACCCTCCAACAAAGCCATAATTATTCCCATTTTATGAGCCCCCAAACTGAAGCTCAGGGAGGTTAAGTAATTTGCCCAAGGTCACAGAGCTGGTCAGTGGTTTAACCAGAATTCTATTGGGTTCTTCTGGTTCCCAATCCCATATTCTTTCCATTTCATTCAGGATGGACAACAGCTTGTCATGATAATGCCAAAAGCACTACTTTGTGGCTTCATGGTGCAGTATTTGATTAAGACAGCTTAGAAAATAGATTGACTTTCTTAAACAGGCTTTACTTAGGCTAACTTGACAACGAGCTTGTATTCCCTCAGCAAATACATCAATCCAGAGCTTACCATGCGATGGAGAAACTTGTCTTAACTTGATTCTCTGTTCTGTTCTGGCTCTTAGACCTATTTAGCTTCAGCTAAATGTCACTTCCTCACTGTACAAAGGGTGAGAATAGTAAAGCTGTCAGAACCACTACACACTCTTTAAATAGCAGATATTGATGTATTACCACAGTGTTGAGAATTACAATGCCAGTAGCTAGCATTTATGGTGTACCTATTGTGTGCTGGGAGCTGTGCTAAGCACATTGCTTGTATTTGTGCATCTGATCCTCATAGTAGTCCCTGAGTTTTATTAGGTTTTATTATTGTTTATTAGTCCCTGAGTTTTATTAGGTTTTCTTATTGTCCCATTGCACAGGTGACAAAGCTAAGACTTAGAGAGGTTAGATGAGTGCCCAAGGTCACACAGCCATAAGTGGTGGGGAGTCAGATTTGGAGCCCAAGTCATCCGACTCCAGCGTTGACTCTCTTACTCACTGGGCTAATGTGTATGTGTCAATATTTGAGAGTAGATACTGTAATGATGGTGACTTTGGTAGAGTGTTCTTCTGGCAAGCCTGGGAGGAGGCTCATTTTGAGAAATGAGCCTTTGTTTCAGTATCTTTTCCCGTTTGAATGATCTATGATGGCAAATGGAGGCCCCAGTTCTCTTTCACAGACAGCCTCATGCCCTGCTTGTTGAGGTGGCCGAAGTTTTGGGTTTGAATCTGGCTGCCAGTTACCATCTCTCTTGTGACCTTAAGCAGATCTTCATCTCTTTGCATCAGTTTCCTTACCTACAAAATGGAAATCAAAATGACCCTTTGCACACAGAGTTACAAAAATTAAGTTAGATGTAAACAGTCCCAATATAACAAGTGAAGAAAACAGACAATGAACCATTAAATATGGTCTTATGGAATTTTTTTTTCCTTAAAAAAAAAAAATCCGCCCCAAACCATCTGGAAGGCTCGACCATCAGCTATTGATAGGGATGATGGCTAGGCTGTAGAACAGCATTGCCTTTTTTTCTTATCTCAATTTTCTAATTTTTCTGTACTGAATATATAATAACAAAATGAGTTGTTTTAATTAAAAATGGGACAGTGAGTCAGTGTTCATGAAAGCACTTTGGAAACCATCAAATGTGCTATAAATTAGCTCTTGTTACAGTCGTTATAGTAATTATTATTGTTATTGCTAGTCAGCTAGGAATTTCTTTGCGCCCCAAATCTCCTTCCTTGGCCCATCATGGAAGTGGCCACGTGGTTACCTTCCTCTGGGTTCTGGTGGGTCTTCCTTCATTGACACCTGGCCGACTTCTCTCCATCTTTGCTGCCACCACCCAAACCAGAGCCAGCATCATCTCTTGCAACTCCCTGAGATACCCCTTAATTGGGCTCTAGTTTTCCCCGCAGCAGCCTGAGTGATCTTTGAGAAATGAACATTCAATCCATGCCTCCCCTGCCTCAAAACTCCCAATGGCTTCCTGTTGGACTTGGTATAAAAGCCAATCTGCACCTTAGCCCACAGACCTGGCAGTCTGTTTTCACCTGTCCCTTCAGCCTCTCCTTGAGTGTCACCCCATTGTCATCACACAGTTGTGAACACCACCTTCATGCAGGCACCCGGGAAAGAGACCTAGGAAAGTGACTGCCCTAACTTAGATGGTTTTGAAGCCTGCACATTTGGTGTTGTTGGATCTTTATGCATTTAGAGCTCTTAGCATGGAGGATGCAGAAAGGCTTTACGTGGTTGCATGAGAATCTGTGTCTTTAGACCAAATTTGTATTTGCACTGTCAATATGGCAAATGAATGAAAAATGTTAATACACCATTAGATTTTTAGATTTTTTTTTTTTAATAGCAAAGACTTGGAACCAACCCAAATGTCCAACAATGATAGACTGGATTAAGAAAATGTGGCACATATACACCATGGAATACTATGCAGCCATAAAAAATGATGAGTTCATGTCCTTTGTAGGGACATGGATGAAATTGGAAATCATCATTCTCAGTAAACTATCGCAAGGACAAAAAACCAAACACCGCATGTTCTCACTCATAGGTGGGAATTGAACAATGAGAACACATGGACACAGGAAGGGGAACATCACACTCTGGGGACTGTTGTGGGGTCGGGGGAGAGGGGAGGGATAGCATTAGGAGATATACCTAATGTTAAATGACGAGTTAATGAGTGCAGCACACCAACATGGCACATGTATGCATATGTAACTAACCTGCACATTGTGCACATGTACCCTAAAACTTAAAGTATAATAATAATAAAATAAAAAAAAGGTTTTTTTTTTTTTGAGACTGAGTTTCACTCTTGTTGCCCAGGCTGGAGTGCAATGGTGCGATCTCAGCTCACTGCAACCTCTGCCTCCTGGGTTCAAGCGATTCTTATTGCCTCAGCCTTCTGAGTAGCTGGGATTACAGGCACACGCCACCACACCTAGCTAATTTTTTTGTATTTTTAGTAGAGATGGAGTTTCACCATGTTGGCCAGGCTGGTCTCAAACTCGTGACCTCAAGTAATCTGCCCATCTCGGCCTCCCAATTGCTGGAACTACAGGTGTGAGCCTCCGTGCCCAGCTGCCCATATTCTTTTTATCACGTCATTCTGTTTATTTCCCTCCCAGCACCAATAACCATGTGAAATCCTTCTGTGAGCATGTTTTCTTGTCTATCATGGCTGCTTTGGCAGAATGTAAGTCCAGGGGACCAGGGTCTCATCTGTGTTGCTTTTGTGTCTTTTCCAAGCAAAGGGCATAGTTGGCACTCACAGGATGTTTACTGGACAAATGCATGAATAAGAACATGGCGACACAGATCTGGAGGAAGTATGCGGTGGCTGAGGAAGTGGTCAGGGAGGGACTAAGGATGAACTTGACTTCCTTGGAATTTGTGTATCTCACATGAGGGTTAGGTATTAAAATTTCCATGTAAGGGAAAAGTTATCCTTTAAAGTCCTTTAAATCACTTTGAAACTACCAGAACTGGGACCTTGGGAAGTTCAAAAAGTGAGAATTAACTTCTTTGCTTTTCTGAGCATTTGGGCTGTGGGGTCTTCCCAGCTATGGGGCAGTGGAAGGCAAGGCTGTTGAATGGAGAATAGGGTAACAGGGTCAACAAGGGGATTTTATTGTCTTTTTGGAGGAGCCAAGTAGAGATGGTTGGCTTTATGTAAATGTACTTATGATGTAATGTGGGTATGATGTAACATGCATTTGATAGAATGTCTGTAAGAGGTAATGGGCATATGAAATAGCATGCATATGATGTAATGCACATATAATGTGACATGCATATGGTGTAATGTGCATATGATATGTGCATATAACATGCATACAACATAACAGATATATAGTGTAACATGCATATGATATGATGTGCATATGATATAACATGCATACGATGTAACAGGTATATAGTGTAACATGCATATGATGTAATGGGCACATGGTATAATGTGCATAAGATATAATTTGCATATGAGATAACATGCATACGATGTAACAGGTATATAGTGTAACATGCACATGATGTAATGGGCACGTGGTGTAATGTGTGTATGATGTAATGGTGTGTATGGTGTAACTCACCTGGCTTTCTCATGGCTTACCCATTGTCTCTGCTCTTCTGTTCCAACTCAGGAGGCAACCTTTCCAAACAAGACTGGACCATCCAGTGGCCCACGACAGAGACGGGGAAGGAGAACAATCCCGTGTGCCCCCCGGAGCCCACCCCGTGGATCCGCACCCATCTCTCCCAGAGCCCCAGGGTCCCGTCCAAGTGCGTCCAGCACTATTGTCACACCAGCCCCACTCCCGGGGCCCCTGTGTACACCCACGTGGACAGGCTTACCGTGGACGCCTACCCGGGCTTGTGCCCGCCCCCGCCACTGGAGTCGGGCCACCGTTCCCTGCCCCCATCGCCCCGGCAGCGGCACGCGGTCCGCACCCCGCCGCGCACCCCCAACATCGTCACCACCGTGACCCCGCCGGGCACGCCGCCCATGAGGAAGAAGAACAAGCTGAAGCCCCCGGGGACCCCACCGCCCTCCTCCCGAAAACTGATACACTTGATCCCGGGATTCACCGCGCTGCATCGGAGCAAATCCCACGAGTTCCAGCTGGGGCACCGCGTGGACGAGGCCCACACGCCCAAGTGAGTGCGATCGGTGGGTGCCCTGGGGCGGTCGAAACCCGGCCTGCGAGGGGCTGCCCCTTGGTCCCAGGAACTGCCCAGGTCAAGGAAACCGGGAACAGACTTGCGTTCCAGACTCTGGTTGAATGAAAAATGGCTTTTCACAGAGGGTTCTGAGCAAATGAATAGAACAGAATTTCCCAGAATTGGCCGTTTAAAAAATACGATTAATATCCTATGGCCTAGGGGCTAAATCTGATACCCGGCCTGATTTTGTAAATAAAAGGTATTGGAACACGCCCATGATCATTCCTTTATGTGTTGCCTATGGCTGCTTTTGTGTGACAATGGCAGAGTGAGAATAGCCCACAAAGCTGAAAGTATTTACCATCTGGCTTTTTACTGAAAACGTTTGCCAACCCCTGCAGAGTCTAGCCTAGTGCCGCTCCTAGAAATAGGATATGAGGCATATATTAACCTTCAACTTTCTAGTAGTCACATTAAAAAGAATGAAAAGGAACAAGTGATATTAATGATCATAATACATCATTCAACCCAATATATCAAAATTATAATATCTTAACAAAGAATCAATGTAAAATATCATTACAGAGATATTTTGCATTTTTTAAAATACAAAGTCTTTGAAATTGAATGTGTATTTTATATCCACGGCTCATCTCAGTTGAAGGTGGTAGGAAGCAGGACACGTTGGGGAAATTGACAGAGGACCCCTTTGGGGGAGAGAGCAGGTGTGTGATGTAGGGTGAGACTCGAGGATTAGGCAGGTTGCTGTGCTATTCACAGTAGCCAAAAAGTAGAAACAACCTGTGTCCATCAGTAGACAAATGAGTAAACACAGTGTGGTCTATCTATACAATGCAATATTATTCAGGCTTAAAAAGGAAGAAACTTCTTTTTTTTTGAGACGGAGTCTAGCTCTGTTGCCCAGGCTGGAGCAGTGGTGGGATGTCAGCTCACTGCAACCTCTGCCTCCCAGGTTCAAGTGATTCTCCTGCCTCAGCCTCCCAAGTAGCTGGGACTACAGGCCTGTGCCACCACGCCTGGCTAATTTTTTGTAGTTTTTGTAGAGATAGGGTTTCACCATGTTGACCAGACTGGTCTTGAACTTCTGACCTCAAATGATCTGCCCGCCTTGGCCTCCCAAAGTGCTGGGATTACAGGCATGAGCCATCATGCCCGACCTGGGAGGAACTTCTGATATATGCTACAACATGAGTGAACCTTGAAGACAGCATGCTAAGAGTAAAATATGCCAGACACATAATGACAAATACTGTATAATTCCACCAATATGAGATACCTAGAGTAGACAATTTATAGAGGCAGAAAGTAGAACGGTGGATGCCAGGGCTGAGGGGAGGGAGAATGGGGAGTTGTTATTTATTGGATATAGACTTTGCATTTGGGATGATGAAAACATTCTGGAGATGGATGGTGGTGATGGTTGTACAACAATGCAAATGTAATTAGTACCATTGAACTGTACACTTCAAAATGGTTAAGATGGTAAATTTTATATTATGTATATTTTATCACCATTTTAAAAAGGCAGGATTCTGTAAGTGAAGGGTTGGCACACTTTTTCTGTACAGGGGCAGATAGTAAATACTTTAGGCTTTGCAGACCATTCAGTCTCTGTTGCAGTTACTCAACTCTATCATGTAGCACAAAACCAGCACAGACAATAGGTAAACAAATGGGCATGGCAGTGTTCCAATAAAACTTTATTTATAAAAACAGGTACCTGGCCCAATTTGGCCCATGAACTGTGATTTACCAAGCCCTGTCTGAAGCCGTAGTGTAGAGAGTGATCTCTTTTCTGAAGCATTGGGAATGCCCTACAGTGATTGACGTGGAACATGTGATTTTACAACAGTCATATTTAAGCTGCTATGTGAAACCTAGCTTGAAGACGTAGAATGCATGTTTGAGACCTCTGAGGGTGAAGCAGAGGATAGATGCTTTTCTGATTGGAGTTGTGTTTGATTTGCATGGTTTTGTGAGAGCCACAGAGATTGGGGCCTGCTGAAACCTCAAGGTGAAGATGTGGGGTAAAGTTCCAGGAAGGCTGGGAGTGCAGGTTGCTAAGGTGGAGGGTGGAAGAGGCATTTGGGGTTTGGTTGCTACGGTGGCCCCACACTTTGTGCTTCTCCCTGTCCCTTTCCCAGGGTGCACCACTTAGTAAGGCGAAACTTGATCAGAAAGCCGACTCTCCAGACACATCATCTTCTAATCTGCAAGATGGAGGCCAAGTGAGAGAGGCTGCCCTTTGGTTTTTAAATGCTGTCCTTTCCCTAGACCCCTGAAGGATTTATTCTGCCTGGATAGGGTTGAATGGCCCACTTCTTCAAGGCCTTCCAAATTGACTTGGCCACCTTTAGTGTTTTTTGGAATTTGTGTATCAGGACTCAGGTGGCGTTAAGCTTTGCCCTTCAGGTTTCTTCTGGCTGAGTTAGCAAGCTCATCACTTCCTCAAGGCTGGTAGTTCCCTGGCCCACCTTGGGGGATGCTGTGGTTCATGGCAAGGAAGCAGTAGAGGAGAGGAACAGAGTGGTCAGTTTGGTGATGTGGAAAATGCCGTGGGACCACTTAGCCTGGGACCATGCCTCCAGGTTCACAGGGATATCAGGGCAGCAGGCCTGGGGGTGTTAAAAAAACTAAAACATAAATAACAGCAACCTGAATAATGTTGGCAGCGGGGGTCATGGGTAGAGGTGAATTCTGATCAGGATTTATAAAGGAGGCGTTAGTTGAGGTGAGTCCCAATTATTAGACTGATAACAACAGTCATCATTTACCTGGGTCTAAACTAGTCCTGATCCTGCCAGGAAGTAGCCTTTTGACCTTGGATTTAACCTCTCTGAATCTTAGCTTTCTCAGCTGTGGACCCAAGAGGTTAGAATACATTTGTGTTTTTAAATTTGTGGTCATGACCCATTTGTGGTTGATAGCATTATTTTAATGGCTTGTGACCAGCATTAAAAAAATGAAATAGACTAGCCTAGACTAGAGTATATTGGAACACATTGCATCTGGTAAGCGTTTTAGTGTTGTTTTGTAAAACTTGTTTTCAGTAAGTACAGGCATACTTCAGAGATATTGTGAGTTTGGTTCCAGACCACCACGATAAAGATCCCAAAGTGAATGACACGAATTTTGGGTTTCCCAGTACATAGAATAGTTATGTTTTATACCATACTGTAGTCTATTAAGTGTATGATGGCATTATGTCTTAAAAAACAATGTACATACATTAATTTAGAAATACTTTAATACTAAAAAACACTAATGATCATCTGAGCCTTCAGTGAGCCATACTCTTTGCTGGTGGAAGGTCTTGCTTCAATGTTGATGGCTGCCGACTGATCAAGGTGATGGTAGCTGAAAGTTGGGCTGATTGTGACAATTTCTTAAAATACAACAATGCAGTTTTCTACATAGATAGACTCTTCCTTTCACAAAAAATTCTCTGTAGCATGTGATGCCGTTTGATAGCCTAGTAGAACTTCTTTCAAAATTAGAGTCGATCCTCTCAAACCCTGCCACTGCTTTGTCAACTAAGTTTATGCAATATTCTAAAATGTTTCTTGTCATTTCAACAATGTTCAAGGCATCTTTACCTGGAGTGGATTCCATCTCAAGAAACCACTTTCCTTGCTCATCCGTAAGAAGCAACTCCTTGTCTATTTAAGTTTTATCATGAGATTGCAACAATTCAGTTATATCTTCAGGCTCCACTTTTAATTCTAGTTCTCTTGCTGTTTCCACCGCATCTGCAGTTACTTCCTCCATTGAAATCTTGAATGCCTCAAAGTCATCCATGAGGGTTGGAATCAACTTCTTCCAAACTCCTGTTAATGTTGATATTTTGACCTCCTTCCATGGATCACGAATGTTCTTAATGGCATCCAAAATGGGGAATCCTTTCCAGAAGATTCTTTTTTTTTTTTTTTGAGATGGAGTCTCACTCTGTCACCCAGGCTAGAGTGCAATGGAGCAATCTCGGCTCACTGCAACCTCCACCTCCTGGGTTCTAGCAATTCTCCTGCCTCAGCCTCCTGAGTAGCTGGGATTACAGGTGCCCACCATCATGCCTGGCTAATTTTTGTATTTTTAGGAGAGATGGAGTTTCATCATGTTGGCCAAACTGGTCTTAAATTCCTGACCTCAGGTGATCCACCCACCTCAGCCTCCCAAAGTGTTGGGATTACAGGCGTGAGCCACTGCACCCGGCCTCCAGCAGGTTTTTATTTTACTTTTCCCAGATCCATCAGAGGAATCACTATCTATGGCAGCTATAGCCTTATAAAATGTATTTCTTAAATAATAAGACTTGAAAGATAAAATTACTCCTTAATCCATGGGCTGCAGAATGGATGTATTAGCAGGGATGAAAATCACATAATCTGTTTGTACATCTTCATCAGAGGTTTTGGTTGAGCACATGCATTGTCGATGAGCAATAATATTTTGAAAGGAATCTTGTTTTTTCTAAACAGTCGGTCTCAACAGTGGGCTTAAAATATTCAGCAAACCATGCTGTGAACAAAAGTGCTATCATCCAGGCTTTGCTGTTCCATTTATAAAGTACGGGCAGAGTAGATTTAGCGTAATTCGTAAGAGCCCTAGAATTTTTGGCATGATAAATGAGCATTGGCTTCAGCTTAAAAGTCACCAGCTGCGGTAGTCCCTAACAAGAGAGTCAGCCTGTTCTTTGAAGCTTTGAAGCCAGGCACTGACTTCGTCTCTCTAGCTCTGAGAGTCCTAGATGGCATCGTTGAATATAAGACTGTTTCATTTACATTGAAAATCTGTCATTTAGTGTAACCACTTTCATCAGTGATCATAGCTAGATCTAGGTAACTTGCTGCAGCTTCTCCATCAGCACTTCCTGCTTCACTGTACTTTTATGTTATGGAGACAACTTCTTTCCACAAACCTTATAAGCCAACCTCTACTGGTGTCCACATTTTCTTCTGCAGCTTCCTCACCTCTCTCAGCCTTCATAGAATTGAAGAGAGTTAGGGCCCTGCTCTGGATTAGGCTTTGACTTAAGGGAATGTTGTGTCTGGCTTGATCTTCCATCCAGACCACTAAAACTTTCTCCGTATCAGCAATAAGGCTGTTTTATTTTCCTATCATTCATGTGCTCACGGGAATAGCACTTTTAGTTTCCTTAAGAAAAAGAACTTTTCCTTTGCCTTCACAACTTGACCATTTGGCATAAGAAGCCTAGCTTTCAGTTCATTTTGGCTTTTGACGTATCTTCCTCACTAAGCGTAATCATTTTTAGCATATGATTTAAAGTGATAGATGTACAATTCTTCCTTTCACTGGAACGCTTAGAGGCTATTGTTGGGTTATTAATCAGGCTAATTTCAATATTGTTGTGTTTCAGAAAATAGGGAGGCCCAGGAAAAGGAGAGACAGATGGGGAATAGCCTGTTAGTGGAGCAGTCAGAACACATACAACATTGATCGATTTATTTCACTGTCATATGGGCACGGTTTGTGGCACCCCAAAACAATTACCATAGTGACATGAAAGATCACTGATCACAGATAACCATAACAGATATAATAATAATGAAAAAGTTAGAAATATTGCTAGAATGACCAAAATGTGACACAGAGGCATGAAGTGAGCTTGTGCTGTTGGAAACGTGGCAGCGAGAGGCTTGCTCAATGCACGGTTGCCACAAACCTTCAATTTGTAAAAAAATGTGATGTCTGCAAAGTGCAGTGGAGTGAAGTGCAATACAACAAGATATGCCTGTGTGTCCTTTTCTTTTTACCCCGCTGGAGGCTCTTCCTACTCTGAACAGCTTTGATTCTAGAATAAACCCCATCAGGGAGTAGGTGAGAAGGTTTGAGAAGCCTTTGCCCTCTCTTCTGTGAAATGTAGCCAGAGATAGTTCCAGAGCTATTTGGTGCATTCTGGTTCCAGTTATCTCTCTTTCATGTCTGGTTTCTTCTCTCCTTCACCCCTGTAGTCCTGCTGGGAACCATCTCTGTGGCTAACTAGTGTTCAGTCTGCTTTTATTTCCTCTGAATGGAATGAATCTGAGTTTCAACAGTCACAGATCTTTGTGAACAGGTTCCAAAGCTTTCAAAACTGTTGGTTGCTGTGATTTTTCAAGCACACAATACCAAAGGAGGTCTTGGGTTGGAGGAAGGCTAGGAAGGCTATTTTTATTTTTATTTTTTGAGATGGAGTCTTGCTCTGTTGCCTAGGCTGGAGTGCAATGGCGCAATCTCAGCTCACTGCAACCTCTGCCTCCCAAGTTCAAGTGATTCTCCTGCCTCAGCCTCCCAAGTAGCTGGGATTACAGGCACCTGCCACCACCCCAAGCTAATTTTTTTTTTTTTTGAGATGGAGCCTCACTCTGTTGTCCAGGCTGGAGTGCAGTGGCACAATCTCAGCCCACTGCAACCTCTGCCTCCTGGGTACAAGCGATTCTCCTGCCTCAGCCTCCTGAGCAGCTGGGATTACAGGTGCATGCCATGCCGCCTGGCTAATTTTTGTATTTTTAGTAGAGACGGGATTTCACCATGTTGATCAGGCTGGTCTTGAACTCCCGACCTCAGGTGATCTTCCCGCCTCAGCCTCCCAAAGTGCTGGGATTACAGGTGTGAGCCACCATGCCTGGCCGAGGAAGGCTATTTTTTAGGCCCCTTATCCTTGGTGCTCTCAGGCACACCCGTGGTGGTTTTTATCAGATGATCTGTTTGGGTTTTCCTCCTGTCCCCAGTAGTATCTCACGTGCCTTTTCAGAATGAGCATGACAAGAAAACAAGAATATACTGGCCATAGCATGTCTGTCATCTCCACTGGGAGATTTGCTGTCTAGGTGTGTTGGAATGTGTTAGAACTGCTATGATTAGTCTAATCAAAGCTGTTTCCCCTGTTTTGTGTTCATTCTCAAAGAACTGTTTATTTTCTTCTTTTCCTTTCTTTTTATTTTTGCATTTAAGTATATGGTTTTATTCCTCTGGCATTCCTAAAACACACACACACACACACACACACACACACACACACACACACACACACACACACGCTCTATACTTTCCCCAGTAAAAGTAATGATTGATTATTGTGGAAGTTGAAACAACTTTGGAAATGTGATGAAGACAGTGGGAAATATGTGCTGATGTTCTTGTTTTCCTTCTTCTTTTTTTTTTTTTTTAACTTTCATTTTAAGGTCACGGGTACAAGTGCAGGTTTGTTACATAGGTAAACTTGTGTCATGGGAGTTTGTTGTACAGATTATTTCATCACCCAGGTGCCTAGTAGCCATAAGTTATTTTTCCTGATCCTCTCCCTCCTCCCACCGTCTACCCTCCGGAAGGCCCCAGTGTGTGTTGTTCCCCTCTATGTGTCCATGTGTTCTCATCATTTAGGTCCCACTTAAAAGTGAGAACATGCGGTATTTGGTTTTCTGTTCCTGTGTTAGTTTGCCAAGGATAATGGCTTCCAGCTCCATCCCTGTTCCTGCAAAGGACATGATCTTGTTCTATTTTATGGCTGTGTAGTATTCCATAGTGTATATATACCACATATACTTATATACATAGATATACATAGAGCATGAATTCTCAATGGGGCTGAAATCACCTCTGAGGGGACAAAGATTGGTTATTGGGGAAAGACAGGAAAAATCTTGGATTTTTACAATAGTTTATGCCTCTCCTTCACAAGGAGCCACCGTATGTAAACAGAGATACACCATATCTGCGCTTATGAAAATTTCACTGGAGGTTAGGGATGGAGATTAGGAACCACAAAATCTAAAAACGTTCCCAAAGGAGCCATAATAGAAAACGGGTTGAGAAACACTGACATAGATTATGGATTTAATCCTATAAATGCAGTTAGCCATAGGCATGGAGAGTTATCAAGAATCCCTCTGACATTCTTATCAGCCTTTGTTTTCCCTCTGGCTTTGTGGCCATACTTAGAAAGGTAAACAGGCACTGATTCCTTATAGTGAGCTGTTCAGAAAATTAAGAGGGAATGATCTCAGGGATTCTGGTTATCTTGATCTTCATCCCAAGGATCCCACACCCACAGCCACGTTGTTGGGGGAAGAAAGATCCTAACAACTCTATGTGTGCAATGATTTGTATGTCTTCAGATTTTCTCATTTAGGTCTGCCCACAATACAAATGGCTTGTTCCTTCTTTTCAGAAGATCTGAAAGGGTAAACTGCATTTCTGTAAACTGAATTATATTTTAAATGTGCAGGAGAAGCTCAGTATT
Source organism: Homo sapiens (assembly GCF_000001405.40). Lineage (NCBI taxonomy): Eukaryota > Metazoa > Chordata > Mammalia > Primates > Hominidae > Homo > Homo sapiens. The sequence continues at coordinate 117,752,744 of NC_000012.12, read as the reverse complement.
AAAAAGGAATCCTATCACATATATATTTTTTCAAATCCTTGTTAAAGGTGATTTTTCAATTATAATTGCAATTACAGAAGTAATTTGCAGATATATCTTTATTTTGAAAATACAAGCAAAATAAAATGTAAGCAATAGATGATAAAATTCTCCATTTCCCTTGTCACAGAGAACTACTATAACTGCTATTAATACTTTGATATAAATCCTTGTGTGCATTTATTCATGTTTGTAGGCATATATGAAATATATCTAGTTCCCTTTCTTCATTATTGGAACCACACTATATGCTTTTATTAATGTGACTTGCCTTTATTAGTCCTGCACAAATACAAATATTCCATTTATGACCTTTTCACAATTTACTTCTTTGGAAATTCTTCTGTTTTCCCCAAAGCACATCTAGAACATTCCTTGGTACATGTCGCTGTGTTCAGACGTGTGTAGTTTGTGAGTGAACACATTTCACCTCCACCCTTATGGAACAGTATGTCAAAAACTTCAGCTGGCCTGTGAGCAGAGAGAACCAGGCTGGATAAGAGCCGTGTTTATTATACCTTCACTCAAACCCCATTCTCTCTGTTCCAACTAATTCATATTTCGTGCTTGGCCTAGGCTATATCATTTGTTGTTTGCATGGAAACAGGCTTTGCCTAACAGATTCATTATGTAAATAAGATTTCAGGAGGTATATTTTTGTCTGTTTTAGAAAACTAGGTATAAGCACTTAAACTCACTAGCACACACCTACAAATCATTGTGCTAATTATTACAAGGATCTCTAATATATTTATAAGGGCAAGAGAGGAATGACTAGTCTGTGGGTAATAGTATATTCATTAAAATAGGAAGACTTCTGCCATACTCATTTGGTAATTCCTTTTAGGCTAACTAAGCATTCAGACACGCTCAGCACCATACTGACTTAAGAGGATGCAGGCAGCATTGGGCATCTCTTCTGTGGATCCTCAGGGGCCATTCTTTTTTGCCCCCTACCTCCAAGTGGCAGTTTGGTACAAAGTGATGAGACCCACATTAAGCAGGTGTGGCAACTATCCTGTCTTATGGGACAATAGCTGTTGTAAAAACTCTATCTTCATGGCTGCCAGGGTGTCTGCAGGGGACATGCCCTGTTACAACAGTCATGCTACTTAAGGACTCCCAAAGCTGTAGATTCCTCATTAGATATTTCAGATCCATTCCGTGAGCTCCCAGTCCAGATGCAGTCTACCAACAAGGGGCAATTTGATGAGCACTGTGGCCCACTAGCACAGTGATGTTTCCTCTTTATCAGGTGTTCAGCAGATCAGAGCTAGAAAGTTAACCCAGGGTTAAATTCTCATGCAGAAGAGGAAAAGATTGTGTTAATCCTTGATATACAGTGTATTAGTCCGTTCTCACGCTGCTAATGAAGACATACCCGAGACTGGGTAATTTATAAAGGAAAGAGGTTTAATGGACTCACAGTTTAGCATGGCTGGGGAAGCCTCAGGAAACTTACAATCATGGCAGAGGGGGAAGCAAACATCCTTCTTCACATGGCGGCAGCAAGGAGAAGTGCAGAGCAAAGGTGGGGAAAAGCCCTTTATAAAACCATCTGCTCTCAAGAGAACTCACTCACTATCATGAAAACAGGATGGGGGAGACCACCCCCATGATTCATTTATCTGCACCTGGTCCATCCCACGACATGTGAGGATTATGAGAACTATAATTCAAGATGAGATTTGAGTGGGGACACTGCCAAACTGTATCACACAGCTTCACATGTACTCTTATGTTCATTGCAGCACTATTCACAATACCAAAGACATGAAATCAATCTAGGTCCCCATCCATGGTGGATCGGATAAAGAAAATGTGGTACATATATGCCATGGAATACTATACAGCCATAAAAAGAACAAAATTATGTCCCTTGTGGCAACATGGATGCAGCTGGCGGCCATTATCCTAAGCAAACTAACACAGGAACATAAAACCAAATACCACATGTTCTCACTTATAAGTGGGAGCTACACATTTGTGTACACATGCACATAAAGATAGCAACAGTAGACACTGGGGATAACTAGATAGGGGAGAGAAGGGAGAGGGACAAAGGCTGAAAACCAAACAACTGGGTACCATGCTCATTAACTGAATGTTGGGTCTATCATACCCCGAACCTTAGCATCACTCAATATACCCATGTGACAAACCTGCACGTGTACCTCCTGAACCTAAAATGAAAGTTGAAATTATAAAAAATTGAAATTAAAATTAAAAAATAAAAATCTTATAATGTAGATTTGTCACCAATTCATGTTGAATGTCTTATTTTGAATTGAGATCTTTTGCAAGGTATTTTATAATTTATATTAATAGCATTATATGTATATATTCTATAACATAAAATAATTATTTCTAGTAAAATGTATGCTCCTGAGAAATTTTCATTAAGTATTATTATTACTCTGCATAAGAAAGTTCTTCTTTTTTTTTTTTTTTTTTTTAAGACAGAGTCTCACTCTGTCACCCAGGCTGGAGTGCAGTGGTGCGATCTTGGCTCACTGCAATCTCTGCCTCCCGGGTTCAAGCGATTCTCCTGCCTCAGTTTCCTGAATAGCTGAGATTACAGGTGCATGCCACCATGTCTGGCTAATTTTTTTGTATTTTTAGTAGAGACGGGGTTTCACCATGTTGGCCAGGCTGGTCTCGAACTCCTGACCTCGGGTGGTCCACCTGCCTCAGCCTCCCAGAGTGCTAGGATTACAGGCGTCAGCCATTGCGCCCAGCCAGAAAGTTCTATTTGATCCCCCAGATTCCCATTCAGCATTGACCTAGTACCCCCATCCTGGATTCTAGGCCCTCTTCCTTAGCTCTGGAGCAAGAATAGGTCCTTATCCTCTTAAAGACCCTGCCCCAGCCTCCATTAAGACCATGCCACAATCCCCTAGCTGCTGAATCTTTCAGGCCTGTGATGAGAGATTCAGTCCAGTAAGGCTCATTTAAAATATGTTTAGCTTTCTAAATATCAAATGGACTATCTTTTGGTGTTTGCCCCAGAGGCTTATACAGACAGCACTAATGAATCATCTATTGTCACATTCTTATTGAAACAGCAGCTTTGAAGTTCCACAATGGAAAATTAGCTCAAGAATGTGCTTCTTGATGAATTTTTGTGGTGAAGTGTTCTGTGGGTTGGGTAACAGAGTATTTAGTTTGCAGTCCCTTATTATTTACAGGAACAAACTGATGATATTATGACGGTGAGATTTTTTTCCTATGGTATATCGAGTTCTTTGACTTACCTAGTGCCTGCCTTCCTCTCGTTATTTCTTTTCAAGGAGTTGAGAGTTTCCTAGGAGGTGTTTTAGAAGGAGCCCAAGGTGAATCCCACCTTGGCTACTAATTAGCCTTGTGACTGCAAATAAGTCACTTAGGAATTGATGCTCCAGCAGTGTGGAGACTGTGGCTGCCCACTTCTCAGAGCTGGTAAGGTCCCCTTATACTCCCTAGCTGTACTTAGGATGTCACCTGCAGCTGTGGCAGGCAGTTTCTGTACACACCGAGGGCTTCCCATGTCAAGCACCTGTGTCTCGGCCTGGGAGGTATTGTTCGTTTGCTTTTTTTTTTTTTTTTGCCAGTGGAGCATGTTCAATCTGAGTGCAGGGCCGGCTGGAAATGTCAGGGGCTTGGTGTTGTCCTTGGGAACAACCTTCAGTTGCTGAAGGACAAGAGCTAGTGCATAAATATGCCCTCAGAGGGCCCATTCTGCTGTGCGTTCTATACCCCTCCTGAAGGCTTCCCAGAGGGACAGCCCCAGTTGTCCCCAGAGGCATTCCCCGTAACACCCTTTATGGGCTATGTTTTCTCCCCTGCCTCACCTCTCCATCTCCTCATCCTGCTGCTAGGATCACCTCTCAAATATACTACAAGGACCCCAAACCTTGCTTTAGGGTCTGCTTTTGGGGGAACCTAAATTAAGACAGGGATAAAGGTCATCATAAGTATAATTGCATTAAGCTCTTGCACAGCTATGTGGACACATTTTCACTAACACAAAAGTTTTCTTGATTAATTTGTTATTAGAATATACATGATAGCTGTCACTTATGGAAGGCTTATTGTATGCTGATACTTTGCATCATTTATTGGTATTTTTACTATTTTTATTTTAATTGACAAATAATAACTGTACATATTTATGGAGTACAGTGTAATGTTTCTATATATGTATACATTGTGGAATTATTTAAGTCAGGCTAATTAACATATCTATCATCTTACATACTTATTATTTTTTTGTGATGAGAGTATTTCAAATTTACTCTCAGTGGTTTTGAAATATGTGGTATATTATTATTAACTAAAGTCACCATGCTGTGCAATAGATCTGAAAAACTTATTCCTCCTATCTAACTGAAACTTTGTACCCTTTAACCAATATCTCCCCATTCCACTGCCTCCTTCCTGCCAGCTCCTGGTAACCACCATTCTATTCTCTACTTTTACGAGTTTGACTTTTCAAAGTGAGATTATGCAGTATTTGTCTTTCTGAACCTGGTTTGTTTCACTTAGCATGGTATCCTCCAGGTTCACTCATGGTGTCACAGATAACAGGGTTTCCTGTTTTTTAAGACTAAATAGTACTCCATTGTGCATATATATACCACATTTTCTTTATCCATTCATCCGCTGATGGACTCTTAGGTTGATTCAATGTCTCAGCTATTGTGAATAATGCTGCAATAAATATGGTAGTGCAGATATCTCTTTGACATACTGATTTCAATTGCTTTGGATACATATGTAGTAGTGGGATTTCTGAATCTTATGGTAGTTCTATTTTTAGTATTTTGTGGAACCTCCACACTGTTTTCCATAATGGCTGTACTAATTTACATTCCCACCAACAGTGTACAAGGGTTCCTTTTCCCCACATCCTCTCTATGACTTGGTAATTTTGTCTTTTTGATAAAAGCCATTCTTGACAGGTATGAAGTGAGATCTCATTGTGGTTTTAATTTGCAATTCCTCGATGATTAATGATGTTGAGTATTTTTTCATAAATCGATTGGTCATTTGCATGTTTTCTTTTGAGAAATGTCTATTCAGGTTCTTTGCCCATTTTTAATTAATTAATTATTTTATTTTATTTTATTTTATTTTAAGTTCCGGGATACATGTGCAGAATGTGTAGGTTTGTCACACAGGTATACATGTGCCATGGTGGTTTGCTGCACCTATCAACCTGGCATCTAGGTTTTAAGCCCCACATGCATTACGTATTTGTCCTAATGCTCTCCCTCCCCCTGTCCCCCACCCCCCAACAGGCCCCGGTGTGTGTTGTTCCCCACCCTGTGTCCATGTGTTCTCATTGTTCAACTCCCACGTATGAGTGAGAACATGTGGTGGTTTGGTTTTCTGTTCCTGTGTTAGTTTGCTGAGAATGATGGCTTCCAGCTTCATCCATGTCCCTGCAAAGGACATGATCTCATTCTTCTTTATGGCTGCATAGTATTCCATGGTGCATATGTGCCACATTTTCTATATCCAGTCTATCATTGATGGGCATTTGGGTTGGTTCCAGGTCTTTGCTATTGTGAAAAGTGCTGCAGTAAACATACGTGTGCATGTGTCTTTATAGTAGAATGATGTATAATCCTTTGGGTATATACCCAGTAATGAGATTGCTGGGTCAAATGGTATTTCTGGTTCTAGATCCTTGAGGAATCGCCATACTGTCTTTCACAATGGTTGAACTAATTTACACTCCCACCAACAGTGTAAAAGCATTCCTATTTCTCCACAGCCTCACCAGCATCTATTGTTTCCTGACTTTTTAATAATCACCATTCTGACTGGCATGAGATGGTATCTCATTGTGGTTTTCATTTGCATTTCTCTGATGATCAGTGACGATGAGCTTTTTTTTTTTATATGTTTTTTGGCTGCATAAATGTCTTCTTTTCAGAAGTGTCTGTTCATATCCTTTGCCTACTTTTTGATGGGGGTTTTTTTTTCTTGTAAATTTGTTTAAGTTGCTTGTAAATTCTGCATATTAGACCTTTGTCAGATGAGTAGATTGCAAAAATGTTCTCCCATTCTGTAGCTTGCCTGTTCACTCTGATGCTAGTTTCTTTTGCTGTGCAGAAGCTCTTTAGTTTAATTAGACTCCATTTGTCAAATTTGACTTTTATTGCAATTGCATTTGATGTGTTAGTCATGAAGTCCTTGCCCTTGCCTATGTCCTGAATGGTATTGCCTAAGTTTTCTTCTAGGGTTTTTATGGTTTTGGGTTTTACATTTAGGTCTTTAATCCATTTTGAGTTAATTTTTGTATGCAGTGTAAGGAAGGGGTCCAGTTTCTGTTTTCTGCATATGGCTAGCCAGTTTTCCTAGTACCATTTATTAAATAGGGAATCTTTTCCCTATTGCTTGTTTTTGTCAGGTTTGTCGAAGATCAGATGGTTATAGATGTGTGGTATTATTTCTGAGGTCTCTGTTCCGTTTCATTGGTCTATATATCTGTTTTGGTACCAGTACCATGCTGTTTTGGTTACTGTAGCCTTGTAGTATAGTTTGAAGTCAGGTAGCGTGATGCCTCCAGCTTAGTTCTTTTTGCTTAGGATTGTCTTGGCTATAAGGGCTCTTTTTTGGTTCCATATGAAATTTAAAGTAGTTTTTTCTAATTCTGAGAAGAAAGTCAATGGTAGCTTGATGGGAATAGCATTGAATCTATAAATTACTTTGGGCAGTAAAGTCATGTTCATGATATTGATTCTTCCTGTCCATGAACATGGAATGTTTTTCCGTTTGCTTGTGTCCTCTCCTATTTCCTTGAGCAGTGGTTTGTAGTTCTCCTTGAAGAGGTCCTTCACATCCCTTGTAAGTTGTATTCCTAGGTATTTTATTCTCTTTATAGCAGTTGTGAATGGGAGTTCATTCATTATTTGGCTCTCTGCTTGTCTATTGTTGGTGTATAGGAATGCTTGTGATTTTTGCATGTTGATTTTGTATCCTGAGACTTTGCTGAAGTTGTTTATAAGCTTAAGGAGTTTTGGGGCTGAGATGATAGGGTTTTCAAAATATAAAATCATGTCATCTGCAAACAGAGACAATTCAACATCCTCTCTTCCTATTTGAATACCCTTTATTTCTTTCTCTTGCCTGATTGCTCTGGCCAAAACTTCCAATACTATGTTGAATAGGAGTGGTGAGAGAGGTCTTTGCCCATTTTTAAAATGAGTTATTTTGTTTCTTGCTATTGAGTTGTTTGAATTCCTTATATATTTTAGATATTAACCTCTTATCAGATGTATGACTTGCAAATATTTTCTCCTACTCCATAAGTCATTTCTTCACTCTCTTGATTGTTTCCTTTGCTGTGCAGAAGCTTTTTAGCTTGATGAAATCCCATTTGTCTATTTTTGCTTTTGTTGCCTGTGCTTTTAGAGTCATATCATGGTTTATTTTATTTAGTCCTGAAAGTCCCATTTTGTAGGTGAGAAAATAGGCTGTAAGAGAGTATACCTTGTCCAAGTTCATTTACACTGAGAATCAGAAGAGATTCCATTTTACCCAAAGTCTGTGGCAGCATTGGGGTAGGGGTAGGGCAGGGGCTCTGGAACCAGGTGGCCTGAGTTTGCCTCCTCTTTTCACCCTTCCTGACTGTGTGACCCTGGGCATGTCACTTACCCTCTCTGAGCCTTGGTTTCCTCATCTATATAATGAGGCTCATAACAGCACTTAGTTCATAGTTTTGTTGGGGGGAGTTAAGTGACACAGAGTAAATGCTAAATTAGTGCTGCCAATCATCATTATTTAAAAAATATTATTCCTAGTTGTTATTCAGAATCTGTGAATATAACCTTGGTTACTGGTAGGTTTCTTGCAGGGGAATGATCAGTTAATCAATAACACTGTGGAGGATAGGAGAAAGGATCTGATAGAACCCCCAATGCTTTTAAGGAGCTTCAAGTCTAGTTTGAGAAAACAAGAGATATTTATTGTTAAGATGTGAAGTTAATAATGGATCAAGCATGAAAACAGATTTGGAAGTAGAGAAAAACTTACAGATTTATTGCATCCACCCCCAGGCTCTAAGTGCTTCCATGCAGGGCAGCTGTCAGTGGCTGCAGAGTGATGGATTGCTTTCCTTTCTTCCTTCCCTTCCTGCTAGCCAACTTAGAAAACCTCTCTGCTAGATCTTGGACCCTCTATAAACAAAGTTCTAGGTTGGAACCATGGAGAATCTCTTATCGGGCTTTAATTCAGGCATTCCTTTCCTTTCTTGGGGAAGAAAAGGCTCATAAAGGCTTATGTCTACCAGCCAACAGTTTTTAACCCAGTTACAGTTGTGATGGGTCCTGGTACCCAGAACACATGGACGCATGGGAAGATTATCACTTTATGTTCAAGGAGACAGGGAACTAACAATTTTTTAATACATAGGGTGGGCCTGTTACTCCATGTATTTTAGGGTAATTGATTCTCACAGTAAACAGGAGAAGTAGTTATTATTAGCCCCATTTTGTGGATGAGGAAACTGAGGCTCAGAGAGGTTGACCAGTGCCATGCAACTTTTCAAGCAGCAGAGGCAGGATGGGAACCCAGCCTACCACCAGAGGTCTTTCCGCTATGCCATGATGGATGGGGCTTATGCCAACTAGACAGCACAGAAATCAAATGCTATAGGAATCAGATGGAAGAGAGGGCATGCAGAGCTTGTGTGCTGGCTTGGGACCAGTGACAGAAGCACTAGGAGTGGTGAGAATGAAGTGAAGGGAGCTGAGAATTCATGAGGTACTCTTGGCACCTCCCCAGACATCATCTTGGCTTGGAATCTGGAGGCCAGGCATTGAAAGCAGCCAGGCATTGAAGAATCTTCTGCTTCTCTCTCTCTCCTCTAGAAGAGAAAGGACTTCACCTTGCATTGTTTAAGATGCCTGGTGATTGGCTAAGTGCATCTGAGGTCCTTGCCACTTAGAGTGCATTTGTATACCAATGACAGAAAAGTAGGAGAGTGTAAAAGTTCAGGGCATAGGAAATAAAGCTGAACAGATCCCAGCCATGCCACCCATTGGCCAAATTTCCTTGGAAAAATGACTTAACTTGTCTGAGCAATAGTTTCCTTCTCTGCAAGATAGAGATCATTATAGCAGTTATAGTACAGAGTTGTTGAAGCTTTACTGCACTGAGTGTATACATGTGGGTGTGTGCGCGTGGAACATATTCACAGAAATCATTGTGTATATTGTGCCATAGCATAGTTCATGTTCTGGAAAACCTCAAGTCAAAGAAGGAGACATTTGCTGCTTTCTCTCCACTTCTCTCCATTTGTCATTTGGTTGTCCATACTTATGGTCTTCCCATTTCCCTCCAGGAGCACATTAAGCAAGGCTGCAGTGGCGGTAGAATGGGAATCCCAAGACAGATCGTGCCATTGCCATTTAAAGAAATGGAGGGTGATCAAAGTCCTGGTTAATGAAGACGAAGAGCACTTGCTTCTTTGGGAAGAGTTAGTAATGGGAAGTTGGGCTGAAAACCTAAACGGTGTAATGAAGAGTTCTAGTTGGCAGGCTTATTTTTGTGTTTAGTTGTTTAAGATGGATGGTGATTGGCGAATTGGATTGTATGGGAGCAGCAGGCCCTTGGCCTGGTGAAGCTGGAGGTCGGATGCTCTTGCCAGGGCATGGTCTAGCTGGGTGGTCATCTGTGATGGGACCCTTTCAGTAGTTTATATAGGCAATGGATACATGTGATGGTCCGAGGAAAGCGTTCATCAAACTAACCACACTGTGTAGAGGTGGAGATGTTTATCACTCACATCCTGACCACAGCTTTAGGCCCAGTGACTCAATGATATGTGGATTTCTTCATGACATAACTATTCTTGCAGAGAGGGTGGTGGCTTTTGTTAAGAAGAGAGAGTCTCTGAATGACAAGTCTTCTTTTTCTGCTCCTGTCTAATTTTTAAAAATTCAAATTCAAAGTTGGTTAAGCCTTCAAAATACTTAGCCGGGAAAAGTCTGGAACCTCTACCTCTTTAAAAATTGTTTTTGACATTATTTCAGACTTGCAAAAAAGTTATAAGAACATTACAAAGAATTCCTTTCTAATTCCCCTCACCCAGATTCCCAAATGTCAATATTTTATTCTACCCACTTTACCCTTTTATCTGTCTGTTCATCTCTCTGCCCATTCATCCATCCATCCATCCATCCACCCATCCATCCATCCATCCATCCATTTTATCCATCCATCCATATGTTTTCTGAACCATTTGGGATTAAGTTGCAGACATAATGCCCTGTTACTCCTAACTTCTTCAGCGAATATTTTCTAAAATCAGGAGCATTCTCTTAAAGAATCACAGTACAATTCTCAACATCAGAACATTCACATTGATGAAAATAAAAATAAAAGACTGTGATCTAATCTCCAAACTTATTTAGATTTCAGTTGTCCCAATAACACCCTTGATAGTGAAAGAAAAATCCGCATCATGCAATGCATTCAGTTATCCTGACCCCTCAGTTTCCTTTAATCAGGAACAATTCCTGGGACTTGCTTTCTCCTGTAGGCTATCTTTCAACTTGTTTTTTTCCTTATGATTAGATTAGATTTCCTTATGATGATTCAGGTTATACAGTTTTAACAGGGATGCTATAGAAGCGAAGTGGTGTTCTCAGTGCATCACAGCAGGGAACACCTGTCGATCTGACCCATGACTGGTGATACTAACTGTGATCATTTGGTGAAAGTGTTGTCTGCCACATCTCTTCACTGTCCAGTTACTCTCTCACCAGTTGAAATTCATAAGTATCTTGTGGGGAGATATTTTTAAACTACATAAATATTCTGTTACTCCTCAAAATTTCACTATGAGTTTTAGCATCCACTGATGATTCTTTCCTGAATCAATTATAATTATGATGGTTTCCAAATGGTGATTTTCAAATTCTGTCATTTCTTCCACATTTACTAGTTAGTTCTACTGAAAGGATGACCTTTCCCTTCTCCTTCTTTATTTTTAATAATAGTAACACTATTTTTCTAAGAGACTGAGGTCTTTCTCTGTCAAGACCAGGAGTTTAAGATCAGCCTGGGCAACACAGGATAGAGTGCAGTGGTACAATCATAGCTCACTGTAATCCCCACTTCTGGACTCAAGAGATGTTTGAGATTTTTTGTAGTGAGTGGTTTGTATTGTTTGTTTATGTTTGTTTTTAAAAGATAGGGTCTTGCTCTGTCGCCTAGGCTGGAGTGCAGTGGTGCAATCCTAGCTCACTGCAGCCTCGACATCCTGGGCTCAAGTGATCTTCCTGCCTCAGCCTCCTGAGTAGCTGGGACTTGACAGGTGTGCACCACTGTGCCCAGCTAATTAAATTTTTTTTTTTTTTTGTACAGACTGGGTCTTGCTACGTTGCCCAGGCTGGTCTTGAACTCCTAGGGTCAAGCAATCCTCCCACCTCAGTCTCCCAAGTAGCTAGGATTATAGGAGTGAGCCACCACACCCAGCTCTCTACTTGTATCAGTGTAGACTCATAGATTCTTATTTCATTCAATAGGTTATACTCCTTTACTATCGCTATTTATTTTGATGCTCAAATTGTCCCAGATTTGGCCAGCAGAAGCCCCTTCTAGCTGGCCACTGCATCCTTTAAACATGTTCCCATCTTTCTTAGGATGTACCCTTTAACCTTGACCGTCAAGTAAGTTTTCAGAGATAGAAGAGTGAATAAGTGGTATGGCAGCTATATCTTTCCCTCCTCACCGCTTCCTCTTCATCTCAGATGGATGATGAGATGGGGGATTCCCCCAAGAAGATCTGCCGTGAGGGCCTCAGACACGGTGGCCTATCCATCAGTCTTTTTGGGAGTGTTTGCATTGAGCTGGTATGATTGCCATTGTCATTATCATCACCTGGCAGAGTGTGCCAAGTTCTATCAATTGAAAATAAAGATACTTGCACATGTATGTTTATAGCAGCACAATTTGCAATTGCAAAAATATGGAACCAGCCCAAATGCTTATCAATCGATGAGTGGATAAATTGTGGTGTATATGTGTGTGTATATATATTATATATATTATATATTACATATATAATATATGTATATATTACATATATAATATATGTATATTTTACATCTATATATGTATATAGTACATATATAATATATGTTATATATTCATATATTATATGCATATATTACATATATAATATATGTACTATATATTATATAAATGTAATATATAACATATATATTATATGTTATATATTACATATAATATATGTACTATATACATATATTAATGTAATATATAACATATATAATATATGTATATAGTACATATATTATATATGGTATATATAACATATCTAATATATATATACTATATATAGTATATATAACATATATATAATGTATATATGTGTATATATATATTATATATATGTATGATGGAATACTACTCAGCCATAGAAAGGAATGAATTAATGGCATTCGCAGCAACCTGGATGGGATTGGGGACTATTATTCTAAGTAAAGTAACTCAGGAATGGAAAACCAAACATTGTATGTTCTCACTCATAAGTGGGAACTAAGGTATGAGGATGCAAAGGCATAAGAATGATACAATGAACTTTTGGGACTCGGGAAGGAAGGGTGGGGGGCCACTGAGGGATAAAAGACTACAAATTGGGTTCAGTGTATACTGTTGGGTGATGGGTGCACGAAAATCTCACAAATCGCCACTAAAGAACTTACTCATGTAACCAAACACCACCTGTTCCCCGAAAGCCTATGGAAATAAGAAATTTAAAAAAAAATACAAGCTTTTCTAAGAGTGAAAAAAAAAAACAGTAACACCCAAAATATGTCAGTCCAACCATGTGCCTGAGCTACCTCCTACTACTCTTCTCTGAGTTTGTGCCTTGGCTGAGATTGGGAGGTCTATTTCAACTCCCAGCACCCCTATCTTACCTCATCCTGTCTCTAGCAACCTGTCCAGTTGTTTCTAGTCTTTCTTCTTCCCTAGACTGTCTTTGCCACCAGACCCAGGCTCCTCAAGGACCCTGCATGTCTTGCTCACCACTGAGCTCTCAGTGAAAACACAGATGCTGTATATATGTTTGTTGAATGAATGAATGTTGCTAGTGATAATGCATTTATGATGCTGTTAATAACATCATTATCGAGGGCCAGTGATATGCCCGGCACTAATTGTACTCATGCACTGCATAATGACGTTTTGGGCAAGGATGACCTGCTTATCTCAACGGTGGTCTCTACGATTATAATGGAGCTGGAAATTGCCTCTCACCTAGTGTTGCTGTAGCTGTCATAACATTGTAGTGCAATTACTTTATTTTTTAATTTTATTCAATTATATTTTTGAGGCGGAGTCTTGCTCTGTCGCCCAGGCTGGAGTGCAGTGGCGCGCTCTCGGCTCACTGCAAGCTCCTCCTCCCAGGTTCACGCCATTCTCCTGCCTCAGCCTCCCGAGTAGCTGGGACTACAGGCGCCCGCTACCACGCCCGGCTAATTTTTTGTATTTTTAGTAGAGACGGGGTTTCACCGTGTCAGCCAGGATAGTCTCAGTCTCCTGACCTCGTGATCTGCCCACCTTGGCCTCCAAAAGTGCTGGGATTACAGGCGTGAGCCGCTGCGCCCGTCCAATTACCTTATTTTTAAAATATATTTAATGTAGCCTAAGTGTGCAGTGTTTATAAAGTCTACAATAGTGTACAGTAACATCATGGGCCTTCATATTCATTCACCACTCACTCGCTCACTCACCCAGAGCAGCTGCCAGTCCTGCAAGCTCAGATCATGGTAAGTGCCCTGCACAGGTGTAACTTTTTTTATCCTTTGTTTTTTGAAACAGAGTCTCTGTCGCCCAGGCCGGAGTGCAGTGGCGCAATCTCGGCTCCCTGCAAACTCTGCCTCCTGGGTTCAAGCGATTCTCCTGCTTCAGCCTCCTGAGTAGCTGAGACTACAAGCGTGTGCCATCATGCCCAGCTAATTTTTGTATTTTTAGTAGAGATGGGGTTTCACTGTGTTGGCCAGGCTGGTCTCGAACTCCTGACCTCAAGTAATCCGCCCGCCTCAGCCTCCCAAAGTGCTGGGATTACAGGCATGAGCCACCATGCCCAGCCACATTTTTTGTCTTTAATATCTTTTTTTTACTGTACCTTTTTAATATTTATATATGTTTAGATCCACCAATACTTCCCATTGTGTTATAATTGCCTGTAGCATTCAGTAGAGTAACACGCTAAACAGGTTTGTAGCCCAGGAGCAATAGGCTACACCACACAGCCTGGGGGGATAGTAGGCTACGTCATCTAGGTTTGTGTCAGTACACTCTATGATGTTTTGCACAGCAATGAAATCCTCTAACGGTGCGTTTCTTGGAATGCATCCCTGTCGTTAAGTGATGCATGATGGTACATAGAATGCGTTTTCTTATTTAATCCCCACATTATCCCATATGAAGTGGATGCTGTTAGTGTCCCCATTTTACAAATAAGGAAACTGAGGCTCAGAGTTGGTAGAAACATTGCTTCCCGTTGCAGCTAGTGTGTGGGAGCCGGAGTTTAAATGCAGCTCTGACTCCAGATCCCTTACTCTCAATTGCTGAGTCCTTCTGCTTCCGGGATAGTGTTGTCTTCTGCCCAATAACAACGTGGGTTTTAACTGCTGTGCTTGGAGCCCTGTGGAGGGGACAGGGTGTCCCTGTGGAGCAATTCTTGAGGGCAGTGACTTGCACACCTTGGGACTCAAACTGTTGCAGCTGAGGTGACTTTAAGAGGTACGCTGGCCAACCTTAAACATTTAAAATTATGTTAACATTTTAGTGTTATTAGGAAAAAAGTGTGGCCGACACATTGGATGATTCATCAGATGTGTTCGTTGCTTAAGATGAGGCTTTAACAAAAAGTCTTTTTTTTTTTTTTTTTTTTTTTGAGACAGGATTTTGCTCTCTCACCCAGGCTGGAGTGCAGTGATGTGATCTCAGCTCACTGCAACTTCTGCCTCCTGGGTTCAAACCATTCTCGTGCCTCTGCATTCTGAGTAGCTGGGACTACTAGCATGTACCACCATGCCCGGCTGATTTTTGTATTTTCAGTAGAGACAGGGTTTCACCATGTTGCCCAAGCTGGTCTCAAACTCCTGACCTCAAGTGATCTGGCTGCCTCGGCCTCCCAAAGTGGTGGGATTACAGGCACGAGCCACCGCACCTGGCCTCAAAAAGTCAATTTAAAGAAATGGCCAGTAAATAAGATGGTTCTTAGATATGACAGAGCATGAGAAGATGGTTTACAGAATGACTGAAGTTTGGAAGGTACCACCTTAACCCATTTCCTGTTTAGAAATAAAAAAAAATGCAGTGTGCTGCCAGCACTCATTTAATCTTACATAAACATACTCTTTGAGGCTGAAGCAAATCTCACTGATTTTCAGTGTGAAAATAAAATATAAAAACTATTCTTGGAGTTGTTTCTAAACAGAACTTGTCTCTAATCCTAATGTGATGGAAATGTATATGATGTTACATTAGGATTAGAGACAAGAGTATTCTCAGGGCAAATGGGAAATAGTTTGAAGTCATACTCTCGCCACAAAGGATTGGATTGAATTTTCCAGTGTGGATCAAACACTCATGAGGCCACACAGGTGAAAATGGTGTTTGAAGTTGTATATATTATAGAAGATTTAAGTGTCGTTGGATAACAGGCTGGGAGCCATGCGGTTTTCCCTGTGTTTCTTCGAGGGTTAATTCCCATTCTCCCCTTTGAGCCATGGAGCCGGGTTCTTGGTAGGGAGAAGAAAACTCTCCTATTCGGGAATAAGCTCATCGCAATTGCAATTTCCCCTCTGTAAACTGATGTTTACTCTTTTTAATTTTCTTTTCTTTTCTTTTTTTTTTTTTTTGAGACAGGGTCTTGCTCTGTTGTCTAGGCTGGAGTGCAGTGGCACAATCTTGGCTCACTGTAACCTCTGCCTCCTGGCCTCAGGCGATCCTCCCACCTCAGCCTCCTGAGTAGCTGGAACTACAGGCATGCACCACCACACCCAACTAATTTTTGTAATTTTTTTGGTAGAGACAGGGTTTCGCCACGTTGCCCAGGCTGGACTCGAACTCTTGGACTCAAGCCATCCTCCTGCCTTGGTCTCCCAAAGTGCTGGGATTATAGGTGTGAGCCACTGTGCCCGGCTGGTTCTTACTCTTTATTAGTTTTAAAAGTTTTTGGATGAGACGAGGATGGGATGAGACTTACTCAGATGAAACGTAAATTCAACGAATAGTTACTCGGTCCTTATTATGGGCCAGGCACTGGGAGTTCAGAGATGGATGGGGCAGGCTCTTGCCAGAAGAGGAGACAGACAGACAGGCAAATTCCTCCAGTCAGTTTATGAAGTACTAAAGGAGAGAAAGCTGTGAAATTTACAGACTTGATCACTTTACATTTTTGAACAGGCAAGGGAGTGTTTCATTTCCCTGAGCAGAAGGGAACAGTACCAAGGAAAACAAAGTGAATAAATGACCTGGGGGACATTTTAACAGGGCCCCGTGGGATGTATTTGAGTTGGCTGGGCCTAGAGAAATGGGTAAAAATTTCAGTACTTATTTTGACTTGATTCAACTATGGTCAAATGACCAAAAGTCAGGTTGGCATATCTGGTGTGTGTAAGGCTGACCATTTCCCTACCGTTTCTGGAGGCAGACATTCTTCATGGATCCCGGTATGACTTCAGAATCCTTCTCAACACAACACTCTGGGAAAATTACTCTAAGTCATGCATAAGGGGCACGTTCAATTAATCTTATTTCTATCCTTTCCCAAAGCCCTAAATTCTGTCATTTTGAGCAAATAGTTTTTCTCTTAATGGGGATGTATCTTAGAAGATGAAATGCAGGGAGGTAAGAAAATGCTTGGGGAAGAGTGTCATTTTTAAGCCGTTAAGCGTATTTCTTAACTACTATTATAGGGCACCCTGTGGCCTTACGGTTCTGTGACTATCTTATAGATGCACTTTCTCCAAGTCACCCAGAAGTGTCATCCTACAGGCCTGTTGTTGATGCAAACCAAGAACTGTTTTACCACAAGCGGAATGATACATTTTGCGTGACACTGGTATCTTAAATGCATGATTACAGTTATTATTATTAACATGATAAAAGAAGGAGCATTAGAATTAGTCTCAGGGATGAGGTCCCTAGGAACAAAAAAGCCAGTCTTGTATACAGGAAAATGCAGGGTTTCCTGAGAGACATCATTAGTCCTGTAGAATTTATGGTTTCTTTTTATCTTTCTTTGTGATAATCGTGTTGAGTTCTTGCTTCTCCTCCCTTCTCTCTCCGCTTGGCCACTGGCAGGCGCCAGGCTTCTGGGAGGGAATGTCACTTGGTTGCCAAATTAAATGCCCCAGATCTATTCACTCTAGAGGGTGGTGTCATTTCTGGAAAACAGAAAGAGAAGGCTCTGCTCTCTATCTTGATATTTGACCTGTTTAATATAATTTGAAATGAACCTTTAGTGTGATAAATGGGGAGACAGAACAATTCCTTGCAGGGCCAACGTCTCCACTGTGCTTTGGCCCCTGGGTGGCAGCTTGAGTCAGAGAGGGCGGGTGCCTGGCACTTTGATTTAGGATAATGGGGGCCAGGCTGCGGTGGAGCAGTCACACTGAGGAAGGCAGGAACAAGTCTGGAGACAGCTGAGGCCCCAGAAACGCACCCAGAAAGTGGAGGCCGTGAGGGCAAAGCTGCTCAACACCAAGTGTGTGGCTTCGGCATGATAGACACAAAGTAACCACAAAACAGTCAAGACCATCCTTAAATGAAGCTCCTCTGTGTTCTCTACTGAATTGGGGGCCAATCCTGGGTTCACCCCAGAGTGAAATCAGGCCCCACCTGGCACTCTGTACCACTGTATGCCAGATGGAAGGACTTGATGGTTAGTTTCCATCCATCCATCCATCCATCCATGCATGCATGCATGCATGCATGCGTCCATCCATCACACATTTTAGGAGGGCCTACATGAAGCCAGGTCTCAGCAGGGATTCTCTGGTGAGCAAATGACCCTGCCTTTCAGGAGCTTACAGTTCAGCAGAAAAGAATGATAAGTCAGCAGACTGAAACAACAATGTACAATGAGAAGGATTAAGAGGGAGCGATGGGGCTGACTTGGAAGCAACCAGAGAATTTGGAGTATGGATTGTAACTTGGAATAGTCTTGGAGGACCCCGGGCCCCAGCTGTTAGTGAGATGTTAGTGAGATTTTCATCTCTTCTCCCTTGCATTTGGTCTAGGAGAAGCTCCCCAGGAGACATTTTTGAGGCCTCTTTAATCACTGGATGGGCTAATGTTTAAGCCTTTCATTTTCTCTCTGTACATTCCAGAGAAATAATGCCTCTGTGTAGTCGTGTAGTTTCTCTCTTTTTTTTTTTTTTTTTTTTGAGACAGAGTCTCGCTCTATTGCCCAGGCTGGAGTGCAGTGGTGCAATGCCAGCTCACTGCAACCTCCACCTCACAGGTTCAAGTGATTCTCCTGCTTCAGCCTCCCGAGTAGCTGGGACTGCAGGCACACGCCACCATGCCCAACTAATTTTTATATTTTTGGTAGAGACGGGGTTTCACCATGTTGGCCAGGCTGGTCTCAAACTCTTAACCTCAAGTGATCTGCCTGCCTCAGCCTCCCAAAGTGCTGGGCACCAGCGTGAGCCACCACACCCAACCTGTGTAGTCTCTTGACATTCATCAATAGCCTGAGTTAGTTGAACTCTATTTAGTGACATCATTGGGCTTTCCAGCACTGCATTCAAAGACTCCTTCATTTGTTCATTCTTCCATTCAGCAAACTTATTTTTCGGTGCCTATGAGGGGTTCAGGGTCTGTATAAGAGGCCTGGGGCACCGAGTTGCAAAAAACCAGCCTTCCTTGTAAGGAGCTCAGAGTCTAGAAGAGAAAGACTGAAAATATCAATTATAATTCAGAGGGGAAAGGGCTGGGGTAGGGGAAGTAAGATTCGGGCACCTAAAACATTCTAGTGAGCCAGGAACAATGTTCTGAAGGAATTAGCATCTGTGACAGGGGCTGGCAAATTTTCCCTGTAAGGGTCCAGGGAGTAAATACAGCAGGCTCTTGGCAGCCATATGGTCCCTGTTGTATCCATTCAGCTCTGTTGTTATGAGCAAAAGCAGCCGTAGACAGTGTGCAAATAAATGGGCATGGCTGTGTTCCAATAAAACTTTATTTACAAAAACAGGTAGTGGGCCAGATTTGGCCTGTGGGCTGAAATACGCTGACCCCTGATCTAAGATAAGACCTAAAGAGTGAGTGGGAAATGAATGGCCAGGTAAAGAGTGGGACGTGTTCAGGCAGGAGAATAGCAGGCATCATGGCCCGGGAGATAGAGCTGGTTTGGAAGAAAAATATTAACTAAGAGTGGTTGTGTGGCTGGACTATAGCATGCATGTGTGGTACGGCATGGGGTGACAGGAGGGTTAGGAAGGGCTGTTTTGGAGTTCTGAGTTTATCCTGAGGACAGTCAGTAGGAAGCCCCCTAGAATGGCTCTCAGCCTGGAGGGACAGGACCTGTCATGCATCATTTAAGCCATGGCGCGTTGTGGCCTCAAGGCCTCAATCTAGTTGCTCTGAGCCCCTTTCTTCCTATTTTCCATTAATTAATTCTTGCAGGTATGCAGTGTGCCTCCCAGGACACAGCAGAGCGTGGCTCTGATGACACAGCTGAGCAGAAGTCAATGGGAGGCACTGCCATCTGCTCCTGGCGGCTGATGGCAGAGGAGGGAGCCCTGGACCCTCTCGCAGGGCGGGGCACTGCTCTGCATGCATCTCCTCTCATGGCCTCCTGGCCTACATCCCCTCTGATGGACCCCGTTAGGACTCAGTAATTTAAAACGCTTGTGGTCAGGGGCTGTCTGGTCACTGGTAATGAGGCCTTCACCTCCTCCTCCTGTTCCCCTTAGGCTAGAGGCATTTATTAACTCAAATTAATAGAGGAAGAAGAAAAATATTAACAACTCTCTAGGCCTCCAGCTGAGGCCTCCTTCCAGCATGATCCACTTCCCAGAAGCTTCAAGGAGAGCAGGTGAGGGTCACTTTCTAAGTGCTGCTCAGTAATTTTCAGGGCCAGGCGCTGTGGCTCACACCTGTAATCCCAGCAGTTTGGAAGGCCGAGGTGGACGGATCACTTGAGGTTAGGAGTTCGAGACCAACCTGGCCAACATGGTGAAACCCCATCTCTACTAAAAATACAAAAAATTAGCGGGGCATAGTGGCAGGTGCCTGTAGTCCCAGCTACTCGGGAGGCTGAGGCAGGAGAACTGCTTGAACCCAGGAGGCAGAGGTTGCAGTGAGCTGAGATGGCACCATGGCACTCCAGCCTGGGTGACAGAGCAAGATGCTGACTCAAA
Source organism: Homo sapiens (assembly GCF_000001405.40). Lineage (NCBI taxonomy): Eukaryota > Metazoa > Chordata > Mammalia > Primates > Hominidae > Homo > Homo sapiens. The sequence continues at coordinate 117,732,303 of NC_000012.12, read as the reverse complement.
AAAAAAAAAGAAAAAAATTCAGGAAGCAGACACCGAGTCATCCCTCCCATTCTAGTTGTGTTTTGGGATCATCACTCATACATTAAAGAGGTGGCCTTTCTGTGTCCATCAGCTGAATTAGGCACAATTTTAGCAGTTACCACCTCACGACCAGGGTTTTACCTATTAACTCAGGGTGGGATGCACCTGGGGGTAGAGAGAGAACTGTGGCACCTCAGGGGATCTGAGCTTGACACCAGCTTTGATTTCACCTTTTTTTTTTAATAGTATTTGTTGATCATTCTTGGGTGTTTCTCGGAGAGGGGGATTTGGCAGGGTCATAGGACAATAGTGGAGGGAAGGTCAGCAGATAAACATGTGAACAAGGGTCTCTAGTTTTCCTAGGCACAGGACCCTGCGGCCTTCCGCAGTGTTTGTGTCCCTGGGTACTTGAGATTAGGGATTGGTGATGACTCTTAAGGAGCATGCTGCCTTCAAGCATCTGTTTAACAAAGCACATCTTGCACCGCCCTTAATCCATTTAACCCTGAGTGGACACAGCACATGTTTCAGAGAGCACGGGGTTGGGGGTAAGGTCACAGATCAACAGGATCCCAAGGCAGAAGAATTTTTCTTAGTACAGAACAAAATGGAGTCTCCCATGTCTACCTCTTTCCACACAGACACAGTAACAGTCTGATCTCTCTTTCTTTTCCCCACATTTCCCCCTTTTCTATTCGACAAAACCGCCATCGTTATCATGGCCTGTTCTCAATGAGCTGTTGGGTACCCCTCCCAGACGGGGTGGCGGCCGGACAGAGGGCCTCCTCACTTCCCAGATGGGGCGGCCGGGCAGAGGCGCCCCCCACCTCCCGGACGGGGCGGTGGCTGGGCGGGGGCTGCCCCCCACCTCCCTCCCGGACGGGGCGGCTGCTGGGCGGAGACGCTCCTCACTTCCCAGACAGGGCGGCTGCTGGGCGGGGGGGCTCCTCACTTCTCAGACGGGGCGGCTGCTGGGCGGAGACGCTCCTCACTTCCCAGACGGGGCGGCTGCTGGGAGGAGGGGCTCCTCACTTCCCAGACGGGGCGGCTGGGCAGAGACACTCCTCACCTCCCAGACGGGGTGGCGGCCGGGCAGAGACACTCCTCAGTTCCCAGACGGGGTCGTGGCCGGGCAGAGACGCTCCTCACCTCCCAGACGGGGCGGCTGGGCAGAGGCGCTCCCCACATCCCAGACGATGGGTGGCCGGGCAGAGACGCTCCTCACTTCCTAGACGGGATGGCGGCCGGGAAGAGGTGCTCCTCACTTCCCAGACTGGGCGGCTGGGCAGAGGGGCTCCTCACATCCCAGACGATGGACGTCCAGGCAGAGACGCTCCTCACTTCCTAGACGGGGTGGCGGCCGGGCAGAGGCTGCAATCTCAGCACTTTGGGAGGCCAAGGCAGGCAGCTGGGAGGTGGAGGTTGTAGCGAGCCGAGATCAGGCCACTGCACTCCAGCCTGGGCAACATTGAGCACTGAGTGAGCGAGACTCCGTCTGCAATCCCGGCACCTCGGGAGGCCGAGGCGGGCAGATCACTCGCGGTCAGGAGCTGGAGACCAGCCTGGCCAACACAGCGAAACCCCGTCTCCACCAAAAAATACAAAAACCAGTCAGGCGTGGCGGCGCGTGCCTGCAATCCCAGGCACTCGGCAGGCTGAGGCAGGAGAATCAGGCAGGGAGGATGCGGTGAGCCGAGATGGCGGCAGTACAGTCCAGCCTCGGCTCAGCATCAGAGGGAGACCGTGGAAAGGGGAGATGAGGGAGAGGGAGACCGTGGAAGGGGGAGAGGGAGAGGGGAGACGAGGGAGAGGGGAGACGAGGGAGAGGGAGACTGTGGAAAGAGGAGAGGGAGAGGGAGAGGGATTTCACTTTTATAATAATAATAATAGAGACAGGATATATTGCATTCTTACCATGTTATGGGCATTGTGCTAAGTGCCTTATATATAGTATCAGTTTATAGCATCCCACGAGGTAGGTTTTATCATCATCCGTTGTAGTGAATGAAACTGAGGTATGGAGGATTACATAACTTGCTGAAGATCACATCTCCTTGCTCAAGGGCACAGGGATCGGCAAGCTACCACCCTACCACCTGAGGCCCAAATCTTGCCCACCACCTGTTTTTGTAAATAAAGTTTTATTAGAACATAGCCGCACCTATTCAATGACATATTTTCTTTGGCTGCATTCATGCTACTATGGCAGACTGGAGTAGTTGCAAAAGATACCATATGGCCCACAGAGCCTACAATATTTACCATTTGGCCCTTTCGGAAATTGTTGCAGGCTCCTATCCTAGCTAATAAGTGGAAAATGTGATACAAACCTAGGTTCCTTGGACCCAGAGGCTGAAGTCATGATCATCAGTGCTACGCTGCCTCTATATTACCATTTCTATGCTTACCACTTTTTCATACAGCAGGTTTTAGGTCCCTGTTGTTTTCCGGAATCCTGGACCATGAGTTCTTTGAGAGTAGGACCTGTCCTATTCATCTCTTTCATTTCTCAGTTTAACACAGGACTGGGCACATTGTTAAAGGCTCAATGAATGTTTGTCAAATGAATGAATGGATGGGTGGGTGGGTGGATGGGTGGATGGATGGATGCATGGTTAAATGGTTTTTGCAGCCTTCCCAGCATTGGAAGCCGACTGTCAGTCTAGTGCTCTCCCCATTACGGAGTGAACGTGAGAGAAACTTCATAATGAGGGACCTTAGGTAGGGACGGAGGTGAATGACACTGTGTTGACTGAAGATACCAGCCCCATCATTTCCAGCCCTCATCCTGCCAGGCAGAGTAATGTGGAGGTCCCTGGAAGCCAGAGGAAACATTCTTTATCATTCCTTTCGACAGATCTCTTAGAGTTGTCCTTGCCTGTAATTTAGACTCTGAACATTACTAATACCCTGTTGTCGTATGCAACTAATATTTGTCACCCCTATGGCAAGCAGAATCTTGAATGTAAATTCATGTGGTCCCTTCCCTATTGCTGAGGCAGTCAATGCATGAGAGGGGTGCTCTTCCCTGGGTCAGCTGGGAATTCCACGCAGAAGCACCAGCAGCATCACCCTCAATGTTAGGTTGTAGACTCCCGAGGGGCACTGATTCTATTTCTTACTGGTAAAAAAAAAAAAAAAAGTTTCCTGCTGGTGACTTCATTTTCTGTAGCCATGGCATTTGAAAAACACCTTCATGCACAGCGCTGAGTTTGGCCCCCTAGCAGCATTTTGAAGTGGGTACCGCTAACCGCATTTTGCAAAAGGAAACTCGCATTTATGGAGTACCAGTTCCTTACATGCGTGTATCTCTTACAACAAATTATCATTTCACCCATTTGTCAGATGAAGAGATGGCATCAAGAGCCCAGGTAAGAAGCAAGTCTCAGCACTTGAACTCTGGACTCTCAGATGCCAAAGTTCATGATATTCAACCCTTCGTCACATTTGCAGTGACCCCCTGGCATGGCTTGGCCCTGAGTAAGGACAGCATAGAGGACTTTTGTCTAAGGCCACTTCTTCCCTACTGAGACCCTGTGAGTCTGCAGCTCAGCCCAAGCCCCTGCATCACCTGAGATGAGAGCTTAGTGCAGCTGTGTGGTGAGGGCGGCACGGCCGTTATCCATGCTTGGCGTGTTTTGCAGCGCTGGGGGAACACACAGGTTGCTCACCAGACACAGAGTTCTGAGTTTTTCTCAGTTGTCCATTTAGGTTTTCAAGATTATTCCTGAAGTGTGGGGCAGCTGGGGGCTTTCTGGGAGCCAGAGGGGCCTCTCAGAAGTTAATGTTCCATTCCAGGTTATAATGGACAGCAGCTGGGATGTCCGCCTGGGCCAATTTGCTTTGAGCATCTCTGCAAACTTGGACTCCGGTGAAGAATTTGTGAGCTTACTTAACCATAGCGAGCACAGGTGTAACAAAATGACAGAAGTTGTCAGTGTGTTGGTCTTTTTCTCATATGACCATTGGTCTTTTTGTCACATGACCCTTATTTGCCCCTTATCTTTATGGAAGAGGACATGCTTCCTGATTTACCTTTCTCTTCTCTTTAGCTTCTTTACCACTTAAAAAGCTGAGGTATAAATTATATACAATAAAAACCACAGATGGTAAGTTCAATGAGTTTTGATGGAGGTATATCCCTAGATACCCACTGCCCCAATCAAGACAGAATATTTCTCCTCCACCCCAGAAAGTTCTCTCATGTCCTTCTCCGATCATCTTGCCCCACCCTGAAGGCAACCCTTGTTCTGCTTTTTAGCACATAGCTTAGATCTCTTGCAGAACTTCACGTAAATGCCATCATATAGTGTGTACCCTTTTGTATCTGGTTTCTTTCACTCAACATGTTGTTTTTGAGATACATCCGTGTGTTGTATCAGTGCATTCTTTTGTATTATTTTATAGCTACATATTACTAATATTTTCTTGTGTGAATATACCATCATTTATTGGTCCATTCTCATTTTATTTGTTTCCTCGGGTTGCTGTAACAAAGTATCACAAACGTGGTGACTTAAAACAACAGAATTCCATTGTCTCACAGTTCCAGAGGCCAGAAGTCCCGAGTCAAGGTGTGGGCAGGGATGTGCTCCCTCTGAAGGCTATAGGGGAGATCCTTCCTTGCCTCTCCCAGCTTCTGATGGCTCCTGGCAATACTTGGTGTTCCTTCCTTGTCTTGAGGCTACATGATTCTAAACTCTGCTACACATGGCATCTTCCCTCAGTGTGTTCCTCCTCCTCCTCTTCCTCCTTTCCTCCTCCTCCTTCTCCTCTTGTTCTTCCTCCTCCTCTTCCTCCTCCTTCTTCTTTCTCCTCCTCTTCCTCCTCCTTTTGTTCCTCCTCCTCCTCCTTCCCCTTCTTCTCCTTCTTCTTTCTTCTTTTTCTGCTCCTTCTTCCTTCTTTTTCTTCACAGGGTCTGGTTCTGTCACCCAGGCTGGAGTGTAGTGGTGCACTCACGTCTCACTGCAGCTTCCACTTCTCAGGCTCAAGTGATCGTCCCGCCTCAGCCTTCTGAGTATCTGGGACTACAGGTGCCCGCCATCATGCCTGGCTATTTTTTTTTTTTTTATAGAGATGGGGTATTACCATCTTGCCCAGGCTGGTCTCAAACTCCTTGGCTCAAGCAGTCCTCCCACCTTGGTGTCTCAAAGTGCTGGGATTACAGGTGTAAGCCAGCACACAAGCCCTCTTTTCTTATAAGAAGACCAGTCATTAGATTTAGAGCTCATCCTAATCAAGTATGACCTTAACTTGATTATATCTGCAAAACCCCTACTTCCAAATGAGGTCACATTTACAGTTACTGGGGGTTAAGACTTCAACGTACATTTTTTGGGGCTGCATTTCAACCCACTATACATCTGGAGTGCTTCCAGGTTGAGGTTATTGAGAGTAAATCTAAATCTACTTAGAACATTCTTGTACAAGTTTTTTTTGTTGTTGTTGTGGAAATATATTCTCATTTCTCTTGGGTAAATAGCTACTAGGAGAATCCCTAGGTCCTAGCATATGTGTTTTTATGTAGCTTCGTAAGAAACTGCCAAACTGTTTTCCAAAGTGCTTGCATATTTTACAATCCCACCAGCAGGTGTGACAAGTTGCTCTATATCATCAGTAGTTCTCAATATGGGGCAATTTTGAATTTTGTCCCCTAGACAACATTTGGCAATGTCTGAAGACAGTTTTGCTGGCCATAATTTGCAGTGAAGGGGACAGTGCTTCTAGCATCTGGCACCTGGGGAGAGACCAAGGATGCTGATAAGCATTTCACAATGCACAGGGCAGCCCCCATTCCCAGGCCCCAGTAATGGGTTATCCAGCTGGAAAGATCAACAGTGCTGAGGCTGAAAAATCCCGCCCTATCTCCTTGCTACCACTTAGCATTGTCAGGCATCTAACTTTATTCATCCTAATAGGTATGAAATGTTATCGTGTTTTGCTTTGTGCTTCTTTAATGACTAAATATGGTGAACATCTTTTTTTGGGACTTACTGGCCATTTCTCTCCCATTTTATGTGAATATGTGAATTATCTATTTAAATCTCATGCTTATTTTTAAATTGGGTTATCTTTTTAAAAAAATTTTTATTTTATTTTATTTTATGTTTTTTTTGAGATGGAGTCTCGCTCTGTCACCCAGGCTGGAGTGCAGTGATGCTATCTGGGCTCACGGCAACCTCCACCTCCCAGGTTCAAGCGATTCTCCTGCCTCAGCCTCCCTAGTAGCTGGGATTACAGGTGTGCGCCACCACACCCAGCTAATTTTTTGTATATTTAGTAGAGATGGGACTTCACCATGTTGGGCAGGCTAGTTTTGAACTCCTGACCTCAAGTGATCTGCCTGCTTCAGCCTCCCAAAGTGCTGGGATTATAGGCATGAGCCACCACACCCTGCAACCTCTACCTCCTGGGTTTAAGTGATTCTTGTGCCTCCCCCTCTTGAGTCGGGGGGCTTACAGGTGTGCACCACCATGCCTGGCTAATTTTTGTATTTTTTAGTAGAGACAGGGTTTCACCATGTTGGCCAGGCTGGTCTCGAACTCCTGACCTCAGGTGATCTGCCTAGGTGTTCCAAAGTGCTGGAATTACAGGTGTGAGCCACTACTCCCGGCCTAATAATTTTTTTAATGTTTAGTGCTTTTTGTGTCCTAAGAAATCTTTGCCAATCCCAAAGTTGTCAATGTTCTATTTTCTTTTAGCAGCTTTATAATTTTTAGCTTTTGTGATAGGTTTATTATCTATCTCACATTAATTTTTGCATATGATGTAAAGTAAGGATGGAAGCTCCTTATTTTCCATAAGAATATCCAGATGTTCCAGCACCATTTGTTGAAAAGACCACCTGTTCCTCATTGAATGACTTGATATCTTCATCAAATGTAAGTTGGCCATATGCATGTGGGTCTACTTCAAGACTCTCTGTTCTGTTCCATTGATCTACTAGCCTGCTCTTAAGACAATGTCACACTGCCTTGAAGACACTGTCTTACCTCTCTGGCCTCTTGTCTTTTCATCTGTCTCCTCTGCTTTTTCCTCTTTCAACTTCCCCTCTTTCACTGGGCTGGGGGTGAGTGCAGTTGGGAGACAAAAACTAAGCTATATTTTGCTTCTTGTTATTTCTCGTGCCTTTCTGCAGTCTACCTCCTTTGCCATCTTTTGTTTTTGGGGTGTGTGTGTGTGTGTGTGTGTGTGTGTGAGAGAGAGAGAGAGAGAGAGGGAATTAAGCCAGGGATAAAAAGTACCAGATGCCTGCCCTGAGCATCCCTGTTCTTGTTAACCAGTTTTCTTTCCTGTTTACTGTTTTCTTCTCAGCACCTAAGTTCTCACTTGCCCCAAGAGCATCCAGTCTAAACAGATTGGCCAAGTCTATTCCTCCTCTTGTCTTTGACTCTCTTGACTTCTTGAAATCCCTCCCTCCCACCCGAAGTCTTCCTGGAATCAATAGAAAAAAAAGTCATACTTCTTCTTTTCTAATGAGTGACTCATCAAGCCAGGACTGAACACTCACAAACAACCCTCGCTACAAGGGATCAAAAATGTGCCTTGTCTCTGTTGATTCCTCCCATTTATTCTTGGCATGTTCTTGTGCATCTGGGCTGATGCTGCTGGTTATGTCTGGGATTGCACAGACCCCCTGCCTGTTTGATGTGGATCATGGAGCATCCAACAGTCCAGAACTGCAGGCGGCCGGGGGTGGGGGGGCAGGTTTTTTTGCTGATGATCCAGAGAGATGATGCTTGTTGTGTGGCTACCAGCAGCAAAGCCACCTAAAGTCTCATGACTCTTCAGAACAAAATGGCAAGATTATATTGCCCATTGCATCATTATTTAGAAAAAGTGTAGTTTTTATATTTGTAAATGGTGGATCAGAACCTGGGCTAACACCTCAGTATCTGAGGAACATTGCTACTTATTTTTAGGTATAGTTTGGTAGATATATGTTATTTTTCTTTTTTTTTTTTTTTTTTGAGACAGGGTGTCACTCTGTCCTGTTGTCCAGGCTGGAGTGCAATGGCACGATCTCAGCTCACTGCAACTTCCACCTCCCAAATTCAAGCAATTCTCCCACGTAAGCCTCCTAAGTAGTTGGGACTGCAGGCACACACCACCATGCCTGGCTAATTTTTGTATTGTTTGGTAGAGACGGGGTTTCACCATGTTGGCCAGGCTGGTCTCGAACTCCTGACCTCAAGTGATTCGCCCACCTCAGTCTCCCAAAATGCTGAGATTACAGGCGTGAGCCACTACGCCCAGCCCGAAAGATATATATTTAACCCTATCTTTAAAACATATTATGTTTTAAAGAGTAAATTGAAATAAATAGTAAGAACAGGATTTAAAGACAGCTTGAGTTTAAAATACTTATCAAAATGTGAGATTTTCTTGATATCTATACTAGTACTTTGATGTGAGAAATACACAATAAATGTTATTTGCATAACTTCAAAAATCCCGTATTAGATTTTTTTAAAAAATGATATTATGAAATGGTTGAAGACTCACAAGAAATAGTGCAGATGCTCCTTGTATCCTCCCCCCAACTTTCCCCCAGTGACAGTATCTTACATAACCACAGTATGAAATTGACATTGGTACAATACTGTTGACTTAGGTACAGATCTTATTTGGATTTCACCAATTTTTACTTTTTTACTTGCATTTTTTGAGCTTTTATTTTTTTTAATGATGATTTTATTGTCCAAAAGATGGCCTAGCAATATCCAAGAAAATTTTGGAGTGAGAAAGATACGAGTTCCCATTCCAGCCTTGTCACTTATCTGTGAGATCATGGATGATTCATTCATTTTCTGAGCCTCAGTTTATTCCTCTGTAAAATGGAGTTGATAATATCTACCTCTTACGGTTGTTGTGAGGCTTAAATTCAGTGACTTATACAGGTATATCATGCTTGGGAACTGTTGTGATGGGTTGGTTGAAAAATCTAAACTCATGGAAGTATAAAATGAAGAAAGCAGTTTACTTTTAGTTTAATTAAGATACGTGGAATGTCTTCTTTTCCATTTTTAGTGACAACTTGGGCAGATTTATTCACTTTTGGCTGGAAGAGCTTAAAGCAGAGAAGGTCTCCCTGGTGTTGGTGTGGTTTGGTTTGATTCTTCGGTTGTGAGTGATCTCTTTGTGAATGGTGAGGATGGATTCCTCTGGCCTGCCTTCAGGGTCATCCTGATAACCTCCCCTGCCACTGAGGGGCAGCCTGGTCTCATTGACTTCCTGAATGGCACCCCTTTGGTCCTTTTTCTGGTGGTCACCTAGACATAGAGAACTCCTGCCATCCACTGGCCCTCAGGCTTTCCCTTGCAGCCATGGGAATACGGGATACTTCTCGCACTCTCTTGGTATGGAGAGATCTGGGATGGAGTGGGGAGTATCTGCATTGCCTCCTCTGACTCACTACTTCCATGTCCCCTTGTTACAGGAAAGGGGTCCTGATCCAGACCCCAAGAGAGGGTTCTTAGATCTCGGGCAAGAAAGAATTCAGGGTGAATCCATACAGTAAAGTGAAAGCAAGTTTATTAGAAAAGTAAAGGAATGAAAGAATGGCTACTCCATAGACAGAGCAGCCCTGAGGGCTACTGGTTGCCCATTTTTATGGTTATTTCTTGATTACATGCTAAACAAGGGGTGGATTATTCATGCCTCTTCTTTTTAGACCATATAGGGTAACTTTCTGACGTTGTCATGGCATTTGTAAACTGTCACGATGCTGGTGGGAGTGTAGCAGTGAGGACGACTAGAGGTCACTCTTGTGGCCATCTTGGTTTTGATGGGTTTTGGCCAACTTGTTTACTGCATCCTGTTTTATCAGCAAGGTCTTGATGCCTGTATCTTGTGCTGACCTTCTATCTCATCCTGTGACTTAGAATGCCTTAGCTGTCCGGGAATGCCGCCCAGTAGGTTTCAGCCTCATTTTACCCAGCTCCTCTTCAAGATGGAGTTGCTCTGATTCACACACATCTGATATCCTCAAGCTGTTTGGATGTAGGTCATCTAGGGTTCCCCCACCTGCAGAAATGTCTAGGCCTGCATTGTCTAATATGGTAGCCACTAGCTATAGGTGTTAATTATTTAAATTTAAAAGAATTAAAATTAGTGTGTAGTGGCATGCAACTGTAGTCCCAGCTACTTAGGAGAACGAGGCGGGAGGATCACTTGAACCCAGTTTGAGACCAACTTGGGCAACATAGCGAGACCCTTAAAAAAATGTTAAAAAAAAATAAAATTAAATGGAATTACACATTTAATTCTTCAGTTGCGCTAGCTGTATTTCATGTGCTCAATAACCATATATGGCTGGTGGCTGCCATATTGGACAGCACAGATATAAAACATTTCCATTATCATAAAGAGTTCTTTTGGACATTGCTGGTCTAACTAATAGATCCCCCATCTTACGGCTACCGATGTTAGTCTTTTCTAAGAACTGCCCCACCTCCCTCTGCTTAAAGGGTGGTACCAGTGGATGGCCATGAGATGCATAATTTCAGCAGACATCTACTTAAGAAATAAGATGCCAGTTTCTTTTCTTGTAGACACCCCTAGGGAGTAGGAATGCACTCTGTTTGTGAATCCTATGCCCTCAGAAGGTCAAAGACCAAAACTCAACCCATCTACCTCCTCTTCTTCTGGGGAGGAGGCAGCAGTGGTCGTTGGGAAGTGGGGGCTCAATCTGCCCCCTCTTTGGATCCTTGTGGGAAGGAGTTTGATCTCAGCTCTGACTCACAGGTAGCTCTTTTTAGAAAGTAGAATTATTTTATGTCTTATTTTTAGATTTGGGTATAAACTATAATTCTGGGACAACAGTAGAAATCCCACTTGATAGCCAATTACACTGTTATCATTAATAGTATTATTCTGACCATATAGCCTTCTATACTATTCTACAACTATGGAAGTAAATGACCTTCCCTTTCTCACCTACATTCATAGATAGTTGTTCATTATATCGTAAGCATTTACCCACATTTCTATTTCAAATGGGAGTTTCCATTTTTAGATGGGCACATAATGTTGCATTGCATTGGTATCCATGCTTCTCCGACTATTTCTCTTTCAGATAAAGATTTCCGTTATTTCCAGAGGTTTGGTGTTACTAGTAGCACCACTGAGGGCATCTTGGTGCATAAAACTTCTTGCTTTTGACGACTTCTTTTCTTTGGAGAAATTTTCCTGGAAGTAGGAAAGGTATTGAGCTTATGAACTTCTTAACTCTTTGTCAAATTTAAACTCCCCTCCCCTTACAAATTACAGGTCTGATGGCCGAATGGGACCTAAGAGGATCTGTAGTCAATACCTGTCACTGTCATCTTTGTTATATACACAACTCTCCTCTTTCCAGCTTCATCTCATTCCCTCCTGCCTCAGGGACTTTGCTTATGCTTTTGTCTGTGCCTCTTCTTTGTGTTCCTTTCCTCCTTGTAATTAATTCCTATTTTTTCCCTGAGATCTCAGATCTGGGCTCAAGATCACTTCTGCTGAAAAATATTTTCTTACTCTATCACCTTCAAATAAGCCAGACCCCCTTGTCAAGAATAGGGACCTGTTCTTTCTTTCATAGCATTTATCGTGATGTATGATTAGACGTTCATCTGTGTAATAAGCAGTCTGATGTTTGAGCCCTTGGTTAAGACCAAAGGGTGGAGCTTATCATTGCCTGGCACACAAGCACTTAGACTTTGTCGAATGAATAAACACATCTGATGCAAATTTACAGGGATGCCAATCAGGATGCTGGGACTTTTATCGATCTTGCCTCTGCCTCGTGTTACTTTAAACAATTCCTTTTTAGGCATGGGGCCAAATTAGGGATTAAAAACATCTGGAGCCTATTAATGGGCTTCAAGGGTTGGTGAACACTCTAATATTATATATACAAGTGTTGTGCAGACAGGTGCACCTGGGGAGGAAGGTGGTAGAGGGTCCATGGCTTCCATCATGAGATTTTTAAAGAGGGTAGCAAACCTTCTAAATGATAACAGCCATCAGCCTAGATCATTGGTGTGGTCTTCACAACACCCAAGAAACAGGCCTGCTTCCCTGTAATTGAAGGGAGTTACTCACCCAGCCCCTGGCTGTGCCCAATCAGGGCATGCCTGGTTCAGCAGGGATGAACCATCTATAGAAATTTGACTCTGCACTTCCTCCAGGCACTTTGCCCCTGTCTGAAGAAGAATAAGAAATGAGAAATGCTCCCTATACCCAGCTTCTCTCCCAAGCTTCCAAACTTCAAGTTATTGAGTCACTCTGTCTCTGCATGGAAGGAGTGATGAAGGAGTGGAGAAGGGCCAGGAGTGGGATGCTGGCAGAATTTCTTTCACTTGGAAAAAGACATTGAGGGTAAGGAGAAGCATTGCCCTTCGCCCCCAACACACTAACCTCAGAAGACTCTTATAGTTCTAATATTCTCAGACTCTGTTCATATAGTCATACAAGACCAATGTTTGAAGGAGGCTTAGAAGGGTCATCTTCTTTGTAATTGCTTGTTGGAATTTGGCTAAACAATTTATTATGCAATTAATGCATGTTCATTTTGCAGAACTTGCAAACTCTGATACCTAATAGGGCCTGTCAGGAAACTCAAATGGTTGAAGAGGGTCTAGCATAAGATGACAAATGGCAACTGACATTTGGCTTCAGGGTCAATGATTTACAATAGGGAATGGTGGGGAGTGGGGCAAACTGGAGCACCCATGCCTCATCTAAAGGGGGAAGCCACTCCTTCTTTCTAGCTGACTGTTGCCACATTGAATGCAAGACCTGAATTGTTGGCCAGGTGCTGTGGCTTACACCTATAATCCCAGCACTTTGGGAGGCCAAGGTGGGCAGATCACCTGAGGTCAGGAGTTCAGGACCAGTCTGGCCAACATGGTGAAACCCTGTCTCTACTAAAAGTTCAAAAAATTAGCCGGGTATGGTAGCACATGCTTGTAATATCAGCTACTTAGGATGCTGAGACAGGAGAACTGCTTGAACCTGGGAGGTAGAGGTTGCAGTGATCCAAGATGGTGTCACTGCACTCCAGTCTGGACTGGGGTGGAGGGGGGGAAAGACCTGAATTGTTTCAATTTATCAAGAAAAAGTGGAAGCATGGAATTTTTCATGTGAAATTTTCCTGTTTTTGTAAATGTTGCCAATGAATCTACGTTTAAGGTTTGTATGAGCCAAATAAAGTTTGTCTGCATTCCAGATGTTTCTCCACAGGCCATAGCTTTGCATAGTAAAATTTAAACCTTACAAATCCATGGAATAGAGTTTTCTTTGAAGTCCACCTAAACAGAAAACCCTCTGGGTCCATTGATGAGCGGCTGTTTAGGAGACTGGAAGTCCTCTCCTTTTAGAGAGATAGTGACTCTAAATCATCACCTTAGACCTTGTCAGTCAGAGTCTCCATGTTCATGATGGTATGGCAGAGGGGACATAGCGGGGATCAACACGCAGCTGAAAGGCCATGCCTTGCCAGAGCTGGTGTTGGCATGTGTATTCAAGCCCTATGCCGAAGAGGCTAAAAATAGTCCCAAGTGTTTGGGTGGCTGCTTTGTCTTAACTACTTCCAGGCCCTAGACAACTGTCACCTCATTAATCTTCATGGCAGGGTGCCTGGCTTAGAGGACAAAACTGAGCTTCCAATGCATATGATTTAATTCCAGCTGGGCATGTGCGAGCCTCAGTTTCCCCATCTGCCCCTGAGCCACTCATTCACCAACCTCATGGTCTGCCTGAGGAGGTGACAAGGACCAGGACCTCAGGGTACAGGTGGAGGTTTCCTGGGTGGCATTCCCACAGGAGGTTTCTGCCAAGCAGCAAGAATAAAACCCTGAAAGCCGTATTTATTTAAAGACCATTAATCCAGTTCTGGATCATTCCAACTGGAGTGACTTGTCTAAAATTTAGTGTTGCTGAGCAATCTCTTTCCTTCCATGGACAGTGAACAACAGGGTTTCAGTAAAGTGGTTCCAGAGGAAATGCCTTTGTTATGATCCTCTTTGCATTCCCAAACTTTAGAAGAGCTTCTTTGTATTTAATTCATAATCTAGTTATAAAAGATTTACAGCAGCACCTCTAGACAATACTCTGTTAATCCAGATGAAGTTACTGTATGAATTGAAAGTCATAAAAGTAATTTTCGAATGCATTATTTTTTATCTCTTTCTAAGTGTTTAAATCTCAACTTAAACTGGCTTCTCCCACAAAATGTATTTGTTGGCTTTTGTAACTGCAAAGTGCTTAGGAATGGTGGGCTTTAGGTACGGTTGGATCTAGGTGCTTACACAAATGTTGGAGAAACTCGCCCCCTGCTCCTTGGTAGCTTTGCTTTCTCATTATGGCCAGCTGCCTTCCTCCTCCCTCTGTGTCTCAAGTAGTTCCAGAAAGAGACTCAATTGCCTCAGTGGAAAGAGAAACTTCTTTCTCTAAGGTTGCTGCAAAAGTCCTGAGATTGGCCCCTTGTGAGTCAGCTTGGGCGTCTTGCCTATCCTGAAACCATCTTTGTGTCCAGAGGGATGGAGTAAGCTGATTAGGACAGGCACACGTGCATGCACGCGCGCGCATGCACACACACACACACACACACACACACACACACACACACACACACACCTGTCTGCCCCACACATGCCACATGGATGGATGGTAGATAGACTAAAGTAACAGATGTCATCTACATTTTAAAATAATGAAAACTTCAACTCCCAGTCAGCCTAAATCATATAGGGCCCTCTTTTTTTAATTTTTATGTTTTATTTTTGAGATAGGGTCTTGCTTTGTCACCCAGGTTGGAGTGCAGCGGTGTAATCTCGGCTCACTGCAGCCTTGACCTCCTGGGCTCAAGCGATCTTCCCACCTCAGCCTCCTGAGTGGTTGGGATCATAGGCATGTACCACCATGCTTAGCTAATTTTGCTTTTTTGTGGAGATGAGGTCTCACTATGTGGCCCAGGCTGGTCTCAAACTCCTGAGCTCAAGCAATCCTCCTGTCTCAGCCTTCCGAAGTACTGGGATTACTGGCATGAGCCACTGTACCTGGCCTTGGGCTCTCTAAAAAGTGCAGCTGGCAATGTGCAATTATAAGACAAGAGGAGTATGTCTAAATCATCAAGTTTCCTTGGCATCATTGTTACTGGAAAGATTATCCCCAAGGTGGGCTGGGAGAGTGGATCACACACCAACTTTGGTGAACTTCAGGAGTCTGAAAATAGACTTGTCTTGCCAAACTCCTCAGCTTCTACAGTTCTGAAATTTACCTGGAAAGAGAGTCAATAGACTTGAAAAGTCAAACTATGAGCATCAGAAGTTGGGAAAGCTGGAGGAAGTTGGGTCATATCCAGGAGCCAGCGTGGGAGGAAATAAAACACTTGGAGATTTAGAAACAAAGCCAGAAAATCTCATTACAGAAGAGCTTGCATTTGTATAGATTTTTTTCCCAGGCACTTTCATATCCATTATCTCATTTGAGCTACATCACAACCCTGCATGGTTGGCAGGTCAGAAATTCTTATATTCATTTGTCACATGAAGAAACTGAGACTTATTGAGGTTAATTGACTGGACCAAGGTCAGAGAGCTAATTAGTAAGAAGTCTGGGAATAGAATATAGGCAGTTCTAGACCAGCACTACCAAACAGACATGTAATACAAACCCTGTATGTAATTTAAAAGTTTCTGATAGCCATATTAGAAAAGTGAAAAGAAACAGTTGAAGTTGGTTTTAATAATTTATTTTATTTTACCAATAGATCCAAAATATTATTTCAATAAGTAATCAACTTAAACACTTGAGATGTTTTACATTATGTTTTTCCATGTGGAGTCTTCAAAATCTGGTGTGCATTGTATACTTAGAGTACATCTCAATTCAGACTAGCCATGTTTTAGGTGCCCTCTAGCCACATGTGGCCAGTGGATGCCATATTGGGTGGCATAGTCTAGGCTGTGCTTGGTGTAATGGGTGGAGGCCATACTTCAGAGTAAATTTTTCTGGGTTTCAATTCATTCATTTAGTTCAATAACTATTTATTGAGCATATACTATGTGCCAGATGCTGAGGATAAAATGGCAAATGAGAAAGATTTGATTTCTGCCTTCATGGAAGGCATATGCTAATGGAAGAGGGTGACACAAAACAAATTTACAAGGAAGTAAATACAGTAATTTCAAAGTGTTCCAGGTGCTATGAAAGAAGCAGACAGGGTGCTGAGATTGAGACTTATACAGTGATCATGAAGACCTCTCTGTTCTGCTGAAGCTGAGGTCAGAGAAGAGGCCGTACAAAGAGTGGAGGTGTCGGGGGGATAGAGGAGCATGTTCCAGGGAGAGAGAAGACATGTGCAAAGGCCCTGAGGCAGGAAAGCATTTGCATGTTCTAGGAACTTAATGAAGAACAGTATGACTGGGGCTATTTGGAGGATGCCTTGAAAGAGACTCAACTGACTTGATATCCAAGGTACCAGATATATGGCATGTTGTTGATGAATATTTGTTACATAGATGGATGGGTGGATGGGTAGATAGAGTTATGGACAGGCAGAAGGATGCATTCATTTTGTATTGTCTGTGGCTATTTTCGTATGACAGTAGCAGAAATGAGTAATTGCAACAGACATCCTACACCCTGTAAAGCCTGAAATATTTACTTTCTGGCCCTTAACAGAAAACATTTGCTGACCTAAGATCTATAAAATGGGGAAAATAATAACTTCTTTAAACAACTGTATGGGGATTAAATGAGAGGAGGATATCTCTTGCCTGTCCCAGTGGCTGGCCCTTGGTACAACACGCAACAAAGGTGAATTTTCTCCCTTGCGCTCTGCTCCACATCTTTCTCTGGGCTCCAGCTCCAGTGCTTGGGCACCTTTCTTGTTCACAGGCAGCTGAAATGGGGACTGAGTTTCCTCTGTGGGTCCCTCAATTATTCCTGAATGTTGCATTTTATTTTCATGGGGGCTGCGAGCTAGAATGGAGTTGTCCATAGCACATAGACCCTGCTGCAGGGATCCCCGGGTGGGTCGACTTAGGGTGTTTCATAAATGTTAATTACAGCTCTGCTTCATTTTGAGGGAGCACAGATTCTTATTGCCTCACTGGAGAGAAACTTAGACTGTGCCCTTTAATAAGAAAATTGTGTCTCTTTTGCCACTGTGGAATTGTGAATGCGAGCATGAATTTAGATGAGAATTTATGTATCCAGGGGCAACACAGAAAAGCAAGAATCCCCAAAATACCTGCTCACCACCAGGAGAGTTTTTTTTCTGGGGCTCTGAAAAAAATATCAGAGCATTGGGTGGAATTTCTAGATTCCTATAGTGACAGCCAGAAGCCAGGACACATGATGGGGTGACTGCAAATGCCCTCCACATAGCATAGAATTTCTCAACCTTGGCACTGCTGAGATTTGGGGCTGCATAATTTTTCGTGGTGGTGGCTGTCCTGTGCATTGTAGATGTTTAGCATCTTCTCTAGTCTCTATCCACTAGATGACGGTTGCACTCCTGCCCCCAAGTTGTGACACCCAAAAATGTCTTTTGACATTGTCCGATGTCCCCTAGAGGACAAATTTGTCCCCATTGAGAACAGGGACTTTGTGAGTCGTGAGGCAGCTGTTACAGAGGACTGGGCTGAGAAGCAGAGAGACTGGATTCAAATCCCCAGAGTGCGTGCTGCTAGCTGTGTGACCTTGGGCAAGTCACTTCACCTCTCAGAAGAGAATCGTTGCTTCAAAGGTTGTGGTAAAGATGAAATGCTGTCAAAGTTGCAGGCACAAAATAGGTTCTCTGCCAGTGTCATTTCTTTCTCTCCCTATGGCCCCTCTCCTCTCCTCCTCTTCCTTTTCGCTCTTATTCCCAGGCTCTGAGAATCTTTCCCCTCTTTGCTGCTCCCTAGGGGGCAAACAGGTGCAATCTTCCCCAAGGTTTTTTTACCTCTGCTCTTTTTTCTTGCCTTTCCTCAGGAGAATCAGCATAAGAGGCGTACATGTTGGGGTGAAGAAAAAGTTGCATTTGATTACTTAAAGTTCCCTTCAGAGAACGGTGCAGTTTATCATTTGCAGCCTCATGAAAGAGTTCCACCTGCCGCTCCAAAAAGAATAATAGATCAGTAAGATTTGAACCTTAAATCGGCTCATCCTCCTGGAACAGTGACAGGCATTTGAATGAATATTTAACGAGCCAGACTTTGATAATGAAGAGCTGCTGCTCCCCCCCTCACTCCATCCCGCCCCCAAATCAGGAAAGAAAATTCCTCTTCTTCACTCTGACCTCTTAGATGAATGAGAAAAGGATGAAATATAATTTGGGGGAATAATTAGCACTCCTCAGTCCCCAAACCTCACAGGTGATGCTGTGCTGAACTCATTTAACTCTGACTTAGAAGCAATGGGTTGCTGGCATCAGGGAGCTGGAGTCAGAGCTGTTGAAATTGACTCAGCCTCAGGGAGTAATTTGTGTTTTCGCCTCATCCCTTAGGGAGCGGGTCCACCTCACCTCTCACTCCAGAAGCCCTTCTCCAGCTCTCATTAGGGCTGACAGAAAACAGGAGAGAGGAGAGAGTGAGAGGACAGAATTTTGGAGGCTTGAAGGACTTTTTCTTTCCTGTCCTGTTCTGTCCTTCCTCTTACTGTCCCTTCTCCATCCCTCACTTTTCCTATTTTAAATTATAAAAGTAATCTGTGCTGGTGTAACAAATGCAAACTACACAAATGTAGATAGAGTAAAACAGTGAAAGCCCCCATTCCCTCCTGCCCCAATTTTAGTCCCAAAGTCATTGCTCTTAACATTTGTTATGCATTCTCTCAACATTTGTTGCACATTCCTTTGAAGAATAATAACTAAGGTGCCAAAATCTATATCTGTATCAGAGTTCCCCAAAGAGACAGAAGCAATAGGAGACATCTCTATGTCTATCTATCTACCTATCTATCTACTGTCTACTTAGCTATATCTATATATCTGTATCTATTATCTATAGACATGGATAATGATAATTGATATAGCTATATCTGTTTATCATGTATCTATCAATCATCTGTCTACTTAGATATATCTGTATCTATTATCTATCTATATATATCTATATAGACATATCTATAACTATCCATCCAGATATATCTATATCTATCTTCTATCTTTTATCTATCTATCTAGATATACATATATCTATATGTATCTATCCAAATATCTATCTATATCTATAATCTATCTATATAAGTATATATATATTTATATATTTGTCTAGATATCTATATACATATTTCTCTCTATATAGATACATCTGTATCTATATCTATTATCTATCTATATCTACTTAAATAATATAGATGAATGAGAAAAGGATGAGATATATCTGTATCTTGCTTCTGTCTAAAGATATAGCTCTATATAGATATATCTATAGCGATCTATCATCTGTCTATCTAGATATATCTATATCTATTTACCTAGGTAGCTATCTATCTAGATATAGATATCTCTGTATCTATCGATCTCTGAATGAATGAGAGGGATTGATTTTCAAGAATTGGCTATGTGACTGACCCAAACCTGTAAGCCCTGGTGGTCTGCCAGTGGCCTGGCAGAAGTTGATGTTGAAGTCTTGAGTCTGAAGGTATTCTAGAAGTAGAATTCCTTACCATGTGCCAGACACTGTGTTAAGCCTTTTAAATGCATTTTACAATTTACTCCTCGTAAGCACTCTAGGAGGTAGGGACCAAGCTCATTGCCCCATTTTACAGGTGGAGGGAGTGAGGCCCAAGAAGGAGCAGGTGAGAATGTCTTGTTGCTGGGTGGGCATCTGGGCAGGGAAGAGCTGCCCCTTCTGACTCCGGCTAGTGGTGTTTCTGTCACGGCTGAGGGTCTCAGCAGCTGACCCTCTGTCTTGTTCCTACGTGTGGTCTTTGTGGCTTCTCCCCCATTTCCCCATCTGCTTCCTTGGCCTGAGACCCTGTCCCCAGACTTCATCCCTTCTTGGGAAGATTTTCCACTACTTCCCAAAGCCAAGGCTTCAGAGAAGTCTACCCCCTTGAGAGGAGCGTGCAGGCATCTTGTTATTAGTAGAGATGAGGCTATTGCTGATGGAAAATAAGGAATGAGGCCACACCTTGGGTTTCTACCTCACCTGCCACTTCTTGCCTAGGAGGACAAGGACCAAGAAGCCTGGTCATTGCTAACATGGGAGTGAGACATGCATGAGCTCACTTGAAGCCCCTTTTCTGGACCTGGGAGGGTTGGCTTGGGTGATTCAAACCTGGATCTTGGGTGCCTCACATGCAGGCAGTCCCCATGGGATGGAGCCTTGCCCTGAGGCCAGCTCTGCCTCCATGCAGGACAGCCAAGGGAGAACCTGAGAAAAGGGCATGGCTCAGCGGTGTCTCCCTGATCCCCACACTTCTGGGGCAACTCTTCATGGCACAACCCAACCACAGAGGGGTCCCTGGGGCTTCTTTCTAACCACAGGATTGCCCTCTGCTTTGTATATTATAGCAGAGAGCTAAGGGCATCTCTGCAAGAGCTTAAGGTGATGTTGAATACATAGAACCATGGAGAATTTCAGAAAGATCCTTCCATGAGAAATCAAAGCAAGAAGTATAGCCAAAGTCCTCAGAGTTTCTGGCCTGTATAATCCATAGATCTTTCTGCATCCCAGACTCCTGTCTTCCTAGGAAGGATAGCAATACACATAATGGTAATTAGCAAGGCCTGTCAATTTCACCTCCAAAATCTATTTCAACTCCATCTACCTTGGGTGTGTCCATTCCCATTGCTCTGTCCAGGCCACCAGCATTTGCACATCTCCACGTGCTTCCCTCCAACTGTGATTGCCTTCCTCCAAACCATATTCCAGACAGCTTCAGCCACATTGGTCTTCCATGAGTTCCTGCAGCCTGCAAGTGCTTCCTGCCTCAGGGCCTTTGCACATGTCTTCTCTCTCCCCATCCCCATTCTTTGCATGGCTGACTCCTTCTGATCCTTCTGATCTCAGTTTCAGCCACTCAGAGAGCCCATCCTGACCACCCTGTCATCCTCAATCTCAGCTCCTGGTGTGTTTCCTTAATGGCACGTGAGGCACTTTAAAATTGTTTTATCTATCTCATGTCTTTGCCCTCTTGAAATTTGGGGTCTGGAGGCTGCAATGGTCTTTAAATAGATAATTACACAAAGAGATATAAGTTATAAAATTATGATAAGGGATAGGAAAGAAAATGTAGAGTGCAATGAGAAATGAAGATAGGGAGAGGATCTGACTTAGACTAATGGTTGGAGATGGTGTCTCTGATTAGGTGACATTTGAGACAAGCGCTAAAGGATTGTAGACATGAGCCAAGTGGAGAATGGAGTGAAGACTGTTCCAGACAGAGGGAACGGCATGTGCAAAGGTCTTGAGGCAGGAATGATTTTAGAATGTTCATTGAAAGAAGGTCGACATGGATGAAACATGGTGAGGGAGGAATATGAGACAGTGCACCAGGGAATTATGAAGGGGGCAGAGCATGCATTAAAAAAATATCACCATCATGATAGTACTGACCGTTTATTTAACCCTACTATGTATTAGACCCTGAGCTAAAAGCTTTATATAGCTTCTTTAATTCTTACGATCATGGATATGATTATTCTCAAGGCACCGATGAAGAAACTGAGTCCCCAAAGGTTAACTTGCATGCCCAAAACCCCACCCATACGGCTGGCAGAGGTGAAGCTCAGATTTGAACCCATGACTCCAAAGCTTTTAGATACCACAAAACACTTGCCTCTGTTTACCCTCTGCTCCAACATCACGCTCCTCTGCCAAAGGATCCAGTATAGGGAGGTGTGAGTACCCCAGACTATGTGATAATCCACCTCAGGACAGAGCTTTCTGCCCAGCCCTAATACACACTTTGCTTTGTAATGCACTTGAATGTTCCATTATTTCCATGCTCCCAAATGCTCTGAAACTTTCCCATTTCCTTGTTAAATAAAAGATGAGAGGCGGATAATGAAATCCAGATGCCCTCGAGGCCTTCTATGTCACCTGCCAATTTTCCCGTTGGTCATTTTTTTTTTCTTTAAACAAAACAGCAGCGATGGTTTGATGGTTCGGAGCAAGAGGCCGTATTCAAATGGCATCATTACCTGTCGGGGCTCGCTATTTTTTTCACTCATTTCTCTCCTCAGATTCAGGGCTCGATTCAATATTCCAACATTCTTGCAGCTGGTTTTTCAAATACCAATGGGATGCCAAAGGTCCTGTCCAGATCCATCTCCTCGAGAGCTGGGAGTAGATTCACTCCATGACCCTCTTTGTTAGGATGAGAACCAGTGTAGATCAAGACTTTTTACAATCAAGTGCGCTTAGTATCTCCTCTCCCATAGTCCAGTGGTTCTCAATCTTGGTGATTTTGCCCCCTCCCAGGGGACAGCGGGCAATGTCTGGAGTCCATTTTGGTTGTCACTTGGGGTGGGGGTGCTACTGGCATTGTGTGGGCAGATGCCAGGGATGCTGCCTAACATCCTACAATACACGGGACAGCCCCTCACAACTAAGAGTTATCTGGCCCCAAATGTCAACAGTGCTGAGGCTGAGAAAACCTGAATTTAGACCATGATTTCTGTGAGCAGCTGTTTTGCTAACCGCTGTGTCCCCAGCCTGGTGCACTGAAGTAGATAAAACAGAGAGCTGCCAGGCACAGTGGCTCATGTCTGTTATCCTAGCACTTTGGGAGGTGGAAGCAGAAGGATCCCGTGAGGCCTTCTGAGCAGGCCGAGCAAGATAGTAAGACCCTGTCTCTGCAAAAAGTAAAAAAATAAGCCAGGCATGGTGGTGCATGCCCATAGACCCAGCTACTCTGGAGACTGAGATGGGAGGATCACTTGAGCCCGGGAGTAGTGAGCTATGATTGCACCACTGCACTCCAGCTTGGGTGATGGAGTGAGACCCTGTCTCAGAAAACAAAAATAAAACATATAGCCCAATGATTGTTGGGTGCAGGTCATGTTCCCTGAGAAGCCTCTGAAATGGAGAATAGGATGCAGGAAGTTAATTAGGGGGTGCTTTGGGGATTAACACCAGTGGAAGAGAAATATGGAAGCAAAATGGGTGTGAGAGGAACAATAACAGCTCCCCCAAAGATGTCTGCACCCTTGGAACCTGTGAATTTATTGTGTTACTTTACATGGTAAAAGGGACTTCGCAGGTGTGTTTAAGTTAAGGCTCTTGTGATGGGGAGATTATAAGGACAAAAGTCCTTATAAGGGGGAGGTAGGAGAATCAATTAGAAAAAAGGAGATGTGATGATAGAAGCCAACATTGCAATGATGGACTTTGAAGTTGGAGGAAGGGGCCATGATTCAGGGAATGCGAGCGGCCTACCATTTTAGGCTTCTAACTTCTAGAACTATAAGGTCATAAATATGTGTGGTTTTAAGCCGTTTACTGTTGTGGTGATTTGTTACAGCAGGAACAGGAGATGAATACGATTGGGAAGTGGGAAAACGCGAGCTATGATGCAGTCTCAACAGAGGCCTTAGCCAACCTTACAGCCAGGTCTCCTGCCGGAATGACCCTTTAGTACTGTTGCACATTGAAACAATCAGTATTAGATGTGGGCGGCTCCTGGAAGGAAATTGACCTTGGGCAAGGCAGTTGTTTTCAGCCTCAGTCAATTGTTGGAGAGACTGACAGCAGAGAGATATTCTCTGGCAATACTATCATCAGCTGGGGGTGTGAATCCTTCATTCTTCCAGGGGGTCCTGGGTGGCACATTACAGTATCCACTACACTAGGTATTAGCTACTATGCGATTAGTAAGTGATGAGGCATGGTGATTAGAATCACTGGCTTTGGGTCTAGTCTGGGCTAGATTCAGGTTCTGGTGCTACTACTCATTAACCGAGGCAGGTCCCTTCATCTCTAGTGGGGGAAATCTCAGCCACTACCTCCTGGTTCTCAGAAGGTTCCCATGAGATAAGGCACAGAGAGCCTGACACTAGAACCACTGGACTCCACTGGACCCTGGAGTCCTCAAGTTCCGGATCTGACTTAACAGTTTCAGTTATCACTATCTGACTTAACAGCCAAAAGCAGAATCACAATGGTTTAATTAAAGCCATGGATCCGCTGTCTCCTAACATTTATTTTGCCAAACTGTCATACCACATGAAACGCTCAAGAATGATTTGTCACTATGTTAATTTTGAAAATTCTGGGTGCTATATCCTTGTATAGATATCCAGTGCACAAATAGGAGAATTAAAGGCTCTGACAAGGCTGGCAGCAGAGATGTCCATTTCACTTCATTTACACTTTGAATTTCCCAAGATAATTTGCATGGGGGACTCCTTTTTCATGCAACATCTATCAGCATCTCTTGGATCCAGTATGGTAAGGATCACCCTAGGGGAAATACTACCAGAGATCATTGATCCAGGAAGCCTTAGAGAGCAAGCTTAGGCATATTTGCAACCCCTATCCCCTCCCAGACAGCCACACCTTGGTGCTGGTTTTGGAGTCAGAATACCAGTTGAAATAGATGGGTTACTGTGAGGCTAGTCTAGATGACTCTCCGTGTCCTCATTTTCTCTTGTTTGTCTTCAAGATTTTCCTCTGTTTCTCAAGGCCGGAGTGTGCGCCTGGCTCACAATGCTTAGTACTCTCTGTGCAGTAACTTCATTTGTTTTCTGCACAACCCACATGCCAAAATACTCTTATTCCTCATATCCCACCCCTTTCTATATAATAGGAAACCAAGGCTCAGAGAGGCCAAGGCAGTAGCTCAGGGTCACACAGCTAGAAAGTGATGCAGCTCAGCTTTGAACCCTGGCTGTCCAAGACTACAACTAACCCTTCCTTTTTATTCTATTCTTTTTAAAACAAGTTTATCAAGATATAGTTTGCACACCACACAATTCATCCATTTAAAGTATAGAATTCAATGGTTTTTTCGTATATTAACAAAGTTGTACAACCATCACCACAATCCATTTTAAAACATTTTATCACCCCGAAAAGAAACCTCAAATATCTTAACTGTCACTTCCTATTTTACCCCCATCCCTACACCTCCCTGCTCCCAACTAGCCCCTGGCAATCTCTAATCTGCTGTCTCTGTGGATTTGCCCATTCTGAATATTACATATGAATGGAATCATACAATATGTAGTATTTTGTGTTTGACTTCTTTCATTCAGCATAATGTTGTCAAAGTTTATTCATGTAGTGTGCATTCCTTTCTATGGCTGAATAATATTCCATTTTGCACACACACACAAATATACATACACATACATATATACATACATGCATAGCACATTTTGTTTATCCAGTCCTCAGTTGATGGGCATTTGGGATGTTTCAATTTTTTAGCAATTATTGCTGCAATGAATATTCATGTACAAGATTTTGTGTGGACATATTTTTCCATATCTCTTGTAACCCTCCTGTTTATTACAATGTATATTTTATTGTTATAGACAGTATGTTGACCAGGCCACTTTTTTGAAGTATAATTGTATTTATTTATTTCTTAACAGGTTTATTAAGGTATAATTTATATGGCATAAAGATCACCATTTTAAGAAATAGAATTCAATGCATTTTAGTAAATTTACAGAGTTGAGCAACCTTTGTCTTAATCCAGTTTTAGAACATGTCTGTCACCCTGAAAAGATCTCTCATGTCTGTTTGCAGTGAATCCCCACTTCCAGCAGAGCTCCAGGCAACCACTGATCGGCTTTCTGTCTGTCTACATTTGTGACTGAGCTACTTTTATATCTGTTACCCAAGCAGAATGGCTAATGCAGAGAGAGAAGAGGTTACCATTTCTGAATGTCCACTATGGGAATGTGAACAGAAGACAGGCAGCTTGGCCAAGTGATTTCACCTCTTTGAGGCTCCGTTTCTCCATCTGTGAAATGGGGTTGGTAATTATAGGTGATTAACAAGATTGGAAATTATAAAGAGGGGATGCATTCCAAACACTCAGCCTAACACTTTGGGAGGCCGAGGCAGGCGGATCACCTGAGGTCAGAAGTTTAAGACCAGCCTGGCCAACATGGTGAAACCCCATCTCTACTAAAAATACAAAAATTATCTGGGTGTGGTGGCATGCACCTGTAATCCCAGCTACTTGGGAGGCCGAGGCAGGAGAATTGTTTGAACCCGCGGGGCAGAGATTGCAGTGAGCCGAGATTGCACCACTGCTCTCCAGCCTGGGCGACAGAGCAGGACTCCGTCTCAAAAAAAAAAAAAAAAAAAAAAGACCCAACAACACTCAGCCAACCACTCCGCACAGGGCAGGCACTCAGTTAACCATAAACACCATGGTCAGCACCTCACTTTGTCTGAACGGCTTGTGAGGCAGGTGTCACCAGCCCCATTTTACAGAAGAATACACTGAGGCTCACAGTGGTGAGTGACGATACTGGGAATGCATTCCAGATTGGTGGATTCAGGAGCCTGAGTCCTATCCACCTCTCCAGCTGCCCAGATTTCCCAGCAAGAATTCCCAAAGAGGGGAGCATTCCCAGTCTATGCAGGGGCACCCCCTCTTCATCCTCAACTTCTCTGGCAGGTTCTAAGTGCTTCGTTATGGCCCAATCTATCAGGAACCAATTAGGGCCCAGAGCACTTAGCTACAAGCCTGGTTTCTGGGGACTGACAGTAATGAAGCAGATGGAACCTGTCACCAGGCAGTGCAAGGCACATTCAGCTGTTCGATGTCAAGCCAAGGCCAAGTTGAGGCTGGGGCTGTAGGACCTGAAGTTATTGGCATGAGGACTGGGTTAGAGACCTCTGCTAGGTGTCCCTTGGGGGCCCAATCAGTGCACCTGCCACTGTGCCTAGTGGGGTGAGGAAAGGGTGTCTCTGAACCCATTGTCCGGTGTCTTGTGTCTCTGATTCCAGGCTCCTAATAGGCCCTCAGTAAATAAGTGGGCCTGCTGCATAACCAGAAGAGTGTTGGAGCAAATGAATGGAGCTGGCATTTTGCAGTGCAGGTTGAGAGATGGATCTTCTCCTCTGGGAGCGTCTGTTGCCTGACCAGTTCCTGCTCTCTAGTATGGTCTTAGCTTCCTGGGAGAACTTCCCAGGATCCCTTCGCTAGGCTGTGGGCATCTTATCAGCTCTCAGAGTCCCCAGGACTGCCCTTCTGTAGCATTCACATTCACTGTAATGAACTCATCCTTTATAGGATGGACTCTAAGTCCCTTGGAGGCAGGCCCTGGCCTGCCTAGCTCATAGTCATATCCCGGCATATCCTAGCCCAGGGCCTGGCACAAAGGCGTCCCTTAATAAATATTTGTGGGGCAGGCGACTGAATAAAAGTTCAGACAAATGAGTCCTTCCCACCTTGTCGCACTCTTTAGGTTAGAGTCAATAGCTCCTAATTAAAATAATCTCATCCCCAGATCCTTCTTCATTGTGTACTTTTTTTTTTTTTTGAGATGAAGTCTCACTCTGTCACCCATGCTGGAGTGCAGTGGTACAATCTTGGCTCACTACAACCTCCACCTCCTGGGTTCAAGTGATCCTCCTGCCTCAGCCTCCCAAGTAGCTGAGACTACAAGCGTGTGCCACCATGCCCAGCTAATGTTTTGTATTTTTAGTAGAGATGGGGTTTCACTGTGTTGGCTAGGCTGGCCTCAAACTCCTGACCTCAAGTGATCCACCTGCTTGGCCTCCCAAAGTGCTGGGATTACAGCTGTGAGCCACCGCACCTGGCCCTTCATTATGTCTTGAGCTTGGTATAGAGAAGAGGTCAGCATACTTGTCCTGTAAAGGACCACAGAGTAAATATTTTAGGCTTTATGGGTCACACAGGCTCTGTTTCACCAGGGTTTTGGGGGATCCCTTCTCTCCCCAGTGGTCTGGGTTGCAGGTGAGGCTGTGTTGATCAATTATTAAAGAGACTGTAGAAGTAAGCTCTGAGATCAGTAGCAATTGGATTTTCTTGGCTTTACCCATTACCAGCTTCTCCTTCCACACTGAAAACATGCTTTTCCATTTGCCTGCTTGGCCAGAGACAGCGGTAGGTGGGATACAATCTTAGTGGCTGCAGCTATTTGGAAAGTTGAGTTTCCATAACTAAAGACTGTTGATACGAAAGACTTTTCAGGGGCACCTGCAGCTCAGGAACCATTCACCACCAAGACATGAATATGCATTTGTTCCATCCACGAATATGAATATGAAATGCCCTCCCCAATTTCAGATAATCTTGAAGATTATAGGTCTTCTATTGGAACCCCATAGGAAGCAGTGCACAGATCAAATAATGCCCTGAAAATAAGGCTAAGCTCTTACCCAGAAATTGCCCAAATGCTTTCTGTTTATGTTA
This sequence comes from Homo sapiens, assembly GCF_000001405.40. Taxonomy (NCBI): domain Eukaryota; kingdom Metazoa; phylum Chordata; class Mammalia; order Primates; family Hominidae; genus Homo; species Homo sapiens. The sequence goes on along the minus strand of NC_000012.12, from coordinate 117,703,962 downwards.
ATGCATCCCAGTTGTGGGTATGTGCTTTTGCCCTTTTTCTCCCCAGTTTCTTTGCAAAGTAAAGAGACTTGCTGATTTCATCCTGTTTTATTTACACTGCATGGAGAGGGGGTAATTTCAGGGCTCACAGTCCATACCTCATGAAGTTGGAGTTCTCAGCATCCTGATTGGGAGGACGTATGCCCCGGCAGAGCAGGTCTGGAAGAGATTGGTATTTATGGAGTCTGTTTGCCTTAATTTCTTTTGGCCTATAATCCTGCTCTCTGGGAGGATTGCTGGGTAGCTGTGTGTGTTTGATAAATTCAGCGTCACTTAAGACACACAAGTGGTTTTTCAGTGGGAGGTGGAATTGGCCTTTTAAGAACTTCAACGTTCAATTTCTTTGCTGTTTTTATTGTGACCAGGAGATCAGTGTCATGAAGTTTAGGAAAGTTTTATCCTTCTAGCCTGCAGTCTTCATAGCAGGGAAATGGCCTTGATGTTTTTATTAGTGGATCCCAACATCTAGCACCAGGGCCAGGGGGAGGCAACTGAGGGACATCAGGGGTGGCATTTAGGGAGGTGCCCACTCTCAAGGTTGGGTATGTCTCTGAGAGTATCAACTTAAATTTAGTATCCTAGGCACCTCATGCACCTTACCCTACTCATAGTCCTGCCTAGCACACTGTCGTTGCTCCTTCAGTATTTGTTGAGTGGACAAATCAATTCCTCTTCTATGTAACAAAGTGAGACTAAAAGAGGTGAAATAATTTGCCTAAGATCTGGCCAATGACAACTTCTGAATGTGTGATTTGAACCCAGGCCTGACTCCAGAGCCATCTGCCTTTCTCTTTGTCTCTCTCTCTCTCTCTCTGACCCTGGTTTGATCCTGGCTTTCTTCTGTTCCCCCTCGTTTCTTGGGTGGGCTTTTCCAAAGAGTCGATAAGTCTGAGTCTGGAGAGAATGAGAAGGAAACAAGTTTATTGCTGGAAAACTGTCCTTCCTCACTATTTTCCCCCTTGGGCTCCCTGAGGAGCTGGCTGGCTTCCACTCCAGTCAGTTGTCCAGCTGTGAAAAGAGAAAAATGGCCCAAACATGTAATAACTTAGCTCTGGAGGATCTCATTCTGAGCTAAGTATCCTAGTAGCCAGAGCGGAGCTTTCAAAAGGGCCACGGTGCACTGGCCAGCAGCTCTAGCCATTTCACTGAATTTCTGTCCATTTGAAAGTGATTGGAGACTTTGGCTCGGTGTCTGGGAATATTCCAGCTTGGTGGGGGAAGAGGGGATCCATGGATAAAAGTGATCCTTAATAGGGAAGATAGTTCTGTCAACACTGAGGAGTGTGTAAGTCAATGTCCCGGTTTGACACCATCCATAGGCACTGAAGTTGTCTCTGAAAACTTTGATATGGTTTATGGGAAGATGAATCAGGCTAAACCACCTATTCACCCCAGGGACTTTTCTGTTTCCTTCCTTTTTCAGTTTGATGGATCTGTTTGATATTTGGTTAGAGACTCAATTTTTGAGGTTCACTAAATTGCACTTCCTTTCATTCCAACAGTCATTCCAATATTTAGGTGTCTATTACACATCAGGTGCTGTGTAGATAGCTCGGTGATAGGGGTGAAGAAGACACACATGGTCCCCACCCTCGTGGAACAGATCTGATAAGATGATTGAATCTCACACCTTTGCAATGGAACTGACAAAGGCTACCAACGCGAGGTGCTTGGTGTTGGGAGGGCCTGTAACAGGGAATCATGTTGGCCCAGTGACATTGGGGGAGGCTTACTGAGGGGAAGGAGGATAGAACTGCTGTCTGAAGTGTGGAAGAAACTACTGGGGAGCAGACAAGGGCAACAGCATGTGCAAAGGCCCTGGAGTGGGCAAGGGAGCATGTTGCAGTTGCACTTGAGTGACAAGGAAGGATGGTGCGGCTGAGGAGAAAGAGCAAGTGGGAAGGGCCAGATCACATGGCAGCCTTGGAAGCAGTATTAGTTTCCTGTGGCTCCTATAACAAATTACCCCAAATTTGATGGCTGAAAGCAATAGAAATTTTTTCTTTTTTAGTTCTGGAGACTGGAAGTCTGAGCAAGGTGTTAGCAGGTCCATGCTCCTTCCGAAGGCTCTAGGGGAGGATCTTCCCTTGCCTCATGCAGCCTCCGTTGCTCCAGAAATCCTTGACATTCCTTGGCTTGTGGCTGAATCCTTCCAATCTCTGCTTCTGTCTTCACAAGGCCTTCTTCTCTGTTCTGTGTCTTCTCCTCTTGTGTCTATGTCAAATCTTCCCTGCCTTTCTCTTACAAAGACACCTGTCATTGGAGGTAGGACCCAGCTGGACAATGCAGGTTGATTCATCTCAAGATCCTTAACTTAATTACGTCTATAAGGACCCCCCTTTTGCCCCAAATAAGGCAACATTCACAAGTCCCAGTAGCCTTTTTTTTCTTTTTTGGAGAAGCACCATTCAGCCCACTACAGAGATGATGCTAAAGAATTTGATCTTTATTTTATATGCTTTGGGAAGATGCTGAAGGATTTTCAGCAAAGGTGTTGGCATGACCAGATTTATGATTTTATAAAGTCTTCCAGCCTGGTGCAGTGGCTCACACCTGTAATCCCCGCACTTTGCGAGTCTGAGGCAGGCAGATCACCTGAGATCAGGAGTTCGACACCAGCCTGGCCAACATGATGAAACACTGTCTCTACTAAAAATACAAAAATTAGCTGGGTGTGGTGGTGCATGCCCATAGTCTCAGCTAGGTGAGAAGCTGAGGCAGGAGAATCCATCCCCTTAAACCCAGGAGGTGGAGGTTGTAGTGAGCCTAGATCGCACCATTGCACTCCAGCCTGGGTAACAGAGCGAGACTCTGTCTCAATAAATAAATAAATAAACAAACAAACAAAGTTTTCCTCCTATTGTGCAGATGGAGGATGGATGAGCAGTCAGGTGGAGCTAAAAGGTTAGTTGGTTTGTGTTTTTCCCCAGTCATCTAGCAAGAGATAATGGTGGCTTATCTCCTGGGGTGATGGAGAGGGGTAATGTTGAGAAATGGATAGAAATACTTAGGAAATACAATGGGAGTTCCTTTTTACCATCTGGAATCATTTATTCGGTGTTGCCCTGCATGGTAGCACCGACATTGGGAGTTGTACAAAAACCTGCTAAGAGGATGTTTCGGTCGTCTGAATGAACCTTTCTGTCTTATCTGAGAGATACTGACATTTGCTCCCACGTTGAGGATTCTCCTCATTACATGGCTTTCTTGTGAATAAATGTTTTCTTTACTGCGGTTAATAGCGTCTTCACCAAGTTAAGCACATACAGAGGCAGGAAGGCAATTATAGCACAGGCAGACTTTATATATCTCCGTAGCATCCGTGAAGCATCATTATTTTTCAGTGACTTATTATTTTTTTATAATAACCAAACTTGTCCTGTGCAGGAAAAATACATGAGGAAGGCAATTCGGTGCTCACTGTTGGTTGCACTTCATGTTCATTAAGGACCTTGTTCTACTACAATGCTGTGGTCAGATCATGGCTGGATAGGCAAAGTGGTAGATGGACAATGACCTCCCTGTCACATGGAATGCGTAGGTGAGGCTGAACAAGGGAGCTAGGCAGGTGGTTGAGTCTGTGGGCTCCAGGATCTGAGGTCCTGTTGTCAGATCCTGCCTCCACCACCCTGTAGCTGTATAGCCTTGGGTAAGTCCCAAACATTCTGTGTCCCCTCTGTAAAATGAGGATAACAATACAGTCATGGGCCACATAACCACGTTTTGGTCAGTGACAGACTGCATATACGATGGTGGTCCTGTAAGATTATAATGGAGTGCTTTGGAAGGCTGAGGCAGGCAGATCACTTAAGATCAGGAGTTCGAGACCAGCCTGGCCAACATGGTGAAACCGGTCTCTACTAAAAAAAAAAAAAGTACCAAAATTAGTGAGGAGTGGTGGTGGGCGCCTGCAGTCCCACCTCCTCAGGAGGCTGAGGCAGGAGAATTGCTTGAACCTGGGAGGCATAGGTTACAGTGAGCCAAGGTCGCGCCACTGCACTCCAGCCAGGGTGACAGAGTGAGACTCTGTCTCAAGGAAAAAATCAAAAAAGATTATAATGAAGCTGAAAAATTCCTATCACCTAGTGACGTCATAGCCATTGTAACCTTGCAGTGTAGTTGCTTTGTTTTTTAATTTAGTGTCACCTAAGTGTACAGTGTTTATGAATCCTACAGTAGTGTACAGTCATGTCCTAGGCCTTCACATTCATTCACCACTTACTCACTGACTCACCCAGAGCAACTTCCAGTCCTACAAGCTCCATTCATGGTAAATGCCTTATACAGGTGTACCGTTTTAATCTTTTATAGCGTATTTTGCCTGTACCTTTTCTATGTTTAGATGTTTGGATACACAAATAATTACATTGCATTACAGTTGTCCACAGCATTCAGTACAGTAACATGCTGTACTGATTTGTAGCCTGGAAGCAATAGGCTACATCACCCAGGTGTGTAGTAGGCTCTACCACCTAGATTTGTATAAGTACATTCTATGATGTTTGCACAATGACAAAAATAACCTAATGCATTTCTTAGGATGTATCACTCTTATTAAGTGACGCATGAGTACTTTATTGGGCTGCTGGGAGAATTAAATGAGATAATGCATGGATAATACTCAGTAAAAGGGTAACCATAATTCTCTCTGCCATTTTACATAAATGCCATACCATTGATTCATTCAGAGGTATTTATTGAATGCTGAGCACATGCTATGCACTACCTTAGGAGCTAGGCTTAAAGCAGAACAGATCATCCAAAGGCCCTGTCTTCATATAGCTTGATGAGGGGAGATAGACAAAAGGCACATAAACCAATGAATAGACAAAATGTCAGATGAAGATTATTGCCGAACACTAAATGAGAGCAAGGTCAAGAGGTAGAAAGTGTTAAGGAGAGAGCTGCTCTTTTAGATGAAGGGGACGGGATGGCCTCTCTGATGAGGGCTTATTTAGGCAGAGAATGAAGTGGTGGAGCAAGCCATGGGGATTTCTACAGGAAGATTTCAGGCCATGGGAACTGTATGTGCAAAGGCCCTGGGGCAGCCAGTAAGACTCTGATGGGCCCAGTCAGGAGACAATCAGAAGATGAATAAACAAGAAGAAATATAATGTCAAGTGGTGCTAGGAGAAAACAAGGAGGAAAATAAAGCTGACGAGTGGATGGAACATGACACAGGGGAATTCTGGAGGCTTTCAGGGTTTGGAAGTGGGTTTGGAGCTCTGGATCTGGGTGTATGTGCTGTGGATGAAGCTAGGAAGGGATGACAGATGTAATGATTAAGAGAAAAAGTCTGGCCGGGTACAGTGGCTCATACCTGTAATCCTAGTACTTTGGGAAGCTGAGTTGAGCAGATGGCTTGGGCCCAGGTGTTTGAGACCAGCCTGGGCAACATAGCAAAACCTTGTCTCTACAAAAAATACCAAAGGAAAAAAAAAATAGCTGGGAGTGGTGGTGCATGCCCATAGTCCCAGCTACTTGGGAGGATGAGGTGGGAGGATCACTTGAGCCTGGGAGGTAGAGGCTGCAGTGAGCTGTGATTGCATCACTGCATGCCAGCCTATAGTGAGATCCTATCTCAAAGAAAAAAAAAAAATCTGAGAGACACCCAAGAAGCCATTAACAGTGGGACGTCTCGGGAGTTCAACTAAGAGAGGAAGAGACCAAGGAGATATATTAATTTCCTAGAGTTGCTGTAACAAAGTACCATAAACTGGATGCCTTAAACAACAGAAATTTACTGTCTCACAGTTCTGGGGGCCAGAAGTCTGAAATCAAGGTGGGAGCAGGGTTGATTCCTTCTGAGGGCTGGAAAAAGAATCTGTCCTACGCTTCTTGCCTAGCTTCTGCTTCTAGTGATGTGCCGGCAGTCTTCGGTGTTCTTCGGCCTCTAGAAGCATCACTCTGGTCTCTGCCTTCATCTTCACGTGGTGTTCTCTCTGTGCGTGTCTCTGTGTCCAAGTTTCCCCTTTTTATAGGGACATCAGTCATATGGGAGGGGTCCACCCTACTCCAGTTATGAACTCATCTAAATTTAACTAATTACAGCTGCAATGACCCTATTTCCATATCATATTACATTCTTTGATACTGGAGTTTAGGGGACTTCACTATATTTTGAGAAAGCACAATTGAACCCAAATAACAGGGGCCACTGAAACCTTTTTTTTTTTTTTTTTTTGAGATGGAGTCTCGCTCTGTTGCCCAGGCTAGGGTGCAGTGGCGCGATCTCGGCTGACTGCAACCTCCGCCTCCTGGGTTCAAGCGATTCACCTGCCTCAGCCTTCTGAGTATCTGGGATTACAGGCATGTGCCACCATGCCTGGCTAATTCTTGTATTTTCAGTAGAATAGGGTTTCACCATGTTGGTCAGGCTGGTCTTGAACTCCTGACTTTGTGATCTGCCCGCCTTGGCCTCCCAAAGTGCTAGGGTTACAGGCATGGGCCACAGCGCCTGGCAGAAAGCTTTTTATTGAAGTGTAACATATACGTAGAAAATGCATATTTCTAAGCAGATAGCGTCTTGAACTTTCATTAAATAAACATACCTCTGTAACCAGCTCCCTGATCAAGAATCAACATTTTCTGCCCTCCAGAAGCCCTCTGGGGGTGGAGGAGGCTTCTGTTTTTCAATATGTACCTTCCTATACTGTTTTAACATTTTTAAAATGGTGTGGATTTACTTTAACAATAAAACTTGCAAATTAAACTTGCAAATAAAGAGCTCATATTATTAAGTTTAGGGACGCTGTCCTTCCTGAGCTGATAGGGAACCTTCCATCTCGAGGGGGAGGAAAGCAGCTTCGTTTGTTCTCTGTGCTGGGTGCTTTTCAAAGAAGCTTCCCAAACTAGCGTCCGCAAAATGGTTAAAGGCGCATTGAAATATCAATGTGCTCTGAACTCTGGATGCCTGGGGCAGCTGGTGTCCCCTCATCTGTCCACCCCAGTGCACAAATTATGTCATTTTCTGGGTGTGTCGTGATGTGAAAAAGATTGAAGAGCCCAGCTTAACACGTCCAGTCTCAGGAAACCCTCCCAGCGACCCAGGGAGGTAGGTGCTTCTAGTTCCATTTTATAGGTGCAGAGGCTGAGGCTCTCCAAGGTGACTTCCTAGAAACAGTTTCTTAGGTGTTTTGTGGATGTTATCTGGGCCTGGCAAGGGAAAGTCACAGAAGTCCTTGGATGCCTGGTAATCACTCATTAATGAACATAATAGGTAGTCTTAAGGTAGATTTGGGCTGAAAGGGCCCTTTGGGAGAATGGCACTATCCAACCCAATGCAATGCCTTTACAAGAAAGATTAACATCACTAAAATATCACAGCTGGTCAGCCACAGAGCTGGATCTGAATCCCCTTCCAACTCCCAAGCCCCCCTACTTTGTACAAGACCATGATACTCCCCCCGACCAGTGCTAGGATGTAGGTCACCTCTTCTTGCCGAAGGGAAATCTAAGGTGCAGTGAAACACATTCCAAGTTTGTCTCTAAACCTGTTTTTTTCTTGGCATCCACTGTAAAATTTATCCTTAAGGACAGCTCAGGGTATCTTAGGACACTTACTGCCATGATTACTTTTGAAAATGTGTACACTTTGTGCTTCATTCCCTTTTGGGGTTCACCGTCCACTGCTTTTCTTATGACCCAGGTAATGTGTGGATCATGGGTGGAGTGGGACCTCAGAGAAACCCAAGCCGGGGCCCAGCAGCCTCCCTGGAGTGGCAGGTGGCAGGTGGCTTTGAGCTGTACTTCAGTGGGCCGGAGTTTTATGGTTCCTTTGCTAATGGTCATAAACTTGGCATTTACTTTTGGTACTTGGGGAGTCCTGAACCTCTAATTAAATTGGCTCTGAGCAGGTGGAGAGCACACAGCTAGAAACGATATTTAACAGCTGCAGAGAAGGTAGAAGGGAACCAGCCTCAGCCCAGCCCGCCGATGGCTTCTCTCACTGTGCTGGCTGTCAGCTTTCACTTGCACAAGTTCAGCTTCCATTTGCCAACGGATGGCAGTCCTGTCCCTGCTGTGGGTCTTGGTGACCCTCTCTTTGGCCTTCCTGAAGAAGAGCGGCGACCTTTCCGGTGTCTTTCTCTCTCTTCCCCACAGGACTCTTTTTCCCCATTTCAGGTCTTCATTATCAGAGAGTGGGTTATCCCCTTGCCAACAGATCTCTTTCTCTTTTTTCCTTTTTTTCTTGTTTTTTTTTTTGTTTGTTTGAGACAGGATCTCACTTTGTCGCCCAGGCTGGAGTGCAGTGGTGTGATCACAGTTCACTGCAGTCTCAACTTCCTGGGCTCAAGTGATCCTCCCACCTCAGCCCCCCAAGTAGCTGGGACTACAGGTGTGTGCCACCCCATCCAGCTAATTTTTTTTTTTTTTTTTTTGTAGAAATGGGATTTCATCATGTTTCCCAGGCTGGTCTTGAATTCCTGAGCTCAAGGGATCCACCCACCTTGGCCTCCCAAAGTGCTGGGATTACAGGTGTGAGCCATGGTGCCCAGCCCCAACACATTTATTTTATTGCAGCAAAATATACATAACAGAACATTTGTTATTTAAACCACTTTTAAGTGTACAGTTCAGTGATATTAAGTACGTTCACATTGTTGTGCAACCATCACCATTATCCATCCCCAGAACCCTCTTCATCTTCCCAAACTAAAGCTCTGTACCCATTAAATTTCTCATTCTCCTTCCCCAGCCTTGGCCAACCATCACTCTATTTTCTATCTCGACAATTTTGACTGTTCTAGGTACCTCATAGAAGTAGAATCATACGGCCAGGTGTGGTGGCTCACGCCTGTAATCCTAGCACTTTGGGAGGCCGAGGCGGGCAGATCACAAGGTCAAGAAATTGAGACCATCCTGGCCAACATGGTGAAACCCTGTCTCTACTAAAAATACAAAAATTAGCTGGGTGTGGTGGCGTGCACCTGTCGTCCCAGCTACTCGGGAGGCTGAGGCAGGAGAATTGCTTGAACCTGGGAGGTGGAGGTTGCAGTGAGCTGAGGTTGTGCCATTGCACTCCAGCTTGAGGCAACAGAGTGAGGCTCCATCTCAAAAAAAAAAAAAAAAAAAAAAGAATCATACAACATTTGTCCTTTTGTCACTGGCTTTTTTAACTTAGCAGAATGTCTTCAAGGTTTATTCATGTTGGAGCATGTGTCAGAATTTCCTTTTTTGTCTAAGGCTGGATAATATTTCATTGTGTGGATAGACCACATTTTGTTCATCCATTCATCTGTCAGTGAACACTTGGGTTGCTTCCATTTGTTGGCTATTGTGAATAATGCTGCTGTGAACATGTGAACTGCTGTGAACCAGTATCGGTTTGAGTTCTTGCTTTCAGTTCTTCAGGGTATTTACCCAGAAGTGGGATGGCTGGATCATATGGGGTATCAGTCTGCTCTCATGCTGCTAGTAAAGACATACCCAAGACTGGTTAATTTATAAAGAAAAAGAGGTTTAATGGACTCACAGTTCCATGTGGCTGGGGAGGCCTCACAAGCATGGTGGAAGACAAAGGAGGAGCAAAGTCACATCTTACATGGTGGCAGGCAAGAGAGAGCTTGTGCAGGGGAACTACCATTTATAAAACCATCAGATCTCATGAGACTTATTCACTACCACGAGAACAGTATGGAGGAAACGTCCCCCATGATTCAGTTATCTCCACCTGGCCCTGCCCTTGACCTGTGGGGATTATTACAGTTCAAGGTGAGATTTGGGTGTGGACGCAGCCAAACCATATCATATGGTAATTCTGTTTTCAATTTTTAGAGGAACTGCCGTGGTGTTTGCCACAGCAGCTGCATCACTTCACATTCGCACTAGCCATGCAGTGGGGTTCCTGTTTCTCCACCTCCTCCACACCTTTTTGTAGTGTCCTTTGGTTAACCCTTTCACTTATCACCTAAAACAAAGTTCAGTGGCCAAGTGATGACCCTTCAATCAGTGTTGTAGACCAAAGAATATGGAATTGGAAGAAAGTAAGTTATTCAAGAGGCAAGAGCAGAGTGATTTAGCTTAAGGGCATAGGCGTCAGAGCATGTCTTCTAGAAGCCTGATTTTACTGCTCAGTGGGCAGACAACTTGATAAATGAGTCTCCCCTGTGAGCCGCAGGTATACCATCTGTCAGTGGGGATGACGGTAGGACCCGCTTCCTGGGGTTGGGAGCGCTCCATGAGATTGTGCATATAAAGCATCTCGCATAGGGCCTGGCAGTACATGAGCACTCCCAGAACATCACTATTATGGAAAGGAGGTATTTATCCAGCCAGAACTTATTAAGCACAACTTACTGTATGCTGAGGACCATGCAGACATGCTAGGCTTGGGCATTCACAGACATGACTATTGTCTATTACGATTGTTGCTTCTTGAGACCCAGACCTTGAGGTGGTCTTTTGAAGCAGCCACCCATCTTCAGTGACCTGAGCAGAGATGTGGGGGAGGAGGATGTGTAGTTTTTGGAAAATGAACTTCCCTTTCTAGTTTAGGAATGTTCTACCAAGTCAGCACAATCCTCTAGGCTTCCATGGAGGGTGAATGGGAAGTCATTTGTGGCCCATAGGTGGTTCATTGTAGATTGATTCTTACTCTAAAGCATCTTCTATTAATATTCTATCCTTATTCAATTAAACAAGGCCAACAGACCCTTGGTATTTATCTCACACTGTGTTTTCATTTGTCTTTATTTATTTGTTCTGTTCACTTTGGGGGTCAGTCTTGGCTGCTTGAGGATGGGGTGGTGGGTTGGTGGTAAAGACCTCCAGAACCTCGGCCTCCCAGGCTTCCTCTTAGGCAACCATCCCGCCTCCTCATTTCTTTGGATTACACAGTCTTTTAAAAAATGATTGAAGTGGAAATTCACATAACGTGAGATCGACCACTTTAAACTGAACAATTCAGTGGCCTTTGGTACAGTCACAGTGTTGCACAACCACCACCTCTAAATAGTTCCAGAATATTTTCATCATCCCAAAAGGAAGCCCTATACCCATTAAGCAGTTACTCCCAATTCCCTAGCTTCCCCCTATCCCCATGGCAACTGCCAGTCTGCATTCCATTTCTGTGGATTTGCCTGTTTTAGACATTTCATATAAATGGAAATCAGACACTATGTGACCTTTTGTGACTGCTACCTCCTTCACTTGGCATAATGTTTTCAAGATTCATCATGTCTCAAATCGTGTTCTTTTTTATGGGTGGCTAATATTCCATTGTGTGGATATGCCACAATTTGTTTATCTATTCATCTGTTGATGGACATTTGGGTTGTTTCCATATTTTAGCTACTGTGAAAATGCTGCTATGAACATAGGTGTACGTGTATTTGTTTAAGTACCTATTTTCAACTCATATATATATATATATGTATGTGTATATATATGTGTGTGTGTATATATATGTGTGTGTGTATATATATATATATATATATATATATATATATATATATATATATATATATATATATGAGTGAAGTTGCCAGGTCATATGGTAATTCTATCTTTAATTTTTTGAGGAACCACCAAACTATTTCACGCCAGCTGCACCATTTTATATCCTCACCTGTGATATGTGAGAGCTCATATTTCTCCACATCTTTGCCAATGCTTATTATTTTCTATTTGTAAAATTATAGCTACCCTAGCGGTTGTGAAGTGGTATCTCCTTCTGGTTTTAATTTTCATTTCCTTCATGACTAATAATGTTGAGCATCTTTTCATATACTTGTTGGCCACCATTTATGTATCTCCTTCGGAGAACCGTCTCTTCGTGCCGTTCGCCATATGTTAACTGGATTGTCTTTCTGTTCCCTTTCCTCTTTTTGATCCATATTTGTAACCTCCCCTTCCCTTAAGCCTCTACCAGCCTGATAGCACAGGAGTGACACCCCGCAGAGGCAAAGGAACACAGACTTGTTGCCAGCCAGGTCTGGATGGAATGCCACCTCTATGTGCCCTTGTGCAAGCAGCTTCCATTATCTGTGCCTCAATTTTCTCATCTGTAAAATGGGGAATCCTCTATCACCTATATAGTCTCTGAAGATTAGAGGTAATGTAGGGGAAATGTTTATCCCAGTACCCAGTGTGGGGAGGGCCCTCAGGAGACATGAACACTTCTTCCTAGCTTGATTTTATTTCCTGCTCTAGGCTTAATTTGCAGCTACAGCATAGCCCATGAGATATACTACCTTGCCAGATGCCTTAGCATCCATCAGAGATCTGGGATAGATGCTGTAGATAGTGCTGGAGCCAGCCACACAGCATAGAGATTCTGCACCATGGAGAACTGGAGGCAGGAGGGAGTCTTTTGGAAGATCTTGATGTGATGGCTCTGGCCTGCACCCGGCATGGCCTTCAGTGGGCAGCCGTCTGTCTATGTCAACCTGCCAAACCTCACTGATGCATAATTCATTAATCTTGGTGCTGAACATGGCTTGAAACTCACACCGAAGGCAACAGAACCAGAAGACAGGAGAGTTTGCCTAAGTGGGAGGGAGAAGGGAGGCTCTTATCCAGTTTCCTAGGTGGCTGTGGCTCAAGGCGAGGGTCAGTGACTCAGTGTCCCCTGGCACCATCTTTCTTTGCAGCAGTAAGACACTGGGTTGTGTCATTTCCCAAGGACCTAAAAGTTGTATCTGACATTGCTCCCTGAGTCTACCAGTTGGGATGCCCGTTACCCTGGATTCCAGGGCACTGTGGAACAAAGCGTCCAAAAATGCAGCAATTTTGTTTCTCCTCTAAAATCCACTTGCACAGCTTCCCATTTCTCCTCTTATCCCCTCAAAAATGCAGCCCAGATTCTTTTGAAAGTCACTTTTGCAACATTGTCAACCCATGCTGGGTCCCACTTGAAGCCCTGTCCCTGTGTTTGAGAGTAGGTTTGCCGATTCTCTTCTACATCAGAATCTGTTTGCCTGTGATCGGAAAACACTGCATTGCATTTACAGATGTGGTTTCCTTGGAGGTGGGAATATTTACCTTCGGATCTGAGAACCTGCAGGACCACAGACCAGCTTTTGTGCATGGTGAGAACAGAGAAATAGGTCTCTGGATACAGAGCAAAAGGTTTTCTCAGCCACTGAAGTACCACAGTGTGAGCCACTTTTGATGTGATAATGTGAGGATGACAACTCGTTTTTGTTGTTGTTGTTGTTTTTAAGGTCACTGCCATTTAATTAACCTGTGTGCTGGCAGCAGTTAGTTCAAGACATTTAAATGAGTAACACACAGCATATTGCTTTACACATGCTCATGACAAGGGCTTAGAATAGTAGTTGAGTTGTTCGTTTTCCAAGTTGATAGGGAAAGACTGTGAGGTTTTATTTTTTTCGCCATTCTTTTATCTTTTTTTTTGAGACAGAGTCTTCCTCTGTCACCCAGGCTGGAGTGCAATGGTGTGATCTCGGCTCACTGCAACCTCCGCCTCCCAGGTTTAAGCGATTCTCCTGCCTCAGCCTCCTAAGTAGCTGGGATTACAGACACACACCACCACGCCTGGCTAATTTTTTGTATTTTTAATAGAGACGGGGTTTCGCCATGTTGGCCAGGCTGGTCTCGAACTCTTGACCTCAGGTGATCCACCCATCTCAGCCTCCCAAAGTACTGAGATTACAGGTGTAAGCCACCGTGCCCGGCCTTTTTCCCCATTCTTTCAACAACTATTTCTTGAGCTCCTGTTGTGTGTCAGGGTCTGTTCTATAGACTGGGGACATAATGGTGAATAAGATTTCCAGGACTTTGCCCTCGTGGACTTGGTATTCTAAACCAGAGGTTGGAAGACTGTGGCCATGGACCAAACTTGGCCCACAGCCTGTTTTTGTAAATAAAGTTTTATTGGAACACAGCTTTCTGTCTTCTTCCCTCCTTCCCTCCCTCCCTCCATTCATTCTTCCCTCCTTCTCTTTCTCTCTTCCATCTTCCTTCCTTTTCTTCTTCCTTCTCTCCTGCCTTCCTGTTTCCTTCCTTCCAAATCACACATGCATTACACACATGCTAGGCATTTTCACTGTAAAAGATTCTCACACATAGTCAAATTTGGGAGTTCCCCCCACCCCCCTTACTCTCACTATCTTTCTCAGTTTAAACCCATCTAGCTCTTTTTCTGTGACCATAACTACCTCATATCAACATATAATGAAAGTGTCCAAACATTATATAAATGCATGTATACATATTTATATTTATATTTATATTTATATTTATTTGTATAAATACGGTCATACTATATGTGTTGTTAGGCAGTTGGTTTTCTTCATAAATCAATGTATCTTGGAGTTTGAAACATCTGTTTGTGTAGACCAGGGGTCATCCACCCATGCCCCCCGGGGCCAAATCTGGCCTGCTGACTGTTTTTGTAAATAAAGTTTTATTAATATACAGCCACACCCATTTGTTTATATAATGCCTAGGACTGCTTTTGTAAAGGCAGAATCGAGTAGTTGCAGTGGAGACTGCATGGCCTGCAAAGCCTGTGATATTTACTATCTGGCCCTTTACAGAGAAAGTTTTCACCCCTGTTATAGAACCACCTCATTCTTTTTAATGACTGAATAGTGTTCTATAATATGGATGTGTCATATTTTTATTAAATCACTCTCTTATTAAGACATCTCTGCTTTGCTGCACCTGGCATGGCCTTTGGTGGATGACCCCTGGTCTACACAAAGAGATGTTTAAAACTCCAAGATACATTGATTTGTGAAGACAACAAACTGCCAAACAGCACATATAGTATGATCGTATTTCTACAAAGAGAAATAGATATAAACATAAATATGTATATATACATTTATATAATGTTTGGACATATTCATTGTATGTTGGTATTAGGTAGTTATGGTCACAGAAGAGTTGGAAGAGTTTACACTGAGACAGGCAGTGAGAGTAAGGGGGTTGGAGGAACTTCCAAATTTGACTATATGTGTGAATCTTTTGCAATGAAAATACCTACTATGTGTGTAATGCATGTGTCGTTTGCAAGGAAGGAAAAAGGAGGCAGGAGAGAAGGAAGGAAAGAAGGAGATCTGCTAAATGAGTTGTGACCGGGTGTCTAGAGTTTGACATAAACACTATGGGCTTTTCCAGTGGGGAAGGCAGAGGAATCTGAGTCGTCCTCCAAACTTACAGCAGCAGTGACTTCATGGCGTGTGCAGTTGTATCCCTATGGCCATCCTGGAGAGTGTCCTTTGGCAGCACATTTTCTTCTTGCTTCTGGCACACTCGAAACCTGATCGAGCCTCTATGGACTAAACCTTCAGGCCTTAGAGTCTGGTTCTTGGAGGGCCTGAGCAGACACTAGCATGTGAAAAGTATTTTGCTTCAGAGCATCAGCCAATGTCAAACCTGCCAATTGGACACTGGCTGATGTTATCGGTGTAGAATTATGATGCAGAGAGTGGTTCTGGGGAGCTTGAAATGATCTTTGGAAAGCATGATAAAATGCAGATTTGTGGGCCCCACCCCAAAGGACTTGAGAAACTTTTGAGTTGCGGGTACTTAGTCTGATTTAGTGAAAAAATTGAGCTATAGACTTTTTTTTTCTGAGACAAGGTCTTGCTCTGTCACCCAGGCCGGGGTGCAGTGGCGTGATGGCTCACTGCAACCTCCGCCTCCCGGGTTCAAGCGATTCTCCCGCCTCAGCCTCCCAAGTAGCTGGGATTGCAGGCACCCACCACCATTCCTGGCCAGTTTTTGTATTTTTCGTAGAGACGGGGTTTTACCATGTTGGCCAGGCTGGTATCGAACTCCTGACCTCAAGTGATCCACCCATCTCAGCCTCCCAAAGTGCTGGGATTACAGGCGTGAGCCACCACACCCGGCCAATAGACTTTTTTTTAAAAGGGAATTCAGCTTTAAAGGTTTCAGAATACGTTAGAGACGAGATCTTTGGTTGCAAACAACAGAAGCCAACTCTATCTAACTTAGGCTGAAAATGAACTTGTTTGGGATATTATGGGATAACTCTCAGGATTGACAGGAAAGCTGGAGACCCAGGCTCAGAAAGGGGCAGGACCCAGGTGTCTTTGGGCTCTAAGTAGCAGGGATGACTTGACAGCTGATTTTGGGAGGGACCACTACTAGATTGAGCTTCAAATATTTTTTTCCATCGTGTGTCATGCTGTTGAAGATTCATATTCCCAAGAGAGACTCAGATTGGTCTGATTGGCACCTGGTGAGTTAGGGGAAGGCAGTGTACCCTAGTTGACACCCCCAATAAGGTTGTGCACAGAGTAGGAGAGAGAATTCCCCGAGGTGGAGTGGGGTGAATGCTAGACGGTCACAAAACCAGTGTCCTCTGCAAGACAGCAGTACAGGCTATTGGCTCAGATATTGAAATGCCTGAGTCCGGCTGAGCAGGAATAATTACATAGATGAACACGTTAAGTGACAATTTGCAGCGAGCCCACCCTCTATACTGTTTGATCCCAAATAAGCAAATTTTCTACCCTAACAAGTTCATGCTGGATGCAAAAGTTGAAAGCACATCAAAAGCCTGGCTTTGAAGAAACCCACTAATTTCAGGCAACAGTTCTTCAAACTCTCGTGGAAAAAGAGATTCAGACTTTGTTTCCTGGAGTCACAGTAGGAGAGCCACGACTGAATTATTAGAAATTCCACACTGGTGGGATCATACTTGCTGATGTTTAATTGCACTCTCTGCTGAGCTCACACTGACTCACTTGCCCCCACAGAAGCAAGGGGCAGACAAAGAGGCAGGAGAGGTTATCCTGTTGTATAAATAAGAAGACCTGAAACCACACAGATTCTGACCTGCCCAAGGTCGTGCTGGAAGCTTGGAAAAGAGGGAGCAGCATCACAGAATCGCCGCTTTGAGGGTGGATAAGCTTTTAAGGATGAGTTGCTCTAAGCCCCTCATTTTACAAGCGAGGAAGCTAAGAGCTCACTGAGGTTAAGCAACTAGCCCTGGGCACCCAGCCAGCCAGCCCGCCAGCCCCAGCATCTTCTGAGTCCTCTCCAAGCCCTCAGGAACTGGTAGATACTGTTCGTTGTCTGTCTCTCGGGCTCTGATGCGTGGATTTCAGCGTGGATCTCATAGAATCATAGATTGAAATATATTCCAATTTAGGCATGTTTGTAAGGATTCACTCTCTGTTTATTTTTTCCCAGGATAAAGGAAGCATCTGTGAAATATCCCATAGGTGGCAAAACTATCAGTTTCCTTGAGTAAAACATTTCTGGCTGACCTCCTGCTTGCACAGAGAAGGGTCTTTACGGGCTTACCACCTGAGTAGACAATGATCAATGATGCATTTGCTTAGAACACTGACTCTGGGTGCTTTCCTATGGAGATGCTGGAGTGTTGAGAATCCAGATGACAATGAGCTTTTTTATCCAGGTGTTACAAGCAAATCCAGGTCCTAGGGAGTCTGTGATATATTTTAGGGTTAAGACCTTTGGGGTCAGACAGAACCAGGTTCAAATCCTGGCTCTGCCCCTTATATGCTGTGTGACCTTAGACAAGTCGCCTAGCCTCTCTGACCCTCTGTTTCTTCATCTGCAAATGACAGATCCCATCATAAAGAATAAAATGAGGCCAGGCATGGTGGCTCATGTCTGTAATCCCAGCCCTTTGGAAGACCAAGGCAGGAGGATCACTTTAGCCCAGGAGTTCAAGACCAGCCTAGGCAACATAGCAAGACCTCATCTCTGCTAAAAAAAAAAAAAAAAAAAAAAAAAAAAAATTAGCTGGGTGTGGTGGTGTGTGCCTGTGGTCCCAGCTACTGAGAAGACTGAGACAGGAGGATGGCTTGAACCCTGGAGATTGAGGCTGCATTGAGCTGTGATCACACCACTGCACTCCAGCCTGGATGACAGAACAAGACCCTGTTTCAAAAAAAGAAAAAAAAAGGAATAAAATGAGCTGATGCCTCTGAAATGCTTAGCACAAAGCCAGGCATGTAGGAAGGGTGAAATGAATGGCAGCTGTCATAATTAGGACCAAGGTACCTGAAGCAAAAAGGGATATAAAGGGACCTTCCGCAAATCTTTGCTTTTTACAGGGGGGGAATCAGCATTAAAATCCAAGGTAACTTAGGTAATGACAGAGCTAGGTCAGGAATTCATCCTCCTGCTTCTCTGTCCAGTGATCTTATCCACTCAACATGTGGCCTCTGGTGGTGGGTTGGGGGTGGGGCACCTGACAGGCCAAACCACTCCCTGCCCTGTGGGTCACATGGGCTGGAGGTGGGGATGCAGCTATTTCCTCTTCTGGGCCCCTCCCCTCTGCTGTCTTCTACAGCCTCTGATTTCGGGAATGTTTGTGAGTCAAATGACTCCCTGTTCCACTCTTTGGCCCCAGAGGGAGGCCAGGAGATGCGGGCAGAAGCTAGCACTGGCCATTTCTCTGGGGGCCCATCACTTACTGGGCTGATGGAAGCCTGCCCACACCATCAGCCCCGGGGAGACAGTGAGAGCAGACCTCTGCGCCAATTTATCTTGGAAATTGTCTTTTCTTCAGGCAAGGGGAGGAGGAAGGAAACCTAAAAGAAAACATCCAGCCACATGGCCGTGAAATCTCTGCCCAAAATCAGTCATCCTTTTTAATAATGAGGGCTGTCACGAGCTCTGGTTCAGTCGGAAATGATGGCCTGTGTAAATATTTGGTCTGTAACCGATTTATGGGTTTGGGAACAAAAAAATAAGATTAGTCACTAATCACAGGGATGCAGGAAAATCAACGGGCCTGGACGCCAACACAGATCAGGCCTAAGAGGCAAAGTCCGGGTCGCTGTCTGGATGAGCTCAGGGGATGGTGGAGGAGGCTGGGCTGTGCTGTGCAGTGGGTCTCTACTGGAAGAGGGAGCCATGGGCTTCTGGATTATTCCATGGGGCAGAGGCAGCATTGTCAGTGTCCAGTTAAAGAACTGGCTGAGACCAGCCCCTACCCCTCCCCTCCCAGATTGCGAGTCTAAGATTGATTCTCCTTGGCTAACCCTGAAATTGACAACCTGTTTGCACAGGTACCTCTGTAAAATGGGAACACATGCGATCAACTCTTACGGTAGAATTAATAGAGTGATGAGGAACTAGCTTTGAAATCCGCCAGAACTGCCATCACACTCCAGCCTGTGTTGAATTGTGATCTGCATACATTAATTATTGGGAACGCCGGTTACCTTAACTACAAAATGGAAGTCATAATTGCTCCAACCCCAAATGAGATAATGTGTCATGAGCACAGTGTCCGGCCCCTGGCATGTGACACAGAGAGAACTTGGTGCTGACATAGGCATTTGTATGAGAATTGGAATTCCCTCCCCGAAGTGGGCTGGTACAGGCACTTACCTCTCCTGCCAGCTAAACCCCACATAACCACTCTACACAGTAAATGCCTCCTATTGGAAATATGTATAGAGGGTGGGTGCCAGCCTTGCCTCTCTCATGGCATCGAGGAAAATTGGATCCACTGGAGTGCCACCCCCTCCCTGCTCATTTCCATGGAAAGCCCGTGAGCATTCATGTAATAGTACAGTGGAAACACTTGGATTTTCATGTATTTGTTTAGTTAAACTGTTTTTATGGAGCTGTTACTATATGCCAGGCTTTGTGCTGGGTGCTGGGAGCCAGAAAGAAGTTAAACACAACCCCTGCCTTCCCAGCACTCCCAAACCAGTGGGAGAGGCCCATACTCATCAAGTCATCAGAAAAATCAGTGTGTACCTCAAAACTGTGGTCAGAGCGGTGGAGAAGACCTAACCCATACCAGGAGGGGTGGGTCAGGATGAGGAAAGGAGAGACACTAGATAAAGTCCCAGTGGCAGAGATGAGGGCTCTAGGGGAGCCAGGTGATGGGAAGTGGGATTCAGGGGCTACTCTTAGTGTTTTGTTTTCACTTCCCAACTTTCAGGTAAGTCTAGATCCTATTAGAACAGTGGTTGGGAAACTACCCAACCTACTGTCTAGCCCAGGGGCCAAGTTCAGCCAATTGCCTATTTTTGTAAATAGCTTTATCGGAACATGGTCATACGTGTTCACTTACACATTGTCTGCAGCTGAGTTTCTGCTACAAAGTCAGAAATGGAGAGTTTTAGTAGAGAGCAAGTGACTTGCAAAGCCGAAGGTATTTCCTCTCTGGCCCTTTGCAGAAAAGATTTGGCAACCTCTGCATCAGGACATCTTTCCTTTCCTCTCCCTTTCTTTATTCCTCTCTTGCCCTAGACCTGAAGTGTGTCTTAGTGGACAAGAGGGGAATATGTATTTAAGGGACATTTTGTTCGTTCTTCAAATCTAGCCTTGGTAGAAGGTCTGTTAGGTATCAAGAGATGATTTGTCACTGAGCGAAGTTTAATCTCTAAAATAAGCACTATCTAGCTGTTCTTCAAACATCTTGCATATTTTTCAGGTGTAAATGTTCCAATAGACATATAATATACACATTTATGTAGGTATAGGATATGTGTTTAATTTCTAGGAATTTATACCTAACTACATTTTCATTTTTGCCAACTAAATCCAAGATACCAGTTACCAGCTGACTTATAGCAGCCATTTAGGAAACAAAAATCCAACTCAAATTTGATCTTCAATGTGTAACTTCTTGAAAAAATAATGAAATATCATCAAAATATTAAATAACAGTTGACTCTGTTATTTAATGTCTGTTTCTCTGTTTTCTAGAATTTTTTTCCTTTGACAAAAATAAAAAGAAAACATTCTAGGCAAAAAAAATAGTATATGTCATATACTATTTATATATGACTACTATATAACTAAAAATTGTGTTTTATTTTTATAAAGGAATGCTTCTGTTACTAAATTCAAATGGTAGAGACAAGTCTAAAAGTAACGAAGTATCTACTCCCCAAATCCACAGCCCCCTCACCTGCCAACTGCCCCTTGCCTGTCTTTCTAGAAAGTGTTGATACGTATATGTGCCTGCATCTTAGACTGTACATCTATTTGAAGCTTCAACTTAGGAGGCATCTGACTCCTCTGCCTCTCACCCCTAACACACTGAAACTGCTGGCAAGTCCTGGGAGAGCTGAGTCCCCTCCCTCCAACCTCATGACCTCCACCCTGCTCCAATCCTCCATCCTCTCTTGCCTGGGTGACTCCAACACCCTCCTTTCCAGATCCCCCAATTCCATTCTTGCTGCCGTTCTTGTTCCATTCTTGTTGGTCAACTTTCTACACATCTGGCAGAGTGATCTTTTTAATTTTAATATTAAGTTCTGAGATACAGCCAGGCGCGGTGGCTCACACCTGTGGTCCCAGCACTTTGGGAGGCTGAGGCAGCGGGTCAGCCGAGGTCGGGAGTTTGAGACCAGCCTGACCAACATGGAGAAACCCCGTCTCACTAAAAATATGAAAAATTAGCCCTGGTGTGGTGGTGCGCACCTGTATTCCCAGTTACTTGGGAGGCTGAGGCAGGAGAATAGCTTGAACCTGGGAAGCAGAGGTTGCGGTGAGCCGAGATTGCGCCGTTGCATTCCAGCCTGGGCAACAAGAACAAAACTCCGTCTCAAAAAAAAAAACAAAAAAAACTGAAGTACATGTGCAGGACATGCAGGTTTGTCACATAGGTAAATGTGTGCCATGGTGGTTTGCTGCACCTATCAACTCATCACCTAGGTATTAAGCCCAGCATGCATTAGCTATTTTTCCTAATGTTCTCTCTCCCCCCGCCCCCGCAATAGGCCCCAGTGTGTGTTGTTCCCTTCCCTGTGTCTACATGTTCTCATTGTTCAGCTCCCACTTATAAGTGATAACATGTGGTGTTTGGTTCTGTGTTCCTGCATTAGTTTGCTGAGGATAATGGCTTCCAGCTCAGTCCATGTCCCTGCAAAGGACATGATCTCATTTCTTTTTATGGCTGCATGGTATTCCACGTTGTATATGTACCACATTTTCTTTATCCAGTCTATCATTGATGGGCATTTGGGTTGATTCCATGTCTTTGCTATTGTGAATAGTGCTGTAGTGAACATACATGTGCATATATCTTTATAATAGAATGATTTATATTCCTTTGGGTATATACCCTTTAATGAGATTGCTAGTTCAAATGGTACTTCTGGTTCTAGATCTTTGAGGAATTGCCACACTGTCTTCCCCAACGGTTTAATTAATTTGCATTCCTGCCAGTAGTGTAAAAGTGTTTCTATTTCTCCCCCATTTAGCAAATGGTGCTGGGAGAAGTGGCTAGCCATACGCAGAAAACTGAAACTGGACCCCTTCCTTACACCTTATACAAAAATCAACTCAAGGTGGATTAAAGACTTTAAAGTGATCTTTTAAAAGCAGAATCCAATTCTGTTATCTTCCTTCTTAAAGTCCTCCAACAGCTTCCCAAAGTTCTCAGCATAAAACCCTACCTCCTAACAAGGACCTGCAGTGATCTGGCCCTGCTGCCTCCCGACTTCACCTCTGCCCCTCTCCTCGTCACTTACTCTGAGTTTCCCTGTCCTGGCTTTGCACCAGTTCTGTGGACTCCGCGACATTCCCCCTGCCTCAGGCTGCCTGATCCTTCTTCCTTCAAATCTTTCAAATCTGGCTTCTCCTTGACATTCAGGTCTCAGCCAAAATGCCAGGTCTGCCTTCCCACCCAGTTACTCACTACCATATCACTGGATTTTAATTCTCTATGTAGAAGCTCTTATTATTGTCATTTATTTATGTATTTATTTTTGAGATGGGTTCTGGCCTTGCCACCTAGGCTGGAGTGCAGTGGCACAATCTTGACTCACTGCAGCCTCCACCTCCTGGGCTCAGGTGATCCTCCCACTTCAGCCTCCCTAGTAGCTGGGACTACAGGTGCGCACTACCATGCCTGGCTAATTTTTGTATTTTTTGTAGAGTTAGGGTTTCATCATCTTACCCAGGCTGGTCTCAAACTCCTGAGCTCAAGGGATCCACTTGCCTTGGCCTCCCAAAGTGCTGGGATTACAGGCATGAGCCACCACACCTGGTGGTAGCTCTTATTCTTAAGTAGCATTTCCTCGTTGCTATCTGTTTGTCTGTATTCCCCCATCAGGATATAAGCCCAAGGAAAGTATAGCTCTTGTCTGCCTCCTTCATTGCTGGAATCCAATTATTTTACTGTCCTAGTAACACTTACCAGGTCATTTTTTTCGAATTAATATATATCTTTCAAAGACACAATGAGGCCATATCATATCCATTGTTTTTTCTCCTCCCACTTTCACTTTATAATAAATGTTGGTGTTCTCTCTCTCCTGATTCTTTTTTAACACCTACATAGTTTCCATCAAATGGAATTACCATAATTTAATCGACCAGTCCACCATAATGCATATTTCAGCTGCCTCCAGTCTTTTGCTAAGCACAGTTAATTTCACTATTGTTGGGAGGGGTGTGAAAACCAGACTTGGAGAGGAGGAGAGGAGAGAGAGATGAGATGGAGCAAATGATCTAATTGCAGAACAATGCATCATCTCACCCTTCAATGCTGGGGGCAGGGATTGTTTAGAGCAGCCGTGTCCAAAAGAAATGTTAGAAATGATGGAAATGTTTTCTACCTGCTTTGTCCGGTGCAGTAGCCACTAGCCACATGTAGCTTTTGAGCATTTAAATCATGGATGTAATGGCTGATGAGAAGAATATTCAATTTTATCTTGCTTTAATTAAAATGTTAATACCCGTAAAGAACAGCATAGATTTAGACAAAGGGATTTATACTGATCATTAAAGAATGTTCCTGTTTACTTCCCTCCCCATAACCCAGTCACAGTGGCATACAATTCAGGGATATGGGGAGAGGAGTGAACAGGAATAGAGAATGTTCATTATTTAGACACAGAAGGTCAAGAGAGAAGCTGTATGCTGAGGGAAAATAAATCCCAAGCAGACCCTTAAAGCAGGCTCTCTTACAAGTTTTCTCTTGACATCTGTGGACAGGTAGTGTAGAACAGGAATCAGCAAATTTGTTCCACAAAGAGTCAGATAGTAAATATTTCAGCTTGGGGTTATGCCAACTCTGTCACAACTAACCCTGCTATTGTCAGGCAAAAGAAGCCACAGACAATATGTATATAAATGAGTAGGCATGACTGTGGTCCAAGGAAACTTTATTTACCAAAACAAGATGAGGGCTGGATTTGGCCATTGGTTGGCCCATAGTTCTTCTAGAACCCCTGTTCTAGAAGAACCTGGCTAGAGCTGCCCAGTTCAGACCACCAGGCAATCTTCCTGAGAACAAAGGGAGAACCATGCCCTAGCCATAACCCAGGAATTCTTGAGTTTTACACACCCAGATGGGCTAAAAGACAGCATGGATAACCCAGTCTCAGTGAATCAGTTACTGGTTCACCACATCTGATTTGAGATTTCTGCTGTGTCTTGAGACACCCGTACCCTTATAGCAGGTGTCAAACAGACTCCTGCCTCATGGCCAGGTCTGTGCTGGTGCGGATGTGATACACAAGTCAGGGTTGCTGACAATGGAAGCTGTGTCTTCTATTTCCCTTTAGACCTCTGAAGTGTAAGAACACAGTGCATCACACTTAGAGTGTGCTCGGTTGGTGTGTGCTGAATTTTTAACCAAGTGCCGCATAACCTCTCTGAACTTCAATTTCCCCATCTATGAAATGGGTATAACTCTAGTACCTTCCTTGTAGGGTTGTTGTGAGGACCGCATGAGTTAATGCACATGGGGAGCTGGTACCTGGACCATAGGAAACGCTCCGTGCATGGTGCTGATGCACATGGAGTGCTGGTGATAGCAACCTAAAGTTCGATGGTTCTGGGAGCTTCAAGGGCGCTCAGACTTGAGTTCAGCCTTTAAGGATACATGGAGAGAAGACGGCACTGGGTCCTAGGAGAGTGAAGGTACAGAGAAGCTGAGCCAGAGCAGGTTCAAGGTGAAAGGAGACGGGGAAACAGAGTTTGGGCCATGTGCCTTCATGAAGTAGGAAATTTACTAGAGACAATACGAATTCATGCCAAGAGGGTGATACCAGTCTTTCCCACTGATGCCATGCCCCACCCCTTGCAGACCCCTCAGCAGACCTTGTCTGCTGTGACCATCATCACACTTGGGCAGTATCCCTCTTTGAGAAATGAGGAGACAGGCCCAGAGAGGAGAAGTGACTTGTCCAAGACCACACAGCTGGTACAAGGGGAGCAGGACCATCATCCAGGGCCATTTGGAATTCAGTCCCTGCTGCCCACATCATGTTGTCCATTGTCCTCACCCACAGAAAACCTGCCTTTGCACTACAGAGGTCCCTTGGGGGTTACTTGGCTCAATCTCTGAGAGCTGCATTACCCCCAAACAGATCCCGTGACCATAGGGGAACCATATTCCTCCCAGGCCAGATCCTGTGTCATGGGAGCTTGGTTTGAGAGGACTGATGCAGGTAACACCTCTCAGGTACCTCAGCAGTTCTGTTTTGTACCTGGAGGAAAACTCCTTTGCTTCTTGCAAGAAATCTATTCTTCAGTCCAAATCTCCCTGTGGTCAAGCTCTTGGGTCATAGTGAGGAGGAAGCCATGTAGGTCTCACCCAGAGAGCCCCGGAATCCTAACTCCTAGTACATGAAGATGTCTGCGATCCAAAGCTTGGCAAGGGTTGGTGGGGGCGGGGTGGGGGTAGTATCCTCTTTCTGGCACCAGAGTGGGATGGAGCCTCATGTAGCTGTGAGAGCCTGGGCTCCGGATCTGGACAAATTGGGTTAGAAGCCCAATACTGGCCCGGTGCGGTGGCTCATGCCTTAATTCCAGCACTTTGGGCGTGTGAGGTGGGTGGATCACTTGAGGACAGGAGTTCAAGACCAGCCTGGCCAATATGGTGAAACCCCATCTCTGCTAAAAATACAAAAAAAAAAAAAAAAAAAATTAGCTGGGCTTTGGTGGCACATGCCTATAATCCCAGCTATTTGGGAGGCTGAGGCAGAAGAACGAGTTGAACCCATGAGGCGGAGGTTGTAGTGAGCCAAGATCACGCCACTGCCCTGCAGCCTGGTCAACAGAGCGAGACTCTGTCTCAAAAACAAAAAAGGAGCTCAGAACTTTCTGGACTCGGTTTCTTCATCTGTGAGATGGAACCACCTGCAAGGCTTGTTGTTAATATTCACTTGTACATTCATCCAAAATATAGTTTTGGAGGACACACTGTGCGTCAGACATTTTTCTAGGCCTTGGAGACAACATTGGTAAGCAACATTGAGATAGAGCTCATATTCTAGTTGGCAGACAGAGAACAAATGAAGAAATTCAGACACCGCTAGAATAAGAATCTCATAAAGTGGCCAGTCCTGTGTGTGGCCCCTAGTAACTATCCCATTAAAAGTGGTAGGTATTTTTCTTGTTTGAGTTATGGCACCAAAGAATCCCTTGAGACAAGGGTACTGTATTAGTCTGCTAGGGCTGCTGTCACAAAATATCACAGATCGAGGGGCTTAAACAATGGAAATGTATTTTCTCACAGTTCTAGAGGCTGGAAGTCCAAGATCGAGGTGTTGGCAGGGTTGGTTTCTCCTGAGGCCTCTCTCTGTGTCTTGCAGATGGCCGTCCTCTTGCTGTGTCCTTACATGGCGGCTTCTATACATCCCTGGTGTGTTGTCCTCTTCTTAAAAAGACACCAATCCTATTGGATTGGGGCTCTCCCTTATGATGTCATTTAAGCTTAGTCACCTCTTTAAAGGTTCCATCTCTAAATACAGCCACATTCTGAAGTCCTAGGGGTTAGGACTTCAACATAGGAACTTGAGGGGGACAAAATTCAGCCCATAACATGCATTGATGGTGAGAACCAAGAGAATGTCTTAAGACCAAAAACGCAGTGTGGGGAGAAGGGGCATTTTGGCCAAGTATTCCTTGCACACCTTTTCTCTGGATGCCTTTGATGATGCTGTTGTATGCTCCCTTCTTCAAGGAAGGCTTCCTGCTTCCCAGGCCTGGCATCATCACCTTATCCCGATGATGGACACCCTTCTCCACTTGTCAGTGTCATTCTCAGACTTTGTGTGTTTGAGAATTCAAGTCATAGCATTTGTACACTATGACTTATTTATCCCTTCCACTATTGATGGTCACTGAGATGTTCCCAGTGTTTGTGTGGCCCTTATGAATAACGCTGCCATGAACATTCTTACAAAGGTCTTTTTTTGCAGACATGGGCCCTCATTTTGGTTAGATACAGGCCTGGGAGTAAAATCGTTGGGTCAGAGCTTACTTTCAGCTTTAGTAGCTACTGCCAAGTCATTTTTCAAAAACGGTTGTACCAATTTACACTCCCACCAGGATTTTAGGAGAGTTCTGTTTGCCTTATATCTTTGCCAATATTTGTAACTGCCAGTCTATTTTTAGCCATTTGGGTGGGATCTATACTATAGTTTACTTAACATTTTTTTAGCCAACATCTCCTCCCCCTCGTTTGTCTTCTTATTCTTCCTTTTCTCTTCCTTTTTCTCCTTTGTCTTCCTTTTTCTCATCCTTCTTTCTCTTCCTCCTCCCCTTCTTTTTCTCCTTCTTAGTATCTTTTGCATATAGAAAATAATTACTATGAAATTATAGATTTGACGTGCAAAGGCTATTTCTTGAATTTTATTAAAATGCAAAAAGATGCATCCATGTCTTCTCTAAAAGGACTGCGTATTCCTCCACACTTGGGGAAATGCAGCTTGTGCTATTTCACAGGCTCATCATGCCCCTTTTTTTTGCCAGGACGCTGGTTGATTAATGCCATGCTTGGGGAGTGCTCCAGCCAGAAATGAGGGCTATCGCCTGTGGCCAATAACAGAGCAGATTCTCAATAAACATCCCCTTGGTGTTACACTTAATGGGGCTTTGCTTTTCCAAACTGCTCCCTTTCCTGGGCTCTGAGCAGCTGAGCCGAGAGCTCGTAAGCTCTGCTGCCCCAGAACATTGTGCATTCTTTGATTTTGAAAAGTCTTTCCTGAAGGCCTCCTCTTGGGTCATTGGATCAGCCCAAGAGCAAAGGATTTAAAAGGGCCAATTTGATAGGGACAGCTCATAGCCCTGTGTAAGACCACTGGGCATTTTTCCTGTTTGGGGAAATGGTTACTGGATTAGCATTTTGCTGTACAGGGCGGTCTGCAAGAATGTGTGCTCTTGCCTGTCCTCAAAGCAGGCTTGTGAGGAGCTTGTCTGTTCCCAGCCCTGCCATTTCCTCCCAATTGGCTGGGCCAGATGCTCCAGACACAGTTAATGAGATGCTGAGGGATTTGGCCGGGTAAAGGCTTCTGAGTTGAAGGGGACACAACCCACACGCTCGAGGAGGCTGAGGCCATGTGAGCCAGCGGCTCTGTTTCACTCAGACCCCAGCACACTTTGGGAAGAGGAAATGGTGCAAAGACTAAACATCAGTTTGGGGCTTCCCTTGACGATCTCTGTGATGAAAGCTGGGAGAGGTGGGCTGGCAAAAGGGTATCGATTCAGTTTGCTGAATGTGCAACCACCTGCCAGACCTAGGCCAAGGGTGGCCGGGGGCTGACAAAAGAAATTGTCAGAAAGAAAAAGAAATTGTATTTCTGTCCTTGAAGAGCCCTTACTTGGGAATTAACTGGGAAGATGCTGCTAAACCAGCCCTCCTGATTTGCAGATGGAGACTGGGTCACTTTCCTTTAGAATTCCCCACAAATAGAAGATGTCACATAGTCCTTGCTTGAGGTGGGATACATGGGCTAGGGTGAGCATCTGTAGACCCAGCTTCTGGGTCCCTGTCTTATGCTAGATGGTGAGGATACAGGCCCTTTTTGTGTGATGGGCATGGGCCCTAGGGGAGACAGACATTCCTCTGGTAACCACATAAGTAAATGCAGAATTCCAGCTGGGATGCATTCTAAGAAGGAAAGCAGGTGGTGCTGGGAGCAGGTGTAACCAGGAGATCTGACTGGTTTGGGAGTTAAGGATGGCATCTCTGAGGAAGTGGTACCTTAATGATGAGTATGATACCACTAACAAGCACAATGGGGAATAATGTCCCAGGCAGCAGGAACAGCATGTGCAAAGGCCCTGAGGTAGAGAATTTAGTGTGGTCAAGGACCAGAAAGATGACCCGAACAGCTAGAGTCCAAGATGACACAAGAAGTTGGAGGGTAGGTGTGGAGGGTCCTAGGAAGCTTTTATAGACCACAAGAAGAGAGAACAACTGGAAACCTTTGTGGGGTTTTAAGAAGAGGAGTGACATGATACAATGTATACTTTTTAAAGCCTGCCTTTGACTGCTGGGTAGAGAATACATTGTAAAGAATCCAAAGTGGGATCCAATTACTCAACCATAAAAAGTCATTTAGTGGTGATCCATGCTAGAACATGGATGACCCTCAAAAACATTGTACTGAGTGAAGAAGCCAGACACAAAAGGCCACATCTTGTAGGATTCCATTTATATGCAATGTCCAGAATAGGCAAATCCATAGAGCGAGAAAGCTGATTGGTGGTGCAGGGGCTGGAGGAAAGGGGAAATGGGAGTGACTAATGCGTAAGGGATTTCCTTTTGAAGTGGTGAGCATTTGGAACTAGATAGAGGTTGTGATCTTCCAATATGAATGAACTTAATGCTACAGAGTTATTCAATTTAAAATGGTGAATTTTACGTTCTGTGAATTTCACTTTAGTATAACAAAAAAGCAAAAATGGAACCAAATGCAAGTGAGTCTGCGATTCCAGCGAGGAGGCAGCGGCAGCCCAGGTGAGAAGAAGGTGGTGGCTTGGACCAGAACATTGGGGCTAGAGATGGAGAGTAATGAACTCATTCAAAGACAATGTAAGATTTCTCGGGATCCTTTTAGTTTTGATACTGTATGTAAATTGGGCATCAGAAAAGTGGGAAGAGTTTTCCCAGATTCCAACACTGGAAGAGTCCTTTGCTGTACTTGGGAAACATGCATTTTCCTAAGCATAGGTGATGGCCTGGAGCTGAGTGTCTTTCCCTAACACAGATGTGCAGCCTTGGCTTAGCCCAGCCCCTCTGCACAGCTTACCTTGTCAGGGAGCCCTGACTTGCTGGCCCATCCAGAAAGCACCATGGTACACCCAGGGCTGATATAGCCCCAGAGGATTTGGCTTCCCTTTCTAATGTTTTGTGCCACCTAATTTTGTTGATTTTCTCTGAATTGGCCTTATTTCCAGATGAGACATCTGTGTGACAGATATCTAATATCCTACAAAGATCACGGGAAAGAATGTTCTTTTTAATTGCATCTGTGAGATATATTGCAAAATATTCACTAAATCTTAAGTACACAGTCACAGTCATTAGAAACAGTCATTTGTGTCTGTTTTTTCCCCCTGACCATGCCTTGGTAATGAGGGTGGATGGAAAGGTGAATCCCACATCTTGTCCATGAAGGCTTCCTTGATGGGTAGGAAGCAATATGGGATTTCTTTCCACCCTACTCTAATCAAATAGCCATGTATTCTCTCGTTTTCTTTTACTCCCATTCTCTCTTCTGCCCTTCTTTCTCTCCATCTTTTCATCCCACCATTCTTCCCTTTTCCATCCTTCCTTCCTCTTTCCATCTGTCCATCCTTCCATTCTCCCATTCTTCTCCATTCCTTTATCCGTTCTTCTGTCTTCCCATTCTCACTTTTATTCCATCCATTTATCCTTTAATTCTTTCATCTTCCTCCCCCATCCTCCCTTCCTTTTATCTGTGTTCCCATCCTCCCATCCTCTCTGTCCTTCATCAATTCCATCCTTCCAATTTTTCACCCTTCCTTCC
Source organism: Homo sapiens (assembly GCF_000001405.40). Taxonomy (NCBI): domain Eukaryota; kingdom Metazoa; phylum Chordata; class Mammalia; order Primates; family Hominidae; genus Homo; species Homo sapiens. Next base: position 117,673,249 of record NC_000012.12, on the reverse strand, counting down.
TTCTTTCCATTCTTTTATCCATCCATCTTTTCATCTATCCTTCTGTCCAACTAACCCTTATTTAGATATACCCCTTCTCCCCTCCATCTGTGGCCATGGTTGGTAAAACAGATTGACTCTGAGGTCATTGAGCTCCTGCTAAACTTGTGCTGGGTCAGACTTGGTTCTTCTTGCCAGAGGATCTGGTCTTGTCACTTAGCTCAGTGCCTCAAGGCTCCTGTCAGGGTTTTGGAGATGACCGTGGTTATCTATCACCAGAGGGTTTTGCTGTGTCCTCTTCACTCACTAAGGGCCATGGTGGATTGAAAGTTTGTTGGATATCACCAGGCGCAGTGGCCCACGCCTGTAATCCCAGCACTTTGGGAGGCCGAGGCCAAGATGGGCAGATCACAAGGTCAGGAGTTCAAGACCAGTCTGGCCAACATAGTGAAACCCCGTCTCTATTAAAAACACAAAAATTAGCCGGGCATGGTGGCACACGCCCATAGTCCCAGCTACTTGGGAGGCTGAGGCAGGAGAATCCCTTGAACCCTGGAGGCAGAGGTTGTGGTGGGCCGAGATCGTACCACTGCACTCCAGCCTGGGTGACAGAGCAAGACTCAGTCTCAAAAAAAAAAAAGTTTGTTGGATATTTCGGGTGAAAATTGCAGCTTGGCTTCAATGTTGGCTTCTTCAAGTCTACTTCTATAGCTATACAGACATCTGATTTGACCTGGTCATAGTGACTTTAATAGCAGGTGACATCACCTGAACCCTCACTCTGTGCTGGGTCCCCTGCCAAGCTTGTTATCTCATAGAATTCTCACAATAGCCTTCTGAGATTGGTGTTAGTATTCTCCCCATTGCCCAGATGAGGAAACCGAGATCACTTTCTCAAGGTCACAATCAGGACTTAAGTCCCAGTCTCTCTGACCCCAAAGCCTATGAGTTTAACCACTAAATTACACTGCATCTGTGGGATATACTGCAAAATATTCACTAAATCTTAAGTACACAGTCACAGTCATTAGGAACAGTCATTTGTGTCCGTGTATGGATGTTTCTTTGAATCTTGAACATTGAGCATTTGCGTGGGATGAAATGGCACCCCTCCCCCCACCGCCTTGCTTTCCTTTCTTCTCTGACCATGGGCAGGAAAGAGTCCGCCAGTATGTGCTGCTATAACTGGAGGCTCCTTGCTGGTCCTCGCCGTGGGCCCCTGGGGAGATAAGCAGAGTTGGCGTTCCAGGCGCTAAGGACTTTGCAGGCATGCTTAGACTCCCTCAAGCCAGCGAGCAGCAGGCCTCCTTCACAGTGGGGCTTTTAACCTGCTTGTGTGGGATGCCCCCAGGCTTAAACCAATAGACTTTTCTGAACTCTCCTTCCAGGATTCTGAAAATCTGCAAGGAGGCTGTGCTCTGGCCACAAGAGGGCACCCCACTCCTGGGCAGGCAGGATGGGAGTTTGGGGGAGGTGGGTGGGAGGAGCTGAGAGATTCCTTTTGGATGCAGCTTTGAACCAAGCGCTCTTAAGCGCACTCCTTGGGAAGGGAAGAAATGTTTTCAAGCCCACTGAAAAGTTTCATTTCATTCAACTAGTACTAAGCTAAGGGATGAAGGATCCAACAGGGTAAACCACATGGTTCCTGACCTCAAGGAGCCTACAGTCATGTGTGGAAGGCAAAGAATTAGAAGGGAATGTGATGTGTGCCAGAGTCTTAATCCAGAACAGTCATTTGGTAAGCATTTAATGAGCACCTACTATGTGCCAGGCTTTGTGCTGGTTGCCAAGGATAGGAAAATGAACAGCACAGAGTCATTGCCCTCAAAGACCACAGTCTACTTGGAAGACAGCAAATCTGAAAAAATAGGAAACTGTTGCCATCAATCTGTCTGTCTCTCTGCCGTCTGTCTGTCTATCTATCTATCTATCTATCTAATGATCAATCAATCGAGAGAGAGAGAACTGAGAAGGAACACCCAACCCAGTCTAGGAGGGAAGAGGGAGTATTAGGGAATGCTTTCTGGAGGAAGAACACCCAACCCATGCCGAAATGAATTAGGATATCAAGGAAGACTTCCTGGAGGAGAGGACATCAGAGCCAAGTCATAAAAGACAAGTAGGGTTTAGCCAGGCAAAGCAACAGAGGGTATTCCAGGTGGTGGAGACAGCATATACAAAGAGTGAGAAGGCCCCAGGGCCAGACCAAGGTGTGTGTGTGGGTAGATATTGGGTACCATGTTAAGGACATTGGGTCTTTTCCAGCATGTGATGGAAAAGCAGGTTCTAAGAGAGTGAGGTGAGGGAATGATAAGTTACCCCGACTCTGTGGGTAGGAGAGGGCATTATACACGTGGTAGCATTTGAACTGGACCATGGAGTATGTGTAGGGGTTCACCAGGTGGAGGAGGAAGAGAAACGATAGAAACACTCTGTGAGGGGCAGCTTTGCCGTTCCGTGGGGGCCACTGAACAGGGACTCTCCTGGGTCCCTGCCCTGTCTCCTTCATCTATTACAGCATTTTTCTATTTAGTTACTCCAGAGCAAAAGGGATCAGTGCTAGACACAGGGGGGCAAAGGGAAATATCTGCGTGGGGTTTCTGGGTGGTTCTGGTGAAAGGGTTCCAAGAAAGAGGTGGATGAAGCAAAAGTGAAGATTTAGGGCTCAGTTCTTGGCCACCCCAGTGCCTCTGACCTGAGCATGTCCCAAATCGAACTTCTCAGGATAGTGGCCTCGGGGTGGGTGATGATGTAGGGTTGGGACTGACATGCAGGGTCTGGTGTGGGTGCAGTTGAGAGATGCACCCTGGTGCCGTACTGCCTGGTTTCAGGGCTGGCACCACCTTCACCACATCCCTTATCTTCTCATTGCTTTGGTGTCCTCATCATTGGAGAGAAGATAATAACAGCATCTCCCACCTAAGGTTACCATGGCGCTTAAGTGAGGTCATACATGAAAAGCACTTGATACAGTCCCTAGGACATGGTTGGCACTCAAATCAAAGCAGTGGTAACAGTGGCTGTTGTTGCTGTTATTATTATGATGAAGCCTCCTGTTTGATAAAGTTGAAAAATTTTAAATGTCCATGTTTTATGCTTATAATTTCCGAGCTGTTTTCTCTCCATTTCAGATCAAAGCTTAATCAGCACCTTGCTGGAATCCTTGTTTTTAGTGTCTCCTTTCTATCTCTTTCTCAGTATGAGAGGGCCTGTTGGAAATGGAATAATTTCGCCTCCTAATAATCTGTTGGCAAGGAAGATGCCTAGAAAAAAAAGAAACAATTCAAAAAGAATCTTAAATACCCTATTTTTTTTTATTTCAGCAACAGACTGTGAATAATTGCTAAGCCCCTCACTTTCTTTATCATTTTTAAATTTTATTATTATCATTATTATTATTTTAGAGACAGGGTCTCACTATGTCACCCAGGCTGGAGTGCAGTGGTACAACCGTAGCTCACTACAGCCTCAAACTCCTGGTCTCTAGTGATCCTCCCACCTCAGCCTCCTGAGTAGCTGGGACTGCAGGCACATGCCTCCAAACCCGGCTAATGTTTTAATTTTCTATGGAGACAGGGTCTTGCTATGTTGCCCAGGCTGGCTGCAAACTCCTGGCCTCAAGTTATTCTCCCACCTTGGCCCCCGAAAGTGCTGGGATTATAGAGATGAGACACTGCACTCAGCCCTCTTTTTTTTTTTAATTTTAGCAATGTATTTTACTTAACCCAACATTTGATGCATACAAAAATATTGTTAGGTATTGTCCATTATTATTATTTTTCATTCTAAGCCTATTTCAGTCAAGCCTCACCACAATTCAAGTGCTCATGTGGACGAGTAGCTCTGTTATTGGACAGGGTAGCTCTATACTAAGAAATGGCCAGGATGTGACAGATCCATTCTTGAGGGCGTAGTTATTCTCAGCCTTCAGTATACATTGCACTTTTTTTGATAGTATCAAATTTTGCCATAAGCTTAACTCTGATGGATACTTGCACTCATAACACATTGCTATTAATTAATTGTTTAAATATCATACTATTACCCGTTTCAGTGAGTTACCTATACATTTCCTTACCTTTATGATTCTGTGTAAGAGACAGTCCCTGGCTTTATTGCACAATTGTTGCCATGAATGTACCATGTTGTAGGCAGAAGGCAGATGCTCACCCACTGGTGGGGTGAGACCAATGCCCGTGTGTAGGATTGAGATTAGACATCACCCCTTTCTCTTCTCTTGAATGAATCTATAACTGGCCATGGATCAAATGCTGTGAGCTGAGGGGTCCCTGGAAGAGCTCTTCTTTACCTTCCTTCCTTTTACCATTTAGAGATCATTCAACAAATATTTAAATTCCTGCTCTATGTGACTCGTTTTGCTGGGCACAGAGTGTACAAAGAATACCATTCAATCTCCTGGGTCTTGAAGAGTCCCCAAGAGGAGAACCAAACTTTCCTGAAGCTTCTGCTTGGTTTCAGCTGCAGATTCTTTCTTCTGAAGGAACTATCAGACAGATATCCATAATATAATAATGATAATTCATGTTTATACTTTGTATTAATTCACTTACGGGCATTTTTAAATCCTCTCCACAATTCTCCAAAGGACTCTTTTGTAGGCAAGAGAACTGAGGCTTGAGAAGTTTAATGGACTCACCCGGGGGTGGTGAGACCAGTTATTTGAATCTGGGGAGTCTGGCCCCAGAATAGTGTAATTCCTGCAAGCTGCACCTGCTCTTCTCCAGCAATGCTGCTATGGTGGACACAGCGATGAAGGGTGGGGGCACCCAGGGTCCCTTGTCTATATCACTCTTCTGATCTCTGGCAGCTGCCTGTGAGGCTGTGAGGCACCCCATCAGATCCAGCCTATGATCTGGTGGAGCACCCTCCCTCCTGAACTCCTAAGGTGGGCACCATCTGAGGCTCCTGGTAGGCACCGGACCAAGAGCTAGACAGAGCCGTGGGTGGGCTGGGAAGGAGGAGCCCGGCACCAGAAGTCCTCAGCAAGAGGAAGCATTTCCAGAAGAGGCACTGTGATCCTACCGAAGGCTTAGTCTACTTAGATCTCTTGAAAGTCATCAGGCTTAACATCTACAGAAATGCACTGATTATTGTTACATGGAGGAAGGGCAGTGGATTTGGGGATTAAACACGTAGATGGTGAATGCCACCTTGACACAGATCTGGACTCACTTGAGGACAGCCTGGGATTTGCTGTTTTTGTCAAATGGCCAAAGAGCAGCTTGGCCACGGGTTGGGGGCTTGGAGCTCTGGAGACTCGAGATGTTTAGGCAAAAGTTGCGGGATTGGAGTTGGAAGCTGAACTTGACACTGGCTCTCTAGAGCTTCTCTAGGGAGCTGGGCAAAAAAGAATGGCTGAAGTGTTTGCTTGTGCTCCATGGTAGAATGAGCTTCTTAGAGGGACCTAGGGGTGAGAGGGTAAACCCTTTTTGCCCAGCCCTTGTGTCTCTACCTAAAAGCCTGTGGGCTCTTCTAATTTCTCCCTGTGGGTTTTGGACCCCTCATGGGAAACACAAGGCTGGGCCTCCCTGCTGTAACTTTGTGCACCTATGGATATATTTCCTTTTCCTCTTTTTCTGTCTCCCTTTCAGAGCCAAGAAGAAGAGCAAACCCTTGAACCTCAAGATCCACAGCAGCGTAGGCAGCTGCGAGAACATCCCCTCTCAGCAGCGCTCCCCGCTGCTGTCCGAGCGCTCCCTCCGCTCCTTCTTTGTGGGACACGCACCTTTCCTGCCTTCCACCCCTCCTGTTCACACTGAGGCCAACTTCTCTGCAAGTAAGTCACCCTGCCGGGCTGCACTGGGAACGCTTGCCATGCCACCTCCTTCTCCCCAGCACCTGCTGTCCTCTGTGCCAGGTGCAAACTCTCTCTTCTTTATCTCAAGGGCTTGTGAAATGCTCACTGTAGAGCTTCACCCATCATCTGCCCACAGCCCCCCCATCTGCCTATGCCACTCATGCCCATTTGGATGGTTTTGGAAGGGGGCATAACTGACGCTGGGGAGGTTGACTGGGTGTTGTCGTTGGTCCCCAGTTCCTGCTCTTTCCCCTGAAGTTGTGAAGGAAAGATAGAGAAAAGCAAGCAGGCATTCAGGGAGGCACCCGCCCTCTCTCTCCCTCTTCCCGGCTGTCTCTCAGCTGCCTGATTACAGGATTTTTCTTGGCTGCTGTGGCTAAGGCATCTATGATTAAGTTTTGTATTTTTTTCCCCACTCAGGTCAATATATATAACCTTTACATCTCAAAGATGTATTTGGGTTCAAATGGGGTTGAGCATGGCCTGAGGTGGTTTACTTTCTGCTCTTACGAATTTCTGCTGGAGACAGGGTGGTTATTACTTGGAGCGGAAATGGAACTTTTTGGTGATGGAGGGCTGGTTTAATCTTCTCTACCCAGAGGCCCGATTTGCTGAACAGGCACAGATGTGGTCAGAGGGGCACCCCCACTGAATAAAGCCCAGCCAGTCCTCCAGCCAAGACAGCAACTTTTATTGATTGGTTGCTCAAGAGAAGGAAGGGCTCTGAGAATGTAGAAGAAATAACCCCTGGCCCTTAATTCAGCCACAGGCTGTGCACGTTGTGTTGCTGCTCTGAGAAATGATGAGACATGTTCACTGAGCCCTGATACATGCTAATCACTCACAGGCAGGGCCCCATTTAGTTCTTGCAAACAATCCCTCATGCAGATGGATTATTCCCATTGTACAGAAGGGGAAACTGAGGCCCAGGGATGTCAAAGAACTTGCTCAAAGTCACACAGGTGTTGAGTATTTGAGCTGGGATTTGAATTTGGTTCTTTCTAACACATCACACATCATTTGATAACCATGACCGCTCAAATACTCAGCAGAATGCCTTTCTCTAAATATGGGGTTTCCTTCATTACTTTTATCTAAGGGTTCTTACACTTTGAGAATTTGACAAGATCTATTAATTCTGTGCCTGGAAAAAAAGGCAGGTACATGTAATATCCAACATCCCGCTAGATGGTTAGGCTGGGGCCCGAATAGTGAGCTTGGTTTATAGCCCATGGGTGTTTATGGTGCATCCGTGGTAGGAATCAGCTGAGGGTATGGACTGATGAACCATGTGGACATCAGTTAGGAGTCGGTCCAGAGACTGCCTTGTCTTGGTGCCCAGGTTAGGCAGGCTCTAAATCAAGCAAACTAAAATAGTACCCTCGACTCCCAGGTCCATACCAGAAGGCCAATTTATTAATTTGTCCAGAGAAATCACTGCCAGAGAGAGCACCCTTCATGACGGTGGGCCTGCATGGTAGTCAAAGAGACTGGCTGCATGAGCGTGGATGAAGAAAAGCGTGATAGTGACAAGTCCAGTGTGTAGCAACAGCCAGGTGAGGCAGATGTCACGACCAGGAGCAGATGCCTGGGTTTGAACCCCAGTTATTCTACTTTTAAGCAATTATGTGTGACCTCAAGTGAGTTCAAAGCCTCTGAACCTGTTTCCTCATCTGTAAAATGGGGACAATAAGAGGTTCATCTTGTAGACAGTTGTGAGGATTAGATGAGCTCATGCATGCCAAGCCTTCTGCACAGTTCCTGGCACACAGTAGGTGCATAATAAATGGTGGCTTTTATGATGATGTTTTATTCTTGAAGCATTTACAGCCTGTGGGCTGATGGTTAATTTGGGGCTTCTGTGGCTAAATGCCTTGCAGTTTACTTCCCCTCCCCACTTCCCCATGGCCCGAAGAGTGCTTGGCATTTACCTTGGCATGACTCTGGGTGACTGCCTCTAACAGCCATCTGTCCTTGGTCATCGCCATCCTATGAGTGAATGTCAGCCGGGCCCCCTCCAGGGGTTGGCCACTGCTCTGCACTTTAATTTTGGCCAGAGTAAAAACATCTCCTTCCTGCTTTAAAAAAAAAGACAACAAAACACAGATTTAAACATTTGAGCCCCCGTCCCTACCAAAGAGTTTTTGAGGATTCATCATGGCTTCTAACTTTTTGTTCCCGCCCTGGTCTCCACCTAAGAGGAAAAGCGTTTCTGCTTGCCTGTGGACAGGAGCAAAGTCCTTAATTAAAAGGTGGCTCCCAGCAGTAAGAGGCACCAGGAGCACAACTGCCCCTTGGACAGTCTTGGTTCTTCAAAAAAGTTGCTCTCTGAGCTCCCGGAAAGAAGAAAGACAGCATTTGAGTCTCAGTGGAAGAATGAGTGAGTGTGTAACCCAAATAGCTGAGACCTCAGGGACCAGTTCCCTATCTGTTGATTCTAACAAGTAACAGAAACAGAGGCAGCCTGGTGTGGGGCAGGCAGGTTCGTTTGGGAAACGAGAAGCTCTCTGTTGGAATCTCAGTGTTGCCGCCGGTTGCCTTTGTGGCCTCTGTCTCTGCCTGGTGTGTCAGCTGCACTATTTCAGTTAAGACTCACCCCAGTCTGTGAGGCAGGTGCTAGAATTCCCATGTTACAGATCAAGAAACTGAGGCTCAGAATGGTGCATGAATTTGTCCATGGGGTCCCTTCTGAATCCAGATCCAATCTAGCCTGCATTGTATCACTTCAATGCGGCAAGTTCCTTCCTCTATCTGGGTCTCAGTTTCCCCAGGGGTATGCACTCCCTGAGGGTCCATTTCAGTGACTCTGAGGTCTAGCCACTGAGTTTTCCTAGGCAAATCTTTTGATGCAATTAGAATGCTGGTTTTGGGGACTCTGGGTGGGGCTTGGGGTTGGGAGAACACAGCTACCAGGTGCCGACTCCTCCTTGTTTGTAATAGTTCCCATTCCCATGCCAGTGAATTCCAGAAGAGAACTCCCTGCTTTTGGGCCCTGGTGGCAGCCTTCCTCCTGCTGAGCCAGCCAAGGGGGCCCCTGGGGCTGCATCCCTGCCAGGCTCAGTCTGTCTGCCTGTTTGTAACTGTCGGCTCTGGCTCTGGTCTGCACTGTGAAGGGTGGTGACACGTCATCTTGTTACCCCATGATGGTAACGCCTGGGGACAGCATTAGGCAGATCTGGCTGTAGTGTGGCCAAGCCTCACAACCTCAGGGTGCCCAGCCACCTTGAGTGGGCTGCGAGAAGGACATCACCTTCTTGGGGCTTACCCTACTCCCCTGGCCTGGGAGTGGTGAGTGGGGAAAGGGAGGGAGGGGAATGGCAGGAGCCTTCGCTCATGGAGGAATCTGTCTCCAAGGTTCACCAGCCCTTGGGGTTCATAGCCTCACTCAGGTAGGGCTAGAATGAAAGACGTCAGACGCTTCTGTTCACCATGGGAGATATTGACTCAAATGAACCTGCTTCCCAGAGAAATAGAGAGCAGTGGACTTATCTCTCCACCCTTGCTGTATTTATTCTGTGTTGCATTTGGGTGGGCCACCATGCTCTGGTGGTTTGCTTAGGTGCTCTTCACCAGTGGATCATCTTTACCCCAACAACCTGCAAGCTCGTGGGCTCCTTGTAGGCTATCTCTGATCCCAGCTGATGGAGGTCAGGCTTTCTTAAATCCCCTAAAGAAAGGCTACTTCACAATGAAAGAGTGCCACCTAGATGGAAGGAATAATTGTCATCATTCATTACCAGCTGGTAGAAGTGACTTCGGGTTTAAAGCAACTAACTGGATGCTGTTAAGTCGCTGGACAAATTACTTAACCTCTTGAGTCTATTTTCTACCCAGCAACAATGCAGTGAGGATACAATGAGAAATGCATGTAAATTCCCTAGCGTGGGGACTGGTACTTAGAGCACTGAGTCTCAATAAAGGGTGGCTTTGGGAGCCATTGCTGTATGTTACATGATGAAGTGGCTTGCAACAATGATGAAAACCATGTTAATAATAGCAATCGGCATGTATTGTGTTGACAATGCTCCAGGCATTGCACAAAGCAGTTCACTTTTATTATTTCATTTAAACTCCATCATCCTCTATAAGGTAGGTACTACTATTATTCCCATTTTACAGATTAAGAAACTGGGGTTGAGAGAGTTTAAGCAGTTGGCCCAAGGTCACAAGGTCAGGAAAGAGGTGAAGTTTGCCATCCTTTTGAATCCTCCACTCTGCAGTGCTCGGTTGTGAAATTGCAATGTCATCTTCATTAAAACTTGCTTGCTCATTAGGTAGGGAACTGAACATGCTCACGTTTTCTCTCCAATGCCCTTGCATCACGGAGGGAGTGTGTTGTGGGTGACAGCCTTGCTCAAAGGACGCCTCTTTGTCAGTGTGCTGTGCTCACTTAGAAAGCAGCACCCACATTGACTAACCATTTGCTGCTCCACCTAGACTCTGTTGTTATTATTCTAGGGATCTGTCGTCCCAGGTTGTAGCCATCCCCGTAGGGGCCAGGCAGTTGCAGAAAGTAGCCAAAATTGCAAGCTGCAGGAAGCTCCTGCGACTCATTCATCCTGGACATCTCTGGTGGAAGATGAGGAATGACATAGTAATTTTGCCACCTGCAGTTTTCTGGGTGTTTCTTTATTAGCTGCCCATGACTCACTTAGAATGCTGGTTTTGGAAACTCTGGGTGGGGCTTGGGGTTGGGAGAACACAGCTACCAGGTGCAGCAGCTTCAGGGCAGCAGTTACCAAGGGGAACAAGTGACTGATGGTTCCAGAACTTCCCCATCTTGGTCGTAATGACACCAGCTGGAGTTACCCACAAGGCCTGGGTCTTATGGAATATTGTCCTTCATGAGGTGTCTTGAAAGACGGCAGCCCCTCTGCTCATCCCTACTCTAAGCAACTCCTGCTCTTTGTCCTGGGGACAAGCTAAGAGAGAGTTGCCCCTCTTTTGATAGCCTGGCCTTGCGTGTACCTTGAGGCTGAGTCAGAAGCCTGGTTTGTCGAGGAAGGCAGCAGGTAGCAATAAAGACTGATGGAGCAGAACTGCCTACTCCCAAGAAAGCGGCCGCTGGAAGGGTTATAAAGAGACTCAGGATGGGGGTGATTATATAATGGGGTTTAATGAGGCTTAAGGCCAAGGTTCATTACTCCCCAGAAGAGAGGGAGGAGAGGCTCGTGTCTTGACAGAAGTTTGCTGGCTGAACCACAGTCTTGTCTCAGAATTGGAAGATATTTTGAGCAGTTTGGGTTTGACTGGACTCAGTGGTGCCAATTCCAAGGGGAAAGTAGATATCCTATTGGAGTTACCCAAAGGACTTCGTTCCCCCAAAATGAGCTGGGGTCGGTGCTGGTATCTCCTCTTCCCCTGGGGACTCAGCAGACACAGGAGGTTCCACGTTGCCTGGCATCTTTTAGAAACTCAGGCCCCAGCAGCTTTTTAATGGGTACTGACCACCTGCTACATGCCAGGCAGGATGTAGATGATTTGCAGGCATTGAAATATATAAACCTGGAAATAAACAAAATGCTACAGAACAGTTCCTAAAGAAAAGCACTGATCTCTTGCACTATTCCTCCCCAATCCTGCTTCCCAGAAGCAACCAGCTTAACTCCTTCTGCCTAGTTATTTTGGTGATCACAACCACAATTTAAACCAGGTTCTACCGGGGGTTCTCCAAGTGTGTTCCAGACCACCATCACCAGCAGCAGCAGCATCCCAAAGCTTGTTAGAAATGCACATTCTTGCTCTTCCCCTCCAGCCCTATTGAATCAGAAGTTCTGGGGAGAGGTCCAGCAATCTGAGTTTTCACAAGCTCTCCAGGGAGTTCTGCAGGCTGGCATTTCAGAATCCCCGGGTTATATGGCAGTTTTTTTTAAAGCTTTCATTTTGAAGTAATTTCAAATTTACAGAAACGTTGCAAGAACAACACAGGGGACTTCCAGGTCCCTCTTTACTTAGATTCACTGGTTTTTAACATTTTCCTGCATTTGCTTTTTTCTCTCCCTCTTTCTTTCTTTCTCTCTCTCTAATTTTTGTGAACCATTTGGGACTAGGCTGCATACTCTCTTACATAACCATGTAGAGTTACCAATTTCAGTAAACTTGACATTGAGTCAGTACTTTCATCTCACCAGATTCCAATTTCAGCAATTGCCCCAATAGTATCCTTTAGAGCAATTTTTTTTTTTCTGGTACAGGATCGAATCTGAGGTCACATATTGTGTTTAGCTGTTATGCAAGCTAGAACAGTTTCTCAGCCTTTTTTGTTGTTGTGTATGACTTTGGCCTCTTTGAAGAGGAGGGGTCAGTTACTTTATAGAACATCTCTCAATTCAAGTCTGCCCGATGTTTCCTCCTGGCTGGACTCAGGCTAGATGTCCTTGGCAGGATGCCTACATTAAGTGGCGTTGAATCTTTCTTAGTATATCACATCTTTATAGACAACTCCACTGTGTGGGATCAGGAGACTTAAGGTCCTTCTGTGCCCTGCACACTTGCCCCTTGGATTTCCAGGAAGCCAGGAGCCCAGCCCTCAGCCTTCCTGGTGCTTCTCTGTGATGGGATGGGAGTTATTCCAGGTGTAAGTTGCTCTCAAAGTGCAAGAAACTGACACAGAAGATAAAGTCTGGATGTAAGCAGTTGGCCTTAAGGGACTGCACGTGTGTCAAATTGTCATGATTCATTTGCAGATGTATCTATTAAATATCTTTATGTTTCAAAGGAGTTTTCAACCTCTTGTGTTGTGTGTTCATTTCCACCCCTGTTTAATGAGGTAGATTCGGCCTTGTCATGGGTTGAATTGTGGCCTCAAAAAGATGTGCCCAAATCCTACCCCACACACCTGTGGATGTGCCTTATTTGGAAATAGGGTGTTGGCAGGTGTGATCAAGTTAAAATGAGGTCATTAGAATGGGCCCTAGTCCAGTATGACTGGTGTCCTCATAAGAAGAGGGAAATTTGGACAGAGATACCAGGATGGCACCAGGTAAAGATAGGGACAGAGATTGGACTGATGAGTCTACAAGCCAAGGAACACCAAGGATTGCCAGAGCCACCAGAAGCTGGAAGAGACTCATGAGGACATGCTCTCCTCAGAGCCTCCAGAAAGAACCAACCCTGCTTTGAAAATCAAGAACCTCCTTAATCTTGGACTTCTGGCCTCTAGAACAGTGAGAGAATAAACCTGTCTTGTTTTAAGCCACCAGTTTTTGGTATTTTATTATAGCAGCCCTAGGAAACCAACGCAGACCTCCTCCTCATTTTCCAAATAAGAATAAGGAAAGGCAGTACCAGGGCCAATCTGTATAATCATGGCAAGTCAATACCTATTCAAAGTCTCAGTGTCACCTTAAATGCCAGCTGGAACAGGACTTTTCCTCTGAGATACCTACTGGGTTCTGAGAAGTACCTGAAAAGGGTGTAGCAGCCTGATGTGGGGGAGAGAAGAAAGAGGTGAGGCAGGGGCAGCTGCTCTCCAGCCCCAGCAGGTGTGGCTGCGTGGAGATGTGGGCCCAGCACTGTGCTGCCAGATTGTTTGATTTGTTCAGAAGTTGGAGATCCTGACTTTTACAAGCACTCTCCCATTTTAAAAATGTTAGCAACCAATTATACATCCTTTGACACTGTATAAGCTCATGTTGGATAACTCCACAGATTTGCGGGTTGCATTTTGTTTGGGGGCTGCCAATTTTTAATCTCTGTTCTAGGATAGATGTCAGAGCTGGAAAGGGCCTCAGAAATCACTGAGTCCAGCCCCTTGTTTTACAGATGGGGAAACTGAGGCTAGAGAGTAGGAAGGACTTGCCCAGGGCTATAGAGCTGGGGCTTGAACCTGAGTCTCCTGATGCCAACCAATGGCTCTCTCCATTATATCAAGAGGGTTGCAGAACAGCAGTCTCTGCTGCCACTCAAAGTGCTTAGCAACAAGGTGGTGGAAGTTCAAAGGAAGTTAGCGTGTCTTTGTTTAAATGGTGACACTTTTTGTCTGTATGGAGGGCTGCTGAAGCATGCGGACGTGAGCTGTATGTGTGTGTGCATGTGTGGGTGTGTATGTTCCATGAGAGGCAACTTCTGGGTTCTTATCATCAGTCTTCTCTTGTCCCTGCCTACATATTTTGTACTTCTTGCCCTAGCAAAAACAGTTTGGGCTCAGCATGCAGTAGACAACCTCAGCCCTTTTGTTATGATTGCTTTCACCAGGAGTTGTGGTGACCAAAATTGGTAGGTAAGTGGTTGGCGTTAGAAAGCAAGGGGGCCATTTGTGTCTGTTGGAGTTAAGTCCTGATCCTCGGTCAGGTACATGCTGTCAGAGTGGGCAATCCCATTCCCCCTCATCAGGACCTGTGTCTGATCGATCCTGCCTTTGTCCCAGTAACCCCTCTCTTGAGCATCAGCTGATTTCAAAACATCAGTTGATTTCTATCTGCGATAGAACTGTACGGTGTACACAAGGCATTCGTATTCCTTATCAGTGCCCCTGCATCCCCATTCTGTGGATGAGAAAACTGACGTACCAAGAGAGGAAAATTCCTGGCTGGCAGTTACAGAGTGCATCAGAGGCAAGACTAAAAACCATAACGCCTTCAGACACCAGGTTGCACGATCTTTCTGCACATGACTTGGCCTGACCTCATTTCTATGAAGTGGTAGCGCTGCAGGGGGGTTGGGTTTGTTTCAACCAAATTTACCCTCCTCCCCAACAAGCCTGGTCCTCTTCTGGCAGCCTCGTCTTGCCCATCTATCCAGCTGGGTAAGCCTATATTTAGGTGTGAACTTTGACCCTTCTTTTCCATGATGCCCTATCTTCCATGTCTTGTTGAGTGAGGCTTCTAAATCAGGGGTCAGCAACCTTTTTCTGTAAAAGGCCAGATAGTAAATATTTCCAATTTTGCAGGCTGTATGATTTCTGTGACAACTACTCAACTCTGCCATTGTAACACAAAGCATCCAGAGACAATACCAAAACAAATGGATGTGGCTGTGTTTCAGTAGAACTTGACTTACAATAGCAGGCGGAGGGCCAGATTTGGTTCATGGGATGTAGACTGTGACCTCTGTCCTTCCACTTTTTTTCATCTCCTCCTCCATCATCACCACCCTTGTCCAAACTATGCAATAGTTTCCAAATGGATCGTCCTGTATCCACTTTGACCCAAATCCAATCCATTGATGTAATCTTCCCAAAGTGAAAATCTGGCTCTCAACCCCAATTAAGATAAGATTCTACCACAGTCTCCCACTGTTCATAGTCTACAGCCCAGATCCTTAACGTGTCATGCCAGACCCTGGCTGGCTCCTGTGCTCTCTCTAGCTTCATTTTTCTCTCTCTGCCCCGTCACATGAATTCCTTCACTGAACTATGCTCTCTCTTGCCATGAACTCTTAGGCTAATGGACACACGCTCATTATTATCACTTCCATCTGAATTAATGTTTCCTTGGGAAAGCATTGCCTGACATTCTAAGTTAGATCAGTTACACCTTTTCTCATCTCTGTACTTTTCTTTAGAAGCACTTAGCACAATGTGCAGGTATATGTGTACTTATATGAGTATTTGTTTCATGCCTCATTCCTCTAATATCAGTTCCATGAAGGCAGTGACTACGTCAGTCTTGTTCATCACTGTGCCTGGCATGGAGCTAGCACACACAAAATAGTTTTGAATAGATAGCAACGAACATTTTTGAGCATTCACTTTGTGTCCAGCACTGTGAACCTTTAGCTACTCAGGACCTAGATGGCAAAGGACAAAGAATTCTACTTGTTGCCCTCCAGAGCTGCAGGGCTGGCTGGGCTTGGCTTCACCCAGGCAGGAACTGAAGTCTCTGGATTTGGATGCAGTCTTTGGATTTATGGATGTTTCTCCTGCTTAACTGACTAGGGAAGCAAGTGTCCAAGAAAAACTGCCCCCGAAACCATTTTGTTGATTGAAAAATAAGCAGCTCTTTATCACTGCATGGTGATGTTGGTGATTGGGATTCATGGTTGGTTACAAGTGACAGGTAACCCAACCTAAGTGTTTTGTTTTGTTTTTAAATATAAAGGTAATTTATTGACACATGTAACTAGAAGGTCCATAGGCTATGTAGCCTTCAGGTATGGCTGGATCTAAGGGCTCTGTTCATGTTGTGACTTAGTCTCTATCTCTCAGCCCTGCTGTTTTTAGGTCGGCTTCACTTTTATGCTCTATTTGGTGACAAGATGGCCCCAGCAGTCTCCCCTATTCTAGTCCATAGCGGCAGAGTAAGATTGTTTAGATCTGAGATTCACTCTGAATCCACAGGCTTGACTGTGTACTCATCTCTGAACCAATCAGCAGAGCCAGAGAAATGGGATGGATACTTACTGGCTTTATTTGGGCCATGATCTAAGCTATGGGCTTAGAAATGGAGAGTTTCGCAGTATTAGTCAGGATTCTCTTAGAGGGATAGAACTAATAGGATATATATATATATATATATATATATATATATATCCTATTATATATATATATCCTATTATATATATATATATATCCTATTATATATATGTATACACACACACACAAAGGGGAGTTTATTAAGTATTAACTTACATGATCACAAGGTCCTACAATAGGCTGTCTGCAAGCTGAGGAGCAAGGAGAGCCAGTCTGAGTCCCAGAACTGAAGAACTTAGAGTCTAATATTCAAGGGCAGGAAGATCCAGCAAGGGAGAAAGATGTAGGCTGGGAGGCTAGGCCCATCTCTCCTTTTCCATGTTTTTCTACCTGCTTTATATTCACTGGAAGCTGATTAGATTGTACCCACCAGATTAAGGGTGGATCTGCCTTCCCTAGCCCGCTGACTCAAACGTTAATTTTTTAGATTCAGTTTCACTCTTGTTGCCCAGGCTGGAGTGCAATGGCACGATCTTGGCTAACCACAGCCTCCACCTCCTGGGTTCAAGTGATTCTCCTGCCTCAGCCTCCTGAGTAGCTGGGATTACAGGCATGTGCCACCACGCCCAGCTAATTTTGTATTTTTAGTAGAGGTTTAGTGGGGTTTCTCCATGTTGGTCAGGCTTGTCTCGAACTCCCAACCTCAGGTGATCCACCCACCTCGGCCTCCCAAAGTGCTGAGATTACAGGCGTGAGCCACCATGCCTGGCCACAACTATCCTTCATATAACCAGAAATGCACCAACCTCTAACTCAAATACTATTATATAAAGTTAGCAATGCTTAAATGCTGATACGCAGACAATAAATCTTATGTCACATGATAAAGGAAAAGGAAATAAAATGAAGATATTTTCTTAGTACAAGGGTATACGTACACAAACATGTGTTTAACAAAAGAAGGAGGAAATACTCATGACAGTTATAGTCCTCATTGCTGCAGCTGGTCACGTGGTCATAGCTAGTATTGATGACTACCTTCTACTACCCATTCTGTATTCCGTTTGCCTTCAGCAGGCACCTCAGCAAGTCGTGGTTTTTTTCCTGCTGGAGTGACACAAACCTTCATTCCTGAAGGGTCCGGGTCATTTGTAGTCCTGCCTGGATTGGGCTGTTGTAGTTTCCCATTGATCTTAATCACAGTGCATGGTAATACTCAGAGATGCCCTAATGGATCTCCTGTATTCCATGCGTACTCTTCCTTACCTCCATTGTGGAGTAGCAGACTGGTTTCATCTTGATAGTCTGGGTCATTCACCCCAGCCAGCATTGTAACTCCCTTCTTAGCCTGTTGACTTAAAGGTAGGAGGAGCTCAAAGTGTCCAGGTGGTAATTTTAACTTCCAGTTTAGTGGAATCGTTGTGTCTCCTGGTGGCAGCGTTCCTCCCTCTGGAACTAAGACCTCTAGGCCAGCAGAACGTAATGTCGTGGGATCAGGAAGCAAAAACTTTGCTAGTGGATCACTAGGGGTGATGGTGGGTGGTGCCACTTCCGCCCCTTGATTCCTGGACCTGTGAATTCTGGCTATGGGAGAAAGAGTACCATATATTGGATGCCGATTCAGAGCATACACGGCCTTCTAGAGAACTTTGCCCCAGTCCTGCAGAGTATTGCCACCTAGTTGGTGTTGTAATTGTGACTTCAAAAGGCCATTCCACCGTTCTATCAATCCAGCTGCTTCAGGATGATGGGGAACATGGTAAGACCAGTGAATTCCATGAGCATGAGCCCATGCCACACTTCTTTAGCTGTAAAGTGAGTGCCTTGGTCAGAGGCAATGCTGTGTGGAATACCATGATGGTGGTGGATAAGCCATTCCGTGAGTCCACAGGTGGTAGTTTTGGCAGAAGCATTGTGTGCAGGAGAGGCAAACCCATATCTGGAGTAAGTGTCTATTCCAGTGAGGACAAACCTCTGCCCTTTCCATGATGGAAGAGGTCCAATATAATCAACCTGCCACCAGGTAGCTGGCTGATCACCCTGAGGAATGGTGACATATCGAGGGCTCAGTGTTGGTCTCTGCTGCTGGCAAATTGGGCACTCAGCAGTGGCCGTAGCCAGGTCAGCCTTGGTGAGTGGAAGTCCATGTTGCTGAGCCAATGCGTAACCTCCATCCCTGCCACCGTGGCCACTTTGTTCATGGGCACATTGGGCAATGACAGGGGTGGCTGGGGAAAGAGGCTGAGTGGCGTCCACAGAGTGGGTCATTCTATCCACTTGATTATTGAACTCCTCTTCCACTGAGGTCACCCGTTGGTGAGCACTCACATGGGATACAAATATCTTCACAGTTTTTGACCACTCAGAGGGTTCCATCCACATACCTCTTCCCCAAATTTCTTTGTCACCAATTTTCCAATAATGCTTCTTCCAAGTCCCTGACCATCCAGCCAAACCACTGGCTACAGCCCACAAATCAGTATATAATCACACATCTGGTCTTTCTCCTTCCAGGCAAAGTCCACAACCAGGTGCACTGCTCGAAGTTCTGCCCACTGGGAAGATTTCCCTTCACCACTGTCCTTCAGGGATGTCCTAGAAAGGGGCTGTAGTGCTGCAGCTGTGCACTTTCGGGTGGTGCCCGCGTATTGTGCAGAACCATCTGTGAACCAGGCCCTGGTCTTCTCTTCCTGTCAACTGATCATAGGGAGCTCCCCATGAGGCCATCGGTGTAGGCTGGGGAAGAGAAGGCAGGATGGCAGGAGTGGAGATCATGGGCATTTGAGCCACTTCCTCATGTAACTTACTTGTGCCTTCAGGACCTGCTCAAGCCCAATCCCGTATATGCCACTTCCATTTGATGATGAAATGCTGCTGTGCACGACTCACTTTATGGCTACATGGGTCAGAAAGCACCCAGTTCATGATAGGCAGTTCGGGTCACATAGGCAGTTCAGGTCACATTGATGACCCATAGCCAAATGTACAGTTTCCACCAAAGCTTAGTAACAGGCCAAGAGCTGTCTCTTAAAAGGAGAGTAGTTATCTGCAGAAGATGGCAGGGCCTTGCTCCAAAATCCTAGAAGCCTCTGCTGTGATTCACCTATGGGAGCCTGCCAAAGTCTCCAAACAGCATCCCTGTCGGCGACTGACACCTTAAACACCATTGGATCTGCTGGATCATATGGCCCAAGTGGCAGAGCAGCTTGCACAGCAGCCTGGACCTGTTGCAGAGCCTTCTCCTGTTCTGGACCCCACTCAAAACTGGCAGCCTTTCGGGTCACTTGATAAATGCACTGGAGTAACACACCCAAATGAGGAATGTGTTGCCTCCAAAATCCAAATAGGCCCGCTAGGCGTTGTGCCTCTTTTTTGTTGTAGGAGGGGCCAAATACAGCAACTTATCCTTTACCTTAAAAGGAATATCTCGACAGGTCCCACACCACTGGACCCCTAGCAATTTTACTGAGGTAGAAGATCCCTGATTTTAGTTGGATTTATTTCCCATCCTCTGGCATGCAAATGCCTCACCAATAAGTCCCGTGTGTTTGCTACTTCTTGCTCACTGGATCCAATCAACATAATGTCATCATGTAATGGACCAGTGTGATATCTTGCAGAAGCAAAAAGCAATCAAGGTCTCTCTCCGAATAAGATTATGACACAAAGCCAGAGAGTTTCTATACCCCTGAGGTAGGACAGTGAAGGTATATTGCTGGCCTTGCCAGCTGAAGGTAAATTGCCTCTGGTGGGCTTTATGGACAGGAATGGAGAAAAAGGTATTTGCCAAGTCAATGGCTGCATACCAGGTAGCCAGAGATATGTTGATTTGCTCAAGCAATGAAACCACATCTGGTACAAGTACAGCAGCTGCAGTTGGAGTTACCACTTGGTTAAGCTTATGATAATCCACTGTCATTCTCCAAGATCCATCTGTCTTCTGCACAGACCAAATGGGAGAGTTGAACAGGGATGTGGTGAGAATCACCTCCCCTGTGTCTTTCATGTCCTTGTTGGTGGCACTAATCTCCACAATCCCTCCAGGGATGCAATATTGTTTTTGATTTACTATTTTTCTAGGTAGAGGCAGCTCTAATGGCTTCCATTTGGCCTTTCCCACTAAAATAGTCCTCATCCTACCAGTCAGGGAGCCAATGTGGGGGTTCTGCCAGATGCTGAGTATGTCTATGCCAATCAAGCATTCTGGCACTGGGGAAATGACCACAGGATGAGTCCGGAGACCCACTGGACCCACTGTACATCAGACCTGAGCTAAAACTCCATTAATTACCTGACCTCCATAAGCTCCTACCTTAACTGGAGGACCACAGTGATGTTTTTGGGTCCCCTGGAATGTGTCAGCTCAGAGTCAGTGTCCAGTAGTCCCTGAAATGTCTGATCATTTCCCTTTCCCCAGTGCACAGTTACCCCGTTAAAAGGCTGGAGGTGTCCTTGGGGAAGGATGGGAGAAAGATTCACTGCATAAATTGTCTGTAATGTAGTGGGGTCCTTCCTCAAGGGACCCAGCCTGCCCTTCATTCAAAGGGTTCTGGTTCTGTAAACTGGCTCAAGTCTGGAAATTGACTGAGGGGCTGTGATTCTCTGTTTTTATAATTCAAATTAGCCTTTTGTCCATCCTACCTAGAAATTTTCCATTTGTATAATTTAAGTAGGAATGCAGTAGGCTTCCTATCAATTTCACTTCTAGGAACACTGTGATTAATTAGCCAATGCCAGAGATCTACATGAGTCAGAGTATTCTTTTTTAAATTATTATTATTTTTATTTTTTCCATAAGTTATTGGGGTACAGGTGGTATTTGGTTACATGAGTAAGTTATTTAGTGGTGATTTGTGAGATTTTGATGCACATATCACCCGAGCAGTATACACTGTACCATATTTGTAGTCTTTTCATCCCTCGCCCCCCTCCCACACTGCCCCTGAGTCCCCAAAGTCCACTGTATCATTCTTATGCCGTTGCGTCCTCATAGCTTAGTTCCCACATATCAATGAGAACATACAATGTTTGGTTTTCCATTCCTGAGTTACTTCACTTAGAGTCAGAGTATTCTGATTGCCACTTTGCCTTTGCTGTCCATTACAGTAGCTACTCTCACCTTGCCTTTGACAGTTGAGTGCTGCCACTTGGCCCTTGCCACCTTGGGATCCAATTATTCCCCTTGTATGTAAATTTTGTAGTTGAGTGACTGTGGTTCCTACCATTAGATCTGACATACAGAGAAGAGCAATTACAGGGCTCTTCAAAGATGTAGGTGCTGCCCTCCCAAATCTATTTCATAAGACATTGGTCAAGGGTATATCTTCTGGACCCTCCCAGCTGGGATGAGTAGGTCTAAAGTGACTAATCTACTCCACCATCCCAATCTCCCTGAGCCTTTGGATCTCTTCCTCTACATTAAACCAAGGGAGATCAGGCATTTCCAACTCACTCACAGTGGGCCATCTTTTAATCCATATTTCGGCTAACCAAGCAAATAAACTATTAGAACCTTTTTTTAACTCCCCAATATGCAACATTAAATGCAGAGTCCCTACTTAGTGGGCCCAAATCAATAAATTCAGCCTGATCCAACTCTGTGTTCCTTCCCCCATTATCCCACACCCTTAATATCCATTCCCATGCCTGTTCTCTAGATTGCTGTTTATATAAATTGGAGAACTCAAACAGTTCTTTTAGAGTGTAGTGCACCTCCTCATGGGTCACACTCTCAACCTCACCTCCAGGGACCCTCTGGGACTTGAGTGTGGTTATAGGTCTAGAAGCAAACAGGGGTATTGGGGGTGGCTCCTGAGGAGAATCAACATTATTTTGCCTGGCAACTGCCTCAGAGGAGGCCATCACTGTTGCCTCAGGCAGGGCAGGGTTTATCCCCTCAGACAAAGGTGGAAAGGCTGATGGCAGCATGGGTTGGGGAGGGGATGTTGCCATTTCTGGGGATGGGGAAGTTGTTCCTTCTGGCAAAAAGGGTCCATCAGAGTTTACAAACTCAATGTCCCCAGCTTCATCAGGGTCCTCCCACAAATCCCCATTCCAAATTTCAGGGTCTCATTTTTTTCTAATCAATGCCCTCACTTTAACAGTAAACACCTGGTGAGGCTGTGCATGCACCTTTCATTGCAGGTTAGCCAGCCACTCACATGGTAAGAGCTTATGTCTGTTTTTCCACAATTTCAGCTCTTTCTCTACAGGAGATAAGACTCACTCAGGGCAATCTTAGTAGATTTGAGGTTCAGTATCTGTTTCTGAAGCTGGGAGACAGAATCCCTGAGTTCATAATTTCTTTCATAATTTTATTTCATCACTTTGTCTACTGAACTTAGGAGCAGCCAACCAGCTTCATTGTGTTCCTTGGGTCTCCAAATATGGTCAAAGGTATTATGTATAGCGTCACTAAACTCCTTGCCTTTCATAAGCAGTGAATCAGGAGTCTCAAATGCATTTATTTTGCATAATTCTCTAAACAGTTCATGCCAAGGACTATCAGTGTTCTCTATACTATTAGAAGTAGAGTCCTTAGCATTTTTGGGTCTAATCATATTAAGCAGCCAACTCCAGAAACCCCCAAATCAATGAAAGAACTCCATCCTTAATATTCTATTCCTCTAAAACCACTCCTGGTACCAAAATCTATATTAGTCAGGGTTCTCTTAGAGGGACAGAACTAATAGGAGATATATATGAGTTTATTAAATATTAACTTACACGATCACAAGGTCCCACAATAGGCTGTCTGCAAGCTGAGGAGCAAGGAGAGCCAGTCTTAGTCCCAAAACTGAAGAACTTGGAGTTGTATGGTTGTATGTTTGAGGGCAGGAAGCATCCAGCACGGGAGAAAGATGTAGGCTGGGAGGCTAGGCCCATCTCTCCTTTTCACATTTTTCTGCCTGCTTTATATTCCCTGGAAGCTGATTAGATTGTGCCCACCAGTTTAAGGGTGGATCTGCTTTCCCCAGCCCACTGACTCTTTTGGCAACACCCACACAGACACATCCAGGATTAATAATGTGTATCCCTCAATCCAATCAAGTTGTCACTCAGTATTAACCATGACATTTGCTTAAAAGAGAGAATGAATGCTGGGGAGGCTGACAATCAGTGTTCACTAGAGCAAGCATGAATAATGTGGGGTCCCTGTCTTCAAAGACTTTGAGGAGCACTCCTCCAACCCCAGGCCAGATCAGTTCATGACCTGAATTAGCAGGCTGTGTCTCTACCATTGTACAGAAAACCATTTCAGTTCTCTGTTTCTGTTGGGCTGTATTCCCCAGTGATCCCTGGAAAGGAGTTTCTTTTTTCTCCCATCCCCTGACACTCCTCTAGGAAGCACATAGCCTTCTAGGGAGAGTTAATCATGGTACCAAGTAGAGACTCAGCCCCACTCCCAGGGCAAAGCCATGGCATCCTGGCTTTGGCCAGGCAGGCAACTGAGAGTTGGACAAGCCTGGGTTCAGATCTTATCTCTGCCCTGTATTACTTACCAGCTCCAAGCCTCAGGTTCTCCATCTTTAAAACTGGGCATCATATCCCTTTCTCATGGATTGATTATTGGGATGAAATGAAAGGATCCTAAGCACTATGCCTGCTGCAAAGGAAGCAGTACCTAAGTGTTGTGATTGTTGATACTGTTGTATGGTGTTTGGATTTAGGTCAGCTTTAATCCTCATTGGTTTCTGCTGGATATCGCCCCACCCTACAGCATACCTGAATGCAGCAATCAGTATTGATTGAACATCTGAAATGTAAAATAAGATACTGAGTATCAGGGAGGAGTCAAATAAATGTACGTTACAGTCCCTGACCTCAGTGAACTTGCAGTCGAGTTGGTTAGAAGCCCTCTAGGATGCAGGCAAAACTCTGGTCCAGGAGTTGGGAAATCTTGGTTTTCCTTCCAGGGCTGTTACCCCTGGCTGTCTGGCTCTTGTTAGATCACTCAACATTTCAGAGCCTTGGTTTCTTCATCTGGCAAATGTGCATATTGATGCCATCTGCATACCTCACAAAACTGTTGATTGTTGGGAGGTGTGTGATCACCATTTGGAAACCAGAAATTGTTCAGATGGACAAAGTATCATTATCCCTGCCTAGTAAGACAGCAAACAGACAGGCAGCGTAGACATTCAGCTGTTGCGCATCTGTAGCACTGTTCAATCTGATTGGTTGGGCATGTTTTTGGGTGTGTGTTCTGATTGGTTGAGTGTATATTTTGATTGGCCAGGCCTATTTTCTGATTGGCTGGGCATATTTTCTGTTTGGCTGAGCATATTTCCTCATTGGCTTGGCGTGATTGGTTGGATATGTTTCTATTTGGCCCATGCCAGCCCATAAGGGTGGTTAAATATTTTCAGTAACACCCCTAAACACAAGCACCTACCTCACTAAGCATAAGAAAATATTCAAGCCTCAGTTTCCTGATGTATACAGTGATAGCAATACCTTCCTGGCAAGGTTATGGTGAAGACTGTAGGAAATGAAATGTTAAGGATTATGGTCTGTCCCATCCACAAGACTGTGCTCTGTAAAGGCAATATCTTATCTTTTCTGTTGACTGCCATATCCTCATATCCATAGCCTGCTACATTATAGGCTCTGAACAAGTATGTTTTGAATGCATAAATGAAGCCCCAATGCCTTATGCTAGGGGCACAATGGTTACTCAGTGAATCCAGATTGAGGACGTTAGGGGTCATCAGAGATGAAGGATGCAGTTGGTGTCGGACAATGGTGGGGGTGGTGAAGATTGTGGCAAACAGGAGATCACCTCCTCCTCCACTTCTAAAGAAGGCAGTCAACGTCCAGTCCAAGTCAGTCATTGCTCTATGGGAAAGGGAAAAATTGTCATCACATTATCCAAATTTTCTGAGAGAAGCCAGACATCTAGATTTTTGTAGGTAATCTCAAAATTTTTAAAATATTGGCAATGGAGTAAAATGTTTTTTATAAAAACCATCACAGGTTAAGCAATATATATATGGGGCCACCAGTTTGTGACCATTGGACCTGCCATAAATGGTATGTCCCTTGCTGATTCTTGTAACTGGAACTTTTGTCTTTAAAAAGACAGGGTTAGGCTGGGTGTGGTGGTTTACATCTGTAATCTCAGCACTTCGGGAGGCCAAAGCAGGAGGATTGCTTGAGCCCAGGTATTTGAGAACAGCCTGGGCAATGTGCTGAGACCCCCATATCTACAAAAAAATAAAGGTAAAAAAGCCAGACGTGGTGGTGTGCACCTGTTGTCCCCGCTACTCAGGAGGCTGAGGCAGCAGGATTGAAGTTGCAGTGAGCTATGATCACGCCACTGCACTCCAGCCTGGGCGACAGAGTGAGACTCTGTCACTAAAAATTAGAACAAAAACGGATGGGTCAGACTTCCTTCTCATCCTTAGGACTGTGCTCCTGGCCCCTCCCCTGATCTCCAGCATCACTAACATGCCACAAAAGCCTGTTCTCCCAGCTATGATTATGCCCCTAGGATGTAGCTTTGATAACTTGGATTTTCACCTTGGGGATTTACCTCTTTGTCACTCATTTGAATGGAGGGACTCTTCCTTCTCCAAATAACAGGCTGCTTCCAAGGCCTTGCGTGGACGTGCCACAGCCTCCCACCCATGGCACCCTGGGCCCGTGCTGGCTCCTGGCACACACCTGCACTCTGAGGCTTGGCCCCATCAGTCTGTGGGCAGGATCTGAGACCCTGCTTTTCATCTCAGGCCAAATTCTTCTTGGCCGGGGATAAAAGTGAAAAGTGTTCTACTGTGTCCCATGCTGCTCTGTTGAAGGTCTCTGTTAAAGCCATTCTTTCCTTTGCTAAAAGTCAGGGCATGACCAGGCAGGCGGAGGTGGGCACTTAGCTTCTTCGCCCTTCACTCTCTCCTACCTTAACAGGGAGAGTAAAACCCTCCTCTGTTTACTCTCTTTACTCTCTTCCTCCGTCACATCTGTCTTCAGGTCTGTCTGTCTGGATCATCCAGTCTCTTTTTCTGTTACTTTCTTCCTTGAGCCCTGTCTTCCTCTCTTTTTTCTCTGTGTGGCTTTCACCCTCTCCGTCTTTCTTTCTCCTGGTCACCATGTCTCTCATCTCTGTCTCTGTCTCTGCCTCTCCCTGGCTCTTTCTCCCTCTCCTCTCCCCGCTGGCTGTAATCATCCACCCTTCACAGCCTCATGAACACTGGCAGCCCTTCTGCGCTGCATTCCTTAAAAACCCTTGCTGCTGACAGAGAGGACTTGGAGGTGGTGGCTGGGGGACTGCGGGAGGGAGGGAAGACTAAGCCCCTTCAGAAGTCAGAGCATCTGTCTCTTTGGGAGCAATGCCGGGGCTTTGATGCTAAATACTGAGGAGTGAGAAGGAGGGGGCAGATGGCAGAGGAGGAGCTCTGTAGGGCGGGTGCTGGTGCGCCCCTTCAGAAGAAACTCGATGCTGACTCCATCATGACAAGCCTGGGGTCCTGGATCCCCGGGGTTAATTGGCCTGCCTTGGCCTGCTTCCAGCTGGAGTATTTACTTTCTATTCCCCAAACCCTCCAGGCTTTGGCTGCAGCTTTCTCTGGAAACCCTAGGAAACAGCACCTTGTCCTGCAGTAGCTCTTTCTGGGAGGCTGCGAGCCCCGGTAGGGTCACCTTGGGCTGCCGCCTCACCTGTCTGTTTGTCCATCTATAAAATGGGACTAATTGATGTAAGTGTTCCCGGCCTCGCAGAGCTGCCACGAGGACCCAGTGAGCTGATACTGCATGTTATGGGCTGGAAATGGCTGGATAGGTTCAGCTGCTGCTTCTGCAGAGGGCCAAATAACAAGTATTTTCAGCTTTGCAAGACAATAGCCCTGGCCCTCTGTATTCATGGATTTTACATCCATGGATTTAACCTACTTCAGATCTAAAATATTTGAAAAATCATGGATAATTATGTCTGTACTGAACATGTACTGACTTTTTTCTTGTCATTATTTCTTAAACAATAGAGTATAACAACTATGTACATAACATTTACATTGTATTAGGTATCATAAGTAATGTAGAGGTGATTTAAAGTATACAGGAGGCTTTGTGTAAGTTATTAATATATGAAGACTATGCCATTTTATATCAGGGACTTGAACATATTGGATTTTGGTATATGTGGGGTGTCCTGGAACCAACCCCCTATGGATACTGAAGGACAGCTGTACACACACACACACACACACACACACACACACACACACACACACACGCACATACACATGCACATTCCAGAAGACATAATTGTTTTTCAGTGCTGTATTCGGAATTGTAAGAAGAGTTCAAGCAGAGTGGTTTTTGATGAGGCTTCTCCACCCACTGTATTTGATGAGAACATTTCATGCTTAGCCCTCATGAGAAACTAAGGCGTTGATCTAAGATTGGCCACACTGTTCCATCACAGCCCCTTCCAAACAGTTAGAGATTTTGCTTCCAGGAACATTGGGTGGGGAGGCAGATTGTGAAATTGAGGTTTGCCCAAGGAACAATATGACCTCTACATGGGTGTAAACTCAATTCTGCTAGCAGGTATGTGGTTGAAGTTGGGATTCAGGGGTCTATAGTGAGGAGATGATTTCTTACTTAGCTAACTTCTTTCCCTTTGGGAAATCCCATAGAACTTGGGCAGAGGAGTGGGGATTGTTATCAAAAGAGGGACACCTGGCATGGAGGCCTCCAAGATTGCATTTGTAGAACTTTTTCTGATATAAGTAACAGAGAACCACCACATACTGGTTTCAGCAAATACAAGTGAACATGATGGTTCATGTACTAAAAAAAAATCCAGTTCTAGAATAAAGGCATCAGGAATGGCTGGATCCAGGAGCTCAGTGTCATCAGCACACATTCTTTCTCTTTCTTCATCTCACAGCCTTGTTTTTCTCCTTGTGAGTTTTATTCCCAGTTAAGCTTCCTCTTCATAGTAGCCTTTGACTGCTCCAAACTTCCATCTTCACAGTTCTAAGTGTATCAGAAAAAGAGTCTCAGTATTAGCTCTGATTAGATGGATGGAAACACATACATGTTTATCCTGAACTGATCACTCTAACCAACTGTGGCCCAAGTTATTGGTCCACTCTTGAAGCCATGGAGTGAATCAACTCCACTGAATCAACTGGGTTGCAATCAAGCGGAGTGGATTTCCAAAGACCAGGGTGACGTAATTACCAGAATAGGGATGCTGAGCACGCGAGAGCAACTGCTGCCTATAGATACCAACTGGTCTGTGGGTTGGGCACCTGTGATTCATGCTCTCGTTTGTTTGTCCCCCCATGGAGTGGCCAGGGGGGAATATGAATGATTATTAATTCGAAAGAGGAGCATGAACCTGTTTGATGAGTATTTCTCTTTCTGATTATTCAAGATTGTACTTTCAGAGAGTGTCAGGAATCCCTCTTTTCCCCACTTTCACCATGGGCTTTCTGCTGACCATGAAACAAGAAGAAAGCGCTTCTTGCCTAGTGGTTTCCAACCTTGCTTTCACATTCAAATCACCTGGGATGCATTTTAAAATTCTGATCCCTAGGCTGCACTCTGGTCCAATGACATCAGAGCCCCTGGAGGATAGGGTCCAGGGGTTAGTACTTTTTAAAGTTCCCTGGGTGATTGCAACATGCAGACAAGATCAAGAACCACTGATCCTGCTTTAGTAGCCTGCATATTCAGCAGCTGTCCTAGACAGGTGGAGCTAAACTCTAGTAGGATTTTCTGAATACCTATGACTTCCATGTAGATGCTGCGAACTTTTTCTTCTCATCTCAAACCGTATCCAAGCCCTAGAAATAAAAACAGGTTTTAGACTGTGATATGATCCATGTAATTTACAGGTGCAGAGGCCTCGCTAGGGCCATAATTCACCAGTGCTGTTCCTGCTTACTAACACACTGATTACTGTCAGATTATCTGGTCTGCTTGCTATATCTTCAGCCAAACTGGCACCAAGGCAGCTGCTCAGCCCCTTGAATCCACATTTGCAGAGGTGGAGACAGTGAGTGGCCAGGCAGGCAAGAACTACATACACAACTGTGCTTCCTGGGATGGACGACAGACAGATCAGCCTGTGGGGACAAGGCCAAAGAGGAGGCTTCAACAGCTGTCCAGAGGGCCTAAAACATCTGCCACACCCCATCCAAGGATCATTCATTCATTCATTCAACAGATGCTTATGGGAGATCTGCAAAGTCAGGCATCGTGCGGTAGTGTTAAGAATAAAATTGTCAAGCCCATACCTAAGATTTAGAGTGAGAGGAGGCTCTGGCGGTTCCTAAATGCTGGTTCTGTGGATCCACTGCATTTGAATCTCTTTCCCATCTTATACCTGCTGATCCCTGTCTCTGAGGCTGGGCCCAGAATCGGGGGGCTATTTAACAAGCACTCATGGAATTAGGATACAGAGACCAGTCTGCAGACCAGGGTTAGGACCTGGTGATGATTTTCACCAACTGCCAACCACCTGAGAAAATAATGGCAATGTAGTGAGTGTTTCCATAAAGTATGTTCGTGCACTTAATAAACAAACTTTTAGTTTAAGATCATATCCTGCATCCTTTTTTGGTGTTAAATGTCTTTTAAAAATGAAATGATGATAATGATAAATGGCTATTTTGTTGTTGTTGTTGTTTTGTTTTGTTTTTGAGATAGAGTCTTGCTCTGTTGCCCAGGCTAGAGTGCAGTGGCACAATCTTGGCTCACTGCAGCCTCCGCTTCCCAGATTCAAGCGATTCTCCTGTCTCACCCTCCCGAGTAGCTAGGACTACAGGCACCCGCCACCATGCCCGGCTAATTTTTGTATTAATATTTCTAGGAGAGATGGGGTTTCACCATGTTGGCCAGGCTGGTCTTGCGCTTCCGGCCTCAAGTGATCTGCCCACCTTGGCCTCCTAAAATGCTGGGACCACAGGTGTGAGTCACCGTGCCCGGCTGATGGTTTCTATTTAGTGTCCTTACTAGGAAAGAAAAGTTGCTAACTCTAGGTAGTCCCCTATTTATTAATTTCATGGGTGCATAAAATCCAAGTCAGAAACCATTTCTCTAGATTGGCATTTTAAAACTTTCTTCTTATTTAGCAATAAAACCTCTCTTCTAAAAGAATCCTGTCTAAAACCTCAGTAGATGAATGAGCAGATAAAAGTGGAATCATTGTGGGTTACATGGAGCCTGGGGGCCTGGTTTCCCATCCCCTGGGTCTCCCCTTCCTTCCATTCCCTAACAACAGTGGCCCCTGAGACACCTCCTCCTTAAAACTCAACTTGGAAACTACTCTCCTAGAAATTTCTTTGAATGTTATAAATGGGAAAATCAAGGCTCTAGAAAGGAAAGTATTTTCCCCAAACTTCTAATTCCTATTTGAGTTCAGTCATCACAAGATCAGCATATCATTGATTAATGAAAAAGGTCCACCCGAACTCCAGTATGGCTTAGAGCCTGGTAAGGTATCAAGGGGCATGGTCTTCTTTGTAACAACCTTTGGGGAAGGTGGAGTCTGAGTCTTCTCCTTTTGTAAATGAGGACAACATGGTCCAGCTAAGTTAAGCAGCTTTCTCAGGGTCAACCAAGAGGGAGGAAAGATTCAGGGACAGGTACGTTTACCTTGAGGTCCAGAGCTCTTTTCTGCTTTTTCTGATGCTGCAAAGTTGGCTCTGGATCCTTGAAGGAAGCCTTGAAAATATATAGAAACTATGGCTTTTCCCCTAGGACAACTTCCAACTCTGTATCTTCAAGAGTCATTCCTCCTTCTGTTCATCCAATCAGAAACATTTTTTGAGTGCTCACCCGCTGTGATGGGCAACGAGGAAACGGATGAATTGATGTCCAAGATCTCCATTCTCATAGAACACCCAGGCTGCTGGGAACACAGATATAAAAGGGCCGATTATGACAATGTTAAGAGCTGCAAAGTGGAAGTTCAGAATGCTACAGAAATCTACAACAGGGGAGCAGCAATGGTGAGGGGACAGGGATGCCTAATCTAGCCGGGGATCAGGGGAGGCTTCCACGAGTGAGTGTCGTTAAACTGCAAGGCTGCAAGGCTGAGTAGGGCCAGCCAGATGATGAACGGGGATGGGATGGAAGTGCATTTAAGGCAGAAGGAATAGCCTCTGCTGAAAGAGCTTGGCAGGTTTCAGGAACACGGAAGATTCTGTGGATGAAGCAGGGGAGAGAGAATGTTAGAGGTGGGACTGGAGAGGTGGGTGGGAGTCAGATCCAGATTTTAGTTTAGTATCCAGGCTTTCATCTCGGACCTGAGGGAAGCTCACAAGCCTTCGCCTCAGGTGCTACTAAACCGTGCTGTTTCTATTCTTCTCTTCAAGGGCAACTTCTGCTACCTGACAGGTAAGTCTGCTATGGGTTAAATTGTGCCCCCCATTAAAAAAGATATGTTGAAGTCCTAACCCCCAATACCTTGGAATGTGACCTTATTTGGAAACGGGGTCCTTGCAGGTATAATTAGGCAAGCTAAGGTGAGGTCATACTGGAGTAGGGCGGGCCTTTAATTCAATGTGACTGATGTCCTTATAAAAAGAAGGAAATTCAGACACAGAGATGCACAGGGAGAAAGGTCATGTGACAACAAAGGCAGAGATTGGGATGACACAGCTGCCAGTCAAGGAATGCCAAGGACAGCTACCAGAAACTAGGAAGAGGCAGGGAAAGATTCTACTAGTGGTCTTAGAGGGGGTGTGGCCCTGATGACACCTTGAAAAATAAAAACTTCTAACCTTGGGAGGCAGAGGCAGGTGGGTCGGCTCTGAGGTCAGGAATTCGAGACCGGCCTGACCAACATAGTGAAACCCTGTCTCTACTAAAAATACAAAAATTAGCTGGGCGTGGTGGCACACGCCTGTAATCCCAGCTACTTGGGAGACTGAGGCAGGAGAATGGCTTGAACCTGAAGGCAGAGGTCGCAGTGAGCCAAGATTGCACCACTGCACTCCAGCCTGGGCAACGGAGTGAGATTCCATCTCAAAACAAAACAAAATAAAACAAAAAAACCTTACAGCTTTCAAAACTGTGAGAGAATGCGTTTCCATTGTTTTAAGCCATCCAGTTTGTGGTACTTTGTTACAGCAGCCTAGGAGACTAACACAGTGTCTATCAGGGGCATGTCTTCAGCCTTGACTCAGCAAGTGGCGTGCTAATGAGTCCGTTTCCCAGTGACTGTATAATCAGTCTGGGAGTAAACTGGGTGCTTTTGGGGGGAAGTGACATGAGCTCTTCTCAGCTGTGAAATTGCTCATCAGTCAATGTGTTCGAGTGATAACCTCACAGATGGCCCCCCAGTGACCATAAAGAGTTACATACTCTTTCCCAAAATGGCCCATTGCTCTGGGCGGCTGTTTGCCATGGAGGGGTATCTGGACGTGCTGTCCACGGGGGCCCAGGGAGGAGGAAGGGGTGGGAGCCAGTTAGACATGACTGTTGCTGCTGCTGCTGCCCAACCTCAAGTGCATGAGTCTGTACTGCCTGCCACACTGTGGGAACACGCTCTTTGGATGAAACTATTTTCCCAGTTAAAAGAGCTTCATCAAGGCTGGGCACGGTGGCTCACACCTGTAATCCCAGCACTTTTGGGAGGCCAAGGCGAGTGGATCACCTGAGGTCAGAAGTTTGAGACCAGCCTGGTCTACATGGTGAAACCCCATCTCTACTGAAAATACAAAATTTAGCCGGGCGTGGTGGCACATGCCTGTAATCCCAGCTACTGGGGAGGCTGAGGTGGGAGAGTCACTTGAACTTGGGAGGTGAAGGTTGCAGTGAGCTGAGATCGCGCCACTGCACTCCAGCCTGAGTGACAGAGCGAGCCTTCAAGGCTGAATAGGGCTCCATCTCAAAAAAAAGAAAAAAAAAGAGCTTCATTGGAACCCCCCATCTGCTTCCTCTTGTCACCCCAGTTTCTGATGTAATAGTAAACTAAGTGAAGCGTGTCTTGATTCAGAAAGGCCACCCGTCAGTTGGCCATGATGGAATGCATATTGAATGGATTCGATACCACCAAGGAGCCGGGCTCTGCCACCCCTTGCTGTGCAATGTTGGCTGGGTTAGTCAACCTCCCTGAGACTCAGTTTCCCCATCAGGAAAATGAGGATTTTTCCACTTCCCCTGCAGCTTTGTGACAAAGCTTAAGCTCTGGAATGCATGACAGAGTGGCTTCTAAGTTGAAGAGTGCTATTCTACTGTCGGGGAGGTGGTGGAGAAGGTTCCTAGCAGCCCAGGCTGGCAGAAGCTGCGGTGAAGCTCCTGATCCATCTGTTTGGAGTTTGTGGTGGGAAATGCCCCTTGATCTTCCTGGTATTGACGGATACATCTGAAGAGGACATTTCTCCCACCATGAGGGAGGGTGCAACAGGAGACATCTCCCACCTCAAGTATTGTTTTGAGTTTTCTCGCTGGCTTTCCCTTTCAGTAAAATATTAAAATAATATAATAATAATAATAATAATAATAATAATACGCTGGGTGCGGTGGCTCATGCCTGTAATCCCAGCACTTTGGGAGGCTGAGGTAGGTGGAGTCCTTGAAGTCAGGAGTTTGAGACCAACTTTGCCAACATAGTGAAACCCCATCTCTACTAAAAATACAAAAATTAGCCGGGCATGGTGGTGCACACCTGTAATCCCAGCTTCTCAGGAGGCTGAGGCACGAGAATTGCTTGAACCTGGGAGACGGAGTTTGCAGTGAGCTGAGATCGCACCACTGCACTCCAGCCTGGGCAACACAGCAAGACTCTGTCTCTAGTAATAATAATAATAATAATGATGATAATAATAATAAACTAGTGTGTCTACATACACACATATGTGTGTATGTGCTTATATGTATATGTTTATAATCTATTAATATGTATACTTTAAAAATAAAATGCAGGGCCAGGACTAGGGTGGGGCTGGGAATAAAGGCTTGCCTTGGATGCAAAATTTAAGAGGTGCCCCAAAGCTCAGATATCAAGATGAAAATATTTTAATACAATATTTTCAAAAACTAAGTGGGCAATGTACGTGAACCAGCTGCCTTTTTTGTAAAATAAAGTTTTATTTGAATGAGGGCCGGGATTAGGGTGTGGCCTGTGAAGCAGTGTCAGGTAGGTGCAGGGCTAAATCCCGTCTTTATGTAAAAGTCTTTATCGATCGTACTTTGTTGGTCATGGAGTTTTGGGGGGCATTCATTTTGATTTTTAAAAAATTATTGCATTAAAATATTTTTATCCTGATACCTGAATTTTTTGGATATCCCCTTAAATTTTGTGCTGGAGGTTTTTCCTCACTTGCCTCATGGTAGTTCCAGCCCTGATAAAATGAACACCTGAGTGCTCAGTCCTGAATTTGAACTTGAGAAATCGAATATCACAAGCTCCTGGAAGCCCCGATGTGCATTTCCTGATTACCTTCCCCTTCCTTTCCTCACAGAGATAGCATCATCCTGAGTTTGTTTGACCAGGTCTCACTTTCCCCTGTGGGAAACCTCACATGTACATGTCCCTAAATAGTATATCTTTTAATTTTGCATAGTTTTGAACTTCATAGAAATGAGATCGTATTTCACATATTCTGCAGCTTTTTTTTTTTTCCCTGAATATTGTTTTTGAGATTCGTTCAGGGCTATGTGAACAGTTCAGTATCTCTGAAATAGGGCTGTGAATTGCACTGTGTGGCACCCCACAGTGGCTGTCTGCCCAGCATGGTGAGGGTGTAGCTGTCATTGCCTGCTCATCCAGGGCCCATGGACGTGGCTCTTCATGTTATTACTTCAGTCGTGTTGTTCATTGTTGATCTTACATGAGTTTAACCGGAATTTAAAAGGACTTCAAAACTATTACACTGTAATTTGGCATTAAAACAAAAAATCACCTATAATATTGTCTATGCAGGAAGACGTGGGAAGAGAGCAGCATAATATATAACAAAATATATCTAAATAAAAAGATTTTAAAATAACACTTAGGCAAAAATGTTAAGTATGAGAAAGCGGTGTGTCCTAGATTCATTGGCAGCCTCTTTTTATCTTAGTGGTTTGTAAATTAGTGATGTACTTCAGTCAATGTCGTGTTAGAGTGGAGGAAATATAGTAACACTTCATTCTATGAATAGGCCACCATTAATGTAAGCATTCCTCTGTTGAAAGACATTTGGATTCTTTCCTGTTTTTTCTGTTTATGTATGTATGTATTTATTTTTTACCTTGAGGCATTCTTGGACATTCTTCTTGCACACTTGAGCATTTAGGACAGTTTTGCAAACTTCTCTGGTGTTACCAGTTACTTAGGCATTTATGTAAAAATAAGACTGAGGCAGGAGAATTGCTTGAACCTGGGAGGTGGAGGTTGCAGTGAGCTGAGATCGTGTCATTGCACTCCAGCCTGGGCAACAGAGCGAGACTCTGTCTCAAAAAAAAAAAAAAAAAAAAAAAACCCAAAACTGACTGCTGGGTCCCATTTCTAGCCTCTTGAATCAGCCTTCCCAGGGACCTGACTGACATTTAGTCATTGATTCAAGTGCCCTTCTTAATTTTTATCAGGAAAAGTGTTGGAAATATCAATCTAGGAAATACTCCTGGAAATAGATCTGCTCAGTCTGAGAGTCTGCACATCTGCAACTGGATGTGATCAGTTTCTCAACCTCAGTGCTATTGACAACTGAGATGGATAATTCTTTGTGGTAGGGGCTACCCTGAGCCTTGCAGGATGTGTAGCAGCATTCTTGGCACCTACCATTACAGGCTGGTAGCACTCTTCCCCTACCATCTACACACATACTTATGAAACCAAAATGTCTCCAGACATTGTCAAATGTGCCCCGAGGTGGGGATGAGTGTCAAAATCACCCCCAGTTGAGAACTACTGGAACAAATGATGTATAATTGGCTGACAAAATTGTTGCATCAATTTATATGCTCACCAGCTTTGTTTAGGTTGCTCCATATCCTTGCTAACTTTCATTTGGCCAGGCTGCTTAAATTTTGTGCCAAGAAGGTGAGGAGATGGTGCCTCAGTTTAATTTCAGTTTGCATTTCCCTAATTGCTGATGAGGTTGAAGGTCTTTTCCCAAGTTTATAGTCTTCTTAGGTTTCATTACCTGTGAAATGTCTCTGTCATTTGCCATTTTTTCCTATTAAATTACCTCTCTTTTTTTTTATTGACTTTTAGAAACTAAAAAAGTATTCTGAATTCTAATGCTTTGGTATATATGTGGCAAATGTCTGCTGGTTTGTAGTGTGCCTTCTTATTTCCTTTATTGGCTCTTTTGATGTATAGGGGTTCTTAACGTTAATGCAGTCAAATGTATCATTTCTTTCCTTTATGGTGTTGACTTTTAAAAAATGTTATTTAACAAATTCTTCTTCCCTGAGGTCATAAACGTATTGTTCTATATATTCTTCTAAAATCTGTGAAGTTTTGCCTTTCACATTTAAGCTCTTAATCAACCTGGAATTGATTTCAGAATATGGTATAAGTTAGGGACCTATTTTTTTTCCAGATGAATAACCAGTTGCCTAGTGGCGTTTATTGAATAACCTTCCTTCCTCTACTCATCTGTCATGTCAACCTGTCATTGATCAGGTGTGTACCTTAACTCAGGACTGTTTCTGTACTCCCTATTCTGTTCTCTTGGGTGTGACTGGTTTGTTATTTCAGTTTTCCTCTTTCATATCTACCTGGATGATCTTAAATGTTTTCTTATTATATATATCCTTACATATATATATATCTCCATATACATATATCCATATATATATATATATATTTGGAGTACATAAGATTTATTTTAATTTTTTTATTTTTTAACTATTTTTCCAACAAACACGGGAGTGCAGATATTTCATTGATATACGGATATTTCCTTTTTTTGTTGTTTTGCTTATATACCCAGCAGTGGAATATTTCTCTCTTCAATGAAATGTGGTATTGTAGAATGGATCTTACAATAGAAAAAGACATTAGTGGAAGATGAGTAAAATCCAAATAAAGTCTAGCATTTAAAAGTAGTAACATACTGGCCAGGTGCCCTGGCTCACGCCTGTCATCCTAGGACTTTGGGAGGCCAAGGCAGGTGAATTACCTGAGGTCAGGAGTTCAAGACCAGCCTGGCCAACATGGAGAAACCCTATCTCTACTAAAAATACAAAAATTAGCCAGGCATGGTGGTGTGTGCCTGTAATCCTAGCTACTCAGGAGGCCGAGGTGGGAGAATCGCTTGAACCTGGGAGGTGGAGGTTGCGGTGAGCTGAGATCGCGCCACTGCACTCTAGGCTGGGTGACAGAGCAAGACTCTGTCTCAAAAAAAAAAAAAAAGTAACATACCAATGTGGTTTCTTTGTTTTGACAGATGTATTGTGGTTATGTAAGAGGTTACATTACAGAAAACTGGGTGAAGGGTATATGAGAACTCTTTTGTACTATCTCTGCAACTTTTCTGTAAATCTGAAAGTATTCCAAAATGTAAACCTTGATTAAAAATATTTATCTCATTAAAAAATTATATTTTCTGTTCTTTATTTCTTAATCCTTAAACCCATCACTTACTTTGGCGTCTTATACTGATCATCTCTTGGGTTTAAACCATGTATCTTAACCTTTCATCTCTTTTGCCTTTCATCTTTTAAATTTTGGCTTCATTGACTGGCAATCTTTGTTATTTTAAATTCCTTTTCTTTTATCTCACTAGTTAGAGGAAAAACAGTTAATGTCTTCTATTTATTGGAATTCTAACTCATTTTTAACTTCTAGGTTATTCATCTCTTTTAGTTTGCTCTTAGTTTTAATCACTTCATAATCACCTACCCTCCCTTTGTTGTTTAAAATATAGGGTGTTTCTTTCCTCTGCCCCTTTATGTCTGTAGTCCATTATTTTTAGTGGTGTTTTTAATAGCAGAAAAAGTCTGGCTGTGGGGAAGACAGGAAAGAGCAAGTCCTTATCATGAATGAGGGGACAGGAGACTTGCTTCCTTCTGCCCCTGAATTTTAGCAGCAAACTCTGAGTTTTCCAGAGAACCTCCATGCTGGGAGACTGGCCGTGGGTTAACCTGCAATTTGCTGTGTGTGGATGTCTGATTGGCTGGAACAGCAGCCTCCACAATACCTTGGGCAGGTCTTGTATGTGGCATTGCCTCCTTGACAATCCAGGGCTCAGGTCTCTGGAGCCATTGCATTTGGGCCTCCCTAACCTCTGCTGGGTGGGCTTAGGCTGGATAACTTCTCTCACATCTCCATCTTTGGGGTGGCCAGAGGGTCTGCCTTCTGGACCCAACTCTGTTTCCCAGGAAGATGAATATGATTTGTCTCAACATTTACATTCTCCCAACCAAGAAAAATATCATCTACTCGGAAGTAACCCTGGTTGATTTCAGATTTCTCAGGACAGGCCAGTCATCTCTGGAGTTCTGAATGCTGAACAGGGCTTGTCTGATGGGATCCAGCCCTGATTCCTGCCTAATGACATTGCTTCCCTGTGGCCGGTTCTCTTAGCCATGCGAGTGTCACCCGAGAGGGCAATTCCTCCTCGCTTGTGTGTGTGAACCTGGGAAAAGGATGACTCCCATAAGGCTTTATCCTGGGGGGCACCTCACTCTAGCCCTTTTTTTGCTTGGAGTGAATTTTCTTCTTGTTTTAATTTTGGTCTGGCAACTGACTGAATTCATGGGTGTTGTCAAAAAGTTTGGTACTTGAGGAGGGCCAGGTAGACTCAGGGGCTTTCAGATTCTACAGAGGATCTGATGCATGCAATGGCTTTTGGAAGTTCCGTCTTGCATATTTTGTCTTTCTCCTTCCATTAGATGAATGACAACTTCAAACCTGTTCAGTGTGTGTAGTTTTCCTCTAAACGAGGCTCCCTCCCTCTCCCTACCTGATCAGAGCTACCTTTCTTTTTGGCTTTTGTGGACAGGGATTTGTTATGGGATAAGCTGTAAGAGGTCAAGGCTGGACCTTGGTTGCTGACTCTTGGATAGAAACTGAACTGCCATTCATTTGATGTATAGTCATGGATCGCCCACCACATGCTAGGGGCTGGGCTAGGCTCTGGGTATGTAAGACAGACACAGCGTCCGCCTTTATGGACTGATTGCCAGATAGGAAATGGGAAAACAAATCATCCAGATAGTTCCAAAATTATGTGAAGCAGAGTCAGGCAGGGCTGCCTGGTCCATATGGCATCAGTTAGAAAAACATACTTCCCTGGACAGCATCACCCCACACTGGGGCATGTCTGGAGGAGCACAGTGCAGGTGAAATTCCACCCCCAATTTGTCTCCCTGTACCGGGTTGAGTAGCATCCTCCCAAAACTTATATCCATGCAGAACCCCAGAGTGTGATTTTATTAACAGAAATAGGGTCTTTGCAGATGCGATGAGTTAGGGTGAGGTCACGATGGATTAAGTGAGCCCTAAACGCAATGACTGATGT
This sequence comes from Homo sapiens, assembly GCF_000001405.40. Taxonomy (NCBI): domain Eukaryota; kingdom Metazoa; phylum Chordata; class Mammalia; order Primates; family Hominidae; genus Homo; species Homo sapiens. The sequence goes on along the minus strand of NC_000012.12, from coordinate 117,633,684 downwards.
CCTTGCAAAAAGACACAGGAAGGAGACCATGTGAGGACAGAGGCAGAGATTGGAGTTATACAGCCACAAGCCAAGGATTGCCAGCAACTATCAGGTGATAGAAGAGAGGCATGGAATTTATCCTTCCTAGGGCCTCTACAAAGAACCAATCCTGTCAACACCTTGATTTCAGACTTCTCTAGAACCGTGAGAGAATAAATATCTGTTGTTTTAAGGCACACGGTTTGTGATTTTCTGTTATAGTAGTTCTGGGACACTGATATTCCCTGACCCAGGAGCCCTTGGGCAAGGCGCAACCCGCACACCTGTTCCTGGTGGCTCTGCTGAGAAGAAGACATTCAAGCTGAGACATGAAGATGAAGGAGGAGCCAGATATGAGAAGAACCAGAAGAAGAGTGTTCTCAGCGGAGAGAAGTGGAACTTCCAGGGACTTGAAGCAGGAAAGAGGTTGGCAATATTTAGAGAATTGAAAGGAAATCCACATCACTGGAGGATAGTGAACATCGTAACTTAAGTAACATTATGAAGGCAGGAGTTGCTGAAAAATGTCTTTTGATAAATCAAATCACTATTTCCAGTAGCCATGCAAAAGGGGTATGCTCCAGCTTTTTAACAATTGTACCTGAATGACTTTATTCCCCCTTGGAATAATTGGATGAAAGCTCTCCTGCAACTAAAAATAGAGCAGTTCATTACAGCACTATTCACAATAGCAAAGACATGGAATCCACCTCAATGCCCATCAGCAGTGGACTGGATACAGAAAATGTGGTACATGTACGCCATGGAACACTACACAGCCATAAAAATGAATGAGATCATGTCCTTTGCAGCAACATGGTTGGAGCTGGAGGCCATTATCCTAAGTGAACGAATGCAGGAACAGAAAACCAAATACCGCATGTTTTCACTTATACTTAAGAGCTAAACATTGAGCACACATGGACACAGAGAAAGGAACAACAGACACCAGGGCCTACTTGAGGGTGGAGGGTGGGAGGAGGGAGAGGATCGAAAAACAGCTTGTCAGGTACTATGCTTATTGCCTGAGTGATGAAATAATCTGTACACCAAACCCCCATGACACGCAATTTACCTGTATAACAAACCTGCACATGTACCCCTGAACCTGAAATCAAAGCTAGAAAAAGGAGTAGGTGGCAGGGCATGGTGGCTCATGCCTGTAATCCCAGCACTTTGGGAGGCCGAGGCAGGTTGATCATGAAGTCAGGAGTTTGAGACCAGCCTGGCCAACAAAGTGAAACCCCGTCTCTACTAAAAATACAAAAAAAATTAGCCAGGCATGGTGGCGGGCACCTGTAATCCCAGCTGCTTGGGAGGCTGAGGCAGGAGAATCACTTGAACCTGGGAGGTGGAGGTTGCAGTGAACCAAGATTGCGCCACTGCACTCCAACCCAGGTGACAGTGTGAGATATCATCTCAAAAAAAAAAAAAAAAAAAAAAAAGGAGTAGGACTAGAGCCATAAGCATTCTCTTACAGCCTGTCATATAAAGGACTCAATACTGGTTTAATGAAGTTGTTGAATAATGTAGTTTACTGCTGTAAATTGAGAATGGTCTTAATAGACAACTAGCCTCTCCTATTAATAATTCTAGCCAAAATTAAATGTTCCTGGACAGCTATGAAAAAATAGTCAGAATTTTGGCAGATGACTTCCTATATTTCTGACTTTTAGTTAATGGTCTTTTGTACTGTATTACTCCATCCTGATACCAGTAATATATTTGCAACTAGTTTATTTTTGTGGGTATACCAGGAACTTGTTGCTGCTCAAAATAAATGTTTTATGGGGACTCTATGCTTTGCAATTTTGTTTAATGAATGATAATAACAGCTCACATATTGCATACTGCTTTTGGTTTAAAAGTACTTTTTGTGTATTATTTCATTTGATAAATAATGGTAATTATCCCTGCTTTACCCTCAAGTCACTCGATTCTTCCTATTGATCAGTACATGACAAACACTGGGGTTTCATTTGGATTCTGGTTGTTAATGAACTCTTGGTATGCTTGAAAAGGAACCAACTAAAGATTATCTAGCTATATTATCATAATATTTAGCATATTGGAATATTGATGAAGAAAAATAATTAGGCATGAAAAATGTAGATAAAAGTCAAGATTGTTTCTCTGATGGAGAAATAAAAGACCTAGATTTATGATAATCACAAAGAAGAATCATGAAATTGTTGTTTAGTCATAAAATAAAAGTCTAAGATATTTTTCAAGCACAGAAGTAGTTACAGGAGGTCAGGCCATCATATAGGCTTGCTGTTTTAAAATTGCATCTCTCTAGCAGCTCCCGACTCAGCCAGGAGTCATTTAATCACTCAACAAATTTTTATTTATTTCTTTATTTAGAGGCAGAATCTCACTCTGTTGCCCAGGCTGGAGTACAGTGGAGTGATCATAGCTTGCTGCAGCCTCAAACACCTGGGCTCAAGTGATCCTCCCATTTCAACCTCTCAAGTAGCTGGGATTACAGGTACAGGCCACTATGCCTGGCTAATTTAAAAAAGTTTTCTTGTAGAGACAGAGTTTCACTGTTTCCCAGGCTGGTCTTGAGCTCCTGGCCTCAGCCTCCCAAAGTGTTGGGACTATGGGTGTGAGCCAGCACGCCTGGCTTACTCAACAAATATTTACTGAGAATCTTATTCTACAGCCCGTCTCTTGTCAGCCTGGGGAGCATTTTTACTTCTCACAGAGCTCATTGGCTTGGATTGTGAATCCTCAGGTCTTTGGAGAATCTATACCCACAGGAAACAGTACCATTGTCCTTTATCAGCAGGGTTCCTGCTTTTTGCAGAAGATGTAACCCCGGTCCCCAGTTTCTCTACCCATCAATACCACTCATTGGTACCACTCATTGGTCCCAATCTCTTTCATCCATTCAATGACTGCAACTCCCAGAGAACCTTGCGTCCCTACCCTCTGCCAATTTGCATTTCCTAATTAGCTCTCAAATCACTTCTCTCCATCCACCTTTCCACTGCTGGGTCAGAACCATCACCACCGCCCACAGTCTCCTAACTCCTCGTTTCCCTTTGCCTTCTTCCAATTCATTCCCCACTCTGCAGACAACGAGATCTTTGAAAAGGCAAATCCGATCAGGTAGCCCCTGTTTATAATCCTTCCATGGCTGTACAAAACTCAGTCCTTGGCACACTAGGCTCTGTGTGCACTAGTGCCTACATCTCCAGCTTCATTTTGTACCATATCTCCCCCAACCTTCCAACCCCTCTTCCTTTACACATGCACACACATGTGCACACACACATACACATGCACACACACACACACATTTTCTTCCTTTCCTCCCCTACTGGCATTCTTCATACCACCATATTGTCTTCAACCCCAGGGCTTTTGCACATGCTGTTCTCTCTGCCTAGAACACAATTGAGCATCGAGCACCTACAGTATGTGTCATCTGTTGGCCTGCAGTTTGGTAGATAAGTGTTTCCGCAAATGAGAATCACTGGGCTGCTGAGAGACGTCGCTAGTGGGAGGACATTAGGCATGTGCAACACCTGTTCCTTAGACCCCAGGGATTTTTCTTCTTCCTCTGCGGGGGAAGGAATCCAAAGCCACTTGAGAATGGTCCTGTTGGCCTGTCCATGAGCACTCCCATGACCCACTTCTGCATGAGTCCAGCAGGCTGAACAACAAAGCAGATGGCAGCATCCTTGGTAAAGCTGCTGGCAGGCCACTTGGTAGGGGACTTGCTGTTGCTTGTTTTGCTAAAGGTTGAATGATGGGAGTAGACTTTATGGAGGATATGTACAACTCTTCTTGTTATGCCAGAATTAGTCTTTGGGTGATGCCAGAGCTGCATTATTTTAACTTCTCATTGAACTACTTCCACAGACTTACACATTGGTTCTTATATTCTTCACTATCAATTAAAGGACATTTTAAGACAATTCCAAGAGTTGTTGAGGATGTTGATTGCTATAGTAACTAGTGTCCTATTGAGGACATATAGGAGTAATTTATTTCTGATGTCAGGAACAGGAAGAGTTCTGATTCTCATGCACTCTTGTTTTGCAGATTATGGAACTAGTGACTGAGTCAGATAACTGCTGTGTTTTCCTTTTTGCTGTGATCACGAGGAAACTCAAAATCAAATCTGTGACCAACTTATTGCAATTGTCAGCATAGATTTTGTGTTCTTTTCTCCCGTTTGGTTTCACATGTTTTTCTTACTCTTGTTTCCTTCTTGTCCAGTTTTCTCATTAGACCACAAAAAACACCTTTTTTTTCTGTAATGTATGAATGTAAGCAGTTTTAAGTATATTCTGACATAAACCAAAGGCATAGAAAGCATTCCAAGATGGCCAAATAGGAACAGCTCTGGTCTGCAGCTCCCAGCATGATCGACGCAGAAGACGGTGATTTCTACATTTCCAAATGAGGTACCTGGTTCATCTCATTGGGACTGGTTGGACAGTGGGCACAGCCCATGGAGGGTGAGCCAAAGCAGTGCGGGTCATCAACTCACCTGGGAAGCGCATGGGGTTGGGGGATTTCCCTTTCCTAGCCAAGGGAAGCCATGACAGACTACCTGGAAAAACAGGACACTCCCACCCAAATACTGTGCTTTTCCCAAGGTCTTAGCAACTGGCAGACAAGGTGATTCTCTCCCATGCCTGGCTTGGTGGCTCCCATGCCCATGGAGCCTTGCTCACTGCTAGCGCAGCAGTCCGAGATCGATCTGCCAGACAGCAGCCTGGCTAGGGGAGGGGCAGCCACCATTGCTAAAGCTTGAGTAGGTAAACAAAGCAGCTGGGAAGCTCGAACTGGGCGGAGCCCACAGCAGCTCAACAAGGCCTACTGCCTCTAGACTCCACCTCTGTGGGCAGGGCGTAGCTGAACAAAAGGCAGCAGACAACTCCTGCAGACTTAAATGTCCCTGTCTGACAGCTCTGAAGAGAGCGGTGGTTCTCCCAGCATGGCGTTTGAGCTCTGAGAACAGACAGACTGCCTCCTCAAGTGGGTCCCTGACTCCCGTGTAGCCTAACTGGGAGGCACCTCCCAGTAGGGGACAACAGACATCTCATATAGGTGGCTCCCCCTCTGGGACGAAGCTTCCAGAGGAAGGATCAGGCAGCAATATTTGCTGTTCTGCAGCCTCTGCTGGTGATACCCAGGCAAACAGGGTCTGGAGTAGAACTCTAGCAAACTCCAACAGACCTGCAGCTGAGGGACCTGACTATTAGAAGGAAAACTAAAAAACAGAAAGGAATAGCATAAACATCAACAAAAAGGTCATCTACACCAAAACCCCATCTGTAGGTCACCAACACCAAAGACCAAAGGTAGATAAAACCACAAAGATGGGGAGAAACCAGAGCAGAAAAGCTGAAAATTCTAAAAATCAGAGCGCCTCTTCTCCTCCAAAGGATTGCAGCTCCTCACCAGCAACGGAACAAAGCTGGACAGAGAATGACTTTGACGAGTTAACAGAAGTAGGCTTCAGAAGGTCAGTAATAAACTCTGAGCTAAAGGAGGATGTTCGAATCCACCACAAGGAAGCTAAAAACCTTGAAAAAAGATTAGATGAATGGCTAACTAGAATAAACAGCATAGAGAAGACCTTAAATGACCTGATGGAGCTGAAAACCATGGCACGAGAACTTCGTGACGCGTGCACAAACTTCAATAGCTGATTCGATCAAGTGGAAGAAAGGGTATCAGTGATTGAAGATCAAATTAATGAAATAAAGCAAGAAAACAAGGTTAGAGAAAAAAGAGTAAAAAGAAATGAACAAAGCCTCCAAGAAATATGGGACTATGTGAATAGACCAAATCTACGTTTGATTGGTGTACCTGAGAGTGATGCAGAGAATGGAACCAAGTTGGAAAACACTCTTCAGTATATTATCCAGGAGAACTTCTCCAACATAGCAAGGCAGGCCAACATTCAAATTCAGGAAACACAGAGAACACCACAAAGATACTCCTTGAGAAGGGCAACCCCAAGACACATAATTGTCAGATTCACCAAGGTTGAAATGAAGGAAAAAGTGTTAAGGGCAGCCAGAGAGAAAGGTCAGGTTACCCACAAAGGGAAGCCCATCAGACTAACAGTGGATCTCTCAGCAGAAACCCTACAAGCCAGAAGAGAGTGGGGGCCAATGTTCAACATTCTTAAAGAAAAGAATTTTCAACCCAGAATTTCATATCCAGCCAAACTAGACTTCATAAGTGAAGGAGAAATAAAATCCTTTACGGACAAGTAAATGCTGAGAGATTTTGTCACCACCAGGCCTGCCTTACAAGAGTTCCTGAAGGAAGCACTAAACATGGAAAGAAGTAACTGGTACCAGCCACTGCAAAAACATGCCAAATTATAAAGACCACTAATGCTAGGAAGAAACTACATCAATTAATGGGCAAAATAACCAGTGAACATCATAATGACAGGATCAAATTCACACATAACAATATTAACCTTAAATGTAAATGGGCTAAATGCCCCAATTAAAAGACACAGACTGGCAAATTGGATAAAGAGTCAAGACCCATCAGTGTGCTGTATTCAGGAGACCCATATCACGTGTAAAGACGCACATAGGCTCAAAATAAAGGGATGGAGGAAGATCTACCAAGCAAATGGAAAGCAAAAAAAAAAAGCAGGGGTTGCAATCCTGGTTTCTGATAAAACAGACTTTAAACCAACAAAGATCAAAAGAAGCCCATTACATAATGGTAAAGGGATCAATTTAACAAGAAGAGCTAACTATCCTAAATTTATATGCACCCAATACAGGAGCACCTAGATTCATAAAGCAAGTCCTTAGAGACCTACAAAGAGACTTAGGTTCCCACACAATAATAATGGGAGACTGTAACACCCCACTGTCAATATTAGGCAGATCAATGAGACAGAAGGTTACCAAGGATATCCAGGACCTGAACTCAGATCTGCAACAAGCAGGCCAAATAGACATCTTCATAACTCTCCACCCCAAATCAACAGAGTATACATTCTTCTCAGCACCACATCGCACTTATTCTAAAATTGATCACATAATTGGAAGTAAAGCACTCCTTAGCAAATGTAAAAGAACAGAAATCACAACAAACTGTCTCTCAGACGACAGTGCAATCAAATTAGAACTCAGGATTAAGAAACTCACTCAAAACTGCACAACTACATGGAAACTGAACAACTTGCTCCTGAATGACTACTGGGTAGATAACAAAATGAAGGCAGAAATAAAGATGTTCTTTGAAACCAATGAGAACAAAGACACAAGGTACCAGAATCTCTGGGACACATTTAAAGCAATGTGTAGAGGGAAATTTATAGCACTAAATGCCCACAAGAGAAAGCAGGAAAGATCTAAAATCAACACCCCAACATCACAATTAAAAGAACTAGAGAAGCACGAGTAAACAAATTCAAAAGCTAGCAGAAGACAAGAAATAACTAAGATCAGAGCAGAACTGAAAGAGATAGAGACACAAAAAACCCGTCAAAAAAATCAGTGAATCTAGGAGCTGGTTTTTTGAAAAGATCAACAAAATAGATAGACTGCTAGCAAGACTAATAAAGAAGAAAAGAGAGAAGAATCAAATAGATGCAATAAAAAAGTGATAAAGGGGATATCACCACCGATCCCACAGAAATACAAACTACCATCAGAGAATATTATAAACACCTCTACGCAAATAAACTAGGAAATCTAGAAGAAATGGATAAATTCCTGGACACATATACCCTCCCAAGTCTAAACCAGGAAGAAATTGAATCTCTGAATAGACTAATAACAGGCTCTGAAATTGAGGCAATAATTAATAGCCTACCAACCAAAAAAGTCCAGGACCAGATGGATTCACAGCCAAATTCTGCTAGAGGTACAAAGATGAGCTGGTACCATTCCTTCTGAAACTATTCCAATCAATAGAAAAAGAGGGAATCCTCCCTAACTCATTTTATGAGGCCAACATCATCCTGATACCAAAGCCTGGCAGAGACACAACAAAAAAAGAAAATTTTAGACCAATATCCCTGATGAACATCAATGCGAAAATCCTCAATAAAATACTGGCAAACCAAATCCAGCAGCACATCAAAAAGCTTGTCCACCACGATTAAGTCGGCTTCATCCCGGAGATGTGAGGCTGGTTCAACATATGCAAATCAATAAATGCAATCCATCACATAAGCAGAACCCATGACAAAAACCACATGATTATCTCAATAGATGTAGAAAAGGCCTTTGACAAAATTCAACAGCCCTTCATGCTAAAAACTCTCAATAAACTAGGTAATGATGGGACGTATCTCAAAATAATAAGAGCTATTTATGACAAACCCACAGCCAATATCATACTGAGTGGGCAAAAACTGGAAGCATTCCCTTTGAAAACTGGCACAAGTCAGGGATGCCCTCTCTCACCACTTCTATTCAACATAGTGTTGGAAGTTCTGGCCAGAGCAATTAGGCAAGAGAAAGAAATAAAGGGTATTCAATTAGGAAATGAGGAAGTCAAATTGTCCGTGTTTGCAGATGACATGATTGTATATTAGAAAACCCCATCGCCTCAGCCCAAAATCTCCTAAGCTGATAATCCACCTCAGCAAAGTCTCAGGATACAAAATCAACGTGCAAAAATCACAAGCATTCCTATACACCATTAACAGACAAACGGAGAGCCAAATCATGAATGAACTCCCATTCACAATTGCTACAAAGAGAATAAAATACCTAGGAATCCAACTTACAACGGATGTGAAGGACCTCTTCAAGGAGAACTATAAACCACTGCTCAGTGAAATAAAAGATGACACAAACAAATGGAAGAATATTCCATGCTCATGGATAGGAAGAATCAATATCATGAAAATGGCCATGCTGCCCAAAGATTCAATGCCATCCCCATCAAGCTACCAATGACTTTCTTCACAGAATTGGAAAAAACTACTTTAAGGTTCATATGGAACCAAAAAATGGCCTGCATTGCCAAGACAATCCTAAGCCAAAAGAACAAAGCTGGAGGCATCACGCTACCTGACTTTAAGCTATCCTACAAGGCTACAGTAACCAAAACAGCATGGTACTGGTACCAAAACAGAGAGATACACCAGTGGGACAGGTCTCAGAAATAACACTACACATCTATAACCATCTAATCTTTGACAAACCTGACAAAAATAAGAAATGGGGAAAGTATTCCGTACTTAATAAATGGTGCTGGGAAAACTGGCTAGCCATATGTAGAAAGCTGAAACTGGATCCCTTACACCTTATACAAAAATTAATTCAAGATGGATTAAAGACTTAAATGTTAGACCTAAAACCATAAAAACCCTAGAAGAAAACCTAGGCAATACATTCAGGACATAGGCATGGGCAAGGACTTCGTGACTAAAACACCAAAAGCAATGGCAACAAAAGCCAAAATAGACAAATGGGATCTAATTAAGCTAAAGAGCTTCTGCACAGCAAAAGAAACTACCATCAGAGTGAACAGGCAACCTACAAAATGGGAGAAAATTTTTGCAATCTACCCATCTGACAAAGGGCTAATATCCAGAATCTACAAAGAGCTCAAACAAATTTACAAGAAAAAACAACCCCATCAAAAAGTGGGCAAAGGATATAAACAGACACTTCTCAAAAGAAGACATCTATGCAACCAACAGACACATGAAAAAATGCTCATCATCACTGGCCATCAGAGAAATGCAAATCAAAACCACAATGAGATACCATCTCACACCAGTTAGAATGGCAGTCATTAGAAAGTCAGGAAACAACAGATGCTAGAGAGGATGTGGAGAAATAGGAACGCTTTTACACTGTTGGTGGGAGAGAAAATTAGTTCAACCATTGTGGAAGACAGTGTGGCGATTCCTCAAGGATCTAGAACTAGAATTACCATTTGACCCAGCAATCCCATTACTGGGTATATACCCAAAGGATTATAAATCATGCTACTATAAAGACACATGCACATGTATGTTTATTGTGGCACTATTCACAATAGCAAAGACTTGGAACCAACCCAAATGTCCATCAATGATAGACTGGATTAAGCAAATGTGGCACATATACACCATGGAATACTATGCAGCCATAAAAAAGGATGAGTTCATGTCCTTTGCAGGGACATGGATTAAGCTGGAAACCATCATTCTCAGCAAACTAGTCACAAGGACAGAAAACCAAACACTGTATGTTCTCACTCATAGGCAGGACCTGACCAATGAGATCACTTGGACACAGGGAGGGAACATCACACACTGGGGCCTATCGGGGTGCGGGGCTGGGGGAGGGATAGCATTAGGAGAAATACCTAATGTAAATGATGAGTTGATGGGTGCAGCAAACCAACAAGTCACATGTATACCTATGTATCAAACCTGCATGTTGTGCACATGTACCCTAGAACTTAAAGTATAATAATTAAAAAAAACCCAAAGGCATAAATAAGTAAATGTATAAATGTGAGATATTGTTATGGAATTTAACTGGTATTCACCTCTGAGTGTTCATTGGTATCTACCATGTGCGAAGCACATTATCAAATTTGCATTATGAAATTTAAAGCAGAGGAAAATGAGGCTCAAAGAGGTGGGGTAGCTTCCTCTGAGCCTCATACCAGCAGCTGGCAGAGTCTGGTTTTCATGTCAGCTCTGACTGTTAATACCTGTGCTTTGAGTCACTACCTTAAACTTCCTCCATTGGAGTGCATGCCTACCTCAATATGCTATAATTTTAGGGCTATTTGTCTTTCTCCCAGACCCAACAATGCATTCCAAGAGGGCAGTATTCATGCTTTCTTCTTATATTTCTTGCATTCAGCACCATATATGGAACATAAAAGAGGTTCAAGAAATATCTATTGAGTGTGTAACAGCTTGGATGGGTTTGGGAAATTATCTCTTCTTATTCCTAAAAGTGGAGTAAATGACATTTCTAAACAATTCAAGATGCTGGAAATCCCATTGAATTGAAGCTTTATGGCACAGAGTGGATCTGGAAGTTTTGTGCAGCAAAATCTCTCCACAAGATTTTGTGTGGAGAATCTCTCCAACCAGTGTGGGTTAGATCTGGTGTTACCTTTGTTTAAGTCAGTGGAAGGTGTTAACATGCACATCCTGCTTGACCTTGTCTTCCAGGGACAGGAAAAAAAAAACCTTGATAACTAAATTGCACAACACTCAAATTGCACAAATAGGCTCATTGAGAATAAGATGCCAGTTGAATAAAGTAACTTTTATTGTCTTATCAAAGAGGTTCTCTGAGATAGACTCTTTCTTTTGCTTTGCAGATGTTTTGAGTACAGAGTCTGTGAAGGCTGATTGTAAATTTCAACAGTGTTGACTCTCTGAGTTCTTGAATTATGTAAAATAAGATGCAGGAAATGATGATTTAATCCTGAGTGAATCACATTCCAAATCCTGGATTCCCAAGAGGATTAGGCAGTTTTCCACCATACTTAAACAAAAAAAAAATATAGAAGTGCAGAGAGATGTAGAGATATGCCTAAAGTCACATTGGGAGTCACTGATGAAAATGGTCTCAAATTCTCCCATCAACTGCCCCATCAAGAGTTTGCCAACTGTTGCCATCCTGCTTGTGAGGTCAAAGCAGTTACATAACTTTCATGTGCTCACTGAGATTATTCCTTAGCTCCCTAAGTTAATGTAATAGGATGTGCAAATGCATCCATAAGGTGCCCATGGAATGTGGATGGTCCCTTTATCTTTCATCCTTTGCAAATTTTTGTTGTGCAGCTACAGCATGGAGCTGTAGGAGACAGTGGTAGAGGTTGGCTTGTGGGGAGAAGGTCTGCATTATGATTATTATTTTTATATTTGGTTTTGAAATTTTTAAAAATATGTTTTATTTTGAAATAATTTTGGGCTCACAAGAAGTTGCAAAAATAGTATAGAGTTCCTATGTACTCTTCACTTAGTTTCTTCCAATGATATTGTCTTACATCATCACTATATATTACCTGAACAAGAAAATGGCATTGGTATAATACCATTAACTAAATTACAAGAGGAGGTCTGTGTTGATGACATGCATTTATATGTGGATGCAATCACTAAATTCTTGCTCTGTACCAGCCCCTTTTCATGCCTATATCATTTAAATCCTTGTAACAACCCTATGAAGCACATACTATATTTATCCTCATGCTACTGATGAGGAGACTGAGGCACAGAGAGGTTAACTAACCTGCCTATGTGAATGCAGCTAGTAAGTCGTGGAGTCAGCCAAAATCATTCCAGATCCTGTGCTTTTAATCTTTCTTCTCTACTGCTGTATTATTCCATTTTCACACTGCTGTAAATAACTGCCAGAGGCTGGATAATTTATAAAGAAAAGAGGTTTAATTGACTCACAGCTCTGCATGGCTGGGGAAGCCTCAGGAAACTTAGTTATGGTGGAAGGGGAAGCAGGCATGTCTTACATGGTGGCAGGTAAGAGAGAGCATGTGAAAGCACAGGAAAAACTACCATTTATAAAACCATCAGATCTCATGAGAATTCATTTGCTATCATGAACAGTATGGAGGAAACCACCCCGATAATCCAGTAATTTTCCCCTCTTGACACGTGGGGATTACAATTCGAGATGAGATTTGGGTGGGGACACAGAGCCAAACCATATCAACTGCCTCCAAATTCAATAATAAAATTCCTTAGAAGTGGAGACTCAGATTATATATCCTCTAATATTCCCACAGTAATTTACAGATGGAAGGGGCTTACTACATGTTTAGGTTTTGTTTTGTATGTATGTAGTGAATATATAAGCAGAATCAATGAAATATGACTAGAATGGTCTCTCCCTGCTTTCCCAGAACTTATTGTTAAGTCTAAGTCATGATAACTAGGAATGGCGTAATCAGAAAAAAAGAAGAATGATAAATACCCACACATTGGTTATTGGTCACAGCTCACAGAGAAGTGTCTTGACCTACATTTGAGCCATGTAAGCAGAGAATGAGTTCACTCTTCCAGTCTTTGCTGCTGATATTGGAGCTAGGGAGAAACCTAATTCATCTCTATCAGGGCACAGATATCTGCTCACTGGGAGCTCTAGAGTGCATAAGCTTCAATAGTGGTAAACTCACAAACTATTTGTGCTGCATGTACTTCCATAATGTCTGTATTTCTTTTTGTTTCCTTTGTGTTTTTCTTCTGTCAGCCATAACACAAATGTGTGGTCCCTAAGCAAACATCAACTAATGGCAGGCAACAGGAGGTCACTCAGAATGGTGTTTGGGGATGGTGAATTGAGATAGAAGCAGGAACTAATATAGGATAAATTTGTTTCAGTTTAACAAATAACTCCTGTATATCCACAATGGGGCAGACCCTTTGCTCACCACCCAGGGTCTAGGAGCCCATGGAATATGACTCTGACTCCCAGGAAGCTCACATATGATGAAGGTGGTTTTGTAGGGAGAAAAAGCTTTTAGACGTGGGTTCAGATCTTGGTGTCCTTATCTTTCACCAGCTGATTAACCTCAGGCAAGTCTTTTAATCTCTCCAATTCTCCATTTTCTCATCTCTAAAGTGAGGCTAATAATACCTACATTAAAGATCAACTATGATAAATTAAAGAAGGCAGATGTAAAAGACCACACACTGTAGGGTTTCGTTTGTTTGAAATATCCAGCAAAGGCAAATATATGGAGACAGATAGTAGATTAATGGTTGTCTGGGGCTAGAGTTGGGAATAGTGAGTAACTTTTGTGCAAAGTGTCTTCTTGGGGAGATGGACATGTTCTAGAATTGGATTTTGATGATGGTCACATTTCTGCAAGTTTACTAAAAATGATTGAATTGTGCACTTAAAATGAGTGAATTTTATATGTACATCATACTTCAATAAAGCTGTCTTTATAAAAAGTATCAATTTTGAGGCTCACATGAGATGATTAATTGGCCTCATATAAGGCATTGTGACATACTGTATATGTGTGTGTTGTTATTAGTATTTTTAACATTGAAAATTAATGTTAAAAATACTAATAACAACACTCACATATACAGTATGTCCCAAATGTCCAACAATGATAGACTGGATTAAGAAAATGTGGCACATATACACCGTGGAATACTATGCAGCCATAAAAAATGATGAATTCATGTCCTTTGTAGGGACATGGATGAAGATGGAAGCCATCATTCTCAGCAAACTATCGCAAGGACAAATAACCAAACACCACATGTTCTCACTTATAGGTGGGACTTGAACGATGAGAACACATGCACACAGGAAGGGGAACATCACACACTGGGGCCTGTTGTGGGGTGGAGGGAGAGGGGAGGGATAGCATTTGGAGATATACCTAATGTTAAATGATGAGTTACTGGGTGCAGCACACCAACATGGCACATGTATACATATGTAACTAACTGGCACGTTGTGCACATGTACCCTAAAACTTAAAGTAGAATAAAAAAAAAAAAAGAAAATTGACTGTTTCCTGTGGCTGACTGCACACAAGAAATGTTGCCAGGAAAGAGCTATTGCACCAGGTTGGTAGCCTGCCCATCTAGCAGACAGCATTGTAGTAATTCTCAAGGTCTCCTAGAAGGTTTCTTGAAGGTGGGAGTTATCTTTGGATCTGTGTCCCCCTAGGGTCCTGCAGAAATTTCTGCTTCCAGAAATGGTGAGTTGTTTTGCTGTAGACCAATCCTCCTACCAAGAATAACTGGAAAAGCTGGATAAAATATATTTTTAAAAATGTTTGAAGGTATTATCAAGCTACCAAGGAAGTGAGGGCTTGAGTGTGGCCACGTATTAGTCCGTTTTCATGCTGCTGATAAAGACATATCCGAGACTGAGTGATTTCTAAAGAAAAAGAGGTTTAATGGACTCATAGTTCCATGTGGCTGGGGAGGCCTCACAATCACGGTGGAAGGTGAAGGGCACGTCTTACATTCTTACATGGTGGCAGACAAGAGAGAATGAGAGAACCAAATGAAAGGGGTTTTCCCTTATAAAACCATCAGATCTTATGAGACTTATTCACTACCATGAGAACAGTATGGGGGAAGCCAACCCCATGATTCAATTATCTCCTACTGGGTCCCTCCCACAACATGAGGGAATTATGGGAGCTACAATTCAAGATGAGATTTGGGGGGTGGGGCACAGCCAAACCATATCAGGCCATGACTCCAGAAAGAAAGGAGGCACAGAGGAAAGAGCCCAAAGTTCAATACTGCATTTCCTCTCAAGATACTTGCTAATTCCAAAATGGCGGCTGAGAGACTAAGAAGCTGAATAGAACTTCCTGCATGTCATGTTGCTGAGGGACAAATGTTGGTGCTCAAGTTCCATCAAGCAGAAGGGGACCTTGGTAAATATCAATGTGTCCAGTAGGGACTCTGAGGGGCTACACTCTGAGAGTAAGGGTAAACTAGAAATAGACCAGTGCTTATAAAAATGAAGTCCAGTATCAAATCTGCTCAATCCTTGATTGAATTAGTGTTATTTTCCTCTTTTCTAACTGCTTGCCAGAAGGAAAATTTAAATCCTCTGTGGAGAAAGATAACATCATCCAGAAACACAAATTATCTCCTCAAATTTTTATGCCCAATTTTAAGAATTCAATAAAAAGTTACCAGAAATATTAGGACATAAAATGACATGACTGAAAACCAGGAGCAAAAATCAGACCCTGAAGAGATCCAGATATTTGAGTTTATTAAACATGGACTTGATCTTCTTTTATCATAATTTAATTTATTCTTAATTCTTGTGTTCTGGGATTTTCCAGAATTGGGAGCTATCTCCTCAACTCGTCTAGGTTTAATCTGGGTTTTTTAAAGCAACACTATTGAGGTATAGTAAATTATACTCATATATAGTTGGATAAGTTTTGGCACGTGCATACACGTTTATAAATGCTACCACAATGAAGAAACAGAACTTCTAATCACCTCAAAATGTTCTCTCATTCCCTGTGCAATCACTTCATCCTCCTAGACCCATCAACTACTTATCTGTCTTCTATCACTATAGATTACTTTACATTTTCTGGAATTTCATATAAATTGCTTCATACAGTATATACTCTTTTGCATCTGGCTTCTTTCATTCAGCATTATGCTGTTGAAATACATCCATGTTGTTGTATTTATCAGTAGTTTGTTATTTTTAATTGCTGTATTTTATTATAAGACATGAACTTTAATTAATATGATTAAGATATATAAGACATTAGATGACTAGATAGAGAATTACAGCAGAGATCTAGAAATTATAAAAAAGTCAAATGAATATTTCAGAACTGAAAAATTCAAAAACTGAAATGAAGAATTCAATACGTGGGTTTAATAGAAGATCAGACACACTTGAAGAGAGAATTAGTGAACTAGCGGAAGGATTAGAAGAAAATACCCAGATTGAAACAAAAAGTAGAGGGAAAGATGGAAAATACTGAAAAGAATGTGTGCAACTCATATAGGACCCATTGAAAAGGTCTTTTTGATTGAGATTCCAGAGGGAGAGGAGAGGAAGAAGGAAGAGAAGCAAAATTTGAAGAGATAGTGATCAAGAATTTTCCAAAAGAGACAAAAGACATCAAGCTTTGGCTTCAAGGAGTGCCTTGAACCCCAAACAAGATGAATGCAAAGGAAACCACATCCACAAACATCTTCATAAAACTGCTAAACCCAGTGCCTTGAAATGAATTTCTGGTTAATGCAGGGCTCCTAGCTTTTGTTCATTACATTAATGCACATATGAATGAATGAATGAACAAAAGAATGAAAGAAAGCAAGGAGAGAAGGAAGAATAAAAAGATGAATCATGGAGCCTGGCTTTCTATCCAAGAATTGCCAGATATTTCAAGTTGTTTCCTAGGAAGCAGAATCTGAGAAAGAAATGAGCATATCAGAAGGTTGTTAGGGAACACTGTTGGAATCAACAACAAGGGGAGTAAAGGAAGCAAGGTTGGGCAGAAGGAGAAGTTGGGCTGTGATACAGTCTCAGTAAAGACCTCATCCAACCTCACAGTGTGCTCAGGAGCTGAGCTGGCAATGCAGAGTTGTTCTGAATTGGGACAAAAGGCACAGGTCTTTATATGACCTCACTGACCAGTATTTAGTAGTGGGCTGACCCCAAGGAGAGAGTGATTTTGGGCAAGGCTGTTTTCTTTAGTCAAGGGCAGGTACTTGGAAGGGATATCTGGATGGTGCCTCACATCTCCAGAGAAAAGAGCAGGCATAGGAACCCAGCATCCCAAGTTCTGTAGCCTTCTGAAGTTATTTAGTTATTGAACAGCCATGCGAAATAACTTAAACTCTCAAATATGTGAATGGAGAAAACGCAATTCCTCATAGGCCTTGTGGGCTGGACAGCTACTTATAGTGACTTTTGCTGATCTTTTTCTTCTCTTTTTTTCCAAATTGATTGATTGAGTCATCATTATTTAAATATTTATAAAAATATTTTCAATTTACTAGGCACTAAAAGTTCCTTCTTTTTAAAATCTGTTTTTTTTTTTTTTCGAGACAGGGTCTCACTCTGTCACCCAGGCTAAAGTGCAGTGGGTGGCATGATTATGGCTCACTGCAGCCTCAACCTCTCAGGATCAAGCAATCCTCCTCCCACCTCAGCCCCCCAAGTATCTGGGACTATGGGCGTGTGCCACCACACCTAGCTAAGTTTTGTGTTTTTTTGTAGTGGTGGGGTTTCACCATATTGCCCAGGGTGGTCTCGAACTTCTGGGCTCAAGTGACCCACCTGTCTCAGCCTCCCAAAGTGCTGGGATCTGTTTAAAATCTGTATGTATTATCTGCTGCATAACAAATTATCTTAAAACTTACTGGCTTAACAAGCAATACACATTTATTATCCCACAGCATCTATGGGTCAGGGATTTTGGAGCAGCTTGGCTGGGCAGTTTTGGATAAGTGTCCCTCATATCCAGTCAGTATGTCGCTTGGGGCTACAGTCTCATCTGAAGGCTTGACCGAGGCCGAAAGGATCCACTTCCAGGATGACACACTCATATGGATGGCAAGTTGGTGCTGGCTTTTGGCAGGAGACCTCAGTTCCTCTCTACATGAATCTTTCTATTGGTCTCCTTGAGTTTCCTTATGACATGGGAGCCCTAGTTTCACAGGAGCTAGTCACCATCTTTTCACATTGCATTGGCTCTCATCTTTGTCACTAGGTGGACATAGTAATAAGCTGATTGTGTCATAGTCATGAGCTTACTGAAGACTGAAGACTTGGAGATGGGTAGGTAATGGGGGCTGGTAGCAAAGAAAACAAAGCATTTAACATTGGTTGGCAGATGTCATCCTTCCTCAAGGTTTGAGCTAATGGGCAAGATTTAACTCCTGTGCCTGAGCTTCCCCAACATCTTTAAAGCACTACACATTTTTCTAGACAAAAGAGGAATCTGATGTGTGTGTGTGTGTGTGTGTGTGTGTGTGTGTGTGTGTGTGTAACTGAAGAGAGAAGGGAACATGCTTCCTCAGGACTCTGAGTGTGTCTTACCAGGAGAAGAGAGTGGGTGCTCACCTCTACCATCTTACAAAGATTCTTGCTCCCAAAGTGGGTAGACTAGACAGGAGAACACCCTAGGGGCCAAGGGTACCCTGGATATCTCCAGTGTGGCTGTGGTGAGAAGAGAAGGGACGGCATCCTAGGTCTCTGAAAGATAGAGCATGGAATAGATTTTCTTTTAAGACAGTTTTTTTCCCTCAACTGCCATCATTATAATCAAATTCAGTCCAAGTCTTAGCACATCAAAAAAGATGTCAGGACAAAAAACAGGGAGCAATTCTTTCCAGGCTCACATATTAATAGAGAGATAACACTCAGAGAATATCAAAGTAAATTCCAGAGGCAATGGTGACATTTCCAGAACAAACATTAGTTAAACACTTATGAACAATCGTCAAAATTATTTCACAGGCGTAAATTAAAAGGCAGTCCTGTAATGTTGATTCATTTTCCTCTCCCCAAGTTTCCACAGCTGAATGCACAAAAGTATGACAGAAAACTATTAAGGGACCTTTCTCCACATGGAGATGTCAATGGCCTCCCCTTTTATCTTCTGTTAGGTTCCTTTTTCAACCAGATTCATCATTTACTCCTAATAGTGATATTAAATTCACATTTTATCAGCTAATGAACTGGAGTTCTGAACAGCCCACCCAGGGAGATATGGTCCAGAAAGTTTCAGAGCACTTTCCATTTAGCCCAAACAAATCCAATCAATTCTTAATTATTCATTTGTATCCTTCCATGTATCTTATCCTTAGAATAAACTTTCTCTAGATTTTAGGACTCACTCCTTATTTAAATTATAAAAAGTAATTTATGCTTATTGCAACAAATTAAAACAATACACAATTATATAAAGTAAAAAGGTCACATTCTGCCACCAGAATATGTCCACTTAGAAACCAGTCTGGGTACATCCTTTTTAAGTTTTTTTCTGTACATATAGTAGTGTTCTATTTATTTAAATAATATGAAAATATGTCTTATTCTTCACCTTGCTTATTATCACCTACCACTATATTAAATATATTTTTTAGTATCAGTACATATATGTATATGGCATTAACAACATGTAATATTTCATACTGTGGATGTACCATCATTTATTTATTTGCTACCCTATTTTGCTGAACTTTTCACTGTCTCAGCACCACAATGGCTTGCATATAGATCTCTGAACATCATGCTAATTGCTTGAGCTTGCCTCAGAATACAGAGCCTGAGGCAAGGATGAAGAGCTAATACATTACTTGGGAGGTACAATTCAAGGGCATGGAAAGTGAAGGATGGAGAAGCAGGGAAAACCGTGCAAGATGATGCATTACCACACTGGCCACCACTTCACTGTGAGCCACAAAGAGACACAGCCAGTCCATTAACAGATACATCAGCTCATCCACATGTGATGTCCTTAGGATAGGCTGTGCAGAGAAACCATGCTTCAAGAATAGTCCATTGAAGAGAGGAAGGGAGAGAAAATGGATCTGCCCAACTGCTTTTTACATCCTGTCTTCCAGTGACCAAGGTTCACCCCACAGGGCATTAACTCTCCCTCACTTACAGGTTGTGTCAGCTAGCCCATGTGGCAGTAGCTCACAGAGGCCAAATCCCATGCCCTGTGGTCTCATGTTTCATCTGAGTCCAGTGCAGGAGGGGCCAGAGACTCTAGAGGTGCCACTGATCAGCCTCGGGTGGCAAAACCACATGGGTCACATGGAGTTGGGGTGCAGGGTGACAACTTAGACAGGGCCAGTAGCTGAAAGTCTGGGACTCAGCTGGGTCTGGGACTGAGGCTGGGGAATTCTGGGGAGGCCAATGGGGGAGCTGAGTCTGATACACTACTATTTCTATGTGATATAACAGAAGTAGAATTGTTAGGTCAAAATGTATGTGCATATAGAGCTTTGATAGATTGCAACAAATTGCTTTCCAGTGAGGTTACGTGGAATTACAGCCCCACTAGGGAAGTATGAGAGAGTCATTTCCTATACTGTTACCAACTCTGGATACTATCAGTCTTTGTCAGGATTTGCTAGCCGAAGAGCTGAAAAATGGTTTTGCCTTAATCTGTCTGTATTAGTCTGTTCCCACACTGATATAAAGATACTACCAGAGACTGGGTAATTTCTAAAGAAAAGAGGTTTAATTGACTTGCAGTTCCACATGGCTGGGGAAGTCTCAGGAAACTTACAATCATGGCAGAAGGAAAAGGGGAAGCAAGGTACATCTTTCCAGGGCAGCAAAAGAGAGAGAGCAGGGGGAACTGCCACTTAAAAAACCATTAGGTCTGGTGAGAACTCACTCACTATCACCAGAACAGAATGGGGGAAACTGCCACCATGATCCAATTGCCTCCCTACATGTTTCTCCCTTGAAACCTGGATTACAATTTGAGGTGAGATTTGGGTGGGGACACAGAGCCAAACCATAGCACTGCCATTATTATAGTGAGGTTCAGAATTTTTTTCATAGGTGTATTGGCCACTGGTTTTTCTTCTGCAAATTGCTTATTTGTGTATCTCAGAACAAGTTAAATTTCATATTTCCTAGCAACCTTCTGGGTTGCTTTTTTAATTTTTTCAGGGAGTACTAAGGCATTTAGATATTGTTCTGGCTGACCTTTGAAAAAGGAAACTTTCTGGCAAGAAGAATTGCATCATGCCTTCCAAAGGCAAACACAAACGTGATTTAAATTTTTTTTATTATGATGAAATATACATAACATAAGATTTACCTTTTTTTTGTTTTTGAGACGGAGACTTGCTCTGTCGCCAGGCTGGAGTGGAGTGGTGCGATCTCGGCTCACTGAAATCTCCACCTCCTGGGTTCAAGCAATTCCCCTGCCTCAGCCTCCCGAGTAGCTGGGACTACAGGGGTGCACCACCACGCCCGGCTAATTTTTTGTATTTCAGTAGAAACGAGGTTTCACCATGTTGGCCAGGATGGTCTTGATCTCCTGACCTCATGATCCACCCACCTCAGCCTCCCAAAAGTGCTGGGATTACAGGCGTGAGCCACTGCGCCTGGATGAGATATACCACTTTAACCATTTTTTAGAGTACAGGTCTATGGCATCAAGTACATTCACATTGTTGTGCAACCATCACTACCATCCACTTCCAGAACTTTTTCATCTTTCCCAACTGAAACTCTGTACTCATTAAACACTAACTCCTCATTCCCTCCTCCCCATAGTCTCTGGCAACCACCATTTGACTTTCTGTCTCTATGAATTTGACTGGACTAGGTACCTCATTTGAGTGGAATCATACAATATTTGTCCTTTTGTGACTGGCTTATTTCGTTTAGCATAATGAACTCTAGTCTCATCCATGTTGTAGCATGTGTCAGAATTTCCTTTCTTTTTAGGGCTGAAATCACAAAGGTGATTTTAAGTTATCACTGGTTAGAATTATCTCTACTTCTCCAGTAGAATAGGAGTTCCAGAAATGATTGTTATAAGAGGTTCCCAGCTGCTACTTGAGTGCTGAGCTCAGCTGTCATTTCTACTCGGGACCTGTTCTTGGCCAATCATGAATCTTGGCTCTTGAGTACCCCAGATGTCCACTCACTTTCCCCATCGTATTCCCCAAGAACATAAGCTTTCTATAATGTAAACATAACCATGCTACGTCCCATCCACTCGTCACCCTGCTGACTGATAGCAGGTAATCTGCAGTGGATACACGTGTGTGTGTGTGTGTGTCTGTGCGTGCATGTGCCTTTTCAAGTATTGACAACATTTCATGAAGCTCAGATGCACACCTTGATTTGACTGCTTTGGAAACTGTCTTAGATCCCATATCCAACCCTGGTCTTGCCACACCCAGTGTGACTTTCTAAGCTTTCTTGAGTAAATTAGAACCAATCAAGCTTCATCCAGGAGCTCCCACTTCTCCCAGAGTTCATCTCACAACTCCCAAGCCCACAGGAGTGCTGAGATTAGGAGGAAGAGAGGCAAGAGAGATGATTGTCATATTCTTTTAAAAATGAGAATCAGAACATTTTTAAGTCATTGTCATTACTATTTTAGGTTTATAGACAACAAATTTTTTTAGCAGGAGATTATTATAACTTTTATAAGGACTTAGGTGATATAATCTTAGACAGTAGCGTAAACTATGCAGCCTGTACAAATCATTGTTATTAAAACCAGACATATTTTAAAAATTAGAATTGGCAACATTGATGTATTTTTTACACAATACTATGGTTTATTGCAGAAGTAGTTTCACTAGAGTTCTTAATAATATATTGAAATATATATGTCTCCAGGGTTTTTCTCTCTCTTTATCTATCTATATGTCTGTCTGTCTGTCTGTCTCTACCTACCTACCTACTTATACATGTATTCGGAATACTGCGTGTGGGGGTTTTATTTTCTAACTGGGATCTGTTTTTTTTTTTTTTTTTGAGACAGGGTCTCACTCTGTCACCCAGGCTGGAGTGCAGTGGTGCAATCATGGCTCACTGCAGCCTTGACCTCCTGGGCTCAATTGATCCTCCCACCTCAGCCTTCCAAGTAGCTGGGACACAGGCACATGCCACCATGCCAGGCTAAATTTTTGTAGAGACGAGATATCACCATGTTGCCCAGGCTGGTCTTGAACCCTTGACCTCAAGAGATCTGCCTATCTGCCTGCCTCAGCTTCCAAGAGTGCTGGGATTACAGACGTGAGCCACCGTGCCTGGTCATAACTGGGATCATTTTTAATGGCTGCATAGTATCTCACAATACACCCTGTGTGTTATTACTCATTCTTTTATTGTTTGAAATTTGGGTTGTTTTCTGATTTGGGGGCATTTTAAACAATTCTGTTATTCTAAAACAATCTGCCCAGCTACAGAGCTTTGCGAGCATCCGTGATTATTTCCTTAGGTGGCATTTTTAGAAGAGTAATTTCTGTGTCATAAAGTGTGCTTATTTCCAAGGCTATTGAATTATATTGCCAAATTATCCTATAAAAATTTCATTGATTTATACTCCCTAAAATCCAAAAATCTTCTTACCCAGGAGGCTGAGTAATATCTAGAAAGCATACTCAGAAAAAAATATAAAAATAAGAAAACGATATAAGCAGACTCCAAGCTGCCGCCATCCAGGGTGTATCTGGGCGAGTCATGCATGCGTCCCTGTGTCTCAGTTTCTCTTTTGTGCAAAAAGGAAGTTGGGTCAGCTCAGGAGTTGGCAAGCTTTTTCCATAAAGGGACAGGTAGTAGATATTGTAGGTTTTGTGGGCCATATGGCAGTAGTTTTCAACTGGGAGTGATTTTCCACTCCTAGTGTCTGGAAACATTTTTGGCTGTCATAGCTGGGGAGAGAATGCAGTGGAATGCCAGTGGGATGGGACCAGGGATACAGCTCAATATCTTACAATGCCCAGCACCATCCTCCAACATGAGGAATCATCCAGCCCCAAACATCGCTGGTGCCACCCTTGAAGGACCCTTGAGAGCCCTGTCATATGGCCTCTGTCACGACTACTCAACTCTGCCATTGTTGTACAAAAGCAGCCACAGACAACACAAAAGTGAGCAGGTGCAACTGTGTTCCAATTAAACTTTGTTGATGGACACTGAGATTAGAATTTCATATAAATTTTCCATGTCACAAAATATGATTCTTTTAAAAATTTTTAGGCAAGCCATTAAAAATGTAAAACCATTTTAAGATTGCAGCCATACAAAAAATAAAAAATACAGGTGGCAGGCTGGATTTGGCCTTGGTGCCGTAAGTTAGCTGACCTCTGGGTTAGTTAGATTCTAATGCTTGGAGATTCTATGAGCTGGGGCAACTGATATTCTTCATGGAGCACTGATTATAGGCCAGGCACTGTACACGGATTCTGATCTTGTTTCATTTCACGTCAACCCTGTGGAACGTTGTTATCCCCATTTTAAAGATGAGAAACTTGAGGCCCAGAGAGGTGAAATAATTTGCTCAATATCTCTCAGCAACAAAGTGGCTGAGCTGGGATTTGAGCCAGGTGTGGCCCATTCTGGAGCCAGGGTATAAAATCTATAGGCCACCTGGTTCCAAAATTGTATGACCCTTCCCCAAGCCTGGATGTGTCTGTCTCAGGTTGGGGCCAAGGTGAGAAGTGGAGATGTGGTGAGGGATAGACCAAGGGGAATATGAGTAAGGGAAGGGGCTGCTACCTGTGGACAGAATATAGTGGGGAGACTCCCTAGCTGTGGACAACCTCCCAGAATTCCCTGTGCACCCCAAGTCTGAGCTATTACCCCCCAACTGTGTACAAGTCTGTTTCCACAGTGCTTAACCCTATTCATTAGCCCACCCAGAGCTCCATGCAATTTCCCATGGATGTTTTGCTGCAGAGGCCTCATGCTGTTCAGTGTGGGCCCAAGGTACTTTGGCTTTCATTGGTCCCTTCTCCATTAAAAAAGGAAAAAGGAAAAAATTAAAAATTATATTTTAAACTATGTTGGTATAAAGATCATATAATCCATCCTGGAATCATTTTGCCGTACTCATTATTATTTTATTTATTTTTTTCTTCTGTTTGTAAAATAAATGAAAATGAAAGGATTTTCATGGGCACCTATACATAGGGTGGGCCCCAGGCACTGTGCCTCAGGTGCCGATGAGAGAGGCCACTCTGATTCTATTCCCCACAGTTCTGGAAGCATGTAACAGCTGCAAAGCCCTGCATTCTGGAGCAAGTTTCTTTATTCTCTGAGCTGATATCTCCTTGTTTTAAAAATTATAATAGTGATGCCTTATTAACCCAAAGTCTGGAGGTGACGATAAAATCATCTGTGGTTTTGTACATTTGTTTGCACATTTCTTTGTTCAGTGGATATTTTTTCTTAATCGAACAGCTACTATATGGCTGATACCTCTCTGGGCACTGCGTAAGACACAGCCATGTCTTCAAGGAACCCGTGGGCTAGGCAAGCTCATATTATTGGACACCATTAGACACTTGAGATACTATTTTTGGCTCTGCTGTACAGATGAAGACACTGAGGGTCAGAGAGGTTAAGTACTGTTCCCTGTTTGTAAGCAGCAGAGCTGGAATTCAAGCCTTAATCGTTTGCTCCAATGCCTTGCTGCCTTCTCTCCACAGTTTGGTAAAAGCATCCAGTTTCCTCCCCTCAAGGGGTGGTTGTCTTACAGAGCTGAGTTGACCCCATGTGGGGCTCCATTCCTGTTGGCCGGGCTGCAGTGCTGAGGACCGGCAGGTACCTGAGCAGCAAGGAACCGCTGCTCACGCTTCAGTGGCACTGGGGACAACCAAGCCTCTTCTGTACCCTGACTCTGCCCTGCTGTCTCCAAAAGGGCACCAGTGGTGTCAGAAACCCTGTGCCCTCCTGTCACACCTGTCTGTCGGCCTCAGATCCGCAGAACCCCCAGGTTAATCTCCTGTCAGCAAAACACCTGGCACTGTCACCCCTGCTCATCAAGGCTGCTCCCTGCTCCTCTGTGCTTCCCTCTCCTCTCCTCTCCTCTCCTCTCCTCTCCTCTCCTCTCCTTTCCTCCCCTCTCCGGGAGGTCTGTGGATGCAGGCGGGGTGGTGGAGCATGAGCTCAGATAGTGCTGAGCTTTTTCTGATTCCCTCTTGGAGATTCTCCCACTGCTGGAGAAAGGGGGCCCATGGAGGCATGCAGAGTCCAGGGTTCCCAGCTCCAGCGCTGGCTGATGGGATGGAGGGCAGTGCAGACTCGGCAGTTCGGAGGCTGCCCAGTTTGGGTTCAGTTCTGGCTTTGCCTCCTACCAGCTGGGCATCTCTCTGGGCTCATTTCTTTATTTGCAAAATGCGGAATAGCTATGTCTCTTTCCCCATAGTCACGGAGAAGACTAGAGGAGGCCTCACAGCCCTTAGCACTTTGAATGCATCTAAGTTCTTATCCTTAATTCTTATTAGGGGAATTTCCTGTATATGCAAACTAGCCTTGCCCTACCTTAGTTTAATGCAACTAGGTCTTCGTTAGTGACTGCTCTGAGCCAGACAGGTCCTGGGCCAGGCCCAGGGGAGGCTGAGATGAACCAGACACGTCCCTTGCCCTTGAAGAGCTCATTGTCATTGAGCTCAATGAGCCAGTGGACAAATCACACTGCAGGTGCCCCACAGGGACAAGATCAGCTACACATGGTCCCATCACCTACAGAACTCCCCAGGGACTCCAGGGAGGTCAGAAGTCTGCGATGGCAAGCAGGAGTCTGCGTGGGCAGAGAGAATCTTTCAGTGGTCTCTTCTCTCCTAAGCCAGGGAATCTTTTTCTCCCTCTTCCCAGTCCTGTGTTTATTTGTGACTGTATCTTCACAGCCGTCATCGTTTTCTTCATTGAGGAAAACAGGGAGAGAGGGAGAGAGAGGAGAAAGGAAGGGAGGGAGGAAAGAAGGGATGAAGGGAGGGAAGGAGGAAGGTAAGGGAAGGAGAGAGTAAGGAAAGAAGGAAGAAGGGAAGGGAGGAAGAAGGGGAGGAAGAAAGGAAGGGAGGCAGGCAGGGAGGGAGGAAGGGAAGGAGGAGGGAAGGAAGAAGGGAAAGAAGTAGGGAAGAAAGGGAGGGAGGAAGGAAGGAAGGAGGAAAGAAGGAAGGAAGAAGGGAAGGGAGGAAGAAGGGGAGGAAGAAAGGAAGGGAGGCAGGGAGGCAGGAAGGAAGGAGGGGAGGGAGGAAGGAAGGAGGGGATGGAGGAAGGAAGGAGAGGAGGGAGGGAGGAAGGAGGGGAGGGAGGGAGGAAGGAGGGGAGGGAGGGAGGAAGGAGGGGAGGGAGGGAGGAAGGAGAGGAGGGAGGGAGGAAGGAGGGGAGGGAGGGAGGAAGGAGGGGAGGGAGGGAGGAAGGAAGGAAAGGAGGAAGGAAGAAAGTAGGGAAGGAAGGAAGAAGAAAGGGAAGGGAAGGAGGAGGGGAGAGGGAGGAAGGGAGGGAGGAAAGATAAGCAATTTGAAAGTCATTAGGAGTCAATCACTAAGGAAACTGTCTATATCTGCTTGAATATCAGGGCCTTAATGCTGTATTTAAACTTTTTAACTGTTGAACTTTCACCTATCCATTCCTGCATGCCAGGTAAGCCCTGTCCTAAGCACTCTGCAAGCATCTAATCACAGCATTTCCTATCAGCCATGGTCACCACCCTGGGATGTAACACTTAAGAAGAGCCCTTCTTCCTTTTATGGGTGAATCTTCCTCTCTCTGGTCCCATTGTTTCTTTCTTTGGTTTCTTTTTCTCGTTTCTGGAATCTAACTGAGGCATAAAATAAGCCGTTTGTTCATCTCCCACTTATAAGTGAGAACACGCTGTGTTTGGTTTTCTCTTCCTGCGTTAGTTTGCTGAGGATAATCGTTTCCAGATTTATCCATGTCCCTGCAAAGGTCATGATCTCATTCCTTTTTATGGCTGCATAGTATTCCGTGGTGTATATATACCACATTTTCTTTACCCAGTCTATCATTGATGGGCATTTGGGTTGATTCCATGTCTTTGCTATTGTGAATAGTGCTGCAATGAACTTACATGTACATTTATCTTTGTAATAGAATGATTTCTATTCCTTTGGGTATATACCAAGTAATGGGATTGCTGGGTCATGGACACAGGAAGGGGAACAACACATACTGGGGCCTGTCAGGGGAGGGTGGGGAAGCAGAGAGAACATTAGGAAAAATAGCTAATGCATGCTAGGCTTAATACCTAGGTGATGGGTTGATAGGTGTAGCAAACCACCATGGCACACATTTACCTATGTAACAAGCCTGTACATCCTGCACATGTAGCCTGGAACTTAAAAAATAAAATAAAAATTATGTAATGAACAAAATTAATTTAGCTCAGTATATCCTCCCTCCTGTTGAGGTTGGACATTCGTGGTCTTTGCAGCAACATTGGAGGAGCCTTAATGAACCTAAGAGCCTTCCTGGGTTGGAGAGAGTGTCCTTAACACCTGTGCCAATGAGCTGGTCACAGCCACACTCATTTAAACTCAGGATGCCCATATCTGTCCATCCACAGACACTTGGGAGAACCTTAGAACACCCCATTCCTCACAGAGGCCAAAATCCCCTGAGAGCCCAGTGAATTCATTCCATCTCTTCTTTAGAAAAAGCCACAAACATGATTACAAGAAAGCACAAGAGATTAGAATCCTTGGATATAGACTGCAAATATTTTTTGCTTGGCTCAGGTAATTCATTTTTCCCCTGAATTAGTTGCTAATATTTAAAAATTGAGAAATTTTATATAAAAATCTGAATTTCTGGCTTCTCTTGGAAAAAGAATGAGAAAATGCAGTGGCCCTGGACCCTCATTCTTGCTTGGCCACAATGAACTAGAGCTGAGCAGCGGGCCACCTCCGTCAGATGGGTGCATAGTTTCCAACTTGCTGCAGTCCCACTCTTCCTGTAGCATCTCCAGTAGTGAGGCAAAATGCCACATACCAACCTAGCATGACATGCACACTGCAATTTTTATATATTATATAAAAGATTATATATAGTTGAATTAACATATTCATTAACAATTACCTGCATCTCTGCTTCTATAAAAATTAGGAAAACTGTGGGTAGATGGAGAGGATCCCCCTTTATCATGAAAAAACTTGCCTTTTTATTGTCTAACTTGTCTGTTTCATTTTTCTAACTCTTAGGCATTGAGATTTCTTACCCTTGCTCTAGGACAAGGAGTAGCAAACCGTGTGGAAAACAGTTTGGTGATTCCTCAAAAAGTTAAACTTTGAATTACCATACAACACAGCAATTTCACTCCTAATTCAATTCTTATGTACCCAAACGAATTGAAAACAGATTGTCTTTTCTTTTTTCTTTTTGATTTGGAAAGGAGAGTTTTATTTTTCACAAAGCTTTGCAGCCGGCAGGGTGGCCATTCTGACATGCTGGGAAGTGTAGCCTCCAGTCAAAAGCTGGAAACAGACACTTCAAGGGAGAAGTAAAGGGAACAGGAATTTATGCTGAGTGGGGTGGCCGAATATACCTATTCAATAAGCTTAGGAGGAGTCATGAATATTTATGAAAGGAGAACTGTGCACATGTGCAGCTGAGCCGCATGCCCCTTCAAGGGTCCCATGTCAAAAAAATGGCGGTGTTTGATCTGAAGGTAGAGTTTTTGGCCCTCTGATGTCAATAAGTGAAGCAGAAGACATGGAAACCCCAATGTGCATTCTCCATAGACCAGGCAGAACCACTCCATGGTTGGTGATCTCTTTTCAGGAAGAAATGTTAGTTGGTTGCTTTGTTGAAATTGCAGAGGGAGGGGGCAGCAGCCAGATGGTTGATATCAGCAGTGGAGTCTGAAAGGGCTGGTTTCTGTTTAGCCCTTAGGGAAGAAAGCCTAAGACAGTTAGCAAGCCAGGAGTTTTAATGAGGCGTGTCTGACCTCCCATCCTGTCCTGGCTGAGAACTCAGTTTTCAAGGTTTTTTTGGGGGGTCCCCTTGGTCAAGAGGGAGTCTGTTCAGTTGGTTTTGGAGAGGGTTAGAATTTTCTTTTTATTTCTCATTTTGCCCCTTTTGGCCAAGTTTTGCCAGAGGCAGCATTGATGGCTAAACTTCTATTTCATCCCATATCATTGCTGGGGTGGTGTGGCTGCCTGCCCTGGGTCCTTCCTGGCCCTTGGTGGGTTCCCTATGACCAACGGATTTAGAGCCAAAAGACTAACAGCCAATTTAAACATTCCAGGCCAGACAGGAAGGGCGGTGGGCAGGCACTCATCAACTCTGAAAACCTTTTCAGCAATGTAAGAGACAAAAATCAAAGCCAAAAACAAGGTTACAAAGTTGACTTATCTGTAAGTTCTGTGCATAGGGCTACTGTAATCTTGGTTTCAGTTAGACTTGTAGCAATTAGCTATATAAAACATTGGCTAAAATCACTTAAGCTAAGGAGGTTGGAGACTTTTGTTGTGTAAGGAAGTTAGGGATTTTTGTTGTGCTGCAATGCTTTTTGAAATCACTTTAGTAATTTGTGCTAAGGTGGCTGAAAAATTTCTTATCATATTTCTATTTGCATAAATCCCATAACTTGAAACAACTATACCCAGAAGGCTCTGTCACCAGGTATCTTGATATCCTCTTGGTAATTCTCTTAATTCTATGGAAAGTAGGAATTTTTCCATGATTGAGATGGATGGAAAAGAGGCCACATAATGGCCAAGGAAGCAAAGTTCCTCAATTTGCCAGCTGTTTAGGCATCTGTGTGCCCATCCTCGATTTGCAGACTGAACTAATTCTATCCCTTGAAACCAGCCCTTACAATCTCAACACCCACCCTTTCCAAGACAGTTCCTGGGCCTAGAGGGAGGGTGCTTCTATATAGTTTTAGCAACAGGGCTTTGGCAATGAAAAAGAGCTCAGGCCCAGTGGGGTTCCAAATAAGGGAGGTTTGCAAGCTGCATCAAATCATTTCTAGTCTTCAGAATGCCATAATTCTGGGGAAATAGGTTTTCAAACAAATACCTATACGCAAATATTCATAGGAGCATATTCATAATAGCAAAAAGGTAGAAACAACACAAGTGCTCATCAACAGATGAGTGGATAAACAAATGGTGCTGTGTGGGTATGTGTATCACACAATGAAATATTATTCAGCCATAAAAAGGAATCAAGTACTGATACATGTTACAATATCGATAAACCTCAAAAATACTATACTTAGTAAAAGAAGTCAGATGCAAAATGCCTCATATTATGTGATTCCACTTAAATGAAATATCCTGAATAGTAAAATCCATGTAGACAGGAAGCAGATTGGTAATTCCAGGGACTGGGAGAAGCTGGGGTGGGAGGAATGAGGAATGATCGCTTAGTGGGTACAGGGTCTCCTTAAGGGCTGATGAGATAGTTTGGAACTATACAGAGGTGATGTTTGTGCACCACTGTGAACGTGTTAAAGGCAATGGAATCACACACTTTTAAATGGTTAATTTTATTTTATGTGAATTTTGCTTCAATTGAAAGCAAAACAAAAAAAACCTGGCCCACTGCCTGTTTTTATACAGACCACAAGCTAAGAGTAGGTTTTTACATTTTTAAGTAAGTGGAAAAAAAGCAAAAGAAGAATATCTAGTGACACAGGAACATTACATGAAATTAAATTTTAGTGGCCGTAAATGCAGTTTTATTGGAAAACAGCCATGCTCATTCATTTGCATACCGCCTATGGCTGCTTGCATGTGATCACAGCAGAGTTGAATAGTTGGGACGGAGACTGTATAGGCCGCAAAGTCTAAAATAGTTACTATCTGGCACTGTACTGAAAATGTTTGCTGGGCCTAGCTCTAGATCCTTCCCAGCCAGATGATGGAAGTCAGGTGGGAATTCTGGAGAGACTGGAAGGTTGGCAGGCTCTTGTCTGGAGGCAGAGAGTTGGACAAACAGGCTGCCTTTGATATTAGGTGTATTGGTCTCCTAGGGCTAATGCCAAAATTACTGCAAACTGGGTGGCTTAGGACAACATTTATTCTTTCACAGTCCTGGAGGCTAGAAGTCCAAAAATCAAGATGTAGGCAGGGCCATGCTCTCTCCGAAGGCTCTAGGGGGGGGTCCTTCCTTGCCTCTCCCAGCTTCTGGTGGTGGCCAGCATCCTTGGCATTCACTGGCTTGTAGATGCTTCACTCCAGTCTCTGCCTCCGTGATCTCATAGTGTTCTCCCTATCTGTGTTCCCGCATCCTCTTCCCTCTGTGTGGGTCTCTGTGTCCATTTTCCCCTGTGCTGAGAAGTCTTGGATTAGGGCCCACACGAACCCAGGATGGTATCATCTTAACTTGATTATATCTGCAAAGACCCTATTTCCAAATAAAGTCACATCTGGAGGTTCCAGGTGAATGTAAATTTTGGGGAAGGACACTATTTAATCTAGTAATTAGGTACCCCCCCCCCCAAGATCTTGGATTCTAAACAAGTAAGCACAGACAATTTATGTCTTGTCAGATGCACTCGGAGGCTGAGTAGAAATGAGCAGAGAGAGACAAATATCAGCTAAGCACCTACTAAGTGCTAGGCACTGTTCTAAGCACTTGGTTGATCCTATGAGGAACTTAAGAACTTGCCCAAAGTTTTATAGCTGACAAGTAGCAGAACTAGGATGCCAACCCCAGCAACTAGACTCCAGATGCTCATGTAATCCTACAGCCACCAGGCACGGTTGCTACTTAAATTCTCATACTGCAGGTAAGTAAGTAAACAGTCTTAGAGGGGGCAAAAGACTCATCCAGGGGCAAAGCTGAGATGTGACTTCAGGACAGTAACCTCGCTCTTTCCGGAACATAGGAGTCCCCAGCCCCCACTCGACCCCCATGCCTTTACCATTTCTTCCTTGCAAGTACAGAGAACATCTTTTGCCTGCCCTCTCCCCAGGGTGATATCTAGGGATGAAAGAAGCTCACAGATGCAAAAAGAGTCATCTGGAAGCTTTGAGTGGGGTTTGGAAAACCATGAGCTGGCTCTAAGCATTCACCCATGAAAACACCTTTCAGCCTTTAGAGAATCAAGGTCCTATTGACAAAGTGCAAAGATGTTGACATTCCCTTGGAGGCTGTACTTGCTGCCTGCTCCAAGGTAAGAGGCATAGATCAGGCCTGTGAATGTGCTTCTTTAGGAGTTCATCAATCCTGCCTTTGTTTTGTACATAAGCGAGAATGATCACATTGAACAAATCCATCATTAGGCTGTGTTCCTTTCTACAAGAATAGGAACGCCAGGTAAAGGAGACGGAGGGCGTGGTCCAGGGACGCATTCAGAGCCAAACTCTGTGGAAAATGGGGGCAGGTGTCAGAGCACAGTGGCTCTGAAAACACGTCTGATTGCCTCTGCACCCATCCATCAGGCCTGGATTCGACACCTCTTCCTTTCCCCACTGACTATCAATCCCATGGCTTTTGAAAAACCTGGGAAGATTGCACGTTAGGATTTGGTTTGCTGACTTTGAGAACTGGCAACCTGGGACTGCTTTGTGAATTTGTTTTCCTCCTGGAGGGTTGCAATCAGACCGTCTTTGAGCACTGGCCCTGAGTTCCTTTTTGGGCTCAGACCCATTTCTCAATGATTAGCCAGGATTGGCCATTTTGTCCTTAGGTACAAGGCTGAGTCACTACAGCTGGGAGTGGTGGCTGCTCTGAGAGCTTGCTGGTCACTCAAAGAAGACAATGAGCCATTTGTCTGGTAGAACCTGTGGCAGCTTGACCGACCTGGGAGGGCTACAGGAGTGACAGGCTTAAGCACTGTAGTACCCAGGCTTGCTCCAGGTCTGAACAATATTAGGTGGGATCTTTTGTGATATTTCCTTGTTCCCCGTCTCCTTCCGTTGTCTCCCCCACCATGGTCACCGTTCAACCCACCTGCTTAATAAATAGTTGGCAGTACAGTTAAGAGCTTTAAGATATTGGAGTCTTCTTCAATGATCTCCCTCCTTCTTGTGCATTCTTGATATGTTTGATCTAGGGCAGTGGTTTTCAGTCTGGGGAAATGTTGCCTCTCCACCCCCAGGGACATTTGGAAATGTTTAGAGATATTTTTCTTGGTCACAGCTTAGGGAGGACAGTGCTTCTGGCATCTAGTAGGTAAGAGGCCAGGGATGCTGCTGACTGTCTTACAATGCACAGGACAGCCCCCACCAGAGAGAATGGAGTAGCCCCAAATGTCAACAGTGCTGAGGTTGGGAAATTCTCGATTTAGGTCAGTGGATCTCCAAGTTCAGTCCCAAGAGGAGTGCCATTAGTATCATTCATCTTCTAGAACTTGTTAGAAATGCAGATGCTTTGTCTCACTGAATCAGCAACTCTGCGGGAGGAATCCAGCAATTGACGTATTAACAACCTATCCTTCCCCCAGGAATCTGATGCGTGAAGTTTGGGAACCAGTGACCTGGAGTCATTAGTGCTGTTAAGGGCCAAGAGGGGCAGTTGCAGGTGGGGGTCTCATTAAATGGCTGAGATGCAACTGACTTTGGAGTCCAGCTTCTCAATCCCTATCGTGTTTCCATCCCATTTGAAGTTGTGTCAAATCATTAAGTTGGCACACAAGTTATTGCAGTTTTTGCCATTATACAAATAGCTAACACTCAACATCAGTGCCTCTTATCAGTCTGAGAGGCCAAATCATTTTCTAGGTAAATTAAAACACTGGTAAATGACTGTTACAGGTGAGAGCATGCCTTTGTTTTTTTCTGGTGGCGCCTTCCCTTGTGGACTTAGTAGATTAAATTGTTTATTTCCAGGAAAGGTCGGGGAGGACTTTATTTGTTTTGATTTTCATGAAATATTGAATCTTATTCACAGATATTACCAGGGCAGACCCATCACTTCAGGCTGCTAGGTCACATACAGGATAAACAGACTTTTTTTTTTTTCCTGTGGGAAATTCCTGAAAAGAAAGTAGCAAGAAATTCCTTGCTTCTCTGCAAAGGGCATGAATATACTGTTCTCAAAATAAGATATACATATGAAAAAATGCTCAACATCACTAATTATCAGGGAAATGCACATCAAAACCACAATGCAATACCACCTTACTCCTGCAAGAATGGCCATAATAAAAAAATTAAAAAATAATAGATGTTGGCATGGATGTGGTGAAAACGGAACACTTTTATACTGCCAGTGGGAATGTAAACTAGTACAACCACTAGGGAAAACAGTAAGGAGATTCCTTAAAGAACTAAAAGTAGAACCACCGTTTGATCCAGCAATCCCACTAGAGAAGTCATTATATGAAAAAGACACTTACACATGCATGTTTATAGCAGCACAATTCGCAATTGCAAAAATATAAAACCAAGCCAAATGCCCATCAATCAACAAGTGGGTAAAGAAAATGTGGTATACGTATATACACCATGGAATACTACTCAGCCATAAAAAGAAATGAAATAATGGCATTTGCAGCAACCTGGATGGAGTTGGAGACCATTATTCTGAGTGAAGTAACTCAGGAATGGAAAACCAGCTATTGTATCTTCTCACTTATAAGTGGGATCTAAGCTATGGGGATGCAAAGGCATAAGAATGATATAATGGACGTTGGGGACCCAGAGGGAATGGGAGGGAGCTGAGGGATAAAAGACTACACATGGGGTGCAATGTCCACTGCTTGGGTGATGGGTGCACCAAATTCTAGAAATCACCATTAAAGAACTTATCCATGTAACCAAAAACCACCTGCCCCCAAAATATATTGAAATAAAAAAAGAGAAATTCCCCACTCCTCGTGTTGAGAAAGTTACTGAACTTCTCTGATCTGCGGTTTTCTCTCCTGTGAAATAGGAGATAGTCCTGAACCCTCAGGTTGCTGTGAGGATCCTGGACATAGAACACCAGGCATGGAATAGGAGCTTGATAAATAAATGTCCATTTATGCATGTTATTTGAAAGAGTTGGGAAGTATTAGGTTGGTGCAAAAGTAATACTAGGTTGATGCAAAAGTAACTGGTGAATATTTAATACTTGGCTACGTTGGTTTCCTGTTGCTGCTGCCACAAATTATCATAAAATCAGTGGCTGAAAGCAACACAAACATATTTTTTAATCATTCCGGAGGTCGTAATTCCAAAACAAGTCTTGTGGGGCTGAAATCAGGCCATTGGCAGGGCTGCTTCCTTGTAGAGGCTCTCCGGAAGAATGAGCCTCTACATCTTTCCCATCTTCCAGAGGCAGCGCTTCTTCCTTGGCTCATGGTTTTGCCTCACATTTTCTCCCTCTTCTTCCTTTGCTCCTCTTGCCTCTCTTTCATAAGGATCCTTATAATTATATCTCAGGCTCACCTGGATAATCCAGGAGGATTCCCCATCACAAGATCTTTTATGTAATCACATCTTCAAAGTCCCTTTTGCCATATGAAGTATTATGTTGGTGTGAAAGTAATTGCGATTTTTGCCATTACTTTCACACAAACCTAATAACAGTCACTGATTCCAGCGATTAGCACCTGCAATCTTTGGCGGGGCTGGGGCATTATTCAGTCTACCACAGTGACTAAAGTCATTAGCCACTCTGTAAATAAACTCCTCAGGTCACCAAGGAAGAAGGATTGGCTTTGGCCCAAGAATTCAGCTGTCTCTTGTTTGAGACATCTGCTGCACACCACTACTACATTGATGATATTTTCCATGCCCTTGCACGGGAGATACGTAGGAAAGAAAAAGAAGGCAGCACTGGCCATGGAGAAAAAAATCTAAGCCCAAAAACGGTGTATGGAAGAGGCTAAAATCACCATTCCAGAAAAAGAAAGATTCAGTAACTTGAAGGGAAGATATGAAGTGTTTATCTGCGAACCACAGTGCTTTGTCAAAGCAGTCCAGTAATGCAGTGCTTTATCAAAGCTATAGTGAGCATGGTGCTTGCTCTTCCTCCTGTTATGACCCTTATTTTAGCAGTAACTGATTAGAGGGACATGCCTACTAGGAGATTTTAATGATGTGGTCTTTAAAGTATTGTTTCTTAGTTAATCATGATTCATAAACCCAGTGGGGCATTGTCTATTTTTAAATTGCCACATTAGAATTTGATCTAGCAATGTTTTGGGTTCTGTTGCGCTGATGTTAATTAATTAATGTAAATTTGTTTATACCCAGGAGAATGTGTAAAATAAATACGCAAATAAATAAATAAATGACTCGTTTGTAGGAGACCCAATAGTGAAAAGGCCCTGACACTGTGTTTCGCTACGAGGTGATGTCTGGGTAGGTGTTCGTTGGTGCGTTATGGCAGGTGGGAAGTGGCAGACACTACCCATTGGTTGTCAGAGTGAGATGCCTGGTGATGTGGTTTGGCTGTGTCCCCACCCAAATCTCATCTTGAATTGTAGCTTCCATAATTCCCATGTGTCATGGGAGGGACCCGGGGAGAGGTGATTGAATCATGGGGGCAGATCATTCCCTTGCTGTTCTCTTAATAGTGAATAAGAATCATGAGATCTGATGGTTTTATAAAGAGGAGTTCCCCTACACACATTCTGTCTTGCCTGCTGCCATGTAAGACGTGCCTTTCGCCTTCCGCCATGATTGTGAGGCCTCCCCAGCCATGTGGAACTGTGATTCCATCAAACCTCTTTTTCTGTATAAATTACCCAGTCTCAGATATGTCTTTATTGGCAGCATGAGAACAGAGGGGAGGGGAGGGGAGGGGAGGGAAGGGAAAAAGGAAGGGAGGGAGGGAAGGAAAGGAAGGGTAACTGGAGAAGCTCCAGGGGCTCAACTGATGTGTCAGCCCTTCTTTCCTATGTCTTTGCCTGAAGCAATCACCATGGTCAGAATGCTGTGGCCTTACCAAGCCTTGGTCAAACACCCTCTTCTGAGACTGGAAGGGACTCAGCCTGCTGTGGGACATTGGAACGGTAGTTTCCCAGTGGAAAATCAGGCTGCTGCTACTTTCTTCAAAAGTAACTGATAAGAGGGACAGGCCTACTAGGAGATTTTAATGAGGTGGCCTTCAAAGTATTGTCTGTCAGTTAATTATGATGTATTAACCCAGTGAAGCACTGTCTGCTTTTAAATGGTCACATTAGAATTTGATCTAGCAGGGCCGGGCGCGGTGGCTCACGCCTGTAATCCCAGCACTTTGGGAGGCCGAGGCGGGTGGATCATGAGGTCAGGAGATCGAGACCATCCTGGCTAACAAGGTGAAACCCCGTCTCTACTAAAATACAAAAAATTAGCCGGGCGCGGTGGCGGGCGCCTGTAGTCCCAGCTACTCAGGAGGCTGAGGCAGGAGAATGGCGTGAACCCGGGAAGCGGAGCTTGCAGTGAGCCGAGATTGCGCCACTGCAGTCCGCAGTCCGGCCTGGGCAACAGAGCGAGACTCCGTCTCAAAAAAAAAAAAAAAAAAAAAAAAGAATTTGATCTAGCAATGTTTAGGGCTTTGTGGCACTGGTGTGAATTAATTAGTATAAATTTGTTTATACCCAGGAGAATATGTAAAATAAATAAGTAAATAAATAAATAAACTCCTTTGTAGGAGACCCAATAGTGAAAAGGCCCTGTCACTGTGTTGGACTACAAGGTGATGTCTAGCTAAGTGTTTTGAAGAAAGAGGAGTGAGCTCTGAGCTTGTGCGTGTGTCCAGAGCCATAGAGCTCTGTCCCCTGGATGGGCTGGGAGGGTCAAGCTCTGCCTCTCCTTTCATGGTGACTGAGCCTGTTTTTAGATCTGTCCATGCATTTAATGGATTGTATCAGGCGATGGAGATCTAGGTCCTTCCCTGTCTTTCTGGGCAGGGATTTCCAGTTAGGCACTGTTGACATTTGGAGCTGGACAGTGTTCTGTTGGAGGAAGCTGTTCTGTTCGTTTGTAGCATCCCTGGTCTCTACCCAGTAGATACCAGTACCACTCCTCCCCCTCAAGTTGTGACAACGAAAAATGTCTGCACACATTGCCAAATGTCCCCTAGGGATCAACAGGGCTCACGATTGAGAACTGTTGCTCTAGGTTAACTTTGTTTATGTGTTGGGGTTGGGCTGGTTTAACTCTTGTTGCGGGGGAATTCCTTCCTTATCTCCAAGTTCTTGGGGGTATGGGGACTCTCTGTATCCTCCTTCTACTGATAACACCTCTCACTGATAAACCATGGCCCTGTTGCAGCAGAGGTATCCTGCCCCAGAGGTCTCACTTTCAGGGATGCAATCAGCACCTGTCACAACCCTGTCGCCTCAGCAGGCTTCCTGGCCTCACTTGGGATGCTTCAGAAAGACTGGCTTTGGAATATGGACACCCAGTCTTGAACTTATATATTATTTATCACGAGGCTGTCCCCACCATGTCTGCAAGCTACAGACAGTGTGACATCTCTTCGGATGGCACTTTAAGTCTCAGGAAACTGAGAGAGAGGCAGTCTATTGCCTGAAGTCCAGAGCCCCACGATGCCTGGTGTCTTGGGTTTTTGAAAACCTGGCTGGGGTCTTTGGCAGCAAGCTTGTCTGGTCTGTCCCCGAGCAGTCCATCCAGGCAGTAAATTCCACAGAATGGTTCTGTAGGGGGAACTTCTCAGCAGCCCTTTGTTCTGTGGACAATTAACTTCCGCTGAACATTAACTAGAGAGTGGCTACATAATGAGAAACATCATATTTCCATCAGGGGAGAATTTCAGCTCAGACAACTCCGATGGCTCTGATTTAAGATCCATAAACTCAGTTCAAGGCGATAAATATGTAAGTAATTGATGATGTAGTGTGTGAGGAACTTAAGACCCATCCATCACACCCAGGCAGGCAAGTGCTGTGGACACGCTCTGAGAACAGGATGATAGAAGGGGAATAAATGGTCAGAAGGACCTAGACAGTTCTGTCCTCTGCATAACTCACTGCAGCTTCTCTCTACAGTCATGGCTTCTTTCCCAAAGGAGCCTCTTCCCATATTTTGTCTTCTCCAGCCAGGAAGAGAGACAGCTAAGAAAAGCTAAAAACAAGCAGCTGAATTGCTCTAGGGGCCATCCGCCTCTTAATGCACACCTACTATTGCCAGGTACCTGCTTCATTTCCCAGTGTCTGATCCTCAGGTAAACCCTGCAAGATGGATTTCATTGCCCCCATTTTACAGAGGAGGAGATGCACAGAGGGAAAGAGTCAGGTGACAGAACACACAAGCACAGAGCTAGAATTCTGACTCAGGCCCGCATCTGTAAATTAATTCCATTTTGCACATTCCAACTCGGGCAAAAGAGGGGGTTTGTGTCCCCCTAGTTGCCTGGACTTGGGAACATGCAATCCACAAACAAGTCTTCACCAGTTTCTGGGTCCAAATGTCAAGCCCAACTTGCAGATTCCAGGCTGTGGTCTGCGTGTCTCCCATCTCCCCCTGCCCTGCACCTATCAAGCTACTGCTGTTTCTGTTGGTTTATTTCAACGTGAGGCCATTTACAATGGAAATTGATGGAGCACAGGGCTGGCTGTTTTTCTCCCTTCGCAGGGACATTTGTGGTGATGGCAGTGTGGGGCCTCTGTCAGCTCTTGTTTTGTCCTCGTTTAAGTCCGAGCCAGGCAGGGGAAGCCAGCTTTGAATTAGCATTTTCCTTTGGGTCAAGGAGACAGTCCTGTATCTATGTGGGTTGAGATGGCTCTGCACCGCTAGCCAGGCCCCATGCTTCTCCAGGTCTCCAAGCTGCCTTTGCACATGCTCAGGGCTGCTCTCCTCTTTCCAGACCATGTTCCCCTCCTCTTTCCAGATCATAGCGGTAAAATTATATCAAGGGGAAATTTGAAGGGAAGGTTTGGGGGTGGGGCCAGGAAAGGGAAGAAAGATAAGTTTTCAAACATGTCTCATCTTTAGATTCAAATGAAGATTGATAATTAATGACACTCCCCTCTCTGATCCATGGGATGTGTCTTGTGCCCCACCCCCCGATTGGCCACCAGTGTCCCCACACCCCTTGCCCTACCCGACCTAGTGTTACCATCTTAGATTCTCCATCCATCATCCCCACAAGGAAGATAATTACTCCTGTGGCACCCAGGTCTCCCATTGTTTGGTTACAAGGTTAAAAATCCCTGACGCACTTTAATAAATTCAGCAGTGAGCACATTATGAAACTGTAATTAAATGCCTCAGCCATCTTTTCTTTCTTTACCGGCAATGAAACTTAATTGAGGCCATCTGAGAAAGGCTGAAATAAATCACAGGTGATGACTCTAGGATTCGCATTTCTCACTGGGAGAGGGAGGGATGTTATCACTGTCCACACATTTGATTTAGAGCAAATTAAGGGGATCCTAGCTTGATGGTTACCTGCCAGGTCTCAGACACCAGGTGGTGGTGGTCTTTTCAAAAAGGGGAAAGTGGGCCAGGCACGGTCGCTCATGCCTGTGATCCCAGCACTTTGGGAGGCTGAAGTGGGAGGATCACCTGAGGTCGGCAGTTAGAGACCAGCCTGGCCAACATGGTGAAACCCCATCTCTACTAAAAATACAAAAATTAGCCAGTCGTGGTTGTGGGTACCTGTAATCCCAGCTACTAAGGAGGCTGAGGCAGAAGAATCACTAGAACCTGGGAGGCGGAGGTTGCAGTGAGTGGAGATTGCTCCATTGCGCTCCAGCCTGGGTGAGTGAGACTCCATCTAAAAAAAAAAAAAAAGTTGGGGGGAAAGCGATTTTGAGGGTGAGTATGTGAATATTAGAATAAATACATTAATATATCTTCACTAGATCCTGAAGGTTTTTCTAGTTTAGTATAACCTTTTTTTTTTCGAGACAGAATCTCACTCTGTTGCCCAGGCTGGAGTCCAGTGGCACAATCTCAGCTCACTGCAACCTCCACCTCCTGAGTTCCAGCGATTCTCATGCCTCAGCCTCCCAAGTAGCTGGGATTACAGGCATGAGCCACCACACCCTCCTAACTTTTGTATTCTTTTTTTAGTAGAGATGGAGTTTTGCCATGTTGGCGAGGCTGGTCTTGAACTCCTGACCTCAAGTGATCCGCTCACCTCTGCCTCCCAAAGTGCTGGGATTACGGACGTGAGCCACTGCATCATTTTTTTTTTTTTTAAGCAGGGGTGGGACCAGGTGGAATGGGTGATGGAGGAGAGTGATGGTGACAACTTTCCTGTGATGTTGTCCCTCACATCCTCTCCAATGTCCTACCTCTAGCCGCCACATACCAGCCCTTCATCTGCTTTGCTGCCATTGGTGCAGTGCCCTCACCACTCACTGGTCCTACCAATATCAGCTGCTACCTGGAGACACTCCTAGCAGGGCATCTCCTATCTCTATCTCATCCGTCACCACCACCACTGCCTCCAATTGTAACTTAGAGAGAAGACTCCCCCAGGTCTCAGCTATGTCGTGCCGCTTTATCAGATGCAGGGGCATTTCTTCCTCTTCTGCCTGGGATCAGCATGTTCCTTCCCCTGGAGGAAGACTCCTCCAGGTCTTCTCTCTGCTTTGATAGAGTGACAACTAGAAAATCAAATTCTTTAATCCAGACAGAAGCAGTGAGAGGAAAGAGTTAATTTTTCTTTTCCTCTGCCCCCATGAGTTGACCCAGATTTCAGAAGTTGCATGTAGAGACATTGCCCCCTCATGGACTATTCTACGAAGAGACAGTGAGGGGTTGAAAGAACACAGTCTTGGGCTATCATCTTGACTGGGCTGCTTGCATGTCCTCCTTTTCTGGCTCTTCTCTTCTGCAAAACGGGGATCAAAACAATGCACCTCACAGGGTGCTAGGATTAAGTGGGCAGTGGGGTGACACAAAGTGGTTATACGTATTTTGGCTTGGAGACTACAGACCATTTGTGTAAGGATTCCTACCATGTAAGTGGCAGAAGGGGATCTTGAATCCTGGTCTTCTGGCTCCATGGAAAAAATCTTTCTGCTGATTAGCCAAGAAAATGAGTTTCATAGCTCTAAATCAGGACTTGGCACACTTTTTCTTTAAAGGGCCAGGTAATAATTATTTTTTGTTTGGTGGACCATACTGTCTCTGTTACAACTACTCCTGTTGTCATAGACAGTGTGTCAATGAGTGGGTGTGGCTGTGTGCCAATTAAACTTTATAAAATTAGACAATGAGTTGAATTTGGCCTGAGGGTCAAGTTTGCCAACTCTGGCACTAAGTCATAGTCCGTACAGAGCTTTGTCATGTTCTAACTGATGTGTTAAATTCAAGAGGCAGAGTGATGATGACAGTGACAAAAACAATAATAACAATACTACATCAGGCACTTGGCAGAGCACTGTTCCAATTATATCACCCCACTTAATCCTCCTACCAATCTTATGAGGGAGATACAATGACCACTTTTTTTATAGGAGAAACCGAGCCTCAGAAAAGTAAGAGTACCAAGATCCCATAGCTCGTAAGTGGCAGAGCTGGTGTTTGTCACAGGTGTGCTCACGTCAAAGCCCCATGCTCTCTCTCCCACACTGCACTGGGCAAGTTGATTGCCCTTGAGGCCCTTCCTGTTCAGAAATAAAGTATGCTACTCTGTCTCCAGAGGAGGTCCACACTCAAGGTCTTGTCTCTAACTTAAACTCCACACATGCATGAATTGCATTGACCCTAATACTTGCATTCCTGCAGTGGACAGGAACTGAGGCCATAGTCTCAATAGCTTAGCCATTGCCCATTGTTTTGTCTCAATGTCATGGGAGCCCCAGGAAACTTCTCTGAAATCCCTGTATATGATCTCTTCCATCAAGAATCCTTGCTCACCCCTAGCATCTCTTATCACTGTCAGTCCCCTCTGCCTTATTTCTTCCCCGATGACATGAAACCAAAGCCCACCCTGGTCTATGCACTCACCAGTTTCAAGGGATTCCAGGGAAGCCTCCATAGCCATCAAGGGCCCCAGATGATGATGTTTGGATCTTGGGAGGTGAGTTATCATTGTTTCAGGGAGAAAATTATGTCCAACTCCATGAAGAAGCACTTGGCCCTGAAGCATCATGGAGCTGTAACCTTTAGAAACTGCACATAATTAAAATACTTTCAGATCTGATATATTTGAGTTGGATATTAAAGCAAATAGAGTTATCCTCTGCTATGTGAATGATATCATGAGCAGCTTTAGTCTAGGATTGGTTGGCGCCTTGGATAAATCAGTGGGATTTTAGCTGGTGACTGGCCTGTGACTCCAAAGAAAAGTTTAATGATCTAAGTTTTATTAGTTTCAGTTACCTTTAGGCCCAATGAATTTGCTAGTTGATTTGAATGCAACACCTCTGCTGAGTTCTCACTCAGTCTGTCATGTCCCTGGGCTGGAAGCTTAAGGGCAGTTTGGAACTTCCAGTTCCTT
Source organism: Homo sapiens (assembly GCF_000001405.40). Taxonomy (NCBI): domain Eukaryota; kingdom Metazoa; phylum Chordata; class Mammalia; order Primates; family Hominidae; genus Homo; species Homo sapiens. The sequence continues at coordinate 117,589,459 of NC_000012.12, read as the reverse complement.
TGTGGTATTTCTGAGGATGAGCTCTTGGGTTCAAACCTGAGCTTTAGCACCTAAAAGGGAATTATGGAGACTAAGTGAAATAATACAACTAAATCACATAATCTAGGTCCCACTGGGTAATAGGTGCTTAATAAAAGTTAGCTATTATTTTTAATAATATTATGTGCTCAGAGGTCTTTATCTCCATGGAAACATTTAGGGTAGAGTAGCTCCTTATTTATCCAACAGGGTTTAGCGATTCAAAGACTGCAATAAACTATTTCTTGTGGTCCTTTTCAACTCTAGACTGGCATGGCTTTTAAGATAATTTTTACATTTATCTCAGAAGGGGACATGGTATGGAGCTGGATAGAAGGCTTTAATTTTATAGGAAACTGGGTTCAACTCTAGAGTTCATGATATTTGGTGAACTTTAGCTATATGACTTTGAACAATTTAGTTATCCTTACTTTCCTTATCTGTAAACTATGGATACAAACTCATAAGATTGTGTGGATTAAATGAAGACATAGCTGCAAGATACATACGGTAAATATGTCTGAGCATTGCTCTCATGCTCAGAATACTCTGTGTGCATTATCCCACTTAGTCTTCAAACAACACAATGAGGTACAGTGGGCACTGATATTTACTCACAGTTTTTGCCTGAGAACACTGAAGCTCATGGGGTTGTCACTTGCCCAAAGACACACAGCAGGTCACATCCCACATCTACCTCAATTTGCCATCTGTGAAACAGTTATAATGTGTACTTTCTTCCCTACCACACAGAGTATTTTGAGGATAAATAAGTTCAGATTTGCTCTGAGTCTGATAAAGTTATCTCTACGATCTCTCAGGGCCATGTAAGTTTCTCATTAATCGGAAAAACACCAGGTTCAGCCAGGACTTGACTATCGGTCCATTCATTTGTTCATTCATTCATTTGTCCATTAAACACACATTTAATATTCTTAGAGCAGATCCTGAGCTCAACACTTGGGGATACAGTGACAGATGAGACCCAGGCCCAAACCCCAAAAGCTCCCAGCCTAGTATCGTTTGTCCCCATAGCAGATAAATCGCAAAGAATAATTTTTTAAAACTGGCTTTGCCTTCTTCCCATGGCTACCTTTTTATCCTCCCCTGCTTGGGTTTGGGAATGCAAATCCCATGAAAATTTCTTCAGGAACTGTCCTCTAAGATCAGTCTATGCCACAGCAGATATTCCAGTGCTACAAGTTGGTAGGTTTGGGACAAAACCCTTCTTTATGGCCAAGGAAGTAAAAATACTCTGTTGGCTTCTGAAAAATAATACAGGCTGTGGGGCCAATGAGTACACCCCCTTTGCTTTTCCCAGGGACATGGAGGAGTGATGGGATGTGGATTTTTTATGAGGGGCTGTGGGTGGGATCATGATAGCTCCGGTGGGAAAGGCCTGTGCTGGGAGAATGACCTTGGGAAGGAATGGTCTTGTCAGGGTTAGAGCTGTAGCATTGGACCTGGGTAGGGGTTGGGGTGATGGAGCATTGATGCAGGGATAGGGAGGCGGGGAGGCCCTCCCTGTTTTTTCCAGTTACAGCCTGGCAGGCTATTTTCCCCTCGACCGCCAGAGGGAGCTCTTAAATGCATACTGCCCAGCACAGCGTCCTGCTGCTTCCATTCTAACGCACATCGGGGCTCCCATTGCCTTAAAACAACCCCAACGTTGGTACGGTTTCATTTTCCTCATGGACTCTTATTTCTTGGCTCATTTACTTTCTGATTTCCCCCTGTAGACTCTAAACTCGGGAAACATGGTTATCTCGTTCACCGTATCCCCTTGAAACCATGCCTGGAACAAGATAGGTGCTGTGTCAGTTTCCCATGGCTGCTGTGACAAACGGCCACCAACTCAGCGGCTGAAAACAACACAGATTTATTATCTTACAGTTCTGGAGGTCAGAAGTCCGAAATGGATGCCAATGGGATTAAGATCAGGGTGTCGGCAGAGCTGGTTCCTTCTGGAAGCTCTAGGGGAGAATCCATTCTCGCCTTTTCTAGTTATGTGCCTTGGCTGCTGTCCCCCCTCCTCCTTCAAAACCAGCAGTTGCATCCCTCTGACCTCGGCTTTCATTGTCATGTCCACTTCTCTGACCTCTGACTCTCACCCTCCTCCCTCCATCTTATAAGGGCCCTATGGTGACATTAGTTCCACCCGCGTAATCCAGGGTAACTTCTCCATCTCAAGATCCTTAACTTGATCACGTCTTCAGCATCTCTTTTTGCCAGATAAGATAACATACTCCCAGGTTCCAGGGATCAGGACGTGGGCATCTTTTGGGTGGGAGAGGAGCATTATGCTATTACATCACTTCCCAGGCCTCCTTGGTCCTTCCCAGACAGAGGTAGGTAGGAGGCCTTGGCAGTATAGGATGGGTTGAGCAGGGTGTTGGAGGGAACTCTGGACTAAAAGCATCCAGTTTGTTTCTGTCTGCAGTTTAAATCCCAACTCAGTCACTTATCAGCTCTAGACAATTGCATATTGCTTCTAAGCCTCAATATTCCCATCTGTGAAAGGGAGATGAAATTCACTTCCATTAATTGAGCCACAGCTCAATTAAAAATCCCTGTTCTGGCATTTACTTGCATTTACCTTGGGCAGTCGGGATAACTTTTTAATTTCCTTGTTGAAATGGCACTAATGATCATGGCTGATACGCTATGTGTGTGTATACTCTGTAGTGTTTGTATTAATGGGATAATATATGTCAAGGGTCTGTCTGTTTGACAGTAGTGCTTGGCACACGGTAACACAGCAGACAGCAGATTTACTATATTTTTCTTTCTTTCTTTCTTTCTTTCTTTCTTTTTCTTTCTTTTTTCTTTTCTTTCTTTCTTCTTCTTTTTTTTTTTTTCGGAGTTTGGCTCTTGTTGCCCAGGCTGGAGTGCAATGGCGCGACCTTGGCTCACTGCAACCTCTGCCTCCCAGGTTCAAGTGATTCTCCTGCCTCAGCATCCCGAGTAGCTGGGATTACCGGTGCCCGCCATATACAAAAATAATTTTTTGTATTTTTAGTAGAGACAGGGTTTCACCATGTTGGCCAAGCTGGTCTCGAACTCCTGACCTCAGGTGATCCACCTGCCTTGGCCTCCCAAAGTATTGTGATTACAGGTGTGAGTCACCGCACCCGGCCCTATTTTTCTTATTTCTTATTTTCTTCTTTCTTCTCCTCCTCTTCCTTTCCTTTATCGTCACCCATTTTTACCTGTGTCTCTGTGTATATCCTCACGTATTTTTCCCATGCCTAGCTCATCCGTCAGGGAGCTTTCAAATTCACCAGGTCAGAGCCTGATTTTTCATCAAGAAGCTGTGTGTGGTGTGGATGCTTTGTTAATGTTGGTTCCTGCTGTTGGGCCTTCTGTTTGTCCCTCTGACTGCTAAGGTGATTCCAAAGACCAGGGTTCCTGGCTTTTCCCTCTTCTGTGCAAAGCCCCTTCTGGGCAGATGCATTTCTCAGAAGACATCAACAGCAAGACCTGTGCAAGGGGAGAAGAATCCTCCCTCCTTCCACCTCTTTCTCTTTCTATGCACTAGAAATGAAAATATCTACGGAGAAATGTCTATTATTCTACTCCTGAGACCATAGGCACCAGGGATGCACAAAATTCTGCCTCTGTGTCTGCATGACTTGTTATCAGAAAATTAGAGTAGAAAAGAAGCTTTTGTTCAGCTATGGAGACATCTTAATAGGTGCTTTGATTGTTAAGCAGAAGTTTCTGTATCGGTTTAATTGCTGTAAATGTCGTTTGCCTTCTCTGTTATGATAAGGCCTGGATTTTCATATATTTTTTCCCCTTCCCTTTCAACAGTTTTCCATTGCTTTAAGGCTTGCATTGGCAAGTTTAATAAAATCCAAACGAAGAAAGCAAAGAGAGGATCTCAAAGTTCAAATCTTCTTGCCCACGTAGGAAGCTGTGTGGAGGTTATTATTGCTTGAGACTAATGATGCTGCAGCCACTTAATGCAATTGACAGAATTCACCCCTTCAACCAGATATTGGGAAATGAGACCAAACTACTAAACTTAATTACATCTATTTTTTGAAGGGAGCTGTAATTGAGAATAACTGAATAACTAGGCTATGAACCTAATAGTGAGATGTGCTTATAATAAAAGAGGATTTGTTCTCTGCTGAGTTGAGCCTCAGAAGCACCATCTGGGGGATTTTTGATGGAGAGGTGGTGATAATAAGGGAGGGAGTTGGCTAGACAAGCAGAGAAGCATCTAGATCAGGAATTCTCTACCTTGATGCTATTGACATTTTGGGATGTTTAATTCTTTATTATGGGAGTCTGCCCTGTGCATTATAAGATGTTAAACAGTATCCCTGCTCTCTCCCCACCAGATGCTGGTAACACACACACACGCACACACACACACAGACACACACAGTGTGACAACCAAAAATGTCCCCAGACATTGCCAGATATCCCCTAGGGGGAAGAGCACTCCTCTGGTTGAGAACGGGGGTGCGGGGGCTCCTGGAAGACTTTCAAACAATTGCAGAGTTATTCATTGAGAATCTGCAGGTGCCTGGCTGTGTGGCCTTTAGCAAGTCACTGCACTTCTCTGAGCTCCTTTTGTTTTCCTTTGCACAACGGGAATAATGATAGCCTGACCACACAGAGGGATAGCTTCCAGGTATAAAATGCATAGCATAATCCCTAGCACCTACTGAGTAATCAATAAACTTGATGTTTCTATTATAATAATCTTGGATTCAGCAAACATGTATTAAGTACTTTGCTTCAGGCACGATGCTTTGAGGTGGTGATGGAAAGATGAGATGTGGTTCCTGCTCTTGCAGAGGTGGAAAATGTATGTGGACCTGTTGGTACAATCTTATTCTTCACCCGTGGCAGACATTGCTAATCAGTTTCAGTGCCCTTTCCTGTTGAGCCTCAGAATCCATTTTAACACACTTCTTTGGGCAGCCACTACTAGTGGCCCCTGAAATGAAACCCATTTAGCACTCCTAGTTTTGTAGATTTCCTTGTGAGGACGCTAACCCTTCCTCTCCAGCGCCATCCTCCCATTCCCACCCACCCCTCGCACTGGAGAAAGCACCTTAAGGAGTTAATGGGTGGAATCCCTCCTCCCACATCTGACTTCAGTCCCCAAAAGAGATAGGAATGGAAAGAATGCTCTCTTAAAAATTTTTTTTTCTCTTGTCTTTTCTATTTCCCTCAGAAATCGAAACAAGTAGTAAAATGTGCTTGAGGTTGATGACATTTAGTTTTTAGTTAAACTAAAGGAATCCCACGGGCTATAATTCTGATTGATAAATCATGCTGTCTCCCTCTTAGGTTTTCTCTGCCCTTTGGGGCTTGGAAAATCATTAGCTCTCTCATAAAGGATCCCAGCTTTACAAGGGCAGAATTGGGATTTCTGGAAACAGCTTTCAGACGGCTGCCGACGGTGTCATTAGACAGAATAGAGGAGCGAGTAGGTTGGGGGTTAAATGCTCTGTGATAGGTTCTGACATGCCCGGCTCCCCGAAGAGAGTGCCACTCCATAACAATTGCTGTGAAAAATGAGGCATGCATTTGCAGCTCCAAAAACAGGGAGCTGGCTCCATCCCTCTGGCCTGAGAAATGAGAACGGGCGTGTAGGGTCAGGCACTTGCTTCTTCTCTCCCTGTCCCCTGGAGATTCCACAAGCAGGACGAGTTCCTTGCTGCCGTTGTTTCACAGCTCTCTGGGGCCTGCAAGCTCTGCCAGGAGGATGGTGTGGGCAATGGGCAGTAGGGCGGAGGTGGGACCTGGTGCACAGGGTCTTTGGGAGAACCAGAACTCAGTCTGTAATGGAGTGATAGTACAGTTCGCTGAGATTTAGCCTAAGGGATGAAAGAAGAGACCAGATGGGGACAGGCATCTCATCTGAAGTCATTTTTTTGTTTCTTCCTCATTCCCATTCATCATGCATCCACCCACCCACCTGTCTATCCACTCACCTACCCATCTTTCCATTCACCCATCCATCCATCCATCCATCCATCCATCCATCCATCCATCCATCCATCCATCCATCCACTCACTCACCCACCCATCCATCTATCCATCCACCCACCCACCCACTCACTCACCCACCCATCCATCTATCTATCCATCCACCCACCCATCTATCCATCTATTCATCCATCCACCCACTTACCCACCCACCTATCCATCCATTCATCCACTCACCCACCCACCTCTCCATCTACCCACCCGTCTATCCATCTATCCATGCATCCATCCACTTACCCACCCACCTATCCATCTGTCCATCCATCTACTCACCCACCCGCCTATCCATCCATCCTATCCATCCTGCTCATCTATCCACTCATCCACCCACCTACTTACTCTAGCATAACTTTAGGTGGTACATGTTTAGACATTATTAAAATAATTATCTATAATATACAGAAATTGATATGGCTTTCTGCATAGGGTTTGCTTTTTAAAATAAGTGTACTTAAACAAAAAAAAATTGGAGTCAGCCTAAAATGTTAAATAAATAACTTGGCAGTTGTACAGAGGCATGGCAGAAATGAGAAAAGCATCACTTGCATGGCTGGCACTGGGAATCCACTGCACTCTAACTTTCATGCAAGGGCACATGTTCATTTCAGGTTCCTCGAACCCAAAATCACAGCTGCTGTGCGGCTTCTAAGGTATATGACCTAGAGCAAGTGACTTCCCCTCTCCAAGCCTCAGTTTTTTCTTCTGTAAGGTGAGGACGCTAGCAACCCCTATTCTTGGGTTTGTTTTGAGAATGTAGCAAGCTAAGGCATGCGAATCACTTAGCACATGCTTGGCACACACCAAGCACTCCGTAAATGGAAGTGATGCTCACTTTTATTCATTCCACAGCTGGCTTCATTTAAGGCATCCCCTGGCAGCCCTGCCCAGGGGCCCTTGCGTCAGTTGAGGTGACAAGCTAAACCAGTGTTCCACTTGGCTTTGGTTTAGCAAGTGATGGCAACTGGTATCCTTCCTGAGGGTGACGAGCCCCCCTTTTCCTTCCAGGCCTTGCCAGAGCCCACCCCAGTCTCTGACCCTCTGTGTAACAGGCTGTTCTCTTCTCTCTGTAGACACACTGTCAGTGCCACGCTGGTCCCCGCAGATCCCTCGCAGAGATCTCGGCAACTCCATCAAGCACAGGTAGGCTGGATTCCTGTGTGCACTGGTGCCTACTTCTCAGCTCTGTGAGGGGTGGGGGCTCTGGCCCCTGCCCTGGGGTGAGAGAAGGCTAGGCTATTGAGCTCCAGCACCTACATCACCATGTCCCTTTCTCCTCTGCTCGGCTAAACTTTAAAGTGGCAACCAGGAGACTGAGACATCTGCTTCTTACTAATCTGACCCTTATAAAATTAGCACATAGCAGTTAAAAGCCAGGGCTTTGGAGTCAGACTGACCTGTGTTCCAATCCCAGCTAGTAAAGCTTTGCAACCTTGAGGAAGTTACTTAACCTTTCTGAGGCTCAATTTTTTCTTTAGGTAATTCTGCCTACCTATAGGGTGACTGTGCAGATTAAATGAGATAATATTTGTAAAGGGCCTGGCACATAACAAACACTTAATAAACAGTATCATTCTGAAGATTAATGCTTTATGTCCTAATTTTTGGTCTTCTCACCCAGAATACACAAGACTGCAGGTGCACATTCTCTGGTGCGGCGTTCAGTCCAGAGCTCTAGCCCTGCTGGGTGCATGAGACAACCTCTCCAGGGCTATACCTGCCCTTTTAGGGAGGGGGGTTTGCATATACCAGGCATCCCTTATAAGAAGTCCTTTAACTCCCTGAATTAGCTTTCCCCATTTTGTCTTGGTAGTTGCAGTTTCCTCACAAACTTAGCAGGGTGAGTGGGGCAAGTGTGCTCATGGCCATTGGACAGATAGGCAGACTGAGGCCCTGGAAGATTAAGCGATAGGTTGAAAAGCTAATTAGCCTCAGTACTTTGTGTTCTTTTGACACCCTGCTGAGTTTTCCTAGCACCAGGGCCTCTGTGAACTCACTGGAGGACCTGTTCCCTTATTCATGGATTCTTTCCTCTTATATTTCCAGAGTTTCTGTGCCATGGTTGCAGCTCTGACCAAGACATAAGGCCTGTTCCCTTGGGGAGCTCGTGGTCTAGGGGAGGGTCAGATAGTTAACAGACCATGACAGTATGGAGAGATCGGGGTGACAAGGTGGGGTGATATCAGGGGCAGATGCATCACCATAGCTGGGGGCATGGAGGAGGTGAGCATTCTCACGATGGGGACTCATGGAATGGCATCTCATCAACAGTTTTTGAAAGAAGTATGTTGACAGGATAGTTGTTAAGACTTAAATGAGAAAACGTTGGAGGAAGAAGTGAGAAGTGTGTGATAGACACGTCAATGGTCAGGCCTTGAGCTGCAGAGAGAAAGGCATCAAAGACAAGGGCCTTTTTTTGTATTTTCCTCCTCACTGCTCTCTGGCTCTGCTCCACCCCGGTTTGGCCACGCCCCTTGATCAACCGTGCCCCCTGGACTGGCCCTGCCCCTGGCTCATCCCCATTCTTGGATTGGCTACGCCCCAGGCTCAGCCACGCCCTTGGCTCGGCCACACCCCTGGGTCAGCCACTCCTCTGGCTCAGCTCGGCCCCTGGATTGGCCATGCCCCTGGCTCAGCCCCACCCCCTAGATCGTCCAGCCCCCAGGCTCTCTGGTAGTCCCTAAGATTCAAAAGCTGATGCCCAGAGGAGGGAAACAACCTATTAATTTTAGGAATGTCTTCCCAGAGGAGCTGAGACTTGGGATGACCTGCTACTCTTCAGTCTCTCCCTATGTTTCTCCCTGGGCTTAATGCCAGGAGGTAGAGAGAACTGGACTCACCCCAGCCTTGGTGAAGAAATGAAATTAAAATCCCATCTGCTGCCATCAGAGTCACTTCAGCCAGAGCTGGGGAAGAGGCAGAGCTGATCCCAAGCACAAGAGAGGTCTGGAAAGGAGAAAAAACTGTCACCCACTGCTTATGAAGCCTGCCCGCCACTCCTATGTGGCTGGCTGATGAGTGAAATACACGCTCCTTCGCCGCCATTCCCCAGAGCTGCCAAATTCTGCAAAACAGAGTCTGCTAAACTCACTGGCTCTGCTGAAGGGAAAGAAAGGGGCTTGACCAACTCACAAATCCAAAACCAGAGAGGGAGAGTTTTCTTGGCAGTAAGTGTCTTTGCTCAGAATGTTGCTATTTGCTTAGATTTGGAGGCTTTGGGCTGTGGCTTATTCTGTTTGGAGAGTGACTGACCCAAATCAGGCAAAACGGTCCAGCAGAGGGATGCAACCTTTCCCTCGAAATTCTCAGACTCCAAGTTACATAACCACTTCCGATTTCCCTTTTGACACTCTGAGGCAGTGGAGATTAGATATAACTCCTGCTGACGGTGACACAAATTGAAAATTAAAATTAACAGTGACCTGGCAACCTTCAGTACTTTTCTTGGGCCCAGTCCTGCTGCTGCCTCATATCTCTTGGGGAAGAAAGCACCCTGGCAATATCGAGGGGAGATGTGCCCAGGGAGTTAATCGAATGCACCTCTGCTCCAGTTGGTTTATCGCTGTACACAGGAGACCTCCAAACTGCTCAAGTTTGCAGCAAGTGGATGGGGTTGGAGAGCGAGGTGAGCTGATGGTCTGAATGGCTTTCACTTTCAAGGTTTCTTCTCTGCCACTAAGGTTTGGGGTCTCAGCTCTTTCAGGAGGGGAGGGCTCCCTTTGATACTCCCCAGGTGATATGACCGGCAAGTGATGGGAGATGGTTCAGCTGGTCCCCCAGGAGGCTCCACCTTGCTTTGTAGCTTTCTACAGGCAGTTCCAGCCCTATCCATTGCTCTGTCCCAGAACTGACCTTGGCATATAGTAGGCCACCAGGCAATATTTGTTGAACAAATGAATGACCCTTACGAAAGTTCAAGGTAATAGTATAGTCACAACCCAATTTATCGAGTGCTTACTATGTACCAGCCACTGTACGAAGCCCTTGACATGCCTGACCTTGTTTAATCTCTCCAGCAACCTATGAGGTCAATACTGTTATTATCTGGACTTAACAGATGGGGAAACTGAGGTTCCAGTGGTTTAAGCAACTTGATTAAGTCACACAGCTCGAAAGAAACAGGACTGGAATCCAGGGTTCATGTGCTTGCTCTTCAAGTACTTCATCCCTCTAGAGATAGGTCAGTCGCCATTTCCTTAACCTTGAACATTTTCTGTCTCTTTTCCACAGGTTTTCCACCAAGTACTGGATGTCTCAGACGTGCACAGTCTGTGGGAAAGGGATGCTTTTTGGCCTCAAGTGTAAAAACTGCAAGTAAGTGACTGTGCCCTGCAGTGACTTTTCGCAGCACCCGATGTCAGCTAGAACCATGCAGGGCACTGAACAGCCTTTGGGAGTTTGATTTCTTCACTCTTGGGAGAGTTGTTTGCTTTGTTTTTCAGAAATAGATTGGAAATGCACCTGTAAGTTTGGGTAGGGGGTCAAGGGAGAGCAATTCTGAATAAGAACCAGAGCTAATGGAAGATCCTGGAAATGCCTAATGCTGTGTGCTGAGGCACAGTGATACTTCTCGTTTTCATAACATCTAAGGCCAGGGGTTGGCAAATTCTTACTCGAGTTGACCAGATAGTAAATATTTTAGGCTTTGCAGACCATAAGCAGCCGTAAACAATACAGAAACAGTCTTGACAACTTCATTTATTCCAATAAAACTTTATTTGCAAAAACAGACTGCAGGCTGGCTGTGGCCCTCAGCTGTAATTTGCTGATCCCTGAGTTAGAATTTGCCAACTCCTTTTCTCTGTCTCTTTTTTTTTTTTTTTTTTTTTTTGAGATGGAGTCTTGCTCTGTCACCCAGGGTGGAGTGCAGTGGTGTGATCTTGGCTCACTGCAACCTCCACTTCCTGGGTTCAAGCAATTCTCCTGCCTCAGTCTCCTGAGTAGCTGGGACTACAGGCCTGTGCCACCATGCTGGCTTTTTGTTGTTGTTGTTGTAATTTTAGTAGAGACTGGGATTTACCATGTTGGCCAGGCTGCTCTCGAACTCCTGACCTCAAGTGATCCTCCCCCGTCAGGCTCCCAAAGTGTTGGGATTGCAGGCGGGAGCCACCGTGCCTGGCTCCCAAGCCTTTCTCTCCTTTTTCTTTCTCCTCATGGTACCTTTTTAAACCAGCCTTGTAATTATCCCCATTTTACAGATGTGAAGGCTGAGTCTAGCAATGAAAAGTCACTGTGAAGAAGTGACAGTCAGGACCTGAACCCAGATCCCTAACTCCTTTTCTGCTCACCTTCTGTAGTATCATATTGGTCTGGAGTTTTGATGAGAAGGCCGTACCACCCAAGCTCTGCCTCCCCAAGCTTCCTTTCTCTTCCACACCCCCATTCAAGGTCATGGCTAGCAAAAGGTAGGGAGGAAGAAGAAAACTGAGACGCCAGATGTGGGCTCCGGAGTCAGACTAAGCTGGTTTTAAATCCTGGCTCTGCTACTTGGCAGCTGCCTGACCTTGGGCAAGTCACTTCACATTTCTGTCCCTAGTATTTTCATCTGTGTGAAAGGAATAATAATTGATATGGTCTGGCTGTGTCCCCACCCAAATCTCATCTTGAATTGCAGCTCCCACTATTCCCACATGTTATGGGAGGGACTTGGTGGGAGATAATTGAATCGTGGGGGTGGTTTCCTCCATACTGTCCATGTGGTCGTGAATAAGCCTCATGGGATCTGATGGTTTTATAAGGGGAAACCCCTTTTGCTTGGTTCTCTCATTCTCCCTTGCCACTGCCATGTAAGAAGTGCCTTTTGCCTTCCACCGGGATTGTGAGGCCTCCCTAGCTGCTTGGAACTGTGAGTCCATTAAACCTGTTTTTCTTTATAAATCACCCTGTCATGGGTATGTCTTTATCAGCAGCATAAAAACAGACTAATATAATAATCTTGCCTGCCTTGGGTGGCAGTGAGCATTTGATAAATCAGCACACTTGAGAACATAACACAGTGCCTCGCTCAGTCCAGTCCTTTGTAAGAAATTGCAGTGCCTTGCTATCTGGCCTCAATCTCTCCCCCCCTCTCTCTCTCTCCTTCTGTAAACATGTATTACGTACCCCTTCAGGTCCAATACTATAAAATAGTAACAGTCAACTTTATGTAATAGTTACAAATGAATGTGCATCTGTTTGCTTTATAGAAGTCATTTAGTTTAAAAGATTCTGAGAACTCCTCCTTCTGCTCTAGGCTTGCTCTTCCTTGTCTAGTCCAGGCAGAGGCCTCTCATTTAGGCCCTTTCAGGCCTCCCCACATCCCTGCCCCAAGATAGAAGTGAGAGAACGGCAAGGGCAAGCTCTCACTCTACCCACTCTGCCCCACCCCTGTCCATATCCTCCACCTGGCAGTCTCACCTGAGTAATGATAAGGTTGAGCATCCTTTCCTCCTGGAGTTGTGGGGAGCCTTAAGCCCCAGTGGTATAAAGAGAAGTACAGGCCAGATGCAGAGTCTCATGCCTGTAATCTCAGCACTTTGGGAGGCTGAGGCAGGAGGATCACTTGAGCCCAGGAGTTTGAGACCAGCTTTGGCAACATCGTGAGAACCCCATCCACACACACACACACAAATAAATAAAATTTAAAAATTAGCCAGGCATGATGGTACATGCCTGTTGTCCTAGCTACTTGGGAGTCTGGGGCAGGAAGATCACTTGAGGACAGGAGTTCAAGATCAGCCTGGGCAACAGAACTAGACCCTATCTCTACAAAATAAATTAAGGTAAAAAATTAGCCAGGAGTGATGGCACATACCGTGGTCCTAGATACTTGGGAGGCTGGGGCAGGAGGATCACTTGAGCCCAGGAGCTTGAGGTTGCAATGAGCTGTGATTGCACCACTGCACTCCAGCCTAGGCAACAGAGCAAGACCCTGTCTCAAAAAAAAAAATTTTTTTTTAAGGAGAAGCAGGAGCAATAATTACCAAGCATTAGTACTTCAAGGCCACCTTCCTTGCCTTGGTCCTCTGTGAACCTAGGCTCTCAGGTGGTCTTTCTGACAACAAAAGGCACAAGGCTGGGCCTTTAGGTCTGGCCTCCAGGCTGACTGATTTTCTCCATACACCAGCAGCTCTGAAGTCTGAAGATACAGACTCATCTGTATCTAGTCCCACCACATTCCGTGGGGGTAATGGCAACTCTTACATCCTCATACCTGCCGTGTGGAGGCTTTGAAGGCAGGTAATTAGATGACAGGGATGTAGCTGGGGTAGTGAGGCTGAACACTTCCCAAGCCGTTTTAATTTTCAGCACTAGAGGCAGAACTCAGAAGTAGCCTTTGCTAGTGCTCTCTGTTCTAAAAGTCATGAGCAAAGCCTTAGGCCCTGCCAAGGGTTGGGAGAGGAGGTTGTGGGAAGGATAGGGATAGGGTGGGGGGGTAAGCTTCAAGAACACAGACTTTGGAAGCAGTCAGAACTGAGTTTGGGTCCCAGCTCCATTACTAAACTCTTGTGTGAGCTTAAGCAGAGGTGTGCCATCATAGGGCTCAGTGTCTCTCTCTACAACACAAGTGTGACATTAGTGCCCACCACAGGGCTGTTGGAAGGAGTCAATTAAATGTCCATGCTCCAGATGGCAATGTTTTATCAGAGAACATTCTTCCCTATTCCGTCTTGTGCAAAAATGACTCCTGGCATATAAGAGACAAAATTCAAAACCAAAAATTCAAAACATGAAGATCTGACATGCTTCAGGAGTTTTGACATGGTGCTTGCAGAAACTACAACAGAATTGAGAGCTATCTCCAGTACATAATTATGAGCATGCATTGCTAATATCACCAGTTGAAGTTGAGACGTGTTCTACAACTAAATTCCTGCAGTTTTTGCATTAGTTATAGTGAGGATAGAGGGTTATTTATATGTGTTTTCAAAGATTGGCAGAATTTTGGATGCACTTATGAGCTGATAGAAGAGTTGGATGAGGGCTAGAAATGGGAAATGTACAGACCCCACTGTCAAGGAGTTTACAGGAGACACACCTATGGAAACTGAATGTCAATAAAATGAAAGTGTACACATAAAGAGCCGTGACAGGTGACATTTCAGAGAGGTGACACCAAGGATGGGGAGGCAGCTTCTTGTAGAAAATGAGCGGAACCGTTTGTTCACTTATTCAACTAATATTTATTGAGCACCTGTTATATATACACCATGCACAACTCTAGATGCTGGGGAAACAAGAGTGAATAAAAGAGACAAAATCCCTTCCCTAGTTTCTATGCTGGGGCATGGGTAGGAGTTGGGCAGACAGTAAGTAAATTAGTAAATTAGGTCATATGATAAGATGATGCAAAATGCTAAGAAGGTGGACAAAGCAGAGAAGGATCAGGATGGGGGCTGCAGTTTCAATTCAAGTGGTGAGGGATGGTCTCATACCTGAGTGAGAACTTTGCAAAAGTAGTAGTGTGTGATCTGGGTCATTTCCTGTCCTCTGAAAGCCCTTCCCGAAGCCTGGATTTGATCCTTCCCTGGAGGGAGTGATTTTTTTTTTTTTTTTTTTTTCACCCAGAGCAAATCCAGTTCTGTTACTGCCAGAAACTCCCTGGGTGACAGGGATTGGACTGGCCTCATGCTATTCTACACATGGTCCCTGGACCAGCACCATCAGCGTCACCTGACACCTGGCTAGAAATGCACATTCTTGGGGCCCACTCCAGACCTGCCAAATCAGAATTTGCATTTTAAGATGGTCTTAAATGCAATGGCTGTGTTCCCACCCAAATCTCATCTTGAATTGTAGCTCCCATAATTCCCACGTGTTGTGGGAGGGACCCGGCAGGAGATAATTGAATCATGGTGGCCATTTCCTGCATGCTGTCCTTGTGGTAGTGAATAAGTCTCAAGAGATCTGATGGTTTTATGAGGGGAAACCCCTTTCGCTTGATTTTCTTCATTCTCTCTTGTCGCGGCCTTTGGGTTTCCACCATGATTATGAGGCCTCCCCAGCCACATGGAACTGTGAGTCCGTTAAACTTCTTTTTCTTTATAAATTACCCAGTCTCAGGGATGTCTTTATCGGCAGCATGAAAGCAGGCTGATACAGTCCTAGTGATTCTTTTGCACATTAAAGTTTGAGAAACACTTCTCTAGGTGATCTCCAAATTTCTTTCCTGAGCTACTTTTCATTTTCTAGATAATGGTTCTCAAACTTGAGTGTGCACAAGAATCCCCTGGAGGGTTTATTAAAAAGAAAAAAAAAAACAGTTTTCTGGGCTCCACTCCTAGAATCTCAGGTTCAATACCTCTGGGGCAGACTCCTAGAATGTCTATTTCTATCAAGTTCCCAGGCCATGCTGAGGCTGCTGGCCCTTGGACCCCAGTTTGCAAACCACCACTCTACATTAGAAGTAGTGGTTTAAAAAACAAAATCAAGCTTTATTGCCCAGCGGGACATTTCATAATGTGAGATGTTTGTGTAAGTCTTTGCTGATGGTTTTTCAGGCTCTTCTGTTCTTACACGCTTTAGCTTCACTCTATAGATAGGAATCTTTTTCATCATCATCTCCCCAGCAAATTCATCCAGTAAATATTGGTGTGATGAGACCAAATGATAACGTGTGATTAGGAGCCAGGCACGGTGGCTCATGCCTGTAATCCCAGCACTTTGGGTGGCTGAAGCGGGTGGATCATTTGAGGTCAGGAGTTCGAGACCAGCCTGGCCAACATGGTGAAACCCCATCTCCACTAAAAATACAAAAAATTAGCCGAGTTTGGTGATGGGCGCCTGTAATCCCAGCTACTCAGGAGGCTGAGGCAGGAGAATCACTTGAACCTAGGAGGTGGAGGTTGCAGTGAGCCAACATTGCACTACTGCACTCCAGCCTGGGTGACAGAGTGAGACCCTATCTCAAAAAAAAAAAAAAAAAAAAAGATAACATGTGATAGGAACACAGGCTGCCGGTCAGACACGCCTATATTTGAACCCTGACTCTGCTGCCAACTGGTTGTGTGGCTCCCTGGAGTATCAGTTGTTTTGTAGAAGGGGGATAATAATATCCACCTTACTAGATTGCTTAATGACAACGACAACGACAACAAAAAACAGGTAAGGTAATTGTTCAATGACATGTTCATCCTTGTACCCAGTCCATTAGAAGTGTTTAATTAATGTAAGCTAATGCTGTTACTAACTTTATGAATTAACTTTGGGGTACCCTCCACCCAGGAAGCCAGAAACATCTCCTTCATGTCTAACCCCCTTCCCTCCTGCTCCGATTTAATGCCCACTTCCTCCGGAATTATCATTAGCTGTCTTGTTGGCATTCTGAATAGAGAGATTAATGAACTAATAGGAAATTAAGACTCCGAAAGCAATTTGCAGTTATCTAAATTGAGGCGTTTTCATCTAATAGGTTCATGAGAGCGGAATGGAGTTTAGCTCTGAGTGTAGAATGTCAGCACAATTCACATATTGTCTGATAACTGGATTCAGCTGGCAGAAGTTTGCTTTTGCAGTAAGATGCTGATGGATTTCCCAGCCTTCAATCATGTGTCATCTGCATTCTTCCCCCTTCTCAGGGTCCTTCCACAAATTTCTGCAGAGCTAAGATCTGGTTCCTTGGAAACCTCTCTACCCCTATCTGCATTTCTTGCAGGAAAATGCACAACGTGATTTGGGTGACACCTGCTCTAGAAAATGAGAGTTTAAACAGAGGTGCTTTTTCCTTTTTCTTTTCTCTTTTTTTTTTTTTTTTTAATGGGCTGGAGTGTGGAAGAGAGGGGAACATCTTCCAAAACCACCAGTGGATAAGTAGCATTTCAACTGTCTCCTATGCTTGTTTTAGCTACCCATTTTCTCTTCTCAGATTATGTTTTGGTTCTGGTTAGTTCAGCCATCTCTGAGCATGTGGGGATTCTTTGCTGCCACTCGGGGTATGAGGGTGAAAAAGAAAAACTTGTCCTCGAGATGCTCACAGTCACTGTCAGTTCTCAAGGTGTGCCCTGGCCCCACCTATCTCGGGATCAAGGTGCAAGCTTAACATTGCCACTTCCTGAGCCCGTCTGCAGATTTCCTGGACCAGGCTCTGAGCATAAGGCCTAGAAACGTGCATTTTACTAAGCATCCCAGATACTTCGTATTTGTACTTAAGTGTGGAAGTGCTGTGGTGCTACATCAAGGTCGGGTGGATGCAGTAATGCACATCAGGGTACTCTGCTGGAGGACCTTGAAGCTAAGTCTTGAAGGAAGAGGAGTTAGCCAGGCGAAGCAGCGTCAGGGTGCTCTGGGCCGAGGAAACAGCCTGAGCAAAAGCTTGGACTGGGACGTTAAAGGCCTTGAGCATATTTTGCAATTGTTTGCACCAGGCAGGGACTGGGGGAGAGCGGAGATGGGTTCTGCTTTGCAGCTTCAGGGTGGGCCAGTTATTGCCATGATTCAGGCTGCTGCTACCTGAGGCTCCAGGCAGGGATAGGATGGGGGTGGGAGGCGTTGCTCAGTGCCCAGCCAGACCCACTCCTAGAAAAGCGATCTTGGACTCAGGCTCTCATCATCCCAAGAGTGAGTTGTTTGCCAAGGACAGGACCATGGGGAGGAGCATGCTGGTGTCAAGATCACCCTTCCTGTGGGTGGCAGAGTGAGGAACACACACTAGGAATTGTGATATTCTCCGAGTCACCTGCTCTCAGGGCCTTAGATTCGAAGGGTCTGATCAACTAAGGGATTTCAGAGTACTTCATAGATGCTTGAGCCTTATTCTTCCCTAGGACCAAGGAGCGCTCACTCCTCTGCTTTGAAGACAGGATGTTATTATAAACTCAGTGGCCAGCGGTCACAGTCTTACATCACCCACTTCCATCTTGTGTTCTGATCAGATTTCCAGTGATCTCTTTGACCAGCCACTGCTACAGAGGCTGCAGCAAATGGCTCGTACCTTGCAGCTGCCTCACCCAGGTACCTGAGACTAAGCCCCTCCCCCTTCCCCAGGTGGTTCAGAGCCAGTGACTACCTTTTTCAGGGGTGCAAAATCCCAGCCTCCTTACCTTGAGACAAATAGATTTTATGGTACAGTTTTTCCTGCAGAAATCCCCATGGGATGAGGCTGAGACTGGATTCACCTGAAACCACATCCATGCCTGGCTTCTCCCTACTCCCAACCTTGCTTCCTCCACAATGGAATAGGTTTCTTTTTTTCTTTTTTGAGACAGAGTCTCACTCTGTTGCCCAGGATGGAGTACAGAGGCATGATCTCGGCCCACTGCAGCCTCGACCACCCGGATTCAAGCAATTCTCCCGCCTCCGCCTCCTGAGTAGCTGGGATTACAAGTGCCCACCACCATGTCCGGCTAATTTTTGTATTTTTAGTAGAGACAGGGTTTCACTATGTTGGCCAGGCTGGTCTCAAACTCCTGGCCTCAAGTGATCTGCCTGCTTCGGCTCCCCAAAGTGCTGGGATTACAGGCATGAGCCACCGTGCCTGGCTGGAATAGGTTTCTTCTGAGCATACTCCCTCAATAAATCATTTGCAAGAATATTCATTTCAGGATCTGCTTCTACAAAACTCAACTTATGACAGTGAAACAACAGCAAGGATACAGACTGCAGAGAGAGAGCTGAGTTCAGGTCCTGGCCCTGCCACTCCCTCGCTGTGTGACTCTAGGAAGGTTTCTAAACCTCTCTGATACACAGTGAGGCTAACACATTCATTCCATGTGATGAGATATGTTCATGCCCCGATAATAATGACTTGAGAATTCTTTCAAATTAGAATCTTTAAATACGTTGTTCAGCATTTATTTCGTTGCAAAACCCGACTTTATATGAATGCAAAGTATAAAAAGAAACAGACCCACTAAATCGCTTCCATGGGTTGAAGCAACATCGAAGTTCTGGAAAATTTTAGCCCATTTTCGCCTTTTCTGTAGTTCTTGTTCTCTGCTTTTCCTTCAGAATTTTCTGAATCAGCCAACTTCTTGGAAGACATGTTATAGGGTTTATTTCAGTTTTTCTCAACCTTGGCACTATTGGCATTTGGGGCCAGATAATTCTTTGTTGTGGGGGCTGTCCTGTCGTTGGAGGATGTTTAACACCATCTACAGTTTCTACCCACTAGATGCCAGTAGCACCCCCTCCTCACTCCCAGTTGTGACCATCAAAAACGTCTGCAGATGGCTCAAGCCTGTAATCCCAGCACTTTGGGAGGCCGAGGCGGGCGGATCACAAGGTCAGGAGATTGAGACCATCCTGGCTAACACAGTGAAACCCCGTCTCTACTGAAAATACAAAAAATTAGCCGGGCGCGGTGGCAGGCGCCTGTAGTCCCAGCTACTGGGGAGGCTGAGGCAGGAGAATGGCGTGAACCTGGGAGGCGGAGCTTGCAGTGAGCCGGGATCACGCCACTGCACTCCAGCCTGGGCAACAGAGCGAGACCCTGTCTCAAAAAAAAAAAAAAAAGTCTGCAGACATTGCCAAATGTTCCCTGGGGGTCCAAACTGCCCCCAGGAGAGAGCTACTCATTCCTACGCCATGGGGCTATGGTGTGCATTATTCAGTTTTAGAATGTGAACTTGCAGTTGCTTGACCTGTGCTTGGACTCATTACTCAAACAGTCAACTTATAGGGTGAATCCTTATATATATTTCAGGTTATAGGGTGAACTACAGGGTGATCCACTCTATAGTTATAGGGTGATATAGGCATTATAATCCCTATTATACAAGGGGGTGATCAACCATCCCAGTTTGCCTGGGACTTTCTGAGGTTTAGCACTGAGATTCCCAAGTGCCTAGAAACCCTTCGGTCAGGCCTAGGTTAGCCACCTTACAATAGACGTAGGTCTTTACTAACTAAAGACATTTTATATGTTCCTATGTTCCAGTTGAGGTTACTGCCCACTTCTGTAGGAGTGAGACCCATGTTCGTTCCCCTAGTAAGGTAAGACATGGTGTTTGGAAGCCTGAGTTAACCAGCACAAGATTTCCAGTGTATTTCAGTGGTGTTTTCATGGCCTTTATACGAGTCCTCTTTCCTCCTGCCTGCAGTGGCTGGCCAGACATGCTTGTACCTACTTCTTTTTATGTAAACAGTCACTTTAATAATTTTTACTTAAATAAGCCATGCACTTCTCAATTGACTTTTGCCGTGTTAGTGGATCTTTTCACTTGGGTTTGTACACATCAAAATCCAAGTGAAAATGTCAAATAACACAGCAAAACCAAGCACATCTTGATTTTCTCTCTTGCCCTGTGCATTCTGCTCTCCTATGTTCTTGCAACAAAATATATTTTACCTAAAAATGTCCAATTTTTTTGCAAAATCGCTGCAGCCACAGGTGATGAGGAGATAAAAGTGTGAAGTAAGCCATGGCTGGTTTGAGCCACCATTGCACTAATTTACCCAGACCTTAAAAAGTGGGGAAATGATGAGTGCTGATGTCGCAGCTGCTGCGAAGTTCCTGGAAGCTTTGGGAGTTTGTACAACAGGCAGGATATTGGCAGGATATAATTATGAGCAAGTATTTCAGAGATCACCAGCTTGAATCTTGAACTTACTTTTCTATTAATAGAAACACTTCAGTTTTTGCAATAATTATAATGGGAGTTAATCATCCTATATATGCGTTTTTACCTATGATAAGCAAAAATTTAGGTCTAATTATAGTTGTATCTGAGGGATGCTTATAATTCTACTGGGGGCTGAGGTGGGATTAGATGTGATAATGATGATGATAATTATGATGATGCTATCATGTATTGGGGGCTCACCCAGGTGCCAGACATTTTGCTAAACACTTTACATGCATGATCTCATTTAATCCTTGCCACAACTATGGAAAGTAGGGTCTATTATTACCCCCATTTTACAGACGAGGAAACAGAGGCCTTCAGAAGTAAACAGCCGGCTCGAAGTGTCACGGTGTGTGGATCTGTTACTCAAACCCACTGATCGCTCAGATTCACGATCCCAGACTTTTAACCGCTTTACACGGGCAAAGGGCTGGCTACACAGCAGGCCGGCAATAAATGCTACATGTCACTCTGCTTGCCCTTTAACTAAACAAGCAGAACAGAGTATAAGAATTTGGTCTCAATTCCAACCTGGACCAAAGCTTTTCCTCATCCCTCCCCCAGCCTGCCACATGCTCCCATCATCCTTTCTTGAATTGAAAGATGACAAATGGATCTTTGTGTTCTGATGAACACCTCTGGGTTCAGAGAGCCAAGAAGACTCTACAGTCGCTTTCTTCTTTTTCAGGGAAGGCGAGGGAGAGGAGAGGAGGGAGGGTACAGCAAGTAATACATTTACAGCTTCCCTTACAGTGTCCTTTTATGGAGAGAAAAGTGCTGGGGGTTCCTGGTGATTTTTCATGATGTCCTTGGAACCCGAGGTCTGATTTATATGTCAATACTTCCTACCGCCCTTTGCTCATTTGTATTGTGGTTAGCTATAGGCTAAAGAGCTAGACCCCACTGAGTTGTTAGCAGTGAGGGAAAGGGTGTTTTGATATCCTGTACTTGGAGCATACGGAGGCATTTCTAGAAGCACTGGCTCAAACAAGAGACCACAGGGGAACTCACATGAGACCAGAATGCTCAGTTGGTATGCAGTGAACCTGCACTTTTGGTTTTGATATCCTGCACTTGGAGCGTACGGAGTCATTTCTAGAAGCATTGGCTCAAACAAGAGACCACAGGGGAACTCACATGAGACCAGAATGCTCAGTTGGGGTATGCAGTGAACCAAGCCCTGCTGCAAAGGGGGCAAGGATTCGGTTTCGTGATTTTTTTTTTTTTTTTTGCGAGAAGCCTTCAGGAACACTTAATGCAGTGACCTGGAAAAGGAAAGCAGGTACAGAGAGTAGGGAAGATAATGAGAGGGGAACTTTGCTGCCCTTTAATTGCAAGTTTCTGCTGCCAGAGGGTGTCTTTTCAAAATGCTTAGCCAGCATTCCCCTCCCTGTTTAAAATCCTTCATTAGCTCCCCCTTGCTCTCGGCGAAATCCAACTTCATGACGAGACCGCGCGCCATGTTTGCTTACTCCTCTGTCCCCTCGCATCTCTCCCCTCTTCATGCCCAGAGCTGCAGCTTCTCCGAGCCATCAATCCCCGTGGCAGGTCATGTGCCCACTCATTGACATGTCTTTGCACCCCATTGCTACTGCCTGGATCTTTCTTGCACACCTCTGCTGGCTCTCATTTATCTTTCAAGCTCAGCTCAGCCACCACTTCCCTCCGGGAAGCCTTCCCTGACTCCCCTCAAATCTGAAGTGCCACCTTCTGCCCTTTTCTGTCACACCATATTACATACTACTATGTTTTATTTGTCTATTTACCTGCCTGTCTTCCTGACCAGACTTTAAACTCTTTGAAGGCAGGGCCATCTCATTTCTGGACGGTTCACTGTTTAAACCTCTAGCGCCAGCACAGTGCTTGGCACACATGGTAAATGCTCAGTAAATACTTGTTGCTTGAGTAGATCTCAGTAGGGACCTCTGCAGAGAGAGCGGTTCTTGACAATATAAGCTCCCCAAATCTGGTTCAAATCCAGCTGGGCTCATTTATAAGAGGCAATTTGGGCGCAGTAGGATGAGTAGAGAGATGTTCATGCTTGAAGCCACAAGAGATGGGTTTACATTCTTGGACAGTAAATTTCTTGCTAGACTGCAAGATCTTTAAAGAAAGAATTCTTGTCTTATTTAATTATTATACCTCCAGTGCCTAGCATAGCCCTTGGCACAGAGGAGGAACACAGTGTCTTCTTGTGGGCATGCAGGGATGAATTGTCCCAATTCTGCCCATCACTATCTGAATGACTGAGCTTGTTACTGGACCCCAGTCTTCTTGACTTAAAAATGGGTATACATGGAATACTATGCAGCCATACAAAAGAACGAGATCATGTCCTTTGCACGAACATGGATGGAGCTGGAGGCCATCATCCTTAGCAAACTAATGCGGGAACAGAAAACCAAATACCACATGTTCTCACTTATAAGTGGGAGCTAAATGATGAGAACACATAGACAGAAAGAGGGGGGCAGGCCAGGCGCAGTGGCTCACGCCTGTAATCCCAGCACTTTGGGAGGCCAAGGTAGGCAGATCACGTGAGGTCAGGAGTTTGAGACCATCCTGGCCAACATGGTGAAACCCTGTCTCTACAAAAAATACCAAAATTAGCCAGGCGTGGTGGCGCACTCCTGTAATCCCAGCTACTCAGGAGGCTGAGGCAGGAGAGTCACTCGAACTGGGGGCGGAAGTTGCAGTGAGCTGAGATTGCACCACTGCGCTTCAGCCTGGGGACAATAGACATGGCGGCCTACTTGAGCAAGGAGGGTGGGAGGAGGGAGAGGTTGCAAAAAAAAAAAATAACTACTGGGTACTAGGCTTAGTACCTGGGTGATGAAATAATCTGTACAACAAATCCCCGTGGCACGACATGAGTTTACCTATGTAACAAACCTGTACGTGTCCCCCTGAACCTAAAATAAAAGTGAAAAAGCAAAAGAAAATACTGGGGGGAAAAGTAACAGTTAAAAAGAGTCTTAAACTTCAAGTCTTAAACTTGATTGCAGTCTGAAACTTGAATTGAGGTTTTAAAGCCATGCACATAGAAGACTTAGAATTATATATCACATGATTACACATGACTACACAATGGGGCCACATCAATGAGGATTTATCACTTCTGTTTTCTGAAGAATGAATGAGCAAAATGAATGTATTAGATCTGCAGTGAGAGTAAACAAACAGATAAGTTATCTCCAACAGAATCTAATAAGGGTTAAAATATATGTAAAACATTTCACACAGTTTATCTCACATGGTAAAGGGAAATAATTATTATTCCTATTCTCATTGTCAATATTGTGATTCCATAGCCATATATAAACTGATATCCACTATTTTATTAACAAAAGTAAGCCAACAAAAGCTAGATGTTCAGTACTTTTCACATATTACATGGGTGTAACAATATACACCTCTTAAGAGATTGCTGTTCAGGGGAAATGGGTTGTGTAATTTAGCACCTGGCTCAAAGTTTGTGCTTGTTTAATGTTTCCTCAATTGGATATTAGGAGCCAGGTTTTTAAAATGTTCCATGTGCACTCTGGAAGGAAAGACTGGGCCCTAGTCAGACAGATTATTGTAAAGTTAGCTGGCATGGAACAAGAAAAAATAGGAGAAATGAGAGATCGAAGCTGATCGGAGCAAATTTTCATCCGTTGGTTAGAATCGCCCAATGAACAGTGAGAAATTGACGTGACAGTCTTCCCTAGGAGGGGTCTTGCCTGTCCCTCCTGTGAACGCCAGCATTTGGATTCCAGCTCTGTGCCAGGCTCTAGGCTTATGACTGCTTCACAGGGGGCCATGACACATCTTTCAAGAAAACAGCAGAGCTGCTTGTGAAAGAGACCATTTGTCCCCCGCAGTTCCCATGGAGATCCAGTTTGCTTCTGGTCAAATCCTGCCCTCCAGCCCCGCACTGGGAAGAAGGGAGGGAAGAAAGAAGGAAATGCAGAGGGGGCATCATTGCATTTCACAAACAAAGAGGGATACGATTTATAAGAAATAGAAATAGCCTTTCAAAAACGTTTTGATAGGGATTAGAATGTTTCTAAATCTGCAGTGTTTGACAGATTTCCCCTTCTGCCTGTTCTTCTTTTTCTTTCCTCCTCTTTCCCTCCATCTCTCTGATACTTACCCACCAGATAATACACACCAGGCACCTTTCAATGAAGGAGGAAAGGAAAGGGAGGTAGCACATGAGGGAGACCTAGATTCTGCCCTCAAGATAAATTCACATATTTAATATTCAGACAGAGATGATGTCTCATTTAGCCAGCAACTCCCTTGGGGGAATGAGATGTTCCTCGTAAGCAACTTTTCCTGATAACTGAAGCTTATCCTATTAAACCTTAGAAGTTAAAAGAAAAAAGAAGTTAACTATTTGCCATGAAAGTTTTAAATAAATCCTTTCCAAGTTTGCAGGCTTTTTCTGTGTGTGCTCAGAGTGGGTCATATCCCTGCCTGCTAAAGCGTTGACCTATTTGGTGCCTATGTGGTACTACTTAGACATTCTCTCATTAGATGCTGTCTTGCCCTGCCAGGAAGGGCAGACCTGTGATTCAGGCTCAGGTCGGCTTGATTGCAAAGTGCAAACTTTTGACCATTTCTGGAACCATATAGGACCTTCCCTGGTGCCTGGGAATCCTTCAGACCCACCATCTTGAAACATGGGGCTCCTCCTGGCCCATATCTGGTGTGGAGGTTTGCCTTCTTTCACGTTACTGGGGGCAGTCTGTTGTGTCCACCTCACCTCTTCCCTTCCTCCTTCGGGAATGGAGCACCTGGAGAACCAAATTCATTAGGGACTGACAGCATGAGGAGCCAAGGGTTTTGGTGTGAGAGCCATGGGGAAGGCCACGTTCATGCTCTGAATTTCTGTTAATAATCCTGGTGTTTTAATTGGGCTCCCTGTTTCCACAGACCCAGAGACAAGGATGTGAGGGCAAGTGGTTTATTTGAGAGGTGATCCCAGGCCACACCAATAGAGGAATGGGGAAGTGAGACAGAGAGTTAAGGCAGCTGGTAATGGGTGCATCAAAGAGCAGGTGCTTGGGGGGATTGGGGTGCAGTCCTAAAATGAGCATGCCTCTGGGTCATGCCACCCATGAGAGAGGGGGCTGGAATATCCATCAACCAACGCCCACCTATAGTTGGTTGAGGTCTCCAAGTGTTCTAGCCAGCCCATGTTTCCAGCCAGAGAAAGTCCTCCAGCAGAGGATCTTAGGGGCTTGCTGTAGAAAGCTGCTGCACAAACTAGCAATAATTATGGTAACTACCATAATAAAGATAGCACCTGCCGCTGCTTGAGATTCTACTGTGTGCCAAATATTTGTTCTGGGCACCTTACTTGCATTATATCATTAGTCCTCACTGCAACCCAGAGAGGCAAGAGGCTACAATTGTCCCCACCTTACAGATGGGGAAACTGAGGCTCTGAGTGGATCGGCAGCTTGCCCAAGTTATCACAGCCAGGGAGTGGTGGTATCAGGATTTGAACCTAGGTTTGTTCTATATACTTTCCCCATTTTCCTTTCGGAGGAGAACATTGTATTCCGAAAGATTCAGGCTCCCATTCATCTCTCATCTGGGAAGTAGAATGTATTCCTCTGATATGGTAGTTCTCGAGTTTCACGTGTGCTTGCTTAAAATTTGCATTCCCAAAAGACACTTACCCAATCAGGACCTTGGAGAGTGAGGCCTGGGAATCTAATTTTGAAGCAGGTGGTCTCCTGGTAAATTACACGCTAGTAGCTCTTTCTTCCATGGGTAGGGAAAAGGAAAAGCCACATTTTGGGAAAATGATGCACATTTCCAGCTGGAAGAACAGTTTCCATTAAGAGGGACATAGTGTGCTTTGCAAAACCTTGCTGTGGTCCCTCTTCCCTCTGTCTCCAGAGTCTGTGTAATTTCAGGGTTTGTCTAATCCTGCCGACTCTATTAGCAGATCCGGGATGTGCAGGCTCTCGTTCTTGACATCTGAACCTAAGTGCAAGGTTTAAGTGCCTGGGCATTGGAGATATTTCCCTTGGGGTTTTCTGCATGAGCAAGGCTGTGTTTCCACTGCTAATGCTGCCCACCGAAGCCCCTGGCTGG
Organism: Homo sapiens; assembly: GCF_000001405.40. Taxonomy (NCBI): domain Eukaryota; kingdom Metazoa; phylum Chordata; class Mammalia; order Primates; family Hominidae; genus Homo; species Homo sapiens. Next base: position 117,562,799 of record NC_000012.12, on the reverse strand, counting down.
AAGGAAGAGTGTTCGGTCTCCCACTCCTGGGACAGAGGTCAAGGAGGGCTTTTCCATTACTGCAAGAGAGAAGCAATAAGGGACTCTGGAGAGGAAAAATTGCCAAGGAGGAGAGCAGGAAACAGGCCAAGGTCATGAGCAGCCTTACCTGTTCTGTCTTGGGTTAGCAGTGGTCTACAGGTTAAACTAAATTGCATGCTCCTGATTCAAAGTGCTGCCCACGAGATACCAACAGGGCTTCTTTGCATCTGCAAGGCACTTTTCCAGCTGGGTTTATTAGAGATGACTTTTAGGTGGGGGTGTTAGAAAGGAAAAATATTCTTTCTTGAAGTTTCTGGGGTGGAGTCCAGCTATTCCAAGTGCAGAAACTTCTTGGACTGACTCCCCTTTGACATCAGATTCCCCACAGCTCAGGGCTTCCCAAACATCAGTCTGGCCATGTCATGGTCCTCAGAAAACTTCAGTGGCTTCACAGCACCTGCAGATTCAAATGCAGACCCTTTGCCTTAGCTTTTGGGGTCCCCACCCCCTCCCCTTCCTCATGTCCCCACCATTCGTGTTGTTCTCTTCACTTTAAAAGTTCTCATCACTTTAAAAGCCTCATTGACCTTTAACTTTTGACCCTTGAACTCACCACACTTGTTCTGCCCTCCAAACCTTTGTGCTGGAACTCGGCTTCCCCTACCCTTGACACCTACCCAAGGACCTCCCTCATACCCCATCATTCCCCCCAACCCATTTTCCTGTAATATTTTTTCATGATCTTATGACATCTGCAATTATTTGATTTATCTGCTTATACATTTATCATCCCTCCCCATAAACAGAGAGGCTGCATTAGCCTTGTTCATTGTGAATCTCCAGTATCTGGGGCACTCCAGGCCAAACTCAGTGTTGAATGAATGAAAGGCCCGTTTCACATTTAGCAGAGCTCTGCATCAGGGCTTTGAAGCATCATGAGCTTTCCCATGGGGGCTGGGACCTTTCCCATAAGTCTGAGAGTCTGAGGGTCTTAGAAAAGGAATAGACAAAGAAAGCCAGGTCACAGTAACTTGGGATTTTGATTATCCTTGTGAAGTCAAGCATCCGTATTGGGAAGAGTTAGGTGTTATCTTAGGCTTGTCTCAAAGAAGGGCATTTTGACTCAGGTAGTTATAGCTCCCAGGAACCTTCTACTTTACCCACACCTACCCCCAAGATGTTAAAGCAAAAAGAGTGCAAGTTAGGAAGGCATTTAGCATTGTGGTTAAAAGTTGGGCTTGGGAACTCTGTCTCTTATAGGCCATTTGACATTAGGTAAGTTATCCAAATTTGATAAGCCTGAGTTTCTCACTCTGTAAAATGGGACTAACAATAATTGCTACTTCTTAGGGCTGTTATGAGGATTAAATGAATGATGTAAAGCACTCAGGATATTACCTAACACATCAAACATGTTAGTTCTTGTTATTTTCAGTGTCCTACAGTCTTTATGACATTCATGACCAACAGCACTTCCAAATGTTTTTCAACCATCTTAGACTTTCTGGTGCCAAGAGCTATGTCCTCTTTTTGTAGATTCCAAAATGTCTAAGTCAACTTTTCCCAGTCTAACTCAGACATTTGTCTAACACTCTGTCATGATTTTATCATAATTACATATCCACTCTACTATTTTTACTTATTTTCTATTTATGGCCTTTTTAAACTTAAATTTATTGAAAGATGAAAATGTATCTCATTATCATAAATGAAAAATCAACATAATTTGCCATTAATATAAGGTGTGTTAGTCTGTTATGCATTGCTATAAAGGAATACCTGAGGCTGGGTAATTTATAAAGAAAATAAGTTTATTTGGCTCACGGTTCTGCAGGCTGTACAAGTATGGCACCAGCCTCTTGTTGGCTTCTGGTAAGGTCTTATAGCAGAAGGAGAAGGGGGAGCAGGGGTGTCACATGGTGAGAGAGGGAGCAAGAGAGATAGAAGGAGATGCCAGGCTCCTTTAAACTATCAGATCTCAGGGTCTCTAATAGAGTGAGAACTTACTGATTACCGTAAGGAAGGCACCAAGCCATTTGTGAAGGATCCACCCTCATGACCCAAACACTTTCCACTAGGTCCACTTCCAACTTGGAGGTCACATTTCAACATGAGATTTGGAAGGGACAAGTATTCAAACCATCTCATAAGGCAACCTGGAAAAAATAAATTTTCAAATGGAAAAATCATTGATAAAATTCCCTGTGGATACTGCTACCTGTCGAAAACTGGGACTGGAGATAGCACGTGTTGGAGAGACCTCTCTGGTGCCATCAGATTGAAAGAGAATTGGAGAGGGGCTTACGTCTCACCCTGTGATTCAGCATTGTCTCATATTTCCTATGTCCCTCCTTGCTCCCCTTCTGCACTCTCGGTGGTCCCAGGTCTAACTTTTTCAGAGAGGAATTCAGAGCCCCATCAGAGCCATGAAAGACCAAACAAGAGAAAAACTGGGGAAATGTGCACAAATATTCCAAAACAATCAGCTAGGCTGGTGGTTCTCACACCTGAGCATGCATCCAATTCACCTAGAGGGCTTTTTCAGACCCAGAGTGCTGCCTGCTGCAGCCTAGCCTCCAAGTACTGATTCAGCAGATCTGCCAGGGGGCCCCAGAAAAGTTCCCAGGTGGTGCTTATGCTGCTGGTCTGAGAACACTACTTTCAGAACCACTGAACTAGACTAATTGGAGGAATCAATGTTGAGTCTGTGCCTGCATATTCAAACCATTATTTTAAAGAGAACTATCAAATCAGGAAGAGAGTAGGGGGCAACTGTAAAGTTCCTACTTCTGAGTTTAATGTATACGTCTATTTTAATACTAAATCTCCAAGCAGCCTGAGGGCCACCCTCTGGCAAAGATGTTGGCTGCTGGAAGTTAGACTGGTATGTGCAAAATGGTAAGAGAATCCAAGGGGATACGAATGGGGCACTTACGGCATCTTCCACAGCGTGTATCTATCCTATTGACATAAAACTCTACAAGAAAAGGACAAAGCCAGGCTGCAGTAATTTGTGAATTTTATTATCTTTGTGAAGTCAGGCAACTCCAGGGGAAAGAGCAAGGTGTCCTCTTTGGCTCCTCTCAAAGGAAGACATTATCATTCTAAACTCTTCAACTGTATGCCTCTAAAACTTAATACCTGGCACCGATTTCATTATAATTGGAAGCCCTGGTTGAATGTGTCCTACAGCGTGAGGCTTTAAGAAAAATGAGCGGCCACCTTTGGGACCCCTGACCCTGGTTTTCTGTCAGGGCAAGTCAGTTAATCCAAGTTTTTCCATCTGTGAAATGGGAATGATAATAATGCCCATTTCGTGAAGTTGTTACGAAGATTAAATGACATAGTATAAAATGAATCTTCAAGTAAATGGAAGATGATGAGAAGAATTGTGATGATGATCATAAATACAGGCTGATGGGAAAAGCATGATATTTGATATTTTTTAAAACGTGAAGTCCGTGTGGGCAGTGCTAATAAAACAGCTGCCATCCATTCTTGGACCACCCAAGACTTACCTGAGAGAGTGGGATACTAGAAGCCTCTCTGCGGAGATAATTTCCTGGTTTGCTGAGGATATGCCTTTGCAGTAGCTGCCCCATCTCATCTCACATCTTGGTATCCACAGCACCCAGAGCTTTCCAGACCACTGGGGGCATCCCATCTATCCACCTATCCATCTACCTACCCATCCACCATCCATCCATCCATCCATCCATCCATCCATCCATCCATCCTTCCATCCATCCATCTATCCATTTATTTATCTATTCACTTCCTCATCTATCCACACATCAACCATCAATCTGTCTGTTCATTCATCTCCCATCCATTCATCTAGTCATCTGTCTATCCATCCACCCACTCATCCACCCACCCGTCCATCCACCTACCCATTTATCCATCTATTCATCCACCCATCCATCCATCTGTCCAGCCACCTATCAATCTATCCACCCAGCCATCCACCCACCCACCCACCCATGCATCAATCCATCTACCAATTTATGCATCCACCTACCCATCCATCCGTGAATCCATTCACCCATTCATCTACTCACCCATCTATCCCCCATCCATCTACCCATCCATTCACCCATCCATTCATCCACCCATCCACCCATCCATCCATTCATCCACCCACCCACCTACCCGCTCACTCAGCCATTCACCTATCCATCTTTCTCTCTCTTTATCTTTCTCAGGTTAAAGTGCCACAACAAATGCACCAAAGAAGCCCCACCCTGTCATCTTCTGATCATCCACCGAGGAGGTAACTATTTAACACTTACTGCCCTAGGGGCAGGGGTGAGGTGGGGCTCCTGCAGGTCCCCCACATAGCTGTCCCATCAGGTTGGTTCTGAATACCTCTTGATCCCCACATACTTCCAGCATTGTTTCTTTCTCTCTGACGCCCTGTTTCCTGACATCTGTCTCCTTTATCCTCCCCTATGCCTGTTCTCCCTGTTTCTTGCCCCTCTACTGGTCCCTCTGACACTTTAGCTCCCTTTGTCTCCCCACTTAACCCCTGCTCTCTCATCCTGTCTCCTCTCCTAATTTCTAGCCTCTTCTGTTTACCAATCCCATTGCTTTTCTTCCCACCAAAAAAAGAGCACTGGCTGGGTGTTTTTCCATTGTGTGTTCTCTAGATTTAATCAATTGGCCTTGCAAAAGTAGGCATGAGGAGGGGTATGTCTTGGGTCTGCTGGATTGGGCCATTTGTGTCCCATCTCCTGGGGCCCTAGGAGTGTCTGGGTCAACCTGTCCACATAGGGAAGTAGCAGCCCTGGGAGAGCCGCTACCAGGATTCCACTGCAAAAGCAAGACGAATCTGGCTGGAAGGAAAGACAGAAGGAAAGGCTTTTTCCTGGCTGCCAAGGACTTACTTATAAGGGACACTGCCTTGGGAACTTTTGTAGTGCAGCTTTCAAAATAGTTCCCCTGATCTTTGCCCTATGGGGTGATCACCCCCAAACTCCATTATCCATATTGAAATTTATCTCCGAGGGACTTTCTGGACATGTGCTCCCCAATACAGTAGCTACTAGCTACATTTGACTATTTAAATTTAGATTAATTAAAATCAAATAAAAACACAAATTTAATTACTCAGTCCCACCAGCCACATTTCAAGGGCTTATACTGGTACAGATATAGAACATTTTTTTGACTGCAGAAAGTTCTACTGCACATCGTAGGCCAGATCCTTGCTATTCAAAGCACTGTCCGTGGACCAGCAGCATCAGGATCACCTGGGAGCTTGTTAGAAATGCACGATTTATGGCTCCACCTCAGACCTACTGAATGAGAATCTGCTTTTTAAACAGGATCTGCAGGGAATTCCTATGCACCTTAAAGTTGAGAAGCACTGCTCTAGAGCAGGAGTCAGACATAAACTAAGATGCCTATGAGGGCCAAGTAGATGTCCTAAATGAGAGAAGTTGGCCAGAGCGGGCTGTGGGACACTGGAAAACCGAAGTGCCATCTAGAGAGGGTAGCCAGCCACTCCAGCTATGTGGACCTACATTGCCAGCATTTCTGACATTTCCAACAAAAGCCCAAATAGAGAATTTTATGTGCCATATGCTTATTTTTTATTTATTCAATGTTTTTTGAGATGGAGTCTCTCTCTGTCGCCCAGGCTGGAGTGCAGTGGTGCGATCTCAGCTCACTGCAACCTCTGCCTCCCGGGTTCAAGCGATTCTCCTGCCTCAGCCTCCTGAGTAGCTGAAATTATGGGCACCCACCACCATACCCAGCTGCTTTTTGGATTTTTAATAGAGACAGGGTTTCACCATGTGGGTCAGGCTGGTCTTGAACTCCTGACCTGGTGATCCACCCACCTCTGCCTCCCAAAGTGCTGGGATTACAGGTGTGAGCCACCGCGCCTGGCCCATATGCTTATTTTTAAATGTAAGCAGTTTATTAAAATCTTTTAAAGTCATGCTGGCTGCCTCCCTGCAAGCCCCTCATCTATAGGGTGGACAGAGCCTTCAAATCACCAGGGAGCAACTTTAGGGTACAGCAACTTGCTCATCTGACACTGAGTCCTCCTTCCCTGTCCTCTCACTTGCCCACCCCCGTCTCCCCTGGCCTTGATCGGTGGATATTCCTGGGAATCTGCCCTAATTTAGAATGAACCCAAGGGAAACTTAAAGAAGGAGGCAGACTGCTGCTGAAAGCACTGTGATGTGTCCCAAAGCCAACGGGCAGTTGGTTTTCGATGATCGTTGCACTGTTTATCTCCAAAAACAGAGAAAATTGCAAGTGAAGACAAAGTCTTCAGCTCCCTTCTCTTGCCCTTCCCACCCCACATCCTTAATTGAGAACCATCTGTTCCTTGAATAACTGTATACACTCAATGAGGCTATCTTAAAACCTGAATTCTCACCTCCCTTGAGACCCTGCCTTGGGTCAGCCTCATTGGAAAAATTGCCTCCCACCAAATTCTCCTCCGTAGAGGGTTTTGCTAGAGGCTGATTCCCATATGGACAGAAGCAGCCTGCTGGAAGGTGATGGCTTTCAGAGGCTGACATTTGAAGAAGGGCTCCCTCCCACCCACCCTCAAGGCCATGCCGCCTTTTGTTCAAAGGTGGCAGGTGTCTGTACATACAGAGCGAACTGAACTTTGCAGAAATCCACCAGCTTCTTGCTTTTTCTCTCCGTTGGTTGGAAGTTGAAAATATAGTCAGTTTCCATGGTGATGGCAGCTCAGGCTAAGCAGAGAAATGAAATCCCTGGGTCAATCCGGAGCTTAAACTTCTCAACCAACACCCTCCCCTCACCGCTGCAATAAAACAACAACAACAACAACAACAACAACAGCTAACAAGTAACAATACCAGGCATCAAATTTGATTTTGAGCTTCTCATTTTTGCCCCTTGCTGTGTTCCCTGTGAGTAATAGAAGTAACAGAAGGGAGAGGGGCTTGGGCGATATGATTTGGATCAGGAAGCATTTATTTAGCATCTACTATGTGCCTAGCTTCCTAGAACAGCTGTCTTTCTTTCAGGGATCCAAAGTTGTTTAGGACAAAGTGTTTCAATGTGCGGCAGGCTGCTTAGGCCTGAGAAATCCCAAAAGGAATGAAAGATGATCCTAACACAGAGGTTAGAAAGTTAGGGACAGGGCACCATGATGAGCTTGTCCGCTCATCACAGGCCCTGAGAAATCAGGAACCTCGTGTATTTAAAATGAGTTTTGAGTCTGCCAATAAGAAACAATTGTGGTACTTTTAAAAAAACCTGATAGCTTTAGTTTTATTATTATCATCTTAATTGTCAAAAGTCATATATGGACAATAGAAATATGTTGCAAACCACAGAGTATACCCTGATCCCACCACAGAATCATTATCACTTTTAGTGAATTGTCCTCCAGTCTGGAGGGTGGGTCTAAGAGGTGGGATCTGAGCTATGCCGTCCTGGCATAACCAAAGACAAAGTGATACTTAAACTCCCAAATCAATGTTTTTACCCCTACGGATCCAGCAAGGTTAGTCCGGACAGAGTCCGTTCCGTGTGACATCAACAACCCTCTACGGAAGCCACCTCGCTATTCAGACCTGCACATCAGTCAGACGCTCCCCAAAACCAACAAAATCAACAAGGTAAGGCTGGGCTTCCCCTGGGTCTCGGCATGTGGGGCTGGCACTGCTGGGTGAGGGGTAGGAGGGAGGAAGGGTTGATCTGGGAGTATGGCGCTCCCTCCTAGCCCGTCTCGGCTCCCCTAATTCTGTGATGTTTGTGTTGAGTAAAGCTTGAGGGACGTCCAGAGATCAGTGGAGAGATTTGTGTGCCAGAAATCTTATTTAGAAAGAGGGCATGTCGGAATGAGAATGGATGAGGGTGTCCAGGAAGGCACAACGGATGGGAGGAGAGACTTAAAAGGAGTTTCCTTAGTGGTCCAGACCTCACTTGCTTTGCTCTTTGAGAGGTTTTGCCATCTGTATTAGTCTGTTTCATGCTGCTGATAAAGACATACCTGAGATTGGGTAATTCATAAAGAAAAAGAGGTTTCATGGACTCACAGTTCTATGTGACTAGGGAGGCCTCACAATCATGGCAGAAGGCGAAAGGCACATCTTATATGGTGGCAGACAAGAGAGAGCTTATGCAGGGAAACTCCCCTTTATAAAACCATCATATCTTGTGAGGCTTATTCCCCATCACGAGAATGGCACAGGAAAGACCAGCCCCCATGATTCAATTACCTCCCACTGGGCCCCTCCCATGACATGTGGGAATTGTGGGAGCTACAATTCAAGATGAGATTTGGGTGGAGACCCAGCCAAACCATAACACCATCTTCCAGGACCAACTTTGCAGATGGTTCTGGGCTTTCTGACACATCTGTCAGATCAGACCTCCAAGGAATAGGGGTCTATTTCTGAGCTTCTGGTAGGGGCTGGATGGGTGGGTTTTCTTTGGGGGCCCTGAGCTCTGAGCAACAGGCAATTTGGTTGGCTTCTACCCTCAGACAGGTGGTCAGCAGTGGGCCCCTCTGTGCATCTTTCTTTCAATTGTGGCCTAGAAATTTCTGGCCTGATTTCCATATCCTTTATTTGGTCTGCTGATGGGGCTGTACCAAATCTATCCCGGGGGTATGCCCAGCCTCACAGTAGGAGGCAAAGGTTGCACACACCAGCAGGTGATTTTCCAAGCATCTCAAAGCTTGCATGCATTATGTCGAAGGTAGATGTCTAAGTCCATTTGCATTGCTATGAAGGAATATCTGAGGCTGGATAATTTATAAAGAAAAATGTTTATTTGGCTCTCAGTTCTGCAGGCCGTACAAGAAGCCTGACACCAGCATCTGCTTCTGGGGAGGCCACAGGCTGCTTCCACTCATGTTGGAAAGTGAAGGGAAGCACGCATCACACGGTGAAAGGAAGGAAGGAAACGTGCATGAGAGAGGGAGAGAGAGAGAGAGGAGAGGGGAGGGAAGGGGAGAGGAGGGGAAGGAAGAGAGGTGCCAGGCTCTTTTAAACAACCAGCTCTAGCAGGAATTAATAGAGGGATAACTCACTCATTACCGCAAAAAAAGGGATCAAACTCTTCTTGAGGGATCCACCCCTGTGACCCAAGTACCTCCCACTAGGCCCCACCTCCAACACTGGGTTCAAATTTCAACATGAGATTTGGAGGAGACAAATATCCAAACGATATCAGTGGAAAAAGCACATCAGCCCAAGGATCGGGAGGGCACTGACCTGTGTTCAGGTCCTAGAGGAACATCATGATAGCTGAGTCACTATTCAATGGCAACACACAGAGAGAGGATTGCCCCCTTCCCAACCCATTTCCCACACAGCAGCCAGAGTGATACTTAATGAATGTAATTTGAATTATGTCATGCCCTGCTTAAAAACCGTCCAATAGCTTTCGACTGCATCTAGAAAACAAATCAGACTCTGCTGCAGCCTGAAAGCCCATGCAAAATTTGGTCCCTCCTCTATCTCTGACCTCTCCTTCCATGTCTTCCCACAAAGCTTGTGTGTCCCTTTGCTCTTAAGCTATCTCACCCGCCATTTTTATCTCGAAGCCATTTACCATCTGGCTCCTTGTGGCATAATTTCAGCAGCTGAGTGAAGTTGGCTTCTGGAATCAGGCAAACCTGGCAGCCAGCCAGGGCTTCCTTTGCTTATTAGCTGTGAGACTGAGCAAGTAACTTAATCTCTCTGAGCCTCAGTTTTCCCGTAGGTAAAATGGGGCTGTTCCAGTTATCTACTGCAGCACAACAAACCACCCAAACTTAGTGGCGTACGACAATCATCCTTTTATTATACTCACAGAATCTGTAGGTCAGGAATTAGGACAGAGAGCAGAGGGAATGGTTTGTCTCTGCTCCATAATGGGAATCAACTGGGAAGACTCACACAGATAACGGCTGGAGTCATCTAAAACAGGGATTGACAAACTATGGCCCACAGGCCAAATCCAGCCCACAACCTACTTTTGTAAATAAAATTTTATTGGAACACAGCCATACCCATATTTCTGTGGCTGCTTTTGTGCTATGATGTCAGAGTTGAGTAGTCATGACAGAGACTGCATGGCCTGCAAAGCCTAAAATATTTACTGTCAGATTCTTTACAGAAAAGGTTTTCTGACCCCTGATTTAGAGGCTCTTTCACTCCATGTCTGGTGCCTGGGCTGGGTTGAGTCAAAGCCTGGGTTCAGCAGAGATGTCAACTAGAGCACCTGTATATGGACTTGCTGTAATGCTTGGGTGTCCTCACAATATGGCTGCCTCAGGGTAGTCAGGCTTCTTACATGGTAGCTCATGGCTCAAAGAGCAACTGAATTAGCAAACAGGTGGAACTTTGACAGTGTCACTTCTGCTGCACTTTACTGATGGAAGCAGTCACAAGCCTGCTCAGATTCAACGGGAAGAAACACGGACCTCAACTCTTAGTGGGAAGCGTCCACGGATTTGTAGTCATGTTTTAAAGAGCCCGTGGCAGGCAATAAGAACACTAACCTCAGACAGTTGTTATGAGGATGGAATTCAATAATCAACATTTAAATGCACTCAGTGTACTTCCTGGCCCATAGTTAATATCCAGGAGATTCTAGCTATTATTATCAGCTTAAATTTGGGGGCCTTTGATCAAAACATCAGGCCACGTCCACTTTTCCTTTGTTATTGGCAAAAGATATAGGTCTCTAGGAGAGGGGATCCCCACTGCTGGGAGGGCTGAGCAAATTCAAATGGCGAGGCTTCTGGGAAGTATAATAATTGTGCATCCCTTAGAACCCATTCTTTCCTTTGTGACATTTTGAGGGACGAGGAGCTCAGAACCACCTTGAGACCTTTCTCTCTGGCTTTACAGGCACAGTGAGCCTCTTGGTGTCAGATGAGACTGAAACATAGGTCAGATAGATCAGTGACTGTGACATTGTTCTGCTTGTCTGCCAGCAGGAGAATTTGATAAGGGAAATAAATTAACCTCTATTAAGAAAGCAGCTTTGACATGAAGGTGGACAAGATCTATCATAGGGCTGCGTTATTTTTTCCCCTCTTTCCCTTCTCGCTGGCTTCACACAGATTCTTCTTGTCAGGCAATGATGTGGTTAGTGCAATACATTTCTGAGCCAATTTGGTCTGAAGATTTTTTTTTTCACTGCTCTTTGTCTTGTCTCCTGTCTAGTTCAGTCAATCCAGGTTCACAAAGGCCCTGCTTTTTCACCCAGCACAGTGGTTAGAGTGTAGATTTTGGAAACAGGAAGTCTGAGCTTGCAACTCAGCTCTTTAACTTGCTGTACGACTGTGGGCCAGTTATCTCAAGATCTGTCTGCCTTAGTTTTCCTTTATGTAAAATAGACATAATAGGAGGTATCATTGGGGTTGCAGACAGGATTAGATGTATGATATGTATAAAGGATTTTAGTCAAATTCTGAATACTCAGGGCATGGAAGTAGCTTGATGATGAAGAAGACAGAGAAAGAGGAGAAGGAAGAGGCAGGAGGAATAGGAAGAAGGAAGGAGGAGGAAAGGAAGGAGGAAGAGGAAGAGAAGGAGAAAGAAGGAGGAAGAAGAGGAAGACAGAGTGGGGTGGATGAGGAGAATGGAGGAGGGGGAAGGAGGAGAAGCAGCAACAGTAGCATCTGCCAATTCCTTATGGGACCAAGCTACAACCCTTGTACTTCCACATCAAGCCATCAAAAATACCATCTGCAGTAGTGGCAGAGGCTGAATCTCTGCCTGCTGTATTCAAGCTGTTTGAAGTGGCTGCATGCTGGTTTGCTTTTGTTGGTTGGTTGCAAGGTACAGAGACCCGCCTAGGCTGGCTCCGCAAAATGAGTTGTCTTTTGTAAAGGATGGACATGGGGGCAATTCAGAGAAAGGGAAATCATCATTTAGGCGCTGGGCCTCATGAAACTAGACGTGGAGGATGGTCTTTAGCTCAGTCCAGCTCCTTGGACCCAAAGCAGCCCATAGGCCATTGTTCTGGTCTTCCATCATGACCCTGACTTAGCTACTCTTTATGGGTCTGCTCTGATGTGTTGTTACTGTTGGCTGGTTTCCTCATCTTCTACTTTTGTCTTTCTTTCCTCTGTCATTGCTTCTGCCTCCATATAGTTCCTACTCCTTATGACCTTTGGCTTCTTTGTTTTCTGGCCTGTTGTGGCTCCCCTGTTCTCTTTGAACCTCATCTTATCTCAGCCTTTGCTCCTAATGCTCTCTGCTCTTCTTCCTAATGGCCTATCTCATCATTCCATCCCATATTATAGGTCACTGGTCAGCTGCCATTATGCTCTGGCCTATGATCCTGTGTTGGGAGTGGGCTATGGAGGTCATAAGACAAGTGTGTCTGTTTAGGACAGTCCATTGAACAAAGGCTGTTGGGTTGGAGGGTGAGGACAGTTTCCTTAGAAAGTGTCCATGGGAGAGCAATGACCATCACCGCCATGTCCAAATCAGTGCTCAGCTGGCTGAAGTGGAAACCTGGGTGATGAACGTGCTTCTATTTGAGTTTCAGAGTCAGATGTGAATTTCTTATTACTTGGCACAACCTCGTGCTTCTGCTTCTGAGCCATGACTTGGGACCTGTGCCACTAATGCTCTGTGTGACTCCAGGAGGCCATTCCTCTCACCTTACAGTCTCAGCATCCCCTCCTACAGAATGAAGTAGTTGGACTGGATGGTCTCTGATGGATGTTTCCAGCTCTTATCTATGTTCAGAAAGAGGAATTATGCCATTAGCCTTTCCCTGCATGAACTGGTAGAGTTTAATAAGTTTCCTTCTGATGGAACACAACCACCAGCTGCTGGTCCCGTTCAGACACAGATGTGGGTTTAACCTGCAGAAGAGATTTTCCCTCCTGTTGTAACAATTCTGCCAGGATAAGTGAGTACCATACGTATTAATGAGTCTGTCCTCAAAGAGGTAGAGATAAGTCCTTCCACCATAAAGACAATTTTCTCTCCTTCTCTCCCTCTTTCCCTCTATCCTTTCTTCCTTTCAATTGCTTAGTTCATTCATTCATTCATATAACATTGATTAGTTACCTCCTATGTTTTTGTTTCTGTGCTTAGTTTTGCAGATTCCAAGATGAGTAAGTAACAGTCTAGTGGGAGGAAATAGATCTTCCTCCTCTATTCCTCTCTCCTGTTCTTCCATACAACCCTTCCTCTTTCCATTTCTTCCTTTCTTTTTTCTTTCATCCAGCACACATTTACTGAGGGGCCACCATGTGACTGTGTGACTGGCTCATTGCTAGGTGCTGATGCATATAACATACTCCCTGTCTCAGGGAGTGCCTAGTCTAGAGGATGAGACAGATAAGCTGACAAATGTCCATGTAGAAGCACAAGCCTATATGGTTTTTTTTTTAAAGTTAGACGATGACCATCTTTTTGCAGAGCATCTATGGAAACTTCTTGAAATTTTCCAGCAAGTTCAAAGAGCAAGGCTTGGGAGGGTGGATAGATGCCTGACTTTCTTTTCCTCGTGTAATATAATTGGCCTCCAGCTTTCTTGAAAAACCTCACCTGCCCCCTGGGCCAAGTGGGAGCTTCTTTCTATATCATAGTCATAAATGATAAATCTTCACTCCACACGTCACTGACATATTATTCCTTACACTAATATGTCCATTGTTATGGAAATGCAATTACCATTAGATAAATTAAGATAGAGTGCGAAGGCTTCCTGATGCCTTTCTACTAATGTTGGATCAGAGTTACCTTCAAGGTGGTCTTGCGTGGCAGGTGGTTAGAATGAACTACAGCATAACCTTGCCTAAAATAGTAAGACTATGTCCAAGTGGACAGATGTTCCCTGCCTTCTACTGGGGCTCACATTTATTTCTTCCACACAGGGTCTGAGATCAAATTGGGGAGATCTGTTATTCCAGGGAAAATTCTATAGCTTGGGAATGTTAATTGTCCATGGGGCCAGTATCCATTTGTTTGTCTACACAATCATAGTTGAGTTTCCCTTTCTCAGAGACTCTCTGGAGAGGGTCTAGTTTCTCCCTCCAGAGATAAACACCTAACTTGCAGGTTTGCTGCCAAGATTAAATGAACTAACAATATTAGTTACTCTGCTTCCAGGAAGATGGAGTAATTGTACTTTTCCATATTCCTCCCACTAAGTTCAGTTGACCCTTGAAAAATGTGGGGGTGAGAAATGCCAACCCCACCCCCACAGTTGAAAATCCACATATAACTGTTGATGCCCCCAAAACTTAACTACTAATAGCCCACTGTTGATCAGAAGCCTTACCAATAACACAGAGTTTATTAACATGTATTTTGTATGTTCTATGTCTTATATGCCATATTCTTACAATAAAGTAAGCTAAAGAAAAGAAAATGTTATTAAGAAAATTATAAGGAAGAAAATATATATTTACTATTCATTATGTGGACACAAATCATCATAAAGGTCTTCATCCTTGTCGTTTTCATGTTGAGTAGGCTGAGGAAAAGGAGGAAGAGGAGGGGTTGGTCTTACTGCCTCAGAAGTGGCAGAGGTGGAAGAAAATTCACATATAAGTGGACCATTGCAATGCAAACCTGTGTTATTCAAGGGTCAACTGTACAGCTAAAAACAATGGACATTGTATATAAAATAAACATAAGACCACTCTGAAAGAGGGCAAGAAGGAGGCAGACCAGCTAGGGACCCAAGCAATGACACAGTGGTGAGTTCCCTAAGACTTTTTTTTTTTTAAGATGGAGTCTCACTGTCACCCAGGCTGGAATGCAGTGGCGCAATCTCAGCTTACTGCAACCTCTGCTTCCCGGGTTCAAGCGATTCTCCTGCCTCAGTCTCCCAGATAGCTGGGACTACAGGCACCCACCACCACGCCTGGCTAATTTTCAGAATATTTTTAGTAGAGATGGGGTTTCACTAGTTGGCCAGGCTGGTCTTGAACTCCTGACCTTGTGATCCACCTGCCACGGCCTCCCAAAGTGCTGGGATTACAGGCATGAGCCACTGCACCTGGCCGCCTGAGACTTCTTTTAGCTTCATGTATCCCAGACTTAGAACTGAAGAAGCTGGCAACCTGGATGTGTCAATGAGTAAAAACAAAATAAGCCCCAACAAAAGCCTGCCCCATCTAGTCAAAGGCCCAGGAAAGGGACAGCTTAGCAAGAAAACTTTTACCCAATAACCGTCCTACCCCAGCCAAACACCACAGAAAAATCTGTTGCCCTACCTACCCATAACAGCAAAGATCAAGTAGGGAGTCTAGACTCCCATCCTTGTCAAGCTGAACCCTGGCATCCCAATCCTCCTGCCAGGCTGGTGTTAGAGAAGGCTGAGTAGGGACTGTCATCCCTGCTGGTGGGAAGGAACACCCCCCTCACCCAGCAATAATGCAGCACTCCCTCCCACACCTGCTGAGGTAGGATTCAAGGAGACCTAGTGGAGAGTCAGAGCTTTTACACCACCATCATTAACAAGTCTGCTCCCTGCTTTTTGGCATTCTTACCCCTCCCAGCAAGAGTGGTATCAGCAAAGGTCTATGGGGGAGCTGGATTTCAACCTCTGCCCAGCAATAATGAGGAACTCCTTCCCTCTTCAGGGACTAACAGAAGCTGAATGGAGAACTTAAATTTCTACCCATCCCTGGCAATAGCAAGGCAGTACCTCCCCTTTCTCTGCTAGAGCAATGTCAGAAATCCAGCAAAAACAAGAGGTTTAAATAACATCCAAAGTCTCACAACATAATACTCACATGTTCAGGCTTCAGTTGAAAATTACTTGTCATAGCAAGAAGCAGAAAGATCTCAAGCTGAATAGAAAAAGAAAGACAATCAATAGAAGCCATTGCTGAGATGACTGGGATTTTAGAATTATCTGATGACACTTTTAAAGCATTCATTATAAAAATACTTCAATAAGCAATTATGAACGTTCTTGAGACTAATGAAAACATAAGAAGTCCCTGAAAAGAAACAGAAAGTGTCAGCAAAGAATTGGAAGATAAAAAGAAGAAGCATTTAGAAAATTTAGAACATACAATTAGAAAATACAATAACCAGATAAAAAATTCAGTGGATGGACTCAATAACAAGTTGGATGGGGCAGAGGAAAGAATTTGTGAACTTGAAGATAGAATGATAGAAATTACACAGTCTGGATAACAGAGAGAAAATGGCCTGAGCAGAGTATCAAGGACCCTTGGGGATTATAATAAAAAATCTAACATTGGTGTCATCGGTGTCCTGGAAAGAGAGAAGAGGAGAAAGAGGACAGAGCTGAAAACATTCTTAAAGAAATAATGGTTGAAAACTTCCCAAACTGGGCAAAAGACATAAACCTACAGATTAAAGAATCTCAGAAAACGTCAAAGAAGGTCAATTCAAAGAAATCCATGCTAGGATATGTCATGTCAAACTTCTGAAAACTGAAGACAGACAAAAGCATCTTGAAAGCAACAACAGAGAAACAATACTTTACCTATGGGAGAAACCATTCAAATGACAACAAATTTCTCATCAGAAACCATGGAGGCCAGAAGAAAGTGGCACAGCATTTTTTCAAGTGCTGAAAGAAAAGTTTTCAATTCAGAATTCCATGCATAGTGAAAATATTCTTCAAAACTGAAAGAGAAATCAAGACATTGTCAGATGAAGGAAAACTAAGACTGTTTGCCATAAGTACACCTACGCTGAAAGAATAACTGAAAAGTATTTTCTAAACAGAAAAGAAGTAATAAAGAATCTTGGAAAATCAGAAAACAGTAAAAAGTGTACAAATACTAGTAGATACAATAGTACATATACCTTCTCCTCTTAATTTTCCAAATTATGCTTGAGAGTTGAAGCAAAAATTGTAACACTTTCTGATGTGGTTCTATATATATGTACGGGAAATATTTAAGACAATTATTAAAGGAGGAGGGTAAGGACATAAAGGAAAACTTCACTCAAACTGGTAAAATGTCAACACCAGTAGACTGTAATAAGTTATGTATATATAATATACTACCTACAGCAGCCATTTAAAAAGCTATACAAAGAGATACACTCAAAAATACTCTAGCTATGTCAAGATGAAACTCCAAAAAATGTTTAACTCACAGGAAGGCAGGAAAAATAAAACAGAAATTAAAAATGAGATTGACAAACCTGTAGCAAGACCAACAAAGAGAAAACTCTGATTACAATTGTCAGGAATGGGATGGGACATCACTACAGACCCTGCAGTCATCAAATGGATAAAGAGATATGCTACACATATACATTTTATAGCTTAAATGAAATAAACCAATTTCTTGAAAATCACAAACTTCCACAACTCACCCAATATGAAATGTATAATTTGCATAGCCCTGTAAACATTAAGGAAACGGAATTCGTAATTTTAAAACTGTCTTACTCCAAAAAAAGAAATCTCCAGATGGTGTCACCAGAGAATACTACCAAATGTTTAAAGAAGAATTAACACCAACTGTACACAATCTCTTCCAAAAAATAGAAGAGTATACTTTCCAACTCATGATATATACCAACATTACCCTGATACTAAAGCCAGAGTACAAAAAAGGAAAACTACAGACTAATATTCTTCATTAATATAGATGCGAAAATTCTTAACAAAATATTTAGAAAATAGAGTTCAGCAATATATACAAGTAGAGTTTATTCCAGGGATAAAAGACTGGTTCAATATCTGAAAAATCAATTAACATAATTCACCATATTAACAAGCTAAGAATAAAAAATAACATGGTTATATTAATTGATACAAAAAACTTGTTTGACAAAATCCAAAAACCATTCGTGATAAAAGAAATCAGAAAAGTAAAAATGAGGAAATTCCTCAACTTGATAAAAGCACCTAAAATAATACTACAGCTAACATTATACTTAGTGATGAAAAACTGAATGTTTTCCTCTACAGCTAGGAACAAGCTAGGACATCCACTCTCACCATTCTTATTCAACACAATGCTGGAAGTTCTGGCCAATACAGTAAGGCAAGAAAAGGAAACAAGACATGCAGATTGGAAAGGGAGAAATAAAAATGTCCTTATTTGCAAATGACATCATCCATGTAGAGAATCCCAAAGAAAATACAAAAATCCCAAAGAATATATTTTTTAAAAAGTTCTTAGAACTAATTAGTGAATTCAGCAAGGTCACAGAATACACAATCAATACAAATTAGTTATATTTCTTCTTTTTTTTTTTTTGAGACAGAGTCTCATTCTGTCACCCAGGCTGGAGTGCAGTGGTATGATCTCAGCTCACTGCAACTTCTGCCTCCCAGGTTCAAGTGATTCTTCCGCCTCAGCCTCCCAAGTAGCTGGGACTACAGGTGTGTGCCACCGCACCTGGCTAATTTTTGTATTTTTTAGTAGAGATGGGGTTTCACTATATTGGCCAGGCTGGTCTCGAACTCCTGACCTTGTGATCTGCCCATCTCGGCCTCCCAAAGTGCTAGGATTACAAGCGCAAGCCACCGTGCCTGGCCCAAATCAGTTATATTTCTATATACTAGCAATTAACATATGGAAACCTAAATTAGAAACATGCCATCTACAATTGCTGAACAAAATGGAAATACTTTGGTGTATATCTGATAAAACATGTATAGGGCTTGTATGCTGAAAACTACAAAATGCTGGTGAAAGGAAACAAAGATCAAAAGAAATGGAGACAGATACCACTGTGGTTCAGCCTGTATTCCGCACAAAGATATGCTAAAGTCCTAACCTCCAGGACCTGTGAATGTGATCTTTGGAAATAGGAACTTTGCAGATATAATCAAGTTTAGATGAGGGTATACTGGAAGGGTGGTCCCTTAATCCAATATGACTTTCGGCCTTATCAGAAGAGGAGAAGAGAAACAGAGACACACAGGGAGAGCACCATGTGACAACAGAGGCAGAGATTAGAGTGATGCAACTGCAATCTAAGTAATGACAAGAATTGCTGGCCATCACCAGAAGGTAGGAAGAGGCAAAGAAGGATTCTACCTAAAGTCTCAGAGGGATCCTGAGACACGGCCTTGCCAATACTTTGACTTGGGACTTTTGCCCTCCAAAATTGTGAGAGAATAAATTTCTGTTGTTTTAACCCACTCAGTTTATGGTACTTTGTTACAGCAGTCCTAGGAAACTGATACCCATACCATGTTCATGGATTGGAAGATTCAACATAGTTAAGAAGTCAGTTCTCAAAATTCATATATAGGTTTAACACAATTTATAACAAGATCCCAGAAAGATTATTTTTATAAATAAAGACATGATTATTCTAAAAGTTATGTGAAAAGACAAAGGAACTAGAATATCTACAACAGCTTTATTCTTTTGTGAAATAATAAAGTGAGAGGAATCAGTCTACCTGATCTCAAGACTTCTTATATAGATACAGTCATCAAGACCAAAATGGATATACAGATGGCAAGTAAGCACACGAAAAGATGTTGAATATCTTAGCCATTAGGAAATGTAAATTAAAGCACAATGAGATATCACTACACTCCAATTAGAAAGGCTAAAATAACAAACAGTGACAATACCAAACACTGGCTAAGAGGCAGAGAAAAATCAATCATTTGTACATTGCTGGTGTAAAATGGTGCAGCTACTCTAGAGAACAGTTTTTGCATTTTCTTTTAAAACTAAACATGTTATTACTATATTATCCAGAAACTACACTTCTGAGCATTTATTCCAGAGAAATAAAAACATATGTTCACATAAATCCTGTTAATAAATGTTTATAGCAGCTTTATCCACAATGGCAAAAAATAGAAAACAACTTAGATCTCCTTCCGTGGGTAAATGTTTAAACAAACTCTAGTACATCCATATCATAGAGTACTACTCAGCAATCAGTCAAAAGGAAGAAACTCGGCAATCAAAAGGAAGAAACTATCGATACCTGCAACAACTTGGATGAATCTATAGAGAATTATTCTGAGTGAAAAAAGGCAATCTGAAAAGGTTACATACTGTATGATTCCACTTATAAAACAGTGAAATGATAAAATTATAGAAACAGAGAATAGAACTGGGCACCAGGGTACACATCTCTAATCCCAGCTACTTGGGATTGAGGTTGAGGCAATGGGATTGCTTGAGTCCAGGAGTTTGAGACCAGCCTGGGTAATGTAGCAAGACTCTATCTCAAAAAAACCCACATACAGCTAGTGTTTATTATACTGGACAGATATGGAGAATAGATTAGAAGTGCCAGGGGTTAAATATGGGGGGAGGATGGTGAGGAGAGAACAGGAAATGGGTATGGCTATAAACGGGCAACATGAGGGATCTTCGTTTTGATGGGTCTGTTCTGTATCTTGACTGTATCAGTTCAGTATCTGGGCTGTGATATTGTACTAGAGTTTCATAAGATGTTATCAGTAGAGAAAACTGAGTAAGGGAAACATAAGATCTCTCTCTTCTTACAACTACATGTGAATCCACAATGATCTCAAAATAAAAAGTTTAATTATAGAAATATACTATCATTAACATAATAGCTACTACCATTTATTGATGACAAAGCACCTCTACTCAATACGAAGGAGGTGGGTACCTACATAACTCATTTAAACTTCACAACAGACCTACAAGGTGGATGTTCTTAGCCCATGTTAAGGATAAGGAGGCCGACCGCATTGACCCACACCTGTAATCCTAGCACTTTGGGAGGCTGAGGGGGGAGGATCAGATCGCATGAGCCCAAGAGTTTGAAACCAGCCTGGGCAACATAGTGGGACCCTGTGTCTACCAAAAAAAGTGTTTTAAAGCTGGGCATGGTGGTGCATGCTTGTGGTCCCAGGTACTCAGGATGCTCAGGTGAGAGGATCGCTTGAACCCAGGAGGCTGAGGCTACAGTGAGCCGTGATTGTGCCATTACCCTCCAGCCCAGGCCGCAGAATGAGATCTCATCTCAAAAAACAAAAATAAATAAATAAAAATAAAATTTAAAGAAAGGATAAGGAGAGACTCACTGACCCAGAAGCAGTGTGGATCTAGTGGCAGTGGAGTGGGCTTTGGGAAGGTGAAATGTACAACCTGGCTGGACACCCAGTAAGCATCTAGACAGAGAATGTCCATTTCCCCTCTGCCCTTGACCTCCTTTGCTATTGGGTGTTCGCCACACCTACTCTTGGAGTTGGCAGATAAGCATACCTGTTGACCACACTATACCATCTTTGGGTACCCGGTCCATATGAGTAGTGGACCTCTGAGTAATGGAGGGATCAAGTGACCACTGTCCTGTGGGTGAACAGATGAAGGCTCCCCTGGGAACACTTAGCTCTGCTGGCTTTGAGAGGTAGGAATCCCTTTTATATCATGTGGAGGTTTGCTGCTTTTGCTCATCTCTTGCCATCTGGTGAAAGCAAAAAGTCCCAAAGAGGTGAAAAGCTTTTCAAGCTTCAGGCAGCACCAATCTGTCCCTTTCCAGGAGAACATGCCTGCAAATGCATACAGCTACTGTTCCTCCCTGCCTGCCTCCCTCCCTCCCATGCCTCCACATCAGCTACTGTTCCTCCCTGCCTGCCTCCCTGCCTCCCATGCCTCCACATCAGCTACTGTTCCCCCCTGCCTGCCTCCCTGCCTCCCATGCCTCCACATCAGCTACTGTTCCTCCCTGCCTACCATTCCTCCACATCAGCTACTGTTCCTCCCTACCTGCCTCCCTGCCTCCCATTCCTCCACATCAGCTACTGTTCCCCCCTGCCTGCCTCCCTGCCTCCCATTCCTCCACATCATTTAATCTTCATGCAGCCCTGTGCACTTGATGCTATCATTACTCCCATTTTACAGAGGACAAAACCGAGGAATGGAAAGGTTGGGCATTTTGCCCAGGATGTACAGAAAAGAGGTGGCTGTGGAATTTGAGTCCAGGTTTTCCTGACTCCGGTTCCTGCTGATACTAATTTCCTGGTGCTGCTGTAACAAAAGAGCATAAACTGGGTGGCTAAAACAACAGAAATTTATTCTCACACAGTTCTAGAGGCCAGAAATTCAATGTCAAGATGCCAGCAAGGTTGCCTTCTAGAGGCTCTGAAGGACAATCTGTTCCATGCCTCTCTCCCAGTCTCTGGTGGCTCCGGCAGTCCTTGGCTTGTGTCTGCATCACTCCAATCTCTCCCTCCATCTTCACATGACTTTCCTCTCCATATGTCTGTCATTGGATTTAGGACTCACCCGAATCCAGGATGATTTGGATATTTGTCATTGGATTTAGGATATTTGTCATTGGATTTAGGACTCACCCGAATCCACGATGATCTCATCTCGGGATCCTTACCTTAAATTATGTCTGCAAAGACCCTTATTTTAAATATGATCAGATTCAGAGGTCCTGGGTGGACGTCTTTTGGGGGACACTGTTCAACCCACTACTGTGCTTGGAAGTCCACCCCAGCAGGCCATTCCGAAAATGCACACATGGATTCTCTCTCTCTCCTTGTTTTTGAGCTGGTCTGGGGTGAGGAGAGGCAGTGCTGGTTCCAGCTGTGACCCAAGCTAAGATGCTGAAGGCTCACTCTCACATTCTCTCTGGAGCTGTCAGACTGTTGATTCTTTAATAAACACTTGGGAGGAGAGGTGTTGGGATGGGAGGGGTACTCTGGACACCTCTGCATGGGGTTTTTCAGAATCAAAGAGGCACAGGGTGAGTGACTGTCACCTGTTTGGTTTTCATTACGTGGTCACCTTTCACTCTGGGGTCCAAGCAGTGGACAGGAATTCGACTCCAGAGGCTGTTCCTTCCACAGCTGGATGCAGCCCAATGGGGCTGATGAAGCGGGAGGGACTTCGGAAGGATCTGGTGGCTGAGGAAAGGGCAAGAATTGTTGCAGGGGCTGGGGTGGGGGCCTCTCCTGCTCAGCCCACTCTTTCTGCTGTGTTTCTGCTTCCCTGCCTGTCCCTGACTCCTACCCTGTTTTCTCTCTGCAGGACCACATCCCTGTCCCTTACCAGCCAGACTCCAGCAGCAACCCCTCCTCCACGACGTCCTCCACGCCCTCCTCGCCAGCACCCCCCCTCCCTCCTAGTGCCACGCCGCCTTCTCCCCTACACCCTTCCCCACAGTGCACACGGCAGCAGAAGAACTTCAACCTGCCAGGTACCTCCATGCTTGGGGAGACATGAGGGGTGCAGCGTTGGAGGGGCAGAGATTAGGGAGGGGGTGGGTTCATGCCAGAGCCCTGATGCAGCAAGTCTCTGCAGGAAAGCGAATGGGTCAATGACCAGAGAGGGGCAAGGAAGTATGTGGACTGACCCTTATCGTACCCTAAGCAATTACCCTTATATCACTTATTTAATCTTTGGAACAGCCACAAGGTAAGCATTATCAGCTCATTTTACAGATGAAGAAACAGAGGCTCAAAGAGGTGCAGGAACTCTTAGAGACTCTGTCTTTTGGCGAGCTACAACCCAGGGTCTTCGCCTAAGTCTAAGTCACAGAAGGGAGCCATTGGCTCTGGAGATGACAGTTGTCTTATGAGCTAAATTGGTTAAAATTGGCAGTGAGATCCTGTGCTGGAGATCTTAGGGGCACATGTCTGAGCAGGGCTGCATACTGAGTCTTAACCCAGATGTGAGGACAGGGCTGTCACTGAGCAGTCTGGACTCCTGGAGTCAAGATCCAGGTCTATTGCATTCTTGCTGTGTCTCACCTCTGAAAAGATGTAGTTGGACAAGATAATCTGGAAGGTTCCTCTAGCTCAGGAATTCCAAGGTACCTGGACTGTTGACCAGAGAGTATGCACTGGGCTATGAGATGATAGTAGAGAAGCCACTCATGGGACACTGTGGTTTCCTGACCTCCTTTGTCATTAGACCTAAGAATGGGATTTTTTTTTCCTTCAGGTAGACGAGACCTAAGAATCTCCCCATCTCTTCCAGGGTCCAGCCTGGCCCGGTTCCTCTGCTAGGGCCCTAAGAATGCTTCCAACTCAGCCATATTTATGGCACTGCAGCTGGCTTCAACAAGAAGGCTGGTGGGACTGGCATGGCCAGTTGGAACCAGAGTCTACATCTGTTTTGTTCAACATGGTATCTGCTAGCCATGTGTGGCTATTTACATTTAAATAAATTAAAATTAAATATAATTTAAAAATTAGCTTATCGGTTACACTAGCCACATTGCAAGGGCTCAGTAGCCACATGTGGCTGGTGGCTGCCGTACTGAATGGCTCAGGTGTAGAACATTTCCATCATCACTGAAAGTTCCATTGGATGCTCTGGTCTAGCACCTGATTTCCTCCTGAGTCAACAAGCTTCACACTATGAAAAAAATCCCAGGTCCTTGGCCACAGTTCACACCTCTAAGCTTAACCAGGCATGAGTGAGTGGCCAGGAGGCAAACAGAGGCCCCACCCCACACCTGGGCGGCACCCACATGCAACCATCCATCCATCTGAGGACAAGCCAATCACAGCACCTGCCCACACTGTTTTGATTTGGGTTATATCCACAGAGATGGCACATATTTTGAATTCTTGGAACTTTGGGTTTTTTGTTAAGTTCAAGTCTGAATTTAACAGCCTCATATCCACCTAGTGTAGGGGCCACTCATCTGGCAGCCACCAAGGACTGCAATGTGAGTCACCAGCTGAATCGTCTTAGTAAATGCCACCGATTCATTGCCCGGCACTTCCACAGACAGAAGGCTCCCACCGCCATCTCCAGGGTTGTTCATTTTTACTTCTTCAGAAGGGGATGAAGGGAAAAAAAAAGACCGTTAGACTTCCCATGACCACCCACACCTGGGGGAAGTGAGCCCGATGCTTTCCAATAGCCACTTCACTCCCTGGAGACACTGACTTCAGGAGTATTTTCTCTGAAATTGTTTGGCACTTATTTATGGACCAAGGGATGGGGAAGGGCCGTTTTATGGGAGAACTGTGCACAAAAGGACCACAGCTCTTTTCATCCCTTAAAGAATCTGCTGGCATCTTCAGACAAGAGACCTGCCTAGCCAGGAGTAATCAGGGTGTCCCTTAGCTCCTTCCTTCCCTCAGCCAGAGTCTTCAAGAAGGGGTGCCTGACAATTTGCTGTTCTAGCGTGCCACCTTATCCCCATCTGCTCCATGACAGGCCATGACAAGGTCCTGGCCCTCTTTGGGGACTGGGCTAAGGGGTCCTTTGGGTAAAAGCACTTCAGCATGGCAGTTAGAGTATGGGTTCTGCAGCCAAGCTGCTTAGGTTCAAATCTCAGCTTTACCACTTAATGTCTGTGTGATGCTGGACAAATAACTCGCCTCTCTGGGCCTCAGTGTTCTCATCTATAAAATGGAGATCATAATAGTACCCACCTTAGATAATTGTTTTAGAAAGAAATGGCATAATACATGGACAAAGCTTAGCAGGGTGACAGTTTCATTGAAGACCTCAACAAATCTGGGCTCCTTGGATTATTATTAAATACAATAATAATAAAGTACAGTGGCTATCTTTATTTGCATTTCTCATCATCACTGCTAATTAATATGAGGACCTAGACAGAATTGTAGAATGAAAGATGAAATCCCCATATACCTTGACATAGGAGTATGAACTGAACTCAACATTTGGGGAAGGTAATTTGGCATTTTCTGTTAAAGTTTTTTTGTTGTTGTTGTTGTTTTGAGATGGAGTCTCACTCTGTCACCCAGGCTGGAGTGCAGTGGTGCGATCTTGGTTCACTGCAACCTCCACCTCCCGGGTTCAAGCAATTCTCTTGTCTCAGCCTCCTGAGTAGCTGGGACTGCAGGTGCACACCACCACACTCAGCTAATATTTGTATTTTTAGTAGAGACAGGGTTTCACCATATTGGTGAGGCTCATCTCGAACTCCTGACCTCAGGTGATCCACCCACTTTGGCCTCCCAAAGTGCTGGGATTACAGGTGTGAACCACCATAGCCAGCCCTGTTAAAGTTTTAAATGTGCATTCCTTTGACCATTATATCACTTCTAGGACTTTATATACAGAAACGCTTGCACTAGGGTGCAAAGATCTGTGTGTAAGGACTTCACTGTAACAGTGAAAACTGAAATTAACCCAAATGCCCATCAAGAGTAGGTGGTGAATGGTTGAATACACACATATATCCGTATAACCAAATATTCTGCAAACTTTCAAAGGAATGTAGTACTCTATATAGATTTCCTGACATGGAAAGATATCCATAATGTTTCTTAAGTAGAAAATAAGTGATTTGCAAAGTCATCAGTATAATATTCTATTTATTGTAAAATATTTACATATATATATGTCTGTGTACCAGTGTGCATATATGTGTTGGCATGTGTGCAGTAAAGTCTAGAAGAACTTCATGGCAGCTGTTGAGGACAGGGACTTTATCTCATGCACTTCTACGATATATATGAGTGTGCATCCATTTTAGAATCGAATAATAATAAAATTCAGTGCTGAAATGGAAAACAAAACAGAACCTTTTGGAAGTACAGTTGGGCCTACCCTGTGTCTTAGGTGGTTTTAGCAAAACACTCCCAGGGTCAAGAGTACCTGTCGTGTTTGTACAAAGATCTGGCTAGCTGTCCCACTCTTGACTGGGAGCTTCTGTTGATGAAAAATGGAGCTTTGCCTGTGGGTCCCTGCCAGATGTTGAGTTTTCTGAAGGCTATTTAAGCTAAAGCTTAGGCATAACAATGTCCCCAGCACTGATTCATCTAGAACATTCTTGTCCAAAAGGGGCTGGGGGGGTTGACCAGCCATTTAACTCATTTGTTAATCTCAGGACATGTGGTGAAAAGGATATAAGAACCCCAAGAATGGCGTGTGCAGCCTCGGTGGTATTTGTGACTGTGTGCTGCCAGTTGGGTGGACCTCCTGTTATCAGCCTTTCCCTGAGTCCTGGGGCCATGTGGACATGGCTCAGTATAAGGTGACATCAAGAGTGCTGCATGGACAGACAGACCTGGAGTTGGATCCCAGCTTTGCTCCTTGCTAGCTGTGTGATTTTGAGCATGGTATTGCTTCTGTTTAGGTCTGTTTCTCATCAGTAACATGGGGCTAGTTCACTGCTACTGATGAGCAGAGTTGTGGTAGCATCCATCATGGCAAGACAGATGAAGAGGCTTCGAAAATGATTGTCTTATGGGTTTCTGAGGCTGGAGTGTTCAAATACCTTCTTTCTTTGGAGCCAAATACCTTCTGTCTTTGGAGCCACCTAGAGCCATCTTGAAACACACACACACACACACACACACACACACACACACACACACACAACTCCAGGAAATGGTGAATTCTAATGGCTCAAAGGGAGAAGAAAGGAGGTGGAATCTGCCTTTGGTGGAATTTGCAGGATTTCTGAGACCTCACTTGGGCCATGTGGGCTCATGAGAGTGTTTCCTCCCTTTCCCTTTCCATCAGTCTCTCCTGAGTGCCTCTTTTATGCTCATCACTCTGTGCCATGATCTGGTTTACATACTCACTTGTTAAGTGTCTGTCTCCTCCATCAGAATGCCAGCTGCATGAGACTAGGCAATGTGTCTTCATTCACCACTCCACATTCAAAGCCCAACATGTTGCCTGCAACTGAAGGCACTCATTACATGTTTGTTGAATGAATGAATGACCTGAATTTCATGCACTGCCCAGGGCTGCAGTTTTTTCTCTTCAAATTTTCTTCTTGGCCCTCAGACTGTGTTCATCCATTCATTTTGTTAACAGTATTTATTACGCATCTACTGTGTACCAGCTACTGTACTAGGCACTAGGTTTGGACCAGGGAACAAACCAGACATGGCCCCTGGATTCACTTCCTATTGTTATTGTAACAAATGACCACATACTTTGTGGCTTAAAAGCACACAGGTTTATTATCTTATGGTTCTAGAGGCCAGATGTCCAAAACGGGCTTCATTGGGCTAAAAACCGAGATGTCAATAGGGCTGGTTTGTTCTGGAAGGTCTCAGGGAGAATCCATCTCCTTGCCTTTTGCCAGCATCTAGGGGCTGCCCACATAACTTTGCTTGTCGCCCCTCCTCATTCTGGCCTCTGCTTGCATGATCACATCTCCTTCTCTGACCCTGCCTTCCTCTTCTGAGGACCCTTGTGGTGACATTGAGCCCACCCAGATGATCTAGGATAATCTCCCCACCTCAAGATCCTTAAGTAATCTCATCCAAAGAGTCCCTTGTGCCATGTAATGAAATGGATTCACAGTTTCCAGGGATTAGGACCTGGACATGTTGTAGCGGCAGGGGCAGGCATTATTCTGCCGACAACAGCCCCAGTTCTCATGAAAAGTATAGCTTAGTGAGAAAAAAAGGTATTAACCAAATAAACATATGCATGAAAATAGGATTATAGATTGTGATGAAGGCTGTGATGGCTAAGAGCCTTTGCTCTTAGCTAAGATGGCTAAGAGTCCTTGAGCAAATGCAAGAGAACAGATTTAGGTTGGAGGGTCACTGGATGGCTGAGTTTTGCAGGTGGGGGAAGTAAGGCAAAGGCCCAGCCACAAGAAGGGGCCCAAGTGCCATAAACAAGGGAAAGTGGCCTCCAGAGAGACTCAGAGCTACAGGGTCTGGTCCTGGCAGGATTTTAGATTTTATGTGAGACTCCATGGGATGCAGTTGAAAGGTTTAGGCAGAGAATGACTTGACCTTTCTTCCTTCCTTCTAGAAGACCACTCTGGCTGCTCTCTTGGGAGGCCTCAGGGTAGGCATGGGGGCTCCAGAGGGGAAGCTGCTTCAGAGTGGCCTGCTTGTCTCTTTGACTTCATCTGCAGCCTCCCAGGTCCTGAGTCATCTTGGATGCCAGAAAGCCCGGAGCCACTCTGCTCTCCTGAGCAGCCCACTCAAGGTCACCAGTTGTTCTTTAGAGCCACTTCTTGATGGTGTCTGTCATCAGCAGGAAGAACAGGTCTCCCAACAATGTCTTTCTTCCTCTTCTGGTCATATGTTTCCCTTTCAGTCACCAGGAACGAGTTGTTCCATGGCACATGGGGAGGAGTCAAGGAGGGCGTTGGCTTCGGGTGTGGAGGCATTTGCTGGTGTCCTGTTGCCTGACACCTGTCCCTTCTCGGACTCTCTGAAGCAGCTCCTGCTCTCCGTTGCCCAAAAAGAACATAGCTGTCAGTGAACCTTTTCTGCAGACACTGAATCCCCCATCACTGTCAGAGCTGTGGAGGGAAAAGATCAGCCAAGTCTCTTGAGAGCCTCGGGTCGTCTTTCCTGTTTTAATTTTAGCCCCTTGTTGACTAATAAAGTAGTTGTATGTAATAAAAAACTTCTGTTATCTAATAGTAAAACAGTCCCTGAAGTCATGGAGGGTGATTTTCTTTTAAAGCTTTGCTCTGTGACCTTGAATAAGCTGCTTCTTGCCCTGGACATCCCATTTTCCAGAATCAAAAATGGACTCCAACTATTTGATATAATCTGGAATTGGACTAAGCCCAAGGTTTTTGCTGTTTCATCTGTGATAAAGAGAGTTGGTTAATTCAACAAATGTGTGTTGCACACTGACTGGTGCAAGGCACAGAACCAGGAGTTTGAGGTCCTGAGATAGTAGGACTTACTCCCTGTCCTGAAAGAAACTATCAATACATTTCAACCTCAGGGAGAGTGTTCCGTCTGCTTCCCCAAAGCAGAAGATTTCATTAGCACTTGGAACTATGTGATTGTCTCGTGGCTATAAATCATTCTTGTCTATTAGTTAAGAGAGCTTAGAAATGTGTTTATTTATCTCACAGCTAATATGAATTCAGCACCTTCAATACACTTTTATCTCGTAATGATGGTCCTTGCCCTTTGAGGAAGGGACTGTTATTATCCTCATTTTACACGTGTGGACAGTGAGACTTGGAGCTTCTACAAATAGCCAAGGGCAGAGCAAAGATTTGACCCTAGAGGATCAGCTTCTAGACTCTAGGCTCTGAGCTACTGTGCTAATATTTGATAAAGCAACTCCAGTGGTGGCTTGTCCCTGAATGTCATCAAATTGTTTCTGAAAGTGGATTCACCAATACAGACTCATCTGACTATATCCCTGCCCTCTTCATTTACTTAAGGACACAAATCTCTGTGTCCCCTGCCCCCAACACCGCTTGGCCCCCTATTCCAGGCACTATTCCCCAATGGAGTAAGTGCTAATGTTAGAAACCTTTAAGTGTCCGAGACCCCTGGCCTCTGGCGAGTAGATTAGAAGTAAAAGGAATTGTCAGGGAACTGGCAGTGAAGTCCAGAAAATTTCTTTTATAAAATTTTTTCCTAAATACAGAGGTTAATTCATGCTTGTGGTAGGTAGAATAATTCGCAAAAGATGTCCATGTCTTGATCTCAGAATCTGGGAAGATGCTGCTTTACAGGACAGTAGGAACTTTGAAGATATGATTAAGTTATGGATCTTGAGATGGGAGGATTATCTTAGCTTATCTGGGCAGTCCCTAAATATAATCACAAAGTCCTTATCAGAGGGAAGCAAGAAGGTCAAAGGCAGAAGAAGGAGATGGCACAACAGAAGCAGAGGTTGGAGTGATGGAGCCATGAGCCAACAAATGCAGGCAGCCTCAAACAACGGAAAAGACAAGGAATAGATTTTCCTGGAGCCTTCAGAAGGAACTAAGCTTGATTTCAGCCCTGTAAGACTTATTTCAGACTTTTGTCCTCCAGAACTGTAGGAGGATACATTTGTGTTGTTTTACTAAGTTTGTAGTAATTTGTTACAGGCACAAAAAAGAAAACTGATACGATGCTCGTTGCAGAAAATTAGGAAAGTACAGAAAAAGCACAAAGGATTTTTTAAGCCACTGTAATCATTCTGCCAAAAGGGGAAAAAATTAATATTTTGGATTATGGCTTTGCAGAGTTTTTCTGTGTGTGTGTGTGTAATTATGCATTTCACAAAAATGGTATTGTAGTCAGAATGTCTGTTTGAGTTGGAGCAGTCTGATTTTAGGGAGTGTGAGATGTCAGATGGGAGGGTCGGCATGGATGTTTAGAGTTCTGGTTTCTTTACACATGTTTGCAGTCCCTTGTCTGCAGGGATGTCTGCAGAAGTATGGAAACTCTTGAAGGTGGGCAGAGAATGACCATGTGGTGGCTGTAAGAGCTCAATCTGGTCCCTGAAGCGATGTCTCCCTGGGGACACTCACTTTGATGTTTTCTTTCTTTTGCAAGCATCCCACTACTACAAATACAAGCAGCAGTTCATCTTCCCAGGTGAGTTTCATGTGAGCTGGAAGCAGCCCCTTCTGAACAAGCCCCGCTGCATTGCAGGAGTTTCTGGGATGAATGGAGGCAGATGTTGTGGGGGTGCCTAAGATCAAAGAGGGTAGTGGAGTCACCACACTCCAGGATAATGGCTGAACATGGAAGTGGAGAAGAAAGAGTGGGCACAGTGGGACCCAAGGAGGTCCCAAGGCACCGTGGAAAGGCCTGAGAGGGTGGAGTGCTGTAGAACACTGGGCGAGGGTGAGGAGGGGTCTAGAGCCATGTGGCAGGAAAGAGATGGTCATAGGGTCCTGAGCTGGGTACTGAGAGGATGTGAAACCAAGGGGCTTTATCATCCCAAAGGGAACCCAGGAGAAAGAAAGATTCAGAGATGACCAATGAATGCTTCAGGCTAGATATTTGAGGGTTCTGGCAGCCCCCTATTCAACAATGAGGAATTTTGTTGAGGATGTCATCCAGAACCCTGGTCCAGCTGAGCAGGTAGAGTCCAGGTGGTCCAGGAAAGGAGAAAGGAGATTGGCCAAGGGCAGAGATCCAAGATCTGGTGAAAAATTGGCTGCCATGTCGCCCAGGAATCAGGCCTTTGCGGGGGTTGTGGACTTCACATTTTTTTTCTGAGTGTTCAATCTCTGGTTTTCAGATGTGGTGCCGGTGCCGGAGACGCCGACCCGGGCGCCCCAGGTCATCCTGCATCCGGTGACCTCGAATCCAATGTAAGTGAGACAGAGACATCTTCCCCCTTTCCCAAGCTTCCCAGCCCTGGCCCTACAATCCACTCAGGTTCCCTATCTTCTTTCCTTCTCTTCCTGGAACTGATGGAGTTGGGGGCAGAGGGAGATGTACAAGGGGGTCAGAGAGACATAGGGAATAACTTAGGCAAAGAGAAAGGGCGTGACAGCTCAGACAGAGAGATGGAGAGAGAGGCAATGCTGTTCCTCACGAGCAGCTATGCCTTGTGTCTCTGACCCTGCCTGTCAAATGCAATTTCCAGGGGCTGGACCGTTTCCTAAGGACCCATAACCTCCCTGTGATTAGGAAGAAAACTTTCCCCGGGTGATAGCTAGTACTTAATGAAAGGGCAATTATTCCATGTCACTGAACATGGAATAACTTTCAAAAGTCTCATTGAGGTTTATGGAATCAGCAAACTATAGCCCATGGGACAGATCCAACCTCCTGCTTGTTTTTATTTAAAGTTTTATTGGAACACAGCCATGCCTATTTGTTTACAATGTATTGTGCATGGTTGCTTTCTCCATGCAGCAGCAGAATCGAGTAGTTGTAACATAATCTGTATGGCTTGCAAAGCCAAAAATATTTACTCTATGACCCTTTGCAGAAAGAAATTTGCTAACCTCTGGTTTATATTATTATAAAAATAATATAAGCTAATTTTGGAAAATGTGGGCTATTCTTTAAAAAGGGAAAGGCAAAATAATCACTCATGATCTCACCACTGTTAAAACTTCTATGTGTGTTCTTTCCATTTATATTTTACATAGTTATGACCCACAATATATGCAAGCAGCTACCATCCTGCTTTGTTATCTTTATGCCAAACATCACATTTTATGAATATTATTTTAGCCTCTCCATAGACATTGTTGGTTTTTGTTTTTTGTTTGTTTGTTTTGAGACAGAGTCTCACTCTGTCACCCAGGCTGCAATGCAGTGGTGCAATCACGGTTCACTGCAGCCTCAGCCTCCTGGGCTCAAATGATCCTCCCAGCTCAGCCTCCCGAGTAGCTGGGATTACAGGTGTGTGCCACCACACCCAACTAATTTTTGTATTTTTTTTTTAATTTTTTATTTTTGTAGAGACAGGGATTCACCATGTTGCCTAGGTGGGTCTCAAACTCCTAGGTGCAAGTGATCATTCCACCTCAGCCTCCCAAAGTGCTGGGATTACAGGCATGAGCCACTGCACCTGTCTGATATTGTTTTTAATGGGTGTAAAATGACATATTGATGTAGAATAATTTTCTTAACCATTTTCCTATTGCTGGATTTTACATTGCTTCCCATATTTCATTGTTGTAAATAATGCTGCAATGAACATCTTTGTGCATAGCATCCTTAGGAAACAGACCCTCTTTTCAGGTGGTTTATTGCTTGTGCAGCAGAAGTGAAGTCACCTTGGCCAGGCGCAGTGGCTCATGCCTGTAATCCCAGCACTTTGGGAGGGCAAGGTAGGAGGATCACCTGAGGTCAGGAGTTGGAGACCAGCCTAGCCAACCTGGTGAAACCCCGTCTATATTAAAAATACAAACATTAGTCAGGCGTGGTGGCACACAACTGTAATCGCAGCTACTTGGGAGGCTGAGGCAGGAGAATTGCTTGAACCCAGGAGGTGGAGGTTCAGTGAGGTGGGATTGTGCCACTGCACCCCAGCCTGGGCAACAGAGGGAGACTCTGTCTAAAGAAGAAAAAAGTGATGTCACAAAGTCACCTCCTTAACTTCTTTGGTTGCGATGGAAGCCTGGGGCTTGCTAGGATTTGACCAGTTTCCTAACTCACCTTTGTGCCTACTTAGTTTTTCTTCTGGGTCCCCTAACTGCTTCATCTTTTCTGACTGGTCTTATGGACTTTGTTAAAGACTTACATGGTACATCTCTGAAATCAAAGGAGCAGCAACTTGCCGGGGGATATGGTGCTGACATCTAGCTCGAGATCATTTCTCTGCTTCACATAAACCAATTCTACAATTTGTGCAAGATGAACTCCAGGTTATTAACTGACAGTCCAGAGGTACCAGCGAAAAACAGAGTCAATAGCTGCTTGCGATCTGCTTAAATGTGCGCGGAGTGATGACAACTCTTTGCAGAAGGAAATACTTGAATAGCCCTGGCTGCTGGAATCACGCCTTGATGCAGAGAGGAGGGTGGCCTGTTTTGGTTTTGGGCATGAGGAGGGACTCCAGCTGCATTGTCCCAGCCAAGTCTCCCCCAGGGCATCAAGTTCTCAGCATGTCAGCTGTCATCGTGCAGGTTCATTCCACTTTCCCAGGCTGTGCTATGAATAATTGGTTAATACCATGGCGAATGCCACTTTGTGGTTGACCTTTCTTTCTCCTTCTTTTAGTTCTTGTGGTCTTTCAGACTCTTTCACCAGGACCCCCTCCAGCAAGTGGATTGACTCTGTGGAGTCAGCCACTTCCTGCAATCTGAGGGTCAGGATAGGGGAGGTCCCCCAAATGAGGATGGGGAAGGGGGAATCTACTGGGGAAATAGGAAAGGAGGGGTGGGGTATTCATTGTGATTCTTTTTTCTCACCTGTCTCAGCTCTTCCATGCCTTCAATAGCCCAGTTCTGTCTCCCTGCTGCACTTCAAAAACACATGCACATCCTCAAGTCTAAACCCTGCAACATACCTCTAATGCACACTGTACCCAACATCCATCACATGTCAAATGTCACATGCATTTGACAGTCCCCTCACACCTCTAATGCACACCCAATTATACTATCGGCATACAGCATCCCCCTCAACATCCTGTGTGTACACCCAACTCACATGCACACAAGACAACCCTGCACAAAGCACATCCCATAATACCTATGCAGTGCTCACACAAATTGTGACGCCCCGCCAGCATCTATACCCAACATGTTTGCTTACTAAGAACAGAACTGCAGCTCATGAGCTTATGAATGCATCACACACACACACACACACACACACACACACACACACACACACACACTTGTGTCTTCCAGCTCAATATGGTCTTTTTATTTTCATTCCACACATCCTAATTCCATGTGATTGGCAAGACCTACCTCAAACACTGGGAACTTTCAAATACACCCAGTAATTCTCTCATCTTGGAATTCCCACGACACTCCATTTATCCAATTCACACCTAACTTTTGGCCTTATTACTTTTAGCCTCCCTGCATAGTATCTACATACTGGCTTTAGTTCCTTCAGTAGGAACACAATATTCCTGAAGGTCAGAAGCCGTGCCAGTTTCAATTCTATATCCCTCCAAGGGCCTAACACTGTTCCTGGCACACACATCTATTAAATAGTCGCATGAATGCATGAATGAACAGACAAACAAGAACACTGAGATCCTTCCAAGAAATTCCAAATTTGTGTGAACTTCGGAGATCTGATTAATTCTTTCCTGGCAAACATATACAGCTCTGAGGACTTATCTACCCAGGGCATTTAGGCCAATTTATAAGAAAGCTGCTAGATAAGTTGAAACCAAAGCAATGAAGAAAAATGAGCCCTGAGCAGCCCGGAAAATCAACTTAAAACAAGGTCCTTGCGCACTGTGTTGTGTGTGTGTGTGTGTGTCTGTGTGTGTGTGTGTGTGTGTCTGTGTGTGTGTGTGTGTGTGTGTCTGTGTGTGTGTGTGTGTGTGTCGAGGTTATGGATTATTTCAGACACACCTGTTGAAATGAAATGTGAGATAAAGACTTGGTGGTAAAGACCTCCGATCTGGGGATTCTTCGTACATAGCTAAACTCAATATATAGACCTGCCTTTTCACCTAGGGATCACGTTTATTTTTCTTTCTTTACAGCTTGGAAGGAAATCCATTACTTCAAATTGAAGTGGAGCCAACGTCGGAGGTGAGAATCAGAGAGCAGTGAAGCGACATTTTCCAGGGACTGCCCAGAACTTGGCAAAGCCGACTGACGTTTTGGATGACGCAGAGGGCTTGGGGTCAGGTGGGGGCTGTGGTGGCCCTGACTGATGGATATTCTAACTCTGGGACAATTAGCAAGCAGTGGTCCCTCCCAGCACTGAGTCTAATGGGCCATTATATGGCATGCATCATGGAAAAGCCAGTTGTGTGGAAATTGTCAAGAGATTTGCATTCTTAGTGGAAAGATCAGCTCAGGGCCGGGTGAATACCAAGGGGGATGTGCCCCGCTGCCTTCAAAAGAATATGTGGGAAGAGGTGGGGGCCTCAGGGATGCTGGGCTTAGAAGTGTTGAGAATGCTCTGGGGCTTCTTCCCACCTGCCTAAGTGGCTGCAGAAATACATGAAATGCCCTGGCTGGAAACCATGGAGTCCTGGCCCCTCAGCTCTGCAACTGCTCTGGGTCTCATACTGAAAGGAATTGAGTCAGGGCTTCCAAGGAAAATCGTGTTCTTTTCTGGGACTATTTTGGTTGTTGAAAAATGATCCCGGGAGAAATCAATGTCCCCTGTATTGTTTCTCCTGAATGTGCCATCAGGGGCAGCTTGCCCAGGTATTTTGGGTCAGGAAGAGCTGTACCCAGTCAAGAAGCCACCTTCTCAGGCTGTTTCATCAGGTCCCAGGGTCTCTGGGAATCCCCGCTGGCCCTGGCCACCTGCTGCTCCCACAATTCTGCAGGAGAATCCAAGAGGCAATTCGCCCCCAAGCACCCCTAGATATCATGCTGATAAGGTGGGTCCCTACACCTTGAGCATTTAACTCTAGTGGTAGTTACGCCGAAGTACGCCTGAGTCGTGTGTGTGCATGATAAAAATGCAGATTCCTGGTCCTGGCCTGCGGATATTTTGATCCAATAGTGCTGGGTGGGGCCCAGGAATCTGCATTTTCTCGGGCCTCCCAGTCGGTGTTTAATACAGATGGTCAGGTCTGTACAAAGAACTTAACAGGCCTTCATCTAAAACCTCACACCGGCCCTGGGGCAGATTTTATTACCCCCACTTTACAATGAGGAAAGGCAGCCTCAGGGAAGTAAAGCAACTGGCTCAAGGTCATACAGAGGCCAGATTTCAGCTCTCTTTGTCTGATTGTTAAGCCCATTCTGTTAACCCCTCACTCTCATGTCTCCTACCCTCCCAGCTGCTGTAGGAGCCTCAGACAGCTAGCTTGTAGCTCTGACCTCTCCCAGTTTTTGAATCATCAATTCCAAATTCCCTGGGGGAAGCAAAAGATACTCCATGTTGGCAGTTGTCATGTGTTACATGCAGATGCACGATGTACCCATTGTTTTAGCCTGTCTAGCCTGTCAACTTTATCACATGCACGTAAACAGCCAAACCAAAAGACTATGGAAGAATAGGAAGGCCATCGGATATTCAAGTCCAGAGACCTGGATCTTAGTCCCTCTTCTGCCTGGCTGCATGACCTGGAGTGAGTCACTTCCCAGGGCAACATATGGGACTTTCGGTGCTAAAACCAGGAAGATTCCAGCAAACTAGAATGGGCGATCCCTATAACACTTCTCTCTGAGCCTCAGTATCCCCCCATTTAGCACAAGAGAGGTGGATGATCATGATCTCCCTTTCAGCACCTTCACTGTAGTATGATTCTAGACCAGATTCTAGAGCTGGGGAAACAGAGGGACGTATGTCTGCACAAGCTCCAAATGCATGTAGAGATGTGCCCAGACCTACGCATGTGCACGGGACCCAGCAGGACCATGAGGGAGGCTGGGGCAGTGGCAGACACAATTCTGACCTCTCTCCCACTCCGGCCACAGAATGAAGAGGTCCATGATGAGGCCGAAGAGTCAGAGGATGACTTCGAGGAGATGAACCTGTCCCTCCTCTCGGCCCGGAGCTTCCCACGCAAGGCCAGCCAGACCAGCATCTTCCTTCAGGAGTGGGACATCCCCTTTGAGCAGCTGGAGATCGGCGAGCTCATTGGAAAGGGCCGCTTTGGGCAAGTGTACCACGGCCGCTGGCATGGCGAGGTGGCCATCCGGCTGATTGACATTGAGAGGGACAACGAGGACCAGCTCAAGGCCTTCAAGCGGGAGGTGATGGCCTACAGGCAGACACGGCATGAGAACGTGGTGCTTTTCATGGGTGCCTGCATGAGCCCGCCTCACCTGGCCATCATCACCAGGTCAGTTCCACCTGGGCTTCTACCCAGGGATTGGCAAAACTCTGCTTCTGGCATGGTTGAGAAATGGTTTTCTGCTTACTTGACCACTCTGGTTAATAGACCATCTCTAGTTCTACCATGCACAGTTTACTTACATGGTTTAAGATTTAAGATTCCAGAAAATACTTTACTTATTTGTTTTTTTAGAGACAGGGTCTCCCTCTGTTGCCCAGGCTTGAATGCAGTGGTATGATCATAGCTCACAGCAGCCTTGAACTCCTGGACTCAAGAGATCCTTTCGCTTCAGCCTCCCAAATAGCTGGCGCTACAGGTGTGTGCCATCACACCTGGCTAATTTTTTAATTTTTTGGTAGAGATGGGGTCTTGCTATGTTGCCCAGGATGGTCTCAAACTCCTGGCCTCAAGCAATCCTCCTGCCTTGACCTCCCAGACTGCTGGGATTACAGGCCTGTAAGCTACCACGCCTAACCCCAGAAAATATTTTTAATGCTAAAACTCTTTAGCAAAACCAAAGACTACTAAATGGGGAATTAGAAACATCGGGTCTAGTTCCCCCTCTATTCCAAGTATTTGTGTAACAGCTTCTCCAAGAGTCACTTTCTCCATATGTGAAATGAGTATATTCAACTAAATCAGGAGTCAGCCAACTTTTTTTTGTAAGGGGCCCAATAGTAAATATTTTCAGCTTTGTGGGTTGTACAGTTTCTGTAGCAGCTACTCTACTCAACCACTGTAGTCTGAAAGCGGCTATAGACAATCTGCAAATGAAATTGCAGGGCTGTGTCCCAATAAAACGTCATTTACAAACCCAGGGAGTGGGCTGTATTTGTCCCATGGGCCGTAGTCTGCAAACCCCTGATTAAGATTCTTTTTCTTTTTGAGACAGAGTTTCACTCTTCTTGCCCAGGCTGGAGTGCAATGGTGTGATCTCGGCTCACTGCAACCTCCACCTCCCGGGTTCAAGCGATTCTCCTGCCTCAGCCACCTAAGTAGCTGAGATTACAGGCATGTGCCACCATGCCTGGCTAATTTTGTATTTTTAGTAGAGACAGGGTTTCGCCATTTTGGTCAGGCTGGTCTTGTTCACCTGACCTCAGATGATCCGCCCGCCTTGGCCTCCCAAAGTGCTGGGATGACAAGCATGAGCCAAGATTCTGATAAGTGTTACTCTGGTTTTCATGAAAGTTGCAGAGCACATTTGCTGTCTTTACCATTGTGGTTTGGAATATCCAGGATCTGTGGTCTATGGGTACAAAGAAGGGATAGTTCATAGAGAACTAACATTGCGAAAATGTTTCTTGGACTTTCTCAGATTTGCTCTCTGGCCTCTCCCAGAGGCTTGAGGCATTGGGAGAAAAATAGCTTTGGTTTTGATGGAACAGTTGTGAAACAATCCTTTGGTTTGTTTTTAAACTCTGGCGCTGACTCCCCTGTAACATAAGGACTGGCCTCTGCAATGGCATTCTTAGTATGACCTGTGATGCCAAGGGGCTGTTAGGAGCTCTCTCCTTGCTCTACTCAGCTCAAGCAGTGAGACCCCAAATGCACAAGTCTTGCATCTTACCAGGCCCAGAACAGATGCTGTGGGCTCAGAGAAGAGCTGGTGTGTCTTTGATCTCTTCCCTTGTGAGACAAAACCTTCTTAAGTCCACTTATGAGAACTTGGTGATTGGTAGAAGGTACATTATATTCTGTATCCATAGATGATGCAGATGGTGGGTTGACTGGAGTGACTCGTGCTTTGAATGATAAGCGCTGGTGAAAGATTAGAGATCTAGGGATGGGCCTCCAAGCCTCCTTAAATCAGGGTAAAAATGGTGGTTCTCAACTCTGCACAAGACAGAAGTGGCTCTGAAGCAATCAGCCCAGGTAATCTTCAGGGGCTGAGCTGTTCTGAGTTTAAGCTTTTGCTGAGTACTACTCCACAACTTAGTGGTTTCTCTCTATCCTATGGATAGTTCTGGGCTGAGCCAGACTCAGTAGCTGGGTTCTTGTAGTTGGCTGTGGTCAGCTCTGGGTCAACAAGGGGATAGTCAGTCTTAGATGCCCTCATCTGTGTGTCTGCTGGTTGGCAGATTGTCAGGGGATATCCTCAACAGGCTAGCTCAGGCTCATTCTCATGGCGGTCTCAGGTTTCCAAGTGTAGCAAGAGGTCAAGACCTACATCTGTTGGCCAGAGCAACTCCTATTATCCACTAGATTCAAGGCATGGAGACACAGCCTCTACTTCTGAATGGGAAGATCTGCAATGTCCCACTGCAAGGACATGGATGCAGGGTGGGGACAATCTGTGGCTATTTTTGCGATTTACTACAGAGAGGCCCTTAGCTCCCTTTCCTTCCCTTTCTTACCCAGTATATATCATCATCTTTTAGCAGCAGTCAATAGCCTATTACTTGGGATACACAAGTCTGGTTGGAGGGTGGTCTTTTCCCCACCCCTGGCCTTCTCTCCATTGCTCCCATCTTAAGCTCTTATCCCATCTTTCTGTCTGGTCAGTTCCTTACCACCCTCCTGCCTCCCTGTTCAGCATTACCTATGAAGCCTAATCCCCATGCCTCCCTCACCCCCTTCTCAAAGGCTAGCAAGTTGGAAATAGACAAACTCAGCAGCCATCCTTGAAAAACGAGTGGTCATTATGAAAATGTGTTGCTCATCCTGCAAGCCAGCTGCATTTGCGGCCCTCTTCTATTATGTACAAAATTCTGAGCCCCCCTCCCCAAGCGCCATAACTGCCTACAGATTTCACAAATAGCCCAGCCTTTTCCTGGCACCACGATAAAGACTCTGCAGCTTTGGGATGTGTAATTGGTCTCTGAAGTGTTTTGGTATTTTGTGTGAGGATGCCAGATGAGCCCCAAAGAAGTGGCATTGATTCCATATTATTGTGTTGTTATATATTTATCTTAGGGAGGGGCTCTGTGCATCCCTCTTTCTGTTCAGCACTGTCCACTTGTTGGCTCTCCAGGTTTCTTATCTGCACGTTCAGTTTGAAACCAAATATTTGAGTAATTTGATTAATCACTTGCATTCGCACGATTGGCTGGCAGAGGTTGATGGTTGGACAATAGCCAACCAACTGGAACCATTTTTGGACCCTAGATTTATTTTACAGGGAACATAAGACCAGATAATTACCTGGCATATTCTGGATCAATTCACAGTGGCACATTCTAGCCAATTACTTAGTAATTATCATCGAAGTTAACAAGTATTTCTAAGATTAGCTTCCTTGCAATGCAATATGTGTGGCTCTTGGGGAATGAGTAATAACCAACTAGTTACCCAATTGCTATAGCCGCAAATGCTATTAGCAGCAGGATTGCTAAATTGTTTCACAATTGGGTCGTTATGGGATTATTGCAAAGCTATCGACGGTCTGCGCAATCACTCATGTTAAAAACTCCAAGTGAAATCTGAAAGCCAATAGAGTTGAGTGAAAGTGTCTCTCACCCGTCTACCTTGCTACCTAGGGTTTCACAAGCCTTAGTTTCTCCTTCTGTAAAATGAGCAGGTGGAAGCGGATGTTTCTTGCAGTGTCCTGCCAACTCTGACAGTATTCTTTGCTTGTCTGATAATGAGCTGTGTTTGAGAAGCAGCTGGGAACAGTGCTTCTCAAAGATGGCGTACCTGGACCTTCCTGCACCAGAGTCCTAGGAGAGGAAAGTTGTAAAAATGCAGATTCCAGAAAAAAGACTGTGATGGTGGCAGGTGAGGGCAAAGGGGAGAAGGTGAGGGTAGAGAAGCTGTCAGGAGCAAGACTGGAGAGGGCAGGGGTTCTCAAGCCTGGTGGAGGAAGGGGAGCTTTTAATACAGTAACAGTGCCTGGCCCTGCCCCAGAGCAGAGTCTCTCATCTTCAGCACTACTGATATTTGGGGTCAGAAAAGCCTTTGTGGTGGGGACTGTAGGATGTTTGGCAGCGTCCCTGGCCTCTACTCACTAGATGCCAGTAGCACTAAGCGTCAAGTTGTGACAACCAAAATGCCCTCGAGACATTGTCCAGAGTGCAGGGGACTCTATCACACAGCCAGGTTTGAACCCTCAGTTATAGAATCCCTGGTGAGGAGTCCTGATTTTATGCCAAGGGCAGTGAGCAGCCGTTGGAGGGCTGTAGGCAGGGGTGTGACATGGTGTTGTTGGAGGACAAGAATGAGGAAGCCTCAAAAATAAAGGGTGGGTGCACAAAGGGAGATATTTTGCCTAGTGCAAAGGCAACGACAGTTTAAGGAAATGATCTGCTTATCTGCCCTAACTTCCCATTGTAATCAAAGGGCTGATGATCTTGGTGGACACTCAGTGTCCTTGCTTTCACCCCATTTTGCTGCCCTCGGTCAGACTGGCAAACCCTGTGTTATGAAGATCACCATATTAGGGTTGCTGTTCTGACAGTGGGTAAGGCTCTGAACCAGCAGAAGCCAAGCCATGCTAGGTGGCGTGGCTGAGCCTTTTTGCTGAAATCAGTTCCCTGGTTGTGGGGTAGAACCAAGACAGAGCCCTCAAAAATAAACCAAAAAAGCAGCAGATTCCATCAGCTTTCAGCAAGTGCTTCGCTTCAGGCCAGGCGTGGTGAGGTTCTCCTATTTATCCTTGTGCCTATTTTACAGGTGAGAAAACTGAGGTCAGAAAGGCAGAGGGAGCCCTTGCCCAAATCATAGAACAAATAACTGGCAGAACTGGGACTAAGCAAATGTATATCTAAATACTAGTCTGGTAGGTTCCTTCTTTGCCAATGGCCGCCTTAGCTACACCAAGGGGAATGGGCTCCATCTGTGAGCACTTTGGTGACACAGAGATTCTGCATTTTTGGTCATATCACAATCACCTGGAGAAATTGATCACAATTCAGGGCTGAGGCCCCATCCTACTTCAATTAGCTTGGACCTCTATCCTTTTTAGTAAGTGCCAGGGGATTTTGTTCACGCCACAGTTTAAGAACCACTGGCCTATTAGAACTGAGTTTCATTTTTGTAGCCTTGATTTTCCGGTGTTTATGTGCTTCTCCAATACCCTGTAAATTCCTGTGGCACCAGCACAACCATGCACACACACACGTGCACACACACACACGCACACACACACACTCGCTCCTCTTCTATATATACGCTAAATTACACACCATCTTCTCTTCTTTCTCTCCTGTTCTCTTTCCCACATCCCCTCAAAGAAATGCACACACTCTATCTTTCCCTGCAAAACACTCATTCCACAAATATTAGCAGCTCACAAAACTGCTGTGCAGAACTCAGAGAACGTACAGTCCCTCACAGAAGCCCCCACGTCACCCCCTTCCCCACTCCCCAAATTATTTTGTAGAACTCTAAAATTATGTAAATCTGTGCTTCGTATCATGTGGTTCCCTAACCAGCCTTACCTGTGAACTTGTTAGAAATGTTAATTCTCTCTCCCACCCTCCCCCGCTGAATCAGAACCTCTGCGGGTGTGTCCAACAAGCTGGGTTTTAAGAAGCCCTATATGGAATTCTTGTTCATGCTCAATTGTGAGACCTGCTGCTTTAAAGAAAGCGGGTCCTTCCTCCCACCTGGAGCAAACTGCCTTTACAACTGCCAAGAGCTTCGGGCACACCTTGGAAACCTCTTCTCTCAGGCACTAACTGAGAGGTGTGCAGCTGAGTCCAAAATGGGTGAGGGCCTAGAATGACCCAATATCAGCACCTGCAGGGGCCTGAGAGCCATCTGTTAGCTTCAGTGCTAGCACATTCCACTAACGCGCCTTCCACAGACATTCATCGGACCCCGGCACAGTGCCAGACCACATGATAGACACTCAGAACACAGTGTCTACAGTTTGTACTGTGGACTTTGCATTCCAGAAGAGACAGACAATAACAAGTTAAACAAACACGTAAGATCATTAAAGCATCGTAATAAGTGCTGTGAAGGCCACAGTCAGGGTGATCGATGGGTCAGAGTGATGGGAGGGCTACTTTGAAGAGGGGCTCAGAGGGGGCTTCATAGGGGAAGTGACATTTGAGCTAGGATCTAGCAATGAAGAGGCATTGGCC
Source organism: Homo sapiens (assembly GCF_000001405.40). Classification (NCBI taxonomy): domain Eukaryota; kingdom Metazoa; phylum Chordata; class Mammalia; order Primates; family Hominidae; genus Homo; species Homo sapiens. The sequence continues at coordinate 117,518,828 of NC_000012.12, read as the reverse complement.
ATGCCAAGAGGCAGAGAAAGAGCAGTTCAGGTAGAGGTACTGCAGGTGCAAAGGCCCTGGGGTAGGTATGAGATTGGTACGTTTGAGGAGCTATAGAAAGGGGCTGCAGAGGCCAGATAATTGCAAGGCTTTGAATGCCATAGAAAGGAATGTAGTGTTTATCCTACGGCAATGGGAAGCCCACGTAAGGTTTTAAATGGCAGCTGCCCACGCTACTCTGGGGGTTTCCTGATGGCCAAGATCCTACCTCCTCTTGCACTCAGCTGGTTGGTTCAATGTGTCAAAATGCATATGGGTTAGAATAGTGATGGCATCAAGGAAACCCAGCGCCAAAGGGCACAAGCCAAGAGAAAAGGCTCTGGGGTATCCTGACTGTCAGTTTGCCATTTCCACCTATGTGGGGCTCTTAGGAACGATACCAGTGAATTTCATCAGGATCCTTTCCCAGGGATTGGGGTAGGATGGGGCGAGGTATTAGGGGCATTACCTAAACATCTTGTAATTGAGGGGCTCAGACTGTGTGCCCCAGGAAAAAAGAGGAAGGAAGAACTGGATTTCCCCATGCCCCCCAGGATGATTTTTTAAATTTCTCATTTGGCGCATGTCACCAATCCCCTCGCTGGGTTCCCAGAGTCTGAGAGGCATCTTCTCAGTTATGTGAGGTTAACTGTTGCCCGCGTGCATGAAATATCCAGCACTTACCCATCTCCTAGGGACAAGGTAGTAATGAAATCCCATGGGGCCTCATTTGCACAGCATTTTAAATCCAGTAAATATCAGGAACTACTTAATAGATTATTTATTTCCAACTCCAAATCAGTTCCTGTTTTCCATGCTTTCAAATATAATAGCACCAAGCTGCTATATTTGACAGATGCATGGAGAACCCTGCCTTCTGTTAAGGTGGTAACTCCATCAACTTGCTTTTTCTGTAACTCCTGTACTTGTGGTCTTTCTAATTTTTGTTTCTCTTCAGGCCAGTTTGATTGTCCTAAATATAACGTACAGGAGTTGGGGGGCCTGAGCACATGAAGATTCCGTCCCCATCATCGAGTGGAAGCGGCTTCCTTTTATGTTCAAAAAGCTGAATCGCTTTCCCTTTATAAAGCACAGCTGAAAAGGTTTTTTGTCTGTGGCTGCCTTTAATTGTGCTGAAATGTAAAGCACCCTGGGACTTTTGTGAAGGAAGCGCTATAAATGTACAGCATCATTATCATTATTATTATCAGCATCATCTCATGTACATTGCATACGCCTGTGTAATCCATCCTATGAGCAGCAGAGGATTTGCATGGCTGAAGACCTCACCACTGGCCACCACTCTCCTCGAATCTCAAAGATCCTGAATTAGCACGTGTGACATCTGTCATCACTTTAAAAAACTGTGTATCTTATTACACAAGTGAATGACTTGTTTGCAATTGCAAATGCAGATCAGCAGAAAGAAGAAAATGAAATTCACCCATAATGCCTCCAGCCAGAGAGAATGACATTAACATCTTAGTGTATATCCATCCAGGCATTTGTCCCAGAATATGTGTAAATTCACACTTTGTATTGGTCAGGGTAATGGTAGCTGCTGTAACAAATAAGTCTTAAAACATGACGTGGTTTAACGCAATATAAGTTTATTTCTTGTCCATGTAATAGTCCAAGATGCAAGTTTTTGGATGGTAGGTGGCTTTTCTCCACGTATGGGGGGATCCAAACCATGTCCTTCTTTTGGATTTGCCTTCTTCTAAGCTGCACAGTCCTCTGCCTCTAGCTGAGGAAAAAGGAAGGGGCATGGAACATCCTATGGAGGGGGGTGGTCTGTGAGCCGCCTACAAGTGGTACACATCACTTCACTTATGTGCCATTGGCTGGTGCTGAGTCTGTTGGCCATACCTAACTGCAAAGAAGACTGGAAAATAGCTAACTGTATTCCCAGGAGGAAAACAGTGGGATTTATGAACAGCCAGGAGCTCTGAGACACACATTCATCTTTATGGATAGATCTTCTTCTCCCATGAGAAATAGACTCATACCAGCAACCCTGTTTCATGACTTGCTATATTCACTAAACAGTATGTGTATGAAACACTCCCCTTTGGCATTTGGGTCTATTGCAAATTTCTTCACTCCTGCTTGTCTTAATTTCTCCACATATAGAATGGGGATAACATTTATCTCTTTTGCAAGATGGTGATAAGAATTAGAGATGTATATGAAAAGACTATAGCATAGTGCCTCCTGTAACTGGAGTGCTCAATAACTTTTATCTCCTATAAAATGATGCTATAATAATAATGATATAATAACAACAATAATAATAATGGTAGCAGCAAATGGTAGAAGTCATGTATTTTCTCTCAGGTGCCAAAACATCTTTGACACTACAAACAGCAAGTGTTTTGTGTTTATTATAATACCAAATGATAGGAGTCAGTGACTGCAGTTTGATTGCTTGGATTTGTGTCCCAGCTGTGCTCCTGGCTTGCACCCTGGCCAAGTTACTGAACCTCTGTAAGCTTTGAGCCATCCAGAGGGAGATCTCGAGTAGGGAGCTAGATATCCTGGTCTCAAGCTTGGACGAAAGGTTGGGACTAGAAATAACCATGTATGAGTCATCTGCATAGACATGGTGATGGAAGTCATGGACTTCTTCTGAAGCTGAGGTCATCTGGGGAAAAGAGGAGGGTTGCCTGAGGATGAAGCCCAGACCACCTGAAGCCCGGAACACCTGCAGCATTGTGGCCCGGTTGAGATGGGAAATTCTGCAAGGGGACCAAGAAGAAGTGGCTGGATGGTAGAGGCAACCAGAGGAGCATGAAGTCAGGAAGCCAACCCAAAATTGTTCCCACTGTGCAGCTTCTCCCATCTCTGTCTCCTCCTATTACATTGCTGTGTTTTATTTTATTTTTGAAACAAGGTCTTGGTCTGTCACCCAGGCTGGAGTGCAGTGGCACAATCTCAGTTCACTGCAACCTGCGCCTCCTGGATTCAAGTAATTCTCCTGCCTTAGCCTCCCCAGCAGCTGGGATTACAGGCACATGCCACCTCACCCAACTAATTTTTGTGTTTTTAGTAGAGACGGGGTTTCACCATGTTGGCCAGCCTTGTCTTGAACTCCTGACCTCAAATGATCTGCCCGCCTCAGCCTCCCAAAGTGCTGGGATTACAGGCGTGAGCCACCGTGCCTGGCCTGCATTTTATTTTCATCAAGGTGCTTCTCATCATAAGATAATTATTATTTTGTTCTTCTATGTTTGCTCACTTACTTTTTCCCCTGCATTCCCTCCCCCACCTTAGAACATAAGCCCCAGGAGAGCAAGGATCTCAGCTATTTGACTCACCTCTGTATCCCCAGCCCCCAAAATACTAGGTCCTCCATACATACTTGTTGAATGGATTAACACATTTACAAAAATACATTCACACACATTAGCACAGCCTGCTCCTCTAGGCAAGTGTAGCAGCAGACAATGAATGGTGCTATTTACTTAGAATCACTGGGAAATGAGTAGACATAAAGAAAATATAGTACGCACTGGAGGGATGACTATAGGATGTGGGAGAAGTAACAGTGATGAAAAGAAAAGAGATGCCAAGTATGTGATGTAAGTTATAACAGTGCAGTAAAGGAGTATTTCCCCACTCACTTACTGTGTATAGGGTCCAGTGCCTGATGATGGAAATAGAGAGAGGAAGGCATGATGTCTGCCCGTCATGGAGCTCACAGACAAGGAAATTAACTGGATGATTCTCCAACGGTGTCGTGATCTCTGCAATAAGATCCCAGGGGTACATGGGGACCTGGAACCTGCCCCTTATCCAACCAAGTAATTAGGCAGATGGACAAGAAGGGAGTGACATTCCTAATGGAGGGGACAGCATATGCAAAGGCTTAGAGGTAGGAGGTAGCAAGGCCAGGGGAGGGGCAAGAGCTGGAGTAGAGGATATATACGGGGAGTAGCAAGAGATATGAAACTAGAGAGATCTGACCGGGTGCGGTGGCTCACACCGGTAATTGCAGCACTTTGGGAGGCCAAGGTGGGAAGATCTCTTGAGCCCAGGAGTTCAAGACCAGCCTGGGCAGCACAGGGACACCCCATCTCTACAAAAATTAAAAAACTAGCCAGATGTGATGGTGTGCTCCTGTAGTCCCAGCGAGTTGGGAGGCTGAGACAGAAGGATTGCTTGAGCCTGGGAGACTGAGGCTGCAGTGAGAAAGCCATGATCATACCACTGCACTCCAGCTTGGGCAACAGAGTGAAACCCTGTCTCAAAAAAAAAAAAAAAAAAGAGAGAGAGAGAGAGAGAAACCAAAGACATCTTAAAGGACCTTTCAAGTCAGGCTAAGGAACTTGAACCTTTCTCCCAAAGGCAGTCAGGGGAGCCACCCAGGGATTAAACCAGAGGAGGGACACAGTCTGGTTTGCATTTTATAAAGACTATTTTGGGACATTCCCTCTTCTTAAGAGAGCTTGCAGTAGGGTTGGTGATGTATTCCCCTCCTCCAAAAATGGTGTGGACGGTTAGTGTTGCTCCTAATCAGACATTAGCAGGAACAAATGCAGGCTTCAATGCCCTAGGTTCTAAGAGATTTTTGGCATGCCTCCCGTAGGGGAAAGCAACAGGGAGTTGGCAGGCCTTTGGAAATGAAGGCATTTTCAACAGCTTTCACTATTTACCAACGTTAAAAATAGCCAGCTGCATTTGCATGTTTTGAAGGCAAGTGTGGGCAACATCGGGCCCTTACCATGTGTTCCAGAAAGCAAAGGGATGGTTTCCTCAGTATTGCCGGCAGGCAGTGGTTAAACAAAGATTTGGGAGTATGGGGACAGCTTTACATAGGGAGACAACGTTGTAATTAACAACCCTCTGAAGTAGGTACCATGCAATCCATTTCCTTGTCTGTAAATAGGGGAATTGAACGGTACCTACTTCAAGGGATCATGAAAGAGATTCAAAAAACAGAAAAACCAGTAATTCATGCAGGTTGGTCAGATTGCAGGGAATCAGCTTTTAATTACGATTTTGCCCAAGGTCATAAGCTAGGAAGAGACTGTCTGATTCATACTGAAGCTTGTATCCATCCACTCTCTCGTCCTCTTTCCCTTTCTAGCCGTGCCTGAGTCCATCCCACTTTCTTATGTCCCACGGACACCTTAAGAACTCCCCACTGCTGGGTCCCATTCCCTGGGAAGGACAACAACTGACCTACCTCCAAATCAGGTTCATTGTCCAAACCACCAAACCTGCCTGGCTTGTGACTTGTTGAGTTGGCAGCAGGCACAAATTGAAACCCTGCCACTTGTCCCTTTCCCTCTCCTTCCCCAGCGGCAGATGCTGGGGTGGTGAGAGTGGGAAGGGTAAAATCAGTGTGTCTGCACTGTTCAGAAACTTGCTGGGCCCCAGACTTTGGTTTGATGTATTCCCAACCTGGCTCCAGTTGCTTGATCACTGCTCAGCTTTGGCCTTGCCCCCTGCCTGATCATGTTTAAGATAATTAGGTCCATAAATCAAATAATAAATAGATATTGACTCCTTGTCATGGAGTATATCAGGATTGATTGACCACTGGGAATACTGCTTTCCTCAATCAATGGAGAGCTGTGAGGATAAATAAATCTTGATAATGACTGGCAAGAGGAAAATCAATAGATGTATTAATATATGCATTGAGATCATATATCTTTGTGACATAAGAATTTGTTTGGCAGAAGAGGGAAACGAGATGGAGGGAGGACAGACAGAATGACTCAGTATCCCCAGACTCAAACACAGCACCTGCACAAAGTAGGTGCTCACTGATTTTTTTGCGGGGGGAGGGGTGGGCGGTGAACTACAGAAATCCTAGGAGAGGTTTTCCTCCAAGAGAAACTGTATTTAGTGTTTGCTTTTTTTGTTGTCTAGATGTCCAGTGCCCAGAAATCCCTTCTGCCTATGGGCAGCAAGGTTCTGTTAATGTTTGGCCTTCTGGTGTCACTGGAAGAAAATAGAGGAGGGAAAGGTGGGACATGATGTCAGGTTGGGACCAGGATACTGAAGTTAGGCTCAGGGAGCAAAATCAGGAGATTTTGGTTGGGGATGTTGAATGTGAGGTGCCTCTAAGTCTATTAAGAGGTGATGTTAAGTAGACATTTAGATATCTCGCTGTTCAGAGATGAGTTCTAGACTGGAGATATTAGCCTGGGAGCCATTCATGCTGGGTGGTATTAGAAAGCATGGGTATTAGAAGGCATGGATTTCACACTGAAACGTGCATCAGAAGCTTATGGAGGGCTTTTGAAAATACAGATTGCTGGGTCCTACCCCCAGAGTTTCTCATTCAGTAGGTCTGGGAGGGGCCTGGGAATATGCACTTTAACAATGTTTAACAGTCATCCCAGGTGATACGGATGCTGCAGGTCTGGGGACCCCACTTTGAGAACCAGCAGCTTTGTTAGGGGAAAGAAAAAGCTGAGAAGAGAAGAGGACGCAGCATTCCTGCAAGGAAGACTGATAGGAACAAGAGAATTGAGGAAAACCAGGAAGAGGGTATTGTCATGGAAGCTTGGGACACTCAGTGTCCAGCAAGGGGAGTGGTCAGCAGCTTAGAGGCTGGTGTTGAAAGGACAAATGGGATGCAACTAGAAAAACGTCCCTCAGAATTCTTGCAGCCTTAACATCTTGTTAGGCTGTGGTTTTACCACTGCATGCAGACTTCCTTTATTCACCTGCCCAGTGACATTTGACATCTCAACCTGTAATTTGATAATTCAACCTGTAATTGCATACCATGTACATTTCCAGTGTAGGGCTAGGGTTCAGTTGGGAGTGGAGCTCTTCACCCTCTGAACCAGGTTAGTGGGACTATTTCAGTTATCGGAGTCATCGGAGGGATCAAGGACAGAACTGGAAGATCCTTTCCCAGCAACAGTTCCCAGCAAGGAGAGAGCTAAAATTCACCAGAATGGCAGTGTGGGGTCGCTGAGACAGGAAATGCATTGACTTCCAGGAGACATGTCCTCTCTGGGGACTGAGCAGTATTGTTTTCCAAACTGATCATTGATGTTTGCCACCACTGTCCTTTAAAAATACGGAAGGGAAGTTGGTCACTTGGGCGAATCATTTTTCATATGAAAGAGGGCTTCCTTGTGAAATGGCACTATGGATATTTATTAAGGGAAACAGATTCCTTGAGCAACTACTGCACACTAGGCACTGTGCTAAGGACTTTGTAGATACTGCTTTTTAAAATCGTTATCCTGTTTTACAGATGAGAAAGCTGGGGATTAGAGAGGTAAGGTGGCTTGTTCAAAGACATATAGCTGGTGTTAGGCTAAGCTAGGGCATAACCTTGACCTCTGATTTCAGAGCTTGAGTCCTAACCCTGCCAGGCTGTACTGGGTCATCTTAAAGAATGCATAAAATCTTTGTTTGGTTATTCTTTTTGGCTATTCTCCATGCCTTCCCAAGATGAATTTCATAGGTCATTGCCGTAGTCTGGCCACTTCTCTTACTCTTGGGTATAAAGTAAAATTTGTAAGAATTTTCTGCCATATAGAAATTTTGAACTGGAAAGAAATGTTCTTCCACATCAGAGTTGAGCACCTGTGTGTCCGCCAGTGCCTGGCCTTGTGGATCATCAGGAAACAGAAGCCGAGTGGTCACCAAAAGAGCCTGTAGGGGAATGCTTGGTTTGCTAGTTGTTCTGGGTCTTGAGTAATTGAACTTTAGTGCAGATTTGCTTACACAAGTTTTTCTTTTGTGTTGGTAATCACTTAGACTGTCTGAGCCTCAGTTTCTGCATCCGTTCAATGGAGGTAGTAATAGTCTAACAGTCCCTACCAGGTGGGATAAATGTGAAGATTAAATGAATTGATAGACATAAGGCTCTGAAAATAGTGCCTGGTACACATCAAGTGCTAGATTAGTGTTGACATCTGCTGCTGTTGTTGAGGATTTTTTTTTTTTTTTTTTTTTTGAGACAGGGTCTCAGTCTGTTGCCCAGGCTAGAATGCAGTGGTGCGATCTCAGCTCACTGCAACCTCCACCTGCCAGGTTCAAACAATTCTCCAGTCTCAGCCTCCCGAGTAGTTGGGACCACAGGCACATGCCACCATGCCTGGCTAATTTTTGTATTTTTGGTAGAGACAGGATTTCTCCATGTTGCCCAGGCTGTTCTCAAACGCCTAAGCTCAAAGCAACCTACCTGCCTTGGCCTCCCAAAGTGCTGGGATTACAGGCATGAGCCACTGCTCCCGGCCTGTCGCAGACATTGTTACTGCTAGCACTGTATCACAGGGACTCAATGGAGGTGACGTAAATACAACACTCTTGTCCCTTGCTGCAGTAGAAAGAATATTGGGTATGGAGTTAGATGTCCTGGATGAATGTTCTAGCCTTGTCACTTGCTGGCTGTGTCACCTTGGACAAAATCACCTCACCTCTCTGAGCCTTAGTGTTCTCATCTATCATGTAGAGGTAACTGTGTGCATTTCTCTAGGTGGTTAGGCAAAACTGAAAATTCTTCATAAAGTAACCAAGACTACAGAAAAGTGGAATAATCTTTTAAATCACGTAGTAATAATAATAGTTTAAGAAGTATTGACTGTGTGTCCAGAACTGTTCTAAGCACTTTGACTTTTTCCACGTATCAGTGGGCTTGGTGCTTTTGGTATTGATGGAACTAGGATTTGAGCTCATGCCTGCTGTTGTCAAAGCAAGTATACATAAGCACCTTATCGCTGAAGAGAACTTTCTTCTTGAGTTGGCAGGTGTAGGTGACCAAAATTTAAAGTTAGAACTGCAACTGAGGGGACCCACAGTCAGCGCCTCTGTAGTCTCCAGGGAAGTGTCTGTCCTTGCTCTGAGACTGAGTGATGAGAAGCAGAGGCCCTTCTCCCCAGCCCTCTTGTCATCTTCTCCCTTTGATGGCAGTAGAAAGTATGCAGCTGAGAAGTCACTCTTGCTTTAAATCAAAAGATTCGACTTCGAGTCCTCTTCAAAAGAAGATTGTTTCTTCTAGGTGTTTAAAAGACTGAGAGGAACCTCGAGAAGGGAACAGATCAGGTATCTTCAAAGGCAAAGAAGGGGGTCACAAGCATCCTCAGAATTTCCCCAGCTGAGACCAGTCCCTCCAAGGCTGTTATTAGCACAGCCCTTCGGGACTTGGAGGTGCAGATCAAGGATTCTCGGCAGACTTGTTTGGAAGTGTTTGTAGACCATTGAGGACTGTCAGAGCGTCTCAGTTCCCTGGGTCTGATCTCTCTCTGAGCAACAAGGGCTGCCTTTGACAAGTTCTCATAGCACTGAAGCTCAGTGGATTATTATTCTATCTTGTCAATAAGCTGCAGTTGCTAGGCTCAGCTGGCCTTGCAGCCCTTCCTTCTGCAGGGTTTGGTTTGTGTGCTTTCCTACCTCCCTGCTCTCTTTCTTTCGGTCCCTTTTCCAGCCTTGGTGCTGCCCTATCCCTAGGCCTTATCTCACCACCTGGCTCCTGAATTGGAGGGGAAAACACGGTGCTGTTTGCCTGGCATTCAGAGGGTTGGGCCTTCCATCAGGTGCTGAATGCAAAGAGGGAAGGGGATGGAAGGAGGAGGGGGCCAAGAATTCACGTTCTTCTTCTACCACTGTGTGACTCTAGACAAGCCTTTCAACCTTCTAGCTCTGTTTTCTTGTTTTTGAAATGATTATAACATTATCTGCTTCATCTTTAGCTGGACCATGTACCTCCTTGTCTGGACCTGTTTGACCTAAGCTGAACCCTCAGAAGTGAATGATCACGCATCCATCCATCCTCCTATCAATTCAACCATCTTATATCCCCCAGACCCCTTACCTGTCCCCCTGCCCATCCAATCACCCTCTGAACCATCCATCTATTCAATATAAGCCCACCTACCATCCATCCACTCATCCATCCCATCCACCCCATCCACCCACCCACCCTCTCATCCATTCATTCAACATCCATCCACCCATCTATCCATCTACCCACCTTCACATCCACCCATCTGTTTAACATCCACCTATCCATCTACCCATTCACCTACCCACTAACCACCTATCCAGCCACCCATCCATCTACCCACAATTAACCTACCCATCCACTCATTTATCTACCCATGCACCCACCCTCTCATCCATTCATCTGTTTAACATCCACCTGTCCATTTACCCATTCATCCTGTCAGTCCACCTATCCACTTCCCACCCATCCATCTTCCCACCATTAATCTAGCCATCCACCCATCCATTCACCTACCCTCTCATCCATCTATCTGTTCAACACCCAGCTATCCACCTACCTACCCACCCATCTGTTTAATCACCATTAATCAATCCATCCATCCATGTTCCCACTCTCCAACCCTCCCACCTATCCATTCATGCACCCATCCACTCACCCATCATTACTCTAGCCACCTAGCTGTTCAGCAAATAGTTGTTGAAATCTTACTCTCTAACGTGCAATCCCAGGTGCTAGAAGTTTGTGAGTGGGGCTTTTCTTCTGGGATGTGATGGAAGCATGCCGTGTGTCACAATTAAAGCCGACTCCTTGAGGCAAGACATGATGGCCAGTAGCATGGGAAGGCTGTGGTCAGCATCATTCTGGTATCACGTGTTTAGAGCCAACAACAAATAAGTCTAGGGGAGCATCAGTAGATGGGAATTTTAGTGAACTGCACATCTGTGGATCACATTCCCTGATATAAACATAAAACAGACTCCCCCTCAAAGGAAAATACAGGCAGCAGGACTAAAATAATCAGAATTGTCTTTTCCTGCAGGTTTCCTTCCCTTTGGATCTAACTTTTGTGGAACCCAAGGCTGATGAGTGTAGAGGTCTAAGACCCTGGGAAGATGACAAGGGAGGGTGGCTTTTTATCTCAGCCTGGGAGGTGATGATAAATGGAGGGGAAAAGGATAGGCTTGGGCCACGGGGACAGGGAGAGAAGGTGCCAGTTTAGCAGGTCCTGAGGTAGTTCAGCCTGATTTCCAATAGGAGTGGGGGTGGGGGCTGCTCACTGCCTATTTTATACCCCATTAACTCCCAACTCATAACAATTTATCAGCAATCAGCAGCAGGCTGGAGTTTACTTACTCATTATTTATAGAGAAAGTGTTTGCTAAGCAAATCAGTAGTTCAAACAAGATCGCAGGGGGGTAGGTTTAACCCACTCAAGAAAACCAATCAGAATAAGAGCCTCAGCACATTCCTGTCTGAAGGCAGATGGGGCTGCTGGTGACAGAAGGACACCAGCCAGCCTTCACGGCCCTTGCTTTGCAACTCCAGAAGCCTTCACTTTATCTCAAAATGGTCTCTAAGGAGTACACCTTGGCCTCTTTCTTCCCCATCCAGTCTGAATTTGACATTTGGCTTTATGTTGCTGTTTCAGTAGCCTAGTAAAAGCCTTTGGTCAACCCTAGAAAGAATGAATGTCCTTTGGGGTCAAGTCTCAAAATCAGGACCCTTAAACTCATTCCCTTATTGGAGATGAATGGCCATGGCCTTCTTTAAGTGACTTAAAGACCTCTGGTCCTTTCATTTCAGGAAAGCCTCTTGGATTTGAGGTTAGAAGACCTAGTTTGCCATCCTGGTGCTGAATGGCCTTGGGCAAGTCACTTGGGTTCTGTGATCCTCAGCTTCCTGCTGTATAGAACGGGCACACTGCTGCCCATCCCACAGAGTTCAGGCAGTAGATTAAACCATGTAGGTGAAAGTGTTTTGTAAACAGAAAAATGCAAAGCAGATGTGAGGGGCAAATAGTGTTTCAGGTGGATTTTAATGAAAATGAGAGACTTTTTTCCTTTACTGAATCAAAATGAGTGTTTTCAGCTTTTCCAGTGGTTGGCAACCTGGGTGAACATTCGAATTACCTGGGAGTTTTGAATTCTAAGTAATGCCTGGGCTCCACCCTCAACCCCAAAAGATCCTGATTCAGTGAATCTGGGTTGGATCTTTTATTTATTTATATATGTGTGTGTATACATATATATACACACACACACACATACATATATAAATAAATCTATCTATCTATTGATCTACTGACATATATATATCTCCAGGCAATCCTATTATGGAAGCAGGACTGGGAACCACTGAACTATTCCCAGAATAAGCCATGCCAAACCAAATTTCTCTTTCCTCCCATCTCAGAGTCAGAACTGCATAGCACTCTGGAATCCTATAGACTTTGGTGCAGCCCCATCTCTGTCACTTCCTGGCTACTACATTTATTCTCTAAAAAGGTGTGTGGTCTTGGCAGCTATGCTGGGAGGAAACAGTCAGGCTTGTGGATGACCCAAAACTCTTCTGACACCCAGGGGATTTTATTTCTCAATCTCTGAAGCAAACAGACTGTCACATGCGTGCACCAAACAGGGATGGAAATTGCAACCTGAAATTGACAACTCAGGAAAAAAATATATCAATGTTTGCTAAGTAGAGAAAGAGGTGATATTGGCTGGAAAGAGAAATGTCATTTTCAGGCTGCCAAAAGAGTATTAACATATAATATGGAGAACCAATAAAATCCATAGTCTAATTCTTCCAGGCTGCCTGGTTGAAATAATTCACGAAATTGCATCTGAAAGCCTTGATATTTAGCTCCTAATTTTGACAGAGAAGATGTTTCGTTGGGCCCAATACTGGTGACATGTGTATCGACTTTGAAGATTCTTTCTTAGTGGTAGAGGATCAAGATCTGTGTCCCGTGATCAAAATGTTCAGAAATAACTTTGTTAATAATTTGTGTATCCATTCATTCACTTGTCCAGTCATTCATCAAACATAGCCAGGAGGTAGTAGGTACTGGAGCTGCGGGGCTTTATAAGACATGCTTGTCCTCAGTAGCCTCTCAGCCATGGGGAAGATAGGAATTCAGGAATCATTATACAGGGAAGGAAGTGTTGAAACAGAGGTGTGCAAAGGGCATGAAGAGAATTCAGAGAAAGGGACTGACTGAGTGGTGAAATGGGCTGTTTCTTGTGGAATAAGACATTTTGGAAGAAATGGGGATTAGAGGAAGGGTGTTCTTGGTATAAGGAACAGCATAGACAGAAGCAAGAAGGTGGCAGAAAAAAGAGGTCACATTTGCAAAACTTCAAATAGCTCAATTGAGTTGGAGCAAATGGTGCCAACTGGGGGATATGCAGTGAGGGACACCAAAGCCTAATGTATCCTGACTCTCCTGGATGAGTAATTGTGATAAGAAAAGTGGATAGTTGAGCCTTGTCAGGTGCTATGCAGTGTGCTGAGCACATTATACATACTTTACGCTATTGGATGCTTGCAACCTGAGAGGAGAATGTGATTGTCACTGTTTTACAGATCAGACTCCAGGAAATGTTATTTGCCCAGGGTTCCATGGGTGTAAGCAACAGAAGCATTTGAGCTTCTGTTTGAGCAAGAGGCTGGGGTGATCTGATGAAAAATAAAAGGGCATGAAAACAAAACGTTTGGGTTTTGGTCTTGGAGGGAGGGCGACATCCACCATGTGCTGCCTCTAGGGTTTGAGTTAAACCCATTTCCTTGATGGAAAATGGGGCCAGCTATTCCCACCCACCTTCAGTGTGCTCAACATGATGTGATAGCTTCCACGTTGGTGAGGGGACTGCATAAGGACTGACACAAGGTCAGGATTCTGGTGCGGGCCAATTCACAATTGCCAAGACACGGAACCAACCTAAGTGTCCATTGACCAATGAGTGAATAAAGAAAATGTGGTATATATACACCATGGAATACTACTCGTCCATAAAAATGAACTAAATCATGTCTTTTGCAGCAACTTGGATGAAGCTGGAGGCCATTATTAAGTAACTCAGGAATGGAAACCAAACACCATATATTCTCACTTACAAGTGGGAGCTAAGCTATGAATACGCAAAGGCATACAGAGTGATATAATAGGCTTTGGAGACTCGGAATGGGGAGAATGGGAGAAGGGAGTGTGGGATTAAAAACTACATATTGGGTACAACATACACTATTCAGATGACAGGTACACTAAAATCTCAGAATTTGTCACTGTATAATACATACATGCAACCAAAAACCACTTGTACCCCAAAAGCTACTGAAATTTTAACAAAGATTTTTTTAAAAGATTCTGGTGCTGGGTGGGCTGTTTGAACAGTCTGGCTGATCTTGACTCTTTTTGTATATACTGTGGCACCAGTCCCAGTCACCCCTTCCTACTAACCTTCCCAGAGCATGCAAAAGCACAAGAACCTTGGATATCCAGGTAGCTGGGCATTTGCTTGTTAAGATCCCCATATCTCCACCCTCCACACTTCATAGATAGAAGCTAGAGTGCCTATGGAATTTTTAAGGAGGCCTGAGAGGACAAGGTTACCTTGGTGAACATTGGGAAATAATTCTTTTAGTGCCCCGGAGTTAAGAGATTAAGGGAAAAAAGAATCCCAGATGAACTCAAGTGATGATTTTTGCTCATCTTTGAGAAATTGGCACAAACTTATATTTTGTCCCTGCACCTTCTAAATTGGGTTTTGGGGAATGACAGGACTTTCAATTGAAACAGATTACCAAGGTGAGACTTGGTGGCTAATGGAAATATTCGTAATAGGATTACATGGAGTTTTCATCTTTCCCATGAAGATGCAACATTGTCACATGACAACTTTTGGGGCACAGAACCCATGTTTTTAATCTCTCTGGACATTTATTTTCTGTTTTCAAATGATTGAGAGGTGAGGTCACAGCCCTAGAGTGGCTTGCTTTCTATCTGTGAGAAGTAGGAGAAAGCTATTAACAAAAAAATGAAATTGAATCTCACCAAGCACAGATTCCCATTTGCCTGTTGGTTTTTAAAATCATTGTGCTGCCCATTTATGTACAAATAGAGGTAAGTGTTTGTGGGCATTTGGAAAAGAACTACGTTTTTTCAACACAAAGGAAAATACAACTCCCATCCCAGAGTTTGCTTTCCCAAAATAGTGATGTTTATTATGGAAGTTTGATCCTAGCTGCAGTCTCTTATTTTTGCTGATTTTGCTGTTGTCCCTGTCTGTCTTCTTTTCTCATGGCCTCACTCACTTTGTATTTTGGGGTCTATCAATCAACCATAATTGTCAATATTGAGTGCTTTTAATGATCCAACCTCTTTGCATGTCCTTTTAGGTAGGAAGGGATAGGCTTGTGCTGCAATGACAAACAACCCTAAAATCTCTGTGAACATTTATTTCTCGCTACTCAGAACGTTTATTTCTCACTCATGTAAAGTTGGCTATAGGTTGGGCAATCCTCCAGGGCAGCTGTCTTCCATGCAGTCACTCAGGGATTCAGGCTGTTCTGATCTAGTGGGTCTGCATATCATCCTGGAGCCTCCTTGGTCGTGGGTGGCACAAGAAAAGAAAGTGGGGATTGAGCAATGCACTTTAAAATACCCCAACCAGGCCAATAAAAACATCCTACTTTTCACTGGCCAGGGCCAGTCACATATGCAACATAACTGCAAAGAGATTGGAAAGTGTAGTCTCCTGAGTGCCTAGGAGCAACAGGGAGGAAGATCTGATGAACACTGGTGTTGTCTGTACCACATGAATCTTCTAATTTAACCCTTCCAGACCTATGACATAGACTCTGGTCTGTCTACCTGCATTGATTTTTAAGCAACTTTCCCAAAAGCTCATAGGTAAAGAATATCAAAACTGGGTCTGAAACCTGGCTTTGACTTCAAATTCCAAGCTCCTAACCTCTAGGTGCTACTGTCTCCCCTAATAAGTTCTCTCCCCTCTCCACTCTCATTTCTGTTCCTCCTTCTCAAAGAAATGATTCCTGCCAGCACACTCCCCTGGCTTCAATTTTTCTCCATTCCTCTTGGGGTAATGAAATGATAGTTTGTTTTCCTCTCAGTGTCCGCCCCAATATCTTGCCCACCCAGGCCTCTTCAAATCTCCTAGGTCCTTCAAGTTCTATTTACAAAGCTTCGAGAGCAAAGAACACAAATGTTCTTTGTTGTCAGGCCAGCAGAGGCATGGGTTGTTGAAACTGGAAGAAGTTCCTTCCCTGGTTGACAAAGCTGTGAAATCAGGGTGTTTTATTTTTACCCATTGCCTGGCTCAGGGCTCCTCAGCAAAAGCAACAGGAAGTGAGTTGGGAATTTTGTAAACTTCCATTTGTTTTTTTCTTTTTTAAAACAACTTTATTGATATATAATGTATATACCCTAAAGTTTAGTCACTTAAAGCATACACAGTGTCAATAGTTTTTAGTATATTTACAAAATTTTGCCACTATCACCAAAATCTAATTTTAGAACATTTTCTCTCTCCTCAAAAAAACGGAATCGATTCGATACCCATTACCAGTCATTCCCCACTACCCTCCTCCCAACTTTCCCCACCCCTAGGCAACCTGAAGTTCTAATTTTAGACAAATAATTGATTTTCTTATTGGAGCATTTCAAAGTCCAGGGAAAATGCAGACCCAGAGTGCTTTCTGAGGGATGAGAAAGGCCAGTTCTGCAGTTGGCATGATGGAACCCATATTGCTGTCCCCAAGTCAGGTCACAAAAAAACATACAGATACATAGACATAGATGGGCACATAAATGCAAAGACCCCTACACACGTGAGTCCACATACATATGTACACACACATGCGCCTACAGTCATGCACATGCATGCATTGACATGTCTTTATGTGTGTTCATGTGTGCATAAATAGTCACAGACGCAGACATACACCTGCACTCAGAAACAAGAATGCCCATGTAAATACCTGTGTGCACAGACATATGTCACACTTGTGGCTTTTGATCCAGTTACAGTGATTCCTTGTGTGGTGACAGTGGGTCAGGTCATTTCCTCCCAATGGCCGTTTTGAAGTCAGTGGTCTGTAAGAAAGACATTCTAAAGCAATTTTGGATTTGTCTCACTTGGGTGAACATTTGTCCAGCTAATTTAATGTCCAGGAGCTGCCTGGGAAGGCTCTGTGAGGATGTGATATAGGAGTTTGGGCAGGGAATTAGGGAAAGGAAGAGGCAGAAAACATGGACTTGACATATGCTTCCACGTTTGAGTGATTGTGTGGCTGGGGCACGCCCCTCCCTGATGGGTGGCAGCGGGTAGTTCAGTCTGTCTCCACCTTGCGTAACACAGGCTTGCAGATAAGCTCCCTTATTTGGCTACATATGCACTGGCCCGAGTTCAAGTTCCTTCTCCCTCTTTAGCCCAACTCACTCCTAAGCAGAACCTTGTCCTTAGACCTATGACACTTGCTGGCTCTTTCTCATGTAATATGTGCCTGCCCACCAGACTCAGTATCCCCACACCTGGCACAGTGCCTGGCAGGGCTCTGGAAGTGTTAGCTCAGCACATGCATAGAGGCACAAATGGTTGACTGAGTGAGCAAGTGAATGAATGGAAAATCCACGTGACCTTAACCGCACCCCAATGCAGAGGAGAATGGCTGAAATTGAAGAAAGCCCTTCTAGTTTGAGTAGCCCAATTTCTGTTGGCTCCACCCTGATTTCTTAGAGCAGGGGTCAGCAAACCTTTTCTGTAAAGGGCTAGACAGTAAATATTTTCAGCTTTGCCATATGGGCTTTGTTACAACTCCTTAACTCTGCTATTTTAACATGAAAACAGCTGTAGACAATTTGCAGACAAAAAGTATGGCTGTCTTCCAATCAAACTTTACTATGAACACTGACATTTGAATTTCATATAATTTTCACATGGCACAAGATATTACTCTTCTTTTGAAATTGTTTCAACCATTTAAAGGAGTATCAAATCATTCTTAGCTAATGGGTCATGCAAAAAACAGGCTTTGGGCTACTTTTGGCCCGCGGGCCATAGTTTGCAACTCCCACCTCAGAAGCCTGATTCTACCAAGCCTCAGTATCTGCAGTCTTGCAAATTCTACACTCTGCAAACCCTTGACCTACAGCAGTCTGAATAGTGGGCTAGTTGGGCATGTTCTGGGGTGGCCCAGCGCTCGAGGCCTTCTCAGAAAAGGGGGAGGCAGTGGAAGGCCCAGGGGCTTTGGTCAAACTGGACCCAGCTCCTGCTGCATGTCCTGGCAGAGAGGATTACTGGGCAAGTCATTCAATCTCTTGAGCCACTACTTCCTCATTGGAGGGACGGGAGGATGAAAAGCTCCCCCTCAGGGCTCTTGTGTGGGTAGAATGAGTACAAGGCTTATCTCAGGAGCTTGGGAAACTTTGATTCCCTTGTTCCTCAGCCTCTGTTCCTTCCATTTCCAAAGAGGCCATATAGCTTAGTGGTTAGGAATAAGATGCTAGTATCAAATAGAATTAGGGTAGAATGCCAGTTCTGTCTCATATATCTTAGCTACATGACCTTGGCAAATGACCTGAACTCCTTGAGTCTCAGTTTCCCCATTTGTTGGATAGGAATAACACCTGTCTTATGGGGTTAGGTTAGGATTACAATCTATGGATATGATTTATGTAAAACCTTCAGCAGAGTCCTCGTGGTGAGGTTCAGAAATGCCACTTATTATTCTGAGAAGGCAGCATAGCTCTGTGTCTACAAGCATTGGGTTTAGCTTCAGACAAAGCTGGGTTGCAGCCAGCCTGTGTCACTCTAAACACAACCTTGGGAAATTCCATCCCCCTTCTGCATTCCGGTTTCTCCATCTCCCCTGTGAAAGGAGCAGATCCAGTAATTCCTAATGTTAGTCTACAACCTGAGTTCAAAACATTTCTATGCCTGTTTTCTCTTCTACACGTGATGTCTTACACCATGGCCAGGTAGGTTCCGTGCTCAGATAACTTCCCAGCCTCCCCTTCCTCTTACCTCCCTCCCCATCTCCTTATCTTCCCATCTCCTTCACCAAGCAACGGACCTGACCAACAGATCCAGGGTTGATTCAGCCCCAGTGGCAGAAGGGAGCAATGCCCCACACACTCCACCCCGGCTGACTGCCTTACACAGGCCCTCCTCCCAGTGTCCTCAGCCTCCCTTCCTGTGCCCTTTTGGGCTGTGGGGCCCATGGGTGGAAAGAACACAGCCATTTGAGGTGGAGGTTATGCCTACCACGCGTCTGCCTGCCCTTTTGTCTCTTATCAGCTACACAGTTATTAGAAAAAAAAAATTGAACAGTAAACTCTGTCTTCCTCATTAGGGACCAAACTTTCCTGAGCCAAGAGTGTTATTAGGTTTCTCTGTAATCACCAAGCATTTGTTGTGTGCCCACTTCCAAAGAGGACCAGAGTGGGCTAAACCCTGTGCAAAAGACAGAAGGAGCAAAAATGTTTCCTCTCCTCGCAGAGTAACAGCCAGAAAGTCTCTAAAGCAAGGCTGAGCTACTTGGAGTATGAATTTGGTTCAGACTCCACTTTCTCATTTCAGTTCCCCACCGATTCAATGTTTTCCAAACCGTCTACAGAATAAACATATGTGTCTGGTTTTACTCTAGTCAGAAGTCAGAGGTGCTTTTCTCATTTCTTCCTTTTTTCTCGATTTACAAAAGGAACATGCATTTATTGGAGGAAAAATTAGGAAAGAAAGATAAGCAGCAAGGGGAAAAAAAACCTTATAAAACCTCCTAATCCCAGTAGCCAGAGATAGCTCTGCTAACACCGTGGGGGCTATCCTCTCCCTGGATTTTTAATGCATATGAATTAGGTGATATATGTGTACAGTTTTTAAAACAGTAATTCAGGCTACTGTTGAGTTGAAAAATAAGTGTGGTTCTGGTGAGTCAACAAAAAGATCTCAGCGTTTTGATATCCTTTGATGTCTAGCCCTAGAGGGCAGGACCAGTGGTCTATTTGGTCTTTTTGCCCCTGTGGTACCTTGCTCATGGAAGAGGCTCAAAGTTCATTACTAATTTGAGCTGGGCTTGGCTCATGGTCTATTTCATGTGTTAAGACAGCAGGTAAAGGCGTATCTTAGTGTATTAGTCCATTTTCACACTGCTGATGAAGGCATACCTGAGACTAGGCAATTTACAAAAGAAAGAAATTTAATGGACTCACAGTTCCACATGGCTGGGGAGGCCTCACAATCATGGCAGAAGGTGAAAGACACATCTCACATGGCGGCAGACAAGAGAAGAAAACTTGCGCAGGGAAACTCCCCTTTATAAAGCCATCGGATCTTGTGAGACTTATTCACTATCACGAGAATGGCACAGGAAAGGCCTGTCCCCATGATTCAATTATCTCCCACTGGGTCCCTCCCACAACACATGGGGATTATGGGAGCTACAATTCAAGATGAGGTTTGGGTGGGGACACAGCCAAATCGTATCACTTGGCATGAAACACAGCCCTCCCGAGCTACAGGGGACACAGGATGCTTATCCCCAAGAAGACAAAGGATAGGAGTCATTCATTGCTCTGTTTATCCATGCACTCATTCCAAGAGCAGTTCCTCAGCCCCTCCCCTGGGCCAGTGTGGACAAGCATGCATCCAGCAGCTCTGAGACCTTCTAGCTCTAGCCACCTGCAGCCTGCTTTGCTTGTCTCTGGGTAGCAGCTGGGAATTCCCAAACAGAAGCAGCAAATGCATGATAAGGATTAACATGGCCCTGCCCTGAATTTGGGGGGTGGAAGGAAAGGCCTAGAGTTGGAATGGGGTAGTCTCAGCTGAGCTCAGTGAGCAAATGAGGGTTCAGAGGTCAGGCTCTCTGAATCTCCGGAGTCACCTGCTCTGCTAAGTCATCTTTTCCTGGCGAGCTTATGAAATCCTGAAAAGAGGTGAAGGTTTGAGTCCTGAACTCCAATCCTGACCCTGTTGCCTACTCACTGTAGGACCCTGGCGCAGGTAATCTTTACCTTCCTGCACATGAATTTCTTCATTTGTAAATCATGTCTCTCCTACTAGGGGAGATGGTGCGAGAAGTTCTCAGGACAGTGCCTTGCAGGAGAAAACTCCATCAACGGAGACCATCATCTTATCTCATTTAACCTGCAAGTACTGCTGAGTAGTGGGCATTAAAGTTGGACATAAAATCACACGCACTTGTGCAAAAGACAGAAGTGGCAAGATGCTTATTTCCTGCTCTCAAAAAATAACAGCTAGGGAGTCTCCAAAGCAAGGCTGAGCCCCTTGGAATATGAATTCGATTCAGACTGTACACCCCCACCTCAGAGGTTACAAAGCACTGTGAGTTCCAAAGCTTTTAGGTAACTTGCCAAAAATCACGTAGCCAGGAAGTGGCGGATTATCTCAGGTGGTTCTGATTCTAAAGTGTATGCTCCTAACTAGGCTGACTTATTGCGCCAGTCTCCTGGTCTGTACCCTCTTTAGAGAGTTATAAGAAGCATGTAATGAGGTGCTGCCCGGAAACCTTTTGCCTCTGTGCCTGGCATCCTGGTAGGCCCTCTAAAGATGGTCGTCATCCTAAACAGGATGATGATGCTGCCCTGCGTGGAGGGATTTGATAAGGAGTATTATGCTAGAAGTTGTCACAAGTTAATGAAGAGTCTTTGCCTTGAAAGAACACAATGTAGTGGGAAGGGGGCCCCTGCTGCCTCTCCTTAGGTACCTACCCTGGTGATCCTATTAATGGAAGCATCTAGCACCTAGTTTGTTTCTCTATTGCCCTAATTATAACTTGCAATTATTTTATTTGCATATTGTCTCCTCATGAGAATGTCAGCTCATTCGAGCAAAGAGTCAGCCCTTCTTGTCACCTGCACTCACCATCATTGTGACAATAAGGAAAACATCTTTGGCCTGGCACAGTGGCTCATGCCTATAATCCTAGCACTTCAGGAGGCCAAGGCAGGTGGATCACCTGAGGTCAGGAGTTTGAGACCAGCCTGGACAACATGGTGATACCCTGTCTCCACTAAAAATATAAAAATTAGCCAAGCATGGTGGTACACACCTGTACCACCATGTACAGGTGTGTACCACCATGTACAAGCTACTTGGGAGGCTGAGGCAGGAGAATCGCTTGAACCCGGGAGGCAGAGGTTTCAGTGAGCTGAGATTGTGCCACTGCACTGCAGCCTGGGCAACAGAGCGAGACTCTGTCTCAAAAAAAAAAAAAAATCTCTGTTCAGTGCTAGTATTTGATACCTTTCTAACTCTAACTTGCTAAACTAGTTTTGTTGTTTTGTTTTTTTTACAAAAAGAGAAGCCCTCAAACTTAGGGCCTTTGGCAGACCACAGTGCCAAACTAGGATTTCACTTTGTTTTTTAATATATGTTTGTTTTCATTGTATTTATTTTTACTCTTACCTGGGGCTAGGGATTCTAGCTTTCCATCTGGCAATGATAGAAGGTAATGACAGAAAGTATCTCTTTAAAATACACTGATTTTTCCCCCAAGGGCAGTACATTTAACAAAAGCTATTAAGTGATAAATAGGAGTTGGCTGATCTGGCAGATTCATATAAATACAAGTGGGCGGATCTTGAATGATTGCAATGTTAAAGATACTGAATGAGATGTGCAGCCCCATCGTTAGGAGATGCTGAGAAAATATGATGCAGGATTGGGGAAGAGCATGTCTCAGGGTGTCTTTGGACAGTGTCAGCAAAGGCAGGTCCCAGGCTGGACCCCACAATGTGACAAGAGGTAGAGGAATGCCAGGTTACCATTTCCCTGCAATTCTTCCTGGAGTGACCTGGAGGCTTACACCTCCAACTTGGCTGCCTGTGGGGTGGGAATACTCCCTCCCTATGAAGCCTAGACCAGAGAGGGCAGAAGGTCACCCAGATGCCCAGCAGCTTGGAGTCATACACAGTCTGGGGCAGAAGGGACAGCCCCTAATGGGCAGAACCCCACATCTCAGTCTTTGAAGAGCCCAGAGCAGCCAGACTCTGACCTCTTTTTTTTTTTTTTTTTTTTGAGACGGAGTCTCCCTCTGTTGCCAGGCTGGAGTGCCATGGTGCAATCTCGGCTCACTGCAACCTCTGCCTTCCAGGTTCAGGCAATTCTCCTGCCTCGGCCTCCTGAGTAGCTGGGACTACAGGCGCACACAACCACGCCTGGCTAATTTTTGTATTTTTAGTAGAGACAGGGTTTCACCATGTTGGCCAGGATGGTCTCGATCTCTTGACCTTGTGACCCCGCCCACCTTGGCCTCCCAAAGTTCTGGGATTACAGGTGTGAGCCACTGCGCCCGGCCGCCTCTGACCTCTTGACTTAGCAAAATCAGATTCAGTTCTGGGGAGAAGAACTCAGCAAGACAGAGAGTCTACGCTTCCTTTTTCCCTCCCCACTTCTGAGCTTTGCAGCAATATCAAAGGCTGAAGGAGGGGAGGGAGGGCCTGCATTAACAAAAGCTCAGTGCCCTCGTGGGCAGCTAGGCTCTGTCTTTGCATATTCTGATGCCTGGCAGGCCACTGTCATCTTTCTTGTCTGGCTAGGATGTGAGCCTTCCCCAGCCAGCCCCTTACTTAATGGAACTCTATAACTCTTCATTTCCTGGACACACGTTGAGTTAAGCAGGTGGCAGACAGCTGGCATTTCTCACTTGCTTTCTGGCATGTCCCATTTTTATAGGAAGCTAACCTGGCATTTTTTATTATAAAGCCCCAGAGTCCCAAGGTTTAATATCTTGAGTGTTAGATTCATGAGCAACTTGGAAGTTAGAGATTGCCGGAGGCTGGAATTTGATGGAGTGTGCGACCTGTAACTTGGAATGTGATTTATTTACTCAAGGGAGGGGGAAAGAGCATGGGACAATTAACTGGGATTTGAGTTTCAAGAAGTGGGGAATGCTTAAAAGGGAGTGAGCAGCAGAGGGGTTGTAAATCCCTCTGACAGCTCGAGTGTTTTTTGAAATAACAGCTGACTTTGAAACCAACTGCCTTGGGAGCTCAAGCCAGGCAGCGCCAGGGACTATTTGCACCCAGCTATCTATGTCTTTTATTTGGAAGGCAAACACCTGTAGAGAGTAGCCACTGGGAGACACTCTTTGGATTCCAGCCAGATGGCCTTTGCCGTGTTACTCAAGCATGCCACACGTTGTCCTACCTCAGGGCCTTTGCACTGGCTGGTTTCCCCAGCTTGGAGTTCTCTCCCCAGATTTCCACATGCCTGGCTTTTTTCTTCATTCAGCTCTCAGAATAAAGATTACCTCCCCAGAGTGGCTTTCCCTGGGCACCCTGGCTAAAGATGCCCCCAACTCCATCTACTCTCTATCCAATAAGTCTCTGCATTCTCTTTACAGCACTTGTATCTCTCTGAAGTCTCATTTATTTGTTTATTGCCTTCCTTCTCCACTAGACCTTCAGCTTGTAGGATTAAGGACTAGGTCTGTCGTGCATACAGTATCTCCTGCACCTAGAACACTGTGCCAGGACCATTCTGGCATCCATGTAGTGGATTTTGAACTTAAGAGATGACCTCTGGGCCTCCATAAAAGGAGAGTGGGCTTGAGCGGTGGTTCTCAAAGTGGGGTTCCCTGGACCCCCAGCATCAGCATTTTCTGGAAACTTGTTAGAAATGCAAATCAGAAACTCTATTTGCAGGTTAAAGGTGGTTGGGGTAGTGCCAGCCACCTTTGTTTTAACAAAGCTTCCCAGGAGATTCTAGTGCCTGCTCAGGTTTGTTAACCACTGGCCTAGTGTTTAAACACCTATGGGGTCTAGGTAGGTGTGTAAATGCAGGAAGTAGACCAGGTGTGGTACACTACAGAGTGGTGAGGACTGTGGCAAAGGAGACCGCAGGTGCAGACCCCCATAGAAGCTGTTATGTTTTATTGGTTGTCACTCCATGATGGGGATCTCACTCCCTGGAATACTGGAAGGGAAGGTCTGGCCATGGGAAGCAGCCTAAGGCACTGCATCCATTCATTCATTCGTGTGTTCAGCACCTGTAACATTAACCAGATAAACCCAGTCCCTGCCCGTATTAGTCCATTTTCACGCTGCTGACAAAGACCTACCGGAGACTGGGAAGAAAAAGAGGTTTAATTGGACTTACAGTTCCCTATGGCTGGGGAGGCCTCAGAATCATGGCAGGAGGTGACAGACACTTCTCACATGGCAGCAGCAAGAGAAAATGAGGAAGAAGCAAAAGCAGAAACCCCTGATAAACCCATTAGATCTCGTGAGACTTATTCCCTATCACGAGAATAGCACAGGAAAGACTCACCCCCATGATTCAATTACCTCCCCCTGGGCCCCTCCCACAACACATGGGAATTCTGAGAGATACAATTCAAGTTAAGATTTGGGTAGGGACACAGCCAAACCATGTAACTGTCCTCTTAAGGCTTACAGTCTGGAGGGGGAGACAGTTCGTCATCATAGGCTCCAGGCAACACCTGTTCAATTACAACCTCAGCAGGTGTTGCAAAGGTGGAGTCCACAGTGCTTCAGGGACCTATTGGGGGGAGTGACCTAGTTGGAGAGGCCATGGGAGGCTTTTGAGGCAAGTGGGAAAAGCATTGCAGGCCAAGGAAATGGCAGAGGCAAAGGCTCGGAGATGGGCTGGTGTGATTGGAACTCCGTGAATGACAGGGAGAGTCATATGAGAAGAGGGAAAATGGTGTGTGTGAGCCAGACTATATGGGACCTCCAGGCACTGGGAGACTCTCTATCCAGAGAGTGCTGGGGAGTCATTGTAGCAGTGGAGTGACCTGATCAATTGTGCATTTTGAAGCAATCGCTCATAGTACTGGACGAAGAATGAACTGGGGAAGCCAGAGAGACAGTGAGGAACAGTTGTCGTCATTCAGGAAGAAGAATATTATTAGCAATAATATTCATGGTAATATTATTAGTGATAATATGAGCAGCTGGTGAAGGAGTAAACGCTTTAGCTGGACACTGGATGAAGCGCTTGTGTGCTTTCATCTCAACCTCCCATCTGCTCACGAGGCAGCACTTACTGCCCCACTGTCTTAGTGGCTTGAAACAACAAACAACAAGAACATGGTTCTGAAAGTCAGAAGTCCAAAGTGGGTCTCATGGAGCTAAAATCAGGATGTTGGCAGGGCTGTGCTCCTTCTAGAGATTCTAGGGGAGAATCCATTTTCTTGCCTTTTTCCAGCTTTTTAGAGGCTGCCTGCATTCCTTGGCTCGTGCCCCCTTCTCCATCTTCAAAGTCAGCGATGGTGGGTTGAGTCCTTCTCCCCCATCACAACCATTCAGCCCCCTCTTCTATCACATCTCCTTCTGCCTCTCTCTTTTGTCTCCCCCTTTGCTTTTGAAGACCCTGCGATTACATCCATCTGGCCCGCCTGGCTAATCCAGGATAATCTGTCTATCTCAAGAGTATGACTCAATCACATCTGCAAAGTCTCCTTTGCCATGTAGGGTAAATTTTCACCAGTTCCAGGGATTAGGATGTGGACATCTTTGGAGCCATTATTCAGTTCACCACACTCCTGGTTATAGAGGCAGAGCCTGTGCCCCCATGAGATGCAGTGTGCCCCAAGGTCGTGGGGGCTTCAGGTGACAGAGCTGGGCTGGGAGCCAGGGTGTCAGTCCTCAGAGGTGGCTGCTCCCAGAAAAAGCCCCTGCTCCCCACCTGGGCTTGGTGCTGAAGCGTTTGGAGGAGGGAAAGGACATGGCTGCCACAGGCATTCAGACTTCTGTCCCAGTCACTGTTTTGGCAGAATGAGCCAGTCTGGACAGAGGCCCTCAGAGACAAACCTTCTAGATGATTTTATCTCATTGTTTCTGACAAGCCCCTTTTAGGTTGGTTTATAATAAACATCTTGTACCCACAGTGCCATCTTAGCCAAAGGCTCTCTGTGTCACCTGAGATAGGGACTCAAAGGGCAGCCTTGAGGGTACTGCCTGAGGCCAGGCTGGGAGAGGTGGGGTAGCCTGCAGATAAGATGGAGAATTCCCAGGCCTTGCCCCTCTTCTTGGAGAAAGATGATTTTTGGTGTACAGAAATACCGAGAGGTGCATGTGTGCATGTGCACTAGAAGCTAGAGAGATACTAAATACACTATTGAGCCACTAAAACACTTTCTGCTGACCTCCAGATGGACTGTACTACCAGCAGACCTCGTTAATCTTCATTGCCGTAGGCGATGGGGATAGTGACATTACAGCTACCACTTTCTGAGGGCTTATGACATGCCAGAGACTCAGAGAAAGTTGTTAAGAAGCAAAAGATGGATTTTAAGAACATAGCCTCCAGATCCAGGTGGCCTGCATTCAAACCCCAGTTCCTGCAATTCCACGATTGGGTATTTATCCAGAGGAACGGAAATCAGCATGTCGAAGAGAGATCTGTGCTCCCCCGGTTCATTGTAGCACTCTTCACAATAGCCAAGATATGGAATCAACTCGAATCCATCAACAGATGAATGGATCAAGAAAATGTGGCATATAAATGCGGCGGAGTATTATTCAGCCTTAAAAAAAGAAGGAAATCCTATCGTGTGTGACAACATGAATGAACCTAGAGGACATTATGCTAAGTGAAAAAAGGCAGGCATAAAAAGACAAATACCAGCCAGGGGCAGTGGCTCAGGCCTGTAATCCCAGCACTTTGGGAGGCCGAGATGGGGGCATCACCTGAGGTCAGGAGTTCAAGACCAGCCTGGCCAACATGGTGAAACCCCATCTCTACTAAAAATATAAAAATTAGCCAGGCGTGGTGGTAGGCACCTGTAATCCCAGCTACTCAGGAGGCTGAGACAAGAGAATTACTTGAACCCGGGAGGCAGAGGTTGCAGTGAGCTGAGATGGCGCCACTGCACTCCAGCCTGGGTGACACAGTGAGACTCCATCTCAAAATAAATATATTAATTAAAAGACAAATACCACATGATCTCACTTATATGTGGAATCTAAAAAAGTCAGTCATAGAAATTGAGTAGAATGGTGGTTACCAGAGGCTGGGGAGTATGGGGAGTGGAGAGACTTTGATCAAAGGCCACAGAACTTCATTTAGACAGGAGGAATAAGTTCAAGAGATCTATTGAACATCATGGTGATTATAATCAATAACAATAGGTTATATACTTGAAAATTGCTGAGGGAGTAGATTTTAAGTGTTCTCACCGCACACAAAAAAATGTGAGATAAATACAATAGCTTGATTTAGCCATTCCATATGTATACATATATCAAAACATCATGTGCTACACAATAAATATGTACAATTTTTACACGTTAAATTCATCCCCGCTCTACTTAACCCCTGAGCCTCAATTTTGTCATCTATAAAATGAGATTGATACCATGCTTCATTAAATCATTGAAGATACCTTCAATTAGAATATTCACCATTTAGGCTGGGTGCAGCGGCTCATGTCTGTAATCCCAGCACTTTGGGAGACTGAGACAGGAGGATCACTTTAGCCCAGGAGTTTGAGACCAGCCCGGACAACATAGTGAGACCCCATCTCAAAGAAAAGAATATTCACCATTTATTTTATGGGCTACAAAGAAAGAAATGTAGTGCCAATGAAACTATGATCTGTCAATGATTGCAGGACACATTCTGATTTTAGAGATGTGCATCTTTGGAATCAACGAGATACAGCAAGAATACCCACTTTGTAAGACTCTTATCCTTAGGCTAGTGTCTGGCACATAGAATGTGCCCAGGACATGTCAGCCTGTATTGTTTCTGCTGTGCCCATTTTACAGACATGGAAACTGAGGTTGAAGTCATTTCTGAAGGTCACCCAGCAAGTAGTGAATGCTGGAGTCGGGATTTGGACTCAGTTTGTGCTCCTCTGTTCCCTTAGCTGTGATATCTAATTAATGGCTCAAGAATCATGTCTGATAACTGGGCACCCACACAGTGGAGGAGAAGATAGGAAGAAGATCGGGAATGGGTTCCCATCAAGGCTATGCATCCACGAGCTGGTCCTCTAGGTGTCCATATCCTCACCCATAAAATAGATATAATAGGGTTTGCTATTATATATATAGGGGTTGCAGCATTGCTAGAAGGAATCATGGAGGTGATATAGGTCCTAAGCACATACTCAGTAAACTTTCATCCTCTTCTCCCTTCCTTTCCCCACATCCCACACTGCGAGTGGCTTTTAGGCCACCATTATTAGTCATGAGGAATTCCAAGCTCAGAGCAGTTGCTGTGGACACTTGGACTGACTTGCCGGGGCCGCCCTAGCCTCAGTCATCCTGGACATCTGCCTGAGGCCTGCTCATCTTTAAAGCTCAGCTTTCATCTTGAACTTGTCTCCAGCTTTGTTCCTGATAAACATCCAGGTGGGCACAGCCAGGCCTGGAGCCCCAAATTCCTCTGTAGACATTGCCCATCTGCAAATACTCTTCACTGGGTAAAGACTTTAGAAAAGGATACCTTGGGTATCAGTGCCGCTTTACATTTTTTACAGATTTCAACGCCATACATTAATTATATTAATTGTTAATTCTTTCCCTGCTTACTTTTTTTTTTTTTTTTTTTGAGACAGGGTCTCACTCTGTGTCACCCAGGCTGGATTGTGGTGGTGTAATCTCCATGCACTGCAGCCTCTGCCTCCTGGACTCAAGAGATCCTCCCTCCTCAGCCTCCCAAATAGCTGGGACTACAGGCATGTGCCACTACACACAGCTAGTTTTTTTGTGTATCCTTTGTAGAATTGGGGTCTTGCCATGTTGCCCAGGCTCTGACTTTTTAAAACATTTTTTGGAAGGATAACGTACCTTCAAAATTATCCAGATCATAAAAGAACAGCCCAATGAGTTTCCACTAAGTATGTATCCATGTAACCAGCGCCCAAATCAAAACACAGAACACTGCCTTCCCCCAGCCCCCTAATAATGCTCCTTCCAGCACCCCCGCCCACCACACACACACACACACAAGGGCCATCACTGTGCCGACTTTCAGCATGTAGGTCAGTTTCATTTGCTTATGCACTTTATATAAATGGAGTAGTCTTGGGTGTCAGGCTTCCTTCACTCAACATTATGTTGGTGAGCTTTATCCATGCTTTTTGCAGTTAGCAGTAGCTTGGTTATTTTTATATAGTACAGCATGAACATATTTTGTTATAAGTATATATCATATTTTATCCACTTTTCTGTTGACGAACATTTGGGTTGCGTCTTAGTTTGGACTACCGTGACACGGTACTGCAGACTGAGTGGCTTAGAAACAACAGAAATTGAGCCTGTAGTCCCAGCTACTTGGGAGGCTGAGGCAGGAGAATCACTTGAACCCAGGAGTCAGAGGTTGCAGTGAGCCAACATTGCGCCACTGCACTCCAGCCTGGATGACAGAGCGAGACTCTATCTCAAAAAAAAAAAAAAGAAAAAAGAAATTTATTTCTCACAGTTCCAAAGGCTGAAAAGTCAAAGATCCAGTGCTAGCATGGGCAGATTCTGGGGAGGGCCGTCTTCCAGACTTTTGACTTCTCCTTATATCCTCATATGGCAAGGAAACAGCAAGAGAACTAGCTGGAGTCCCTTTTAAAGGAGCACTAATCCCATTCATGAGGCTCCGCTCTCATGACTTAATTATCTTCCAAAGCCTCACCTCCTAATACCATCACGTTGGGATTAGGATTTCAACATACGGAATTGGGGACACAAACATTCAATCCATTGCAGGTTGGTTCTAGTTTGGGATTTCAACAGATAGGTTGCTTTAACATTCTAGTGCATGTGTAGGGGTGAATATGAGAATTCATATCTGTTGGGTACTTACTTAGAGGAAGAATCGCTGGTTGTGGATTTGTATTAGTCCGTTTTCACGCTGCTAATAAAGACCTACCGGAGACTGGGTAATTTATAAAGGAAAGAGGTTTTATGGACTCACAGTTCCACATGGCTGGAGAGGCCTCACAATTATGATGGGAGGCAAAGGGGAAACAAAGGCACGTCTTACATGGTGGCAAGCAAGAGCGCTTGTGCAGGGGAACTCCCCTTTATAAAACCATCAGATCTCATGAGACTTATTCAATACCAGGAGAACAGTATGGGGGAAACTGCCCCCATAATTCAATTATCTCCACCTGGCCCTGATCTTGACACTTGGGGATTATTACAATTCAAGGTGAGATTTGGGTGGGGACACAGCCAAACCATATCAGGGTTATTTGTATGTATATTTCACTTTAGTAGCTGTGCCAAACTGGTGCGGTAGTTTCTCCAGAAGCTCTTGAGGTCATACGGGAGTGAGAGAAGCAAAGACTTCAGCAGCTGCTGAAGGGAAAGAGGTTGTAAGGAGGGAAAGAAGACAAGGCGTGGAAATCTGAAGCTTGAGACTTTCCTGCAGTTACCCTGAGCAGGAGAGTCCAGGGAGTCTTGGAGCCTGTTGGCGGTGATTTGCTCTGCGGTCTGCAGTGGGGAGGGTATTTTCTGGGATCTGGCCTGTGATGAGTGTAGGTGGCTGTTCAGGAACTAAGTACCCAGGGGAGGGACTCTGCCCACAGTCTCAAATATTGAAATGTCAACATGGAGTAATTGGCTGCTCTGCCCACCCTTCCTCCACCTCTGCTCCAGCAGCCACAGCAAATGCCCTGCCTGGGACAGCAACCTGGGGGATGCAGGGTCAGCCCTGACTCATTCTGGGCTGCCTCCTGCCAACTGGCTGGGTGACCTCCTCAGACATGTGAATCAGACTTTCTGTGAGTCAGCTACCCGGGGACTGTCGCCTTAAGCAGATGAAGAAAAAAATGTTAGTCAAAGATCATGGGTGGCTATCAGTGGCATTTTAGATTAGTATACGGATGGGTGGACAGATAAACAGTTGTGATATGTGTATAGATATATCACTTATATATATTTGTACAAGTGTATGTGTGTCTGTTTACTATTTTATTAATCACTTAACAACTTTTTATAATAGCCAGTGATCTCATGGAAAGTTACCATGAAATGTACTAGGCATAGAGAGGTGCCTACACCTTTACATGCCTGATTTCATGTGGTTCTCCTGACAACCCAGAAAGGCAGCAGCTGTTGGCCCCATTTTGCAGATAATAAAACTGAAGCTCAGAGAGGTTAATGCACCCACCCAAGGTCACACAGCCACTAAATGACAGATCAGGATTCTAACCCGTTAGTCCTACTCTAAGCCCCCATGCTCCTAACCACTGTGCTATACTTCCCACTGGATGCCAAGGCCTGTTTCCAACTCTTTTATCTCATTCAATCCTCGTATTCAACTACAGGGTTAAGTATTATTAGTTTCCTTTGATCGATGAGGAAACTGAGGCCCAGAGAGGTGAGGTAACCCACCTCAAGACATACAGTAAGTAAGGAGCAGAGCTGGGATTCTGAGATCCCTCTGATGCCAGCGCTCTTGCTTCAACCACAGGAAATACAATCTCAGCAAAGCCCAGTACACAACAAGGGCTCAGTAAACACCAAATGAATGAACACAATGCCAGGAGTATTTTAGCAATAACATCACAGGTTAAAAGAGGAAAATTCAAACTGTGATTTTGATGTAGATGGAAAATTAATTTTCACAGTGACGTTCTTTCTTCTTTTGGCCCACATTGGATACTCTGAGCCAGTCACGGTGCTAGGGGCTGGGAGTGCTATGATGAATCTAGAATTCATTCATTCAGTGACAGCTTGTGGGTGCCTGCTCTGTGCGTGCTGGGAATTGTGCTCACTGCGGAGGAACAGGACAGATGAGCATACAGGCAACTAAATGAGAAGGTGTTACTTTCAGTGCATAATGTCCTTTTTCATCCTGTCATTCATCTTAAACTACTGGTCCTCGAAATGAACTCAATGAGGCTGAACATAGTTTGAAAAACTCTTTATCTAGACAGGCGTCTGGTTTGGGGGTGGTATTACTGGTGTTTACACATCCCTGTCCAAACAATTGACTGCATCGTTTGCTGATGATACTTAATACACATCAGCCACCACTCTGCTGGTCTTTCATCACTGTCCTCACACACTGACTCCTGGTAAGTGCATGCAGCTGGTGTGAATGGCCAACAGAATGCTGTCTGAGTGGCGTCTGAGGACCCAGAAGTTTTTGATTTATGTGCTGCTTTCCACCTGTGAGCCTCTGGGATGGATTGGACATGGCAAACCCATTTCTGGACTAGGCTAGATTCTGTGGGTGTCCTTGTCGGTCAGCCACATTGGCCAAGTTTCTAAAGAATCTGCAAGAACTTCCTCCCAGATCTCCATCCCAGAACCAGATCTGAAGTCCAGTCCCAGACTTATTATCTCATAAGCACAATAGTGGCATGTCCACGTGTCTATGCCATCATTTGTCACTTGTAGTAACTGTTGTGGGTCACCTTCTTCTGAACGACTGCCATTAATTTATCTTGTCCTTTTGCTTTTCAGCCTCTGTAAGGGACGGACGCTCTATTCCGTTGTGAGGGATGCCAAAATCGTTTTGGATGTCAACAAAACCAGGCAGATTGCTCAAGAAATTGTGAAGGTACTGTCGGCTCTTGGGCCTCCTATCTAAATCTCAGAAAGACCCAGTTTCCCCCAGGGAAGCCCCCCTACCCCAGGGCTCCTAAGATTCATGGTTGGATTTCAGACTACCAATCTGGACTTAAAAGAAATTAGACTTGACCTGAAAAATGCCAGGCCATGTATAAGTAAGAATTCTGCCTCGATACGATCTTTAGGAACTATCCACCAATGTTTGGTTTCCATCTGGTGTCTCATCACTATGGTACTTGGACCTATGCAAGGACCAGGGGTCACATACAAGCTATTCAGCCCTCTTGGTTAGGATCCACCATCCTTCGAGTCCTTGAATTTCCATGAGTGGAAACCATCTCTCTCCACTGCTGCTAGGGAAACATCAAATTGTTGGGTGTTGTTTTGGATTAAAACAAACAAGAACATTCTGTGTTTTCTGGAAGGGGCCTTATTAGTCAGTTGTACTCAAGCTTTTATTTCTCATTTGGAGGTGTTAGGACTGAGCTGCATGAGGAAATAAAAGATGTGACTGCTCACAAAGGCAATAAAAAAGAAACCACCACAACTCTAGATGTTTGCCCTTGAACGAGGCCTCCAATAGACTCTTCTGTGTGTTCTTAATGAGCAGTTGTGAACATCTCTTTAGGAACTCATTGCCTTCTGCGGCAGCATAGGTTAAGTAGATCTGACTATCTAGTCTTGCGGAAGAGTTAGTATTTAAAGGGGAAGTGGATGAAAATGGTTGGTTGAATTCCTTTCCCTGGGGATCTTTTTGTTTCTTCTTCAGGAATCAGATGAGCAAATGGGGCTGGCCTTTCTGTGGTCTAAGAGTGGCAGTGGATTTGTGTCTTGGGGGCCCTGCCTGTTCCCGCTTGCCATGCCTTCCCCGACCTCACCCCCAGGACCCACGGTCAGACCCCAGGCCCTGCCTCTGTTGAGTGTGGTCCCATTAGGGAGCCAAGTCTTCAGGACAAGGAATGTGAACTCAAGCCAGGGTGGCAGCAAGCTCTTAGGTTTTTCTCTGGCAACTCTCTGTTCCTTGCTTCTTGCAGGGCATGGGCTACCTCCACGCCAAGGGAATCCTACACAAGGACCTCAAGTCAAAGAACGTCTTCTATGACAACGGCAAAGTGGTCATCACGGACTTTGGACTCTTCAGCATTTCTGGGGTGCTGCAGGCTGGCAGGTGAGAGGCAGTGGGAAGACCCGGAGAGTTTCCTGACAGATGATGGTCAGGAGGTGGGAAGTTAGTCCAAATGGCTTTAGTGACCTAGACTCAGGGTTGGTCCTGAGGTTGCTGAGCTGAGTGGGGCAGCTGCTCTACTGATGTGGGATGCCAAGGCCCTGCTCTGTTTCCCCCTGGGGGGGCCAGCACCTTGCTCACCTGTCTTGTCTTTGAGTGTGTGTGATTGGACACAGAGCACCCCCAGACCTTTCAAAGCCCCTACCCTTTAATTTAACTGGAGGACTCTCCTCTAACCCTAAGTAATTCACTTGGAAGTTGAGATCACCCAAGAGGCCTTGCTCAAAGTTTTCTTAGGAATTAAGTGATTTTAGTACAGGAAGAGTACAGTTAACAGCAAGAGATTTAAAGTCAGAGGCACCCATGGCCTGACACAGCTCTTCCACTTATTAAATGCGACTTTAATCAAGCCGAACAACGTCTCTGAACTTTAGTTTCCTTGTCTGCAAGAAAAGTGGTAGGTTTGTTGATGCCTTCCTCTGTCAGTTCTCGTGAGGATAAAATGAGAACACGCATCAAGCATCCACCCAGTGCCCAATGCACCTCAAAAGCTCCGCAAAGGGTAGCTGCTGCTGAGTTGTAGCAATTAGTATTAATTTGCATATACCTCCCAGTATCACCCAGGAGAATCATTAACCATCATTAAGTAATTAACTCTCAGCCACTACTCACCCTAGAGCAAGCCGCATTGAGTTGGCCACATGAGAAACAGCTTGATCTCAAATAAACAACCCATAATTCAGAAAGTCTACCCTTGTGACTTTTAATTTGGACTGCACTCTCTCTCCTTCTCTCTCTCTTGCTGTCTCTCTCTCGCTCTCTCTCTCTCTCTCATTTTAAACCTCTGCATGTTTTTTATAATCCTGCATTTTATAACGAATGGTGCATCTTTCCAGAAAGCCCCACAGTTTCTCTCATTTTACTTCAGTTTCAGCTGCTTTTGAGAACCACTGATTTTTTTTTATTTTATTTATTTATTTTTTTATTTTTTTGAGGAATGCCCCAGGAACCCGGACAAAGTGAATCTTGTTTGTGTTATATGACACCTTGAATCTGTTATAAGTTGGACCATTTGGAGTTTGACAAAACTTCATGTAGCTGTTTCTGTGTGATGAGGACCAAACAGGCGCTTGTTTCTTTTTCAGATTTTGCTCCACCCAAGAAAGATTAACCATAGTCTACAAAATTATTTGTAGTCCCTAAGATAAGGCAGTAAGTAGGCAGTAAATATATAAATATATTAATAGATACTTGAAGAGAGTCCCTCCAGTTGGAACCCAAGAAGCCCGGGAGGGCAAGACTGTGTAGAATCCCTTCTTCCCTCTGACTCCCCAGCAGCAGTTAAGTTCCTGGTTCACTGGCAGGGAACTCATACCCTTCCCAGTTTCCCAGTGTCCCAAGGGAACTGCAAGGACGCAATGTTGGGTGACTTCACTGTCAACCCAAGTATTTGCATCAAGACAAAAGGAGGCCCAGTAAGAGTTTTCTCTAACTTGCTTCTGGGCTGTTTTATAAAAAGCAGAAATTCTTCCCTCCTGGTGGCATGTCCATACCTCTCTCTTTCTCCTCAACAGTGGCTTGTCCCTGAGGTGGAGGAAAGGGGTGCAGGACCTCTGATTTTCTTCCTTTAGACTCAGTTTTCTGAAGCCACAAGGAGAAGAGGAAGAAAAAGAAATGGAATGCCTTGGGCATCCCTTCCTTTAGCTCATTCATGGAGACCCATTGTCAACCAGGAAGTTAGTTCAACCAAGTCAAGGGCAAGGTGGCTTCTGGTCTCCTTGTCCAGAGAGCAGCCCCTCCCACCCCTGCCCCAGCCAGGTTGTCAACACAAACCCAGGGAGTGCCTTCAGCAACATCTCCCAACAAGAAATTCACATTTCCTGGCCACCCACAAGTAGCCATCAATGACTTCTTGTGCTTTTATCCTTTATTCTGCAATGAACCATCTCAAAACTTAGTGGCTTAAAACAAGGTATTGTCATCCCTCATAGTTCTGTGGGTTGACTGGGCTCAGCTGAGCTCTTGTGCTCGGTTTGTCCTGTAGGTGCAATCAGATGGCGGGGAGGGGGTGAAGTTGGAGACATCTGAAGGCTTCCACATTCACACAGCTGGGCTGGGCTGGCTGAAACATCTGGGGGGCTGATGGGGTCTCTCTCATCTCCCTGCTTTTCCCTCTTCATGCAGCCTCTCTGCTTGACTACATTGGGCTTCCTCACACCATGGCAGTCTCAGGGTAGTCAAACTTCTTATGTAGCAACTGGGCTCCACCAAAGCAAGTGCGTTGCAAACTATGACAGGGAGGTGGAACTCTGGGGTGTCCCATGAATCCCAGGACCTTTCCCAGGTTGTAGATTTACCTCAATATTTATGAATACCACCAGTGTAGCTCTAGGGATCCACAGGGTCCCCTCAGGGGTTCAGGTCCATTTACTCCCTCTTGTTCATGACAAGGCATCTTCAGTAACTGCCCCCATTGCAGCCTGGAGCCCCTAGTGCAGCCGCCAGAGGCCAGGAGACACCCCTTGAATAAGGGGCATCTATGGCCCTGATCAGCAACCTGGGGGCTGGATTATAGGAGTGGAGAGAGAAGGGAGCTGGCCAGGCTTTGGGCTTTGCAGGAAGCAGGGCCAGTATCTCTCAGGAGATAGGCCTGGAAGTTCCCTCATTCATTACTCACTCAGCCAGTCAGCAAATAATTAGGGAGTGCATGTATTAGTCAGCTTGGGCTGCTATAACACAATACCAGACTCAGGGGTTTAAACAACAGACATTTATTTTCTTACAGTTCTGGAGGCTGAAAGTCCAAAATCAAGGTGCTGGCAAATTTAGTGTCTAGTGAGGGCTCTCTTCCCAGCTTGTAGATGGCCACCTTCTTACTGTGTCCTCATATGGCCTCTTCTCTGTGCACCGAAAGAGAGAGAGAGAGGTCTCTGATGTCTCTCCTCTTCTTATAAGAACACCAATCTTATTGGATTAGGGCCTCGAACTTACAATCTCATTTAACCTTAATCACCTCCCTATAGGCTTTATCACTAAATACAATCAAATTGGGGGTTAGGGGTTCAACATACTAAATTTGGGGGAGGCAAAATTCAGTCTATAATACCTTGAGATAGATTCCAGAAACTTGTGTTTAACACACACCTGGTTCCCTGATCCTTAGTTTCCTCACCTGTAAAATGGGAGTAGGGGCAGGCACTAATAGCACCTATCTCATAAGGCTGTTTTGATGATTAAATGGGATAGAGATGTGGAAGGATATTTTAGCATTTTGCTCTTTTTTTTTCTTTTTTTCGAGACAGGATCTCTTGCTCTGTCACCCAGGCTGGAATGCAGTAGTGCAATCACGGCTCACTGCAGCTTCAACCTCCGAGGCTCAAGCGATCCTCCTACCTCAGCCTTTCAAGGTCCCAGGCTTACAGGCATGCACCACCATGCCCAGCTGGGCTTTACTCTTTAATGGTTCTCTCCAGAAATTCTTGTAGAATTGGGTTGAGGTGCCTAGTCCCTGGGGTTTTAAAGACTTGTGTGCAAACAGATCTCAGCTCTGTCCATTTGGACAGGTCACCTAAATGTTTTGAGCCTCCGTTTCCTTATCCTCATAAGCCCTCAGATTGTGGGCTTATGAGGTCTAAGTGGGATGGACAATCTGGCAAACAGTAGGCACTCAGCAGGAGTCACTTGCCTTCCTGCCCTCCCCTCAGTTAGAGCTTGGGGTATGGATAGCCCTTGGTGCCCAGCAGGGAGAGACCCCCCCGCCACCAAGCCCGAGGCAGGGATGGGGCAGCCCAGTGATGTGAGTGTGTTCTGCACATCCAGACAGACCCCAGCATCCAGCTGTTCTGCCGTCGTCAAGAAAAGGTATCGTTTTAGATGCCAGTGCTGTCATGCCAGCCTCCCAAAGCCTGTTATTAATCATAATAACCATAATGAAGATGATTTGGGTTTGTCATCGGTGGGCCCATCGCCATGGGAACGGGGCACCCCAGGGTGTTAGTGCCAGGCCTGTCTCCCAGCCCCCTACCACACCCGTGCCAGGCGTGGTCACCACTCTACCTCCTGCCCTGGCCCCAAAATGCCAGCTGCTGACCCCATGAGTCAGGAAGAGGTGGCAGGGGTGTTTGCAAAAAGATGGGAGCAGAGAAGCTTCCCTTTGGCAGGGGCACCCCAACCCACCCCACCCCCAGTGGCCCAGTCATTGCAGGAGAATGTTGGCTGGCCTATGCCAAAGACTTTCATGGAAGACATTCCTACTGTGGGCTCTAGTCTCAACTCCACTTCTGAGTCCTCGAGATAAACACACACACACACACACACACACACACACACATACACATGTGTAATGATTATGTCCAGTAATTGCGTGTCTCTGGCAGCTGACACAGTCCTGTGCCACGCACTGTCTCATTTTAATCCTTGCAACAGCTCTGTGAAGTACAAATTAATGTGCCCATTTTATAGATGGGAAAATAGAAATTTGGGTCTGCTCAAGGTTCCATAGCTAGTAAGTAAGAGCCTTCAACCTCTGTGGGTGTTCCTGATTCTAGAAGCAAGAGCTGATTTAACTCTGCTGACTCAAGTGTTTGCTAGTTAGTTTGAGTAGTAGTTTCTAGCACAGGATGTGTGTATCATGTCTTTTGTGTAGAATGCAGGAGCAAGTCATGTGCTATTAATCCTGAAACACTGAGATTTGGACCATTTCCGTATTTTGTATAAATTAGAACAGTGATTCTCAACCAGGGCCATTTTTCCCCTCCAGGGGACATTTGATGATGTCTGAAGACATTTTTAGTTGTCATGATTAGGGGGAGGGGGGTGCTAACGGCCTGTAATGAGTAGAGGCCAGGGATGCTGCTGACCATCCTGCAATGCCCAGGACAGCCCCCGTGTCCCCCAACAACAAAGAACTGCCCAGACCCAAATGTCAATAGTGCCAAGGTTGAGAAATCCTAAATTAGAACAAATTTAATGGTGTCTGCCTGGCCACATTGCTTTCTGTTGCATGCATGCCAGTCTGCTCCTAGCCTGGGAGTGCAGGAGGTGGATGGGTGGCCCAGGGTGGGATACCTGTGGTAAGCCACCATCCAAATGCAATTAAGAGTTGTGATTGCCGCAGTTACCCGGCTTTGCTTCCTTTCCTACAGTCCCTGTTTTGGGTTCTACAAAAAGTCGAGTATATCCAAATGGATGCTACCTTCATGTGTGAGATGGAGGGGTTATGAAAGAGATCTTAAAGAATCGCATGTATGGGATACATCCAGCCTTACCCAGCTAGTGAATGTCACTGCAGCACTGGAACCCTGAGCCCCAAACTCTTGGAGCGTCATTCAGGGATCTTTCCTCCACCCAGTGTTTCTACAGGTGTGATCTGCAAGTTGATGTGGGGGAGGACATGAACAAACATTTTCTATCTTAATTTTAATGTGTATTAGAAAATCACTAGTCTCCATTTATGGCCACACTACAGAGTGACCTATTGAAATATATTTAAGTTAAAAATGCATTTCTTAATATATAATAGTCTAGAACAGTGTTGTCCAATTTGGTGGCCACTAGCCAGATGTGGCTATGTAAATTTAACTTTAATTAAAATGAAAAGTTCAGGGCTAGGAGCAGTGGCTCATGCCTATAATCTCAATACTTTGGGAGGCTGAGGTTGGAGGATCAATCCCTTGAGGCCAGGAGTTTCAGACCAGCCTGGGCAACATAGCAAGATCACATAGCAAGACCACATCTCTAAAAAAAAATAAAATAAAATTAGCAGGGTGCGGTTGCTCACGCCTGTAATCCCAGCTACTTCATAGGCTGAAGATGGGAGGGTCGCTTGAGGCCAGGAGTTCAAGCGACCATGAACTATGATCTCACCTCTGCACTTCAGCCTGGGTGATAGACAGACTGTCTCAGCAGACCTTGTCTCTAAAATTAAAAAAAAAAAAAATGAAAAGTTTAGTTCTTCAGTTGTAAGCCACATTTCAAGTGCTCAATAGTCATGGTGGTTAGTGGCTGCCACATTGGACCATATAGAGGATATTTCTGGCATAATGGAAAGTTCTATCGCATAATGCTGCTCTTGAAGGTATTTAGATATGGCAAAAATCATGATTATGGGATATGAATGAGTGCGTTTGAGGGAGCAGCATGTCACAACTTCTACATCTCAGAAACCCTCTCTGGAAGAATCTAGCTAGCCCCAGGTCCCCACAGAGACCTTCATGCTGGAGGCTGTCATCCTGAATGACCTCACTTTTGAGGATGATTCGAGATATGCACCCCCTCTCCCGCTGACTGCTCCCTTCCCCTGTGTTAATGAGCCAGTTCCTAGGAGTCTTGAGTCAGTGAAGATCTCAGAGGGGGTCTGCTTAGATTTCAGACCCACATGGAAAGCTCTGTCTTGCTAATGACTTCCAGTGAAAGAAGGGAGCCAGCCTCCTTCCACATCTAAGAATTTACCTAAGGAATAAATTAACATGGATGAAGGGAGATATTCCCTGTATCTACCCAAAGATGTTCATGGCAGCATTGTTCATAATGGCGGAAGAGGGAACCACCCGCCCAAGGCCCAACAGCAAGGAGTTGGTTGTATATACTTTGATACATAGGATGGGATGATGTGTTCCAATTACACTGGTGTTCTTTAGGGTTCTAGAACACCCTGAATGGGGCCCTTGTTGGAACTTTGTCCTAACTTCCCCTTCTGTCTAGATATTCTCCTTGTTCACATAACTGGATCCTTTATGTCACGTAGATCTTAGCTCACAGTTTACCTGCAGTAAGATCCATCTTATCTTTGATGCATCCTCTATTTTAATTATTTGTACGATGCTTATCACAATCTTTAGCTTTTCCTGTTTATTGAACTCATTTGTTGTCTTCTTTCCCTACTAAAGTGCAAGCTCCAGGAGGGAAGGGACCTTGTTGGTCTTGTTCTGTGCCAAGCACAGAACCTAGGCATCATAGGTGATGGAAAAACACAGTAGATTATCATTATTTGTGGATTCACTGAAATGTATTTGTAATCCCCCAAATCAACACTCACAGCACTTTCACAGTTATTCAGGGACATGCAGAGTGGGGAAAAGTTTGAGTTACCCAATGCACATGTTTCCAGCTTAGGTCAAACAGGAGGATGTTCTGCCTCATTGTTTCAGCCTCATGCAGAGAAGCCTTGAGGATGGAGGTTGAGACAGAGTGGGCAGTGCAGAGTAGCATAAGAAGCTCTAGCTCTGGGGCCAGTTGGATGAGATTTGAATCCCAACTCTGGCACCTGTTCGTAGGGCTGCCTCAGACAAGTCACTTAACACTTCTGAGCCCCATAGTCTATTATGTAAAATAAAACAGAATCTGTTAGATAAGTTGTTTTTAGGGTTAAAATTATAAACTATGTGAGGGGGTGTGTGCATGTGTACATATTTCCCCAGGAGCAATGATTCAGTATTCTGCTAATTCCGTGTTCCAGTGACTTTATAGAACGTAACTGCCGTGAATAACAAGAATCCACACTGTCATTGAATGAAGATGGGCAAGAAGGTGGGTGCCTCAGAGGCAATGGAATTTGATGATGGTTTGGATCCTGAGTGTTTCTCTAGAGCAGCCTTCCCTGCACCTACTACTGGGTCTCGGCCTCCAGTAGGTGGTCAGGCAGTGCTCAATGTGGGAAGCGAGAAGGGCAGCAGAGATGGCTCCAGGGACGTAGGGTCAGTGCCAGGGGGACTGGTCCACCCTGGGCTATGAAACAGAGCTCATCCTGTGCTTTGCTTCTCCAGGCGGGAGGACAAACTGCGCATCCAGAATGGCTGGCTATGCCACCTGGCACCAGAGATCATCCGCCAGCTGTCCCCCGACACAGAGGAGGATAAGCTCCCCTTCTCCAAGCACTCTGACGTCTTTGCCCTTGGGTAAGTGGGCCCTGCCCTGGCCATTGAGAGCCACAGCCTGGGCAGAGGGGCACTTCTCAAGTCTTTCAGTGCTTTTGGAAGGGCCAGGGTGTACCTGTCTACAGGGCCAAAGTGGCTGGATTTTTGGGTGAGAATGGAGGAACCTGAGTAGGGTATACTAGAAAGAATGACCCTAACAAACGTGTGTGTCTGGTTTCTAATGGATTATGTGGCCTTAACAAGTTACCCAACTCATTTACTTATTCAATAGCTATTTGTTGGCTGCCTACTATGTGCTAGGATTGTAGCAGATGCAGGGGATACAAGATTCAGTGTTGTCTTCATTATTACTACATAACAAATTACCCCAAAACTTAGCCACTGAAAACATTTCTTATCTCAAGTTTCTGTGGTCAGGAATTTGAGAGTGGCTTAGCTGAGTGGTTCTGAGTGGGCTTTTATGAGGTTGCAGTCAAGATATTGGCTAGGGCTGCGGTCTCATCTGAAGGCTCAGCAGGCTGGGGATCCACTTCCCTGGTGGCCCACTCACACAGCTGTTGGAAGGAGGCCTCAGTTCCTCAACCCTTGGGCCTGAGTATAGGTTACTTGAATGACTTCACAACATGGTGGCTACAAGCCTCATTGTCATTTATGATCTAGTCTCAGAAATTTACATATCATTGCTCCTACCATATGCTGTTTGTTAAAAGCAAGTTGCTAAATCCAGTCCACACCTAAGGGGAGGAGAATTAAGCTCTATCTTATACATAATGGAATATCAAAGAATATACTGGACATATTTAAAACCACCAGAGGCCCCTACTCTCTCTTTCTAGTGGAAGGCAGATAAGGAAACATCCAACTTTAGCAAAGTATGATAAATGCTATTCTGAGAATAAACACAGGACTGTGGGAATAAAAGAGGAACCAAATCCAATCTGGGAGATCAGGGAGGGCTTCCAGGAGATGATAATCCTGAGCCTAAGTTAAAGATTGAGTACAAGGGCAGGGTGAGGTGTTCCAGATCAAAAGACTGTGCAAAAAGTTTCAAAAAGAAAAGAGAACACATTGCCCACATGGAATAATATATAGAAGGGTTGGGGGAGGAAAGGGAGCTGATGGATGAAGAGTCAGGAAAAAAATTAGGCTGGGGGTGGTGAGATAAGAGACTAGAGAGGGAAGCACGGTCAATCCTGCAAGGACTTAAAGGTTGAGTTAAGGAGTTTTCATTTCATCTTCAGTGCACTAAGGAGCCATTGATGGTTATTAAACTCTGGGGGAAGGGGGAGTGACATAATCCTAATTTGAGTTTTAGATCAATCAGATCACTCTGGCTGCTGAGTAGAGAATGGAATGAAGAAGGAGAGGATGGGGGCCGGGTGTCCAATACACAGGGAAATGCTGGCAGCCTTCACTGAATCAGAGCCTGTGGGTATGAAAGCTGAGAATGGACATCAGCAGCACCCAGAGGAGGTGGAAGCAATAGAGCTTGATGATGGATTGAATTTGGGTGGTGCCTAGATAGCTGCCTTAAGCAAGCAGGTGGAGAGTGGCATCATTCACTAAGGTGGAGACCATGGCGGTGCAGCAGGGTTGGGGCATGCCAGGGAGGAAAAGAGGTCAGGTTTAGACACAGTGAGTTTGAGCTATCGTGGAGATGACAAATGAAACCACCAAAACACAGCTGCCTCTAC
This sequence comes from Homo sapiens, assembly GCF_000001405.40. NCBI lineage: Eukaryota > Metazoa > Chordata > Mammalia > Primates > Hominidae > Homo > Homo sapiens. The sequence continues at coordinate 117,474,790 of NC_000012.12, read as the reverse complement.
ACGACTAGTATAGAAAAGAGCAGTTTAGGACTTGTCAGAAAATAGGTAACTGCAGCCACAGACAGAATGAGATGTCTTTGGAAGTACAGAAGGAGAAGAAGGGCCTAGGACACAGCGCCAGGATGCAGGGAAGAGTGCCCTGAGAAAATATAGCCAGAAAGGCTTCTAGGCTCCCATGGCCATGCAAATCCTTGCCTAACCTTGTCCACATGTGGTTGCAAGGGCTGGGGGAGATAACACTGGGGAAGCGGTTTGGGAAAGTTGCAGGCCTGCAGATGAGTGCAATTAGACTTAGCACCACCGAGAGATGTTACAGAGACAGTCTTCCTTGGAAAAGGGCCCCCACCGCATCCTCACTGAAAAACCCTGAGGAGATATTTCTGGAAGATCAGAATTCTCAACATCTGTTGCTTGGGCCCCTTTAGAGGATGTCAGTTGGCCTGATTATTTTATGCCCAAATCTTTATCTAGTTAGATATTGTTATCTGAAACCAAATTGCAATAATTAAGTTGGTATAGTTTAGTGTAAATTTAGCAAAAGAAAAAAAAATGTGATTAACAAAATGTACCAGAATAATTGGTTTTCTGCTGGAGTTTTCATCTTCAGCAAATCTTTTTTCCTTAAAGTGAGTTTCTCTTGAAAGTTGGGTTTAAAAGGAAGTTTTAATGAGGCTTTTATTTCTGACACTGCTGAATTCCGAAGGACCCGGCTCTCTGGTTTCCTGCCAATTAGGTGCATCCTGTTGCTTGGGAATCTCGTGCTCAGAAATGACTTAGAACAAAAATGAACTTTTTAAAGAGGATTGAGCACTGTGTTAAGCCTTTTATGTGCATTGTCTCACAATTTTTACAAGCACCCTTGGAAGCAGATACCATGTTGCTCCCAATTGACAGGTGAGAATACTGAGGCTTCAGATGGCTCAGTGACATGCCTTACAGTGATGAATGATGGTGCTGAGATTCACCTGGAATATCCTGTACTCTAGAGTTGGAGCTTTTAACCATAGAGTCCCAGTGGGTTTGGGATTTATTTTGCCACTCAAAGCCCTATTTCTCTCAACTGTAAATCAAGGATAATAAATCCATTGAGGTGTTCTAAGAATTGAGTGAGAAAACATTTGTAAGGTACCCAGCACAGGGAATAACTCAAAACACCCTTCCCCGTTTCACATGAGTGGTGGATGAGTCTGTTTATGCCTCCTTCACCAGACTCCAATCGCCAGCCACAAGCTCGCACCTCCCAAATTGTGCACTTTCTTGATTACAAAGGACTCTTAAATAGGATGGAGTCTAAGCTTCCTAGGATAGCACGTTGGCCAGTGGCACCATCTTGGAGTTAGATGGACTAAGTTCAGCTTCTGGCTGCCCTTCTTGTTTGCTGTGTTATCTTGGGAAAGACACACAACCTTTCTGGGCATCAGTTTCCTCATCTATGAAAGGCGGATAATATTAATAATAATGCCTCCTGTTTTAAAATGTAGGTTTTGTTATTATTCAGGCAGCATGAGGCCAACAGTCGCCTTTGAAAAGATGGTTACTCACAGTTCCCAGAGGGGGCGTGCCACACCATGCAGTGTCCACAGGGGGCAGCACCAGGGTCGGTCTGGAGGCAGAGGAAATGTGAGGAAAACGTTGGGAAGAGCCTTTATTGTGGCTCTTGGGAAGGAGCAGGGGAGGCAGGGTAAGAAGACTTAGGATTGGCTTGTTTGAATGATTTCAGCAGGCTCTGGTGTATAGGGGCTGGGGAATATTGGCCTGGAACTTGAAAGCCCAATTAAGGAGGTAGTTGGCAGTATGAGTGTGAGTTCTGGATTATCTGATTAGCCTGTGAAAGCTGTGCTCACAGGTGAGTGCTTTACTATTTCCAGGAATTGGCTGTTCCTGGAAGGGGCAGACCCTCCAGGGTCAGCAGAGCCCCAAGTAGTCAAAGCATCAGAATAAAAAGACATGATGAATAGACCTCCCTCCACAAAAAAACTTAGAATAGTGCCTAGTGCAGAGTAAAACCTCAATAAGCATTATTATTTCTTATGATAACTATAATCTTTTAGCACCTTCTCTTGAGAGCTTTCTGATCATCTAACTTGACATCCGAACACCTGAGCATCACCACCCCTTCCCCAGCCCAGAGGTATAAGGTTGTCAGGTAGAAGGAAGATGTAACTACGAAGTGAAACCCTAGCAATAGTTGATTTGACACAGTGCTCTGATTAGTAAAAAGGATAGCAGAGTGCTTTGTGTTCTTTAAAGCAAACTTACATGAAATCTTAGAGTGGAGGAAAGATCACTTTCTAGGATTGTTTCAGATATTTCCTAAGTTGGGGAATCTTGTGCTCAAAGCGCTGAGATCTGTCCCCATGATACAGCTCAGTGACACCCTAGCATCCTGTTTCATCCACTGTGGTCCTCACTGCTATTCACACTTCACAGCATCATTTATGCACCACCTGGCCCATCACCCCCTTCATGGCACATGCTACTCACTAGAGCAATCCTCTCTCCATTAATTACAATGTCATGACTTATGAAACAGAAAATAATGTGGTAAATCCCTCTAGAATAATCCTAGCATGGAGTTGTTTTGGCATTCGGAGTCCCAGATAAACATCCTTCCACTGCAATGTTGTCATTATTCTCATTTATCAGGTAAGAAAACCTGCATTTGGAGAAGTGAAGTGACGTACCCAGGAAACCTACCCTATTATACTACTAGTATAAATAGAATCAGGACTTGAACCCAAGTCGCTGTCAAACCTCTTTTTTTCTTTCCACCGTTCCGCAGGGTGGTTTATACTTAGAAAAAAAAAAGGACAAGTATAAAAGAAAAAAAATCCTAACCTGTCACCCAGAGTTAGTTATTGTTAACATTTTGCTATGCTTTACTTTATTCTCTTGTTCATACATATATAATGGTTTTTTAAAAAGCAATATCAAATCCTACATACAGTCTCATATCCTGCTTTTTTTTACCTAAGGTTATATATTGAGCATTTTTTATGTCAGCAAAATTTATTTGAAATGTTTTAATAATAATACAGCATTTCATTTTATTTTATGGATTTACCATAATGCATATAACCAATTCCTCTTATTGGACAATTGTGTTATTTTTACTTTTTTTCAATATTATATATAGTGCTTTAGAGAATATCCTTATAAATAAATTTTTGTATCCCTCATTTATTTGCAATGATTTCCTAGAATCATTGCAAGTAGAATCAGGGACAGAGATCCTAACCACATTATATTTAACTATTCATTAGAAGATATCCTGGGATAAACATGACTTCTAAGACATTAAGAAAGCTTTAGGTATGTCGCACATGGCAAAATACCAACCCCATGAGGAAGAAAGTGGGGAGAAGAATGGGTGCCAGGAGACTGGCTGGGTGGGTGTGTGCTAATAATGGAGGTACAAGGTTGCAAGTGACACACCACACCAACACCCCTTTAACAACGTCTGCCAACAGCACAATCTGGTATGAACTCCACGCCAGGGAATGGCCTTTCAAGACCCAACCAGCAGAGGCAATAATCTGGCAAATGGGCACAGGCATGAAACCCAACCTCAGCCAGATTGGCATGGGAAAAGAAATCTCGGTAAGTCCCAAGATAGGTCCAGACTTGGGGGATGAGGGGAGACACAGACACAGTCATGGGCCTTCTTTTTACTATGTGTTAAGGTTACAAATGCTTTCCCATAGGGTGACCAAAAAAATATGCATTCCAACCTTGTCAGATGGCAGTTTGAAGCTTAAAAGGCAAGGCTGCTGCACTGTGCCTGCAATTTCAGGTACCTGCCACCAGGGGCACAGTAACACGTGGTCAGGTTTTTCCTAACTGTGGGTTGCTGAGTTAGGTAGAACCAATATATCTCTCTTTTTCTGGTATTTTTAAAAGATATGAATTAAAACATCACAAATATTAATGGTTCCAATTTTATTTGCATCTACATAATAATTTTAAGGCATTATCTAACTCAGAACAAGACATACAGAAACAGAGAAGCCTGGGTATACATTAATATTAACAATCTTCCTCTGAAACACAGCAGGAAGAATCCTCTCTTTTGATCAGAAGACACATAAGTCAGAGAAGGAGTAATGATGTGGTATGTTTCTAAAGATTACCTGCACCTAGGTGATGAAGAGATTACTAAAAGTAACTTTTCTCCTCTGACTTTGAAGGGCTCTTATAGTATTGAGATATGGATGGAGACCCCAGGATTCCCTTTTATCCCTTCTCTTGAGAGAAATGTCAAGAAACTGTTTGGGAAGTATTGTTGACCTCAGTGTATTCTAGACCTTCTAGAATAGAGCTTACCTGGTTGTTATTTGGGCTCAGAAAGTACATGGGAAGAAGGATGGATGGATGGTAAACGGATGGATGGATGGATGGATGGATAATGAAGGATGAAGAATTAATGAGATAATTGACATAGATGGGTGGATGTATAGATGCATGCATGATGGGTGGATGAGTGGATGATATATGGGTGGATGGATGGATGAAGGATGGAAGAGTGAATTGATATGGATGGGTAGATGTGTAGATACATGCCGGATGGATGGATGGATGGATGGATGGATGGATGGATAATGAAAGATGAAGAATGAATGAGTGAATTGACATAGATGGGTGGATATATAGATGCATGCATGATGGGTGGATGAGTGGATGAATGGATGGATGGATCATATATGGGTGGATGGATGGATGAAGGATGGAAGAGTGAATTGACTGGATGGGTAGATGTGTAGATACATACTGGATGGATGGATGGATGGATGAAGGATGGAAGAGTGAATTGATTGGATGGGTAGATGTGTAGACACGTACCGGATGGGTGGATGGATGGATGGATGGATGAATGGATGATGGAGGAATATGGAAATGGGGCAGATGAGTGGACAAATTGGCAGACCAAATGTGATGCCAAAGAGTAATCAAGAAATCACCATTTATGTGTAATCACCACACATTGGTTTCATTTAGGACATTCTTCTCTTCTGCTGGGCCTTTGAACAAGAAGAGAGACCTACCTTCACCAAGCTCATGGACATGCTGGAGAAACTGCCAAAGCGAAACCGTCGCCTGTCTCACCCTGGACATTTCTGGAAGTCTGCAGAGTAGGTTTTCTCCCTTAATGTCTCTCCCCACTGCCTTGTCCTCTGCCCTTTGTCACCTTTTTGATCCCCTCTGCATCTTTTTTACTCCTCCCCCAACAAGCTCCTATCCATGTGCCCACCCTTCGGCAACCACTCTTCCCTACTAGGTTTCTGTTCAATGGAGTCTGTTTTGGGGTTTGGGTGCTGGAGTCTGTCCTGTGGGTCTTGGGTCCTGCAGCTACCCTGGGTTTCTCATTGCTTATCTCTTCCTGATGAAGATTGATGCCCCGATGAGTCTGAGCATCATGCAGTGAGGTGATGTCTGAACCTGCCAAGCCCCCCATATGTCAGGTATTCAGAGTACCCCTCCACGAGGCCCAGCTTTCTGGAACTCTTCCTTCTGAGCCAGCAGCCTGCCCCTGTCATGGCAGATCTCAGCTTCCAGCATTCTCTATTGCATGAATGCCAGAGCAGGAAAGGCTCTGAGCTCACCAGAAGTATCTCTGCTGATTTCCTCATAAGAGGCTCCAGACCATGCTCCTCCCCCTTGTTTCTGGCTGGAGATCAGTAGCTCTATCTGAGATAATGAGTGTGGCATCTCTTTCTGGGACCTCTCTCGACAGCCCCAGCTTCCATGACTGAGCTCTCTAGAAGGTAAAAGGGAGACAGGCCCAGATGAGGCTGCTGAGGGCTCCCCATGGCTCTGCCAGTTGCTCCCAGGTATTCATGGTTGGCACACTCACACAGACACTCTCAGGTACTCACACTCATGCAGACACAGGAGCAGTACTTAAAAACATACCTCTATACAAATTCATTCACACACAGCTGCACTCAGATCTATACTCACACACATCCATATACAAAAACATTCCATGAACGCACATCCCTACACAGAAGCCTGCATACATAGCCAGACTCAGACACATACACACACAGGTACACAATCACATTACATGGTACATGAAGACATGTGTATATACACACTTGCACTGCCATGGCTTACCCTCTAAAGACAAGCAGTACCCACAGATACAGATACTCCCACCTGTGTGCGTGGTGTACCATAGCCATTGTCAGTCTTCCCATGAAGTTCCCCAAGGCGGCGTCCTGAAGAGCAGATGTCCCCGGGGGCTGTGGACATTAGGAGGCTCTTTTTTTACTCCCTTCCCCTGCCATTTGAGCTTGCTGAACCTGAAGGATGGAATCTCTTCTTTCCCCAGGGGCTTATCCTTCCCCAGACCATTGGAAGGAGCATAAACTTTACAGACAGACATAGATTGAAATTGCCACTCCACTACGTAATAGCTGTGTGGCCTGGGGCACATCACTTGGCCTCTCTGAGCTACAGTTTCATGCTCTGAAAGGTGAGGGCAGTGAAACTGCTCTAGCAGAAATGCTGTGCAAGTCCCATGTGGCCACGTGTAGAGCACCTGGTTAGCAGGTGCCTCTCAACATAGCAGGTACTCACTGTAGCTCAGCTGCTGTCATCTGCCAAGAGGGAGACCGAGCCCTATTGTGGCAGCCTGGCAGGATTTACAATGGATTGGATATGAAAACAGACAGAAGGAAGCTTTAACAAGCAAAAACTCTGCCCAGCTAAAGGAGTGCTGGCAAGTTAGAGAATTAGTGTTGGAGCTCCAGGCAGGACCTAGCAGTTCAACTGAAGAGAGGGACTTAAAGCTTACTGGTTGGAGGGAAAGGCAGGAGGCTTCTCTTTCTATATTTTATTGTGGAGTTGGGCTGGAAAAAAAAAAAAAAAACACAGGACTGTGGTCTAGCAGAATAGGATGCTGGGTTCAGTGGAATTTTCCATTCATTCCCTCTTCCATTCATTCATTTTTTTTTTTTATTCAGCCTATGTGTACTGAACATCTTTTATGTGCTAGACACTGTTCTAAGAGTGAGAATACAGCAGTCAACAAAATAAATGAGTTCCTTTTGCTGCAGTGGACATCAAAGTCTGCTCATAGCAGGAGGCTGCAGTGTGGATCCCAGTCCCACCCCCTCTTCCTGCCTCTCTAGCTGTTACAGAGCTTTATCCCAGCCCCATACACTAGATGACCATTCCTAGTCCATGCCCAAGTGGGAAAAGTTCTGGGTTCAAATCCTGACCCTGCTGCTTCCTGGCAGTGTGCCCTTTGGCAAAACACTTAACCTCCCGAAGCCTCAGTGTTTTCATCTGTGAAATTGTATGATTCTGTCGTAGAAGTTCGTCTCTGATTATTTTCATCTTTGAAAATATTAGTAGCCTATATTGCAGGCTCATCTCAGGCTTAAATGGGATCAGGTGTGTGGCAGAGCCCAGCATATAGTAAGAACTCAGTTAACAGAAATCTCTTCCATGTCTTCTTGCAGAAGACAGGAACAGTTCATCTCAAGCCACCTGGCCCACTGAGAGGGTGTCATTCACAACGGATGACATCATCATGTCCTTGTGACCTCTCACCACTCTCTCCCTTCTCTCCCCACTCCAGGCTGTGACCTTTGGACATCGGGACGGCGCCCAGCTGCCTGGGCTCCCGTCACCTCTCCCTCCCTACTCTGTCCTCTGCCAGCTCAGGAGGCCAGAGACTCAGCATCAGAGGGTACCAACCCCGACCGACCTGGGAGCACTGGACAACTGCTCGGCGGCCTCCCTGCACCTCAGACTTGAGCCCTTTTCCTCGGGCAGGGTTGGGGACCCCCGAGCTAGGACTGAACCGGACCAGCCAGGGTGATGCGTTATTGATCAGTGCGGCCCAGGGGACAGCACTAATGAGAGCACTGCAGGCTGCACGTGGTGCCTTTGGGCTATGGGACTAGGACAGGAGACCCCACGTGGGGGGGCTCACAGACGGGGCTATGTGTGTGTGTGTCTGTGTGTTTGACGTTGTTCACTCTTGTTTCCCCTTGACAAGCAAGAGCCAGACTGTCCCAATGACGGGGCACTCCTCAGTTCTGTCTGTATGTGGTAGGTTCCAGCTGTACCATCTGGGAAGCTAAGAGGAGGGTACAGAGCCGAGTGGCAGCTTAGTCAAGGCTACTGAGCCAAGATCGAGCAGGGAAGGTCGGGAGTGGCTAAGCTCGTTCCTTTGGAAATATCTGTTTTCAGACACCCCAACCCGAGCCTGTCATGGCGTGTGGCACCTTTGCATAGAGCTCTGAAGTACAGTAGGAAAGTTAGAACGTCTTTTGAGTTCTGGGTCTCTCTGGGGGACCTATTCCCCCATTTCTGCTGTTTTCTCCTGTTCTCTGAGAGTAGCATCCCTTTTCACCTCACTGCCCGCACCTCCTTGCCATTTGGAAAGCCAAGATGACTTCTGAGGGGCTCCTTAGAGCTCACCGTCATTCAGGGCACCCCCTGAAGTCTGGTCCCTGAGAATCAGGGCTCTGGGCAGGGAGTTCTAGGACATTCCTTTTCTTCCCTCTTCTCTGCTACTCACACCAGTGAAGCTTATTCCCCCACCAAGGTGGATGCGGGTTCTTGGGGTACGTCCATGTTGGGTTATGTGGCTGTACCTATGATAACACGTTTGCAAAAGATTTCCCTGCCTGTCACCCTTGAGGAGTCCTGTTGGGGGAGCACAAAGGGAGGATGTTTGTTACACTTCTGCGTTCTTTGCTCTAGCCTGGTGCGGGGTCCTCAAGTAGCTTCCCCATCGGAAGCCTGTGTCCCTCACCTGTGTGTGTTCCCTCAGTGCCCCACCTTCCCTCCCTCCTCTTGATCCCAACCTGGGCCGGCGACTCTTCCTGACCATGTTGGGGAAGCCCCTGGTGTTCTGTATCTGTAGGAAGGATGCCGAGAGCAGGCTGGGCATGCAGATGGGAGAGGAGAACCTCTGGGTCATTTGCCCATGTTTTCAAAGCCCTGACCCCCTGCATGTGACCTGATACAAAAGGGAAATCTGTCCCCAAGCAGAGCAATAGCAGGATTATCTGGGCAGTGAACAGGAAGCCCAGGGCGGCCACAGCCCCTCTGTGTTTCCTGGGTACTACCTGGGCCTTAGTTTTCTTGTAGCTACTATCTATCCAGGCATCTCCCTCCTAGAGGGCCAGAGAGAGGAACTGGAACTTCAAAAACCCTACCTGATCTTACTTTCAAAATCCAAATAGACCTATGAGGATCTCTTCCCCACCTTGGGTGACTCCCAGACTGGTTCATGCTCTGGGGGCCAAACCTGCTTCCAAACCGGGAAGAATGGTGAGATCAGTCATGCTTCCCAGGAGCCTGGCTACAGGAAACCCCTGTGTTTCCCAAAGGGCCCTCCTGAATTGCCTTTCCAACACTCCCAGCTTACTGGGACTAGAGGACTAAAGACCCCGGCTTGGGCTGCTCCTAAGCAGACACTGCTCTTCTGGGGACATCTATGGCTCTTGGCTTGACGACGTGTGTGTGTCTTGGAGGCATTTTATATATGTTTGCCTGAGCCCCAGCCACTCTGGGGTTGCTGGGGATGGCTCTTGTCAATGGACACCTCCCCATCCCAACACAACACTCTGTGTCCCAGCCCTGGGCCTGGACTTGCACCTGTCTTGGCTCTGCCCAGCAGCCTACTGAGTGCCTGAAACCCAACCACTCACTTCTCTTCCATCACACCAGGACTTCTTGGGTCCACAGGCTCCAGTCCTTGTCATGTTCCCTTGTGCCAAGAGACAGGATATGAGGAAGGGAAGAGGCAGCCAGGGTCTACTACCCTGCAGCTGAAATGTCCACAAGAACTGGCACCTTCTCACTCTTGCCTCTCTTGTTTCCAGAATTAACTAAAATGTCCAACCACAGCCTTTGGCAAGGCCTAGCATGATCTCCAACAGCTGATTTTTCCATTCATTCATGAGCACCAGTTTGGGATTAAGGACAGGGCCTGAGTGATCCAGGGGAAAACCCAGCCCTTTGTGGAACAGGGTGCCTTGGGTCCATCCCTGAATCTGAGTCACTTGCTCTTGACTTCTCGATCTTTCCCCACTTCACTACTCTGTCCCCACCTGCATTGGTCTCTGCTGCAGCCAGGCCAGGATCCTGGCCTTCAGTGCCTTCCTGACGCCCCTACCCTGTCCCCTCTACACCGCCCTGACTTGTTGAGAAACCAGCTTTAATTTGCACACATTTAAATCCAGGAAGAACCAAACCGCTGCTTTCCCTGCTGGCTTCCATCTTTATTCGCTGATGAGGTTTTGGGAGGAGGTTATATTCATCTTACGCAGGGAGGAAAAAAAAAGAGGAAAGAGGCTGTATATTTTTACATCATAATTACCAGCCTCACCTGCAACTCATTCTATACAATGACACGACCAAGATTTGTGTGTTTGCCCTTGTCCCATCACAGCTGCACACAGGTGCCCTGTACACATAAGTCACTGACTCAGCAGCGAGTTGTTCCAGTCAGTCTTGCTTTTAGCAAACCGTCATATACATGGGCTTCCCGAGGGGACCAGTCCACAGGGTGAAGATTCACCAGGAAGCCTTGGCTTTGCAGAGAGAAACATCTCAGCTTTCTTTAAAGGGCATGTGGATTTGCACATAAATTTCACCCAACTCTTCCAGGATACAGATTATTCATAAAACCAAGGAGCTTCCTTCTTGGCCCCCTGTGGGAGGACGTGCCCCTTGTGTCCCCATCCCCAGAGCCAAGCTGGAAACCCAAAGTCATTGCTTAGATCCATTTTGTCCTGGTATTCCTTTTACTGATCAAAGAGAAAATTTTCATCTTGCCATGGACCCCCCCATCCTCACCCCATCCACTTGTCTCCACAGCTACCTTGGATTGTCAGTCAATAGAAGCCCTTGACTGATATTGACCACTAGACTTTTGTATCCAGGGAACCTAGTTCTTCCCTTTTTCTCACCTCCCATGCCATATACACACATCATGCCCCTCCCCACAAACACACGAAACCAGCCTTATCTCACCTTCCACCATTCCCATCCCCACCTACAGCTGATCATCAAAGGTACACGGAGGAAGTAGTAGACACGGAGCTCAGGCCAATCATTATCTTGAGAAATCTAAACCCAGGGCTGTCAGGCTATGCCCCATAGGCCATACCCAGCCTGCCAAATGGTTTTTACATGTTTTAATTGAGGAAAAATCAAAAGAATAATATTTCATGACATGAAAATTCTATAACATTCAAATTTCATGTCAATAAACAAAATGTTATTGGAGCACAGTCACCTCTCCATTTACACAACCACGGCTGCTCCTATGCAACTGTGACAGAGCCAGCTATTTGCAACAGAGACGATGTGGCCCACACAGTCAAAAACTTTTACAATCTGGCCCTTTCCTAACTTTGCTAGCCTTTGATAGAGAGGATTGGATATGGCTGTCAGGGGAGGAACAGGAGCCTTTGATAGAGAGGGTTGGATATGGCTCTCAGGGGAGGAACAGGAAGTTGGAGGGGGAGAGAACTTGTTTCAGCGGAAGAAGGCCAGCTTGCCCCAAGATGCAGCGGGCTGCCTCCGGAAGTAGAGAACTCCCTGTCCTTGGATAGGGTGGAGCAGATGTTGACTGCTTGGCCTGTGTGATATGGAGGCAATTCAGGCCCTGAAGGCTGGACCAACTCCCTGGACTTTAAAACTCTTCGTTTGCTAAGGGGGGCCATAATAACAAAATGTCACACACTGAGTGGCTTAAACAACACGAATTTATTCCTCACAATTCTTGAGGCTGGAAGTCCCAAGATCAAGGTGTCAGCAGGGTTGGTTTCTGGTGAGGCCTCTTTCTTTGGCTTGCAGACAGCTGCCCTCTGATCGTGACCTCACGTGGCCTTTCCTCTGTGACTGCACATCCCCAGTATCTCCTCCTCTTCTGATAAAGACAACAATCTTATTAGATTAGGGTTCCAACGCTCTGTGATTTTATTCCCATCCCCGGCTTTCTTTCCCCACACTGGTTCTCAATCTTGAGTCCCGAAATATGCCCTCCCTATCCTCATCCTGTGCCTACCTTCACTTCACCCATCCATCCCCTGCAGGCTGGTCTTGTTCCACTGTGCCACCATATCCCCAAGCCCCCCTCACCTCCGTGAGGCTCCTAGGACTGCTGCAGCAAACCACCACCCACTGGGGCCTACAACAACAGATGTATCATCTCTCACCCATCTGGATGCCAGAAGTCCAAAATCAAAGTGTTAGCAGGGCCATGTTCCCCCTGAAATCTGTAAGGGAATCCTTCCTGGCGGCTTCTGAATTCCTGGTGCTTTCCTGGTCATCATTGGCATTCCTTGGCTTGCAGCTGTGTCAGTCCAATCCCTGCCCTCATCATCTCTCTGTGTGTCCCTATCTTCATATGGCCATCTTCTTATAAGGACACGAGTCACATTGGATTAAGGGCCCACCCTATTTCAGTATGACCTCATCTTAACTAATTATATCTGCAAAGACCCTCTCTCCAAATGAAGTCTCATTCTGAGGTACTAGGAATGAGGACTTCAACATGTCTTTTTTTTTTTTTTTTTTTTTTTGTTGGGGACACCACAACTTATAACACCCTCTAAGACATTTTCTCTTGTGCCTTGACTGGTCCTCCACTGTAGAACCCAGGTGCCCTTGAAGATAGATTCCCCAGAATTCCTGGTCTACAAGGTCAGGCTGTTGCTGTCATGCTTACCAAGCTTGCCCCAATCAACACGTCCCATCACTGAATTCCAACAGCTCTGGATCTCAGTTCTGTGGCTGTATGGGAACAGCCTGTGTGTAAGTGGCTTGTCTGTAGCGGACTGTCACTTGACCCCTGAATGTGCCTCATGACCCTATCCAAAGCAGTTGGTGACACAGCATCTGATTTTATCTATACTCTTGTTCATTGACAAAGGAGTGGATTTTGATGAGCTACATTTTGCTGTTTCCTTTTTTGGCTTTGCCTGTGATGTGGGGAAGTTCCTAGGCAGACTCATGTGGCCACTCTCCCTGGCTCCCAGCCTCACCTCCTCCCGTACCACCTCACCCTCACCTGCACACACCTGCAAGGGAATCACTTTGAACTCCAAGGGGAGTGACAGGCAGCAAATGTCAGTCTGGGTCCTGGAATGTGGAGCCGCAGTGAACCTCTGTCCTCTCTGGTCAGTGCCTGACTATGATATTAACCCAAATCCCAGACTCCCTTCTCGAGGCCCTGCAATCCATACCCATTCTGTTACCAGTTTAGTTTTGAAACCAGTAGTGGGGCAGGAGGTTGATGGAAAATCTGCGGTCCCAGTGACCTCCTGGACTTGTCTTAGTAGTGCCTGGCACATAGTAAGTGCTCAAGAAATGTTTACAGAATGCAGACAGAGAGGTTTGCTGGGTAAGAGTAAGACCCTGGCACAGGGAGTTAGAAGGGCACCATTGGCAGGGCTGGATGGTATTGGGATTCCCCTTTGCCAGACCATGTTGTGGGTGCCATATCAACCCCAATGAGTTTGTTTGTTAGGTTTGTTGTTGTGGTTTAGAGTTAGAGTCTTGCTCTGTCACCCAGGCTGGAGTACAGCGTGATCATAGCTCACTGCAGCCTCGAACTCCTGGCCACAAGCAATCCTCCCACCTTAGCCTCTCAAGTTGCTGGTACTACAGGTGCACACCATCATGCCTGGCTAATTTTTTATTTGTTGTACAGACAGGGTCTTGCTATGTTGCCCGCGCTGGTCTTGAACTCCTGGTCTCAAGCAATCCCCCTGCTTCAGCCTCCCAAAGCACTGGGATTACAGGGCTAAGCCATTGTGCTGAGCCAGTTTGCCAGGTTTAATATCTGTGACGTATGAAGCGACCCATTGAGTCAGGTGGCCCAGGATGTCTAGGAGGCAGAGTAACAATCCACCCTGAACAGCCCTCATTCACAGAGCACTTACTACGTGCCAGGCTGGAATTCCTATGATGGTTTGGGGAGATCAGTAGTCTTATTCTCGTTCCAATGGGGCAACTGTGGTACAGGGACAGAAACCAGCCTCCAAATTGCAGACCCAGCATTTTAAAAACGAGTCTTTGGGCTCATCCATTCCCAGGAACCCACCTCCAGGTCAAGGGGTTCATGTCCAGCTGCTCATGGGGATGTTACAATCCCAGCCTCTGAGACTTATTGGCAACTTGGAACCAGGAAAGAGAGAGAGGAAAAGCAGGAAGTTGTGGAAGGGAGGGTGCAGGGGCTGGCAGGGACCATACTGGGAGTTTGCACGGAAGCTTGAACTTATGTTCTCAAACTGACAGGCTGCCAGCAGCAGCCCGGATTTCCAGGAAATGTACATCTGGGTTGGCAGAGTCCCTCCTGGGTCCCTCCAGTATCCCTGCTCCAGGCTTCCTATCCCCTCCGTCTCTCCTGCTGGATGTTGCACTGTGGTCCCGTGTTCCTGAGAGGCGTACATCAGTGAGTGCTCTTCCCTCTCAGGGGTGGGAAAGGGCCCTTCCTTCCCACTCATTGGGATCATGCAGCTCCCATTTCCTAACACCAAGAATATGAAGGATTCATCTCATGGGGTTGAGAATGGCTGTCCTCCTTCCACTGAGGACTGAGCTGGAGGAGATGGACTCTGTCTAGAATGTGCCTGATCTAAATAAGACCTTGTTTCCCAAGCATGTCCCATAGACCTTTCATTCCATG